>NC_000008.11:48427265-50927265 GCF_000001405.40 Homo sapiens | reverse complement strand
CCTCTTTCTGAGATATGTTAGATCATTACTTATTACATACCATGTTTGCTAAATATTGACATAATATTATACTGATATGTTATTGAGCAGCACTGCAAATTACAGATAAACATGAGAAAATCAATGTTAATATTGGCAAATGTTGGTGGAATCATTAATAAATTTGGAGATTTTAGTGTAAGTTAGGTTTATATAACATAATGGGCTTTTCCTTTAATTTATAACATGTAAATTTGTGCACATGTAGCATCCATTGTATTTATCATTATAATATTTGGTGGTTATGTCTCATAGATTGTATTTCATTCTTTCAGGGTTAAATTTATGTTCCTAGAAATTTCTTTATGATATTTTAATTTTATTCTTTTTACTATTTGTTTTTGTAGCAGGAATCGAGTCAGTACCCAGAACTACAGGACTGTCAAATGCTTCTGAAGAGTCTCCTTTACTTCATCCTTCAGTTGCAATACATCATTTTTGTTCTTTTGCTTCTGTTATTTTAACATAGTCTACAGATATTTTCAAGAGCAGTCTAATCTATTTTTTTAATTGAACTTTATATTGACAAAAAAAGGTATCTCAAATTCAAAAACGATGATGTACAATGGCTTCTGTCTTTGGTTTTATAATGCTTTCATCATCATTAGAACATTCAAAATGTAACATCGCTTGCAGTATTTTATTCAATTTTTTTGTTTTTTTCCCCAAACAAAGTATGAAAGTTATAATTCAAAATAAGGCTTATATGGACAATGAATAAAAAAATCAAGATGTACCCCATAAATTAGTTTGGATTATTTTAGTAAGTATGATAATAAAATGATAAAATTTTTTCTTAACCAAAGTAGTCAAGATAAAAGAGTTTCATAAAACCACTGTCTATAATAAAATAACATCAGTACATAAAATATAAAATTTGTACAATAAGAAGATAACATTGTGAACAATTTAGGCTAATAAGTTTTAAAATTTGGATTAAACGTACAAATTTGTAACAAATATCACTAATAAAAGAGGGTGTAATAATCAATTTTAAAAGATGCAACGTCCAAAATCTATTAAACTAATTCAGCATCGTTAAATCATTCCAACAGCAAAACAACAAAAATGTCATGCCCAGATGACTTTATTGGTAAATCATTTAAATATTTAAAAAGAAAAAACAAGCAATCTTATAATAAATCTTCCAGATAATGGAAAAAGGTGAAACTTTTCATTCCATATATTTTTACGATCAGCTTAATCTTGATATTGGCAAGGACATTACAAGTGACAGAAAATATAGGTCAATATGTCTCAGGATAATACATATAAAAATCTTAAAGAAAATGTTAAGAAAATTAACATAAGGAACGAATATTTTGGCTGGGTGTGATGGCTCATGCCTGTAATCCCAGCACATTGGGAGGCCGAGGACAGTGGATCACCTGAGGTCAGGAGTGCGAGACCAGCCTGGCCAACATGTCAAGACCCCGTCTCTACCAAAAAAAAAAAAAAAAAAAAAAAAAAAAAAACAAAAATTAGCCGGGCATGGTGGCAGGTGCCTGTAATTCCAGCTACTCAGGAGGGTGAGGCAGGAGCATTGCTTGAACCTGGGTTGTGGAGATTACAGTGAGCCGAGATTCTGCCACTGCACTCCAGCCTGGGCGACAGAATGAGACTCTGTCTCAAAAAAAAAAAAAAATGAATATTTATTTCATACAATACACCAATTTCTATCTGTATCTGAATCTTTATATCTCTGTATCTATCTATCTACCTATCTATTTACCTATCATGTACACATAACAAATCAAAGCTATGTTAGACTCTTCCAATAATGTTATGTTGGGTTCCCATTTGAGACAAGGAACAATCATAGCATCACGTCAACAGACTGAAAATACTTCGTAAAATTCAAACTCGGCTTATTACATAAATATTTGTAAACATTTATTTTTTTCCCATAAAGGAAACATAAAAATCTGCAGCAAATATTATATTTAAAGATTAAATATTTTTAAATTTCCCCCATGTGACAGAAATCCACATTATCACTGCTTCTGTCATACACTAAACTATGAGATCTAGCCAACAAAACAAAGTAGAAAGAAAAATATATGGTCTAAACATTAGAAAGCAAGAAATTATTTGCAGATAACGTAGTCATGTATGTGATTAATCCCATAGAAACTTGAGATAAACCTTTAAAGTGAGTTGATGCACTAGCCAGGTACACCAATTAGTTTTTTTGGTCTCAGTTCAGGCTGCCATAAGAAAACTTTGTAGACTGGGTGACCTAAAACTGAGAAATTTCACAATTCTGGAGGTTAGGATTTTCATATCAAGATGCCAATCAGTTTGGTTTCTGGTGGGGGCTTTTGTCCTGGCTTGCAGACATCCACCTTCTCACTGTGTCCTCATGAAAGAGAGACATCCAGTGTTCCTTCCTCTTTTATAAGGATACCAGTTCTATTGGATAAGGATTCCACTCTTATGACTTCTTTCAACCTTAAACACCTCCTTAGAAAACTTATCTCAAATTCAGTCAACTGCGGGGGGCGGGTAGTACTTCAACATATTATCTTTGGGGAACAAAATTCAGCCCATAGCAATGTTCAAAATCTCTACATATCAAATTGCAAAATGTTATTGATGTAGATTAAAGAAATCTAAATAAATAATTTTCCCAGTTCATAGTTTGAACATGTCTATATTATCAATGTGTTTATATTCTATAAAATAGTTTAAAAATTAAATTAAATCACCATCAAATTCAAGTCCATTCATCTGAAGAAATCACCATACATTTGTGTGTGTATCTATATATGTATTTGTGTGTATACATATATGTGTGTGTGTACACACATATGTATGTATGTGTATATTTATGTATGTGTACACACATACATATGTATATGCACACACATATATATTTGGCAAAAGTAGCCCTGCAGAACAGTGAGGACAGGATAATTTTTAAAATTAGTTCTGTGTCTGCCAGCTACTTATTGGCACAAAAATAACCATCATTTCCTCATTCATAAAATCAGTCACAGGTTGATTATGAACGTGAATATGAAAGAAAAACTGATAAAGTTTTTAGATTTTTTAAATTATGCTTTAAGTTCTGGAAAGGATATTTTAATAATATTACAGGAGGCAAAGATTGCTTAAACAGCATGTGAAAGAACTAAAGATAATGGAAAAGGTGAATAGATCCAGGGAGTGAGATACCCACAGGGGGCTTTGAAAAGTTTTGACATCTTCCTAGCTATTATAGGCCAGGGAAAGGACAAGGCCGTGTGTATGCACAGGAACAACTTGACAGGATCCTGTCTGTCAGCTCTGACTGACCTTGAGGCCCTGAGCAAACCATAAGTAATGGTTAAGAGAGAATTTTCAACTGCCTAAGAGTGGAAGGAGTGTCCCAACACTGACATGAGACCCCTTATCAAGAAGAAGTATTACAGTTCAAAGAATTTTAAGTTAATTTCTGGCCAACTAATAGCTGACCATTGAACAAACTGAATAGTGGTTGCAGAGATTCCAACAATAAAAGAATAGAGTTAGTCCAGGAGTCATTTAATAAACAGACATTAACAAAAACCACAACAATGAGACAAAACAAAGGAACTCATACAACAGACCCCGGGAGTAAGAGGGAATCTGATTTCTAGAGTTGCCTCATTATGTTATCTGAATTCTTCAGTTTTCAACAACAACAACAAAAATTATGAGACACATAAGGAAACAGTGAAATATAGTAAATAAACAAGAAAAAAAGCAGCCAATATAAATTGTCCCTGAGGAGGTTCAAATATTGGACTTACTATATAAAACATTTAAATCGGTTATTATAAATAAATTCAAAGAACTAAATAAAACCATGTGTAAAGAAATAAAGAAAAGAATGACTATGATGTATCACCAAACAGAGAATATTCATAAAGATATCAAAATAATATAAAAGAACCAATTAGAAGCTCTGGAATTGAAAACTACAATTACTGGAACTTTTAAAGTTAACTGCTAAGTGGATCAAAGGCAGATTGGAAGTGAAAGAATAAGAATCAGGGTACCTGAAGATAAATCAGTATGGGAAAAGTATGAGAAACGGAAAGAAAAAAAGAATTAAGATAAAGAAAACAGTGCTTTGGGAACCTGTTGAACACCAGCAAGTATACTAATACACAAATAGTCATAGTACTGGGAGGAGAGAAGAGACAAAGAGAACAAAGTATATTTGAATTATTGATACTTGGAAATGTCCAAATACGAAAAGTAATAATCTGAAGATACTGAATAACTCCAAGTTGCAAAAAGTCAAGAACTACAGCAAGACACATTGTAGCAAAAATATGAAAATACAAAGAGAACTTTGAAAGAAACAATGAGAAGTCACTCATCACAGATGAGGGACCCTTAGTTAGGTTAATAGCAAATTTCAAAAACCGTGGAGGCCAGAAGGCAGCAAGATGACATATTTAAGCTGCTGAAGGAAAATAAACAAAGCTTGTCTACCAAGGATTGTTACTGGTCAGGGAAGAGCAGCGATTTAAGAGATGTCTTTAGATTGAAGTCCAAAATTGCATTCTAAAGTACAAACTGGATCAGAGGGAAAGATCAAGAATAGCTCTTTTGAAAACTTCTGGAGAAATCCCCTGTGAGTTTAGTAGGATATACTATTTTACTGACTTGTCTCCAATCTAGAATAGTGAGTTACTTTCTTCTTTAGCCTAAATTTTATCCTTTAGCCTAAAAGGATTTTGGCATCAGTGGAGTATCTTTATTTGTTTTGAATCATTAATATTGATTTTGCAAGAGCAGAATATTTTATTTATAAGCATATTATATGTCTATTAATAATAAAAATAATCATAAATGACAATATTTTAATTATTTGAAAATTATTTTTATTTCAGGAAAAAAGCATATGGTGAGAGCCATTCATAGTAGAGCTAGAGATTACCACATGAATGTAATTTCAAGATCTGGTACGAAGTACTATTATATTATGTTTGTCCTTTGATATGGTATTTTAAATGGTTTCTATTCTACTCTATCCTCAAGCAAGTTGGGCCACTTCTCTTGCCACCATACCTTATAAATGCCTTATTTATGCCCCTATGCAGTCTCTATTATTTTTTATTCCTTTCTGTGCTCCTCACTCTACTGAGAACTTAATGAAAGCAGAAATCAGTCCTATTTTTGTCTACAGAGCTTGCATTATAAATGTCACTAAATATAGGTATGGAAAAAATTATTTAACTGCTTTGGTTTTGATAACCATTAAGCCTATGAGAAAAAGCTGTGTCTTTGTATTAACTGTTTTCAAATGGTTAGCCAATACTGCTCCTTGAAGATTCACTCCTTTCTATAGCAGGCACTCAATTTATTGGTGGATTGTGGCAGAATCTCTTATTTGGAAGAGCAGTGGAAACTTCCTATTTCAAAGGTTCTTTCATCTTTTCTTTATCTCTTTCTTAACAGCCACTCTGATGAAAATTTGCACTTTAATGCATCCACCAGGACACTATGCCTAATGCCAGAAAGCCCCAGCAGAGTGCAGATATTAGGAGGCTACATTCAGAGCCTAGGATAGAACGTTATTTAAACTTTACAGTTCTGGGAGATCAAAATTTCTGAATCCACAACATAAAGAGGTATGGTATAACAAGACATAATTGTATTATAAATTCTGTTACAGTGATTTTTTTGGTCCTCATTTGAACAAGCTGTGAAGATTCCTTTCCTTATTTCACTCTGACCACAGGATACTATTATTTCTGTTTGCTCAAAAGAGCTTAAAATAAAATCAACAAATGGGAGTTTATTTAGTAACTAGGACCCACAGAATTCAGCTGTGTGTTAGGAACACAAAATGTATATAGCACAAAGAATACACAGTGCCTTTTAAAAGTGAGCTTGCCTCATATTTATAGTAATCAATGATAAAAGAGTACTATAAATGTCAAGGTTGTATGACACTGTAATGAGAAAACTCTGTGCAGTCATGGGGACAGCAAGCAGGAAAATCAGTTTGTCTGATTCTAACTCTTGTGCCCTCCACTATGCCTCACACTGTCCTATTATGTTTTTAGCTTAAGATAATATTTTTAAAAAGTTATAAAAAGGAAAACATCTTAAATGAGTTAAATCACCATGTAAAATATAAAGAAATGGTTCTTAATACGGTTGTTGAAGTGTACATAAGATACTGGCCTCTAGATTTTCAAAGGGAATGCTTCCAGTTTTGCCCATTCAGTATGATATTGGCTGTGGGTTTGTCATAGACAGCTCTTATTATTTTGAGATACATCCCATCAATACCTAATTTATTGAGAGTTTTTAGCAAGAAGGGTTGTTGAATTTTGTCAAAGGCCTTTTCTGCATCTATTGAGATAATCATGTGGTTTTTGTCGTTGGTTGTGTTTATAGGCTGGATTATGTTTATTGATTTGCATATGTTGAACCAGCCTTGCATCCCAGGGATGAAGCCCACTTGATCATGGTGGATAACCTTTTTGATGTGCTGCTGGATTCGGTTTGCCAGTATTTTATTGAGGATTTTTGCATCGAGGTTCATCAAGGATATTGGTCTAAAATTCTCTTTTTTTGTTGTGTCTGCCAGGCTTTGGTATCAGAATGATGCTGGCCTCATAAAATGAGTTAGGGAGGATTCCCTTTTTTTAATATTGATTAGAATAGTTTCAGAAGGAATGGTACCAGCTCCTCCTTTTATATCTGGTAGAATTCGGCTGTGAATCCATCTGGTCCTGGACGTTTTCTGGTTGGTAAGCTATTAATTATTGCCTCAATTTCAGAGCCTGTTATTGGTCTATTCAGAGATTCACCTTCTTCCTGGTTTAGTCTTGGGAGGGTGTATGTGTTGAGGAATTTATCCATTTCTTCTAGATTTTCTAGTTTATTTGCATAGAGGTGTTTATAGTATTCTCTGATGGTAGTTTGTATTTCTGTGGAATCAGTGGTGATTTCCCCTTTAACATTTCTAATTGCGTCTATTTCATTCTTCTCTGTTTTCTTCTTTATTAGTATTGCTAGTGGTCTATCAATTGTGTTGATCTTTTCAAAAACCCAGCTCCTGTATTCATTAATTTTTTGAAGGGTTTTTTTGTGTCTCTATCTCCTTCAGTTCTTTTCTGATCTTAGTTATTTCTTGCCTTCTGCTTGCTTTTGAATATGTTTGCTCTTGCTTCTCTAGTTCTTTTAATTGTGATGTTAAGGTATCAATTTTAGATCTTTCCTGCCTTCTCTTGTGGGCATTTAGTGCTATAAATTTCCCTCTACACACTGCTTTAAATGTGTCCCAGAGATTGTGGTATGTTGTGTCTTTGTTCTCATTGGTTCAAAGAACAGCTTTATTTCTGCCTTCTTTTTGTTATGTACCCAGCAGTCATTCAGGAGCAGGTTGTTCAGTTTCCATGTAGTTGAGTGGTTTTGAGTGAGTTTCTTAATCCTGAGTCCTAATTTGATTGTGGTGTGATCTGAGAGACAGTTTGTTATAATTTCTGTTCTTTTACATTTGCTGAGGAGTGCTTTACTTCCAACTATGTGGTCAATTTTGGAATAAGTGCAATGTGGTGCTGAGAAGAATGTATATTCTGTTGATTTGGGGTGGAGAGTTCTGTAGATGTCTATTAGGTCCACTTGGTGCAGAGCTGAGTTCAATTCCTGGATATCCTTATTAAATTTCTGTCTCATTGATCTCTCTAATGTTGACAGTGGGGTGTTAAAATCTCTCACTATTATTGTGTGGGAGTCTAAGTCTCTTTGTAGGCCTCTAAGGACTTGCTTTATGAATCTGAGTGCTCCTGTATTGGGTGCATATATATTTAGGATAGTTAGCTCTTCTTGTTGAATTGATCCCTTTACCATTATGTAATGCCCTTCTTTGTCTCTTTTGATCTTTGTTGGTTTAAAGTCTGTTTTATCAGAGACTAGGATTGCAACCCCTGCCTTTTTTGTTTTCCATTTGCTTGGTAGATCTTCCTCCATCCCTTTATTTTGAGCCTATGTGTGTCTCTGCACATGAGATGGGTTGCCTGAATACAGCACACTGATGGATCTTGACTCTTTAAAAATTTGCCAGTCTGTGTCTTTTAATTGGAGCATTTAGCCCATTTACATTTAAGGTTAATATTGTTGTGTGTAAATTTGATCCTGTCATTATGATGTTAGCTGGTTATTTTGCTCGTTAGTTGATGCAGTTTCTTCCTAGCCTTGATGGTCTTTACAATTTGGCATGTTTTTGTAGTGGCTGGTACCGGTTTTTCCTTTCCATGTTTAGTGCTTCCTTCAGGAGCTCTTTTAGTGCAGGCCTGGTGGTGACAAAATCTCTCAGCATTTGCTTGTCTGTAAAGGTTTTTATTTCTCCTTCACTTATGAAGCTTAGTTTGGCTGGATATGAAATTCTGGGTTGAAAATTCTTTTCTTTAAGAATGTTGAATATTGGCCCCCACTCTCTTCTGGCTTATAGAGTTTCTGCTGAGAGATCCGCTGTTAGTCTGATTGGCTTCCCTTTGTGGATAACCTGACCTTTCTCTCTGGCTGCCCTTAACATTTTATCCTTCATTTCAACTTTGGTGAATCTGACAATTGTGTGTCTTGGAGTTGCTCTTCTCGAGGAGTATCTTTATAGTATTCTCTGTATTTCCTGAATTTGAATGTTGGCCTGCCTTGCCAGATTGGGGAAGTTTTCCTGGATAATATCCTGCAGAGTGTTTTCCAACTTGGTTCCATTCTCCCTGTCACTTTCAGGTACACCAATCAGATGTAGATTTGGTCTTTTCACATAGTCCCATGTTTCTTGGAGGCTTTGCTAATTTCTTTTTATTATTTTTTCTCTAAACTTCTCTTTTCACTTCATTGCATTCATTTGATCTTCCATCACTGATACCCTTTCTTCCAGTTGATCAAATCGGCTACTGAGGCTTGTGCGTTCGTCTCGTAGTTCTCTTGCCATGGTTTTCAGCTCCATCAGGTCCTTTAAGGACCTCTCTTCACTGGTTATTCTAGCTAGCCATTCGTCTAATTTTTTCTCAAGGTTTTTAACTTCTTTGCCATGGGTTCGAACTTCCTCCTTTAGCTCAGAGTAGTTGGATCATCTGAAGCCTTCTTCTCTCAACTTGTCAAAGTCATTCTCTGTCCAGCTTTGTTCCATTGCTGGTGAGGAGCTGCGTTCCTTTGGAGGGGGAGAGGCACTCTGATTTTTAGAGTTTCCAGTTTTTCTGGCACAAGACAGGGATGCCCTCTCTCACCACTCCTATTCAACATAGTGTTCAAAGTTCTGGCCAGGGCAATCAGGTAGGGGAAAGAAATAAAGGGTATTCAATTAGTAAAAGAGGAAGTCAAATTGTCTGTGTTTGCAGATGACATGATTCTAGAAATTATCTAGAAATATTCTATAAAATATCTAGAAAATCCCATCATCTCAGCCCAAAATCTCCTTAAGCTGATAGGCAACTTCAGCAAAGTCTCAGGATACAAAATCAGTGTGCAAAAATCACAAGCATTCTTATACACCAATAACAGACAAACAGAGAGCCAAATCATGAGTGAACTCCCATTCACAATTGCTTCAAAGAGAATAAAATACCTAGGAATCCAACTTATAAGGGACATGAAGAATCTCCTCGAGGAGAACTACAAACCACTGCTCAATGAAATAAAAGAGGATACAAACAAATGGAAGAACATTCCATGCTCATGGGTAGGAAGAATCAATACCATGAAAATGACCATACTGCCCAAGGTAATTTATAGATTCAATGTCATCCCCATCAAGCTACCAATGACTTTCTTCACAGAATTGGAAAAAAACTACTTTAAAGTTCATGTGGAACCAAAAAAGAGCCCACATTGTCAAGTCAATCCTAAGCCAAAAGAACAAAGCTGGGGGCATCACGCTACCTGACTTCAAACTATACCACAAGGCTACAGTAACCAAAACAGCATGGTACTGGTACCAAAACAGAGATATAGACCAATGGAACAGAACAGAGCCCTCAGAAATAATGCCATATATCTACAGCTATCTGATCTTTGACAAACCTGACAAAAACTAGAAATGGGGAAAGGATTCCCTATTTAATAAATGGTGCTGGGAAAACTGGCTAGCCATATGTAGAAAGCTGAAACTGGATCCCTTCCTTATACCTTATACAAAAATTAATTCAAGATGGGTTAAAGACTTAAATGTTAGACCTAAAACCATAAAAACCCTAGAAGAAAACCTAGGCAATACTATTCAGGACATAGGCATGGGCAAGGACTTCATGTCTAAAACACCAAAAGCAATGGCAACAAAAGCCAAAATTGACAAATGGGATCTAATTAAACTAGAGAGCTTCTGCACAGCAATAGAAACTACCATCAGAGTGAACAGGCAACCTAGAGAATGGGAGAAATTTTTTGCAATCTACTCATCTGACAAAGGGCTAATATCCAGCATCTACAATGAACTCAAATTTACAAGAAAAAAACAAACAACCCCATCAAGAAGTGGGCAAAGGATATCAACAGACACTTCTCAAAAGAAGACATTTATGCAGCCAAAAGACACATGAAAAAATGCTCATCATCACTGGCCATCAGAGAAATGCAAATCAAACCACAATGAGATACCATCTCACACCAGTTAGAATGGCGATCATTAAAAAGTCAGGAAACAACAGGTGTTGGAGAGGATGTGGAGAAATAGGAACACTTTTATACTGTTGGTGGGACTGTAAACTAGTTCAACCATTGTAGAAGTCAGTGTGGCGATTCCTCAGGGATCTAGAACTAGAATTACCATTTGACCCAGCCATCCCATTACAGGGTATATATCCAAAGCATTATAAAACATGCTGCTATAAAGACACATGCACATGTATGTTTATTGCGGCACTATTCGCAATAGCAAAGACTTGGAACCAACCCAAATGTCCAACAATGATAGACTGGATTAAGAAAATATGGCACATATACACCATGGAATACTATGCGGCCATAAAAAATGATGAGTTCATGTCCTTTTTAGGGACATGGATGAAGCTGGAAACCATCGTTCTCAGCCCTGTCGCAAGGACAAGAAAAACAAACACCGCATGTTGTCACTCATAGGTGGGAATTGAACAATGAGAACACATGGACACAGGAAGGGGAACATCACACACTGGGGCCTGTTGTGGGGTGGGGGGCGGGGGGAGGGATAGCATTAGGAGATATACCTAATGTTAAATGATGAGTTAATCGGTGCAGCACACCAACATGGCACATGTATCCATATGTAACAAACCTGCATGTTGTGCACATGTACCCTAAAACTTAAAATATAATAATAAAAAAAAAGATACTGGCAGCTGGAAAGAAAAAATAATAAATCCAGAGAGTGAGCAATAACATCAGCTTACTCTTATTCAGTTGCCCCTCACAATTCCATGCCAGAAGCTTTTCAATGACACAAAGAAATATCAAAAGGCTAATGATATACAGTGTTTTCCATGAGGATGTTTAATCAAAAGAGTTAAAAAGGACTTTCATATGATCCATAATCAATACTAGAGAGATAGTATTTTATACTTGTGACTAATTATTTAAAGACACTGTAATAAGTAAAAGGTTACTGAAAATAGTGGTGAAATAAAAAGAAGGCATTATAATAAAAAAATGAAAATTAATCATGACATTTTTGAGAATTAAGCCTTTTGGTCGTGTCTGTTATGAGATAAATATCAATTTAAAGTTGATTTCAATGAACGATGTTGTTTTTCCTGCATTAACATATTTGCTTAATTCTCTGCTAGAATAATTAATGGGTATTATTGGAAAGAAGTGGAATTAGGCACTGCTCAATGCCTATTTACATGAACAGCGCATTACGAGCAAGATGTTCTTGAGGACTGTGCTGGCACTCCCTTGGGTTTCTAAAGTCTATAAAAAGCACTAAGTGAAGATAATAGCAACATAAAATCTATACATTCTTTAGCTTAAAATTTTTTCTATTAAATTTATATCTGTACTATTTACTAGTCCTATTAAATTATAGACACAAAACTCATTTTCACTCCAGTTCATGCCTTCTTTCAGCCAATTTGTGTTGTGTACCAACAGTTTCAGGCTATGTTCTAGGCCCTGGATATAGTAAAATATCTTCTCCTTTAAAGAAAAATAATGACCTACAGTTTATGGCACAGCTTTGCTCCAAAGTCAAAAAGATCTGCACTGTGATTCACCCCTAAGGCTTATAAAATATTCCATAGTGCATCCTTATGTACCTGTAGATACTACAAACACCCCAGGGTTACACAGGAACATGAACAGCAGTCGGGGCCTTTACAGAGCCTCTCTTCCCCAAACATACAGCCTTTTGGATTAAATAAACTGGAATGGCATTCCCAAATGAGATGTATGTTGTTTCCAAAATCCAAAGTGGCCCATTAAGGATGACACCTTTTCATGAAGGAGGGAGCAGGTACAGCAACTGTCCTCCTTGTGGGACATTTCTTCATATATCCTGATCACTATGCCCTAAGATTTTTACCAAGGTGGTGTATGTTTGTCTCTGAATTTGGGCGAGGTTTGTTTCCTAACTTCTGGCACACGTGTGACTTACAAAAACGTATAGGATATTTTACTACTTTCATCAGTATGAAAACATCCATGTAGTGGATTAGTGTGATGTCCAGTAGAACAGAGTAAAATCACAGTTCCTGAGCACTGATGATAGGACAGGGCTAGAAAAGGTTTTAGTACAACTGAGACAGAACAGCAAAGGTGCAATGCTTCATATGTTGCCTTGAACCTAACTGCTTCTGATGGCCACTGCTCTGAAGTACAGGGTAAATTTATCAGTTCATTGGGGCATACAGGTACCAGGACATATATTGATTTGCTGTCACCACAAAATCACATCTGTAATAGCAGCTATGTTTGGAGACCCCTTGTTTCAGTTTATGTGAATCCATTTTCCTTTCCTGAGGTACTCCTGTCTTCTGCCCAAGCCTAACAGACAAGTTGAATGGTGATGTGGTAGAAGTCTCCCAGCTTTATCTTTCTGGGCCTCAGTGGTAACACTTTCCTCTGAAATTCCATATTACTTTTGGCTTACAGTTTAATTAGGTAGGAACTCTTTTCATGGCATGCACTTACATTTGCTATTAAAATATTGTTCCACATGTCTGGGGTCCAATGTGTGTTTCTGCTAGCTGCTGAATATATTATTTCAACTATGTATTTCAGAACTTAGGAAGGAACTATGGAATGTGTTGAAATATATTATACCCACTTTGAGATCAGTCGGGGAAAAAATTCCATTAATCACCTGGCCTCTCTGAGTTACTATGATGACTACTGTACTATGGTGTTATTTTGGATTTCAAGGAATTAATGCTAATTTTGCATATGGTCCATTAATATTTAAAAGTCTGGCTATTTCCTCTTCCTCAGTGTATAGTTGCCATGGTGTGGCTTCAAGTTCCTCGTGTGCGGGCCAAATTTGGCTCAGTAACTTTCTTTTTTAATTGAGAACGTTTTAGTTGAACATAGTCATTCTCAGAGTCTACAGGTGCTGTAATGCTATAATGGCTGGATTGAGTACTTGCCCACAATGCCTCAAATATTTACTATCTTTTCCTATACAGACAAAGTTTGGTGACATTTGACTTATGGTATAAATTTTTGGCAATGTACAAAGTCTTCCCTCAATATCCTTACCTCTTTTTAAAGGAGCTCTGGTGTTGTGAATTGGATCAAGTCTGAGAGTTGGCTGAGGGATCAGGACCCTTTTGTAATGATTTAAGTGAGGGCCCCCTTCTTCAGATCTAGAACTTTTCTATTATCACATCAAGTTAGGCTTCGGTAGACTGCCCATCTATTTCAATTGCACAAAAACCATTATCATTAGCAAATGCCAAATATTTTTGTGGTTTATTCTGTTTTGTTATGATTTCTACTTTGATGCCCAGTAGAATAGTCACATTTACCTTGTGTCTGGTGGTTAGGTGGCACTACTTGGCCACTGCCTTTCAAACAAGACATAGCCTACTCATTCAATTTAAGAGCCCCAATGAAAGAGCGGAATTTCCTCTGTCATTTCTGGCCATCAATAGCCATTAGAGAGCTCTTCAAAATTAAAAGTGAAGCTATGCTAGTTCTACTAAGATGTATTAGCTCCATTCCTCCCAAGTACTCCCAGTTACCTCTAAAACACTCTGGACATTACAGAAAAATACGAGTGTTAGAAAACTCTGAAAGGTGGAATGAAGAAGAATGGCTGCCTTGTAACATTGGGACTTGAAGATGTTCCTTAGGTTCTCTTATTATTTCCCAAGTATCTTGGACAGAGTGCTGGGAAGCTTCCAATCCAGAACTAAAAAGACACAGACAAAAATGTTGCAAGAAAATCCTTGTTACCCCCAGTCATAAGTCCATGAAAAAAAGGTGACCTAACAACAGAAAACCTTTGGCAGTACCCATACTACTCCAGTCAACCCTAACATAAAATGGACCCCACTGGGGTTTCAGCCCCCACTTCACTACACTATAGAAGCACAGACAGCACCCAGTTCCATTGCAAGGCCATGAAGACAGATCAACTTCTGGTCCTGCCTCACAGAAACATCTGTACCAGATGGTGTTGGTGGGCTGAATGGGCAGGTTACCCTCATCTCCTGCTCAGAGAAACAGGTGGGGGTTGATCTCTGAGATGAACTTTAATTAAAAAAAAAACTTAGATGAACTAAATTTAACAGTTTATTTGAGCAAAACAATGGCTCTTCTCCAACAGCATGAACAGTCAGCACTTATAGGCTGAAAATGATCTGTGGGGACCCAACATGAAAACAAAAGTAAAGTAAGCACCTGATTGATTGGCTATAGCCAGACATTTGCCTCAAAGGTGAGGTACGGTGAGGTTTCTGCCTTGTTTGGATGTGGTCCCATGGCGGGATCCTAGTTGTACAAGAAATTTTCTGGAGGCTGTCATTGGCTAAAGTTCGTTATTTATTTATTTAAGTCAGTTACAATAAATGCTTCCAAATTAAGTTCTGTTTGGCCTACTTATTTAATACCCCAGTTACAGAGATAACTTCAGACTAATGGCTTCCTTATTTGCCTTGACAATGCTCCTTTTGTTTAAGCTTCTCAATCTTGATAGATTGACAAAAATTGGGAGCATTAATGCCACTCTCTGTCATCATTATAATGGACTTATTTGGTTTCATTAAGGAATTGATAAGTCATAATATCAGACTCACTAAAAGATGCTTCATGTTTTTTTGTCATTCTACAGGTAGTGAGGCCATTTTATGCACAGTGGGTGGCTGCATACAAGCATTTAAGACTCTTGAGGGGATACAGTGCATGAGAGAGAACAAAGTGATGACTATCAGGAGGATAATACCAAGAGGCTGAAATATGCCCTTTAATCAAAGACTCTGCAGACCAAACTAATTAAAATCAAATAAATCAAAGAACAGCCAGAAGAGGAATCTGTTTAAACCAAGTAGTCATTTGTTGATATTTTGTAACTGAGTTTCTACAATACCAAATATACTTATCCAAGTCTAGCAGGGGGTGTTAGCTGTCACACACACTTCTCATTGTTGAGCCAACAGATAGTCCAAAGCAATCCTGTTATCTAAAAACAAAAACAAAACCTTTATCAAGAAAGTTTAGAAAAGTTTGCTGCGTAACTGTGACCTTTGCAGAAGAGTCAGCTATAGTAGCAACTGTTTGAGACAGTTCTCTAATTATTACCTCATTTATATTTTTGCCAAGTTAGGAAAAATGCATTCTACCAAGAGATGCCCATTTAGAGAGATTTATACCTACTGGTAAATTTTTCTTTATTCTATAGTGCAAATTAAGAGGTGTAGACCAATATTCAATTTTTAGTTTGTTATAAAGTGGTAACATTAGAATCCCTAATCCATAATGCCTTCTTATTTTCCACTTATTGAGATATGGAGTTTCCTGTGAGTATAGTTGACCATTATATTTTCTACAGATCAAAACGAATTCTGGAGAGGCACAATAGACAGTTCTCTGTGGGGTGCCTTGTGATTTAGGAGTCACCTGTAGGGAAGCACTACTAGTATTTATCCAAGTCTCCACTACTGAATCTTTGCATGACTGAAGGCTAACGACAATTAGGAGATTAAGGTTATTAATTTGTCTGTAAAATTTCAAATTATTTTGTTTTTGGTTTTCTTATTCAGTTTCTGGCATAATTTAACCATAAATCCTCCCCATAGGTTTTACTTACTGTTAGACTGAAACAAGGAATGTAAACATGTGGATCTTAAAGCCTAACCTACAGCAAGGACCAGAGGTGCAATTCGAACAAGTAGTCACACAGAAAATATCAGTGAAATTTGTTATAGGGTAAAGTGGAAAAACTTTAAGATCATATGGAGATTTTAGTTTAGCATAACATATGTGATATTCAGTTATGTTTACTGTAGAAGCTATCAATTTCAAATGATCAATTATCATATAATTTTGCTATGCATAAACAGAAAAGTAACACAAGGAAAGTAGAAAAAGAGACACAAGTTTTACAAAAACAGAGGAGAGAAATCTTGATCTATGATCTTGGGAAAGCTGTTCATGTCTAGGCTGTGAAATGCTTCTGGGAACAAACCTCCATGGTCAATTTTACCATGAGGTCTTAAATGACTGTACAATCTGAAGAGCCTAGAGGGGACCTCTTGAGTTGAGAAATACAGACCCAAGTCTTAAGGCCCTGAAGTTTTGCTGCAGTGTGGGTAGTGAGAAGAACTTGGTATGGTCCCTTCCAAAAGGAGTTCAAGGACAATCTTCCTCTGATGTAGCCTCTAAAATATCCAATATTTGGGTTGTAGATCATGAAATGCCTGGCTGTCCTCAGTTGACAGTTTATGAAAGGCTTCTTTTACCTGGCAAAAATATACTTTGACATAGTGCTTTAAAGCTTTGCAGTATTGAGTCACATCAGAGTTTATAAGAACAGGAAATACATGACTTTCTATTATTTAGAAAGCATTAGAGTCCTTCCAGGAACTGTTTAATAAGTTCCAGTAACAGTTTAATAAGGAGCAAATTTGTATTTTGCAGTGGAGGTGAATCTGATTGCCTTCAAGGCCAAAGAATGCCATTGGTCAAGGCAATCCAGTTGATTTGACTAGCTTTACCAATTTCAGTCTTAAAATACCATTTGTCCTTTCAAACTTATCGGAAGTTTGAGGAAGGTAAAGATAATGATAATGCTGTTGTATTTGTAATTCCTTATTTAACTGCTTTAAAACTTGTTGAAAGGACCACCCCTAACACTGGAGATTCCTCCCAATGCGTTATAAAGAAAATATGTTTTCTAATAAACAAATTAACTACCATTATAGCATCAGCCTCCTTGCCTGGGAAAGCTTTTGTCCACCCAGAGAACATAGAATTACAAGAACATATTGATATTCCATAGAGGGTAGCATTGAATGAAATCTCTTTGAAAATGTTCAAATGGTCCAGCAAGTGGCAGAAATGTATCATCTGAGGTTTTCATTGTCTTACCTGGATTATGGGTTTGATAAACAAAATATCAGTTATAGATCATTTTACCAATTTTAGAACAGTCATCCCACCAATATGTTTTCACAGTTTGTCTTATTGTATCTATTTCAGGATGAGTTAAGGAGTACAGAGCTTTCAACAATGGAAGCTTTAAGTACTCAGGAAGAAATAGGCAGCCAGCTGGGCCCTATGCGAGTACAAGCTTAATGTTATATTTACATCATTTTAAATATTAGTTTTATTTCTCCAATTCAGGTGCAACATACTATTTACTAAATAGGTTATCAAAGATTGTTTGATGTGGATCAATCTTATGATGTTCATTGAAATTGTTTATCTCAACTGTTTCAGTACTAGCTTACAGCATGAAAATATGCTAAGGCATTTCCTTGGTATTCAGTTAATTATTGTTCTGCTTGATATTGGTTTAGCAGTTTTATGAATCAGTTTCTTCATTAAAGTTGTAAAAATTCTTACCTGGTCCAATGGTATAATCTTAAAGTTACGGGGAACTTGTACTTGCCAGAGTTATTTCCATGAATCTTCTCAAAGGGAAACATTTTAGGATTATAGTTGCTTGCAAATGCTTTCAGAAAGGTCTCAGAATAAAACAATTAACTGTCTGTGGATGATAAAACATTTAGAATGGCCATAGTTAAAAATCTACTTTTGTAGTTTCAAGCTCCTGACCGGTGGAATAAATAGAAATAGTAGGCATACCATCACTAAATATTTTGCATTTATCATGCATAACTTGGCAAGATTCTCAGGGTTTTCAGCTGATGCTGTCCTTCTTCCTACTCCTCAATTTATTGTGTGGAAAGTTTCATCTTTTCTTCCCCCAGATGTTGGATGCTGCAGCTGCCTCTACCTCCTTGTGGACTTGAAAGTTAACAGGCATTGCCATTATTGCTGCTTTCGGTGTTCTATTTCTGTGCTGTACCTGGTTATGTTTTCTTTAAGCTACTCTACAAAATATTATTAATTGTTGCTATGAGATTTTAAAGGGAGGTGAAATTTCTCAAAACAAGAGCTTACATTCTTAAAATCGATTCTTCATCTATATTGCTGAAATCAAGCTCTGAAGATTGATCAATGACTCCTTAATTTTAATTATTAAAGACTCCTGTTTGTCATTTTGCCTGATTGCCTTGTAGCTTTTGATATTCAGCACACCTGGAATGCTGATTTTTTTGGACAGGCTGACTTTTTCCTCCCCTGATTCCAATTTGCTTCCTGAGCCTAACATTAAGGACTCCCCAAGCTTTAGTCTTCAGGCAATTCTCTGTAGTGTCAATTATTAGGAAACTGTGTTCCCTCCCATGACTTTAATCATTATCTCTGAGCATATTGTACCCTAGTGTTTCCACAAACCCAATCTTCATTGCTATCTAACCAATTGCCTATCAGGCATTTTCACCTGTGGTGATCTAATTTCAATGTCTAAAATTAAAGGTATCTTTTCCAAAAAAAAAAAAAAAAAGAAAAAAGAAAAAGAAAAGAAAAGAAATCCAACACCCTTACAATATCTCTATTCTTTTTAAGAACACTGCCATTTTTTTATATTAATATTAACATTTAAGCTTTAATTAGAAGTACAACTTTTTTAAGGTAAGTTTTAGGAACAGTACTCTTTCTTTGATTAGTATCCAGAATTCCATCTTGAATACTGCCATTTTTGTCTTCTACATTGCTGGCAAATATGCAACTTAAAAAAATTATCTTTGCTGTATTATTATTTTTAAGCCAGTCATCTTATGTTAATTATTTCTCCACAACATCACTTATATCTATCTTTTCTCCCTACTACCACCATTTTAAGTGTAAAAGTTAACTCCGTAACATTGTTAGAATATATGTATAGTTTAGACTTTATTTCTTAATCTCAAATCCTTCCTATTGCCAATGTCAAATTAATCTTCCAAACACAATATACATCATGTTTGTGGCCCAATACTATTTCCTTTTCTTAATATGGTTTTTTATACATTTTAGAATCCTGCAATAATAATTTCCTTTCTTATAGTCAAAGCACATGTAAAATCACCATTTATATCAGATAGGACTAATGGTCAGAAATAGACTCATTTGCTAAAAGTCATACTAGCAAATAGTGACTGCACCAGATCTTGACACAATTGAAAACTTGACTCTAGTTCATCTTTGTATGGACTTTTATTACATGGGCTTTTAAAGTAGCATACCTTAGTGCATGAAGTCACATATTTTATAAACATCAAAATATCAAGAACTAGATAACAGTTTAAGCCATTCAAACAGATATTTGATATTACTGTTTCAGGTTAAGTGAGAATAAGCTTGTCTTAATATTTCTAAACATATACAAAGCTCTAAAATATTTTCTTTTAATATTAATTAAACAAAAATAATTTCTTATATATATAATGCTTGGAAAATAATAGTATACATAAAACTATAAGTACGGCCTGAATAGCCTGAAGGTCATTTAATACAGTATTTTTCTTTTACCACTATTTTCTCTTTAATGTTGATTCTTTTGGTATGCAAGAAATACATACACATATGTACATAAGAGCTATAGTCATGATTATTCACATTAGAGGAAAACATTTACTTCCAGTTGATTTCTTACACGGTTATTTTAAGTTATGGCACTGGCAGTTTCTTTAAAATATGGCTTTAGTAACAAAAAATCAAATCATAAACACTTTACTGTACTTTTATTGTTTCCATTTTTAGACTTTAGGTATAAAGTATTAAATTCATATTTAATGGTAGAAAACATTCAAAAAATGCAAAAACCTCTCTGACCTACACTTTCATTTTCTATTTAAAAGTTCTTTGACCAGGCTTGGTGGCTCATGCCTCTAATCCCAAGCACTTTGGGAGGCAGAGGTGGGAGGATTACCTGAGGTCAGGAGTTCGAGACCAGCCTGGCCAACATAGTGAAACCCCGTCTCTATTAAAAATACACAAATTAGCTTGACATGGTGGCATGTGCCTGTAATTCCAGCTACTTGGGAGGCTGAGGCAGGAGAATTGCTTGAACCGAGGAGGCAGAGGTTACAGTGAGCCAAGATCACGCCGTTGCACTCCAACCTTGGTGACAGAACAAGATTCTGTCTCAAAATAAATAAATAAATTAAGTAAATAAATAAATAAATAAATAAAAGTTATCTAAATTGCTACATTTTAAGACTGAAAAAACAGTTTATTTCTTATGTGAATGTTTTTCTGATTTTTGGACCAAGATTAAATTGTAGCTATTTGCATATAGAATATATACTTTCTCAGTATCCCAATGTAACCATGCGTTGAATTTCTAAAAAATGATGTTACGGCAATTATTAAAATATGATATACCTTAAAAATCAAGAGAGGGTTTTGCAAATTCACATTATAATTGTATTATTTTCCTGAGGACTATTTATTTAGAGATTTATCTCTATCATCTATTTTTTCCATTTCCCTTTTTAAATCTATCTCAATTTGTCACAGTCTATGTGTCTTCATTAGATTTTCTTTCAGGTTACATGTCCCTTATCTTAAATGCTTGGGACCAGAAGTGTTTTGGATGTCAGATTTTTTCTGATTTTAGAAAATTTGCGTGTACATAACGAGATATCTTGGGGATGAGATTCAAGTCTAAACACGAAATTCATATATGTTTTATATATGCTTTCTAAACATAGCCTGAAGGTCATTTAATACATGAAGCAAAATTTGACTGTGATGTAGCACATGAGGTCAGGTGTGGAATTTTCCACTTGTGGCATTATGTCTGCACTCAAAAAATTTTGGATTTTGGAGTCTTTAAGATTTTGTATTTTCTGACCAGAGATGCTCAATTTATTTTTTAGTTCTCCTGATTTAAAAGTGGTGCTTAAGAGATACCAGCAATGACAATCCTATTCCAACAAAATGAAGATTTAAAGTTCCATGTAGAAACAGGAGAACTCTGTCCAGAATGTTGCATAGCCAAGAGATGTTATCTTCCTAACCCATTGATTCTTCAATGCATTTCAAGATGAAATCCATCAAAACTTTCTCCAACGATAATATCCATATGACTAAATTAAGAATTACTTTTCATTTGATTTGATCTTTTTTCAGCAATTTTTCTTGAAACACCCTCTGTGTTAGGCAGAATGATGACCCACCAAAGATGTCAAATTTCTCATCCCTGTCATCTGTGGGTAAAGGGAATTGATGATATGAATGATATTAAGGCTGATGATCATCTGATTTTGATATGGGTGGATTATTTTGGACTACCTGGGTGGGTCTAATGTGATCACAAGGGTCTGTAAATGTGGAAAATGAAGGCAGAGTCAGCAAGAAGCAGCATAAGAAAGAATTGACTGGCATTGCTGGCCTCGAAGGTGGAGGAACAGGACATGAGCCAACGAATGTAGGCAGCCTGTGGAAACTGTGAAGGAAACAGTTTCTCCACCAGAAACTCCAGATGGAATACAGCCCTGCTGACACCTCTTTAATCCAGTGAGACCCTTTTGGATTTCTGACCTCTAGAATTATAAGATAATAAATCTCTTGTGTGTTAAGTCACCATATATGGGATAACATGTTATAACGGCAATGGGACACTAATATATTCTCTTTCTTAATGTACCAAATATCAAACACTCCAGGTTTCTTCCTATATCCATGACTGGATTTTAAAATTTCCTTTATTGGATTCTCATTCTTTTCTTGATCATTTGACATCTAAGTTCCTCTGGGGTTTTTCCTAGTTTTACTTGGCTCTTCTTTATACTCACTGTTTCCACATTTGCATGGCCCAAAAATATTTGTCTCCAGTCCAGATCATAGTGTGTCTGAACTCTTGTAATCAATGTTTACATGAAAGTCCTTTCTGTACTTTGTATTGCTGTGATTAATTTACTCCCATTGTTTACAACATTTTGTTGTTTGGAAATTTTACTATTACTTAGGTATCCTGTGGTGAATGGACTACTAAGAACAATCAATACTTTGCATGTATTGGCTCATAAACACACTTATTTCTGCTGAATTTGTGTCTAGTGATGAGGTTGTTACATCATTTGATATTGGCAATCAGTTTTATAAAGTGTTAGCACAAAATTACAGACATGCCAGCTGTGTATGAGGATTTAAATTCATAAGCATCCTTGCTAACACATTGTATAATCCATCTTTATATTTATTTTCCACTCTGGTTGTATACATAATGGTGTTACATTCTGTTTTAATTCACCCCTCTGTGATGCAGTGAAGATGAGGACTTTTTTATATATTTACAAGCAATTTAGTTATTCTTGTTTTTGAACTGCCTCTCCAAGTATTTCACATAATAATGTTCTATTCTGAATTGATTTTAATTCATTCTTTATGTATTTTGGATATTTGCATTTTATCAGTTTACAGGTGGTAAGTATCTTCTTTCAGTCTGTGGCTTCCCTTCTTACTATCACATGTGTGCCTTTTGATGAGCATGATGTGTTGCACATATTCTGCTTGCCCTTTCCAATTGGCTTTTCACCCTTCCTTACTTTCTTCAATGCACTAGGAGCTGAACTTTTGTGTGCTCCATCAGTAAATTTCTATAATCTTTGGTTTCTTGTAAGGCTTGGGCAATGGGAAGCCCAGGGAACTAGGGAAAGAGAGAGGACTGATATTAGGATATCCATTCCCCTGCCTTCCTCCATGCAGTAATGACTGAAATTGTCCTGGTTGTTGTACCCACAGATTATTTCTCTTCTCAACGCAGATGTATCTCTATGCGTCTTTCCCTTAAGGCTCTGGTGTCTCATACCTCGTTGATCTATTCAGGCCCTCTAATCGGTAATGACTTCACCAAGACCGAGCCCTGGGATTGTGTACTACCCTTGTGTTACAAAGGTAACGAAGGTTACCTTTGTAACCTCGTGGTTACAAAGGTAGTAACCACATGGTCTACGTAACTAACTCCATTGTCTCATCTTAAATAAATTCTCCTTAATTTATTTGACTGGATATGTCCAGATTTATTTTATTTTAATGAATTAGAAAATGAACTGCAAGTATATATGTGCATATGTATATTTATGTGTTTGTGTGCTTATATATATATGTATTCACATGTACATATACTATCTATATCTCGGTTATTATTTTAATTTTTGCTTCAATTAAACATACCATAGTAAAGGAAGAGGAGAAGGAAAGCCTATTTTACTTAGTCATATGTATATAGTTTTTCTTTCTGTTCTTTTGTTTTAATTTTTTTCTTTCATTGTTACTTTTCTGTTTAGAAAACACTGTTTCAGGCCAGGCATGGTGGCTCACGCCTGTAATCCCAGCACTTTGGGAAGCCGAGGCGGATGGATCACGAGGTCAGGACCTAGACCATCCTGGCTAACATGGTGAAACCCCGTCTCTACTAAAAATACAAAAAAATTAGCCGGATGTGGTGGCGGATGCCTGTAGTCCCAGCTACTCGGGAGGCTGAAGCAGGAGAATAGCATGAAACAGGAAGCGGAGCTTGCAGTGAGCCGAGATCACGCCACTGCACTCCAGCCTGGGCGACAGAGGGAGACTCTGTCTCAAAAAAAAAAAAAAAAATCAAAAAACAAAACCAAAAAAACAAAAAAATACACTCCCTTTCAGCCTTTGTTTTAGAGAAGGTTTACTAACAATGCTAGTTTTAGATTTCCTTCATCCGTCAATATCTTGATTCTTTTTTTAATTCTGAAGAATATTTCTTCCACTGGGTATAGGATTCTGGCTTCTTTCTTTTCAGCACTTGAAAATTATTCCATAAGTTTCTTCTAGCTGTCTAATTTCTTGATAAAAGATCCACTGTCATTTGAATTGTTTTTCTCCTATATGTAATGTGCCATTTCTCTCTGGCTGCTTCCAAGATTTTTTTTTTTTTTTTTTTCACTTTCCAGAAATTTGACTTCAATATATCTTACTGTGTAGGTTTCTTTGGGATTTTCCTCTGGGATTCATGCAGCCACGTGAATCTTCATGTTTATGTCACTTGCCGAATTTGTGGAGTTTTCAGCCATCATTTCATTGTCATTTTTCATTCCTGCCATCTTTCTCCTCTCCTTCTGTTACTCCAAACACACAAAGGTTACATCTTCGGTTACAGTTCTGTAAGTGCCTGTTGCTCTGTCTTTACATTTGTTTATTTATTTTGAAGTGTGTGTTCTCTCTGCTGTTCAGATTGGGTAATATCTATTGCTCCATCTTTCAGTTCACTGATTCTTTCCTCTGTTTCATTCATTATGTTTCTGAACCCATCTCCCGAGCTTCTTATTTTGGTTATTGTATTTTTCTTTTCTTTTAATTTAATTGTATTTTAAGTTCTGGGGATACAGGTGCAGTATGGCCATTTTCATGATATTGATTCTCTTTATCCATGTTATCCTATCCTGATATTGATTCTGATTTCCTGTCCTGAAATTGACTCTTCCTATCCATGAGCATGGATTTTTTTTCCGTTTGTTTGTGTCTTCTCTTATTTCCTTGAGCAGTGGCTTGTAGTTCTCCTTGAGAAGATCCTCCCCTTCCCTTGTTAGTTGAATTCCTAGGTATTTATTCTCTTTGTAGTCATTGTGAATGGGAGTTCATTCACGATTTGGCTCTCTGGTTGCCCATCGTTGGTGTATAGGAATGCTTGTGATTTTTTCACATTTATTTTGTATGCTGAGACTTTGCTGAAGTTGCTTAACAGCTTAAGAAGCTTTTGGGCTGAGATGATGTGAAGCATCTCTAATTTTGTCATTTCGAGAATGTTGTTTCAGTGGTATCATACAGTTATCTCAGTGGTATGCACACTTTGAGTTTTGTTGTTTACTCAGCATAATGCCCTTGAAAGCCATCCAATTTAACTATTCATGTAATAGAGACATTTTACTTGTTTCTAGCTTTTTACTATTAAAAATAAAACTACTAGGAACAATTGCATAAAGTTTTGTGTGCACATATGTCTTCATTTTCATAGAATAAATTCCCAGGTATGATATTTCTGGGTTGTATGATAAGTGTATGGTCAATATTCATAAAACAAACAAGCAAACAAAGCAGACCAAACAATTTTTCAAAGTGGCCACACTGTTTTACATACCTATCAGCAGTGTATCAGCGAATCATTCTTTTTCACATCACCTTGCCAGCCCTTGGTATTGCCACTCATTTTTTATTGTATCTGTTCTAATGGGTGTCTAATGATACCATGCAATGGTCCATATTTTCAATCCCCTAATGCATAGTAATGGTGAACATTTTTTCATGTGCTTATTTCCCATCTATATATTCTCCTTAGTGAAATGTTCTGTTCATTTCTAGTTAATTCATTTTCAGTTGTCTTTTGGCTGTTGAGTTTCAAGAGCTCTTTATGTATTATAGATATAAGTCCTTTCTCAGATATGTGGTTTGAAAATATTTACTCCCAGTCTGTTGATTGTCTTTTTAGCTTTTTAACAGGGTCCTTTGTAGAACAAAATTTTTAGTATTAATTATGTCCAGTTTATTGATTATTTTTTGCCAAAATAAGTACTCTTTACCAAGTCCTAAGTCCTTACCTAGTTTTCTTCTCTTAAAAACACTTTTAGAGTTTTATCTTTTTAATTTAAGTCCACTGTCTGTCTTGAGTTAATATTTAAGGATGTTATGTAGTTTAAGCCCAGGTTCTATTTCTGCCTGATTATCGCATCGTTTATTGAAAGAGTATCGGCCGGGCACGGTGGCTTACGCCTGTAATCCCAGCACTTTAGGAGGCCGAGGGGGGCGGATCACGAGGTCAGGAGATCGAGACCACGGTGAACCCCGTCTCTACTAAAAAATACAAAAAAATTAGCCGGGCACGGTGGCGGGTGCCTGCAGTCCCAGCTACTCCGGTGGCTGAGGCAGGAGAATGGCGTGAACCCGGGAGGCGGAGCTTGCAGTGAGCAGAGCTGAGATCGCTCCACTACACTGAAGCCTGGGCGACAGAGCGAGACTCCGTCTCAAAAAAAAAAAGAAAAAAAAAAAGAAAAAGAAAGAGTATCCTTCATCTACTGTAGTGCTTTTGCGTCTTAGTTAAATGTTAGTCATACTTGTGTGGGGCTATTTCCACATGCTCTATTCTTTTCCATTGACTAACCTGCCAATCCCACCACCTATAGTTCATAGTATTATTTACTATGTAAATAAAGTAAATAAAGCTACATGTTACATCTTCAAATTGGATAGAGAATTTTTTTTTCCAAATTGTTTTCTTTTCAGAATTTCAAAGTATTCTAGTTATTTTGGTTTCTTATATAAATTTTTAATGATTTTGGTTACATTTAAGTAGATCATCAGCTTATCAGCAGATTTTATTTTCTATTTTAGTGTGGCTAGTACAGTTGACCCTTGAACAACATGGGTTTGAACCATGCAACTCCACTTGTACATGAATTTTCTTCTGACTCTGCCACCCTTGAGGCAATAAAACCAACCCCTCTCTTCCTCCTCCTCCTTAGCCTACTTAATGTGAAGTTGATGAGGATGAAGAACATTTATGATGGTTCACTTTCACTTAATGAACAGTAAATATATTTTCTCTTCCTGAGGACTTTCTTAATAACATTTTATTTCCTCTGGCTTACTTTATTGAAAGAATATAGTATGTATAATATGCAAAATATATGTTAATCGACTGTTTATATTATCGGTAATGTTTCTGGCCAACAGCCAGCTATTGGTAGTTAAGTTCTGGGGGAGTCAAAAGTTATAGGTAAATTTTTGACTATGTGGAGGTCAGCATCCATAACCCTTGCCTTATTCAAGGGTCAGCTGTGTACAGAAATACAGTTAATTTTTATGTATCATTTTCTACCTTTTAAACTTGCTCAAGTTATTGTTAATTCCAGTAAGGTTTTTAATATTCTTTAGGATTTAATAGAAAGTCATGTCATATATGAATACAAACAGTTTAATCTTCACTTTCTATAACTTATGACTTTTGTTAAGTTCTCAAACAATGTTTGAGATTATCAAAACAATGTTGAATGGAAGTGGTGAGAGCAGATATCCTTGCTTTTATTGTAATTAGAAGGAAAACATCAAATAGATTATTTAATTTATCATAATGTTTGTTAGAAGTATATTTTAGGATTTTTTTTATCAGGTAGAATAACTTCCCTTTGACATCTAATATTCTGAGAATATTTTTTCATGAATGGATGTTGAATTTTATCAAATGCTTGCTCTTTGTGTATCCAGATGATCATATGATTTTTCTTCTTTATTCTCTTTAATTTGATAAACATTAATTTATTGATATTTTAATGATAAGCTAGTTATATTCTTGGGAGAAATTTTACTGGATTGTGATATATTATTACTATTGTTTTGATTTTGCCATATTTGTTAATTCTTTGTTGAGCACTTGTGTATTTATGCTCATAAAAGACATTATGAGTGTGTAATTTTTATTTTTCATGTTTTGGTATCTGGGCTACGTGATGATCTGATAAAATAAGTTTGGAACTCTTACCTTCTCCTTTGATTTTATTATATAAATGAATAGCATTTGTTCCCACAGAGTAAATCCTGCAGGCTGGCTTTTCATGTGTCTCACAAACGCCAGCAATGTTAACAAGATGTCTTTGTTCTTAGTATTTCCTTACTATGCCAGAACCTAATGTTTCTTAGTATTTTGCTTCATGTTCCTTTCTAAGCCACAGAAAATTACTCTCTGCTAAGCCTCATAACACCACATTCTGTGTATTTGCAGCCCAGATTTAGCCCTTCTGGCAGTCTCTCCTTCTAATCTCCTCTTTGCTTTTCCTCTCCTACCAGTCTGGCCAACTAAATAATTGTGGGGTTTAGTGCAAAATGATATGCAGGATCCCTTATTTAAAAACAGGAAGAAAATTTCATTGAAGATACTAAAACATGAGCTTTTTACTTTCTTCAATGATTTCTAGTCTCTGGATTTGTCATAGAGTTTTAATTTGCTATCTAACATTATCTCAAAATGTAACTATTATCATTTATTTCATTATTCACCTTTATATTGTGAAATGTCACTTTTTAAAAAGCAGACATAAAGGCATTTAACTCATAATGTAAACTCATCAAAATCACACAATTTGCATTCTATAGCTCATACACACATACGTGTTTCATTCTTACCAACTATGGAAACGTTGCAAAAAACAAACTCAGCTTTTTAGAACATTTCATTTACTGATATCTGCATTTCTGTCAGCACTCTTGACCTTAGGCTTACTGATTAGTTAGAAATGATCAAAAGGAGAAGATTACAAAATGACCAGCCTTTCCCTTTCTTTTCATGTTATCATTTTCAGCATAAGTGTTTGTTTAAACGTGGAGGTAACATGAATAAGAAGGGATATGACAGGGGTCCTTACAATGTCATTGCCTTCTTTTTGCGTTTGAAGCAGGCCCTAGTTGGAAAAGAAAACATGAACTCCCGCAGCTGCCACCTACTCAGTCGCGGATGTGACAGGCTGATGGTGCACTCCCTGGGATTCCATTGAACAAACACCACGCCTTCTGAGCCGACTGGAATTCTGTGTTCCACCACAAACACTGTGAGTGGCGCAGCAAGGAACAGCAGACATGCGTGTGCGAGTCTCACCTCGCCTCACATACATGCACTATGGTCCCATTGGGTCTCAATTGTGAAACACAAGTTCAAAGATGAAGGTGCTGAGAATTTCAAGACTGTAGCAGTAGAGGACTAGACTAAATGTGAGCCCTTCTGAGTGTGGGGCTTGCATGACTGCACAGCTTATGGGCCATGGAGCTGGTCCTCTCTCCCACCCGCTGGTTCCAGCAGCCCTGGCTCTCCACATGTGGATCTAGGCCTCGTCTCTGTCTGCAATAGGAACATTATTCTTGGGCAGAGAGCCTGCGTATATTGGGTGTTTTTTGTGTATTTCCTTTCTCTCAAGGATAACGACCCTCTTACAGCTATTTACCTAGTATCTGAAAAATGTTGCCTCACCTTTTTTTTCCCTCAGTTTTATAGCTATTTAAGGAAATATGGTAAGTCTAGTACCAATCAATTACTCTCATAGATGAAAAGTTGAAGTTGAATTAATTTTGTTTTAACTTTGCTTGCAAATTCTTAGCTTTATTTTCTATTATTGTAGATAGTTATGATTATTACATAATTTGATTCACTTGAAAACTCTCATTAAATCATAGTAAATTATTACATTAAACAGAGTGACATTCTTATGTTAATCACATTTGATACATCTATTTCTGAGCATAGCTTTTGCTATGTGATTCAATGCTCACGTTTGCTATGTGAATCAATTGTGATTCAATGTTCTCTATGAAGGAGTTTGTGATCATAAGCTAAGGTGAGAGTTGCTGAACTGTGTATCTCATATACTATTTCCGCCTTCATGGTACTGCTGAATGTTCTATCTAAGGTAATTAAAAAGAGGTGAAAAAGACAAAATGCACTACGTATAATAAACCACTAGACTTGAATTCAGAGAAACTTTTATTCAATGTAGGATGTTTTAACTTGTTCACTGAACAACTAATTTACTATCTATATAGTTGAACTTTCTGATGTATGAGCCAAGGATATTTGGTGAAGCAGTCTTTATTCTGCTCTAAAATTCTTATATTTTCTATGTGTAATAAATAAAAATACCATGTCATGATATTTCAATATTTTAATTATTATTATCCTCCAAATGTAATTTATTCTGCAATAAATTTATACCACTCTGGCCATAGTTATATTTATTCAGGACTGTACAAAAGCAAATAGGTGAATGATTTCTAAGCCAAATTTTGCATAACTTAATTAAGGGTAACTTAGTCTGTTGGATTAAAATTATTACATTATGCCCTGTTGCTATGTGCATTTTTAATAATTGGGAATTGAGAGATGAGAAAAGTTAAGAATAATCAGATTTAATTAAAACAACTCTATTCAATATGTAGTCTCATAATTCACATTTTATAGTAAAGTAAATTTTACCTGTTTTAACATTTATTCAAAAGAGCATTACGTGACACATAATAATTTCCTCTGCCCTACCTCTGTCATTACTAGAGAATTACATAGAAAGAAAGTATTATTTTCTTCTGTCTGATTAACTGCAATATTCTATTCTGTTGTTGCTAGGCTACAACAGATTTCAATCTTTTTTAATGTTGTTCTATAGAAAATAACTAAAATGTATTAGTCTCAGTAGGAGTATATTGGTGGCAATCTCTCAAATCAGTTGCCATACTCGCTACATAAAAGTAGTTATTTTTTACCTTAATATGCATAGTGATTAATATAGTTCTATTTCTAGAAGAGAGGGAGTTTAAAATTTTTGACTATAAATGTCCTCTTAAAAACTTTATGAATTTTAATTTTATCTTAAAATGACAAAGGCCCATTTATTTAATAATATTCTTTAGAAGAAAAATATCTAAACAGAATGTTTTTGTCTGGATCTAGAGATATACTTCCTGTTATCTTTAGTATATTGCATAATTAAAACTACTTTTTCTACTAAGTACAATTTTCTTTTACTTGAATAATTAAATTCATTTATTGCCACTTTTCAATGTTAATTTAAATAAATTAATATATTAGCTTCTAAAATACTCAAGTAAATTACTAATAATTATTCATAAATTCTTTTATTTCAGAATGTGTTTCTTCATGATATATTTAGAGGGTTTATTGAAAGGAAATTTTTTTGCATCTAAAATTGGGTATGTTCTCTTGAAGTTTCATGTTTTCTGGAGGATAAATAATTTGGTAAAAATAGATATAGATTATTTTAATTGTATTAACACATCAGATCCTACAAAAGGTATATGCAATATCTTACAACTGTGGTACCTTTAGTAGTCATGTTAGCTCCAATTTTGTATTCCATATAATTATTCAATAAAGGAATACTAAATAAAGATTTTTGTTGTTGTTTTGTATATATGTGTGTATGTTCTTTTTAAAACAGAAGAAAAGGTACTGAATACAAAGTAAGTGCAAAATTCAGATGTGTTGAATGAATGTAAAATTAGAAACTAAATAGATAATAAACTATTACATCCAGCAATTGTTGAAACACGAAAAAATAAATTACTTATAAAATATAATGGTATCAAAACTTTCCTTCTCATTTCTAACATAGTATTAAACGGTTTTATAAGCCTACTGTCTACAAATTCTGGAGTGCTTCTTTTCAATCTGAAACCATCTTGAAGTCTTTGGGAAATGTGGTAGAGTGATGCCTTACCAATTTTAGCACAGAAGGTGACCATGGTTCAGGTTGTACTTCCCATTTACCAGCATGTTTACTAATTAAATACATTAATGTCCCTTAATGTTTTTAAAGCATATATTTGTCTTTATGATGTTTCCAGATTGATCCAGTTTACAAATGTTTTTCCCTGTAATTTATAGAAACTTCCACCAATATGTTAGTTTCTTTTGTTCTTAAGCATAAAATATAGGGTTTGGAAAGTTCTTAGAAACAAATGTGTGTATGTTTGTGTGTGTGTGCATGTGTGTGTACGTGTGTTCTCGTGTCTCCTAATTTATGCTCTCTAAATAACAGACAAGACACAAATATTCCTATATGCTTGAGTTATAGATGCCTACAGTGACAATGAAGCCTTTTAAATAAGAAAAAGTAATTGGATTTTGTGAAAACATCAGGCCATTCGATGGTTATATATATTTTTTTAATGCTAAGAAAAATGTTTGGCAGTCTTTCTCATTCTTCCTACCATCCCTTTCATTGCAACTATCATATGTGGATGATGTTGCTATGGCAATCATTTATTCCATCCAGATAAGCCTTGCTGTGATAATAATATCCCATGCAGATTTATGCCAAGCAAGTTAGAACTGCTTAAGATCAGTATATGCCGATGATGAATGGCTATTTAGAATCACTTAATGTTGTTTAAAATATAACTGTGTCAATACAGAGAGGCCCAGCTCAATCAAAGCTCTCCACTTGAAGATATATACCCTCTTCCCAGAGTTTAAGACCAGCCCATTGTATGTTACTTTCTAAATAAAATAGAAGTCAAACATGCTGCTGTACATCTGCCACCTGGCAATTACTTGTTATGAAAACTGTTAGAAACAATTTATTCAGATGATCCTGAGTAATTGCTATCTCAGTCAGTTTCAGTTCATAAACAGGTCAATAGTATCGTCTTATGATTTCTTACTTCCTTAACATGAAACTTGAGAAAAAATATTTGTTATCTGGATTTCAAAGGATTAATCATTAAAAGCATAAATTAAACTTTTAAAATGTAGAAAATTTCATCCCTTAAAAGTGGCTGCTCATCCATTTGTATCTACTAATATAGGAAGTAAGATTTATATTTTGCAAAATTTTGCCACATATTAAGAAAAAGAGGAACATTCCAACTGCTTGAATGAGGCTAGTATTTTCTATACCAAAACATGACGAGAACGTTACAAGAAAGGCAAGGGATAAACTCATAAACAGAGATGCCACAATTCTGAACAAAATATTATCAGATGGTGAGCTTCCAATATAGAAGCAGTCTTGTATGTCACAACCAAGGTGTGTTTGTGCAATGAAGTATGTTTATGTTAGCATTTAAAAATTAGTCAGTATAATTCCCATATTAAAAGAGTAAAGGGCAAAAATTTTATTATAATGTCAATAGATATGGTAAAACCACTTGATAATATTCATTATTTATATACTATAAAATTTAACAGCTTAGCAAATTAGGAATGAAATTAGCCTTTAATCTGAAAAGGACATGCACTGAAAGATCAGCAAATAAGTGAAAACAAAAACATAAACACACCTAATTAACATTTTCAGATTGTTTCACTGTATATGTTAAAAAATACATCTATTGATTATATTATTTGAAATAAAAAATAGCAAGATTTCTGAATTAAGATCAATGCTCCAAATTTATTTTTAATAAGGAAAACTCATATGTCCCAATTTCAAAACTTACTATAATCAAATACACACACACACACACACACACACACACACACACAACCGCAGCCTGGACTAGAAGAGATGATAGCTGTTGGTGATTGATATTTAAAATCACCTTCGGCTTCAATTTTTTTTTTTTTTGAAGCGAAGTCTTGCTCTGTTGCCAGGATGGAGTGCATGGTGTGATCACGGCTCACTGCAACCTCCGCCTCCCGGGTTCAAGAGATTCTCTTGCCTCAGCCTCCCTAGTAACTGGGAGTACAGGCATGTACCACCATACTCAGCTAAGTTTTGTATTTTCAGCAGAGATGGGGTTTTGCTGTTATGGCCAGGCTGGTCTGGAACTCCTGGCCTCAAGTGATCTGGCCTCCGAAAGTGCTGGAATGCAGGCGTGAGCCACTGTGCCTGGCAGTGGTTCCAACTTTTTACAGGCTAAAAAAATAGCTGAGAAGATTTCCCACTTTCTCATCTTACAACATATGTTTTCTCGGTCACTCATTTAGATGTAGAAAAGAAGGAAATGGAAAAAAATGGAACCTCGCAGAAAGAGAGTAATATTTGGGAGTACACGAGATTAGGATTCATGAGGTCCCTGGCATAAAACCGGTGTTTGATCAGTATATATTCTTTATTCACAAAGCACCAGGCCCTCATAACATTTTCCCAGTGATATTTCTGAACAGCTATGTATCAGGGACAGCTTTTTGCCTTCAGTTCTCCCCCATTTGGAATGGGCATGTTGATTGTCTTCCATTATACTGGGTTGTGGCAAGCAGATAACATACTCTAGTCATTTGGAACAATGGGAGCCAGATTTGAACAGGATGTAGACCACGCAGTTTTGACTATGTGTCTGATGTCCAAAGTGCCTTGGGTTATTTTGGTAAGGAGTTGAGAATATTTTGTGTATCTGAGGAAAGTATATATTCCTGACCAATTAGGTGAATTGGAATATTGTTTCCAATAATTCTTATCTCTCTACATAATAGAATTATACCCCCAGCACTTGTGATGCCTCTGAGTAAGCTGTGGAGATATTTATCTCCATCCCACGGGTTTTGAGATTTTCCCATGCAATTTATTGTGGGTAAAACTTGCATTTCAGATCAGAATTTCTAAAAGGTAGAAGACGTTTCTATCCATATCTTTTGCATGTACTATTAAAAAAAAGCGTGTCTCAAGGGAGCATCTACATATTTTAGTTTGTGTTTTGGAATGAGAAAAATGGAGAGCAAGTCTGAAACAGAGGCAATTGAGCTGAGTTGAGCCCAGCAAAGATCAGCTGATTCTAACCAGCAGGACTGCGATAGAGAAATAAATGTGTTCCTGGTATTCTGGGCTTGCTTTTTGTTTCAGCAAACGATGAATAACGAGATGGTCAAGGTTAGCAACGTAGAAAATTATCATCAATTAACAAGATACAATTAAAAGACATGTAGAATCAATTAGGTTTGTTCTTCATTATACTAACATGGCCAGCATATAGGAATACTGGCTTTCCAAATATGCTACCCACTGGTTTCCTAAGGCTGGAACAAAGTATCAACAGACTGGAAGGCTTAAAACAACAGAAGTGTATTTTTCCACTGTCTGGAGGCTGAAAGTCTACAGTCAACGTTTGGTGAGGGCCATGTTTCCTTTGAAACCTGCCTGGGATATACTTTGCCTCTTTGCAGCTTCTGGGCATTTGCTGGCGGCCTTTGGCGTTCTTCGGCTAGCAGATGCATTACTGCAATCCTGTTTTCACAGAGCATTCTCCCTCTATGTCTTCACATCATCTTCTCTCTGTGTATGTCTGTTTCTGTGTCTAAATTTTCCCTTTTTATAAGGACATTAGTCATATTGGATTAAGGCTGACACTGATGACCCCTTTTTATTTGATTACCTCTTTAACACCATTAATTGTTTTAATTGAAAGTCATTATTTCTATTATTAACAGTCATAAATATTATTTTCTGCTATAGATCCCAAAATGCATAAGCAAATCTGCATTACATGTAAAGGTTGTAATGGAACTCCCTAGTATACACTGAGGTCAGGAACTCCTTTAATTTTTTAATATTCCCTTAGAATACATGTTGATTCAATATCAAAGTGCTATGTGAATATATATATATATATTTTTATTTTATTTTATTTTATTTTTTTGAGACATAGTCTCCCTCTGTCGCCCAGGCTGGAGTGCAGGGGTGCGATCTCGGCTCACTGCAATCTCGGCCTCCTGGGTTCAAGCTATTCTCCTGCCTCAGCCTCCCGAGTAGCTGGAACTACAGGTGCCTGCCACCATGCCCGGCTAATTTTTTCTATTTTTGTAGAGACAGGGTTTCATCGTGTTAGCCAAGATGGTCTCCATCTCCTGACCTCGTGATCCGCCTGCCTCGGCCTCTCAAAGTGCTGGGATTAAAAGCATGAGCCACCGCGCCCAGCTGAATATATTTTTATAGAAATAAAATTGAAACGCAAGTGTCTTCCAATCCTACATCTTTAAAATTTGGTGGATGTACACATATATATATAAAATTCTCCTTTGGTCTCTGGTTATTTCAGAAATGACTATAACTACATTTTTCTAAACTTCCCGCTATGTAGTGTTATTTTTGAAAAATGGGGAGTGGCATGGTGATTTATGTTAGTACATAACTTTATATTTAAAGCACAATATTTTAAACATGAGAAGAGAAGTTAAAAAAAAGAATTAAATGTGATTTTGAAAAATTATGTCTTTGTCCTTGAAAAAGCAATGTTAAATCATTTCTTTGTTTTGTCTGCTTTGTAGCTCAGGAATATTTTAATATTGTCTGTTGTCCTGTGCATTACTTTGTGCTAACGTTCCAATAAGGTTTGGCAGTATCTGGAATAAAGGGTAAATATATCTCTTCCCAAATGGCTTACTTTCTTAGGAAAGGAATGTACCATAAATACTGTTTTCATCTGACTACCTTGTTTCTGTCTGTGCCACCTTGTTTTGATAACATTAACCTGCTGCCAATGCTCTCACAGGGGTACGGAATCCAGTGAGGCAGGACAGATATACTCTATGAAAAATCTGAATCTTGAGAAGAGAATGATTAGAACAAGATATAGGTGATGTTTCCTCTGATGGCTGAACATCAGAGGGATATGGACGTTGGTCAACATTCCAGAGTAGTCCACGTCCCTGTCATTGGTGATGTGTAATTTTGCAACTATCCATTTGATTCTCTGACATACTCAAATGCCCATCCAGTCAACTCACCTTGCAGTAAGAAGAGTCCATTTTATTACTTGCAGCTAAAACACACACACACCCACAAAAATCCTAGCATACAACTTTATAGACAGCAGAGCCTCAACCTCTTGGAAGTCCTTTGCTTTGCATACTGATTTTTGTGGCTGTGTGAATAAGTGGAAAGCACACTGGACCAGAAATCAACCTGTTTTCCTATAATCACGTTAACTTTCACCTGCAATATGGCAATAGTCTCCTGCACTCCTCCTCTCCAGATAATCCCAAATATTACTGTCAGAGCAGTATTTTCAAATCAAAGCTCCCTTATTCAAAAGTTTCCAAGCCTGCCCTACAATTTATTGAATTCTTTAATTTTTAGCTATAAATTCTTACTTTTCCTTATGTGCACTAAACTTCTGAAAAATTGAATAGTGGCTACTCCACAAATAAGCTCCCATATCAGTAGTCCTCATGCCTTTGCTGCCTATTTTTTTTTTCTGCTAGAATGTGCTTTCTTCCTCAATCCAGCTATATCTGACAATAGTCTACTCAGACATTAAATTTATATGCAAACTCTGCCTCATTATAAATAGTCCTCACAATTTTCATTGTTCCTTCATTTTATTGACCTTAAAACAATCTTGGTTACCTTATAGTATGTATTTTTATCTTCTTTAATAATTTATACTCTTATCTACATACTAAAATAAGATCCCCCCAAAAATGTTGGCATCTTGTTGTGATCCCCTCTGGCATCTAGACATTGCTTTACATACTGGGTTCTCAGCATTTTTATTTTGAACAGAAACTTCAATTATTTGTATCCATTATTGTTTCTAATTGTGCCTCTTAATGTGTCAGATAGGTGTGTTTAACTACAAGTAATAGAAAATTCAAGTTAGCTTAAAATAAAGGAGATATCTTAGCTTATATAACCATAATGTCTCAATGTAGGACATGAGAAGGCAGGGATTTATAATGTTTTGCTGATTTATCACACAGTTGTCCTGGTTCTACCCTTCTCCAAATACAATTTTAGTCTCAGATAGTGGCAAAAAAAGATATTGACCCATTAGCCTGAATCCATGCAGAGAAATAATGACTGACTCTTATGGTAGGCTCAAAGCAGAGGGAGTTCATTTTCATGAAGATCCAGAAAAATACCTTGATAGGTGTTGGAGGAAGATGGGTAAAATGCTCATGATGAAATTGCCAAAAGCAATTTCAACAAAAGCAAAAATTGACAAATGGGATCTAATTAAACTGAAGAGCTTCTGCACAGCAAAATAAATGATCAACAGAGTGAAAAGGCAACCTACAGAGTGGGATATAATCTTCACAATCTATCCATCCAACAAAGGTCTAATACCCAGTATCTGCAAGGAACTCAAAAAAATTTGCAAGAAAAAAGAAGAAACATTCCCATTAAAAAGTGGGCAAAGAACATGAACAGACACTTTTCAAAAGAAGACTTTCATGCAGTTGACAAACATGAAAAAAAGCTCAACATCGCTGATCATTAGAGAAATGCAAATCAAAACCACAATGAGACTCCATCTCATGCCAGTCAGAATGGCCTTTATTAAAAAGTCAAGAAACAACAGATCGTGGCGAGGTAGTGGGGAAATAGGAATGCTTTTACACTGTTGGTGGGAATGTAAATTAGTTCAAACATTTTGGAAGACGATGTGGTGATTCCTCAAAGAGCTAGAACCAGAAATACCATTTGACCCAGCAATCTCATTACTGGGTATATACCAAAAGAATATATATTTATTATATTACAAAGATATATGAACACTTATGTTCATTGCAGCACTATTCACAAGAGCAAGGGGATGGAATCAACCCAAATGCCCATCAATGATAGACTGGTTAAAGAAAATGTGGTACATATATACCATGGAATATTATGCAGGCATAAAAAGGAATGAGATCATGTCCTTTGCAGGGACATGGATGAAACTGGAAGCCTTTAACCTCAACAAACTAATGCAGGAACAGAAAACCAAACATCACATTTTCTCACTTACATGTGGGAGCTGAACGATGGGATCACATGGACATAGGGAGGGGAACAACACATACTGGGGCCTGTTGCAGGGTAGGGTGGTGGGAGGGAGAGTATGAGAAAGTCTGGTTAATGCATGCTGGGCTTAATACCTAGGTGATGGGTTGATAGGTGCAGTAAACCACTATGGCACACATTTACCTATGTAACAAACCTGCATTTCCTGCACATGTACCCCTGAACTAAAAATTAAAAAAAATAATTTAATGCTGATGTGAATTTTAATCTTTGTGAAAGTGGATTGTCATGTGATGATTTGCTTAGGCTAGAGTCACTAAACCTGCTGCAGACAAGAGAACAAAATACTGTCAGACCATCAGGGACACCTATAGATTTAAGAAAGTGGTCAACTTCTCTTGAGACCATAGGGTTATAGAGGAAAACTTAGAAAATAAAACTAGCTGCTGAGTAGGAGAGACGGAAACTGTAGGGAGATCTACACCACATCAAACCCAGCTCACTTTCTTTGCCTGGTTCTACCATAGGGGCTAGAATTTACAATATGCCTCCTCCCAGGCAAACTTATTTGATGAACTATAAGCAAAAGTCTTTGGTGCTTTGATGCCTGTTGTCCTCATTTATCCTATCTAAAAATTTTCCTTGAGGGTTTTCTTATAACAGTCATCCTCTGACCAAGAGTGAAAGTCAACAAGATCAAGTCAAACTGGTATCATTGAGCCCCTGAAACAACTTCTATAGATGCATACCTTTGGATTCTTTATTATGTGAGAAAAATAAAACTCTGTTTAAGTCAGTGTGATGGGGTTTTCTATTACTATCAGGTGAAAGTATAACTAAATGATATGGTGGGAAAGCAACAATTTTCACTCCAGCAAACATAGAAAGAAGTGTGAAATCCAAAAATTGGAGTATTCGACCTGGTTCTGCCTTTGACAAGTTATAAGATGCTGAAGTGAGAAATTTATTGAACTTTAATTTTGCCAGTTATAAAGTGAGTTGTGCTGAAGTACAAGGTATCTGATGTCTAAAGTCCACTCTTGCTCAAAAATTCTAGGAATGCATAATAATTCTATAAAAAGGCTTTATAATATATAAATGCAATAATTTATTCTTTTTCAAAATATTTTAAAATCTTTTTTTTAGATTTTCAACATATTTGAAAACGAATAATTATGACTTAATCATTGAGTGATATTCTCAGCTCTTGTATGGCATGGTGTGTGCTTGGCACACGAACAGTCAGAGTCCAGCAAATATAGACCAGGAAGACCAATCCCTTTCTGCATCTTCCATGCTGGCTTTGAGAGCCTTGTTAATAAATTGCTCCTTCTGATATGTTTGGAAACTGGCCATTTATCTTCTCCTCTCCAGCTTATTTTCCTCTGCATTTCCAAATTCTCTTCATTTCATTCCTTTAAGGAAATGGCTATCAAAGTGTAGTTTATAGCCCCCCAGGGTCTTCGAGACACTTCCAGAGGACCTTTAAATGAAAAGCCTACTTCATGGTAATCGAGTGTTATGTGCCTTTTCCTTGTGTGCACATGTGCTCTGATGGAACATAAGCCACGGTGCTGAGGCTGCTTGCTCAAGGGCATGAGTTACGGGAATTGCACTGTACTCAAAGCCACCCCTCATGGCCATATGATGGTAGAATGAAAAATAAAGCCAGATCCACTTTAAAATACTCTTGATGATTCAGTAAAAATGGTTGTTTTTATTAAATTGCAACTTTGCATGCACACATTTTCAGTGAGACGAGACAGGAAGTTCACATAAGCACTTCTGCTGCAACTTGCAGAATGATGGACCATTGCCAGAAAAAGCCATCTGGGGATGGTTTGAGTTGTGAGTTGAATTAATCGCTTTTTTCATGAAACAGCATTTTTCCCTGGAAAGAACGACTGAGCGGCAAACTAGCATTACATGAGTTTGGTTAATTGGCAGACATTTTCACAAAAATTGGAAAAAGTGAGCTTGTTCCTTCAAGGAAAGTCACTGACAGCTTTGTTTGTGTTGCCAAATTCAGCATCTAGTGAGAGTAAACTTTTAGAAAGCTGTCTGCCACCATGAGCTATGCAGCTTTCTGATTTGCAAAGGCTTTGTGATGAAATTGGGAATGACGTTATGAAAGTGATTTTTAAGATACATATTGTTTATGAATGTGTTATTACTGTCACATACCACATAAAGACATTTCTTTCAACAGCAAACCTCATACACAGCAGTGAGGCGTGACTTAGCTTGTTTGTGGTTCTGCTGGTGGAAGCAAACCTACTGTGCTGCCAGTCGTGTAAAAGTCAAAGCACAAAGTACAGTCCATGGTACTTGATAAGGATACTAAACGACTATGTTAGTGGTTGCTGTATTTAAAAATACTACACTATAGTTTTATCATTATTTTGGAGTATACTCCTTCTACGTAACAACAACAACAACAAAAACGTTAAGTGTTAATCAGCCTCAGGAAGGTCCTTCAGGAAGTATTCTAGAAGGCATTACTGGCATAGGAGATAACAGCTCCATGCTTGTTATTGCCCCTGCAGACCTTTCATTGGGTTAAAATGTAGAGGTGGAAGACAGTGACATTAATGATCCTGCCCCTGTGCAGGCCTAGGCTAATGTGTGTTTGTGTGTTAGTTTTTAACAAAAAGTTGAAAAAGTAAAAACATATATAAAAAATAAAAGTAAAATTAAGCTTACAGAATAAGAAATTAAAAAAGAAACTATTTTTATACAACTGTACAATGTGTTTGTGTTTTAAGCTAAGTGCTATAATGAAAGCTATTATAACCTGGAAACAATATAGCTGAATGTTTCTGCTAGATGCAGCTGTAAAGGTTATGCAATTACACTTTTCCTTGGTAAAAAATATAAGTGGAAAATTTAGAGTGTATACATTTCTATAATAATTTCACTTTATTTACTGTAACTGAATGAGTTTAAGATCGTTGTGCAGTTTAATGAGTATGACCTTTATTTATCTTCCCACTTTGAATGTTTTCTGACATGCATCCCTCCCTCTCATGCATTTGAAAAAGAATAATTGGACACCAGACTAAGGAAGAACTTGATGGCAGGGAGATTATTCAACAAGGCTTAAGTTTTGATGCCCCAGATTCGTCCATCTTTCAGCCTATCCTTTCCAATTCTGACTATCATTCTTAAGCAGTTTTATTGGCTACATTGTTACATCTTTAAAAAATAGAATTGGAGGAAATGATTGAAAATGGAGGAATCACACTTGCCTAATATCCTTCTGATATTTTACCTCAGCATGACACCACATACTGTCATTGCAGTGAACATCTTACTTGCTAATCCCAATTCTGGAAGTAGCTTTCTGCACAAACCTGCAGGACATAACTGAAGTCATGCCTGCTTCTTTAATGTTATATGACATACGGCTTAGGTGGTTTTTCTTGTCCCATTAAATGCCGTTATCGTCTAAGAAAGAGAGCTTTTGCATACTGAATATCATAGTATCTGGGAATATAAAAAGTTTGGGCATAGAATATATGGACCCGTGAAGAATTTTTCTTCAGGGAGCAATTGATTTGTGGGTACATGTCTGAATTCAATAGGAAAGAAATGAGACTCAAGAGTGTTGTTGTCTTTTTTCCTTAGTCGACTTTTGCCTCTGAGTGGCAAAAATAAGGGGTGACACAACTGAGGTTGGCAATACTTCCTCAGACCCAAAGAAAGGAGTAGAAATCATAGATTTTTAAAATAAAACATCCATGAACTTTGCAAGGGTAATAATTGCTCATAACCCCAACCCTTTTATACTCACGAAATAAAATGTTAAGCTTGGCAGGGAGCGGTGGCTCAGGCCTGTAATCCCAGCACTTTGGGAGGCCAGGCAGGTGGATCATTTGAGTCAGGAGTTTGAGACCAGTCTGGCCAACAGACTATCTACTAAAAATACAAAAAAATTAGCCGAGTGTGGTGGTGCACGCCTGCAATCCCAGCTACTTGGGAGGCTGAGGCAGGATAATTGCTTGAACTGGGGAGGTAGAGGCTGCAGCGAGTGGAGATCGTGGCACTGTACTCCAGCCTAAGGAACAGGGTGAGACTCTGTCTCAAAAAAAAAAAAAAAAAAAAGTAATTAAGCTTGTGTGGATACATTTCTTGTAGAAGGTACTAAGTTTTTATCAATAGGGAACTTAAAAGGAGGCAGCCAAAATGGAAGAAAGAAGAATTGCATATGGGGGGGTAAATGTAAAATTCACATTTCTATTTTTCTTAACTTTCAAGTATGTTGTGAAGCCTAAAGAATATGAAAGATGTAAAATTTTGGATAAACAAAAATAATTATTTATGTAGGTTATTATTCCTAGTATTATATTACTTCTCATATGTATATTCATTCATGTAAGAAGACTCTTTCATTTAAACTTTCATATATATATATATACAGTTAAGAAATAAGTCATTATATATAGCTAATGTAAAAAGTTTTCAGTAAGATCCTACACTTTATCTGGAACTATAAATATAAACATGAAAAAGGTTGCTAACTTTAATCTGTAATTGAATATAATAAACATTATAATTTTTTTTCCCAAAAGCCTGAATATATTTACTCATTGTGCTAGAGCAACCAGTCAAAGCAAAACATCCAGGGACTCCTACTGGGATATGATTGAAAGCAAGAGGGAAAATGTTATCTTGGGTGTGAAAACCAGTTGTTGGAGATTGGAAGAAGCTTTATAATATTTCTAGTGAGCCAAAGTCAGATAGCAAAGATGATTAGGGGAATTTCAATATGTCAGTGTATTTCTCATCATTCATTACCATAAAATCTAGAGTGGATTGCATATATACCAGGAATGAATAATAAATAATGTTCATAGCAGTGAAACATTTTAGTAAATTGTATTTGACTTTCTTTTTGGAATCAGGATTAGTAATTTGTTTGAAGTTAGATTATTTGCTTTAAGATTATTAGTAATTAGGATTATATGTATGTTTAAAAAATTACAGCAACTGTATTGAATCTCATGCTTTTAAGTGAGAACTCAGAACTTGGGAAAAAACCTCTAAATTTTGTAAATAAATTTATTTATTTTAACATATTTTTCTTACCCATTGCTTATAATTTAGCTAAGGCCTAGATCATTGTATGTTAAAGAATAATTTTTAAAAATGGTTTAAGAGTTAACATTTCACTTTTAAAATGTTTAAGACAACCTGAACATAGATAGTATTTTAAGTAAGGGCTTCAGAACAGTTGTAATTTAAATGGAGAAAAAAAGAATTTTATTACTAGATTATGAGCTGATTTTTTTTGTATCCCTGACTATCATACAAGAAGAACAAAACAGACAAAATGAAGTATATATTGGATTACTGTCAATATACCTCATATTTTTTCCATTTATGCTGAAAAATTTTAGGCATTAAGAGGTTGGTTTGTCTAGCCATATTAAGCTGCTGAAGAAGGGGATGTTGAAACTAACTAGGCTGGCTCACAAAAGATGAGATGGGATTTTAGGAACCAAAAACAAGTCCCTGTGACCTAGATGCCCAGGTTGTTCCTCTAGGGGAGATGACAAATAAGAGACATTGTGATGGACTTTGCTGTCTAAACTGGAAAACCTAATCACTAAGACATACTAGACTTTCTTCCAGCTTCATCTACCAAGAGCAATAATTACAAATTTGGATTTTAAATAATTACTTGTGACATCACAATAATAATAGAAATTTAATAATTACTTTAATTAGCCTTTGCTATTGTGGACATTAACAGTTGACTACACATTATGTATATGCACACACACATATATATATACATAATATGTATAATATGTATTTATATACATATATACTTTGGCCATATTCTTGATTATTAGGGTAAATATTTCTATTTACACTCTTAACAAATCCAAGATCAGAATCTGTGGGACAAACATCTCATATTTACATTTCATTGCTAAATGCTTTCATTAACAGATCTTTACCTTCAAAGCAGCATATTTTGCCCACTGCTTTCCAAATAATTGTAAATTTTTATATACTTTTCTCCCATTAGACCAATCAACTAATTTAGATTTTTTCACTCACATTTTTCTCATATATAATATTTCATTGTATTCTTGCTAGATAATCACATTAGGCTATGTGATTATAGTCTAGTTTGTGTATAGTCTAATCCATACTTTTTTGAAGTATCAATTTCTCAATAGACTTTGACCTGGAAAAACTGACCTAAGGCTAATTTTTAAATGCTTCCTGGACTTACTTGCTATTATTTTATGCTTGTTGCCCTCAGCATAGTGTTTAAATTGCTAATTCTCTAATCAAAACACAAACCAAAATGACACCATAATTTTAATTACCTTAAGATAGCATTTCCCTTGGTCTTTGATCTAACCCAGTACATTCACAGGCAAAACATTGGTCAGGACAGCCACCTTCCATCTCATGAAAATGTCGTATGATTTCTACATTATAGTTTTTTTAACTTTCTTATTCTCTTTACTTGCCAAAACATATATTCTTTTTACTAAATTTCACCCATATCGTTATTGTAGTTTAATTCTTCTCCTCATCCCCTCGAAACCTTTGCCTGATTAGTCTGATCTTGTTTATTTTCCTGCCTTACCTGCTGGAACATGTACAGTTTCTCTAATTTAATTTAGTGCAGACCTATTTTATTTATAATATAATTGATTTCAAAAATCATTATTACAATACATATTTTTTACTTTGAGAAAGCCAATGTAAAATAAAATTGGGTTAAGGAAAAAAAATTAAGCCAACAGACCGATAGTAATGATCAATTATTCATTACTTGTAATCTGTAACTTGGAGAGTTCTTTAAGTGTGGTATCCATAATATATACTATCGTGGGGCTTCCAGTTTCAGCTTCAACTCTGAAGACTTTAAAGTCATTACTACCAGACTAAAAGAGCAAAACATTAAATGAAGTTGATAATCAATGACTTCTTTAGAGCCAGAGTATTGAGGCCCAAAGGTAAACACCCCCTTGAAAACTAGTGAAACAGGTAAATCCAGAGGCTCAGGGGCAAGACCTTATCTGGAGGGCAAGTCACTACAGCCATAAGCTGGTGCGATCACTTAAACTGTAATTTTAATGAGTTGCTGGATGCTGGGTGTGAACTAGCTGGAGAGGGAGGGAACATTAGGGGCAGTAGTCTTTATTTAATTTAATTTATTTAATTATTTATTTTTGAGCAAAAGTCTCACTCTTTCACCCAGGCTGCAGTGCAATGGCACGATCTCGGCTCACTGCAACATCCACCTCCCGGGTTCAAGCAATTCTCCTGCCTCAGCCTCCCAAGTAGCTGGGATTACAGGCACATGCTGCCACGCTCGGCTAATTTTTGTAATTTTAAGTAGAGGTGGGGTTTCACCTTGTTGGCCAGGCTTTCACCACGTCAAAATCCTGACGTGGTGATCCACCCGCCTCGGCCTCCCAAAATGCTGAGATTACAGGCATGAGCTACCACGCCCAGCTGTGGGCAGTAGTCTTAATGTTCTCCCACAGTTGAGCATTTTGCCTTTTGGAAACCCACTAGTTTCTCATGGTGAAGTTCCAAGAAAGATCCTCCCATGGCTCTGGCAGGAAGTGGGAAGAATAAACTTTATGCTATATGTCCAGAGTATTCTCCACACCAAAAACTTCATCTCCAGGACAAAGCTTTTACCAGAGCCATATCCCATGTGGGGGAGGGAATTTTCCCGAGCGATCCCACTAGGCTTCCTGTCTCATTTAAGAGTCAGATAAGGCAAGAAGAACTTGAGAATGCCACAGAGCAGGGACACACACTGTGAAAACACAGATTTAATAGTAAAATTATAGGATGCCCTCCATTCCTTACCACCACAATACAGCTGATACTACAGCTGAAATTACCACTGAAAAAGCTACATTATACCCATTATACCTGATACAGACTCTGTTTAAGGATTTCATAGAGAAGCCCATAGACAACAAGGGAGAGAAAACTAAGGACACAGGAGACTTGAAGCCTCTGGCACCTACAGGTACAGCAATATTAAATACAGCCCAACTCCTAGACAGATTTACGTAAGTCCTCTCACTAAAGGCCAATTTACCTCAGCTACTTTTGCCAAAAATTCATTCTCTGGTTTAAACAAAAAATACAAGGCATACTAAAAGTCAAGAAAAATCATAGTTTGAAGAGAAAAGGCAAACATCAGAACTAGACTCAGGGATAATACCGGTTTTCAATGATTACACCAGGAATTCATATTTAACATATTAATTTGTATTAATTATACATTACATTATAAAATTTAATTATTGTGTAAGTTAATATGTTAGTAGGGAAAAACTAAGATGACATGCAGGAACAGAGGAGTAATGTATGCAGAGAAGTAGAAACTCTAAGAAAGAATCAAAAGAAAATGCTAGAAATGAAAAAGAAACTGGAACAGAAATAAGATATGATTTTGATGAGCTCATCAGTAGGATGGACACAGTCAAGGAGAGACACAGTGAAATTAGATGGTAGTTCAATTGACTTCCCAAACTGAAATGCAAAAAAAAAAAAAAAGTAATTTGAAAGTTCAGAATAGAACGCCCATGAACTTTGGGACTACTATAAAGTGTTACACACACGTAATTGGAACAGCTGAATGAAGATAAAGAACTGAGCAAAAGAAATATTTAACATTATAATGGCCAAAAGCATTATAAAATTAATGACAAACACCAAACTGTAGATTCGAGAAGCTTAGAGAACACCAACTAGATTAATTTTTATAAATCTACAACTAAGCACATCATATTCAAACTAAAAAAAAAAACAGTAAAAGGAGAAACTCTTGAAAGTAGCTAGAAAGTAGTAAGAAAGCACCTTACTCAATAGGAGCAAGGATAAGAATTATAGTGGGCTCGTCAGAAATTATTAAATAGTGGAGTGAAGAAAAAAAATCCCATCAATCTATAATTTGATATCCAGAAAAATTATGGTTTAAATGGGAAAGAGAAATAAAACTTTGTCAGGCAAACAAAATCTGAGAGATTTCTTTGCCAACAGATGTGCCCTGCAAAAAAAAAGCTAAAATAAAGTTCTCTAGAAAAAAGAATATGTGTCGGAAACTTCAATTTACATAACAAAAGGAAGAGTTTTGGAGAAGGAATAAAGATAAAATATTTTATTTTTCTTATTTATAATAGGTCTGTATTAGTCTGTTTTCATGCTGCTGATAAAGACCTAGCTGAAACTGGGCAATTTACAAAAGAAAGAGGTTTATTGGACTTAGAGTTCCCTGTGGCTGGGGAGGACTCACAATCATGGCAGAAGGTGAAATGCATATATCGCATGGCAGCAGACAAGACAAGAGAGGTTGTGAAGGGAAACTCCCATTTTTAGAACCATCATATCTTGTGAGACTTATTCACTATCACAAGAACAGCACAGGAAAGACTTGCCCCCATGATTCAATTACCTCCCACTGGGTCCCTCCCACAACATGTAGGAATTCAAGATGAGATTTGGGTGGGGGCACAGCCAAACCATATCATTCCGCCCTGGCCCCTCCTAAATCTCATGTCCTCACATTTCAGAACCAATCATGCCTTCCCAACAGTCCCCCAGAATCTTAACTCATTTCTTAACTCAAAAGTCCATAGTCCAAAGTCTCATTCAAGACAAGGCAAGTCCCTTCTGCCTATGAGCCTTCTAGTGAAAAAGGGATCAGTTCTCCAAGATGATATAGTACTATGTGTGTATGGACCTAACAATAAATAGAGCATCAAAGTACACACAGCAAAATTGATAGAACTACAGGGACAACAAACACATTCACTGTTACAAAAGCAGAGAGAACATTTTCTGAAATTCTGAGGCCATTGTTGGCCTAATACCAAAACTATTTTTTAAAGTTACTAGGTAGAAAATAAATCTCTCGTGAACATAGAAGCCAAAATACTCCAAAACTATAAGCAGTAGAATCTCATATACAATATATTTGAAGCCATGCCTTCAGAAGTTGCCTTTGAAACAATCTCATTTTTTTGAACCTGAGGAATCGTCACTCATGAAGTCATTGTAAACATCTTCTTAAGTGATGATTAATTATATGTGTTAATGTGGCTAGGCTATGGTGTGCAGATGTTTGATAAAACACCATACTGGATGCTGCTGTGAAGGTATTTTTAATATCTGATTAAAACTAAAGTCAGTAGACCTTGATTAAAGCAGATTACCCTCCACAATGTGGGTGTACCCCCATGCAATCAGTGAAAGACTTAACACAAAAATACTGAAGTCCCCTGAGGTCTTCTGAGAAGCAAGGAATTCTGCTTCCAGACTACCTTCAGACTCAGCACCCAACATCAGCTTTTCCCTGGGCCTCCAACCTGCTGGCCTGCCCTGTAAATTTCACATTTGTCAGTCTCCACAATCACGTGAGTGAATTCCTTAAAATAAATCTCTATTTGTATATCTGGTTATCTATCTATCTATCTAATCTCTACATATATCATTAAACATCCAACTAAAACAAAAGAAAATATTTTAGGTAATTTATTTTGCTTCCTAAGCAAGGTAAGCACTACGTCTTCTTTTTTTCCTTTTGACTTTTATTTTAAGTCCTAGGGTACATGTGCAGGATTCATAAGTTTGTTACATAGGTAAACGTGTGCCATGGAGGTTTGCTGCACAGATCAACCCATCACCTTGGTATTAAGCTGGACATCCATTACCTATTCTTCCTGATGCTCCCCCTCCGCGACTCCAGGGCCCAGTGTGTGTTGTTCCACCTGATGTGTCCATGTGCTCTCATCATTCAGCTCCCACTTAAAAGTGAGAACATGCGGTGTTTGGCCTTTTATTCCTGCATTAGTTTGTGGAGAATGACAGCTTCCAGCTCCATTCATGTCCCTGCAAAGGACATGATCTTGTTCCTTTTTATGGCTGCATAGTATTCCATGGTGTATATGTACTACATTTTCTTTATCCAGTCTATCATTGATGGGCATTTGGGTTGGTTCCATGTCTTTGCTATTGTAAACAGTGCTGCAATAAATATAAGTGTGCATGTGTCTTTTTAGTAGAATGATTTATATTCCTTTGGGTATATACCCAGTAATGGGATTGCTGGGTCAAATGGTATTTCTAGTTCTAGATCCTAGAGGAATTGCCACACTGTCTTCTACAATTGTTGAACTAAATTATATTCCCACCAAAAGTGTAAAAGTGTTCCTATTTCTCCACATCCTCACCAGCATTTAGTTTCTTGACATTTTAATAATCACCATTCTGACTGGCATGAGATGGTATCTCATTGCGGTTTTGATTTGCATTTATCTAACGACCAGTGATGTTGAGCTTTTTTTCATGTTTGTTGGCTGCATAAATGTATTGTTTTGAAAAGTGTCTGTTCATGTCCTTTGACTGCTTTTTGATGTTTTTTTTGTTTTTTCCTTGTAAATTTGTTTAAGTTCCTTGTAGATTCTGGATAATAGAATCTACAATCTTGGAAAGATCTTCTCCCACTCTGTAGGTTGCCTGTACACTCTGATAATAGTTTCTTTTGCTGTGCAGAAGCTCCTTAGTTTAATGAAATCCCATTTGTCCATTTTGGCTTTTGTTGCCATTGCTTTTGGCATTTTCATCATGAAGTCTTTGCCCATGCCTATGTCCTGAATGATATAGCCTAGGTTTTATTCCAGGGTTTGTAGGTTTTGGGGTTTCACATTTAAGTCTTTAATCCATCTTGAGGTAATTTTTGCATAAGGTGTAAGGAAGGACTTCAGTTTCAGTTTTCTGCATATGGTTAGCCAGTTTTCCTGGCACCATTTATTAAATAGAAAATCCTTTCCCTGTTGCTAGTTTTTGTCCGGTTTGTCGAGGATCAGATGGTTATAGATATGTGGTGTTATTTCTGAGGTCTCTATTCTGTTTCATTGGTCTATATGTCTGTTTTGGTATCAGTATCATGCTGTTTTGGTTACTGTAGCCTTGTAGTATAGTTTGAAGTCAGGTAGTGTAATGACTCCAGCTTTGTTCTTTTGGCTTAGGATTGTTTGCCTATATGAGCCCTGTTTTCGTTTCATATGAAATTTAAAGTAGTTTTTCCTAATTCTTTGAAAAATGTCAATGGTAGTTTGATGGGAATAGAACTTTGGGCAGTATGACCATTTTCAGGGTATTGATTCTTCCTATCCATGAGCATGGATTTTTTTTTCCATTTGTTTGTGTCCTCTCTTATTTCATTGAGCAGTGGTTTGTAGTTCTCCTTGAAGAGGTCCTTCATATTCCTTGTAATTTGTATTCCTAGGTATTTTATTCTCTTTGTAGCAATTGTGAATGGGAGTTCATTCATGATTTGGCTTTCTGCTTGTTTATTATTAGGGTATAGAAATGCTTGGGGTTTTTGCACATTGATTTTGTATCCTGAGGCTTTGCCTAAGTTGCTTATCAGCTTAAGATATTTTGGGGCTGAGATAATGGGGTTTTCTAAATGTAGAATCATATTGGTTTTTCCTTTCCATATTTAGTGCTTCCTTCAGGAGCTTTTGCAAGGCAGGCCTGGTGGTGATGAAATCCCTCAGCATTTACTTGTCTAGAAAGGATTTTATTTCTCCTTGTTTATGAAACTTAGTTTGGCTGGATATGAAATTCAGGGTTGAAAATTCTTTTCTTTAAGAATGTTGAATATTGGCTCTCACTCCCTTCTGGTTTGTTGGGTATCTGTTGATATGTCTGCTGTTATTCTGATGGGCTTTCCTTTGTAGGTGACCTGGTCTTTCTTTCTGGCTGCCCTTAACATGTTTTGTTCTGTTTGTTTGTTTGTTTCTCATTTCGACCTAGGAGGATCTGATGATTATGAGTCTTGGGGTTGATCTTCTTGTGGAGTATCTTACTGGTGTTCTCTCTATTTCCTGAATTTGCATGTTGGCCTGTCTTGCTAGGTTGGGGAAGTTCTCCCGGATAATATCCTGAAGCGTGTTTTCCAATTTGGTTCCATTCTCCCCATCTCTTTCAGGTACTCCCATCAATTGTAGTTTCAGTCTTTTAAAATAGTCCTGTATTTTTCAGAAGCTTTGTTCATTCCTTTTCATTCTTTTTTCTCTAATCTTATCTGCATGCCACTTTTCAGCAAGATAGTCTTTAAACTCTGATATCCTTTCTTCTGCTTCATTGAGTTGGCTATTGATACTTTTGTATCCTTCACAAAGTTTTTATGTTGTGTTTTAGCTTGATTAGGTCGTTTATGTGCCTCTCTAAACTGGTTATTCTAGTTAGCCACTCCTGTAACCTTTTATCAAAATTCTTAGCCTCTTTGCATTGGGTTATAACATACTCCTTTAGCTCAGCAAAGAGCTAAAGAACCACCTTCTGAAGCCTACTTCTGTCCATTTGTCCATCTCATCCTCTGTCCAGTTCTGATCCCTTGATGGAGAGGCATTGCTAACATTCGGAGGAGAAGCAGCACTCTGGCCTTTTGGGTTTTCAGCATATTTTTGTTGATTCCTTCTCTTCTTCACGAGTTTGTCTAGTTTCAATCTTTGAGGCTACTAACATACTCCTTTAGCTCAGCAAATTTTGTTACTACCCACCTTTGACCCTTGGATGGGGTTTTTGTGGGAACTTTTTTTGTTGATGCTGTTGTTGTTGCTTTCTGTTTGTTTCTTTTTCTTGCAATGGTCAGGTCCCTCCTCTGTAGGGCTGCTGTGGTTTGCTAGGGGTTCGCTTCAGGCGCTATTCATTTGGTTCACTCCCACATCCAGAGATATCACTCAAGAAGACTGGAGAACAGCAAAGATGGGTGCCTGCTTCTTCCTCTGGGATCTCTGACCTTGAGGGGCATTGACCTGATGCCGGTAGGAATGCTCCCGTATAGAGTGTCTGATAACCCCTGTTGGAGGATCTCACCTAGTTTCGTGGCATGGGGGAGCAGGACATGTTTAACAAAGCACTTTGACTGTCCCTTGGTGGAGGGGGTGTGTTTCGCTGGGGGGAAACCCACTCGTTTTCCGGATTCTTCAGAACTAGCAGGAGGAAAGACTAAGTCTGCCGGCTCATGGAGACTGTGGCCACTCCTCCCCCTCGGGTTTCAGGCCCATAGAGATCAGAGTTCTGTCCCTGAGCCTCTGGCTGAAGTTGTCAGAGTTCCTGTAGGGAGGCCCCACCCAGTGAGGAGGGATGGATCAAGGTCAGGCCTGAAGAGGCATTCTGTCTAGAGTCTGATATAGCCAGTATGTTGGTCTGTGTGGGATACCTCCTTGGGACCAAGCCATGCAGCCTTCCCAGCTCCAGCAGTGGAAAAATGTGGCCTGGAGCTATAGAGATGGCTGCCAGCCTTCCCTTGCCCTGGGAGTTCACTGTGTTAGGTGACTATCCGTCCCAATGGGGCTGCTGCCCCTCCCTCAAGGAGCTCAAATGGCTTAGACAACAGACAGCCACAGCTGTGGTGCTGGTCACCCTTCCCCCAAGATGTTCAGCAGGCTTAAGCAGATTCTAGCTTAGTGGCTGTTGAGAATCCGCTTGGCTCTGTGGTTGGGACCTTAGGCCCTGGAGGCATGGGCTCATGAGTGGGATCTTCCAATCCATGGGTTGCACAGTTCCATGCACGTTTCCCAGGCTGGGTAGCACACTCACTAACCATCTCACTTGGTTTGGGGGTGGGAGTTCCTCTGCCCCGTGTGGCTCTCAGGCTGCATGGCTTGGTCCCCAAGAGGTATCCCCCACAGCCCAACACACTGGTTGTGTCAGACTATAGACAGAATGCCTCTTCAGGCCTGACCTTGACCCATCCCTCCTCACTGGGTGGGGCCTCCCTACAGGAACTCTGACAACTTCAGCCAGAGGCTCAGGGACAGAACTCTGATCTCTATGGGTCTGAAACCTTAGGGGGCCTGAAACTCTCAGGTGGCCTCTAGCACCACACTGCTCTTCCTTCCTCTCTGTGGATCACGCCAGCCGCATAGTCAGTTCTGATGACAGAACCTGGACACATCAGTTGCTGGTTCAGGTTTCAAATGCTGTTATGATTCTTTTTATGGGAGCCTCTGATCACCACTTCTTCTAGTTGGCCATCTTGGCCCTAAAACTTTCTTAATTAATAAAAAGAAAAGTTACTAAGCCAAATTTGGCCTGCACCAGAGGAACTTGAAGCCTCACCATGGCAACTATACACTGAGGAAGAGGAAATAACCAAACTTTTGAATATTAATCGAGAAAGATGCTAAATTATCGTTAATTCCTTGAGATCCAAAACAATACCGTAGTACAGTAGTCAGCATAGTGACCCATAGAGATCAGGTGATTAATGGAATTTTTGTCCCCAATTGATCTCAAAGTGGGTATAATATACTTCAACACATTCCATAGTTTCTTTCCAAGTTCTCAATTACGTGGTTGAAACAATATATTCAGCAAGTAGCAGAAACACACACTGGATCCCGGACATGTGGAACAAGGGCGATTTTGATAGTAAATGTAAGAGCATGCCATGAAAGGGCTCCTACCTAATTAAAGTGTAAGCCAAAAAAATATGGAATTTTAGAGATAAGTGTTATCACTGAGGCCCAGAAAGATGCAGCTGTGAAGGTTTCTACCACGTGACTTTTCAACCTGATTTCATGTCTTTGCTATTGTGAATAGTGCTGCAGTGAATATACTTGTGCATGTATCTTTATAATAGCATGATTTATATTCCACTGGGTATATACTCAGTAATGGTATTGATGGGTCAAATGGCATTTCTGCTTCTAGATCTTTGAGGAATCACCGCACTGTTTTCCACAATGGTTGAACTAATTAACACTCCCACTAATAGTGTAAAAGCATTCCTTTTTCTACACTGCCTCACCAGCATCTGTTGTTTCTTGACTTTTTAATAATCACCATTCTGACTGGCATGAGATGGTATCTCATTGTGCTTTGGATTTGCATTTCTCTAATGAGAATTAGTGCTGTTGAGCTGTTTTTCATATGTTTATTGGCCACATGAGTGTCTTCTTTTGAGAAGTGTCTGTTCATGTATTTTGCACACTTTTTAATGCTTTTTTGTTGTTTTTCTCTTGTAAATTTGTTTAATTTCCTTGTAGACTCTGGATATTAGACCTTTGTCAGATAAACAGATTGCAAAAATTTTCTCCCATTCTGTAGGTTGTCTATTAACTCTGATGATAGTTTCTTTTACTGGGTAAGCACTAAGTTTTACTGAAGATTTTACTTTTTATATGAACACATACTATAATCATTTTTAAGTTACTACTATAAATATTTCATTAAATAATTTATAATGTTGAGTGGAGTCTTTTAGTTCCAGCTCAAGGTCAAAATTCATGTTCATTTGGGAATCTCAACACCAAAAAAGTCAATGGCATGTAGGAGCTCAGTAATTAATAATTGTTGGAGGAATAAATAAAAGAATAAATATGATTTACATCAGCATATAAATATGTATGTTTACTGTAATCTTAAAATATAGCTCAATGATTTCCTTGCTTCAAAAATAGTATTGCATTCTATGTGTATAACGGGTTCAATACTGCTAGTTTTGAATCATTTCACTTGAGTTACAAAATCTGATTACCAAATTAGGAAAGAGAAAAAAATAACCTCTTTCTGAATAAATGGATCTCAAAAATTAATAGGTATTTGGAGCTATAAAGGATTTTAAAAATGATTTTGTCCAACCCTCTAATTTTACAGATAAATATTTGTATGGGTTAATTTAAAAATACTAAATTTTGCATGTAGGTCAAGGATTTGACTTAAGGTCTTGATTAAGAACGGATTTATTCTAAAAGATCGTAAGGGAGCCAAACACACACACAGTTCAGTTCACTCAAGAGAACCAGCTGATCACTAGAATTGGCAAAACTGGTAAGAATTCAAATCCAAGGATAATCCTATTAGAAATAAGAGATTATTTGAGAGTTACTAAAGTGAGACTCAAAAAAATTCCATTTATTTTCTGGTATAGCAGAGGAAAGGTATACTATTTTAAACAAGTAAACAAGCTGTTTACCTGTCTGGGTCTGTTCTATAATATGTAAAATTGCAGTAGAGAATTACAAGCATTTGTTTGATTGATAATGTCACATGACTTTTCTAACCTATACAAAATTATAAAAATGTTTGATTCTATCACTTAGTACACTTACAAAGACATAAAATATGATGCTGTATCCCATAACTGTTTCTATTAAGGTTTTCTTTAGCTTATTGGTTAAAACTTCGCACAAATCCCAAAATATGTTCAAAGCAAGCGAAATGACCAAAACCATGTATTATTATATGCTACTATAATTTATTTTTGTCACTAACAAAAGCCTTGAAGTAAACAACACATGCCATTTAGAACTGTTGCCTGTGGTTTTATTAGAAATGCAATAAGGGAGTCTAACACAGTAGAATGGTTCCACTGTCTAATAACATAACGGGTCATAAAATGACTACATCGTGTGTTTTCTCACAGTAAACCTCATTACCTAGAAATTATTCAAAAACTGCTCTTTGGATTTTTTGTTTGTTTGTTTCATTTTATCTGCTGACAGCTTTTATTAATGAAAGAAACAGAAACAAAGCTCTCATGAAGAGAAGAGCCACTGGGACTTCCTAATACAACAAAGGTTATTATATTACTATTTTTTTTTCCTTTTTTCTTTCAACCTCTACTGTGAAAAATAAAGTGGGATGAAAACATTCATTTCCTTTAGAAGTACTTATGCAGTGCTGGGTTTTTTCCCCTATAATTTTAACAATTTTTGGTTGTTAGTGTTTTTGTTCTAATTTCATTGTTAGCAATGATTTGTTAGCACCTGTTGTCTCAAATTTATCAAAAGACATAATTTTGTTGAGATACACAGCATAAGACAGCCAAGGTTGTAGATGAAAATTTTTCATGTATCTCCTTCTCGCTATGTATTACCCTTTTATCATAAGATAAATGAAACATTGTGGAGGAAAAAGCATTAAACTAAATTACCATTCGAGATGGGCCATTCAAATATTGTCTCCATTTATTCCCTTATCTGGTAGAACAGTTGGCCAAGGTTGAGGGTGTGGAAGACAAGAAATGAAAATCAGAATTTTCTGGAAAATTTTGTTTAAAGTTCATACATTCTGACAATGTCTCTCTAGAGATGGCTAGAAGGCCAGGAGAGGTCATGCAAATCTTAATATTTCCTTTGTTTGACTTGCTTTTTATTTCATTCACCCAAAAGTAGTTCCAAAAACTTTCTTCCCTCTTTTTCCAAAATTCCCCATTGCAATATCCCTAACAGAGAATACATGAATTTTGCTGCACTGAAGACCCTCTTACTAGGAAAAATTTATATTTTTGGCTACATTTCTCTTTTTATATCTTTCATTTTCTTCCCTGGTTGATTACCTTGATGTTCTTAGAAAAGACCCAGAAAGCGCCTGGGCGTGGTGGCTCACACCTGTAGTCCAAGCACTTTAGAAGTCCAAGGCAGGTGCATAACAAGGTCAGGAGATCGAGACTAGCCTGGTCAATATGGTGAAACCCCGTCTCTACTAAAAATACAAAAATTAGCCAGGCATGGTGGCAGGTGCATCTAGTCCCAGCTACTCGTGAGACTGAGGCAGGAGAATCGCTTGAACCAGGGAGGCGGAGGTTGCAGTGAGCCAAGATCACACCACTGCACTACAGCCTGGGTGACAGAGTCAGACTGTGTAAACAAACAAACAAACAAACAAAAAACACCCAGAAAGCAACAGCAGCAGAGAATAGGCAAGACCTACTAGTTAAGAGGGAGCAAATGAACTGAAACTGTGAGGACACTCAGCTAATACAACTGAAACTGTGAAGACACTCAGCTAATACATTTCAACTGATATTTCTTTGATTAGTTTTTAAAAATAAAATATAGTCATTTGAAGCTCAGAGTCAGTTTTGAATTTGTTGCCGTGCCATTTTCTATTTTCTGGTGACAGTAGCATGATTTGAGAGCTGCAGATTGACGGGAGCCAGCAAGTCAGCATTTAATGAATAAGAAAGGAAAAATTGAATGTTTCTCCAATTTGCTGAATACATCAAATATCATGGAAAGGGGCAGAGGTGAATCTGACAACATGATTAGGTTCTCCTGCACTTCTTAAGGAATACTTCAGGTTTCATTCTGTGTGTCGCTTACCAACCCACAAAATTCTAAGGAACAATTTGCCTGTTTTGTACTTGGTATTCATAATGGAACAAAATTTCCTTTGAACTTTCTATCACAGGCCAATCTTTTTCCATACTTCAGAAATCCTGTATTTAAATCAACCTCAACTACACACAAAAAAGAATAATTTAAAAATCTCTGAATCAAAATAAAACTAGAAAGAAACTTCTAAGACATGAAATGGAGAGGAAGTGAACAGATGATTCAAGTTAGACCATTTCCAGAGAGGTGGGCAGATACCAGAGCTTATAATAAGTTATTTCTTTAGAAAATTCATTGAGAATGCAGTACTTTATACAAAGTATACTTAAATTGCACATTTTAAGTTGATTACTAATGATATATTTTATATTTTTGAAAGCCAGATTTACTCTTTTACTCATTCTATACATGCACACACACATATACTACTAACCATAGTAATTAAAAAGTTACTGAATTTAGCAAATAAAAGGATTTTTTGCTCTAAGAGAATAATGATTGCCCTGGTTAGCTAGAGAAGTTTTGCATTCCTTACCTCACTACTGGAATAGCTACCTGTCATTTATCCCTACCTTCAGACTCTCTCTCATTCCCATGTACAAATCTATTCAATTATCGCTGGCTATTTTCCCTCTACATAGCAGACAGCAGGGGAAACTTCAAACGAGTTTTTAAAAGGAAAAGAGAAAAAAGCCTTTAAATGATTAAATATATATGTTTATATAGATACATATTTTTGTAATATTAAGCTTAAAGGTGGATGAATTTCAAAAGATAAAGGTGACTTTTTGAAAGGAAGAGAGGCTAAGATAGAAGAAAATACAATCAGGTTAAAACAAAGGAGCTTCCTAAACAGAACCTTACCTAAGATAAGATTTAGTTTCTCTTAGGTGATGAAAGACTTCTCAAAAGGATTAATCCTGAAAAATCACAAATCACCAAAAGAACAAAGAAAATTTGTGAAAAGGGGAGAGGAGGAAAAGCAACACCATGAAATACAGTTTTATGTGTATTTCCTGATTTGATTTCATTTAGTTATAAGTAGCAATATAAGGTCAAAGGCTTTCAATTCACTGTTTTCTCATTAAGAGTCCTTTTATTTATTTTAAGGTTGTCTGTTCTAGTAATCAGGTCCTGACTCTAACTACCCCCTGCTCCCATCCAAGCTATTAGAATGATCTGAAAATAAACTTGTCTCTCAGGTAATAAGAGCTTAAGAAACTCTAACTGCCTCTCTGAGGCATTACACTCAAAGGCTAATTTGGTGGAGAGTATAAGAGAGAAGATGGACACCAATATATTGAGTCTGTGGTTGGAACTACCAAGGGAAAAGGAGAGCTGGCTGGGTTTCTGGGGTTTGCTGAAAAGAAAAAAGAAGCAGCAAAGCAGATGTGGGCTTAAAAATAGTCCCAGGGCTTAATTATGGCAAAAGGATACAGGAATCCTTGACAGTCACCTTGAGGCATTTTTATGTCAGTGGAGTTTATATGTGTGCAATGTTTTGCTTCTTAAATTTTTGTATGAAAAATGCAGAAAATCACAGAAAGCATAGTTTAAAAAATCACATTATTTTCTTATGTAAAAACAAAGTAAAGCTGTTGCCACTTCTGAGCTTCCTTTCATTAACACATCCGATTTTTAACTATGTTTAAAAGTTTTCTATTTGTGAAAGATGCAAAAGGAAAATTAGAAAATAATACAGTGTATAATCACATCTCAAGAGTAAAATACTGAGGAATAAATTCATCCAAGATGGAACAAGACTTGCACACAGAAAACTCCATGATATTAGTGAAAAAAATTAAGAAAAAGCTGAATAAATGGAAGACATCTTGTGGTCATGGTTTCTAAGATTTAATATTATGAAGATGGCAATATTAGCCAAAGCTATTTACAGATTCAATATAATCCCTACCAAATGCTTAACATCCATCTTTGCAGAAATGGAAACATTGTTCCTACAATTTATATGAAATTTCAAGGAACTCTGGATAGCCAAAAATAACTTGAACAAGAACAACTTTGGAGGTGTATTGTCTGCTCTCATGCTGCTAATAAAGATATACCCAAGACTGGGTAATTTATAAAGGAAAGAAGTTTAATGGACTCACAGTTCCACATGGCTGGGGAGGCCTCACGATCATGGTGGAAGGCAAAAAAGGAGCAAAGTCACGTCTTACATGGTGGCAGGCAAGAGAGCGTGTGCAGGGGAACTCACCTTTGTAAAACCATCAGATATTGTGATACTTATTTACTATCATGAGAACAGCACAGGAAAGACAAGCCCCCATGATTCAATTACCTCCCACTGGGTCCCTTCCACAACACGTGGGAATTATGGGAGCTACAATTCAAAATGATACTTGAGTGGAGAAACAGAGCCAAACCATATCAGGAGGAAACACACTTCCTGGTTTACACCTTTCTACAAAGCTACAATACTCAAAACAGTGTGTTAATGTCACAAGCATAGGAGTGCAGATCAATGCAATAGAATATTAGAGTGCAGAAATAAACCTGTATGTCTGAGATTGATTGATTTTGATAGGGTGCCAAGGCCATTCAATAGAAAAAATATAGTCTCATCAACTAATGGTTCTGGAACAACTAAATAGTCACATGTGAAAGAATTAAATTGTGCTCTTATCTCACACTATATAGAAAGTATATCAAAGACACAGCACAAAAACGAAAACTATAAAACTCTTGATGAATACATGGTTTAAATCTTTATGAAATTAGATTGACAATGTATTTTTAATATCACATGAAAAGCAAAAGCAACAATTAAAAAAATAGATAACTTGGACTTTATCAAAATTAAAAATCTATATGCATCAAATAACATTATCAAGAATGTAAAAAGATGACCCTCAGAATGTGAAAAACATCTGTAAATTTTCTTATAAAGATATAGCATCCAGAATACATAGGTATATAATATATATACATATACACACATATAATATATATACACACATATATATGAGTTTATATATATAAAATCTTACAGGTCAACAACAGAAAGACAAACAAAAAAATCAAAAATTATAAAAGATTAAGAAAGGACTTGAGTATATACTTCTCCAGAGAAGACATGCAAATAATTAACAAGCACATGAAAAGATGTTCAACATCATTAGTAATTTGTGAAATGTCAATCAAAACCACAATGATATACCACTTCACTAGGTGGCTATGATTACTATTATTTTTAATATCAAGTGTTGGCAAGGATGTGCAGAAATTTGAACCCTCATAGGTTGCTGGAATGCAAAGTGAAAAGCAGTTTGGTAGTTCCTAATTACGTTATACATAGAATTTATATATAGCCCAGCAGTTTCAAACTTAGTTACATACTACAAGGAATTCAAAGCAGGTGTTCAAACAAAATTTGTACAAAAATCTCCATAGCACTTTATTCATAATACCCAAAGGCAGAAACAACTCAAATGTTCACAAAACTGACTAATGGGTAAACAAAATATCCGTATAATGGAATATTATTCAGACACGGAAAGATGCGACGTTCTGATGCATACTATGACATAAATAAACCTTGAAAACATTATGCTGTGTGAAAGAAGCCAGACACAATAAGCAACATATTATATGGCTCCATTTATGTGAAATATCCAAAATAGGTTCATTTATGGAGAAAAAAAAAAACAGATTAGTGGTTTCCAGATGTGAGAGTAGAGAATGGAGTGTGACTACTTAATGAGTGTAGGATTTGTTTTTGAGATGATGAAAATATTTTGGAAATAGATAATGGTGATGGTCACACAACATGTGATTGTACTAAATGCCACTGAATTGTGAGATAAATAAAATAGTAAATTTTATGATATGTATATTTATCAAAATAAAAATGCAAGTAAATTAATATTAAAATAACTTACACTTTATATGGCTTTATATTGTTAAAATGTTATGAAGTTTCTAAAGATCGATTCACATCTACCCATATCTATATGTACACAGTGTTCTGCCAATTTGCTTTTATTATCGAAAAATATCTCTTGAATGTCTTTCCAGGACTGTCTGTGTAGGTGGATCAGCTATATTGATTAATAATATTATTCATAGAAAATACTATTTTAATATATGAACATGTTGTATACTTTAAACCACTGAAGTCTCACATTGAAAACTGTGTGATGACAAGATGGTAGGACCAAGCTCCTTTCATGATCTTGCTGCTGCCTATCAGCCTTTTGTATGTGATAGAGAAAAACAATATGCCATTTAAGCTCCCATTACATCCTTGTTTTATCAATTACAGTCAAATCCAATTTTTGAAATGTGTTGATTCTTTTTATTTCACTACCATATTGCAATGAGTATCTTTACAAAGATCTCTGCACATTTGTGCCATTCTTTCTATGAGAGAGAATGATAGAAGTGGAACTACTAAATTACTTTCAACAAAGTTTGCACTGATTTATATTCCAGATAAATTGCATGTGTACCTATTTTACTCATACTTGCTGGCTGTAGATATTTTCCAGCCTTCAATAATTTTGTTCCCAATTAAATAAAAAAGAATTGTATAATGAATCTTATAATGTGTGTGTTTGGATTTCCTTAGTAGTTAGTAAACCTTAGCATAATATCCTGGTTTACTGTTGATTTACATTTCTTCGTAAATCACATGGTCATATTCCCTATCAGTTAGCTTTTGTGCAAAGCAATGTTTATCATCTTTCTGAGTGTGTGGTTCTCCGGAGGCTTACTGGGAATTAGGTGGTCTACTATGCCCTTATAGCACATGTCCAAAAGTTGGCATGATGTCAGCGGGGAATGATAACAGTGGCTCAGTCCAAATAGCTTTCATTTTCAAGCAGATTTTCCTGGCACTTTTGAAATAAATTGTCTCTGTTCCAAAAGCAGAAGAACTCACCAGAGAAGTCTAAAAGCCACTGCAAGGATTCTTGAGGCTTTTGCCTAGAATTTGCATTGCCTCTATGTCTTTTTTTGAGAAGTGTCTGTTCATGTCCTTTGCCCACTTTTAAATGGGGTGGTTTTCTGCCTGTTGGTTTGTTTAAGTTTGTTATAGACTCTGGATATTAGATCATCTTTGAATGTACAGTTTGCAAATATTTTCTCTTGTTCTGTGGGTTTTCTGTTTACTCTGTGGATAGTTTCTTTTGCTGGGCAGAAGCTCTTTAATTAAGTCCCACTTGTCAATTTTTGTTTTTGCTGCAATTGCTTTTAGGGACTCAGCCAAACCTTCTTTGCCAAGGCTAAAAGGGGAGGGAGGGAGGTGAACCTGGGTTGAAAAACTACCTATCCTGTACTATGCTCACTACCTGGGTGATGGGATCCATACCTCAAACCTCAGCATCATGCAATATACCCATATAACAAATTTGCAAATATCCCCCCTGTATCTAAAAGTTTAAATTAAAAAGAAGAAGAATTAGCAATGTATGACCCTGACGATATTCTATTGGTCAAAGCAAATCGCAAAGCCAGAAAAGATGTGAAAGTTAGGAAAATGCTCTCCACTTATATGACATGACTTGTAAAATTCCGTGGCCGTGTGTACAATCTATCACATGCTGTTTGTCCACATATCAATTAGATTGTTTGTCACATTCTTATTAACAGTCAGTCTTTGTATATAAGCAAAGCTAAATTCTTCATCTATTATTTACCCAGCAAACATTTTCTCTTATTTCTGTTTTCAACTTTATTTATGGTAACTCCTGTTTTGCAAGCATTTATAATTTCTATCCACTGTATCTGTCTCACTTTTCCTTTATGGTTACACACAGTTCCTAGGAAAAATCATGCCTATTCAAATAGCATTAAAGAGCATTTTTTTCTAATAATTGTATTGTTTTGAAGCAGTTATTTTGGGCTATGCTTTATCATTGATAATCTCTGGGAAGACAAAGATTTCCTGGCTGCAGAAAGTAGAATCCTTTAGGAACTGACCACCCAGATGTTCCTCACACTGCCTACTGGAAAACCGGAGCCCAGGAGGAAGTGACTTCTGAAAGTCTTTTTTCAGTGGCAGGACTCCTGAGAGAGATATGCACATATCCTTGCCATAAAATGAATCTGACTGTACTTCTGTGACGGTGCTGGAGGGCAGCCTGACAGACACTGCGGTTCCACAGCAGCAGGCAGCCACTGGCTCTGTTAGGGATGCGCAGCCACTGAGCAGCTGTGCTCCCTCACCTGGAGACATTACATCCGCATCTGTGGGGTGAGGACAGAGAGGATGCCAATGACACTCATGCCCTATAATGGGTGAACAGCTGCTTCTGTGAAGTAATTAAAGCTGGGACTGGCCTTCTCATTCTGCTGTGGTACTTTGATGCATTAATCACAATCTCATATTCTCCAAAATGTGCTCCATTATTCCCTTGAATAAGTCAGGGCCTATGCATTTTATATGGCAGGAAACCAAAATCAACAGCATTTGATTATAGTCTAATATGCCGAGCTCTCTGGATATTAATTAGCTGCTTAAAGCTACCTAGGTTTGCCTTAAAATTTCTCTCGAGCCCAAGAATATTTTTTAGAAAACAATTGTAAGTACTTAGTTGATCTTATATGGTTTTACTAAAACGTCTAAGTGTGTAAAAACTTTATTCTGGGATAAGCATGCTTTAAAGCTTATTTAATAGCAGTTGAAATAGCCTTCTGAAATTTAAATTTTAGTATATTGGAAAACAAAGTCTAACTGTTGTGGGAGAAAAGACTAAGAGAACAACTGCTTCTTTTCACTAGTAATCTTTCATTTGTTCCTATTTTATCTATAATTTCGTAAGTGCCTACTTTGCAAGATGACCTATCCTGAAGTAGGAAAATATTGTTACACTATAAATTAAAAAAAAATTAATAGACCTGCTCTGAGGGCAAACAAATGTCAGCAAAGTATGCATTTAGAATAATAACATGTTAGAGTGGTTATATTGCCGGTGTTCTCTTATATTGGTACAGAAGAGATAATTTAATAAGTAGACTGTAGTAATAGGAATTTAATAAATATTAAAACATTCAAATTAAACAATTCACTTTCCATGAATATTTATTTTCTGATATCAAATTCTTCACTTTTGAAGTTATTATATGCTCTTAGTTGAACAAGGATAGTTAGAGAATGCAAATAGACAAGGTCATTGTCTCTGTCATTTCACTACATTCATTAATGCCCTTGCCTGAACATCATCTGACTTGTTTCTAGGACTGACAAAACTAGGAAGGAAAATAGCTGAGTATGGATGGGGCAGTCCACAACTATTAAGATGTTTAGAATGGACAAATAATGAAGTGGCCATTTAGTTCATTCTATACCATACAATTTTCATTTCAATTGCTAACACCAGGCGATTCAAGAAAAATTTGTTTTCAGTAGCATGGATTATGGTAAAGACAAGGGCACTCTGGAATGGGAAAATTAAGAAAAATAAGCAAACCTCACAATGCCTTTCGAAAAAATTTGATTGCTTAATTTGTGGCTGTGGGAGACAGAAATTAATAGAACAATATTATGGCCTCCAAGGAGCTTATTAGAGGAACTGAACAAATACAATGAAAAATGATTAGAAGAGTTTGAGTGAAGGCTCTAATGGGAAAGGAAAGCTATGATACATGAGCACAGTGGTGCGGGAGTGCTGGGGAGGGAAGCTGTGCTTCACTTCACAGAACTAAATAAGCAAGATATCCTTCCATGTTATCCAAGTCACAGATTACTTCCAAGGGTTAAATTCACAAAGATAAATTCAAAGTTTATTAGCAAACATAAATAATTAATTAAAAGGTTGATAATTCTACAAAATACCTATGGTTTTGCTCATAATTATTAAAATTGAATACTGCTTGATAAGGCACCTTGCACTAAATGCTCTTTATACTTATTTAAATACCAACAAAATCAAGTTCTGTATAAATTTATAATGCATATGCTGAGATTTAATTTATGACTCTACTAGCACATCTAAGCAATATTACACTTTTGTATACACATTTTTTTTTCTTTTAATTGCTTCTGGGACCTAAATTTGAGCAAACTTCTTTTTCACTCTAAGTCTAAAAATAGAAATTAAATGACAAAGTCTTGCATAGCAATACATCCTCTTTGTTTATACACAGTTATTCACACTAAACATGTATTTATCAGAAACTATGACTAGAAGAAAAGGAGGACATCAAAGAAGGGCAAGCATTGCTTTGGTGGATTTCTAACTTTTTAACCTTCTCTGGGGGAGAAATGGTCACAAAACAACAATCACAACAAACAACAGCAAAAAAATAAAAACGATGAACAAAACAGGGACGCTCATCTTATAGACTGCATTGAGAAATCATTCCAGTTTTTCTTTTTTTAAGTTCCATGCTTTCAAAGTTTTTCCCATATAATTTATCTTAAATAAATAACATATGAAGTATGAACAGAAGTATTGTATACAGCTTCTAAGTTATCTACAACTTAAACGTGAGCCAGTTATCCTGAACATTTCCTCTCTTTTCTGCCATTCTCCAGGGGTAAAATGTGAATATAAACTTGAGCTAACTTGAATCCTTCAGTGAGGAAAACACTCAAAAAATGACGAAGGAAAAGATGAAAAGGGTTCAATCATTCATAATCCCATGCATTGAAGTAGTTTGTCTGCTCCATGACATATCCTATCTCCAAACTCACATTAGAGAGAAAAATAAACAATAATTCCTTTAGAGATTGGTGGGATCTCTTTATCTTAGCAACGTAGACTATGAGCTTGCCAATAAACCTCTTCATTAGTAGAAATATTCTTCCTGTCTAATTTTAGACCTATTTCAACAGATTGTCTTACTTATCTTTCAGGTTTCAGGTTATGAATAACTTCTTCAGGAATTCTTTGCTGACTCCTGTAATCCTGGTGTGATTGGTGAACTCTTATATACTTCATGTTAGTGTACTTCTTATGTACTTCTTATTATAAAATTTAAGAAGACAATTGTTAAACAAATAGAATAATAAATAGATGTTATTATTATTTTCCAATTATGATTATCTTTTTAAACATAAACTATTTTCCACCAAATATTGTTAAATACATTCTCTTGCAGCATATTGCTTTGATCTTAAAATGTCAGAAACAAACAACAATATTTATAATTCTTTTTCAAAATGGAATATAATGACACATTAAGGCATACTTTTTTGATCTACAGTTCTTAAAAAACGATCAGAGCAAAAGTGACGCAAAATCTTTGGTGTGAAACTATGATTATGCTACATTTTACAAAAACATGGTAAAAAAAGCAACAATCTCATTTAAAATCCTTCATTATAACTCTTTAAGGAAGACATAATTGATACAGTCAAACATGAAAATTTACAGATAAAGGCATTTTGACACACTGCTGGAAGCACATCCAACATAGAACTTTCAGGCCACAATTTTTAGTGTCTGAATAATCAAGTTTGTTTGATGAGTTAATCAATAAACACTTGAGAACATTTGTTGCTTTGTCATCTTTGAAATAAGTTTTCAGAATACCATTGAAACTTTTAGAATACTTTAAAAATACTTTCTTTTGGTGTTCAAGTGCCCCGTAGTTCTGGTATTGATATTTCTTGAAGACATTATTCACTATATCGAGCTCTTTTATTTCACTCTTTATATCCTTAATTGTCTACAGAATCCTCACTCTGTCATTGAGCTCACTGGAAACTTACTGAGAATTTGTGTAAGTGCTTGTGACTTTCATTTACATCCTGGAATTCTGGCTCTAGTCATTCAATTATCTACTATTATACATTAACAGCTGCCATAAGAAGAAATCCTGTGATCTTAATGTTTATATTTTTTTTCTCTAAAGTTGCCAAAACAATGTATTGTGTGAGACCAGGGTTTCCTTTATTGGCCTTAATGAAAGCCACTCTCAGTATCTGAGCTGCAGACAGATTTACTAGTTTTAGGTTTTCTGATTTCATTATAAAGGACACAACTACAACTCAGTAACAGCCAAGAAGAAGACATGTATAGGGCAAAGTATGGGGCTGGGGTGAGGCTGAGCTTCCATGTCCTCTTTGGATGCTCCACTCTCTCAGTACTTCTGTGTCACCACCCAGAACCTTCATTAGTCTTTATCTAGAAAAAAAAAAAAAAAAGAAAACCTTTGGAGATTCAACTAAAATTGCACTGAGAAGAAAGTGATGGTCTTAAAAGTGTGTGTTACAATTAAGTGGAGATTAGCCAAGGAATGCAAAGCTGGTTTGATATTTGACAATCAAGCCATGTATTGTGGCACATATTAACAGACCAAACAAGGAAAATTACATGCTTGTCTCAACAGCTACAGAAAAAAAGAAAAATTAACATCCATTTAAATTAAATCTCTTAGTGCACTAAGGATAGAAGAAAGCTTCCTTAAACTGAATAGGCAATCTATTTTTAAAAAAATAGTTAAAAAAATGCTTAATTGTGAAATGCTGAATAGTTGTCTCCTAAGATCAGGAATAAGAATTTCTATTCTCAATGCTTCTTTCCACATCATATCTGAATTTCAAGCCAGTATTATAAGGCAAAAAAAGAAATAAAAGGCAAACAGATTTAAACAGCAGAAATACAACTGTCTCTATTAATGATTACATAGAATCTCCCATGTAATCTACCAGAAAAAACTTCTAGAACTTATGAGTTTAACAAGATTGCAGGATATAAGGTAAATATATAAAATCATTGCAAAAACAATGAATTCAAAATCTACTTTTTAAAGTATTTACAACAGCACCAAAAATACTTACTTATACATATTATAAGATACAAATAGGATGTCTATTGTTTAAAGCTATACATCACTCTTAAAAGCAAACCAATGACAACTTCGATAAATGGAGAGTTGTATTTGTTTATGAATTAGAAAAGCAAATAATTTTTGGTTGCCAATTATCCTCAAATTAACATGTAGATTCATTGCAATCCTAATAAAAATTACAACAGGCTTCTGTGCAGCAAATGATAAAATTTACATAGAAAAGCAGAAGGAATTAGAATAGTCAAAACAATTTTGAGAAAGAATAAAGCTGGAGGATGTGGAGGAAAAGTTAAATATTAAATTTGAACCCAACTGAACGTGGACACAAACAGTAGTCACCAAATCCAGGAATAGGTAGTGTGAGCCCCTTGAGGCATTCATCCAACACTGTTTAGGAGAAATCTCTATTTCAATCTATTCGTATACGTTAATTATTGAAAAACAACAGACAATTGCAAAAACAAGTTGACCTTTTTGTGTTCCTTGAGCCCAGTCGCGAAGGGCCCTCGTGACTGGGCCTCATGCCAAACAACTCGTTACAAAAAGAGCTAGGGTCCTTACAAAAAGAGGTAGGGTCCCAGACCGCGCTGAAGCTTCGTGAGACCTCTCTTTCTCTGTGCACGGATGGGCAGCTGACTCTGGAGCCCAGGCTGTTGCTTCTCGGGTCTTGTGATGAATCCTCCAGAGTCGGGTGAGTATAAATATACATGTATCTTTTCCCTTCTCCCCTTCTCATTGCAATTTGCTTATTATATCATTTGCTTATTATAACTGCACTGCCATTTACATGGGAAAAACGTTGTTTACCATTAAAAGTATTGTGTGTGTGTCTTTTCTTTTCCCCTCGCTCATTTCCCGCACAGAACAGAGGACAAACGTTACTGGATTTCAAGACTTATCTTAAGGCAACAATAATTAAGGCAGCTTGGTATTGATGAAAGGACAGACAGATAAATACATGAAATTACAACAGAGATTCTAGAAAAGGACTCAAATACATATCATTAATGATTTATATATATTATACATATATACACAAATACAATGTATATATTATACATATATACATACATACACATACACATATATACACATACAAACATATATACAGTAAAATTCACAGATTTTAACTGTACTCTACAATGAAATTTAGCAAATGAATATACAAGTTCCCACATGCCAATAAAAATATAGAACATTTCTTTATCTCCATTTGTCCCTTCCCAAATGATGTCATCTTCTCTAAGAAACAGGTGTTCTGATTTCAATTACTTTAGTAAAATCTTGCCCAGTTTTTAATTTAATATGAATAGAATTACACAGTATTGACTCTTTCTTTGTATTATTTTGCTTTCTATCACATCTAATATTGATCCATGTTGTAGCACGTATCAATAGCTAATTAGTTTTATTTTAAGTAACATATTGGATGAATATGCCAAAATATGTTTATCTAGTCACCTGTCCATAAACTTTTGAGAGGTTTTTAATCTTTGACTATTGTGAATAAAGCTACTATAAATATTCTTGAGCAGTTTTTTTTTTAAGTTCTCTAATGAATAGCAGAACTGTGGGTCATATGTACATGTCTATTCAGATCTATCACAATCTGCCAAATAATTTCCCAAAGCAGTTGTAACATTTTACAATGCTATGAGTAATGCATAAGTGTGTCCATTCCATGCCTTTTCTAATGTTTAGTTTTGTAGGTCTTTTTTAATTTCAGGCATTCTAATGTGTGTGACATGATATCTCTTTGTGGATTTAATTGATATTATTCATATGACTAATGATACTGAGCTTAATTTCATGTACTTATTGGTTATTATCCTATCTTCTTTTGTGAAGACATGTTCAATCTACTGCCCATGTTTTATTAGGTTATTTATTATTGACTTGCCATGTTTTGCGTGTATATATTTATTATTGAGAAAGTTTTTCACTGGACTTATAAAATAACATACAAATTATTTTCTTCTATTTTCAGAGCTTGTGTAAATTTTATACTATTTCTTTATTTAAATGCTTGGTAACATTTACCAATGAAGACATTTGCCATTAATATTTATTATATTTATTTACATTCATTAAATTTAGTTCATTTTATGAATTTTTTAAATGTTACAATCTGTCACTTTTAGTAATTTTTGTCTTTCAAGGAATGTGTCTATTTCATTAACATTGTTGAATATATTGACATCAAGTTTTCATCTAATTTCATTATAATACTTTTAATGTCTGTGACCTTTAATGAAGTTCTTTTTTCATTTCTGATATTGCATATCTGTTTCTTCTTTCATTGATTGTCTTATTTATGAGCTTTTAAAATTAATAAATCTTTTGAAAAATCCACTTTTAGTTCTTTAATATTCTTTTATTGTTTGACTTTTTAAGAATTTCACCAACTTTTGCTATTATCATTATTATTTACTTTCTTCCACTTACTTTAGGTTTAATTTGCATTTTCTTTTAAACTAGCTTGATGTTAACATAGTTACCTGATTTAATATCTTTCTTCTTTTTACTTACAAAAACAGTGAAATTCTTGTTTCTCTTTAATATTGCTTCACTTGCATTTCATAATTGTTTTTGAATTAATATACTTTAATATTTAGAGAAATTTTAGGTTTACAGAAAAATTGATCAGACAGTACAAAGAGTTCCTACATACCCCCTCTTCAACCACATATACTTGGCTTCCACCATTATTTACATCTCGATTGAGTGTGGTATTCTTGCTACAATTGATGAACCAATATTGATACAATATTATTGACAAGTCTACAGTCTGTATTAGGTTTCACTCTGTGTTGCATATTCTCTGAGTTTTGAAATGTAAAATGGCATGGATCCATCATTACCATATCACACAAAGCAATTTAACTGCCCTTAACATCCTCTTTGTCCCACCTAATTTTTTCCGTCTCCCTAAACCCCTGGCAATCACTGATGTTTTTACTGTTTCCCTGGTTTTGCCTCTTCCAGGTGTGTCATGTAGTTGAAATCATACAGTATGTAGTCTTTTCAAATCGGCGTCTTTCACTTAGTAATATACATTTAAGTTTCTGGTATGTCCCTTTGTGGCTTCATAAATCATTTCATTTTATCACTGAATAGTATTTCATTTTCTGCATGTGCCACAGTTGGTTTACTCATTTACCTAGTGAAGAGCATTTTGGCTGCTTCTGTGTTTTAGCAATTATGAATAAGCCTGCTGTAAACTCTTGTGTGCAGGTTTTGCTGTGGACATGCTTTCAGCAACTTTGGAAAGAGAGCAAGAAACTCTTGCTGGATCGTATAATAAAAGTATGTTTATGTCTGGGCGGGGTGGCTCACCTCTGTAATCTCAATACATTGGGAGGCCGAGGTGGGCGGATCACCTGAAGTCAGTAGTTCGAGACCAGCCTGACCAACATGGAGAAGCCCCGTCTCTACTAAAAGTACTAAAAATGCCTGTAATCCCAGCTACTCAGGAGGCTGAGGCAGGAGAATTTCTTGAACCCGGGAGTTGGAGGTTGCGGTGGCGTCATTGCACTCCAGCCTGGGCAACAGGAGTGAAACTCCTTCTAAAACAAACAAACAAAGAAAGTATGTTTATTTTTTGTAAGAAACAGCCAAACTGTCTTCCGAAGTGACAGCACCAATTTGCATTCCCACCAGCAATAAATTACAGTTCCTATTGCTTCACATCCTTGCTATCATATGTTGTTGTCAGTGTCTTGGGTTTTAGACATTCTAATAGGTGAGTACCGGTGTCTCATCATTGTTTTAATTTGCATTTCCCTAATGACATCTGATGGTGAACATCTTTTCATATGGTTATTTGCCATCTGTACATCTTCCTTAATGAGGTGTTTGTTTAGGTATTTCACCCAATTTTCAATTGGGTTTTTTGTTTTCGTATCCTTACATTTTAAGTGGTTTTTTTAATTTTCAAAACTGGTACTTTACCAGGTATAGTTTTTTTTCCAGATATTTTCTCCCAGTATATGACTTGTCTTTTCATTCTTGCCATAGTGTCTTTCATGAACTGAGTTTAAAAAATTCAGATGAGGACCAAATTAACAATTTTTTCTTTCATGTATCATGCTTTTGTTTTTGTGTCTAAAAAATTATCATCAAACTTAAGGTCACCTAGATTTCTTCTATGTTATGTTCTAAGAGTTTCATAATTTGACACTTTGCATTTATGCCTATGATCCTTTTTGAGTTAATTTTTGTGAAAGATGTAAAGTATTTGTCTAGACTTACTTGTTTTGCAAATGAATGAGCATTTGTTATAGCATGATTTGCTGAAAAAAATTTTCTATTGAATTTTTTTGCTCCTTTTTTTTTGGTGTGTGTTTCTGTTTCTGGCTCTTTATTATGTTCCACTGATCTATTGTTTCATTCCATAATTTTTGAAGTTTTTTTCACTATTACTCAGTTTGAATATTTTTATTATTTTTAAAGTAAGTTCTTCCTTAACTCATGAGTTATATAAAAATACATGGAATGTTTTCTACATGTTTTATATTTTTCTAGATAGTTCCCTTTTCTTTATAATTTAATTCTATGGTGGATAAGAAACATATTCTTTATAATTTTGTTTACTTTATTGAAATAAATGTGTTTTATAGCTCACTATATGGTATATCTTTGTTAATAAGTTGTATGTTTGAAAAGTATATGAATTCTTTATTTGAGTACAATGTCGTAGTTTCTTACAAATATTAAGTCTATTTAGATGACAATATTGTCCAAATATTATTTACTTTTACTAACCTTTTCCATTTGTTTTATTTATTGTTTTAATTTTTGGGAGAAGAGTATTAAAATCCACAGCAATACTCCTAAACTTCTCTATATCTGCTTTCCTTTCCTATGGTTTTGCTCCTGAAGGTCAATATTTTGTTGTTAGTTGCATATTTACAACTGAGATTGTATGTCTCTTTGATAAATTGGCTCTTTTACATTACGGAATAATTATCTATCACTGGTGATCCCTTTCTTGTCAGTCTTCTTTGTTAGCTTCTCATGTATCCATTCTTGTTTTCTTATTATTAATGTTGCATGATAAAAAATAAGTCCCATTCTTTGCTTTTTTATCTTTTTTTAGAACAATTATAGATTCACCAGAACATGAAAATATCCAGCTAAGTCACATGAGCTTTTTACGAGTTTCCCCATATTGTAACATCTTGCATAAGAATAGCATAACAACAAACTAGAAATTGACATTGGTACAATCAAAGGGTTTATTCAGATTTCAGCAGTTTTATAGTTACTCAAAGGTGCTAATGTGTGTGTGTACATGTGTACTCACACAGTTCTGGGCAATTTTATCATGTATATTTTTATGTAACCATCACTCAGAAAAGTGCTATTTAGTCATTACAAGACTTCACTTGAGAACCACTCTTACTTCTCTCTCACTAGCAACCACTAATCTATTCTCTATTTAAAATTCAGCTGATTCAAGAATGTTGTATTAAAGGAATTATGCAATATGTAACCTTTGAAACTGAATTTTTCATTCAGCATAAGTACTATAAGATTCATCCAAATTGTTATTGTGATGGAATAAAATGATCACCAAGTGACTAACCTAAGGACGGGTGCCTTCCAGCCACTGTCACTGATGGAACGGACAGAAAATGAGGATGTGGCTAATGTGGCTAATCTTGTTGGACTGTAAGAGGGATATAGTTGCCTCAGATCTGCACAGTTGTCCTGAAACCTGAGGTCCTCAAAAGCAGAGGAAACCAGAAAACCATAAGTAGCACACGATTGTGCCTGCCACCCTAATGAGCAGGGAGGTTCTAGCAAATGATAACAAACATCTCAACAAAAATAAAAGACACAATACCCAGTGTTGGGGCTGAGCAGGGTGAGTCAACAGCTGAAGCTACTTGGAGAGTGCTGAACCATTAGTTCGCCCAGTGTGTGCCTGCCTGGTGCACTATAGAGACTCTAGCCCCCCAAATAGTGCTTTCTACAGGGTAGGCACACTGACCAGGTGTTATGATGAAGAGTGTTAAGAATGATCATGGATAACAACAAATCTACTCCAAGATGGTTTATTCTACCATGGCAGAATGAGAATATTAAGAGTCTGCATTCATTCTATAGTCAGATGCTATGGTGGCCACTTTCAGTTTTAGTTTGTGTCAAAGTGAAATGAGTGAAATACATAGTTTTAAAAATTACATTTTTGTTTCTATATAAATTTGTGATAGTCATTACTATATATGCAAACCAACACTGGAAAAACTCCTTTTCCCCTTTACATCTCAACTTCTCACAATCTCCTGGGTGACTGAGAAGCAGATGCTGTAGCCTGCCAGAGCCACACTGCCCAGCTCTATCACTTGCTGGCTGAATGGCCACAGGCAAATTACTCTACAGATCAGTTTTCATAAATGCAAAAATGGGGATTGATAATACCAGCACCTATCTCATAGGTTTCATGAGGATGAAATGAGTTTTAACATGTAAACATATTTCATCATATGATGAAATGAGTTTTATCATATAAAGGAATATATATATATACACATATATATGGTATATATTAGATTTTATTCTTACAAAAATAATATGGCACAATGATTCTATGGGAAATTTTGTGTCATTTAGACATTTAATAAGGCAGAGGCCCTCAACAGTGAAATCTCAAAACCAATAAAGGCAAACATGATTACCCATATACCAATATCAGTGTGGTTAGCAGTGGCCAAGAAATCAAATAACTATCAGGTGTGACACACTGGGGTGTGATAGGTTCACTATGGGCAAGTAGAACAAGCAAGATGAGATCACAAAGGTGCTTCTAAGAGTTAAAAAGAGAATCCTGGCACATATACAGGTAGACTGAGGAACATTTCTGACATGCTTATGATGTGATCAATGATTTATGAGTAAATTATCTTGTTTGTTTTTAAGTGCTGAGTATATATAAAATCATTTGTTTTTCCTTTCTATACTTGTCTTGTTTTTACAATTTGGGGAGAAAAATAAAAGCTGCCCAGCTGTAAGTAAGTAGTTCATAATATCATTTTTAGTTATTTACTGCCAGAGTTTGAAGTATGAGATTCCTGCTTTGAAGTTTTCATTTCTATTTTACTTATTTATTAAACTAAAAATCGGTCATTACATAACAAATCTATAATACATGAAGCCAGATTTTAGTGCTTCTTAGGGACAGATCTTCAGGGCATCCTTTTTTATGTTATGATGACTTTAAAGAAAAAGCCATTTCTCAGTTCTCTTTAATGATTATCTATTCCTTTGTGTCACTCCAGAAAACATCTGTAGAACCACAGAATATAATGAATATGATTAGCAAGGCAGAAGAAGCACGTGGCTGCTGCATAAGGTGTTTGCATCTTAAAACACATATTTTTAAAGGGGAAAAACATACATTTTCTCTAAAAAAGATGGACTGTTTTGTTTTGTTTTTTAATTTAGGCGTTTACCTTCTGAGAGATTATAGGCTTTCTTTAAGGAAAAAATATATTAAATATATCAGGTCTTCAATGGGCTATTGAAGCTGAGATGCTCGATATTCTTTGATCGGTTAAAATGGGCTGGTTTGAATAAGAGAGACCAAATGCACGAAGCACTTCTTTTCAAGCACTCATGCATTGAATCATCACATTATTATTTTTTGTCACTTATTGGAGATGAGATATTTGAGAGACTATTGTGCTAATATAAATGTACATTTTATACAATGTCTAAAAATTGCTCATCAACTAACATAAGGGGCAACTCTCCATAGTTTTAATATCTGATACCATTGTATTTAAACATAGGTAAATTCGTGGAAAACTTCTGCTCTCCAGAAATTACCTGACAGCTCAACTGTCTTCAGTATTGTCAAGAACTAAGAAAGAAGTAGAAATTCCTTCAATATTCAAAGCAGAAGTCACAAAAGCAATGAATGAGTTGGGAAGCTTATTTGTAGAAAATACTATTAGGCCTCTAATAAAATTTATAATTATTCTACTTAAAATTCATAATAAGTTTTATCATCTGTTTTTTAATCTGTTTATTTTTGTTTGTACCTTAATACCTATTAAGTCACGAATAGCTAGAAAAGAACAATTGCAATATTCTCAACACCAAGAAAACATGGATGTTTGAGGTGATGGAGATCCCAGTGTCCCTGATTTTATCATAGTGCCTTGTATACATGTATCCAAACATCTCATGTACTCCAAACATGTGTTAAACTATGACATACCAATTAAAAATTAATATTAAAAAGAAGGTGGAGTATTTATTAGAAACGACAGAAGATGATGTGCATCTACAGTCCTAGCTACTCAGGAGCCTGTGGCAGGGGGATCACTTGGACCTAGGAGTTCGGCACTCCAGCCTGAGCCACAGAGAGGAATTCTGTCTCAAGACCAAAACAAAGAACTGACAGAAGGCAGTGTAAAAAGCTGTCAACAGTAGCACCTGGATCCACCAAGGTTTTAACAAAAGAATTTAGATACCTCAATAGTTTCCGGGGTCACCTGAGGTCATAATACAATAAAATAGTTGATGATCTGGGGTAGCAAAGTGAATATGGTCATTGTATTTTTTTTTAGAAAGGAAAAATTTGGGGGTAACTCAAAATTCTAACCGCATTAATTAAGGTGATTTTTTTAAAAAAGAAAATAGGTCAGCCGCGGTGTCTCATGCCTGTAATCCCAGCACTTTGGGAGGCTGGGGCGGGAGGATCACCTGAGGTCAGGAGTTTCAGACCAGCCTGACCAACATGGTGAAACCTCACTTCAACTAAAAATAAAAAAAATAAGCCGGGTGTGGTAGCGCGCACCTGTAATCCCAGCTAATCGGGAGGCTGAGGAGGGAGAATCCCTTGAACCCGGGAGGCAGAGGTTGCAGTAAGCCGAGATCACACCACTGCACTCTAGCCTGGGCGACAGAGCAAGACTCTGTCTCAAAAAAAAAAAAAAAAAAAAAAAAAAAAAAAAAAAAAAGAAAGAAATAATGACAGCAGCAATAGTAAAATTAGGAAATCAGTAATCACCATGTCAGACACTTCAATGCACACTGATGGAAGGCAGTTAATAAAATAACCTTTCTGGCTGAATTACAATTCATTGCCCTGGGAAAGCAGTGTGTCATCCAGAGAGTGAGGAGGTTTCACTCTGGGGCCACGTGAATGCTCCCATAGGTGGGAGAGAGCTGGAGGCAAGGGCAGGCTGTGGGACACCACAGCGGAAGAGCCCTACAGCACTTCAGGTCTAGGGCTTAAAACCAGACTTGCCTGAAGGGCCCAGGTGGACGGGATAACCTGGCTAAGCCAGGGCAGCTTATACTCAAAGACAAGGCAAGGCTTCTTTAAAGACTGAGGAGCAGTAGTGCCGGGGGCACACAGATCGGACTTGTACATGCAACTTCATTCTCCATCAACTCCCATCTTTTAAGACTTTTCCAATCTCTTCACATGTTACTAAATGCTACATTATTAGCTGAAGTTCTGAAAGCAGATTCTTTTTTTTTTTTTTTTTTAGTAGACGAGTTTCACTCTTGCTGCCCAAGCTGGAGTACAATGGCGCCATCTCGGCGGCGCACTGCAACCTCCGCCTCCCCAATTCAAGTGATTCTCCGGCCTCAGCTTCCGGATTAGCTGGGATTACACCACCACGCACCACCACGCCCAGCTAATTTTTTGTATTTTTAATTAAAATGGGGTTTTACCATGATAGCCAGGCTGGTCTCGAACTCCCGACCTCAGATGATCTGCCCGCCTCGGCCTCCCAAAGTGCTAGGATTACAAGCATGAGCCACTGTGCCCGACCAAGAGCAGACTCTTATAGCATCCAAAGGGAGAAATAAACAAAAAAATTACTTAAATGCAAAGACAGCTAAAATATTAATCACTGATGGACCAAATAACAGCAACTAAGTAAGCAAGCAAAATATGAATTCCATGAGGAAAAAGATATCTAAGATATAAAGGAAGAATAATTACAGCCTTCAATGATAAAGGTTAAATTTTACAAAATATTTCCTTTAGGATACAAAGGGGAAATTTGAATAGTGTCTGCTTTAAACTCTCAACATTTCTGAGAATATGGACACTGAGAAGTAAGATGAAAAGTAAGAAATTAGACAACAACTTGAGTTAATTCTTTTGAGTAGATGAAATTAGTCAAAAGTGTGAAGATGAAAAAATTTAAAATTCACTGTAAACTGTATATTGAAAAAATGTCCCTGTAGTATATGAAATGCTTTGATACTAAACATGAGTGTTTCAGTAAAACTTCAAAATACAGAAGAAAGAAATAAAGATTGGATACAGTATGATGTACATGTACAGGAAAACAATTCAAAACACAGAAGATAGATGGTTCAGAAAATGAGGCTAAGCAAATGTACATTTTCCTTGCAGAGAACAATAGTGAATAAAGGTAAAATCTATATATTTGTTGGGAATAATTTTGTTCAAACAAAGAAAAGTCCTATCGTTCTCAACTGTCTCCATAAAATCAATCACTCAAGGACAAGGGAGGTAAAATTAAAGAGGCAACATTGGGAGATTCTGCTCTCAAGCCATTTTGTCAGGCAAGAGGACAATATAATAACATGTAAGAAAGATCAGAAAAGGTATGACTCAGCAAAAACACTATAATCAAACAAAACATTAAAAGAAGTTAGAAAAATGAAAAGAAGTATGAAATTAAAAAAAAGACCTGAAATTTAGACCACCAAAATTAGCTGAATACTGTATACCCAGTAAAAGAAAAATACTCACAATGGATTTTTAAAAAGCCTAAAATTCTTTTTATGAGACAAACCTCAGATACCTCGATGCTAATATACATTTATATGAAATGAATATATAAGTATACCCACAAAGATTTATCAGACAAAGCAAACAGGAGGGATCATAGCACTACATGTTTCTCGATGTAGTAATAAGATTCATCTGATTTTGGGATGTTACAATTAAAAAATAACATTTCTTCTTAGAATAAAATAGATTACATTAAACTATATTTATGTTACTAGTAAAACTTAAATGCATACTAGTTTCTATTTTAGAAAGACAATATCGTTTGAGATTTGATGTTGATCATATTCTTTGGGCCATCTGTAATTAAGCATGGCATAATGGTAGCATACTAGCTTGTATGTCCTGTGCTCATAATTCTTGCTCCATTAGCATATTTAGTATTTTCTGCCCGTCCCCCTCAGCCTCAGAGGACTGTGCACCGAAAGAGAAAGGATACCTTGTCTGTGTCTCTCACCTGTGTGTCCCTCATGTAAATCACTTACACTATCAGTTCAAATAATTCAATCTTTTATCACAACTGTATTTTCAAAACTGGATGATAAACTACCCAAGAAATGCACATTTTTACTGTGTGTTGGCTGCCATGTTTATTTAAATACCTTTCATAAGATAAATCCTTATAACTTGACATTATAAAAATGAGAGAAAATTTTTTAAATTGCATTTTAGAATCAAAGAAAGAATTTATATTGGGTAATACACTTTAGGAAAAATGTTTGAGCAGAGCAAAAATTATATTTAAATAGAAAATAGGCCACACAAGTATATAGACCAATTAATCAAGCAGTTTAATATATAAATAAAACTTTCTTAAAAATCAAAGAAAATCAATTTACTGAGTCTATTTATAAAGCCTAAAATTATAGTAATATTTCACTATATTCTTTTTGTTATAGATAGTGAAATATGTAGTAACAAATTTTAACATAATAGTGTTTTTTCTGAACATGATTCGGAAAAGGGAATTGGCATTTTAAAAAGCGCCTACTTAAAAATGCCACATTTCTATATATTTTCAAATACATTCACATATTATTGAGGCTATGGGACAATTTAAATAAAATAACAAGCAGAAATTAAGCTGGCCACATTTTCAAACATCATAACAATAAATTGGAGATAAATAATAAACTATCACAAATTTTAAAATAATAAAAAATCAAAATTTAAAAAACTAATTTTGAAATAATTAAAATAGTGTTCTAAACATTGATTGCATCAACTAGAAAAATTATTAAACTTAGAGTATCTGAAAATATTCTTAGTTAGAATTTTAAAGAATGCAAAATGTTATTCTTAGGAACAGTTACAGGATTAACTGTTTTGGTTATTAAGTATATAAAAATATATTTAAAATAATTCAAAAAATAGAAATATAAAAATAAAATTAATGCAGAAGAGGGCATAAAGTGAAAAACAGACAAAATAAGAACAGATAAAAATATACCTGATACCTCTAAATGCTTAGCCTGTAAAAGTAAATTAGTACCTTAAGCTACTATAAAAAAGAGAAGATGTAAATATGCTAACTAGGTAAAAGGAAGGAAATTTAGGCAATGCATATAATTAATTATAAATTTACAACACTTTCCTAATACATTTGAAATCATTACAAAGTAATAGATTTTTAAATTACCCCAAGCAAATGTGAATGGATGAATACAAATATTTTCAAATCTAGAAATGGACAATTTCCACACTATATAATTTATTCTGCAGCAAAATGAGAGCAATAGTTCTCCAACCACCTCTTGAATATGGCAAAACAGTCTTCAGAGGCAAAAACCTTGATTTTTTGCTAAAACAATTAATCTTAGTCCTGACACAAAAATTGCAGAAATTTCAGTCACTCTTAGTATTTGAGATCACTTATATATTTTTGAGATAATAAAAGAAGCTTGGGAATTACAGACTGGCAACTGTCATTTATTGAGGAGAAGCTCACCCCCAGGCCAGTGTTTTCCATTTAATATGTGTGCAGGATAGTACACATATTCCTCAGGTTCTTATAGCTATCCCTCTTGTTGTCAGGGAAGGAAGCCTGAAAACTCCCTTATCAACTGTCTTTCCATTAGGGTCAACTGACAGAAGGCACTGGCTTGACTGAAAGGTAGGATGAAGTCAGAAGTCATTCTTAAATTTAGCTTCCTAAAAACATTAATGAGCTATTGTATTTTCTCACTTCGGAAGTAATTTTCCCAATTAAAAATTGGCTAAGTTTTTATAATTGACTTATAGAATACAAATACACACACACAGCCAAATATCATTATTCATGGTAATTATGTTTTATAAAGTCATCACAAACACTGACTTAGTGAATACTGTACAGATGCTCCTGGGGGAAATACAAGTATAAGTTCCTGTAAGCCTCTCGTCATAACATTTTTGTCAACCGATCAATACAAAACCTATTTTATATGTGTTTCTATTTAAAAACTCCCTACTTAATATGTGTATATTGTTGATTCATTTACATTGAACTCATGGCCAATAGCACTGTAATTCATGACTGAATGAAGCTTATTTAACTTGTGCATTTTCTCCATAAGGCAAGTAACAGCCTTCTTGCGCTTAAAAACAATAAACAGCACTTGGGGAACGTTTTAAAGACCAAATCCCAACAAAAAGCACAAAAATGAGAGAAACTTAGAACTAAATAGATCATAAAAAAGACACTTGTTTACATATAAAAGCTGAAGCAAGCAGGCAGAAAGTCACCCTGTTTGACCTCAGCTGAGGTTATTCAATTTTTTTTTTAATTTTTCACCCCACAAAAATTAAATATACCCACAAAAGACTACAAAATGCATTGATTATTGATTTAGGGGTTAGAAACACATTTTGGGAAGTATGCAAATTTGCAAGTATGGAATCCATGGGTAATTGTGGTCAACTCTAACCTGTGAATTATGTGTATATGTGCATATATGTATGAATGTATGCACATATATATTTATGTGTGCATATTTTTAAATGAAAGTTATTTATCCAATAAATGGATTTTGCCTATCTGCTCCTTGTCATTGACTTACCTATACCTCTTCTCAAGGTGAATTTTGATGAACATAAAGTCTTAATTTAAACATAGTCCAATTAATCAAAATTTCCCACAATGTTTACTGATGTTATGTCCTACTTAAAAACTCTGCCAAAACCAAGGTCACAAAGTTGTTATCTATTTTCTTCTATGAAGCTCTTAAAATGATTTATAACATTAATTTAAAATATTAAGCTTAAGAGTTTAAAATGAATAAAAGACAGTCTACAAAGGTTCTAAGGTGTAGGAATAGATTCAGTATGTGCATTATATAGGTTAGTCATCTTTTTTAATTTTAAAAAAGAAGCATGGTCTTTCCTGATGCACAGTAAAATTATTGACAAATAGGCTAACACTTTAAGTAAAATGAAATTACATTCCTAAACTTAATGAAATTTATATAGTGTTTAATATGTGCTAGGCATTGTTCCAAGTACTTTAGGCTCATTCAATCCTCATGAAACTTATATGAAGAAGTATCTTTCTTGCTATTTTGTGAAGATTACACTGAAGCCAATAAAGACTAGGTAACACACTCCAGCTCATTGACCACTGAAGAGGAAGAGGGAATTTGAAACTAGGTAGTCTAACTCTACTTTGCTTTTATTTTGTTGCCTCTGATATGCAACCCAGAAATGCCTAAACTGCTTAAGTGTTAAATAAAAATTATTAAAAACCTAAATGAAATAGAGGAATATTATAAGTATCATATATGATTGTTAAGAATTTTGAAGGCTCTGAGATTTCCCAATTTGAAAGCTGCCATGCAGCAAGCTACCAATTTCAGGATGTTATAGAAGACATGAGACTCCTAAGTAAGTGATTAAGTTTCGTTCATTAGTCACAGCAATTGCAATAGCTAGAGCTTCATTATTTTTGTGCTGGTTCCCTGACACTCAATTCTGGTAGGGCAATAAAAAGAGAGCCAGGTGACAGAAGGAATGGGTCTATTATGATAGAGAAACCCAGAGCTTTATAACAGAAAGTAATTATGCTTAAACAGGGCTTCAGAGGATGATATTATCTTTATTACTCTGAGCAATAAACATTCCTGCCCTTTGATTCATAGAAGACATTATCTCTTTTTTCTAAAGCTGTAAGCAAGCATGCTATATTTTATGAAAGGAGACACTAGCTCTGTCTTCCAAGAAAGGTACTTAGCTATAAAAAACATCCTTGTTCACTGCTATTTTCTGAATGTTCGTGTCTTCCCAAAAGTTGAAAGTTGAAATCCTAATTTCCAATGTATTGGTATTAGAAAGTGGGGCCTATGGGGGGTGATTAGGTTATCATGGCAGAGGCACCATGAATGAAATTGATGCCCTTGTGTAAGAGGCTAAAGAGAGTTCTCCTGCCCCCCCTCAACACTAACATATAAGGATACTGTGCAAAGACACCATCTATGAAAGAGAAAATGGGCCTTCACCAGACATTGAATAGTACGGAATCTTGATCTCAAACTTCCCAGTCTCCAGAATTGTGAGAAATCAATTGTGTTGTTTATAAGCTACCCAGTTTGTGGTATATTGCTATAGCAGGCTGAATAGACTAAGACATTAGTACAGTCTAGAAGAAAGAACAGTGAGTGACTTATTGGCAGGATGTACAGTATCATGAGAGACTTACAGAAAATTTTCTCTATAAAAAACCTGAACATGGAGAAAGTATTTCATATCTAAAAGGAAAGGAAGTCATCCAGAAAATTTTGTACATTTCATTAGGTAATTTGAGACATCTGCATAACAAACAATAGGCAAATGGCAAGTCAAATAACAGGTAAATATTAAATTGAAAAACATTTATCATATATGATGAAATGCAAATAGTACACATTAACATGTAGAAAACATAAAAGACAATATGCAACAAACCAATGAACAAATTGGAAAAAAAAGTTAGAAGCATACCTGAATAATTTTTGCAAATGATTAGTAAGTACTTGAAAAGAAATGTCAACGTTATTACTTATTAAACAAATAAGTCAATAATGCTATGTATCAGTTCTTAGCCACTGGAACTGATACATAGCATTATTTCACATACTGCTAAAAGTCATGTAAATTGATATAATATTTTCATAGGGAATTCTTTAAATGTTTATTAATAACTTTAAGTTATTTATATCTTCAACCTTATAATTCTACTTTCAGGAATTTTGTACAGCTCTTTTACATAAAATTCATGTATACGTGTTTCCATAACATCTGTATTTAAAGAGGTCAATATTGGTATCAATACAAATGTGTAACAATATAATTGTTAAATTAATGGGCAAATACACATAAAAAAAAACCTCAGCCATTACGCAAGTTTGATTCAGGAAATAGTTAATGAGAAGGAAAAGTATCTGCATCATATTTTCAAGTAATAAAATAGGTTAAAAAGCAGTACATTTTGAATTTCTCTTAAAACAGGCTGCTACATGTATATACATACATGTGCATTGAAGAAAATTATAAAGTTAAATACAGGTTTATTCTGATACTATGTGTGATTTTGATTTCCAAATTTTTTGATTTGCCAATTTTTTAGTATATAACTTTTAAAATTTGATATATAGGACCATAGGAAGTCACAGAGATAGCACAAAGAAATTTGTGTATCCTCATTCAGTTTGCTTCAATAGTTACTTTCACTCGTGTCCCTGAGAAGAGACCACCAAACAGGCTTTGTGTGAGCAACAAGGCTGTTTATTTCATCTGGGTGCAGGCGGGCTGAGTCTGAAAAGAGAGTCAGCGAAGGGAGATAGGGGTGGGGCTGTTTCATAGGATTTGGGTAGGTAAAGGAAAATTAGTCAAAGGGGTTGTTCTGTGGCAGGCAGGGGCGGGGGTCACAAGGTGCTCAGTGGGGAGCTTTTGAGCCAGGAGAAGGAATTTCACAAGGCAATGTCATCAATTAAGGCAGGAACAGGCCATTTTTACTTCTTTTGTGATTCTTCAGTTACTTCAGGCCGTCTGGATGTATATGTGCAGGTCACAGGGGATATGATGGCTTAGCTTGGGGTCAGAGGCCTGACAGTTACAGCTCACATAATCAGAGCATAATGTCAAAATCAGCGTTTTTTATGTATATCACAGATGTAGATGTGTGTAACCACACCAAAATCAAGATACACAACTAATAAAAAATATAAAACGTTGATAAAAGAAATAAATGAGGACTCAAGTAAATGGAAAAATAGCCCACGTTTATGGATTAGAAACATTACTGTTGCTGAAATGTCCTCATTACCCAGGGTCATCTACATATTCAATGTAACACCTATCAAAATACTAATGACATTCTTCACAACAATAGAGAAACCAATCTTAAAATTCATATGGAAATGAAAAAGATCCCCAATAGCCAAAGCAATCTTGAGCAAAAACAAAACAAAACAAAGCATCACACTATCTCACCTCAAAATAAAGTCATGTGTCACTTAACAATAGGGATATGTTCTGAGAAATGTATGCTTAGGTGATTTCATCATTAAACGAGCATCATAGCGTGTACTCACATAACCCTAAACGTTAAGGTTAAAGACTACTCCACACCTAGGCTACATGGTTTAGTCCAGTGCTCTCAGGTTACAAGCCTATACTGCATGTGATGTACTGAATACTGTATGCAACTGTAACACAATAGTAAGTAATATGTTAATGCATTGTACTATGATGCTATGAAGGTAACAATGTTATGACAACCATAATGTCACTAGAAAACTGGTATTTTTTTGGCTGGGAGCAGCGGCTCATGCCTGTAATCCCAGCACTTTGGGAGGCAGAGGCGGGTGCACTGTGTGAGGTCAGGAGTTTGAAACAAGCCTGGCCATCATGGTGAAACCCCGTCTCTACTAAAAACATAAAATGAGCTGGGCGTGGTGGCACACCCCTGTAATTGAAAACATGGAAGAAATGGTTCACGAAATTTGACTGGGCAAAGGTTCTTTGAGTAGAGGCCTCCAAAGCACAGGCAACAAAATCAAAAGTAGATAAATGGAATTATATCAAATTAAAAAGCTTCTGCACAGCAAGAAAACAATCAATAAAGAGACAACCTACAGAATGGGAGAAAGTATTTGCAAATTATGCATCTGAAAAGGGGTTGATTTCTAAAATTTATAAGGAACACAAACAACCCAATAGCAAAAAAAAAAAAAAAAATATTTAGAAATTGGTAAAAGACCTCAATAGACATTTTCAAAAGAAGACATACAAATGGCCAAAAGACATATGAGACAATGCTCAACATAACTAATGATCAGGGTAATGCAAATTAAAACCACAATGAGTATCACTTTGCCCCACTTACAGTGGCTATTATCAAAAAGACAAAAAAATAACAAATGAGGTGAGGATGTGCAGAAAGGGAAATCCTTATGCACTGTTGGCGGGAATGTAAATTATTACGGTCATTATGAAAAGTGGCATGGAAGTTCCTCGACTTTTATGTATTTTCATTACCGTCCAAATTCTTTTCCTATCTTACAAAATGGTACAATTTCACCAGAAATAATTGAGAATTACAGTGCTACTTGGAACTTTGGATATAACTAGAATTCCTCATCTTGGAAGTTTCTTAAAGGAAAAAAGCAGCAAAATTCCTAATAATCAATGGTGTTCCTTCTATTGGAATAAAAAAAATCTCTAAACAAAAATATTGGTTGAAGTTTTCATTATATTCAGTGAAAAATTTTTTTTGCCTAAAGTTAAGAAAATTTGTGAAAATTTTATAAATCAAATTAAGTTAGAAATATCATATGATCCAACAATTCTGTTACTAGGTGGGTATACATCCAAAGGGCATGAAATCAGTATTTCGAAGAGATGGCTGCACTCCCATATTTATTACATTGCTATTCACAATAGCTAATATATGGATTTAATATATTAAATCTCATTGTGAACTTAATTTGCATTTTCTATTAGCTAGTGATATTGAACAAGTTTTCACGTGCTTTTTGTCATGTGTGTATTTTTTCTGCTGAAATATCCTTTGCCCGTTTTTCTCATTGAAGTGTTTTCTTTATTAAAAATATTGAGTTTTAAGTTCTGTATATATTCTCCATACACATCATTTGTCAGATATGTGGTTTGCAAATATTTTCTCACAGTCTATAACTGGTCTTTATCCTTGTAACAGTGTCTTTCAAGGTGCAAAATATTTTTGTGGTTGTTTTGAAGAAATTGCATTTCTGGATATTTATTTTGTCGATCGAGTTTTTGGGGTTATGTTTAAAAACTCTTCACCGAGCCCTAAGTTGTAGAGATTTTTCACCAGTGTTTCCTTCAAAAGTTTTATAGATTTATATTTTACATTGAAATCTATGATACATTTAAAGTTTTTTTGGATATGGTATGTGGTTTAAGTAGGGGTTTTTTTTTTGCTCATTCATATTCAATAACTCCAGCAACATTTGTTGAAAAAACTATTATTCCTTCATTGTATTATGTGACATTGCTGAATTAAATTGTTAATCTAACGAGGGTTATTTTTGCTGATTTTTATTGCCTGTGTAGAGAATCATGTATTCAATAAATGAGAGGAAGTAATATTCCTTCTATTCAGAACTATTTACCTCTTACTTCTTTTTCTGGCTTTATTGTGCTGGCTAGAACTTCCAGTACTATTTTGAATAACAGCAGGGGTAGCTGTCATCTGTGCCTTGTTCCTGATCCTAGGGGGAAAGCATTCAGTCTCTCACTATAATGACATTTTGTGTAAATGCTCTTTATCAAGTTGAAGAACTTTCTGTCTATTCTTACCACTTTTCTTGTAGTTTTGTTATTGATGAATGACATTATAATTAATGTCAAATGATTTCTGTACCTCAATTACTATGATCATGGGATTTTTCTCTTTGTTTTTCTTCCTCCCCTTCTTCTTTGTACAATAAATACACTTTATTTTGGTAATGGGGAACATATTTTAAATGTATTTTCTTCTGTTCTTTTTTTTTTTTCCCTTCCTGTTTCTACTGCCTAAATTTAGGATATCAGCACTCATACAAGCATCATTCTTTTGAGATTTGGTCTTCATTCCATCACAAGGATTAACTTCAGGTTTTCTCAAGAACCACTCTGTCACCCTCAGTCATCTCTTTATGAACCTTTAAGTAATCCTATTTCTTACATAATATGACCATAATAATTTGCTTAGAAATTGTGACCCTAATCACTTATTGACTTTACCACCTGGTGATATTCTAATTAATAATGCTGCAGTGGAATCATCATCATTCTACAAAGTTTCTATTACTCTGTTGTCACACTGCTACAAAAAAAATACGTAAGACTGGGTAATTTATGAAGACAATAGTTTTAGTTGATTCATAGTTTCTCATGAATGGGGAGAGCTCAGGAAACTTACAACCATGACTGAAAAGGAAGTGGTACTGCTTCTCAGAAGAGATGGCAAGAGAGAGCGTATGTAGGAGGAAATGTCAAACACTTATAAAACCATAAGATCTTGTGAGAACTCACTCACTAGCATGAGAACAGCATGGGGGAAACCACCCCCATGATCCAATATCCTCCCATTAGGTCTCTCCCTCAATACCTGGGAATTACAATTCAAGATGAGATTTTGCTGGGGACACAGAGCCAAACCATATCAGTATATATGAAATCTTGTGGCTCATGCTTCGATTTCCTCTAGAATAGAACGTCCTTTTACTTTCTGTCCACTTATGTATGCTCTAAATTTCCTTACAATTCAACATTCTTGGAGACTTTTCTATCTAAAACACTCAAAAATATTTTTTTTTCTGTGAGCTTCCCTCTCTCTCTCTCTCTCTCTCTCTATATATATATATATGTTTATGACTTTAATTATAAATTATTGGGGAAAAAATTCTGTTTACAATAATTGTGTCATGCATGGCACACTCAATGAATAAGTAGAGTTCAACCAGCAAGTATGTGCACATTAGCACATTTATCATTTGTTCAGAAATAAATCACAAGTAATATATACCTCTGTGTAAAATCTGTTGTAAAACTACATGTAACACCCATAAAGTTACTTGAAAGATAGCGTTGTAGCTATTTTTGTTTCAAACTCTGCAAAATTTAGTACCTCCAATAAAAATCAATGATTTTATTATATCTCGCAGTTTCTCTGGGTTAGGAACTCAGGAAGGGCTCAGCTGAGCTGCTTTCATCAGAGATCTTCATACAGTTTCAGTCAGACAGTGGCGGTGCTGAGACAATGGGTCACTGGAGCAGCCAGCAGCTATGGGCCATCTCCTTTACACCCCATTTCAGGGTTCTCTACATGATCTCAGATGCACTAGTGTAGCTTCCTCACAGAATGGCAGTATCAAGACTCATAAGGCCATGGAAGGCTTCCAGCATGAGTATCATGGCCTATAAGTTGATAGCTACATTACACAACCTGACCTAGCTCCAGAAATCAAACAGCATCAAAATGATTGAATGTAGTACTGAGGGTTTCAACCATCACAAGAAGGCAAGAAAAAAATAAATACATAAAAATGAGAAGTAAATAAAGAAAACTGTCCTTGTTTTCAGATGACATGATAGCCTATGTAGATAATTCCAAAGAATCTACAAAAAAATCCTAGAAATTTAAGTGAGTTAAACAAAGTGAGAGGACAGATCAACTTACAAATAGTAATTATACATATATATATATAACCAATAAATGCACAAGAACTGAAATTAAAAATAAATTACCTTTTAAAACTGTCTATAAAATGAAATGTTTATTTGTAACTGAACAAAAATGCACAAGACATGCCTGCTAAAAATTACAAAATGCTAAGAACATAAATAAATAGAGAGACAGTTCACACTCATAGACTCAATATAAGAAAGATGTCAATTCTCCCTGAATTTATCTGTAGGATTAATGTGATTTCTATTAAAATTCTAGCATTTTTATTTAAATTTTTATTTTAGGTTTAGGGGTATATGTGCAGGTTTATTACATAGATAAAGTAGGGTTATGGGGGTTTGTTTTGTTATGTTTGTTAGTTAGTTTTGTTAGGTTTGTTAGTACCTATTTTGTTACCTTGGTACTAAGCCTGGATAGTTAAGCAAAATAATGCAGGAAGAGAAAATTGAATACTGCATGTTTTCACTTCTAAGTGGGAGCTAAACATTAGGTACTCATGGACACAAAGATGGCAATAATGGATACTGGGAAATACTAGAGGAGGGAAGAAGCAGGCAGTGGTTGAACAACTAGCTGTTGGGGACTGTGCTATCTGGGTGAATGTGATTGCAGCATTCCTGGTTTGACTCTTGGGTTGGCTGTTGTTGGTGTATAGGAGTGCTAGTGATTTTTATACATAGTTATTTTTTTATCCTGAAACTTTGCTGAAGTTGTTTATCAGCTGAAGGAGCTTTTGGGCAGATACTGTGGGGTTTTCTAGATATAAAATCATGTCATCTGCAAACAGGGATCGTTTCATGTCTTCTTTTTGTATTTGGTTGCCCTTTATTTATTTATCTTGCCTGAGTTTTCTGGCCAGGACTTCCAATACTATGTTTAATAGGAGTGGTGACAGAGAGCATCCTTGTCTTGTGCCAGTTTTCAAGGCAAATGCTTTCAGCTCTTTCCAATTCAGTATAATGTTGGCTGTGGATTTGTCACGGATGGCCCTTATTATTTTGGGGTATGCTTCTTCAGTACCTACTTTGTTGAGAGTTTTTAACATGAAGGTATGTTAAATTTTATAAAAAGCGTTTTATGCATCTATTGAGATGATAATGTGGTTTTTGTCTTTAGTTCTGTATATGTGATGATTCACATTTATTAATTTGCATATGTTGAACCAACCTTGCATCCCAGTGATAAAAGCTACCCGATTGTGGGGAATTAGCTTTTTGATTTGCTGCTGGATTTGGTTTGCTACTATTTTGTGGAGGATTTTTGCATCAGTGTTCATCAAAGATATTGGTCTGATGTTTTCTTTTTTGTTTTGTATCTGCCAGGTTTGGGTATCAGGATGATGCTGGCCTCATAGAATGAGCTGGAGAGGAGTACCTCCTCTTTAAGTTTTTGAAATAGTTTCAGTAGAAACAGTACCAGCTCTTCTTTGTGCATCTGGTAGAATTCAGCTGTGAATCTGTCTGGCCCCAAGCTTTTTTTGTTGGTAGGCTATTTATTACTTATTCAATTTTGGAGCTCATTATTGGTCTGTTCAGGGATTCAATTTCTTCCTTGTTCAGTCTTGGAAGTATGTATGTGTTCAGGAATGTATCAATTTCTTCTAGACTTTTTCGTTTGTGTGCATAGAGGCATTCATAGTAGTCTCTCATGGTTATTTGTATTTCTGTGGGGTCACTGGTAACATCTCCTTTGTCATTTCTAATTGTGTTTATTTGGATCTTCTCTCTTTTCCTCTTTATTAGTCTAGCTAGCATTATATGTATCTTATTAATTATTTCAAAATGCCAACTTGTGGATTTATTTATCTTCTGAGTGGTTTTCATATCTCAATCTCCTTCAGTTCAGTTCTGATTTTTGTTATTTCTTGTCTTCTGCTAGCTCTAGAGTTGGTTTGCCCTTGCTTCTCCACTTCTTTTTGTTGTGGTGTTAGGTTGCTAATTTGAGATCTTTCTAACTTTTTGATAGCAGCATTTAGTGTCATAATTTTCCATCTTAATACTGTCTTGGTTGTGTCCTAGAGATTTTGGTATGTTGTATCTTTGTTCTTATTAGTTTCAAAGAACTTCTTGATTTCTGCCTTAGTTTTATTATTTATTCAGAAGTCTTCCAGGAACAAGTTGTTTAATTTCCATGTAATTGTATGGTTTTGAGTAATTTTCTTAGTCTTGATTTCTATTTTTCTTGGACTGTGGTCCAAGAGAGTGGTTGGTATGATTTCTGTTCTTTTAAATTTGCTGAGAATTGTTTCATGTCCAATTGTGTGGTTGATTGTAGATTATGTGACATGTGGTGATGAGAAGAATGTATATTCTGTTTTTGGGTAGAGAGTTCTGTAGATGTCTATCAGACCGATTTGGTCTAGTGTTGAGTTCAGGTCCTGAATATCTTTGTTAGTTTTCTGCCTTGATGATCTGTCTAATACTGTCAGTGTGCATGTTGAAATTTCCCACTTAGATTGTATGGGAGTCTAAGTCTCTTTGAAGGTCTCTAAGAAATTGCTTTTTATATCTGGGTGAATATATATTTAGGATAGTCAGTTTTTGTTGAATTGAACCCTTTACCATTATGCAATGCCCTTCTTTGTCTTTTTTTATCTTTTCTGGCTTAGTCTGTTTTTCTCCTGAAATTAGAATTGCAGCCCCAGCTTTTTTCTGTTTCCCATTTGCTTGGTAGATTTTTCTCCATCCTTTTATTTTGAGCCTATATGTGTTATTGCATGTAAGATAAGTTTCTCAAAGACAACATGCCATTGAGTCTTGCTTCTTTATCCAGCTTGTCACTTTGTGACTTTTAATTGGCTTGAATTAATGCTTATATTCAAGGTTAGTATTGATATGTGTGAATTTAATCCTGCCATCATGTTCTTAGCTGATTTTTATGCAGACTTCTTTCTGTGGTTGCTTTATAGTGTCACTGTTCTGTGTACTTGCATGTTTTTGTAATGGCTGGTGATGGTCTTTCTTTTCCATATTTAGTGCTTCTTTCAGGAGCTCTTGTAAGGCAAGTGTGATGGTAACAAATTCCCTCAGCATTTGCTTGTCCAAAAGTGATGTCATTTCTCCTTCACTTATGAAGTTTAGTTTGGCCAGATATGAAATTCTTGGTTGGAATTTCTTTTCTTTAAGAATATTGAATATTAGCTCGCAATCTCTTTTGGCTTGTAGAGTTTCTGCTGAGAGGTTCACTGTTAATCTGATGGGCTTCCCTTTGTGGCTGATATGTCCTTTCTCTCTAGCTGTCTTTAACATTTTTTTCTTTAATTTTGACCAAGGAGAACATTTTTCACCCACAAAGGAGAAACTTTGTCACCTACAAAGGGAAATTTATCAAACTAACCTTTGTTCCTTCTCATTTTTTCTCTCTATTCTTGTCTCCCTGTCTTATTTCAGAAAGCCAATGTCTAAGCTATGAGATTCTTTCCTCATCTTCGTCTATTCTGCTAATAATACTTGTGAATGTATTATTAAATTCTTGTAGTGTGTTTTTCAGCTCTGTGGGGTCAGTTATGCTCTTTTCTATCCTGACTCTCTTTTTCTATCGGCTCCTGTATCTGCTCATTGTGATTCTCAGCTTCCTTGGGTTGGGTTTCAGTGTTCTCTTGAATCTCAATGATCGTCATTAATTTCTGTCTATATTTTGAATGATACTTCTGTCATTTCAGCCATGCCAGCCTGGTTAAGAACCTTTGCTGAAGAAATAGTGCTGTTGTTTGGAGTAAAGAAGGCACTCTGGCTTTTTGAGGTGTCAGAGTTCTTGCACTGGTTTTTTTCTCATCTTTGTGGCCTGATGGTCCTTCAACCTTTGAGGTTACTGTCCTTTGAATGTTTTTTATTTCTTTTATCCTATTTGATGACCTTAGGTGTTTGATTGTAGTATAAGGTGTGTTTTGCCAACTGGCTTCATTTCTGGAAGACTTCAGGGGGCCAAGACTCAGCTCAGGGCTTCTGGACTCAGGGACTGTTATCAGGCCCCAGCTTTATTCTCTGGCTCCTTGACTTTAGAAACCTGCTGTGCTGGAGGGGCTGAGGTGCTCCCAAACTGCTGGTCACAACACTCGGATGGGTGGTGCCAGCCAAAGTTCCTCATAGGGTGCTGGCAGCAGGATCCATCCTCATTCATGTGTGCTTGCAGCAGGGACAACAGCAACACAGTGGGCTGCAGGCTTTATGGCTGCAGTGAGGTGCCCAACTCCGTGTGGGCATTTGCAGCAGCAGTGGTGGCAGCACAGCACAGGAGGGTGGCAGACAGGTGTCTGCTGCCCCCGCTGGTGTCTGTGAAGGCATTTGTACCAGGGGTGATGTTAGCCTGGGGGAGGGCTGCTGGTGGGTGCAGGACTGTGTGTGTTCTCTGTGTATGTTCACATGGTGTCAGTGGCCACTCAGGGTGGAGGCGTGTCTGCTGTTCTCCATACCTAGTTGTGCCATGGTAAAAATCTATTGTGGAAATTCTCTAGTGCCTAGCAAGCACATAATAAGTGATCTTAATAGGTTCACCAACTAAAACAATGGATAATCTGAAAATTATGTAAAAGGGGATTAGTTCACTTTCTGAAACAACATTTAGGGTAAGTACATTTACCTATGTAGAAAAAAATATACAAAAAGAGTCAAAGTGTAAAGCACTGGAGAAGGAAAATCTAGATGTTATGCAGAGAGGAGGCAGCTAGAGCTTATGTGGAAGAGAAGAGAGGACACATCAACAAATTAGAGAAGAGAACGGGGGAACATTGAGGCTAACTATAACTCCTCCTTTAATTCAGGAGGCGACAATCATATTTACCAAAAACAAATCAATGTAACTCAGGCTAAGATTGCAAGTATGGTCATAATATGGAATCAATAAAATCATACAAAGTATCATTAAAAAAAACAAACTCAGGAAAAAATAAACAAATTTCTTGTTTTTGTTTTAGTTTTTGAAAAGAAAAGAGATGCATTTATTGTTTTGAAAATAATGCCTTTAAACAGCTTTATGTGAATTGCTATTTCTAATTTTGTATGTTTAAATCTCTTCTCACAGCCTGGAGTATAGTCAAGGGGTCATTTTACCATGTCAACCATGAAATTGAAGTGGAAGAAAGAGATTCTTTTTTTCTTGCTCTTGTAGTGACATTTTCTCTTCCAAAATTCCATGCCTACCACTCATTCCTCCGATCTTTCCTTTCTCTAGAACAATGAAACTTAATGATAGAAGAAAAAACTTCTGGAATATCAGGGTAATAACATCTGATTATCCAGTTCCCCATAAAAACAAAGAGAGCACTGTAAAATATTGTCAAAATAAATGGAAATTAACCAAAGCTTTCAATCATCCAAAAGTGTTTATCAAGAAAAATGGATGCATCATAATAAAGACAATAAGATTTGTGGTATTTGAATTCACCGTATACTCATGAAAACCAGCAGCTGTTTAACTAAGGTAGCTCTGAAAACCAAGTGGGCTTAGAGCTCCAACAATAAGCAATCCAATCCCTGGAGAACTGTAACCATTTGACCTTCCTAACAGCTACCATAGGCTCCATTCTCAGGTATTCCTTTTCTTCATCTGGTCAGAGCTGTTTTGTAATAGCCCTGTCCTTCTGATATTTGCCAAATACAATCAACAACACTTTACAAAGTTGCAGCTGTCTGCGATGATGTTGGTCCCAAATGGGCCTAACCAAAGGCTGACCCAAAAACGTAAGAGGAAAATCTAGGGAATGAGATATCCGTAAGTGGCTTTGAAAACTTCAAAATAGTGCCTTAAGGAAATAGCTGCCCAATCGTTACCTGTCCATTATGCTAAACAAGCTCAGACCTCAGTGGCTGCTCACAACAAAGAATGGAGACTTTATCATATTGTGCGGAGAATTCACTAAACAAACAAATGGCAACAACAACAATAACAACAACAAACAGAAGAAAAACACATGCTGGGGAGAGAGGGAATATCTGATTTCCAGAGTTATCGCATTATAATATTTAAAATATGGATTTATCAAGAAAAAACTAAAATAGGCAAAAAATTAGGAAAATATGGACAATACATAAAAGGAAGAACGGCAAAGTTGCAAACAGGACAATTGTGATTTTCCAGTGTGAAAAACAGAAAGAAAAAAAAAAAACTAAAGTAAAATGAACAGAAACTAAGGATTTAAGGGAATAGTATAAACAGTGGTATGCTGATAACAAAATAGATAACCTAGATGAATTGTACAAATTTATAGAAAGTTATAAGCTATCAAAACAGACAATAAGAAATGAAAATCTGATTACAGCTATAAAAGTAAGGAGATCGAAATGAATTAGTAATTCAGATAAATATATCATAACAAAATGAAACTATAAACTAACTTTTTTCATAAGTTTAGATACAAAAATCCTAAATAAAATACAAGCAAGTAGATTCCAGCAATATATAAAATAGCAACACATGATATGATCAACTGGAATTTATCTCTGGAAGTAAAGGTTGGTTTAGCATAGGAAAATCAATTGATGTCATACACTATATCAGTAGAATAAAAAACAACAAAAAAAAACATGATCATCTCAATAGATGTAAAAAAGCCCTTGACTAAATAAAATTTTTTCATGATAAAATACACTGAACAAACTAGGAATAGAAGGAAGTTTCTATCCCTAAAATAAAGGTGCTGAAAGACTAAATTCTAAAATCAGAAACAAGACAGAAATATCTGCTCTTTCTACTCCTACTTAACATTTCAGTGGAGGTTTTAGTCAGGTTTAACAGGCAAGGGGAAAAAAAGTCATCCATATTCAGAAGAAAGTAGCAAAGCTATTCTTACTCACAAATATCATGAATGCATATATAAAAATTTCCAAGGAACCTATTTTAACAAAAAAAGGTTAGAGTTAATAAACAAGTAAAGGAAGTTGTAGGATACATGGTCAATATAAACATTCATTTTATTTGTATCTGTTATCAAGAAAATACTTAAAAATGAAATAAAAATAACAATTCCATTTATAATGCATCACCAGAGTAATAAAATATTTAGGAAAAATTTTAACAAAAATTTGTAAGATTTGTATGCACAAAACCCCAAAAGATTGTTGTAAGAAATTATATAATACCTAAATATGAAAAACCCCATGTTTTTGAATCATAAGTTTTAATATTGTTAAAATCGCAATGATTCACAGCTGATCTACAGATTCAAGGCAAACACTAACAAAATGTCAGCTGGCTTTTTTTCTCTCAGAGATTAACAAGCAATTCATATGTGTGTGCAAGGAACTCAGAACCATCAAAACTTTCTTGAAAAGAAGAACAATGTCAGAGAACTCAAACTTTCCAATTTCAAAACTTCCTACACATATACACTAAAACAGTGTGGTATTAGCTTGAGGTCCAATATATAGATTAATGGAAAAGTGCTGACAGTCCAGAAACATGCCTTAACATTTACAGCATACTGATTTTTGATAGACATGTGAAGACAATTCAAGGAAAAAGAATAAGTTTTTCAAAATATAGTGCTAGGACAAATGGATGTCTGTAGCAAAATAATGTTTGGAGGCTTTTCTCAGATTATACCTTAAAATTAATTCCAAATATATAATTTATCTTATTGTAAGAGATGCAACATCAAAATCACAGATGACAAATGATACCAACTAGACAAACTGAAAAGACATAATAAAATTATGGGCAAGGAGGTGGAGACATTGGAAGTCCCACATACTGTTGTTGGAAACATAAAATGACTGAGACACTGTGCAAAGCAACCTTGTAGTTTCTCAAAAACTAAATGTAGAGTTAGTGACCCAGCAATATCTCTCCTAGCTATTCACTCAAGAAAATTAGAAATATATGTCCATGCAAACATTTGTAAATCAATGTTCATTGGATAAGTTTTTCCAAATAGCCAAAAGATGGATACAACCCAAATATCTGTCAATTGATGAATGGATAAATGAAATATCTTATATCTGTATAATGGGATATTACTTAACCAAACAAAGAATGAAGTATTGATGTGTGACACAACATGGATGAACCTTGGAAACATTATTCTAATTGAAAGAAGTGAGTCACTGAAGAGCATAGCTTGTATGGTTCCATGTATATAAAATGTCCAGATAGTCAAATTGTCCATTTATATAAAATGTCCAGATAGTCAAATTCACAGAAACAAAGAGTAGGTTAGTGTTTGTCAGGGATTAGGGAAATGGGTAAATTAGGAGTGTCTGCTAATGGGTCTGGGGTTTCTTTCTGTGATGATGAAATATTCTGGATTTTGATGGTGGTGATGGTTGCACAACTTCGTAACTATACTAAAATTCACTGTTGTTTACATTTTACAGAGGTAAATTATATATTATTTAGATTATACCTCAATAAGTTTGTTGTGAAAAAAATCTTAATGATATATACAAACATGTAAGTGTACAAAATTTAACTAACAATCATTTAACTAATATAAAGTTAGATAATTCTCAAAATGTTATAACTTTTTATTGGCAATACTGTTTATTACTTGTCACTAGAAAGTTTGCACACCAGCATTTATATGAGCAAGCTAGGAGTTGGGCCTGCCATATATATAATAATAAACAAAAACAATAAAAAATTTATGAAAATGCTGTGTTCAATTTATAACAAAATAAAAGTAAGTAATACCACTGAATGTAACTGTTAAGTTTATTGCAAAGCTCATAAAATTAGTTCAATACACTGTTGTTTCTCTATTGGGTGACAAGTGTATGCTGGATTCAGTCACCTTCACACATGAAATAAATGCACATCTATGCTTAAAGTCTATGGCAATAGAAGTGATTACTTCCAAATTAGATTTTTGTTTGAAATTGAAGATATAATTTTGAAAATGTATATTAAAATTTTGTCCAGATCTAATATTATTTTAGAACTATAAGTGATAATACCAAAATAGGTTCTTATTTACATTTATTGTAGAATATTTTATGGAGACATTTTCTTAGTGTTCTATTTTTTAAGACAGATTATTTTTTAGTTTTATTTTTTAAGACAGATTTAAACACTATATTTCATTTACATTGTAAAGGTAAGTTATATGGGAACCTTTTTAAATTTTATTTTATACATCTTTTAAAATGACTATTAAGACTGAAGTTTTAGGTATATCTTAGGGCTCTTCATAATTTTGCTTTATATGAGAGAGCTTCTTTTGGTGGAAGATACGTAGTTCACATCACTGACTTCTGACTTCTAATGACCATCGTTTGCCACCTTTAATATATTTACTTTATCTTGGCTGGACTTGATTCAGTATCTGGGCAGGAAAATTATTAAATTGGGATTTTAATCTGCAGTGTAAGTTCTATGAGCACAGAGTCTGTGACTGTCTTTTGTCCTTAGCAGTAGTATGACACCAGGTGTATTCAATAAATATTTATTGATGAAATAAACAAATTAATAATTTAATGACTTCTGGGTGTGTTACCTGTTACTTAAAAAAATCATTTATTACAGTGCTTACTATGTGATATGGTTTTGCTGTGTCCCCACCTAAATCTCATCTTGAATTGTAGCTCCCATAATTCCCACATGTTGTGGGAGGGACCTGGTGGGAGATAATTGAATCATGGGGATGGTTTCCCCCATAGTGTTCTCGTGGTAGTGAATAAGTTTCACAAGATCCGATGGTTTCATAAGAAGCTTCCCCTTTTGCTTGGCTCTCATTTTCTTTCGTCTCTCACCATGTAAGACATGCCTTTCACCTTCTGCCATGATTGTGAGGCCTCCCCAAACACGTGGAACTGTGAGTCCATTAAACCTTTTTTCTTTATAAATTACCCAGTCTTGATTATGTCTTTATCAGCAGCTTGAGAACAGACTAAACACTATGTTTCAGGCATTGTCCTACATTCTACCATTTAATCATCAGAACTCTTTCATCAGGTAGATCTTACCATTCTAATTTTATAGGTGAAGAAGCTGAGGCCGAAGACATTAACCTAGACGTTACCCTATGCCCTATGTGCAGCAGAACCATATTTTGAACACAGCTTATATTGTTTACTCATCCTCTCTTCTAATATTTACAATATTAGTTGCCTACGTCAAACAGCTGTGAGGTAGTAGTAATTAGAGCCTAGGTTTGCTTTGTTTCAAACCTTATGTTCACATTTGGGCCACAGAAAAATTCAAAGAACAGAAATAGAGAGATTCTTTCTTCCTCTCCCTAGATCAGTTTCTTACGTTTCAGAGATACACAGACAATGTCTTTCTCTCTGGAGGAGAGAATGGGCAGGCTTGACAGCTGCTCTTATATAAGATCAGGGTCTCCTGGTCTTGAGATATCCCTTTTGTAACACACCCTATGTGTGTGCACGCACACACACACACACAGAAATACACACACAGTGTGTGCAGGCAGCTGCTCACCTTCATCACCTCACCTGTGGGAAATGGGGCCTAAGGAACCAATAGAAGAGTCATTACAGCTGTTATTATCACTGTGAGTAATAAACTAATCCAAAAATATATGTATGTAAAATAGTAAAGAAGGATGTATGGATACTCTTAAATAATGCAAATTAAATGGGCAACTCAACCTACGAGATAGCAAGACCTATTTTAAAACTATATTAATTAGACTCCTTTCAAAGTGGTAGAATAATAGACCAGTAAAACAATAGAGCTACACAAAAATTCACATTGATATGGAAGTTAATATAATAGAGATGGCAAAAATAATCCCTAGGGAAAGGATAGCCTGCTCAAAAATGATAGAGTGGCAACTGGCTATGTTTCCATAGGAAAACAAATCATATCAATATAATGCATTTCATAAAAATTAGTTCCAAGACCTTAAATAAAACCCAAAAATATATAACATTTTAGAGGAAAGTATGCAATGATATCTTTATATCTTCTATCTTATAAAGTAGAATTTCTTAAAACTAAAAACTGTGAACCATAAAAGTGATTGTTATTAAATATTGCTATATAAGAGATTAAAAATATTGTCAATTAAACAAACAAAAATAAGTTTACAAATAAGCCACCAACAGAAAAAGCATTTGCCTCACATATTTCCAACAAGATATAAGTGTTTGAAAAATAAAAAGCACTTCAATGAAAATACAGATTGCTGCAAAAACAAATTTGCAAAAGACATGAAGGTATGAAAAGTTGTTTTAAAGAAGAGGAAAATTAAATAGTCAGTAGCATCTATGCAAATTAAATCAGGAAAATTCCAATTAAAACCAAAATTATCACCACCACCGTCTATCTGCTTGGGTAGCTTTTACAGCTTCTTTGCATGCTCCACCCCTCACAGAAATGCACAAAAATAGGTGTGCAGAAATGTCACTAGCAGCATTTTAAAAATAGCAAATAGTTAGAAAAATGTTCCCCAGTAGAGATAAAACAATGATTTGTGGAAAATAGGTAAAGTGGATTAAAATACTATAAACTTCCTGACAACTTTTCTTCAATTATAAATTAGACATAATATGGGTACTCTTATGTTACTATCTTAGAAGTGTTGTGGAAATTAAATGAATTAAAACCTGTGAAGTGTTCCAAATTATAGGTAATTTGCATTGAGTCATTTGATTATGTGTGTATATATTCATATACATGTAAATTTTCACTTATTCATCTTTGAATATAAATAAACTAGACCTATAAGAATCAACTTCAAAAATCTCAAATATGTAGCCTGGGTAACAGAGCAAGACTGTCTCAAAAAAAAAATAAATGAATAAATAAATAAATTAAATAAATGTAAGTTTCAAAATTCTATATCCAGTATGACGCCACTTACATAAGGATTTAAAGCATGCACACCTATAAAATATTTTGATTAAGGGTGTACTATTTGTCGGAAAAAGATAAGTAAAGGCATTATAATAATAAACACCAAACTCAGGTTGGTAGTTGTCTTTCATAAGGGGAAATGCTTGCTATTGGACAGGGCACTGGGCTTTAACTGTTTTGGGAATTATTTATATTTTATCAGAATAATGAGTATGTAAGCGTCTAGTATAACTTTTCATTACTATGCCTTTTACTCTGAAATAATTTATAATAATTATAGATAATTAATGTTGAGATTGATAGATACTATTACCCATCTATCCGAATATTGAAGATTACTTGAAATTATTCCTTGACAATAATTTGTTTTATGCATGGCTTTTTTCTTATCTACTGAAGGACAGAGTTGGTGCTCTGTATGCAAGACTAGGACTTTGTAGGCTATACTTAAAAAAAAAAAAACTTTTGGAAGGAGCAATCAGCCATGTGCCTGACTCAGATGAATATTTCTGTGCTCTACACGTGTTGAGCATCATGCCACATGTGCTGTCCAGTCACTAGACAGCAAAATAAAATCTTACAGGCAGTGCCACTTTTGGCTTATCAAAAGTTTTGCATGCCTAAATGTACAGTCAAAATAATGATACTCTACAATGTACCATGGAATTAAGCCAGACCTCTACAAAGATCTACAGACACCTGGTATTAAATTGCTGCCTCCCTCCTACTCCCCTCAGCCTCCTCTCCACTGAGTTATCCACTCTGAAAGAATTCACCTCTGTATTTAATGGCAGAATTGTTTCTAGCAATTTTATTTTTTCACCAGTGTGAAAATAAACAATTATTTTTAATTGTTCACCAGTGTCTTTTCTAGGACGAGCATCATGGGATATTTTTCTCTGACCTAATTACTAAAAACAATAGAAAATTTTCCAAGCAATTAAAAATAATCTTGTGGACACTACCCATCAATTATGGCTCTTCACATTAGTGACTACAAAGCTCATGGCCAAATTGGTGGAATGGCAATACAAAAACATACACTTACATAAAAATAAAGCAAAATAACTTTAGTGGTCATTTTTTCTTAGTAATGTAACAAAGCTGAGTATGTGTGTGATTCCAAATGCTTAATCCAATAATAGAAATATGAATAGAACAAAGAAACACAATTTCTAGAAAAAATATTAAAAATTTATTGCTGAGGGAGAGGCAACAGAAAATTAACCTTTTTCTTTACATATGATTGATACACATATTCTCATAATTGACATTAGAAACACCATCTCAATTTGAGTAGCTATACCAATTGCCTAAGGAGAAGACTTCGTGCCATCAATATATAAATATATATTTAAATTATACTTTTAAGTTCTGGGATACATGTGCAGAATGTGCAGGTTTGTTACACAGGTATATATGTGCCATGGTGGTTTGCTGCACCCATCAACCCATCATCTACATTAAGTCTTTCTCCTGATATTATCCCTCCCCTTGCCCACTGCCCCCTGGCAGGCCCCACTGTGTGATGTTTCCCTCCCTGTTTCCATGTGTTCTCATTGTTCAACTCCCACTTATAAGTGAGAACATATGGTGTTTGGTTTTCTGTTCCTGTGTTAGTCTGCTGAGAATGATGATTTCCAGCTTCATCCATGTCCCTGCAAAGGACACAAACTCATTCTTTTTTATGGCTGCATAGTATTCCATGGTGTATATGTGGCACATTTTCTTTATCCAGTCTATCATTGATGGGCAAAAATGATTTTCTACTTTGAATTGGGCAGGAATTTAGTAATCAAAATAGGTTTGACTAGGTCAGGTGGAAGAAGTGAATTTTAGAATATGGGCATCTTATGTATTTATTAATAGTTTAGATTCATAGACAATTAGAACAGATTGATTATCTTCACTAGAATAAATATGAGATACATCTAAATCATGGAAATGATGCTAAAGAGATAATAGTTTTACATGTACACAAAATAACTCACATCTACAATATTAAATGATCATTCTCATATCCTTTCACATAAATGTTTCCCTAAGAATTTTAGAATAAATTTTTATAATAAAAACAAGACTGCTTAATTTATATAAATATTCTCTATAGTGGATGCCCCTTTCCTCAGATAAAGAGATGACTGGAAAATTGCTTGAATCTACATACATACATTGCAGATATCACCCAATAATTTTTTTCTCTGCCAATTTTTAAAGCAATCCGCAGTACTCCACTTAGAAGCTGCATAAAGATATACCTTATCAGGACCAGGCATGGTGGCTCATGCCTGTAATCCCAGCACTTTGGGAGGCTGAAGTGGGTGGATCATAAGGTCAGAAGATAGAGACCAGCCTGGCCAACATGGTGAAACCCTGTCTATACTAAGAATACCAAAATTAGCTGGGCGTGGTGGTGCGCACCTGTAATCCCAGCTACTCAGGAGGCGGAGGCAGGAGAATTGTTTGAACCCGAGAGGCGGGGGTTGCAGTGAGCTGATATTGCACCATTGCACTCCAGCCTGGGCAACAGGACAAGACTCTGTCTCAGAAATATACATATATATATACACATTATCAGAATATTATTCTCCATGGAAGCAGGTGAACATCTGTAAAATTAATAGTGCAGAGCAAACTTGTTGCTTTAAGTAGACTTTTAAAATGTTCCATTTCATTTTGAAAGCTCAGGTAAATATGAAACATTTAGCATAGATTGTTAATGTCAGTTACTTTTAGCTCTGCTACAAAGAGATGGGGTTTATGAATTTGAGGACATGAGTGTGAAATATAATTTGAATGATTCATTCAATCAAGCAATCTCAAAGAATGTTCACATTTGCTTGAGGTGCTACTGTCTCATTAAATATTTGTTTTCTTTGATAAGAGCTGATGAATTGCCTGCAGTAGGCTTCATCAAACTTGACATATTTTTTAAAATGCTGCTGACAATTCTTTTTTGCAGTTTTTATATTCAGAGTCAAACTGCACTTGGGTGATATTTTGATAGCATATCTATTATTAATGGAATTTGCTATTTCTTATTGCCCAAATTTATGCAAATTTTATAACACAAAGAAGCTACAACTAAAAGTCTTACAATAAATTTAATATTAAAAGGGGATAAACTATCATTTGAAAATAGTTACATTGCCCCTAAAATGGTTAATACAGAGGAATATAGTCATGAGGCGCATAATGACATTTAGATCAACAATGGACTGCACATATCATGGTGGTTTTATAAGATTATAATGGCCCTGAAACCATTCCTGTTGCCTCGTGATGTTGTAGCCATTCTAAAGTTGTAGTGCAAAGCATGCCCAAGTGTGGTGATGCAGGTGTTAACAAAACTTCTGTGCTGACAGTTTTATGAAAGTCTAGCATATACAATTGTGTACACTACCTAATACTTGATGATTACAATAAATGACTGTTACTGCTTCTTTATTATACTATACATTTTATCATTGTTTTGGAGTATACTCCTAAAAGATAAGTTAGTGATTAAACAGCCTCAGGCAGGTTCTTAGGGAAGTATTCCAGAAGAAGGCATTTTTTACCAGAGGGATGACAACTCCATGCATGTTATTGTCCCTGAAAATCTTCCACTGGGACAAGATATGGAGGTGGAAGACAATGGTATTGATAATCCTGGCCCTATGTAGGCCCAGGCTAATGTATGTGTTTGTGTTTTAGTATTTAACAAAAACATTTAAAATGTAAAAATAAAATAAGAATATAAGGAAATAAAATATTTATATACAGCTATAAAATGTTTGTATTATAAGCTAAGTGTTATTACAAAAGGGTCAAAAAGTGAAAAAAAATAAGTTTATAAAGTAAAAAATTTATAGTATGCTAAGATTAAATTATTATTGAAGTTTTTTTAATACAAATTTAGTGTAGCCCAAGTGTTTATAAATTCTACAGTAGTGTACAGTAAAGTCCTGGGCCTTCACATTCACTTACCAGTCATTCACTAACACCCAGAGCAACTTCCAGTCTTGCAAGTTACATTTATTTTAAGTACCCTATACAGGTGTACTATATTTTATCTTTTTTTTTTTTTTGAGATGCAGTCTTGCTCTTTTGCCCAGGCTGTAGTGTAGTGGAAACATCTCTGCTCACTGCAACCTCCACTTGTCGGGTTCAAGAAATTCTCTTGCCTCAGCCTCCCGAGGAGCTGGGACTACAGGCGCCCACCACCACACCTGGCTAATTTTTGTATTTTTAGTAGAGGCAGGGTTTCACCATGTTGGCTAGGCTTGTCTCAAACTCCTGACCTCAAATGATCCACCCACCTCGGCCTCCCAAAATGCTGGGATTACAGGCAGGAGCCACCATGCTTGGCCTATTTTATGTTTTATACAGTATTTTTACTGTGCCTTTCCTGTGCTTAGCTATGTGTAGATACCACATACTTACCATTGTGTTACAATTGCCTATAGTATTCAGTGTAGCACCATGCTGTATAGGTTTGTAGCCTAGGGGCAATGGGCTGTAGCATATAGTCTAGGTGTGCAGTAGGCTATGCCATCTACATTTGTGTAAGTACACTTTATGATGTTACACAATTACAAAATTGCCTGACAATGCATTGCTCAGAAAGTATCCCTATCATTAAATGATGCATGACTCTACTGTCTTTTGGAATACAGGGGCCAAACAGAGAAAGTTTATTGTTAGTTTGCCTGTCAGAGGTATGCTCCCAGCTGAACCTTTTGCTATTTCTAAGAATTTGCCAGCTCTGGGTGAGGCAGTCTCTCCTCAGCCAGAGAAATTTTATTTATTAAGGTCAAAACGGCAAAATATACAAAAAATTTAAATATATAAACAATACAAGGAAGATTTTTCACATCTTGTATGAAGCCATTATAACTTGATACCAAATCATGAAGACATAAAAAGAAAAGAAAACCTCAGACAAACTCCCCTTCCCTTATAAATATTTATGTAAAAACCTCAACAAAATACTAGCAAATTCAATTAGCAGCAGATTAGAAGGATTATTAACTATGACTAAGCTGGATTTATCCCGCTGATGCAAGAATTATTTAATGTATTAAGATCTAGGTAATATAGCAAATTAATAAATAAAGGACAAAATTTACATCATCACAATAGATACAGAAGTATCTGACAAAATCCACCCCCTTTTGTAATAATCATGCTCAGCAAAATGGGAATAAAAGGGAACTTTCTCAACTTGATAAAAAGTATCTTTGAAAAATGCACAAATATTATTGTACTGAATGGGGGAAATAGTGAATACTTCCTACCTAAGATCAGAAATAAGACGGGGTTGCTCACTCTTACCATGTCTATTCAATGTTGCACATAAGACTCTAGTCCAGAATTAGTCCATACAGAGAAATAAAAGCATCCATGTAAGAAGGGAAGATATAAAATAATCTCTGTTTACAGATTAGATGACAGGATCTAATACAGAAGAAATTCTAAGGACACACACACACACACACACACACACACACACGCATGCACACACACACCCAGGCACATTCTAGTCAAACTTCAGAAACAAAAATAAAAAATAAAAACTTGAAGACAACTGAAATGTACCAAAGAACAAACTTAAGAACTACCTTAATCTTCTCATCAATAGAATGATGAGTATTAAAAGTACTATAAAAAGTATTAAATGAAAAAATAAATGTGTTAACTTAGAATTCTTTTCCTAGTAAATGTATTTTTCAAATATTAAGGTGAAATTTAAAATATTCAAATAAGCAAAGGTTAAAAGAACTCATTGTCAGGAGTTGTGTACTACAAAAATAAAGGAAGCTAAAAATGGCAAAAAGATGATAAATATAAAACATATATTTTTATTTTTAAATGCTTTAAAATATAATTTACCTACAGTGACAGTAGTAACGCTTATTGAGGGATTTATAATATATCTGGAGATATTAATATGTGATAATATATTGAGGATTTTCAGGAAACACAGCCAATAGGATGTATGTTAATATAATTAATTATTTTCTGAAATATAAGTAGTCTAACAGCCATTTAAAAAGCAAAAATTATTTACTTGGGTATATATCTCAGAACTAAGTACATTCAGTCAACCCAAAAAATTTAAATTAGCACCTGCACAGTGGCTCACCCCTGTAATCCTAGCACTCTGGGAGGCCGAGGCAGGCAGATCATTTGAGGTCAGGAGTTCAAGACCAGCCTAAGTTAGGAGTTCAAGACCAGCCTGGCCAACATGGTGAAACCCTGTCTCTACTAAAAATACAAAAATTAGCCACAGGTGGTGGCGTATGCCTGTGATCCCAGCTACTCAGGAGGCTGAGGCAGGAGAATCGCTTGAACCTGGGAGGTGAAGTTTGCAGTAAGCTGAGATTACACAACTGCACTCCATCCTGGACTACAGAGTGAGACTCCATCTCAAAAAAGAAAAAAAAATTAATTAGAAGATATTGGTTAAAAAAAAAAGAAAGAAAAATAAGTGCCATGAAGTTATGAATCAAAAGATAGCTAAAATGACAGTAAAATCAGTTAGTATTAAGCATTCTTATCAAAAACCTAAATGTAAAAGTAAAAAAGGTACCTATGTGAGGTGATAGATGTGTTAATTAACCTGATTGTGGTAGTCATTTCACAATATATACATATATCAAATCATCTTGTATACTTTATATTAATATAGTTTGATTTTTCAATTATACCTCAAAAAAGCCAAAAAAATGCCCCAAGAATGAAAAAAGTACCAATAATATGAAGAAAAAAATGACTAAGTCAATTTTAAGTAATTTACATCTTCAGTGAAAAAAAGAGTTTATTAAAAAAGAAATTGTACCAGAGGTAAAGAGCAGCTTTCGTAATTACAGACATCAATTTATCAAAAGTCTGAAAAATCCTAAATGCATATGAACTATTAGAACTACAAAGTATGTAAATCAAAGACTAAAAAACAGAAAAGAAAATTGGACAAACTTGTGACTATAGTTGGAGACTTGAATAATTTTCTTAGTAAGTGATGGAACAAGTACACAGAAAATCAATATGTATAAAGAAGACATGAATAACACTATTTACCAGCCTTGCCTAATTTACAGATAAAAGAGCTTTCCACTCAACAGTAGCAGAATATACACCTTTTCAAGATTGATTGAAAAACCATGACCAGATTTTGCACACTGCCTATTCTACAAACTGAGAGCTAAAACAATATGCTTTTATCACATGCTAAAATGGTTATAAAAACGAATGAACCAACACAACAACAAACAGAAAAGATTGTTATGTAGAAGCTATGCCTGGCCCTCAAATTCTAAAATATTTAGGTCTTCTTGGTAAAACAGAAAACATTTACTCAACCGTTTTCCTGTGGTAGGCCATAATTTAACTCTGAACACATTTGTTATATTCAAGATTATGTGATACATATGTATGGCCACAACAGAATCACACTGGAAATCGATAAAGGAAAGATAGGTAGAAAATTCACCAATATTAAGAAATTAAACAACATACCTCTCTGTTACCCATAGGTGGAAGCAGGAATCATATAGGATCTCTTTTCTTTTAATTGAATTGAAAATAAAAACCTTACATATCAAAACTGGTGAGGTGCTGTAAAGTAGTACTAAAAAGGAAACTTTTAGCAGTAAAGTTTTATGTTAAAGTAGTATTTTAATTTTCTTCGCTAAGGCATAGTTTAGCTATTTTGTTACTGTAAAGAGACAAAATACTTTAGCTTCTGAGGGCCACATATGGTTTCTATTGTATATCCTCTTTATGTTTTTCTTATAAACATTTAAACATGTAGAAACCATTCTTACTCCTGGGCCTTATAAAAATGAGCCACAAAACAGTTTCACTGCCTCATATAATCAGGATTTGCATACAATGATAGAAAAAAGAAATGCAAATAAGTTATTAATGGATTTTTTATGGTTCAAGATTTTGTGTACTAATAAATTATTGCTTACAGAAAGGCTGTGAAATGTTTCTCCTGTGTTTTATTCTATAATTTTTATTGTTTTAGTGTTTACATTTAAGTTCATTATCAATTTAGACAATGTTTATGTATGTCACGACTTGCTTATTAAGCTTCATTTTTTTCTAAATGCATGTCTAGTTCTTCTAGCACCAATGGTTTAAAAAAATCCACCCTTTCCTAATTGAAATACGTAGGCAAATTATGTCTATATGAGATTGACCATCTTTTTTTTTTTTTTTTGAGGCAAAATTTTGCTCTGTTGCCCAGGCTGGAGTGCAGTGGTGCGGTCTCAGATTGCTGCAACCTCTACCTCTTGGGTTCCAGCAATTCTCCTGTCTCAGCCTCCCAAGCAGCTGAGATCACAGGCATGCACCACCACACCCAGTTAATTTTTGTGTTTCTAGTAGAGACAGGGTTTCACCATATTGGTCAGGCTAGTCTTGAACTCCTGACCTCAGGCGATCCACCCACCTCTGCCTCCCAAAGTGCTGGGATTACAGGTGTGAACCACCGTGCCCAGCCAGTTTGACCATTGTTATGTGGCTTGGTATATTCATTTGGTAGGGCTCCAATAACAAAGTACCACATGCTGGGTGGTTTAAACAACAGAAATATACTTTCTTACAATTATGGAGGCTACAACTATGAGACCAGGGTGTCAACAGGGTTGGTTTTTTCTGAGGCTTGTCTGCATTTATTGTAACATATAATAAAAATAATATAATATACATAACATTAATATATTATTCTTATGTGACACATTTTATTATGAAATAGACCCAACATACATTGGGTTTTGAGGTTAGGATTATTGTAATTACAGCTTATAATTACGTAGAAGAATGTAATGAAAATAAAACAGAAAACTGCTAATTAGGCTTTTTTTTTAAGATGTCTATGGACATTTGTAGACATGTCACGCAGGCATACAAACATTTTAATTTTGTGTAAGAGTCTTATCTTTTTGCCAAAAATAGAAGCTGTGTTTCCCTTACAGCTGTAGTGGCAAGCTGGACTGACTCAATGCCATGTCCTGCTACCCGGTCGCATTAATTGCTGACTTGAATGATGAATGTGCATTCAACTCCATTTCCTCTTGTCATTTGTAAAGACATTTACTTTTATAAAGACATTTACTTCTATGACCTAAAGATGTAACTATGCTCTTCTTTTGAAACACAAATCATATTTACACACAGTAGATACATTCTTATTCAAACAAGAATTAAATTTGTCATTTACCACAATTACACTGAATCTTTTATAATACGTGACACATATGTTTGCTTGCTTTTCTCTCTTAATTTTATGTATAAAACTTTGGTCCCAGAGATTGGGAAAAGACCTGATACTAAATAAATAATTTGCATCACAGAGTTTGATTTAATTAATTTTCTTAATCTCCAAACAATACCAACAGGAAAATATTATTCCTGACACATAAACAATGGCAACAAATTTTGGAGGAGCTAGAGCCAGATAAGATACACAAAGTCAAAGTTTTAATATATGGAGGAATTTATATTTGAACTCAGAGCTGCCAAACTCATAATCCTTTGCTCTTTCTAATCTAAAACATCTATAAACCCAGCAATAATCATAGGAGATAAATGTGTGTTAAAAACATAGGTACTCACGCTACAGACATTTTCCTGACCCTTATTAATTGAATCCCACATAAACCATATTATCTTGCATAGCTTTCTGCACTCTCAAATAAACAGGAGAAAACATATGTGTGTTTGCATGCATGTCCTGACACACATACCACATAAAATTATTTGATAAAAATGGGATCCTATTATGTAAATGTTGCTACATATTGCACTTGTTAAAAAACACTCTTTAGAAAGCCCTTCAATCAGCTGGTGCAAATCTAACTCATTTTTTAATACTTAATAATATTTTATGATATTAACAACCTTAATTTTTCCATTATTTCTGTATTTTAACTGCCATCATCTTTTTTATTTGTGCCTGTGATGGTTAATTTTATGTGTAAACTTCAGCCCTGGGATGCCCAGATATATGGTTAAATATTGTTTCTGTGTCTGTGATGAATTTGTGGAAGAGATTGGCATTTGAATTGGTGGGCTGAGTGAAGCAATTGCCCTTCCCAGTGTAGGTGGGCATCATTCAACCCACGGAAGACCCTAAAAGAATGAAAACGTGGAGGAAGGTTGAATTCTTTCTATCTCCTTCAGCTGAGACATCAGTCTTATTCTGCCCTTGGACTAGGACTAACACCATTGGTGTTCCTGGTTCTCAGGCCTTCAAACTCACACTGGAATTTATACCACCAGCTTTCCTGTGTCTCCAGCTTGCAGATGGCTGATCTTAAAACTTCTCAGCCTCCATAATAGCATAAACCAAACCATTACAATAAAATTTTTGAGACATAGAGAGAGAGAGGTGGATAGATAGATTTCTTTGCATTTCTGTTTTTCTCGAGAAGCCTGCTTAATACAATAACCTTTCCTATGTGATTTGTTAGTTTCAGCACCTTTATGTAATATGGTCGTGGTATTTAATTATGATGGCCTCCCTAATTATATTAAAAGTATCTATTTTTTAAAATGGCCTGGAATGATTTGTCATTTTAAAATTATCTGTTCTTTAAAGGTTAAATATTTTCCAGTTATGCTTGAGGTCACTTTTACCATGTCTATATTTTAATAGACTATCTACTTTCTCTAAGCTTTCAAGTATCATAACACAGAATTATTTCTTTAATCTTTTTTGCTGTTGTTGTTTGTTTTTTTGTTTTTTGAGACAGAGTCTCACTGCACAAGGCCCAGGCTGTAGTGCAATGGCATGATCTTGGCTCACTGCAACCTCCGTCTCCTGGGTTCAAGTGATTCTCCCGTCTCAGCCTCCTGAGTAGCTGGGATTACAGGCACGCACCATCATGCCCGGCTAATTGTTCTATTTTTAGTAGAGACAGGGTTTCACCATGTTGGTCAGGATGGTCTCAAACTCCTGAGCTCGGGGCGATCCATCTGCCTCGGCTTCCCAAAGTGCTGGGATTACAGGCGTGAGCAACCGTATCCGGCCTCTTTAATCTTATAATATGTATATCATGATGTATTTTTATACCTACTATTCTATGTGTTTCTTCTTTCCTCTGCACAGGGCTCATGGAGTACCACTGGAGCCCATTGTGTGCATCCCCAGATGCGCTCAGCTGACCTGTATCTTTGGACAGTTGGTAACTTCCGCAATGAATAGTCCCAGCCATGCTCACTTTTTGCATCATCTCCAGACATCTTTGCCGTCTTGTATTCCCCTGGGTAAATATTAGTCTTAATTATAGCATCTTCATGGTTGAGTCCTGTTCTAAAACTCTACTGTATGCTAATTATTTAGAACTTACTATTATATAATTGTGTACAGAAAGTTTAAATGATAATCAATTACTTCATTTAAAAATGATTTATTGAGATGAAATTCACACAACATAAAACTTGCTATTGTAAAGTGAACAACTCAGTAGCATTTAGTATGCCCACAGTCTTGTGCAATTACCCCCTCTATCTAGTCCCAAAAAATTTTCATCATTCCAGTGTAAAACCTCTCACCCATTAGTCAGAATTTCCCTATTCCTCCTCCTCTGCTAGCTCCTGACAAACATCAGTGTCTGTTCTTTCTGTGGATTTATCTATAGGTTGGTGCAAAAGTAATTGGTGAAAGTAATGGCAAAAGCCACAATTACTTTGCACGAACCTAATGTTTCAAAGATTTTATTTAAGCAGAATGAAACTTTGTGCCTAGCTTCTTTCACTTAGGAAAATGTTCTCAGGGTAACGCATGTTGTAGTGTGGATCAGTGCTTCATTCCTTTTTATGGCTGAGTGTTATCCAAGTACAACTGATAATACACAAAAGGCAGGTAATAATGCCGCTCCTCTGCATTCGAGTCCAAGGGGCTGTGGTGTCATATTGCTGAGTGTGGCCTTGTGGATTCTCCTGTTAGCTTTCTTCACACCATGGCTTGTCATGGCTGATGTCTCAGATTCATGGATTAATACGCAGGCACTCACAGTGACAACTATGTCAATGTCAGTGGGAAGCAAGGTTATCTTTTGGGGGGCAGATGCTCTTTATAAGTTGGAACATAATACCCAGAGGCTCCTGCTGCAAATATGTTTAATAATGACTCAGAAAAGTTCAGCCACAGGGAAGCACCAGCATCCCAGGCATCTCTGCTGGCATGGACCTTAGTTTCTATGGCTCATTTGAGCCCTCCAGGTTCCTCTGTGCAGTGCTCCTTTGTCCATTTGGTTCCAACCTCTCCACACTTTTAGCTCTCGGCTGCCTCATGCTCCTGCCTGCTTAGAACCTTTGGAATGGGGTTGGCCTCTACCTGGAAACACACTGACCAACCTGCATGGATACCCCCTGCTCACTCTTCAGGTTTTCTTTCACATGTCATGGTTTCAAGGAACTTTCCCTTATGCCTCTCCTTCTTAACACCCTCACCATGACCTGTGAATTACATCTCATTATTTGATCCAGATAACTACACCCTAGCCAATCTATGTAAGAAAAACGAGGATGGCCTATCTATTTCCACAAGGTTGACCAAAGAATAAGTGAAATAGTTCAGGTGTGAATGCAAGTTTCTTGGCTACATGAAGCAGGGAGAGAACAAAACAGACCAGCAGGGAAACCTAGGGCCTGAGAAAGAGGAGAGTAGCAAGTTCCCTGGGTTTTCCTGTTGCTTCACACACACCTCAGACGAGGTACTGTCTAAAGAAATCAGGAAATCAGAACATCAATGAACACAAGCAAACCAAACAAAGATCTCTCTGTCACCCAGGTTGGAGTGCAGTGGCATGATGTCGGCTCACTGCAGCCTCAACATCCTGGACTCAAGAGATCCTCGCATTTCAGCCTTTCAAGTAACTGGGACCACAAACCCATGCCACCCTGTCTGGCTAACCTCTGTATTTTTTGTAGAGGCAAGATTTTACCATGTTGTCCAGGCTGCTCTTGAACTCCTGGGCTCAAGCAATTCACCCGCCTTGGCCTCCCAAAGTGCTATGATTACAGGCATGAGACACCGCACTCAGCCCCAAACAAAGATCTCAAAAACACCATGTTCATTTAGTTGTGTGACAAGTAAATTAACAAACAAGCAAGATAGAAAACATTTAAACACTATAAAAGGAACTGATGAATGTGAAAAAAAGGACTATAGCAATTAGCAAGATTAAACAAGAGAGGGAAAATAGACTGGAAACAATAGCTTCAGGGAGCTGTGGGTGTACAAGAAAAAAATACAACATTTGTGTTGTGGGCATCCCAGAAGGAAAGGAAAACTTGGGTGGACTTTTAAAGGTATTTCGAAAAGTAATGGCTGAAAACTCTCCAGATTTGTAGAACATATCTGCCAAGAGATTTAAACAGTCTGAGTGAACTCCAAACAGGGTGAAGCCAGTGAAATCCATGAAGAAACATATCACAGCCATACTGTCAAAACCAAAACACTTTTATTGTCAAATAAAAGACAAAGAAAGCTTGAATGCAGTGAGAAAGAAAGGACATTTAGAAAGAGACATTTACACAGAGTGAGAAAAAAACAATGACACATTTCACTTTATAAACTATAGTCACCAGAAGGAAGCAGCACATTTTTCAAGAAAGAAAAGAACTGTCCACTCACAAAACTACATCCAATGAAAATATCATTCAAGTATAATACAGAAATCAACACATTCTCAAATGATGGAAATCTGAGAAAATTTATGGGCAGCATACTTACCTGGAAAAAAATTGCTAAAGGCAGTTTTTTACACAGGAAAAAAATCCTAGTTGAGTAATCTTAGAACATTAGGATTTAAGAAAGAACAACAGAAGAGGAAAGGAATGATCACACCCAGTAGCCTTAAGCTTCTTGTCTGAGTTTCATAGATTATGTATGTGGTAGAAGCAAAAATTACAACACTCTCTGATGATGTTCTCAACACAATTATACTAGAAAGGGAGGTGGGTAGAGAAATATAAAGGAAAATAAAATGTCTACATTTTACTTGAACTCAACAAAAAAAAAGTAATGCAAATATTTACACCCAAAAACATTATTGGTAAATCCAAATGGAATTCTAAAATAAATGATAACGTTACTTACAGGAACGTAAGAAAGATAAAAAAAAAAATAGAAAAAAACACAAAGAAGTGACAAAGAGGAAACAAAAAGCAACAAAAGATTGACAGACTTAAGCTCCAACATATGACAAGCTACATTGTAAATAAATCATCTAAACACACCAATTAAAAAACAGATATTGATATATTAGAATTTATAGAAAAGGTGACTCAACCCTCAACCATCTGGAAGAAACTCATTCCAAATAAATTAATATAGACAAATTGAAAGTAAAACTATGGGAAAAATATGCCACAGAAATATTAAGTAAAAGAAAGTAGGATTGAATATAATAATATCAAATAAAGTAGGATTCAGGTTAAGAATTTATTAAGGATAGACATAAGTATCATATAATCATAAGAACATCAACCCACCAAAAAGATATATCCATGATAAATGTTTAGACACCAAAATAAATAAATAAACAAACAAATAAATAAAGCTGAACTATTTGTAAAGCAATACATGATAGCACTGTAATTTGCATGGACAAATGGAATACATATCAAATGTATGGAACTAATAGAATACATATCAAAATATATCATATTCTGGGCCGTAAAAAACTTCAATAAATTGAATCATACAGAATGTGTTCTCTGACCACAGTGGAATCAAACTAGACATCAGCAATGAAAAAAGATGCCAGGAAAATTTCTAAACAGTTTGAAACAAAACAACACACTTCTACATAATCCATGAGGAAAAGGTGATGTCTCAAGGGTATCAGAAAAAATTGATAAAGGCCGGGCATTGGGTCTCACACCTGTAATCCCAATATTTTGGGAGGCTGAGGTGGGAGAATCGATTGCTAGGAGTTTGAGACCAGCCTGGGCAACATAGTGAGACCTCATCTGTACAAAAATAAACTTCTAAAATAAACAAAAAAAAATTGCTGGGAATTGTGTTGTGTGCCTGTAGTGCCAACTACTTGAAAGGCTGAGGTGAGACAATCCTTGAGCTTGGAAGGTTGAGGCTATAGTGAACTTTGATTGCACCATTGCACTCCAGCGTGGGCACCACTACAGACCCCACAGATATCGAAAGGATAATATGAATATGAATAAGGAGTCTTTCCCAATTGTATTTTTTGTCAAGTTTGTGGAAGATCAGGATACCCAAGGACATAAAGATAGGAACAATAGACATTGGTGACTAATAGAAAGAGGGAGAGGGAAGGGGGAAGGTCTGAAAAATGATGTATTGATACGATGCTCACTACCTAGGTGATGGTTTCAATCATATTCCAAACCTTAGTATCACACAATATGCCTTTATAACAAACCTGCACATGTACCCCCTTATTCTAAAAAAGGTTGGAAAAGGAAAATATGATATAAACAACTGTAAATACATAAACTAAACACACATATTTGATAATTTAGATAAACTAAATTTCCTGAAAAGTAACAAATTACTTCAATATGTCTAATATTAAATGGATCATTTGGATAGCTCTATATTAAGAAAAAAATCATAAACTCTTTGAAAAGAAATTTTCAGGTTCAGATGATTTCATTAAAGAATAAAAACAAATTTTTTAAAAAAGAATTAACAAAAATTTTACACAATCTCTTACTAGCATAAAAGAGGGAAGCGTTGACCAAATTATTATGTAAGCTTAGTTATCTTCTAATATAAACCCACTCTGCCAAAATGATAGTACAGAAAAGGAAAGCAATAGGCAAATCTCTCATGAGTAGAGACACGAAATTATTCAACAAAATATTATCAAACAGAATTCAACAATATATAAAAATAACTATATACCATGATTAACTGGGCTTTATTCCAGATATAGAAGACTGGTTTAATATTTGAAATTGATCAATGCAATCCACCATATAAGTTGACTAAAGAAGAAAAATTATATGACTATATCAATTTGTTGCAGGACTTTTCCTTAGTTCAACTAAATATGAGGACCTTGTCACATGGCCATAAAAATTTAGGCTCATAGACGTTTTGAAGGGTGAGTAAGGCAAGGTTTTGTTGGCTGAAAAGGGGGAAAAAAAGGGAAACAAGGACCCTCCTCAAAGCCAGAGTCCCTGCTAGTGTGCTTGCCACCTCGAAGTTTGAATTCCAGGTTCCACCCAGGAAGAAGAGGGGCCAGGCTCCTCCCCTCTGCAAACAGTGAGAACTTCTGTGGATCTATCCCAGTGCACACTCCTCCCTGTGTGCCCAGGCCAGCCTGAGTTTCTCTTGGGACCCCTTCCCTCCAGGTTGTCTCATTCTCCCTTCTAAAAAGTACATGTACTGCTGTTAGAATAAGGATAAGGATGAAGACAAATTTTTACTGCTTCCTGCTGACAGGGGGCGCTGTTTGGGGGAAAATGGCAGTCAGAGCTCCCTCAGAGGGCTATCTAAGAGTTCTCAGAAAAAAGGGGCCATCCTCCAAGGCTCTGGTTGCAAGACGATTTTGAGTTTGATGGCCTGCAGGCAAGAAGAGACAAACCTGGTTATTAGAAGATATATATCAAAATGAAACAAGGGGAGGAGTAAGGGGAGCTCAAAAATCCCAAGGCGTTTTGCCAGTTTGCACAGGGAGAGGGAGGCCAAAAGCTCAACTGGTAAAAAAACTTCATCCCTTTGCTGGAATGTCTTATTTCTGGGTTCCCTTCCCCTAAGCCCAATACTAAGCCAACCAGTTTAAGATTTGGAAAATTAACTTTTCTCAGTTTGGAGGATGCATCTGAGGAGAGTGTTCCATAGTACAGAGACACAATTACTTATCTGTGAAGAGAAGACAGAGAAGGAGAGGGGGGAAAAGGAAGGTGTTTTTTTTTTTTCAATGGAGTCCCAGGGGTTCAGTATGCATTTGAAAGGGATACAGGCTGAAGATGAATGGTTACCCATCTAGAAAGACGCAGGCATCCCTGGCTCCCTTCTGTTCCTAGCAGATACCCAGGGTACATGAGGAACAGAAGGAAGAGCATCCTCTTTCCTTCTTCCGTGCCTGTATTCCTGAGTCCTGGCAACCTTGGCAGGTGCTGTCATGAGTGCCAAAGCAGCTTGCACCCATGAAGCAGGGAGGTCCTAGAGAATAGGAATTATCCACTGTCACCTATGTCTCTTTCCCATCTCCTGTCAGTAGCCTTGAATTCCCTAGACCTCATTTGTGTTGTGGATACTAACATGGCCTTTATCCATGAAATGGGAGGCTTGGCTTAATTGGTAGGAATCAGCCACACTCACCTGCCCTGTGCCTTTTAACTTCCATTATTGTCTTTGTCTTGATCCCTCCGATCCAGTATTCCTTCCAAGGGCTTTGACTTGAAGACTGAAATTGAGTTTAGGACAAAAATGTGCCTCAGAGGGGTAGCATGGACTCCTTATCATAAGCTGAATGTTGAAGTGAAACTGTGGAACTGAGTCCTCCTCCAACAAGGGAGAGAAAAGGATGTCTTGTTACACACCCACAAAATGTGTTGCTATAGTTATGCGTGCTAGGATTTGGGTGCCTGGTGCTTGGCTTTGGTTACCTCCCTTGGTCTTACTTTCTCAAAGGAAACCTCCAAGTGATGGGCATTCTATTTATTCCCATCACCTGGCAAGATTTGCAGAATAATTGCTTAGAACTAGATTATTGACCCAGTTTTTTACATTAGCCATTCATCTTGTTCTTTTTGAGCTGCAGCCAGAGATTGCTGATTGGTTCACAGGAACAAGCAGGATTAGTTTAAAAATGTATGTGAAAATTTAAAAACAACTAATGAGTTTAGAATTTAATGACAAATGTATGCTAAAATTTGAAACATAATTTATTTCTCCCCAGTCCTCATTTTTGTTAAAAAAAAAACCAAATAAACATAGAACTGAGTGGTTTGCAAAATAGAATTTAATCTTATACTTGGCCTGATTGTTTGCCTAAAATGCAGCAAGAATAATTATTTCTACATAGGCCTTTTGGATTAGATTTGATGGAACTCTGTTCCCTAAGGAATCTCAGATAAGACCTTTTAAAGCCAAGCACAGCCATGAGTTTGTATCCTCAAATTCCTGTGAGTTGGGTGATCCTCTCCTCTTAAAGTCACAAGATAAACTTGGAGTGCCTGGAGCTGTTAGAAAGTGACATTCTTCACTGACTACAGGTCAGGAACCCTGTAAATGGACTGTGTAGGCAAGGGCATGAGGCCACTTTCTCCCACAGGGCCTTTATTGACTCTGCAATTTGAGGTCAACTCCTTAAAGAGAAGCATACCTTTCCAGTCAAAGCCTTGATGAAATAACCAGTTTTACCAATTGAGTCCTGTGGCAAAAGAAAGATGGATTCTAATTGCACTGATGCAAACAACTATATTGCCATAAGTTAAGAATACTCAGAGAGAGTTTCCAAATTCTGGAGGAACCAGGCAGAGAGAAACAAACATGCTCCAAAATTTGATCACAAGAATATACCTTGCTTAATTATTAAAGGCCTAAATAGTTAAAAATAAGTTTCTTTGACTCTCTAAAACAAAACAAGGATCAGCAATATTTCAAGCAAAGGTAAAAAGGTTGCTTCAGCTTTCTGAGTTCAATCCATTCAGTTAACTCTTGACTTTCTTAATATCCATGAACATTTTAGCTCTTCATGAGTCTTGTAATTTGCCTTTATTCCATTGTCACACTCTCCAAGGTTATCAGAAACTTTGATAACTATTTGAGAGCACCTATCAGAGTCTTATAGCTTATTATAAACCATCTTTTGAAAAGGATTAAGACAAGACAACAATTGTTTGTAAATAGCAAAATGTCCAGGATAGATACAGTTGGAAACACAATTGACAAAGAAGCTTGTTTATCTCCATGGATTACAATAACTTAACATAAAACCTTAATTATGATTGGTAGCACATACTCAGATATTAGAATTTTAGAAATCCCATACAATTTGGAAACATATGTTAACATTCACCAAAATATAACCTAAAGAAGATTGAATACCATTTTGGCAATCCCACGCACCTAGACATGTTAAATAATTCTGTTTACCTATTTTCTGGATGTTTCAAGGACATCTGAACCATCCAAACAGACAGGCATTAGGAAAGTCAAATTTGAAACTGAAGGATTTTGAGAGGGCTGTTAAATATGTTTGAAGTTTAAAACACTTGATATTCTGAAATAGAATTCTAGATTACCACAAGCTATTTATTTTGCCAAAATGATGACTCAGAAATTTTAAAGAAGCGAAAACCTGTTGTAACTCTTTACAAATTTTCCTAAGGAGCAGATTAGTGCCTTAAGAATACCTTGTTCTTTTATTTTAATGCTCAATTTACATTAAAAACCATAAAATATACTTTTTGAATTAAGTCAAAAGTTCACTCAGAGAATCTCTTCTGCTAGATTAATTTCCACAATCTTTCTACGACATGTTTAAACCTTCAGCTGTTTCTTATCTAATTTAAAACAATTATTTAACCCTAGGCAAAAAGTTTACATTTCCATGCCTTTTAAGAACCTTTCCATAAAGCACATTTTAGTGTTTTTACACCTCACATGTAAATCTATTTTCAGTAGTTTCAATTACTTGTTATAATGGTAACTCCTAGCAACTTTTACCTTTAATGAAACACCTGTAAGTTGCTTTAACTGTGGGCTAAGTTCCACCAAAGTTTGTCTCCCAGCATAATTAAGGACATGGTTTGTTCCATATGTCCCCAGGCCTTACCAATTGTGAAGCAGGCAAAACAGATAGTTCTCAAAACCCAAAAAGCAGTTTATAACCTTGAAACATTTAGCAAACCTTGCATCTGACCTGCATAACTTATTTCACCTATTTAAATTTTAATGACACCTGCATTTTACCAATAATCTATAAGACTGTTTTTATATCTCAAAGGTTAAAGCCATGTGAAATGAAAGGTACCACAGCTTTTATCTTCCCTTTAAAAGATATTTGATCTAATCACCTGTCTTTCTTTAGGCCAAATTAATTAGAGCTCCTTTTACAGACATCACACACATACACATATAACTACACAGATAGGCAGGAGAAAACCCAGTCCCCAGGTGGAGTTCTTTAAGAGACAGGGCTGGAAAAAGATGTAGATATCAAACCAGAAAGGAACTTATTGGCTAAGGCAGGATTGCTAAAGAAAGCCCTGCCACTGGAGTTACAAGCCATGCCCCTAGGATGTAAAACAAGATGGAGGCTTGCAGGGAAGTTTACTATGAACCGTACAGACATGCAAAGCACACCAGATTGGCTACAGCTTAATATCAGCCTCACAAATCCTTTCTCACAATTAAAACTTTACAGAGAATATAAACAGTGGTTCTTATCATTCCTGACCTAGTAAAACATCTTCCAAAAGTAAAAACCTTGTTTAAAAGTTAACTGCTGATGGGGTGGAGAAAAATAAGAAAGGAAATAGTTTTAAAATGCGTGGGGAAGAGTCTCTTATTTTATTTTTACACAACTTGTTCCTCCACCAGGAGAAAAGCCTAATTACTGTCTGATGGAGCTGAACCTCTTGGCTGTGGAAGGGGAAGGATTGGGCAGCACATGGCTGAGAGTCAGCCACCCAGCTATGCAGGAACCTTGGGCCACGTGTTCCAGCCTGGGCATGGAGCGGAGGGGGAGCAAGGAGCTGCTGCTCGCCCATCTGGCCTGAAAAAGTAAGGAAAAGGCCATGAAAAAGTAAGGAAAAGGCCATGAAAAAGTCCTCAAGGCCTGAGAGTGATGAGGGTGGGGGCACAGTTATCCCTACCCTCAGAAGTCCGAGGATGAAATATCTTTGAAAGGAAAGGCAAAAGATTTCTTGTTTTGCATCTGATTCACTGCTTCTTGAGGCCCCATGTTGGGTGCCAAAAATGTTGCAGGACTTTTCCTTAGTTCAGCTAAAGGCAAGGTCCTTGTCACACAGCCATAAAAATTTAGGCTTGCAGATGATTTGAAAGGTGAGTAAGGCAGGGTTTTATTGGCTTGAAAAGGGAAATAAAAGGGAAATAGGGACCATCCACAAAGCCAGAGTCCATGATGGTGTGCTTCCCACCTTGTAGTTTGAATTCTAGTTTCCACCCAGGAAGAGGAGGAGCCAAGCTCTTCCCTGCTGCACATGGCATGAAATTCTATGGTTCCACTCCGGTGCACATTCCTCCCAGTTCAGAGACCAGTTGGAGTTTTGCTAGGGAGCTATTTCCACCTGGCTGCCTCAAGCTTATTCAGAAAAAGCTTGAAAATTTCAACATCCACATATAATATAGACTCTTAGTAAAAGGGAAATGGAGGCGAAGTTTCTCAACTTACTCATCTGAAATAAACCTACAGCTAAGATTATAGTTAGTGGTTAAAAACTGAACGCTTTTACCCATGATGCAGCATACAAGGATGTATGTTCTCATCAATGCTACTTAACATTATCTTGGAAGTTGTAGTCACTCTAATAAGGGAAAAAAGAAGAAATTAAGACAACCATATTGCACTATTTTTGTAATTTCCTGTGAATTTATATTTCAAAATAAAAAACTTTAAAATACATAGATACATATATACAGAAGAACATAAATATAAATAAAGCACAAAAAGTAAAATTCCTTTTAAAAATCTGTGAATTGGACTTCAAATTTAAAAGTATAAGGTAAGTGTGAGATCCTGTTAAGAGAATAAAAACTCAAGCCTTATACTGGAAGAAAATGTACAGAAATCACACATCTGACAAAATCAAGAATATGTAAGTTTCTAAATTCAACAGATATTAAAAACTCAATTAGAAAATCACTGAAAGAATTGAAGAGCTGCTTTTGCAAAAAAAGATATATTCATAGCCAATAAGCACTTGTAAATTTGTTCAACATCATTATCCATTCAGAACACGCAAATTAATGCCAAGATGAAAAATACACTACCTACCTACTAGAATGATTGAAACAAATACCAATAATACTGAGAGCTGAGGAGGGTGAAGAGCAACTGGATACCTCAGGCATTGCTAGTGGGGATGTAAAATATCACAGCTCTCTGGACAATACTTAAAAGTTTCTTGTGAAGTTAAACACATTAGATAACAGAACATTTGGACATTTGTCTATTGGTTTTTGAGAACCACATCTCAATAATATTTCTGCACATCTTGCAGCATGAGTTATCTTTTCAAATATTTTTACACACCCACGTGCAAGCATTCTCACACAGCAACATCCTTTGAAGCTACAGATAGATTTATCTTATCACCAAGGTGGTGGAGATAGAAAACTTCTCCCTTCCCAGAGATACTGTATAACAGTAACGACCATTTTCTCCCCTTCCCAGTGAAGATCTGCTTACACACCACAGTAATAAAGATGTCTATCTCTCCAGAGAAGACAAATAGGTAGGCTTGGGAGCAATTCTTTTATACAGATGGGGGATTTTTAAGCTCTTCAGCCAGACGCAGACCCACTGAAGGACCTGTAACTACCTGGGTCCAAGCCTGCTTTGCCTCCATGGATCTTGGGGGACAAAGGACAATATGAAGCTTACACTGCCTGGTATGCCATGAAAAATGAACTGTAAAAATACACTCGGGCTCCTTATCTCCTTACCACATATATCTATGAAGTGTGACAAGAAAACCTAGCAGCTGTTGTCTCAATGATTCTTTGAGGCTGTTTGACTGCTAGTCATTCATCCCAGATAAATGAAAACTCATGTTCACCAAACATGGGCACATAAATGTTTGTTTCACCTTTATTTCTAATATGTAGAAACTGGAAACAACTCAAATGTCTTTAATGGATGATGAGTAAACTGTGGTATTTTTTTATGAAAGCAAGAACCTAGGAAAGCCAGGCTGACAACATTTTAAAGTCAACCCCATCTTAAAACCAGCAAAGAACATTCCTTGCCAATCACAATCCATGGTTCTAAGATGTTTATAGTTGAGGAAATAGCCTAAAGACATCTACAAGGACACACTCCTACAAAAGTGGAAATTCCAGGTGTCCCAATATTTATAACAATATATGCTTTTAATATAATTATAGTTCTACTTTGATAAACTCACAAACTAAAATGTCAAGGATAGTTTTTACATAAACTAGACCCCTATATAAGAAAAACTAAAACCGAAGATGGTGAGTTCCCTCTCAGGCTTTCTGAGGATGTCCTACTCTGTAATGGAGTAGCTTTCAATAAACTTTCTTTCTTTCACTGCACTCTGTGACTCACCTTGAATTTTTTCTTGCATGAGATCCAAGAACCCTCTCTTAGTGTCTGGATCAGGACACCTTTTTCCAGTATCATGATAACCATATAATAGGAAATGAATTTGCAGTAAAAAGTGACAAAGAATTGATGAGTGCAAGAACTTGAAAATATCTCAAGAGTATTCTATTGAGTGAAAAGGGTCATTTAAAAATGTAACTTGTTGTATGGTTCCATGCATATGATATTCTCTAAATAAAAAATTTTAGTGGCAGAGAATAAGTCAGTGGTTGCCAGGGGCTACAATTAGGCCAGTAAGAAACTATAAAGGGGTGGAACAAGGGAGTTACTCTCTGGTGATAAAACTTTTCTGCATCCTGCTGGTGGTGGCCACATGAAGTCTCTACATGTCACAACATTTCACCTAAATATGAGTGCATGTACAAACAGATGAAATCTGAATAAGGTTTGTGGTTTAGTTACTTATACTATAATAATACCAATTTCCTGGTCTTGATAATACATTATACTTATGCAAGATATTATTATTTGGATAAATTGGTATAAGTGTACATGGATATTCTTTGCATTATTGTTTGCAAATCCTTACACATCAAGTATTTCAGAATTTATTTTTGTTTAATTTTCAATACTCTACTTACATATTTTTGAAGCCCTATGCTTAAAAATCAATACTTTGCAAGAGTAATAACTATTAATAGAACAATTAGTTTTATAAATCAGAAGGAAAAGAAAATGAGTGAAAATTAGATATGTAACTATAATACAATGATTTAAAAATAATCTGTGGGTTAGAAGACAGATTCTAATGTATATCCTAACACTTGTTTTCTTTGTATAATTTGATAGCATTCTAAAATTTGATTTGGTTTGGACAATCTAGAAGGAGAATGTATTCAAATGTTTTGCCTATATATTTGTAAGTGCTTATGTGTAATTAAATCCATTTCTTTCCAAATAATTGATTTGAAAGGATTATAGATGATCTAGCTATTGTGAATGTTTCATTCACAAAGTTTGCCCTAAAAATTCAAAATTGAAAGCTGATTTTATAAAAATAGTCTTGTTAACTATTGAATAAATTATTTTTTAAAAAGGTAGGTTGTATAGAGTGGACAGTAACATGGTTAAAGTTACTAAAATGCCTCAAATTCTTTTCATGCGCGTAAGCCACTATATATCATTTGTTGTTGGTGGTGGTGATGATGAAGTAACTTGAGTGTCGAGGTCTCTGGATCTTACTCCATATCCTATGTGCAGACTTGCTTTCAGGTACTCCATCGGGCCTTTTTTTTAGCACTGTAATTTTGTTATCATATTCAAGATTATGTCTACCAATTGTGTGAGTTTGTATGATAACAATGACTTTTTGTTTCCATTTTCTTTTTTGACAAATAAGAATGGAATGATCCTTAAATCTCTTCACACCATTGCTTCTGATTGACTCTAAATTCTAAGTGATTTTCCTCTGACTGAGATTCTGATACCTCTTGAACCAACAGATATTTCTTTTCAACTATCAACAAATGAGTACTCTGAAAATTCTGTAATCAATAACATTAATTGAATGACTTCCATAGGTGTGAAAAACATCAAACTAAACGAGTTGAACTTCTTTTAAACTAAAATTTGCCATCTGAATTTGAAAATATTTATTAATTCTCTTTGATAATTCATATTTTCATAAACATTTTGCAAAAGTATCATAAAAGATTCAAATACGATGCAACACAACCAGGAGATAGAGATATTGATCTTATCTGGTATATTTATATGTATGTAAATATATAAATTTATTTCAGGGACTTGACCTTCCCCAGCTTTGAGAGCTGGTTAAACAGTCTCTGCAAGTCTATTGTCTTTGCACCTGTGCAGGCAATGGGTAAGCGAAGTTGGATGTCAAGTGGGGAAGAGCGGGAGTAAACTAAACTAGAACACGTAATCATGAACTAATGAGCTTCAGGGCATGCAGATGGACTGAAACCTACATCATCTCCCACTTTCCTGTTTAAAGATGCGATTGTCTTTCAGGAGAGAGGACTTAAACATGCACCTGCCGACGTGCGGTAGAAACTGAAGGAAGGTTCACTGGAGAACTGGCCTGGTTACAGCCTGGCTGCTGCTCTATACCAGTGAGGTGAAACAGTAGCTGAGCAAAAACCTGCGTGAATTGCAGCAGTGCCTGGACTCAGCCACAACCTAAGTGAGTTGCAGTGGTACCTACCAAGCATAAAACAGTACGTTGCTTGACCACTGCTGTTCAAATATCGTGCAAAATGTCTCCTGTGGCTACCCTCAAAGAAAGTCTACAGTAAATGAATTTCTGGAAAATGTAGTTCAGTATGACAGATTGACCCATTACAAAGCCACCTGAGAAATCAACTATTAAATGATAGAAGGAAAGACAGGATTCCCCCAATATTAATTAATTTGTAATATTTTTAATAACTACTTATATATAAAAATTTTATTTAACAATGGAAATGAATATTTATTTTTTCTTATTAAGACATCTATCTGTCTTAGTATTTCCAGGATGTTAATTACTTGGATGGATCTTGAAATCTCAAGAGATTAATTTGATTATGCTAATATAAAGAATCAATGCAATGCAAATCTGAAAACGTAAGAAGTATGGTACAAATAGTGAAAAAGAATTTTCATTTTTCAGCAATATTTTCATCCTTCTCTACCATGATATGAACCATTGGAGATAATTTTCTGCTGTGATAACACTCATCTTCCCATGCAATCTATTTGTTAGTAAGTCACAGCTTGCAAACAAGATGTACTTTAAAGAGAGAGCCCTATCCTGCGGCATGTTATAATTAACTTAGGGATGCATCTTTATAACAGTCTGGTTCAAGTTAAGTTCTGTCAATACCAATTTTGTTCTTAAACACTGTTAAATAATCTACATGTTCTTGGTGGAATGGTTTTCTTTACTGAGAATAGTTTTGCTATGTTTCCCATACAGTTTCTTATTATTTTATATACAATTAGCCTAACACAACAGCTGTCTCTCACTCAAGAAGTCTTTCATTTCTTCCAGGTTTGTCCCTGTTGTTTCTTATTAACCTCTTGGAAATTTACAAGATACTCCTATGCAGAGCTTATTCTATAATATTCAACATGAATATCAAGCATGCAAATTGTGATCACACACACTCTCTTGGGAGTATTATAGTAACCGGCTGATAGTTTAGATTCCAAGTTTGTTAATTTAGATTTTCACAAAGATAAGCACATTTAAGAAAATATTTACAATTTTCCATATTCTCATTTGAAATCTGTTTATACTTGGACTACACACTATTATACCTTTTTATTATTTCTATTTCTCTAGCTTATCAGAGATTTTAATCATCCTGAGAATTTAATCAACTAGAAAGGATTTACTTATTTCTGGCTATTCTCAAACTTACAATCTCTCTTTTCTCGCTTCTAATTTTATTCTTCATATTGCCAATAAATATAATTGTTTAAAAAGCTATTGATGTAATTTTCTTGGTTAAAATATTCTAAAATCTTCCAATTGTCAATAAACTAAACCTCAAATTCCTTATCATAGCATAAATTATTTTCACAGGTATACCTAATGTTCTCTTTCAGCTTTGGCCTTTATCACAACAATCCAAGGCACAGTTACATTCTTTTGTGTCCTTACGTATCTTTAAGCTACATATTTACTGTACTGTAAATTTCTGTCCAATGTCATTATGAAGAGTTGCCAGCTGTCTCTATTGTCCTCCTACAATTATTTGCAAACACTCATCACATTACATATTTCCATCTTTGCCTTATCTTTAGCATAAGTAGTTATCAGAAATTCTTAAAAACAAGAGAGTTAGGGAATTGTAAATTAAAACAACGAGAAGTCACTATACACCTATTAGAGTGGCTAAAATTAAGAACTCTGGCAACATAAATTTATGGCAAGGACAAAGAACAATAGAAACTTTCATTTATTGCTTGTGAGAATACAAAATGGCACAGCCACTTTGGGAGGCAATTTGGCAGTTTCTTACAAAACTAAATATATTCCTACCCAATGATCTGACAATTGAATTCACTGATATTTATCCAAATGATTTAATAACTCTATCCACACAAAAGTGGACTGGTGCATTTCCTTCAATGCAAAAAAAAAATATTGTGGGCTGGGTGCAGTGGCTCATGCCTGTAATCCCAGCACTTTGAAAGGCTGAGGCAGGTGAAATGCGTGAGCCCAAAAGTTCGAGACCAGCCTCACCAGGCTAAAAAATATATATTATTGTGGGATTTTTCTTAAATGGAGTTGTCATTTCAGGTGTATGTTCCCTTCCTTCTCTCCTTACTTGCCTGTGTTAAATTCCTAATCTAGTGGAAACTTTTGAGTTGTAACACTTTTATGACATTTCTGTTTTCCTGCCTAACATGGCAATTGGGTGCTTCTTGCACCTACAAAAGGGGTGGGAAATATCTGCAAAAAATCAACAAAAATGCTTCATCTGTGGTCCCTAGAGTGTGTGAGACTTAAGGAATAGTAGTATCTGACTCGTGTCTAGGAAACTCTAAAGCTGGTTGGAGCTGCCAAAGAAGACTGGTGGGCTCCAGTAGACTCAGGGCCAAGATGGTTATAGAATATTTGTGGAAACAATAAAAGAGATCAGGATCAGTGTTTTCTTGAAAGAGAATACAACCAAGAAGACTTTCTGGGGAGAAGTGATCACAAAAAAAGAGAGAGAGAATAATTCATATTAAATCCAACAGTTTATAAAGAGGATACTATGTTATGACCAAGTGAATCGATCCCAGCAATGCAACGATAGTTCAACATTTGAAAATGAATCAGTGTTACTCAGTATGAAAATCATATAACCCTTTCGATGATGCTGGAAAAGCCTATGACAACATTTAGTATTTATTCATACTTTATTATGAACTTTTAAGTTCTCAGCAAACTACGAAGAAAGAGAAACTTGCTTAGTCTGATAAAGGCATTTACTGAAAACCCATGCCAACAAAGTATTTAACGGTGATAGATTGAATACTTTCCCCCTAAAATCATTTACAATGGAAGGATGTCTACTTTCAACAGTTAGTGTTAAACAACAATTTAGTGTTAAATTGGAAGTTTCAACCAGTGTAATATGGTAGGAAGCCAAAATTAAAACTTACTTAATAAAAAGGAAGAAATAAAACAGACTCTCTTGTAGATGGCATGGATGTCAACACAGAAAATCTTAATCTACAGAAAGGGCACTAGAATTGATAAATTACAGTGATATCAAACGTCATATTTTTCAGAAGTTGTAACTCAGTTGGGTAAGTAATTTGACAAATCCTATCTTTCTTCAAACTTTGGGAACATTTGGGAGTTAGATGTCTATTCTTCACAAATATTTGTCAACCAGAACAGATTATGTACCACATAGTCTGCACTTATATATACACAGTTCATATCTTAAACCTTTTCATTGAAGTTAAATCTCTCAGGATCTTGTTTTAAACATATGTAAAATCCTTACAAATCAAACCCAAAGAAATGAAAACCCAAATCTAGTAAAAAGTATTTGTTTTTATTTTCCAGTATGCTTCATTTAAAAAAGTATGGTTTCATTAGTAGTACATTAATGAACTGAAAGAATGAAGTGACAAATTTTTGTCACAGATATTAATTTACATTTTACAAACATCCACCAAAACAATTAAAAATGAAATAAATATATTTACATTTTATATTTCTTGTCTTTTCACTGCATTTTAACATGTATAAAATATATAACATTTATAATATTTTATTTTCAAAAGCAAATTCAAATGTGCAAATAAGTGGCATTATGATTTTAAAGTATTCGGTAGTAAGAATAAACAATAAAGAACAATTTTAGAAGTATGAATAAAGCAATTTCATAAGGAGAAATTATGAGCACAGCAATATTAATAGTAGCAAAATCTTTGTTATTAGTATCCGAACATCTACACTTACCTTAAAAAGTTAAGCACAAGATCATCCTTGTGCTTTTAAAGCTTCTCCACACTGCTGATTTCTAGCAGTAATTCTAAATTATCGTTAGGATTATTAATTTTTCTCAGTAATAAATCAAGCTTTTCTTAAATCCAGCATTCAACATAGACAAAGTTCATGATCAAGCTTCAGCACTGTAAATGAGGGAAATGTTGATCTATAAACTAATGCACCCAAAGGAAAATTTCTCTCTTTGCATGGCTAATATGGACTTGACATTTATTTTCAAGTAATTGCTTTCTTTTTCTTGCTGAATGACAGCTTTATGAGCGAAGATTTCAAAATTATAAGTTGGTACATGCCTGAAATATGGGCAAGAAATAATTACCTGATTATCCTCCCATTTTAAAAAAGCTGGATAAGTGTTCAGATATACATTACACTTACACTATCTATTAAACTATTTTTTAAATAAATACTTGTTGCATTTTAACAAATTATAAATGCCCTTTCTGTAATATACTTCGACTTAGATGAATTGTTATTCTTTATCAGGCAAAAGACATTATTATAGTAGTTAGCAGTTTTCAAATGACTTTGAACTTCATTCTCTGACCTAAATACCTACAATATTCTCCATTAAGCTTGTGTTATGTACACTGTAATGAACCCTTTAATGATAACACTTACACACTCACACACATACACAGACACACACCCAAACACACATACACGCTCACACATACCAAGGCACTGGAGGGGTTAACACATTAGCATTTTGCTGTTAAAATGTGCTTAATGTACAAACTAGGATTTTATGAATAAATCTCTTACATGTAAACCTAAATTATATGAGAGATAGAAATTTTTAAGTGTTTTTGTTCATTTCAAAGCTTTCTCATTCAAGTAGTCCAAGTTATAACAAATGCCAATGACTAATCACCACATTGTAAAGAAAACATTAAATACTAATTGTTAAACTGATGAAAACGAGAATAGTATTTTGTTACTTTTTGGCTGTTGTACTAATCATGTTAAATAAAAATCACGGCTTATGTTTTTTATCAATAGTATCAAAAATATTCATAATGGTATTGTCATAAGTTTTTAATCAAGCTACATTTTACAACGTAATTTAAAGTATATTAAATGTATGTACACAAAACATTCTTCTAATATAATTAATGGTCAGCATTTCATTATATTTATATATATATACACCCATGTATGCATATAAATACATATGTAGGTGTGTGTGTATTCTCTGAGGAGATATATATTTATACATATCTCATTGTGCACCTTTTCCTTCGTAACACACATGAGCATAGGCTAAATTTTCATAATAACACTAAAAAGATAGCTAATGGTTAATAGGTTTTTTAAATTCTAAAATGGAACGTTTACAAAATTTCACAATTTTTAAATCATTCTATTACAGGTAGGTAAACTGTTGAAACGTTTTTCTTTTGCTTATGGATAATTAGCCCATGTCATATTGCCTTCCAGATTGTGGACACATTCATGTAACCCCAATATGGGGCACACTGAGATTCAGCTCTGGTTGGAAGCAGAAGTTCCATAATGAACCACTTGCCACAGCTGAAAATTCTAAGTTCGATGTATCCCACTGCTTTTTCTCCATAAGTTCAGAAGTGGCCTACTACTGAAGGCTGCTTTTGGTGGGTTTCAATTTTACAATGACTGTTGTATTTGATCAATATAGTGTGCAATAATTCTAAAGTTCTATCCTAATTACAAATGTGTACTTAGTTTTACGGTCAAAATACATTACACTGAAACTGTTTATTGTAATTTGCCACAGTTCTTTGGGTAAGGTATGTTAGATTCAGTTTAACATTTTCCCAGGGACAATTATAAACCCTCACTTTTTCTTTTCAATTTGATGTATTTACAAATTAATCTGATGCAAAATAAATTAATGAATCATGAGTATAAAAACAACTTGATATTAATTTTTTAAATTAGTAAATCTGTCCTTTATAGAAATCACTTTGTTTCCTTCTTGAGTGATTTTTAAAAACATATTTGAAAAAAAAAATTGAATCAATTTATTAGATACTTGGTTATCTCCACAAGGACACACATAATACTTGGTTTACCTGGGAGCATGTGTATCAATAAAAATTTTTTTTTTTTTTTACATACACAGCTGACTTTTTAAAATATCTCAAAAAAGCTGTACTGAAGGACAGAGACTGTGTTCCATGTTATACAACTAGTTGAATAATACCTGGAATCTGAGTAAATTGCACACCTCTAAGGCTTTCAAATTTCCCAGCCTTTCACATTTACATTCTTAGGACAAAATACCTAAAACAACCTGCATAGTTGGCATTACTTAATCACTTTCCATGACAAGGGAGGTTAAAGAATTTTAACTTTTATCTTTAAATATCACCTTTGTTTCTCATAAAATAGTACTAAAATGAAAAAATGTCATTTAATTAACATCTATAATAGCTTTGGGACTGTTTTCGGGGGACATTTTAGTTCATGATTAACTAGTAGACTTCGGATTACAAAGAATTGTTTCTCACACCATATTTGTTTATATTATTTTCTCTACAAAAGGTTTTGGGTTCACTGAAAATTTATGAAACTTTAATTTGATAATAAATCTTATTAGGTAAAATACAAATCTCTTTCAAACCAAGGAAGAAATGAGAGGTTCATGAAATTTTCCATCACTCATAATTAAATTAATACACTGTTGGCATATTTGATTGACTTTGGCAGCTAATAAGACATTTCAATAACAGTGATCCAAGGGAGAATAGTCCATTTCACATTGTATCTATCATGGGTCAATGTAATTATCCTTTGGAAGTTCTTCGGAATATTTACAATAAGATAAAAACAATTGGAATGCCAGTGTCAAATCATGGGATGAGAACACAAGGGCAAATTTACATCAGCAAATTAAAGTGCATCCTTCTTTGATGAGATTTTTTTGCATGCTCCTTGCTGATTTATGGTTTTTAACTCTTTTATGTCCCTCATAATACAAGATAGGGCATTTGTTTTCCTATGACTCTGCCCAACATGTACTAGTCATACAAAATAATCTAAAATACAGAAGTAATCATTTAATAAGTATTTTTATTCATAGGTAGCTTACTATTTTTATGTTATTTACATACTTCTTCAAATAATTTATTCTTTTGTCTCCACTTTTGGTGAAAGCAATACACTTACTGGTACAAAGCAACTGAGTGAGAACAAGCTGTTCTGTTCATGTAGTATATTTCACAGATGTCATCCAGAATAGAAGTGTTTTTGAGGTTCCACATGACCTTCTTTTTCTGCCGAAATTTTGATTTGCCTCCACTGTCGACTTGGTGATGTTATGGTTTCTCTAGGGTCTAAAATGATGAGTAAATGTGTCCTGCTTATACAGTCATGGGGTGTGTCAATGAAGAGTTCAGTATGTCAAGTTGTATACTTTGCTTTGCTCGTGGTAGCAGAGCTGGCAGCAGTAGAAGCAGTAGCTTGATTGCCTAAAAATAGAGGGTCCAAACAAGCTACCTTGGCAGCAAAGAAGGAATGAATGCAGTGAAGAACAGCAAATAAATTAGAAAATTCCAACTCCTGAAAGGGAAAGAGAAACAGGTCAGATAACATAAAAATTAATGTCTTTAAAAATTTATAATAGCTAGATTTTTTTTCAATTTCAATACACTTATCTAGAATCTATGATATGTAACATGTGGAAACTAATTTCAAATGTAGACATTTTTGGTCAACGTGTAAACATCGTAAGTAGTGAAAATTTATTTCAATACATGGTGGATAAGAGGTAGGAGGACTAATCACTCTTACCATCTATGAATGTTCTTTTAGCACTGATTGATAAATATATTTTGCCAAAATTTTACTCTTGATAATGTACAATTAAAGATAAACTTGGAAGTACTTTTAAAAGTATTTTTATCTCTTTGTGCACACATCAGATGATAAATATGGATTAGGGCAATTTAAAACTATTCTTGAGTATTCTCTAGAATGAGTTAATATTTGCCATAAGAAACTGAATAAGAAATGCTAGAAGTAAGGGGATATGAACTCTTATAACCAGAGGAGCCAAATGGTTCACTTTCAAAAAATAATTCCTGCATTAATTTTAATTGTGGCTGGCTGTTTAATGGTTTATGTGGCATATTTACTAAAAAAAAAAAAAATAAACTAGAGCTCACTAATTCATTTTGGATTTTTAGAAATAGGTTTCTCATTTAAATACCAAAGGAAATTTGTAACCCATTTATTACCAGTGGCAACCAAACTATATATATTGCAGTGAAAACAGAAAAAGTTATTTCAAACCATAATTTTGTCAAAATAACTATAAAATCTTAAAGCTATGCTCAGAATACATTTAGAAAGATGATGTTGCTAGTATTATTATTAAAGACCATCAATAATCACATAAACATGTCTTAATTTCAAGATGATTGAAAGACTAATACATTTGTGTGCTTAATGAAATCAATACGATGAACTTATCACAAGGAGGGTAACTAGAGGGTAATAAAGCATATGAAATTTCTGACAAACTCATTGCTATTTTATTATATATTTCACTACATATATGTAATAAAGAATTTAGAATTATAATTGATATGTACATGACTGTGTTTACAACTTACATGTGGCAGTGGAAAATATTACAAAATATTCAATACTTTATGACACATTGTAATATCTGTCGTGTACCAGACAGCTATTTAAATAAAATAATTCATCCGAGGAGTATTTTCTCAGGTCATGCAACAGGAGTACGATACCCCATAATATATATTCAGGTGTCCCTATAATATAGAAGACATAGCTATGCTTTCTCAGTAGCTCCCTTGAAACCTTCAATATTTGATAGTTTCCTTTGTGAAATAGCAACTTGTCCTAGAGAATAGAAGAGGTTATTCATTTAACTATTCTAATTCCCTTAGATATTTCCACCAAAAAAGTTTTTAGTAACTCCATCATAATGATCTTAGAAGCTTTATTTATAATAATCTGCTTCAGTGGCACTAGTCATGTTATTTGTAAATAAGCAAGTTTCTCTTTGCCTTAACTCACCCTGGAAATCCTCCATTCACCCCATAATGCTTGGTGTAGCCAGTTTATTTCCCAAACACATTTTAAATACTTTCTCTATCTTCCCAAATTAAATCCACCTAATGTGAAAGGTTTGGAAATTTTGGGAAAATGTAAAATGTTCTTGCATGTTATTAAAAAATAAAACAACAACAACAAAAATAAGCAATTCATTCTTGGTAAGGAGGAGAATATAGTTGAGTGTTACAATTGGGTGAAAATAGTATGGCAAATAACTTTTTCTCAAAGGTAATTCTGCCATCTCTTTATTAAAATAGAGGTTATATTTTGGTTACCAAAAATAAACAACCCTTAAATATCTAAGTATCCAGGCATCTTTAGAAAAATAAAAATTTTCAATTACTCCCACCTTGTCAATTATTTATCAATAATTTGATATAGATTGACACTTTAAACTTTTTATACCCATTTTGAAGTAATGGTAGACGGGAAATAATAGCAGGTGATTAGAAGAGAAAGCAGGAGACCAAGATGGATCCAAGTTTGACTCTTCATTACAATGCCCACACATCTTTCCTCTGCCTCAGTGATCAGCCTTGGCAACCATTTCCACTCCTAGGGTGTCAACGATTCCTTTTATGTAAACTCACACTGCTCATTTACTAATTTCTTATGTGAGTACTAGACCTGCATTCTTACCACCTATCAAACATCCACTGATGATGAACATCTATCTATCCATCCACCGACAGCTTCCACCAAGTCACAGACTTACAAGTTTCCCTTGTAAAAAAAGTCTTATGATCATCATGATCCCTCAGATATCACTAAATATAAGCTATCTTCAAAAATGTAAAGAGTCAGCCATTCAATAAAATACCAAATGCTTCCTATGCATCTACTCTTTTTTGTTGTTGTTAAAAGATAGCAGTGAATAAAACAGACAAAAACAAACAAAGGAACAAAACAGTCCTGATGGGAGTTACTTTCCAGTGACAGGAGGCAAAATGTGACTAAGGGCAGAAATAAATTAAGGACAATATGTCAGAATATGACAGTTACCATCAAGAAATAAAGCGGAGGAGACAGCAAAGACTACTCAAAGGGCCGTGGGAAGGAAAATTCATGTTGCCTTGTATATGGAACTTGAAAGGGAAGATGGAGTGAGCCATTTCCATGTTTGTGGGGAAATATTCCAGACACAAGAATTATAATTTTAAAGGCCCAGAGATAGGGACATTCCAGGAGAGTCAGAAGAAAAGCAAGGGTTATTTTGTGTGGAATGGAATGAATTAAGAAGTACTTGGCAGACAATGAGATCAAAGAAAACACTTTGCATGCTGCATGAGCCTTTATGAGTTTTACTATGAGCGACATGGGAAACCATGGGAAATTTTTGAGCAGAGGAGTGACAGGCATTGACAAAAGTCAGAAAATGATGATTCTGGTTAGACTATTGAGAATGAGCTTTATGAGAATTGGATTGAAAGAAGGAGAAGTTACAAAGTTTTCTATATGGAAAGGGGTTGAATTTGAAAGTAGATTTCAATAACTGGAAAAAACGTGTTGCTCTGCAAATGGAGAAATTATGGGAAAAGCAGGTTTGGAAGTAAAGATCAAGATTTTGGTTTTGGGCATGTTACATCTGAACGCATATTAGACATATAGGTGATAAGTGGAGAACTGCATATATTAGTGTGGATTTAAGGGAAAAATTAGAGTTCAGAATAGAAGTTCAGCTTCTGTCAGCACATAGATGGTAGGTAAAGCACTGTGGTCTGGATGAGAAGATCAAGGTGTGCAGGATAGGTAGAGAAAATGACTGGGCACTCATCCCTGAGACTCCACAGTATAAAAATGTAAGAAAGATGGGGTAGAACCAGCAAAGAAGAAATAGCTGTAGTTGCCAAGAAAGTGAGTGCAAAACCCGGGAGTCTTGTAAAATGACAGCTGGAAATTGACCATTGAATTTAGCAACACAGAGGCCATTTTAATCCTTTACAAGAGTCGTTTTATGGAGAAGTGGAAACAAAAACTTCATAAGAATGGCTTCATGAGAGCCTGCATGTGAAGGTATTAGAGTTACTACAGGCAAGTCTACTACAAGCAGCTTCTCTTTGGAAAAGAAATCCTTCTTTTCCTTTTTAAAGGGGGCATAGGAATATATCAATAGGAAATCAAGAATGTTTTTCCAAGGTTTATGAAATTAGTATATATTTGTAGAATTGCTGGCATGAAATGGTTGAGATATCAAATCTGAGGACAATTGTAGAAACTGTATTCTTGAGCAGGGTGAGATCTGGTGCAAAAATGGAGAGGCTGGACATGGATGGAAACCTGGACAATTGATCTGAGGCCGCAGGAGATGAGGCACAGTATATGGGTACAACTCAAGGAAGGTGGGTAGATTTGGTAGTGTGTAGCTTTGCTTCATTCTGTGTTTTAAGTGGGATACAAAGCAAAGTCATAGCCTGATAGGATAAAGCAGGAAGTGTTGAGAATTTGGACAAACTACTAACTTATAGATATCATTTTAGGCATAAAATCTGGAATTTATCTTCCTCATTCTGCTTGCTCCTTAAAAGCTTTCAACCCATTTATGCCTGAGACCGCAATTTTTTGAATTTTTGCAATCAGACCTTGCTGATGACCTTGAGAAGTAGAATATAAACAACTCCCACACGCTTAGCGTTCCAATAATGGCATAAGTGGGTCAATAACTCTTGAGTCCTCTGAACAAAATTGAGAGCCAACTAAGTCATCATCTACATTTGCATACCTGTTTCCCACAGTAACATGGCCATGCAACATTCAATAGATCATTAAACCATAACTCAAGTGAGTCTCTTAGAATGTGAGGACAAAAAAATATTGAAACTGCTGGAGAAAATTACATTCTGTAAATCACTTGCTTAATAGCATTATTATGTTTCCATTATGGCTCTTGATTTCAAGATAGGCTTCTCTTTCATTTCTACTGTGATTGTCATCTCTTCTTCCAGGCCAGATTTAACTCTAATATTCTTAATGGCCTTGCAGTCATTAGAGAAAAACAAATAGCTCCATCATTATTCATAGGTTTATTTCTTGTTAATGCCATTATGGTCAGATTTACTTATGTCATTATTGTGTAAATGAATATGTTCCCTGGCTTGACATCCCCTTTATGTGTCATTCACCTTTTTTCTGCAGCAGCCTTAGGGAGATATAGTTCACATACTATAATACTCACCTGTTTAAAGCATGCAAGTAAACGGATTTTAGAATATTCACAGATGTACAACTATCATCATCAAATTTTAGAACATTTTTATCACTCCAAAAATATATCCTATACCCAGTACAAGTCACTCCTCATTTCCTCTCTCTTCAGAGCCTGATAAGCATTATTTTTTTGTCTTTCTATGGGTTTGCTTTTTGTGGACATTTCATATAAATAGTATCATACACATAAGATATTTTGTGATTATCTACGTTCACTTAATACACTATTTTCAAGGTGCACCTATGTTGTGGCATAGATAGTACTTCTTTTCTCTTTATTGATGAATATTTCCTGATATGGACATATCTCTTCCTCCCCATTCATCACCTGTTGAACATTTGGGTTGTTCCTACTTTTGATTTTTTGTGAATAATGCTGCAGTGAACATCTGTGTAGAGTTTCTTTTTTGTGTGTTTGGGAATATCTTCTAATTGCTCTTGAATATATCTAGAAGTGGAATTGCTGGGTCATATGACAACTTCAGCTTGCACTTTTTCAGAAAATGTTGAACTTTTGTTTAAATGAGTTACCACATTTTACATTCTCACTAGCAAAATCTGAGTGCTCCAATTTCTCTACATCCTCACTAATCATTATTATTGTCTAGTTTCTTTTTTTAAAAAAATATTATAACCATCCTATAGAGTGGGAAGCTGTATTTTACTGTGGTTTTGATTTGCATTTTGATGACTAATGATTTGAGCATCATTTCTTGTGCTTATTGACAATTTGAATATCTTCTCTGGAGAAATGTCAATTTGAATCCTTTGTCAATTTTTATTTGGGGTATTTATGTTTCTTTTCTTTTTTTTTCTCTGAAAACCCTTTATATATTTGCATACAGTCTCCTTAACAGATAAATGATTTGAAAATGTTTCTGCCAATCTGCAAGTTGTATTTCACCTTTTTTATAGTATTACTCAGCACAAGTGCTTTAAATTTTGAAAAAGTCCAATTTGTCTATTTTTTTCCCCTTTGATTCTTGTGCTTTTGGTGTGGAGTCTAAGCACAATTGTCAAACCCAAGGTTACAAAAATTTAATCCCATGTTTTCTTCAAATAGGTTTACAGTTTTAGCTCTTAGATATATTTGATGATTCATTTTTAAGTAATTTTTTATGGTATGAGGAAAGGACTCAACTTAATTTTTTGGATTCAATAACCGGTTTTCCCAGCACTATTTGTTGAAAAACCTGTTCCTTTCCACATTCTGCTGTGTTGAAAAGCACGGTAAAAGACAGTTAACAATAAATAAGGTTCATTTCTAGACTCTCAATTGTATTCCAGTGTTCTATATGTCCATTCTTATGACAATACCACAAAGCCATGGTGACCATAGCTTTGTAGTGTTTTGAAATATGGAACTGGGGGTTCTCTCCAACTTATTTGCCAAGATTATTTTGGCTATACTGGATTTCATATACATTCAGGATCAACTTGTCCATTTCTGAAAAAAAGGCAGTTGGCATTTTGATGGAGATTTCTTAAATCTGCATATTAATTTTGGAGTATTGTCATATTAAAAGTATTAAGTTTTCTAATTTATGCACATGGGATGTAGCTCCCCTTATTTAAATCTTCTTGAATTTCTTTCCATGTTTTGTAGTTTTCAGTACACAATATTTGCACTTCTTTTGTTAAATGTATTCCTTAGAATTTTTTGATACTGTTATAAATGAAATTTTTTCTTAATTTTACCTACTCTAATCCATTGCTAACATATAAAAATACAGCTGATTTTTGTGCATTGGGATTGTATGCTGCAACCTTGCAGAAGTCATTTACTAGTTAGTACCAATAGTTTTCTTAGTGAATTCATGAACATTTTCTATATTTAAGTTTGTATCATCTATCCTTGGCTAGAAATTCCAACACAAGGTTGATGAAAGTGGGGAGGGCATACATCCTTTTCTTATTCTTAATTGTAGGGGGAACACATACATTCCTTCAATACTTAGTTTTCTTCAGTATACTTATTATGAAATGGTATTTATTTTTTTCTTATTTTTGAATCTATGACAATGATTATGTATTTTTGTCCTTATTCAATTAATACGGTGTATTGCTCTGATTGATTTTAAGATATATATCTACCATACATTCCAGGGATATATACCAAGTGATAATGGTGTATAACAATTTTTGCATGTTGCTGGATTTGGTTTGCAAGCTTTCTGTTAAAGATTGTTTCATCTACCCCCATTAGGGATACTGGTCTATGGCTTTCTTTTCATCTGATGGTTTTGGTTTTGCTATGAAGCTAATTCGAATCTCAAATAAGTAGAGGAGTGTTTCCCCTTTTTCTATATTTTGAAAAGATTGTGAAAGATTGGTAATAATTGTTTTTTCATTGTTTAATGGAGTTCATCAGACAAACCTCTTGATTTGGGGCTTTTTCTTGTGGGAAGTGTTTTAAAAATACCATTTCAATATCTTTCCTTCTTTTAGGTATATTCCAATTATTGATTTATCTTTGAGTCAGTTTCATTAGTTGGTGTTGTTCTCAGAGTTTACACACTTCATTAAATTATGTAAATGTTTAGCAATTATTTATAGTTACGTTTTTCTTTTTAATCTCTAAAATATACCTTCTTTTATTTCTGATTTTAAAAAATTTGAATATTCTCTCTCTCGCTGTTTGGTTATCTAGTTAAAGTTTTGTCACTCTTGTTAACCTTTTTAAAAAACTAAATTTGAGATTTTCTAATTTTCTCAATTGTTTATGTATTCTTTTTTTATATATTTCTGGTCTAAATTTATAATTGTCCTTGTTCCTGCTTACTTTGTGTTTATTTTGCTCTTTCTCTAATTTCTTATTGAGAAAGATTAGGTATTTAAGATTTTTTTATTACTTAATATAGTATTTGAAGTTAAAATTTTTCTCTAAACAAACTATAGCTGCGTAGCATATGTTTTAGCATGATGAGATTTCATTGTTATTTATCTCCCAATAATTTATAATTTCACCGTGATTTTTTTTGACCCATTGGTTATTTAGTAATTTGCTTTTAATATCCTCATATTTGCATATGTTTCAATTGTTCTTTTGTTATTCATTTCTAATTTTATTCCATTGTGTTCATAGAACATAATTTGTATTATTTTAACTATTTTAAATGTAGTGAGGCTTGATTTATAACCTGACATACAAGTGATCTTAGATATTAGTGTATTGTAGTTAGATCTTAGATATTAGCATATTTTAGTTAAAAATGTATGTTCTTCTGTAATTGGGTGGAGAGTCTAAACAGGTCAACATGTCTGGTTGCCTATCATGCTGACCAAGTCAATATCATTGTTACTCTTCTGCTTAATTGCTCTACCCATTAGTTACAGTGGGGTACTGATGTCTACAACTAATTGGTGGTACCTTCCATTTTCTCTTCGATTTCGCCTCATTTGTTCCATACCTTTTGGAGCTCTGTTATCATCAAATATGCTTATAATTGTTATATCTCCTTGAAAAATTGATTCATTTTTCATTATAAAATGCCCTTTTTAGTATCTTGAAACAATTTTTGACTTAAAGCCTTTTTTGTAAAATTACTATAGTTATTCGGGTTCTTTTTTCATTATTATATACAAGATATATATATTTGTATCCTTTTATTTGCAACCTACATGTGTGTTTAGCTATAAAGCTTGGATAATTCTACTTCTCTAGGAAGATGGAGTAGACATATCTGTCCCTTTTACTCCCACTAAGTAGGACTGAATTATTTGCATATTATATGTAAAACAAACGTAAGGAAATTTTAAAGGTAAATGTTAATGAGATAACTCCACCCACCCTACTCAGGGCGGGATCAGTGAAAGCCTACTGGCGAACTGGATCTCCTACTCTTTTACAGTAGTTATGAAGAGCCCACTGTTTAACTTCCAGTGGAGGTAAAGTAGTAAACCTGAAATTCTACCCCTATCTGGCAAGAACAACATGGCATTCTCCCTTACTTTGATAAAGCTATATCAATGGCAATTAGATAAAACATAATGTTTATGTAAGATTTGGAATATCATAACTAAATAACAAAAATGTGTAATTCCAATAGAAGATCACTCATCATACCAAGAACCAGTGAAAACTCAAACTGAAGTTCTGGAGCCAAGATGGCCAAATAGGAACAGCTCCAGTCTACAGCTCCCAGCGTGAGCGACGCAGAAGACCAGTGATTTCTGCATTTCCATGTGAGGTACCAGGTTCATCTCACTAGGGAGTGCCAGACAGTGGGCGCAGGACACTGGGTGCAGCGCACCGTGCACAAGCCGAAGCAGGGCAAGGCATTGCCTCACTCGGGAAGTGCAAGGGGTCAGGGAGTTCCCTTTCCTAGTCAAAGAAAGGGGTGACAGATGGCACCTGGAAAATCGGGTCACTCCCACCCGAATACTGTGCTTTTCCCACGGGCTTAAAAAATGGCACACCAGGAGATTATATCCTGCACATGGCTCGGAGGGTCCCATGCCCATGGAGTCTCCCTGATTGCTAGCACAGCAGTCTGAGATCAAACTGCAAGGCAGCAGTGAGGCTGGGGGAGGGGCGCCTGCCATTGCCCAGGCTTTCTTAGGTAAACAAAGCAGCCAGGAAGCTCAAACTGGGTGGAGCCCACAATAGCTCAAGGAGGCCTGCCTGCCTCTATAGGCTCCACCTCTGGGGGCAGGGCACAGACAAACAAAAAGACAGCAGTAACCTCTGCAGTCTTAAATGTCCCTGTCTGACAGCTTTGAAGAGAGCAGTGGTTCTCCAAGCAGGCAGCTGGAGATCTGAGAATGGGCAGACTGCCTCCTCAAGTGGGTCCCTGACCCCTGACCCCCGAGCAGCCTAACTGGGAGGCACCCCCCAGACTGACACCTCACACGGCCGGGTACTCCTCTGAGACAAAACTATCAGAGGAACGATCAGACAGCAGCATTTGCGGTTCATGAAAATCGGCTCTTCTGCAGCCACCGCTGCTGGTACCCAGGCAAACAGGGTCTGGGGTGGACCTCTGGCAAACTCCAACAGACATGCAGCAGAGGATCCTGTCTGTTAGAAGGAAAACTAACAAACAGAAAGGACATCCACCCCAAAAACCCATCTTACATCACCATCATCAAAGACCAAAAGTAGACAAAACCACAAAGATGGGGAAAAACAGAGGAGAAAAACTAGAAACTCTAAAAACCGGAGCACCTCTCTTCCTCCAAAGGAACGCAGCTCCTCACCAGCAACGGAACAAAGCTGGATGGAGAATGACTTTGACAAGTTGAGAGAAGAAGGCTTCAGATGATCAAACTACTCTGAGCTAAAGGAGGAAATTCAAACCAAAGGCAAAGAAGTTGAAACCTTTGAAAAAAATTTAGACGAATGTATAACTAGAATAACCAATACAGAGAAGTGCTTAAAGGAGATGATGGAGCTGAAAGCCAAGGCTCAAGAACTATGTGAAGAATGCAGAAGCCTCAGGAGCCAATGCGATCAACTGGAAGAAAGAGTATCAGTGATGGAAGATGAAATGAATGAAATGAAGTGAGAAGGAAAGTTTAGAGAAAAAAGAATAAAAAGAAACTAACAAAGCTTCCAAGAAGTGTGGGACTATGTGAAAAGACCAAATCTATGTCTGACTGGTGTACCTGAAAGTGACGGGGAGAATGGAACCAAGTTGGAAAACACTCTGCAGGATATTATCCAGGAGAACTTCCCCAATCTAGCAAGGCAGGCCAACATTGAGATTCAGGAAATACAGAGAACACCACAAAGATACTTCTCGAGAAGAGCAACTCCAAGACACATAATTGTCAGATTCACCAAAGTTGAAATGAAGGAAAAAATGTTATGGGCAGCCAGAGAGAAAGGTCGGGTTAGCCACAAAGGGAAGCCCATCCGACTAACAGTGGATATCTCGGCAGAAACTGTAAAAGCCAGAAGACAGTGGGGGCCAATATTCAACATTCTTAAAGAAAAGAATGTTCAACCCAGAATTTCATATCCAGCCAAACTAAGCTTCATAAGTGAAAGTGAAATAAAATCCTTTACAGACAAGCAAATGCTGAGAGATTTTGTCACCACCAGGCCTACCCTAAAAGAGTTCCTGAAGGAAGCACTAAACATGGAAAGGAAAAAACGGTACCAGCCACTGCAAAATCATGCCAAATTGTAAAGACCATCAAGGCTAGGAAGAAACTGCATCAACGAACGCGCACAATAACCAGCTAACATCATAATGACAGGATCAAATTCACACAGAACAATATTAACTTTAGATGTAAATGGGCTAAATGCTCCAATTAAAAGACACAGACTGGCAAATTGGATAAACAGTCAAGACCCACCAATGTGCTGTATTCAGGAAACCCATCTCACATGCAGAGACACACATAGATTCAAAATAAAAGGATGGAGGAAGACCTACCAAGAAAATGGAAAACAAAAAAAGGCAGCAGTTGCAATCCTAGTCTCTGATGAAACAGACTTTAAACCAACAAAGATCAAAAGAGACAAAGAAGGCCATTACATAATGGTAAACGGATCAATTCAACAAGAAGAGCTAACTCTCCTAAATATATATGCACCCAATACAGGAGCACCCAGATTCATAAAGCAAGTCCTGAGTGACCTACAAAGAGACTTAGACTCCCACACAATAATAATGGGAGACTTTAACACCCCACTGTCAACATTAGACAGATCAATGAGACAGAAAGTTAACAAGGATACCCAGGAATTGAACTCAGCTCTGCACCAAGTGGACTTAATAGACATCTACAGAACTCTCCACCCCAAATCAACAGAATATACATTTTTTTCAGCAACATACAACACCTATTCCTAAATTGACCACATAGTTGGAAGTAAAGCTCTCCTCAGCAAATGTAAAAGATCAGAAATGATAACAAACTGTCTCTCAGACCACAGTGCAATCAAACTAGAACTCAGGATTAAGAAACTCACTCAAAACCGCTCAACTACATGGAGACTGAACAACCTGCTCCTGAATGACTACTCGGTACGTAATGAAATAAAGGCAGAAATAAAGATGTTCTTTGAAAGCAACGAGAACAAAGACACAATATACCAGAATCTCTGGGCCACATTCAAAGCAGTGTGTAGAGGGAAATTTATAGCATTAAATGCCCACAAGAGAAAGCAGGAAAGATCCAAAATTGACACCCTAACATCACAATTAAAAGAACTAGAAAAACAAGAGCAAACACATTCAAAAGATAGCAGAAGGCAAGAAATAACTAAAATCAGAGCAGAACTGAAGGAAATAGAGACACAAAAAAGCCTTCAAAAAATTAAAGAATCCAGGAGCTGGTTTTTTGAAAAGATCAACAAAGTTGATAGACCACTAGCAAGGCTAATAAAGAAGAAAAGAGAGAAGAATCAAATAGATGCAATAAAAAATGATAAAGGGGATATCACCACCAATCCCACAGAAATACAAACTACCATCAGAGAATACTACAAACACCTCTATGCAAATAAACTAGAAAATCTAGAAGAAATGGATAAATTCCTTGACACATACACGCTACCAAGACTAAACCAGGAAGAAGTTGACTCTCTGAATAGACCAGTAATAGGCTCTGAAATTGTGGCAATAATCAATAGCTTACCAACCAAAAAGAGTCCAGGACCAGAGGGATTCACAGCCGAATTCTACAAGAGGTACAAGGAGGAACTGGTACCATTCCTTCTGAAACTATTCCAACCAATAGAAAAAGAGGGAATCCTCCCTAACTCATTTTAAGAGGCCAGCATCATCCTGATACCAAAGCCAGGCAGAGACATAACCAAAAAAGAGAATTTTAGACCAATATCCTTGATGAACATTGATGCAAAAATCCTCAATAAAATACTGGCAAACCAAATCCAGCAGCACATCAAAAAGCTTATCCACCATGATCAAGTGGGCTTCATCCCTAGGATGCAAGGCTGCTTCAGTATACACAAATCAATAAATGTAATCCAGCATATAAACAGAACCAAAGACAAAAACCACATGATTATCTCAATAGATGCAGAAAAGGCCTTTGACAAAATTCAACAACCCTTCATGCTAAAAACTCTCAATAAATTAGGTATTGATGGGACATATCTCAAAATAATAAGAGCTATCTGTGACAAACCCACAGCCAATATTATACTGAATTGGCAAAAACTGGAAGCATTCCCTTTGAAAACTGGCACAAGACAGGATGCCCTCTCTCACCACTCCTATTCAACATAGTGTTGGAAGTTCTGGCCAGGGCAATTAGGCAGGAGAAGGAAATAAAGGGTATTCGATTAGGAAAAGAGGAAGTCAAATTGCCCCTGTTTGCAGATGACATGATTGTATATCTAGAAAACCCCATTGTCTCAGCCCAAAATCTCCTTAAGCTGATAAGCAACTTCGGCAAAGTCTCAGGATACAAAATCAATGTACAAAAATCACAAGCATTCTTATACACCAATAAAAGACAAACAGAGAGCCAAATAATGAGTGAACTCCCATTCACAATTGCTTCAAAGAGAATAAAATACCTAGGAATCCACCTTATAAGGGACTTGAAGGACCTCTTCAAGGAGAACTACAAACCACTGCTCGATGAAATAAAAGAGGATACAAAGAAATGGAAGAACATTCCACCCTCATGGGTAGGAAGAATCAATATCGTGAAAATGACCATACTGCCCAAAATAATTTATAGATTCAATGCCATCCCCATCAAGCTACCAATGACTTTCTTCACAGAATTGGAAAAAACTACTTTAAAGTTCATATGGAACCAAAAAAGAGCTCGCATTGCGAAGTCCATCCTAAGCCAAAAGAACAGAGCTGGAGGCATCACACTACCTGACTTCAAACTATACTACAAGGCTACAGTAACCAAAACAGCATGGTACTGGTACCAAAACAGAGATACAGATCAATGGAACACAACAGAGCCCTCAGAAATAACGCCGCATATCTACAACTATCTGATCTTTGACAAACCTGAGAAAAACAGGCAATGGGGAAAGATTCCCCATTTAATAAATGGTACTGGGAAAACTGGCTAGCGATATGTGGAAAGCTGAAACTGGATCCCTTCCTTACACCTTATACAAAAATTAATTCAAGATGGATTAAAGACTTAAATGTTAGACCTGAAACCATAAAAACCCTAGAAGAAAACCTAGGCATTACCATTCAGGACATAGGCATGGGCAAGGACTTCATGTCTAAAACACCAAAAGCAATGGCAACAAAAGCCAAAATTGACAAATGGGATCTAATTAAACTAAAGAGCTTCTGCACAGCAAAAGAAACTACCATCAGAGTGAACAGGCAACCTACAAAATGGGAGAAAATTTTCGCAACCTACTCATCTGACAGAGGGCTAATATCCAGAATCTACTATGAACTCAAACAAATTTACAAGAAAGAAACAAACAACCCCATCAAAAAGTGGGTGAAGGACATGAACAGACACTTCTCAAAAGAAGACATTTATGCAGCCAAAAAACACATGAAAAAATGCTCACCATCACTGGCCATCAGAGAAATGCAAATCAAAACCACAATGAGATACCATCTCACACCAGTTAGAATGGCAATCATTAAAAAGTCAGGAAACAACAGGTCCTGGAGAGGATGTGGAGGAATAGGAACACTTTTACACTGTCAGTGGGACTGTAAACTAGTTCAACCATTGTGGAAGTCAGTGTGGCGATTCCTCAGGGATCTAGAACTGGAAATACCATTTGACCCAGCCATCCTGTTACTGGGTATATACCCAAAGGACTATAAATCATGCTGCTATAAAAATACATGCACACGTATGTTTATTGCGGCACTATTCACAATAGCAAACACTTGGAAGCAACCCAAATGTCCATCAATGATAGACTCGATTAAGAAAATGTGGCACATATACACCATGGAATACTATGCGGCCATAAAAAATGATGAGTTCATGTCCTTTGTAGGGACATGGATGAAATTGGAAATCATCATTCTCAGTAAACTATCGCAAGAACAAAAAACCAAACACCGCATATTCTCACTCATAGGTGGGAATTGAACAATGAGATCACATGGACACAGGAAGGGGAACATCACACTCTGGGGACTGTTGTCGGGTGGGGGGACAGGGGAGGGATAGCTTTAGGAGATATACCTAATGCTAAATGATGAGTTAATGGGTGCAGCACAGCAGCATGGCACATGTATACATATGTAACTAACCTGCACATTGTGCACATGTACCCTACAACTTAAAGTATAATAATAATAAAATTTAAAAAATTAAAAAAAAGAGAGAGAGAGAAAAAAAGAAAACTCACACTGAATGGAAAAAAAATTCAAAAGATGCCAACAGTGAGATGACATAGATTTTAGAATCAGTTGACAAATATTTTAAAGTAGTCACAACAAAATTGTTCCAATAAGCAATTATCACCATGCTTAGAACAAATGAAAGTGTAGAAAGTCTCAGAAAAGAAACAGAAACCCTAGGAAGAAATAAAAGACATAAAAAAGAATACAATAATAATTTTAGAACTGATAAATATAATAACAGAAATAAAAAACTGAATAGATGGCTCAACAGCAGAAAGAAGAGAACAGAAGAGTCAGTGAACTGGATAAAAGAATTGTGAGAATTAACCAGTTAGAATAAAAGTTGTAAGAAAGATTGAAAAAAGGAAAGACTATTCAGTGAACTGTGAGACTAAAACAAATATATATATTATATATATTATATTATTATATATATATATATATGCTATTCATGTCTTCAGAGTCCAAAAAATGAGGACAAAAATTAGGGAACTGAAAAATATTGAAAGACGTAATAGCGAAAATTCATTGAAATTGGTGAAAGAATACATCCTATAGATTTAAGAGACTAAGTGAAATACAAAGAGGATAAACTCAAAGAAATCCTTGCCAAGACACATCATAGTCAGCTTCTGAAAACTTGACAGCAAAAAGTCTTGAGAGCAGCAAGAGAGAAATAAAACCTTACCTATAGGAGAACACAAGTCAAATGACAGAGAATTTCTCATCAGAAATCATACAGCCAGAAGGAAGTGGCACAAGATTTTTCAACTGCTGAAAGAAAAGAACTGTCAATCCTGAATCCTATATCCAGCAAAATAGTGCTTCAGAAATTAAGGGAAAATCAAGACATTCTCAGCTAAAGAAAAACAAAGTAAAGTTATAATAAGAAGACCTATCCTAAAAGCATGGCTTAAAAAGGACAAAAAGAGAAAATAATTATAGAAGCTATCTTGGAACTTAGGAAGAAAGAAAGAATATGGTAAGAAAAGTGATCCTTAAATATTTTATTTCTGCTTTTGAGTTTTCTAACTTATACTTGGGTATTGAAACAAAAATTGTAATATTGTCTGGTTTGGTTCTTACTATATGTAAATGAAATATTTTAAAATATTATATAAAGAATAGTATAAAATATGAAATATAAGACATAATATATCTATATATTATAAATATAAACAATATTTATAGTACATAAGTATATGTTAATATATGCTTAAATATAACATATAAATATTATAAGCTATAATATATTATATATTATAAAATGTAAAATATAATAAAATAGGTAAAGAGACTTAAAATATGTTAAGGTTTCTACACCTAACTGATAAGATGTTGATTTCACTAGAATGTGAAGATATATACAAAATTTAATGCTGAGAGTAGACACTAAGAACAGTATATGTTGAAGTATGCTCAAAAATGCTATGGATAAAATTGATTTCTAAAAGCATATATTCAAAAAAGTTACAAGAAGGCAGAAAAATTAAAACAGAAAAATGGAAAAGAGAGAGAACAAAATTCAAATATATAATTATAAATATGTCAACACATCAATAATTAAAATAAAAGTAAGTTGTCTAAATACACCAATCAATACACAGAGATTGGCAGAATAGATTAAAAAACATGACCCAAATATATGCTATCTACAAGCTCACTTTAAATATAATGATATAGTTATATTTAAAGTAAAAGAATGATTTTTTTGGATGAAGAAAAGTGACTAGTGGCTATATTAGCATTAGATGAGCTAAACTTCAAAGTAAAGAAAATTATTGGATGAAATGAGACAGATTAATTAATAATACAAGCATAAATCTACAAGAAAAACATATCAACTCTAAATATGTATGCATCAAATAACTTAGATGCAAAGTATGTAATGCAGAAACTGATAGAATTGAAAGGTGAAATGGATAAATACACAATTACATTGAAGACTTCAACATCTCTCTTAACAATTGGTAAAAGAGTTAAACAGAACATCAACAGGAATGTAGAAGAATTAGAAAACACCATCAACTGACAAGATCAAACTAACATTTTTAGAACTTTTGGACAATACAAATAGAATATACATTATTTGCAAGTTTCTGTAGAAACTTGACCATACTGGGGGCATAAAACAAATCTCAATAAATTTAAAATAATTAAAGTCATAGAAGGTGTGTTTTCTGACCAGAGAAGAAAGAAACAGAAAGAAAACAAAAATAATTTCTGACACTTGAAAATGAAGGCACAGAATTATAAATAATCCTTTATATACAAGAGAGTCTCAAAAGAAATAAAAAAATACATTGAACTGAATAACAATAAAAATAGAACAGGATCAGGATGCAGGTGTTCTGCTTTGACTGTTTCACTGTCAATCTCTTGATTGTAGTCATATATACACTAGAGTACCTTTCAATTTAAAAATTTAAACAAGTTCTCATGAGAACATCATATAGCTAAATCATTTAAGGAAATGCATTATGTTAATCTCTGCCTTTGGTCGAAATATTTAATATATTTGCTTTTAATGCAATTATACATAAGGTAAAATTTATGTTCACTTTATATCATAAGTTTTTATCTTTGTTCCTTTATTTTTCCATTACTGTTTTTATTTTGGGGGTTATAACACTATATATGTACATGTATATATATGTATACACTTTTATATAAATTATATATAAGTATATACTACATTCATATAATTTTAATTCTCCCATTTTTATCATTAGTTATTTTATTAGTTATTTGGAGGGATATAATAATATTTTAAAACATTCTAGTTCAGAACAATGACAACGTCAATAGTGCTCAAAAATTTGTTTCTATATAACTCTGTTCCCCCCACTTCTTTGGGTTATTATTGTCATACACTTTACATCTTTATATATTACAAGCCCAAAGACACAGTGATATAATTATCATTTTATCAATTTTTCTTTTAAATCAATTAGAAGTAAAACACCAATAAAAATGCATTTATACTGTCACTTATATTGAATTATGTATTTACCTTTAATGGTGTTTTTATTATTTCTAAGTGTGTATTCAAGTTATTATCTAAAAATTATTTTCTGTAGTGTATATTTACTAGTGGCAAATGTTCTTTTTTTTATATGTAATAATGACTTAATTCTCCTCCACTTTGGAAGGAGAGTTTCACTAAATAAGAACCTCTTATATGACAGCCTTTTTGTTTCATCACTTAAATGTGCCGTTCTATTACCTTCTAACTTCCACAGTTTACTATAAAAAATGAGCTGTTATTCTTATTAACGACTCTTTGCATGTTGTGAGTCATTTTTATTTTGCTGTTTTCAAGATTCTCTGGCCTTTTGCTGGTGAATCATGATAATTTTATGTCTTTTGTTTTTATTCTACATGGAGTTCACTGAGCTCTTCAAATATGTATATTAATATTAAATTTGAGAAGTTTTCAGCTGTTATTTCTTAAAATATTGTTTCTATCCATGTCCCTTCTTGTTTTCTTGGTATTCCCTTTATATATATGACAGTATAACTTATGCTGTTATAGAGACTTCTGAGACTCTGCTATTTTTCTTCATTTATATTTTTGTTATTCCTTAGACTGGATAATCTCAGTTGCCCTATTGACATTGAGATATTGTGAACTCTTCATATTCTCTTAATCTTTCTTCATAAACTCAAATGTTTTGTTCAGTTCATCTCAGAATTTTTAAAATTTCAGTAATTGTACTTTTCAACTGAAAATTTTATTTGATTCTTTTCATTACTTCTATCCTTTCATTAACATTCTCTATTTGGTCAAACAGGTTAATTCTTTGGGCATAGCTTCATTTAGACCAGTTAATATATTTGTAATACACAATTGAAATTATTTTACTAGTAAGTGCACCAGCTGGTTTTCCTCAAAGAAAGCTTCTATTGAGTCTATTTTCTTACAGAAAGGCCACAATTTTGAGAATGTTTTCAATGTCCCATAATTTTTGTTTAAAACTGGCATTTCAAAGAATATTCTTGGACATCAGATTCTCATTCTTCCCAAGAGTCTGATGCTGTTGCAGTTTGTTGTTGATGTTTTCCTATCTGTTTCACTGATAGGAAACAGACTATTTCTGTCTATTTAGCTTCTTGGTCATCTATTGTTTTGACCAATATTTCTGTAAATTACTAGAAGCAAAGTCTTACAACTTTTCCATGGGGCTCTGTGTGTGTTTTGTGGCACTTCTTTAATCCTCTGGAAATTTACAACTCTTTCTAAGTCTTTACTTTCTTCTTGCACAGATCTTTAAGGCTAGCCAGAACTGAGAGTTTAGGGCATCTTTTCTCATCATGTGCATAGCTCGGCACATTCATGTGCCCTTCTAGGTTCTCAGGAATGTATTGGAGCTTCTAAAAGACCCTCATTGGAACCTCATTCCTCAGATCTTAAGTTTTTCACCAGCATCTTTCTTGCCACAACTGGTATTGCCAATTCAAGTAGGTGTGATCTTAAACTGTTGATTGTTAAATACTTAGGTTAGCAATTTTTCCAATGAGAAAGGTCTGAGTGAGGTCAAGTAATGACAAGGCCTGTGTCTTAGTCCGTTTGTGTTGCTATAATAGAATATCTGAGGCTGGGTAACTTACAGAAAAAAGAGGTTTATTTGGTTCATTACTCTGGTGACTGAAAGGTCCAAGGTGGGAAAGCTGCATCTGGTGAAGGTTTCAGGCTGTTTCACCTCATGGCAGAAAGGGAAAGTGGAGTGGGCATGTCCAAAGAGATCACATGGTGAGAAAGGAAGCAAGACAGAGAAACTGAGGAAGCCAGACTCTTTTTAACAAACCACTCCTGTGGGAAATAATGCATTTCCACAAGAGTAAGATCTCACCCACCTTTGCAGCAGGGAATTAATTTATTTATGGGGGAATCTACCCCCATGACCTGAACAGTTCCCTCTAGGCCTCACATTCCAACACTGCCATATTGGGAATCAAATTTTGACATGAGTTTCAGAGGAACAAACCATATTCAAAGTGAAGCATTTCACCTCTGCCCCCATAAAACTCATGTTCTTCTTACAATGCTAAATACAATCATTCCCTCCATTTGGTCCCAAAGGTCTTAACTTTTCCAGCATCACCTTGAAAGCCCAAAGTCCAAATTCTCTTTTGAGACTCAGGGCAAGTTCCTTGTAGTTATGAATCTGTGAAATCAAGAGCAAGTTATTTATTTCCAAGATAAAATAGTATAACAGACATTTATTCAATGTTCCTATTCTAAAAGGGAAAACTAGACAAAAAGAAATAAATGACAGGCCCTACATAAGTCCAAAACACAGCAGGGCAGACAGTAAATCTTAAGGCTCCAGGATAATTTTATTTTACTTCATATCTCACACCCTGTGTACATTGTTGTGAAGGGTGTGTTCTAAGGTCTTGGGCAGTTCAACTCCCGTGGCTTTGTTGAGTGTCACACATGTGTCTGCCCTCATAGATTGAAGTTTGGTTCCTGTAGTTTTCCTAGGTGGGCATTACATGGTGTTGGTGGCTCTATAATTCAGAGGTCTCAATGGTGGCCCCAGTAGCTCACCTAGGCATTGTGCTGGTGAGGACTTGGTAGAGCTCTAACTCCACATTTCCACTCAGCATTGCCCTATGAGAGGTTCTCTGTGGTGGCTTTGTCCTGTGACAAGTCTCTGCCTGGGCCTGCAGGTTTTTCTATATACCCTTTGAAATCTCAGTCAATAAAGGCTTGTTTCCATAGCTCTCACATTTTGCAGGCCTGCAGAATCAACACCATGTGGATGCCAAGGCTTACTGCTTGTGCCTTTCAAAGCAGAGTCTTGAGCCTTACTTGGGGCCACTTGAGCCATGGCTGCTCTTGATGTGGAGAGCAGCATCCTGAGGCAGCACAGGACTTCAACAGCCTAGGCCTGTCCCCCAAAACCATTCTGTACTCCTAGGCCTCTCAGCCTGTGATGAGACTGGCCTCAAAGATCTTTGAAATGCCTTTAGGGATTTTCCCCATTATTTTGATTATTAGCACTGGGTTTCCTTTCAGCCATGCTAATCTCTTTAGCAACTACTCACTGGACCCAACCCTCAGCACCCTTTCCAAACATGCCTTTTCTTTTTATATAATTGGTCTGCAAATTTTTAAAATCTTTACGTTCTGCTTTCCTCTTAATTATAAATTGTGCTTTTAGGTCATGTCTTTGCTCTTAAATCTTACTGCATGCAGTTAAATGCAACCATGCAGTTGCCTGAATGCTTTACTACCTGAAGTTTTCTTCTGTCAAATATTAATCACTCTTAAGTTTGACCTTCCACAAAATACTAGGGCATCGACATAATGCAGTCAGGTTCTTTGCAAGGGTGTAATAGGCATATCTTCCACTGTTTTTATTTCTAATGGCATTTTGGTCCTGACCACATAATGAATCTCTAAGAAGTTCCAAACTTTCCCTCATCTTTTTGTCTTCTTCTGAGTCCTCACCAGAATCACCCTAAGGATCCCATTCATAGCAATACAGGCTTTTTCTAGTCTCCTCCAAATTTTTCCAGCCACCAGTCATTACCCACTTCCAGTGCCACTTCCCCATTTTCAGATATCTGTAGAGCAACACCCCACTCTGCATGCCAATTTTCTTAGTCCATTTGTGTTGCTATAACAGCATACTTGAGACTGGATAATTTATCTTTTAAAAAAGCAGTTTATTTGGCTCTGATTATGGTGGCTGGAAAGTTCAAGGTTGGGCAGCCACATCTGGTGACTGCCTTAGGTTGCTTGACCTCATGGCAGAAAGTGGAAGTGAAGTGGGAATATGCAAAGAGACCACATGGTGAGAGAGGAAGTAAGAGAGACAAACCTGTGAAGCCAGACTTGTTTTAACAACCAATTCTCATGGAAATTAATCCATTTTTTCCTCCTAGAATGAGAACTCACCCACTCCCACAAGAGGGCATTATTCACCACTATGACCCAGACACCTCCCAATAGGCCCCACCTCATCACACTGTCACATTGAGAATCAAATTTTAACATGAGTTTCAGAGGGGAGAAGCCATATTAAAACCATAGCAGCCTGCAAATTGACTTCTCTAGGAAGCTTCCAGATAGGTCAGATGATTATGATCTTCTTGAGATTATGCTTTTTTAGAATCTGCAAGCCCAGCCCACACCCTTCAGTGGGTTCTGAGGTGCTGGGTCTTATAGCTAGCTACCATGTTTTCTAGGATGCATATTTTCGAGGTCACAGTGGTGGTCTGGACAGGGTAGTAGGAATATAATAAGCTACAATGTTGCAAAGCTCTCCATTCTTACCAAAACTTGAAGCTTGTTTTGTTTTTAATAAATGCTGTATGGTTATTCCAAACATTTAATTTATTTCCACAATTCTGAATAACATTGATTCTGATAATTATGAATATTTTCTCATTGCCTTTCCAGAAGAGTGGAATTTCAAAAGTCATTACTATGCCATTCTGAAAATCCAGCCCACATTCACTTTTGATTTCTTAAAATGCCTAAGGCACAGTAATTTGCAAAATGTTTATGGTCCATAAGTATCAATTAATTTGCATTCCAGCGTTTATAGGCATAGATCAGAATCCAACCTATTGTTTTGATCCTTTACTCTCTTCATCTATTTTATGGGTTTCTAAGGACTATAACCTGTACTCTTTGTGATTTGGATTATTGGTTTATTATGTATCTTAATCTCCTGATCCTCATTACTGAGTTTGGCAAATAAAAATAGAAACTTATTACATTGCCTATCTCTGCTAAACTGCTTGCTTCAAAATCTTTTAGGTTCTTTTAGGATTTTGATGTAATAGAACAATGTTTAATAAAATTTTGCTTTATCTCTTTTAAATTAATGTAAATAAAATAAGAGATTTGTATCTCAATATCAGGTTTACACTGTTCTTCTCATATTAAATTATTTGGTGAATATTAATATGTCAGCCAATATCTTGATACCTATGGCCATAAATGTTAAGGTGGCATGATGAATGCAGTTAAGAAACTTACTTGGGGCATGAGGAGACCTAAATTTATACAGTTAGTCTTACTTTATTGTGCAAATAATTATAAATAGACATATGTATAGCTTCAGGATAATTCTGTTTTTCCAGTTGAAATGCAGTTTATTATTTCTACCCTTAAATGCTTTGATGATGATGGTGTTTTTTTGTTACAATTACCTTACTATGAGAACATAATACAGTACTTGGTTACTACACTCTGTGTTTTGTTACTTTACTTCCTGGGAAATTGCTTCCAGAAGGTCTTCAACTTTAAAATTCTGATTTTCAAAATGTTCTTACTTGGGTCACTTACTAAAAATTTATTTACAATTCTTCTCTTCGTAGATGATTACTTTTGTCAAAAAGGATAAAACAAAATGCTGCATACTATAGGCATGTTCCCTTTGACAGCTACTATTTTGGAGGCAGTTAATATATTTGTTTTATCTATAAGATGTTAATGCAAATTTTATAGTCTACCGAGAGAGAAAATGTACAGAGTGTTAAGAGTACAGAGTACTCTTAACACAAACGGGTAGAGAAATTCACTATTCTGATGGAGAATAGGAGATTTGAAAATAAATTATATGCAAGGAGAAAAAATATATCAATGAAAAATAAAAATAATTCAGAATCCTCAGTGATTCCCAGGAGTTTAAAATCTCTTCTAAGGGAGAGAGAGGCACTATCTTGTCCAGATATCTTCTTCACCACACATTCCTGTTCTCAATTCAATCATTAGTTTGAAATAAAATTTCACATAAAATAAGCTATTATGGAAGTTATACACAAACACACACCTGCACAAATGTGAGTTCAATTTTTGTCCTAACTTATTTCTATCTACTTAAGTCTATTTTACAGAACGAAGCACTCCAAACATGAATTTATGCAGGACCTGTGCTATTAAGCAGATGCTCTGCCTCATCCTCATTTTGTCTTCTCTGTAGTCTAAACAGCCAGTGCTTTGTACAGCTGGAAATGAGAGGGAAAGGGATCTTGGAATTTTAGAAAACCTTTGGTTTCAGATACCAGATAGAGTCACAAATTGTGAAAAGCCAGATAGACTGAAAGCTGATCCTTTATTTACAAGACAGAAAGAGAGCCTTGATCCCAAATACCTACCCAGCCTTGTGAATATTAAAAGACCTTATTTATAAGACTCAAGTGCCAAACAGGGATTCATTTAGATTACCAGCCATCTTCTTCTGAAATCCAAACATCAACACATCATGAATTCTTCAGTCAGGAGCTTTGAAAAACTGAGCATCCAAAGTGTTCCATTAATTTTGTTATGTATTCAATCCTTATGTTCAAATCAGAAACATTTTTTTTTCTCTAGAGCGACCCTTTAAGGTAGGTGCTTTAAGGCACAATTTACAATGAGAAAATGAAGATTTATAGAGACTAGCCAGAAAGTAGTATTAATGGGAGTCAATCCTCAATTTCTGACTTGAATTTCACTAATACTTAATATATTTGAAAATTTCTCTTATGATGCTGTAGTACCTGAGATGGTGGGGACTTGGGGCAAGGAGATGTTTGGGGAAAAGGAGCCTCCGATGATCAGCTCCATTTAAAAATCTTCCCAAGTTCTGCACTGTTCCACTAAATAGAGAAGCAAATTTCTTTCCCTTCTCTTATGTACTGTACAAAATGCACTAGCATGACTTTCAGATCTCAAACTCAGTAGTTTAGACGAATATGCTGTGTACACTAGTTTAGGAAATATTTTAACATTATTTCCATAAGGGGAATTATCATGAAATTCAATGAATAAAGCTACACCAATGTGTGTAGAATACAGCACGTTTTGAAATCAGGGGATTTTCTCTCCATGTTAAGTCCAATTATAATTTAAGAAAAAATACATATACATAAACATATAATATTAGAGGCAGTAAAGAAAAGTATTGTGACTCAGAATGTTTAGTTATAAATGACTATGAGAATATATCAGTAAGCCTAGCTGTATTAGTGTCTAAATGAATATTATATATAGAAACAACTTTTAAGTTATCAGTGGCAATAAAATAAGCTTTTGTAACTTGTCAAAAAAAACTATAATACCGCTCAAGGCTTCAATTGGGAACCACTCCCCTGTTCCACTAGGGAAGTTCTGAGAAGTTTAATTAGGCTTTGGAAAACAGATGGGAAATTTATTAAGCTTTCTGAGTAATGAAGTAAGAATTTATGAATTTTTGCTATCAGAGGAAGAAAGTATAAAAGGTTTTTTGTATTATGACATTAGTCTTATATAGATCAACAACAACAACAGCAAAAAGATAAAACAAAGTTCTCCCAATTCCTATGTAAACCCACACGATTTTCTTCAGTATTTCTGACGCTTTCTCACAACCAATGAATTAAGCACTATTTGGAATGTTTAATGTTGTAATACATATGGTGGCTCATGCAATAATATTCCCCAAAGAAACCATATTTCTTGTTAAATAAGCTCTGGTTATGATGTATTTGCCCTGGGAATATGTATATGAATTGTTAAACTAATGCATGTTTTGTTGAAAGTATTTCCCTATTATCACATATGGTAAGTTCTAAGTCTATTCTGAACCATTTTCACCACTGCTTAGATTATTTTCCTTAGAAAAGGAAAGAAACGTTGTAACAGCCTCCACATTTAACCACATTTTCAGACCCATATTTCACACCCTGGCTCACCTTTTCTTTTTAACTTTGATGAAATAAAATCTCTTCACTTATTAATAATTTATTTCTTTTGGGTGATGATCTTTTATTGACAATCATAACTTCAAAAATATATCATATCAAGATGGTGATTTTAAAATGTAGCACTTTATTAAATATATTATATCTTAGAATTTTTCAAAGATTTGCAAATTACTTATCATACTGTTGGAATTCTTGGATGCATGGGAGGACATATGGGCAGCAGATAAGTAAAATCTTCCAATAAGTTTCTGTAAACAAGTTCAACAATTTTTGGCATTAATTGTTAATAAATAGGTATATTCTCTTGCCTTCAATATATTTGAGATGGGGACACAGGAGAACAAAGTGGTAAATATTATTTGCTTCTACCCCCAAAATAATGTTTTGTTTTCTGTAGAAATATGTGTAAAGTATAATCTTAAATCCCTCTAAAACAAGCCTGGTCTCATAATGAAATCTTAAATACTCAAACATTTCATTTATAATACGTTCTGATGAAAGCTTTACACGCAAATAGCTATTAAGCTATATAAAATTAAGTGAAAATGATAGCCTTCAATTATTATTCCCAAATCAGCAGTAAGCAAGGCAAAAAATAATTTGCATCACAAGCCACATACAATTTTGAAATACTGTAAGAAACCATCTTAGTAACAGTACTTTTAGACATCACTCACAGTTACCTATTAGCTTACCTATCTAAAGTCTGGTAAAGAGAGATCAGAGCAAGAAATAGAAAATTTGACTTTGATGAATGAATGTTGTTCAATATTTTCGGGATGAAAAATGTTCTATTGAATGGTAACTAATGGGGTAAGGGAGGTATGGAGACAACCAGCTTCTTGTTATGCAGACAGTGGCCTCCACCAGAACAAACTGTCCTGGGTTTCCAGTCTCTCCTTCAATAGAATCCACTGCAACTCATAATTTAGCAGCAGTTTACAGGTATTTTATATTTAACATTTGAGGTTTAAAATAACTGTGTAAAAATTAAATTGGGTTAAATTATCTTAAGCCACGTAAATTCCTCAGTATTGTTTACTCATATAAAATCTACTCTTATTTGAGTCATATATGTGTAAAAATAAGGTGAAATCTAGGCATTGCATTATAGAAAACATTATTTTACAAAATAAGCCTACATAACAATGTCTCTACATGTTAAAAGTTCTCTCTCCAGACTACTCAGCAGTTACAACAAGAGCCACATGATAATTTTACTTCCACTGTCAACTTTAAAAATATTTTTTGTCACTATTCATTGGGGTTATCAAGAGTGAGAAACTAACAATCAGAGTAATCAAAATAAGTCAAATAATTTTTCTTTTAAAAAATGGCATTAACAGTTTAAAAATAAACATAGTACTATGTTGGAGATAGAATAGATGTACTTTTCCTTATTCCTCTTCCTAAGTATCATCACAAACCCTGGACAACATACATAAAATGAATGTAAGGACACCCTGAAAGAGAGAGAAGAGGCAGGCAGACTAAGAACCCAGAGACCCCAGGACCCTCACAACACGTGACAAGTTCTCTGGGTTTGCCTCTCTGTGTCATATCCCCCAAACAAGATAGTGGAGAGGCTGGCAGCCCAGAAATACCAATGGATGCAGACCAGTAAACCTAAGAGAAGCCTACTCCTTCTAGCCACGTGACCTGAGAGGGGCAGTCTAGCAAGACAGAAACTGTTATACAATAATTGATATTCTTTAGCCAAATGCTACAGAAAAGCCATGGCCCCATACCCACTCATGCCTGCAAAGGCCCAGTAATAAGCTTGGGCATTTTTCCCCTCAGATACTTATCATCTCTTACTCTAGTCTAACAAAACATTGTACCTTTTGACCAAAATCTCTCCATTCCCCCTATTCTCCAGTCTCTGTAAATACTACTTCTCTTCTGAGAGTTCCATGGTTTTGATTCTACATATAAGTGGGAACATTTGTCTTTCTGTGTCTGGCTGACTTTACTTAGCATAATGTCCCCCAGATTCTTCTATGATATAATGTCCTTCTTTTTTAAGGTTGAATACTATTCCATTATGTATACATATACCATATTTTATTTATCCATTTATCAGTTGATGGACATTTAGGTTGATTCTGTGTGTTGGCTATTGTGAGTGGAGTAGCAATTAACATGAAATTGCAGATGTCTCTTCAATATACTTATTTCAAATCATTTGCATATATACTCAGAAATGGGATTGCTGGCTCTACACAGAGTGGTGGTTCTATTTCAGTTTTTAGAGAAAGCTCTTCACAGTTTACAACGTGGCTTGTATAAATTTACATTGCCACCAACAGCATACAGGGGTTCCCTTTTTTCTACATTTTTGCCAACACTTATCTTTCACCTTTTTGATAATAGCCATTTGATAGATATGAGGTGATAGCCCATTGAGTTTCTAATTTTCCTAATGATTAGTGATGTTAAGCATTGCTTCATAGGTTCACATGTACATAAATGTTGGCCATTATTATGTCTTCTTTTGAGAAATGTCTCAAAATGAGTCCTTTGCCCAATTTTAATGGGTTATTTGTTTTGTACTTTGAAGTTGTTTTAGTTCCTTATATATTTTGATTACTAACACCTTATCACATGTACAGCTTATAAATATTTCTCCCATGATATAGGTCGCCTCATCACTCTGTTCATTTTCTTTGCTGTGAGGAAGCTTTAGAGTTTGATATAATCCTGTTTGTTTATTTTTTGTTGTTGTTGCTATTGTTGCCTGAGCTTATGGAGGCAAATCCAAAAAGTCATTGCCCAGACCAAAGTCATATAATGTTTAGAGTTGTTTTTATATATGGTGTTAGATAAGAACCCAATTTCATTCTCCTGAACATGAAAATTCCATTTTCTTGTCACCCTGTTATTGGAGACTGTTCTTTTCCCATTTTGTATTATTGGGGCCATTGTAAAAATCAATTGATCATAATCACACAGGTTCTTTTCTGGCCTCTCTATTTTGTTTCATTGGTCAGTGTGTCTATTTTTTTTTATCAGTATTCTGCTGTTTTAATTCCTATACCTATGTATAGGAATTGCCTTGGTTATTTTTGTGTGTGTGTGTGTGTGTGTGTGTGTGTGTGTGTGTGTGTGTGTGTGTGTTTCTGTATTAATTTTAGAGCTTATCTCTAAAAAAGTAAAATTGAAATTTTGGTAAAAAATTTAATGAATCTATTAATCTTTTGGGGGTAATATAGACGTTTTAACAACATTAATTTTTCCAATCCCTGAACACAGAATTATCTTTCATGCTTTTCTCTTAAAACCACACACACACACACACACACACACACACACACACACACACACAATAAAGGCAATCTTGAGCCAAAAGAGTGTAGCTGGAGACACCACACTACCTGGCTTCAAACTGTATTTCAAAGCTAGGAATTAAAACAGTATAATACTAATAAAAACAGACACATCAACCAATAAAATAAAAGAGAGGCCAGAAGAGAATCTATGCCATTCTGAGTTCTTTCCATATATTTGTGTCTTCCTCAATCAAAATTATATGATATATGATGCAGAGGATGAAAAAAATGAAATCATATAGAGTATGTTCTCTGGAATCAGACTAAAAATCAACTCTAGAAAGATAAATCCCCAAATACTTAGAAACTAAACACCCCCTTTCTAAAATTCTGAGTATCAGGGGCTTCAGGTTTCCAGTTCAATGTGTAAGAACCTAGAAGTTTCTACCCCATCCTGGCAACAAGGAAAAAGCCAAACGAACTGAAAAATCGACAACTCTCCTTATCTCCATTGGGGAAAACCACTGTCCCCAAAATTGGAAGGACAGACAGTCATATTCCAAGAATCACGGATTGTTGGAACAGAAATCACTGAGTAAAAACCTCTGCAGAAACCGGTGCTGAGGTGGGGAAGCCTGAAGTATCATTGATGACTTGCTGGAGGCTCAGTGTGGACAAGTCTGAGAGATAAGAACTCTAGGGGAGCATAGTTATCAGTGTCTCCACACTTCTGTAATTTTTACTTCCAGGATCTTGACCAGATTCTCATAGTGGATTTTGGAGAAAAATCCCCAATGCTGCTGGTAGGAGGGGAAAACATTTAAAAATAGCTAAGGCAATAGAGTGTGACGTCTGGCTTCGGAGCAGGAACCTTCATTGCTCAAGAGACTTAAAAGAGAATTAAATATGGGTGATGTTGAGAAAGGCAAGAAGATCTTTGTTCAGAAGTGTGTCCAGTGCCACATCATGGAAAAGGGAGGCAAGCACAAGACTGGGCCTAATCTCCATGGTCTCTTCGGGTAGAAGACAGGTCAGGCTGTTGGATTCTCTTACACAGATGCTAATAAGAACAAAGGCATCACCTGGGGAGAGGATACACTGATGGTGTATTTGGAGACTCCCAAGAAGCACATCCTTGGAACAAAAATGATCTTTGCCTGCATTAAGAAGGTAGAAAGGGCAGACTTGATAGCTTATCTCAAAAAAGCTACTAATGAGTTGGCCACTGCCTTATTTATTACAAAACAGAATGTCCCGTGAGTTTTTTATGTCCACCATACTTTAAGAGATCTCATACACCAGAATTCAGATCATGAATGACTGACAGAATATTTTGTTGGGCAGTCCTGATTTAAAACAAAGACTGGCTTGTGGTTAAATGAATATGTTCAGTTTTTGAATTTTAATAGTAATTCCAATTCAGTAAATGCTATCGCTATTCACCCCTTCTAAAGATATGTTAGACTTCATTAGTAATGTTCAACTTTTCACAAAGACGCTGAGTACCATCTTAAAACTTACTGGAGATTGGTTTTATATTTAGATTTATATAACTGGTTATGTGAGTATATTTAAATACGGGGGAAATTTCTTCACTGTCTCAGAACCAAGCAAGATTCACTTGTGTTTTGTGTTAATTTGCCTCTTAAAGGCAAGGGTTGAAGATAAATAAGGTAGCAATGTCTACTTTATATTTTTGGCCTTAACTATGCCAGTGTAATTAGAATTCCCTATATTTAAAATGGTTCCTTTTACTTATTGAAAGGCATTTTAGTGTGATTTATGTGTAATATCAAAGATTATTTAACACTTCTTACATTTTATTGATCTGTAAGGTCACATGCTTTTAAAATAGTAGTAAGTTAAACTTCATTCTTGAATTCTTCACAATCTAAGTCAAACTAAGTTATAATTTAGGATTGTCTTTAAACAGCCATTCAGAAACATAAAACTGTAGAACTGCTGTGTATTTGTGATTGGAATGGTGCTTTTGCCAACTTAAAAGGATTAAAGTAGAGGAGATATACACAAGTTTTAAAATTATGTGTGATCATAAGACAAGATAATTAAAAAGAAAACCACAGATCATGAAAAAAAAAAATAGCTCAGGCACTATGTTCTTCTTAGCAAGGCCTGCCCTCAAGAGAAACTAGGTAACCTGAGCCTAACTTGCTGGTGTTTTATCAGAGCCTAACTCACCTTGGAGAAGGGAAATACCCTACTCCAACCCCTTCCAGCCATCCTGTCCAACCTAAGCGGGGGTGACTGAGCAGCATATGTGAAGCCACAGTTCAGAGGCACAGGCCAGCTAAAAGACTGAGTCCTACTCACAAGCTGTAGAACACTCCCCTCCCCCACCTTAACACAACATTACTGAAGGCAAGTTTGTAACAGCACCTTTTATTCAGTACGTCATGCCTGACTGAATCAGGAAAACGTTGCATTGGTTCTGTTTATGTGAAGAATTAACGTTTATTGATTTGTGTATGTTGAAACAGCCTTGATCCCAGGGATAAAGCCAACTTGATCGTGGTGGATAAGCTTTTTGATGGGCTGCTGGATTCGGTTTGCCGGTATCTTACTGAGGATTTTCGCATCAATGTTCATGAGGGATATTGGCCTGAAATTTTCTTTTTTGTTGTGTTTCTGCCAGGTTTTGGTATCAGGATGATGCTGGCCTCATAAAATGAGTTAGGGAGGATTCCCTCTTTTTCTATTGTTTGGAATAGTTTCAGAAGGCATGGTACCAGCTCTTCTTTGTACCTCTGGTAGCATTCGGCTGTGAATCCGTCTGGTCCTGGACTTTTTTTGGTTGGTAGGCTATTAATTGCTGCCTCAATTTCAGAACTTGTTATTGGTCTATTCAAGGATTTGACTTCTTCCTCGTTTAGACTTGGGAAGGTGTACGTGTCCAGGAATTCATCCATCTCTTCTCGATTTTCTATTTTATTTGCATAGAGGTGTTTATAGTATTCTCTGAGGGTAGCTTGTATTTCTGTGTGATCAGTGGTGATATTCTTTTTATCATTTTTTTTGTGTCTATTTGATTCTTCTCTCTTTACTTCTTTATTAGTCTGACTAGAGGTCTATCCATTTTGTTGATCATGATTATCTCAATAAATGCAGAAAAGGCCTTTGAACAAAATTCAACACCCTTCATGCTAAAAGCTCTCAATAAACTAGTTATTGATGGAACATATCTCAAAATAATAAGAGCTATTTATGACAAACCCACAACCAATATCATACTAAATGGGCAAAAACCTAGAAGCATTTCCTTTAAAACCTGGCACAAGACAAGGATGCCCTCTCTCACCACTCTTATTCAACACAGTATTGGAAGTTCTGACCAGGCAATCAGTCAAAAGAAATAAAGGGTATTCAAATAGGAATAGAATAAGTCAAAATATTTCTGTTTGCAGATGACATGATTGTATATTTAGAAAACCCCATTGTCTCAGCCCAAAATCTCCTTAAGCTGAGAAGCAACTTCAGCAAAGTCTCAGGATACAAAATAAATGTGAAAATATTACAAGCATTCCTATAAGCAATGACAGACAAATGGAGAGCCAAATCATGAGTGAACTCCCATTCATAATTGCTACAAAGAAAATAAAACAACTAGGCATACAACTTACAAGGGATATGAAGGACCTCTTCAAGGAGAACTACAAACCACTGCTCGAGGGAATAAGAGAGGACACAAACAAATGGGAAAACATTCCATGCTCATGGATAGAAAAAATCAATATCATGAAAATGGCCACATGCCCAAAGTAATTTATAGATTCCATGCTATCCCTGTCCAGCTACCACTGACTTTCTTCACAGAATTGGAAAAAACTACTTTAAACTTCATAAGGAACCAAAAAAGAGCCCACATAGCCAGGACAATCCTAAGCAAAAAGAACAAAGCTGGAGGCATCATGCTACCTTACTTCAAACTATACTACAAGGCTACAGTAACCAAAACAGCATGGTACTGGTACCAAAACAGACATATATATACATATATATACCAATGGTACCAATATATATATATATCAATGGAACAGAATGAGTCCTCAGAAATAATACCACACATCTACAACCATCTGATCTTTCACAAACCTGACAAAAACAAGCAATGGGGAAGGGATTCCCTATTTAATAAATGGTGCTGGGAAAACTGGCTAGCCATATGCAGAAAACTGAAACTGGACCCCTTCTTTACACTTTATACAAAAATTAACTCAAGATGGATTAAAGATTTAAACAAAGACCTAAAACCATAAAACCCCTAGAAGAAAACCTAGGCAATACCATTCAGGACATAGGCAGGAGTAAAGACTTCATGACTAAGACAAAAAAAGCAATGGCAACAAAAGCCAAAATTGACAAACGAGATCTCGTTAAACTAAAGAGCTTCTGCACAGCAAAAGAGACTATCATCAGAGTGAACAGGCCACCTACAGAATGGGGGAAAATTTTTGCAATCTATCCATCCGACAAGGGACTAATATCCAGAATCTACAAAGAACTTAAACAAATTTATGAGAAAAAAACAAACAACCCCATCAAAAATTGGCAAACTATATGAACAGACAATTTTCAAAAAAAGACATTTATGCAGCCAACAGACATGAAAAAATGCTCATCTTCACTGGTCATTAGAGAAATGCAAATCAAAACCACAATGAGATACCATCTCACGTCAGTTAGAATGGTGATCATTAAAGTCAGGAAATAGCACATGCTGGAGAGAATGTGGAGAACGCTTTTCAATGTTGATGGGAGTGTAAATTAGTTCAAACATTTTGGAAGACAGAGTGGCGATTCCTCAAGGCTCTAGAACCAGAAATACATTTGACCCAGCAATCCCATTATTGAGTATATACCCAAAGGGTTATAAACCATTCTGCTATAAAGACACATGCCCACATATGTTTATTGCTGCACTGTTCACAATAGCAAAGACTTGGAACCAACCCATATGCCCATCAATGATAGACTGGATAAAGAAAATGTGGCACATATACATCATGGAATACTATGCAGCCATAAAAACGGATGAGTTCATGTCCTTTGCAGGGACATGGATGAAGCTGGAAACCATCATTCTCAGCAAAGTAACACAAGAACAGAAAACCAAACACCACATGTTCTCACTCGTAAGTGGGAGCTGAACAATGAGAACGCATGGACACAGGGAAGGAGACAACACACACTGGAGCTTGTCAAGAGGTGGGGTGGGGCAGGGAAGGGATAGCATTAGCAGGAATACCTAACTTAGATGACAGGTTGATGGATGCAGCAAACCACCATGGCACGTGTATACCTATATAACAAACCTGCACATTCTGCACATTTATCTCTGAACTTAAATTATAATAAAAACAATTAAAAAAGAAAATATTGCAAATCATAATACACGGAAAAAAGACATCACAGTTTACAGAGATAGGGCAAGCATGACCAGGTGCAGATATGGCAGGGACACTGGATTTATTAGAACAAGCATTTGAAACAACTATGATTAATATACCACAAGCTTTAATAGATAAAATAGACCACATGCAAGAACAAATAAGCAATGTATGCAGAAAATGCAAATTCTAAAAAAGAGAAACAAATGAAATGTTATTTATCTAACATATAACAGTTTATTCAAAATAATAACAATGTATTAGATTGTATAGGATTGTGTATAAGCAAAATGAGTGACAACAATAATAGAAGGAAGGAGAGGCAGGAATTAGGAGGATTTTGTTATTATAAGATACACCACCTGTGAATCAGTGTAGTGTTGTTTTGAAGGCGGACTTGGTTTAGTTGTAAACATATTTTACAAGGTTTAGTGCTACCACTAATAAAAGTAAAACAATATATAACTGTTGTGCTAATAAGGAGAGAGAATAGAATTATGTTAAGTGTTAAAACTACAAAAGCTGTAAAACATGGAAGACTAAAATAAGAATAAAGAACAAGGGCAATAAATTCACAAGGATAAGAAATATTGTGGATATTCATCCAACTGTATCAAAAATTATTTTTAACATCAGTGGTCTTAAATGTGCTTATTAAAAAATAAAGATTGTCAAAATGGATGAAGAAATAAGACCAAATGATATGTTATCTGCAAGAAATCCACTTTCAATGTTAAAGGCATATATGGATTAAAAGTCAGTGAATGGAGAAAGATGTGCCATGCTAACACTAACCTGAAGAAAGCAATAGTTTTTATTGATTCCAGGTGGCACAGACTTCAACAAGGAAAGGTTTAGGGAAAAAGAGGGACATTAAGCAACGGTAAATAAATTATCCAAAAAAGACGTAACAATCCTTAGCATGTATACACCTGATAATAGAGCATACAAATATGTAAGGCTAAACTGACAGAACTTCAAGAAGAAATGGAAGAATCCACTATCATAGTTGATATACAAAGCTTATTCAAAATTTGAAATTCAATTAATGTATTACATCAAATCAACAGGCTAAAGAAGAAAAATCACATGTCTGTATCAATAGATCCAGAAAACTCATCCGACACTCATGCGTGATAAAAACTCTCAGTAAACTAGGAATAGATGGGGGACATCCTCAACTTGATAAAAATTACCTACCAAACCAAGAGCTGATACCATACTTAACGGTGGGAAATCCAAAGATTTTCTACTAAAATTATAAAAAAGGGAAAGATATTCTCGGTCACATGTCAGGTAAGTTAATATAAAGCTAATTAAATACATAAAAATTCTATAAGAGGAAAACTATCAAACTCTGATAAATCAAAGAAGTACTAAATAAATGGAATATATTTTATATTCATGGACGGGGAGACTCAATATTGTCTGGATGTCAGTTCTTCCAAACTTGAACTACAGATTTAATAAAATTCCAATCAAAATTCCAGCAAGTAATTTTGGATATTGACAAATTGATTCTAAAATATATAGAGAGAGGCAAAAGACACAGAATAGCCATCACACTATTGAAAAACAAGATCAAAGTTGAAGGATTAACACTATAAAACTTCAAGACATACTCTAAAGCTACAGTCATCAAGACAGCATGATGTTAGGAAAGAAACAGACAAATAGATCAATGGAACAGAAGAGAAAGCCTAGAAATAGGCCGACATAAATACAGTCAACTAATCTTTGACTAAGGAGCAAAAAAATACAATGGAGTAAATATAGCCTGTTCAACAAATGATCCTGGAAAAAATGGACATCCACAGGCAATGCAGAAAAATAAAAAAGAAAGAACTTAGACAGAAATATTACACCCTTCACAAAAATTAATTCCAAATGGAACACAGCTCCAATTATAAAAGACAATAATTTAAAAACTCCTAGAAGATAACATAGTACAAAGTCTAGATGACCTTCACTTTTGCGATGACTTTTTAGATTCTATGCCAAAGGCATGATGCACAAAAGAAACGACTGATAAACTGGACCTCATTAAAATTAAAATTTTCTGCTCTATGAAAGACATTCTCAAGAGAGCAAAAAGACACACTGCAGATTGGACAAAAATATTTGCAGACAACATAGCAGATAAAAGATGCTAAGGAAAATATGCAAAGAACTGTTAAAACTCAATGATATCAAAACAAAAATTCCAATTAAGAATGGGCCAGAAACATTAACAGATACCTTACCAAAGAATATATACAGATGAAAATTAGCGTATGAAAATATTAAAAATGGGCCAGAAACCTTAACAGATATCTTACCAAAGAATATATACAGATGAAAATTAGCGTATGAAAATATTAAAAATGGGCCAGAAACCTTAACAGATACCTTACCAAAGAATATATACAGATGAAAATTAGCATATGAAAATATGCACCACGTTGTATATCATCAGATAAATACAAATTAAAACAACAATAATATACCACTACACACCTATTAGAATGGTCCAAATCCAGAACATGGACAACAACAGTTACTGGTGAGATTGTGGAGCAAAAGCAACTTTCATTTATTGGTGATGGAGATGGAAAGTTCTACAATTACTTTGGAAGACAGTTTGGCAATTTTAAAAAAACTAAACACTGTTTTACCATATGATCTAGCAATCACACTCCATGATATTACCCAAAGAAGTTGAAAACTTATGTCCACTCAAAACCTGAATATGGATGTTTAGAACAGTTTTGTTTATAATTTCTAAAACATGGAAGTAACAAAGAAGTCTGTCTGTAGGTGAATGGATAAATAAACTGTTGTACATTCAGAAAATTGGATATTATTCAGTACTAAAAAGAAATGAGTTATTAAGTCATGAAAAGACATGGAAGAAACTTAAAGTCATACCACTAAGTAAAATAAGCCAATATGAAAAGGGTAACTATTGTATGATCCAACTATATGACATTTTGAAAAAGGAAAAAGTACGGAGACAAGTTTTAAAAATGAGTGGTTTCTTGGGGTGGGGGGAAGATAGGGGTGAATAGGAAGAGCTCAAAAGATGTTTAGGGTAGTGAAACGACTATGATACTATAATGGCAGATAACTGCCACTATATATATCAAAACCCATAACATATGCAACACCAAGAGTCAACTGTAATGTGAACTATGGACTCTGGATGGTAATGATGTGTCACTGTAAGTTCATCAGCTATAACTTCATCCCCCCCTCTGGTGGGGGATGTTGACTACAGAGGGGGCTGTGCTTGTGTAGGGACAGGTGGTATACAGGAAATTTTTGTACCTTACACTCAACTTTGCTGTGAACTGAAAACTGCTCTGAAAAACTAAAGTCTATTTAAAAAAGGAAAGGAAAAAAATCCATTTGTCAAAGAGAAAGACTTAAGGGAAATAAAAACATATTGAACCGATGAAAATAGAAACACAAGATGTCAGAATTTTGGGGATGCAGCAAATGCAGTGCTAACAAGGAAATTATAGAACTAAATCCTATATTAGAAAGGACACTTCAAATCAGAAATCTAAAATATTATCTCAAAAAAATTAAAAATGAGAGCAAAATAAAAGCCAAAGCAACTAAAAAATAGGCAAATATTAAAAGGGCAGAATTCATTGAATGGATTACAGACCACAATATAAAAATCAGTAAAAATTAATGTAGTTCTTTGAAAAACCTCTAGCACAATTAACAGAAAAACAGAGACAAGGCACCAAAAAATTATAATCTAACAATATTGTCAGAACATGGGCAAGAAACAGGAAGAGAAATCTTCTCAACAAAGAGGATATAACATACATGGCATATAACAAAGAGGATATAACATACATATAACAAGTTGTTCATCATTATCAGACTTGAGGGATATGTAAATGAAGACTATGATGAGCAGAACCAAAATTTTAAGTGACAATACCCAAACCTTGCAGGGATGTAGAGAAACTGGATCTTTTATACATTATTGGTAGGATATAAAATGTTATCTATATTCTGTAGCCACTATAGAATATAATTTGGCATTTTATTTAAAACTAAACAAACATTTTCTATTCTATGGTGCAATTTGCACTTCTAGGCATTTATCCCAGATAAATAAAAGCTTATGTCCACACAAGAACATCTACACTACGATTGTTTTGCTCCTGTGATGGTATGTTAGCTTACTGCTCACAAGTCATGGTTATAGAGGTTATACAATAGTTAGCAAATGTCCTGCTTCCAGTTCTTACACAATTTTTATGTCAGCAGAGGTAATGTTCAGGTGATACACACAAGTATGGTTAAACAATTCTGTAGGGCTGGCCAACATTCTGATTGTCTAGCATTATTGTTGTTTAAATAGTCATCATATTTTATTGGGTATTTTCAGTATTACCTATGGAGGTATTATTTTCTTTTATTTTATAAAGGGAGATGCTGACTTTAAAGAATTTCAACAACTCACCAAATGTCACAGTCTCATTATTTTTAAGACTACTTTTTTTTTCTATTCCATAATTACTTCCTATCAATTCGAGAATTACACTCAACCAAATATCTATTCTTACACTATCTCTTAATGAATTACATATGAGAGAAAGCTTAAAAACACAAAAATTACAAGAATGAATAATGCTTAGTAGCTGACAGGTAATTTCTAGTATACTTGTCAGTATAATTAATTGCATGTATAATACACGCTACACTAAATTAATATCTAAATACCATAGTTAGTAGCCATTAGATTGCATTTATCACTCTTGTTCCTTTGCAAAGGGTTTGTTAGCTCATTAAAAAGTGTTGGGGTAAGCAACTGAATACTGTACCGCTGTCAGCAACTGGTGGTTGAGGTTCCCCATCAGAATAAATGCCAGAATAATACAGAACTGACAATATTAACATCTTTCACCAGTATTAAAATTTGTGCTGTGCTTTGAAAGATTAAGAAATATACCAAGAGCTAAAGGTAAAAAAAATTTGACAAGAGTAATGCATTCTTTGATATTATCAAAATAAGTGGTTGGCACAAAGTAAATGATTGATCAGTGGTAGCTGAGGTGGGAGAAGAGGAGCAGTAGCGAGAGGTAGAGAAAGGGCCGGTGCAGAGATGGGTCTATATTTAGGGAAGAGGCTGTGTTAGAAATGTAAGCTAAAAACTTGTGAGGCATGTAAAATAAAGGGAGTGGAAGAAGTTAGCAAGGCATTTGTCTAAACTGATGGGAGACAAAGTGAGGCAACCCCCTGGAAACACATGCAGTGGCAAAGGAGCCCGCTGTAGGAACGACACAGTTCCCACATTACACAACCTGTGAACTAGGAAGAGGCAGAAAAGATGAGTCCAAAGACAAGTAAGAGACAAGAATGGGACATCTCGAGAGATACTCAGACAAAAAGCTAAGGAAAACAGTTGAGAGAAAAGCAGAAGATACATCAGGCTACAAGGAGTCACCTTGTTAAAAGAAGGAGAGTGTCTAATCTAAACATAGAGCAGTGTTACAGGATACTTTGCCAAAAATATCATCAAGGGACATTCCTGGGAAGGTTCTGAATGTCAGGCTAAGGCTTCTTAGCCCTGAATTTAATAAGTAAAGGGGTATAATAGAAATATGGTAATGTTAATTCATAGTTGAAAAATTATATTGAGCTTTCATGTCCATAGATACAATTTTTTCACTTTGTTATTTACCCTTTTCTCTATACTGGGATAATGCATTTATAATTTATTCTAATGCAAATATTGTTATTGTCAATTTTATATTATAGTAATGAAAATAATGCAGATTTTGAATATGTGAAAAAATATATGTAAATAAAATGTAAATATATAAATTTATGTAAATATAGTCAGATTTTTACAAAGTATTTTAAATTATTATTTAGAATGAAACTACCAAAGGACTGCTTTAGTTCCCAGGATGTTATTTTAGTGTGACAAAAATGCAGTTCATAAGGAATTAAAACTAAGAAATGCAATTAGTTTTGTGTAATTTATTTTAAGTGCTGCCTTTAAGTGAAAAGTTGCCAATAAAATCTTAAAGTAAGTTTATTCTTCTGGCCATGACGGATATTTCAAGATGAGCAGAGAATGTGTGTTTTTGGTCTTGTGATTCCCCGAAAGTTTCCCCTCTTTGTTCCTTAATGGCATTAATGTAGTTAGAGGTGTTATGTGATGAATTTCTTGGGTTTACCTTTGCTTCAATCTGTTTAGTATCTGGATTCTGAAACAAAAATTTGATTTTGCTCTTGCCATCATCTGAAGAACCTTTAAGCTGAGAGAATTTATACCTCCAAAGGACAGCCTAAAGGGGGGAAAAAAAACAATGTAAGTCGGTGGAATTAATATCTGCTTTCAAATCAAGAAATAGTTCTTTTTTAAATGGTAAAAGTTAATCATACAAAGTTAGTACTATGTCCCAATATTTTAAAATGAAATTTAAAAATATTTATCAAATGTTAACATTTGTGATTCAATATTATCATTTAATTTTCAGAAATATTTTATCCATGAAATAATTATTGCAAAAATGCATAAAAATAAATTGCTCTTAGTATCTTGTCTTATGTGCACAGTCAATAAGCACTGTATGTTTCATTGAGTCCTTTTCAATAGAAGTGACAAAGTGATTTTGAATTGATCATTCTGGAACTTCATCTTGAAGCTCAACTAATAACCTTCGCTTTATTAAGATGACATATTAGCTTGAATAAACCCTTATGACAAAAACTGACATGGTGCTTTCATGAGATGCAGAATAAGCATTTTATAGAGCCATCATCTGCATCAGTCTGTAATATCTTGGAAAGTAGAGCCTCTTTCAGAAACATATTCTACAAATGTAATTCTCTGAAGCAGAAAGTAACAGAAATCTGTTGCCTTTCCAAATAACAAAAATGGAGATATAAAAGGTGAAATTGGCAATAAGTGGGAATTGTCTATAACAAGTTTTTGTCTATCCTGTATCATAAATCATATTTCCTGGGAGCAGGTGCAGCAGTTCACTCTTTGGTATGTCCTGAAACTAAAAACATGCATGTCCAAAGTAAAACACCAAAGATATAAATCATTAAAGAAGAAAATTGTGTATGTGTGTTCAAACATGATCACACACCATGTAGTTTGTTTTACCTTATCTTAGCATACCTTTATCTCATTAAATATGTGATAGAAAATACTTTTAACAAATTATTGTTTCAAATATTTTTTAAATGATTTCTTATGGTTTCTAAATAGATCAACAAAACATAGCTGATATAGTCAAATATTTTCTGAGTGCAGTCCTATTTAAGCTATTGTTGCTGATAAAATAGTAAAGAAAGAACAGAGTATATGTCTCACATCTTTTTCAGAATAAAATGTGATAGATAAAAGCATATACGGGCATACCTCGGGGTATATACAGGCATACCTCAGGGCTTTTGTGGATTTTGTTCCAGACCACCACGAAACAGCAAGTATTGCAATGAAGTGAGTCACAGAAATTGTTTGGTTCCCCAATGCATATAAAAGTGATGTTTGTTTCTATACTGTAGTCTATTAAGTGTACAATGACATTAAGCCTAAAAAAATGTATATACCTTAATTAAAATATAATTTATTACTAAAAAATGCCAGGGGTCATTCAAGTCTTCAGTGAGCCGTAGTCCTTTTGCTGGTGGAGGGTGCTGCCTTGATGCTGACAGCTGCTGGCTCATCAGGATGGTGATTGCTGGTGGTTGGGGTGGCTGTGACAATTTCTTAAAATAAGACAGCAATGAAGTCTGCTGCATTGATTGACTGTTTCATGAAAGATTTTTCTGTAGCCTGCAATATAGCCGAATAGCATTTTACCCACAGAATTTCTGAACTGCAGTCAATTCACTCAAATCCTGCTGCTGTTTATCAACTAAATTAATGTAATATTCTAAATATTTTGTTATCATTTCAACAATATTCACAGCATTTTCATAAGAAGTAGGTTCCATCTGAAGAAACCACTTTCTTTGCTCCTCCATAAGAAGAAACTCCTCACTCACCAAAGTTTTATCATGAGATTGCAATAATTCAGTTGCATCTTCAAGGCTCCAGTTATAATTTTAGTTTTCTTGTTATTTCCATGGCATTTGCATTTACTTCCTTCACTGAAGTCCTGAACCTCTCCAAGTCTCCGAAGAGGGTTTAGAATTGATTCAACTTCTTCCAAATCCCTATTTATATTGATATTTTGACCTCCTCCCATGAATCATATATAATGTAATGGCATCTAAAATTATGAATCCTTTCTAGAAAGTTTTTAATTGACTGCCAAGATCCATCAGAGGAATCACTTTATCTATGTTATCTATAGCCTTACAAAGTGCATTTCTTAAATAATAAGACTTGAAAGTCGAAAATACTCCTTGATTCATGGACTGCAGAATGGATATTGTGTTAGCAGACAAGAAGACATTAGCCTCCTTGCACATCTCCCTCAGAGTTCTTGGATAATTTGGTACATTTTTAGTGAGCCGTATTATTTTGAAAGGAATTGTTTTTTCGAAGCAGTGGGTGTCAATAGTGGACTTAACATATTCAGTAAACCATGCTGTAAACAGATGTTCCTCAGGATTTAATATTCCATTTAGAGTACAGGTAGGGTAGATTTAGCACAATTCTTAAGGGTCCTAGGATGTTTAGAATGGTAAATGAGAATTGGCTATACTTTAGTCACGAGCTGCATTGGTCCCAACAAGAGAGGCAGCCTATCCTTTGAAGTTTTGAAGCCAGACATTGACTTCTCCTCTCTACCTATGAAAGTTTCAGATGGCATCTTCTTCCAATATAAGGCTGTTTTATCTACACTAAAAATCTGTTGTTTAGTGTAGCCACCTTTATCAATGATCTTAGCTAGATCTTCGGATAACTTGCTGTAGCTTCTCCATCAGCACTTGCTGCTTCACGTTGTACTTTTATGGTGTAGAGATGGCTTCTCTCCTTAAACCTCATGAACAAACTTATGCTAGCTTCAACCTTTTCTTCTTCAGCTTCTTCATCTTTATCAGCTTTCATAGATCTGAAAAGAGAGCCTTCCCCTGGATTAGGCTTTGGCTTAAGGGAATGTTGTGGCTGGTTTGATCTATCCATACCATGAACACTTTCTCCATATCAGCAAAAAGCCTGTTTCACTTTCTTATCATGTATGTGTTCCCTGGAGTAGCAGTATTACATTTCTTCAAAAACTCTTCCTTTGCATTCACAACTTGCTTAACTGTTTGTCACAGGAGGCCCAGCTTTTAGCCTATCTCTGTTTTCAACACGCCTTTCTCACCAAGCGTAATCATTTCTAGATTTTGATTTAAAGTGAGAGGCATGTGAGTCTTTCATTTGAATGCTTAGAAAGTCCATTGCAGGATTATTAATTAGCTTGATTTTCAAATTATTGTGTCTGTGGGAATAGGGAGGCCTAAGTACAGGGAGAGAGGTGGGAAACGGTCAGTGGAGCAGTCAGAACACACATCTTTTTGGTTAAAATTATTCACCATCTTATATGGGCACAGTTCATGGTGCTCCAAAATAATTACAATAATAACATGAAATATTACTAATTGCAGGCCACCATAACAAATGTAATTTAAAAAGCTTTGAAACATTTTAAGCATTACCAAAATGTGACACAGAGATACAAAGTAAGCGCACGCTGTTGGAAAAACAGCTGATAGAGTGGCTCAATGCAGGGTTGCCACAAACCTGCAATTTGTAAAAGACACAGTATATGTGAAGGACAATAAAGCAAAGTATGATAAAATGAGGTATGCCTGTAAATTAGCACTTATGTCAATACATTCACACTGTCATATGAAGAGCAAGTTATAGTTAAACATATCCTGAATACCAATTTTAACATATCACCAGTGATCCTTAAAACCCAGATTTCTTAAGGTCTTAGCCTCTTTAAGCAGAGTTTCTAATGAGAAAGTAGTACCCCTTCACCTAGCAAAATGTAAAATAATTCCTGGTAAAATGCCTGTTCTCCAAGATTATCTCACACTGACACTGAGAAAATGAGATTGGTAAAGGTTCCAATAAATACATTTAAGGGTAAATGGAGTGAGAAAATGTTTATCTCCAACCAGCAATTCCACAGTAAATATTCATATGCATAACTTTTCCTCGTGGTAATATTTTCAGCTTAGATATTACAGGTTTATAATTAGGAGACATTACCCATGGTCTCCATTTGTACATATGTATTTTAATGGTGAGTGGTAACAATGCCAGACAAAAAAACTGCAACTTTCACCTTCAACTCAATAAAGTGTGTGTTTTTGCTTTTTTCCTATCTTGGTACATGGGGAAAAAATGTACCTTACATTTAAAAAAAAATTGTGTCTTACACAGCTTGGGCAACATGATGAAACCCTGTCTACAAAAAAGACAAAAAGTTAGCTGGACTTGATGGCATGAGCCTGTAGGCCTAGCTACCTGGGAGATTGAGATGGGAGAATCACCTGAGCCCAGTGGTTGACGCTACAGTGAGCCGTGATCGTGCCACTGCACTACAGAGTGAGCCCTGTCAGAAAGAGAGAAAGAGAAAAAGAGAGGAAGGAAAGAAAGAAGGAAGGAACGAAGTGTGAAAATTTTTGTTTTTGAAATTAAAATTTTGGCATTTTTCTTCAACAGATTAATACTAAAACAAGATCAAAATTTAAGAATTAAAGTAACAGAGGTAAAAGGAAAATTCGACATGGAGATTATATAAAATAATAGAATGTTACCTTAATTGTATAACTAATACATAAGGTAAGCATATGATAAGGTAGAATCCTAGTACCCAGTTTACTTTATATGTGTTCTTAAATATTAATTTTTATACGCCAATTTTTTAAGAGTAAAACACACATGCACAAAAAAACTTGTAGTACTTAAGCTAGATTTCTGAGGCACCCTTAGTTTGACAAATGTGGAGGAATATGAGTAGCACGCTCAAGAAAAAGTTTAAGTCCATGGTCTGAACAATTCTACTAGTTCAGTGCATCATTTCAGAAAGATGCAACAAGGAATTACTGAAGCATAACCCTTCATGATTGAAGTCAATATTTTCTGCTACCCCCTTTCAGGAGACAATTTTTCAATTTATATAGGCCTACAGTGCATTATACTACTTTTCCAGATTTGTAGCTCCAAGAATACCTGAGGGGGTGTTAATCTGGAGCTAATAGTTTTATAATGAAATTCATTTCTTACTAGATCAGAATTCCTTCCAGAAGTCTATAAGGTTTTTTGACTATACCTCATCATCCAATATCACAATAGCATATTTAGATAGCATACAATCTGCAGAAGAGCAAAAGCACTAAAAAAAAGTAAACTTGCATTTATTGTTTGACTACATAATGACATTGAACCCATCCTACAAGTCTAAAGATGTTTTGCAGGGAAAATAAAAAGCATATGTGTATATATATAATATATATTATATATATTTACAATATAATATATTATATATTATATATATTTACAATATGTATATGCAAATATATATTATACATATATATGACTTACAAAAATGTTAAGACAATCAGAAAGTTCATATCCACTCCACACCCAGTTTGCCCAATTAATGATATCTCACATTAGTATGGTGTCTTGTCACAGTTAATAAACTAATATCAGCAGATTATTAAGTAAGGTCTATCATTTATTTAGATATCTTTAGTTTTAACCTAATGTCTTTTTCTGTTATGGTGTCATGTTACATTTATTCATTGTGACTTCTTAGGCTCCACTTGGCTGTGACAGGTTCTCAGTTCCTCATCAGACTGTACTTGAAAACTTTGAGGAGTCCTGTCAGGTATTTTGTAGACTAGCACCTATTGTAATGTTTTCGATGTTTTTCTCATGAATAGATAGGCCAAAGATTTTCTTTGAATCAAAAAGGACTCACAGTTTTTTGTTAATGATGCCAGTGGATATCCCTGAGAGGCTTTCATTTAAGGCATGTGATTTGAGTGTGATGTGTTGTGTGTGTTCGTTCAGCTGGGGTAGCTGGTCTTAACACAGTTTTATAGTTTATTTCAACATAGATCTATGTGAAGAAAAGCATGACTTTTAGAGTACTAAAACTCCATATCTTGATTACTTTATTACTAAAACATTTGTATAAGAACAGTCAAAATTAAGTAGAATATACTCATGTATTTTTACATTATCTATAATTCCTTATTTTCTAATTTCAAATTATTATTTAACATTAACAATTATAAAAATAAAAAGAACATTCACATTTTCTTTTGGTGTGGTAAAATATACATAATATAAAATTTAGCATCGTAATGATTTTTACATGTATGATTGAAGAATGTTAAATACATTCACAATGTTGTGTAATCATTACCACTAGCCATTTACAGAATATTTTTTTCATCCTAAACAGGAACTCTGTACCCATTAATCATATGTCTTCACTTATCTTTCCCCACTGCCCCAGGCACCCTTTATTCTACTTCCTGTCTCTAAGAATTTGCCTATTCTAGGTATTTCATTTAAGGGGAATCATAAAACATCTCTCCTTTTGTGTGTGGCTTATTTCACTTAACGTAAGGTTTTCGAGGCCCATCCATGGCTAAATAATATTCCATTGTCTGAAAATCCCAATTTTGTTTATCCATTCATTTATCGACCGACACTTGAGTTGCATTCACCATTTGTCAACTGTGAGTCATACTTCTATGAACATTGGTGTACAAGTATCTGTTTAAGTCCCTGCTTTCAATTCTTTGGTGTATATACTGAGAAGCTGCACTGTTAAATCATATGGTAACTTATGTTCAACTTTTTGTGGAACCACCAAATGTTTTTCAGAGGCTACATCATTTTATAATTATACCAGCAATGTGAAAGAAAGGGTTACTCTTCCATTTATGAGGTTCTCCACATCCTCATCAACAACTTTGTTTGTTTTCTTTCTGATTTTTGCCATCCCAATGAATGTAAAGTGGTAACTCCTGTGGTTCTGACTTGCATTTCACTAATGGCTAGTGATGTTGGTCATCTTTTTGTGTGCTTGCTGGCCATTTGTATATATTCTTTGTTGCAATATCTACTCATGTTCTATTTTGAATTGAGTTGCTTGTTTTGTTGTTACTGAGTTGTATAAGCATTTTATACATTTTGGATATTAACCCATTATCACATATATGATTTGCAAATACATTCTTCCATTCTGTGGGTGACCTTTGCACTCTGTTGTAGTACCCTTTGATGTACAAAAGTCATTCGCTTTAATGTTGTCCAATTTATCTATCTTTTATTTTGTTGCCTGAGCTTTCGGCGTCATAGCAAAGAAATTATTGCCAAATTTAAAGTAATGAAGCTTTTCCCCTATGCTTTCTTCTACAAGTTTTATCATTTTAACTCTTACAGTTAGGTCTTTGACTCATTTTGAGTTAATTTTTGAGTATGGTATAAGGCCAGGGTCTAACTTTATCCTTTTGCAGGTGAGTATTTTGTTTTACTAACAAACACCATTAGTTGAAAACACTGCTCTTTCCTCATTGGATGGTCTTGGCACCCTTGTTGAAAATCATTTTACCATACATATGAGGTTCATTCTGTGATCTCTATTCTATTCCATGTTTTTATGTCTGTCTCTATGACAGGACAACACTATTTTAATTACTATAGCTTTGTAATAAGTTTTGTAATCAGAAGTCAAAGACCTACAACTTTTGTTCTTTTTCAAGATTGTTTTGGGTATTTGGGGATCCTTAAAATTTTATGTTAGTTATAAGACGGACTTTTCTATTTCTTCAAAAAATATCAGTGACATTTTGATGAGGACTGCGTTGTATCATATTGTCATCTTAATAATAATATGTCTTTCAATTCATAAACACAGGATGTTGTTTCTTTTATATTGCTTTCATCAATTTTCTGTAGATTTTAGTATACAAGACTTTCACCTACTTGGTTAAGTATATCCCCAATTATTTTATTCTCTTTATGTTATTGTAAATAAAATTGTCTTCTCAAATGCTTTTCCAGATTATTCATTGTTAGTGTATAGATACACAACTCTTTTTGTATGTGTGTTGATTTTGTATACTGTGACTTTGCTATTATTATGTATTAGCCAAAACAGGTTTTGTGTGGTTATTTAGTTTGGATATTTGTCCCCGCTTAAATCTCATGTTGAAATCTAATCCCCAGTGTTTGGAAAGGGGCCTTATAGGAGGTGTGTGGATCACGGGGGCAGATATCTGAAAGATCTGCACCCACGAATGGCTTGGGCCATCCCCTTGGCAATAAGTGAGCTCTCAGTCTGGGTTCATAGGAAATCCTGTCTGAAAAATGTGTGTCACCTCCTCTCTCTCTCTCTCTGCTCCTATTTTTGCCATGTGACAAGCTTGCTTCCACTTCATCTTCCACCATGACTAAAAACTCCCTGAGACTTCCCCAGAAGCCATCAGATGCCAGCACCGTGCTTCCTGTATAGGCTGAAGAACAGTAAGCCAACTAAACCTCTTTCCTTTATGAATTACCCAGTCTCAGGTATTTCTTTATACTGATCCAAGAATGGCCTAATACATCTGATGTGTGTGTGTTTGTGTGTGTAGTTGTCTACATACAAGATTATGTCATCTGTGAGCAGAGATAATTTTACTAATTTTCAATTTTCTTTGGCTTTTTTTTTTTCTTGCCTAATAGCTCTGGCTAAAACTGTCAATAATACCATGTCAAACAGAAGAAGTCAAAGCAAGTATTCTTGTTCCTGATTTAGGAGAAAACTTTCAGTCTTTCAGCATTGGATATAATATTATCTGTGGGTCGTTTTTCATATTTCAAATATCTTTCTATTCCTAGTTTATTAAGTTTTTTTGTTAAAGGTTGATGCGTTCTGACAAGTGTATTTTTCTGTATTAATTGAGAAGATTCTTGTATTTTTATTTAAACTTCATTCTATTAAGGTGTTGTATTACATTGATTGATTTACATATATTGAATCTTCCTTGAATTTCATTAATAAATACTACTTGGCCATGGTGTATAATCCTTTTAATATGTTGCTGAGTTCTGTTTGCTAGTATTTTTTGAGAGTTTTTTAAATTAATATTCATTAGGAATATTGAGCTACTATTTTCTTTTCTTGTAGCATCTTCTTCTGGCTTTGGTGTCAAGGTAATGTTGGCCTCACAGAATGACTTACAAAGCATTCCCACTCCTTCAATTTTTTTTTTTTTTGGTAAGAATTTGAGAATAACTTTGATTTTTTTAATGTTTGGTAAAATTCACCAATAAAGCTATGTGGTCCAGGCCTCTTCTCTGTTGACAGATTTATGATTATGGATTCAATCCCCTTAATAGCTACAGATTCATTCACTTTTGGCAGTGTGTATATTTCCAGGAATTTATCTATTTCATCTAGGTTATCAAATTTCTGAAATGCAATTGCTCATAAAATTGTCTCTTAATCCATTTATTTTTACAATATTATCAAAATGTCTCTTCTCTTTTTTTCTGATTTTAGTAATTTGGGTCTTCTTGTTGAGACAATCAGGCTAAAGACTTATAAATTTTGTTATTTTTTCAAGGAACCAACCTTTAATTTTGTTGATTTTTCTTCATTACTTTCTAGTATCTATTTTATTTTTTTCAACTATAATCTTTATTGTTTTCACCTTTCTAGCTAGCTTTCAGTCTACTCGTCTTTTTCTACTTCTTTAAGATGTAATGTCAGGTCACTGATTTGTGATGTTTCTTATTTTTAGATGAGTTTTTGTTTTCATCCTCTTTTTTAATATATATATACTTATACTCCTACAAGTTTCCCTTTTAGTACTGCTTTCGCTTTGTCTCATATATTTTGGTATGTTTGTGTTTCACTTTCATTTTCCTCTAAATATTTGTTTTCTTCTTTATCCAGTTGACAGTTAGGAGTGTGTTGATTTCCATTTCTTTCTGGATTGTCCAGTGTTTCTTCTGTTATTGATTTTTAGTTTCATTCCATTGTGAGCAGAAAAGATATTTTGTATAATTTCAATCATTTAAAATCTATCATGACGTATTTTGTGTCTTAACACATGGTCTAATCTGAAGAATGTCCCATGTGCCCTTCAGAAAAATGTGTATTCAACTGTGGTTGAATATATGGCATGCATATGTCTGTTAGATCCAGTTGGTTAATTTTGTGTGTGTATGATTTTTTTAAAATTAATAATAGATTTTATTTTTGAGAGCAGTTTCATGTTCACAGAAATAATAAGCAAAAGAAACAGAGTGGTGCATTTGTTATAATCTACGAACCTACATTGATATTATTATCCTTCAAAGTCCTAAGTTTACATTTGGGTTCACTTTTGGTGTTATAAATACTATGGATTTTAACAAATGTGTAATAACATTTATCTACCATTACAGTGTCTTGCAGAGTAGTTTCATTGCCCTGGAAATCCTCTGTGGTCCACCTACTCATCCCTCTCTTTCCCACAATCACTGGTAACCACTGGTCTTTTACCATCTTCACAGTTTTGCCTTTTCCAGAATCTCATATAGTTGGAATCATACAGTATATAATCCTTTCCAATTGACTTCTTTCACTTAGTAATGTGCATTTGTTTCCATCATGCCATTTCATGGCTTTTCTTTTCTGATGCTCAATAATATTCCATTTTCCAGGTATACCATAGTTTAGTTATCCATTCACATACTAAAGTGAATGCTGGTTGTTTCCATGTTTGGGCAATTATGAATAAAACTGCTCTAAATATCCATGTGCAGACTTTTGTGAGGACATAGCTTTTTAGATACTTTGAGTAAATACCATGGAATAAGATTTGGATGGTAACAGTATGTTTTGTTATGTGAGAAACTGTTAAATTATCTTTTTCTTACATTTAACTTTTATTTTAAGTTCAGGGGTACTTGGTCAGGTGCAGTGGCTCGTGCCTGTAATCCCAACACTTGGGAAGTGGATGCGGGAAGATCACCTGAGGTCAGGAATTTAAGACCAGCCTGGCCAACATGGCGAAACCCCATCTCTACTAAAAATACAAAAACTAGCCAGGACTGGTGGCACACACCTGTAATGCCAGCCTCAGGAGGCTGAGGAAGAAGAATTGCTTGAACCCAGGAGGTGAGTGTTGCGATGAACTGAGATTGCACCACTGTACTCCAGCTTAGGTGACAGAGCAAGACTCTGCCTCAGAAAAAAAAGAAAAGTTCTTGTGAAGGTTTGTTATGTGGGTAAACTTACATCATGGAGGAGTTTTGTACAGATTATTTTGTCACCCAGGTATTAAGCCTAGTACCCAGTAGTTATTTTTCCTGCTCTTCTCCCTTCTCCAAACCTCCGTCCTCTGATAGGCCTCAGTGTATGTTGTTCTTCTCTATGTGACCATGTGTTCTCATCATTTAGCTCCTTTTTATAAGTGAGAACATGTGGTGTTTGGTTTTCTGTTCTTGTATTGGTTTGCTAAAGATAATGGCCTCCAGCTCCATCCATGTGCCTGCAATGTAAATGATCTCATTCTTTTTTATGGCTGCTTAGTATTCCATGGTGTATATACACCACTATTTCTTTATCTAGTTTACCACTGATGGGCATTTAGATTGACTCCATGTCTTTGTTATTGTGAACAGTGCTGCAGTGAACATACTTGTGCATCTCTCTTTATGATAGAACAATCTATATTCCTTTGAGTATATACTCAGTAATGGGATTGATGGGTTAAATAATATTTCTATTTTTAGGTCTTTGAGGAATTACCATACTGTCTTCCACAATGGTTAAACTAATTTATACTCCCACCAACCAGGTAAAAGCTTTCCTTTTTCTCTACAACCTTGTCAGCATTGTTTTTGTTTTGTTTTGTTTTGTTTTGTTTCTAATGGTAGCCATTCTGGCAGGTGTGAGATGGTATCTCACTGTGGTTTTGATTTGCATTTCTCTAATAATCAGTGATGTTGAGGTTTTTTTTTTTTTCATATGTTTTTTGGCCACATGTATGTCTTCTTTTGAAAAGTGTGGTTCATATCCTTTGCCCACTTTTTAATAAGGCTGTTTTTTTTTTCTTGTAAATTTGTTTAAGTTCCTTGTAGATGCTGGATATTAGACCTTTGTCAGATGCACAGTTTGCAAAAATTTTCTCCCATTCTGTTGGTTGTCTGTTCACTCTGTTGATAGTTTCTTTTGCTGCGCAGAGCTTTTTAGTTTAATTAGATCCCATTTTCCAATCTTTGCTTTTGTTGTAATTGCTTTTGGCATCTTCATCATGAAATCTTTGCCCAGTCCTATGTCTAGAATGGTATTGCCTAGGCTGTATTCCAGAGTTTTTATAGTTTGGGTTTTATATTTAAGTCTTTAATATATCTTGTGTTAATTTTGGTATATGGTGCAAAAAAAGGGGTCCAATTTCTTCTGCAACTGGCCAGCCAGTTATCTCAGCATCATTAATTGAATAGGGAATCCTTACCCCACTGATTGTTTTTGTCAGGTTTGTCAAAGATGAAATAGTTGTAGGTGTATGGTCTTATTTCTGGGTTCCCCATTCTGTTCCACTGGTATATGTGTCTGGTTTTGAACTAGTGCCATGCTGTTTTGGTTACTATAGCCCTGTTTAAAATCAAATGGAGTGATGCCGCCACGTTGTATTTATTTTATTTTTTTATTATACTTTAAGTTCTGGGATACACATGCCATGGTGGTTTGCTGCACCCAACAATCCATTATCTATGTTGTTTTCTCGTAATGCTATCCCTCCCCCAGCCCCACATCCAGTATATACCCAGTAATGGATTGCTGGGTCAAATGGTATTTCTGGTTCTAGATCTTTGAGGAATTGCCATAGTGTCTTCCACAATGGCTGAACTAATTTACACTCCCACCAACAGTGTAAAAGTGTTCCTATTTCTCCACATCCTCTTCAGCATCTATTATTTCCAGACTTTTTAATGATCACCATTCTAATTGGTGTGAGATGGTGTCTCATTGTGGTTTTGATCTGCATTTTTCTAAAGACCAGTGATGATGAGCTTTTTTTCATATGCTTGTTGGCTATATAAATGTCTTTTTTTGAGAGTGTCTGTTCATATACTTGGCCCACTTTTTGATGGGGTTGTTTGTTTTTTTCTTGTAAATTTGTTTAAGTTCCTTGTAGATTCTGGATATTAGCCCTTTTTGAGATTGATAGATTGTAAAACTTTTCTCCCATTGTGTAGATGGCCTGTTCATCCTGATGATAGTCTCTTTCGCTGTGCAGAAGCTCTTTAGTTTAACAAGATCCCATTTGTCAATTTTGGCTTTTGTTGCCATTGCTTTTTGTGTCTTAGTCATGAAGTCTTTGCTCATGCCTATGTCCTGAATGGTATTGCCTAGGTTTTCTTCTAGGGTTTTTATGGTTTTACGTCTTATGTTTAAGTCTTTAATCCATCTTGAGTTAATTTTTGTATAAGGTGTAAAAAGGGGGTCCAGTTTCAGTTTTCTGCGTATGGCTAGCCAGTTTTCCTAGCACCATTTATTAAATAGGGAATCCTTTCCCCATTGCTTTTTTTTTTTTGTCAGGTTTGTGGAAGATCAGATGGTCATAGATGTGTGGTGTTATTTCTGAGGCCTCTATTCTGTTCCATTGGTCTATATCTCTGTTTTGGTACAAGTACCATGCTGTTTTGGTTACTGTAGCTTTGTAGTATAGTTTGAAGTCAGGTATCATGATGCCTCCAGCTTTGTTCTTTTTGTTTAGGATTGTCCTGGCTGTGTGGGCTCTTTTTCAGTTTCATATGAAATTTGAAGTAGTTTTTTCTAATTCTGTGAAGAAAGTCAATGGTAGCTGGATGAGGATAGCATTGAATCTATAAATTACTTTGGGCAGTATGGCCATTTTCACAATATTGATTCTTCCTATTCATGAGCATGGATGTTTTTCCATTTGTTTGTGTCCTCTCTTACTTCTTCAAGCAGTGGTTTCTAGTTCTCTTTGAAGAGGTCCTTCACATTCTTAGTAAGTTGTATCCCTAGGTATTTTATTCTGTTTGTAGCAATTGTGAATAAAATTTCACTCATGATTTGGCTCTCTGTTTGTCTGTTATTGGTGTATAGGAAAGCTTGTGATATTTGTACATTGATTTTGTATCTTGAGGCTTTGCTGAAGTTGCTTCTCAGCTTAAGGAGATATTGGTCTGAGACGATGGGGTTTTCTAAACATATAATCATGTCATCTGCAAAGAGAGACAATTTGACTTCCTCTTTTCTTATGTGAATATCCTTTCTTTCTTTCTCTTGCCTGATTGCCCTGGCCAGAACTTCCAATACTATCTTGAATTGGAGTGGTGAGAGATGGCATCCTAGTCTTGTGCTGGTTTTCAAAGGGAATGCTTCCCACTTTTGCCCATTCAGTATGATATTGGCTGTGGGTTTGTCATAAATAGCTCTTATTATTTTGAGATACTTTCCATCAATACTTATTTTATTGAGGGGTTTTAGCATGAAGGGTGTTGAATTTTATTGAAGGCCTTTTCTGCATCTACTGAGATAATCATGTGATTTTTGTAATTGGTTCTGTTTATATGATGGATTACGTTTATTGATTTGCATACGTTGAAACAGCCTTATGTCCCAGGGATGAAGCCGACGTGATCATGGTGGACAAGCTTTTTGATGTGCTGCTGGATTTCGTTTGCCCATATTTTATTGAGGATTTTCTCACTGATATTCATCAGAAATATTGGCCTGAAATTTTCTTTTTTTGTTGTGTCTCTACTAGGTTTTGCTATCAGGATGATGCTGGCCTCATAAAATGAGTTAGGGAGGAGTCCCTCTCTTGCTATTTTTTGGAATACTTTCAGAAGGAGTGGTACCAGATCCTCTTTGTAACTCTGGTTGAATTCTGCTGTGAATCCATCTAGTCCTGTGCTTTTTTTGGTTGGTAGGTTATTAATTACTACCTCAATTTCAGAACTTGTTATTGGTCTATTCAGGGATTTGACTTCTTCCTGGTTTAGTCTTAGGAGGGTGTATGTGTCCAGGAATTTATCCATTTATTCTACATTTTCTGGTTTATTTGAATAGAGCTGTTTATAGTATTCTCTGGTGGTAGTTTGTATTTCTGTGGGATCAGTGGTAATATGCCCTTTATTGTTTTTTATTGTTTCTATTTCACTCTTTTCTCTTTTCTTCTTTATTAGTCCGGCTAGTGGTCTATTTTGTTACTCTTTTCAAAAAACCAGCTCCTGGATTCATTGATTTTTTGAAGGGTTTTTCATGTCTCTATTTCCTTCATTTCTGCTCTGATTTGAGTTTTTTCTTGTGTTCTGCTAGCTTTTGAATTTGTTTGCTTTTACTTCTCTAGTTCTTTTAATTGTGCTGATAGGGTATTGATTTTAGATCTTTCCCACTTTCTCCAGTGGGAATTTAGTGCTATAAATTTCCCTCTAAACACTGCTTTAGCTGCCTCCCAGAGATTCCGGTACGTTGTGTCTTTATTCTCAGTGGATTCAAATAACTTATTTATTTCATTTATTTACCCAGTAGTCATTCAGGAGCAGGTTGTTCAGTTTCCATGTAGTTGTACAGTTTTGACTGAGTTTCTTAGTCCTGAGTTCGAATTTGATTGCACTGTGGTCTGAGAGACTGTTATGATTTCCATTCTTTTGCATTTGCTGGGGAGTGTTTTTTCTTCCAATCTTGTGGTCAATTTTAGAATAAGTGCGATGTGGTGCTGAAAAGAATGTATCTTCTGTTGATTTGGGGTGGAGAGTTCTGTTGATGTCTATTAGGTCCACTTGGTCCAGAGCTGATCCAAGTTCTGAATATCCTTGTTAATTTTCTCTCTTGTTGATCGGTCTTATATTGACAGTGGGGTGTGAAAATATTCCACTCTTACTGTGTGGGAGTCTAAGTTTCTTTGTACATCTCTAAGAACTTGCTTTATGAATCTGAGTGCTCCTGTATTGGGTGCATATATTTAGGATAGTTAGCTCTTCTTGTTGCATTGATCCCTTTACCGTTATGTAATGCCCTTCTTTGTGTTTTTTGATCTTTTAATTGGGGCATTTAGCCCATTTGCAATTAAGGTTTATATTGTTAGGTGTGAATTTGAGCCTGTCATTATGATGCTAGCTGGTTATTTTGCCCATTAGTTGATGCAGTTTCTTCATAGTCTCGATGGCCTTTACAATTTGGTATGTTCTTGCAGTGGCTGGTACTGTTTTTTCCTTTCCATATTTAGTACTTCCTTCAGGAGCTCTGGTAAGGCAGGCCTGGTGGTGACAAAATCTCTCAGCATTTGCTTGTTTGTAAAAGATTTTATTTCTCCTTTGGGTATGAAGCTTAGTTTGGCTGGATATGAAATTCTGGGTTGAAAATCCTTTTCTTTAAGAATGTTAAATATTGGCCCCCAATCTCTTCTAGCTTGTAGGGTTTCTGCAGAGAGATCCACTGTTAGTCTGATGGGTTTCCCTTTGTGGGTAACCCGACCTTTCTCTCTGGCTGCCCTTAACATTTTTTCCTTCATTTCAACCTTGGTTAATCTGATGATTATGTGTCTTGTGGTGCTCTTCTTGAGGAGTATCTTTGTGGTGTTCTCTGTATTTCCTGAATTTGAATGTTGGCCTATCTTGCTAGGTTGGGGAAGTTCTCCTGGATATTATCCTAAAGAGTGTTTCCAACTTGATTCCATTCTCTCCATCACTTTCTGGTACACCAATCAATCATAGGTTTGGTCTTTTCACACAGTTCCATATTTCTTGGAGGCTTCGATCATTCCTTTTCATTCTTTTTTCTCTAATCTTGTCTTCACACTTTATTTCATTAAGTTGATCTTCAATCTCTGATACCCTTTCTTCTGATTGATCGATTTGACTATTGATACTTGTGTATGCTTCACGAAGTTCTTGTGCTATGTTTCTCAGCTCCATCAGGTCATTTGTGTTCTTCCCTAAACTGGCTATTCTAGTTTGCAATTCCTCTAACCTGTTTTCAAGTTTCTTAGCTTCCTTTCATTGGTTTAGAACATGCTCCTTTAGATTGGAGGAGTTTTTGTCTAATATTAGTTTAGAAAATTAGCTTTTCTTTGGCTATCATTTGCATGGAATATATTTTCTCAACAATTCTCTTTTAAACCACCTGTGTCTTTAGATCCAATGTTAGCCTCTTGTGTACAGCATACAGTTAGATCATTTTTTAAATCCAATATGTCGGGCAGGAAGAATGAGTAATTATTGCTTAATAGTTACAGAGTTTCTGTTTCGGATGATGAACAGATAGTAGTAATGATTATACAGTGGTGTAAATTAATTAAAGCCACTGAATTGTAAAATTGTTTAACATTACAAGTTGCATGGTTGAGATATATATATATGGACATATATATGGATAGATATATATGGATATATAGATATATATGTCCATATATATCTATATATGTATATGGACATATATATAGATATATATATGTCCATATATATAGATATATATATGTCCATATATATAGATATATATATGTCCATATATATAGATATATATATGTCCATATATATAGATATCTATATATATGTCCATATATATAGATATCTATATATATGTCCATATATATAGATATCTATATACATGTCCATATATATAGATATATAATGTCCATATATAGAGAGATATATATATGTCCATATATACATATCTATATATATCTCCAGAGAGAGAGAGACAGAGAAAGAGATGAGAGAGCGAAAGAGAGAGAGAAAGTGCCACCATTTAGAAAGAAAAGATTCTGGAAACAACATAGTTCAAAATCCATTCAAAGCAAATACTAATTAAAATTTTTATATTTTAAAAATACATAGTGAAACATTAAAATCATAGATATGTCAATAATGATGGGAGAATTTTCAAGTAATATGTAATGATATTGAGGCAGAATAAATTAATATAGAATTTCATTTAAAAAATTTATTTATTCAACAGATATTTATGAAGTGGCTAGTATATACTGAGTATTTTGCTAGATAATTAGAATGAAAAAGATACTGTCACTATCCTGAAGATGTCAGTCTCTATATAAATACTACACTTGATCTTAGCCAAAAGGCCGAGAAGCAATAGTCTCTGTATAAATAAATGTCTATAGTTTGTTTCTTACTACATTAACCTATGCAAGTTATTGAAAAGCAATATCCAGTCATTTCAATTCATCTTCAATGTTTCCTTTATATATATTTTATATAGTATCCCTTTCACAATAAAACTATTTGGGGCAATTAAGTCTTTGGAAAAAATATTTTAAAGTTAAGTTTTTCATCACATAACTTCCTTTAAAGCAAATCTCTCATATTTCAAAAAGTAAAGTAATTTAAGCAATCTAAGTTATAGAAAAATTACATAGAATTATATAAGTGAATTTTTAGTAATTTTGGAAATATATGAAGTCCTAGACATGACAGTAATAAGAAATTACAAATTCATTTAGTAAAATTAATGCATATTAACCAATATTAAAAGAAAAATAATAGTCATAATGCTATATAGTATAAAATACGATAAAATGTAAGAAAAACTCTAAGCACCTGATAAAGAAAAGAAAAAACTCCATTAAAAAATAGACGAAGGACACGAACACACATTTCTTAAAAGAAGACATACAAGCAGCCAACAAACACATGAAAAAATGCTCAGCATCACTAATCATCAGAGAAATGCAAATCAAAACCACAATGAGATACCATTTCACACTTGTCAAAATGGCTATTATTAAAATGTCAAAAACAACAGATCCTGGTAAGGCTGAAGAGAAAAGAGAGTGTTATACACTGTTGGTGGGAATGTAAATTTGCACCACCACTGTGGAAAGCAGTCTCATGATTAATCAAAGAAGTTAAAACAGAGATACCATTTAGCCCAGATATCCCATTACTGGGTATATATCCAAAGGACTATAAATCATTCTATCAAAAAGATACATTCATTCATGTGTTCATTGCTGCACTATTCACAATTGCAAAGACATGGAATCAACCCAAGTCCCTATCAATGGTAGATTGGAAAAAAAAATGTGGTACCTATACATCATGGAATACTACATGGTCATAAAAAAGAATAAAATCTTTCCCTTTGCAACAGCATGGATAGAGATGGAGGCCATAATCCTAAGCAAATTAAATGCAAAACAGAAAACCAAATTCCACATGTTCTCATTTGTAAGGAGAGCTAAACATTGAGCATAAAATAACATAAATATGAGAACAATAAACACTGAAGAACACTAGAGGGGTAGGGAGGGGGTTGTCTGTTGAAAAACTGTCTATCAGGTACTATGCTCACAGTCTGAGTGGCAGGATCCATACCTTGAATCTCAGCATCATGAAAATTCCCATGTAACAAACCTGCACATTTGCCTCCTGTATCTAAAATAAAAGTTGAAAAAAATACACAAAATACAAAAAATATTGCAGAAAGATGTTATTTTTTAAAAAAGGAAAAACAATTATTTTTGTTAACAACCATAGGAGAACCTGTTCAACCTCATTAGAAATCAAGAAGACTGCATTAATATTACAGAGACTGTTTTTTTCATCATTATATTAGTAAAGATCACTGAAAATTATATTAACTAAAGCTAGTAAGGTTATGTGGAAAAAATATTTACATAACATTGTTGATGACGTTGTAAAATTTTAGTACAGCAATTTTAAATATATATTTTAAGCCCTTAAAATGTTAATATTATTTGATCCAGAAATTCCATTTATAAAAATTAATTGTATGGAAATACAATATATAAAATGTAAAGGAATATGTTAAACACCTTATTATTAATGAATATCAAAAAATGAAAATTCTAAACATTTTGTGTTAAAATAATGCTGATGAGTATTATGTAGATATACGGAAAAATGCAAGTAATATAATGTTAGGGGAAACATAAGGACGTGAAATTTATTTTATGTTAAAACAAACAAAGACACCTGTAACAAATAGAGAAAAAATGTCTGCCAAAGTACCTCACTGTTTGTAGCACGCCTTGACATTAACCTACTGTGTAGTGTTGGACAAGATACTTTATTTTTAGCTTGGCTTAACTATAAATGCAAGGTTTTGAAATTCTCAAATTATAATTATAAATTTGAAATGATATTTTATATATAGTAATTACACTATTAAACAGGTATTTGCTATTTCAACTAGATGTACTTTTAAGAGTGAACAGACTTTAAAAACTCATAATAAAGTTCCTCTGGCTATAAGAATGTGTATTAGAGTCATATGAAAGAGGTTTGATACATTTTTGAATATGAAGCATGAATCCTTGGCTATCAGTAGGATACCCCAAAGATGGATATAAAGAAGTTAATGAATATACTTAACTGAAGGACTTGTCAGCTAAAAGATAATGCAGTAAACTAGGAAAAGAGACAAGAACGTAGGCAAATTGTGTAAACTTGTAAAACTCAAAGAAATTTACTAAGGCCAATTTGGAATAACCTAAGTCAAAATTATTGTCAATGAAAGTTATAAAGTTCTGAAAAATGGCTAAACTCAAGGACTTATTGGCAGTCTTATTTCTTTTACCAATATTTTGTTCCTAAGATTCTGATAAACACTATGGCAATTGTGTTAAGAATATTAATGATGAAAAGGATGAGCAGACATCACCATTTTTGATAGCATGTAGTTTACATTGCTCTGTAATGCAAATTGTGAGTGCCATTGTAAATGCCTTATAGCTGGCTCTGAGGTAGACCCAGACAGGAGAGTGTTGAGTAAGCTGTTAGAAGTACGTGTAGAGTGGGATGGCTTATTTAATTCACTTTGATTTGGTTAGAAACCAGGTGCTAGTAAGAAACACAGGAGCAAGAATTTTTGGCGTCAAAAGCTTTTCAATCAGGTAGAAAGTAAATCAAGATATAGTAATGAGATCTGTATAAAATATGTGTAGAATTTACTAATTTGCATAATGATACTAAAACTCTCAAAAAAATATGCCAATTTGTCTCCCTTTTTCTCATACTGGTAAAGTTCATGCACTCTAGGATAATCAGTAGTTGCCTACATCGAATGAGATCAAGGGGATTCTAAAGACCAGAAACCACTCTCTCCTGTTTATCTCCTTTTGTGCCCTCTTCTCCAGGCACTGGCCTGAACTCCATCATCAGGAAATTAAGATGCTTTCCCCTATTACAATGCATATATCCCAGGAATGATCATGTATTTTGTTGTTGGCAGTGTACTGAAATAAAGATGAATACTGAGCTCAGAGCCACAAACCCTAAAATGTAATCTGAATTTTATATTCTACTTATAAGCCACATGACTTTGGGCAAGATTCTTAATTTATTAGAGCCTGATCATATTTTACTGTAAATTAGAAGTAATAATGTCTGACTATTCTACTTTAAAGGTGAGTGTAAAAAGGGGTGAAATAATAATGCTCATAAAATCGCTTTGTAGATTGCAAAGTTTTTTCCTCTATTATTTCAAACTAGTTTAGTAGCGTTCTTCCAATAGAACAGTAAGCTGATGGCAAACTTGAATGTCAGAAGTCACCTGAATACAAGTACTAATGGTGATGCTTCTGGGAGGATATGGAAGCAGAAGTAAGAACTTTCTGAAGATGAATATTGCCTCCTTCATATTTTATGATGGATCTTTCTGTATTCATTAAAAATTCTTTTTATTTCATCTTAAACATGTCATAAAATTCATAGCATTTTGAGACAACATATCCTTATGAATGTCTATAATGATTTTTCAATGCCATTAATGGTACATATGCTGACTGCTAGTTCTAGGTTATATCACGTCTGCAAAACACATCCTCTTGTTCCATTTGCTCCTATAATCTTTTTGTTCATCTTCGTTAATGCATAAAGCTTTTGTCATGTAATGCCCCTAATGTCAGAGCAAACAGAGTGCTGAGTAGTGCCAAAATAGTGTGAAATAATAAAAGCAGAAATAATTTTTTACTGTGAATGCTTAAATCCTTTGAAGAGATATGTGCTTTCACTAATTTGATTATTTCAAAGCCTTTTAAATAGCAGTGTTCTTTTTCACACTAATTAATGCCTTCATCCCCTCGGCCTCACTCAATATGTGGCATAGCCCCCTCCACTTAGCAGAGAAAACTAAGCATGTCTTTCCACGGTTCTCTTTGTTTTTCCAAATATAGTTTTACTTTCATATATTCAAATCACTTTCTTTCATTCAAAATTAATTAAACCTTATCATTTCCAAAGTATATTTGTACAATATTCTGGATTGAAATTTTTTTCTTCCAGTCTCCTCTGAAACTGATCTATCTTCTCTTCCCAATCGCTCTCATTTTTTCTTATCCAACTACTTTTTAGCATCGCAGTCCGTGTAGTGAATACGGGGTGCTCCCTCCAGGTCAGGGTTAGCACTCCCATCTCCCAGCTGCTCGGGGTACCTGCTGCTGCCGATTTGCCTTTTTACCCATCATAATGAATTCCTTGGTCACAGTTGAAGTCCTAGGTGATATAGAAATATAAATGTCTGACCCTGTTGTTTCTGTTAGGATAACTCTGTAGGACAATCAAAGCTTCAGAATTCCCCTTAAGTATGACTAGCCCTTAGGTACAATTACCTGTGGGTCAGCTTATCCTTCTTGCCTATCCTCCCTTCCTCTTTACATACAGGTGTGTCCTGAGTGTACCAACTCACAAACCTATTTCTCTGCCGTGAATACTACTCTATGAAATTCAAACTAGCATAGCTCATGCTAGGTGTAGTTCTCAATACAAAGGCAAAAATGAAATATTGGACATGGATTGCCTGCTAGCTGGCTGACAAAAGAGACCCCCATCACTGGAGGGGAGGTAGACATGGGCTTAACTTAATTTGCCAAACTCTATGACATTAGAAGTGTCTATTCCAAAGAAAGAACCTGTGTGAAATTTATGTGAAGCCCTCATAGGAGAATCACAATATAGACCTCTTTGGTCTCTGGAGAAAAGTGATTCCATCTCCAGCAAATCTGCTTACCATTTCTTAGTCAGAGGCCCTTGTAGAGAGAAATGCTTACATGTATCCCATGTATCCAGGGCTACACATTATATTTGGACTCTGTCTGCCTAATAAGCTATAAGGTACAGCAGGGCAATGTAAAAAGTTGTAGTATGTAATGTATTCACCTGGAATCAGGGATGAGCCAAGCCACAGGGCACCAGCAAGCTATCCAAGCTGGCAGCCCAGGTGTCCATCTCATCACCAGCCTAGGACCTGCACCACTCAACAACTAGCAAATATGCCACCTAAGGGACAATCCCTATGGTGACCTAAGATAGAACAAAAGGCGAAGATTTGCTCACAGATAGACAGGCTCAGCATGCAAGCTAAATATTGAGGTTTCCTCTTCAACAGCCCCTCAGTTAGTTGTTCTTAAAACATAAGTGAGGAGAAAATGCTCCCCACTGCACAGAACTCTGGACAGTGCATCTGGGTATCCATTTTCTGCAAATACAAGTGGAATGAGATAAGAATATGGGTGATTCATGGACAGAGGTGAAAGATTTGACCCAGTCAGGGATCTAGGATTACTAAAATATCACATTAGGGAAAAAGGGGTCCGAGGAAAAAGCCCCAAACAATGAGCACTCCTAATACTTCAGAGATTTTACAACAGCCTGGCTCTGTCATTGGCATAAAGAATGCATTAACAAATGCGGGCCACACATGAGCCCAACCTGACTCCTCATGCACACAGGAGGATCCAGCTTCTACCACAGCTGAATGTTCAATCTGTCACCAATAGAAGCCAAAAATGAGTGCTCAAGGTGCCACCAATGTGGCTAAATCAATCAACTATTTGGTGGCAGATTGATAATATTGGGCTCTTTTCACCCCAAAGAGGCATTAATTTATTTAGACATGAATAGACACACACTCTGGTATGAGTTTGCCTTTCCTGTTCACCAGGCCTCAACATTTTAGGACTTGCAGAATTTTTGCAGGAGTCTTTGTAACTCCTCATCCCTACAGAACCATTGTACAACAAAAGAGGTGCTGGAGCATCATCAAGACACCTAGTGGTGCCCTCGGCGCTGCATCACCCTCAGAGTTTGGGCAAAAGAGGACAGACAGTTCAATGGCCTCTTCGTATATAGTTAGTGTTTCATCTAGGAGATATACTATGAGAAGGGGACACCACCCCCAAGGTGTGGTGGAATAGACCTGGAATCACTGACCAATACACAGTTCTGTGTCCCTGGCAGGTAGGTAGACTACATGGGTCAGAGAACGAAGAGGTGGATTTAGGACAGGTTGCAGCTATCACCTTTCCCAGCTGCTCAAATGGGGAATGTGAGCATCTTGTGCTGACAACTCTGTACTGTGCAAGTGGAGGCCATAAGCCACGGTGCTTTCTGGTGCTTCTAAACACTTTGTACCAAGAGATCAGTAAACAGTTTAAGGAGTCACCTTCTGCAGGGATAATTGTCCCTTAACACAATCAGGAGGTAGGAGGAAGGTGAAGAAGAACTTATTTGGCATGCAATAACTCTGCTAAATGTTTATGCTGCCATTGTCACTTTTAATGGTCAGTGGGAATAAATCAGCATCCATAGCCACAGGATCAGCTCTTGGGATGACAGTGTGAGTTAGCCCAGGAGGCAAACTTCCCAGAGCAGCAGATGTTATGGTAATGACAGGGCCAATCAAGAATGAGGAGTGGAGGAGGGGATGATGCTTGTCAGTTATGGCCTTGACAACAGCCATAGCAGCAGGGGCTATTTATCATCTCACTAACCCTTCTCTTGTTTTCTACAGAAGGACCAGTGAGAATCCAGGGCCAGTGAGAATCCAAAATGCACCTGGATGGGCCCACTTTAGCATAAAAAGCCAGTGGGGCTGTGGAATGGGAGATGTGCACTGCAGTGGATATTGTGGTTCTCTGCTCACATCTGTTGGGAGGGCTGCTGGACTCCCAGCATCTAGAAATATCATCTGTTGAAAGCTCTCTCAAAGAAAACTCTTAACGGAACCCAATCTAAGACAGCTTGTATAGAGATTAAAATTGATATATTTGAAGTGAATTTTCATCTTCCCCTCAACCACTCTCTTCTTTAATTTATTTTAGGGATTGTCAGCACTTTTACTCCATCTTCTAAGCATTACATTTGAAAATAAAATCAACTTTACCATCAGACTCCCTGCCTCTAATTCTGTTAATTCTAATTCCCACACACCTCATGAATCTCTATGTCATCATTATCATTATACACCACTAATATAGTTTAGATACCTTTTCTCTCTTGCGTATTCACAGTAAATTCAAAATTAATTTATTTTCTCTACTCTTGACATTCCACATTGTATAATGTAAGCCCACTCCCTTCCCTTTTTTCAACTTAAATCATATTTCTGCTACATAACATCTTTCAATGGTAGTATCATGATCAGATTTAAATCCTTGTTAAGACACACAAAATCCTTCAAGATTTAGCCTTGCTCAATTTTATTTATTTATTTATTTTATTTTACTTTATTTTATTGTTTTTTGAGACAGAGTCTCACTCTGTCGCCTGGGCTGTAGTGCAGTGTTGCAATCTTAGCTCACTGCAAGCTCCACCTCCTGGTTTCACGCCTTTCTCCCGCTTCAGCCTCCTCAGTAGCTGGGACTACAGGCGTCCGCCACCACACCCTGCTAATTTTTTGTATTTTTAGTAGAGACGGGGTTTCACTGTGTTAGCCAGGCTGGTCTCGATCTCCTGACCTTGTGATCCACCTGCCTCGGCCTCCCAAAGAGCTGGGATTACAGGCGTGAGCCAGTGCGCCCAGCCTCAAATTTCTAATCTCATTTTTGCCACTGACTTTCAACTGTACTCTGTTCCAGCCAAGCAACTCTTGATTATTCACAAATCATGATGCTTTTGCTCATTCCTTCCACCTTGCCTGTTGCCCACTCTGCCTGAGGGGCCCCACTTGAGCGCTCCCCCAACTTCGGCCAGTTCATGTCTCGTTTTATGTTTCAGTCTCCAGGAAAATCATAACTCCTTAGGGAAGCTTTTTCAAAAACACACTACTGGCTGAAATATGTGTCCTTACTAACTGCTCCATAGCACCTTGTGTAATAAACAGTAATAAAATATTTTATTTATTAATTTTTAGAAATTAGTGATATTGATGAGAAGATTATGAATGACTTTGTTATGAGCTCTTTCAGTGCACTATTTTAATGCAATGAGGAGTTCCTGGTTAATAACATGTTAATGTGGGTTTAGGAAGTTAGCTCTCCAAATGGAAATTATATTTGTACACACACATACCACATGTCACATACCTGTACACAACTAGGCACTGAAGAAGGATAAAATGTGAAGATGTGTATTATTGTGTTATAACCTGAGAGGGAAGACAGAGTAGGTAGAAGTTCATTTCTTTTTCAAGTGTGGAATACTAAAGAGCCTTGCCAATCCTACAGTCACACTCAGGAAGCGTGGGTAGAGAAGATGCACCTCTGTAATTCAGCAGCATCGGCACAAGGCTTTGTTTTTGGTGGTCAAAATTTATATCAAACCAGAATATTCTCCTGGTTAGCAAAAATGCAATAGACATGGTACTTGCTGATAAAACTAAGTGCATCTGGATATGAGGTGCTAAAGGCAGCTTGTTTCTTCAGGTCTATTGCAGGGGAAGTATTCAACACCTCTGCTCATGAGCCAGTTGGTGTAACAGCCTGCTTGCTGCAACCTGTCCTCTGGCATCAGGCAATCTTTCAACGGGGCGGTGAAAAACAGAGGAAATTAGAGGTGTCACGTACTTAAAATATGGACAGGAAAGAGGATAAATGGCCATTCTGTAGAGTTTGTAAGCAGTAACCTGAATGCTTGTAAAAGACGTTTTGTTGTTTATTATATTATTAAGACTATATTTATTACTTTTATATTATTTTGGATTATAATATAGAACTATATATACTTATCTTACAGTTTGATGTTTTAGACTCAACTTTAGTTAAGTTAAAAAAGTAAGGTGAGCATTAAATGAAAAATTGACTAGTGAATTCTAATATATCATAAAGTTGATAAGAAGTATGCAATTGCACAAAATGTTGTTTAATGTTCACCCATTCACCATGGGAATAACTGATTGCATAAAAGCCAAATGGAACAAATTAGCATATGCTTGAAATACAGGATTAGTAGTTATTTTAAAAACAAAACGTCGCCCAAATAAGTTGATCTAATATATTTAGATGGAGAAGGTATATTTACAAATCATTCTTTATGCATAACTTTTTATTTTGATCCAACGATTCTCCATATAAATGAAATATACTCATTTTGAATATGAAGTTTTCTTATCAAAGTGAGCCGAATGATATTTATTTGTCTCCATTAGTAGAATAAATCCACAGATAATTAAATGATGTCTTCTTTCTATTAATGCTTCAAATTTAAAAAAATCTGTTAACTCTAATAACTGTTTTTTCCATCCCATTTGTAGAATAAAAGTTTTAGAAATTTATTTCTATCAAATTAAACTATCTCTATTATTTTGAATGCTACCATAAATTCATCTAAACCTTTAACATTGGTTATGTTATTTACTATACACTGATAATATGAATATATGCAATTAATAGAGCACAGAGTTGTAGCAAGATCAAATTCTTCTAAATTAAAAAACATATGTACCTGAAGTGCACCTGAATTGATTTTGGTGAACATGCCATTCATAATTGCATCTCAACAAACTGTGATCCTCTACCAAAAATAATCTACCAAAAATGATTAGTCTACTTATTAATGATTAGATAATTAATAGAATGAAATATCTCTCAGTTTCTCTTTAGTGTGCCTAGTATATGTTTATATTTTAGAGATAACAGTCTTTTAAAAATAATGCTTGACAAAATAATCTTACAGGTGAACCAATACCAGGAAACCAATTTGTTAGCTAATAATTATTTATTATCACATCTTGGGCAGCAAATTGCATGGCCACATTACTTATTATTAGCCCGAGGAGACCACATATTCAACTAAAACTATACGGAACTCAGATAAGAGGAAAACATTTAAATATGTCTCCGACACCCACCCCTTTCCCAAACAGAGATTCCTTACTTAAAATCATTTGGCACCTCTGTTGCTTTGTTTGTGATTATCTATATTATATCTGTGATATCTTCCACAGCCAGTGACCCTTCCTGTTTCTGATATCAAATATAAAAAATGTAACTAAGATTGTTTAAAATACAAAGCAAATGTTAAATACAAATAACACCATGGAATAAAAGCTTTTGATAAAGTAAACATGAATTTATTTTCTACACTACAATCAGAATTATCTTTTTTATTCTCTCGCTCCCTCTTCCTCACCCTGCCCTCCTTATGTTCTTGGAAAAAAGCAAATAGCAAAGCCCTTTCATGCCTCTGATTTAACACTTCTCATTTCCTCTCTTTGAAACCTTTTTACTCCTACTCATTTCATAGCTATTCCATTCTTGCTATGGTCTCACTACAAATATTACTGCCTTAGGGAGTCTTTTCCTGCAAAACTACTAAAAGACCTTCTGAAACCCCTCTCTGTCAATACCTTTCTCCTTTTTTTTTTCCATAGGCCTCATTGCCATGAATCCCTCCTGCTGTGCACCTCTCCTTGTAATGAGAGCTTCCAGTCAGTCTAACTGACCCACTGTTGAAGCCCTGGGTCCTAATGGAGTTACTGGCATGCAGGGGACGTGCAATAATTCCAACTTTTGTAAAATAAACATATTAAAACAGAATCAATTTTAATGAAGAAAAATCACTTCATTTCCCTGTAGTTATGTGGTTGTCATGTTATTGGAGGCCTGTAATCGGGAAGTGGGGGAAACATATACTAAAACGAGAGCTTATAAAAGCCTATGAAATGCCCAACTTTAGAGAAGGCATGGTGAAAACAGCCAGTAATATTTTCTGGACTGTGCAAGCCCAATGGTCTCTGTCTTCTCTCGAGAACTTTGGTCAAAGGACCTTGAATTTGGATTGAATAATTCCTGCCATTAGTAATAGTCTTAATTTGCTGAACTTGGTAGAGATCAAGTCGAAAGGAGAGAGCAAAAGAAATAAATAAATGAACAAAACTAATAGCAATGTATGATGAAATTTTTGAATATTTTAAAGCCTGGAATTTGACCCAAAACCTTTATATTAAGTAATTACAGACCAGATTTTTACTTTCCCATGTCTTTCCATGGACCTGTGAAGCTCCTGCTTGCTCCTCCAGAACAAGGAAGTCAAATGTGGTCACGTACGTTTGGTGAGCTTCATTAGCACGATAGTCTGAGGATATTTTCATAAAAGAAAATCATTTAACATTGTTTATGCAAGCACTTTCTTTTTCCCATGAAATGCAAGTTGAGAAGTGATAAAATATGCACTATAGAATAGAATATGTAATACATTTACATATAGTGTTAATGGATTTAAGATACCTATTGATTTATTAAAACTTGTTTGTTTTTGACAGTCAAAAACAGTGTTTCATTAAAAATATTCCTTGGACATTTATATGAAATGATAAGCATATAATTTTTCTTGAATTTTAAAATACAATTAAATATTTCCCATACGCAAAACCTGAAAGTAAAGATGAAGAAAGAACAACACAACAAATCCCAGCACTTTTACTACTGGAGTTCACTATAACAGAATCATTGAAGACTGTCAATGGCAAAAGCCATGTATGTGGTAAAACTGTTTCAATCTAAGGGCTGATTAAATAATTAATTAAAGAATATAAAAGAAAAATACGTTCTGCAGAAGAATAATTTGCCTATGAGCTACTATCTATAAGAGATAAATCTTATTTGAAGGAATGCATGCAAACAGGTAAGCATTACAGAACCTTGGATTCAATGCAATCACATTGAATTATACAATGTGGGCCAGGTGTGGTGGTTCACGCCTGTAATCCCAGCACACTGGGAGGCTGAGGTGGGAGGATCAGTTGAGGTCAGGAGTTCAGAATCAGCCTGGCCAACATGGTAAAAACCCCGTCTCTATTAAAAATACAAAAATTAGCTGGGAGTGGTGGCACACACCTGTAGTCCCAGCTACTCGGGAGGCTGAGGCAGGAGAATTGCTTGAACCTGGGAGGTGGATGTTGCAGTGAGCTGAGATCGCACCACTGCACTCCAGCCTGGGTGACAGAGCAAGACTGCACCTCAATATATATATGTACACACACACATATACGTATATATATATACACATATGTATACATATATATGTATATATATACATACATACAATGTGATCATAAGTAATGATTAATCCATGTGCAATTGAAGATGAAATGTTGAAATTTTATCAAGCAGAATTTTTCATATTAAGAGAATGAGGCATATAATATGTAATCCATCATTTGTTCCTGACACTGAATCATTTGATGGCTGAACACAAGCACAGATTATAAGTAATTTGAAAATACTTCATTTAGTGTGTGTGATGCATTCTGAGAGTCTGCTGTTCTTTCAGTGAAGCAACATCTTTGTTATTTATTAAAATGGGCATTCACTGTGCTGGGCCCTTTCCTATGTTATCTCTGATCCCTGCAAGAGCTATGCAATAGCTAGAGTTATTGCAATTTCCCAGTATACAATAAAGGAAGCACCATACACGTTCACCACATTTCATAGCTAAGAAGTAGAAATCACAACTAAGTCTGTCATTTTCCACATATATTTCTTCTTTTATTCTGACCTACCTTTTTAGTGATTTCCCTAACCAAACATCAGACTCATTTATTGAACATGATTATAAATAAACTCTTATTGCTAATGCCTGACTTCTTTCTTAAAATAGAGGAAAGACTTAGAGTCCCATTTAGAATAAGACACTAAACCCAGGAAAGCAATTTATTCATAGCATGCTCTGAGTCATCACTTCTTCTTATAATAATGCTGCTATTTTAAGAATTTGTCTCCACCATATGTGAAAAGTTTCCCATAAGCTATTCATTTGAGTAAGGCCCATTGTAAAATTGGCTCAAAGCTTGAAAATGCCAGTAACCTAGAGAATGTCAGTGGGAAGGGAAGAGGAAACAAAGCTTGCCCTAACTTTTTATTTTTGACACTTACAATACAGGTACAAAGCTGGCTGCTAGCTCCATCAGAAAACAGGGATACAAAGCTGGCTGCAACTAAGGGACACAGGTTAATGAATAAATTCACTTTCAAATGACATCAAGTGTTCCTTGGATGCAGACCATTCAAAACTGTAATGCATTAATAATGTACAAATGGAAGGTGAAGTTGTATTAATGCTAATGAAAGGCTTACATGTTGAACAAAAAAGGTTAAAAATCCCCCAGCACATTCTTTATTCATTTCCTTACCAGCTCACTGTTTTCAGGTCCAATTATTCATGACCTAGAGAAAAATTTCTGTTTAAAGAAACTGAAGCAACTTTCACATATAAAGGTAAACTAAACCCTATGTTAACTATTTTATGTGCAATAAAAGTAGCTTTTTACCACATAGGTAAAAAACAAAAACAACAACATTTGAAAGAACGATTTATGTAGCTTATAACTTATTCTATAGAACATGTTAAAAATTACAACAATAATGCTTTGAAGGCAGTATCTATTTATACTCTTCTCACATCACAAATCACCTGGTATTTGATATTTGACTCATGAGTGTCCAGCAATAACCGTAAACATACCTTTTATCCTTTGCAAATTGTCTTGATGAATCTTCTGTTTAAGCAATTGATCAAACTGTCCCACCAAATCCTATTTCTATTTGGCATTATCCCTCTTGAGTCTGTAACTAGGCCCTCATAATGCTTAGACTTTTCTCCATACTGCATGAAAGTACCTACCCAATTCTAGATCTGTCCTTTTCATTAGACTGTAGACTTCTTGAGGGGAGGGACTGCATCTGTTGTTATACTCCTAGTATGTAGCAATAGTCATGTAGCATAATTGATGCATAATAAGAATGTCTTCAATAAATAAATTGACAAGTCCTATTTGGAAGATATTGTGGTAATACAAATGAGAAGAGGTTAGCTAAGTTAGTAATATTGAAAATGGAAAAGAGGGAACACCTTTTAGATTTGTTTAGAGAAAGTTATTAAAAGGCTAAATGGCAAGGGTAAGGATAAGGCAAGAGGATAGAATTAAATCTGGATTTATTTAGATAGTTGAGATGGGAATACAAAGGTGTGAGACTAAAATGGACAGCAAGCTCAATGTTGAACACACTTTTGAAATGTCGTTATTATGGAGTCTTAGAGATCATGCATGTTTGAACTGGACATAATAGAACAGGAATGCATTATCATTGGGCCAGTTGCCTAAATTAAAGATTGAACTAAATTGTCTAATCAAGCTCAGAACTTCTCCCTCAAATGTATTTCATCTAAATTTATTCCCTTCAAATTAACTTCACATAAAAAAAATATATTTCATCAACTATATTAAAAAATTCAGAGGAGTATACAGGTCTTCACTTTGAGAATTTATTTGAAATCTATTAAGGAGAAAAGTTAATCTTTTTCTATTAAAATTTTTCTAAAACTCAAACATTATAGATTAATTTTATAATACCTTAATGATATCAATCTGGTAAGTTGATGTATTACAATATTTATTTTAATCATAGCCATGTAAAATTTTTCAAAAGAATGCCCCAAATTCATGTGGTAAAGAAAGCACCAGCACATTTCCACATACTACTGGTCATGGTATGCTGTTTGTTATTCTTAACCTACAGATTTTATTTTCAGAAAGTTTACATGCCATCTGTGTGATGAAAATAGCAAAAAACTTTGTTTTGTTGGTACAGATTTCTTGGATTCTAAGAGCATGTTAGGCTGTTCCTCCTGCTATAACAAAATATCCAGGACTGAATAACATAGAAACAATAGAAATGTATTTCTTACAGTTCTGGAGACTGGAAGTCCAAGATCAAGGTGCTGGCAGATTTGGTGTCTGGTGAAAGGTCATTCTCTGCTTCGAAAATAGTGCCTTGTTGCTGCCTTCTCCCGTGGCAGAAGGAGGAAGGGCAAAAAGGACTAGGGCACCACTTCAACTTCTTTTATAAGGGCACTAATTCCACTCATGAGGACAGAGCCACATGACTTAATCACCTCCCGAAAGGCTCTCCTCCTAATGCTATCACATGAGGTATTAGGTTCTAATGTATGAATTTTGAAGGAACACATTCATTCAAATCATGGCAAAGGTTATTTTTGTTTTTGTTTAACTTGTTATTGTTGCTTTTTTCTGCAAACATGATAAAATTCAATCACACTAATAATTTGTATTATCAATTTTCTGTAGGAATAAACTCTTCTATTTATTTCTTTTTAACATATGAACACACAGTTGCCAGTTCAATGGATAGTAAACATTCTAAAGAGAAAAACAAATGAGTATCCTCAGAGATGTACATCTAAGTAAATGCATTCTGCAATCTAAGAAACAACCACTGTCTCTGTTCTCCTCAAGGTTGTCTGCAGGCTGGCCCACTGACAGAGATTAAGCACTTTATAAAATAAAATAACTGACAAATTAATAAATATCTGTATAGTTTTATTTTTGAGGCCACACTATTCTTCACATTTACTAATATGACTTCTGGAATTTAATTATGAACTTTATTGATGCAAATTCTATGGACCGGGCTGATCTGCCCTCCCACTTGATAGTGGCCTCAACCACATGACATGCTTTGACTGACAGTGGGATTTTGCAGTTGTTCCCAATACAGAGACTAAAATAGAATTGCGCATTAGGGCTTTCTCTCTTCTCCCTTTGCCCTTTACAAGAAAAGGACATGCCTGGGCTAACCTCCTCATTCTTAGAGAAGAATAAGGAACAATCAGAGGATGTTCGAGAGAACCATCCGAACTGCAGCCGTATAAATTAGCCTGTCCAGATCAATCTTCTGAATCCCACAGAAGCACGAGAAACAAATGTTTACTTTCGTAAGGCAGTGATGCATAGTCATTATGCGTTACATGGCAAACTTGGGCCACTGCTGATGTAAGTGCCAACTCTTCAACATGAAGTCCAAAGTTCCTCAGATTTGGTGCCTGACTATTTTACTTTTGTGTGCCCTTCCCAACCCCTAATTTTCCTCCTCCTCTGTCAGTGTTCTGTCAAGTCTCAGGGATTTCACACTTGCCTTTCAATCTTCCTTCACCGTGTGCCTACTTAGACACCCAGGACCTACAAATTCTCAAGTGAAATGTATTTTTTTCCAACTATTGCTAATGGCCCATTAATCTAGTTTGCAGCTTCCAGGTTATCCTGAACTCTCTTTGCTAAGAACCATTTAAACTCACGACTACTTGTTCAACATCAATCTTCATTGGGCTAAAAGGACAGAGACCTCCAAAAGCACAAACCCTAAGGACTGAAATGTAACAGACATTAACTCTGCTGACTGGTTGATCAAGACTTACAGAAAACACAGTGCCCCTTCGACATCTTGAGGATGGTAGCACAGTAGCAAAGGGTCGCTGGTACTCATGTACTGCAGTGGGTGGGACTATCCCACAGTGTGTGAGGGGCAGAAATGTTCATCTCTTTCTAAGGGTTCATCATGCAAGTCTCACTGTGCAAAACACTTCACACACATTTTCTTGCTTACACTTTACCATAAGCCTGGGAGAAAAGTGTTATTAAGATATCCATTTTAGAGATGAAGAAAATGAGGCTCACTGTGTCTGTATGATTTGCAGAAGCAACTCCCTGATGTGTTCTGAGGAATTTGAAACAGAAAGAAAAAGCATGATAAAATTCTAGTTATAGATGAAAGGATATGTTGTGGTTGAGACAAGATCTATTGAAATATGGGCTAGCTGGAAATAATGCTCAGATGTTTCAGAATCTCTACCTTATGTTTTACAGTTTATTATTTTTAACATGCTATCTCATTTAATTTTAGAATAACGCTGTAAGGAAAAGCAAAGTTATATCATTCCCATTCAATTCATGCAGGTTTGAAGGATAATACTTTGAGTTACAAAACTTTTATGGAAATCAAAAATGATAATTTAAGCAAAGGTAAACTAAAATACGATGAGAAAAGTTTGAAGTCAGTTATTCTTAATCATAAAAACATTAATCCAGAAAAAAATAAAATATATCAGAAGCCACAGAAAGAAAGAATAAAAAAGTAAAGATTTAAGGAGAAGGAAAACAAGACATAAAATTTAAGGGTATGAAAAGTATATATTAGCCAAAGACCTTTTGAATCTTTCTTGATTTTGTTTTTTCTATATTTGAATTATAAACATAGCAGTGAATTATGTGTTAATTTTCACAATGCTCTATAATGTCCTTGTATATCAAGAAATGAGTAAGAGCTGGGCGCGGTGGCTCACGCCTGTAATCCCAGCATTTTGGGAGGCTGAGGCAGGCGGATCACGAGGTCAGGAGATCGAGTCCATCCTAGCTAACACGGTGAAACTTAGTCTCCACTAAAAATGCAAAAAAAAAATTAGCCGGGCATGGTGGCGGGCCCCTGTAGTCCCAGTTACTCAGGAGGCTGAGGCAGGAGAATGGCGTGAACCCGGGAGGTGGAGCTTGCAGTGAGCTGAGATCGCGCCACTGCACTCCAGCCTGGGCGACAGTGTGAGACTCCGTTTCAAAAAGAAAAAAAAAAAGAATAAGAAAGGCAGGGAATTTTATTTTTCATATTACACAATAACATATTGCATGAAAAGTTGGGTTTTTTTGAATGTCATTCAAAATACTTTTTTGTTTAAATTTTTTTGAATATTTACTTTAGGGCTATCTTTGAAATACTTGAAGATTAGGAAACAAGTACCTGAGAGTTTCCCTAAATGTCTGAGTTCGTTTTGCAATAAATACAATGTTCTTCATTTCCCTAAAAGCAAAGAAGAAATAATTTATCTGAAGAAGAACATAAAAATTACATCAAACAGCTCTTTGTATTGTTGAGCTGTAACACAATTGGAAAGAAAAAATATATATATAATTTTAAAATGCTAAGATTTATGTGAATATTGTCAGAACTATATTATAACTTGTATAGTGAAGATTTCTACTTACACAGGAGACATTTCAAGAAAGAATTCATTTTGATGTTTCAATTTTTTTAATATTTTTAGTAACTGTCTTTGATGTGAAATAATTGAAAGATTATGGAATAATAACATAAAATTTAAGAAATAAAAGGTTAATTCTATGTTGAGAAGTTTAAGCTATGGAATTCATATTATGATCATATAAATGCTTTATATAAAAAGCCTAAAGATGTGTAATAAAGTGTGTGTATGTGTGCACATGTGTGTACATGAGGGTCATACACCTTTGGGAGAAACAGTAGCTCAGAGCTCCTTCAGTTTATCAAAGCCATATCAAAGATTTTTAAAAATTAAAAGGGCCATATTAACTTCAATTCAAATTTTACCTTGAAAGATTCTAGAAATCAGTGTCGATTTAAAGGATTAAGTGGATTAGAAAGATTAAGGTATTTCATGAACTTAAAATGTTAATGTGTTAACAGTGAATTTAATTGTAAATCATAATTATTTTGGAAAATAATTAAGTCCTCTAATTTTGTAGAAAAAATATGAAAAACCAGAATGAAGTGATTTCAGCTAAGATTACGTTGATTGCCTCTTAATTCTCAGAATGTAAGTTTGCAAAATGAAGGTCAATATACATGTGAGTGGGTTTTAACAAACATCCTCCATAACAATGCTTTTAATGTATATTCAATTAAGGCTAATAAAGGAGATAAAGAGAAAATAAACCATAAAATCATTATATAATAGTATACAGTAGCTTATAACCTGTGATAGAGCTCATTCTTACGACTGTTTCCTTTTACTTCATATTTATTATCTTCATAGATCTGTTAACCAATCTTGATTTCCAAAAAATGTTTTTAACAAGCTATGTGTCAGTACTGGCTCTTAAATAAATTGAAGTAAAGAAGCCTTTATAAGTATTCTATCATAGCCATTCTCAATTTCAACTATTAAAACATTAAATAATAATAAAAGCAATCAGACTATAACAATTTGGGGGACCTAGTATTCTAGAGACCAGCAATGATATGAGTAATGCTGTCTTTTACTCTTACCCATGTTTAAGAGTCAAATTTATGATGTTCTAATAATCACAATGGATATTTACATAGTATGAATATTCTTTGTGCTACAGTGACATCCCGTGCAGCCCTGTGACTCCCGAGTTGCAGCAGGAGGAGTAAATGCTAGGTCTCAGGTGTGGGATTCCAATGCCTTCATTCTTATTTTAACTACTAACACTCAGGTGTTATTTGTTGGACGCCCATACTTATTATATAAAGAATAACTTTCAAACTTTTTTAGAATCATGGAATTTTGTAAAGCGAAAACAAAAACATAAAATGGAGGTGCCCATAACAAGTATCTACCTTTTACGGTTTTTGTTTTTGTTGTTGTTTTTGGTTTTGGTTTTTACAAAACCAAAGTTCAAAATTATTCTATAATGAGTCATTGAGGGAAAACATAAGCACCCATTAAGTATTGCCCCCACCTGCTTGATGCAAGCTGTACCTCAGCTAGAATGGTCTTTCCACTGTGTAAATTAGATTGTGGTTGAGCCTGTGCTGGACCTTGATCATGTGGCCCAATCTGTTTCTCCAGCTTTCCTCTCCACACCCACCTCCTGGAACGTTAACTTTCAATTGTACTGATGTCTCTTTGTTCTCAGGTTACACTCTGATCATTTTCCTCCCTCAATTCATAGTGTTATTCTTTGACTTTGTCATCCATGCATGTATTTTTTTCTCAGGAATGTGATAGAGTGGCAAATGCCCAGTGGAGGACAGATTTCAAAAATCTGAAATCTGATTCTGTGAAGAAAGTCAAGGGTAGCTTGATGGGAATAGCAATGAATCTATAAATCACTTTGGACCTTATGGCCATTTTCATGATATTGATTCTTCCTATCCATGAACATGGAATTTTTTTTTTTCATTTGTTTGTGTCCTCTCTTATTTCCTTGAGCAGCAGTTTGTAGTTCTCCTTGAAGAGGTCAAATTTCATAGGGAACCAAAAAAGAGCCCATATAGCCAAGACAATCCTAACCAAAAAGAACAAAGCTGGAGGCATCGTGCTACCTGACTTCAAACTATACTACTAGGCTACAGTAACCAAGTCAGCATGGTTACTGGTACCAAAACAGATTTATAGACCAATGGAAGAGAACAGAGGGATCAGAAATAACACCACACATCTACAGTCATTTGATCTTTGACAAATCTGACAAAAACAAGCAATAAGAAAAGGATTCCCTCCCCCCACCTTTTTTTTTTTTTTTTTTTGAAATGGAGTCTCACACTGTCACCCAGGCTGGAGTGCAGTGGTGCGATGTCCACTCATGGCAACCTCTGTCTCCTGGGTTCAAGCAATTCTCCTGCCTCAGCCTCCTGAGTAGCTGGGATTACAGGTGCCTGCCACCACATCCAGCTAATTTTTTGTATTTTTAGTAGAGGCAAGGTTTCATTATGTTGGTCATGCTGGTCTTAAACTCTTGACCTCATGTTCCGCCCGCCCTGGCCTTCCAAAGTGCTGGAATTACAGATGTGAGCCACCACACCCAGCCAGGATTCCCTATTTAATATATGGTGCTGGGAAAACTGGCTAGCCATATGCATGAAACTGAAACTGGACCCCTTCCTTATACCTTATATAAAAATTAACTCAAGATGGATTAAAGACTTAAACGTAAGACTTAAATATAAGACTGAAAACCATAAAAACTCTAGAAGAAAACCTAGGCAATTCCATCCAGGACGCAGACATGGGCAAAGACTTCATGACTAAAACACCAAAAGCAATTACAACAAAAGCCAAGCTTGACAAATGGGATCTCATTAAACTAAAGAGCTTCTGCACAGCAAAAGAAACTATCATCAGAGTGAACAGGCAACCTATAGAATGGGAGAAAATTTTTGTAATCTATCCATCTGAGAAAGATCTAATATCCAGAATCTACAAGGAACTTAAACAAATTTGAGAGAAAAAAACAAACAACCCCATCAAAAAGTGGATGAAGGATATGAACAGACACTTCTCAAAAGAAGACATTTATGTAGGCAACAAACATATGAAAAAAAGCTCATCATCACTGGTCATCAGAGAAATACAAATCAAAACCACAACGTGATACCATGTCACACCAGTTAGAATGGGGATCATTGAAAAGTCAGGAAACAACAGATGCTGGCGAGGATGTGGAGAAATAGGAATACTTTTATACTGTTGGTGGGGAGTGTAAATTAGTTCAACCATTGTGGAAGACAGTGTGGTGATTCCTCAAGGACCTAGAACCAGAAATACCATCTGACCCAGCAATCCCATTACTGGGTATATACCCAAAGGATTATAAATTCTCCTATAAAGACACATGCACACGTATGTTTATTGCAGCACTATTTACAATAGCAAAGACTTGGAACCAAACTAGACGCCCATCAATGATAGACTGGATCAAGAAAATGTGGCACATATACACCATGGAGTATATGCAGCCATAAAAAAGGATGAGTTCATGTCCTTTGCGGGGACATGGATGAAGCTGAAAACCATCATTCCCAGCAAACTAAGACAGGAACAGAAAACCAAACAACACATGTTCTTGCTCATAAGTGGGAGTTGAACAATGAGAACAGGTAGACACAAGGAGGGAAACATCACACACTGGGGCCTGTTGAGGGGTGGGGATATGGGGAGGGATAACATTAGGTCAAATACCTAATGCAGGTGGGGGTTAAAACCTAGATGACGGGTTGATGGATACAGCAAACCACCATGGCACATATATACCTATGTAACAAACATGCATGTTTTGCACATGTATCCAAGAACTTAAAGTGTAATAAAAAATAAAAAATAAGAAAAAGAATCTAAAAACACATTTGGAATCTGGGTTTTGCCCAGATTGTCTTAATTTCAGTCGTACATTATTCCACTAGTTTTCGATTCTCAAACACACATCTGATCATTTCTTTCCTTTGTCTCAAACCCTAAAGGTATTCCTCTGTTCTTAGAATCACTTCCAATTTCTTAACTGGACCTTTTTTCAAATCTGGCTCTTAGATACCCACAGACATGATTTCTCATCTCCTCTTCCCTCAAATTCCATGTCCATCCTCACTTACAGATATCTGTCTGGATAGTTTCATCCTCCTTGTCTCCACTTCAAGGAAACGTCTGTGAAGACTGATGTGTATGCCCTCCCATGTCTCTCAAGAGACAGCAGGCATTCAGTGAAGATTTATTCACAAATTAAATGAGTGTTTTGTAGATGCCACTGATGAGGTTTCTGTTTAACTAGGAACTCTATCACTATATAAAATTAATTAATGCACATATACATTTTTAAAAGAATATAATGGCAACAAGATTATGCTTTTAGCTATGTAAATTATTTAAGTATGGTTAACATTATACTTTGACATAATAATAATAATACCCTTCTCTAACAGTGAAAATGCTACATTTTAATAAGGAAGAGAATTACAAAGAACAAGCTGAGCTGTACAGTAATGAATTAGGGAGGGAATCACTCAGCAACAGTAAGGGAACTGAAGAATGTATCACCTCTTGATATGCTACTAATGTAAATGTAAGTATAGGGAACAGAATGCTATTTAATACGTCTTATGCTCTGGCAAGTCAAGGGTAATCGTTTACTCTGGGAACTTCCAAGCACAGGTGGTAAGTAATGAGAATTAGCTCGACATTCCCAGACATCCCTCTATATCCAAACGTTTAGCATACCAGTGTAATCTAAAATCATGCCGACTCTCATTCCCTGCAATAAGAGAGATGCAGCAATTCTTTCCTTCACTGATGTATTAAGAATACACTATTTGCTTTATATGGAGCTCAAATAATGACCCAGAATAGAGTCCACCCCTTTCCTGGAATCTCTTCTTTATTTCAAGACCTTTGGTTTGCTTCTGTAGTAACTTCAAAGTTGGAGGACTTGATCAAGATGAAGTGCAGAAGGACAAAGCATGTTCAGCTAAAGGGTAAACTCTCCTGAATCCAAACATTCAAAAACTCTTGGACATATAGTCTTAAAGATATTTTTCACATTCATATTACTTAGAAAAAATAGATAGAAAATAACTAGATATTATTTATTTTAATAAAACATTAGACAAAGCATGTTTTGATTTGTATGTAACAATTACCTTTTTATCATATTTAAAAATAACTTCCAGCCTCATCTGATGAAGGGGTGCAAGTTTCTTGCAGTCAGCCCAGCTCAGTGGGTTGCCCAGGAATCTCCATTTATGCTTGTCCTCCTCCTTATGTCTGACATAACTATTAATAGCTCCTACTTTCATTCTCCAAGTATAATCAGTGATGGATAATATAACCTTCTTGATTAATGTGTAGATTCCTTTTAGCCTTTCCCAATTCTGAGATTACCTTGAAGTTAGATGCTTCCAATGAAAGAATCAGAAAATAGAACAGTGACTACTATTCCTGAAGGCCTCTGGTGCTTTCCTTGAGTATCAAGCTTGGACTGATTAAATTCTCATTTCCTACTAAACTGTTTTCTCTGGATGGCATCATAATCATTCACTTAGACACTCCTGACTACGCACTCGTTCCCAGAACACCCAGCAGAAGTAGACAGGAATGTCAGATAGGACATTGGTGTCATGATTTTCTCCCTTATTATACAGAGCCAACAGGACACTGACATAGGTCTGTATTATGCTAGCTTTAAAATAAACTCAGAATAGATTCGCATACTCAGAAATATATTCATGTGAATTTTATTTTTCTCATTCGCTAATGTAAGATTCTTATACATTCGTGTACTAGAGTTTGGTGACAATTCTGGCAATAGCGTTTTCTTTTTAAAATCAGACTTTGACTTTTCTAGTTAGTGAAATTTGTTTCTAAATTTATTTATAAAATTAACTTATTACTCATTTAATCGATAATTTAATAATTCAATTAATTTATCAAATTAATTTAATACTCAGGAGCCTATCTTGATTTGATGAACATTTTAATAAAAAAAACTTTAGTAATAGGAATAGTTTATGGCAGCCTCATTTGAAAGTTTTCAAGAGTCATTGGCATTTAAAATTCCTTATTCACAAAGTATTCCTTTGTCATGATGTGAAGGCAACACATTAGATGGCCAAATCTGACCAGCAAATGTGTGCTGTCTAATTTTACCATGTTAAAATAAAAATAACTATATGTTTAAGTAATGTGAGATTTTGCAGGACAATGCCAACTGCTGAGTCATGAAGATTCACAAGGTGAATGAACACAGGGCGGCATCCTACCTGGATCCCACCATTAGACATTCATCTTTCCCAACTCAAGAACCCCCACTGCCTCCTACACTCCATCTTTCTTACACATTCGTATCACTGTTTTATTTTGTTGCCATTTGCTTTAGAAAATCCTACACAAAACTTAATTTCTAGATAAAATATGTGTGTTCTGGTAAAGGATTACTCATGAATCCTTAAAATTAGTGAGAAGGAACAAATCAATTTATACCCAAGCCATACTTTGATGAAGGAGGAAATGGAATGGATCTAAGGAACTGAGATCCTCAATGAGAGGGAAGAGGATGTCTTCCATGGGGACAACAGTTCCAAGTCACAAACTGTAGCAGTGACTAGAAGGAGATTAGCAGTTGAATGGGGATCAGTTGAGCTTTAAGATCGCTTCCAATTAAAAATAATGATAATAATGTGCAATGCTTTGGCTTTGTCATTTGTCATTCCATAATAATCAAAATTGGATTTTTTTAGGTATGACTGGCTGAGTAGGCACCCTCTGTCATTCAATGTGCATCACTCCCAGAGATGTACACTTTGGGAAAAGAGCACCTCATAGTGCATAATCCTTATTAAGTCAAGTGTTTATAAAAGTCCTACTCCCTGGCTAGAAACTAAACTTTAAATTTTCACCATTCAATAATTCTAACATGTCAGCTATAATTTTTTTTAAAAAAACAACATGTTTTCTTTCTTTTTGTATTGCAGAAGTTGATGCAGGTAAAGTATAAAGAAACATGTTTTTTAAAAACTGCTTTTTGGGGAAGAAAATGTCCCTTCAATTATAAAGTCATATCTTTAAAAAACAGGGAAATGATTGATAGATAGATACATACATAGATAGACTTATAAATAAATACTTTCACATAGTTATAGTTTTGTGGTACTACATATGTTTTATTAAAAATTCAAACTTTTTTTCAGATCGAAGCATAATTTATCTTCCATTAACAAAAACGAAGATCTTAAATTTGACACGATTACAATTAAAATGCTGAAAGGAGTTATGAGGCATTTAAATCATTCTTCAATTAGAATGTTTGCAGCATATTTCTCAGAGCTGACCTGAACACATTACCTTTGTTGCAGCATCAAAGCAGATAAATCCTGTGCTGAAATCAATTGTGAGTCCCATTAGATGACTTTCTAGCACACATGCATAGGTCTTGCACTAGGTAGAACAGAAAGTATTGTTACTTTTCATGTTATTGATGCAATATCAATATTATGAACTATGTTACAGCTTCTGCAATAAGTACTTCATACAATATCTAATTTAATATTAACAATAATTGTATAAAGAAGGGAGTATTATCAACATTTTAATGTTAATGAAACAGAAGCTGAGAGTGTTGGGTTTTATTTAACTTGCCAAGGTGTATGCCCCGCCGAGTTTCCAATCCTGCTCCCTCTAGTTTTGTCTGTACATTGTGCTACACTGTCTGTCTTTGCTGTGTTGACAATAAAGGTGGTATATAATATAAAAAGTTTTAGGTGTAGGCAAGTTTATGTTAAGTTGTTATTTACTGTAGCCAACCATTTTCATTAAACTAAAAGAGAACTATTGTTAAATAGCACTGTCTTGAATTCTCAGGATATCAATTTCATGGATATTATTAAACCACATTCTCATGCACACAAATACAGATTCAGTAACCAAGCCAAAAGAATAGATCTTGATCTTAACAGTCTTACTCTGTTCTTCGATATTGCACGAGATATTCCTACAGATATTTACCACTTTCCAATTTATTTGTTTATAACTACAGATAATTCTTTAAAAATCAACAAGTAATTACTTTTCACAATGAGATCAGATAATATTATAATTTTTCTTGTTTGGGGTTTTTTTTTTTGAAACAGAGTCTTGCTCTGTTGCCCAGGCTAGAGCGTAGTGGTGCGGTGTCGGCTCACTGCAACCTCTGTCTGTTGGGTTCAATAAATGCTCTTCCCTCGGTCTCCTGAGTAACTGGCATTACAGTCGCCCGCCACCGTGCCTGGCTAATTTTTGTATTTTTAGTAGAGACGGGGTTTCACCATCTTGGCTGGGCTGGTCTCGAACGCCTGACCTCGTGATCCACCCGCCTCGGCCTCCCAAAGTGCTGGGATTACAGGCGTGAGCCACTGTGCCCAGCCTAATTTTTCATAGTAAATACGGATACTGAAATATAAAGAAAACAGGATATAAATCAAATATGAAATAAAAACTTAAGGTTTATATACGACATGATGTATTGTTACATCTATAAGCCAGTTTTATTTGCATTTAATTTTAAATCGTAGTGGGATATTCCAATCATGAAAAATATTTGTGATCCATGTACAAGATGAGAGAGAAATAGAGACAAAGAGAGAGAAGAAAAAAAGGAAGAGAAGTTTATCTGAAGCAAATTTTTAACACCTATCCTTGCATTGTATTTGTTTTTATAGTACTGTGTATAAAACTACATTAATTGAATCCCATTCTGAATGTAATCATGACTAAATACATCGAGTTGCCTTCACCAAAAATTACATTCATGTGTTTAAGCCTTATTAGCATAGAAAAATTATAATAATGCAAAATTATTCTTTTAGAGTTACATTTTTTTAAAAAAAGCAGACTAAAGAACATACTTAATGGGCCTCAAAAGTCCATTTTCAGGAGTAATTATATTTGTTTAATACATAAGCATTGTGCATGCTTACATCCACCTATTAGCACTTTATTAAAACTATTATCAACATTAAGGAATGTTTAAGGCCATAAAATTTTCTCCTAATTTAGACATAATGGTTTGCTTATTTCAAGCACTGTCATTTAAACAAGAAAATGTCAGGTGAAAATAAATTCGGTGCAGTGTATTAAAATTTTTTTATTATGTTCAGCATTACAAATTAAATTAGATTTTCTCAATAATCATGAAATTGAAACAAATAGATGTGCTATAAATTGAGACTCATTGAAGTCTCAATTTATATACAGACTCAAGTTCTATCATTTATAATATTAATAGCATATCATGCGTATAGTTAATATGTTTAATATTGAAATATTTAATTTGTTGTTTAATTTGTTTCCTTAAAAACAAATTATACAGAGAAAAATCAATACATAAATTATCCTTTTTAAGGAAGTTTAAATGAGGAACACTTTGAAAGTCAATTCATTAATTTTTTTCTTTCTGCTTGTTTTACGATAGAACTTATATTCCTTCTTTATTTAATTCCCTATCAACTTTACTGGAAGTGATAAATTAAGAATATAGAAGAAAAACGTGTTAAGGTTCTTCATGTAAATATATTCACATACTTTAAATTTGAAAGTAATACTACAAAGGTGTTCATTGATTTCTTATGTGGTAAATAAATAAGAGTTATAAAATCTGTAGAACAACTAAAAGCTAAAAAGACATTAAATGTTTTACCTTTCACTTCTGATGTTTATCTTACACTGGCATTGTGAATGGGTAAGGAAATAGGCCAATGTATTTCACTGAATATCAGTTTACAGAATACAAAGCCCAGATTCAAAGATTTTATCTCTATCTAATTTATAAATATCAGGAGACTTAAAATAAAATACTAAATTGGAACCAAAATGTTAAAATTACCATGTAGCTGTTTCCAAGCGAAGTGGACTATTGTAGAGAAATAATAATTTTAGAAACCTAAAAATATAAATTTCAATAACAAAACTGTCAACTTACATTCCATTAAATTATATTTTAATGCTTTAAATGGTCTTGGATCTTGACTCAGAATAAAATCATATTTAATATAGTTTTGTTTCCATTTTTGATATAATATCTATTTTTTTGAATTGAGGTTCTAATTGTGGAAACTATTTTTTGGCTATTTAAGACTTTTTAGGTGCATGAAGATAAAAGCAGAGTTATTGAAAAGAGTCAACTGAACAATTAAAAAAACTATAATTGGAGTTTTCTTTCTGTCCTCTTCCCCTGATTGTAATGTCATACTGGTACAACTTGATGTGTTGATTACAGAGGTTTGTAGTCAGAAAATAGAAATCAGTTCAACATGTTCAAAATATATGTATCCAACAATCCTGTTTTACGCAAACATTCCAGTATAGTCAATGCTAGATTATTCACCACATTTGTTTTCAAAATTAAGTGTCCATGTGTGTATTTAGGTCCTTGCTCTATGGATCTATTTGCATGTGGCAAGCGCATGAAAACCTTTTAATTTGTCCACAGGTCTGTTTGAGGTCAGCCACAGGACCAACTTTGGGAGGCTGTTTTGTTCAATGGTCTTGTGAAGACAGAAGCTGAGGGCTCTATAAAGTTTGATCTAGTGTATAACTTCACACTTAAGAAACAAAGTTCAATAAATATCTGTTGAATACTCATGATGTGCAAAATGCACTGGACTTTGGTTGGCACATGATAAGATAATTCCAAACAACCTATAATTTAGTGCAGGGAATAACAAGCACATGTCACTGCAATACAAAACAGACTGAGTGTGTGCAATCCTTAAAAAAAAAAGACAAATAAATAGAAGAATCTTATAGATGCTGCTATAAATAAGTAGAAAACACAGTATAAATTTTATCACTAAACTACACTATTTTAAAATCTATTTCCTATATTGTATTTCTAATCAGATGTATTACTTTTATGATTTTTATTGTTGTATGTGTTAATGACTTCATGTAAAAATGTAATTGCTTTTCATGAGTAGTATGAATACAATTGATTAGTTTGTGTTTTCTTATCTGTAAAAAAACCAGAAAAGTACATTATATTGTGTTCAAAAGTGAGAAGAAGAGTTGTTTGAACAGGATAGTTGTAGAAGGAGTATTGGCAAGCATTAGGCAGGGTGGACTGGAAATCAGGGACATGTTCCTGGATGATATGACCTTTGATAAAAAGTCTCAAAAACTCTGTGTGGCTTTGAAGGATGGAGGCAAAGGGAAAGAGCATTGTGAGTAAATGACGCCAACAGGCTGGAAATTAGGAGGTCATATTTGGAGAACAGGAAGTGACCTTGTCAACAATTCATTAAATCAGAGTATTTTCTATATTAGATTTAAGTCAGAGTAATGTCTAATTAAAATTAGAAATATATTTTTAATTAGTAGTAGGAAATAGCCTGGAAAGATCAAGTCGTGGAAAAATTAAAATTTTATTCAGAGCTGTATTACTAGTCACTAAACAAAAATGGCTAATTATAGAATGTATATGAGGTCAAGATTCCCAGAACTGTATTTTTACACTACTTTGGAATGATATTAGAACTCTAGGGAAGTGGTCATGCATCTGAGGGAGCCACACATCCTGCAGTCCCACAGACTCTCACCTGTATCCGTTCTACTTCTAGAAAGGTTGCTGTCTGGAAGGCTCTTTCCCACTGGGCGAGGTCACTTTCCAGCTCCACTGAGAAGTACAGGTCCTCCCCAGACTCAGACTGCACGGTGAAGCACTGTTTCCGTCGGTCCAGCAGGTCACTGTCCTGGTGAAAACCTGGAGTTACACAGGCTGGCACACATCACTTCACATTGCTAACCTGGCCATTCCTGACTGGACCAAGGTGCAGAAGCCACAGGTAAAAAGACAACACTCTGCGAATTCACCAAGTCTTCATTAGACATTATACCAGAACTCCGGGCTTCAAAGCCCCAACACATGACTTCTCTGTCTTTACACTGAAGCATGTCCATAAAATAGAAGTTAGGGTTTCTGGCTTCATCTCTTACTAACAATATAACCACCAAAGCATTTAACATACAAGACTTGGTTTATTACTCTACAAAGGGGTGACACACTATCTCTTCCCTTCCTTACATAACTGTTATGATGTTGAAATTAAATAATGCTTGTGAACATGTTTGTAAATTTTAAGGAACTTTATAAGCAAACCAAAATATTCTTCTCCATGAGAAATGAAAAAGAAAATGAGTCTAATTTGTCTACAGCAATAATATTGCTTAAAAAAAAACGCATTATTTACCTTACTTGTGTAACTGTATTTCATTGTATCAAAAAAACGACTTTGATGCTGGCAATTTCTTGGTCTTACCAGAAGTTTTCAACTGAAGTGTTCACAAATTTACATATATTCCAATTTAAGAGACATTAACATGAGAAAAAAAAGTGAAGCAAATAATTTATGAAACAGAGTAACCCAATGCAACATGTCAGATATAGCATTTTAAATACAGTCATGTGCCGCATAAGGATGTTTGGGTTAATGATGAACTGCATATGCGACGGTGATCCTATAAGGTTATAAGGGAGCTGAAAAATTCCTATCCCCTAGCAATGTCATAGCCGTTGTAATGTCATAGAGCAATGCATTACTCTTGTGTTTGTGGTCATGCTGGTGTAAACAAACCTGCTGTGCTGACAGCTGTGTAAGTCTAGCACATACGATTATGATGTATGCTACATAATAATAATGATGATAAGAAAGAATATGTTACTGGTTTATGTATTTACTGTATTATAGTAATACAGTAAATATTACTGTATTTACTGTACTCCTATTTTTTTAGTGTACTCCTTCTATTTATTAAAAATATAGTTAACTATAAAACAGGCTCAAGCAGTTCCTTCAGAAGGTATCCAGAAGACGGCATCATTATCATAAGAGATGACAGCTCCATGCGTGTTATTGCCCCTGAAGACCTTCCAGTGGGACAAGATGTGATGATGGAACTCATCCTGACTATATGCAGGCCAAGGTTAATGTGTGTGTTTCTGTCTTATTTTTTATAAAAATTTTAAAAAGCCAAAAATAAAAAAGTAATTTGTAAATTTAAAAGTAGAAAAAAAATGTAGAGAATAAGGATATAGAATAATTTTGTACAGCTACATAATGTGTTTGTGTTTTAAGCTAAGCACTTCTACAAAAAAGGCCAAAGTTGAAAAAATTAACTTTGTAAAGTAAAAAATGTTACAGTAAGCTAAGCTTAGTTTATTATTGCAGAAAAAAATACTTCTTATAAATGTAGTGTAGTCTAAGTGCTCAGTATTTATAAAGTCTATAGTGCTGTATAGTAACATCCTAGGCCTTCACATTTACTCATCACTCATTCATTGACTCACCCAGAGCAACTACCATTCTGCAAACTCCATTCATGGTAAGTGCCCTGTATCTGTGTATCATTTTTTTTTTAAATCTTTTAGACTGTACTTTTACTTTACTTTTTCTATGTGTAGATGTGTTTAAACAACTACTTACCATTATGTTACTTTTGCCTACAGTATTCAATACAGTCATATGCTATACAGGTGTGTAACCTAGGAGAAATAGGCTGTACTGTATAACCTCGCTGTGCAGTACGTTATGCTGTCTCAGGTTGTGCAAGCAAATTCTGTGGTGTTTGTACAACAGTGGAACCATCTAACTGAGAGGCATTTCCTGAAATATATCTCAGTTATTAAATGACTGTATATATGCTATATCTATGCAGTGTACTGAAAATTGTCAAAGGGTTAATCACTGGTATCTGTAATCATTTCTCATAAGGAGGGATGTAAGTGTATCATTATTAAACACCCAAAATGTTAGATGGAATTCTCTGCTTTGGCAAATGTTTAAAAAATAATAACTATTTTCATTGTTTCCTGCTTGCATTCTTATAATTGCTGGAAGAGAGCTAATGGAAGGCATTTACTTCCAGGGTTGTAGAATTTAGCTCTGACCCTTGCTGCCAGTAGATGCTCAGAAAGCTAAAAGGATGATAAATGCTGTGCTTATTGATTTTCCTACTCTGTCTGAAGGGAGAAAAAAATGAAAACATAATATGTTTGAGAGTACAATCTAATGATAAATTATAAATACTTTTTAGTAGTTTTGGGGTTATAATATCTATGGAGGGAACAATGAGAGATAATAACTACACAAGTAAATATATTAGTACAAATTATTGTAAATGCCATTATAAAAAAAATAAGAGGCTGGGCGCAGTGGCTCATGTCAGTAATCCCAGCAATTTGGGAGGCCGAGGTGGGCAGATCACTTGAGGTTGGGGAGTTCCAGACCAGACTGTCCCACATGGTGAAACCCCATTTCTAATAAAAATACAAAAATTAGCCGGACATGGTGGTGCATCCCTGTAATTCCAGCTACGTGGGAGTCTGAGGCAGGAGAATCACTTGAACCTAGGATGAGGAGGTTGCAGTGAGCCAAGACTGTGCCACTGCATTCCAGCGTGGGCAACCAGAGGGAAACTCCATCTCAAAAAGAGGAAGAAGAAGAGGGAGAAGGAGGAGGAGGAGGAGGAGGAGAAGAAGAAGAAGAAGAAGAGGAGGAGGAGGAGGAAGAGGAAGAGAAAGAAGAAGAAGAAGAAGGAGAAGAAGGAGAAGAAAAAGAAAAAGAAGAAGAAAAAGAGGAAGATGAAGAGGAAGAGGAAGGCAAAGAAGAAGAAGAAGAAGGAAGAAGAAGAAGAGGAAGAAAAAGAGGAGGAAGAAGAAGAGGAAGAGGAACACGAAGAAGAAGAAGAAGAAGAAGAAGAAGAAGAGGAAGAAAAAGGTATTATATCACAATAGATTGAAAAGCTAGAGAAATGTTCTCTAGGAAGTAAATTTTAAACAGTGGCTGAAAACGAGTAGAATATCAAAGATAAAGTATAGAAAAAGGGTGTTCTTTCCAGAGAGTGGATGGGACTGGCTGGGGCCAAGTCAGGCATTTCAGAAATTCAAAGAAAAGGAGGCAGAAACATTGAGAGCTGAAGCTAGGGAAGGACATGGGATGATTGATCTGGTTATAAATTTTGGACTTGAACACAGTATAATGACAAGCTACTATAGCAAAAATTTTAGTATGCCCTCTCTTTATACTGCAGATATTTCAACATCTACCTTAGCTTTTTAAATTGATAAATTGGCAAAAATCTATAACTAAACGTTGCAGTTTCCAGAAACCTTGCCAATTTTATGGTTTATTAAATTGCCCTTCATTTTCCTTATAATAAAAAATATTATCTAATGTCATTATTAGTCAGAAAATTTTGTTATTTTTTCCTTTTCATAAATCACATGTAGCAATAGGATCTTAAAATGGACTTCATGTAAGATTTTCTATTCTCTTAGCAAAACTTTACTCCTTTGCTCTTTTAAAACTCAATTTAAGATCTTCTGTTATATTACCCAAGTCGTGACTCTCTCTCAGACAAAGCATCCTCTAATCAACTCTGCAAATATAGTTTCAGCATCTCTGAAAACTTCTTGCCATTTCCTGTTGTTATTTATAATATACTTCTCATGAACTGACTCACACTGCAAATGGCATCTGAGCACCCAGGTCTCATTTTAGTGAGGGAGAGAAATATGTTAAAATAACGAGCATATGACAGTGCTATAGAGGTAACATGCTAAGGAAGCAGAATAAGGAACGATAAATCATCTTGAGGGAAAGTAGGAGGGGGAAAGTTGTATTGTAGGGAGAGACTGTAGTACCATCAAGGACTTAAAGACAAATGCAAGAGCAACCTGGTGCAAGCCTGAAAAAGACCAGGTGATCCTGCTAAGAAATTCATAGAATGCACCTGCCAGGAAAAGATATTGGAGAGTTAAGTGAGAAGGGGGCAGCATAGACTCTAAGCTTTAGATGGCTAAGAGTGGATGGGTGGGAGGAGGAGAAACTTTGGAAAAAGCAGGGGTTCCTTTATCAGAAATTTAGTGAAAAGTGACTATAGCTCAATCATTTTAAAGATCTACTTTCAACATAATCATCTAAAATCATTGACACTAGATTTCTTTTACTAGAGTTTCTACCTTTGCTGCCTATAACATTTCAAAAGATTGTGTTCCTTTACGGTTGCAGTCATTATCAAGTTATATGCAAGTAATAATATATATATAACTAACTGAAAAACTAAATAAGATACTCTTAGAGACTGGCATTGACTAGAAGTATTAGTATAATAAGGAGTATTTACACGATTATCCACATAGGTTTAAATAAGAATGTATATATTCCTCTTTCTCACCCTCATTCTCTCTCTAACACACATGCAGGAGCTGTTATAAGGTGATAAGAACAAAAGTTCTAGCTTCAGAATTCTGTCTTGATTTGAATCTCCTCTCTTTTATTTATTAATAGGTAATCCTTGTCAAGTTGATTACCATATATATAGCTTCCTTCACTCATCACTAAAGTGGAAATAATTAATTGATCTGATGATTAAATAAGATACTATATTTAATTCTTTGCTTAGTATCTAATACTTGGAAGTACTTAATGTTGGAAATTTTTGTTGTCAGTATTGATTCAATAAAATAAATACAGATAAATATTCGTATCATTTCCTAACTTGCCTTCTATGGCTTGCTCTCTGCATGCATTTCTCTTTTGTCATAGTTTGACTTATGCCCCAGTAGAAAGAATAGCCTCCAGAATACTTTTTTGCCAACTGGAAAGTATCATTTAATAATAGTAATGATAATAATAATAGCTAAACATATCAAGAACTCATCAGTTGCATTTTTCTCAATTTTCTCACTTCTCCAGAAGTATCTTCTATTTTGTTAGATTTGTTCCAAGTTCTCTCAGATTTATAAAGCAATATTACAAAGAAACAACAGGTTTTTTTTTCAAGATGGCTGACTAGATGCTTTTCCAGGGTACTTCATCCACTTAGAAGAATGACAATGGTGTGTAGACAATCACACTTTGCACATATGAAAGCAAAATCAAATATTGGGACCCCAAACTCACTATACCAAAGGGCTAAGTTTAGGTAGTTAGTCATGAAAAAACTGCCTTCCTTTCATTCCCAAAAAGCTGTAATTTCATGTTTACTTTATGTAAAATGTAGCTTTTCTGCTCATTAGTAAGATCCTCACAAGAATGTGACCACTTATCTCATTGCCTACCCAGACTTTTTTTCTTTCTTCCTCTTCCTGCTTGCTTTTTCCCTGTTAAATATTGAAGTTCCCAGAACCCTTTTTAAAAAAAAGCACAGGGTACAGATCTCCTTGTGATTTGTGTTTCTTTTTCCCAGGCATGTTCTCAACCTTGGCAAAATAAATCTCTAATTGATTAAGATCCACCTCAGTAACTTTTTTGTTTACAAACATATTATCCAAGAGAGAACACAGGAGTTCAACAGTAACACACGAAGAAACTCCAAAATCTGACCAGAAAAAGAAGAACAGTCAGCCTGTGTGGCTGTGGGACTGGCTGAAAATGAGAAGAGAGTAAATTCCCAATATGGGAGAGGGTGAGTGAGTATCTTTCTGTGGTCCAATTTCCCACTATAGAATCATATAATTCAGGCCACGGTAGAGCACCATGACTTTTCTAAGCCCTAGATCTACCTTGGGATGTGGCTGGGAGACTGTAAGAAGTACCTGCTCTGGGAAGTGTCCCATGCACTTCCCGAGACCTTGGAACCTACAACAGAACACCATTCTTGATCCTAGCTCTTTGCAAGCTGTGCACAGTCCTGAAAACTAGCAGCAGTGGCAGCCTTTGTCATTAAAGAGGCTCTAACAGTATCCTGGGGATCTGGTGCTCAAGCAGGGAAGAGGTTCCCACAGCCAGAACCGAGAATCAAGTATGGCATGGGCTCCAGCCATTGGCATGCTGGAACCAGGCTCACCCCATCTTTCACTTCACCCCCTTCCCCCACCAGTACAGGAGGGGATTTGTTTGGGAGGCATAGTGTTGGGCTGTGCAGTGACTCCTAAGGCCTGGGGCAGCTTGTGTTGACAACTAGAAGTAAACTGCACTAACTAAGTGAACAGCCAAACCTACTGACAAAGTTGAGAAGGTGGTGAGCCCCACCAAAAATGGGGGCATGAGAGAGAATCACATCTCACTCCTCTTGGCCAAGGTAGCAGTACTGAGTCCACACCCTTATGCTTATATGCTCACAAACTAGAAAACCTAGAGGAAATGGACAAATTCCTGAAAACTTACTACTTCCTAAGATTGAATCAGGAAGAAATAAAAACCATGAATAGAGAAATAACAACATTGGATTTAAAATCCAATAAAAAAATCTCCCAACTACGAAAAGTCTCCCAACAAAGAAAATCCCAGGAACAGATGGATCCACAACCAAATTCTAGCAAATGTACAAGGAAGAACTGGTGCCAATACTCCTGAAACTTTTCAAAAAACTGAAAAGGAATTTCTCCCTAACTTATTATACAAATCCTGTATCACCCTGACACCAAAGTCAGCCAGAAACACAATAACAAAAAATAAAACTACAGACCTATATCCCTAATTAACACAGATATAAAAATTATCAATAAATTCTCAACAAACTAAATCCAACACATCAAAAAGATATTACATCATGACCAACTTGATTTTACACCAGAGATGCAAGAATGATTCAACATATGCACACAAATAAATGTCATACATTACCTAAACAGAATTAAGGCCAAAAATCATATGATCATCTCAATAGACACAGAAAAAGAATTTTTTAAAATTCAACATCGCTTCATAAGAGCACAAGCTCAAAACCCTCAACAAATGAAGCATAGAAGGAACATACCTCAAAATAATAAAGGTCATATATGACAAACCCACAGTCAACATCATACTGAAAATGGAAAAGTTGAAAGTATTCCCCATAAGAACTGGACTTTGAGAAGGTTGTCCACTCTTACCACTCCTATTTAACATAGTAATAAAGTACTAGCCAGAACAATTAGGCAAGAGAAATAAACCAAAGTCATCCACATTGGAAAACAGAAAGTCAATTGTCCTTGTTTGCTGATGATATAATCATGTATCTCAAAAAATCTGAAGACTACACCAAAAAACTTTTATTTTCGATGAATAAATTCAATAAAGTTTCACAATACAAAATTAACATACAAAAATCAGTAGCTTTTCTACACAGCAACAATAATGCAGTTGAAAGGAGGGCAATCTTATTTATAATAACTTCCAAAAAAACCCGGAAATACATTTAAGCAAGGAGGTAAAAGAGCTCTACCAGAAAAACTGCAAAACACTGATAAAAGAAATTATAGTTGACACAAACATATGACAAAACAGCTCATACTTATGGATCAATAGAATTAATATTGTTAAAATGGCCATATTTCCCAAAACAATTTACAATTTCAATGCAATGTCTATCAAAGTACCAATGTCATATTTCACAGATTAGAAAATAAATTCTAAAATTGATATGGAACCCCAAAAGACCCCAAATTAGCCAAAGCAATCATAAACAAAAATAACAAAGCTGGAGGCATCACATTACCTGACTTCAAATAATACTAGATGTCTATAGTAAGCAAAATAGCATGGTACTGGCATAAAAACAGACAAATAGATCAATGGAACAGAAGAGAGATCCCAGAAATAAAGCCATCAGTCAAGTGATGCCACAGCCAAGTGAACTTTGTCAAAGTCAACAAGAATATACACTGGGTAAAGGACATCTTATTTCATAAATGGTGCTAGGAAAATTGGATGGCCATATGCAGAAAATGAAACCAGACTCCTATCAATCACCATATAAAAAATTAACTCAAGATGAATTAAAGACCATAAGATTCGAAACTATTAATATCCTAGAAGAAAACCTAGGGATGTCTTCTGGACATTGGCCTAGGCAAAGATTTTATGACCAAGTCCTCAAAGCAAACATAGGACTTAATTAAATTAAAAACTTCTGCAAAGCAAAAGAAATAACTGACAAAGTAAATATACAACCTAAGAATGAGAAAAAAATATTTTCAAGCCATGCAACTAAGAGAGGGCTAATATCCAGAATCTATGAGGAACTCAGACAACTCAACAAGAAGAAAACAAATAACCCCATTAAAAAGTGGGCAAAGGACATGAACAGACATTTTGTCAAAAGAAAACATACAAGTGACCATCAGACATTTGAAAAAATGCTCAACATCACCAATCATAAGATAAATTCAAATTTAAGCCACAGTGAGATACCATCTTATCCCAGTCAGAATGGCTATTACTAAAATGTCATAAAATAACAGATTTGGTGAAGATATAGAGAAAAGGAAATGCTTATACACTGTTGGTGGAAATGTAAATTGGTACAAACTTTATGGAAAACAATATGGAGATTCCTCAAAGAAATAAAAATAGAACTACTATTCAATCTAGCAATTCCACTACTGGGTATATATCCAAAGGAAAAGAAATCATTTTATCAAAACATGACCTGCACTCATATGTTTATCACAGCACTATTCAAAATAGCAAACATATGGAATCAACCTATGTGATGAATAATAAAAATTATATATATACATATATGTATATATAATTCAATACTACTCATCCATTAAAAAGAATACAATTATGTCTTTTGCAGCAATATTGATGGAACTGGAGGCCGTTATCCTAAATGAAATAACTCAGAAATAGAAAGTCAAATACTGTAGATCCTTACTTATAATGGGAAGTAAACAATGGGTAAGCCTGGACATATAGAATGGAATAATAGACATTGAAGACTTCAAAGAGTAAGAGGGTGGAATATGGGTAAAGATTAAAAATTTACCTATTTGGGTAATAGGCGCACTAGAAGCTCACACTTCACCACTACACAATATATGCATGTAAGAAATATACACTGGTACTTCCTAAGTATAAATAAATAAATAAATAAGAAATAAAAAACAGACAAAAATTAAAAGTCACTCATAATTCCTTCATTTAGGAATAATTATTAATATTTTGGCTTATCTACTCAGTAAATAAACTATACTTGACTGTCAGAAACAGTCTATTGCTAAGCATTTTGTGTATCTATTATAAACGGTATTGTTTGATTTTTTTAAAACATTGGTTGTTAATGTAAAGAAACACTACTAATTTTTGTGTTGATATTGTATCCTGTAACTTTCCTAAATTTGTTTCTATTTTTAACGGTTTTTTTTGTGTGTGTGTGTGAGTGGGGGGATCTTGGGTTTTTTTTTACATATAAGATCATATCACCTGCAAACAGGGACAATTTAGCATTTTCTTTTTCAGTCTTTATGCCATTTATTTCTTCCTCTTGCCTAATTTCTCTGGCTTGGACCTTCAACACTATAATGAATACGAGTGGTGATAGTGGGCATTCTTGTCTTGTTTCAGGTCTTACAGGAAATGCTTTTAACTTTTCCTTGTTGAGAATAATGTTGACTTTTGGCTTGTCATATATGGCCTTTATTGTGTTGAAGTACATTTCTTTTATAACTAATCTGTTGGGAGTTTTTTTTTTTTAATTATAAAAGAATGTTGAATTTTGTCAAATGCTTTGTGTTTTATAAAATAATTATATGATATTTGTCCTTCATTTCATTAATGTGGCGTATCCCATTTATTAATTTGCAAATGTTGAACCATCTTTGCATTCCAGGGATAAATCCCACTTGATCATGGTAAATGATTATTTTAATGTGTTGTTGAATTTGGTTGGCTAGTATTATGTTGAGGATTTTCACAGTTATGTTTATAAAGTGTGTTGGCCTATAATTTTCTTTTCTTATGATGTCTTTGCCTTTGGTATCAGGGTAATGTTATCCTCATAAAAAGAGTTTGGAAGTGTTCCCTCATGAATTATTTGGAGTAATTGGTAGAAAATTGGCATCAGTTCTTTTTAAAATGTTTGATAGAATTCAACAGTGAGGCCATCAGGCCTTGGGATTTTCTCTGATGGGAGACTTCTTATTACTAATTCAGTCTCCTCACTCATTATTGTTCTCTTCACATTTTTATTTTTTCAGCATTTACTCTTAGTAGGTTGTATGTGTCCCAGAATGTATTCATTTCTTCTAGGTTATCCAATTTTTTGGCATATACTTTTTCATAAATTTGTTTATGATCCTTTGTATTTCTGTGGTATCAGATGTAATATTTCATTTTTAATCCCTGGTTTTATTTATTTGAGTCTCTTATCTTTTTTCTTAGTTTAGCTAAAGGTTGTGAATATGATACATTTTTTCAAAAAAAAAAACTTCATTTCCTTGGTCTTTCTTTTCTAGTCTCTAATTTGTTTATTTATGTTCTTTATTATTTTCTTCCTTCTAATAATTTTGGACTGTTTCCTCTTGCTTTTCTAATTTCTTGAGGTGTAACATTAGGTTGCTTATATGAAATCTTTCTCCTTTTCTAATGTAGGTGGTTGTTGATATAAACTTCCCTATAAGATTTGCTTTTCTGTATCCCATAGGTTTTGGTATGTTATGTTTTCATTTTCATTTGTCTTAAGAAATTTTTAAATGTATCTTTCAATTTTATCATTGACCCATTGGTTGTTCAGGAGCATGTTGTTTAATATTCATATATTTGTGAATTTATAAAATCCTTACTGTTATTGATTTCTAGTTTCATATTATTGAGGTTGAAAAAGTACTTGATGTGATTTTAATCTTCATAAATTTGCTGAGACTTGTCTTGTGGCTTAAATGATTTATCCTAGAGAATGTCCCATATGTGCTTGAGCAGAATGTGTATTCTGTTGCTGTTAAGTGGAAGGTTCTACAAATGTTATGAGGTTCATTTGGTCTAACGCATTGTTCAAATCCAGTATTTCCTTATTAATTTTCTGTCTGGGTGATCTGTCCAATATTGAAGCCTCTATAATTGTTATATTGCAATTCATTTCTCTTTTCAGGTCCTTTAATATTGGCTTTATATATTTAGGTGTCCTACTGTTGGGTGCATTTATATATTTACAATTGTTACACACTCTTAAAGAACTTATCCCGGGGGAGGAGCCAAGATTGCCGAATAGGAACAGCTCCGGTCTACAGCTCCCAGAGTGAGTGATGCAGAAGACGGGTGATTTCTGCATTTCCAACTGAGGTACCAGGTTCATCTCACTGGGGAGTGCCAGATAGTAGGTGCAGGACAGTGGGTGCCCTGCACTGTGCACAAGCCGAAGCAGGGCGAGGCATCACCTCACCCGGGAAGTGCAAGGGGTCAGGGAATTCCCTTTCCTAGTCAAAGAAAGGGGTGACAGACGGCACCTGGAAAATTGGGTCACTCCCACCCTAATACTGCGCTTTTCCAATGGGCTTAAAAAAAGGGCACATCAGGAGATTATATCCTGCACCTGGCTCAGAGGGTCCTATGCCCACGGAGTCTTGCTCATTGCTAACACAGCAGTCCGAGATCAATCTGCAAGGTGGCAGCAAGGCTTGGGGAGGGGCACCACCATTGCCGGGTTAGTTTGATTAGGTAAATGAAGTGGCCAGGAAGCTGGAACTGGGTGGAGCCTACCACAGCTCAAGGAGGCCTGCCTGCCTCTGTAGGCTCCGCCTCTGGGGGCAGGGCACAAACAAACAAAAAGACAGCAGTAACCTCTGCAGACTTAAATGTCCCTCTCTGACAGCTTTGAAGAGAGTAGTTGTTCTCCCAGAATGCAGCTTGAGATCTGAGAACGGGCAGACTGCCTCCTCAAGTGGGTCCCTGACCCCCAAGTAGCCTAACTGGGAGGCACCCCCCAGTAGGGTTGGACCGATACCTCACATGGCCAGGTACTCCTCTGAGACAAAACTTCCAGAGGAACGATCAGGCAGCAGCATTTGCGGTTCACTAATGTCCGCTGTTCTGCAGCCACCGCTGCTGAAACCCAGGCAAACAGGGTCTGGAGTGGACCTCCAGCAAACTCCAACAGACCTGCAGCTAAGGGTCCTGTCTGCTGGAAGGAAAACTAACAAATAGAAAGGACATCCACACCAAAAACCCATCTGTATGTCACCATCATCAAAGACCAAAGGTAGATAAAACCACAAAGATGGGAAAAAAAATAGAGCAGAAAAACTGGAAACCCTAAAAATCAGAGCGCCTCTCCTCCTCCAAAGGAATGCAGCTCCTCACCAGCAGTGGAACAAAGTTGGATGGAGAATGACTTTGACGAGTTGAGAGAAGAAGGCTTCAAATGATCAAACTACTCCGAGCTACAGGAGGAAATTCAAAACAAAGGCAAAGAAGTTAAAAGCTTTGAAAAAAAATTAGACAAATGGATAACTAGAAGAACCAATGCAGAGAAGTCCTTAAAGAACCTGATGGAGCTGAAAACCAAGGCATGAGAGCTACGTGACAAATGCAGAAGCCTCAGTAGCTGATGAGATCAACTGGAAGAAAGGGTATCAGTGATGGAAGATGAAATGAATGAAATGAAGTGAGAAGAGAAGTTTAGAGAAAAAAGAATAAAAAGAAATGAACAAAGCCTCCAAGAAACATGGGACTATGTGAAAAGACCAAATCTACATCTGATTGGTGTTCCTGAAAGTGACAGGGAGAATGGAACCAAGTTGGAAAACACTCTCCAGGATATTATCCAGGAGAACTTCCCCAATCTAGCAAGGCAGGCCAACATTCAAATTCAGGAAATACAGAGAATGTAACAAAGATACTCCTTAAGAAGAGCAACTCCAAGACACACAATTTTCAGATTCACCAAAGTTGAAATGAAGGAAAAAATGTTAAGGGCAGCCAGAGAGAAAGGTTGGGTTACCCACAAAGGGAAGCCCATCAGACTAACAGCTGATCTCTCGGCAGAAACTCTACAAGCCAGAAGAGAGTGGGGACCAATATTCAACATTCTTAAAGAAAAGAATTTTCAACCCAGAATTTCATATCCAGCCAAACTAAGCTTCATAACTGAAGGATAAATAAAATACTTTACAGACAAACAAATGCTGAGAGACTTTGTCACCACCAGGCCTGCACTAAAAGAGCTCTTGAAGGAAGCACTAAACAAGGAAAGGAACAACCGGTACCAGCCACTGCAAAAATATGCCAAATTGTAAAGACCATCAAGGCTAGGAAGAAACTGCATCAACTAACGAGCAAAATAACCAGCTAACATCATAATGACAGGATCAAATACACACATAACAATATTAACCTTAAATGTAAATGGGCTAAATGCTCCAATTGAAAGACACAGACTGGCAAATTGGATAAAGAGTCAAGACCCACCAATGTGCTGTATTCAGGAAACCCATCTCACGTGCAGAGACACACATAGGCTCAAAATAAAGGGATGGAGGGAGATCTACCAAGCAAATGGAAAACAAAAAAAGGCAGGGGTTGCAATCCTAGTCTCTGATAAAACAAACTTTAAACCAACAAAGATCAAAAGAGACAAAGAAGGCCGTTACATAATGGTAAAAGGTTCAATTCAACAAGAAGAGCTAACTATCCTAAATATATATGCACCCAATACAGGAGCACCCAGATTCATAAAGCAAGTCCTGAGTGACCTACAAAGAGACTTAGACTCCCACACAATAATAACGGGAGACTTTAACACCCCACTGTCAACATTAGGCAGATCAACGAGACAGAAAGTTAACAAGGATACCCAGGAATTGAACTCAGATCTGCACCAAGCAGACCTAATAGACATCTGCAGAACTTGCCACACCAAATCAACAGAATATACATTCTTTTCAGCACCACACCACACCTACTCCAAAATTGACCACATAGTTGGAAGTAAAACACTCCTTAGCAAATGCAAAAGACCAGAAATGATAACAAACTGTCTCTCAGACCACAGTGCAATCAAACTAGAACTCAGGATTAAGAAACTCACTCAAAACCACACAACTACATGGAAAATGAACAACCTGCTCCTGAATGACTACTGGGTAAATAATGAAAGGAAGGGAGAAATAAAGATGTTCTTTGAAAGCAACGAGAACAAAGACACAACATACCAGAAACTCTGGGACACATTCAAACCAGTGTGTAGAGGGAATTTTATAGCACTAAATGCCCACAAGAGAAAGCAGGAAAGATCCAAAATTGACACCCTAACATCACAATTAAAAGAACTAGAGAAGCAAGAGCAAACACATTCAAAAGCTAGCAGAAGGCAATAAATAACTAAGATCAGAGCAGAACTGAAGGAAATAGAGACACAAAAAAACCTTCAAAAATTAATGAATCCAGGAGCCGGTTTTTTGAAAAGATCAACAAAATTGATAGACTGCTAGCAAGACTAATAAAGAAGAAAAAAGAGAAGAATCAAATAGACGCAATAAAAAATGATAAAGGGGATATCACCACCGATCCCACAGAAATACAAACTACCATCAGAGAATACTACAAACATCTCTATGCAAATAAATCAGAAAATCTAGAAGAAATGGATAAATTCCTCGACACATACATCCTCCCAAGACTAAACCAGGAAGAAGTTGAATCTCTGAATAGACCAATAACAGGCTCTGAAATTGACGCAATAATCAATAGCTTACCAACCAAAAAATGTCCAGGACCAAATGGATTCACAGCCGTATTCTACCAGAGGTACAAAGAGGAGCTGGTACCATTCCTTCTGAAACTATCCGAATCAATAGAAAAAGAGGGAATCCTCCCTAACTCATTTTATGAGGCCAGCATCATCCTGATACCAAAGCCTGGCAGAGACACAACGAAAAAAGAGAATTTTAGACCAATATCCTTGATGAACATCAATGCAAAAATCCTCAGTAAAATACTGGCAAAACGAATCCAGCAGCACATCAAACAGCTTATCTACCATGATCAAGTGGGCTTCATCCCCGGGATGCAAGGCTGGTTCAACATATGCAAATCAATAAATTTAATCCAGCATATAAACAGAACCAAAGACAAAAACCACATGATTATCTCAATAGATGCAGAAAAGGCCTTTGACAAAATTCAACAACGCTTCATGCTAAAAACTCTCAATAAACTAGGTATTGATGGGATGTATCTCAAAAAAATAAGAGCTATCTATGACAAACCCACAGCCAATATACTGAATGGGCAAAAACTTCAAGCATTCCCTTTGAAAATGGGGACAAGAGAGGGATGCACTCTCTCACCACTCCTATTCAACATAGTGTTGGAAGTTCTGGCCAGGGCAATCAGGCAGGAGAAGAAAATAAAGGCTATTCAATTAGGAAAAGAGGAAGTCAAGTTGTCCCTGTTTGCAGACTACAGGATTGTATATCTAGAAAACCCCATTGTCTCAGCCCAAAATCTCCTTAAGCTGATAAGCAACTTCAGCAAAGTCTCAGGATACAAAATCAATGTTCACAAACATTCTTATACACCAATAACAGACAAACAGAGAGCCAAATCATAAGTGAATTCCCATTCACAATTGCTTCAAAGAGAATAAAATACCTAGGAATCCAATTTACAAGGGATGTGAAGGACCTAGTCAAGGAGAACTACAAACCACTGCTCAATGAAATACAAGAGGATACAAACAAATGGGAGAACATTCCATGCTCATGGGTAGGAAGAATCAATATCGTGAAAATGGCCATACTGTCCAAGGTAATTTATAGATTCAATGCCATCCCCATCAAGCTACCAATGACTTTCTTCACAGAATTGGAAAAAACTACTTTAAAGTTCATATGGAACCAAAAAATAGCCCGCATTGCCAAGTCAATCCTAAGCCAAAAGAACAAAGCTGGAGGCATCACGCTACCTGACTTCATACTATACTACAAGGCTACAGTAACCAAAACAGCATGGTACTGGTACCAAAACAGAGATAGAGACCAATGGAACAGAACAGAGCCCTCAGAAATAATGCCGCATATCTACAATTATCTGATCTTTGACAAACCTGACAAAAACAAGCAATGGGGAAAGGATTCCCTATTTAATAAATGGTGCTGGGAAAACTGGCTAGCCATATGTGGAAAGCTGAATCTGGATCCCTTCCTTACACCTTATACAAGAATTAATTCAAGATGGATTAAAGACTTAAATGTTAGACCTAAAACCATAAAAACCCTAGAAGAAAACCTAGGCAATACCATTCAGGACATAGGCATGGGCGAGGACTTCATGTCTAAAATACCAAAAGCAATGGCAACAAAAGCCAAAATTGACAAATGGGATCTAATTAAACTAAAGAGCTTCTGCACAGCAAAAGAAACTACCATCAGAGTGAACAGGCAACCTAGAGAATGGGAGAAAATTTTTGCAATCTACTCATCTGACAAAGGGCTAATATACAGAATCTTCAATGAACTCAAACAAATTTACAAGAAAAAAACAAACAACCCCATCAAAAAGTGGGTGAAGGATATGGACAGACACTTCCCAAAAGAAGACATTTATGCAGCCAAAAAACGCATGAAAAAATGCTCATCATCATTGGCCATCAGAGAAATGCAAATTAAAACCACAATGAGATACCATCTAACACCAGTGAGAATGGCGATCATTAAAAAGTCAGGAAACAACAGGTGCTGGAGAGGATGTGGAGAAATAGGAACACTTTTACACCATTGGTGGGACTGTAAAATATCAGCAAAATATCGCAAGGACAAAAAACCAAACACTGTATGTTCTCACTCCCGGGTGGGAATTGAACAATGAGAACACATGGACACAGGAAGAGGAACATCACACACCATGGACTGTTGTGGGGTGGGGCGAGGGGGGAGGGATAGCATTACAAGATATACCTAATGCTTAATGACGAGTTAACGGGTGCAGCACACCAACATGGCACATGTATACATATGTAACAAACGTGCACGTTGTGCACATGTACCCTAAAACTTAAATTATAATAATAAAAAAAGAACGTATCCCTTTATCACTACATAATGTTGCTCCTTGTCTCCTTTTATAGTTTTTGATTCAGCATCTGCTTTGTTTAATACAAGTATTGCTACCTCTGATTCTGTTTAATTTCTATTTGCATGAAATGTCTTTTTCGATTTCTTCCATGTGTGTCCTTAAAAGGGAGGTACATGTATTTTAATCAGCATATAGTCAGGTTTTGTTTTTATCCATTCATTCATTTATTGGAGAATTTAATTCATTTCTACTCAAGATTAGTATTGATAGTTAAGGATTTACTACTGCTACTTAGTTGTTTTCTGCGATTTTTTGTTTGTTTATTTCATTTTTTTTTCATTTTTCATCTCTCGCTGTCTTTCTTTGTGGTTTCATGGTTTTCTATAGTCATATGTTTTGAATTGTTTTCATGTTTATTTTATTTTTTTTTTTTGAGACGGAGTCTCGCTCTGTCGCCCAGGCCGGACTGCGGACTGCAGTGGCGCAATCTCGGCTCACTGCAAGCTCCGCTTCCCGGGTTCACGCCATTCTCCTGCCTCAGCCTCCCGAGCAGCTGGGACTACAGGCGCCCGCCACTGCGCCCGGCTAATTTTTTGTATTTTTAGTAGAGACGGGGTTTCACCTTGTTAGCCAGGATGGTCTCGATCTCCTGACCTCATGATCCACCCGCCTCGGCCTCCCAAAGTGCTGGGATTACAGGCGTGAGCCACCGCGCCCGGCCCTTCATGTTTATTTTGTGCAGGTCATGCAATTTTTGCTATTTGGTTACCAGAAAGCTTACAATAGTCTATTTCATAGTCTATTTCTATTACTTATAATTGTCTGTTTCAAGCTGACAACTTTGATTGCATAAAACTACTTTATACCTGAAAACATTTTCAACCACTGAAAAAAAGTAACTTATTTTTACAATTATTAATTTTAAATAAATTTTTAAATAATTGTAAATAAAACATTACATTTGGGATATTTTAAAAATTATTTTTAAAACCAAATAAATATTCATATATACAAATTAATTCTTTATTTCTGAGTTTTAGTTGCTTTACCTGAGAAAAAGAAAGGAGAATACAAGTTTAAATTTCCTCCTTCTTCTTAGGAAAGAATCCCTAATATAAATTGACATATTCTTCAAATACTGTCTCTAGTTTAATCTTTATAGTAATCCACCAAAGTTGGCTATAATTTAATTTATCTAATGAGGGAAATAGGTCTCAAACACATTGATAAGTTTCCCGCTTTAGAAGCTATTAATACTTGGCCTAAAAATTATAAACATTAGTTTTGGAGACATTCAGCTTAAGTTTGAAGGCAATTTTGACCACTCCTTTTATCTCGTTAAGAATTAGTGTAGGCATTTTCAACAGGAGATGATACTGCCTGATAGTACCTGCCTTAAGTTCCTGTGAATATTAAAAGAATTGATTGATGTATATCACTTAGAAAAAGTGACTTGAACATATTAAGTAGTCCATAATATTTCTAATATCTCATAATGTGACTAATAATTGTAACATTTACCATAATTGAAATAGACTACTACTACAAAACTAGAGCATATCTAACTAACACTGAATCCCGTACATGTTTGGTACCCGTGCACCCAAGAACACACACACACACATGTCTCTATAACACAGTGTGATATTGCATGGTAGAATACAATATATATAAGGCAGAGAAAAGAAGACTTCATCTTTAACACAATTAGCTAACAGTATTAACACTGAAATGAAAACATGCTCACCAGAATTGTGTACTACATAGATAAATCTGACTCTTCCTCCATTCTCTAGAGATCATGTGCTGTATGTGTGTGTGTGTGCCCACAAAAGTGTCTGAATTCAGTGACAGCTTAAAATAGCTGTATAAATACAAATACTGATCTCTATAGATATGTATTTATTGTTCCTGTTAATAATAATATTTTCTATTTGAAGAATATGATTTATATTATGAAATGTTTTTATGGAAATTATTTCATTTTCCACTCTGCCTTTGAAAAAATTAAGGTTTGAAAAGACCAAATGACAAACAAGTTCAAATATTGAAAACTCAGAGATTCTGAAATTTACAGGTAAAATATGTTTTTTAAAAAATATAACCACCATCCACAGTTTTTTGTATTATCAGAGTTAGAAAACATATTCAAAGATTAGCAATTTTAGGCTTGGAAATCTATGGAGGCAAAGGGGCTTATATAAGGTAGATAATGGATAAACTCCTGGACACCATTATTACCCTGGAGGACTGGTAGTTTAAATGGCATAGTTCTTTCTAGCAGCGTCTCTCATGTCACTAGCATTTACCTCATTCAGAAACAAATACATTAACCAATCTCTTGGAGGAAAAGCAAGGTTATTTTCCTATGTTTGTCATAAGCAGAGAATACATTGACCACAACCATGCTCTTGTTCTTCTAACATGCCCCTTTGTTTATAGCATCCTTACTGATTTATTTGTTAAATCTATCTACACGTCATGGCTTAATTTCCTTCACTAACTTAATAAGTCTTAGATTTAGCTTTCCACTGGGCTTGGAGAAGTGAAGCTCTATTTTTTTTTTAAGTAAGAAAAAGGTGAATTTGAGTAAAGGTAAGTAGCACATATGGAAAATTGAACAATGAGATCACATGGACACAGGAAGGGGAATATCACACTCTGGGGACTGTGGTGGGGTGGGGGGAGGGGGGAGGGATAGCATTGGGAGATACGCCTAATGGTAGATGACGAGTTAGTGGGTGCAGCGCACCAGCATGGCACATATATACATATGTAACTAACCTGTACAATGAGCACATGTACCCTAAAAGATAAAGTATAATAAAAAAAAAGAAAAAAAAAACAAAAACAAAAACAAAAAAAAAGAAAAATGTTGTGCAACTTCAAAGGGAAAATACTTTTTTATATGATAATTTCTTAAAATATGGATAGATCATATGTAGAATGTAATTATCATTAAAACCCTTTTTATCATTGTATTTTATTTGCATTCTTGAATTTTTAATTTAATATACTTAAATCAGTTTTCATTATTTTTTTGATTGACATCAGACAGAATTTTCCCTAAGACATTATTATTGAAACAGAAAGAAGCTTTACTACCATAAATTAGCATTCCTAGAACCAGAAAAGCAAACAAACAAGAGACACACAAAACAAAATTAATTTCTTGTAATATTGTTGAATAGATTACTTTCAAAATTGCTTAGTGAGATTAATCCAAACCAGGATTAATAGTTCTAAGATTCATCTTCCAGATTTGAACTCTAATATTCTATCTCTGAGACTAATTGTATCATAATAAAAAACGTTCTCAAATTCATGTTTAGAAAACACACAGGCAGAGAGCATGTGGTTTTCCAGAGAAATAGCTATCCAGTGAGGGGGAAATACTACTTGTTTATGTAAGTGGGGATATCAGAGGGTCACAAACAGTAGGAATTATGGTTGGTCATTTGGCCCTGCCTCCAAAAAATAATTCAAACAAACCCACACTTAAATGTCTACTAAGAATGAAATTACAGTTCTTAATCTTTAATAATTTGTATGTAGAATCTGTTCTTCAATGTTCCAGTCTTCCTTTTTGAAAACTTTATCCTCACATAGCAGCTTATACCAATTTTTTTCCTAATCTTTCTTCAATTGTGATTAAAAACAGGTGGTCACCACTTTTTGAAAAGTAACCTTTTATATCCTTGAGGACAATTATGAAATCACCTTTCAGCTTTCTCTTTATAAAATCAAATGAAGCAAATGACTGGACCTTCCTCACAGGTGCTACGTTTTAGCTATTTAATTATCTTAGTGTCCCTCCACTGCAACTTATTCCACTTTTCCTAAATCCCTCAAGTAGTAAAAGCCATAAAGTAGCAGAATGGACTCATATGGATCTGGCCACCATGGGATATAAAGGGAATACTTGTGTCACTTGAAATTGCTCTCCTATTTATATACCCTAGTATACTGTATTAGTATCTTGCCTAGGGAGATGTAAAAATTGCAGATCTTTGTGGGAAATGGTATCTGGCAGCAAAACCTCTCATAAAATGTGTTCAATTAGTCCTGCACATTTTGTCAGATAAAGGGGAAGTTTTTGGCCAAACTGTTCAATTAGTGCTCATTAATATGGATGATATCATCTTTGGCCTGGCTTCTGAGTCCTCTTCTAAAGAATGACTCAGGACTAAAGAATGTTCATTCCATCCCAGTCCCATTAGATACTGTCTTCCCCTTACCCCCACCCCATACATGCCTATAGTTATTTCTTTCTTTTAAGCAAATACAAATAACTTTCAACGGGGAAATATTTTCAAGCAAAGTTCTCACTACTCACTACTATTTCAGAAAGTGTTTTATTTGGGGGCTACAGAAATATCCATAGTAGGCATTCAACCAAAAAATGGATTGCAAGCCTGCTGTGTGCCAGGCGCTGTTCCAGTGTGGGGACATAGCACTAAGCAAAACAGATGACATCTCTCCCTCGTGGAGCTTTGGTTTGAGTGGGACCAAGACAAACCATAAAGCAAATAAGAAAATGCTTAATCATAATATGTCAGGCAATGATAAAACTGGTTAAATGCAGTAGGGAGTACTATCCTTTGGGGCATTGCCATTTATAAAGCATAATAGGAAAAATGATCTTCAGGAGGTGACATTTGAAAATAGGCGTGAAGTAAAAGAGTAAACTATTTAAGCTATTTGGAGAGGAAGGCAACAAATTCAAAGGACCTCAGGCTTGTGTATGCCTAAACAGAACAGTGGAATTGGTCTGAGTTATTGGGTGGGTAGCAAAAGACTAGAGCAGATAGGGCATGCCTGAGGGTGTTGGGGGACAGATCTTACAGAGGGCCCTGAGAACTTTGTATTTTACTTGGAGTCAAACTGGAAACTGATAGGAGGCAAAGGTCAAAGTGGGAACCAGGTGGGAAATGTGAGACTGACACAGTTGAGGGCTGAGGATAACCAGTGTTAGATATAGTGAACTCCAAGTTTCTCTTCAAGGAATCAGTGTGTCAGTATGTTCAGCTCTCTTATTCTTTGATTCTCTATTTTAAAGTTTAACTTCCTTGTCCTCTTTGACCCCTTGCTTCTAGTTTCACAACTTTCCCACCAGCTCTAATCAGTAGTTCACATCTGTTCCCCTGGTCACCTGCTTTGACCTGAGTCACCTCTGGTCACCTGCTCTGACCTGAATCATCCTGAGTCACCTGTTCTGTAACTGCCCTTCCCACCAAACTACCCACCCCGCCACTCCAGCTTGTATCCCTGCTCTCTTTAAAATAGCCAATAAGAATTAGCTTACACTGTGGGGTCCAACCCTAGCCAATAGGGGAATGACACAGCAGTAGGGACTACCTACATCAGGAATAAGAACCCCTTACCCTCCCTGTCCATGTGTGCCCTCACCTTTACTCCATCTGCAAGTCACACCCTTCTATAGAAGTAAAGATTGTCTTGCCGAGAAAATTAAATTTATGTTCAAGTGCTATTTCTTCTTTTTGGTACCAAGGAACAAGCATTTGTTTCTAACACCAGTGTCACAACAGTGGTTCCAGATATGTTTTGCTGATGTGTCAGATATGGGTCATGATAAAACATTTCAGGAGTGACTCCAAGGTCTTGGGCAAGAGCAACTGAAAAGTCAGAACATCTCTTGACTGAGGTGTGTGTCTGCAGAGTCAGAGGACATGTTGTGTTGGTTGTATTTGAGGTATTCATTAGGCATCCACATGGAATCATCCAGAAGGCACTAAAAGTATTTGTTTGAAATGCAAGGGAGAGCTCTGAATAAATTTAGAATCATTGGCATATAAATGGCATTTAATGCAAGGCAGTTGGAAATAGGTTGGGAATTCCTAAAAAGTGAGTTTTGACAAAGAATTCTTAGCATTGCTGGCTCATTCTGAGGCTTTCGGTCCTCCTCTCTCGTTGTTTTACAAAATAGTACAACACTCAAAAAATACTTCAAAAATAAATTTCTTCTCACAATCCAAAAATAGCATTGTTGTCAGTTTTACACATTTCAGTTAAATAGTAAACAGGTTATGTATTATGTATAAGAACTACAAATAACAATGAATAGTTTTAAACTATATAAAATTATGCGATGTGTACATATACCCTAATGAAATATGTTTTTATTTACTTAACATTACTGGAAAAATGGATTATGAAAATGATTGAGCATGGTGTATCTCAGAGCCATTATTTATATATGTAATAAAACACATCCCTCTCTCCTTTTGTATGTAATTCTCTTCCATAAATGACATTTAAAAAAAAACTATATCCTCTATAATGTTCAATGTATTAGTTAATATTTCAACATCAAAAAAACATAAGCATGTAACCTGCATAATTCCAATCTTATGTAAATACAAAGCAAATTGGTATTCTGGCCAAAATAGGTTATTATTTCTGCACTCAAATTTGATAAAATTTTAATGTCTATAATTTATTATATTAGTTCAAAAATTATCAGATCAATTAGTAAATATTTTCTATGGCATTTAATCTTTTGTTGAGATGAGTATGACTTTTTTTTACTTGAAAGCATTTCTCCTAAAACAAAAGTATAAGGGAGAAGATAAACCAAACGAAATTTAAGTATTTGTTTAGTTTTATTTACATTGTGTTTTCACATTACTGTAGCGAATAAACACCTGTTCTCAGAGTCATTGGGATGGATTCCCAATGCAGATGGGAAGGCTGCTTACCTGCGGGTCATTTACTGTCTGCAAGTCTTTAAGCTGGTTGGAGCTGCGAGCACATACCTGGATCTGGTCTCACCTTTATTCTCATTCCAGGGCCGCAGCCCAATGCTTCCACGTCACCAGAGCCCTAGGATGTTGCGCTTGAGGACCATTGGTCAGATTAGGGGCTGGTAAACAATGGAAAACAATAGAGATAGACTGCCTCCGAAGGGTGTTGGTAGAAATGGTAGACAGAGCCACTACCATTTTGTAACTGTGCTCTAGTTTGTAGCACTTTGCTCTCATACATTTCAATGTGTGCAAGCTTAAAACCTCTCCAAGCAGAAAAAGAATCTGAAAATGATGCCTACTAAGAACAACACTTAAAGTCCAATGAGAAAAATTGAAAATTGCATTCTTGGTGTTTTGATCCCATTCACATAATTGGTATCGACCAACTACAGCTTCATCAGCTATATGCCCCTAAGTCAAGAGGCTGAAGCCCATAAAGAGTGTACTGAACAAACAGTCCTGACAGGATTTGCAAATTCAGTGTGAGAATGTGGACAAAGGATAATACTATATAATACTATCTTATTCATTCTGTTTGAATTGTTTTATTAAGCAAGTTTTTACAATAAAATTGCCTGTCACATACACTATCCTTTTTGAAGAAGCTATCTGCACTGCATGACTGGCCTCTTTCTCCCACTGACATACAACATAAGCAGATGATTCAGCAAGTTTTAGGAATTGTACATGATGGAGTCAATTAGTATCCTCAGAAGACTTCTGGTGACTGAGGGCAGTGGAGAAAGAGGAGAACTCTAAGGGTTAACAGGCCAAGGCTATATGTCCATTTCTGCTCTTGATTCCATGCAACAGAAGGCCCAAGGGAGGCCAGGTAAGGTCCCCTTGCCCAAATACAGGTTTCTGCATATTACCTACCACTGAGTAGTAGCCTTATTTCTGATCTTGACCCTCTCTCAATTTCCTTTACATACTGTATGTAGTTGTAATTGAGTTCATACCATGCCCAGAGAAAAGCAATCTTCAAAAGTTACAAATATGATCAAATGTCATCTCACCACCAGAGAAATAAATCCATCCTCTTAGTGTCAAGCAAGCACTTGCTCAGAAGACAGTTCCCTGATTCCAAGCCTGGGAGGACAACTTATTCTAATGCCTATTTGGACTAAGGTAAAATAAATCTAAGTCTTCAGAATTGCCAGAAAGTTATATTATTCAGAAAAAGTGAGAATGACACTGGATAAAAAATAAGGGAATTGCCATTGTTAGCATGACTGATATCACTTCAAGGGTAGCATTTATTCCACAAGCAATTTAGAGTCAGAAATCACTAACATGTATTGAATGCTTACAAAGTGACTAGTTTAAACAGACTTATTGATAATAGTAACCCCATAATGTGGCTATAATTATAATTCCTGATTTAAAGGTAAGGATTCTGAAGATACTTAAGATAATATACCATTGAGATATTGTTGATATTAATTGGGCCAGAATTCAAGTTCAGGTAACATCAGGCTAGTTCATTCTATTAACACATCACTACTCTTTCTCTTGACCAACTAATTCAGTAATCCATGTTAATTAGACATACAACAACTAAGTAATACTTAGTACATAATGAATAACTGAAGTATAAATGCATTTACAGAAACAAAAATAAGATTATTTCCAGAAATAAATGGTAGCCATGAATAAAGTCAGAAAACTTGTCTTAGTTTCTATGAAGCCCACAGGCTGTTATCCAGTGCAAACAGTTAATAGATTATATTGTAATAATACTACAGCAAAATTGAATATTATTCCATGTTTTGATTTAAAAACTATCAAAAATGTAGCTATTATTTAAAAACCATTTTAACCAATACCTCCAAGACACAATGATAAAACACACATATACACATATAGTTGTGTATGTATGTGTTTATTTATCTATATCTTTAGATATATCCTTGGAAAAGAAAACATACCACAGGAGTGCATTATTTCTCTCTCAACTACTCTTCATCACAATGAATTGGAACACTATAAAAAATTTTCTCAATAGTTTTACAAAAAATTATGAACAACGTCAATTTTGACAAGAGCCAGTTATGGGATATAATCCCAAAGGTAAATTTTGCATGCTTCTAATTTTATTATTTACATAAATATGAGTTAATAGGAAATATTTCAGATAAAGTTTGGCTGAACATTCCTTCAATCATGTATGGACAAAATTTTAAAGTCCCCAAGCTGGAAGGGCAAAAACAAATAAAAATGAAATTGTATAACTTACGGTTAGTAAATCAAGTAGATATGTTCCTTAAATATTCAAAAACTTGACTTGCTCCAAATCCATTTCAAACAATATAAATATGTTGACACACTTGTAAACATTACAGCCCTGTCCAACCACATTTTCCAGAAATAGGACTTGTCTGGATATAGTAAGAACACAGAGCAACTTGGTCCAGAAAAGTTGGGTGCTTATGGATTTCAGCAGTTACTGCTGAGCATATCTGTAATCTTCACTTTCTCTACTTTTACTAAAAATGAATGTTGAGCAATAGAACATATCAATTCAATTATTTAAAATATGCAAAGGTTAAGTAACAGGAGGTAGAGAATGTTTGATATATGCTGCTGAGTTTCCATAAGAAACAATGTTAATAATAGATTTTGATATTATTCTAAAAAAAAAATAGCACAAATAGCAAGAACACTATTATTATTATTCTTTTCTTTTCTTTCTTTTTTTCTAAATTTTACTTTAAGTTCCGGGATACATGTGCAGAAAGTGCAGGTTTGTTACATAGGTATACATGTGACATGGTGGTTTGCTGCACCTATTGATCAGTCCACTAAATTCCCTCCCCTTGCCCTCCTCTCCCCACACGCCCTGGTGTATGTTGTTCCCCTCCCTTTGTTCATGTGTTCTCATTAAGAACAATATTATTATTGTTAATAAAATAATGCATGACAGTTAAAATATTGTTAATTTCATTAGTAGTGAAATGATGTATTGAAAACTGGCACTGCAAACTATCTATGCCACTGTATCATTAAAAATATATTCTAAATCAATTTGAAGGCCACTGGAAAACTTTTCCATAATATTTCTTAGTGGATGAAGGCTTCAGAAGGAGATGACATCTGGGCTTCTTCTGACATTAAAATTATATTTTTACTTTTAAAACAGTAATATAAGGTTTTGGAAGGTCAAACAGTTTTACAATCATATACTATGTAAATTTGCAAGGCAGAACATTTCTGTAAACAGAAATCTAAACAAATTAAGTCTAGAAAGGTTATGGAAAAACCTGAAATAGACCTGAAGGAATTTAAGCTAAATAGAGCATTAAAAGTAATTCTCATTCTAAGGGATGAATCCTTGAGATTGGCACCAAATTATTTGTGCAACAAAACCCATTTTCTAGCTTTTTTCTTACATTAAGGATATGTTATGTTATGGGTGTCCATATAAAATTTTACTAACCAGATATTATTATGGAAGATGTCATTATTAAACATAATATTTTTAAGCATTCGATTTATTCACAATTCATAAAGATTTATTTGCATATGATAGGTAGATTTTCCTAATATAGATGTACTCTCACATTTTTATTAAAATTACTACAGTAAATTAAAATGTTAGGATTTAAAACAGCTATGCTTTTCCAGTGCTTATTTTCAGTATATTTGGATTATCTTCTGACTCAGCTTAAAGGGGAACAAATTTCTGCAACATGGAAATCCATAATCATTCATAAATATATTGCTTTTAGACTCACTTTAATGAGGAAATAATACCCCAAAAATATATTTTGAGAGAGATAAATATAAGATGTTGGTTTATTTTGTATATGTGTGAATTTTTTTCACTCCAAATATTGGAAAACAGAATTAGATAGCTTTTGTGTACATATTAAATTCTTAATGAGATAAAGTGACTGAATCTTTCTATTACCAAATCACATTGCTGATAAATACTTATTTGACCTAAATAATAATCTTGCATTGTTTTAGAAATATCTTTAAAAAATAGTGAGAATATAACTTTTTAAACAAAAGAATAAACAAACATTTTGAGAATTATAAGATAAATTACAGAATAATATGAAATTATTTAAAAATATTTTGAGAAAACTATGCTTTACTCACACCTGTCAAAAAAAATGGAGTGCAAATGACATTATTTAAAAACAATAGTGTGAGAAAGATAATAAATAGGTGTCACTAGATAAGAAAAAACTAAAAGAATCAGAAACGGTATGTTGAGCTAAAGGAGCATGTTTTAACACAATGCAAAGAAGCTAAAAACCTTGATAAAAGGTTAGAGGAACTGTTAACTAGAGTAACCAGTTTAGAGAAGAACATACACACAAATGAACTGATGGTGCTGCGTAACACAGCACGAGAACTTTGTGAAGCATACACAAGCATCAATAGCCAAGTCAACCAAATGGAAGAAAGGATATCATTGTTTGGAGACCACCTTGCTGAAATAAGCCATACAGAAAAAACCAGAGAAAAATGAATGAAAAGGAATGAACAAAGCCTCTGAGAAATATGGGACTTCATAAAAAGTCCAAACCTGGAGTACCTGAAGGAGACAGGGAGAATGGAAACAAGCTGAAAAACACACTTCAAGATAATATCCAGGAGAACTTCCCCAATCTAGCAAGAAAGGCCACCATGCAAATTCAGGAAATGCAGAGAACAACACTAAGATACTCTATGAGAAGATATACCCCAAGACACATAATCATTAGATTTTCCAAGGTTGAAATGAAGGAAAAACTGCTAAGGGCAGCCAGAGAGAAAGGCCAGGTCACTTACAAAAGGAAGCCCATCAGACTAACAGTGGATCTCTCAGCAGAAATTCTACAAGCCATAAGAGATTGGGAACCAATATTCAACATTGTTACATATCCAGTCAAACTAAGCTTCATAAACAAAGGAGAAATAAAATCCTTTCTAGACAAGCAAATGCTGAGAGATTTCGTTACCACCAGGCCTGCCTCACAAGAGCTCCCAAAAGAAGCACAAAATATGGAAAGGAAAAACGGGTACCAGCCACTGCAAAAACACACCAAAATATAAAGACCAATGACACTATGAAGAAACTGCATCAACTAATGGCCAAAATAATCAGATAACATCATGATGACAGGATCAAATTCACATATAATAATACCAACCTTAAATGTAACTGGGCAAAATGCCCCAATTAAAAGACACAGATTGGCAAATTGGATAAAGAGTCAAGACCCATCAGTGTGCTGTATTCAGGAGAACCATCTCATGTGCAAAGACACACATAGGCTCAGAATAAAGGGATGGAAGAAAATTTACCAAGGAGATGGAAAAAAAAAAGTAGGGGTTGCAATCCTAGTCTCTGAAAAAACAGACTTTAAACCAACAAAGATTTAAAAAGACAAAGAAGAGCATTACATAATGATAAAGGGATCAATGCAACAAGAAGAGCTAACTATCCTAAATATATATGCACCCAATAGAGGAGCATCCAGATTCATAAATCAAGTTCTTAGAGACCTACAAAGAAACTTAGACTGCCACATAATAATAGGAGACTTTAACACCCAGTTGTCAATATTAGAAAGATGAATGAGAGAAAATTAACAAGGATATTCAGGACTTGAACTCAGCTCTAGATCAAGTGGACCTAATAGACATCTACAGAACTCTCCACCCCAAATCAGCAGAAAATACATTATTCTGAATGCCACTTGGCATTTATTATAAAATCAACCACATAAGTGGAAGTAAGACACTCATGAGAAAATGCAAAAGAACTGAAATCATAACAAACAGTCTCTTAGACCATACTGCAATAAAATTAGAACTCAGGATTAAGAAACTCACTCAAACACACACAATTACATGGAAACTGAACAAACTGCTACTTAATGACTCCTGGTTAAATAATGAAATTAAAGCAGAAATCAAGAAGTTCTTCAAAACAAATGAGAACAAAGGTGCAATGTACAAGAATCTCTGGGACATAGCTAAACCAGTGTTTAGAGGGAAACTTATAGCACTAAATGCCCACATCAGAAAGCTAGAAAGATCTCAAATCTACACCCTAACATCACAATTAAAAGAGCTAGAGAGGCAAGAGCAAACTAATTCAATAGTTAGCAGAAGACAAGAAATAACTCAGGTCAGAGCAGAATTGAAGGAGATAGAGACACAAAATCCCTCCAAAAATCAATAAATCCAGGTGCTGGTTTTTTGAAAAAACAAAATAGATAGACTGCTAGCTAAACTAAGAAGAAAAGAGAGTAGAATCAAATAAACACAACAAAAAAAGGTTAAAGGGGATATCACTACTGACCCCAGAGAAATACAAACTACCATCAGAGAATACTATAAATACCTCTACACAAATAAACTAGAAAATCTAGAAAAATAAATAAATTCCTGGACACATACACCCTCCCAAGACTAAATCAGGAAAAGTCTAATCCCTGAATAGACCAATAACAAGTTCTGAAATTGAGGCAGTAATTAATAGCCTACCAACCAAAAAAAGCCCAGGACCAGGGAAATTCACAGCTGAATTCTACCAGAGGTACAAAAAGGAGCTGGTACCATTCCTTCTGAAACTATTCCAAACAATCCAAAAGGAGGGACTCCTCCTTAACTCATTTTATGAAGCCAGTGTAATCCTAATACCAAAACTGGAAAGAGACACAATAAAAAAACAAAACTTCAGGCTAATATCCCTGATGAATATTGATGTGAAATCTTCAATAAAATACTGGCAAACCGAATCCAGCAGCACATCAAAAAACTTACCCACCATGATCAAGTCAGCTTCATCCCTGGGATGCAAAGCTGGTTCAACATACCTAAATCAATAAATGTGTTCATCACATTGACAGAACCAATGACAGAAAACACGTGATAATCTCAATAGATGCAGAGAAGGCCTTTGATAAAATTCAACATCACTTCATGTTAAAAACTCTCAATAAACTAGGTATTGATGGAACATATCTCAAAATAATCAGAGCTATTTGTGACAAACCCACAACAGATATAATATTGAATGGGCAAAAGCTGGAAGCATTCCCTTTGAATACCGGTATGAGACAAGGATGCCCTCTCTCACCACTCCTATTCAACATAGTATTGGAAATTCTGGCCAGGGCAATCAGGCAAGAGAAAGAAATAAAGCGTATTCAGATAGGAAGAGAGGCAGTCAAATTGTCTCTTTTTGCAGATGACATATTTCTATATTTAGAAAACCCAATCATCCCAGCCAAAAAATTCCTTAAACTCATAAGCAACTTCAGCAAAGTCTCAACATACAAAATCCATTTGCAAAAATCACAGGCATTCCTTTACACCAACAATAGACAAGCAGAGAGCCAAATCATGAATGAACTCCCATTCACAATGGCTACAAAGAGAATAAAATACCTAGAAATACAGCTAACAGGGATGTGAAGGACCTCATCAAGGAGAACTACAAACCACTGCTCAAGGAAATAAGAGAGGACACAAACAAATGGAAAAATATTCCATCCTCATGGATAAGAAGAATCAATATCATGAAAATGGCCACAATGCCCAAATTAATTTATAGATTCAATGCTATTCCCATCCAACTATCATTGACATTCTTCACAAAATTAGGAAAAACTACTTCAAATTTCATGTGAAATCAAAGGAGACCCTCTATAGCCAAGACAATCCTAAGGAAAAAGAATGAAGTTGGAGGCATCAGGCTGCCTGACTTCAAACTATACTACAAGGCTACAGTAACCAAAACAGCATGGTACTGGTATCAAAACAGGCAATGGAACAGAACAGAGACTTCAGAAATAATACTACACATCTATAACTGTCTGATCTTCGACAAACCTGACAAAAACAAGCATGGGAAAAGGATTCCCTATTTAATAAATGATGCTGGGAAAACTGGTGAGCCATTTGCAGAAAAGTGAAACTGGACTACTTCCTTACACCTTAAACAAAAATTAACTCAATATAGATTAAACACTTAAATGTAAAACCCAAAATCATAAAAACCCTAGAAGAAAACCTAGGCAATATCATTCAGGACATAGGGATAAGCCAAGAATTCATGTCAAAAATGCAAAAAGCAATTGCAACAAAAGCCAAGATTGATAAATGAGATCTAATTAAACTAAAGAGCTTCTGCACAGCAAAATAAACTATCATCAGAGTGAACAGGCCACCTACAGAATTGGAGAAAACTTTTGCAACCTACCCATCTGACAAAGGTCTAATATCTAGAATTTACAAGGAACTTAAACAAATTTACAAGAAAAAAAACAAACAACCCCATCAAAAAGTGTGCAGAGGATATGAACAGGCACTTCTCAAGAGAAGACTTTTATGTGGCCAAAAACATGTGAAAAAAAATACTCAAGATCACTGATCATTACAGAAATGCAAATCTAACCACAATGAGATACCATCTCATGCTAGTTAGAATGGTGATTATTAAAAAGTTAAGAAACAATAGATGGTGGAGAGACTGTGGAGAAATAGGAATACTTTTACACTGTTGGTGAGAATGTAAATTAGTTCAACCATTTTGGAACACAATGTGGCAATTCCTCAAGGATCTAGCATCAGAAATACCATTTGATCCAGACATTTTTTTTTATTATTATTATACTTTAAGTTTTAGGGTACATGTGCACAATGTGCAGGTTAGTTACATATGTATACATGTGCCATGCTGCTGTGCTGCACCCATTAACTTGTCATTTAGCATTAGATATATCTCCTAATGCTATCCCTCCCCCCTCCCCCCACCCCACAACAGTCCCCAGAGTGTGATGTTCCCCTTCCTGTGTCCATGTGTTCTCATTGTTCAATTCCCATCTGTGAGTGAGAACATGTGGTGTTTAGTTTTTTGTCCTTGCGATAGTTTACTGAGAATGATGATTTCCAATTTCATCCATGTCCCTACAAAGGACATGAACTCATCATTTTTTATGGCTGCATAATATTCCATGGTGTATATGTGCCACATTTTCTTAATCCAGTCTATGATTGTTGCACATTTGGCTTGGTTCCAAGTCTTTGCTATTGTGAATAGTGCCGCAATAAACATACGTGTGCATGTGTCTTTATAGCAGCATGATTTATAGTCCTTTGGGTATATACCTAGGAATGGGATTGCTGGGTCAAATGGCATTTCTAGTTCTAGATCTCTGAGGAATCACCACACTAACTTCCACAATGGTTGAACTAGTTTACAGTCCCATCACCAGTGTAAAAGTGTTCCTATTTCTCCACATCCTCTCCAGCACCTGTTGTTTCCTGACTTTTTAATGATCGCCATTCTAACTGGTGTGAGATGGTATCTTACTGTGGTTTTGATTTGCATTTCTCTGATGGCCAGTGATGATGAGCATTTTTTTATGTGTCTTTTGGCTGCATAAATATCTTCTTTTGAGAAGTGTCTGTTCATGTCCTTCGCCCACTTTTTGATGGGGTTGTTTGTTTTTTTCTTGTAAATTTGTTTGAGTTCATTGTAGATTCTGGATATTAGCCCTTTGTCAGATGAGTAGGTTGCAAAAATTTTCTCCCATTTTGTAGGTTGCCTGTTCACTCAGATGGTAGTTTCTTTTGCTGTGCAGAAGCTCTTTAGTTTAATTAGATCCCATTTGTCAATTTTGGCTTTTGTTGCCATTGCTTTTGGTTTTTTAGACATGAAGTCCTTGCCCATGTCTATGTCCTGAATGGTAATGCCTAGGTTTTCTTCTAGGGTTTTTATGGTTTTAGGTCTAACATTTAAGTCTTTAATCCATCTGGAATTAATTTTTGTATAAGGTGTAAGGAAGGGATCCAGTTTCAGCTTTCTACATATGGCTAGCCAGTTTTCCCAGCACCATTTATTAAATAGGGAATCCTTTCCCCATTGCTTGTTTTTCTCAGGTTTGTCAAAGATCAGATAGTTCTAGATATGTGGCGTCATTTCTGAGGGCTCTGTTCTGTTCCATTGATCTATATCTCTGTTTTGGTACCAGTACCATGCTGTTTTGGTTACTGTAGCCTTGTAGTATAGTTTGAAGTCAGGTAGCGTGATGCCTCCAGCTTTGTTCTTTTGGCTTAGGATTGACTTGGTGATGCGGGCTCTTTTTTGGTTCCATATGAACTTTAAAGTAGTTTTTTCCAATTCTTTGAAGAAAGTCATTGGTAGCTTGATTGGGATGGCATTGAATCTATAAATTACCTTGGGCAGTATGGCCATTTTCATGATATTGATTCTTCCTACCCATGAGCATGGAATGTTCTTCCATTTGTTTGTATCCTCTTTCATTTCCTTGAGAAGTGGTTTGTAGTTCTCCTTGAAGAGGTCCTTCACATCCCTTGTAAGTTGGATTCCTAGGTATTTTATTCTCTTTGAAGCAATTGTGAATGGGAGTTCCCTCAAGATTTGGCTCTCTGTTTGTCTATTATTGGTGTATAAGAATGCTTGTGATTTTTGTATATTGATTTTGTATCCTGAGACTTTGCTGAAGTTGCTTATCAGCTTCAGGAGATTTTGGGCTGAGACAATGGGGTTTTCTAGATATACAATCATGTCATCTGCAAACAGGGACAATTTGACTTCTTCTTTTCCTAATTGAATACCCTTTATTTCCTTCTCCTGCTTAATCGCCCTGGCCAGAACTTCCAACACTATGTTGAATAGGAGTGGTGAGAGAGGGCATCCCTGTCTTGTGCCAGTTTTCAAAGGGAATGCTTCCAGTTTTTGCCCATTCAGTATGATATTGGCTGTGGGTTTGTCATAGACAGCTCTTATTATTTTGAGATACATCCCATCAATACCTAATTTATTGAGAGTTTTTAGCATGAAACGTTGTTGAATTTTGTCAAAGGCCTTTTCTGCATCTATTGAGATAATCATGTGGTTTTTGTCTTTGGTTCTGTTTCTATGCTGGATTACATTTATTGATTTGCCTATATTGAACCAGCCTTGCATCCCAGGGATGAAGCCCACTTGATCATGGTGGATAAGCTTTTTGATGTGCTGCTGGATTTGGTTTGCCAGTATTTTATTGAGGATTTTTGCATCAATGTTCATCAAGGATATTAGTCTAAAATTCTCTTTTTTGGTTGTGTCTCTGCCAGGCTTTTGTATCAGGATGATGCTGGCCTCATAAAATGAGTTAGGGAGGATTCCCTCTTTTTCTATTGATTGGAATAGTTTCAGAAGGAATGGTACCAGTTCCTCCTTGTATCTCTGGTAGAATTCGGCTGTGAGTCCATCTGGTCCTGGACTCTTTTTCGTTGGTAAGCTATTGATTATTGCCACAATTTCAGATCCTGTTATTGGTCTATTCAGAGATTCAACTTCTTCCTGGTTTAGTCTTGGGATGGTGTATGTGTCGAGGAATTTATCCATTTCTTCTAGATTTTCTAGTTTATTTGCATAGAGTTGTTTGTAGTATTCTCTGATGGTAGTTTGTATTTCTGTGGGATCAGTGGTGATATCCCCTTTATCATTTTTTATTGCGTCTATTTGATTCTTCTCTCTTTTTTCTTTATTAGTCTAGCTAGTGGTCTATCAATTTTGTTGATCCTTTGAAAAAACCATCTCCTGGATTCACTAATTCTTTGAAGGGTTTTTTTTTTAAATCTCTATTTCCTTCAGTTCTGCTCTGATTTTAGTTATTTCTTGCCTTCTGCTAGCTTTTGAATGTGTTTGCTCTCGCTTTTCTAGTTCTTTTAATTGTGATGTTAGGGTGTCAATTTTGGATCTTTCCTGCTTTCTCTTGTGGGCATTTATTGCTATAAATTTTCCTCTACACTCTGCTTTGAATGTGTCCCAGAGATTCTTTTAAATCTTATTACTGGGTATATGCCCAAAGGATTATAAATCATTCAGCTATAAAGACACATGCACACGTATGTTTACTGCAGCACTATTTACAATTGCAAAGTCGTGGAACCAACCCAAATGCCCACCAATGACAGACTGAATAAAGAAAATGTGGTACATATACACCATGGAATACTACATAGCCATAAAAAGAAATGAGATCATGTCCTTTGCAGGGACATGGATGAACTGGAAGTCATCATCCTCAGCAAACTATCACTGACATGTTCTCACTCACAAATGGAAGTTGAACTATGAGAACACATGGACACAGGGTGGGAAACAACACACATCAGGGCCTGTTGAGGGTTTAAGGGTCAGGGGAGGTACCTTAGAGGACAGGTCGATAGGTGCAGGAAATCACCATGGTACACGTATACCTAGGTAAGAAACCTGCACATTTTGCACATGTATCCCAGAACTTAAAGCAAAATAATAATAATAATAATAATAATAATAATAATAATAATAATGTGCGAAAGATGAAGAACATAGGTATCTCTAGACAAGATCTAGCTAAAAGAATCAGAAACCTCTCCTTGGAAAAAAAAACAAAACAAGAAAAGAGTATGAAACAATGATGTCTTTGAACTTTTAAGAGCAAATATAGGTCAATGAAACAAATTTTGAAACATGAGAATTAATTAATTAATACTTGGCACTTGAAAGATGTCTTGGTAAAAGGGAAATAAGTACTTTATATAACAGATGGGGAATTTATGGGAGTCACTTTCACAAAAGGATATGTGATAAAATATTAATAAACCAAGAAAATGTTATTAGATAACAAAAATAAAAAATAAAATTATGTTTTTAATCAATGACGATTATTATATTTTTAAGACAGGAAGCTGGATTTGAAGTTGCTGGGATTAGCTTTGTGGATGGCAGTGACTTCCTTCTGATGTGTTCTCTCTGGCATGTTCATAGACAGAACGAGGAATGGCTGAACCTTAGTTCTCACCCAGAGCAGCAACACTAAAACCTAAGTGCACGGCCTGTAACGTTTTTTAAAAATCACCAGGGAATTAAAGTTCTATTATCAGAGGAAAAACTAAAAACATATTTTCAGAAGCTTGTAGCTTAGGAAGAGACTAAACTTTTATACTAATTTAATTATAAAGTGTTACAGTAAAAAAATAACCATATTAATTTTAAATTACTTAATAAAATGTAAAGCAATCAACCTTTTTAAGAAAAATTACTTTAAAAATGAAAATGGATATAATTATAGTCAGAAAATGCAGAGACACCTCTTTTTACTAAGATGGTACTATGGTTTGAATATGTCTCCAAAATTGTATGTGTTGCAAACTTAATAACCAAATTTATATGTTGATAAGAGGTAGGGACTTGGGGAGCCAATTAGAATTAGATAAGGTCATCAGGATGGGGCCCCGTGATGGGTTTATTAGCTTTATAAAGAGAAGAAAAAGACCTGAGTTACTATGCTTGCTATCTCTCCTTGTGATGCTTCCCTCTGTGTTATGACACAACTGGTAGACCTTCACGACATGCTAGCATCATGCTCTTGGACTTCACAGTCTCCAGACCCATGAGCTAATAGTTAAACCTCTGTTCCTTATTAACTACTCAGACTGTGGTATTCAGTTATAGCAACAGAAAACAGATAAAGACAAATGGCCTCCCTAAAATGTAACTTTTTAAAAAAGTGGTTACTTTGGCGTTCTTACAATAGTTTCTACTAATACCTGCCATTGATATAAAATTCTATCGTAAAATGATTCTTCACATAAATTACAGTCTGCTGGAAATATTTTGGTCTCTCCCAAACCTTTAGCATTTGCCTAATAATGATATCGATATACTCTTATATCATGTATTATCTTCCGTTATACCTTAATTTATGTGTATATTATATATTTCTATATTTTGTATATTGATTTATTTTGCTTTTATTTTAAACCATATTATAAGAAACATACTCTAATTTGGAGCATCTCTTTTCTATTAAAATGCAAGCAGTTGCGATAAAAGAAATAATAATATTAGATTTAGCTTTTCAATCACATTTAAGTAAATATGGGGTATGGGAAAATATATATTTGATATCAAAATATAAGGGTTATAAATAAATTGACACATTATTTATTGAAGATGTAATTATTCCATTATTTTAATTTTAAAAAGTTATTTTTTCTATTTATGCCTTTGTTTATTCTACTTATTTTTGTTAGTATTTCTTCTTAGCTATTCTTAATTTGAGCACAGTTTTAGCACTGTCTTAGAATGTTGTACAAGCCTGGTAGCCTTTAGGGATTTCTATAATAATTTACTGTGTTGTCTCTATATGAGGCAGGTTCACTTTTTCTTGTTTGCTTGTTTTGCATTTCTATTTATATAGAAACTCCTGACATGGAATAATTTTTAATACAATCAGATTTAAAGAACATTTGCAAGTGAATTACAAATACTTATTTTCTGAACTGTTTGTTAACTACCAATGTGATACTTCATTACCTCCCACCCTCATACTTCAGTGTGTGTGTACCTTCTACAAACAAGAACATTAGGGCATTCACCTACATAAACACAATGCAATCATCAAAGCAAGGACTCTGATGTGGTCTAGTCCTTGGGCTTCATTCATGACTCACCAGTTCAGAATCCTCTGCTGCATGTGGTTGTTCTGTGATGCTACTTGCCTTCAGTGAGAAAAATGCCTTGATCTTTTCCTAACTTTAATGACTTTGACACTATTGAAGAAAATAGGACATTCATTTTATATGAAATGTGTCTCACTTGGGTTTGTTGGAGATTTTCTCAGGACTAGAATAGGTTAAATCACATTAGATTTGGTTAGATTACATTGGTTTTCTCCTTTACATTACATTAGATAGATGTTTCCTCCTAGTTAGATTTCATTTGTACCCAGCTTTAGTGGGAATGTCATGAACCTGCTATTTTGCTAATTATTATAGTCTGTCTCCCTATCAGACATGCATAATTTTTGATGTGTTGCTTTAATGAAGTGTTCACTTTGATCAATTTGTTAAGGCAATGCTGTCACTTTTGTGCTCTGTAAAGTTCTCCTTTATTCTTTTATAATTACAGTAAGTTATTTCTGAGGAGGTACTTTGAAACTAAGTAAGTTCTTTGTCCCTTGTCACATTTTTCACTTCTTTATTTTTATGAAGATAGACTTAATGGTTTCCTATTTTATTTGCTGAGTTATAATCCATTGCTAACATTTATTTTATCCCAGAATTGCTCAATTTGTCCCGAATTTGCCCAATAGATGCTCTTGAAAGTTGCTTTTATGTCTTTTCATCTATCTCCATCATTCTCTGAACACCTCCTTATTTCCTAGCACAGTAATATGACTTAGCCTCATCTTTGACTTTCTACGCCACAACCCAGCCATCAAACATTTCTCTACAGAGTTCTGGCTTTTTGCAGTGGAGAATAATATTGAGAAATGGAGAGCTTTGCTGAGTGTGCTCCTTGCTATTGAGAACTCTCTGACCCCAGATATTTTGGGGACAGAGTAAGGTACAGCTGCATACATATACATGCATGCACACACACACACACACACAAACACACACTACAAACTGAGGCTGCATACCAATATTTCTAATTGTAATCCAATACAACAGAATTTATTCTTGGCTTCTTTCTTTCTGTATTTATGACTTTCATCTCTAACAGTGAGAAATAAGGCTCCTATTTCACCTTCCGCATAACATATCTACTTAGTTGATCAATCCCTCTTTCTCCTTCCCCATCTCCCACCTGCATTCACTCTGAATACCCTCCTCATTCAACCCTGCCAAGCATGTTTTCTCCTTTTTTCTAAAAATGATTTTAGATGAATATCAGTGTGACTGTATTGCTCACTATGTATATTTTATCAAAAATGTAAACTTATTTGTAATACCAGGCTGAAAAACAGTATCATGAAAAATACTGTTTAAAAAAATAATCTCTGTCATCCAAAGACTTGTTCTTGCTAAATCTATTGCTAGCTCTGAAACAGGCAGTTGTTGAATATCTACAAACAAAATGATCCTCTAGTTTTTAAGGGTTTCCTGGCCAAATGATAGGGAGTACATTTTTATACAAATGATACACTGCTCATCTATTATGAATGAAGACAGACATTCCTTTCACTACTCCTCTATGTTCCCCATGTATGCTCTGTTAGCATAACAACTACTACACTTGGGCTTCAAGTCATGCAGTTACGTCCGATCTTCCTCTCACTAGGAAGAACCTGATCATTGCAACTGTACTCCTGAATTCAGCTGTAGGATGAGATCTAAGTTCCATTGGTAGCTGTCCCTGGGCTAAAGGCCTTGGGTATCCTCTGGGAGGCAGGTGATCATGGTGCCCAGAGAGATGAGGGCAAGATGCAGGGGGTCTACTTCTTTTTCCCATAGACACTGGTTTACAAAATCCTTTTTATTCAAAGAGGTGATCAAAGAATACACAGCCCCCCAAAAATATAGGAGAAAAAGTACTCAATAAGTGTCTTAGTGAATTAATTACAAATATAGGGTATTTTTCATAGATTTTCAATGTTTGTGGCATTTGCCAACTTTATTCTGCATCATGAGCTTTTTCTCATTCTTGATATATATTCACTTTCATGCCTAATTTTATATTCCTAGTTTTGCATTTTCTTAATTATTAAAGTCCCAAAGTTGAATAAATGACAGTTTCCCTAACAGCTCAACACACCCCTGTTGGCAGGCACCAGAGGTCTGTAATGCTAAAATGTACTCCGTGCTATAACTTAGTATCATCTCAGCTAATTGCCATGAGTTTCTAAAAAAATAGCCAAACTCTAGTTTTTGCTTTTGTTTTTCTCTTTTCTCTAACTTCCATGTTGCTTTACATTCTCTCCAATTGTTGATCCTAAATTTTGAGACGTGTAACATGGACATTTCTACTAGGTATGTCAGTAGGCAGAAATATAAACTGTTGAATACTTAGAGTTCGGGGACAAGATCTGGGCAGAACATATGCATTTGGAGTCATCAGGATAGAATTGCTGTTTATGTAAGTGTGGTTGAGATCTGTTACCCAATGGGAGGCTTAGTATTAGATAAGAGCAAGGATAGTTATCTGTCAGGATAGGGCTGCCAGGAGGCATTTGCAATGCTGAGAGAGTTTGCATGTAGGAAGTAGGATCATCTCCTAAAAGTGAGAATGGGAAGTGTATATTAATTTCAAAAAAGAATGAAAAAGGTTTAATATAAGTTCCAGTAGATTAGACAAGAGAATAGGCTAAGAAAATATGACATAACAATAGGAAGAATTAGAGGCTTTCTTGAGATTTTAGTCTGTAATTGAAAATGCAGGTTGTCTTTTTTCCAGCCATGCACCACTACAGTGCCGTGTTAGGGAGTTACAGCTCAGGCTAGAATCAGAGCAAAACGAGTCAAACCAGAGCGGTGCAAGAAGGCTGGTCTATGCAGGTGAGTAGCTACTGTGAGGGCACTATCTATTCAGGCCCGACTCCTCTGCCTCTCTCCTCCTAGCCCGCTGTCCATGCCCTGGTTGACCAGAAGATGTCCCAGGAGCACTCCCCTCTGGCCCCTTCATCTCCATCTCACGTTGCATTCGAAGAGGATTTTTAAATGGGCAACCTCAGTCCCTCCCTATGCTTGACATGCTTTAGTGGCTGTCCTTTGTTCCTCAGATAAAGTTCATGTGCTTTATTAAGGCCTTTTCCTATGATCTGTTCCATCCAAACACCAACACCAACCTCATACCCAAGATGACTACAGCTGTAACAAACTTGTTTGCCTTGTTGAAGGGACACATACTTCTTTGTAGCTCTGGGCAAGTTTATACATTATTCCTTGGACCAGGTTGCTCCTCCCCTCCTACTGGCTGGACTCCAACCCCTGCCATGACACATCTTCCTCTGTGGAGCCCTTTCACAGTCACTTAGGTTTCAGTTCATTAAAAGCCTCCTCCAAAATGCCCTTCCTAAACTCCTTCATCAGCTGGAATTTTTGTGAGTTCAACTCTCTTATACTGTTGTATTTATCCTTAATACCTAGTGGAGTGCTTGGCACATAGAAGGTACTCGAAGTAACTGATATGAATTAACAGACAAAAATGCATTCACAAATCAGTTAACCAATTCCTAATCTTCACAGCACCCTCTGCATCCATAGCTGCATTTCACAGATGAAGAACTGAAGTTCATAGTGCCCAATACACTCATAAAGGGTAATGTTTTAGTAACAGAAGTGGCATTTGTTGCCAAATTCCTTTTTCTGAAACCTTTGCTCTCTCATCAGTACCAGGCTGGCTCTCTGGTTCCCATCTTTTTTCCCAAATTATCAATATTTACGCTGAGAGACAGAGACAGTGTAGTATCATGTGCAAGAGCACAGAATTTTGACACATTGCAAGATTCATATCTTTAGCTCTGATATTTACTAGCTGTGTGACCTTAGGCTATTTACTTAAACTGCTTTTTGCCTCAGTTTCCAAATCTCTAAAATGGGAATAACAATAACTGACAGATAGTGGTGCTGTAAATACAAACTGAATTCATATACTAAGCACTTAGGACAACACCTGGCACATACATATAAACTATATGTACCAGATAAACCTTATTGCTTCATTTTTGTTATTACTGGTGTAGCTTCATTATGAACACATCAGAAGGGACAGGATTTTCCTGATTAATGGTCACAGGCAAGTTCTTCTGTGATCCAGACATTCAAATCTGACTTTTAATTAGCCTCACCTGAGGGATCCATTTTCTGGAGGCAGAAGTCTACAACTTGCACAGCTTGCATCAGAAGTGATACCTCATGGCAGGAGAGGGCTGGGCTGTAGAAGACTCCCCCTCTGATTTAGGCTGTAGAAGATGCCCCTTCTTATTTGCTCACCTGCCCCACCTATCTGACTGGCTTCCTTATCAACCAGTGATCCTGACACAGGAGAAGGCCAGAAGGTAATCTGCATGCAGGAAAATAATCCATTAGCATCGAATCTAGAAGCCACTCCTCTGTTCTCATGCTACATGAAATTTTCCTTTGGGAAAAGGAATGCTTGAAGGATGGCTTTATATGTCTAATGTCAAGCCACAAAGCATAAAGCACCAGCATTGTACTTACTAAGGGGAGGGGGACTTCCTTGATTACATACAACAATTGAAGGTAGATTTACATTGTATTTGATGTATGAGAATACTTATCGCCAGGCCTCACTAACCTATGTAAACATTTTCCCAAGTAGAACATCACACACCAGGGCCTGTTGGGAGGTTGGGGGCAAGGGGAGAGACATCATTAGGACAAATACCTAATACATGCAGGGCCTAAAACCTAGATGATGGGTGGATAGGTGCAGCAAACCACCATGGTACATGTATACCTACGTAACAAAACTGTACGTTCTGCACATGTATCCCAGAACTTGAAGTATTAAAAAAATTCAAGTAAACTAAGGCTTATAGAAAATTGTATATAGAAAGTTAAAATGAGAAGTAGTCTTTGATTTTAATTTGGTCAGAATGTAAATATACAGGCACTCTCATAGACACTTCTGATGGCCGCATAAGTTAAGATGACTTGTAGGAGGCAATTTGTACACATGGATTTAATATCTTGAATACATTAAAATATTTTTCCACATGGGGTTTCCAAAGCTCAGAATTTAGACTAAAGGAAATAAGAATTTGCATAAAAGTCTGAGCAAATATCAGTCCTTCCTACATATTATTATTTTGTCTCATTTATTTACTTACTATTTTTGTCTTCTTTATTGATTTACTTAACATCATATCACCTAATAAAATGCAAGCTCAATGAAAGCAGTGGCTTTTTCTGCATTTTTCTCAGCCACATAACAAGTGCTGAGGTTACCTGGTATATAGCAAACATTTAATTTTCTATTAAACCATTCAAATAATGATTGTTGTGATATGCCTGATAGCAATAACAAGTGGGGGAAAAAACTAAATGTAAAATTTTAAAGTGGACTCAATGAATACAAGCAAATGATGGGATAGATGAAATCTATCAAAAAGTTATCAGTGTTTTTAAGGAACATTAACTGTCATAGAAAAAAATCTCAAGACATATTTTTACACAAAATAGCAGATCATGAATTGCATAATCTTTGTCAAAAATTGTAACAAAGAGATAGAACATATTGTTTGTATATCTTGATAGAGCTAAACATAATGTTTATTATTTCCTTTAAAATTATCCTTTTTAACTACTATAGTAAACTGCATTATGTTCTAATGTTTAAATAGCTTTTTTTAAAAGAGAGGATTTAAAAGATCATGCAGCTACTTGGAGAGTGGTTAGAAAATAATTTAAGTCTAAGTAAGAATATATAAATATGTGTTGCGTTATTACTATGATAAAAGTTGTATTAGTGTACAGATAGAGAATAGACAAAGTTGATTTGTTGAGGCAGTTTTCTTTCCTTCCTTCCTTCTCCCTCCCTCCCTCCCTTCCTTCTCCTTCCTTCTTTCCTTTCTCCCCTCTGTGCACTCCCTGCCCTTCCTCCCTTTCTTTTTTCTCTTTCTTTCTTTCTTCTTTCTTTCTTTCTTTTCTTTCTTTCTCTTTTTCTTCCTTCCTTCCTTCCTTCTTTCTCTCTCTCTCTTTCTTTCTTTCTTTCTCTTTCTTTCTTTCTTCTTTCCTTCTTACTGTCTCTCTTTCTTTCTCTTTCTTTCTTCTTTCCTTCTTTCTCTCTCTCTCTCCTTCCCTCCTTCTTTCCTTCCTTCTTTCCTTTTCTTTTCTTCTTTTCTTTTCCTTCTTTTCTTTTCTTTCTTTCTTTTCTTCCCCTAATTACATGAGTAGCTTTCCTAAAAATACACAGTTCGCCCTGGCGCGGTGGCTCATGCCTGTAATCCTAACACTTTGGGAGGCGGAGGTAGGCAGATTGCCTGAGCTCAGGAGTTCAAGACCAGCTTGGGCAACATGGGGAAACCCTGTCTCTACTAAAATGCAAAAAGTTAGCTGGGCATGGTGGCATGTGCCTGTAGTCCCAGCTACTCAGGAGGCTGAGGCAGGAGAGTTGCTTGAACCTGGGAGGTGGAGGTTGCAGTGAGCCGAGATCACACCACTGCACTCCAGCCTAAGCAACAGAGCAAGACTCCATCTCCAAAAAAAAGAAAGCTATCTCATTAGCCATTTTGGCAATTATTTCAGAAAACTGGAGTCGTGTATGATCTCCTTTTCCTCAGATACTAGCCTCTGTTTAAGAAATTGTCAGACCCTTCTTTACTAACAATACACTCAAGTATTTCAGGTTGTCCTTCCACCATTACGCCTACAGAAGAACTCAAAGCATGCACAGTGATGAGCAATCAATGAACTATACTTTTGGCTGGATTTTGCACTTCAGAGAACTTCAGCTTTAATCCAAAGTTCTCTATAAGGAACAGAAACTATAAACAATTTTGAGGTAATTATAATTTTTGTCTCTCTGCCTTCAGACACTTTTGATGCATTTTATTATATTTTAAATGTTTCAGCATTTTTCTACTCTGCTAAGTCTTTAACGGGAAGAGAAATAGCTAACATAAAGCAAAGGGAAATTAGCTCCCCTTGGATACAGAAACAAGGTCAACCTTATGCAGGAATTTAATTATCAATCTGTGGTGAGTCCAAGCCTACAAACCCTAAAGTAGAAAGTGAATATATATTAGTCTTCATGTTTTATAGGTTATTCCAATTTTAATTCTTTAAAAAACGCTATAGAAACCATGTGACATTTTATAGAATTTGTGATGGCTTGATATTGTAATAATCCTGCATATGGCATGAAATTCAACTGATATATGACAATCGAATGTTCTTTTACATATGCAAAAAGATGGTCAAGCCATGAGATTAAGAACAAAACAGCAAAACTTTTCTTTGCATTTTTCCTGATATTTTCTATATTTTCTAATTCCAGGTCTCACCCAAATCTTTCTCTTTTGCATTTTATTCAGAAAAAAAGAATTAAAAAAAAAAACATGGTAACAACCAACGTTTAAATTCAGACTACTTTCAACTGAATTTTCTTCTTCCCCAGTGAACTCCTGAGGAGCTTCTCCCTGTTCCCTCACCCACGGTGGGACTGCAGAGTCTGCTTGCAAGTTATTTAAGCAGATAGCTGAGTGCCAGTGCACTTCTGTGCATTCTATATTTTCTCTTTTTTGTCCAGTTTATTTTCTTTCTCTTTCATTTGTCTTTATCGTGTCTCTTCTTTCATTCCATGAATGATTTGTTTTCATGAGCTGCTTATGAGCCCAGAGGCACTATTTGCTGAGGAAAAGCCATTCAAATACTGACTACATATTGATCATACCTTGAGGATCTTGCACATAATCTCATAAACTGAGAATGTTTTCTCTGCTCTCGTCCAGTCCCAGGTGGTCACCTTTAAAAGATAAGAAAATAATGTTTAATTTGTTTTAGAAAGTTATTTACCACTGTATTTGATTTGCATAATATAGTGAAAAATAAGAAAAAACTTTCACAGATGTATCTAGTCTCTCATCTGTGAAGCCATGCTCATAAAGGACCCTACATAATGCTTTTGTTTCCTCTTTTCCAAGCTTTGTTACCATTTGTCTTATGCTTTCAGCAAATGATTTATATTATGTGCAACAGTTCTCATTTGCCCAGTGTCCTTATATATCTTAAATAATATACGCATTCTCTACCTATAAATACTAAGTATTTACATTCCACACTCATATTTTTTTTTTAATTTACCACTAGTTAAATACAGAGAATACCAGACCTCAACACAGCTATATTTTTTAAATATACATCATTTATATTAAGAAATTCCAAGATGACTGTGACATTGCAAACATACCCAAAGCATAATGCAGTTATTTCACTTACTTAGGTTGGAAACTATATTTAACTGTCTTGTCAAATAAATTATTCAGAGTAGGAATAGAGTAAAATATATAAATATCAATTTTTCCTCTGTCTTCCTAGTGCTTTAAACTTTGTGTAGAGACAGACATTTAAAACAGCAGCAAGTTAGACCTGATGATTTCTAAATCTTATGTATTATTAGACCTGCAAGTGACTGGTCTGGCATTTGGTATTTATATTCAATAAATATTTATTAAGTGTCTTCTGAGCTGCAAGGTACATGTTTCCAAAAGCAAGACTTGAGGTGCAATAGGTATCTATACATATCTAGTACAAATCTCAATAACTAGGATATAGAATATAATAGAAGATGAAAATGTTATTGATTTTATATAGAGAGACCTGTACAACATAAATAAGCAAGTTCGACTTGTCATAAATGATAGCTTACCAGAATGTATTTGTGTTGTTTGCCAAGGATAGAATCCTCTAATTTAAATGTTGAACACCATGAGAGTTAACATCATCCTATGGGATTACCATAGGGTGAGATAGACTTAATAGTAGCTAGATAAGATGCTATCATTTTGAAATTTCCTTATTATTCTTTGCTAATAATAAATTACTAGTAATTAAAAGTGCTGAATAAATTTAAAAGAACTTTCAAAAGATCCTTGGAAAATAAGAGTTTAGTAAACATGTTCATTCATGTATAGCCCTAAAACAGTTTATTCTTTTTTATTTCACTTTTGATATATTCATTTCTTTAATTTTTATTCCATAAACAAAATACACTGACATATGCTTGAAAATGTTTCTTAAAATCTCCTTTCCCATGTCGTCATGAGATTTGTAATGGCATTATAATTTGATCCATTATTTTATAGGTTCACTATTTATAAAGAAGTAAGTTCCAGACTTTTCAAGGGTGTTAAAGCAAATGTTTAATGTCAGAATATATATTTTAGTAAGTTAAATCAGATAAACTGATTTCTACTTTTTCTCTATATTATTTTTTAAAAATATTGATGGTATACTATTTGGTGCTGTTAAGTTGGTGTCAATCTCTTGTGATAATATGGAAACGACCAATACATTTCAATAAAACACGTACTGGAGGTGCCAGAAACTTGTAGAGACATGAGCCCCTCAGGGCCAGGAAGGTCGGGGAGTACACTCTGTCCTGGAGGGGGTCTTGCTCCCGGGCTTCACACCAGCCCATGTAGACAATCTGCAAGAAAATGGAATACAATCAACTGTCAAAACTTCTTATTTTAGATATCTTATATCTAAAAATATTTAGATGCAAATATTAAAAATATTTTAGGTATTTTTCATGTAGTATTAAAAACTCACATAAAATTATCAAATTGATTGATGCAAAAAAGTACATTAAACCAGATTTGGCTTCAGTAAATGAATGTAAACCTCTCATAAGAATTTCTTATACGTTTCTACCAGCATTTATCAAGTGTTTATGCCATCCAACCTGCCATGGATTATATTTCCCACTCTATCAATTCTTACAGAAAAAAATACTTATTTATAATAGAATTCATTGATGCATCGCACTTGTTTACCAATTACTGACATTTTATTAATTGGGAATGTGCTTTAATACAGAATGTTGAAGTGAGTAAAGAAAGCAAATCAGATAGACATCTTATGGCAATACCACTAGGGCGGCACACCACTTCTCCTCTGTGCCTGATAGGGGAGAATGATAAATGCCCTCCTTTTAATCATTGATCTTAGATGAATACAATTTATGCTAGTGTATTCATATATCAAATGGCATTGAAATCAACTCTTTAGCCTCTAGTGCTTAATAAAGGCAGATCGATTTCCAAACAAAGATTTTGTGAGATGAGCCACTCCTCTTTTTATGATCTGATTTTCTTGAGAGTCAAACATATACACAAACACTTAACAAATAAGTATGACATTTCTAACAACATATTCATGTGGCATTCAATTTCTTTCTCATCACAACTCTGTGCGGGAGGATATACCTCCCACTTCATATAATTTACGTTGGCTTTATGGTTGGCAGAGTTAAGTCCTCCTCCTAGATATTTTTTTCTTTTTTTGGCTCATGAGACCTTCTATCATCAATAGGATATTAATGAATGTGTCGCAAGTAGAGTTAGCTTAGTATCTTGTGCTTTTGCCATTATCATGAAAAACTCATACCCAGGATAGGAACACATGCCAGCAGACCAGAGCTCAGCTTAACACCTGGACCAAGCCCAGCTAGCTCCAAACTGGTGGCTAATGACAATCAGTTTACTTTCAGAAAGAAAGAAATACTTATTGTTGTATTCCAGCTAGTAAGGGGATGGTTTGTTTTGCAGCATTAATGTGGTGACAGTTGACTAATAACAATGCAAGAATTTGAAATGCAAGATTTGAAATATTACTGTCGTCTACTCATAGATCTCATCTTCTTTCCATTAATTATGTTTACTCTCTAAAATAATTGGATTATTCACCATCTCATTATCTCAGTTTGTCTTACAATAAGCCTATGAGCTATAAAGTCCCTGAATTAACAAATTAAGGGATTGTGATTTAAATAAATTAGCTTAACAAATGAATCAAACTTGATATAAGTTAGAATTGGAATTTGAACCAAGATGCCTTGCTCTTTTAATTATATAATGTATTCTGTAATCTTTTAGGTTACTAACATATGCATTACATAGAGACTTCACTGGTTAATAATAACATAATAAGAACCAGCTATAATAACTGATTATTTTGTATTGCTTATATGGCCAGGTATAGTTGATCAGATAACAACACAGTTTTGAAAAGGTAAATGAAGCTTAATAGATAACCATCCCATAAAGAAAACTATGACTTAGTTTAATATATATTTACTGTGTCAGAATAATTACAGGAGTTAAAATGAAAAGGATATTATAGCTTACACTTCCAGTAGTTGCATATTAGAGAATGTAGACAACCCACCATCTAATGTTACCTTAGGAAACTGGAAAAGAATATGCTTAAAGCACTAGATGTTTTACAAGCTATTAAAAGACAACCAGGAAAAATTTATAGGAATATGAAAATTGAGAGAGGTTAATCATTAATACAAATGCGGGTCAACTTTTGCCATAGGTGTGCTTTCTACACGGAAATGTCACATGAGAGAATCAGCTACATTGGCCAGTCTCACAGGTTTGGATCAAAATGTTAAAGTCCAGAATCTTCCACATGTGGAGGCCTTAGTAAACATGCTCTGCTTTTACTTAGGATCAGAAATGTCTGCATCCTAATTACAAAGTTAAGGCAGAAGTCATCAAGCCCTTGCCAGGACTGGAGCTCAGATTTAAGCCATTGAGATGATCCAGAAAATGCCAAGCTTTAAATGGTTTATGATGATCCTGGAATTCTGTCAGGCTCCTGACTAAAGAAAATGGAAATTCTTTCTGGATGACAATAACATTACTTATGTCAATATATTTTCATAAGACTTGTTTCTTGGAAGAGAATAAAAATAACCAAGAATATAAGGAAATAAAACTTCATGAAGTACATCAGGAGAATAACATGAAGAATAAAAACAATAGACAGCAGAACTGAATATTTAGGCATTTCAGATATTGGAATTTTCTAATACAGACATTAATTAAGTTTGCTATGTATATGAATATAAGATACAAAATTGAAACTTTCATCAGGGTATATCTGAGATAATAGATTATAAAATGTTCCATTTAGAAATTAGACAAATAAATATTTATGAAACGTAAAGTTGGGTTTAACAACACATTAAAAAGCAGCTAAAGAAAGAATTAGTGAATAGAAAGATGGCTCAGTAAAAAAGGTCTAGAATGATGATTGGAGAGACAAAAGTTTGGAAAAAACATATATGAGAATAAGAGAAAAAGGTGTTACACTGAGAAATACAAAACTTCAAACTTGAGTCCCAACCCAAGCACAGCTAAGAAAGGGAATGAACAGAAGATATATTGAAAGAGATGATGGCTAAGAATTTTCACAAATAGATAAAAAGAAGTCAATACACAGATTCAGAAGACAAACAAAACAAAAGCTAGATAAATATAAGCACACCAAGGCACTTTGGCATGTGTCTTCAGAGAACCAAAGACAGCAAAGAGCATAGTAAAACTGGCAAGAAGACAGGAAAAAAAAACGTGTACATTAATGATTGGTTTAATAGAAGGCAGACGATTTATAATATATGTTTCCACATTTACTCTCCTGTAATACCACACATCGTTTAGCTTCTGGAAAACTTTAACTTTATACCTATGAATGAATGAGAGTGAAAGAGGCAAATACCATCTACATTTTATTATGAAAATAGTTTTGACCTTCTAGATCCTTGAAAAGTATCCAAAGAACATTCAAGGGCGTACAAAATACTCTGGGCCACTGTTGTAAAGTAAAAACTTTAGCAAATGTCGTGATCTTTCAGGTAATCACTTATTAGAAGTATAAAAGAAAAGTAACTACGTTAGTGAAATGTATAAAACTTCAAAATAAACATATAGAAAAAAATAAACAGTTTGTTTCATAAACAATGCAAAAGCAAAGGAGATTAAAAAGAAACAAATGTGGCGGAAAAATGTAAGGCACAAGGTAAGGTGGTAGAATGTAATCAAAACAAGGTATTAGTTATATAGCAGGTAAATAGAATAAACGCAACCTTATAAAGTTTTTACTAATATATTTTTTTAGACAGTATCTCACTATCAACCAGGCTGAAGTGTGGGGGTCACAGTTCACTGCAGCTCTAACGTGACCTCCCCAGCTCAAGTGATCCTCTTGCCCCAGCCTCCTGATAAGACTACAGGCACACACACCACCACTTCTGGCTAATTTTTGTAGAGACGGAGTTTTGCTATGTTGCCCAGGCTGGTCTTGAACTCCTGGCCTCAAGCGAGCTGATCGTCTAGGACTTTTAAAGTGCTGGGATTGCAAGAATGACCCATCATGCCTCGCTTCTTATGAAGTTTTTTACACTACACTAAATAAATAAATAAATAAATAAAATAAAAACAAAAGCAAAAGAAAAACCCTATATTCTGTCTCTGTAAGGTTTATCTAAGACATAAAAGTACAGAAAATTTGTAAAGAAAAGAATAAAAAAATTATACCAAACAGAGACCAAAAATCAATTGATTTAGCAATACTGGTATTAGAAAACGTAGATCTAAGGCAAACATTATTTCTAGAAATAAAAAGGACTTTTAATAATGATAGTGTCAAACCTATCAAAAAGACATAATAATGTTTAGATTTTTTTATATCTGATAACATACCTTTTATTTATTTATTATTTATTTATTTATTTACTTATTATTGTTTTTGAGACAGTCACACTCTGTCATCCAGGCTGGAGTACAGTGGTGTGATCTCAGCTCACTGCAACCTCCACCTCCTGGGTTCAAGTGATTCTCCTGCCTCAGCCTCCCGAGTAACCGGGACTAAAGGTGCCCACCACCAACCCCGGCTAATTTTTATATTTTTACTAGAGGCGGGTTTTCACCATGTTGGCCAGGCTGGTCTGAAACGCCTGACCTCAAATGATCCATCCTCCTTTGCTTCCCAAAGTGGTAAGATTACAGGTTTGAGCCACTGCACCGGCCTGATAACATACCTTTACAATATATAAAATGAAAAACGGATGGAACTACAACAAAAGAAATGAACAAACTGATAATTGTAGAACAAGTTTAGCACAATTCATTGAATAACTATAAAATAAGAGTTAAAAATCCATCAAGCCATAGAGGTTTTGAACAATTCAATTAATACAATCTGCTTAATTTATTATGTTTAAGACACTTGACTCAACAAAAATTGAGTATAAATTATTTTCAAGTGCACTGGAAATGACAAGAAGTGATTACACCTTTATAATAATTATATCATTATATTTAGGTGATAAAGCACGTATTAAATGCGTTTTGCCATTCAAATGACATGTGGTGTCCTAAATAGAATGAAATGAGAGAGCAATATTCACAAAAAATTAGAATATCCCCCTCCAAAAGATTTGAAAATTAAGCAACATAGTTCACAGATCAAAGGAGAAATCAAAAATGAAGTTAAGGCCGGTTGTGGTGGCTCACGCCTGTAATCCCAGCACTTTGGGAGGCCAAGGTGGGAGGATCACCTGAGGTCGGGGGTTCGAGACCACCCTGACCAACATGGAGAAACCCCATCTCTACTAAAAATGCCTGTAATCCCAGCTACTCGGGAGGCCGAGACAGAGAATCACTTGAACCTGGGAGGTGGAGGTTGCAGTGAGCTGAGATCATGCCATTGCACTCCAGCCTGGGCAACAAGAGCGAAACTCTGTCTCAAAAAAATAAATAATTTAATGAAAATAAATAAATAAATAAGCCCAGGTGAGGTGGTTTATACCTGTAATCTCAGCACTTTGGGAGGCCGAGGTGGGTGGATCACCTGAGGTCAGGAGTTTGAGACTAGCCTGACCTACATGGAGAAATCCCGTCTCTACTAAAAATACAAAATTAGTTGGGCTTGGTGGTACATGCCTGTAATCCCAGCTACTCGGGAGGCTGAGGCAGGAGAATCGCTTGAACCTGGGCGGTGGAGGTTGCAGTGAGCCAAGATCATGCCATTGCACTCCAGTCTGGGCAACAAGAGCGAAAATCCATCCACCCCCCAAAAGAAAACAAAATGAAGTTAAAAAATAGTTTGAACTAAAATACAATGAAATATGAAATATCAAACTTGAGGGATTCAACAAAGGCTAACCTTGGGCTTTTATATCTTATATATATGCATTTTTTTAAGTCTCAACATCTGTAATCCAGGAATCTAGATCAAGAATTTAGAAAAAGTTTAGGAAGAAAGAGAGAAAGTATGAGAGATAAGGAGAGACCCAAAAGCCAAAATAAAACAAAAAAAAAGGAAGTATTGGATGCAGGCACTAATGAAATAGAAAAAAAATACAAATAGGTATTCAACAAAACAAAAAATAATTGTTAAGAGAGAATAATAATGTAAATACTCATGGCAAGCATCAGCATAAATTACTAATATCCATGATATCAGATCCTACAGATATTATAATTATGTTTAAAAATCTTATAAATGATATTTTGCAAGTTACTTTTAAAATTTAAATGAGAGGCCAGGCGCAGTGGCTCATGCCTGTAATCCCAGAACTTTGGAAAGCCAAGATGGGTAGATCACTTGAGGTCAAGAGTTCGAGACCAGCCTGGCCCACATGGTGAAACCCTGTGTCTTCTAAAAATACAAAAATTAACCAGGCATGGTGGCAGATGCTTGTAATCCCAGCTGCTCGGGAGACTGAGGCAGGAGAATCACTTGAACCCAGAAGGTGGAGGTTGCAGAGAGCTGAGATGGCACCACTGCAATCCAGCTGGGCAACAGAGTGAGACTCTGTCTCAAAAAATAAATAAATAAATAAATGAAATGAAATATATTAATTCTTAGACAAATGTCAGAATAGATGCAGAAAGAAATTTGTTTTAAATATAGAATCCTATAATTATTAAAGTAATGTAATCTGTAATTTAAAACATTCCAACAAAAAACTTGAGGAACTAGTGAATCTTTTTAATTTCTACTAATTGTTTTTTAAAAATGATCTAAATTCTTGTAAGGTCCTCCAGAGAATAGAATAAAAGGGTGATCAGTCCCAACTTAATTTATGGACCAGCCATAACTTTACATGAATGAGTGAACAATGTGAATGAATCTAAAGGAACAGCACCTGACAAGAATATTTATAAAAAGGGAAATTTACATTTAAATCATTCTTTATATGAGGTCTAAATTTATTAATTAAATAAATAACTTGAGATTTAAAAGCATCAATATAATTCACAATCTGAACCAAATGAAGGATTAAAATCACATACTCAAAAAACGAAGAAAAAATGATGAAATTCAACATGTATTCATGATAGAATCTTTAAATTATAAATAGAAATTGTCTTTAAAATAGAATTTTTTAAATTTATAATCCAAATATGGGTATTTGTATTTTTTAAAAATGTATTTAATGGTGAATTATTTAAATTATTCTTTGGAGATCAGTAACAATACAGGAATATACACTACCACCACTAACAATCAATGATTTTCTACTTTTACTCAATGTGCTGAGAAAAAAAAAAGAAATTAAATGTTAGGTTTAGAAGATAAACAAGTCCATGATTTTCATTGATAATATGAATTTATATATAGAAAACACAAAACTTTTAAATAAACAAAATTATTTTGTAAATTTCTCAATGTTGCCAAATATAAAATTTTATCCAAAATAAATTATATTACTGAGTAACCTAAATTAATAGTAAAAAATAGAAATTTAAAAATAAGATAATAATAGACTAAAACTAAAAAAGACGAGCCAGTAGAAAAGTGGGCAAGAGCATTAATGAGGCTTTCAGAAAAGAGATTTTGGCTTATTCAACTTAGAGAAAGTATTCAACCAAAGTGCTCATCAAAGAAATGCAATTTAAAACCACTGTTGTATATCCTGTGTTTATCTTCCAAAGAGGCTACAATTAAAAGGACAGAAAGAGATAAATTTTGGTGAGTAACTGTAGTAATGGAAAAGCTCCAACACAGCTGGTGAGACTGACTCCTCACTTCTTTTTTTGAGAAGGAGTCTCCCTCTGTCACCCAGGCTGGAGTCCAGTGGCACAATCTCAGCTCACTGCAACCTCCGGCTCCTGAGTTCAAGTGACTCTCCTGCTTCAGCCTCCCGAGTAGCTGGGATTACAGGCACGCACCATAACGTCCGGCTAATTTTTTGTATTTTTAGTAGAGAGGGGGTTTCACCATGTTGGCCAGGCTGGTCTTGCACTCCTGACCTCAAGTTATTCACCCACCTCGGACTCCTCACTTCTCATGTGAACTGAACATCAGTGCATGCAAGTGCACTAGAGAAGTATGTGTACCAGTGTTCACAGCAGCATTCTCTTTAGTAGTCCCAACTATGTGCCGATGTGGAAAATATCAATAAACTGTGCCACCAATATATTTTATGTAGATGAATACAGTAACATGCTGTGTTATAGTACGAGTATAGAGTAAGTACAATTATTAAATTATAGTTACATGGAACAACATGAATGAATCTCAAGGAACATCATGTTAACTGAAAGAAACCAATATAGAGTCATACATATATATGATTTGATTCAAATAAACTATAGTATTTGGAATGCATTCATGGTTGGAAAGAAAAAAGTAGTATAGCAAAGCAAGACCATTATTATCAAGCCTTTCAGGATAACAGTTAAGTGAGAGGAGAGAAAGTCAGTTGTGCACTAAGTAGGGAGCAGGCAGCACAATGGCTAACAATAGACTCTCTTTGACATGTAGCTTGTTTATGGAGGTTTGATTTTTTTTAAATAATTAAACTGTATGCCTAAGTTTTAGGAACTTTCTATATATACAATATATTTTATTAAATCCTGTTTTTAAAATGTCATACAATGTGTATTAATAACAGTTTTCTACCACTATCTTATTCAAATAATGTAGAGTTTTGTAAGTTGTATAGGAAAAAAGTATTCTAACAAATATTGTTAGATTGTCATTCTGGGGTCATTGTAATAAGATGAAATTTTAGTTATTGTAAATTATATCCCCATAAGCATTATTTCTCAATTAAGTCAGGGTTTCTAGTTTTAATTCAGTCTGATAAAACTTACAGTTTCTCTATTAATGACTCCTCTGTTTTGGCAAGAAAGAAAAAAAAGAATGCGGTGGTGTACATAATCACAAAAAAGAATATGTTCGAGACTCTTAAGACTATGACATTTGAGTTTGTTGTCTCTTCCAACCTCTATACTTTGCTGCAGGCTGAAATATTAAGGGTGGTGTACTATTATTCTTCCAGAAATATCATCACTGTATGCAGTTTTATGATTTTGAACTGAGTTTAGCTTTGGAAATGAGCTGAGAATATACCTAATAAAAATGGGATTATCAGATCTGTGAGGGATATATCTACATGTTTGCTCTCTCAGTCAAACATTCACCTTCCCGTTTACTATGCCAAACAGGAAAAGGGAGTTCTTTTCAATTGGTCTCAGATGCCAAAAAGTACCTTTCCTTTTCCATCATTGCCAGGACTTGGGTATAATAATTACGCAGTTGAAGAGACATAAAGCAGTTTCAGTACATTCTTCCTATGAGTATCACAGAAAATAATAATTCTAAAGAAACAGTGTATCTCTTAATTTCTAAAAAAAAAATGTAAAAATGGGAATTACAGGCATAATAGAAATAGGATGTTTTAGAAAAAAGTAGAATTAAAAGGAGAATTTCCCTAAATACATTAAATGACAAGAGGACTTCCAAACATCTATCATTTTAAGATAAATAATTTGGAAGCTTGTTCACTTTAAATTAAATGTATCATTATCACAAAACATGCCCCATATGTGAAGCTTGTATTACACAGCAATAATTTATTTGTTATTATTTTAAAATGTATTTTAGTTTGTTATTTTTTCTTCAATAGAATTTCTTTTTTAAAGTGGTTTTGGGTTCACAGCAAAACTGAGTAGAAAGCACAGAGCTCCCATCTACCTCTTGCCCTAACTTGCACAGCTGCCCCACTAGCAAAATACCCCAACAGAATGAAACTGATTTGCCATTTGTGTGTGTATGTGTGTGTGTGTATACATATATATGTATATATATATGTGTGTGTGTGTATTTTTTTCATGAGGTGCTTGTTCAGGTATTTTGCCTGTTTCTAATTGGATGTTTCCTTTCTAATTGTTGAGTTTTAAGAGTTCTCTGTGTAGTTCAGGGAACAGTTCCTCATCAGATGCCTTTTGCATATATTTTCTTCCAGTCTGTAGCCTGTATTCTCATGTTCATGACCCTATTATTCATAGAGCAGATGATTTTACCTTTAATGGGGTCCAATAAATTAATTATTTCTTTCATGGATTATGGTTTTTGTGTTGTATCTGAGAAGTCATCACCATACCCAAGGTCATCTACATTTTCTCCTATGTCATCCTCTAGGTGTTTTATTTGCCTTTCAAATTTAAGTCTATGATCCATTTTGAGTTAATGTTTGTAGAAGGTGTAAGGTTTGTGTCTAGATTATTATTTTTTTATTCCTCATGTGGATGTCCAGTTTTTCCAGTACCATCTGTGGAAAACATCACCTTTTTTGTTGTATTCTTTTTCCTTTTTTAAAGATTAACTATACTTGTTTGACTTTATTTCTTGGCTTTCCATTCTGTTTCATTGAGATATTGTCTGTCTTCTCACTGAATACAACACTACCTTGATTACTGTCACTTTATAGTAAGATTTGAGGTTGGATAATACGAGCCTCCTGACTTTGCTCTTCTACTTCAGTATGGTGTTGGTTTTTCTGGGTCTTTTGCTCCTCCATATAAACTTTAGAAAGAGTTTTTAATATATATCTACATCATAATAATTACATTTCTACATTTGTCCCTAGTTTTTGGAAGACAATAGGAAGGAGGGAGCATTTCAGGTGTTTTATAAGAAGGAATCAACATAACCTGCAACATGTTCATAATAAATAATAAAACTGAAAAAATGGCAAATTCTCACAGTCTAATTTTGATAGCACACTACTTCCTTTACTTTTATTAAAACAAACCCACAAATTTATCTGTAAATTTTTTCAGCTAAAGTGAAGAAGGACAGCATGCTAATCTAATATTACCATGGTTTCCAGTCCAGCAACATCAGCATCATTTGAGAACCTATTGGAAATGCAAATTCTCAGGTCTTAACCCAGACCTACTGAATTCAAAAGAAACTTTAGGGGTGGAACCTACCTCTCAATATTTTAATGAACCTTCCAAAGGACAGAGATGCTGCCTCAAGCTTAGTGGAGAAGGCCATCTAATTATGTTATAATTCCAACAGCCGGTAAGGCTGTGTATTAATGAGAACCGTGTTTATTACTTAAGACAGAGGAAACCATTAATGAAAATGTCCTAGCACTTGAAAGAGAAAAAGAAATGATGGGCTCTTGATAAACATGGTATTTCCAAATACGACATATTGGACCACTTTATTACAAATCAATTCTACTTCAGGGATGATGATTAAAACAGGAAATATTCTTTTTTTAACGAGTACAAAAACATTTTACAAAGTGCTGCAATGTTACCAAGGCAACACAGACTTGACCAGCCAAGCTGCCTGGGAAAAGAAAAGCTCAGAGATGTGCATCCCCTCCGAGACACTTTCCCCCTCAGCATTTCCTCATTGTAAAATCATTGCCGAGAGGCTAAAACAGAGAATCCCAGCAGTATCAAAGGACTAAGTACTATATATTTGATTTCTGAGCCCTCCTAGAGAAAAACATGAGGCAAAATATAACACAGGAGGAAAAATAAATGAGTAATAACCAACACCTCATAAAGGTTGCAGCCTAAGTGTTCCACGAGCCCTTCATAAGCACACAGTCCTTAGTCCTCTCATTACAGTGAGATAAATTGTACCTGTTATTTTATTTTGCCAGGAATAAAAGTAAATTCTCTCTGGAGGAAGATAATATCCCTATGAACCCCAAATTATGTCTATATATTTATATGCAATGTCTTTTCTTGAACCAAAATTTATAAGCCACACAAGGAGATAAGAATACAACTTAAAAAAACAGAGGATAAAATGGACAAGAGAAAAAAATCCACACACAAATAAGATATTTAAATTTTGGAGGGACCAGACAGACTTTAAAACTATCATGCTTAATATGTTCAAACATTAGGTGGCTAGTTAGGAAATTATATAAAAAAAATTACAAAATAATAAAATGGATACCTACAAATAAAAAATAGAAAAACTAAAACGATAAACCCAATATATGAGTTTACCAGAAGTTTATACACAATTGAAGAGAGGAGCAAAGAATTAAGTGAATTTAACTGTTAACATATATAAAATAAACATATTTTCTATATGTTTCAAGGTTCATTATAGAACCTTCTATAAAATAAACATGTTTCTATATTAAAAAGAACATTTTTCTGATCTTTGATGTGTGTGTGCTAGCAGAAGTTTAAATGTTACAACTGAAAGCAGCTGAGGGATGGCAGGGTGGCTCAGGCCTTTAATTATAGCACTGTGGGCGGCCAAGGTGGGCAGATCGCTTGAGCCTACGCGTTTAAGACCAGCCTCGGCAACATAGCGGACCTCATCTGTAGGAAAAAAAAAAAAAAAAAGCACCTGGGCATAGCAAGTGTTTCTTTAGGCCACAACAGTCCAAAATGCCTACAAAAGGCAAGAGAGTAATGTTAAAATTATTTGCCAAGGAGGCCTGGTTTGTTAGCACTGTCACCCCACAACACTCCTAACCCTGCAGAACTCAAGAATTAATGTCAAGTCTCTAAATCAAGGGAGGGTACATGTATCTCAGAAATTACAGTTGACCCTTCAACAACACAGGAGTTTGGGACAGAAATCCCCTACCACTACCACACCACAGTTAAAATTTAATGTATAACTTTTGACTCTCCCCCACATTTTACTATTAATAGCCTACTGTCGACTGGAAGCCTAACTGAAAATATAAGCAGGAGATTCACACACATTTTATTAGTTATATGTAATATATACTGTATTCTTACAATAAAGTAAGCTAGAGAAAATGTGATTAAGAAAATCATGAAGAGAAAATATATTTACTATTAATTAAGTCGGAGTGGATCATCATAAAGCTCTTCATCTTCATTGTCTTCATGTTGAGTAGGCTGGGAAGAAGGAGGAAGAGGAAGAGGAGGTATTTGTCTTGCTGTCTCAGGGGTGGCAGAGGTGGAAGAAAATCCACATTATCAGTGGACCCTCGATGTCCAAACCTGTGTTGTTCAAGTGTTCAAGGGTCAACTGTACAATCATTTTCATGTTTCACCTGGCCTCTTATTCTTCCAGACAGTGAGGTCCACAGCACCTAACAAATCCAGACATCTGCTTTTGATGTTTCCAGGAGATTTCTGACAAAAATGCACCCATAGTGATGACATTGCGTGGCCACTGCAACCACTGTTTACTCCACTGCTATCTTCCCTCGGCATCCAGGGCACCTGTCTCACAGTTGGATTCCCTCTGTGGAGCCCTGCAGTTGAGCTGTGATGGACTCATTTACTTTCAAAGATGGAGGCATCCTTTACTCTCCTTCCATGGTTCCCCATTCAGGAGCACCATTCCTAGTGCTTAAAGCCATTCAAATAACAAGTCAGACCAGGTCTCATCAAAGCTATTGATACTCTGCGACACCCATGTTCACCCTCTCGGAAACCAGGGCTCAGCCTCCTCTTGGCTCTCCAGGGCAGCAAGCAAACCCTCCCTCCATCCCTTCCAGGAAATGCTCCCCTCCCCAGCCCTGCTGTTACTGTGAGTCACTCACTGATATACATTTTATCAGATAATTTTATTTTTGTCCGGTTTCTGCAAGCCTTTTCCTGTGTTAATATTTCTGTAAGAGGAATCTTAATCAAATAAATTTCAAAAAGTGCTTCAAGTGGAAAAGAAGTTATAAAATGAACTAAACATACCACGAGTTCTCTGTTACACTCAGAAAGAAGTAATCTTCACTTTCGGGAAGGGCACATAGTTGGTTGCGAGTTTACAAATGAGCCTATTGTCATTTTATATCAGCTGTAGAAACCATCTCCTTCCCCTCTTGCCAGCTGCTTCCCTGAAAACCACTGCTGAGCCAGCAATTACTGCAGCAGCACAAAGCCCCTCAAATGGGGAGACCACGGCAATTACCCTGATTTGTCACCACAGAGGGCTGGCTATAAAAGCTTCTTTCAAGACATTGAAATTAAGCAGTTTGGGACTATGCCAGGGCCTTTTGGAGAGTGGCAATCAGGAAAGAAAAAAGAGACACCAGTGTCAGCATAAGAAAGCAGGTAGACTTGGAGCAGTGTGCTAAAAGGAAATACGATGGCTATTTTCTGTCGACATGTTTCAGTGTTATCTAAAATGCATTCTTTATCTGAGTTTGACTTTTCCCTGACAATTCAAATAATTCCAGGCCATCTTGATTCATGAGAAGGAGTAAAACCCAAGGTTGTTTGTTTTTTTGCCAAGAGGAATATCAAATATAATGGCATCTACAGTGTCCACATATAAGGGTGACATTTTCAGATGATTGGTAACCTGAACATTTTTTCTTCTCCATCTCCCATTCTCTCCAAAATACAGTAATTCATTCAAGCCTCTGTCATAAACACTGGACACAGCAGGAAACCAAATAGATGGAAATACCTGTGAAAATGTAACTTAGATTCTACTTTGGAAGCATGAGAATATAAAAATAAAAGTAAAATACATGTTATGTTAAATAGTAAGAATCCTAAGGGGGAACCATAAATAAATAAATAAATCAAGGAAAAGAAGACAGAAAATACTGGGAAGGGCTGAAATTGTAGCTGCGATTGCCCTAACATCACACCAATGGGACATTTGAGTATAGGCTTAAAGGAAGTGAGTTACCTGTATGGATATCTGAAGGAAAAGCATCAAGGCTGAGGGGACAGCAAGGATAGGGCTGAAATACAAGGGCTTGCCAGGACGATCTTGGGGATGATGAGTCCATTATGGTTATGGTTACTGAAAAATTGTTTGAAGAGAGTAGTTGATAATGAGATAAAATGGAATGTGCCTTCAGTTGCACACATCCTTGTAGGTCCCTGACAGATCTTTGGCTTTAGTCTGAGTCACCCTGCAAGCCATTGGAGGGTTTGAACAGAGGAGAGACAGAATTTAATGTGCGTTTTGACTGGATTGCTTGCCTGAAGAGAAAGAAAGAAAAGAAGCAAGAAGGCCTGTTTAGAATGCTGTTGTAGCAAAGCAGGTGAGAGATGATAGAGACTTGAAACATTGGCAGCAGGGAAGGCTTTAGAGAGTAGTTTAACTCGATCTATTTTGAAAGTAGAATTTTACTTCTGGTGTGAAATAAAAATGGAAGTTAAGAGTGATAGAAAGTTTTCGATCTTTGCAATCAGAAGAATGGAGGAGGCCATTAAAAGATAGGATTTTGAGAAAATCTGCTTTGGAGATAAAACCAGGAGCTCAGTTTTAGACATTTCAAGACTGTGGTTATTTTAGAAAGAAATAGAAAATACGAAGAAATAAATTTGATAAACCATTCTGGAGTTCTAAGGCATGGTCTAGTCTTGTCAGATAGACTATTCAGTTTAAGACTGTCTCATCAGTTTAAGACTGATATTTAAAGTCTTGAAACTGTGAATGTGTACAAAGATAGGAGACTCAGTGAATGGCAAGGTCCTGGGACAGCAGACATTGTGTGGTAATAGAGAAGAGGAGAGAACCACAAAGGTGTAAGAAAAAACTCAAGCAATTTTTACGTCATGAAAGACAAATGAAAAGAAAGCGACTAGCTGTGTCAAATGCATGGATGACTCAATTATCACGAGGACCGATAATTGACTATTTGATTTAGTGAAACAGTGTTCATTTGTGGGGTTGATAAAAGAAGTTTGCCCAGGAGTAGTGGGGGCAAATCGTTATTGGATTTGATTCAAGAGAGAAGGGAAGGAGGCTAATTGGAGACAGTAGATATAGCCTGTCTTTTAAATAGGCTCTCTCTAAATGAAAGCACAGAAAGTGTTGGTCATTAAAAGGATTAGGGAGAGAAATGCAAGGACAGAGGAGAGACCTGCTGAGCAATGTGCTTGAGTGAGCAACAGCAACAGCTGGGAGCACGTGCAGGTCCTTTCCAGCCACAGCAGAACACAGATGCAGGGAAGTGGGCAGATGTGTTCAGTTCTCCTCCGATTGCTTCAATTTTCTCAATGAAGCAGGAAGCAGAATTATCTTTTGAGAATGGGGATGAGGACAGTGGTATTGGAGGCTTAAGGTGACAGCAGAAATGTATTTAAAAGAAATGGAGAGAATAGACTGGGGGAAGAAAGAATAATTGCAGGTTGCTTTAGGCGTGTACTTCAGGTCAGTGATCATGAATTTAATGTGGGATGAGTCACTATGGCTATTTGTTTTTCTTCAGCCATGTTTAGTTAAATGAGTTCAGGCATATAGCAGAAGGAAAGTTGGAGTTAGTCTGAATTCAGGGAGAATAAGGAAGAGTAAAGAAGCAATTGAACTGAGCATGTATGCTGGGGAATGATAATACTTGATTATGGAATTTAAGCTGGATAAGTGACATAAGATGAATGCGCTAAAATGAAAGATGATGGATTAGGAAATTGAAGTTGGGATATTATGAGCTTGGGGCACAAGAGGGGCTACAGTGGAAGGTTTGAAGGTATCACTCTAGGGAAGATTGTTTGAAATTTAAATTATGTTCACATTGTAATTACTGGTAATGACAAGGTGTGGGGTTTGAACATGAGAATGTGTTAAGGAGACATGAAGACTAAGGTCATCAAAGAAGAGCAGATCAAGAGCAGAAAGGCCAGGAAACATTCATGTACAGTTTTGTCATATGGAAAGTACTGAAAGAAAAACGTTAGAGATTTGATAATGATCCAGAGATTAGAATCATTACCAGGATGGGTAGATAGGTGTCCATGTCTGAGATCGTGGATGGTGGAATTGGATTGAATGTGTACATATGTGTGTGATGAAGGCATGAAGAAAAGACTGAGGAGCAAGAAGAATACCTATCCATCTCCAAGTTTAGTAAGATTATAAACAGGAAATGAAATCAGATACCACTTGAGAGAACTGCAGGATCAAACAATTCTCCGCAGGAAAGCCAGCTTTCAATTAGCAGAGTAAGGTGAAAAGAATGTAGATTAACAAGCTAGAGGAAAGAGAGGCTTTGTAGATGACTGACCTTGTTATTATAAGTCTTTCAACCTGTACTATGTTCAGAATAGGACAGTGGGGAGGGAAGAAAACAGCCTGGGGTATAAATAGAGGAAATCAAGAAAAGCCATTTCTTTTCATAGGCAGATGCACCATACACAATAAAGGAAGTCATACTTCCGTCTTTCTGTGTAACCATATTCCTCAGACAGCTAAAGTTTTCATTAAGCAAATTAATTGATCCATAGTATCTAATTAAGTTTTCTTTTGCAATGCTAAATCAACTTCTCAAGCAATTTGTCAAATTCTTTTTTGGTGGTAAAATTAGAATGTGTTTAAATCCACAATGATAGTACTTAAGAAATTTTATGACCAAATAAGAACTAGAAGTGGCTGAAGGATGAGGATATATATGATAACTGGTCCTGAAAAAAGTAAAACCTATCATGTCACCTATTTTAATAAATACTGATTACAGATGGGGACATTTTTGTTGATAATTACTTATGGAGAAAATAAACCCATTAGAATAATTTGTTGAAAATACCAAGAACATTACAAAATCATAATATACTAAAAGGTAAGGCTTGTTAATTGTTACACATTTCAGTTTATAATACTGAGGCTGAGAGTTTACTTGATATATTATTTAAATATAAGTATTTTTAAAATGTACATTATTGTAGCAGAGGTGTAATTTAATATTTTTTTCTGTCAGTAATCTGTATTAATCTGCAGGTAGGACATTATAAGCATGATTGCACACAATTCTGTTGATATCAATAACATATGTGTTAGTACTTTAGGCAAATATATATTTGAAAATAATATGGAAGCAATAAAGTCAAATAATATTTCTTATAGTTCTTTTTAATTTATACTGCTAAAATGGCATTACATTTTTTCTCCTAAACAAGTTCATAGAAAAACAAAAAGGCAATAATTTACACCCATAAATATTTCAGAAATGTGTATTAAAGAATAAGAAGCATATGAAGGGATGCAAATTATTAAAAACATAGTGAGGCATTAGTCACAATTTCCTATTCTGGTAAAAGCCAATGAGTAAAGAACCACTGTAAAAATAAAGAAGCCACTGAAATACAGAAATAGCTTTTTTTTTTTTAACTGAAAAGCATTTCTGTCACTATCATTATTTTATAACACAATAATGAACTGCTCTTACAGAACTTTAAACTTGTATTTCCATTTTATTCTTAGTTTTTACTTTTGTGTAAATAATGTCTCCTTCTTAATATCAGGTTGTAGTTAGAACAAGTTATTATACAATTAAAATGATATTATATAAACCTCAATAATTGAATAATTTGAAAGTTTAAAAAACAATAGCAACAAGCATTTTTCAGCTTTTAGCATAAAATGATCTTATTTGCTAACCATTGTAAAGTAAAACAGTGATAGCTTTGGGTCTAGTTGGATGTAATCTGCTCATATAGTGATATTTAAGTCTTTATAGACATCTGATATTTTGTTGGTGCAGAAAAACTGCTACTGTTATACTCTATGCTAAACTCCATGATTTGATTTTTGGAGAAATCCTCAGTGAGGTAAAATAGTGACTTATGGGGCAAACTTGAGAGGGTTTTCTTCTGTTGGAAAGAATGTCTACTGAGACACACCGCCTCCTCTAGGGTGGAGGGATGTATTCACAGAATCTCAAGAAGACTCTCAAGAATACCTTAAAACCTCAAAAGTAACTGCTTTGATTCTTCATCGGAATATATCACTATTTTGTAAGGTATTTTCTGTTAAGACATAGAGGCACAATTTTCTCCTGCTCAGCCTTCTTCACTGGAGCACCCAGTGCTATAGAAAAAATTTTTGTAACTCTACTTCTTGATTTTTCACTCAACCATAGCAGAAAGCAATCCAGGAAAATCAATTTTATTATATGATAGCTTTGAATATATAATTTATAAATAATTACAGGCTTAGTACATTATAGTGGCACCTCACTTTCAGACACTTAAGTCTGAATTCATTTCCTATTGTGGTTGTAAAAATTGCCACAAAACCTTGGTGGTTTATAACAGCACAAATGTATTATCTTACAGTTCTACATGAAATATGAAACAGGTCCTACTGAGCTAAAGTCAAGATATCAGTAGGCTTCATTCCATTCAAGAAGCTCTAGAGATGAGTCCATCTCTTTTTGTTTTCTAGTTTCTAGAGACTGCATGCACTCCTTATAGCATGGTCTCTTCTTCTTCCATCTGGAAAGCCACCAGTGTAACATCTCTACCCAACTTCCTTTTTCCACATAAGGTAACATATTCAGAAGTACCTGGGGTATGGACGTGGATACATCTTTGGGGGTAATTCTTCTACCTATCACATAGATAAGTCATGTTTTGAAAGCAAAGTTATAAGAATAAGTATGTTGAGGAAATGTTCTTGCAAAACTTAACCTTAATATTTGGTGTGGTTTAAGATACTTATCTCACAGAGAATTACACTATTTGATGTTTAATTAACTCTTGTACCTTACAGTAATTTAATTGAACAATAAAATAATATTTATACAGATAAAGATATGTATTTTAGATACATTATTTTAAAAATAAATAAAATATTGATATGACTAATTTAAATATATTCGTAAACAATTCAAATTATTTCTGGGATTTTATGTAACCTATCTTTCCTTCATCAATAAGATAATGCATCCAATCCTGCGCATTGCTTGGATCAAAGGTAAAATAGGAGTGAGTGATCTACTAGAGTACTATACTAAAAATTGTACTAAATACTGTAGTGGAAGAAGATTTAGGATACCTGAAACCTAAGCCTGTTTCCAAAATTCATGTGCCTTATGACCTTGGGTAAGCCATTTAACCAAGACTATATTTTAAGCTCCTTAAAAGTAATAATGATTTATTCACTTTGGGCATACTAGAACCTTCAAATTTTATCATACAGAAATAATAGCAAGAAAGGTTACCTAATTGAATTAACTTCGTGGGACATTTTTTCTGCAAATAAGAAAAGTAAACTCATGAATTGAGAGAGCCTACTCTATATAAAGAGTTCATGAGTTTAAAGGACATGATTGTATAACAAGAAAATTTTAATCATCGTAAAACACCTGAGCCCCAAGCAAGCAAGGACAAAATACTAAGATTTAGAGATAATTTTAGTAAATTAAAATGACAAATACAGTTAGGTAAACAAAGGTACTACATGTCTCATGCTTCTTTGCAGGTAGATATGACCATGTGATTAGATTTCACCAATGGGATGTGAGCTGAAATGATGCATGCACTTTCAGGCAAGGCTTCCCTATTTTATTCTTTTAATTTATTGTCTTTTGACAAAAAGACCCTGGAAGATGGTAAAGCTACAAGACAAATTTCTGAATTATGCTATGGAGGGAAGTTGACTGCCAATCAAGAACACCTGTTTTAGTCTGTTTGGTGAGAAAAAGTTATAAACACTTACATAGTGTTTAAGACATTATACATTTGGGGACTTGGAATGGAGCAAGATGGCTGAATAGCAGCTTCCATTGATTGCCCTCCCACAGGAACACCAAATTTAATAACTACATTAAAAAAGGACCTTCATAAGAACCAAAAATCAGGTGAGCAAACACAGTACCTGATTTTAACATCACGCTGCTGAAAGAGGCACTAAAGAGGGTAGAAAGAAAATCTTGAATTGTTTCACTAAGTGCCACCTCTCCTCCATACTCTGTCAGTGACAGCTTGGCAAGAGGAGAGAATCTGTGCTCTTTGGGGAAGGAGAGCATAGTGACTTTGGGAATTTTCATTGGAAGTCAGTCCTGCCAACATTAGTAGAACTCAGCTGATGCCCACGGAGGAAGCATTTAGATAAGCCATAGCCACAGGGGAATTGCACATCCCAGCAGACAAAATTGAGTTTTGGCAAGCTTTACTACCGTGTGCCAAAGTGCTCTGGGGTCTTAAATAAAGTTGAAAGGTGGTCTAGACCACAAGAGCTGTAACTCTAGGCAAGTCCTGGTGCTCTGCTGGGCTCAAAGCCAGTGGATTTGAGGGCATATGACCTAGTGAGTCACCAGCCAGGGTGGCTAAGGAAGTGCCTGCACCATCTGTCCTCGAACCCCAGGCAGCACAGCTCACAGCTCTGAAAAAGAGTCCTTTCTTCTGCTTGAGGAGAGGAGAGGGGAGAGTAAAGAGGACTTTGTCTTGCAACTTGGATACCAGCTCAGTCATAGTAGTCACCTCAGGCAGAGTCATGAGGAACCCATTCTAGGCCCTAGCTCCAGGACATTTCTAGACACACTCTGGGCCAAAAGAGAACCTGCTGCATTAAAGAGAAATAGCAAATTCTGGCAGGATTCATCACCTGCTCATTAAAGAGCCCTTGGACCCTAAACAATCAGCAGCAATACCCAGGCAGAGCTCACTGTGGGCCTTGGCTAAGACTCAGAGCCTTGCTGGCTTCAGGTGATACCAAGCACATTCCTAGCTGTGGTAGTTTTGATGCTTTTTGCTTTAGAAGAGCAGAGATAAAAGTAAAGGGGACTTTGTCTTACAGCTTTTGTACCAGCTCAACCACAGGGGTTAGAGCATCAAGTGGGCTCATGGGATCTCTGATTATAGGCCTTGGCCCTTGGATGGCATTTCTGACCCCAGGCCAGAGGGGAGCCCACTTCCCTGAAGGGTGAGTCCCAGGCCTGGCAGCATTCTCAACAAGCTGAGTGGACTCGTCAGTGGCCTGGCCTTAAGTGAACATCGGCAATTGCCTGGAAGCACTCCCTGTGGGCCTCTGGTGATGGTGACCATGGGGAGAGACTCTTCTGCCTGTGTAAAAGGGAAGGAAGAGTGAAAGGACTTTGTCTTGCATTTTGGCTGCTGGCTCAGCTGCCGTAGAGTAGAGCACCAGGTAAATTTCTAAGGTTTCTGACTCCAGGCCCTGGCTCCTGGAAATCATCTCTAAACCAGCCTAGGGCCTGAAAAAACTCACTGCCCCTAAGGGAAAGACACAAGGCTGGCTGACCTCACCACCTACTGATTGTAGAGTGCTAGGGCCTTGAGCGAATGTAGGAAGTAGCGAGAAAGTGGCTTTTGTTGGCCAAACTAAAGTTGTCACTTTAGTTTTACAGATCCATAGAGGGACAGGTATTGAGTCCCAGGGGCAGTGCTTAGTGTATTATGCCAAGAAATCTCATCTGCACATGATTTATATGCTTTTGATGATGACATTTTGGACTTTGAGATGATAAGATTTAGATTAAACTTGGGAGTTTGAGCTGACGTTAAAATGGGGTGAGACTCTTGGAAAGCTTTGAAAGGTTGAATGTATTTTACATTTGGGAGGAGCATGAACCACTAGGGCCCAGGATACCACAGGTCTACTGTGGTAGACCAATCCCAAAGGTACAGACTGCGGCTGTCAATACCAAAAAGTTACATAATATGTAATTGTGTTTATATAACATTTTTGAAATGACCAAATTGTAGAAATGGAAAACATATTTTTGGTTACAAAAGAGTGTGGGGACAGAGATGAGGATGTTTATACAAGGCAACAGAAGGTATTAGGGTGGGGCTGCAAATGTTCACTACTTTGACTTGTGGTGGATATATGAGCCTAAACATGTTCTATAATTGTACAAAACTAATTACACATACTCATACCACCAATGTGCACAAGCAAAAATTAAAATAGACAAAAAAGCTAAACAATATGAAGAGGTTTTTATCAATTTCAATATCTTTGTTGTGATATTGTATCATATTATACTATAGTTTTGAAAAATGATGCCACTGGGAGAAACTAGGTAAAGGGTACACAGGTTTTCTCTTCATTATTTCTTAGAACTGCATGTAAATGTACAATTATTTCAATAAAATTTCAGTTAAAAAACTGACTTAATAAGATAAAGCAAGGTGGTTGAAAAATCACGTTTGAAAAGCTCAAAGATGAAATGAGTTCAAAGATTTAACTGCACAAGACAGGACCCAAGTCTCAGCAGAGGGCATCCGGATGCATGACCCAGACAATTTGACCAGCAAAGGTGATTTGTGCCACAGTTAGCCGCCCCACAGAAAAGGAGGCTTTAATCTGCCAGTTGTAGCTTTCCAAGTGGCAGACCAAACAGCTAAGCTATTGGCAACAGATTAAATGTCAGTAAAAATATAATGAGGTTTATTTAGGGGTATATTGACAACATCCATGAGAACAGCCTTGTGTTTGTCCACTGTGGAGACTACCATGTCAGTGTTTGACTCCGCATGGTGGGTGCTGAGGCTGGACAGCTGCGGCAGCCCAGTGGACACTGCTAGGCTTCAGCTTAGCTGAACCACTGGTAGCCCAAGCCCAGCATATGGGGAACTTTGTGAATATATGCAGCTATTCTCAATTAAGAGACTCCCCTTTGGCACTTATGGAAGAGAGAATCATAGGCATATAATGCAACAATTTCTACTGCATACACAGATATAGGAATAAAAAACAACCTTCCATGGAATCCCAATAGGCCTAAACAGCAATGTCCCATTAGCCTCTCCTACACTGTGAACACTTCCCAAATCCCATTGATTAAATACTGGCACTCCTCACCCCATAGGAATAGGAAGATGATAACATGGGTACCTGTTTCAGCGCCATAGAATTTGGGGTTCATTTCCTACACAAAGTTCCCCAGCTCGTTTGGATGGTTATGTATCAGTTCCTCTTAAAGACAGAGACTTTAGTGCACAGCCCACCTCAACATTCATATTCCTCCTTAAGGAAGCTGGGGTCAAGGTAGTAAGGCAGGGAGGGATGAGGGCCCAGAAGTTGAAAGACACTTCATGCTAGTAAGCAGAGCATATTTCTTTTCCTTTCTGAGCACAGCCCTTGTTATCCATCTTTAGGAAGCTTTATGCACCTGTTCTCTCATCTCTCTGGTGAGCCAGGTAAAGTTCTAACTATTCCACTGGTTTTTACCCAGAGTGGCTATGAATTTTCCTGCTTTAATGCCCAGGGCAGAAACATAAATGTACCTGTTGTCTGAAAAGAGATAAATCTCTTAATAGCAATTTCAGAGTACCAGGCCTGAGACTGACTGCAAGACTGGGGAGCAAGATGGCCCCACGTGAAGAACCATTAGAAACACAGAAGACATTGTTCAGAAAGCTGTTTTTGAACTTACTTTTCAATTCTCTTCCTATACCCTTTTCTCAAATTACTCCACATTAATAGGCAATGAAATGGAAGACAGCTTTATAGCCTGGTTGAAGGAACAATTTGATCAATATATTTATTACTAATGCCCATGAATGCTCTCAAATCCAATTAATGATTAATGAGGCCCTCATCTTTATTTCTACTGCAAAGCTATGTCTCCATCAGCATTTCAGCCGCACTGACAAATTGTTATAGGCCATGAAAGGTCTGAGGTTTTGCAAGTGAATATGTTAGCTTAACACAGGTTTATAGGTACTGGTAGAAGACACGGTATTCTTGAATCAGAGACAAAGGACCTTTATTAATTATGGCACAGCTGACATCTTGGGCCTGCAAATAGACACTGATAGCCTAAACCTTCCCCTGCCACATAATCACATTTTCTTTTTGAATATAACAGTCTTCAGAATTTTGGTTTGGGAAAGGCATGCATCTTACTAGTTTTAAAATATTTGATTTACAGCTATACATGATTTACTTGTTTTACTTATTTATTATTTCATAATAGTAATAGCATATAAAATATATTTTTCTTAACCTAATAAGAGATTATAAAAATAGGGCTGGGTGTGGTGGCTCATGCCTGTAATCTCAGCACTTTGGGAGGCCAAGGTGGGTGGATCACTTGAGGCCAGGAGTTCCAGGCCAGCCTGGCCAACATGGCAAAACCCTGTCTCCACTAAAATACAAAAATTAGCTGGGTGTGGTGGTGCATGCCTGTGGTCCCAACTACTCAGGATTCTGAGACATACGGTTCATTTAAACCCAGGAGGCAGAGGTTGCAGTGAGCCGAGATTGCAACACTGCACTCCAACCTGGACAACAGAGTGAGACCCTCTCTCAAATAAATAAATAAATAAATAAATAAATAAATAAATAAATAAAATTAAAAAGACTATTAAAATAAAATACATGCCATGATATTTATCATTTTATCATATATTACCCCAATTCCTAAGCTTTTACCCATCCTTTAAGGCTAGAATGTAACTATAAATATAAATATAATGTACTTGACACTTCTGTATTTTGACCTGTTTTGCCCTTTAGTGACTGCCATATCCTATGTTTGTGAAAGTTAACTAGTGCTTAAAAATGTGTTTCCTAAACAGCACAGTAGTTATTTCAAGTGACCTCATTTTGAAGTATTTCCTAATGACAAATCGCTTAACATAGTCATATACTCTGAGTTACTTTAATGCTTCAAATAACTCTAAAAACTAGACTAGTAAAATATAGCAGACGTGAGCATTGATTTAGTGTCTAATCATCAAAAATGGGTAAGAAGGGTATTCCAGCAGTATAGAAAGTTTCTGCAGTGTCTGCACTACAGAGCGTAGAGTCAGTCCATTAAACTGCAAATGGGATGAATAGGTCTCTTAAACCATAGATTCACACTGTGCTTTTCTGTAGAACAAATCACATTTCTCTTTATGTATCAAGGAGGATGAATTACACAATATGGTCAATTAAATCACACTTAAAGAAGTAATAAAGGAAGCAGAATACAACAGTTGTCCTATCAATGGATTATTTAAAAATATAAAAGTTCTCACCCATGGGGCTTCTCTTTACTTATCCTTCTCGAATTTGCCTATATAACATGTGATCACCCCCTTGAATAAGTCCTTTGGTTTTGCGATTCAGAGTCATTCACTGTTAATTTGATGAGGTCAATCAAGTGTTAAAAACTATTCCAAAAAAATAAAAAGAATGTTGCTCAGGCAAGCACACAAAATGGGTTCTGGTTAAACTAGATTCATGTCTCTATAATATAATGTAATATAATCAGGATAACAATTGGTGCCTATGAAGAAATGGTGTTCCAAAAATTGTTGCATTTACATTATAAATATTTGTTCCCATTTATGGTGCTGTGAGGAAATGAAACTTCTCTAGATTTCTGTGTGTGCTTATACAAAGCCCCAGCTTCCTGAGACAGGAAATGTATACAGAAAAAGACAAGAATATTTGCCTTCACTTCTACTGGAAACATTGCTTTTTCTTTTTACATACCATAAGAATTACATCTGGAGATATTTTTCTAGTGAATTGCTCTCATCTGAGCAGAAAAGATAACAACACTTCTCCTATCCCCGTAAGAGGGCCAAGAGGTTACAGCCCAGACTAAATTCCTAGGTTTATCCCTGAGGTCTCCTGGAAAACTAGGAAGCTTTCTCCCTGGATATGTACATCTCACAAAGGAGAAATCTTGGAGGTATCTCTAGTTCATAAAACCCAGAGACGTTTCGGATGTATCTGACTTTTGGAGAGTCTTTGGCATTCCAAAAGGTTAGGCAGAGAGCCTAGGATCCTTTCCATCCAGTCTCCAAAGGACAAGTTATCTCTCTCCTTTCAGGAGTAGAGTGCTGTTTGACAGTTGTCCTTCACTTGCACATAAATAAAGAAAATTCACTGTTCTTCATCTGTCTTCTTGGGGTATAACTCTCAAGTAAAAAAATTCCATCAGTTCTCATCACATTACCTGCAGGTCTAGGTGCAGGTGACTGACATTGAGATTACTTTGGCTGTAGATATGGTTGTATAAATAAAGAGGAGGTGCTTTGTGTTTCTGTAGTATTTATATATAAAATAAATTCTGTGCTATTCACACCTGTTAAGTCACATTATGTTTTAAAACAACTCATCTTATAGATGAAGCAATTAAAAGACAAAGTATAGCTCAACTACTGAGGACATTTGGCCAGTAAGAACTGAAGAACTGTGGAGAAAAGATTTGGTTGGCATAACCCCAAAACCCTTGGCATTAATTATTAGGCTGCCTTTATCACACATGGCATTTATTAGGATTTAAGAGCTCAAGGCATATGATTGCTGCATTCTATTTTCTTAAAAACCTTAAACTAAGGTAAGCCTACCTTTTTCTCTCTTTCTTTCTCTTTCTCTCTTTGAAAGCAGAGTAAATGCATGATATTCTTTCTTTATCACTCAATAATAGAAAAATACAGATATAGACACAAATTAATATTTCAAGCCTCATTTTATGATCTTGGGTAAATATGAAGATTATATAAATAATTTAGGTTTTCCATAAATTCCTACTTACCTTTTATCACCTGTAATTTTTTACCAACAACATGCAAAATAGAAATTTAATCTTGAAAGTAATTGAAAAACTATCCAGATGTTAAAAATAATCCACTGATTTACCTATTGAACAAAAACATCAAATGGCTATCATTGCATAGGCCCTGGCCTAGGTACTAATGCCACATGTATTTATAATATCGAAGCAGCACTGTTATGCATTTCTTTTGACACAGTAGCTAAATTCATCAGACAATTGGTCGTCCCTATAGTTTTGGGTTATAAGATGTATCAACTACCATACAGCATTTTAAAAAGTAGAGAAAATAAGGAATTTATAGTTTACATGAACAGAGGTAATGACACAACCAATATGACTCTGAAGTCACTAAAATAAATGCTATATGTAAATCTTACAGAGGTGTAACAAGAGGAGAGCAAAAGAATCTTTTATGAACAGAAGCTCCAGTTTTAATTTTAAGGATTTGACCACTCAGGTTCTAAAATTAGTCAATATCATTGAGGACACACTTAAATAACCTCCAGACATGAGAAGCATACAAGATTAGCAAACACCATGTATCTTAACAGAATTCTGTATCAATTAACTGAGTATGGACAGTAAGGATTTGTTAGATTACATAGTGTGATATACTGTTTCAGAGAATTATCCTAATATCTAAATTGAGTTATCTCTTTCTCTATAGATTTGAGTGGAAAAAAATCATCTCATTTGAAGGAACAAGCATAGTCTCTATGTAAACTTACTACAACATAAAGGAGATGACGAACAGAAAATATTATTTCAAAACAAAAAAATATTCAACAGAAAATATTGCAATAAAAAATCTAATAGTGATAAAAAATTGTATACATTAAAGAAATTTGAAAAAAATCTCTGCTGTAGAATAATGAAACAAAGAAGATATACCACAAGTGAGCAACACGGTATTGTTAAGTATAGTCCTCATGCTGTGCATTAGATCCCCAGAAATTATCTTACAACTGAAAGCTTATACCCTTTGATCAACATCTCACCATTTCTGCCTTCCCCTCAGGCTCTGGCAACTACTATTCTACTCTCTGCTTCTATGATTTCAAGGTTTTTAGCTTCCACATATAAATGAGATCATGTAGTACTTGTCTTTCTGTGGGGAAAAAAATCAGACCATGGATTACCACTGGGAGCAAGAGACGAATTCACTAGAAAGAGGGTATGCAGGAATATTCTGGTAATATTCTACATGTTGATAGGTAACTGTGTTACACAAGCACCTGAATTTGTGAAAACACAACAAAGATACCTCAATATTTGTTCATGTCATTCTAAGTTTTACTTCAAAATAAAGTAAACAAGCAAAAATAAACATATATTTTGATTTACTTGTTATTATTAAAGACCACAAGTAAGAGAGTAAAGCAAAAAGGAAAAGAAATATAGCTTATTCAGTTTTAGAAGAGAAGCAGAAACAAAAGTTTATAAATTCACATAAAGGAAGGTGAAATTGAAAGGTACAACAAGAATAGATTCTGATGAACACTCAAAGAACGAACAACAGGACTGAGAAAATGAGAAAAAAAATGGAAGTAAAAGATAAATGTAAAAAGATTGACTAGAACATGACAGTTCTGGAAGAGAAGCAAAGGAGACCCTCCATGTACATCATTAGTGACCCTAAATAAGATCAGAACAATTAACAGGAAACAAATATAAACAAACAATTACAGAAAAAAATGCACAAACTATAAGATGATTTGCATCTACCAATTAAATGAACACATCTTGTTTCAAGAATAGTGAAATTGGAAAAATCAATTCCGAGGCTTAAATCAATCAAGTTATTAAATTTCAAAAAAGGACAGACTCTTTTAGTCAGCCAGGTCAATACAAAAATCTCATAAAAGAAAAAAAAAAGTAGCTTCATTAATCCAAAGAGCAAAATGTAACATGATAAGATAGTAATGTTCTGGAAGAAAGAAAATATGAACTTTTTTAATACAGTGATACTGTGAAATACATATTTGATCTTTGTTTCCATGAGATGACTGGTGGCTGGTAGCCCCTAGGCAGCTTCAGGATGGGGCTGGTTACCAGAAAGAACAAGGCTTGATTAGAAGGTTAGGACTTTCAGCCCATGCTTTAATCCTGGGGAGGAGAGAGGGGCTGAAGGTTGGGTTGATCATTAATGGCCAATAATGTAATCAATCATGCCTATGTAATGCAGTCTCCATAAGAACTCAAAAGAACAGGCTTCATAAAGGCTTCCAGATAGCTGAACGTGTTCCTGGAGGGTAGCACCCCATGTTCCTGAAGGAGACATGGAAGCTCCATTCTTCTCTCATGCCTTGCTCCATGTATTTCTTCCATCTGCTATTCATCTGCGGACTTTGTAACATTCTTTATAATAAACTGATAATTAGAAGTAAAATGTTTCCTGCATTCTGGGAGCTGCTCTAGCAAATTAATCAAACCTGAAGGTGGGGTCATGGGAACCCTGGTTTATAGCCAGTTGACTAGAAGTACAATTGATGTTGTGTCTGTTTTGTGTTGCCATAACAGAATGCCTAACACTGGGGAATTTATAAAGAACAAAAATTTATCCCTCACAGTTCTAAAGGCTGGAAAGTTTATCATCAAGGCTCTGGAAAGCTGGGCCCACTTTGTCTGCTTCCAAAATGCTGTTGTGAAAGCTGGGTCCTCCATAGAAAAGGAACACTCTGTCCTCACATGACAGATGAGCAAGAGAGGACCCACTCCTGCAAGCCTTGTTTATAGCAGCTTTAATCCATTCATGATGGTTTTTTATTATCTATGATAATCTATGATTCAGAATAAAAGTAAATTTATCTGTTAAAATATAAACTTGAGTTTTAGTCATTAAACAAAACTCAACTTTGTAATACCTACAAAAAATCACAGAAAACAAAGTGACTCAGGAAAGTTTAAAATACAAAGATGAGCAATGGCAGTCATGCCTGGAAATGGAACAAAATGAAGAGAGGTGTTTAAATCAGAAAAAGTAGAAGTCAGACAAAAAGGATTAAATGATGCTAAGAAAGCCACTTTAAAATAATAAGCTGTGCAGTCGACAAAATCAATACACAAATAAAAACATCAACATCAATAGTGAAAAATAAATAGGGATTGTAATGACATATAAGATGAGACCTTAATATATATATATTTTTTCCACAATGACTCAAAAAGATAAAACATAAATAATAACCTAAAAGAATTTGCCCTTTCCAGTCCTGTTTGGAACAGGCTCCCAAATCTGGCCAAAAACTGGCCCCAAAACTGGCCATAAACAAAATCTCTGCTGCACTGACATGTTCCTGATGGCCATGACACCCACGCTGAAGGTTGTGGGTTTATCAGAATGAGGGCAAGGAACACCTGGCCCACCCAAGGCAGAAAACCGCTTAAAGGCATTCCTAAGCCACAAACAATAGCATGAGCCATCTGTGCCTTAAGGACATGTTCCTGCTGCAGGTAACTAGCCAGAGGCAATCCCTTTGTTTGGCCCATTCCTTTGTTTCCTGTAAGGAGTGCTTTTAGTTAATCTATAATCTACAGAAATAATGCTTATCACTGGCTTGCTGTCAATAAATATGTGAGTCAAACTCTGTTTGGGGATCTCAGCTCTGAAGGCTGTGAGTCCCCTGATTTCCCACTCCACATGCTATATTTCTGTGTGTGTCTTTATTTCATCTAGTGCTACTGGGTTAGGGTCTCCTCAACCGAGCTGGTCTTGGGACAGTCCAATAACACATTGTATCTAGTTTCTCAAATTGAACTATGGAATCTCCACTTGCACTTCTGCCTTTGTTGTCTACTTCAATGAGTGGTCAGTAACTGCCTGCAACAAATATTCTCATCATCCTTTTGAAATATTTTGATAGATTCCAAGAAGAAATTCATAGTAAAACGAGTGTTATATAAAGGAAGTTCAGCACATATATTCTCATAAACATAGTAATGCCCAAGAATGTATGTAGGAAGCCCACGGATCTAGAAGAATATTACAAAAAAGCATATGCTGGCAGACCAGGCAAACCTGGGTTTGAATTCTCATATCAGAAAAAACTTTGAACAACTTATATAATCGGTTTGAAGCCATGTGTGTATCTTTTGGCTGTGTAAAAAAATCCACCACCATAGTCTCACTGGGAAGGAAAGCACACATGGGGTGTCCATCTTCCAAAAGGAGTTTTAAAAATAATTCAATAAATATGTACTCTTATCTCTATTCCAACTGCCTGTATCATATCTACATATATCAGAAAACTCTTGTCATTTTTAAGAATTTTATGACAAATTTAGATGAAAACAGAAAATATTCTATCAAAACTGCCTTGCTACAAAGTTGGGAATATTCGCTAATGAATTGGAGTTTAAAAGCAAGAATTGAATACTTTTTGTCATACTGAAACAAAGTGATGGGATTTAAGAGTATTTAAAGTATTCATTTACTTTTAGCAAGTTGACTTCACAAGTGTGAGTGGGATTATCTATGATAATCTATGATTCAGAAACAAAAGTAACTGACAATGATCAAAACAAGCAAATGATTTGTTCTTTTTTGGTCCTTATTTATTGATTTTTAGTTGACAAAAATTGTATATATTTATGGTGTTCTACAGGGTGTTTTGCTATATGCATGTGTTATGGGATGGTTAAACCAAGTTGATCAGTATACCCATGACTTCATCTTGACATAGTCATCAGAACTGCTGACAGCATCCTTCACAACGTTCATTAAATACAGTGCTTACAAAAAGGGAAGTGGGAAACCTCTTGTATCTGCATTGATCTGCCACATCTGGGGCAATGCCTGCAGAAAAATTTAGGAAAGGATGTATTGATAAAGCCCAGCAGCTAATCATGTCAACAACTACCCATGTAGTTCTGCTCAGTTTCTTCACCTTCATGTGCTGTAGGGTCTTACCTGTAAGTTGAGGTCATTGAACTTAGTGTATACATGTGATGGGATTAAATGAGATAATATATGTGAAGAGCTTAGACAAGGCCCTTGGTTATTATCATTAATCTGTAGTGATATTATAATAGAGAAATTGACCAGTTAATGTATGATTAGGGAAGAGCAAAAGAAATGCTGAAGCTTTTGGAAAGCAAGTGCCAAGGAAAACAGGAAAATAAATTGAGTACTTTGGACCACAGAAGAGAAGGTGTAGAGGAAGGGACATTTCTTTGACTCTATGAACGTCTCCGTGTGGAAGACAGAGTCACTTTCCTTGTGTCTTGCAGTATGAACCTCAATGCCGTTGGAACTTGACTTCTTGTCATTTCAAGAAAGCTTTCAAAGTATAGATTTTTCAGAAATAGAAAAAACTAACCTACAAATAATGGAGTTAGTTGTGAAAGTGCAATGCATGAACTAAGTACTGTAAACTTGAAAGACGGTGATGTTAAGGAATGGAGGTTAGTTCACAAAACGTGTATGACTTTTTCAAGGCTAGAGTGCTATAGCTCAATAAAGAGATGTCAATACTGCCTCAGACTACTTTAAATCAAAACCATTATATTTCTAGTAGCAGTACTACCAAGGTAACTTTCTTAGCTGGAATTGGCTTCATTCTCTCGAGAATTTCAAGTACCAAATTCCATTTATGCCTCTTCTGACTTAAAATGACATCCAGGGCCATTTTGGTCATTTTAGTGACCCAATAACAACCAGAAATTCTTGACATATGAGCAGATAAAACTCTCCTTTAGAGCTGCCAAACAAAATTATAAAAAGCTACTTGCTATTGTTGAAAAAAAATATAATTTTTTTTTTTGTTTTTCTTTCAGAGGTCAAAAGCTAAATTATCTCACCAAAGGAGAGTAAATGCATGAATTCTAGTGAGAGGCATTAGAATTAAATGTCAGTAGTGGTTACTCTAACATAGCTATAAAGAAACATTTTTTATATTTCTTTAGGAGCTTTGTGATATATGACTATGTGTATAACCATAGCCATGAGAAAATCATCTCTGGCTCAAGAATTCCACTGTTAGAGAATTTCTAAGGAAATTATTAGAAATCCATACCACCAAACACAAAAGCCTGTTTATTGAATTAGTATTTGTAAGAGGGAGAATATAGAAAAAATGAATTTACATTAATAGAGGATTACTTCCAGATAGCTTAACATAACCACTGAAAATCATATTTCAAAAGAATATGGGAAAAATCTCACAATAAAGTAATTGAGTATAATTTTAAGAGTTTAAAAAAAGAGATAATAAAAACAAAAGTATGATCTCAACAAAAATTACATATGATATAAACAAAACAAATCCATGATTTTTAAAAGATTACTAGTTCTGTATGTTGATATTATGAGACCAACACTTTATTTTATTTGTATGTATTTTTCAACTTTTCATAATAAAAACATTGATTTTAAAATCAATATATAAAAACAAATATTTTCAAATACTTCATGATATAGAGAAAGAAATTTTCAAAAAGTCATGATATATTTTATGTTAAAATTGATGTGAAGAATAATAGTTTGTGAACATTCTGAAAATGTTTTTGTGGGGTAGAAATGGGCACATACAGGGACATGGAATCTGGAAATTGAATTTCTTGATCATTGAATTAAATAGGTTCTTCCTATTCTAGAACTTCATTGCTACAAGATACTCAGATGTTTTTATATAAATCAACTATATTCTACAAGAAAATAAATTGAAGAAAAATTACATTTGAAAAATTCAACACCCTTTTATGACAAAGACAATCAAAAAACTGGACATAGAAGCCAAAGAGGAAATTTTTTCAACAAAGCAAAGGCCATGTATAACAACCCCACAGCTACCATCACACTTAGTGGTGAAAACTGAAATTTTTTCCTCTCAGATCAAAAACAAGACAAGGTGGCCCACTTTTGCCACTTCTTTTAAAAATAATACTGGAAATCCTTGTCAGAACAATTGATCACAAAGAATAAATGTGTCTAAGTTGTAAAGGAGAGACTAAAATTATCTCTTCATAGAAAAGATGATCTTACATGTACAAAATCCTAAAGATTCCACACACAAAAAACAAAACCAAAAATTGTTAGACTAACAAATTCAGTGAAGTTTCAGGATACAAAATCAATACATAAAAGTCAGTCGCATTTCTGTGCATTAAAAATAAATTTTTAAAAACACTTATAAATGGAATTTCAGAAAACATTTTCACCGAAAACATCGGTAATTCATCTTGAAAGAATTCATTATAAGGAGACATATTTACCTTTGAGAAGATGTAACTGAAATCTTCAAAACTCCTAACTATTTAAAGATTTCTATTTTATTATGTTCTTAGAAATTTCATCTGCTAATGTCTTTGAAATTACAAGAAAGCAACAATGTTACCACCGACCTTTTTTATTATAATCTCATCTGTAATACACTATTAACTATCTGTATGATTATCGGTAATTTAATATTTACATATATATTCTTTATTACCAATGGTCAGATTCACAATTTCAACAGAAATATGGAAATGTCATTGGTAAAATATAATTTTAAATGTAAATTGATTATGGTTAATTTACAAATAAAGAGAACTTATAGTTTACCCTAACTAAACGACTACCTTAAGACATAAACTTTAATGGTGAGCTTCCCAAGGACAAAATACATATCATACATTCAAACACTATTTTCCCTAAATTAAGTTTTCTATAACAATTAAACTTAAGGAAAAAAACCTACAGATTATTATCAAAGTATGTTATTAAACATTAACTGTTTCTATACAAGTTGAGGTGTTTGGAAGTAATATAAATGGTATTAGCATCATTTATGGAACACTATTTATTCTTACATTCAGCAAGTGTTTACTAAACACTTATTATTTTCCAAGCACTATTTTAACTACGTAGGATACCCTGGTGAACCACATTGACAAACTTTCTTCCACTGGCAGTTTTTAATGTTCTACAGGAGAGAAGAGTAGATCAGCATATGGGATGTGGTAGTTGCTAATAGGGTAAGCAGAGAGATTGGGGCAGATGCAATACCTATGAGGAAAATCTTGAGGCAAGTTGGAGAATTAGCATGAATATATCAGGTGGAAGAGCACTGCTGGCATAGAGGGTGAGCACAAAGTCTCAGAGAATGAGAACCCTCAGTGCATTTGACACCTAGCCCATATAGGAGCAAGGCTGGAGCAGAGGAAAGAAGACAGAAAGCATCTGGGTATGAAATCAGAGATATATGACTCTTCATTTAGTGCAAGTCATTAATTATTTCTAAAAGTTATTTTATTGACTAATTATTTCTAAGAGTTTTATACAACTAAAATAAAATCAAATATTTATAGGTTATCATGATGCTAAATTTCATTTCCAAGTTGATTTCTAAATCAATAAAAGCTATCTATGTGTACTGAATTACCTACAAATCAGTGGCTCATATAGACTTGTCAGGATAATGCATTAATGAGGCTTGGCAGTTGTCTGTTGGCTGTCTCAGGCTGAGGAATTACAAATCAATAGTTTCTTTTGGACAAACACCTAAGTTTGTATTAGTGCTTACTTATTTCATTGTTTGTATTATCGAGGCTCTACTCTAAAAATAACTAGAAAGCAATTGATATCTTTGCTTTTTATTAACTCTAAGCTAATAATGGCTATCAAACATTAGCAAAGTCTGTTTAAATTTGTCTGAACAAAATATTAAAAGGAAATAACAAGAACTTTCTTCCCCTGCTTCTACACCTCTTCCTGTTGTTGGAGGACTTGTGATGTTACTTCATGAATCACCTACTTTGTGCTTGTAAGGCCGTATCTTGGGGTAGTGACAGCCCAGCCATGTGGGAATAATCTGTTTATCTTGCCTATGAAAGTGTGAACTATCTCCCTGGAGGCATGGTCTGAGTCACAGCCTGTGTTCAGTTTTAGGACCAGTGTGGCATCTCAAAAAATGCTATATTTACTTGAAAGATCTGAGAAAAATAGAGTAAAAAACATATAAAATTATGACTATACTCCACCAAAAGAAAATGGTATAGAATGTAAAACTCTAACCACATCTCAAAAAAAAAAAAAAAAGTTATCTCTTTATGGTTACAGCCCTGCATAACTATATGTGTTTCTGTTTCAGTTAATTGCCTCCAACCCCCTTGCTCTGATGGCAAATTCTGCATGGCCTGGCAATAGCCTATGTCTCCAAGCTCACCAGAGATCCTGCTTTCTATCATCCATGCCTCTCTAGCCACAATCACTTTATTTATTTCTAGATAAAGGCCAAGATCATTCACCTCTGAACAGGGTTGCTCCACCCTTCTTATACTTCTTTCCCAAGCTGGTGACTTCTATCTAGAAGTCAGTTTAAAAGATAACTCCTTGAGTGAGACTTTTATTTAATATACAAGCAAAAGTTGCTACCCAGTCTCCTCCACATGGAACAACCTGTTACTTCTCCTGTAAATATGTATTTGTTCATTGTTTACCTCTCTTAACTGGAACTATTATGCCCATTCTATAGATGATAACGTGGAAGTGCAGAAAAATTAGCTACTCTCTCTGAGGCACCCCAGCAAATATCTGGAGCTATGTCTAGCTCTGAATTCTGTATGTGCTCTTCACTCCTACATCACAGCAATAGAATAGTACGCCTGACACATGCCTGTCTCCCAAACCCCAGAACATGGGACTGTGTTCCTACAGGTGCCAAAGGGACTTTTCAAGTGTGATTAAGATGAAGGAGTTTGTGCTGCTGACATGACCCTGAATTTCAGGTAGGATCCATCCAATCACATAGACCCTTCACAGCGGGAGAGGAAAGCAGAAGAATCCATCAGAGACGTGACAGAAAAATGAGCAGAGATTAAAAATATGAGACGGACTCACCCCACGTCACTAGTTTTAAAGATGGAGAGAGACAAGGGATGCAGTGAACCTGGAGAGTCTTGGAATGGCCCCCAGATGACAGCCAGAAAGGAAATCGGGACCTCAGATCGTCAACCACAAGAACAGCAGGATGCCAGTCATAGGAAGCTAGGAAACAAGTCTCCCTTAGATCCCCTGGAAAGGAGCACAGCCTGCCCACACCTGGATTAGCCCAATGAGACTCATGTGCATCTTCAGACCTACAGGAACACAAGGTGAGAAATCTGTGCTGTTTAAGCTGCTGAATTTGTGTCAATTTGATATGGCTGCAATGCAAAACTAATAGAATCATGCTTGCTTTTTTTTTTTTTTTCTGCAGACATGCCTGGAAGAGAGGCTGAAGAGTAGAAGCCAATATATTTCAAATAGAAAGGGGTTAAATCAGGAGTCTATGAAAGGAAAAAGATAATAGGAGTCTTAGTAGCATGGGTAAAAGGCAACTGACTCTGATTCCTGGGAACCATGTATCTTTCTTTTTTTTTTTTTTTTTTTCGAGACGGAGTCTCGCTCTGTCGCCCAGGCTGCAGTGCAGTGGCACGATCTCGGCTCACTGCAACCTCCGCCTCCCGGGTTCATGCCATTCTCCTGCTTCAGCCTCCTCAGTAGCTGGGACTACAGGCGCCCGCCACCACGCCCAGCTAATTTTTTATACTTTTAGTAGATACAGAGTTTCACCGTGTTAGCCGGGATGGTCTCGGTCTCCTGACCTCGTGATCTGCCCGCCTCGGCCTCCCAAAGAGCTGGGATTACAGGCGTGAGCCACCTTGCCCGGCCCCTGTGAGCCATGTAGCTTATAATGGCCCAGAGATGATAAAAACTTTGGGAAAATATTTAAAAATTAAAATAAGAGCACCCAACACTGAACAGAAAGCAGATAAATAGGTACTTAAGCATATATAGGTACTCCAGATGGGTGTAAGCACCCTTTCTGAATCTAATTTTGCTATTACTATCATAAAAATTAAAATATTCATCATACTTAAAATAAAATCTATTCCTAGAGTGAATCTTAAATTCTTATCTGAGAAGTAGAACATTTTCATCTGCCATGATATTCAGCATAGTGCTCTAATAATAGCAGAACCACTTTGATGCTCTATCATAGAAAATCAAAATTTGCACATAATATAAAGCTTAAATTATAGAGAACAAAACATTGTTTTATAAAAATGATAGCAGGAAACAGAAAAATAAACAGCCATATGCACAAGACAGACTAGGGAAAATGCATGTTTATAGTGATTGTCCTTGGGCAGTGATCAATGTCACTTGATCATTTAATTACACACACACACATAGACATATATATATATACACACACACACACACACATATACACATATATAATTCCATCTTGCTAGCACACTCTAAAATGCATTTCCTGCTGGCCTTGAAAAGCAAACAGCCATATTGTGAACTCTATATATACAGGGCCCCATGACAGAGAATTGAGGGTGGTCTGTAAAATTTAGAGGTCTCCAACTGACAACCAGTAAGAAGCTGGGCCATCAGTCATACAGCTACAAGAAACTGAATTTTGCCAACGACCTAATGGGCAAGGATGCAAATTCTTCCACAGCGGAGCCTCCAGATGAGAATACAGTCTGACAAACAACTTGATTGCAGCCTTGTGAAACAAGCTTAGTTTTTCAGGAATCTTGGCCTTGAGAACTGTGAGCTTATGTAATGTGTGCTGTTTTAAGCCTCTTGGTTTGTGGTAATTTATTATAGCAGTGAGAGAAAACTAATCAGGCTTCTAGTCAAATATTTTTTCTTGAAGTAAACATTTTACCATAGAGATAAATGTAGTATATGGTAGAATTATAATGTGAATAGTATGTAGATACCAAAATAGTGATTATGCATGCAACAGTAAGAAAATACTTTCAGTATGAAATAAAAACGTAGAAAGTAAAATTGCTTGGTGAAAATGAAATACACAGAAAAAATATTAGGGGAGAACAAAGGAACAGTTACAGGTATATTTAGGTATTTCTAAGTTTTTGTCATTGCTGTGGTAGTGGTACTGGTTGTTTCTCTTTTGACTATATTCCAGTTACTTGTAATTTGCAGCTTTGTGGAAATCACAAAATTATAAGTAGTTTAATGCAAACATCATAACAACTTAGGCGAAGATAAGTAATGTCTTTCACTTTCATTTTTATAAATTAAATTAATTCATAATTGAGAAGTTGCTGTCTGCCAGACTTTCTTCCATATACTGAGAGTAAGGGAGGAGACCACCCCTCATATTGTCTTATGCCCAATTTCTGCCTCCAAAGAAAGAAAAAGTAAAAACTAAAAGGCAGAAATGAAATCCACAAGCAGACAGCCCGGTGCCACACCCTGGGCCTGGTAGTTAAAGATCAACCCCTGACCTAATCGGTTATGGTATCTATAAATTACAGACATTGTATAGAAAAGCACTGTGAAAATCCCTATCCTGTTTTGTTCCGATCTAATTACTGGTGCATGCAGCCCCCAGTCATGTACCCACTTCTTGCTCAATCGATCACGACCCTCTCACGGGAACCCCTTAGAGTTGTGAGCCCTTAAAAGGGACAGGGATTGCTCACTCGGGGAGCTCGGCTCTTGAGACAGGAGTCTTGCCGATGCCCCAGGCCGAATACACCCCTTCCTTCTTTAACTTGGTGTCTGAGGAGTTTTGTCTGTGGCTCATTCTGCTTCAAGAGTACAATGAAGAAAGGGCAACAAGATTTCTGTTTCCACAGGCCTTATATTTTCTTAGCTCAGCTTAGCTTTCCCAGTGGAGCACATTTTTATTATTTTTCTTGTTTTTCGTTATTTATGTGTGTGTGTGTGTGTGTGTGTGTGTGTGTGTGTGAAATGCTTACTTGATCTTAATTGGTGTGGTCATATTAACCTTTTATGCATGCCAAGATTCATTTGCTCATTGAACAAATTAACTGAGGATTGAAAAAATGCAAAGCACAGTTATAGGTCAAAGTTCAGTGAACATAAATTAGCAGGTTCCTTCCCTTCCAAGCTTGTATTCTTGCAGGTCAAGTAAACAATAAAGGAGTAAATGGATGTATACTGTGGTTTCAGGCAGTGATAAGTGTTATGCGGAGTAGTAAAACAGGATGAGTGAGATAAACAATCACAGGACAATAGAGATGATATCTCAGATACAGTATCTGGAAAAATGTAGCTTAGGGGTGACATTTGCTGAGAAACAAATGAAGCAAGTGACTGAATCAAGTTCCTGTCTGATAGAAAAGCTTTATGAGCTGAGGCAAAAGCAAATGCCACATCCCTGAGTTGGGAATGCAGCTGTTGTGTAGATGGGTAGCAAGTAGATCACTACAGCTGGGGCTTGCGTGACGGAGGAAGAGAATAGTTAAGCACTAATGCTGAGTGATATGCAGAAGGCAGGGTATTTAAAGCCTTACGGAGTAAATCTGCCACAATCCTGCCTCTGGTCTGTTAATGCTCCTGCATTTTCTGTAATATGTTCCACAGAAAGGCACAATTATCTAATCATTCTGCACATGAAACACAGGTCCACTACACTGGTGACATCTTGTTGATTGGCTTTGGCTGTGTGCACTCTGAGAAGCTGAGGGGGAGGGCTCAAGAGAGAGACTGAAAGAGTGAAAAAGGACTTGGTTGTTCTCATCCATGTCCTATTGCCTGCCTGTGGCTTCCTGCCTGCTCGTGCTTCCTGTGAGCATCACTCCAGCAAGGCTTTTTCACCTTGTCAGTGGCAATTCCTTTCTGTAGCAGCAGCTGAATCCTGTTCTTGCTTTTTTCCACATTTTCAGAACCCAGTTCATTGTATGCTCATCTCAGGGATAGTGTCAGTGGCCCTTTACACAAGTCTATGACCCTGACCCATAAAGTCCCTTCTCTGAGCTCAGGGACACCAGCACTAGCTAAGTACCGACTTCTCTTTCTTAGAAGCCCGAATCTCATTTCCTTAAAACACTTTATCTAAGGTTTTATGTTTTAATTATTCTTTTAATTATTCTTACTGTAACAGTTAATTTTATATGTCATCTGGGCTAGCTGTTTGGTCAAACCGTAGAGCAGATGTTGCTGTGAAACTATTTTGTATATGTGATTAACATTTACAATCAGTTGACTAAGTAAAGCAAGTTACTCTTAATAATGTGGCAGGGCTCTTCAAACCACATAAAGGTTGTAAGAGCAAAAACTGAGAACTCCTGGAGAAGAAGAAATTGTGTCTCAAGCCTTAATACAGGAATTCTGCCTCCACTTTCTGTCTGCTGGCCTGTTTTACAGGTTTCACACTTGCTCAATACTCACATAAGCCAATTTCTTAAAATTTGTCTGGATCAAGTGATTGATTGATCAGTATGTGCCATGGTTCTGTTTCTCTGGAGAACACTGACAAATGCGTTGCCTCTTTCCTGTATCTTTGCAGCCCCAGATGTGGTGTCTGTTTCCTACAGCTGCTATTTTTGTGGCACACAAGTCAGCTGTGTCTTTTCACCTTTTCAGTTACGTATTTAACATGTTATATATCTAGGTAAAATTCTTTACATTAAGTTCTCTCTAGTTAAATAACTGGTGTGATTTCTGTCTCTTGATGCACTCTGATGCTTTCTTGTAAAGGCTTTGAACATTATTCTAAGAGTGACTGGAAGCTTTTGTAGAGTTCCTATGGCATGATGATTTCTTATCCCTCTACTTCCAACAAGTCCCTGGTCACCTAGTAGAAACATGTTGTCGACTGTCTCTGTATTCGGTTATGCTTCCTCCTCATCCTGCTTTTTCAAGGTCTTTATAGAAAGTACAGCAGAATAGTTTTCTCCCCATGGAAATCCTAAGATGCTTTAATTAAACTAAATGTCAAAATAAGCTGATAAGTATTTGCTTCCATGTTTCTTATTCCAGCCACAGTTCCATTCAGCTGCTATACTTTTTTTCTTCTAAGAAATATCAGCAACTATTCAATATTCATTAACTTCTAATTTTCTAAGGAAGCACGGTGGCTCATGCCTGTAATCCCAGCACTTTGGGAGGCCGAGGCAGGCAGATCATGAGGTCAAGAGATCGAGACCATCCTGGCTAAACTGGTGAAACCCCGTCTCTACTAAAAATACAAAAACAAACAAACAAACAAAAAATTAGCTGGGCATGGTGTCAGGCGCGGGTAGTCCTAGCTACTCGGGAGGCTGAGGCAGGAGAATGGCTTGAACCCAGGAGGCAGAGCTTGGAGTGAGCCGAGGTCGCACCACTGTACTCCAGCCTGGGCGACAGAGTGAGACTCCGTCTCAAAAAAAAAAAAAAAAGAAAAAACTACTTCTTGAAACCCCTGATTATCTTAAAACATTACATAATCAGAAATGTTTAAAATAATTGTATTAAGTAATAATTAATATTTTGATATATTTAACATATGCATTGGTATGTATAATGCATTCATGGTTTTGCTAATGGAACAAAATGAATTATTTTATGGAATGTAAGAAATCCAAATAAATTTTATTTTTTGAAATTTCATTTTCAATAATTGACACAAATACATATAAAGCACATCCATTTTAGCCATTCTTCTAAATGTGCATATTGTTCAAACTATAATTAAAATTTACTCATGCTTCTGTGGGTATGATTGTATAATTAAAATGCAAATTTCAACATAGGTCATTGCTCATTGAGTAGTTAAAAATAACTACAAATGTTATCATAGCATTCTACTATACGTCAATTTGTCACAACATACTCCAATTAAATCTACCATTAGATATCCAATTTCTTTTTTTTAGATAAAGTAAAATTAGCAACCCAGAAATTTTCCTTAGATGGTAAAATAAAATGATCTCTTGATTCCTTGCTACTGTAAATGGTATAATTCTCCTTCTGTAGGAATTGTAGGCCTTCTTATCTAGAAAGAAACTATTTCAAGCTTAATATTGAATGCTTTTCTATGTTTCAGAAATATGTTCACATTTTCTCAAAATATAATTGAGTTACAATTTACTTGAAACTGTAAGAATCACAATGCCACAAAAAATATATATCCCATCTAATTTTTCTTATTCCTTTGTAATAAATTGTATGTAATATGTTATTATTTTCAATTGTTTCTTAAGTCATTAAATAATATCTAAATAAATGTTGATTAAAAATAAGTCAAACATATAAAAATACACAAAATAAAATATGGAAGCTTAGTTCTTTCTCTCCTCCAGCTCCAGTGTCTGTTTTAGGACCACTCAGGGTGTACAATCTCATAGACATCATTCTAAAAGTTGAATCAAAACTTGTGTTCATAGGCATAACAAGACATAAACAGATGGAATTATTTTGTGAATGTGTGAGTGTTTTATTTTACAACTTTTATTTTTACACATATAGACCTACTCAAGGATTTTGGTATAATCTATGGAGTGATTGTACAAATTTATGTTATCGTTCCTATAATGAAGACAATTATGTTGTCTTCATTTTTCTATTACATGTAATATTTTGTTAAAAAACTTCTTCTAAAAAGAAGAGTTGGAAAAAATGGTGTGTGCAATTTAAAATCTGATACTCAGCACAAAACTACCCTCCAAAAGTTATATAACAATTCACACTCACCAGCCATGTATGTGTATTTTGAATAACATATGTTTTTATAAACATAAGCAGATTAATTAAATGTAAATGATGATATCTGTGCTTCCCAAAATATCTGTATTCATCAATTCATTAGAATATGAAAGAGTATAGCTAAAATGTATCTTCCTGCATTCTGTCTCTGTACTTCACCTGATCATAATTAAAACTTAAATTATTAAATTCATATTATTTCTTTTGAATTTTCAAAAGTGTTATTGCAATTTATCATTGCCCTCTAAGGGCATTCCTGGTGATAAATACATCAGTTCAAGGCACACATTCTATGTTTTGTTGGAAGACACATATTTTACTTGTTCCAAATTTCAAAATAAAGGTACCCTAAACTCAGGAAATTTTGAGCCATCAATACCCTACGTTTCTAGTCTCACCACAACAGGCTTAAAACGAACTTCACCCAAGTCTTTCATATGCATTCTATATGCAGAAAACATTGATTTGAATTGCACTCTAGCAGGAAAGGGAGACTCACCATAAACTTTGCAATGTTTCTATTATTGAATTCTAATATTGCTCTTGGATTTTAACAGATGCTCTTCTCCTTCTTCTTCAATTAGTAAGTGGGGCACTTTTTGTCTTATATGTCTAAGAAGCAGCCTTGGTAACCTCAGTAATCCTGGCTAGTGTTTTTTTTCCTGTACACTTGGCTTTCATCTTATTACCGATTTCTTTAACCACCGAAGAATTGAACTCTGCAACTAAATTATTGCTTGCATTTCTGAATCACATCTGCTGCAAGATATTCATGTCTCCATGTGCAACTGCTAGTAAGGTAAATGCTACACCTATAGAGTCCAGACTCTAAATGGCTACCTGAAACTGCCCACGACTCTATTGCTCTTACGTCCTGAAAAATTCACCTACTTGGACTTCTATTTAATCAGTTAGAAATCTTGGCTTTGTATTCAAGTTAATATAGAAAATAAGTCAGATATACATAGTAAAGCACATACACCAGAACTTTTTAACGTCATAGGCATAGTAGGGAACATAACTATGACTCTAATTTTCCAACTGCTAGCCTACTGTCTACTTCCTAATATCACACTGATTTCACATAGAAAACTGAAGGTGGAACATTCTTTTCTAATATATAGTCTAACATATTACAGAATTAATGAAAAGTGACAAAGGAGAATAGCTGAATTCTCTCTCCTTTTACTTGAAATGTAATGTATTATGAAGAGAAATTTAGAGAAAGCATTTTAATAAAATTATATGTTTAGTAACACAAGTGAGTACATTTTAGAGCATTCATATAGTAGTCAAGGATTCTACTAGATCTAAAGACATTTTTAAATGAAATACTTTTTTTCTGTGCATGAAGAATGTGTAAAAGATCCTGTATATTTCACTACATTAGAAAAATCTTCCAGCTGTTACTATGGAGATAAAGGTTTTCAAAAACTCTTAGAAAGCACAAAGGTTGACAAGGTGATTACAAAATACAATATTAGGCATTAATTTTATTTGCTGTAAAGTTACTACAATGAACATTATGCTCTCACATGTGCTTCAGATTTTTTTGTTTGTTTGTTTTAAAGACAGGGTCTTGTCCGGGTGTGGTGGCTCACACCTGCAATCCCAGCACTTTGGGAGGCCGAGGCAGATGAACCGTTTGAACCCAGGAGTTCGAGATCAGCCTGGACAACATGGGGAGACCCAGTCTCCACAAAAAATAGCTGTACATGGTGGCAAATGCCTGTAGTCCCAGCTATGGAGGAGGCTGAGGTAGGAGGATTGTTTGAACCCAGGAGGTCAAGGGTGTGGTGAGCCAAGATCATTCCACTGCACTCCAGACTGGGTGACAGAGTGAGACCCTGACTCAAAAAAAATTAAATTAAAGTAAATTTAAAAAACGGAGTCTCTCCGTGTTGCCCAGACTAAACTGAAACTCTTGGACTCCAGCAATTCTACTACCTCAGCCTCCTTAAGTGGCTGGGACTATAAGCATGTACCACCACACTTGGCTTATTCAACATATTAAGGGTATCACAGTAGTAAAAGCAAAATACATTCTTCAATGCTTTTAAATATAAATTTACTATGGTGTATAATAGAATAAATATCATAGTCACTTATTTTATGCCTTTTTTCTGAATAAAAATTTCCAGCAAATCGATTATAATCCAGCAGTGAAAACAATCAAATATGATGGTACTTACGAAGTATGCTGTGTATCTACAGTTCCCTACCCCTCCCCACACTAACTATAATTTTAATCCTCCTACCCTCTGTTCTCTGTCTGGGATTCTCACTTTTATGCAGCTCACGAAGAAATGTCCTTGCCCTGTAGCTTCCTGTTGAAGTCCTTCTATCAGAGAAACTACTCAGAGGCAAAGGGAAGAAGGAGAGTGAGATGATGCTGTATATTTTCTAACTCTGTCCCTGCAGAGACTGCTAAGGTTGGAACAGGACCCTTTGCCAAAGGATACATCTCCTCTCAGGCATTCTTGTACATATAACCACTGTTTAATAATTAATATAACAGTTCCCTTTCCTTTCCTCTTCAGGCCGAGTTAGTGCCTCCCTCGTGACTATATATAATCTTTTTAGTTTCTCAAAAAAAGTTCCATGCATTTTTAAACAGTTCCTTAATTTTAATATCCTTAAGTTAAAAGTTTAATTTTTTTTTGCTATTTCTTATCTACCAGTGTCATGAAGTGAATGATACGAAAAAGAAATCCTAATCACATAAAACAAATATAAAGCTGAAAAATAAACAGTCACGAACAATGATTTGGGAACTTCATAGTCAACCTAATGCAGACTATAAATTGAGAAGTGTTGTCTTTCAAAAACTGCTATAACTTTGGGTAAGAACAGTAGGAGTTTATGGTCTTACTACCTCATTTTATTCCCATTTTCCACCCCTACTCTCAGCGGTCGATGAAATTACTTACTTTGTTCACATGAACATGACACGAAACCCAACAACTTTGATATCTGATGGCATGGAATCAAATAGGAGTGAGTAGCATAAACTTGTGGCTTTGACAACTGAAATAACAAATTTGGTAGTTTACAAATGGCCACAATTCACAGTTTGGTACAGTGCAGTTGTGATGCTTACTGGGGAAATTGTCAGACACTGACAAATTTAACAGGTTGACCCTAGAAATGAGAAAGTCAAATAAGGCCTAAATGAGTTTTCCACATACACCTGGCTGAGTAGGAAGCTATGCACATGCAGAGAAAAGAGCCCCCAAATCACAGTGGGGAGGAAGCCAAGTAGAACTTGAGAACTGGCTGCACTTTGAATACACACCTCAACCTGAACAGATTGATCAGTAGATAGTGGAATCCTATGGGTGTAAGATGTCTTCACAGAACCTCCTTCCAAATCATTGGCTAGCCATTAAAATAGAGAACTGGGCCCAAGGAAGTCAAGCAAAAAATAAAAATAAGAATTAAAATACATAGACATCAGTGGCTGCACACCACAAGGGAGACAGATCCTACAGCTACTGCTCAGGCATATTACAATAAGACACAATTAAAAATTTTCAGACAAAAATCCAGAATTGGTAACGTTTATTATCTAAAATGTCCAATTTTCAACGAAAGAGTATCAAACAAGAAAACGAAGAAGAAAGTGAGATTCATTTCTGGGGGAAAAAAGAAGCAGTTGATAGAAACTGACTCTGGATGAAAAAACAAGTTTTGTTTAGCAAACAAAAACTTACAGAAGTTTTCTAAATATGTTCAAATAATTTATTATAGCAATGACTCAACAAATAGACAACTTCAATAGAGAAACAGAAATTTAAAAATAAGAAACAAATGAAACTTTTAGAGTAGAAAAGAATAGAAAACAGCCAGGAAAAATAATTAGTAAACTAAAAGATAGATTAATAGAAATTATCCAATCTGAAAGGCAGAATGAATAATGGATTGAAGAAATGGACAGGTTTAGAGACCTTTGGAAAAGTGTTAAGCATATCAACATGTGTATTGATAGTCTAAGGCAGAAAGGAGAGAGAAGAGGGAGAATAACATTATTATTCAAAGAAATAATTGACAACTTTAAAAACTCAAGGAACAACATTAATCTGGAGATTCAAGAAATTCAAGAAGTCTCAAGTGGAATAAACACAAAGAGATGTACAGCTAGGAATATTAAACTTCTGGAAGACAAAGATAAAAGAAAATACTGAAAGCAAAAAAACATTTATCAAATATAGGAAAGTATCAATATGTGTAACAGCTAACTTTATATCAGAAAATGAATGCCAGAAGACTGGAGTGACATTTAAAGTGTTGAATGATACAAACAAAAAAGGTCAACAAAGATTTCAATTTCTAATAAAACTATCCTTCAGAAGCAACAACAAAATACTTTACCAGATAAACAAGAAGTGAGAGAATTCACAGCTACAAAATATTCCCCACATGAAATACTTAACGAAGTCCGACAGTGTGAGAAACGAAAACTAATGCCAGGCAGTAACTTGTATTCACAGGAAAGAAAAGGATAATTAAGCTGTTACTTATTTTTATTAAAAAAGGAACTTTTCTGTTTTAATAACTTAAAGAATGAGATTGCTTAAAACATGAATAATCCTGGACTGTTGAGTTTATACATGCATGTAATATGAAAAACAATAGTTTGAAATAGATCTATACTGCAATGCAGCAAAATATTTATATAATTCCAAAATTAAATCAGTATAAAATTGAAGTGGATTATGATCACTTAAAGATGCATATGTGATTCCCAAGAGCAATCTTTTTCAAAAATCAAAATATATAGTTAAAAAATCAACAGACAAATTAAAGCACTACATTGAAGCTATCTCTTTAATATAACTTAGGCAGTAAAAAGAAATAGAAAATTAAAAAGACATAAAACATCTAGAAAAAATAGCAGAATTGCAGGCATACATCTAAGCATATCCATAATTATTTCAAATGTGATTGACTGAAACACCTTAATCAAATGGTAGATATTGTCAGTCTGAATTTAAAAAAACACACATAACCCAAGTTTATTCTGACTGGAACAAATGTGCATTTGATTTACCATTGGAAAACAGATTGAAGCTAAAAGATTAGAAAATAATATGCCAAGAAAATAGCAACCATAAGAGAGATGGAAAAGCAATATTGACATCATAGAAAATAGATTTTAAGCCAAGAAATATTATACAGAAAAAGAACGACATTTCATGATGACACAAATGTCAATATATTTTGAATACATAACAGTTATAAATATATAAGTACCTAACAACAGAAACACAATATATAATGAAACAAAATAAGACAAAATTCAAAGAAAAAAAATTTTTAAATGAGAGTTGGAGATTTACGTATTACTCTCATAATAATTGATAGAAAAACTAACTGAATAGTCAATAGAAATATAGAAAACCTGAACAAAACTATCAGTCAGTTTGACATACTTGACATTTGAAAAATACTATTGATTCCAAAATAGCAGAGTACATATCCATGTTTTATAAAAATCCCTGCAACATGATCCAGGAAAAGTAACATGGATGCCAGTAAAATTGAAAGATTTGTAATCACGTGAAATATGTTCTCTGACTAAAAACATAATTAAATTAGAAATACTTAAAAAATAAATAAAATAGGGGAGCTCCAAAAACGTGAAAATTAAACAACACCACTCTTCTAAATAGACAAGTGTAGAAGAAATAAATTACAGGCAAATTAAGAAACTACCATGAATGAGTTTATAAGGGAAAGTATAACATCAAATTCAATGAGATGCAGTAAAGCATTATTTCAGAAAAAATTCATACCTTTAAAACATATGTTAGGCTGAAAGATGTAAAACTTATGTTACATTTCAATAAGCTAAAAAAGAAGAGTAAATTAAACAGAAAGCCAAAAGAAGGAAGAAAATAATAAATATCCATAAATAAATATTGGAATGAAAAACAGTAAAAAATAAAGAAAGAAAGACAACGAAGAAGTCACAGAAATCAAATGTGGTTCTTTGGAAAAATCAACAAAATTGATAAGGCTTTATGTTGACTGATAAATTACAAAAAAGAGAGAGGGAAAGAATAAAAAGTCACAGATTACCAAAATTGAAAAGCAAGAAGAAACGTTAAAGTATTATAAGAGAATATTACAAATAAATATATACCAATGACTTAAATAAGTAAAATGAAATGCATGAATTCCTAGAAAGACACAAAATACCAAAGCTTACTCAAAAATAAATTTGATAACTTGAATAGCTCTGTACTTTTAAAAGAACAAAAAAAAAATAGTTAAAACCCTACATATAAATCAAATTCCAGGACTAGATAGCTTAACTGGGAGATTTTTGCCAGATAATGAATAAATAAAACCCATCCTACACAAACTTCTCCAGAAAATTTAGGAAGCGTAAATGCTTTCTCATTCAATCTACAAAGCTACCATTACTCTGATACCAGATCATATACATTCCCAAATATATGAAAATTAAATAATACTTCCAAATATTCACATGTAAAATAAAAAGTAAAAAATAAGTTAGAAACGATCTTGAAGGGCAATGTAAATAAAATGTAACATATCGAATTTGATTTTTTTGAGAGACGTTAAAAGCAGAGAAATCTGCATATCAATGTCTCTCAGAAACACAGTTGAAAAATTTCTTAAATTTTCTTATTTTAGAAAATTGAGTCCAACAATAAATAAAAAGGATAAAAACATTATGATTAACTGGGATATATTCGCAAAATTCAAACTTGGTTTCATATCTAACAATACATTAATAGAACATAGCATATTGATAGAAATAAAAAAAAGGCATAAGGCACAGTATATTTATTAATAGTCACAGAAAAGGCATTTAACACAGTTGAACATTTATTCTGATTAAAATTTTTAACAAACTAGTAACAGAAAGGTATTTCATCAACATGCTAAAGAACATTTATGAAAAACATCTAGCTATTAACATATTTAATGTTGAAATATTTAATGATTTCCCCTATGATCAGATACAAGGTATGTGTTTATCAGTTACATTCTGCATTATACTGGAGAATCTCACAGTGCCATGAATTATTAAAAAGAAATAAAATGTATCCAAAATGAAATAAAGAATTCAAAATATTTATATTTATGTAGATAACATAATTGTCTATTGTTCCTACATCTTAGAAGTCATTTTAGAAATAATGCAGGAAACTAAATCAATATAAAAATCAAAAATTTGTCATTTATATTAACATTAAAAATATGAGGTACTTAGGAATAAATCTGATAAAGTATGCATGATATGTATACACTGGAAACTAGAATGGTTTCTAAGAGAAATTTTTAAAGTTCTAAGAAAGGTAGAGAGCTAACCTATCTTCATGGATCTCAAGACTCAATATTCATAATATGTCAACTTTCCTAAATATAAAGATTCAATGCAATTTCAAAAATACCCAACTACTCTTGAATAAGTCTACAAGTTGTTCACGTGTTTCTAACTTTCTGTTTAGAAAGAGCAAGATTCCAGAGTAGACAAAATTACTTCGAATAAAAACAAGGACACAACAACAACAAAGAAAAGAAAACTACAGGCTAATAGCTATGATGAACACCAATGCAAAAACTCTCAACAAAATACTAGCAAAGGAAATTCAAATACACATCAAAAAGATCACTCACCATGATCAAGTGGGATTCACCAAAGGGATGCAAACATGGTTCAACATATACCAATCAACAGACATAATATATCACATAAATAGAATCAAGGACAAAAATATGACAGATGTTTTTATTTTATTTTTGTGTTATTTTATTTTTTTCAGTTAGGTCAGAGCAAGATGGCTGAATAAAAGCCTCCGTGGATAATCCCCTCTCCCCAACAGAAGCACCAAATTTTAACCAACAACCACACATCAAATAGCACGATTGAAAGAACCAAAAATCAGGTGAACAATAACAGTACCTGGCTTTAACTTCATATTGTTGAGAAAGTACTGAAGAGGATAGAAAAGAAAATTTTGAATCACTGAGACCACCCCTCCCCCATCCTCTAGCAGTGGCTTCATGGTGTGAAGAGAGAATCTGTGCACTTGGGGGAAGACTAGCACAGCGACTGGCGGGCTTGCCATTGAACTGTTTTGCTGCACTGTCACAATAAAGACCAAAGACTGTTGCTCAGCTGGTTCCTGCCCATGGAAGGAGCATTCGGAGCAGCCAGAAAGGAATTACCCATCCCAGATATCAGAACTTGAGTTTTGGCAAGCCTCACCACTGCAGTCTAAAATGCTCCAGCATCCTAAGTAAAGTTGAAAGGCAGTCTAAGCCACAAGGACTGACATTCCTATGGAATTCCTAGTGCTAGGCTGGGCTTAGAGCCAGTGGAACAGGGAAACACCTGACCTAGGGAGATACCAGCCAAGGCAGCTAAGGGAGGGCTTGCACCACCCCTCCCCTAACCTCAGGCTGTGCAGCTCACAGAAATGAAAGTGACTCCTTCATTCTGCTTCAAGACAGGAGCAGGAAGAGTAAACAGGACTTTGTCTTAAATCTTGCATATCAGCTCAGTCATAATAGGACAGGGCACAGGGCAGAGTTGTGAGGCCACATTCCAGGCTCTAGCTCCTAGACATTTCTAGATACACCTTGGGCCAGAAGGAAACCCACTGCCTTGAAGGGAGGGACCCAGTCTGGGGACAATTCATCACCTGCTGACTAAAGAACCTTTGGGCCCTGAATAACCTGCAGGGATACCTTGTTCGTATGCCATGGCCTTTGGTGACACCCTAAGACATGCTGGCTTCAGGTGAGACCTAGTACATTTCCAGCTGTTGTGACTAGGGTGAAAGAATCCTTTTGCTTGAGAAAAGCGAGGAAAAAATGAAGGGGACTTTGTCTCACACCCTAGAAACCAGCTCAGCCACAATGGGGTAGAGCACCAAGCAGGCTATTGTGGTGGCTAAATCCAGGCCTAGACTCTTGGACATTTCTGAACCTGTCCTGTAGTAGAAGGGAGCCCACTGCCCTGAAGAATGACTCCAAGGCCTGGCAGCATTCACCACAAGCACACTGAAGAGCCCTTGGACTTTAAGTGAATATTGGTGGTAGCCTGGCAGAACTCCCCTGCCTGTAAAAAGGGGAGGGAAAAGTGGAAAGGGCATTGCCTTGTAGTTTGAGGTCCATCTTAGCCATGCAGAATAGAACACCAGGTATATTTCTAAGGTTTTCTTTTTTTTTTTCTTTCTTTTTTGAAAGAGGGTCTTCCTCTGTCATCTAGGCTGAAGTGCAGTGGTGTGATCTTGGCTCACTGCAACCTCCACCTGCTGGGCTCAAGTGATCCTCCCACCTCAGCCCCCTGTAGCTGGGACTACAGGCATGTGCCATCATGCCCAGCTAATTTTTGTATTTTTAAGTACAGATGAGTTTCATCAAGTGCCCAGGATGATCTCAAACTCCTGAGCTAAAGTGATCTGCCTGCCTCAGCCTCCCAAAGTGCTAGGATTACAGGCATGAGCCTCTGTACCCAGTAGATTTCTAAGGTTTTTGACTCTAGTCCCTGGCCCCTAGAAAACATGTCTGAACCCTTCTGGGTCATGGAGGTACTCACTGCCCTGAAGTACAAGACATTACCCTTGCTGGCTTCCTCACTTGCTGACTGTAGAGCCCTAGGGCTTTGAGTGAACCTAGGTGGTAGCCAGGTAGTGATCACAGCTGGCCTTGAGCTAGACTCAGTGCTCTGCTGGCTTCGGGTTTGACCCAGTGCAGTCCTAATGATGGTGGCCACAGGGGTCTTGCATCACCCATCCTCCAGTTCTAAGCTGATCAGCACAGAGAGGGAGTCTTCTTTTTGGGAAAAAAGTAAGAGAAGAGAACAAAAATGTCTTTCTGAAAACCAGATAATTCTTCTGATCTTATCCAAGGCCACCAAGTCAGCACACCTATGAGTCTGCAAGAATCACTGTTATTGGTCTTGGGGTCCAAGTTGCATCGAATAGCTGGAAAGCCTCCCCAAGAAAGAAAGGTACTAACAAGCCTAGACTGTGAGGACTACAATAAATATCCAAATTTTCAATGCCCAGATGCTGACAAACCTCCATAAGCATCAAGACTATCCAGGAAAACATAACTTCTCCAAAAAAAATAAATAAGACACTAAGGACAAGTCCTGGAGAAATACAGATGTATGACCTTTCACAAAGAAAATTCAAAGTAGCTGGTTTGAAGAAACTCAAAGCGATTTAAGACAACACAGAGAAGGAATTTAGAATTCTATCAAATAAATTTCACAAAGTGATTGAAATGGTTTAAAAGAATCAAGCAGAAATTCTAGAGTTGAAAAATGCAACTGACCTACTGAAGAATGCATCAGAGTGTCTTAATAGCAGAACTGTGGAGCAGAAAAGAGAATTAGTGACCTTGATGACAGGTTATTTGAAAATCACAGAAGAGACAATGGAAAAACAAATTAATCAAGCACATTCACAAGATCAAGAAAATAGCCTTGAAAAGGCAAATCTAAAAGTTATTGGTCTGAAAGAGAAGGTAGAGAAAGAGATAAGAGTGGAAAGTTTATTCAAAGAAATAATAATAGAGAACTTCCAAAACATAGAGAAAGATAACATTCAAGTACAAGAAGGTTATAAAGCACCAAGTGGACTTCATCTAAAGAAGACAATCTCAAGGCATTTAACAATCAAACTTCCAAAGGCCAGAGAAAATGAAAGAACTCTAAAACCAGCAAGAGAACTGAAAAAAAAAAAAAAAAATACCTTACAGTGGAGCTCCAATACATCTGGCAGCTGACTTTTCAGTGGAAACCTGACAGGCCAGTAGAGGCTAGCACAGCATGTTTAAAGCGATGAAGGAAAATAACTATTACATTAGAATAGTATATCCAGTGAAAATATGCATTAAGCATGAGGAAGAAATAAAGACCTTCCCAGACAAACAAAAGCTTAGGGATTTCATCAACACCAGACCTGTCCTACAAGAAATGCTATAAGCAGTTTGTCGACATGAAAGAAAATGATGTTAATGAACAAGAAAAAATCACCTGAAAGTACAAAACTCACTAGTAATAGTAAGCAAACAGAAAAACACAAACTATTATAACACTGTAATTGTGGTGTGTAAACTATTCATCTTAAGTAGAAAGACTAAATGATAAACCAATCAAAAATAATAACTACAACTTTTCAAGACAAACAGTACTATAAGACATAAAGAGAAACAACAAGTTAAAAAGTTGGAGGAAGAAGTTAAAGTGTAGAGTTTATATTAGTTTTGGTTTATGCAACAATTTTTAAGTTGTCATTAGTTTAAAATTACGAGTTTTAAGATACTCTATCAATCCTCATGGCAACCTCAAATTGAAAACCATACAATGGATACACAAATAATATAAAAAAGAATTTAAATCATACCACCAGATAAAATCATGTTAACTAAAAGGAAGACTAGATGAAAGGAAATAAGAATGAGAAGACCACAAAACAACAAGAAAACAAATAGCAAAATAAGAGTAAGTCCTTACTTATCAATAATAACATTGAATGTAAATAGACTAACCTCTCAATCAAAAGACATAGAGTGGCAGAATGGATTAAAAAAAGAAGACTCAATTATCTGTTGCTTAATGTAAACACACTTCACCTCTGAAGATACACAAAGACTGAAAATAAAGGAATAATGAAAGATATTCCATGCTAATTGAAACAAAAAATAGCAGAAGTAGCTATACTTATACCAGACAAAATATATTTCAAGACAAAAACTACAAGAGGAGACAAAGAAAGTTACTATATAATGATAAAAAGTTAAATTCATCAAGAGGATATAGCAATTACATATGCACCCAGTACCAAAGCACCCAGATATAGAAAGTAAATATTATTAAAGTAAAAAAGAGAGACAGATCTCAATACAAGAATAGCTACACACTTCAACACCCAACTTTCAGCACTGGACAAATCTTCCAGAAAGAAAATCAACAAAGAAAATCATATTTAATCTTGCACTTTAGAACAAATGAACCTAATAAATATTTACAGAATATTTCATCCAACAGCTTCAGAATAAACATTCTTCTCCTCAGCACATAGATTATTCTAAAGGAGATACCATATGTCAGCTAACAAAACATGTCTGAAAATACTGAAAAAATTAAAATCATCTCAAGCATTTTCTCTGACTGCAATGGAATGAAATTAGAAATAAATAACAAGAGGAATTTTAGAAGCCATACAAACACATGGAAATTAAGCACATGCTCCTGAATGACCAGTTGGTCAATGAAGAAATTAAGAGGGAAATTGAAAAACCTCTTGAAACAAATGGTAATGGAAACACAACATAATAAAACCTATGGGATGCAGCAAAAGCAGAGCTAAGAGGAAAATTTATAGCTATAAGTGCCTACATAAAAAACAAAGCCAAACAAACAAAAAGCCTTCAAAGAAATAGCTTAATAGCCTAACATGTCTTTTTTTTTTTTTTTTTTTTTTTTTTTTTTTTGTCTCGCTGGCTCTGTCACCAGGCTGGAGTGAAGTGACGCGATCTCGGCTCACTGAAACCTCCACCTCCCAGGTTCAAGCGATTCTCCCAAGCAGCTGGGACTACAGGTGCATGCCACCATGCCCAACTAATGTTTCTTGTATTTTCAGTAGAGATGGGGTTTCACCATGTTGGCCAGGATGGTCTCAATCTCTTGACCTCATAATCTGCCCACCTTGGCCTCCCAAAGTCCTAGGATTACAGGAGTGAGCCACCGTGCCCAGCTAGCCTAATATGCCTTAAAGAACTAGACAAGCAACAGCAAACCAAACCCAATATTAGTAGAAGGAAAAAAAAATAGAATAAAGATCAGAGCAGAAATAAATTATATACAAATAAACAAATAAAACAATACAAAAGATAACAAAGTGAAAAGTTGTTTTTTAAACAGATAAATAATATTGACAAACCTTTACCAAAACTAAGAAAAAAAGAAAGAAGAACCAAATAAATAAAATTAGAGATGAATTTCTAATTACAACTGATACCACATAAATTCAATAGAAATTTATATATTTGCTATTATGAGCAAAAATATATGGCAATAAATTGGAAAATCCAAAGGAAATAGGTAAATTCGTAGACATATACAACTTACCAAGATTGAATCAGGAAGAATCCAATACCAAACCATACCAATCACAAAGAAGGAGATTGGAGCTCTAATGAGTCTCCCAGTAAAGAAAATCTGAGGACCCAATGGCTTCACTGCTAAATTCTATCAAACATTTAAAGAACTAATACCAATCCTACTTAAACTCTTCCAAAAAATGGAGAAGTGAATACTTCCAAACTTATTCTATAAGGACAGTTTTCCCTCATACCAAAATCAGACAAAGGCATATCTGAAAAAAAAAATTACAGGCCAATATTTCTGATGAAAACTGATGCAAAAATCCTCAACAAAATACTGTCAACGCAAATTCAACACACTAAAAAGATCATTCATCATGACCAAGTGGGATTTATCACAGAGATTCAACAATGGTTTAACATACACAAATCAATCAATGTGACACATCATGTCAACAGAATGAGGAACAACAACCATATGATCATTTCAATTGATGCTGTAAAAACATTTGATAAAATTCAATATCCCTTCATGATTAAAAAATACCGGGAATACAAGGAACATATCTCAACATGATAAAATCCATGTATTACAGACCCAAGGTAGTATTATAATGAATAGAGAAAAACTGAAAGCCTTTCTTGAAAGCATCTTTGTCTGGATCATGACAAGCCCACTTTCCCAACTGTTACTCAAAATAGTACTGGAAGTCCTAGCTAGAGCAATCAAAGAAGAGAAAGAAATAAACAGCATCGAAATTGGAAAAGAAGAAGTCAAATTATCCTTGTTTGGAAAAATCCAAAGACACCAAAAAACTATTAGAACTGATAAACAAATTCATTAAGGCTGTAGGATTTAAAATCAACATACAAAAATCAGTGGGATTTCTAAATGCCAACAGTGAACAATCTGAAAATGAAATCAAAACTGTAACCCCATTTGTAATAGTCACAAATAACAAAGAAATGAAAGATCACCTCAAAGAAAACTATAAAACATTGGTGAAAGAAATTAAAAAGGATGCAAAAAAAGAAAGACATTTTATATTCATGGATTTGAAGAATCAATATTATTAAAATGTCCATACTACCCAAAGCAATCTACAGACTCAATGCAATTCCTAACAAAATGCCAATGACATTCTTTACATAAATAGAAAAACAATCCTAAAATTTATTTGGAACCACAAAATATCCAGAATAAACAAAGCTATCCTGAGCAAAAAGAAGAAAACTAGAGGAATCACATTACTTCATTTCTAATTATACTATAGAGATATAGTAAGAAAAATGGCATGGTACTGTTAAAAACAGACACACAGATCATTGGAACAGAATAGAGAACCCAGAAACAAGTTTATACACCTACAGTGAATTCATTTCCAACAAGTGTACCAAGAATATACATTGGCGGAAATGACAGTCTCTTCAATCAATGGTGCTGGGAAAACTGGATGGAGGATAAACACTCCATTTTCCATGATGTGATTATTATGCATTGCATGCCTATATTAAAGTACCTCTTGCACCCAATAAATATACACACCTACCATAGATGTAGAAAACCTTAAAGACTCCAAAAAGTTGTTATAACTAATGAATGACTTTAGTAAATTTGCAGAATATGCAATCAACATAGAATTAGTAGTATTTCCCTACACCAATAGCAACCTATCATAAAAAAATTAGGAAGCAATTTCATTTACAATGGCCACAGAGAAATACTTAAGAATAAACTTAGCCAGAAAAATGAAAGATCTCTATAATAAAAACTATAAAGCATTGATGAAAGAAATTGGAGGGAATCCAAACAAATAGAAAGGTAGTCTGTGTTCATGGATTGGGATAATTAATATTATTAAAATGTCAATATTAACCAAAGCCATCTACATATTTAATGAAATCCTTATCAAATGACAATGCCATTTTCACAGATTTTTTAAAGCAATGTTCAAATTCATATGGAAATGTAAAAGACTCCCAGTAGTCAAAGCCATCTTGAACACAAAGAACAAAGTTAAGGCATCACACGACATGACTTTAAAAGTATACTACAAAGATATAGTAAATAAAATGTATGGTTCTGGCATAAAAACAGATACATAAACCAATGGAACAGAAAAGAAAACCTAAGAATAAATCAATACACTTATAGCCAACAAAAGTGTCAAGAACACATATTAGGGAAAGAACAGTTTTTTCAATAACAATGTTGGGAAAACTGCATGTCTATACTCAGAAAAATGAAACTAGACCCCTATCTCTCACCACACACAAAAATCAAATCAAAATGTCTTAAAGACTTAAATTTAAGTAAGACTTGAACTTTAAGTAAGACCTGAAACTATGGAAGCACTTGAAGAAAGCATAGGGAAATTGCTTCATGAAATTGGGCTGGGCAAGGAGTTTTTAAAATAAGACTTCAAAAGCACAGGTGACAATAGCAAAAATAGACAAATGGGATTGCATCAAACTAAAAAAAAACAAAAAACAAAAACAAACAAACGAACAAACAAAAAACTTCTGCTCATCAAAGGAAATAACCAACAAAGTGAAGAGACAACTCACAGACAAGATATTAATAACCGTAATATATAAGAAGCTCAAAAAACTCAATAGCAAGAAACCATGTAATTGGATTTTAAAATGGGCAAAAGATCTGAATAGACATTTCTCAAAAGAATACATACAAATGGCCAACATTTACATTTAAAAATGCTCAAAATCACTAATCATTAGTGAAATACAAATCAAAACCAAAATGAGGTATCACCTCACACCAGTTCAAATGACTATTATCAAAAAACAAGACAAAAAAAATAACAAATGTTGGAAAGGATGTGAAGAAAGGGCAACTCTTTTGTACTGTTGTTGGGAATGTAAATTGGTACACCCATTATGGAAAACAGTATGGTGGTTCCTCAAAAAATCAAAATTGAATTACCACATGATCCAGCAATCCATTACTGAGTATACACTCAAAAGACCATGAAATCAGTATGTCAAAGAGATAGCTGCACTCCCAATAAGCAACACTATTCAAAATAGCTGAGATATGGTATCAACTTAAATGTTCATATACAGATGAATGAATAAAGAACATGTGGCATATATATATGTATATATGTATATATGTATATATGTATATATGTATATATGTGTATATATACATGTATATGTGTATATATACGTGTATATATGTATATATATGTGTATATATACGTGTATATATGTATATATATGTGTGTGTATATATATATGTATATATTCTCTGCAGCTATACAAGGGAATGAAATCTTGTCATTCACAGCAACATGAATGAACTTGGAAGACATTATGTTAAGTAAAATGACCCATGCATAGAAAGACAAACATCACATGATCTCAATCATCAGTGTTATCGAAAAAAAAGTTGATCTCATACAAGTAGAGAGTACAATAGTGGTTACCAGAGGCTAGGGAGGGGAAGAGTGAGGGGAGATTGGGAGAGGTTCGCCTGTGGGTACAAAGTTACAGTTACACAGGAAGAGTAAGTTCTGATGTTCTATTACACAGTAGGGTAACTACAGCAAATAACCATGTAGTGTAAACTTCAGCATAGCTAGAGGAGATTTTGAATGTTACTACCAAAATAAATGATAAATGTTTAAAGTGATGGATTTGGCAATTACTCTGATTGACTCATTATACAGTGTATATATGATTTGAAATATTACACTGTCCCCCAAACATGTGTACAATTATTATGTTTCAATTATATAAAAACATTAATAAAAAATATTAGAAGTTTTATCAACAACAGCAAATAATTACAAAGCTAGGGGACTTACACTACTCATGTTAGACATCGTAGTACTACAGTATTCAAGACGGTTTTGTATTTGTGTCATGAGATACAAATAGACCAAGGCAACAGCATTTGGAGTCCAGAAATAGGCCCACATGTATGTGATCAATTTGTATTTTGGTAGAGGAATAATAATACAGTGAAGAAAGAATAATACTTTCAACACATATGCTGGAACTATTGTACCTCCCCTTAAAAATAGCTTTAATCTATACCTCACTTTTGAAACAAGTGTTAAATAAAAATAAATCATAGATTAAAAATAAAAAGAATACTGTAAAAAACCTAGGATAAAAAATAGTTGAAAATTTATTTCCTGTGTTAGGCAGATATTTACTAAATACAATTTCAAAAGCATGACTCATTAAAATACAGTGAATTGGAATTCATCAAATTTAAAAAATTCTGTCCTTGGGCAACATTTGAAGAGATAATTCACAAAAGAATATATACAGATGTCAAATAAGCACATGAAAAGATGCTCAACATCATTATTCTATAGAGAAATGTAAATTAAAATTTAACAGATCATGACACATCTATTAGAATGTCCAAAAATTAAAAGCCTGACCATAGGGATATCTACGAGATTATCTTTACCCTGCTAGTGTCAATGTGAAATGTAAAACCCTTCGGAAAACAGTTCTGCAGTTTCTTAAAATGTTCAAAATACACAACCATAATATTGAGTTATTACACTACTAGGATTTTACCCAAATATAATAAAAACATATGTCAAGACAAAGACTTTTCATAAATATTTATATCAGCTTTATCTGTAATACACTAAAACTTAAAATGAAGCAAATGTGCATTAATGGGATAATACACAATACACAAATGGTAGTAGAGCCACCGATAAAATACTACCCAGCATTAGAAAGAATGATGGATTGATGCACGCTGCTAAATGAGCAATATTAAAAAGAATTATGCTGTATGAAAGAAGCCACAAAAATTCATACATACAGTATGATCCCATTTATATAACAATCTGGAAAATGTAAAACAAGACAATTTTGCTACATTTGTTCCCCGCTCCCTCAGGATTTTGAAAATCTATATATTTAGAAAAGAAAGCCAATGAGAATTAAGACAGTTCTTTCAATAATGAAACCCAGGTACTTATGTGTATAAATTCAACACACACACATATACAACTTTCTATTATTTGAATAACACTTTTCCAAGTCTTCTGAAGTGTATATTTTATTTTAACTGTAATACATAAATTTTTACATAATTAGGTGTGGGCTCCTTTAGTTTAACTTAAAATAACATTTACACCTCTTTTTCCTGGGAAATATCCATCATGTTTGTTATCAAATGATTTATGAGCTGGTTGATTTTCCAAGAGTTAATTTATACAGACACATTACTTTTTTTGAGGTGGATTCTCCTTTAGATCATAAAGTGCCAGCATATTTTATCACCAAGTGTTATGAAATAGACCAGAACAAAAACAGGCTCATTATCTTCAGATTGTGTGACTCTATAATGTGTTTTTAACATTAATAAATTGAATGTATAAAGAACTAGGAGAGTTTCTTTCTCAAATTGAAAAAAATAGATTTTTGACATTCCCCAAAAATAAAGACCAATTGTCAGTTTCATTAATAGAATATTTTGTCTAAATACACACACACACACACACACACACACACACACACACATCTTCAATAAAGCTAAAATTTCATGAATTAAATATACAACTGATTAGATTATAAATTTTAGGGTATGCATCATTATTATGTAAGCCAACATATTGCCAGAGAAAAGAGAGGGGTTGGGACCAGGTCCAGTTATAATGCCACAAAGCTTACTGTTCTTACCAAGACTCAGCTGTTTTTCTTGAATAAATGCTCCCTGGGTTCAGTGAGCCTTTGTGAATTTCCATATTTGTTAAAAGTTGATTCTATTTTTGCCATTTTTCTGTTGCTTTTATAGAGAAGCAAAACTGACAAAATTTATCCTACTTTTCTTTCTTTTCTGATACCACTACAGAAATAGATTTTTAAAGTGTCCTGTAATTCCCTAATTCTCCCCAGCATGACTAGTGACTCTAGTCACTTTTAATTCCAGCTGCCAACATTCTATGTATGGTATGTACACATCTATAATAATGTGTCCAAATTATTATGGTTCGTCAAATGTCAATATTTCTATAGGAATAGCTACCAGAGCTAATATGTTATTTTAAATAAGTATAACCTTATTAATTTAAACTAATATAAATAATTTGATTATATTATTTTGTATACTGCCTAATATAAAGCTCACTATATTAATATTTTAATGACAAATTAATACTTTATAATGTTACTCCCAGGTAATTATAGAAGAAACTTATTGAAAAATGATATTTTTGTGGGAGGAATGAGATATATTTCAGGATGAAGAAATTTCAGTTAAAAATGAGTAAAAATGACACACATAATAAATTATAACCTAATGGTCTAGGTACATATAGTAGTGTGATGTAGGCCTGGTTGTCTGGGCCTATATGCCTTTACCTCTAATACATTGAGAGAATTATCACAACATCACTTGACTTCCATTCAGTTATCCCTGTTTTGTTCATCAGCAAGACAACTGTCCCGCCTTTCATCTTTTCAACAGAAAGTTACCAGGGCAAGTTTAATTTCAGTGTGTTCACTGTAAAAATGAACCAAATCAGGTTGGGTGTTGTGGCTCATGCCTGTAATCCCAGCACTTCGGGAGGCCAAGGCAGGCAGATCACTTAAGGTCGGGAGTTTGAGACCAGGCTGGCCAACACGGTGAATCCCTGTTTCTACTAAAAATACAAAAATTATCCAGGCGTGGTGGTGCATGCCTGTAATCCCAGCTGCTTGGGAGGCTGAGGCAGGAGAATCGCTCGAACCAGGGAGGCGGAGGTTGCAGTGAGCCAAGATTGTGCCACTGCACTCCAGCCTGGGTGACAGAATGAGACTCTGTCTCTCAAAAAAAAAAAAAAAAGAACCAAATCAGAATCTTAATAGAACAAAAGCACATGAATGTGTTCCAGATGCATAGAAAAAATGGAAAACTTACTCCTCATGAAAAGTGAAGTAGGAGATACACTAATATGATTTCAAGTGGAGGCAATAACTAAGATTATTTAGTTGGTTAACTAATTTTAAATGTAGGTTTTTTTTTCATTTTTGAACTCCTGTTTGGTTTTTTTTACAACTACAAATTTTAGCACCATGTCCTCTTCTTGTCTTATGATTTTGATTTCTTTATTTAAAAAATCATGATTAAAAATATTTTGGATAGTTCTTTAGTGTCTAGATTATGCATTTCTTTATAATGGTTTATTTCCTCATATGGTTTATAATTTTGGGCCCAACTCTCTTCTTCAGACACAGTGTCTGAAAGCCTTATGCATTCTGGAGTGTGGCAGAGTTCATGTGGAGCTAATCTTAGCGGTTGTCTCAGCTGGACCGCAGTGGCTTTCTCCCTATGTTTTGCTTTCATTTTAATTTCTCTGGTTAGGGTAGTGGTACCATCTGGGTAGCACAAATTGAAAATCAAATCTCAGGGAGCAGAGAACTTCGGATTCATTGTAGCTTGGGTGACTTTTAATTTCTGTTTTGATACCTAGAACATCAGGAATATGAGGGAGTTATTTAATGTAGATATCATCAGAAATGGGATTATATGTGTTTTTAAAACTGGCTCAGATTTTACTAAATAGGAAATGTACTCTAGTCAATTAATGCGTTGTTATCATACTGTGCAGTGAGTTTTCCTAATTATGCAATAATATAAATGTTTAACTATAAATTAATCCTATTTCTTAAAATTCTTCATGTACACAATGGGAAGTAGTAAGGAAAAAAGTCTATTAACCCTTCTTTTCAGGTTTCTTAAATATCAGGATGAATTTGTTACAATTTTCAAAACTGTGAGCTGCCAAGATAATTGAAATAAAATCTGAAATAGTTTTGAATTATATAATTTTGGATTTGAAATTATTATATAATGAATAATATTAACAGGCTAGCAAATAAAAATGATGAATACTAATGAACATCTATGCTTACATATGAGTATGTGTCAGAATATTATAGTGTTAGAATATTAAAGTTTTTATTACTTGTTCTATGTGTGATTTATTCAAATTCTCACTTATTTTACTTAATACTATTCTAAACCTGGGTATAAGCAAAGGTGGCAAGAAGTGCTCCCAGTCAGCAAGCTGACTACATGAGAAGTGTTAGCTGTAGTTGTCATTGATTACAGAATAGCTTTGGGGCTATCAGCGGAATGACCTCTGTAGTAATATATTACACCAATATTAATATCTCCCATGTTGAGTTTAGAAAGGGCATGAGAGGGTGACGACACAGCTCTAGAGTCATTCTTAAATTAAAAAATAATTCACCATTTTTTATTTTGGAGAGGAACTTACAAAACAGTAGATTTCCATTTTTAAAGATCTGACTATAAAACAGCCTTGTCTACTGATGGACATTATAATCTTCCCTCATAGCTGATACTTTCTTCTATTTGAGTAATTTCTTATTAATGACATTTTCCCTCTACTGGAACCCTGTAAAAGCATTAAACTGTAGCTCTCAGGATGACACCTATCTTGAACTACACTTATCTGCAGTTCTCAAGATGACACCCATACCAGAATCACCTGGGACAGCATGGGAGCAACAAAGGGAACATCCCAGGTGTTGTTACAGAGCAAGTAAGCAGAAGCTGCTGGTGACAGCTCTGGTTTCCACACTGTAAGTAAGGGCCTTAAAAACAACTACAGGCTGCTGCAGCATGTGGCAAGACACGTACATCTCTCCAACCTCTGCATTTATCCAAGATATCAACTTGGCTCAGGGCAGAGGGACTTAAGGTAGGAGGGAGGGGACCTCTGGAGCTGAAAAGAACTAATCAGAGCATTGTAGACACAATTAACTCTCCAAAGCTGTTCTCTACAGTGTTCTAGTTACACATGGCTTTGGAGGCTGATTTGGGCTAGCAGCATCATTAATGATACAATTTCTACAAAACATAAATTCTGTATTCCAAAGAACAAGTGTAAACATTTAGAAACTTTGATGATAATGATAGCATAGATTGAGAACTTTACATGTGCTATTATTTAATCCTCAAAATAAACTTACAGGATAGTCGCCCTTACACAAATGTTGCACATAGGGGAACTGAGGTTTAGATAAGAAAAATATCTTACATTTTATAAGTTGAAGAGCATTTAAACATTTTTATCATTAAAATTAATTTGTAATTTATGTATCATTTATAAATAGCTATCATAGATATTTAGATTTGTCAGTGGTTTCAAATCAAAGTTGATATCAAGAGTAAGAGGTTTATAGAACTGAATAATCAAAATTATTTTTGTTCTATGCATTAACTTAGACTCGTTTGAAATACTGTCAGCAAATTGTGAAAAATTCATTTGAATTTTGAGATAAATTAAAAGTAGGTCTCCCAGAAGTTAAGATATACTAAAACTAACATATGTAAATAAAACTCTAAGTTCTTCAACAATGTATTCAAATAAATTATTTTGTAGAAACAATAATTTTTGACTTAGATAAACATTTTTAAAGTACTTTTTAATATAAGTAGAGGAACCAATATATTACATAATATGAAGGAGATATCTGAAATGTATGTTTCTCACTGAAGATAGTAAATGACAGTACCAATTATTTCTGTCTAGAAATCAGGTAACGTTATCTTCTATAATCAATAAAATTAAAGAAATATATTATTTAGCTTTCCAAGTATGCTTTGATCTTACCTGCTGGTTTACAGGAAAGTTTCTGTTGATTTTTTTAATCTGCAATGATAAATAAATAATAAAAGTGAGAAGAACAATAGATGGTAACACAAGGTCCCCAGAATTTTATGCAGATTATTTTTAGTGAGCTAATATATACTAATATCCTATTTTGATATGCTGAAATCATCACATATAAAACAACATATATAAACAGATTTTTTCTTTTTAAAATTGGCTATCAAAATTATCCCACACTTCTTATGTAAACAGTTTGGAAAAGATTTCCCTTTAAAATTTTTTTAACTCAGAGAAACCAAAAGCCTGTGTTCAAACAATACTAAATGATTATCTATCAAGAATGCAGAGTGTAACTTTCTGTGGTTTATTTTTTGCACTTTGAAATTATATTATATCCAATTTGTTTTAGCACTCAAGAGAACAGGGAAGCGCAATATCCAAACGCTAAAGGATAAAGTATGTGTGTTGAACATTTTCAGTCAAGACTCCAGATAGAGTCTAACATTTACTTTAAGAAAATTTAATCAATGACATTTTATAAGAATTTAAAGTAGGTCTCCAGAGAAAGCATTTCCTCTGTCATATGCCATGGAAACAAACTTTAAAAACCTAATAAAAATGAACATTAGGCTTGGATAAAGGACATTACACAAAGTCTTTCTTCAATAGTGCTTTTGCTGAATAAAATAATTACCTTCCAATAGCTTTGTAGAGAAACTTAAGCATGCTAACTCTCTATGGTATACACTTACAGCAGAAGTAATGCAGACTATTTTCATTTATAAATCATGCCACTGACTTATTTTATTTTGTCCTTTTTTGGTTCCCTTTTATCCTACTGACTAGTGTGAAATAACAGTTCATTTAAACAGAAAAAGTACACAAAGTTGGAAAATCAACAAAAGTCACATCTACAAGAACAGATTTACTAGCAAGATATTTCTCACTTAAAATGTAAAAAGAAAAGAAAATTTGAGAACATATGTGTGATCTGAGCAAGGTTAGGTACAGAAACCATGTACTTCTTACATTATTATAATCATTTCAAAATACCTTCTGGCTCTGCTAAGGAATCTCTGAACCTACTCATATATGCCTTCAGCTAAAATCAGCATAGCCTGGAAATACAGATGGAAAAAACTGATCTCTAAACATTTTTATTAATCAATTAAAAAATCTATACTGAGTACTTTGTGGAAATCTACTTTTTGCTAATTCATATGAATTGTTATAAAGAATTCTAAAATTCAACTAATATTTTATGTGGGCCCTTGTCTTCAATAATGTACTATGTAGCTTCGTAAACTGCAATGTTTTTTTTTTTTTTAATCTGAAAAATAGTCTGAACCATCTTTCTAGGAAACTTGAAGATCAGCTATGAAAGTAAACACTTCATGATAGAAAGTAGTGGTTGAGCAAAACACGGGATAGAAAGTAGTGGTTGAGCAAAACACGGGATAGAAAGTAGTGATTGAGCCAAACTTCTGAGCCAAGCACAGACGTCTTGTCCTGCTAACCCACCCTTGGGAGCGTTTGCAGAATTGAGATGTTTTCTCCCACAGAGATCTACTTTCTGTCCCACTAGAGTGTTTACTAGACCATCAGAATTATTTACCTGTGAGGAATTGTTATATTATAATTTTTTGTTTTTGTTAGTTTCCCTTAGTACATACCTGACTTACCTTGGAAAAGATCAACTTATTAACTGATATGTGAATGTTACCATCTCTATCCTTTGAATGGTTTATTACATAACATTACTACTATTAAAATAATAAAATGTATGGTGTATTTCCTACCACGGCTCAAAAATAAGGCAAGAAAGTGGGAGCAATTTAGAATATAGAATATATTATATTTTACATTAGAATATCTGTATCAGAAATTAGAATACAGAAAAGAGGTAGTATATTAATGACTAGAGAGAATGACAAGACAGTGTGATATGCCAACAACTAGAATAAAATGTAAATAATAATAATAATATGTAAAAACTATGTTTGCAAAATATGAAAATGGCCTTTAGAAATTATGTGTAGATTGTCTTTGTAATGTGGCGAATACAATAATAAAATAATAAAGTAGAACAAGACATTAAGTCAATTATTGAAGAAGTAATATTCTTTAAAGTGGAAATACTAATAAATTGTGCGCCTCTTAGTCAAATGATATCATCATAACTTTTCAAATACTTCTTCTCTGTAACTTCATAATACTTTATACTTGAACAATTTATGTTATCCCAGGATTATGTAAAAATATTCAAAAAGAATGAGTCAATGCTTGAATACTGCTGTGTGTAGTATTAATAGATTTATTTGGCAAGAAAATAAATTGTGTAAGCTGATTTCTACTGAAATTTGTAGCTTTTTAATTGTGTATTAGGGTAATATAATCTATTCATGTTTATTCATGTTTCAGTGGAAATATACACTTAACTAACCAAACTACTGACTGCACAGGAATGGAAGGCGGGTAACCAAAATGGGGAGTGGGATGTCCAGCACAGAAAACTCCGTCCGCCTGTTACCCTCACTGTGGCAGCAAGAAATGTGCTTCCATTGTATTCAGAAATTTTTCCTGGTGTTGTAGATACAAAATAATTCCTTGTTAAGATTTAAAATCTGTACACACACCCACATCCATTTTAAAGATAATTTCCATCTTTCCTGTACCAAGTGGAATATAACAATATAAAATGTTATATTGTTAGTACTTATACTAACATTTTAAAATAAAACAATAACTTAAAGTAGGTCTAATTAGAACATTTCATATCTTCAATTTTTTTTTTTTTTGAGTCGGAGTCTCATTCTGTCACCCAGGCTGTAGTGCAGCAGTGCAATCTCAGCTCACTGCAGCCTCCGTTTCCTGGGTTCAAGCGATTCTCCTGCCTCAGCCTGTTGAGTAGCTGGGACTATAGGTGCCCACCACCACACCTGGCTAATTTTTTTTTATTTTTTAATTTTTAGTAGAGATAGGGTTTCACCATGTTGGCCAGAATGGTCTCGATCTCCCTACCTCGTGATCCGCCCGCCTCGGCCTCCCAAAATACTGGGATTACAGGCATGAGCCATGAGCCGCTAAATTTTTTTTTCTTTTTCTTTTCTTTTTTTTTTTGAGACGAAGTCTCACTCTCGTCCCCCAGGCTGGCAATCTCCGCCTCCCGGGTTCAAGCGATTCTCCTGCCTCACCCTCGCGCGTAGCCAGGACTACAGGCGTGCACCACCACACCCAGCTAATTTTTGTATTTTTAGTAGAGACAGGGTTTCGCCATGTTAGCCAGTCTGGTCTCGAACTCCTGACTTCAGGTGATCCGCCCGCCTCGGCCACCCAAAATGGTGGGATTTCAGGCGTGAGCCACTGCGCCCGGCCAAGCCACTAATTTTTAACAGTCTAACATTTTTAAATATACACACACAGAGAGTATAAAGTAAGTGGAAAAATCACAGCAATTAAAACATATGTAGCATACACTGAAGTATTTATTATGCTAAACAATAATCAATATATCCAAAACTTTATAACACTGTGCATTCATTACAAATGCTTATGGTGATATTTACCGATTGATAAGATTGATAAGATTGATAAGATACGATGCTTACAAAATGTTCTAATTTCAAGGCAGTTTTATGCAGTATTTTAAAAATTACATATACACATATATATGCATACATACATATATACCTACATATATGTATATACATATATGTATGTATGCATATATGTGTATGTATATTAAACATATATAAATTTATATATGCATATATATACACATGCACAAAGATTGATAATTTGGGCATACATCCAGTCTTACAAATTTAGATTAATGTCTGTAAGCGTGAACCGAAATTGATTTTATGTTTAATGTGCATACATAAGTAGACATATGTGTATGACAATGATACTGACAGTTATAAATACAAAATTCAAACAGTTTTGTTTTTTATTTAGGGGTTATTACATGAATGCTTCCTTTGCTGCTTTGTATTTTATAATTATTATTATTTTGAAATATAACTTTTATCATTAGAAAATAAAATTAGTTTAATCTTTACTTTTTTTTTAACGAAGCTCTCCATTGTTTAAAACTTCGAAAATCTAAAATGTCATCAAAACAACCCCCAGAATACACATTTTTCAAAAACACCTGTTTTATTTTTCCTCTCTCTAGCTAAACTTTTAAATCTTTCACAACATTTTAAAGGCTTATAAGGATCCTCAGTCCTCAGTAATGTGTGTGTGTGTGTGTGTGTGTGTGTATTAATGAAATGAAGACAGGAGAGAATGTCATTATTTACTTCTAAAATCTTTTAATGACCTTCTACCAAGTGTGACTCATGGTGATAAGTGCTAGAACATGGAAATGAAAGATCCCATGCAGAGACAATGGCATAAGGATGCCCCCTTTACAGAATCCAAACAATCCAAGGAGGCTGCAGAGGGGAATGAGGATAAGTTCAACACAGGAGCTAAAATGTAGTTGCATAAGACTTTGTCAGGCTGTGCAGTCAGACAGATCTGGTGTTGAATTCCAGTTGTAATTATTACTAAATATCCTCAGACAGATCATTAATTATCAAATATCTAGATCCCTTCATTTGTAAAACATCAATAATGACATTAACTGCATATATTTGTTGGAAAAATTGACAGGAATATAGAGCTTAATAAGTAGTGATTATAATTAATATAAAGTAAGCTTGAATTCCCTTTGAAGATAAGAAGTGCATTTTAAAGAATGCTGAGCAAAGATGTCTTTCTTACACTGTAGTTTTCATACTCCCTTCTATTTTCTTGTCAACTCTAGACTAGGATTTGCACACTCAGGTGCCAAATGGGTGACAATCATGTGTGAATCAGGCTGGGTGGGGAATGAACAGATAGAGGGAAAATGAATCCATTGATGCTTTCTCATAAGTGGCACTGGTGGAATATCCTAGTGTTTATCAATTGGACATAGTATACCTTCATTTCTGTTTACAACCATTCTCTAGGAAACCTAAATTATAAGTGAACTCTCAATATAAAGATACTGGCAATAATTTGCTTTGAAAAATACTTACTTTTTAATTATAACATTAATATCAATAAAGCAAATTAAAATTTAATTAGAAAACCCAAAAAGATACATTAATTACAATTTAAATTTATTTTTAAAACATGGTATTATTCATATGATTAATATAGTGTCTGCTATATTATATACAGTCAAATATTAAAAAATAAATATTTTTAGTAATAAAATGCATTCAGAGAGCAAAGTTTTAAAAATTTTCTACTCTTGGTAGTAATACTATTTCCAAATAATGAAAATTCTAAATTCTCTGCATCATTTTAAGACTGATCTTCAAATAAGACAAATCAGTGTTTTTCAAAAAGGCATTTTCCATGTTACACTTCTTAGAAACCAATGCTAATTTTATGTTATCAGAACAATTTGTGTTATACGTAGCTAAAAAGGGAGTATAATTTTGACTAAAATAAAGGCTGTGTTTGAACTTGAAGGCTTTTAGAGATCAAAGGACATAATTTCTGTCCGTATCACAAAACCGGCTGCTTTTGGATCACAGTTATTTAAGCTATTAATCCTCTGGCTGTAAAAGGAGCAGAATGGCTTAGACCAGGGTTGCCCAACACATCACTCTACAAAACCAGCAAGAGCTATAAATGACCACAAAGTAAAATGGATTCAGATAAATGAAGGCCACGTTAAGCCTTTTAAAAATGAAAAACAGAAGATAAATTCATAAATTATATTCATCTCTGCTTGATTTCTTGGAAACTCATTTTTCAGACAGCTGCCAAAGCATACGGTCTTGTTTTCTTGTGTTCTTGTTTCAGGTAGCAGACAAGTAAGTTCTATCTATGAAAATTCTGTATGAATGACCCAGAGCCAATGCCTGCCCCTTCTTCCCAAATACTGGCCTCAGGCTTCCTTGACTGAGAGCACTTTCCTTTCCAAGCACTTTGGGCTTTCCAGGCAGAGAGAAACAAACAACGCATGGACCCAGTGCCCACCCAGGTCAGTGGCTGTTCAGCACAACACAGCAGAAGGGCAGCTCCATCTGCGGGGACTTCATCATGTTTGACTTGCACAGTTGTGGTCGGTGCCAGATCACAGTAAGAAGACTGGTATTCTTCTGTTACAGGCACACTAATGCATCATCCTTCCACCACTAAAGTAAATCTTAGCAATCAAGTTTCTTTCCAGATACTGTCTAAACTAAAACCTAGAGGGCTACCACTGTTCAGGTGCTATGCTGGGATATGCTTGTGACAGCAGCATTGTTGTCTCTTTCAGGAGCTAGTGTGGACTCTCTCAGTGTCATCGAGAACGCACCACTGCACTCCAGCCCAGGAGACAGTGCGAAACACCGTGTCAAAAAAAAAAAAAAAAAAGAATCAGAGAAATGTAAATCAAAACCACAATGAGATACCATCTCACACCAGTTAGAATGGCAATCATCAAAAAGTCAGGAAACAGTAGGTGCTGGAGAGGATGTGGAGACATAGGAACACTTTTACGCTGTTGGTGGGACGGTAAACTAGTTCAACCATTGTGGAAGACAGTGTGGTGATTCCTCAAGGATCTAGAACTAGAAATACCATTTGACCCAGCCATCCCATTACTGGGTATATACCCAAAGGATCATGCTGCTATAAAGACACATGCACACATACATTTATTGCGGCCCTATTTACAAGAGCAAAGACTTGGAACCAACCCTAATGTCCATCAATGATAGACTGGATTAAGAAAATATGGCATATATACACCATGGAATACTATGTAGCCATAAAGAAGGATGAGTTCATGTCCTTTGTAGGGACATGGATGAAGCTGGAAACCATCATTCTGAGCAAACTATTGCAAGGACAGAAAACCAAACACCGCATGTTCTCACTCATAGGTGGGAATTGAACAATGAGAACACCTGGACGCAGGAAGGGGAACATCACACTCTGGGGCCTGTCGTGGGGTGGAGGGAGCGGGGAGGGATAGCATTAGGAGATATACCTAATGTAAATGAGGAATTAATGGGTCCAGCACACCAACATGGCCCATGTATACATATGTAACAGACCTGCATGTTGTGCACATGTACCCTAGAACTTAAAGCATAATTAAAAAAAAAAAGAAAAGAAAAAACAAATCTGAAGAAACTTACCTGACCTCTAGCAGAAAAAAAAAAAAAAGCTCAGCATTTTGCTATTTACTTACAGTTCCAGGGGATTTATAGACACTTTGAAACTTTATAGAGACTTCCAGCAAAAAAGAAAATTCGTATTACTGCATAAGAAACATTTGATTTGACCTATTTCCTTCCATTGGGTAGTAAAATGTATTGTGAATATCCTTCCTCAGGATGACTATCGCAAAAAGGAACTGAGGCTGAGTGATATGTCTATGACAGAGGGCTTTGCAGCTCCAAGAATTTTTGATGCTAGTTATTTTCTATCATATAAATTGGTTTAATGGCTCATGTATTTTCTTTCTTTTTTTTTTTTTTTTTTTTGAGTCTCACTCTGTCGCCCAGGCTGGAGGCAGTAGTGTGATCTCAGTTCACTCCAGCCTCCGCCTCCCAGGTTTAAGCAATTCTCCCACCTCAGCCTCCCAAGTCACTAGGATTATAGGCGCCGCCACCATGCCCTGATAATTTTTGTATTCTTAGTAGAGACAGGGTTTCACCATGTTGGCCAGGTTGGTCTCGAACTCCTGGCCTCAGGTGATCCACTCGCCTCGGCTTCCCAAAGTACTTAAGATTACAGGCATGAGCCACCATGCCTGCTCTCATGTGTATTCTCAAAGAGCATACCTAGATTCAGGATGGTGTGACCTACACAAAGGAAACAAAATCTAAGTAGTGTTAAGTTCTTATTTTTTTAAGAACATAAAATATAAAATTCAATTTTTTTAAATATCAGTTTATTTCATTTTATGCTGCAGTTGTGATAAGGAAACTCATTGGGTCATTCTTATAATTATCTTTGATTTCTAGAAAACTATAGGCTCTTTGAGCTTGGGAATTCTGTATTTTTCTATCTTTTAATTCCCAAAATATGTGATTTTAGTTCTATGAATGACCCAAAACATAGAACAGAAAGTTAAAAATGACACTTTTGTGTAGTATTTTCTTAAAAGGACATTCATTAAAATATGCTATTCAAAACCAAGCCTAGGTCATCGTATTTGCTTAAATGGGAACCTCCAGACTTATTCAATAAAAAAAATATGTTATGCTTGAATTCCTGTTTTTTTCTAGAATTGTATTGGAATATTTTCTGCTAAAAGAAAAATTGCAGTACCTCAAATAAATCAGACAGGATGATACTTTCAGATGCATAGTACATGTACACACACACACACCCACACACCCATACACACTAAAAATGTGACATTGTGCTTAATTATATCTTTATTTCCTCTATACTATCAGTATAGAGGATACTTATCAGTATAGAGATACTTATCAGTATCTAATAACTGCTTATTTTAATACTTTTCTTTTGTAATTTATTTGCTCCCCTCACTAGAATGTAAGTTCTAGGTCACAGACTTCTGTCTGTCTCAGTCTATACTGCACCGACTTGCACCTAGAGAAGGCCTAGGTCTTAGTAGGTGCTCAATTAATATTTGTTGAATGAATGAAGACAGAGAATAGCTCAGTTACAACAAAGTTAAACTCATGAATTTGAAGTTTAACTTTGCCTTGAAAGCTAATCACTTAAAAAGCAAAACAAACAAGCAATCAAACAAACAAAATCAAACAACCAAAAACCCTCTAAGTTCTTGAGTCTTAATGTCTATAGTGTGAAACCTGCAGATACTGGATGATTGTTTTTGTCAGATCCAGACAAAATAGGGCTGGGAAGACATGAAGGAGAGGGAACTCATGATTACATGTCTAAGAAAAGAACTGTTTCCAAGGACTCTCTAAAACTCCACAAGAAATTTCTTAACCTCCTTCAAGCATCTTATCCTTTGCATGGCTTGCAAATTTTGCACATATACTTATGTTTGTATGACAAGGTCTATCACTAGACATTCTTTAGGACTGCAATATTTTCAATAGGATGCTCTGCCAAGAACACTTGCCGAGTAAGGACATCTCCAACAACGAACTGAGCTTGAGTCTGTGAAACCAAAGAACTTTGTTTCTAAGCAACTTATGTAATCCCTTCCCATTGTGCCAATAAAAGCTTCCATTTCCCCTTCCCTCACTTGATACACTGTGGCATCCCAAATATTAATCCTCATATTTCATTCCTGAGTAAATGCAACATATTTGGAGATACTAATCTCTAATTTTTTTTAGATTGACAATAGTAATTCTGATGGCTTCAAAATGTAGAATTCATACCATGCATACAAGATTTGAAAGGAATACTTATAATTTAAAAGGAAGTTCTTATATTACAATAATAATTGTTTCTGGGCTGAAATGAAACATGGAGAGAGAGAGGCATCTGAAGTATCAGTAGAAAATATAGAGTAAATATGATGAAATTTAAATTGATTTCTGTTCAAAAAAGAGAGATGTAGTCTTATGAAACATGACCATAGAATTTATTGATTCTTAAATATAACCTTCTCAGTAGGATTTCCTAGCATCTTGTCACTCCTTATCACTGGTGACTTCTGCAAGTGATCTACCTCCTTTGTTGCAGAGCAGATTTTGGAATTTAGTCATCCCATTTATCATTTAACACAAAAGAACATCATAAATGCAAGTGCACATTCTTATAATTTTATGTGCTCTTGATAAGATGGATGATTAAGAATAATATTTTAGGTTTGACCTTCTATTATATATGCACCTATTGTTTCTACAGGAGCATTTTAAAAATGTAAATTTGAAATGGCCATTTTTTACTTAAGTAATTACACACTGTCCATTACTTCAGAAACAAAAGAACAAAATCACATATAATTCAAATCCTTCCACATCCTGGCCCATGTGTCTCTCAGGAGTCACTTCTGTATCAGGTCCTTGTATGTATGAACTCTAGGATGTAGGCCCTGTCCTGCCACAGCACAGTGTCTTTGCTCATGTTCACTCTCCCCAGGCCCACTCTATTAGTCCATTCTCACTCTATTGATAAAGACATACCCAAGACTGGGTAATTTATAATGAAAAGTGGTTTCATTGACTCACAGTTAAGCATGCCTGGGGAGGCCTCAAGAAACACAGTCATGATGGAAGGGGAAGCAAAGACGTCCTTCATCATATTGTGGCAGCAAGGAGAAGTGCCAAGCAAAAGAGGGAAAATCCCCTTATAAAACCATCAGATCTCCTGAGAACTCACTATAATGAGAACAGCATGAGGGTAACCATCCCCATGATTCAGTTACCTCCCACTGGGTTCCTCCCATGACACATTGGGCTAATGGGAACTATAGTTCAAGATGAGATTTGGGTGGGGACACAACCCAACCATATCATTCTGCCCCTGGCCCCTCCCAAAATCATGTCTTCCCATTTCAAAACACCATCATGCCCTTCCAACAGTCCCCCAAAGCCTTAACTCATTCCAGCATTAACTCAAAAGTCCAAGTCCAAAGCTTCATCTGAGACAAGGCAAGTCTCTTCCATCTATAACCCTGTGAAATCAAAAGCAAGTCAGTTACTTCCTAGATACAATAGGGGTACAGGAATTGAGTAAATATACCTGTTCTAAATGGGACAAATTTGTCAAAACAAAGGGGCTAAAGGCCCCATGCAAGTCCAAAATCCAATAGGGCAGTTGTTAAACTTTAAGGTTCGAAAATGATCTCCTTTGACTCAATGTCTCACATCCAAGTCATGCTGATGCAAGAGGTGGGCTCCCATGGCCTTGGGCAGGTCCACCCCTGTGGCTTTGCAGGGTATAGCTCCCCTCCTGGCTGCTATCACAGGCTGACATTGAGTGTCTGTTCCTTTTCCCAGCACACGGTGCAAGCCGTCAGTAGTTCTACCATTATGGGGTGTGGAGAATGGTGGCCTTCTCACAGCTCCACTGGGCAGTGCCTACCCCACATTTCTCTTCTTCACTGCCCTAGCAGAGATTCTCCATGAGGGCTCCACTGCTGCAGCAAACTTCTGCCTGGACACCCAGACATGTCCATACATCTTCTGAAATCTAGGCAGAAGTTCCCAAACCTCAATTTTTGTTTTCTGCGCACTCAAAGGGCAAACACCACATGGAAGCTGCCAAAGCTTGGGACTTGCATCATCTGAAGCAACGGCCTGAACTGCGCATTGGCCCCCTTTTTTTTATTATTATACTTTATGCATTGGCCTTTTTAGCCATAGCCAGAGCAGCTGCGATGCAGGGCACCATGCCCCAGGGATGCACATAGCAGGGGGGCCTGGACCAGGCCCAGAAAACCATTTTTCCTTCCTCTGTGGCTGTGATGGGAGGGGCTGCCATGAAGGTCTCTGACACGCCCTGAAGACATTTTCCCCATTGTCTTGGTAATTAACTTTCAGCTCTTCACTACTTATGCTGATGTCTGCAGCCTACTTGAATGTCACCCTAGAAAACGGGGTTCTCTTTTCCATTGCATTGTCAGACTGGAAAATTTCCAAACATTTATGCTCTGATTCCTCTTTGCTGCCTAGAAATTTCTTCCATCAGATACCCTAAATCATCTCTCTCAAGTTCAAAGTTCCACAGATCTCTGGGGAGGGGCAAAATGCCACCAGTCTCATTGAATAGCAAGAGTGACCTTTACTCCAGTTCCCAACAAGTTCCTCATCTCCATCTGAGACCATCTCAGCCTGGACTTCATTGTCCATATCACTATCAGCATTTTGGTCAAAGCCATTCAACAAGTGTCAAGGAAGTTCCTAACTTCCCCACAACTTTCTGTCTTCTGAGCCCTCTAAGTCTCTAGGAAGTTCCAAACTTTCCTACATTCTCCTGTTTTCTTCTGAGTCCTTTAAACTGTTCCAAGCTCTAACTGGTACCCAGCTCCCAAGTCACTTCCACATTTTCAGGTATCCTTATAGCCACACCCCACTCCTGAACCAATTTACTATATTAGTCCATCTTCACACTGCTAATTAAGACATACCCAAGTCTGGGTAATTTATAAAGAAGACAGATTTAATTGACTCACAGTTCAGCACGGCTAGGGAGGCCCTCAGGAAACACAATTATGGCAAAAGGGGAAGCAAACACATCCTTCTTTACGTGGCGGCAGCAAGGAGAAATGCCAAGCAAATGGGGAAAAGCCCCTTATAAAGTCATCAGATCTTGTGAGAACTCACTCGCTATAATGAGAACAGCATGAGGGTAACTACCCCCATTATTCGATTACCTCCACAATCAGGTCCCTCCCACAACATGTGGGCATTATAGGAACTATAATTCAAGATGAGATATGGGTGGGCACACGGCCAAATCATATCACCCACCAAAGCTCAGTTCATCCCTGTTTTATTTTTCTCTCCCTCTTTTGTTCCTCCCACCCTCCCTTGCTCTTGCTGTCTCTCTCTCTCTCTTTCTCTCTCATCCTCTCACTTTTTCACCTAGCAAGAATCTATTTTATTTTCATGTTTAGCTGAGGTACACAGAGATTAAATATCCTTTAATTCACCCTGAAATTGGCACCAGCTAATTCAGTCTGACACAAAGGCTATGCCCATGTACCACATAATCAAAACCATATCTGCCATGAAAGCTTTTCTGAGGACTCAGAAAGAATGTCTGGTGACTTTCTCTTTGGGTCTACATTTCCATCTGCTATTCCTCTTGCTGCATGTGTTTACTAAATGCAGTGTAATCCTTAAGAAGAGACATGTGTCTTATTCATTTTAACTTCCCTCAGTCTAGCAGAATGTCCATATGACCCTAACAAGTGTTATCAGAAAAAATTAGCTATCTTTTGAGGTAAACTGTATGCCACTTCTATCTTTTCAAATGCTTTGAGGATTCTAGCTCTGAATAAACATAATGCCATTTTCTCTTTCTGTGCTCTTGGTGCTTTGCATCTTATCACTGAGGACTGGACTTTGAAAATCTATAACTGGTCAGGCTTCTTAATTCTTCTTTTACTAGAAGCTGATTTAACCTCTTTCTTTGTATAATCTCAACATCTTGTAGTTTGTTAAAGAAACCTCATTTTCTACTTTGTCAATGATTTTAACATAAGTAAAAGAACAGCAGTGCAACAATAATGGAAATCATCAAGTTAGTATATTTTCCTGACTAATGAGGGAAGTTAACACTAAGATTTGACACATTCTTGCTTTGCCAACATATAACACAGTGTTCCATATTTATTATGTTTTCTAAAAATGTATTTTATGTCAAATCTCAATGTATAAACATTTAAAGAAGTACTACACCAATCCTTCTTCAACTTTTCCAAAAAATAAAGAAGGAGCATTTCCTAACTCATTTTACGAGGCCATTATCACTCTGATACCAAAGCCACACAAAGACACCAGAAGAAAAAAAAAAACAAAAAAAAAAAACTATGGACCAATATTATTTATGAACCTAATGAAAATATCCTCAACAAAATACTAAGAAAGTGAATTCAACAGCACATTCAACAGTGCAACAGCACATTAAAAAGATTATATACAATTATCAAGTGGGTTTTATTCCTGGAATGGAAGATTGGTTCAACACATGAAAATCAATCGAAGTAGTTCACCACATTAACAAAATGAAAGCAAAAAGCAGATAATCATCTCAACTGATGCAGAAAAAGCAATTGACAAAATTCTACACTCTTTTATGATAAACACACTCCACATACTAGAAATAGAAGGAAACTACCTTAACGGAACATAAGCCATACATAAAAACCGCCAGGGAATATCATACTCAATGGTAGAAGACTGAAACCTTTTCCTATGAAAAGGATAATATGTTCCTATGTGATCAGGAACAAGACAAAGATGCCTGCTTTTCACCATATTATTTGACACAGTACTTCAAGTCCTAGCAGCTGTAATTAAGCAAGAAAAAAGAAATATAAGAAAGAATTGAAAAGGAAAAAATAATGTTATCATTGTTCATAGATGATATGATCTCATATGTGGAAAATTCTAAAGCTTTATCCAAAAGTAATTGTTATAATTAATAAATTAGAAAACTATCTGATTACAGATTCAACATGCAAAATAAATTGCATTTCTATGTAATAACAATGAACAATCTGAAAAGAAAACTTAAAATTTTTATTTATAATAGTATCAAAAGTATCAAAGAGAATAAAATACTTAGGAATTAAGTAAGAGGTGAAACGCTTATAAAATGTAATCTACAAAACATTTCTTAAAAAATTAAACAAGACAAATAAATGGAAAAAATTCCATCTTCATAGATGTGAAGATTTAATATTATTAAGACAGCAACACTACTCAAGGGAACTCACAGATTCCCTCAAACCTTATCAAAATTTCAATGAGGTGTTTTACAGAAATAAAAAATCTATCCAAAAATTTGCGTGGAATCTCAAGGGCCCTCCCGAATTGCCAAAACAATCTTAACAAAGAACAATACCAGAGAACACGTATTTCTTGATTTCAAAACTTCCTACTACAGTAAACTATGTGCTATAGGTCTAAAAACGGGCACATAGATACATAGAATAGAATAGAGTCCAGAAATAAGCCCTCATATATGTTCAAATAATTTTTAACACAGATGCCAAAACCACTCAATGGAAAAAAGACAGTCGTATTAACTAATGATTCTAAGAAAACTGGAAATTCATATGCAAAATCATGAAGCTGGACCTTCCATTACATTATATTCAAAAATTAACCCAAAGACCTGAGCATAAGACATAAAGCTGTAAAACATTTTTGGGATGCATGCAATTGGCATCCTGGAAGAAAAGCAGAGAGAGAATGGAATAGTGTGGAAGAGCTGAAAATTTTCCAAATGGATAAAGCCATTAATCTACAAATTTAAGAAAATCTACTAATTTTGAGCCCACCATAGTAAAACTGCTGAAAAATAAGGAAAGAAAAAACAATTGAATACAGACAGAGGGAAAGAGGAACTATTTCAAGGAAACAAAATGAGGCTGAAAGAAGTTTCCTGGAAGAAGATATGAATGAACATTTCTGTGATCTCTTCATTTAGAAATATTTTTTAGAAATTTCCAGAAATAGTCTATGAGATTCACATTTGAAAGACCAGTACATGTTTGAAGAATATGGAAAAGGAAATACAGACTCACATTTGGTTTGTCTCCTTGTGGCTCACACTGTTCCACTGCCGACCCTGCACACTAGCCCTACAGAGGACACACAAGCAATCAACGATACAGAGGTAGCAGCAGTGCCCTCACGGAGAGTCATCCAAACCTTAAACCCCAAACAGCAAGAAATTTGGCACCCAACATGCAGATCAGAGAAGTAAGGGCCTTGGGCTTGCTACTTTGGTATGGTGGAGTCTGGAAAACAGAAAAGGAGCTGAGGTGTGTTTGGGCATGCTATGCAGTCACTCAAGATGCCACCCCACAAATGTAGAGGAAAATGATAGCTCTGTCAATTGTTATTCTCACACTGTTATTACCTTCATCAGGAGGCATATTTTAGAAGTAGGTGTGTTTGGCCTTGCAATGGACTAATCAAATTCAAAGAAGGTCATTTCAGTAGAAAAGTTAATGTGAACACTACATAAAAATAAATATTCAAAAAGTGGGCTATTCATAAAGCCCCCATAAACGAACTTGAAAACAAGAAAACATTACAAAATGATTAGTAGCTCCACTATATAATAAACTCTTCTTAAAAATACATATGCTCTCCTTCATAGCTGTAGGACTGAACAGACTAGGTCTGACATAATTGCACCACCACACTCAGTACCTAGTGCACAGAGTGCCAAACAAACATGACCAAACAGAAAAGGACATCTATGTAAGAGAAAATTCATAAAAATGTGAAAATGTGAAATGCCACTTTTGCATATGATCAAACATCAATAGATTAAAACCATTAATGTGATCTTAACCAATAAGGGCCAAATATTGAACAGCATGTTAATATACTTTCACACATTGTTGTCACATTACATAAAGTCAAGCTAGGTTCATGAGAATAAAAAAATTCATGTTCTTATGCAAATAAATAGTCAGCAATGTTTTCATTGACTGGTACACCAAAAAAATCCATAGGCTTTCATTGGATTAATAAAATATTTTAAATGACTTACATGTCAAATATTAAACCATTCGTAAGTTATTATATAATATACACAAAAAAACCAAACATCTATTAATCCATTAAAAGTGGGTAATCTCAGAATATGATTACTGTTCTGAGGAAGTGTTTATGATCACATATGAACAAAAGATAATACCATAAACATAGGAAGCTGGCAATTTTGTTTTATATGTGTAAAGAAAAATACACATTTTCAAGTATATGTAATATATACTCATAAAACATTAATATTACACTCATGAGCCATTATTGTTGCTACATGTTTCACTTTAATGTTTTTCTGCACTTTACTGTATTTCTAAAGTAAAAATATAATTAAGGCACACGTTTAAAAAATATCTTTTACCAACCATAAGCAAACGGAATTCCATGTTTTATTTCCAAAAGATAAAAATATCAGGTAAATATAGATGTACTCTTTCAGAAACTGGAGTTTGAATAGTATTTTTAAGTGAAAGAATATACTAAATACCCAAGATGAAAATAATCTTCATATTCTGTTTGAAATGGAATGGTAAAAAATAGTATTTTAACCTATTTATGCCTGAGGCTGCAGTCTTTTTTAGTTTTTGCAATCAGACCTTGGTAATGACCTTGAGCAGTAGAATATAAATAACTCCCACATGCTTAGCGTTCCAATAATGGAACCCTAGGCATAAATGGGTTGAGATGTTACAGGTAATTACTGAAAATAGTATTTGCTGAATATCATATATATTTTTCCAGACATTAAAAAATGTTAGAATTAAGATCATCCTATTTTATTAAGAACTTTCACCAGTTATTCTTGTTATTTGATTCTATCACGTTATTTTTTTTCCTACAGGAATCACTAGCATTAATGAAACCTTACATTTAAAAACAGTTATTAAAGAAATAAGACTATTATATATAAGAAGTATACTTATAAGTTATTAAATTTTCAGTTAAATTAAATAGAAACTTTTTCATTAGACATTTTTTACTGGAACTATGATTTTAAAATTTGAGTATTCTGTTTCTAAAACATGGGGACAAATATAAAGTTATGGAATGCATATATTACAAATCAAACAATATGCTTCATACTCAAGAACTGAAATGATAATGAGAATTATCCTGTTTATCAAATTACTAAAATTTATAAACTATATTGTTGTCAAAATTAAATATCTGCTTAGATATTACGGACAACATTCAAAGGAATAATATTCACTTTCAGGAAATCCTTGGGAAAATGACAAATATATGCACATTTTTTTCTTAGAAACTCATTCCACTGAATGTTAATAATGGTAACCTCTTAAAGTGGTTAAAGTAAGTTCAATTATTATAGATCCATTAAATAGAGCCAGTTTTACAACTGATTTTAATAAAGATCTGCTTGGAATTAATTTACTTAAAAAATTTAAGAAACAGAAGTGCACATTTGTTTTAAATATTGTCCTGTTTCTTAAATCCCTGAATTTTGTTTATTAACTTTTAGCAGCATTGATTTAGCAGTAATTTGTAATGTACTTTTAGTAGTAATAATATTCTCTTTGATGACCTCTTTAGACCAGCAGGGAAATTCAATCAAATTCAAATCTTCCTTTAAAAATATTCCTCTTTTCTGAATTTAAATGCCTTTAAGGATAGAATTTTTTAAAATTACATTGCCAGTTTAATCAAAGATCTTATATGTTTAAATTGTATCTTAACGATACCAATTTTTTAATTTCCAGCTTTCATATACAAGACACCTTGATGACTGGGGAGTTGTGCTCTCCAGATGGACAATGCAGGATGCTGTTTAACAGGGTATATTTTCTGGTGAAAATCAATTTTGAAGATTTAACCAAAAAGCTAGAACCATTTTGAAGATTTAACCAAAAAGCTAGAAACATTCCTCCAATTTTTTAGAGATGTGTGGCCAATGCTATTTAACAAATGTGTTAGAACCTAGAGAGATCATTATTCTATAGAAATAAATTCACTTGACAAATAACGACATTAGTGTAAGGATACAAGATGACCATATATCACCTCTAACTGTTGAGAAAACTCTACTTTTACCATGAGAAGAGAAGAATTTAAACATGACTTTTGCTTCTAGAGCTCACATTTCAGCTCATATTTTTCCTTTTATGCCCTTTTACTTTGGTTATTTCTCATGACTATGTATAAAAATTAAAATCAGGCCATGTTGCTTTTCAAAACATATCCATTAACAGTAAATCAATGCCTTAGGATGATTAGATATTATATCTGAGTGAGCTTTCTTAAACTTTATTTTCCTATAACAAGAATTATCCAATTTTATCTGTCTCAGTCATCATTTTAAGATTAGCATATGCACACACATACAACTGTGAATCAGAAGCCTGAAAGTAGGTCGCAATCACTTACAAATATCTATGGGTATATGTTCAGTGTCGAATCATTCATTTTTGCATGAATTCACCAAACATCAGAAATGACTCTCTCTCTCTCTCTCTCTATATATATATATATATAAAATAGGTGATAGAAACAAACATACAATAAATAATCCTAAGTCTCTGAGACGAGTATTATAACAAGATGCTATAGGAGTATGAGAAGGAGGGGAATCTTCTCATAGGGGCAGGTGTACCTACCTAGCACAGTCACCGTGGGCTTCAGGAAATAATAAAAATTGTTTTTTGTTTATCAGTATTACTTTTAGTCACAGGTGAAGAAAATAGTTTTACCATTGGTATATTATTAGCCAGTATTCTATAAATGAAATGCACAGTGTTCATACATAAGAAGCTCAAAGCACCCTCAAGTGACGTGTGTGACCACCTCTGCTCCCTCATCAGGGGTCCTTGGCTTTGAAGCTCCATTTTAGAATGAGGGGTTTCTAAAACATGTTCAGTGGAGCAACTGCCCACTCAAAGTGATTTCTTTTGTAATTTTCTAATGGCCTTTCATCTACTGCTTAACACAATTCACTTACACCTCTTTACTCCTATGCCTGGTAGGAGGTGAGAGCGAATCACCTAGGGAATATTCAGTACTCTGCAATGAACATTTAGAGGTGAAAGTTGTTTCCTTAGTCCTGCTTCTGTAGAAATAGAGTGTGAGGCAAAGTCTCACATGTTAACAATTGATTAGGGAAGATATTTGAGCCTAAGGAACTTAGGGTCATAGGTGAAGGCCAGCAAGGCAGGCCAGCAGAAAACAAATATGAAGTGGGAGTTCTCAGATCCCTGAACTGGCCTCAGCTTCTCAGTGAAGCACTGCTTCATTAAGTGTGCTTTGGCTCTGGGGCCTGTGCCATCACTGCACTCCCAAATCCAAACAGCTCGTCTATTGAGCAAGAGTGAGCAAATTTATCAGCAGGCTGTTTCTTTGCCCTGGTCTTTCACTGGACAAAGTATGTCACCTGGGGATCAATTACCCCACATTCCTGCTGTGTTCTCTTGAGCCCGGGACAGGAGGCAGGTCCCAGGGAGTTAGCTTCGGTCTCTTTGGGTGTGATGAAGGCCATGCTAACTCCAGCCCTAGGCACTGAAGGAGATAGCAGCGTTGGTATGCTATGGGGTGGCCCCTGTGCAGGGTCATAGTTCCACGGCTGCTGAAACGCTAATAGCTGGAGCTGCCCTGGCCAGAAAGACAAGCAAAGCAAAGAGGGGCATGGGGGCAGGCAGGCAGGGCTCATTGGACAAAAGGGTGGTGGAGGCAGAGGGAAGGAAACTATGTTCAGGAAAACTGCTCCATTTTATTATGACAGATGCTGGCGAAGGGGTAGAGAAAGGGGAACGCTTGTACGCTGGTGGTGGGAGTGTAAATTCGTGCAACTACTATGGAAAACTGTGTGGAGGTTCTTCAAAAATTAAAAATAAGAGCCAGAGGTGTGGTGGCTCACACCTGTAATCCCAGCACTTTGGGAGGCTGAGGCAGGCAGATCACAAGGTCAATAGATTGAGACCATCCTGACCAACGTGGTGAAACCCTGTCTCTACTAAAAAATACAAAAATTCTACAGGCACGGTGGTGCATGCCCACAGTCCCAGCTATTTGGGAGCCTGAGGCAGAAGAATCGCTTGAACCTGGGAGGGAGAGGCTGCAGTGATCCGAGATCATGCCACAGCACTCCAGTCTGGTGACAGAGCGAGACTCCACCTAAATAATAATAATAATAATAATAATAATAATAACAACAATAATAATAATAATAATAATAAAAAATAAGGCTGGACGTGGTGGCTCACCCTGTAATCCCAGCACGCTGGGAGGCCAAGGTGGGTGGATCACCTGAGGTTAGGAGTTCAAGACCAGCCTAACCAATATGGTGAAACCCCGTCTCTGCCAAAAATAGAAAAATTAGCTGGGTGTGGTGGTGTGCGCCTGTAGTCCCAGCTACTCCGCAGGCTGAGACAGGAGAATCGCTTGAACCCTGGAGGCGGAGGTTGCATTGAACCGAGATCGCACCACTGTAATCCAGCCTGGGTGACAGAGCGAGACTCCATCTATAAAATAAAATAAAATAAAATAAAATAAAATAAAATAAAATAAAATAAAAATAGAACCACCATATGAACCAGCAATCTCATTAGTGAGTATATATCCGAAGGAGAGGAAATCAACGCAGATGTTTTGGGTTGTGGTAAATAAAAATCAGCTGATAATTTCCAATATTAAAACTTGTTAAAAAAATTAAGTTCCGGTGAGTACTGTTCCAAGCTACAAAGCAGGCTATTTTACTGAAATATTTTACTTTCCTGACATACTTCTTGACATAAACTCTAATTATGTAAAATGTAAAAATATGATTGTTAAGAATCTGAATGCAGTGCAGTGCCCAAACTTGCCCTTGCTTTTATTCTGACTTAAATGACTCTCTCTGCAATTATTTATTTCACTCACACTAACCCATTTTTGGTTGGCACCTCTTTGTCTGACATTCACATTTTGGTGGATAAAGAATAACAATGCAGACAAGCAGACAGCAACATACTAATGCTAAAAAGTAGACTTTAGGACTCAGAAATGTCAGCGGCTATAAAAAAGGAAGAAAATGTCAGCTTCAGTGACACCCATGCCTGTCAGCACCACACTCCACAACCTCTAATCACAGTCTTTAGTTCATTTTTGGTAAATCTTCCTTCTGTTAGTCTTTATTCCATCATGATTTTCAATTCACCTACAAGCTTTGTTGAGCCTTTTCAATGTGGCAGACAGAATAGAAGGTTTTTTTTTTGTTTTTTGTTTGTTTTTTGTTTTTTGATTTTTTTTTTGCTTTTCAAAACCAACGCTTTTATGGAAAAAAAATGATTTTTTAACTTGCAAGTGGTAGTACAGCAGATCTCTATGGATTAAATATATAGCTTCCAAACAGTTTTTTTTTTTCACTTCTGCACGTAAGTGTGTAAAATATAGAAAGATGGGTGAAATGCCTGTAGAATACACTCTAATAACTGATTAAATTATTTGTGTGTGTGTCTGTGAATCCTGAAGGGCTGTGTTCATCCCACAGAGGGACTGGCTATCCGTGCTTTTTCTTTAGAATTAATACATCTTCCGTATTAAGCAATGTGGTAAATACTACTGACTGACTGATCCAGAAGCTATTCACAGCCACCACTTCTGTGTCATATGGCACTACAGAGGATAGGAAAGTTAAGTACTGGCCAAACTTGTCTTACCCGACCCCATAAAGAATTGTCATGGATTTTGTTAAACAGAATGAGAAGAACTACCAAAAGGGTTTCTGGGAAATTTTCTCTTACCTGATACAAGGGGACAGGTGTGGCTGATTCTACTCATCCCTCTTCCTTTTCTTTCCTTCCTGAAACTGAAGTGATGTTTGTAGCTGTTGTCGCCCTCCATGACCAGGACTTGAAGGCCATAAGATAAAAGCCAATACTCTACAGATGATAGGAAATAAATGATGTGGATAGATAGAAGATGGAGCGATGAATGGAATTGCTTTGAACTAAAAGGCTTCCTCACAGCAAAGAAAACAATTAACAAAGTAAAGAAACAACCTACAGATGTATTTGCAAACTATGCATCTGTCAAGGAGTTAATACCCAGAATATTCAAGGAACATAACTCAACTAAAAAAATCAGATTAAAAAATGGGCAAAAGACCTAAATAGATATTTCTTAAGAGAAGAAATATGAATGGCCAAGAGGTATATGAAGAAATTGTCACCATTACTAATCATCAGAGAAATATAAAATAAAACCACAATGAGATATAATCTCACCCCAGTTAAAACAGCTTTTATCAAAAAGACAAGCAATAACAGAGGCTGGCGAGGATGTGGAGAAAGGAGAACCCTCACACACCAGTGGTGGGAGTGTACAGCCACTGTGAAAAACTGTAGGGAGGTTCCTCAAAAAGTAAAAACAGAACTACCATATGACTCAACAATTCCATTACTGAGTATATATCCAAAGGACAATCAGTTTATCCAAGAGATATCTGTACTCCCATGTTTATTGCAGCACTATTCACAATGGTAGATAGATAGATGGATAAATAGATAGCACACACACACACACACACACACACAAACATGGACAATGGAATACTATTCAGCCATTAAAAATAATGAAATCCTGACATTTGCTGCAACATGGATGAACCTGAAGGACAATGTATTAAGTGAAATAAGCCAGGCATAGAAAGACAGACATTGCATGAGCTCATTCATATGTAGAATCTAAAACAGTTGTTTTCACAGAAGTAGAGAGTAGAATATTGGTTATTGGTTACCAGAACCTGGGGAAGGGAAAGAGAAGGGGAGAATTGGGAGAGGTTGACCAATGAATACAGAGATACAGGAAGGAAGAATGATATGGTGCTCTATTATATAGTAGGGTGACTAGAGCAAATAACAATGTAAAGTGTATCTCAATGTAGCTAAAATAGAAGATTTTGAATGTTATTAAAACAAAGAAATGACAAATGTTTAATGTAATGACTGTAAAAAATGCCTAGATTTGATCATTATACAATCTTTACATGAATTGGCACATCACAATGTACCCCATTAAAATGTACAATTGTAATGAGTTCATTATCCATTTAAAACATTAATTTAAAAAATAAAGGAAATTGGTTCTTGTACATATTATTAATTTGACCATCACACTGAAATATAGTTAGCAAATGCTACCATCTAGAATTCTTGTCAGGTGGGGAAAAACAACAGTTTACTCCACCGATACATAGAGTTTCTCTTGTTTTAAGGCTAGAATAATATCTCATATACATATGTGTATGTATATGTATATTTCTATATAGATACATATACATTTATACACATACACATATGTTTCAAAGTAACAAAATATATCTAAATAAACAACACATATAGGGTATATAGGGAAGAATCAGAATCAAAGAGGAGATTCCTTTACATCTGTAAGTAACCTTAATAGAAATGTCATGTAAAATTATCTCTATTTACAGATTGGTATTAATTTCAGTATTCCAGTAGGAAAGCATAATTGGGAAGGATTGATTCATGAAGTGCTAGCTGAAAGGGAGGTTAGCATTTTACCTGCCTCCTCTCTGTCTCTTTTACAGAGGAGGAAACTGCAGTACAGATGTATCACTTGGCAAAGATCATAGCTGCTTAAGATGCCACAATTTTATTTCAACTAATTTTGTCCAGTTTCATCAACATTCTATTACCCAAATAATGATTCTTGAGAATCCCAAAGACTATTATTCCATCAACAAAGATGTGTAAACTCTTATACAATAAACAAATAGAGGCTGCCATTTATTGATGGTTTATGGATTACATCATTTAATTTAGAATTCAACTGGAAAGAAGAAAAATTGCAAATGTTTCAGCATCATATAAGGGACAGAATGTTTAAAGCACTTTTTAGATTGAATGCTCACAGTAACTTAAAGTTACCTAGTTTCTGTTTCTAAGGAGCAAATTGAAGTCAAGTACACATAACTAGTAACTAGAGAAGCTAGGATTTTGTACCCAAGTTCCCAAGTTTGATAACATCAAACTCATGCATTTTCCACAACACAAAAAGACTTCTGAAAAACAAAACAAAACAAAACAGTAGACTTTGCTCCCTTGATTGATTAAACAATGGAGAGTTTTGAGGTTATACTTCCTCCTCTTTTCAGATCCAGCATATCCAAATACCTTTTAATACTGGTTGCTTGTAATGCTTCCCAACTCAGTCATACAGACCTCTGTCTTTTATGCTGCCTAAATTTTGATAAATATTTGTTTTTCCTACTATATTTCAAGTGTGTGTGTGTGTGATAGTTTTATTACTTGGTCAATTAATATCACAAACGTTGTAGACTTATAAAAGACCAGACTTCTAGAGACTTGTGGAAATGGTTTCTGTGATTTTCCAAAATTTGACCCATTTGTCATGGTTAGTATTCTGCTGATAACATCATCATTTTCTTCCAGCCTCAGGATTCAGTGACCTGGTTTTAATCTCAAAGTTTCCGGTTGTTTTGGGACTATATGCAGATTTGCCCTATCTGTAAAGATTCTGGGTCAATGATTTTGAGGAGTGTATTTGTTGGAGTATTAAACCTTTCAACAGTAATGACATTGATTAAATAGCCTTTTCTTTTATTAAGCAAGGATACCAGACAAAACAAAATTTTTCTATGATTACCATCATTTGATAAGAGGATGGACATTTAACTCCATAAATGTAAGAAGACAATATATAAAATTAAAGACCTATCCTTAAAAAATAAATTGAGTCTTATGAAAAATTCACTTATATTAAACATTTTCATTTTACCCTAGACAAGTGAAAATTTCCGTAAAAAAATAATATCCATTGCTATGATTGTATCTCTTTACTTTTTTTCCTGAATAGGTACCTTTTATTACCTCTGCGTAAAATATATTTTCCCACCAATTCTCTTATTTTATTCTTACTCATTGTTTATATATAAACTTTAGGAAATTGTCCTCATACTCCTGGATAGCTACAGAATCAACCTCTCATAGCACTTATTCATATTATCTATGAATGTTGTAATTTCACATTTGCTTATGTGCTAATTTGATTAGTGTCTCCCTTCCCAACTAGACTCTTGGCTCCACGAAGGCAGAGACTAACCATTTTTTGCTCAATATTACAGTCCTGCTCCCTAACAACTTGACACAGTAAGCTCTCACAAAATGTTTGCTGAATTAATACATGGATGAATACATCAGGAAGCTGATAAGCATCTCACAAGTTTGTTAATACCTGGGGTTAACTTAATTATACATATATATGAATATATTTAAGTAAACTTTTTAATATTAGGACAGTTTTGGATTTACAAAAAACATACAGTTATAGAACAGAGTTGCCATATACCACACAGCTAGTCTCCCCTATTATTGGCATTTTACATTTCATAACAATGACACATTTATTATGATTAATAATACAATGATATGAATACACTAATATTAACGAAAGTCCATACTCTTTTCAGATTTCCACAGGTTTTACCAAACATTTTTTTTTTGCTGTTCCTGGATCCCAACTGGACTGATGCACATTTATTCAACAGGTCCCCTTAGGCATCTCTAGGTTATAACAGTTTAATTTTTCCTTATTTTTGAAGACATTGTCAGTCTTGAGGAGTGCTGGTCAGGTATTTTGTAGAATGTTCATCAGTTGGGATTGTCCACTATCTTTCCATGATGAGACTAGGATTATGGATTTGGGGACGAAAATCACAGAGGCAAAGGGCCATTTTTGTTACATCATATCAAGGGTACATATTATTAATTTGACATCACAGTTGACGTTAACCACCCAGCTGCAGTAGCGTTTGTTAGGTTTGTCCACTCCAAAGTTGTATATTTTCCACTTTCCCTTCTTAACGCTGGAAGAAGATTGCTATACACATTAATAAACAAAATTAAGAAAGAAAGGACATTTTTAATAATAGCATATTTTTATTGGAGATTGTAACATCCACAATATTGCATTTGAAGTCCTCATTGTATGGCATTATTTTCAAAGATATAAGGCAAAAACTAGCCTTCTGTTAGTGTTTAATGAATTATTAATCTTTAAAAAAACTTATAGACTATGATATTTAACACTTCTGTTAAACATCTTAAATATCATTGTAAGCTAAGAAAGAAGGCAACAACACTAAAATCTCAGTCTTTGAAAAGTAAAAAACTGAGAAGCTAGATTTTCATGTAAATACTTGAGTATGGGAGGGAGGGGCTTTCATCCCTTTGAGTATTTAGTAATTCGTGCAGCCAGCACAAGAATTGGGCTTTCTGGCCCATACATGAGTTTAAATGCAAAATAACTATTCAAACTTTGAATTTTATTTACTATTGCCACCATGAGGTGCAATATCAGGTAATGTGAAAATATGATCCTTCATTGATCATTATAATAAAATGTAAGGTTGTTGTTTTCTATATATGTTTATATATTATTGTACAAAATCAGTAAATATACATCAAACTATAATGAATCTCAAAAATATTTGAGCTCATGACAATTACAATAATACAAAGTTAATTATATTATCACTCTACTTATTCTAAAGGGCTTCTACATCCAGAGACAGCGACCAGGACAAGGAAAGTCTTGGATGACATGTCAGAGAGAAACAGAAAGGAGTCAGTGATATTTCTATTTTAAAAAAAAAAAACGGACTGCAACATGTGACACTTGTATTTGTATGCTGGAGGAAGAGAAAGTTGAATTATTGTGTGTCTTTGAAAAAGAAAGTTGGATTATTGTGTGTCTTTCTCAAATCAGAACTAGTACAAATGGATGAATGTAATGAGAGAGATTTTTATTCAGTAAAAGTATTTCCTAATATTAAGTTGTCAAAAAATTTAATTGCTATATTGTGAAGCAATGGCTTTCTATGTCATTGAAAGATTTCCAGGAGAGAGCTGTCTGAAAGAATCTTTTCAGGAGAGATTTCTAATTGGGCAGGAAATGGGGCTAGATAATCTCCTGATACCTTCCAGTAAGAAGGTTTTAGGAAACCACAAGTCAATGTATTCTTAGGAGACTCCAAGTTGTTGTACATGGTACCTGTTCAAAACTATTTGTCTTGATTTGCAACTAGATATGTGCTTTAAAGTCCACTTATTTCCAATTGCTCTGCTACACTGTATTTTTCTGTACTTGCCACTTAGAAAGTGACTCAGTGAGTTATAGAAACAAAATTTATTTAAAAAAAATTTGTCTATCAGACATTTCATTATGAGAGACAGAGATTTATGATGGACAAAAGGAACTACACCCAGAAACACAGGGAACATCTACCATGGACAGCACCTCTGTTTCCTCATGACCACAGCAACTTTTCCCTACTCTAAAGCACAGTGGCCCCACGGAACATGTAAGAATTTAAGGAGTAGTACATGTGAATCTCTTATTGCAGTGCTTACTGTAGCTAAATGTGTTTTTCTCTCTTCTGTCTTCATTTTTCTTTACATTCTCAGCAATGTTTCCTTCAAACAACTGTTGATTGATAAGGGACTCATTCATTCACTTCTTATTTGCTCCATATGGGCTGTGTTAAGTACTGGAAATACAAGGATACAGGCAGTAGTTGCTGTGTGATCTGAGCCAGCCAGCACTAGGCCCCATCTTCACAGACACTCTCAGGGATCAGTTGCCGTCTTTCTCAGTTGTGACTGCCTGACAATTCAACAGTCTTGTCTGCTCTTCAGGGACAGCAGTTCCTTATTCTCGTCTTGTGTGGCTTCTCCCTCCTGGTTTCCTGTGATATTTGAAAGCTTCTAGCCATGTTTATCCAGGCACTGAGAGCCAACACTGCTTCCCAGTTCCAAAGACAGTCCTTGCTCAGACTGCGTGAATGCAACGATTCTGATCATTGTTTCTCTGATGATGTCAGTTGGTTATAAATTAAGTATTTAGGAACTCTAGTGGTATTACTATAGGCTGATTTGCACTGGGACTAATTAATAACGTAAATGTTAGGTTGTTTTCTAACATATGCAAGTACATTTTATGGTTATTCTGAAAAAGCTACATATGACATGAGTTAAAGGCATGATTTTCAAATTAAACTGTGAACTTTACATTAAGTGAAAACATGCAACTGGATAAAGATATGTTGTATTAGTTTCTATTGTTGTCATATCAAATTCCTACAAACTAAGGTGGTTTAAGAAAAACCCACACATTTATATATTATCATACTGTTCTGTAGGTCATAAGTCCTAAATGAATCAAACAGGGGAGAAATTGAGGTGTTGGCAGGGCTGTGCTGCTTTCTGGAGGCTCTAGAGTAGAAGTGCAGCCTTTCACTGCTATTGGACTACTGCTTTCTTTGAATTGCATTCCCTTCTCCATCTTCAGAGCCAGAAATACTGGGTTCAGTTCCTCTTTCACTGCTGTCTCTTGTTCTCTCACTTTGACTTCTTACACTTGTAGAGAATCACATTAGACCCACTTGGATAATCTAGGCTAATTTCCCCATTTTAAGGCCAGCTGATTAGCAATGTTAATGGTATCTGTAACCTTAATTCTCTATTGCCATATGACATGGAATTGTCACAGGTTCTGGGAGTTAGGACATAGACATCTTTGCGTGGGCATTATTCTTCCTACCACAGATGGGTAGAGTTAAATCTTATAAGATGAAACCAAGATAAAATGTCAGTTTTGAATTATTGACAAAATAACATTTTTCAAATTGCTTTCCAGTTACACATTGTAACTTATAAATCAGAAAATTTTAGGAGTCTTTAAAATGTATGAACAGTTATCTTTTTTGGGTAAGGACATATATAAGATGGATTTTGGATGGCGAGAATCTTCACAGGACTATTTTGACCCTAAGGAATGACAGTGAGGAAAGCTGAAAGGTTATAGAAGACAGATAATTAAAGTGAGTTCTAATGTCCAGCTCAGGCTGGGGAGACATTCTAGACACCTAGTACTGAATGAATAGTTCAATGGGAAATGTCGCTTGTGTATGATGGAATAATGTGATAATGACTAGCCCTATAGGTTAAAATAAAGGCTGAGCATGAATTTTATTTTCTTCTTCTGATTCCGTAATCTATTATTTTACTTTCAGTTTCCTCATAGCCAGGCCTTAACCATTTTGTGTCTCTAGTTCTGAGATTTCATGATTTTTACTTTCTCATCAGTCTATATTTTCAATTCCATCTAGATATATTTAAGCCCATGTGACATGATGTTTGCATTTGTTTCCTAGTGCATTAAACTTTTTTATTATTATGAAGTGACCATATCTATATTTAGTAATATATTTGCTGTGAAGTTTGCTTTGCCTAGTATTAACAAAGCTACAAACCTTTCTTTTATGGTTTGCACTGTATTTTTTCCTTTTTTCTGGTTTTTAAAATACATATTTATTTAATTTGTAAATTAACTGTTTTAGTCTGTTTTCACACTGCTATAAAGAAATACCTGACACTCAGTAATTTATGAAGGAAAGAGGTTTAATTGACTCATAGTTCCTCATGGCTGGGGAGGCCTCAGGAAACTTACAATCATGGTGGAAGCAAAGGAGAAGCAAGCACCTTCTTCACAAGGCAGCAGGAGAGAGACAGCAAAGGGGGAACTGCCACACACTTTTAAAACCATCAGCTTTCATGAGAACTCACTCACTATCATGAGAACAGCATGGGGGAAACCACTCCCATGATCCAATCACCTCACACCAGGTCCCTCCTCTGACACATGGGGATTACAATTTGTGATGAGATTTGGATGCGGACACAGAACAAACCAAATCATTCAGTTACATGGAAGCATTACTTAAAATGTCATAATGTCAGTCTAAAAGCTTCAAATCCATTTAGTTATTAAACACTTAGAGAAATATTCTAATTATGTCAATTTATTTATTTATTTGTTTTCCTTCTTTATTTTATCAAATTTTATTTTAAGTTCTGGGGAACATGTGTAGGATGTGCAGGTTTGTTACACAGATAAACATGTGCCATGGTGGTTTGCTGCCCAGATAAACCCCTCATACAGGTATTGAGCCCCACACCCATTAGCTGTTCTTCTTGATGCTCTCCCTCCCCTCCAACAACAACCAGCCACAGTGTGTGTTGTTCCCCCGATGTGTCCACGTGTTCTTGTCATTCAGTTCCTGCTTATAAGTAAGAAGACGTGGCGTCTGATTTTCTGTTCCTGTGTTAGTTTGCAGAGGATAACAGCTTCCAGCTCCATCCATGTCCCTGCAAAGGACATGATCTTGTTCCTTTCTATGACTGTATAGCATTCCATGGTGTATATGTACCAAGTTTTCTTTATTCAATCTACTATTTATGGACATTTGGGTTGATTCAATGTCCTTGCTATCGTGAATAGTGCTGCAATGAGCATACACGTGCATGTGTCTTTATAATAGAATGATTTATATTCCTTTGGGTTCATACCCAGTAATGGGATTGCTGGGTCAAATGGTATTTCTGTTTCTAGATGTTTAAGGAATCACCACACTCTCTTCCACAATGGTTGAACTAATTTATATTCCCACAACAGTATAGATGCATTCCTTTTTCTGTGCAACCTTGCCAGCATTTGTTGCTTCTTGACTTTTTAATAATCACCATTCTGACTGGCCTGAGATGGTACCTCACTGTGGTTTTGATTTGCATTTCTCTAATGACCAGTGATGTTGAGGGTTTTTTTAATATGTTTTTTGGCTGCATGAGTGTCTTATTTTGTGAAGTGTCTGTTCATGTCCTTTGCCCACTTTTTAACGTATTTTTGTTCTTGTAAATGTGTTTAAGTTACTTGTAGACGCCAGATATTAGGCCTTTGTCAGATGGATAGATGGCAAAAAATTTCTCCCATTCTGTAGGTTGTCTGTTCACTCTGAGGATAATTTCTTTTGCTGTGCAGAAACTCTTTAGTTTAATTAGATTGCATTTGTCAATTTTTGCTTTTGTTGCAATTGCTTCTTGCGTTTTTGTCATGAAATCTTTGTCCATGGCTATGTACTGAAAGGTATTGCCTAGATTTTCTTTTAGGGTTTTTTAGTTTGGGTTTTACGTTTAGGTCTTTAATCCATCTTGAGTTAATTTTTGTATAAAGGGTAAGGAAGTGGTCCAGTTTCAATTTCCAGAAATGGTTAGCCAGTTCTCCCAGAACCATTTATTAAATAGGGAATCCTTTCCAAGTTCTTATTTTTTCAGGTGCAAGGTATTTTTCTAAATTTTGACTTTCAATCTTCCAATATCTTTAGAATTCCTCTTGTAAAAAGTGTATCTTATACTTGGATATAAATCATCATCTTACTGTATGCTTACTATTTGTTCAACCTGCTCTAGTTTGCTTTCTTTTTTTATTTTTTTATGAACTTCTTTTAGTAGGTATTAGCATTATTTTTTCACTTATTCCTTTGTTAATTTAGAAGATACACATTCTGGCTACTTAGTTAAGGCTTTCTCTAGGAAACAAACAATCCATTTTGACATAACAAAATTTAATACTAATTACATTTGCTTCCTTTGGATATTTTTGTTATTGCTTTTGCAATATATTTTAATTTTGTTTATTTATCTAAACACTACAAGAAATTATTCCCATTTTAATACAAACAATGTTCATCTAGATTCATCTATGTATTCATTTTCTCCTGTACTATTTACTCCTTCTGACATCTCCAAGCCTCTATCTGGCATGATTTTTCTTTGCCTGAAATAGCACCCCTTACTTTGCTCACCACCTGGTTGATGGTTTCAATTATACTCTAAACCTCAGCATCACAAAATACACCTTTGTAACAAACCTACACATGTACTTCCTGTTTCTAAAATAAAAGTTGAAAACAAAACAAACAAAAAAATAGAACACAGTATCTGACACATCATAGGCAAGTATTCAATAAATATTTGTTGAATAAATAAAAAATACAAAAAATTTAAAAGTACCCTGAATATTTCTTTTAGTAAATCTTTATTTTGTTGAATTTTCTTTATTTTTCTATTTGTCTGAAAATAAATTTATTTTATCAGGACTTTTAAAAAATATTTCCAAGGTATAATAGCAGTTATTTTTTTCTGATACTCTACAAATATCATGTAGTTGTTTTGTTTCTTATATTTTGTTTTCTATTAAAAGTATCTATTGCTTCCAGTTAGAGCCAAGAAGGAAAAAAAAAACACTGCAGCCATCTTTCCCACCGGTTATACCTCAATGCACTAGATAAAATGCAAAAGGCAACTAACTATCTGAGAACATTGTACAATAAATAATAGCAAGAACTTTTTTGAAAGAAGTAAAAATTGAATAATGATTAATATGGCAAACAGGAGTTTACCTGTTTTTATTTTGTTTTCCTTTCTTTTTCTTGCTTCCTTTATCTCCCAGCATGGACTTGAGGTCAAGACAAATTAAGTCATGGACAACAAACAAAAACTCTGAGAGAGCATGTCTTGCTGATCAGAGACCTGGGAAGAGGCCTCTGCGAGCCAACAGCTGTGGAAGACATCTCTGTTACTGTTCCTTTGTTTTGGTTCCTGAGCTGACTCCAAGGCCCCCCTGGCCATGCAGCTGCTGCCATGGAGCCTGGGGCAGCCGGGCCAGCTGGAAACTCAGAGAGAAAATCCACCCTCTATCTAAAGGTTCTGGAAAAATTAGTTTTTGTGGCATGAGGGATCCCCACTCTTCTCTCCTTTTCTCATGCTGTTTTCTCCAGTCATGAGGAAATGTGCATCAGTACAGGAAACTAAACTCTGAGAAGAGCCTTGGATTTCTGGAGAGAAGACCAAAGAGAGTGATGCTGCGATCCAGTAAGAGTGGGGAACTCCCACTTAGGAGTGAAGGGAAGGAGGCGATATCCCGATTTTATGTGTGAACTGCAAGAAGCTCTGGGCCCACCCCAAGCAATGCACGTGTGGAACACCCAAATGACAAAGCAAAGGCTTTGAAACTGAACTGCTATAGGAGACATTGCACAAAAATCAGACAGAACTGTCTAAATCTAATCATGTTGTTCACCTGCCAGATAGTTCTTGTGGTAGGCCAAAAATGCTCCTCCCAAAATATCCACATGGAAAACCTGGAACCAGATAAAGGGTCCTTGCAGATCTACTTCAGTTAAAGATCTTGAGGTCAGACTGGAATACCTGAGTGGGCCCTGGGACCAATGACAAGTGTTCTGATAAGTGACACACACAGAAAGAAGCAATGTAACCACAGAAGCGGAGGTCAGTGTGATGTGGCTGTGAGCCAGGGAATGCTGGCAGCCACCAGAGGCTGGAAGAGACAAGGCTTCTGCATTACAGAGTCCAGAGGGATGTATCCTGCTGGCATCTGATTTCAGACAAATGGGCCACAGAATTGTGAGAAAATGAATTTCTGTTGTTTGAAGGCACCAAGTTTGTGTAATTTGCTTTGAAATTGTTTTAGGAAATTTTGGAATTTTAGGAAACTAATACAGTTCCCTATTGCTGTGTAACAGAATACCCCAAAACTTTGTGACTTTAACTAAATATTTATTATCCTATAATCTCTGTATGTCAGGAGTCCACATGTGGCATAGCTGGGTCTTCATCCTGTTTTTTTTTTTTTTTTTGGTTTTCTCCCCTACTCTCCAACCTCTACCCCTGCCACCACCCGCCTGATACTGTAGGAGGGATCAGCCCCTAAAGAAGTGGGGGTGCATGCTGGGCCCAGCCTCCTTGCCCACCCCCACTTTCCAGGGCAGAAAGGGCCCAAGGTTATAATAAGAAGTAAATAACTTGTCTGTACAGCCTGTGCCTGTCTGAGTGGTGTGAGATGGGGTGCAGGGTAGGGGAGAGCTGGCATGGGCCTCTGGTTGGGACATCTTTGTGTGTTGAGCCAGCCCTCAGCATGTGACTGACATGTGCTGAGTCCTCAGCATGTGATTAGTGTGGGTTAGAATGTACTGGATTTCTAAAAATGCTCTCAAGGGTCATCTGCTATCTCATCTGAAGTCTTGTAAGAGAAGTGTCTGCTTCAGAGCTCACTATGGAGCCAACGCACATGGAAGGTGATCCCATAAGGGTGTAAATGCCAGGAAGTGAACATCACGGAGGTGCATCTTACTAACCTACCCATCAAAGTCTGATGATTCATATCCCTTATATATTATGCCAAATATATTTACTTATTTCCAAGGTTCCCAAAAACTTCACCCTATTACAACATTGCATATTTTAAAGTCTTCAATTATTTAATAAGAAATGATCATGGAAATAAAAATTGATAACTTTCTACTAATACTTGTTCATATAGCTGGTGAAATAATGAATAAAAAATTGGTAAATTATTAATTGGAAGCAATTACTGTTTTTTACAATTTATAAATTCTACCTTTTAGAATCTACTCAAGTCCACTTTACCTAAAATAATAGTTCACTGGGAGTGAATGCTCACCTAAAATATAGCAAATGCTCATTATGTGAGAGTTGGTTAAGAAATGAGCTGAACCCCACCCACCCCACAACAGCATAGCCTCTGCCATGCTTTGCTTTCCAATGTGAAAGCATAGAATTTAAATAAAATGAGTTGAAAGCTGTGCCAATACAGCTTAAGACAAGTCCCTAAAGCCTTCACCCTCATTCTAGTAGACATCATTTACTAAGTATTAAATATTAACAACTATTGTAAATATTTTGGAGCCACTCTGAATAATGATAAAATACAATTTTACATTGTCAGTGTTTGCCTAGGTATTTTTAGCCATTATGATCAATTATTTCTGGAAGAAAAATTATAGCAACTATAATTATATAGAATTTTTAAAAACTGGGTATGAAAATCCCTGTCTCACAAAGTTACTTTTAGAAACTAGTGAGCAAAGAGAAAAGAAAATGATCAACACATTGATCTAATTATTCTAACACAGGTTGTTTTTCGTTTTTTGTTTTTGCTTTTATCCTTCCCCTGTCTGTTCTCCAACTAGCTTTACAATAAAATGTGATTCATCATTAAAAAGTTTATATACATATGTATGTCTTATTTCAATAGCATAATTTTTAAACTGTCAAACTTATTATTTTATATGCATTTTAATCCTTTTTTCAGTTTTATTTTATGCCTGATAATCTCTTGAGTGGAATTTCTTTAAATATTTATCACAATGTTTTTATTTCTGCACCTATTATTAACAAGCTATTCAAGTCAGACTTATACAAGCCTATACTCTCAGAATATTGGCAAATAAAGAAAAAGGTCTACATCTTTCCATAAGGTGTTATTTCCAGTATATCTTTAGAATTAAAAAATAAGAGAAGTAGAACTGATATCTAACTAACCTAAGCAAAACTTTCCTAGCTACTCTTTCTGCCTAATTTCTTTCTTTATGCTAATTAACCATATTAATTGTTTCATCAATGCATTCTGCCTTCTCTGAAATCAATGTGACTTTCACATTTTTTATTGCTATGCCTAATAACTTTTCAACATTTATGTAGTACTTTCCATATCAGAATACATTGGAACCTAATACTTTTGAATGGAAACTGATTGCAAGAACAAAAGAACATGTAATTAGAATATAGAAACAGGAGGTGAAAGAAGAAATACATAACTTTTAATATGCAACAGACATATGGATCTCCAAACAGTTAAAACAGTAGTATAGGGGAATCATATGACGGTGAGCACTTATTACAAGGATGAAAAACAAGCAGTAAAATGCGGCTTGTCCCTCCTTAGGCTTACAGAGGGTAGAGACATTTGCATCTTCACTGTTTTGTTGTTGCTGTTGCTTTTAACTAAAGCATTGACTTTTCAAATGCTTGTCAGCTGAAGCACAGCATTCTAACTGAATAGACGTTTGAAGAAATATGGCATGACAATATTCCTAGGATTTTAGGTCAATGCAAATTTGGATCTAGATAAGGAAAAAAAACTTTGGATTCAAAGTTTAACATTCTGTTCTTTCAAAAGAACACAATTATATTTGTCTCACAAATATAAGTTCATATCTTGTTTTTAAGAAACTCTAATCATTTCTGTAACAAATTCCCTACTCTCAGGTATTTTTCTGTGTTTAACTCTAGAAGCATCCATATAAGTCAGTCGAAGGAGAGGAAACAATCCCTAGAGAAACATTGCATTTCTTTTCTATTTTTTTCTTTGTTTTTCAGTCATTCTGAAACCTATGCCCTCTTGTGCAACCTCAACTCTAATATGGTGACAACACCAGATTAGCAAGGGTGGGTTGGGAGTGAGAGCTCACTCTTGCCCAAACTAGACATACCCATGTTTAGCCTCCTTGTTGAGGGATGAGCCTGGGTAAGGCTTGGTGTATTTACACCTATCCTGGAACCACCAGAAAAAAAAAAAAAAGGAAAATCTGTTTTTATTCACACTGGAAGCACATTTCCACATGTATCAACCAAAAATTCAAAAGGCAGCGTGACACAGAGTTTTGAAGATTATAGAAAGAAACATATCATCCACCAAGAGTGAGGGGTAAATTGCACAGCCAATTGGAAAACACTTAGCATTGCCTGGTAAAATTGACCATGCACATATCCCATGACTGTCAACCCCATTCCCAGAGGATCCCATCACCATATGCATGGCTATTATGATGGCGTTGTTTGAAATAGCCATAGACTGGAAACTAGACAGTTGCCTTTATTGGCTAGTGGTCCTCCTGTCGTTTTAGAAAGGTATAGTGGCCACAATCCTTTCTTAGGTTTCAAAGCAAAGTCTACTCTGTGCAAGGATACTTGGATCTGAAGGGTCATTTACATAAGAACAATTTTGTGTGTTCACGTGCTGGTGACAGAGTTATATATTTCTGCTTGATCATTTGTATATTAGACTCCTGATCTCCCTTAGGACTTCTGAAATGCCTCAACATCGCATGGAACAATTGCGGACTGAGGAGAGAATTAACACAAAGGCATGGATGATGACAAGTACTTTTTCTAAAATAATTATCATTAATGATACCTAGATTGATACTCAGTAAGGTGAGGTTTGTGGTTTTGTATATTTTGTTAGACTATATTTCTCATAGAATTATTAATAACGGGGGAAAGAATTATTTAGGTTATTAAAGAGTTAAAATAATGAGAAGATAGCTACAATAAAGAGACACAGGAATGTGGAAGGAAGCAACGGTTGTAGTGGAAAGAGAGAAAATGCAGAGAAGCCATTTCTAATAATACAGACCAGGCTCTATCTAATGTGAGACAATGGCAATCTTCTGACTGTTCCCTTCAGTCTCTATGCTAACTCCTTTCCTCCTAGCCTACTACTCCTCAAACCTTCCTAGCTGCAATTCTAAGATCACTAAAGGTAAATCAATAATGCTGTCTTGAAACCCAGTACTATATTATTCCCGAATGCTTTTACTTAAATATATTTAGGGATTATATGCTAACTAGTTATTTTCATTTGCTTAAGTAATGTAGGGGTTTATAATGCTTGTTAATGGAAATCTATGTGTATTATTGAACTCATAAATTGGGCCAGAACTCTCAGTTTTCTTACAATAAGTATTCCAGAATAGCTTTCATGAATGTCTCATTCTGAGAAGAACACCAAACAGTTGATGTGAAGTTACATATATACTGAAGGATTTTATAAAGCCTGAGAAACCCTGGCTAGGTATTCCTTGAATCATTACTTACATTGTGCTTTGTGAGATTTGAAATGTTAGTTGCTATTGCTTGTAGCCAGTCAACGCAGTCTTCAGCAGAGAGGCACTGAATAATCCCAGTGCAGACCCCATCCACAGCAATGACTTGAAAGGCATTCTGCCTGCAGATGTTCAGAACAAATCAGATCAAAACCTCATGTCATTGATCTATTTGCAGCTCGTAATAGTATCTGTTGAAAAGCTTATCTTTCATACAATATAAATATCAGCCTCCAAATTCATATTTGGTTACCTGACTTTATAAGCATCTCTGTTTTAAATGAAACACTGAAGATAGACCCAAATGACATACAATTTCAATTTCGTAGGAAGCATCTTTAGATTCAGGTAACTATGGAGAAACTTTGACTTCTAAAACATACAACATGTAGATAAAAGAGAATCTAAGAAATTTTAGATGCATTCTTTTCCCAGTTTGCTATAACATTATGCGTAGTTTACTTATTATTTTGGCTACCATTGTCTCCTCTTAACATTTGTCAATGCATTTTCTGACTTAGAAAGATCGTAAAAACAGGCAATAAAATATTAAGCGTGATATTAAAAAGTCACTAGATGATAACATGAGTGGCAGCACTTTGTCCATTGTTCTCCACCCTCATTCTCAGTCTGTTCATCTTCCCAAAGATGATTTGGAACAAGAGGTTCATACCTTCTTTCCAGGTGTAAATGATCATGCTCTCCATTTGCATGGATGTTGCCAATTTCATTAACATTAAACTTTTTCTTAAAATGCTATGATCAGTCTAAGCATTCTGACAGTATTTTATTGACTTTTGTTTTTGTTGTCATAGACAATTAAATGATGCCTTTTAAAATTGTTCACAAAAGTGCTATTGAATTTAAAAGTGTTTCATATAGCTTCAATGACTTCCTTACTTCCAGATATTGCAATGTTTAGATATAAACTTAATGGACAGGAATAGATAAAATCCCAAAATGGATGGAAACTAGCCAAAGTCTCAGGCTTAAGAATTACTTCATTGTGCAACACAATACACAAACTATATTTCAATTCCAGTCAATTTTGACAGTAACAGAAAACTTTTGCAATTCAGTATTCAAAATGCTATGTAAAATGTGTAAATTTATATGTTTTCTCCAAACACCTTTCCTGGCTCTTCTACTAGACATTTTTGGATATAAAACAGAGTTTATTCCCCAAACAAAGAAAACCCCATAGAGCATGTCTGGCTCAGGTCTACTGGTAGGTCTACGCCACTCTGCCTTCCTGTCTCAGAACTGGGCACATGGTAAGGCCTTGGGCATCCACGACTCTGAGGGTTCAAATTATTAATATTTTTAGAGAAACTGGTTCTCATATCTTGGACACAGCATTTTATAATGAAAAAAGGGATGTGCTTAGATATGCTCTTTTGTTTTCTTTTGAAAATATACTAAAAGAATTTCAGAAGTATAACTATTGTCCATCTTTTTGAAAGAAAGTTAGTTTGAATTTGTGACAGCATACACATTGAATGAAAAGAATGTTATAATTTCACATGATATTTTTAGCTTTAATTCTGATGTATAATGGCAAGTATGATGTTTAAAGTATTCAGACAGAAGTTTAACCATCCATAGAAAATGAGAAATAATTGGAGTTTAGTAATACATATTTCTTTCTGCTCTCTGGTTATAACCATTGCTTCATGTACCATAAATTAAAGCATATCTTGATCATATTTGTCTTCTCTGCTTTAAATAGCAGCTAGATTTTTTAGCTAATAAAAGTCAATACACTTAGATCAAATCTTCAATCTATGTAATTATAGATGTTACATAGTGCCTACATAGAATAATTCTGAGGGGCTGATCTTTTATGAAACTAGGCTTATAAGTTAATACATATCACTTTTTACATTCTGTTTCAACTTTTCAAATATGGAAACTCTTTTATGAACATAAGTGAAATACTTGAACAGTTTTTTTATTACATATGACCTCTTATAGTATAAGTTGATCATAAAAATTACAGTTATCTGGGGCCTCCATTACTAAGTAAAGAAGGTTATTAGTAAATTAGCTCACTTAGTTGGGCCTCAATTTCATCTAAAGTGAGAACAATTTACCATACAGATTTAACAAGTATTTTCTGAATAATTGGTGGATCTAAATACTTTAATACCTGGATGAAGTTCTATGTATAATATTCCCTTGAATAATCCATCAATATGCTCTTGATTGTAATATTTCAGTGTTAAAAGAAAATGTCCCCACATAGAATTATTGTCTCATCAAGCACTAGGGAAAAACTGAAGTGCTTTTGTTTTTATTTGTAGCTTTTAGAAAATGTAATTTTTTAACTCAAGATAAACAAAAATAGTTAATATTTATTATGAAATCAATAGACTCCATTACCCATTAATTTAGCATTGTGAGACATTAAACTTTTACAGCATTAACGGTAACCTTATGGATACTCAGACAAAATTATGTGTCATATATATATATATACACACACACTAAAAAAAATTACATCACTGAAGAGTTAGTCTGAAGTTTTTTGTTCAGGCTTGTTTTTCCACTCTGCACTTATACAGCTTTCTAAAGATTCTTGGTAACTGCTCTGGCAGTAAAAAGTATTTTTAAATGTTGCTCAATCTCAAAGTAGGTTTATTCATTTAAAATACAAATTTAGTCTTCCTTGAATGAAAAATATACTGCTCACTATACAAATTCATGAATAATTTTCAACCTAACATAAGCAATCAAATAAATATATATCATTTCTAATTAATATAGTTAGTGATTCCTGTTTTGATTCATTGTTGATTTTACCCCACATGAGGGCATGTACTTTCATGCACAAGGAGCAAGAGCTGCAGAGACTAAAATGTAAAAGTTTGGAGTGACTGGAATGAGCATGAGTTCTGGAAGCTCCCCATGGAAAAACAGGCAGGCTCAGAATGAGGTGGGCTTAAAGTCTGCAAGGAACCACTGCTCACCTCCATATAGAGGGCCAGAGTGGCTAGATTTGTGTGGCTTGGGTGGTCCTATTAGACCAGTGAGGAAAAGACTGTCACTGGTAAAACTTGAGATGATATGAAACTGAAATAAACTTATATTAGTGAGAGTGAAGATGAAGCAACTTAGTTCACTTAGTTGTGCCTCAATTTCCCCTAAAAATGAGAACAATTTACAGATTTAATAAGGATTTGATGAGTAATTGGTGGATCCCGGTACTTTCACATATGGCTGAAGTTCTATGTATAATTTCCCCCTTAAAGTCATTAGAAACGATGTGATTCAATAACTGCTTTTTAAAATGAATTAAGAAGAAGTGAGTAGAATCAAAGCTACTCCACCCTATTGGGCTAAACAGTGGAACGGCTTGGTTGGGGCAGGTAAGGGAAAGCAAAATTTTTAGAGAGGAGATAATTAATCCAAAAGCAAATGTCCAAGGCATGAAAAACATAGTATATCCAAAGAAATGTGGGTTGTCTGGCACATTGTGTGTGGATCTGAAGAAGAGGCAATCCATGAAGTTGGTGATCGGACAAGGTGTAATCAGTGATAACTCACATATCTTGCTGCAATTTTTCTCTCTGATCCTGAGAGTCAGGGGAGCCAGTGGAGACATTGAAGCATTGGAGGAAAAGGATCATGTTTATATTTTAGAAATATCTCTCTGTGGGGTGAAGGATATGGAAAAAAGAGAGAATAAAGTACACAAAATGAACAATGAGAAAAATCAGTCTCACAGAGTGGCCCTGTGTGTGAGGACAGAACATTGACTCATTTACTTGATTTCATTATCACTTAATTGGTAGGGGGATGTTATTGAAGGAAAGAAAGAAATAAGAAGAGGCCCCTTGGGTTTGTGACTGTTGCATTTTACTCTGTCTTGTTGAGTGTAATCCACACATAGCAGGCCTGAGCTGTTTCTTCCCTGTGTGCACTACCTTGGTTCACTGCCATGTCATCTCTTTTAATTTTTCAGGCACAAAACCTAAGCTGTTTAGATACATCAGGAGCTTTTTCAAGTTATTTTTTGTGACTTATTTTCCAGATCTTAAATTCACCAGTTGTTTCATGAATTGAAACCACATAACTTGTCATTCCCTAAAGAAGTCCTGCACTTTTTGCAACAGCGTCTTTCTCCCCAGTACTCCTTTGTCTGAGATGCCCATCTATGCTCCTTCAATATCTCTGAGGTCCTTGCAAGTCAGTTAACACCGTGAAACTCTCTGACCCGCAGTTCCTCTGGTCGTGAAATGAAGAAGGCAACACATATTCTGCACACCTCAGGCTGTATTTTGAAGACTATCGACTGGACTTCTTAACAACTGAAGAATCCGTTAAAAATACCAGTTGTATTATTTCTACCTGTCAAAATCCATTTCAAATGTTAAGAAGTTAACTCAGGTGCCATCTATTCCATGAGATTTTCTTTAACCCATGTATTTGGAATGAATCTCTTCCACTTTAGTGCCCCTCGACTTCCTGATTCCTTTATTGCAACACTTGTTCTCTGTGGTATTAAACATGTTTGTGTAGCGCTAAATACTGTTCGATCTTACCAAGCTGCTAGCTCCTTGAAGGAAAAGCCATATATGCTATTTTATACCTCTCATAGCATTAGCACAGTGCTCGGAATCTTTAATCTGTAAGTAAGAAACAAAAACAAACAAGTCCATCTCCACTTTACTTTAGCAATCTCCTGCTTTTGCTAACTTGAGATCTGATGTTATCCAAGACAGCTCCACTGTCAGACTTGAATTCTCACATTTCTGTTCTTTAACTACACCCTCTTCCTTTCCATCACCACCAAATTACCTTATTATTTTTCTGATCTTTCTTAGCCCTTCCAATTACCCTAGTTCATATATCTATCCAGGATCTAGCTGCATTGCCTAGACTGAGCTTCCTGTTCATCCACACAAATTACGTGGTTATTTTTCATTTTAGAATTTCCTGTCACTGTGACCTCCAGTCACTCCAATCTTACTACTTCCCAGCCCTCAATAAATCCAGTTTAACTAAATGAATACCCTTTTCTTCCTGGCATAGCAGGATTCCCTGGCAAAAGTAATAAATTGTGCAAAGAAGCACCAGTACAATTGATCTCTGGGACCCCAAGGTCCTTAGTTGCTCTTGTCTACTTTGTTACCTTTCTACCCTCACAGGAGCAGGTATTACATATGCAGATGCTTACCTGGACATCATTTTATTTATCTCTTCCTGGCTAATCCTAGTCACATAACAGCTCTTCCATAATTTCTCTGTCCTTTTATTCCTGAATCCTGCCATCTCGAAGGCATTTGAAGCAGAAAGCATTGTCATGCAAATTTTGAATATCTCATGACATCAGTAGAAGCACTACATTATACACCTTTAACCTATATTTGGTTAAAATTTATGGTCTTTGAAAATATATATTCGATCATTTGATCAAATGTAATTTTTTATTCTGTGACTGAAGCCTACCAGAATACATATACTTCTTCAAGGGTTATTTCTTTTTATTTTTATTGTTCAGTTTTCCAGAGATATTCAAGCACCCTGGAATACTGTCCTCCTCTGGCTATGGCAAAATTAAAATTAATATTAATTAATAAATTCATATCATTAAATAAGTGTGTTATAATAAACTGGAGAAATGAAACAAAGAGCGACTCTTTGGCAAGATAATTTGCCCTAGATTGAAAGAACTATACAAAATTCATCTAGAATTGTTCAAAGGAAGAGTGGACTTTTCCAAAGAGATTCATATATTTTAAGGGGATTGTGGCAGTTTCTTTTTTAATCCCCTACATAATTGTGTAAGAACAAGTGAAGAGGTTTATGCCAGACGAAGGAATACTTGCATGCCTTATGGAGAGGGTCTTAATGGTATTTAGTTGATGTTTTCTAAAAATTATTTATTGCTCCTGAGTTACACAGAGACCAGTCCTTGTGGACCTCCTGACCAATCTGTGAAGTGGAATGCAATCAATTCAACCTCTGTATCCACTTTTGAGAACCACATGTAACATCAGGATGATGAAACTGCAGGGGCAGCTGCCGCATCAGACGTGGGTGCTGTTTCTGTTTATGAGCACTTTTGCCATTGAGTCTTCCTTCTCTGCCGGGCATGGTGGCTCATGCCTGTAATCCCAGAACTTTGGGATACCTAAGCAGGTGGATCACTTGAGATCATGAGTTCGAGACCAGCCTGGCCAACATGGCAAAACCCCATCTCTACTAAAAAACACAAAAATTAGCCAGGCATGGTTGTGGGCACCTGTAATCTCAGCTACTCTGGAGGCTGAGACAGGAAAATTGTTTGAACTCAGGAGGCAGAGGTTGCAGTGAGCCGAGATTGCACCACTGCACTCCAGCCTGGGTGGCAGAGTGAGATTTGGAACCAACCCAAATGTCCAACAATGATAGACTGGATTAAGAAAATGTAGCACATATACATCATGGAATACTATGCAGCCATAAAAAATGATGAGTTCATGTCCTTTGTAGGGACATGGATGAAGATGGAAACCATCATTCTCAGCAAACTACCACAAGGACAAAAATCCAAACACCGCATGTTCTCACTCATACATGGGAACTGAACAATGAGAACACATTTACACAGGAAAGGGAACATCACACACTGGGGACTGTCGTGGGGTAGGGGGAGGGGGGAGGGAGAGCATTAGGAGATATACCTAATGCTAAATGACGAGTTGATGGGTGCAGCACACCAACACGGCACATGTATACATGTGTAACAAACCTGCACGTTGTGCACGTGTACCCTAAAACTTAAAGTATAATAATAATAATAAAAAAGTCTTCCTTCTCAATTAGTAACCAACATCATGATATGCTTAAATTTTATATTCCCCTTTCCCCCTCATCACATTTTATGAATATACTCTTACATATTGTGCTCCTTTCTCTACTGTCAATATGTTTCTTCTTACAAACTTTTTTTTATCAATTTGCTTCTACAATTATTCTATCCAAAGTCATCCCCAAATTAATCACTGCTCCTCAGTTCTTTCAGTATTTATTTTCTGTAGTTGATACAATCTACTCTTTCTTCTCCTTAAAACCCTGATTGAAATAACTTCTATGACATCCTTACGTGATAGTATTTTTTCTTTTTCTTCCTACCTACTTTTTTCTGCTTCACACATTCGCTGATTGTGCTTCCTCCTCAGATCCCCCAAAATATACATTCCTGTAGGTTTCCCTCCTTCAATGAACAACCATGAATTAAGTATTTACTATAAGTCAGATTCATATTTCGCTTTATTGTTAGAGACCCATTTGCTAAGATTGTTGTGTTGTTAAAAGCACAATTCTCATAACCACTAAACTTGCCTACTGTTTAGATACTAAATTTCATCCACCAGTGCCAAACCTGTCACCATCTGAAACGTCTTCATCTCAAGGTAAACAAGTGTGTGCACTCTGGGAGAAAACTAGAAATTCTACTGTCATTTGAGAATTTTTAAAGTCCAAAAGCCTACTTTCAATATTATCGATTTTCATAGTGTTTAAAAAGCATGCAGTAGATGATAATTCTACCTAAAGAAAAAACTAAGACATGAATTTTTTTATTAAAATTCATTTTATAAATATTTATTGAGTACTTTCAGCCATAAAGTATGCTAAACACTGAGAGTACTCCTCAAAATTATACTTCTCAAATTCAAATATATATATATATATTTATATAACATGTATATAATATTATATAAAGTGACAGGTGCATATATTTATATGCTCATTTTGCATATAAGAAAAATAAAGCTTGAAGAGATTAAAAGACCAGCCAATTTTAACAATCTTTATCTCTTATTCTAATGCCCTTGACACTGCAATATTATAACATACTTCAAAATTTAAAGCAGATATTTATATCTGAATCAGGGTCATTACATTATGATAAATATAAACTGTATTATTACTGATAAAAATATCATGATGTTTTAATTTATATATGCACAATAGTACATGACTGTAACACAACTTGGTTGCAATTATATATGACAGGTATTATATCACTGAAGTTAAAATTATGGGCTATGGAAAAAAAGCAACCAAGAAATAATATCCTACATTTGAGCCAAGCTAAATAATTTTCTTTATTTGTAATCATGGGCAGCACTATACATAATAGTCAAAATATGAAATCAACCTAACTGTCCATCAGTGGATAAATGGCTAAAGAAAGTGTAGTATACATATATTACATTCATATATACATATATATATGCAATAGTGTATTATTCATCCATGAATCTATTATAAATCACTTATTTATCTTTTCTTGCCCCCCACTCCCTCACTGAATCTACTACTACTAGTCTGTGAGCTTTTACAGAGAAAGAATCAAACATAATGTCTCCCACTTACAGATATTAAGTCAATATTGGTTGAGTGAATGAGTAAACAATAAATTAGCTCTTGAATGTGAATCTCTATGAAATCCATTCTGAATAGTGCTATGTTTGTAAATGCTTATTGCTGTCATGTGTATTGAGTGTAATTAATTCAGCTGATGAAGCTGTTGATGTGCTGAATGCCATAAAAATGAAAATGTAAGGAGTCATCTGGACCCATTCAGACAATTCCTTTCTTGTCAGAAATTTCTCTAGCTAAATGTCTTCAAATAATGTAACTGCATTTTTTTAAATCAAAAAGTAAATAAATGTACGCTTTTAAAAAATATACATTCTCTTAATAGAAATATTAACAGAGCTCTTAAGGTAGAAGGAAAATAGAACCAAAAGAAAGAAATGAGAAGAAAGATTAAAAATAGAATATGTTTGAATAGTTATATGAAAGCAATAATAAATTTTGAAATATCTAACATACGATTTTAAGTATATCAAAAATATGCCCAAAGATAAGAAAAAACAAAGGAATTAAGGGGTCTTAAAGTTCTAACATTTTCTGAAATTGATATAAATTGTGTTAAACTGTAATAGTTATACATGTATGGCTCTATGATAATGCTTAGGCGATAACTTAAATGATAACAAAAACACGAATATATGAAAATTGAATAGAGAGAATATTAAATAATAAACATTTTTAATTATTACAAGAGGTAAGGAAATAAAACAGCACAAAAACTCGTGTGTTGAGAAAAAGGAATTTGAGATATATGTATATCTCAACAGTATAAAATCTAACAAATCAATTTCAAAATGGGCAAAAGACATAAACAGACACTTCACCGAAGAAGATACACTGATGGCAAATAAGTACATAAAAAGAGGCTCAATGTCATTATAATATGCAAATCAAGGCCACAGGGACATGTCACTACATACCCATTAAAGTGGTTCAATAAAGCAACAAAACTAAATGCTGGCAGAGATGTGGAGAAACAGTCATTCCTACATTGTTGGTGCAAGTGTAAAATTGGACAATCACTCTAGAGAGCAATTTGGTTGCTTCTTAAAAGACTAAAATACTATTAAAATATAATCCATTCATTGCACTTTTTAGCATTTATCCAAATAAATGGAAATGTATGCTTCCAAAAAATCTATATACAAATATTCATACATCTTTACTTAGAATAATCAAAAACCGGAAGCAACCTAGATGTTTTCAAAGGTTGAATTTTTTAAATGTGCTACATCTATACCATAGGATATCACTCAGAAATGAAAAGGAATGAACAACTGAAAAAATAAAACTACTTGGAAGAATCTCCAGGAAATTATCCTGTGGGAGGAAACAACAGCAACAACAACAACAACAACAACAAAACAGACACATAGACCAATGGAGCAGAATAGAGAACCCAGAAATCAATTCTCTCATTAACAGCCAACTCACATTCAACAAAGGTGGCAACTTTGGAGAAAGGGCAGTCTCTTCAATAAATGTTGCTGGGAAAACTGAAGATCCATATGCAGAAGAATGAAACTAGAGCCCTATCCCTCACCATACACAAAAATAAAATCAAAATGGATTAAACACTTAAATCGAAAGCCTGAAACTATGAAACTGCTGGAAGAAGACACTGGGGAAATGCTCTGGGACATTAGTCTGGGCTAAGATGTTTTCTGTAAGACGTCAAAAGCACAGCCAAAGCAAAAATAGACAAATGTTATTACATCAAACTAAAAAGCTTCTGCACCACAAGAGAAAAAATAAAGTGAGAGACAATCTACAGAATGGGAAAAAATATTTTCAAATGACCCATCTGACAAAGAATTACTGAACAGAATATACAGGACACTCAAACAACTCAATAACAATAAAAAATCTGACTTAAAAATGGGCAGAAGATTTGAACAGACATTTCTCAAAAGAAGACATACGTATGGTCAACAGGTATATGAAAAATTGCTCAATATCACTAATCATCACAGAAATGCAAATCAAAACTACAATGAGATATCTCACCCCAGTTAAAATGGCTTATATATGAAAGACAGGCAATAACAAATGCTGTTGAGGATGTGGAGAAAGAGGAATCCTTATGCACTGTTGGTGAAAATGTAAATTAGTACAACCACTACTTCAGAACAGTTTGGAGGGTTCTCAAAAAACTGAAAATAAGACTACCACACGATCCAGCAATTTCATTAGTGGGTATACATTTTAAAGAAAGGAAATCAATATATTGAAAAGACATCTGTGCTCCTATGTTTATTGCAACAATATTCATAATAGCCAAAATGTGAAATCAACCTAAGTGTCTATCAGTGCATAAATGGCTAAAGAAAGTGTAGTATACATTTGGCCAGGTGCGGTGGCTCATGCCTTTAATCCTAACACTTTAGGAGGCCGAGGCGGGTGGATCACTTGAGGTCAGGAGTTCCAGACCAGGCTAGCCAACATGATGAAACCCCATCTCTACTAAAGATACAAAAAATTAGCAGGGCATGGTGGGGTGCGCCTGTAATCCCAGCTACTCGGGAGACTGAAGCAGAAGAATTGCTTGAACCCGGGGGTGGAGGTTGCAGTGAGCCATGAACACACCATTGCACTCCAGCTTGGGGAACAAGAGTGAAACTCCGTCTCAAAAAAAAAAAAAACAGAAAGAAAGTGTAGTATACATATACTACATTCATATATATATATGTATATATACATATACTACATTCATATATATGTATATATACATATACTACATTCATATATATATGTATATATACATATGCAATAAAATATTATTCATCCATGAAAAACAAAATGAAATTCTGTCATTTGCAGCAACATGGATGGAATTTGAGGTCATTATATTGAGTGAAATAATCCAGGCACAAAAAGACAAGTATTCCATGTTCTCACTCATATTTAAGTGGGAGCTAAAAAAGTTGATCTCATTGAGACAGCTAGTAAATTGTTCATTACCCGAGACCAGGAAAGTTAGAAGAGAGAGAGAATGAAGAGAAGTTGATTGATGAACACAAATATATAGTATAGTATAAGACATAGGACCTAGTATTAAATAGCTTAGTAAGGTGACTGTAGTTTATAATAATCTATTGTATATTTTTAAAAAATAGCTGGAAAAGAAGGATTTGAATAGTTCTCACATAAAGAAAAGACAAATACTAAGATGATGGATATTGTAAGTATACTAACTTGATTTTTACAAATTCTATGGATGTATTAAATGATCACATGTATTCTAAAACTATGCATCTATTATGCATCAAAAATTGAATTAAATAAGGTTATATAGTATCATATATAATGTTCTTAATATGATCAAATAACAGAGGTGAAGAACAGATTATTAGTTGTCAGAGATTAGAAATGTGGTGAGGGAGGAGGGCAAGAGGGATGCTGGTGTAGTTATGGAAGGACTACAGGAGAATGCCTGCAATGATGGAACTGTTCATACAAAACTTGACTGCGTTAGTGGATGCAGGAACATGCATATGTGATAAAATTTCACAGAAATAAACATGCACACACACACACACACACACACACACACACACAGGTAAAATCTTAGTGGTGAATTTTGTCAAGTCCATTCCCTGGTTGGGATATTGTATTACAGTTTTGCAATGTGATACAATCTGGGATAATAAGAGTAAATGAAAATACTATTTCCCACAAGTGCACGTGAATATTCAATTTTTTCAAAATAAAAGGTTTAATTATAAAAAGCTAGGATTTTCAATAGAAAAAAATAAGATGTATAATCAAAATATATATGTAGTTACATTAAAGGTAACTAGACTAATTTGAATTAATGACCAAGTTTGTTACTTTGGATTAAAAACAACAAAGAATATTGCAAATATATGTATAATATATAGATGTGTATATATACATATATATTTAATGCAGAAGGGGCATATTTTATACAGTAAGACTAATAAAAGTTTAAAGAATAGGATAGAAGAATATACAAGTAGATATTAACAAATAGAAATCTGTTTTTTATTTATCCTAATACAGATAGACTTAAAGGCAAGAAACATTTCCAAAGGTACTGGACATGCCATAATTATCAAGCATCATATAACAGGAATTTATAAAAATTCTAAATCTACTTGCATCTGACAACATAATTAAATATATACAGCAAACACTGACTCAACAATGTAGAGAAACACACAGATCTACCATCATAGTGGGACACTTTACCATGTTTATGTAAAACCTAATACAATAAACAGAAAAAAATCATGAATGATGCAGAGGATCAGAGCCTCTAACGAACACATATGACCTAATTGAAATACGTACAACACAGCACTAAAAAAATGACAATACTCATCCTTTATAAATACATATAAAACATTTCCCAAAATAACGTATATGCTGAGTAAAATCAAGCCTCAACAAATATCAAAGTATTGAAATCATCTAGCATGAAATTATACTAAATAGAAATAGCAAAAAAAGATAATTAGAAAATCCCAAAATATTTTGAAATTTTGTGATACACTTTTAAATAGTCCATAGGTCATAGAAGTAATTATAACAAAAAATAAAACATTATCAAATGAATTTTTTAAAATACATGAATATCAATACTTGTGGATTTCTTATTCTGGCCAAGACAGAGTGGCCTCATTCTTATCAGCTGCTTTCTGATGCAACTAAAGAACTTCACACATAAGATGACAAAAGTATGGGAAGCCCCTGTGAGGTGAACAGCTAAGCATGAATGGCTAGGGACTTCAAATTCAGGGATAAAAAAAGTGCTGAATCCCCTGGGTTTTCCTCCTGCATGTCCTAGACACGACCCTCTGAAACCTCCAATCTGAATGGCTAACAGCAAGACTTTTAAAAACGTAAAGCCTCCAATAAAAATCTGTAACTCCTTTTTGAAGGACTAGAGAATGGGTACAATAAAAACAAAACAAAAACTTTTGGCAATACCTGCCCAAATCCAGTCAAATACCAATGGAACCATTGTCTCCCTGTTCACAAGGTTTTCAGCAGGGCTTAGCAAGAAGCTGTTCTTCCATCCTACACCTTAAAGAAGCAGGCTCCAATTTCCCTGCCAGGGTAGTGTCAGTGGGGTGTCATGGACAGCTGAACCTTCATACTCACCTGCAGCAATTAGAATAAATGGGCTTGTGGGAGATGGGACAAGTACTGTGCCTCCCCTTCCATGCTGACAGGTGTGGCCCAGCAAGGAGCTGAGTCTCTCCCACCATCATCACCGCAGTGGAATGAGGTGGTGGGAGGTGGAGCTAGTTGCCCTCACCTATCCGTCCACCTCCTTCCTTATGTCAGTAGAATTCCCTGAGGAGCTGAGCTTCTACCTCCAACCTTTAGTAACCAAGAAATATGAATAGCCCTCTCCATCTACCTTTCCAGGTGTCAGCATGGTGCAGTAGGAAACTTAACATATACACCCACCCAGTCCTCACAACAAAGAGATTGCCTGCTAAAAACAACAAGAACAAGAACAACAACAACAACAACAAAACCCAGATTAAATAGTAATCTGAATCTCAACATTTAATATCCAAAAAGTCTAGGATGATTTTGTTAAATCACTTGTCATATCAATATCCAGGAAAATCACAAGTTGAATGAGAAAAGAATTAATGATACTAACAATGAAATGAATGAGATATTGAAAATATCTCACAAGGATTTTACAGTAACCATCCTAAAAATGCTTCAACAGGCAATTACAAGTTTTCTTGAAACAAATAAAAATATTTTTAAAAACTTCAAAAAAGAAGTTATTTTTAAAAGGATAAACTAGAACTGAAAAAAATAAATCGACAAAAAATAAAATGCTGAATTGGCTGAAGAGCAGAGTTAAATGACAGGAAATAAAATTTGAAAGCATAAATACAGATCAATAAACTTTTCCCAATCTGTTTAACAGAAAGAAAACAGATTTTTTAAAAAGTTTCTCAGTGAAATGCAGGACAATAATAAAAGGGTTAATATTTGCATCAACAGAGATGTAGAGGGAGAGAATGGAAAGCGGGACTAATCAAGTGTTTGAAGGAATAAAGGTCAAAAACTTTCCTAATTTGGTGAAAGTCATAATCATACAGACTTAAGAAGCAGAATAAAGCCCATTTAGGAGAAATTTAAAGAAATATGTGCCAACATACGTCATAATTAGTCTTCTGAAACTAAAAAAGAAAAGAAAAGAAAAAAAAGTCTTGAAAGCAGACAGAGGGAAAGAACATATTACTTACAGGGGACACTGATTTGAATGACAGTAGACATTAATGCCTAACATATTTTAGGTACTGAAAGAAAAGAACTGTCAACTCCAAAGTCTGTATCCTCTCAGATAAATGAAAACTAAGGGAATTAGATGCTAGCAAATCTACCTTTAAAGAATGTCTAAAAAAATTAAGCAGAAAGGAAGCGGTAAAAGAAGCTTTGAAATTCAGAAAGATCATTGATGGGTATACTTTGGGTTAAGTATAATGGATTATCCTTTCCACGAGTTTTTAAAATCTTATTTGATGGTTGAAGCAAAACTCATAATACCACCCGATATAGTGTTTGATGTATATATAGGAAGTTAAGGTAATATCTTTACAAACAGGAAAGATAAAGGAATCTTAATGGAAGCAACATTTCTATTCTTCATTCAAAGTGGTAAAACGTTACCAGTAGACTGTGATATATTACCTACACATATTATAATACCTCAAGCAACCAGTCAGAAAACTATGCAAAGTGATATACTCAAAAATACTATAAATAAATCAAGAGGTAATGCTAAACTTGCAGGAGTAACTAAAACAGTATTTGCTGGAAATGTGAAGATCTGACTACATATATTAAGAGATAAACATCTTAAAATTAATTATCAAAATGGACTGGCAAACTACAGCCTATGGGACAAATCTAGCCTGCCACCTGTTTTTGTGAAAAAGTTTTATTGGAACAAAGGTGTGCTCATTTATTTATATATTGTATATGGCTATTTTTGTGCCAGAAGAGCAGAGTTGAGTACTTTGTGATGGAGACATTAAGGCCTGCAAAGCATAAAATATTTACTATACAGCTCTTTACAGGAAAGTTTCCCAACCCCTGGAGGTTATATCTCTCAGAAAGCTATAAGAACAAAAATTCAAGCTGAAAAACTTAAGAAATGGAAACAATCAGGGAAAAAGCAGAGACTCATAAAGTATACATACAAGTTAAGAGATTCAAGAAAGTCCCAAATTAATCATTTTTAAAAAATCAACAAAATGTACAACTCCTTAGCAAAACTGATCAAGATAAAAAGAGAAAAAAAGTTTCAAGAATGAAAAGGAGGGCACTACTTATCTTACACTTACTAAAATAGATAATAATATAAGAATATTAAAAGCAGAAAATAAATCTTATAATTTAGACCAACTATGCTGCTGGGCATGTGGTTTATGCCTATAATCCCAGCACTTTGGGAGGCTGAGGCAGGCAGATCTCCCATGTCTACGAAAACAAAACAAAACAAAACAAAAAATTAGCTGGGCATGGTGGCATGTGCCTGCAGTCCCAGCTACTCGGGAGGCTGAAGTGGGAGGATCACCTGAACTCAGGAGGTGGAGGTTGCAGTGAGCTAAGATCACCCCTCTGCACTCCAGCTAGGGCAACAGAGCTAGACCTTGCCTCAAAATAAGTGAACAAACAAACAAATAGATAAACTATGCAATATTCTTGAGAAGTAAACAATTAACAAATATGAAATATGAAAACTTAATAAAACTATCTATTGAGTCTATTGAATCCATTACAATAAGTTAATAGCAGAGTCAGGGCTTTAACTTGTGGTTTTGTCATCAGAATAATAAGTGTTTAACTTTGTTAGATTATTATTTTGAAGCTCTTCTTTCTACTATCAAAAACATACTAAAATCATAAGGCGTATTGTGATATGTCAAAAGGTTTTCTAAAAGGTCTCTTTTTTCATAAACAAAACAGTCATAACTCCTAAACACGGACTCACCGACTCAAATCTGTGCCGGGCACATACTGAGAGAAGCGCGAATGAAGTAGAGGGATCAGTCTGAGGTCGCACCATCGCTTCTCCCACCTCAAGCCTGGAGACGTCGGCCACGACGAGCATGATAATGTGTCCTGAAAGGAAGATAAATATTCAACGTAATTTTTTTCTTCTGTGCTTTGAGTTTCTGTATCTCAAACCCCTTTTATCTGGGGGATATTATTTTTCCCCTAAATGATCAAAAGACTTTAATGGAATACCATGAGAAGAAGTCCAAATTATGGACACTAAAGTTGTATTGGTTAACTTATTTATTAACAGAATGCTATAAGAAGTTAAGAAAGGAATCATTGAGACTAAGAGTGCTAGTGAAAACGTATTTTAAAATGAGGGGAGCTGGAAGGAAAGGATAAGAATGTGACAGAACATAATTTATTCAAGAATGGAAAAAGTGGGAAAAAACTGTAACTATAATTAACCAATTAAGTGAAGAAATAAAAATCAGCTGTAGTTCATTCAAATAGAGAGTATTTTATGAGTGCCAAGCACAATCATAAGTGTTTTTAATTTATCAGATTTTTGCAAATATTTTTGAATAGAATAAGCTTTCCTATAAAACAACTTTCAAAACACTGCTCAAGGAAATCTGTGCTCCTTTTTCTAACTTCATGTTCATAAAAAGTTTATACTTTCTTATGTTGTTTTAATTGCATATCAAGGCAACTACTGCTGGCTTAAAATTACACATACATTAAGTTTTGTTAGAGCTTTTTTCTTCCTTTATATATAGAGGAGACTAATATTTGATAAAATTTGGGCTTTTTCACTTGATTCATGTTTCCTTCATTATTTCAGTTTTAATGTTAAAATTTCTTCATCACACCAACACATCAAATAATATTAATATTTAAATTGGCATGGGTTGTAAGCTCAATTTGACCAGTAAACTGGTAACATTGACTTCCCTTTATTCACTAATTTTTGAGTGATAGTGTTGGAAGAAGATTCTATTTTAGTCTAGATATTGAAACTCTGTGAAGTCTAAATATTATTAAGCATTACTCTCAGGCATTAAACTTTTTAACAATGCTTCCAGTGAAAAACAATATTACTTTTACTTAAGGTTGTATGTTGCCTGGCATTTTATGTTAATTGTGGCAGATTGAGCAAATAAAAATGTACTAAGTCAGTGGAGCAGTTTAGAATACCTGGAAGTGTGGACTGGCTAAGATCACTTAGTGAGGGGTCCCTACTGGTGACTCAATGAGCACCTCAGCTTCCAAGTCACCTGTCCTTCAATGCTAGTCAGTTGCTTTTAATGCCTCTCTGGTGACTGCAAAGGCACAAACCTAGGTTTCATATTACTCTTTCTCCTGGCCTCATGTCAGATGTTATGGATGATCGGCATGTGATGTGAGGTCAGATCTTCATGTCAGCTGTACAGGTGGTCAGCATATGACATGGGATCAGCTGGGAGATAGTACAAGGTGGCGAGGTCTTAAGCTGCAAGTCAGAATCAGAACACTTAGATTTGAATACCAGTTTCCCAACTGAGTAGTCCATTACCTGGGGGCAAGTTTTGTAGTCTCTATCTTACTATGTTTATCTTCAAAGTGGGGATAATAATGGTAACAACTGGTAAGATTATAGCAACAAATAAAAAATTTCTTATAATCTAGCCCAGCTAAATGGCTCCATACTATTTTCAATATATCTAAAAGGCTAATGGTAATTTAACATTTAGTAAAACAAACTACTTAGATGCCTGGCTTGGTAGCTGTAAGTAAAATGTATCAAATATTATATTCTCGAGAAATAATAATAAGCTGAAATAAGGGGCAAAATTATTTCTAAACATGGAACTTTTAGGGAGGGCATTCTTAGGAATATTACTGTTACTATTTAATAGTAGTTTTAATAATACCTACTTGTACTAAGTGCTTGACTTACACCACTTGCAACATCTTTGAAAAACAAAGCTATTACTATGTTCATATTTGAAAGGAAAAACAGAAGGTTTTTTTATTTTTAGTTTTTGAGACAGGGTCTCACTCTATCACTTAGAAGTGCATGGTGTGATCTTAGCTCACTGAAACCTCCGCCCCTGGGGTCAAGTGGTCCTCCTGCCTCAGCCTCCCAAGTAGCTGAGACTACAGGTGCCCACCACCAGGCCTGACTAATTTTTGTATTTTTAGTAGAGAAGGGGTTTCACCATGTTGGCCAGGCTGGTCTTGAACTCTTGACCTCAGGTGATCCACCTGCCTTGGCCTCCCAAAGTGCTGGGATTGCAGGCGTGAGACAAGAAAGTTTTTTTAAAGAAGTATTTTATTATTACTTCCCAACTTTTCTTCATGAGGGAACATGAAGAAGCAATAATACTGTGTGGCAGGCTTGGGTAAACAAACAAGGTTTCTGTGACCAGGCCAGAGATGTCCACAGGGATTGCAAGTGGCCCAGGACCCACCCAGCTGCACAAAGCAAGGTCCTCGTTGGCAATGACTGAAACTCCTTCCCAGAACCCCAGTGCACACACACGCATTCCTAAGTTCTATAGTAAACAATTTACCCAAGTCACCCAGCCAGCAAAGGGCACCCCCAGGATTCACTCAGACTAACACCTTTTTGATAGCAGAGCCAACAGATCTACTGTGGAACATTTAACATTCAACCTGGATAATCAGGAGTGAAACAATGGAAAAATAATTTGGATTTTTTTACTTGATTATTTCACATTTTGGTTATATAACTTCAGGTATATTATTTAAAGATGCTTTCTCATCTTTCATAAAATACAATAATAATTTCTTTCAAATTTTGTGTTTCTTCAATAAATGGGATAGAAAATGTCAAAGATTGTTAAAGATATGGGTAATGAGATGTTGAGGACTGACTAATCACCAATACATGAGTACGGTAGGTTTTACAAATCTTATCAATACACTTCATAGATTGGCAAGTATGGAAATATATGTGGCCTTTGACATTCTTTCTTGTGGCATCTTGATTTGATGCCTGTATGTACCAAAGGTATAAGTATGTCACTTTCTTATATTTCTTCTTTATAAGAAATATGTAATAAGTCCCACTTCAGTTATTTGACTCAACAGAGTTGATGTATTTCATATTATAGACCTGTTATTTACAGTGGAACACAAGCTATCCTTTAAAGAATTTTTCTCCTTACTTATTTTATTTATGTAAATAGAATATAAATTTACTTTCTAATCATTTTTTTGGAATAGTAGTTTATTTATTTTTGCATAAAAGATAGTCTAAAAACACAATCACTTTTGTGCTTTTGAGAACCATGACTATTTTTCAATAGCTCTACTCTACAATGTCAAGAATGTTGTTTCCTACAATATTAATAATGTGACTGGAAAAAGCAGCAATTATGTCTCCTTGCTTGTTTCCCAAAATTTTACACATGCCACACAATATCCTCAAGAACAACTATCTTACCAGAACAGAACTGCACAAAGGGCAAACTGCTAACTGAGATTTTATTAAGGATTTGGTGGCATAGGATGTATTAATTAAAGGTGTACAGTTAAGAAGAATGTTTCTCAGTCTGGTTGGCTGATTATCTGAATCAGAGTCTTCTGGTAAGCACAGAACAAATTCTTCTACTCCATCTCTAGAGAGAAGAAATTCAGTGAATCTGGGCTGGGGCTTAAGAGCCAAGGTCTTGGTTGGCAAAACAAGTGACTTTCATGTACCTTCAAATTAGTGATGTCGCGCATCTTTAGAAGGAATAGATTATATTTTTATGTAGGATAGTGGAATGATGCTAATATACTATAAGCCTTTATTTCCCCTTAGAATTAAAATGCTGCCTTAAAATACAGTAAGGACATGTTAGAAAACCAGAATAATACCTACTCAAAATTGGCTTCAGATCAAGGTATAGACATTGAAAAGGCAGTTTGTGAGCCTAGGATAGAACTGAGAATTAACACACATCAGAAAATCAAATGTTTCTTTTAAATAGACTGTCTATAATATACACATATTCTGTGGAAAGAAAATTTGCCTCACAATGCACTCTTTCTTCTGAGTGCCCACTGTCTGTTGTTATTTCATGTCTTTGACCTCTCCTAATTTTGTACATCTCTGAGTAGAGATGTTCTCCACTTGCCATTCCTCCATCAAAGCTTATTCAAGATACAGAAGGAACAGCACGTGCTAGCCCTGGCTGTGCAAGCCTGCACGGTCTGATTACCATTGCAGGTTAATGCTCCCGTGCGAGCAACAAAGCACACACTTGGTTTGTAGTCTCTCAACTTACGTTGAATTTTTAGTCAGATGGTCAAAGTCTCTACAACTCTTTATCTCTGTTACTAGAATGCTGCTACTCATTCTTCTCTTTTTCTGCTTATGTTATAGTTAATTGTATGCTTTTGTCTATAGATCTGGATCTTAATTTTTTTGTGTTAAAATCATAATTAACAGCTCCCCAAAGTAAAATAGCTAGAGGGGTATTTCCACAGAGTAAGTTCTCAACAAAAATGCATTTAATTGATATGCATTGAGATTTTTGTCTTTATTTTGAATATACTTTATTTTGTTTTCATACGGTTTTATTATTATTCTCTATAGCATCATGATACTTTCAATTTCCTTACACTGAAATATCTTCAGCAATGTCAAAAGAATGTTCAATCCTAGTGCTAAAAGGAAAATAAAATGTGCCTCTGGAAATGGGGAGACATAGCTCCAGTAAGAAGAATTTATAACAGTTGCTTTATTTTTAATTTTATAAAACTGAATTTATTTGGGATGTTATAGAATTGGAGTGATTTTCTTGCTGTAATTACAGTTTTATAAGGAAGGACATTATTCTATATATGTTTTTCTATATGTCAATGGAATGGATTAAAAACAAACCAGAATGATTTCTACCCTTAGACCTGCCACTCTGACTCCTCTGCTCTGCTTATTATACAGGAGTTCAAGGGTATGAGGCAAGACCTAGAACAAAACAGCTCCAAAGAGCTTTCTCCCATTCTGAAGTAAGTTGCTCTTGTTTCTGTCTTAGGAGCAGAGGTGAGATGGAGATTCTTGTGTGAGGGACACGTGGAGGGGGCACTCTCAGGAACAACCTCTGAGGACTGATGGAAGCAGGGCATGTGGTGCCAAACACCCCTGTGAGCTCTGACTCCCAGGCAAAGGGGATCCAGACAAGAGGGATAAGCTGTGAATGGGCACAGCCAACACCTCCAGCTACTGAGGGCAGGTGCACCAGCGCGGTGAAGGAAAACAGAAGTGGATCGAAATTATCGAAGGCATCTGGATCGGGAGGGAAGAAGGTGAGCAAAGCAATTACAAAATAAAGAGGTAAAAAATTTGGTTGTATATCTAAGTTTTTCATTAGGAAACCTGTATATTTCCTCATAAACTTTAAGTCACTCCAATCATGCTGTATTGTGGTTTTAAATGCCACTTATTGTGTGGCAATTATTTCTTTGGCAAAAAAAAAAAAAGTTTCAAAGATGGCCACATGAAATATATCCAGCTGAAGATGGTTTTAGAAAATATCCCTAGATTTGTACAGATAACCTTTGGTGTTGGCAAATTTCTTTTTACGAAGGAAAAAAGTTGACAACTTGAGGGCCTAAGGTACTCAGCTGAGGAGTAATACTAGGGAAATCAGGTACCGTGAAAGCCATTCAGGACTGAAGATGTTCAAAAAGATTGCTTTGAAGTAAAATGCCACTATTTTGACAAAAATTTCAAATTGCAGGATGAATCATACCAGTCGGTTGAAGAAGCTATATGACGTATGTACCATGATATGTGGAATAGAACAATAAAATTCTGCTTAACGTCACCTCTGCTTCTCTTTATGTTTGTAAGCATGAAAGATGATTGTTAGATCTGCTTATAACCAGAGAAAATTATTTCTTTAAGAATGTGTGAGTGTTTTGAAGGATGAAATGCAAGGAACTTCAAAAACATTTATAAGATATTAAAATCGATTTACTCAAAATGCAAGTAGAGAACAAAGATTAAAATTGTATTAAATATCTATAAAACAAAGTTTAATTTTAACTTCTACTAAATACATGTATAGTTAAACGTTCTTTACATGTCAAAATAATGTGTGAATTGGATTTTCTCACTTTGCAGTAATTGCTTACTGTGAATAAAGTTGGCTAAAAAAATCCTAACAAATAGCAAATTAAATAGTTACTTTTAGTTAAGTAATTTCAAAAGAAAAAAGTGAGAAAACTAATGTCAAAGCATTTTGAACCTGAAATCACATATAATGTGCAATGTTCTAAAATGATTGTATATTATACATCTCCAGTGACATCCCCAAGTTAATAGTATCTATTGCTTCAAAAGAACTTAATCCATACAGACTTGAGAGGGGAAAAAAATGGCATAAGAAACCTGATCTATTTATTTTGCATTTCTTGTTTATCATAATTCTTAAATGATTATGCAACCAGGGATTTCCTATCTGTCAGATAAATCAGATTCACTAGCAGTTTTTATAAGCTATGTGTTATCTCCTTATTAATCTGAGCTATGCCTGGGTCATCTTACTGTATTGTTGGGATGGTAGTTGAGATGTAAGCCACTGTCACAGAGAGGAGAGGAGGTGCCACTGCTCTGGTCACTTGGAGCACCTGCAGGAGACAAAATCATAACATTCCACTGGTGAGAATGCCATAACCTTCTAAACTGATGCATTCCATTACACTTTCAAGGATACTCAGTAATATCAAGTAAATCAGATATTACAATACAATTTTATCTCAGTTATACTAAAGCCAGAGTTTTGCAAGTAAGCCAAGTGACTACAGGTATCTGGGCACTAAAAGAGACTCACAAAAATTTGTCTTTGATTTCAGAAACATTAAGACTTTATAAAGGAAAATGTACAGCCTTATAAAAAGTATTATTTTGTTTAATTATCTAAAGTGGCCTGCTCTTAGAAACCATACTTAAAATAATACAAGATTTTGGTTGTCTACAGAGTTCTATTTAATGTCATATTTCAACCAAGTGGTAAATCCTACCCTTAGAAACTATAATTTTCCATGATGCAAAAATGTTTGCATGTTCTGTTTTTGTAGGTACTCTTTGTTAGTATCCAAGTATCCATTAAAATTATCACATTTTGTATAATTGCAATGAAAAAACTTCATATTAGATTTTAATGAGATGCCTACTAATATCTATTTTTTAAAGATGAGTAATGCCTTAAAGATTTGTCATTTTCTAAGATTTCCCAGTTTAGTAAGTGTTAGAGTCACAATAGTTCCTGACTTCTGATTATTTGATTTTTCTAAAGATATTTTTTAAAGTTACTAATGTTTATAAATATTACCCACAAATATAATTGACGCTCAATTAATATTTGAAATATTATACTTGATTTCAAACATCATAGGTCATAGGGAACACTACTTACATAATAGTCCATGTGCTAAAAAACAGATATTGTTCTTCTCTTTTATTACTCTCACATTCTGTAATTTTCCTGGAACTAAGATGGGAAATATAGGCTTTCTCGCTATACTGATCTGGATATAATTTTTCTAATCTTTAAACTGTAAGAATATCACACTATGTTTTAGTTATTTTTCCTGTGAAGTTTATTTGCATTTATATCTTCTACATTTTAATGTATATATGTATTACTTTAAAGCAAATGTATATACTTATTATTTTAAAGCATATACATTTTGAACTGAACAAAAATAAAAATACAACATATCAAACTCTGTGACTGAATCTTAAGTAGTCATTTGAGTGAAATTTAAATGTTTAAATACATACACCAAAAGAAGGTAGGTATAAACTTAATGATCTTAAGAACTTAAGAATGGAGGAGCAAATTGAACCAAAGCAAAACAAACAAAATAAATGAAAAATAAAAATAAAACTGGGAAAAATTAAATAGAAAAGAGAAAATAATAAAGAAAATTAATTAAGGCAAATATCAGATATTTGGGGAAACTAATAAATTAGATAAACCCATAGCAAAAAAAAAATTTAGAAAAAAGAGACAGAAAATACAAGTTATCAACATCAGGAATGAAGGAGGGGTCATTACTGAGAGCTAACGGATGTTAAAAGGAATGATGAGCGGTCATGATAAATAACTTCATGAAAGAAATTGACAACTTAGTTGAAGTGAACAAATACATTAAAAAAAATCTAACCAAAATTTACAAAAGAAGAAAGAGACTATCAACTCTTATGGACATATGCAAAAAAGAAAAATGTAAACAATATATTAGCAAACCAAGCCTAGTAATATATGAAAAATATATCACATCATGACCAAGTAAGTGGTATTTATTCTAGAAATGCAAGCTTGGTTTTACATTCAAAATCCATTTTAAACATTTACCATATCAAAAGGCTAAAGAACGAAAGCATATATGTAATATTTTGATGTATGTAGAAAAATATTTGAGAAAATTCACCATCAATTTTTGTTTTTTACAAAAAGCAAATTAAAAACTTTAGCGTTCTAGGAATAGATGTGCTCCTCTATCTGATAAAGAACATCTTTAAAAACCTATATCCGATACCCTAACTAATGACAAAATAAACCTAGATTATTCCCCACTAGTATCAAGAGAAAGAAAGGGATGTCTACCCTTAACACGTTGTTAAAAATAAAAATGGAAGTCTTAGCCACTGCAACGGGAAAGTCAAAATAATTAAAGAAATGTAGATTGGAAAGGAAGAAGCAAAACCTTATTTGCAGATAACACAATCGTGTATATAGAAAAACGTTAAGAATGCAGAAAAGTCTTTCTAGAATTATGCTATGTTGCAATATGTTAATATATAAAATTAAATTATATTTTATGTGTTGGCAATAAACAACTGGACAATGAAGTTTTAAAATATTATTTACAATAAAATTAAAACATAAAATGCATATAAATAAATTTAATGAAAGATATGCAATAATTCCAAATTAAAAAGACTAATATATTGCTGAGAAGAAAACATAAATGAAAAGGTAATCTCCAAATTGTTTATAAATTTAATTTAGTTCCATTCAAAATTCCAATACATTTTTTATGCAAATTGGCATGCGATTTCTGAAATATATGCAGCAATACAATAGATGTAGAATAGCCAAATGATCTTTACAGATTTCAAAGTTGAAGAACCTCTTCTAGGTCACTTTAGGATATGTTACAATAATAAATAATATGATTTTCATTTAAAAAAATAGACATGTAAATTAGTGGAAATAACAAAGTATCTCAAAATAAATCCAAACATGTATGATCAAATAATAATCATATATATACATATATCAAATACACACACACATAATTGATTCTTATGTAAGATGCACAAAAATATAAGATGTATTATAAATGTAAACATAAAAGCTAAAGCAACAGGCCTCTAGAGGAAAATAAGAAAAAATATCTTTGCAACCTTGGGGTAGGCAAGTATGTCTTAGAGAGGATACAAAAACAATAAAAGGAAATAAAGCTTCTGCTAACAAAGACAACCTCAAGTGAAAAATGTAGATATACAAAGACTAAGAGAAAATCTTCGTAATTTATATCACTGGCAAAAGGCTTATATAGATAATATTTTTAAAAATTCATGCACTATAATAGTAAAAAGAACATACCAACAGAAAAATGGGGAAAAGTCTTGAACAGAAGCTTTCCAAAAGAAGATATGCACATGGCCAATAATCACACAATATGGAGATAATTATTATTAGTCATCAGGAAAATGCAAATTAAAACTACAATAAGATTTCACTGCACACTCAATAGAATGGCTGGAAGAAATATTTGAGCATCAAATATTGGAAAGAATGTAGGGCAACCAGTGCTTGCATACCTTTCTGGGGAACACAGTGGGAGTTGTTTAATAACATGCTGACTTCGGGCCGGGCGCGGTGCCTCATGCCTGTAATCCTAGCACTTTTGGTGGATGAGGCGGGATGATCACAAGGACAGGAGATCGAGACCATCCTGGCCAACATGGTGAAACCCAGTCTCCACTAAAAATACAAAAATTAGCCTGGTGTGGTGGCAAGCGCCTGTAGTCCCAGCTACTTGGGTGGCTGAGCAGGAGAACTGCTTGAACTCAGGAGGCAGAGGTTGCAATGAGCCTGGCAACAGGGGGAGACTCCATCTCAAAAAAATATATATATATATATGCGTGTATATATGTGTTTGTGTATACACACACACACACACACATATATATGCTGACTTTGATGAAGTTCAGAAAGATGGTGGAATAGAAACCTCAGACCTTGCTTCCCATAGACACACCAACTTTGCAACAATATATAGTTAAGAAAGCTTTGAAGAGTGCTCCAGAAACTAGTTAATAAGTCACAGTAACCCAGGTAAGCTCAAAGCCAAGAGCAGCCACATTAAAAATGGGTAAAAAGACCATTTCATTTCACCCATGACAGCCCTTCCACTAAGCTGGAATAACTTGGTGTGATCAGAAGTAAGTGTCAAACTTGCAGCCACTCTCTAGAGTGGAAGAAAAGCAAAAAACACTCATCCAATATTCTGGCTTTTGGGGGAGTGCACAAGGGTCTGGTTTCTGTGTCACTGACTGGGTGCACTGATAGACATAGCATACTCTGGATGCCTGAGGCTCAGAGAACACAGAAGAGTTCAGGGGCTCATTGCAGCACTAGAGAACCTGCAGTTCTGCAGCCAGACCAGCAGAGGAAATAGTAATTATAAGGTCAGGAAAAAGAAACCAACAAACCTCTCTTTTGGGATATTACATGCCCAGAGAAGATGAATCCCCTGAAAATGTTTGGGAGACACTTTACCCAGGCTGATTGGTGAAGTTCTTTTCCGGTGTGTAATCAGTTAGAAAAAGTCTAAGAGACATGGCTGATTTTTTCAAATTCACAAATCCCAGAAAAAAAATAATAGCACAGACATATGAAGCAACAGAGAAACAAAATAAACCACCGAAAACCAAGTGGAAACCAGGTCTGTAAATTATCTTTAAAAACACAAAATAATCATCTCAAAGAAGCTCAGTGTGCTAAAACAAAAACACAGATAGCTAAATAAAATTAGAAAAATTATGCATGAACTGAAAATGTCAAAAATATAGAAAAGACAAGAAACCCACACAGAAATTCTGAAGATGAAGAATACAATAATGAAGTGAAATATTCACTAGAGATAATCAATAGCAGATTTTATCAAGCAGAAGAAAAAGTGAATTCAAAGGCATGACATTTGAGGACTAAAAGGAAATTAGAATTAGGAAAAGTGAAGAAATGCTAAGAGATTTATATGACACCATCAAGCAGACCAATAGACACTTTATAGAAGTCCGAAAAAAGAAGGAGATGGGCAGAGAGCTTATTCAAAGAAATAATTTTCAAAAATGTCCCAAATCTGGGGAAGAAAATGAACATACAATAGAAGAAACTTGAAGATCTCCAACTAGGATGAACCTAGAAAGGCTCACACTGAAACTCATTATTATCAAACTGTCAAAAGTCACAGATAAACAGATAATCTTGAAAGCTGCAAGAAAAAAATGCAATTTTGCAGGTAAAGGGAAGATCTCATAGATCAACACATTTCTCAGCAGAAACATTATAGGGAGAAAGGAGTGGGATGATATATTCAAAGTGCTGAAAGAAAAATAAAATCAGCCAATCTAGAATACCATACCCAGCAAACCTGTTCAATAAATTTGAGGGAGAAATACAGATCTTCTTAAATAAACAAAAACCATGGGACTTCATCACCACTAGAACTGTTTTACAAAATTGCTAAAGACAATTCTTCAAATTGAAGTAAAAGAACACTAGATAGAAAGAGAAATGCATATAAAAAATAATGTCCTCTGGTAAAGGTAGATGTAGACAAATACAGAATAATGAAGGTGTATTCATAGTAATTTTTATTGTGGTACAGAATTTAAATGATAAAACTGTGAAAAATAACTATACAGTCATTCCTCCATGGGAGATTGATTCCAGGACACCCTTCACATACCAAAATTCACATCTGCTGTAGTCCCTTACATAAAATGGTGTAGTATTTGCATATAGCCTATGCACATCCTTCAGTATATTTTAAATCATCTCCAGATTGCATATAATACCAAATACAATGTAAATATGTATGTAGTTGTTATACTGTACTGTTTATTTGTATTATTTTTATTGTTGTGTAATATTTTAATTAACAATTTTGATTTGCGGCAGGCTAAATTCACAGATGTGGAATTTGTATCACAACTACACCTATACAAGTGGTTTAAGGGATATAAAATATAACAAGTTGTATTTATAAGGCAGTGTATGTGATTGACATGGAGTTATCAGTTTAAATTCACTTACTTAAAAACGGTTAATAGTATTTAATAAAGTATATTAACATGATTATTTCTTGCCTAGGTGACTTATTTTTAATAGAAAATAATAATTTAACAAGTATATTTGTCCATTAAAAATAGGTAAAAGGGAATTAATAACAGCAAGATTGTGGGATAGAAATCTCTATATTTCATTCCCCAACAGAGACACTAACTTGAAACCAATATATGGTATAGAAGGTGGGGAGGGGATGTAAAGAAGTAAGATCTGTGTACTGTGATTAAGTTATTATCCATTTAAAATAGATTGTTATAGTATGTTCTATGCAATACCTATTAGAGTCACAGAAATACCTATAAGGGGTACACAAAAGAAATTGATAAAAGGATCAAAGCATGGAACTACAAAAAACAAGGAAACAAATGAAAGTAGCTAAAGAGGAAAAGAGGGGCACTGTAACTATAAGACATACAGAAAACAACAAAATGACAGCAGTAAGTGTTTCCCTATCAGCAATTATTTAAATGTTAAGTGGAATAAACTTCCAAAACCACAGAGATAAAGTGGTTAAGTGGATTTTAAAACCCAATATCCAAGTACAGACATATCTCATTTTATTACATTTTGCTCGATTTTGCTTCACAGATTTTTTACAAATTGAAGGTTTATGTCAACCATGCATCCAGCAGATCTATATGCTGTTTTTATAATAGCTTGTGGTCACTTTGTGTCTCTGCATCACATTTTGGTAATTCCCACAGTATTTCAACTTTTTCATTATTATTATACGTGGTATGGTGATCTGTCATCAGTCATCATTGATGCTACTATTGTAATTCTTTTGGAGCTTCACAAACCACGCCACATAAGGCAAGGAACTTAATGAATAAATGTTGTATGTGTTCTGACAGCTCAACTGACTAGCTGTTCCCCATCTCTCTCCCTCTCCTTGGGCTTCCATATTCCCTAAGACACAATAATATTGAAATTAGAACAAAGAATAACCCTACAATGGCCTCTAAGTGTTCAAATAAAAGAAAGAATTGCAAGTCTCTCACTTAAAATCACAAGCTAGAAAAGAAAAAGCCTAGTGAAGAAGTCATATTGAAAGCCAAGATAAGCCAAAAGCTTAGCCTCTTCTGCCAGTTAGCCAAGTTGTGAATGCAAAGGAAAAGTGTTTGAAGGAAGTTAACAGTGCTACACCAGTGAACACATGCATTTTGAAGCAAAACAATCTTCTTACTGATAAGGAGAAAGTTTTAGTGGCCTGGATAGATCAATCCATCCACAGCATTCCCTTAAGCCAAATCTTAATCCAGGGCAAGATACTAACTCTCTTCAATTCTATAAAGGCTGAGAGGTGAGGAAGGTACAGAAAAAAAAGTTTGAAGATAGCAAATGTTGCTTTATGAGACTCAAGAAAAGATACTGTCACCATATATAAAATTACAAGATGAAGAAACAAGTGCTGTTGCAGGAGCTTTAGAAGCTATAACTAGGGCTAGGATTAATGATGAATACGGCTTCATTAAAAAACAGATTTTTGATGTATCCATTAAATAGCCTCATATTAGAAGAAGATGACATCTAAGACTTTCATAGGTAAAAGGAAGTCAAGCCAGGTACAGTGGCTCATGCCTATAATCCCAGCACTTTGGGAGGCTGAGGCAGGCAGATCACAAGGTCAGGAGATCAAGGCCATCCTGGCCAACATGGTGAAACCCCATCTCTACTAAAAATACAGAAATAAGCCGGGCATGGCGGTGCATGCCTGTATTCCCAGCTACTTGGGAGGTTGTGGCAGGAGAATTGCTTGAACCTCAGTGGCAAAGGCTGCAATTAGTGTAGATCACACCTCTGCACTCCAGCCTGGGTGACAGAACGAGACTCTGTCTCAAAAAAAAAAAAAAAAAAAGGAAGGAAGTCAATGTCTGCCTTCCAAGCTTCAGCGAACTCTTGTTAGGGGCTAATGCAGCTGCTATCAGTTGAATTCCATTTTTATTTACCATTCTGAAATCCTAGGGCAAGGATAGGTCCCTTAACAATTATGGTGAATCTACTCTGCCTGTGCTCTAGAAATGGAACAACAAGGCCTAGATGGCAGCATATCTGTTTACAGCAAGGTTTACTGAATATTTAAGCCCACTGTTGAGACCTACTGCTCAGAAACACACACACACACCCTGAAACACACATCAAAACACATTCCTTTCCAATAATCACTGCTTACTGACAATGTTCCTGGACACCCAAGACTACTGATGAAGATGAAAAAGATTAATGTAGTTTTCATGCCTGCTAACACAAAATCCATTCTGCAGCCCATGGATGAAAAAGGAATTTCAAAGTTTCATGTCATATTATTTAAGAAATATATTTAATACAGGGACAGCTGCCATAGATGGGGATTACTCTGATGGACCTGGGCAAAATCAATTGAAAACCTTCTGGAAATGATTCTCCATTGTTGATACTATTAAGAATACTCATGATTAATATTGACAGGAGTAGGTAAAAATATCAATATTAAGAGGCATTTGGAAGAAGTTGATGCCAACTCATGGGTGACTTTGAGGAGTTCAAGACTTCTCAAGTAGAGGCAGTAAGAGTAGATGTGATGGAAATAGCTGGAGAATTACAATCAGAAGTAGAGCTTGAAGATGTGACTGAATTGTTCCAATCTCATGAGTGTTTTCTTGAGATGGACTCTATTCTTGGTGAAGATGCTATGAACATTGTTGAAATGACAATAAAGTATTTAGAATATTACATAAACTTAGTTGATAAAATGGTTGCAGAGTTTAAGAAGATTGACTAATTTTGAAGGAAGTTCTAATATGGGTAAAATCCCCCAAGAAGATTACATGTTACAGAGAAATCTTTCATGAAAGGAAGAGTTAATGAATGTGACAAACTTCATTGTTGTCTATTTCAAGGAATTGTCATAGCCATTCCAAACTTCAGCAACCACCACTCTGATCAGTCAGCATCCATCAATAGAGAGACTAACAAAAAAGCTGCAAATCAGTGAAGGTTCAGATGATTCTTAGCATGTTTTAGCAAAAATTATTTTTTATTGTACTTTAAGTTCTGGGGTACATGTGCAGGAAACGCAGGTTTGTTACATAGCTATGCACATGCCATGGTGGTTTGCTGCACCCATCAACCCATCACCTACATTAGGCATTTCTCCTAATGCTATCCCTCCCCTAGACCCCCAGCCCCCATCAGGCCTTGGTGTGTGATGTTCCCCTCCCTATGTCCATGTGTTCTCAAATGTTCAACTCCCACTTATGAGTGAGAACCTGGTGTTTGGTTTTCTGTTCCTGTGTTAGTCTACTGAGAATGATGGTTTCCAGTTTCATCCATGTCACTGCAAAGAACATGAACTCATTTTTTATAGCTGCATAGTATTCCATGGTGTATATGTGCCACATTTTCTTTATCCAGTCTATCACTGATGGGCAGTTGGGTTGGTTGCATGTCTTTGCTATTGTAAATACTGCTGCAATAAACATATGTGTGCATATGTCCTTATAGTAGAAAGATTTATATTCCTTTGGGTATATACCCAGTAATAGGATTGCTGGGTCAAATTGTATTTCTCGTTCTAGATCCTTGAGGAATTGCCACCCTATCTTTCACAATGGTTGAACTAATTTACACTCCCACCAACAGTGTAAAAGCGTTCCTATTTCTCCAAATCCTCTCCAGCATCTGTTGTTTCCTGACTTCTTAATGATCACCATTCTAACTGGCGTGAGATGGTATCTCGTTGTGATTTTGTTTTGCATTTCTCTAATGACCAGTGATGATGAGTATTTTTTCATGTGTCTGTTGGCTGCATAGATGTCTTCTTTTGAGAAGTGTCTGTTCATATCCTTTGCCCACTTTTTGATGGGATTATTTGCTTTTTGTTGTAAATTTGTTTACATTCCTCATAGATTCTGGATATCAGCCTTTGCCTTTTTTCTCCCATTCTGTAGGTTGCCTGTTCACTCTGATTATAGTTTCTTTTGCTGTGCAGAAGCTCTTTAGTTTAATTTGAGCCCTTTTGTCAATTTTGGCTTTTGTTGCCATTGCTTTTAGTGTTTTAGTCATGAAGTCTTTGCCCATGCCTATGCCCTGAATGGTATTGCCTAGGTTTTCTTCAAGGGTTTTTATGGTTTTAGATCTTACGTTTAAGTCTTCAATCCATCTTGAGTTATTTTTTGTATAAGGTGTTAGGAAGAGGTCCATTTTCAGTTTTCTGCATATGGCTAGCCAGTTTTCCCAGCAGCATTTATTAAATAGGGAATCCTTTCCCCATTGCTTGTTTTTGTCAGGTTTGTCAAAGACCAGATGGTTGTAGATGTATGGCATTATTTCTAAGGCCTCAGTTCTGTTCCACTGGTCTGTATGTCTGTTTTGTTACCAGTACCATGCCATTTTGGTTACTGCAGCCTTGTAGTATTGTTTGAAGTCAGGTAGCATGATGCCTCCAGTTTTGTTCTTTTTGCTTAGGATTGTCTTGGCTATTCAGGCTCTTTTTTGGTTCCATATGAAATTTAAAGTAGTTTTTTTTCAAATTCTGTGAAGAAAGTCAATGGTAGCTTGAATCTATAAATTTCTTTGGGTAGTATGGCCATTTTCACTCTATTGATTCTCCCTGTCTATGAACATGGAATGTTTTTCAAATTGATTGTGTCCTCTCTTATTTCCTTGAGCAGTGCTTTGCAGTTCTCCTTGAAGAGGTCCTTCACTTCCCCTGTAAGTTGTATTCCTAGATATTTTATTCTTTTGTAGCAATTGTGAATGAGAGTTCACTTAGGATTTGGCTCTCTGTTTGTCTATTAATGGTGTATAGGAATGATTGTGATTTTTGCCCATTGATTTTGTATCCTGAAACTCTGCCGAAGTAGCTTATCAGCTTAAAGAGATTTAGGGCTGAGATAATAGGGTTTTCTAAATATACAATCATGTCATCTGCAAACAGAGACAATTTGACTTCCTCTTTTCCTATTTGAATATCTTTATTTTTTTTCTCTTGCCTGATTGCCCTGGCCAGAACTTCCAATACTATGTTGAATAGGAGTGGTGAGAGAGGGCATCCTTGTCTTGTGCTGGTTTTCAAAGGGAATGCTTCCAGCTTTTGCCCATTCAGTATGATATTGGCTGTGGGTTTGTCATAAATAGCTCTGGTTATTTTGAGATACATTCCATCAATACCTAGTTTATTGAGAGTTTTTGCATAAAAGGGTGTTGAGTTTTATTGAAGGCCTTTTCTGCATCTATTGAGATAATTATGTGGTTTTTGTCATTGGTTCTGTTTATGTGATGGATTACATTTATTGATTTGTGTATGTTTAACCAGGCTTGCATCCCAGGGATGAAGCCGGCTTGATCGTGGTGGATAAGCTTTTTGATGTGCTGCTGGATTCATTTTGAGAGTTGCTTTTGGAGGATTTTCCCATCAATGTTTATCAGTGATATTGGCCTGCAATTTTCTTTTTTTGTTGTGGCTCTGCCAGGTTTTAGTATTAGGATGATAATGGCCTCATAAAATGAGTTAGGGAGGAGTCCCTCTTTTTCAATGGTTTGGAATAGTTTCAGAAGGAATGGTGCCAGCTCCTGTTGGTACCTCTGGTAGAATTTGGCTGTGAACCCAACTGGTCTTGGGCTTTTTTGGTTGGTAGGCTATTAATTACTGCCTCAATTTCAGAACTTGTTATTGGCCTATTCAAGGATTCGACATCCTCCTGATTTAGTCTTGGGAGGGTGTATGTGTTCAGGAATTTACCCATTTCTTCTAGATTTTCTAGTTTATTTGCATAGAGGTGTTTATAGTATTCTCTGATAGTAGTAATATATTTCTGTGGGATCAGTGGTGATATCTCCTTTATCATATTTTACTGTGTCTATTTGATTCTTCTCTCTTTTCTTCTTTCTTGGTCTGGATAGTGGTCTATTATGTTAATCTTTTCAAAAGAAACAGCCCCTGGATTCATTGATTTTTTGAAGGTTTTTTTGAGTCTCTATCTCCTTAAGTTCTGCTCTCATCTTAGTTATTTCTTGTCTTCTGCTAGCTTTTAAATTTGTTTGGTCTTGCTTCTCTAGCTCTTTTAATTGTGATGTTAGGGTGTCAATTTTAGAAATTTCCTGCTTTCTCTTGTGGGCAATTAGTGCTATAAATTTCCCTCTAAACACTACTTTAGCTGTGTCCCAGACATTCTGGTACATTGTGTCTTTGTTCTCATTGGTTTCAAAGAACTTATTTATTTCTGCCTTAATTTTGTTATTTACCCAGTAGTCACTCTGGAGCAGCTTGTTCATTTTCCATGTAGTTGTGTGGTTTTGAGTGAGTTTCTTAATCCTGAGTTCTTATTTGATTGCCGTATGATCTTAGAGTCTGTTTGTTATGATTCTCATTCTCTTGTATTTGCAGAGGAGTGTTTTACTTCCAATTGTGTGGTCAATTTTAGAATAAGTGTGATGTGGTGCTAAGAAGAATGTATATTCTGTTGATTTGGGGTGGAGAGCTCTGTAGATGTCTATTAAGTCCACTTGCTCCAGAGCTGAGTTCAAGTCCTGAATATCCTTGTTAATTTTCTGTCCTCTTGATCTGTCTAATATTGACAGTGGGGTGTTAAAGTCTCCCACTATTATTGTCTGGGAGTCTAAGTCTCTTTGTAGGTCTCCAAGAATTTGCCTTATGAATCAGCATGCTCCTATATTGGGTGCATATATATTTAGGATAGTTAGCTCTTCTTGTTGCATTGATCCTTTTATCATTATATAATGCCCTTCTTTGTCTTTGTTGATCTTTGTTGGTTTAAAGTCTGTTTTATCAGAGACTAGGATTTCAACCCCTGCTATTTTTTTTTTTTTTTTTTTTTTGCTTTCCATTTGCTTGGTAAATATTCCTCAATTTCTTTATTTGAGCCTATGTGTGTCTTTGCACATGAGATAGGTCTCCTGAATACAGCACACCAGTGGTTCTTGACTCTTTATCCAATTTGCTAGTCTGTATCTTTTAATTGGGGCATTTAGCCCATTTACATTTAAGGTTAATATTGGTATGTGTGTATTTGATCCTGTCATGATGCTACCCAGTTATTTTGCCTGTTATTTGACAGCTTGTTAATGGCATTGATGGTCTTTACAATTTGGTATACTTTTGCAGTGGCTGGTATCGGTTTTTCCTTTCCATATTTAGCACTTTTTTCAGGAACTCTTGTAAGGCAGATTTAGTGATGACAAAATTTCTCAGCAATTGCTTTTCTGTAAAGAATTTTAGTTTTCCTTCGCTTATGGAGCTTAGTTTGGCTGGATATGTAATTCTGGGTTGAAAATTCTTTTCTTTAAGAATGTTGAATATTAGCCCCCACTCTCTTCTGGCTTGTTGAGTTTCTGCGGAGACATCTGCTGTTAGTCTGATGGGCTTCCCTTTGTTGGTAACACGACCTTTCTCTCTGGCTGCTCTTAACATTTTTTCCTTCATTTCAACCGTGTTGAATCTGATGACTATGTGTCTTGGGATTGCTCTTCTTGATAACTGTCTTTGTGGTGTTCTCTGTATTTCCTGAATTTGAATGTTGGCCTGCCTTGCTATGTAGGGGAAGTTCTCCTGGATAATATCTTGAAGAGTGATTTCCAACTTGGTTTCATTCTCCCTTTCACTTTTAGGCACACCAATCAAATGTAGGTTTGGTCTTTTCACATAGTCCCATATTTCTTGAAGACTTTGTTCATTCCTTTTCATTCTTTTTTCTCTAATCTTGTCTTTATACTTTATTTCATTAAGTTAATCTTCAATCTCTGATATCCTTTCTTCTATTTGATCAATTTGGCTATTGATACTTGTGCATGCTTCACAAAGTTCTCATGCTGTGTTTTTCAGCTCCATCAGGTCATTTATATTCTTCTCTAAACTTATTCTAGTTAGCAATTCCTCTAACCTTTTTTTAAAGGTTTTTATCTTCCTTGCATTGGGATAGGACATGATCCCTTAGCTCAGAGGAGTTTGTTATTACCCACCTTCTGAAGACTACTACTGTCAATTCATCAAACTCATTCTCCATCCAGTTTTGTTCCCTTGCTGGTGAGGAGTTGTGATAATTTGGAGAAGAAGTGGTGTTCTGGTTTTTGGAATTTTCAGACTTTGTGTGCTGGTTTTTCCTCATCTTTGTGGACTTATCTATTTTTGGTGTTTGATGATGGGGCCTTTGGATGGGATTTTTTGTGGATGTCCTTTTTGTTGATGGTGATGCTATTTCTTTCTGTTTGTTAGTTTTTCTCCCAACAATCAAGCCCCTATGTTGCAAGTCTGCTGGATTTTGCTGGAGGTCCACTCCAGACCCTGTTTGCTGGGTATCACCAGCGGAGTCTGCAGAACAGCAAAAATTGTTGCCTGTTCCTTTCTCTGGAAGCTTCTTCCCAGAGGTGTACCTGCCAGATGCCAGCCAGAGCTCTCCTGTATGAGGTTTCTGTCGACCTCTGCTGGGAGGCATCTCCCAGTCAGGAGGCATGGGGGTTAGGGACCCACTTGAGGAGGGAATCTGTTCCTTAGCAGAGCTTGCACTCTGTGCTGGGAGATCCATTCAGAGCCGGCAGGCAGGAACGTTTAAGTCTGCTGAAGCCGTGCCCACAGCCGCCCCTTCCCCCAGGTGCTCTGTCCCAGGGAGACGGGAGTTTTATCTATAAGCCCCTGACTGGGGCTGCTGCCTTTCTTTCAGAGATGCCCTGCTCAAAGAGGAGGAATCTAGAGAGGCAGTCTGGCTACAGTGGCTTTGCAGAGTTGTGGTGCACTCTACCCTGTTAGAAGTTCCCAGCAACTTTGTTTACACTGTGAGGAGAAAGCCGCCTACTAAAGGCTCAGTAATGGTAGACGCCCTTCCCCCCATCAAGCTTGAGTGTCCCAGATCAACTTCAGACTGCTGTTCTGGCAGCGAGAATTTCAAGCCAGTGGATCTTAGCTTGCTAGGGTCCGTGGGGGTGGGATCTGCTGAGCTACACCATTTGGCTCCTTGGCTTCAGCCCCCTTTCCAGGGGAGTGAATGGTTCTGTCTCATTGGCATTCCAGGATCCACTGGAGTAACAAAAAAAAAAAAAAAAAAAAAAAAAAAACTCCTGCAGCTAGCTTGTTGTCTGCCCAAATGGCTGCCCAGTTAGCATAAAATATTTTAAATTAAGGTATGTGTATTTTTACACATAATGCCGTTATGGAACATTTGATAGACTATAATATAAGAATAAGCATAACTTTTATATGCAACAAGAAGCCAAATAATTTGTGTGTCTTGTTTTATTGCTATATTCCCTTTATTTTGCTGATCTGGATCTAAACCGGCAATATCTCCAAGATATGCTTATGTATGCTGTCAACTACAGACTCTCTTTATATTTAATGATGAGCACAGGCTGAAAATGAAATGATAGAGAAAAATATTTCATTCAAATGATATAAAAGGGAGCAGAGTGACCATATTTATTCCAGACAAAAATAGACTTTAACTATAAAAACCTTCACAAAGAAAGATATTTTATAATAGTAAAACTGTCAATTCACCATGAAGATATAACAATTATAAATATATATAGGCACCTAACAGCCAAATATCCAAATATATGAAGCAAACTTTGACAGAATTAAAGGGATAGACAGCAACACAATAATAGTATGACATTTAAGTCCTCAACTGCTACTAATTTATAGAACCACTACACAGAAAGAATAACAAAATGGAGGACATGTGTGACACTAAGCACTAATTTGGCTTAACACATATACAGAACACTTCACTCAACAATAATAAAATATACATTCTTCTTATGTGTACACAAAATATTCTCCCTAATAGTTTACATATGTGGTCACAAAACAAATCTTATTAAATTTAAGAAGATTGAAATCATATCAAATATCTTTTCTGATACAATGGAATTAAAATGGAAATCAATAGCAGAGAGAGAACTGAAAAATACACAAATGAGTGGAAATTAAACAATGAAGTTTTGAAAAACCAATAAGTCAAAAAGAAATCACAAGGGACTTAAAAATATTTTAAACAATATCCAACAAATTAAAATGAAACACAACATACAAAAATTCATGGGATGCAGCAAAAGCATTACAAAGAGAGAAAATTTTATCAGTAAACATATGTATTTTAAAGCATTATGTTGCAAAATAATTTAAAAACCTCAAATCAGCAACCAAATTTTACCATTCAAAAACTAGAAAAAGAAACAAACTAAACCCAAGGTAGCAGAAGGAGAGCCATTATAAAGATTAGAGCAGAAATAAATAAAGTGGAAAAAAGAAATACAGTATAGAAAATCAACTAAGCAAATAGTTGGTTTATTGAAAAGATCAACAATATTGACGAAACCTTGACTAGGCTAATAAAAAAAAGTAAAATATGCAAATAAAAATTAAAAGTGAAATATTGCAGGGGGAGCCAAGATGGCCAAATAGGAACAGCTCCAGTCTACAGCTCCCAGCATGAGCGATGCAGAAGACGGGTGATTCCTGCATTTCCAACTGAGATACTGGGTTCATCTCATTGGGGAATGTCAAAAAGTGGGTGCAGGAGAGTGGGTGCAGTGCACTGAGCGTGAGCTGAAGCAGGGCGAGGCATTGCCTCACCTAGGAAGTGCAAGGGGTCAGGGAATTCCCTTTCCTAGTCAAAGAAAGGGGTGACAGATAGCATCTGGAAAATTGGGTCACTCCCACCCTAATACTGCACTTTTCCAACGGTCTTAGCAAACGGCACACCAGGAGATTATATCCTGCGCATGGCTTGGAGGGTCTTATGCCCACGGAGCCTCACTCATTGTTAGCACAGCTGTCTGAGATCAAACCGCAAGGCAGCAGTGAGGCTGGGGAGGGGCATCCGCCATTGCCAAGGCTTGAGTAGGTAGACAAAGCACCCAGGAAGCTCAAACTGGGTGGAGCCCACCGCAGCTCAAAGAGGCCTGCCTGCCTTTGTAGGCTCCGCCACTGGGGGCAGGGCATAGCCAAACAAAAGGCAGCAGAATCCTCTGCAGACTTAAATATCCCTGTCTGACAGCTTTGAAGAGAGCAGTGGTTCTCCAAGCACACAGCTGGAGATCTGAGAATGGACAGACTGTCTCCTCAAGTGGGTCCCTGTCCTCCGAGTAGCCTAACTGAGAGGCACCCCCCAGTAGGGGCAGACTGACACCTCACACGGCCAGGTACTCCTCTGAGACAAAACTTCCAGAGGAACGATCAGGCAGCAATATTTGCTGCTCACCAATATCCGCTGTTCTGCAGCCTCCACTGCTGATACCCAGGCAAACAGGGTCTGGAGTGGACCTCCAGCAAACTCCAACAGACCAGCAGCTGAGGGTTCTGACTGTTAGAAGGAAAATTAACAAACAAAAAGGACATCCACACCAAAACCCCATCTGTACATCACCATCATCAAAGACCAAAGGTAGATAAAATCATAAAGATGGGGAAAAAACAGAGCAGAAAAACTGGAAACTCTAAAAATCAGAGTGACTCTCTTCTTCCAAAGGAATACAGCTCCTTACAAGCAACAGAACAAAGCTGGATTGAGAATGACTTTGATGAGTTGAGAGAAGAAGGCTTCAGATGATCAAACTACTCCAAGCTAAAGGAGGAAGTTCGAACCCATGGCAAAGAAGTTAAAAACCTTGAAAAAAAATTAGATGAATGGCTAACTAAAATAACCAATGCAGAGCAGTCCTTAAAGGACCTGATGGATCTGAAAACCAAGGTACGAGAACTACATGATGAATGCACAAGCCTCAGTAGCCAATTCGATCAACTGGAAGAAAGGGTATCAAGGATGGAAGATCAAATGAATGAAATGAAGCTAGAAGAGAAGTTTAGAGAAAAAAGAATAAAAAGAAACGAGCAAAGCCTCCAAGAAATATAGGACTATGTGAAAAGACCAAATCTATGTCTGATTGATATACCTGAAAGTAATGGGGAGAATGGAATCAAGTTGGAAAACACTCTGCAGGATATTATCCAGGAGAACTTCCCTAATCTAGCAAGGCAGGCCAACATTCAAATTCAGGAAATACAGAGAACACCACAAAGATACTCCTCGAGAAGAGCAACTCCAAGACACATAATTGTCAGATTCACCAAAGTTGAAATGAAGGAAAAAATGTTAAGGGCAGCCAGAGAGAAAGGTCGGGTTACCCACAAAGGGAAGTCCATTAGACTAACAGCTGATCTCTCGGTGGAAACTCTGCAAGCCAGAAGAGACTGGGGGCCAATATTAAACATTCTTAAAGAAAAGAATTTTCAACTCAGAATTTCATATCCAGCCAAACTAAGCTTCATAAGTGAAGGAGAAATAAAATACTTTACAGACAAGCAAATGCTGAGAGATTTTGTCACCACCAGGCCTGCACTAAAAGAGCTCCTGAAGGAAGCACTAAACATGGAAAGGAAAAACCAGTACCAGCCACTGCAAAAACATGCCAAATTGTAAAGACCATCGAGGCTAGGAAGAAACTGCATCAACTAACGAGCAAAATAACCAGCTAACATCATAATGACAGGATGAAATCCACACACAACAATATTAACCTTAAATGTAAATGGGCTAAATGCTCCAATTAAAAGACACAGACTGGCAAATTGGATAAAGAGTCAAGACCCATCAGTGTGCTGTATTCAGGAAACCCACCTCACGTGCAGAGACACACATAGGCTCAAAATAAAGGGATCGAGGAAGATCTACCAAGCAAATGGAAAACAAAAAAAGGCAGAGGTTGCAATCCTAGTCTCTGATAAAACAGACTTTAAACCAACAAAGATGAAAAGAGACAAAGAAGGCCATTACATAATGGTAAAGGGATCAATTCAACAAGAAGATCTAACTATCCTAAATATGCATGGACTGAATACAGGAGCACCCAGATTCATAAAGCAAGTCCTTAGAGACCTACAAAGAGACTTAGACTCCCACACAATAATAATGGGAGACTTTAACACTACGCTGTCAACATGAGACAGGTCAATGAGACAGAAAGTTAACAAGGATATCCAGGAATTGAACTCAGCTCTGCACCAAGCAGACCTAATAGACATCTACAGAACTCTCCACCCCAAACAACAGAATATACATTCTTTTCAACACTACACCACACCTATTCCAAAATTGACCACATAGTTGGAAGTAAAGCACTCCTCAGCAAATGTAAAAGAACAGAAATTATAACAAACTCTCTCTCAGACCACAGTGCAATCAAACTAGAACTCAGGATTAAGAAACTCAGTCAAAACCGCTCAACTACATGGAAACTGAACAACCTGCTCCTGAATGACTACTGGGTATATAACTAAATGAAGGCAGAAATAAAGATGTTCTTTAAAACCAATGAGAAGAAAGACACAACATGCCAGAATCTTTGGGACACATTCAAAGCTGTGTGTAGAGGGAAATTTATAGCACTAAATGCCCACAAGAGAAAGCAGGAAAGTTCTAAAATTGACACCCTAACATCACAGTTAAAAGAAATAGAGAAGCCAGAGAAAACACATTCAATAGTTAGCAGAAAGCAAGAAATAACTAAGATCAGAGCAGAAATGAAGGAAATAGAGACACAAAAAACTGTTCAAAAAATCAATGAATCCAGGAGCTGGTTTTTTGAAAATATCAACAAAATTGATAGACCGCTAGCAAGACTAATAAAGAAGAAAAGAGAGAAGAATCAAATAGATGCAATACAAAATGATAAAGGGGATATCACCACCGATCCCACAGAAATACAAACTACCATCAGAGAATATTATAAACACCTCTACGCAAAAAAACTAGAAAACCTAGAAGAAATGGATAAATTCCTCGACATATACACCCTCCCAAGACTAAACCAGGAAGAAGTTGAATCTCTTAATAGACCAAAAACAGGCTCTGAAATTGTGGCAATAATTAATAGCTTACCAACCAAAAAAAGTCCAGGACCAGATGGATTCACAGTTGAATTCTACCAGAGGTACAAAGAGGAGCTGGTACCATTCCTTCTGAAACTATTCCAATCAATAGAAAAAGAGGGAATCCTCCCTAACTCATTTTATGAGGCCAGCATCATCCTGATAACAAAGGCTGGCAGAGACACGACAAAAAAAGACAATTTAAGACCAATATCCCTCATGAACATCGATGCAAAAATCCTCAATAAAATACTGGCAAACCAAATCCAGCAGCACATCAAAAAGCTTATCCAACATGATCAAGTGGGCTTCATCCCTGGGATGCAAGGCTGGCTCAACATATGCAAATCAATGAATGTAATCCAGCATATAAACAGAACCAACAACAAAAACCATATGATTATGTCAATAGATGCAAAAAAGGCCTTTGACAAAATTCAACAACCCTTCATGCTAAAAACTCTCAATAAATTAGTTATTGATGGGATGTATCTCAAAGAAATAAGAGCTATCTATGACAAACCCACAGCCAATAGTCTACTGAATGAGCAAAAACTGGAAGCATTCCCTTTGAATACTGGCACAAGACAGGGATGCTCTCTCACCACTCCTATTCAACATAGTGTTGGAAGCTCTGCACAGGACAATCAGGCAGGAGAAGGAAATAAAGGGTATTCAATTAGGAAAAGAGGAAGTCAAATTGTCCCTGCTTGCAGATGACATGATTGTATATTTAGAAAACCCCATCATCTCAGCCCAAAATCTCCTTAAGCTGATAGGTAACTTCAGCAAAGTCTCAGGATACAAAATCAATGTGCAAAACTCACAAGCCTTCTTACACACCAATAACAGACAAACAGAGAGCCAAATCATAAGTGAACTCCCATTCACAATTGCTTCAAAGAGAATAAAATACCTAGGAATCCAACTTAGAAAGGATGTGAAGGACCTCTTCAAGGAGAACTACACACCACTGCTCAATGAAATACAAGAGGATACAAACAAATGGAAGAACATTCCATGCTCATGGGTAGGAAGAATCAATATCGTGAAAATGGCCATACTGCCCAAGGTAATTTATAGATTCAATGCCATCCCCATCAAGCTACCGATGAGTTTCTTCACAGAATTGGAAAAAACTACTTTAAAGTTCATGTGGAACCAAAAAAGAGTCCGCATCGCCAAGTCAATCCTAAGCCAAAAGAACAAAGCTGGAGGCATCACGCTACCTGACTTCAAACTACAAGGCTACAGTAACCAAAACAGCATGGTACTGGTACCAAAACAGAGATAGAGACCAATGGAACAGAACAGAGCCCTCAGAAATAATGCTGCATATCTACAACTATCTGATCTTTGACAAACCTGACAAAAACAAGCAATGGGGAAAGGATTCCCTATTTAATAAATGGTGCTGGGAGAACTGGCTAGCCATATGTAGAAAGCTGAAACTGGATCCCTTCCATAAACCTTATACAAAAATTAATTCAAGGTAGATTAAAGACTTAAATGTTAGACCTAAAACCATAAAAACCCTAGAAGAAAACCTAAGCAATACCATTCAGGACATAGGCATGGGCAAGGACTTCATGTCTAAAACACCAAAAGCAATGGCAACAAAAGCCAATATTGACAAATGGGATCTAATTAAACTAAAGAGCTTCTGCACAGCAAAAGAAACCACCATCAGAGTGAACAGGCAGCCTACAGAAGGGGAGAAAATTTTTGCAATCTACTTATCTGAAAAAGGGCTAATATCCAGAATCTACAATGAACTCAAACAAATTTACAAGAAAAAAACAAACAATCCCATCAAAATGTGGGTGAAAGATATGGACAGATACTTCTTGAAAGAAGACATTTATGCCACCAACAGACAAATGAAAAAATGCTCATCATCACTGGCCATCAGAGAAATGCAAATCAAAACCACAATGAGATACCATCTCACACCAGTTAGAATGGCGATCATTAAAAAGTCAGGAAACAACAGGTGCTGGAGAGGATGTGGAGAAATAGGAAAACTTTACATCGTTGGTGGGACTGTAAACTAGTTCAACCATTGTGGAAGTCAGTGTGGCGATTCCTCAGGGATCTAGAACTAGAAATACCATTTGACCCAGCAATCCCATTACTGGGTATATACCCAAAGGATTATAAGTCATGCTGCTATAAAGACACATGCACACGTATGTTTATTGTGGCACTATTCACAATAGCAAAGACTTGGAACCAAGCCAAATATCCAACAATGATAGACTGGATTAAGAAAATGTGGCACATATACACCATGGAATACTATGCAGCCATAAAAAATGATGAGTTCATGTCTTTTGTAAGGACATGGATGAAACTGGAAACCATAAAATTCTCAGCAAATTATCGCAAGGACAAAAAACCAAACACTGCTTGTTCTCACTCATAGGTAGGAACTGAACAGTGAGAACACATGAACACAGGAAGGGGAACATCACATACCGTAGCCTGTTGAGGGGAGTGGGGAGTGGGGAGGGATAGCATTAGGAGATATATCTAACGTTAAATGATGAGTTAATGGGGGCAGCATACCAACATGGCACATGTATACATATGTAACTAACCTGCACGTTGTGTACATGTACCCTAAAACTTAAAGTATAATAAAAAAAAAGAAATGAAGGTGGGAATTGAACAATGAGAACACATGGACACAGGAAGGGGAACATCACACACCAGGGCTTGTTTGGGGGTGTGGGGAGGGGGAAGGGATAACATTAGGAGATACACCTAATGTTAAATGATGAGTTAATGGGTGCAGCACACCAACATGGCACATGTATACTTATGTAGCTAACCTGCACGTTGTGCACATGTACCCTAAAACTTAAAGTATAATTAAAAAAAAAGAAATGAAATAGTAGACATTACAACTGATGCCACAAAAACCAAAATGATTGTTAAAGAGTAATATGGACAATTATGTGCCAACAAACTGAATAATCTAGAAAAAATAGATAACCTTCTAGAAATATGTGACATACCAACAATCAATTATGAAGAAACAAAAAATACAGACAGACATAGAACTAGTAAGGAAATTGAATCATTAATAAATTCCTCACAAAATACGAAGGGCCCATGACCAGATGGTTTTACTGTAGAACTTTACCAAGCATTTAAAGAGGAATTAGCACTGATCTTTCTCATACTCTTTCAAAAAAATTTGATGAGGGGAAAGCAGTTTCCAGCTTGAAGTGAACATTACCCAGATACTGAAACCAAGCAAAGATACTACAAAAAATAAAACTACAAACCAATATTCCTGATGAATATTAATGCAAAGGTCCTCAAAAAGATACTAAAAAACTGAATTCAACTACAAATTTAAAAGATTATACACCATGATCAAGTGTGACTTATTCCTGAAATGCAAGGATGGTTCAACATGAAAAAAAATCTATCTATGTAATTAACACATCACAATAACAGAATGGCAGAAAAAAAAATCCCACATAGACACCTCAGTTGATGAAGAAAAAAGCATTTGCCAAATTCAATATTTTCACAATTTAAAACATAATACATTTTACAAACTAGGAATAGAAGGAAATTACCTCTACATAATAAAGGTCATTCATATATAAAAAGCCCATAGCTAACATTATACTGAATAATGGAAAACTGAAAGCTTTCCCTCTAAGATTAAGAATAAGGCAAGGATGCCCACTCTCAAGTCTTCTATTCAACATACAACCAAAAGTTCTAGCCAGAAGCAATTAGGCAAGACTAAGAAATAAAAGTCACCCAAATTCAAATGAAGAAGTAAAATTATCTTTGTTTGCAGATATGAGCTTATATGTAGAAAACTCTAAAGTTTAAACACACACACAAAAATGTTAGATCTAATAAACAAGTTTAAGGAAGTTGCAGAATAGACAACATAAAAATTCAGTTGTTTCTATCCATTAACAATAAAAAAACAATTTTATTGATAATAGCATCAAAAAGAATAATTAGGAATAATCTCACCCAAAATTTTAAAGACTTTACACTGAAAACCACAAAATATCATTGAGAAATTAAAGATGAAACAAATAAATAGAAAGACATCCCATGCTGATACACTGGAAGAATTAATATTGTTAAAATGTTCATGCTAAGCAATGCAATCTACAGGTTCAATGCAATCCCTATCAAAATCTCTATGGTATTATTTTGCAGAAATAGAAAAACTATCCTAAACTTCATACAAAACCTCAACGAATTCTGAATAGTCAAAAATTCTTGAGAAAGAAAAACAGAGCTGGGGCTTTACACTTTCTGAACTCAAGATACATTACAAAGCTGCAATAATAAAAACAATGTGGTACTGGCATTAATGCAGACACATAGAACAATGGAACGGAATAATCCCAAAATTAACCCTCAATATGTGATGAAATTATTTTAAACAAACATGTTAAGGTTATACAATAGGGAAAGAATAGTCTTCTCTTCAATTAATTATATTGGGAAAACTGGATATCCTCATGCAAAAGAATGTTGGGCACTTACCTTATACTATGTATAAAAATTGACTCAACACAAATCAAATACCTAAACATTAGATTTGAGCTGTAAAAAATCCTAGCAGAAAAATTAGAGAAAAATCTTTATGACATTGGATTTGGCAATTATTTTCTGAATATGACACCAAAAACACAGGCATTAGAAGCAAAAATAGACTTGACTACAGAAGAATTAAAAATTTTGTAAAATAAATAAAATGATCAACAGAGTGAAACAGCAACCTTTGAAATGGGAGAAAATATTTTCAAACCATATGTCTGGTAATACGTTAATAGCCAGAGTATCTGAAGAATTCTTACAACTCAACAACAGCAAAACAAATAACCAGATTTAAAACTGGATAGTAGACTTGAATAGACATGTCTTCAAAGAAAATATGCAAATGGCCAATAAATATGTGAAAAGACGCTTAAGATTACTGATTATCAGGGAAATTCAAATCAAAACCACAGTGAATTATCATCTGACAACAATTAGAATGGCCACTATCAAAACCAAAACAAAACAAAGCAAAAAAACAGAAAATAAGAAGTGCTGGTGAGGATATGTAGAAATTGGAAGCTTTGCCTGTTACTTAAGAGTGTAAAATGATGCAGCTACTATGGAAAACAGTATGGTCATTCTTCAAAAAATTAAAAATAGAATTAACATATGATCCAGGAATCCCACTTCTGAGTATGTATCCAAAATAACCGAAAGCAGAGTTGTGAATGATATTTGTACACTCATGTTCATTGTAGCATTATTCACAATAACAAAGATGTGGAACCAATCTAAATGCTCACTGTTTGAGGGCTGAATAAAGAATATGTGGTATATGCATATGAAAGAATGTTATTCATTCTTAAATAGGAATGAAATTTTGTCCTATTCTACAACATAGATGAGTCTTAAGGACATTATGCTAAATGAAATAAGCTAATCACCAAAAGAAAATACTGGATTATTCCAAGTGCATAAGGTGTCTAAAGTAGTCAAATTCTTATAAACAAAATACAATGGTGTTTGCCAGTGGGTGGGTCTGGGGAAAATAGGGAATTGTTTAAGGGGTATAGAATTTCCATTTTGCAATATCAAAAGTTTCTGGTGATATGTTACGCAATAATGTACATAGACTTAAGGCTACTCTTCTGAACACTTAAAATGGTAAAGATGGTAAATTTTATGTTATGTGTTATTTACCACAATAAATAACATGCTCACTTTGGAAATAAATTTCACAATTTATTTATTTTAATTAATTATTTATTTATTTTTGAGATGGGGTCTTACTCAGCTCACTGCATCCTCAGCCTACCAGGCTCAAGCCATCCTCTCACCTCAGACTCCCAAGTAGCTGGAACCACAGGCACATGCTACCATGCCTGGCTATTTTGGGGTTTTTTTGTATTTTTGGTAGAGATGGCATTTTGCCATGTTGTTCAAGTTGGTCTTGAACTCCTGAGCTTAGGTGATCTGCCGGCCTCAGCCTCTCAAAATGCTGGGATTACACGCATGGGCCACTGCACCCCACCTAAATTCGGCAATTTATTAACAAGTTAATTATACATCTTTCTAGTCACTCAGCAATTCAATTCTTAAGTACTTATTGTAATAAAATAAAATTACAAAACTGCCAAAAGCCTTATACAAGAAGCTTCCAGTGATGGGATTGCTGGGTCAAATGGTATATACCCAATACATATAAATCATTCTATTATAAAGACGCATGCATGTGTATGTTCATTGCAGCACTATTCACAATAGTAAAGACATAGAATCAACCTAAATGCCTATTAGTGTTAGACTGGATAACAAAAATGTTGTACATATACACCATGGAATACTATGTCACCATAAAAAAGAACGAGATCATGTCCACTGCAGGGACATGGATGGATGGAGCTGGAGGCCATTATCCCTAGCAAACTAACACAGGAACAGAAAACCAAATACTTCACATTCTCACTTACAAGTGAGAGCTATTTGATGAGAACACATAGACAAATAGAGGAGAACCACACACACTGTGGCCTTTCAGTGGGATGTAGGGTGGGAGGAGGGACAGGATCAGGATAAATAACTAATGGGTACTAATTTCAATAACTGGTTTGTGTACAACGAACCCCCATGACAAAAGTTTACCTATGTTACAACCCTGCATTTGTACCCCTGAACTTAAAATAAAAGTTAAATAAAAGAACGTTTCCAGCAGCTTTATTTATTATAGCAAAATACTGGGAACAGTGCTGGTATCTTCAACAGAAAGATGCATTAATAAATGTAGTACATTCATACAATGGAATAATAAACAGCAAAATAAACAGCAATATAAATGAACAAACTAAGAAATATGTGAATCTAAGAAATAAGTGAATCTGAAGGAAATTATTCATAATGAAAGACGCCAGAATAAAAAATTAAGTATAATTCCATTCTGTAAAGTTCTAGAAGAGGCAAAATAATGTATGAAGAAGAGAGTGTAAGTGAGTAGTCATTTCTGGGCTGTTATTTACTGGGAACAGTTTTATGATTGTAAGAAGTGGATTAAGCAAATGTGTGCCTTTTCAGAACTGATCCGACTGTGCAAGATCTTTGTATTTTATTGCATACAAATTATGTCTCAGTGAAACATATATTATTCTTCAATTTTTCAGCAAAAGCATTAGATAATATACATTTCATTTTAGAAAATGGAACATGAAAATAAAATTGACAAATAACTTTTTAAGTAGTTCTATGTAAATTAGTACATTCCCTCAAAGGCAAACGCTTTTTTTCATCTTCTCTCATCAGAATAACTTAAGCACATATTCTTGTTTAGTATTAATTTTTAGTTAGAGAAAATACATTCACCAAATATTCTGATGAAATTTAATAGACATGCATAATGCATACATGATATTTGATATGCCTATTTTTAAAACAAATAATACTTCTCCAATTGTAGGTTAGAAAAAACTGTAATGTGGTGAATCTATTCTTCAAGAAAAATAACATCTGTTCCCTTTTCATAAAGGTTAGTAGAACACTTTGTAATATAAAAATGTTTACAGTCAGGCAAAAATCTCAACTTTAAGAAGAAATCACCAATTATTGTCAAAATAATAATTATGTAACTATAATGATGTGAGCACTTTTATCTATTCTTTATAAATGCTTACATGCACAATCTTCATTCAATGGGAGTTTGAGGAAAGCAGGTGCTCTTTTTAAAAATGACACTGTTAGAGTCACTTCTTCTCCAGCATTCCGAAGAACCTGAACCTGAAAAAAAGAATAAAAAGAATACAATCATCATTACATTTATCATGTTATATGATGGCAAAGCCTTGAAATTATTGGTTGTTTCTTCCACCTTCCATTTTTCCCTAGTATTCAGAAACATTTTATAAAAGATAGAGGGAGCTAATTATTTATCATTGCAGTAAGAGCCATCAATGTTCATCCTCTTGTCACATTCTGTGATCACCTGTTTATACACAACGTGAATCTTCCATTCATACTTGTTGAGGTCTTCCTGAGTTTATGCTCTATATTAGGCAATATGAGGAATCAAGAAGTCCACAGAAAGGCAGATAGAATGTTCAGGTCACTGTATTTATTGGTAAATTATTAATAATTGTTGAGCACCTATTTTGCACCAATAAATTGGATAAGCTTTGGAGCATATGTTATGTAACATAAAATAAGCTAAGATGTAAGAGAAAATGATTCGAAAAGCATAAAAATCTGATTCTGCCAATATTGACCAGAGTACTAATTCAGATTAAAGCAAATTGACCCAATTCACTCTAATCCTCTTGCAAAAAATAAATAGGCATTACATATTCTACTTAATATTTTCTTTTCTTTCCCCTGCAAACCTGTTATTATCAATAGCATCAGTTGTAATATAATGTTGAAGTCTGTTATTATCAATAACTCTCAACATTTTTTAAAATACAGAATTAGTAAGTCTAGTTCTTCCAGTTAAAATAATTTCAATTTCTCCAAGAATCATATCCAAAAATATAAGCCATGTGCAAATTTTAAAATTTAAAAAAAATTAAAAGAACAAGAAGTTGAAGAGTTACTTATAGCAAACACACCTGAAAAAGATATTAATATGTTTATAATTTTAAACTATCATGTAAAATGAGACAAGAATAATCAGTGAAAAAGCAGTTAATAAACATGGAAATATATCTTGTTAAATACATAGAAAACTTGTTCAACCGCAATTAAAGAATTGGCTACTTGAAACCAATTTAGAATGACTTCTGGCCCTGACAAGATGGCACAGATGGCTGGGCATGGTGGCTCATGCCTGCAATCCCAGCACTTTGGGAGACCGAGGCAGGTGGATCATCTGAGGTCTGGAGTTCGAGACCAGCCTAGCCAAAATGGTGAAACCCCGTCTCTGCTAAAAATACAAAAAAAAAAAAAAAAAATAAAAAAAAATAACCGGTCTTCGTGGCAGGCGTCTGTAATCCTAGCTACTCGGGAGGCTAAGGCAGGAGAATCGTTTGAACCTGGGAGGCGGAGGTTGCAGCGAGCTGAGACCGCACCTCTGCACTCCAGCCTGGGCAGCAAGAGCAAAACTCCGTGAAAAAAAAAAAAAAAAAAAAAAAAAAAAACGCACAGGCTCATCTCTCTCTGCTCCTCCCCAAGAAGTACAACTGTAAACACTGAAGAAAATACAAAAGACAACCAAATAAGAACTCTGAAAGACAGAAGGAGAAGGAAAATCTGATTGGGGTCTCAGGCCAGCACTGGACAGCACAGAGGCCGGATACCTTACCTGCTCCACCAGAGGAACACCAAACAGGCCGGGCACTTTCTCAGCCCCATCATTAAAACAGAAAGCACGCTATATAGGCTCATACCACCTCTGGATTGTAAAGGAGCCGCACTAATACCAGGCAAGGCAGCAAACATCAGTGAGCGGTGACAACGGGAAGCCAGCAGAAGTGCTAGCCTTCCCCCTGGGCCTCAGAACACTCTGCCCCACTCAGAGGCACTGTGTAACTAGGATCATTGGCAGGGGTACCTCCTCATACGTGCCCAGTGAGGGAGGCCACTTTGTCAAGGTCCTGAGACTATCCTCCTCTGCCTAGAGACACCATCCTAGTGGAGAGTACCAGCAAAGATAGACCTGCTCCAAGGTCCCCATTATCCTACCTCCTCTACAGCAGGGAGGAACCCTCCATAACCAGCACTGACCTGGGAAAGCTTTTTCCATCCCTTCAAACAATCCCAGCAGGGAACAGTGGGTGCCCAGTGACACGAGATAAATCAGTCAGAACAAAGCAGCACCAAACAGCTCTAAAACATATATTGTAAATGGAACCATGGACCACAAACCCGTGAGCTAAACGGTAAATTTCTGCTTAAAAAAAGAAATCTCAAGTAAGAGGCAGAGTCACCTAATATAATAAACAAAATGACCAGGATATAGTAAAAAGTATATGTCATATTGAGAATCAGAAAAATCACAATTTTAAAGGGAAGAAATAATCTACTAATGCCAATGAGATAAATCACATATTGGAACTCTCTGACAAGGATTTTGAAGCAATCAACAAAAATGTTGCCATAAGAAATTACAAGCTTTTTGATTCAAGTGAAAAATTATAAAATTTCAGCCAAAAAAGTTATGTTATAATATCCAAATAGATATTATACAAATATTTTTTCATAAATTTTAAAATCACTTGGGAATAGTTCAATAACAAAGTAGGAATGAGAGAGAGTAGAATTAACAAAGATGAGGACAGAATAATAGAATTCACCCTATCTGAACAATAGAGTATATAGACCAAAAAAAAAAAAGAAAAAGTAACCTGAAGGATAGTAACAAAATGTATAAAATGCATATCATATGAGTCATAGAGGAGAGGAGAAAGAAGAGGGACTGAAAGAATATTTAAACATATAATGTCTGAAAATTTCTCCAATTGGATGACAGACATGAGCCCACAGATTTAAGAAGCTTAACAAACCTCAAAAGAATCCTGCCAAATAAATCTACGCTAAGACACATCATAATAAAAATATTGCAAACTAAAGATAAAAAGGAACAAACTTTTAAAACTTTTAAAAGGAGCCAGATAAAGGACTTATGTAAACATTATTAAATATTTTAACAAATCAAACAATACAACATGATCAATGCAAATCAGATAATACAAAATGATCAAATGGAGTTTAATCCAGGAATACAAGGTTGGTTTAACATTAGAAGATCAACTGGTGTAATTAACCACATAAAAACCTAAGTTGAAATATCAAAAAATATTTGTCAATATTCAAAATTCATATCTGTTGAACACTTTAAGCAAAGTAATGGTAGAACGGAACTTCCTCAAACTGGCATAGGGAAGCTATAAAAAAAAAACCTACAGGTAATATCATTACTAAATAGTAAAAGACTAAAGGCCTTAACGACCTAAGTTTAGAAAAAATAAAAGAGTGTCCACACTGTCTACTTTTAGTCAACATTTCCATAAAGGTACTAGGCAGGACAATATAGAGAAAAAATTTAGGTATCTATATTTGGAAAGAAGGAATAAAAGCCTCTATCTGCAGATGACATGATGGCTTACAAAAAGTGCACTAGAATCTACCAAAAAAAAAAAAAGCTCCTGGAACTAATCATAACTAATCTTTCTAGCAGAGTTTCAGGAAATAAGATAAATATAAAATAATCACATTTCTTTATAAACAATCAGAATTTCTAGTTTAAAAAAACTATAAAATCACCAAAACCATGAAATATTTATGTATCAATCTAACAAAAGTAGTAAAAGCCCTGTATACAAAACATTGCTATGAGTAATTTTTAAACATTTAAATATATGTGTCACAAGACTCAATATTTATCAAACCCATATGGAAATCCCAGCAGACTTTTTTATAAAAATTGACAAACTGTTATTAAAATTCATGTGGAAATTTAAAAAATCCAGGATAACCAAACCACCTTTGGAAAATCAAAGCAAAGCTATTAAACCAACATCGTTTGATTTTAAGAGATATAAAGAAACTATAATCATCAAGACATTGTGTTATCAAAAAGATAGATAAAGCAAAATAAAATAATAATGTAACATGATATAATGTAATATAATTAATATAATATATGTCCAGAAATAAATGCAAACAAAAATAAACAACAATTTTTCAACAATGTTGCAATGGAGTAGAGAAAGTAAAATCTTTTTAACAAATTGTGCTGGAACTATTTCAAATCCTCATTAGAAAAGAAAAGGAGCTTTGAGCTATACCTTACACGACATACTAATACTAACTCAGAGTGAATCAATTACCTGAATGTAAAGTCTAAGCTTATAAAACTTCTAAAAGTAAACTTTGGAGAAAACCGTTGTGGCATTAAGGCAGGATTTATTTTTGTAGTTATTAATCCAAAAGTACATCCAATAAAAACACAAATTGTTAAGTTGGGAGTAATCAAAATTGAACCATTCTTTTCTATGCAACATACTTTTAAGAAAGTCACAAACTTTGAGAAAATATTTGTAAATCTTTTTCTGATAAATAATATATACTTGGAATATGTTTCAGAACACTCAAAACTCAATAATAATACAAACGCCTAATAAAACATGAGGAAAAATCTTAGGCAGGTATATCCTTGAACTTATGTTCAAGGCAAATTAGTGCATTAAAATATGCTTAACATAATAGCAATTAGTGAAATGTAAATTAAAACTATAATGAGATACCACTATAAATCTTCTGAAATGTCTAAATTATGTATGTCTCACATACTAAGTGTGTGTAAGGTTTTGGAGGAACTGGAATGCTTAGAGACTAAGAATTAAAACTGAAAATGTCACAATGATTTTGGAAAATAATTTAGCAATTTCATAAAATTGAAACAAGCCATACTACATGATCTAGTAAATTAATTTTTAGAAATTTATCCAAGAGAAATCAGAGTAAATGTACTTACAAATACTTTTCATGAATATTCATAGCAGCTGTATTTTTAATCAGAAAATTTAGAAAACTCAAATGTCCATCAAAAAGTAAATGGGTAGACAAACTGAGATATATCCTTATAATGGAATGTGACTCCACATAACAAGAAAAAAAGCAATGAGTGATGGGTACATGATACCAGGTGAATAAATATAAAATAATTATATTTAGTGAAAGAAGCCAGAAAACATACTATTATATGATTACATTTACATAAAATTGTAGAAAATGTAAACAAATGTATAGCGCCACAAAGCAGATTAGTGATTGTTCAGGGAATGGGGAGAAGAGAAGAGGCAGAAGGACAGATTATACAGTGGCAAGATTAAACTTTTAGGGTAAATGAGTATTTTATTACCTTGATTGTGTTGGTGGGTATTCTATGTCATGGATTGCTGGACACAGTACTGTGAAGATAACAATTCTGCCCTATTTTTCTATAGATTTAGGACAATCTCATTGAAATTTCCAGTGTTTTTTCTTTTGCTTTTTTTGGCTTAGAATGAATTTATGAACTTGGCTTATGTATTTGTATTGACATTATATTATAACCTCTATATATTGATATAATCAATATTATGTGACTCTATTGGGAATTTCTGATAAATTAAAATATATGGGGCAGTGGAAAAAATAGCTAAGTACTCATATTCTATATTAAGTGTACAATAGATAATATCTAGGATTAAACAAAAAGAAATAATGGTATGAAAATCAATTTTGAATAAGTATATAAATATGGGAATATGTAAATATGGGTATAGATATGGGAAAAATATGACATGTATTGGTTAAATATGGTTGCCTATGAAATAGGCACTGGGCAGTTGCTTTACTTTTAAAGCTTTATATTTGTGCTTCAATCTTAAAGTTTTTTTCAAGTATAAGTGAAAAATATAAGAACGTTAAACAATAATAAAATCTCACCCTAAAGAGATAATGAGTTTTTAAAATATAAGGTCACTTATGAGTATCTGTGTAATCATAATTTTAAGTCTTTGACAAATACACATTTCTTAATTAATGCAGGCTTATTAATCTTTTCAGGGAATAGGATTGAGATAGTGTTTTTTTTTTCAATTTTTCTTCTATGCTTTAAATGCATATTATATCAGACTGATACTGTCAGGTTGGAAAATACAGGTTCTATATCTTGAATAATAATGAACGAATTATTCCTGCCAAATAAGAAATAACCAATAAATCCAGTTGTCCTTTTTACTTTCACTCACATTTCATAATTCAAATAAAATGTTGTGAATTTTAATCAGATAAAGTATTAGCACAGTTATTCTCTCAAACTGCTATAGATGAGTACCCAAGCAAGAGGGTTGATAAATGGTGACAATCAATAAGAATAGAAAAGAGAAATTAAATTCAAATAGATATTTATGTGTTTAATATTAAAACCACTACAAATCTAATGACTCAGTTCATGAACTGAAAGCTCTTAAGTTCCATTCATCTATTAAGAAGAAAAGTTCATACAACATTTTTTGGTTCTTTGCCCTTTCTGGTTTCCTCTTGGAGGCCATTCTAACGTCTATGAGATTCTAAGGAGGAATTTAGCTACCTGCCACTGCTCTGCAATATAAAGCCAAGGATACCCATAGCTGAGCTTGCTTTTAATTGATAAAAAGAGGGCACTGCTGCTTTGTCTAGGCATATTTTAAGCACACATCAGGAAACACGCACACACCTCCCTTCACAGACAGCAAGGGCAGGAAGATTAGCTTGTGAGGATCATAGTTAACTGGCCTCATATGATGTCAGGGAATCAAGTAAGATTTTGATCTTAAGAGAGTCAGATTGACGTATTTCTGCCCGCCAGTAACAATGATGGAAAACGGTCACTTAGATATTGGACTCATCCCACTTGACATAGTAAATTATTTTCTTATTCTGGATCCTATCTGAAAAGGATCTTAAACATGACTTTGAGGGTTGATTTTGAAACAGGTCACTTTACAGATAAAATAACTAGGCTAATCTAGAAACTATAACACACTTTACTGTTCACTCTAAAATACTGACTATACGTGGAAACCAAATAAATGTATCTTTTTTTATGCAGTCATTTACGAACTGAAGGAAAAATAAGAACTTGGCTTTTTACAGGAACTACTGGGTGACAGCTTTGGTTGAAACGGTAATGTAAAGGCTTTCATGCCAGTGTTAGGGAGTCCTCCTGCCATTTGTGTGTCTACCAGCACATTCATGTTTCCAGAGGAGTCTTCTGGTGGCAGGGTGAGGGAGCATACTACCCTTCTGTGGTTTCCTGCAGGTATATACATTCACAACTGCAGATTGCTCACAGGGTCATGGCAGTTGCTAGCCATGGGCAGGAGATAAGGCCTTCTTAAGAGAGAAGCATTTGAGCAAGAAATGAGTCTGTAATATTCACAAGAGCTGTTACTGTTGGATTGGAAAGTAAATCAAGTGTAGCAGCAGAAATTACCCAGCTGGAAAGTAGGGTATAGAGCTGCATCTAAGAAAACCTTATCACATAACTTTTGGAAGTAGTGGGTTAATCAACTATGTGAAGTCAAATATAATTGGGAACGTGGAGGAAATAACTCAAAAAAAAAAAAAAAAGAATTTGACATGATTGAGTCACATCAGCTCTCATCTTGGTTGCTGCAACCACAGGATACAGGACAGAGCTGGAAAAGCTAGAAATACATCACATTAGGGATGGGGAGTCAGATTATCGTCAACATAATAGTTCAAGGAAGGTAATGTGATGTTCCTGGGGAGGCATTGTATGTATTCATTCACTTTATTATTTTTTTCTGCATTTTAATTTTTAAAAATACTTCATAAATATGTAGAAATGACATAGGAATCTTTCAATAGGCATTTCTAGTCTAAATTTTATGTCGTTTAAAATGAAAAGTCCCAACAAGAAGGTCCATCTGGTTATATGATGAAAGAAAGAACTATGAATAGTTTAAAATTTCACAATTCCTAAAATTTCACAATTCCTAAAATTTCAGCCTAAAATAATGTATAATTATGCAATAATGTTTGATTTTGATAATTATTTATTACAATTAAGAATGCAGTTTCAGCTCTCAGCTCTAATAAAAATAACAAATCTTAGTGAAACTAATCATAATACAATAATAATAAATCACTGAATTTCAATATAGAAAAGAGCCACCTATTTTAGTTAGAAAAGAATATTGAAACATTTGATAAAATTGTACTTATTTAAGGTAATGACAATATTTAAGGCTATGACTGAAAATAATTCATTGTTTTCAAAGACTCAATTAAAACAAGATTTTATGTAATAAAAGTGTATAAAGAGACATATCATTCTGAGTTAAACTAATTGAAGTAAAATACATTATTAGGTAGTTCACGTGGCTATGGAAACACTATTTCAGCATTTGTTGTAATTCCAAGATGATTTCCTCAATGATTCAAGCAACATTTTCTTTTTTCTTTTGATTGTTATGTGGCCAAATGAGTAGCTCAAGATCCATTAATAAAGTTAATTTAAATTTTACAATTGATAAAAGTTCTACTTTGAAAAAGCATCAGGAACAGAGTGATAAAACTGAGTTTTACCTAATTCTTAAAGAAGAGATGATTCCAGTAGAAAATCATGTATCTTCAAACCATTTTATTAAAGTAAATTTAAATGAAAATTAAAAATAAAGGCAGATGTGGTAGTATAAATAAAATAAACGAGACAATTATTAATATAAATACATATGCCAATACTGTATTTTGAATACAGTATTAGCATATGGAATTCAGCAAGTGAGAAATGAAATTTTGCTATGAGCAAGTGGTCTTTATTTCAAAAGAGAAATCCTGAATAAATATCCATGAATTATTATGAATATAATTAATTTCCTCAACAAGTTGTATGTGTGTGTGTACATATATATATGTGTATATATATATGTGTGTGTGTGTGTGTGTGTATATATACATATATACATGTTTCTCCCTTCAATTAAAGATTCTGAAAGGATGTTTGGTCAAATTGAGCAGCAATTCCTAATGAAAACTCTAAGAAAAGTAGGAATAGAAAAAAAAATTCCCTGGCATATCCCCCGCAACCCTCCAACTTAGGGCTCTCTTTAATATTTCTAAAAGAAATTTCAATTTTTTATTTACCTGTATTTGCTGGAACTCATCAAATTTGTTGAAAAATAATGGAGATAATGGTTATCTTTATTTGGTACCTGACTGTATTTGACATGGTTTTATTATTTTTGTTTTTTTTCAGCAATTACCAGTTGTCTTTATTTATATAAAAGTATACTAAATACTCTCAATATATAGAAGTAAAAAATATTATATATATAAATAGAAAATTTCCATGTACAAAATCTTTTTTAAAAATTATACACTTATATACAGCGTTGACCTTAGAAGCTGTATCTTAAATCTTAAACTCTGTATAATTTGTACAGTAGATTTATAAAAACATAGTTACTGGTCAAATGTTTAATCAACACCACTCAAGTCAAAGTGCTAAATGATAAAGCGTATTAGGAAGGTGCCCAAAATACAGAAGTCTCCTGCATTTAATACACTAATTGAAGGTTTGCCAATTGTTTTAAATTTCCAAATGTACTCCTTAAAAGAAAATAGGAAAAGAACCTAAATACAGTATTACAAACATTAGAAAAGTCCCAGAAAAGTCTGCACAATTTCCATGTAGTTTCCTAAACGGTTTGAAGTCAGCCTCTCAAAAGCTCTTCAAAAGTTCATTCAGGAATATGTAAGGCATCCATTCATTTGTTTTTGGTTGGATGATCTGGTTCTTCCTCTGTACAGAATATATCATCTAAAGGATCATATGCATAGAAGGTGCCAGAATTTTAAAAATTACAACAAAGTTGGAATTGGTTGTACCATCATGCTCCAAAATCCCCGTTTGTATTTCCGTATATTCTACTATCTTAAGAGTTCTGTTTTCTGCATATGGCTAGCCAATTTTCCCAACACCATTTATTAAATAGGGAATCCTTTCCCCATTGCTTGTTTTTGTCAGGTTTGTCAAAGATCAGATGCCTGTAGATGTGTGGTGTTATTTCTGAGGCCTCCGTTCTGTTCCATTGGTCTATATATCTGTTTTGGTACCAGTATGCAGAAAACTGAAACTGGATCCCTTCCTTATGCCTTATACAAAAATTAACTGAAGATGGATTAAAGACTTAAACGTAATACATAAAACCATAAAAACTCTAGAAGGAAACCTAGACAGTACCATTCAGGACATAGGCATGGGCAAAGACTTCATGACTAAAACACCAAAAGCAATGGCAACAAAAGCCAAAATTGACAAATACGTCTCATTAAACTAAAGAGCTTCTGCACAGCCAAAGAAACTATCATCAGCATGAACAGGCAACCTACAGAATGGGAGAAAATTTTTGCAATCCATCTGACAAAGGACTAATATCCAGAATCTACAAAGAACTTAAACAAATTTACAAGGAAAGAACAACTCCATCAAAAAGTGGGCAAAGAACAGGAACAGACACTTCTCAAAAGGAGGCATTTATGTGGCCAACAAACATATGAAGAAAAGCTCATCATCACTGGTCATTAGAGAAATGCAAATTAAAATCACACTGAGATACCATCTCACACCGGTTAGAATAGCAATCACTAAAAAATTCAGGAAACAACAGATGCCGGAGAGGATGTGGAGAAGTAGGAACGCTTGCTTTTACACTGTTGGTGGGAAGGTAAATTAGTTCAACCATTGTGGAAGACAGTGTGGCAATTCCTCAAGGATCTAGAACTAGAAATACCATTTAACCCACCAATCCTATTACTGGGTATATACCCAAAGGACTATAAATTATTCTACCATAAAGACACATGCACACATATGTTTATTGAGGCACTGTTTACAACAACTAAGACTTGGAACCAATCCAAATGCCCATCAATGATAGACTGGATAAAGAAAATGTGGCACATATACACCATAGAATACTATGCAGTCATAAAAAAGGATGAGTTCATGTCCTTTGCAGGGGCATGGATGAAGCTGGACACCATCATTCTCAGCAAAGTAACAGAGGAAGAGAAAATGAAACACTGCATGTTCTTACCCATAAGTGGGAGTTGAACAGTGAGGACACGTGGACATAGGAAGGGGAACATCACACACTGGGGCCTGCGGGTGGTAGGGGGGCGGGGGAGCTAGGGGAGGAATAGCATTAGGAGAAATACCTAATGTAGATGATGGGTTGATGGGTGCAGCAAACCACCATGGCACAAGTACACAAGTATACCTATGTAACAAACCTGCACTTTCCACACATGTACCCCAGAACTTAAAGTAAAATAAATAAATAAATAAATAAATAAATAAATAAATAAATAAGTTCTGGATCACAGCACAGCATTTGCAGCATGGGCGGCTCCAGCAGCGCTGGGTGCCCCTCTAAGCTCAGCCCGCGTCCTTCCACGGGGTCGCCCTTGCCTGCTGCGCACGTACTCCGATGGGCATGGGAGCTAAGGGGCTGCTGACCGCCAGCTCCGCGATAGTCAGGAAGGACATTGCTGTTGTCCGGCGGCTGGCTCACTCGCTGGGGCTTTCTGTCGTCTTGTGTAGTCTTCGGATGGAATCACTGCTTGAACATTGGAACGGTGGTTTCCCCTTTATCCATATCCATCAAAAACGCATTTGTGTTTGTCTTGGCTGTTTTCTTTCCCGTACATGAAGCTTTCCAATAATAAAGTGTACAACTTAAGTACTTGTCGCAAACTCCCAGAGGCCTAGGAATATGTCATTCTTTCTAAGGTACGTCATTCTGATACTGTCACGTTGTTTTGTCCCGACTGATTCAAAATACTGAATTGTTGGCTGTCCGAGGTGTGTCTCCAGGTCACGTGTAAACTCTGGGGAGCTTGGGATCAGAGGTTCCCGGCAGAACCCGTGGTGGCTGCATCCCCAGCGGGGCAGGAAGGGCCCTGGGCCAAGGACATCTGTGTCACGTCCTTGCTGTTCCATCTGTGAGGTCGCTCTCTGTGTCCAAGGTTTCCAAGCATGGCTTTTCCAGTCTCCTGATGCAGAGCTTGTCTGAGCAATGTAGACATGATTGATAGGCTTGGGTTCCAGCTCCAAAATTGTCTTGAAATTCGTTGATTATACATTATATGCTACCACTCTATCTGCAGTGCCAGAAGCAGTAGCCGCCTTGAGGAGGACCTGGCGGAGCAGGAGCATCTGAGCTAAGGCAGTCTCAGGACGTGGGACCCAGGCCCAGGCTGGAGTTGCCAGGTCCACAAGCAAGGTCGAGGTCAAGTGGATAGAGGCTGAGGAAGTCCCGCTGCAGGCACCTCAGGTCAGCTAAAGGAGCCATTGCCTGCCTACCCCTGGGGCTGGGCTGCCCGGGGCCCCTGCCCCTGCAGTTCCTCCAATGTGGATTTACGGTTTTAACCTTCAGGACAATTTTTGTTGCTTTCAAATATTGACTTCACAAGCATTCCTGTACACCAATAATAGACAAACAGGGAGCCAAATCATGAGTGAATTCCCATTCACAATTGCACAAGGAGAATAAAATACCTAGGAATACAACTTACAAGGGAGGTGAAGGACCTCTTCAAGAAGAACTACAAACCACTGCTTGAGGAAATAAGAGAGGACACAAATGGAAAAACATTCCATGCACATGGATAGGAAGAATCAATATCGTGAAAATGGCCTTACTGCCCAAAGTAATTTATAGATTCAATGCTATTCCCATCAAGCTACCATTGACTTTCTTCACAGAATTAGAAAAAACTACGTTCAATTTCATATGGAACCAAAAAAGAGCTCATATAGCCAAAGCGATCCTGAGCAAAAAGAACAAAGCTGGAGGCATCATGTTACTTGATTTCGAACTATAGTACAAGGCTACAGTAACCAAAACAGCATAGTAGTAGTACCAAAACAGAAAATTAGACAAATGGAACAGAACAGAGACCTCAGAAATAATGCTACACATCTACAACCATCTGATATTTGACAAACTTGACAAAAACAATCAAATGAGGAAAGGATTCCCTATTTAATAAATGGTGTTGGGAAAACTGGCTAGCCACATGCAGGACACTGAAACTGGACCCCTTGCTTACACCTAACACATAAATTAACTCAAGATGGATTAAAGTCTTAAACATAAGACCTAAAACCATGAAAATCCTAGAAGAAAACCTAGGCAATACCAGTCAGGACATAGGCATGGGCAAAGACTTCATGACTAAAACACCAAAAGCAATGGCAACAAAAGCCAAAACTGACAAATTGGGTTAAACTAAAGAGCTTCTCCACAGCCAAAGAAACTATCATCGGTATGAACAGGCAACCTACAGAATGGGAGAAAATTTTTGCAATCTATCCATATGGCAAAGGGCTAATATCCTGAATCTACAAAGAGCTTAAACAAATTTACAAGAAAAAACAAACAACTCCATCAAAAAGTGGGCAAAGGATATGAACAGACACTTCTCAAAAGAAGACATTTATGCAGCCAACAAACATATGAGAAAAGCTCATCATCACTGGTCATTAGAGAAATGCAAATCAAAACCACAATGAGATATCATCTCACACCAGTTAGAATGGCGATCATTAAAAGGTCAGGAAACAGAAGATGCTGGAGAGGATGTGGAGAAATAGGAACACTTTTACACTGTTGGTGGGAGTGTAAATTACTTCAACCATTGTGGAAGACAGTGTGGTGATTCCTCAAGGATCTAGAACAAGAAATATCATCTGACCCAGCAATCCCATTACTGGGTATATAACCAAAGGATTAGAAATCATTCTATTATAAAGACACATGCACACGTATGTTTATTGCAGCACTGTTCACACTAGCAAAGACAGAGCCAACCCAAATGTCCATCAATGATAGACTGAATAAAGAAAATGTGGCACATATACACCATGGAATACTATGCAGTCATAAAAAAGGATGAGTTCATATCCCTTGTGGGGACATGGATGAAGCTGGAATCCATCATTTTCAGCAAGCTAACACAGGAACAGAAAACCAAACACCACATGTTCTCACTCATAAATGAGAGTTGAACAATGAGAACACAGGGACACAGGGAGGGGAATATCACACATTGGGGCCTGTTGTGGGGTGGGGGGCTATGGGAGGGATAGCATTAGAAGAAATACCTAATGTAGATGATGGGTTGATGGGTGCAGCAAACCACCATGGCACGTTTATACTTATGTAACAAACCTGCGCGTTCTGCACATTTATCCCAGAACTTAAAGTGTAATAAAAAAAGACTACATTACATTTATTTATTAATGACTATTTAGTGAATACTTTTTATGGGCCAAGTGTCATGCTGGGCTCTTGGAACCCGTCTGTCAATAACATGGCTTGCTGTCATCATGGTCATTGCCTAGTGCTCATTTTCAAGGGGCAGGAACAGATGATGGAGGATAGACATTAGGTGAGCATGAAGTAAACAATATGCAAGCCCAGAAAGGGAGACGTTGAGAGGTGCTCATAGGCAAGGAAAATGGCAGGCAGAGCAGACAAGCAAGAGCAGAGCTGTGTGGAGAGTTATTTTAAATAGATCAGTGAAGGTAGGACCCATTGATAGGATTTCCGACCAAGGGATAGAAGGAGGTAAGCATATTTGCCATACAGATACTTAGGTAAAGGGCATGCTAGACTCTATGGAAACATTGAAAAACTGAGTGACTTGCTCAAACATAGCACCTAATATGTGGCAGACTGACAAATAAAACTACATGTAAACGTGAGTTCTCCATTTTTTCCACTGTGCCATTTTCTTAAAATAGTCAGTGGCAAATCTTGCAGAATTTCTTAAAAAAAACCTATTTTACTCTCATAGCAATTTCAGGATGATCATCATCTATCAACTTCTTCATGCGTCTTTATCTATAGAGCCCAGCTGCACAGCACCACTTCGCAGCCCTAGTTCTGAGAAGGAAGACTCTACCTAGATACAGAAAACAAGATAGAATGGACTAAGTAGCTTCTTTCCACATTAATAAGACTCCATTTGTTTAAGTTACTTACTTGTGTATATTTTCTTTTGAGATCCAGAAGCATAGTTTAAATTAACTCAGCAAACATATATCAAATATCTATCACATTCAAAACACCATATGAGGTAACACAGAATAAGCAATGAAGAAATAAAGTTGATAAAGCCCTTTAGTTCTAGAGACTTCTTTTTTTTTTTACTGGACTTTTTTTTTATACTTTAAGTTTTAGGGTACATGTGCACATTGTGCAGGTTAGTTACATATGTATACATGTGCCATGCTGGTGCACTGCACCCACTAACTCGTCATCAAGCATTAGGTATATCTCCCAGTGCTATCCCTCCCCCCCCTCCGACCCCACAACAGTCCCCAGAGTGTGATATTCCCCTTCCTGTGTCCATGTGTTCTCATTGTTCAATTCCCACCTACGAGTGAGAATATGCAGTGTTTGGTTTTTTGATCTTGCGATAGTTTACTGAGAATGATGATTTCCAATTTCATCCATGTCCCTCCAAAGACATGAACTCATCATTTTTTATGGCTGCATAGTATTCCATGGTGTAAATGTGCCACATTTTCTTAATCCAGTCTATCATTGTTGGACATTTGGGTTGGTTCCAAGTCTTTGCTATTGTGAATAATGCCACAATAAATAAACGTGTGCATGTGTCTTTATAGCAGCATGATTTATAGTACTTTGGGTATATACCCAGTAATGGGATGGCTGGGTCAAATGGTATTTCTAATTCTAGATCTCTAAGGAATCGCCACACTGACTTCCACAATGGTTGAACTAGTTTACAGTCCCACCAACAGTGTAAAAGTGTTCCTATTTCTCCACATCCTCTCCAGCACCTGTTGTTTCCTGACTTTTTAATGATTGCCATTCTAACTGGTGTGAGATGGTATCTCACTGTGGTTTTGATTTGCATTTCTCTGATGGCCAGTGATGATGAGCATTTTTTCATGTGTTTTTTGGCTGCATAAATGTCTGGCAAACCGAATCCAGCAGCACATCAAAAAGCTTATCCACCATGATCAAGTGGGCTTCATCCCTGTGATGCAAGGCTGGTTCAATATATGCAAATCAATAAATGTAATCCAGCATATAAACACAGGCAAAGACAAAAACCACATGATTATCTCAATAGATGCAGAAAAGGCCTTTGACAAAATTCAACAACGCTTCATGCTAAAAACTCTCAATAAATTAGGTATTGATGGGACATATTTCAAAATAATAAGAGCTATCTATGACAAACCCACAGCCAATATCATACTGAATGGGCAAAAACTGGAAGCATTCCCTTTGAAAACTGGCACAAGATAGGGATGCCCTCTCTCACCACTCCTATTCAACATAGTGTTGGAAGTTCTGGCCAGGGCAATTAGGCAGGAGAAGGAAATAAAGGGTATTCAATTAGGAAAAGAGGAAGTCAAATTGTCCCTGTTTGCAGACGACATGATTGTATATCTAGAAAACCCCATTGTCTCAGCCCAAAATCTCCTGAAGCTGATAAGCAACTTCAGCAAAGTCTCAGGATACAAAATCAATGTACAAAAAATCACAAGCATTCTTATACACCAACAACAGAGAAACAGAGAGCCAAATCATGAGTGAACTCCCATTCACAATTGCTTCAAAGAGAATAAAATACCTAGGAATCCAACTTAGAAGGGATGTGAAGGACCTCTTCAAGGAGAACTACAAACCACTGCTCAAGGAAATAAAAGAGGATACAAACAAATGGAAGAACATTCCATGCTCATGGGTAGGAAGAATCAATATCGTGAAAATGGCCATACTGCCCAAGGTAATTTACAGATTCAATGCCATCCCCATCAAGCTACCAATGACTTTCTTCACAGAATTGGAAAAAACTACTTTAAAGTTCATGTGGAAGCAAAAAAGAGCCTGCATCGCCAAGTCAATCCTAAGCCAAAAGAACAAAGCTGGAGGCATCACACTACCTGACTTCAAACTATACTACAAGGCTACAGTAACCAAAACAGAGATATAGATCAATGGAACAGAACAGAGCCCTCAGAAATAACGCCGCATATCTACAACTATCTGATCTTTGACAAACCTGAGAAAAACAAGCAATGGGGACAGGATTCCCTATTTAATAAATGGTGCTGGGAAAACTGGCTAGCCATATGTAGAAAGCTGAAACTGGATCCCTTCCTTACACCTTATACAAAAATCAATTCAAGATGGATTAAAGACTTAAACGTTAGACCTAAAACCATAAAAACCCTAGAAGAAAACCTAGGCATTACCATTCAGGACATAGGTATGGGCAAGGACTTCATGTCTAAAACACCAAAAGCAATGGCAACAAAAGCCAAAATTGACAAATGGGATCTAATTAAACTAAAGAGCTTCTGCACAGCAAAAGAAACTACCATCAGAGTGAACAGGCAACCTACAAAATGGGAGAAAATTTTTGCAACCTACTCATCTGACAAAGGGCTAATATCCAGAATCTACAATGAACTCAAACAAATTTACAAGAAAAAAACAAACAACCCCATCAAAAAGTGGGTGAAGGACATGAACAGACACTTCTCAAAAGAAGTTCTAGAGACTTCTAAGCTGGTGGGAAGACAAATATTTACAACCAGTTAAAAGGAAAAAAAAGTATAAGAGAAGTTTTTAAAAGTAAATAGCATTATGTAAAAAACCCTGGCCCAAATCTAGTCTGCATAAAAGGATTCAAAGTGTTTTTTTGGCCTCTGTGCTAATAATACTGACATCACTGAAATGTGGTACAGTTGTCTCGTTGCTTAGTGTGATACAACAAACAAGGAAACCAACAAAACCTGGGCAACCCTGCCCACACAACCTGATGGTCCCAGCCGTTTTTCCACAAGGTTCTACAGTGCCCTCTTGGTCATATCTCAGAGACCACCAATGACTTCCTCAAATGAGCAAAGTTTCCATTATCAGATCAAATGTAATCACATGTTTACTGAGGCCCCAAAATACTTAATTCAGACCCATGTTGAATGTCCCTCCACCTTCCTTCAATGGCAGAGAGTATATTTATAAAATGCAATCATTGCGCATGAAATGAAGTGTACTCAGTTCAAATCTTGCAGATGGGCAGACAAGACATATTTTACAGACTGAAAGGTTATAGCATATTTCTTTCTTTTTCTTTTCTTTTTTCTTTTTTTTTTTGAGATGGAGTCTCTCTCTTGTTGCCCAGGTTGGAGTGTGACAGCGTGATCTCGGCTCACTGAAATCTCCCCTTCCTGAGTTCAAGCGATTCCCCTGTCTCAGCCTCCCAAGTAGCTGGGGTTGCAGGCATGCACCATCACGTGTGGCTAATTTTGTATTTTTAGTAGAGCTAGGGTTTCTTCCTGTTGGACAGGCTGGTCTCGAACTCCCAACCTCACATGATCCACCTGCCTCGGCCTCCCAAAGTGCTAGGATTACAGGCATGAGCCACTGCGCCAGGCCCTGCATATTTCTTATACAGGCAGGATACTGAAGTAGAGAACATGTCTATATCAAGAAAATCCAGGTTGGGCATGGAGGCTCACGCCTGTAATCACAGCGCTTTGGGAGGCCGAGACAGGTAGATCATCTGAGGTCATGAGTTTGAGACCAGCCTGACCAACATGGTGAAACCCCATCTCTACTAAATACAAAAAATTAGCCAGGAATGGTGGCGCATGACTGTAATCCCAGCTACTTAGGAGGCTGAGGCAGGAGACTTGCTTGAACCTGGGAGGTGGAGGTTACAGTGAGCTGAGACTGTGCCATTGCTCTCCAGCCTGGGCAACAAGAGTGGAAACTCCATAAAAAAAAAAGAAAGAAAGAAGGAAGGAAGGAAGGAAGGAAGGAAGGAAGGAAGGAAGGAAGGAAGGAAGGAAGGAAGGAAGGAAAGAAAGAAAGAAGGAAAGAAAGAAAGAAAGAAAGAAAGAAAGAAAGAGAGAAAGAAAGAGAGAAAGAAAAAGAGAAAAGAAAGAAAGAAAATCCAGAATGTTTACTTAAAGCCTCATACATATATACATATTTGATATAACCACATTAGATGGAAATAACTTATACACATATTCACTCTAAATTCATAATAGTAAAACCATAGCTATATAAATGTTTAGCTTGAAAACTATGTACCACATTTAAGTAGAATTTGTGAAGAAAAAGAAATAATACATAGCACTTATCCTTATTTTAATAGAATTTTGTATAGGTTATTTCAAGCATAAAGAATTATCAAGATCTGAAAAACAAAGCTAACCCCTATCACACCCACATTAGATTTGCAGCTGCAGAATACAGTTGCTAAATATTTGTTTATGCGTATTATCACAAAATGTTTGCACAACATGTAACTAAGAAGTAAATATTGTAGAATTGCTTACACTGTTCCCTGCCATATACTGTCATTTCCGTCCACTGCATGAGTCATTTGAACATGCTATTCTGAATTTTAAATGCCATCCCCTTTGATATACACTGAGTACAATATAAATACCCTGATACCATTAGCAGCATTGTTGGGGCCACCATGGAGTGAGCTGTGCTAGCACTTTCATGATGACTGAAGCCTGCATAGGGAGAAACACAGCTGTACCACCAAGAGAAAACAGTGGTTTCTTTGAGAGTCCAGTAATTTTAAACACTTAAAAACGGATGTGTATATCCCAAATATAATGTATTAAAAAATGGGTAGGGAGAAAATTGTCTGCCTTATATGTTGCTTAATACATGAAAAAAAATACATAGATCCATTCTATCACTTCATAGTCACTTTAAATTTCAGCCTTCAGAGAGGTCTGCTATGCACAAAAATGTCAGACATAGGATAACTATAAAAATCACTAAGATATTTATCAAATTGTGCAAGATGCATGTACATTATGAGACTGTTCAATATTTAATACATAGTTGGAAGTAATTTATGCCCCCATTTTACTTATATGAAAATTAGTGCAAATATCTAAAAATAACCCTTAAAATTATAATATTGTCACCTTTCTATTTTATCTCAGACCTCTTTCTAGTCTACTATTCTACTTCAAGCCTTGCTTCTTTTCCAAGAGAGTCCCAAAGGGCATTCCCATCACCTGGTATCTGAATAATAAGAAAAATCAATAAATAAAACATCTTTGGGGAATTTCATGTGTTCATGCTCTGAGCTTCAGGCTCAGATGTCAGCATCATACCAACTCTCCTCCAAACTAAATACATCATTATCTCAATGCAAAGAAACCTCCAGGTAAGGAGTACACATATCAATGGCCATATATTAGGCATAGTTTGGAGCCAAAGTATTAGCCCCCTCATGTTTCATAATTGCATTTTTCAGAGGCCACTTGCCTAGAATCCTTGCATCTATGTGTCCTCGGCAATGGTGTAGAAACGGGGAATTCAAGCTCTGTCTCTCTACTCTCTAAATGAATTGAAGTAAATGATTGCTGATTTTTATAATCTGTAGGCTATTTACTTCAGACCTAAGATTGAAATGGGTTATGTTCTGTTAGAGATTTTAGAGGAATGAGTGCTCATTGGGAGTTTGCAAACTCACAATGAGAGTGTGAGAACTCACATGTAATACTTTCAAATGAGACAGTGTTACAAAAACTACTGAGGGTAATTCTCACAAACATTTCCTTTGCAAAGCAGGTGGTAAGTAGGCGGGGACGGGGAAGCTGGGCTTCCTGCCCATATGGAGGATTAGAAAGGAAGCCCCACATGCCTTTGAAGTCCCGTCATTCTCACCCTACCTGCCTCAGTTATATTTGGACTCTAGGGTAGGATAGCAGTTCACGTTTGTTAGTAAGAAGAGGAGGAAAAAGAGCAGCTTTTACTTTCATATCTACTATCACTGTGGTCTCCATAGCAACCTGGGGCAGCAGAGCCTCCAGACAGAGCTAGTCCACAGCTACAACTTAGTGGGAGGAAAGAGGAGGCATGACAGACACATCTTGACAGATTGATTAGGGCAGCAATTTGTCAGATCACTGGACTGGGAAATGGCTACAGCTCTGCTGATTCTGTTCCTATGTTCACTTCATAAACCGGGGACTGAATAAATATGTCCATAACATGTTGCATGCAGGGCTGAAAATCCAGGACCAGAACTGTTTCCATTCACTGCTGGGACTGACTGTCTCACTTCCATGACTCTGCAGAAATCACAAAACTGATTAGTAACAAAAAACATTACACATTAAGGGAAGCCATTAAGAGCAATGAAGCATTGTTCTTTTTGATATTGATTAGTGAAAGAGACGTAAAAGGATTTCATAGATATTTTTCACACCAATCATCAAAACATTCCTTGATATAAGTAGAAGTACATAACTTTATTCCAATTATTGATGAGGAAAAGTATCTAAAATCAATATGATTTATTTCATGACATCTAGAGTAATAGAAATCCAAAGTGCAGTCCTCTTGTCCTTAAAATGCAATCTCAGTGCTTTTCTTAACATAGAACAGTTAAGTTTTTAAATTTCACTTGCTGTGGTCATAATTATTTGCTACTCACTAAACATAAAATCTTCACATTCCTTGAATATACAGAGCACAATTATAGGGAGATAGTATAAAAATCCCCAAATAAAGCAAATGTTACACATTGTCCACTGTAGAACCTAATAATACTTTACACTGTATGTTTTGTTGTTGTTGTTGTTGTTTTTGAGATGGAGTCTCACTCTGTCGCCCATGCTGGAGTGCAATGGCGTGATCTCCGCTCACTGCAACCTCCGTCTCCCGGGTTCAAGCAATTCTCCCGCCTCAGCCTCCCGAGTAGCTGGGATTATAGGTGCCCACCACCATACCCGGCTAATTTTTGTATTTTTAATAGAGACGGGATTTCACCATGTTGGCCAGGATGGTCTCAATCTCCTGACCTCATGATCCACCCGCCTCGGCTTCCCAAAGTGCTGGGATTACAGGCGTGAGCCACCGCGCCCAGCCTGTGCTGTATGTTTATCAGCTTTGCCTTCAAACTATTACTGCCTTGTTTTGTGGGTGCTGCCACCTTAAATGATAAAGTTATTTATGGCAAGAAACAACTTTTAGTAATACTTTTTATATACAAGAGGATACTATGTGTACACTGAATATTCAATGCTTGTTTTTAATAAAAATAGTGTGGTAATTATAGTTTTGAGTCTTCTATTTGAGCTACATCCCAATAAAAACAACTGTTCATTCTTTCATTTTCACAACCTGTAATTCTTTCAATGAAATATTTAATATTGTTAAATATAGGCTGATTTCTGTTGTGAAAGTCAAAATATTTTCCCAATTTATTATTAAATCATGCAATATAGTTTATATCTGATCATCCAAATATAATTTTGTAAAGAATACAAAACCCTATTTGACCAAACCTTCAACATTGGGTCACTGTGAAAGAAACACTTTAAAGATTACTAATGTGTGGTGGACTTTTTTATGTTGTTAACATTTTCACGCCAAAAGACAATACTACTCTAATTATTTCAGCACTAGTTAGCAATTTGTTTCCATTTACTTCCTTGGATTGTGTGATGCTACATGTCGGGAGCTTGTTAATTAGCCTGAGCAGCTCTCCAGCTAAACAGAAAATAAATTTAAATAAACCAAGCATTATAACTCCAGCCATTACAGTGGCCTTACACATATTTCTCCTTGTATACTTTTGAGATATCTCAAGTCATCGAATGACAATGCCCCATTCATTCCGAAAGAGACTACACACACCTGATTACAGGCTGGTCCTCACATTAAATTTGTTCATGTTGGAAAAAATCTCAAAAAAGAAAAAGACGATGACCATACCCATCACTAATTTTAAGCTCCACAATCAGAGCGAATTAAAATTCAGGTGGGGTAAATGCAAGAAGGTGGGAGGAGAGTGACTTACTAAAGATTGTTACAGCAAAACCCTTGAGATGTTAAAACTGATGATTTAACATTTTTATTTTAAAATTGTAAGTATTATATTTCAAGATGTTTGACATGTAATTCTAGCCAGAGGTGCTCTATCCTCAGTTAGACAAGGTCTCACTATTTTAAAGTCTCCACAGTTGATATTGTGTCTATTTTTGTATCTTTTCTTATCCAATTTATTATCCTAATCAACTAACATTTACTGAACCTCTTCAAGGAGAAATACAGCAGCATTCATTAAGAGCCCAGGAAAACTTGAAATATTGACAAACCTTTGTAATTGTCAGGATCTAGTCAATAGAAAACAATTCAGGTTTTTCAAATGGTAATTTAACATGAGATGTCTTGGAAAACTTCAACAGGGGAGTGTGAGGCAACATGAAACGGTAGAAACCCACCACCACCAATATGGGGGACAGCTGAAGAGGAGGAAGGCACAGGGGCCCAGAGTCCACCCTGTGCTAGACCAAAGGCTAGACTCCACAGTGAGTGCAGAGGAAGGGCTCTCAGGCAGAGTTGGAATAAAGCTGGGATGGACAAGTCTCAGGCCCTGTGAAATCAAATTCTGTGTAGGTGAGGAGCTAAATGAGGCATCAAAGGCATTAAGAATGTGGAGGAAAGTGTCAATGGGAAAAGAAAGAAACCGAGAATATTCCCCATTGGGGAAGTAAGCAGAAGACAGGCACTAAGAAAATTAATTTCAAATTCTGTAGGAAAGAAAGCATTTTTCTGTTAACACACTACACACCACAGATTTGGAACGCTTAAAAACAGTCAGAAACGTGGCATCAGATGAGATTCAAATTCTTGGCAGAAAGCTGGATAATTACAAGAGTCCCTCAATGCCCAAGTTCTATTAAATTCTTGAAGAAAAAAAAAAGCCAAGTGTTTTAATTCCAATTATATTCTCAGAAGAAAGATTATTATCACAAAATCATCCCCAAACTACTTTCTTCAAATGGCATGTACTTGTTAAAATTTGGGCTTGGGAGCTAGATTCTATTAGTTTTAATTCTATTTCCATAGTTTGACAGCTGTATATCCCTGGGCAATTGATTTAATCTCTCCGCATTGCATCTTTCTCATCTATGAAATAATAGTAATAATCATATCTATCTAGCAGTTTTATGAAGATTATGTGTTTTACTACTTAGAGAGGAGCTTGGAAGTTTGTATTTACTTAATAAATATTACCTTTTGTTACAGGAAAAAGTATTAGATTAATTAAAATAAGAGGAATTTCATATAAAATGTTTTATTATGGGATGTCTATGTATTCCTATAAGAGAAATATTTTATTCAACAAAATTATTCAATAAATATATGGAACTCCAGTGAAATAGACTTAAAAGTATCTGACCATATGTACCCATTTGCTTTCTCATTTCAAGGACCACAATACAAACTCCAGAACATACCCAACATTTAAATAACAGAGCTGTCTGGAATAAGATGAATCCCTAAGAAAAACAAAGATAGTTTCAGCCACACACATGCACTACTTTACTCACAGAAAGAGAAGGAAAGAAAATTTGAAAATATATGTCCAATGGATACAGTTTACAACTTATAGCAAAAGAGGAGTTATCCCAGAAATGCTAGAATTGAAAAACAAAAACTAGTGATTAGGAAGTGGCTTCAGTGGTTAGCAGAGTGAAACGATTGATAATAAACTGGGAATTTTGGGAACAAGAAGGAACTTTTAGCTTATCAAATTGTATTGCTTATTCAGAAATCTACAATTGGTAATATGCATGAATAGATATGTTGGAATCCAAAAACCTGTCATTAAAAATAATACAAGATTAATCCTAAAGCATCAAGTATAGAAATATATTAGGGATGACTTAAAGTCCAAATAATTTTTAAAGGAATATTTTCAAAATAGGTTGAAATCCAAATTGTGTTGATCCACCTTTAATCTCATGGTTTTCTGTATACAAACATAGGTAAACCAAGGGCTGCTGTCTGGAGGTTCCTTCCTGAAGCTGGTAGAAGAGCTGATATGCCAGATGAATATGAAAGTAGAGAGGATTATTTGAAAACAGAAAAGAAGAATGAAGCAAAATCTATAGGAGAGGAGGAGAGCTCTTTCTGAAAGTAATGGGTCATCTAGATTACAGCAGAGAGGGTATTTCAGTATTTCATTCATTGTACCCATATATGTATTGCCCATTAGCATTATATCAATACACAACACTTTGAATAAAAGATAAATAACTTTCACTCTCGAAGAGCTGACATTCCAGAGAGGAGAGAGAGAAAAATAAATAAAAGTAAACAAAAAAGGAAAAATATGAGATCATTGTAAATACAAATGAATTGTTTGTAAAAATAGAATGGTTGTGTTAAAACAGTTTTAGATATACAGAAACTTGAAAAGACAGCACAGAGAGTTCCCATGTACCCCACATCCGGTTTCCTATATGAACATCCTTCATTACTATGGTACACTTGCCACAGTTAATGAGTCAGTATCCATGCATTCTTACTAACCAAAGTCCATAGCTCATTCAGATTTCCTTAGTTTTTCCCCTAATGTCTTTATTCTAGTTCCAGGATCTCATCCAGGATATTACATTACATTTAGTTGTTCTGTCTATTTAGGCTCCTTTTGGATTTGACAATTTCTCCAGATTTTCTTTTTTTTGAAGGCCTTAACTGTTTGAGATGTATTGGTCAGGTATTTTGTAGTATATTCCTGAATTGTATTTTTTTCTGATTTTTTTTCTCATAATTAGACTAGGTATATGTGATCTGGGGAAGGGGACCACAGAAATAAAGGGTCATTTTCCTCATATCACATCAAGTGTACATGCTATTGATAGGACTCTCATTGTGGATATTATCCTTGATAAACTTGCTGAGGCCGTGATGTCACATTTCTACACGCTAAATTTCCTCTCCCCACCCCTCCTTTTCATACTTCATTCTTCATAAGGAAGTCAGAATGGACAGCCCATACTTAAGAAGTGGCAAGTCATACTTCACCTCCATGAGTACAGCTTATCTGCATGAATTATTTGAAATTGTTCTGCACTGATTTTTCTTTTCTTCCCCAGTTTAATGATTCAATCATCTATGTCACCGAGGACTCATAGATATGTATTTCATATAATGAATTAAAATCCAATATTACCTGATTTATTTTCTTGTTCAGATGGTTTCAGCTTTGGCCATTGGGGCCTCTTTCAGTTGGCTCCTTTGCTCCTTTGACATGCCCTATTAATACTGTGTGTGTATGTTTATCCCTCTGTGTGTGTGTGTGTGTGTGTGTGTGTGTCTGTGTGTGTCACAGGCTCATTTTGTGTATGTCCTGCCCCAGTCCTTGAATCATCCATTTCTCTTTACTGGAGAAAAGTATTAGATACCAAGATCTAGGTACTAGGTGTGCTCATTTCCACTGAAGTGACAGTACCTTCTAAGCCCTCCAGCTGGGACAGCAAGAAAAATCTAGTAGGTTTATAAACCTGTTTATTTACATAAGTGTATAAATGTTTCTATGTGCAATGACTTATATCTAATTTAGGCAAAACAGGAGCTCATAAGGACATCCCCAACTGTATCCTATCCATTACCACACAGACCATTCTAATCTTTTCCCCTTGCTTATTTGTAACCTCCCACTCCAACAGTGAGAAACTTAGCTCTGCCATCCAGTATGTTTTAATAGTTCAAATACAGTGTACATGTGTAGCAGTTTCAGAAATTTTTAACCCATAATCCATGAAAAACAACTTTATCAGCTGAGTAGAGTAGTCCTCCGTTATTCAAAGGGCATATGTTCCAAGACACTCAGGTAATTCCTGAAATCACCAGATAGTACAAAACCCTATATATACCATGTTTTTCCTGTACATATGTAACTATGAATAAGTTTAATTGATATACTAGGCACAGTAAGATATTAACAGCAACTAATAACAAAAATGGAACAATTATAATAATATGCCAGCATCATTACTCCTGCACTTTGGAACCATAATTAAGTAAAATTAGGGCGACTTGAAAACAGCACTGAGATACTATGACAGTCAATTTGATAATGAAGATGGCTACTAAGTGTCTAACGGGTGGGTAGTGTATACAATCTGGATATGCTGGACAGAGGGATAATTCAAGTCCATGGGGGACTGGAGCAGTGCTCCAGTCATGCTACTCAGAGCAGTGCACAATGTAAAACGTATGACTTGTTTATTTCTGAAGTTTTCCACTTCACGTTTTTGTACCATCGTTGACCATGGGTAAGGAGGGGACTGCTGTATAGTATTTATGCAGTTTATTTGCCTTTAATCTACAATTTTTCCTCATTTCCAAAGTCAGCACTTTCTTTGTAATGCATTTATATTATGTTGTCACATTTTCTTTCCACTCTGGGATTTTCCAAACTTCTAAAATGATTTTTTTTGGAAATCTTTCTATTCAGCAAACTTTTTAGTTATCTTGCTTTTACCAGGCATTACTCTAGGAGCACAAACCATGGTGTGAAAGACAGCATTATTGTCACCATTGCCTCTTGGTTTTACTGGGAGGCCGGTAAAGAGATGCTTATGATGTGGTTGAATTTTACTGGGATCTACTATAGCATGCGAAGGAACACACGGAAATGGCATCTGACTCTGGCATTTGGCCATTTCAGCATTGCCATTCAGGAATCTACAGAAGTCAGGTAGGCAAATGCACAAGGAGGAGGATAACTGGAATCTGTGAAATACCTGAGAAACAGTGGAGGCCCAAAGTTTCCAGAGCTTCTGATTTTTAAATGAAGAGCCACATATCTGAATTTTTATGTGATTTGTCATGATTTTAAAAAAATTTTAATTGTGAGAAACTACATATAAAATGTTCCATCTTAACCATTTTTTTTCTTTTTTTGCCACTGCATGCTCTTTTTTATTATTATTATTATTATTATTATACTTTAAGTTTTAGGGTACATATGCACAACGTGCAGGTTTGTTACATATGCATACATGTGCCACGTCGGTGTGCTGCACCCATTAACTCATCATTTAGCATTCAGTATATCTGCTAATGCTATCCCTCCCCCCTCCCCCCACCCCACAACAGTCCCCAGTGTGTGATGTTCCCCTTCCTGTGTCCATGTGTTCTCATTGTTCAATTCCCACCTATGAGTGAGAACACGCGGTGTTTGGTTCTTTGTCCTTGCGATAGTTTGCTCAGAATGATGGTTTCCAGCTTTATCCATATCCCTACAAAGGACATGGACTCATCATTTTTTATGGCTGCATAGTATTCCATGGTGTATATATGCCACATTTTCTTAATCCAGTCTATCATTGATGGACATTTGGCTTGGTTCCAAGTCTTTGCTATTGTGAATAATGCCACAATAAACATACGTGTGCATGTGTCTTTATAGCAGCATGATTTATAATCTTTTGGGTAGATACCCAGTAATGGGATTGCTGGGTCAAATGGTATTTCTAGTTCTAGATCCCTGAGGAATTGCCACACCGACTTCCACAACATTTGAACTAGTTTACAGTCCCACCAACAGTGTAAAAGTGTTCCTATTTCTCCACATCCTCTCCAGCACCTGTTGTTTCCTGATTTTTTAATGATCGCCATTCTAACTGGTGTGAGGTGGTATCTCATTGCGGTTTTGATTTGCATTTCTCTGATGGCCAGTGATGATGAGCATTTTTTCATGTGTCTTTTGGCTGCATAAATGTCTTCTTTTTAGAAGTGTCTATTCATATCCTTCGCCCACTTTTTGATGGGGTTGTTTTTTTTTTTTCTTGTAAATTTGTTTGAGTTCATTGTAGATTCTGGATATTAGCCCTTTGTCAGATGAGTAGGTTGAGAAAATTTTCTCCCATTTTGTAGGTTGCCTGTTCACTCTGATGGTGGTTTCTTTTGCTGTGCAGAAGCTGTTTAGTTTAATTAGATCCCATTTGTCAATTTTGGGTTGTGTTGCCATTGCTTTTGGTGTTTTAGACGTGAAGTCCTTGCCCATGCCTATGTCCTGAATGGTATTGCCTAGGTTTTCTTCCATCTTAATCATTTTTAAGTGTGCAGCAGTTTTAAGTATATTCAAACTGTTGTGCAACAAACATTCACAATGTTTTCAACTCTAAAACCTGAAACTCTAGACTCCATGGAGCCGTTGCACCTCTGTGGTGGAGCCAGTGGGGAAAAGAAAAAAAAAAACTTAAAAACTAAAATTCTATACCCCTAAAACAATAACCCTCTGTTCCCTTCTTCCCCCAGGCTCTGGAAAACACTATTCTATTTTCTGCTTCTATGAGTTTTATTACTCTAGGTACCCCATATAAGTGGTTTCATACAGGATGTATTGTTTTGTGACTGGCTTATTTAACTCAACATAATGTCATCAAGGTTTATCCATGTTGTATCATGTAAAAGGATTTCCTTCCATTTGGGGGAGAATAATATTCCATTGCAAGTATATATCACATTTTGTTTATCCATTCATCTGTTAATGAACATTTGGATTGCCACCACTTCTTGGTTATTGTGAAAAATGCTTCCATGAACATGGGATTGCAAGCATCTCTTCACAACTGCCGTCAATTCTTTTGAATATAAACCCAGAGGAGACACTCTGGATCATATGGTAGCTATGTTTTTAACTTTTTGAGGAACCATCATACTGTTCTTCATAATGGCTATACCATTTTACATTTCCACCAATAGTGCACAGGAGTCCTAATTCCTCCACATCTTTGTTGTATCTGTCAATTTTCACACTGCTATAAAGATATATCTGAGACTGGGTGATTTTTAAGGGAAAGAGGTTTAATTGACTCACAGTGCAGCATGGCTAGGGAGCCCTCAGGAATTTTACAGTTATAGCAGAAGGTGAAGGGGAAGCAAGGCATCTTCTTCATAAGGTAGCAGGAAGGAGAAGTGCCAAATGAAATGGAAAGAGCCCTTTATAAAATCATTAGATCTCCTGAGAACTCACTCACTATCATGAGCAGAGCATGGGGAAAACCACCCCCATAATTCAGTTACCTCCACCTGGTTTCTCCCTTGACACTTGGGGAACGTGGGGATTGCAATTCAAGATGAGATTAGGTTGGGGACACAAAGCCTAACCATATCACTTGCCAACGCTTGTTTTCTGTTTTGATTTTGTTTTTAATAGTGGCATTCCTAACTGGTTTGAGAATATCACTTTGTGGTTTTGATTTGAATTTCCCTAACGATTAGTGTGTTGAGCATTTTTTCATATGTTTTTTTGGCCATTTGTGTATATTTTTTGGAGAAATGTCCATTCAAGTCTTTTAGACAGTTTTTAATTGGGTAAGGTTTTTTGTTGTTGTTGTTGTTGTTGTTAAATGTAGTTCTTTATATATTCCGAATATTAACTTCTTATCAGATATATGATTTACAAATATTTTATGCCATTCCATAGGTTGCCTTTTTCACTCTCTTGACTGTGTCCTTTGATGCACAGAAGTTTTTCATTTTGATTTAGTACAATTTATCTATCTGTTCAGTTGTTGCCTGTGATTTGGTGTTCCATCCAAAAATTCCTTGCCTAATCTGATGGTATAAAGCTTTTCTCTGTTTTCTTGTATGAGTTTAGTATTTTTTTAGGTCTTATTAGATCTTTAATCATCCATTTTGAGTTAATTTTTATATGGTATGATGCAATGGTCCAGTTTAATTTTTTCACATATAGATATCCAGTTTTCCCAACACCATTTGTTGAAAAGACTATGTTTCCTAATTGAATGGTCTTTAAAATGTTATTTAAAATCGTTTACTGAGCTAACTATTCTCTTCATCACATCTACAATGTGGCGCCTGTCTTTATATCACTACCACATTGTTTTGGCTGTAGATTTGTAATAAGTTTTGGAATCAGGAAGTGTAATGCCTCTGATTTTGTTCCTGGTTTTCAATATAACTTTTGCTCTTTGGTGTCTCTTGCAATTCCATATGAATTTTAGAATGGAGTTTTCTATTTCTCAGAAAAACACCATCACAATTTTGAGAGATCACACCAACTCTGTAAATTACAATGGGTAGTTCTGATGTATTAATAAAAATTCTCTCCCAGTCCATGAATATAGGATGTCTTCCCATTTACTTGTACTTTCTTTAATTTCAGAAATATTTTTGAGTTTTCTATGTAAAAATATTTTGCCTCCTTCATTAAGTTTAATCCTAAATATTTTATTTTTATGCTATTTTAAATAAAATTTCCTTTAATGTTTTTAGGTAGTTTATTGTTAGTGTATAGAAATCCAACTGATTTTTATGTGTCAATTTTCAATCTGCCAACTTTGCTAAATTTATTAGTTCTAACTTTGCTTTATGGACTCTTTAGGGATTTCTACATATAGGGTCATGTAGTCTGTGTTCTTTTTATTCCAAAATAGTATTTCATTTTACCACAGTTTGCTTTTTCATTCATATGTTGAATGACATCTTTCTTGGTTTCAGTTTCTGTTGGTTATGAATAAACCTGCTACAAACATTCCTGTATATGTTTTGGTGTGGACATGTTTGTATTTATCTTGGATAAATACTTAGGAGTGGGCATGTGGCATTGTATGCTAAGATAATATGTAACTTGGTAGCAAATTGTCAAACTGCCTTCCACAGTGGCTGTGCCATTTTGCATTTCTAGCTGCAGTGAATGAGTTTCTGCTGCTTTGCATCTTTGCCAGCATTTGATATGCTTGATTTTTTGAATTGTAGCCATTCTAATAAGGTTGTAGTAATATCTTGCTGTTTTCTATTTAGTATTATTTCCTATGTAGTATTATACATAGATGACAATTTTTAATTTACATAGACTATAAGTATATCGCAAAGGTATTAGCTCATAAAATTGAAGCAATGTCTATTGAAACACACTCTGATAGGAGCAAGGGTGTCTCCAAAAAAAAAAAAATTATATGATTTTTAAACACCTTGCTTGGGATGTTTCTACCACGGCTGACACCTGGACATTTATGCTGTGGCACTGATGTTGAGAGGTTAAGCCGGCTGGGCTTCTGGGGTGGGTTGGGACTTGGGGAACTTTTCTGTCTAGCTAAAGGATTGTAAATGCACCAATCAGCACTCTGTGTCTAGCTAAAGTTTGTAAATGCATCAATCAGCACTCTGTAAAAACACACCAATCAGCATTCTGTGTCTAGCTAAAGGTTTGTAAATGCACCAATCAGCACTCTGTAAATATGAACCAATCAGCACTCTGTAAAATGGACAAATTAGCTCTCTGTAAAATGGACCAATGAGCAGGATGTGGGTGGGGCCAAATAAGGGAATAAACGCCGGCCACCAGAGCCCCCTGCAGCAACCCCTGGGGTCCCCTTCTATTCTGTGGAAGCTTTGTTCTTTTGCTCTTTGTCATAAATCTTGCTGCTGCTCACTCTTTGGGTCCGCACTACCTTTATGAGCTGTAACACTCACAGCGAAGGTCTACAGCTTCACTCCTGAAGCCAGCAACACCACGAACCCACCAGGATGAATGAACAACTCCGGACGCACCACATTTAAGAGCTGTAACACTCACTGCGAAGCTCTGCACCTTCACTCCTGAAGCCAGCAAGACCACAAACCCACCGGGAGGAACAAACAACTCTGGACGCGCCACCTTTAAGAGCTGTAACACTCACTACGAAGGTCTGCGGCTTCACTCCTGAAGTCGGGAAGACCATGAACCCACCAGAAGGAAGAAACTCCAGACACATCTGAACATCTGAAGGAACAAACTCCAGACACACCATCTTTAAGAACTGTAACACTCACCGTGAGGGTCTGCAGCTTCATTCTTGAAGTCAGCGAGACCAAGAACCCACCGGAAGGAACCAATTCTGGACACAATGTCTTGGCCATTTTGGCACAGAACATAATCTCATATTGACATTTCACTCTTATTTCTTAGGATTAAAGTTCATTACTGGGAGTATTAGGTTCGGCTAAACTTTGTTGCTTTGTTAACATTCTATTTTGTAGAGAACTTAATGGGGGAATTTATATTCCTTCAATTCATTTTTGTTGTTCTAGACAAGGACCTATTTCCCAATTGTCTTGGAATGTTCCCTCATATAAGAATGTTTGTGTGGCGCTGGGCAGCCCAAAATGGCAAACGGCTTCTATTGTGTGACTTACCAGAGAAGGTTTCTGTGATAAGGAGAACTGTTTGTTTATTTATTTATTGAGACAGCCTCTCTCTTGCCCAGGCTGGAGTGCAGTGGCACCATCTTGGCTCATTGCAACCTCTGCCTCCCAGTTCAAGCAATTTTCCTGCCTCAGCCTCCCGAGTAGCTGGGATTATAGACATACGCCACCACGCCTGGCTAATTTTTGTATTTTTAGTAGAGACGGGGTTTCACCCTGTTGGCCAGGCTGATTTTAAACTCCTGGCCTGAAGAGATCTGACCATCTTGGCCTCCTAAAGTGCTGGGATTACAGGCGTGAGCCACCATGCCTGCAATAAGGAGGCTTTTAATCTAAGGTCTGAATGACAAGAATCTAAACCATGAAGAGATCAGGGGAGAAAAATGCAGGAAAAGAAGACAAGGACAAAGGCCTTAAGGTGAGTGTGAGCCCCAACAAAAGTGGGGGAGTGGGGGCTGGCACATGCTGGGTTAGAGGGTGAAGGAATTAGATGAATTTTGAATACTGGAGTTGCTGAAGCCCAGATAATGACTTTGCACTCATTTTTTCTATGCTGGGAAGCCTCTGGAAGGTTTTCAGGATGCTGGCAGAACCTGACTGCAGTATGGAACCCTGACCGTGGTGGGGGTGGACACGCAGCAGGGGAATAGGGAGTGCAGTCCTGAGACTACTGGGTCTCCTTAGAACCCAAGAAAACAAGAGGAGAAAAAAGTGAATCATGTCAATTGCTGAAAACAAAAACGACACCAACAGAAGCCTGTGTCCCATAAAACTGTCCTTCTAAAGTAGAGGAATAAACACTTAATCCGGCAAACAATAGTAGAAAATGCCTTGCCAGGAACTCTCCACTGCAAGAAATGTAGGAATTCCTACAGGGATTAGAAAAATGACACAAGTCTGAAGCTCAGATACACACAAGCAAAGGAGAATGCCAATGAAAGAATAAACGCAAGTAAATAAACTATCTTGCTTTTCTCATTCTTGTCAACTTAACTCTTTGTATAAAATAATAGTACTAACAATATGTGGGGTGATTAAAGATTATGGATAAGTAAAATAAATTATAGTAATGTCATAAGAGATGGGAGGGAGGAATTGGGAACATTCTGTTAAAAGGTACCTGCACTACACATGAAGAAGCAGCACAGTGCTATCTGAAAATGCATACAGATTTTTAAAAACGCATAATGGAAACTAAAACAAACACTAATTGTTTTCAAAAGCATAATTGATACAATAAGAGAAGGATGTAGTGGGCTTACTCAAATGCTTAAGGTAAACCAAGGAAGTTAAAAAAGAGTGGGGGAGGGGAACAAAGAACCAAAGCAATAAATAGAGAAACATTACAAACATGGTGGATATTAATTCAGTTACATCAATAACTTTATATTTGAATGGTATAAATATTGCAACCAAAAGACAGATTATCTAGGGAATATAAAAGACCCAACTCTAACTTCTACAAGAAACCCATTTTAATTGAAGACTCCTATAGGTTTAAGGTAAAGAGATGGAGAAAAATATACTTTGCTAACATTAATGAAGGTAGCTGGAGGAGATATATTAATTACAGACAAAGAGGACTTAGAGCAAGGAGAATTACTAAAGCTAAGGGGGGGAATGAAATAATGATTAAGTGAGGAATTAAGTAAGATAAACCAGTAGAATCTCAAAGAAGACATAGCAATATTAGACAATCTAACAACAGCATGTTATTATATGTGTGGCAAAAACACTGATAGAACTGAAAGGAGAAATATATGTTTATTATAATTTTAGCCTATAATGGCATTTTTTCAAAAACTGATAGTTCAAGCAGGTAGCAGTTTTTTAAAAATACAGTTGGACTGAACAGTACTATTGTTATAATAGACTTTTATAGAATATACCATTTACAGGTAGCAAAACATATACTTTTTTCAAGCTTATATGGAAAATTTATAAAAGCAGACTATATTCTATGCCAGAAAACAAATTTTAACTATTTTTTGAAAAAAAAATATTTATTATACAAATACGTTCCCAGACAATGAAGAATTTAAAATAAAAATCAGTAAAATAAAGAGACCTCAAAAATCCCCAGCTATTTGGAGGTTAATCAGTACTCTTCTATATAGCATGTGAGTCATTAAGAAGTCTGAAGAGAATTTAAAAATATTTTGAACTCAATAAAAGTGAAAATACATCTTATCAATATTTGTGACATGCAGGCAAAGCAGTGCTTAGAGATAAATTTAAACCATTGAATGCATGTATTAGTAAAGAAGGTTAAAATCAATGATCTAAGCTCTCACAATACAGAATTAGAAAAAGCAGCAATCAAAGCCTAAAGTAAAAAGAAAGCAAATAACAAAAACTACAGAGGAAATCAATGAAATGGAAAGCAAACACAAAAAACAACAGGGAAAAAATAATGAAACATAATGCTTGTTTTTTGAAAAGATAAAGAAAATGAGAAATTGCTAGGAAACTCACCAAGAAATAAAGAGAGAAAGATACAAATTACCAGTGTCAGAAATGAAAGAGGGATCATACTTATTGATCCCATGGATACCAAAAGGCTAATAGAGGAACACTGTGAACAACTCTATGCCCGCAGATTTGATAACTTACATGATCTGGGTAAATTTCCGCAAGAAGAAATAGATAATACAAAATGGCCTATGTTTATTAAAGATATTTAACGAATAAATAATAACATTACAAAAAGAAAGCACGAAATCTAGAGTTTCGTTAGTAAATTATATCACATATTTAATGAAGAAATAATACTAATCCTCCACTATTTTGTCTAGAACACAGAAGGAGAGGCAACAGTTTGTAACTCATTCTGTGATAACATAATTAACCTAACACCCACAAAAGTTTTTAAAAGCGTTACAAAAAAATTAAGAGCAATATTTCTCATGAATATAGCTACAATGATTGTGAATAAAATATTAGCAAATCAAACTGAATAATGTATAAAAAGAGTTATACATCACACCAAATGAGATTTATTCCAGTTAAGCATGTATGAATCAAAGTTTGCAATCCAGACAAACCCACCATATCAAAAAATCTACCAGAAGCAAAACCAAAACAAAACACGACACCTCTTAGAACTAATGAAGAAGTATAGCAAGGTAGAAGGATAGACATTTAATATGCAAGTGTTAATTGCTTTCTACTTACCAACAATAAACAATTTAAATTTGAAGTTAGAAAAACAATACTGTTTACAATAACACCAAATAATTGATGTACCTGGGTCAAAATTTAGCAATATATGTACAGAATTATATGTGGAAAACTACAAAGCTCTGCTGATAGAGCAAAGGCAATCTAAATTAATAGACGTTCCATGTTCATGGATTCGAGGACTCAACATTGCTTAGATGCTGATTTTCTCAAACTGATCAATGAATTTAATGAAATTCCCATCAAAATCCAAAAAGCTATTTTGTAGATATTTTAAAGTGATTTTAAAATGTATATGAAACAGCAAAAGACTTTAAATTGCAACAGAATATTGGGAAAGAAAAAGTTAAAGGGCTCATGTTTCCCAATTTGAAGACTTACAATTAAGCTACAATAATTAAGGCAGCATGGTGTTGGCAAAAGAATACACATGATCAATGGAAGAGAACAAAAAGACCAGAAATAGCTCCACATAAATATAAACAACTGGTCAACAAAGAAGCAATGGCAATTCAATGGGAAATTGGTAAGATTTTGACAAATGTGCTGAAACTATTAGAAAGTCATATGCAAAAAATAAAAATTAAATTAAATATAAGTGTTACCCCTTTCACAAAAATGAACTCAAAATTAATAATAGACCTAAATTTAAAATGCAATACTATAAAATTCTAAAAGAAAGTGGAGTATAAAATAACCTTGAGCTTGACACTTAGTTTTTATGTCAATGAATGACAATGTTGGCATGCATGTAGGGCAACAGGAACTTTCATTTACTACAGGCATATACACAAAATGGTATAGCCACTTTGGAAAACAGTTTGGCAGTTTCTTACAAAGCTAAAGATAGTCTCTCAATATAATTCAGAAACTGCCTTCTGAGCCAATTGATTTCTAAAAATATGTCCACACATAAACCTGCATGGAAATGTTATAGCACTTCATATAATAATTGACAAATAGTAGAAGCAAGTGTGATGCCCTTCAACAGGTGAATGGATAAACAAATTATACTGCATCCATATGATGGGATATTCTTCAGTAACAAAAAGAGCTTTCAAGCCAGGAAAAAAGTCATAAATCTTAAATGCACCTTGCTAAGTGAAAAAAGCCAATCTAAAAAGGCTAGATTTTCACAATTTTAATTACTTGGCATTCTGTTAAAGGAAAAACTACAGAAACAGTGAAATGATCCATGGCTTCCTGAAGGCCATGGCCAGGATAGTAGGAACAAATGGATCCTAGAGGATTTTTTAGGGCAGTGAAACTATTCTGTATGACATTGTAACAGTGGCTACATACATGATACTGTGCAGGTGTCAAAACCCATTGAATTTACAATCAAAGAGTTAACTTCAGTGTGTGAAAATCTTAGAATAAAAACAACTTAGGAGGTTGTGAGATATGACAAAATGCAGAATGTGACAAGAGAATCTTATTGTGTTACAAATGTTTGAAGCAACTTCACTTAAGGTCTGTAAGACAAAGGGGAAAGGGACTGAGCATAATTCTTCTACTCTACCTGATAAAATTGTTTCCCATTGTGGAGTGGCTTATTCTGATACTGCTGTACATATATACTAGATTTGAACAATTAAATAAATGAATGACAGATAATATAACCATTTGTTAGAATGAGATGAGCAAGGGGAGGAGGCTGTGGTGTTTCATGTGATAAAGGGTTGAGTTAGAGACAGCAGTATAAACTCAGGAGTAGCTAATATTAGTTACATATAGAAATGTGTATGAATAGATACAAGCACACCTTGTTTCCTTGTGCTTGACTTAACTGACCTCTGCAGATATTACATATTTCATATATTGAAGGTTTGTAACAAGCCTGTGTGGAGAAAGTCTATCAGAGCATTTTTTTTTTTTTTCCAACAGCATGTACTCATTTTGTGTCTTTGGGTTGCAGTTTGGTAATTTTCACAATATTTTGACTTTTTCAGTTAGTCAAACTGCTTGAAAAATGGATACTTTTTTCAGATATTATTTAACAGATACTATGTTAACAGATATTATTGTATCTGTTATGGTGACCTGTGATCAGTGTTTTTTGTTTTTTGGTTTTTGTTTGTTTGTTTGTTTTTTGAGACAGAGTTCCACTCTGTCACCCAGGCTAGAGTGCAGTGGTGTGATCTCAGCCCACTTTAATCTCCACCTCCCAGTCCAAGTGATCCTCCTGCATCAGCCTCTTGATGATCGGTGATCTTAGTTGTTGCTATTATAATTATTTATAGGGTGCCACAAATCACACCTGTATAAGGCAGCAAACTTAATTGATAAATGTGTGTGTTCTGACTGTTCTACTGACTGTTCATTTCCCCATTTCTCTCCCTCTCTGCAGGCCTTCCTACTCCCTGAGACACAACATTATTGAAATTAGGCCAAGTAATTATGCTGTCATGGCCTGTAAGTGTTCAAGTGAAAGGAAAATTCCCACACCTCTCACTTTAAATCAAAACTTAGAACTTATTAAACTTAGTGAGGAAGGGGTATTGGAAGGCAAAATAGGGCAAATTGTAGGCTTCTTGCACAAGCAGTTAGCCAGGTTGTAAATTTAAAAGAAAAGTTATTGAAGGAAATTATAAGTGCTACTCAAGTGAAGATGCAAATGGTGAGAAAGTGAGACAAGCTTATTGCTGATACGGAGAAAGTTTTAGTTGTCTGAATAGATCTAACCAGCCACAACATCCACTTAATCCAAAGCCTAATCCAGAGCAAGGCCCTAACCCTCTTCAATGCTATGAAATGTGAGAGAAATGAGGACACTGAAGAAGAAAAGTTGGAAGCTAGCAGAAGTTGGTTCATGAGGTTTAAGGAAAGAAGCCATCTCCATGACATAAAAATGCGAGGTGAAGCAGTAAGTGCTGATAGAGAAGTTGCAGGAAGTTATTAAGAAATCTAGTGAAGATAAATGATGAAGGTGACTACACCAAAGAGCAATTTTTCACTGTAGACAAAATAGCCTTCTGCTGGATGCCTTCTAGGACTTTCATAGCTAGAGAGGAGAAGTCAATGTCTGTTTTCAATGCTTCAAAGAACTGGCTGGCTCTATTATTAGGGGCCAATGCTGCTGGTGGCTTTAAGTTGAAGCCAATGTCTGTGTACCATTTTGAAAATGCTAGCGACTTTAAGAATTAAACTAATTCTACTCTACCTGTACTCTAGGAATAGAATAACAAAGCCTAGATGACAGGACATCTGTTTACAGCATAGTTTACTAAATATTTTAAGCTCACTGTTGAGACGTACTGCTTAGAAAATAAGATTCCTTTCAAAAGGTTACTGCTCACTGACAATTCACCTGCTCGCCCAAGAGCCCTAATGGAGATGTAAAATAAGATTAATTTTGTTTTCATGCTTCCTAACACAGCATCCATTCTGAAGCCCATGGATCAAGGAGTAATTTCAACTTTCAAGTTTTGTTATTAGGAAATACATTTCGTAAGGTGATAGCTCCAAAAATAGTGATTCCTACGAGGGATCTGGGCCAAGTTGATTTAAAACCTTCTGGACAGGATTCACCACTCTAGATGCCATTAAAAAAACATTTCTGTTTTATGGGTGAGGCCAAAATATCAACATTAACAGGAGTTTGGAAAAAGTTGATTCTAACCCCCATGGAGGACTTTGAGGGCTTCAAGTTTTCAGTGTAGGAAACAACAACAAACAGTGGAAATAGCAAGAGAACTGGAATTAGAAGTAGAATCTGGGCTGGACGTGGTGGCTTACGCCTATAATCCCAGCACTTTGGGAAGCCAAGGCAGGTGGATCACAAGGTCAGGAGTTCAAGACCAGCCTGGCCAACATGGAGAAACCCCATCTCTACTAAAAATACAAAAATTAGCTGGGTGTGGTGGTGCACACCTGTAGTCCGAGCTACTTGGGAGGCTGAGGCAGGAGAATCACTTGAACCTGGGAGGCGGCAGTTACAGTGAGCCAAGATCGTGTCATTGCACTCCAGCCTGGCAACACAATGAGACTTCGTCTCAAAAAAAAAAAAAAAAAAAAAAAAAAAAAAAAAAAAAAAGAGTAGAACCTGAAGATGCGACTGAGTTGCTGCCACGTCATGAAAACACATGAATACATGAGGAGCTGATTTGTATGGAAGAGCAAAGAAAGTGGTTTATTGCAAAGGAAACTCTTCCTGGTGAAGATGCTGTGAACGTTCTTGAAATGACAACAAAGAATTTAGAATATTATGTAAACTTAGTTGATAAAGCAGTAGCAGGATTTGAGAAAGTTGACTCCAATATTGAAAGAAGTTCAAAATGCTATTAAACAGCATCACATTACGGAAAATTTTTCATGAAAGGAAGAGCCAATAGATGTGGCAAATTTCATTGTTCTATTTTAAGAAATTGCCCCAGCCACCCCAACCTTCAGTAACCACTACTCTAATCAGTCAGTAGTCATCAACATTGAGGCAAACTCTATCCCAGCAAAAAGATTATGACTCACTGAGAGCTAAGATAATTGTTAGTGTCTTTAGCAATTAAATATTTTTAATTAAGTTATGTACATTTTTAAGAAATAATCCTATTGCATGCATAATAGACTATAGTATATTTTAAATATAACTTGTATATGTACTTCCATATAGATATTTTCATAAACCAAAATTTACAAGACTCACTTTAGTGTGATATTCTCTTTTTTATCTTTTTATTTTTTATTTTGACTTCAATAGTTTTAGGGGTACAGCTGGCTTTTGGTTACATGGGTAAGTTCTTTAGTGATGATTTCTGAGATTTTGGTGCACCTGTCATTGGAGCAGAGTACACTGTACCGAATATGTGGTCTTTTACTGCAGTGTCTAGAACCAACCCCACAGTATCACCAAGGTATGCCTCTATGTGTATATGAACAGGCATGTATACACATGTTTCCTTCCTAGCTGAGAAGGCCTAGAAAGCACCACTACTTTGCACATCTAGAATCCAGATTTTGATTTCTAGTACCATTCTCTAATAAAGGCAAGCAGAACTTCTAGGGGAAATGTCTGATTCTTAGACTGGCAGGAAATATATGCAAGATCAGCCTGAAAAGTATGTTAGTGCCAGAAGCTGAGGTGCTGAAAACAAAACAAAACAAACAAACAAACAATAACAACAACAACAGCAAATCCTACTATATTAGAGTATTTAAAAGTGACACTGAAGTCCACAGAAAGAGTTCCCAATACCCAAAACTGGAACCAGTTGACCAGTAAAATATATAAGATAGTATTGGATTACATCCCAAAGTATAAAATAAATATATATGCATCCAGAGTGATTTATCAAAATGATCAGATAAATAATAAATTGAGAAAATAGATAAATCTATGTTAACAGAATTCTAAATAATTATGTAGATAGCCTGCCCTCACACAGTAAAGCACAGTTTTCAACTGCATAATTGGCATTGGGTATAGTGACATACTTCTTGAAAACATAGTCTGGACAGAAAAAAATACATTTACAATGAAGAATTCTGAAAAACTCTATCTCAGACAGGTAATCAAGGTTATTATCAATGGTAATAAGTCATGCTGGTAGTTTTCTCTTAATATGATGTGATAAGAATGGCAATTTCACTCCGTGGTCTTCCTCTGGAAAACCACATAAACCCAGTACAGTCACACACACACACACACACACACACACACACACACACACACACACACACCAGAAAAATCTCAGCTGAAGGACATTCTACAAAACAACCTGGCCAGTACTACTTAAAACTTTCAAAGTCATCAAAAAATTAAAAGCAAGGACCCTGAAGAGACATGACTACTAAATGCAATGTGTATTCTGATGGGATCCTGTAAGAGGAAAAAAAAAGCCATTAGGTAAAAACTAATGAAATCTGAATAAAGTGCAAACTTTTCTTACTAGTAATATATTAGTAATAATTTCATAATATCAAAAGATATTAATATTAGGGAAATATGTGTGAGGGGTATATTAGAATTCTTGGTAGTATCTTTGCAATTTTCTGTCAATCTAAAACCAGAATACAGAACCTAGATATAAAACCATATGCCCACAGCCATTTAACCTTTGACAAAGTCGACAAAAATAAACAATCAAGAAAGGACTCCCTATTCAATAAATGGTGCTAGAATAGCTAGCTAGTCATATGCGGAAGAAAGAAACTGGACCCCTACCTTTCACTATATACAAAAATTAACTCAAGATGTATCAAAGAGTTAAATGCATGACATCGAACTGTAAGTATCCTAGAAGAAAACCTAGAAAATACCATTTTGGACATCGGCTTTGGGAAAGAATTTATAACTAAGTCCTCAAAAACAATTGCAATGAAAACAAAAATTGACAAGTGAGACCTAATTAAACTAAACAGCTTCTGCACAGCAAAAGAAACCATCAAAAGAGTATACATACAACCTACGGAATGGGAGAAAATATTCACAAACTATGCATCCAACAAAGGACTAATATCCAGAGTCCTTAAAGAACTGGAACAATAGAACAAGCAAAAAACAAATGACCCTGTTAAAAAATGGTCAAAAGACATGAACAGACACTTCTCAAAAGAAGACATAGAAGCAGCAAACAAACATATTTAAAAATGTCCATCATCACTAATCATCAAAGAAATGTAAATTAAAATCACAGGAGATACCATCTCGCACCATTCAGAATGTCTGTTAATAAAGGCTGCAGAGAAAAGGGAATGCTTATACACTGTTGGTGGGAATGTAAACTAGTTCAGCCACTGTGGAAAGCAGTTTATAGGTTTCCCAAAAAATTTAAAATAGAACTACCATTTGGCTCAGCATTCCCATGACTGGGTATATATCCAAAATAAAACAAATCATTTTACAGAAAAGACACACGCATTCACTTGTTCATTGCAGCACCACTCACAGTAGCAAGGTCACAGAATCAACCTAAGTCCCCACCAAGGGAAGATTAAAGAAAATGTGGTGCATGTATACCATGAAATGTTATATGGCAGTAAAAAAGAAAAAAATCGTGTCTGTTGTAGCAACATGGATAGAGTTGGAGGCTATTATCCTAAGTGAAATAATACAGGAACAGAAAACCAAATACTACATGTTCTTTTGTAAGTGGGAGCTAAACATCGGGTACTCATGGACACAAAGATGGCAGCAATAGACACTGAGGCAGGAGGGAAGGAGGGGTACAAGGTCTGAACAACTTATTGTTGAGTAATATGCTCACTACCTGAGCGACGGGTCTTTCATACCCAAAACCTCAGCAACATGCAGTATACCCAGGTAAAAAACCTGCACATGTACCTCCACAATCTAAAATAAAAGTTGAAAAAGAAAAAATGTATATCATTTTGCATAAAAAGGGTATATTTCATTTGGAGAAAAATACATGAAAATTCAAAATAAATATATATTCGAATATTTTATTTTAATTACCTCCTCTCTTATGATGATTCAAATAAAATGCTCAAATAAAAAATAAAAATAAAAACTAAAACCATTCTAATACAAATAGTTTGCTTAACAATCAGATATAAACAGAACAAAGTTTGATGGCTTACCAACGTTTAATTTCAAAACATAGTACAAAGTTACAAGAATCAAGAATGTAATACTGGTATATGTGAATAAATTAATGGAACAGCATTAAGAATTTGGAAATAAACTCTAACATTTAGGGCAACTCATTTTCAACAGAAGTGTCAAGGCAATAGAATAGGAAAGAATAGTCTTCTCAATAAATGGGACACCTTACCTTACTGTATACGAAAGTTAACTCAAAATTGAACCTAGACATAAATACAAGAGTTAAAACTATAAAACCGTTAGAATAAGACATGGCAGTAAGTCTGTATGGCCTTAGATTAGGAAAAGATTTATTAACTAAGACACCAAAAGCACAACTGACAAAATTAAAATATTGATAAAGTAGACTTATTAACAGTCAAAACCTTTAAGCTTCAAAAAATACCATTAAGTAATTGAAGAGACTAAGCCACAGACTAGGAAAAAATATTTGCGAATTGTATATCTGACTTGTGGCCAGATTATGTAAACAAACTCTTAGAAATCAGTAAGAAGTGAACCCAATTAATAAAAGTGATATGGCATATATAACAAACACAAGAAAAAATGTTCAATACTTTTAGTCATTAGGAAAATGCAAAGTAATATCAAAATGTGATGCTACTTCATGGCAAGTGTAGACATGTAAAATGCTTTTATTTTTTTTTAATTGGTAGTGTGTTTCTATTGGAAAATATATACAAGAAGTCTGGATATTTTTCTTGTATTATTCTTTTGATAATGGATGCTCCTTTTATTTCATGTAATATTTTATTTCTGAATTCCATTGGTTCAGTGTAAAAATTATTGAATGTAGTATCTCTCATATTCTTTGTCTGTCATATCACCTTCTTGTTTGCTACTTTATTCCATTTTGAGATGTTTCCCAACATTTTTGTAATCTAATTTTTGAAGATAGATATCAAAGTGTTAATATCCAAGAGCTCTTCTTTTTCTGCATGTTCCTTTTATATATAATGGTAGCATTAATTCATTTACAAATTAATTTTCACCATCTATCTGAAAATATTACAATATAAAATCCTTTTGTTCAATAAACCTTGCTTTGTCTGTTTCCTCAGTTTTTTTTTTCCTGTTTTAGCTTCTGCCTTTGATGTGGTTGATTTTCTTCAAATCTTAATGATCCTTTGGTATTACAAAATATTTGAGAGTGAGACACTGAAAAGCAAATTGACAGCGTTGGGTACAGGATTCATGGTTTATCCACTGGGCTCCACTGTGTGGTTTAGGGTGAACCCTGTTTGCAACAGGAGAGTCCAAATGTACTATTTGTGGATTATTTCTGTTAGATCAATTTCACTAAAAAAGAATCCTCTCACCTCTTCTCTGAGTGGTGAAACCGGCTGCCAGTGTTCTGAGAGCTGAAAGAAGGACAAACGCAGACCACTTACTGCCCAGAATGTACCTTTCGCTGTACTTATGGCAGTGCCTGGGGCTGAATACTCAGAGCCTCTTGAACTCTAATTCGATTGCCTGTTCTTGGCTACACCTCTTCAACCCTTCCTTTCAACACTCCCATTCGCGATTGCTGTCTGAGGCCTGCAGTGGGGATGTTTGCTGGATGGCGGCTTTGGCTACAGCCCCTTGGCCCTTCAGGATTCCCCCCGTCTTGTCTATCTGCTCTCTATTCTTAAATAAAGTTACCAACAACCCTTGCCCCCTGTCTTCTCTTCTCCTCCTCTTTTATCTGTATGATTTTTACCTTTAAAGAGTTATTCATTGTCATATAAAAAGTGTTTCAAAAGGGGAGAGAAGTAAAAACATTTTGCCTAATCTCACATCTCTGTATTCATTTGCTTAAAATTGTACATTTGCTCCTTGGGAAGGCCTTAAAATTGTCTTTTGATAGAGAATTCGGAAAGAGTCAGGAATACAAAGAGTTCCCCTCTTATTAAGATCTTGCATCAGCATGGTGCATTTGTGACCATCGCTGAGCCAGTGTGGATGCGTTGTCATCCACTGAGGCCCATAGTTAGCCCCATTAGAGGTTCCTCTTTGTGTGCTGCAGCTCTGTGGGCTTTAACAAATGTTTGTGTTCTTTGACAATGAAAGAACTGAAGATTTTACCTGAAAAAGACCTAAGCAATAATCTACTGCGACCTCTTAATCCTTCAGATGAGAAAAACGAGGGCAAGACAGAATGAGGCCCTTTATCAACATCAAACAGTGGAAAGTGTGACAAAACTTTTACCTTGAGTTAAAATCTCCGTTGTCATACGGTTTCTTCTCCTTGGCTTTCAGTTTGATCAGCTGGTTATTGTGAAAATAAAATGTCAGCTATGTGAAAATTTTGGAATTTGTATAACACGCATTCCTCATTCCAACCCCCCAGACAGGAGAGTGTCTGAGAAGATCCTTGCAGAATGTGTGAAGGGATTGCAGGCTCACCCATGCCTGCCCTGCCAGCTTTCTCCTCCCAATTTGACCTGGTTTAGGTGTGCCTTCTGAGATGTATCCTGTTTTTAGACTCCTCTCCAAGGAAATCGGCTGGGGCCCTCCTAAGTAATTGGTTTTTCAGGCCTGGTTTTGTCTCATTATTAGAAGGTGCTAAGGTTTGAATGTTTGTGTCCCTCTAAATTTTATATTGAAACTTGACCCCCATTGTGGTGGTAGCAAGTGGTGGTGTCTTTTGGGAAGTTATTAAATCAGGAGTGTTTCACTCTCATGAACAGAATTAATGCTCTCATAAAAGATCTTCAGAGAGCTACTTGGCCCTTCAAATTTTTTCTGCCATGTGAGCACCCACCCAGCTTTCATCCCTTCCAGAGGAGGCTGCAAAAAGACACTATCTTTAAAGCAGAGAGCAGCCCTCAGTGCACTCCAAGCCTGTTGGTGCCTTAATCTTGGACTTCCCAGTCTCCATGACTGTGAGGGAAAAAAAAAAGCCTCTATTAGTTATAAGGTACCCAGTTACAAGTATTTTGTTACAGCTGAGGGGATGGACTAGATGGAGCTTTGCAAAATTGGGTCTTTCAGTTCTCTAAGTTGTTCAACTTCACTCAAAAAATAAGAGGACAAATAAAGATTTGATAAGAATCAGCAGTCAGGAGTACAAGCATGCAGTCATTAAAATGTCACCTGTGCTGTCTGGATGTATAGCTTATACAGGGGACGGACATGTGGGTCTAGCAAAAAAGGCATCCCTAAAAGTATTAATGCAAAGCTAAGTATGAAAATAAGGCAAGGATATTTTATTTCTTTTCAAAAGCAGACATAGTGTAGACAGCATTTCTGGCCTTTTGTCTTTGCGCTAAACATTTCCCAGAGCACTGAGAAATATTCAAAGTTAAATTACATTGTATATAGCTTTCCTTGGTGGAAGTTAATTCAAAGAAAAACTATCCAGTATGGTTAGAATTCTTAAGGCAGTATTAATCACTTAGAGCTCAAAACCTATTTCCAGATTGTAAACAATGTAATCGTTAGCAGTTAGGTAAAACATGATTTGTGCCTCATGATATTTTAATCTAAAATGATCTTTGTGCTCAACTCACATGCTAAATATGTTCCTTGGTGACATATAAAACCTCCTAGACTGTTCCAATATATAAATTTATGCCTTTTTCCAGATAATTTGTTATAACTCTTGTATTGTTTCTGTCTGATTAATCTAAAGTAAAAAAGAATATGTTCCTACTCCAGTGGAAATTTTAAATTGACTTAGGCATATATCATAACAAGCAAAATGCTATTAGCCAGGATTTTTGCATTAGGTTTTATCAGCATTTGTTTTCACTGTATGAAGGTGTCATTTTAAATTACATACTTTTAGTTACTCAGTCTGTTCTTTTAGAATTATGTAGAATTATGAATGTTTTTAGAGTTTAGTTCAAAATCATGACTTCAGAATTAGGTGTTAATTTTTGCAATTCAAATTACCTAATAAATTCTATTCATGAGAATCATAGAAACAAAAAGCAGATGAACATATTTTTTTTGAAACCCATAAATCTCAAGTCTGAAAGCAGAAATGCTACTTTAAAAGGAAACCTCTGGAATCAGCTATGCATCCATCTTGCTTTGCCTAATGATGATCTCTTTCAAAAGTCTCATTAGATGGAAATTTCAGTTATACGAATAGATTATCCTATTAGAACCAGGATGCTTTTTACTCAACAAATACTTTTCTGCTATAGTTAAATCTTATTTACTATTATTTCTAGTGAAGAGAGGAAGATCACCATTGTTATATGTTAAAGACCATTGTAAATAAACATTGTTTTCATATTGCCCCTTTCTAATAGTTTTCTTAAAATTTTTGTATACTCAATTATTAAAATCTAAAGAAATGATGTCTACATACCAATAAGGTTACAGCGATATACAGTTATTTATATATTCTTTCTTATCACACAAAGTACTCAGCCTCAGAAAGTACTCAGTCTCAGTGCTTTTCACATAGATGGCACTCAGATAATTCTTTTTTTTTTTTTTTTTTTTTTAGCTCTGTCTGACAGGCTGGAGTGCAGTGGCACGATCTCAGTTCACTGCAACCTTTGCCTCCTGGGTTCAAACAATTCTGCTGCGTCAACCTCCTGAGTAGCTGGGATTACAGGCGTGCGCCACCACGCCTGACTAATTTTTGTATTTTTAGTAGAGATAGGGTTTCACCATGTTGGCCAGGCTGGTCTGGAACCCTTGGCCTCAAGTGATCTGCCCTCCTGGGCCTCCCAAAGTGCTGGGATTACAGGCGTGAGCCACCACGCCCTGCCACCCAGCCACTCAGACAATTTTGTTGTTGTTGTTTTGTTTTGTTTTGTTTGTTTGTTTATTTTCAGACTGAGTCTTGCTCTGTCACCCAGGCTGGAGTGCAGTGGTGTGATCTCAGCTCACTGCAATCTCCGCCTCCCGGGTTCAAGCAATTCTCCTGCCTCAGCCTCTTGATTAGCTGGGGTTACAGGTGCATGCCACCACACCCAGCTAATGTTTTTGTATTTTTAGTAGAGATGGGATTTCACCATGTTGGTCAGGCTGGTCTTGAACTCCTGACCTCGTGATCTGCCCACCTCGGCCTCCCAAAGTGCTGGGATTACAGGCATGAGCCACCGCACCTGGCCCAGATAATTCTTGATATGTGATCAGTTTACTTGTTAAGCAAAAGAAAAATACAGATGACAAGATATAGAGATGGCCATCAGCTTAATATGTCTAGGGTTCAGTGGTAAGGAGAATAGCATCAGTGTTAATTAACATCAGTAGTGGCAATAGATCATTTTCCTTGATGGGCTTTGGTCTCTTGGAGGTACAACTCATAAGCTCCAAAACGTGTTCACATGGAAAATAAAAACACACACTGCTAGAATGAACAAGGAATCCCCATTTTTCACACAGTCTTGCCACTCTTGCTGTGCCACTCTTGACCATGTCAACTCCTCACTGGAATTGTTGGAGGAAGCATGGGATGCTGAGCAGCAGCATTGGCTCTGTCTGTGTGTGACCCCCCAGGGCCCATCATGGCTCCTAAGCAGACCCTGTCCCACCTTGACACAGCAGTGCCCACGGAGGGGGAATAGGGAGAAGAGCAGCAGCATGTGAGCGGTGGCATTTGGTGCCATCAAAATAATGTATTACCAATTAATTGCCAGGTATATGCTTGGAGTTTCACATATGGTACTCTCATTCATTCCCATAACATTTATTAATGGTTCATTTTTATGAATACATAATAGAGTGATAGAAAAGTTTAGTTCATTCCGTTCACCTTAAATTACAATGTTTGTAAGTGGTTGAGCTATGATTTGCAGAGTTGTTTCTGAGCATTGAAGCCCTATGTGTGCACCATGCTGCATGCCAAGCGGTGCTGGGCACTGGTTCTAGTTTCCTTTCATGAGGAAACTGTGAGCTTCTCTTCCTTAACAATCTTCCAGCAAGAATACAGTGGGTGATGTGGTGAAGCCAGGACTTCACTTACACTCCCGTACTGGTCCCATGAGAAATATATACAGTAGATGTAAATGCTTCCATGATCTAATTCTAGGCATTTGGTTACAGAATCCCATCCACAAATCTACTGAGCACCTACTGCTCACAGCACCAGGTACTGTCCACTACCTGAACAATGTAAAATCCCCCTTCTATATAAATCAAACCTGATAACTCCAACACAAAAGTAACATTTACACTTTTGAAGACTGTTTGACAGTAAAGCTGATCATAGACTGAATGCAGAATTTCTAACATCAAGGAATAGAGTAGGTATATAAAATAAAAGTTACATGCACAAACAACATGCTTCCATACCTGCCCAATTTGTTTCTGAATTTGGTGTTTTACAAGGAATGTGGCATATCAGCATGCTATTTGGAATAAGAAATGTGGTACATCAGCATGCTAGCTCAAAACCACCTACATTCTCTCAGCTTGTTATACCTTTTTCTGCCCTTGTAGGTTGATTATTAAACATTTAATTAATATCTCTGTTCTACTGAGGTGTAAGTCTACTGGCTTAGCTAATAAGCAGTGAGGACAAAGCATCTAATAGCTGTTGGAAAGTGAAATATTAGAAATAAATAAAAATATTAGTACTCATATTTCAAAGCTGGTAGAGTTAAGCTTCTCAGAAAAAAATAAAAGCTTATTGTGAAGGACCACATATAATTTGCAATACAATCCCAAATTTCTTTCCTTTATAACAGAATGAGAACCATTCAGAAGTGGAATTATTGGTGCGTTCTAATCTTTCATGCTGCACTAATCTGTTTAATCAAAGCTCCATCTCAGTTTGTCTAAGCATGCTGCCTGCCTCTGAAGGGCAAATTGCATTCCGTCTAACAGCATGTGGTTTTAAAAGAGAATGCACTTGGTTTTACTCCCTGGGTAATGAGTTTAAAATCACTTTGTACTTTTGAAAAAAGAGTCAAGTTACAAGCAGCTTTGCTTATGTGACTATATTTAAAATTTACATAGGAATCTGCAAGATAGAAGGCTCTGTGCTGTGCTGGTTTCTCACTTGTTTACAAACTTGTTCTAAAATATTAGTTTTTTTGCACATATTTGTAGGAAACTTGGGAATTGAAATATGTATATTTTACATGAACTTGAGCACAGAGTGGCAAGAGCATGACTCCAATAAGATTTTAAGAAGACAAAGACAAGTGACAAATACTAAAAAACCTTGATTAGTTATGCCAAGTGTTCCTAATTAAAAACCCTCCTTCGTCTCGGTTCTTGTGCAGCCGTGGCTTTTCACAGACACTTGAGGTTGCCTCTCTTAGATGTGAAATGTATCAACATAGTTTTCTCTAAATAGCTTTTAACAGAGGAGCAATCTATTCAAAAACCAAATAAACTAGAGCTGTGACAAGCAAAAGGACTACAGTATTTCTTATTTTCTTTCACCTTTGAGTATAAACTTTTAAATACGATTTATCCTCTACTCTTTCCCATAGGAGCTGATACAGAAATCAGTGAGGTTTTTGAATGATATTTATTCAACCACGACAGACATGTCCTAGAATGCCTACCACAGTCCTGTTCCTTTCTGTATTTTTTTAATGTCATTTCACCACCCCCAACAGAAGTTCCTTAACCTTTCAGCTTCTCTAAAAGTTTAATTTAGAGGCCACTTATGATGGAAACACTTAGGCCGGTTGCTAAAATCCACATCCCTGGGCCCTCCCAAACTGGCTGAATTAGAATATCTAATTCCAGGGCTTGGGAATCTGTACATTCACAAATCTAAGAAAATACTGCCGAAAAACTGGATGACTACTCTGTCTATTGCTAAACCTGTCTGCCTTGAGGTTAAGGTTCTCTCTCTCTGTCTCTCTCTTTCTCCCCACCACCCCACACACAGAAACACACAAACTCACACACACAGACTACACACACACGCAGTCTTTATATGCCCTTCCATTTGTTCCTAGGTAATCTGTCTGTGGGGGACTGGTTCCAGGAAGGACCCCAGAGGATACCAACACCCGTGGATGCTCAAGTCCCTTATATAACAAGTTGTAGTATTTGCATATAAACTATGCACATCCTCCTGTATGCCTAAAATAATCTTTAGATACTTGCAATATCTAATATAATGCAAATACTATGTAATAGTCATTATTTTTTGTATTATTTTTATTATTGATTGTTATTTCTTATTGTTCTTCCCCACATATTTTCTACAGATGGTTGGTTGAATCTGCCGATGTGAAATCCCATGAATAGGGAGGGATGACTGTACTGTGTGAGATTCTACAGGCATAAATGTATGGTTTATAAGCTTTTAAACATTTACAGAGATTTAGAGATGTATTTCGCCCAGTGGTGTATTTAATGGACATTGACTGGTAGGGGTAGATAGAAAAACTGGAAAAACATAGAAAATGACCATCTTTAAGTAAGAATTCTTCAGAACACATTTCATCCTTGATAGGACTCGTTAATCTATTTCTAATTTAAAAAAAAATTAAGAGAACATTTGAAAATTTGATATCAAACTGGATAAATGTCATATCTGCCTAATGAATGAAGTGACAGTCTTTAGCAATGCACTAAATTCTTATTTGCACATGGGGAAAACTATGACATTAGGAAAAAGTAAACTCACCACTTCTTCATGTCTACATTTTCTCACATTAATGCCATTTATCTGCAATGAAAAGAAAAGCATAGTTTCCCATGGCATATTGTAAATTGAGTTAATGTTTTGACCACACATATAGTGATAAAATGTATACCTGTAGAATTGCATCTCCAATAAAAAGTAGTCCTGAAAGTTCCGCTGTGAATGAAAAAGCACAATTGATAATGCATTGACTGTTTTTGTTATGCAGATGAAAGGACTTTTAATTAAATAAAGGTAAAATTTACAAATATAAAAATTAAGTGTCTTATATGGTTAGCATCTTAAAAGATCCACAAAAAATGGAAATTCGAAACAATATGACTCAGTCTAATTACTGAAGCACATGCAGACATATTTCCATTTACTTTTACTATTGCAGACCTAACAGTTGCTAAAAATGAGCCACTCTTCTAAGGGTAAAAGACCACATTTTCTCACGCACTTAAGATTATTAGGTCTCTGTGAAAATGTTTAAGACATAGACATTCAATCCGTCAGCTATGGAATTGGCTCCAAGTTCATTTTTAAACATTACATTGTTTTACTAATTTCAGTTCTTGCAACATCTGCTTTATATCTCCATTATTTTTCCTACAGTTTCTTATGAATGGTTAGCTGAGTAAAATTGCAAATGAGAACTGAAAAACAGACACTTGAAATTGTCTTTACTTGATGGGACTTGTTATCATTAGTTTTGTATCTTTGTTGGTTTAATGAAACAACTGAAAAGCTGTGTAGTCCCTAACTCATACCTGCTTTCAAGGGTTCCTATCTTTCAGCCTTGTTCCCCTTCTGTGAGAGAAGTCCTCTCCCACAGGAGGATAAAGGGCAAGGACCCAGGAAGCAGACTCAGCCACTAATGCCTGAAGGTGGGGAAGCTGGAGCCAGTCAATCACATTGTAATTTAGGATTCTTGAATATCATCTCACACTTCAAAAACAATGCCTTAAAGAAATGGCTGGTACACAATTCTCTAAACATATTACCTCTTTGTTCCTTGGAGATTTTTGAAACGACAACTGGAATGTTATGTTCTGCTCCTCCCTGAAAAGAGAAAATCATATATTGTACTTTTTAATCTAAAAAAAATGCTGCTTTTAGCTAAGAAACCATACAGGCTCTGAAGGGAATGTTAAGTGGATATTAGGCAGAATTTAAATAAACTTGTGGAATTTCTCCTCTAAGTAGATAGTGCTCCCATGAAAATTATCTACCTGTTTAGAATTTTGCTGAGACATCCAATAATAACAATTGGCTTTGAAAGTTTTCATTTATCAACAAATATTGATTATGTATTTAGATAGGCATTCTCCTCAATGTGTAGCAATGCTATCCAATAGAAATTCTTATTTAGGATTCCAAACACCAGATAATTATATATTACTGTTATCCTGCTAAGTTATTCTGTGCTGGCAGCTAAGGGCTTTTGGTGGTGCAGTGACCCGTTGGGATACCAAGGAAGTAGAGAGACCTTTACCAGAACAAATGGATAAACAAAATCAGAATGCACATATGCATGAAAAATGAGGGATTCATCTGCATTTCCTTCCTTAGTATTGAATTCCTCCTTGTGTGAAAGCACATACTAAACAATTTGCAGAGTAAAACATACTGCCAAGAATATTGAAGTAGTACTATTTTTATTATTTATTTATTTATGTATTTATTTATTTTATTTTTTGAGACGGAGGAGACTCGCTCTGTTGCCCAGGCTGGAGTGCCATGGCGCGATCTTGGCTCACTGCAACCTCCACCTGCCGGGTTCACGCCATCCTCCTGCCTCAGCCTCCCGAGTAGCTGGGACTACAGGTGCGCCATGCCCAGCTAATTTTTGTATTTTTAGTAGAGACGGGGTTTCACCATGTTAGCCAGGATAGTTTCCATCTCCTGACCTCGTGATCCAACTGCCTCGGCATCCCAAAGTGCTGGGATTACAGGGGTGAGTCACCGCACCCGGCCTGCAGTAGTACTATTTATTAGTTGACTAAATGAGATATGAAAAAAGAAAGACAAGTAAGCTAAACTTATGTGAAAGAAAATAAAATAAATCCTTAAAAACGGAAAAAGAATCCCATTTCTGTATTACAGAGTTGAGAAGGTTAAAAGCAGTAGTAGAGAAATGAAATCAGTACATAAAAGAATAAAATGTCATATATAAAAAGAAGCATAGAACTTGTAACACAGCCTAGTTGAAAAGACAATCTGAATTCCATTGAGGTTGTTCTATCTTCAGAATATGTAAACCACCTAAGCTTTTGTTTCAAGTATAAAAAATTATTTTGGAAGAGATATTCTTTTTTCCCTTGCATGCCCATTTTTAACACTGAATTGCCAGTATACTTAAATATAAAATAGTCAATAGTTTTTTAGAAAAGCAGGAATATTGAATTTTTTTTTTTGGCAAGTAGAGTCCTTTCTAATTCCAGAATATTAAGAAGAAATATGATAATTAAGGTAATGAAAACTGTCCTACTCACTGAATTTCAAACCCACTGCTCAGTTCCCTTTTCCTCACTATTTCACAGCAACCTAATATTCATGCACCGCACCCCTCAGCTCTGTGGGGGAAGTTACTGGCGTAGGTTACAATGGCTCCCACTTGTTCTGCTTTTTGGTCTGTGTGTCCCTAACAAACACAGACTGTGTCTAAGATGACCCTGCCTCTGACCTGAACAGAGATAGTGATTTGTGGCTGACAGTGTGGTGGAAATCAAGTGCTTATTTAGCACACAGTAAACACTGAATAAAGGAAGGCTATTATGCTAACACAGCCCATGTATTAAGATTTATGAGGAAACTCACATAGCATTAAAGTGGTAAATAAGATTAGGACTAATCCCTTCTAAGACCCTTAATATTTATGAGTTAGAACTCCAAATTCCCAATCCCCTTTTATCTGTTCTATTTTGTCCCATTACAGTTATCAGTGTCTAACATGTTATTTTTTCATTTCTCACACTTATTGTTTTCTTTCTTCTTCCCATTCCTAACTAAAATGCACATTTCTTCAGGGTGCAGACATTTTTTGGTAGTTTGTTTTGTGCATCGATGTAAACCCAGTGCCTGGAATAATGTCTGGTCTATCTTTGACATGTTTGTTGAGTTGAATGAATGAATGAATGAATGAAGTCTACGGCTTTTCCAGGCCCAGCGTAAGGTCACTGATAGCCTCTAGAGACACTTGGAAATTAGAAAGGATGTTAAGGATGCATCTATGTTTCTTAGAAGGAAAAAGCTGGTTAACTCAAATGAATCATTAACTGATGAACTTTTAGGTAGAATTAAACCATGAAACAATCATCCAGATATTGTGATTCAGATATTTTGGGACAGGGAACAACAATGATTTTGCTGGTCTCCTCAGTGAGGCTGTTATCAGAGTATTTTCCTTCAGCTGTTTTTGCATTTCACCCTTTTCTCTTATTCTGCTACTGAACCCATTTTTTTTAAATGCATAGACTATTAATGCAAATTACCATGGCAAGACATTGGGAAACCTATTCTTGGTGTCCAGAGAAAAGGCTTTTGAGATAGAGTTTTTCTGAGGGTTGACTCAATAATCCCATTCTTTCCTCAACACCCAGACTTGTACAGCAATCCCCTGCTTATTTGTGTTTCACTTTCTGTGGTTTCAGTTATCCAGGGTACAGTACAATACAACATTTTGTGAGAGAAAGGAAGCACATTCACATAACTTTTATTACAGTGTATTATTATAATTCCATTTTATTATTAGTTATTGTTAATATTTTACTATGCTAATTTATAAATTAAACTTTATCATGAATTTGCATATGTAAGCAAATATGTTATATGCAGTGTAAGATTCAATACTGTCTGCAGTTTCGGGCAACTACTGGGGTCTTGGAATGCATCTCCCAAGGTTAAGTGGAGACTATTGTAACCATCTTTGAAATGCAAAATGTAACACTTATTTTACCACAGTTTTTCTCTTATATGTAAAATTTATCCTGAAATTTGAATGGTTTGAATCCAAACATGGTTTTTGGTTTTCTGTTTTTATTTTATTTTTTTGAGAGGGAGTCTCGCTCTGTTCACAGGCTGGAGTGCAATGGCATGATCTTGACTCATTGCAACCTCCACTTCCCAGTTCAGGTGATTCTCCTGTCTCAGCCTCCTAAGTAGCTGGGATTACAGCCACTCACCATCATGCCCAGCTAATTTTGGTATTTTTGTAGAGATGGGATTTCAACACGTTGGCCAGGCTGGTCTTGAACCCCTCCCTGACCTCAGGTGATCCGCCCACCTTGACCTCCCAAAATGCTGGGATTACAGGCACGAGCCACTGCACCTGGCCTGTTTTTTTTTTTTGCTTTTAAATTAGACATTTGGAGCTCTGATGTACTTTTTAAACTAATTTCTGAAAATGACTTCAGTAATTACTGAATTTTAAGACAAAACTCAGAAGATAAAATTGGAACTCAAAATCACGCTGCCTTCATTACTGGAGAAAATGTGAGCAGCTCAGCTGCTACAGTTAATTAGATTTAGTGCAGGGCCTAAATGGGGAAATGTAAGGTTTTCCAGTCAATAATCAAATCATGTGGCTTGTTTAAAACAGGTGATAGGCTTCCATGACAGTTGAATAATAATGAGAACCTTTAAACTGCCTCTCTTCCAGTGTAGCTCCTGGACCTCCATCGCCCTGAACCTGAAGGATGTCAGCATGCACTGTTGTCTGGCCAGTTATGCTCCTCCTTCCCTCCTAACCTGGAAACTGTTCATTTTTGAAATTTTGGCTTAAAGCCCCCTCCTTTAGTGTCTCCTTACTTGAAATAATACACTTATGTAGCACTGGATCATGCCTGTGATTTACATTTATTCTGGTAACAATTTGATCAAAGTCTACTTTCCTACTGAAGTATAAATGGCCTGAGGTCCAGGCAAGGCTTTCATCACCATCTTCTCCCCAAGGCACTCCTGGGCGGGACTGTGGCTCATGACTGTGGTTTAGAGAATGCTTGAATTAACTGAGCATTGTTATTGTAGTTTATGGAGAAATACAAGATTAGGAAAAGGAAGGCAGTGTTCTAAAGCACAGCCCAGGTAATGTTCGCACATACATCGTTCAGCTTTGTGATAATCTTTTTACAAAGCATAGTGGATTTTATAGCTAGCTCTGTAGGAAGAAGGATGTATAATTCCATCTAAAGCATTTTGAGAATGACTCTACACAACGGTTTTACTAGCATTACTGTGAAATACCACCAAATAAAACCTGGAATGCTTTTAGAGCATCAGGAGTCTTGCCAAGTAATCTTTTCAGTTCAATATTATTATTACTCCAATCAATTAATCAATCAATCATATTATGGGCATGGGGGTGCAGGGAAGATGCATAGAGCTAACCACTATTTTTCCTTTTAGAGAAAGGAAACTACTTGTAAACAGAATAACAGTAATTAGAGTTAAGAGCTGCAATGGACAACTACAGAAGAGGCAAGTAAAGGAATATCACCTGGAGGAATACGGGCATGTGCCATCATCCTTCTGGATGCTATCGTTACCTGCCAACATACTTCGTTTGATTTTGGCAAAAAATAATTGTCTTTCTCACATGCTATATGATTACCTTCATATGAAAGTCTAAAATAGGGAAATGGTCATTGCTCAGGTTTGAAAGAGGGGAGATAGGGGATAAAAGGGTGATGAATAAATATGAGATTTCTTCTGGAAGTGATAGAATGTTCTAAAATTGACTGCCGTGATACTTGCAAAGATCTGCGGATATACTAAAAACAATTTAATTGTACACTTTAAATGGGTAAATTGTATGGTATTGGAATTATACCTCAATAAAGCTATGTAATGAAAAAAAATGTAATGGTCTTTGAAATGATAATTGACCAGTGGTTTCAACTCATTTTTGGGACTAATCCATAACCCTCAATTTAAGCTTTACTGTATGCTTGTTATCTCTTTCTTTTTTTTTTTTTTTTCTGAGATGGAGTCTTGCTCTGTCGCCCAGGCTGGAGTGCAGTGGCACAATCTTGGCTCACTGCAACCTCTGCCTCCCAGGTTCAAGCGATTTTCCTGCCTCAGCCTCCAGAATAGCTGGGACTACAGGTGTGTGCCACCACGCCTGGATAATTTTTGTATTTTTAGTAGAGTTGGAGTTTCACCATGTTGGCCAGGATGGTCTTAATCTCTTGACCTTGTGATCCACCCGCCTTGGCTTCCCAAAATGTTGGGATTACAAGTGTGAGCCCTGTGCCTGTCCCTGTTATCTACTTTTATGATGGAAATGGACATATTCATTTTGTCTAGAGTGAAAACAAGTGAATCAGACTTGAGTAAAAATGGCAGGGGAAGCAGAATGCAGAAAAATGTATGCAAGCACGTCCATGCACTTATAGCAATGGTTGTTATTTAAATATTTTTGCCCAGATACCACTAATAAGTTAAAAGGCATACATTTATTACAACTAATATATATATTTTATTTGGAAAATTTGAAACGACTAGTACTCAACCCTTTATCTTACAAAATTGCTTACTTGAGCTACACATTTATTTCAGTTTTGTTTTATTTTATTTTATTGTAATTTTTTTTGAAACAGAGACTCACTGTGTCACCCAGGCTGGAATGCAGAGGCGTGATCTCAGCTCACTGCGACCTCTGCCTCCCCGGTTCAAGTGATTCTCCTGTCTCAGCCTCCCAAGTAGCTGAGACTACAGGCATGTGCCACCATGCCCAGATAATTTTTTTTTTTATTTTTAGTAGAGACAGAGTTTCACCATGTTGGTCAAGCTGGTCTCAAGCTCCTGACCTCAAATGATCCGCCTGCCTTGGCCTCCTAAAGTCCTGGGATTACAGGCATGAGCCACCGTGCCTGGTCTTATTTCAGTTTTAAATAAACCAGAAAGTAAACAGCATAGAGAGGAAACATGATCTATGTCCCTGAGTAGAGAGTTTTGAGGTAATTTATTTCAGGTTTTATAGTTCTAAGCATAGTTATTAAGAGTAAGGACTTTGTCATCGGCTTCTAGGGGGACTGAGGTCCAACTCTACTGCTTATAACAATTGATGAATTACTTAACCTCTTGACACTTAATCTCATTGTCTGTGGAAGGTATAACAATAGTTATCTACTCCACTGGATAATAAAGGCAAATTGAACTAAATATGAAGTATTTAGCTCAGAAACTGGCACTTAATAAGTGGGGCATAAATATTAGCAATTATTTAGAAATGAGAAGATGATTAAGAGTAATAATGATTATAATTCTATTTTTTACTGCTGTAGTGTTAAATCTTCCAAATAGAAATCACCTTTGATTGCATACATTTATTTAATGGACATAGATAATTTATTATTTTCATAAGAAAATTGTGTCTGTTGGAAAATACTGCATAAAATATATTTATAGTAATAACATTTAAAACATCCTTTCCCTCAAAGGTAAATTTTTAAATGACAATGAACAGAAGTATAATTTAATAATGTGCAGCTAGATAGTATTGAATTTTAAAAGATATGAGAGATAAATAAAGCCTCACAAGGGCAAGACGATGGCTTGCTTTAACATGACTATCCCTATGGTAATCCCGATAGGAAGAATAAGGCAAAATACAATAATATTGGATCCTACGATGCAGAAATTTGGTGATTTCTGCAGATGTAGTTGAGGAAACTATTAAAGTTATTTATATAAATGCCAAGTCTCTGCATGGTCCAGCCCAGAGGATGGGCACTTGAGAGGGGAAGGAGACAAGAGTTGGTGGGGCTGGGAGAAGAACCAGGAAATGCCAGTAGAAATGGTGCTGCAAGCAGGGAAAAGCAGCCAGGCCCGAGGCCATGTGCAGGATGCCACTAGCCTGCTGAATCTGCCCGCTTCAAAGGAGCAGTTTCTGCCTGAGAACAGGCAGCAGACTATGTGATTATGAGTTGAAAGTTTAGTGGTTCTTTTGTCCAGCTTTGGGGGAAGCCCAGATAGGGCTTTTTGTTGAAATTTTTGTGAAAAGTAAACTGAAGAGCTTGATTTTTTTTTTTTTTTTTTTTTTTTTTTACTGATAGACAAATTAATACAAAGAAAAAAAGGCACACAAGTATGTGATTTCTGAGAGATGTTTTAACAAAGGAAAATTAAATAATAACAGGCAGGAAGAAATCTAAATCACTGTCAAAAAATCCCAAAAGTTACAGCAGGAGTGAGGATGCCTCTGAAAGGCAACCTGAGAGAAAGAATATCTTGGATAAGCAAGGATGCCTGGAGGGCTGGGAGCAGGAGTGAGCCAGGTGCATAAAGCCCTAGAAGGGTTCTAATAAGAGAGGAAGGAGGCATGGCTGTCTCCTTCCAGGCTCTAAAGTAGGGATTTGCTTCACTTAAAGACAGTGGAGGGACCGGTGCAAATGTGTGTCATGACTCCAAATTTCATCTCATTATATTATGGCTCAGTTACTCATTTGATCCTTCTACAGTTGCTAAACAGCAATGAAAGAATAACTGTAGAATGAGACAAGAAAGCAGAGAAAGTAGCACAACCAGGAAGGGACATTCTCCCCAGAGGTTAAAAAGGATTTCTTTTCACTTTAGGAGCTGAGTGCAAATAGTTCATCAAAACTGGGAGATGGGGATGCGAGAGTGTCAGCCTGTGTGTGGCACCTCCCTGGTCAAGGCATCTGCTTTTCCATGTGCAGCATGCGCTAAAGCTGGACATTGTGCTCATACGTCATTTCGGGCTTTACTTTTGCTTTTTTTTTCTTATTATTTAGAATTAACATGGAGAAACAGGCAATTTTGGTCTTTACCTTTTAATGGTAAAACATTCCTGTTATAAAACAATAGGAGTTTAGGAATCTAAAGGACAAATAAGTCCATGAAGATAAATCAGTAATTCCTACCCTAAATCTCAATGTAATTGATGTCAGAACTCTTTTTGGGTGGCTTTGTTTCAAACTGAGTGTCTAGCATTTTTGGAGATGATTTGAAGAAATGGTAAGTATGACTTTCCAAGGACAGGCTCAGATTTGGTAAGAAACTCCAAAGAATGTGCTTCAAAAAATTTAAAGAGAAAAATTAAGGAATAATGGAAAGAAAACTAGACAAAATTTGAAAAGAAAAAGGATTCGGACTTACTTAAGTCATATTTTTAAAATGTAAAGCTGTTTCAATATTCCTTTCATTTCTACTAAATATATATTTTTCTCTTATTCTTTGGGATTTCAGGAATTTTTGACATAGGAACCCTCCTCAATGTGGTCTGCATCATATCTAGCATTAGTACATCAAGGGAAGAGTTAAAGTCCTAGAATTAAGCCGTAGGGACACTGAACTGCCTCAACCTCCAAGCCACCTGCACGTTTTGTCCCAGAAGTTTGTACAATGTCTTATATAAGGTAAAGAAGAAAAATGAAGGTAAAGGCTAACTTTTATTTTCCCACCAACTTGTACCCTACAAGGTACCCTGGCTGGAGACAGGGCTTGAGAGAGACAGCAATATTGCACATGAGCAGCAGACATCAAGGATTTGTGGACACTGGTAGCTACAGAGACTTCATGTTGCCCACAGCCCACAGCCGCTGAGACATATTAATCAACAAAACAATGGACTCAGACCTACATAAGAAGCCCCACCACACTGTCCTTGTCCAGTTTGTGGGGAGATGTGAGGAATTACCATGCTGCACAGTGGTGACTGTGACAGGAAAGTCCCCAAGCCAAGATCTGTCAAGAGTGTAGGGCATGGCCAGCTGGCTTTGACTTCTAGCAGCACATGTTAGAGCATTTGACTGAATTCTGTCTAAAAAGGACATTCATTACCCTTTAACCAAGTTTTTTTCTTTTTTAAAGAATGTGTTTTTAACATAAAACTAAAATACCATGTGTTCTGAGTCCAGCGGAATTCACAAGCACCTGTAGGAGTCTTAACTACATTGGTAAATGGCTTTTCAGTTGTCTAACATACCATCTTCCTTCTGTCATCTTAAGTCAAGACCATAAAGGTTTTAATTAATAATTCTCACCACGAGTCTTTCCGGTGTGTGCCGCTGAGGATTACTTAACTGAAGCAAATAGTGGTAAGATATGCGTTTATGTATTTATATGCATACTTTTATTAGTGGCTCAAATTGCTCCTGAAAACTGTAAATAAATAGTTCAACATTAAAATACTAATTCTGCTTCTAGCCTAGAATGATATTTTTAAAAAAGTTTATACATTTTTTTAAATTCTCAGATCTAAGGAAAATAGTGCTAACAAATAAACACAGTAGTTTATTCAACTCATATATGACAGGGAAAGAGATTTTTGTAATAACACTGCTAGTTAAAAGAAAGAATCATATTTTGATCTAAATAATCACAATAAAAGATAGTTTAAAAAATAGAAAAATGAAGTTCAGAGGTAAGTATGAGAAAGTAAAAATAAAAAACCATAAAAGGAATTTCTTTAGGATGAATGAGTAATATTCTAAATAAAAGTCTTGATGTTTGTATTTCTTGTCAGAGTGTGTCATAAGAATTTTGCAAAAAGTTCTTTTTTGTTAACTCTAATATAAGATATTGATCATAGCTCAAATACCACTTTTTGGTCAATAATTGAATGGAAAATTCATACTTATTTAATTCAAAAAATATTCTATTTATTATATATACAATAGTTTTGATTGGATTGAAATAATGAAAATATTAAAATGAAAAGCTTTATTTAGAAAAATTATTGATGCTTTAAAAACTAGGTTAAAATGTGGCATTTTAGTAAAAATAGATAGCATTGCATTATTGGGTTTAAATTTAAAATACGAAAAACAACAAAAAAAGGAAAAGAACATTTCTAGGTGACACAAAATTAATGGAAGCTCTACTACCAGAAATAGAGTTAGTGCCTGGTTCAGTAAAAATGATGATTTCAGATGAAATCAGCTCTCACTATTGGATTTTATTCATGGATTTTCTAGTATCTTTAGTGGTACTTTTAAATTCTTTACAGCAATCTCAATAAACAGCCTGGCCAAAAAAAAAAAAAAAAAAGCAAAACAAAAAAAAATCTCATTTATTGAGTGATTAAATTCTCATAGAATACATTGCACATCCTATAATCTGTTCTGCATGCCTCCCTGGTCTTAGTTGGTGATAAGATAAAGTTTCACTTTGATAAACTGAATGTACAAAATATGTTTTGAAGCTAGTGCTCTTTATAGCAATATTCTTTTCTTATCACTGACAATACAACGCTATTGCATACTGATTTCTACTCTGAGTCATTTTCACAAAGTCAACTAGAGCTGATGTTCACAAAATTTAGAGTTCTGCTTTCCATAAATATATGACATGAGTTGTGTTGAAATTTCAAGCAATGTGTACTTGAAATATATAAATTATTTTCACCCTATATAAGTCAAATAACTAACCCAATAATTATAAAGTTAAACTTCATTTATCTATGAAGAGATGTAGGTTTGACAAAGGCATTGCAGTCATGAGATTAACTCTTCAATATTTACATAATTTCCTATGCTTTAAAAATTTATCCTTTATTTCAATGATAATAAATTGCAGATATGGTACATCTCTAATAGTCAATAATATACAAAATAAAGGCCTTTAAAATTTGATAATAAATTTAAATGAACACATATGTTCACTTTTAAAATAAAGCATATGCAAAGACTTTAAGTCTATCCTATATGATTAGCACTATACAATTAAATTTACTGATTTCTTTTTTAAAAATGAAAAATAAACAAGATGAACAGAATACAATATCTCACTTACTATTGGGCTTTATTAGTGTGAAACTTGTTATTGTTCTATTTACTGCAGATCATCATTTCCTACTCCAGTTGGTTAAAGAAAGATATGCACACGACATCATATTTAACATTTCAGAAAAACCAGACAAAGAAAGTTAATGAGTTAAATTCAATCATAAGGTAAATTCCCATATTCTTTGCTAAACTTTCTAAATCAAATGGTAAGAGTTTGCAGGAATTCTGTGAGAACCTACCTAATTTACATCCCCGTCCAAATATTAAGGAGTTTGCTATAGCCATCCTTGTCTAATTATTAATCAGCAAACATTGAAATGCACCAAAGTTCAGCTCTTATGGCATGGCCTTTGTAAGGATAGACTAGAAAGGCAGGCTACCTTTATGCTTAATCCAAATCCTCCTACTGTTTGTCTTCTGATGGTCACCGTTCTTTCCTGAAAGACAGGATTTTTAAGAATGGTTAGTGTTTCCTAATACTATACTTACACACCATTTTTTGTTGTTTTTTTGGTTTTCTTCTGGGTTTTGCTTTTGCTCTTTAAAACAAAAGAGAACTCTTCTGTGCTGGGATAGTGCCTCCACATCTTGTAATAAATAGTCTTTGACTTTTAAATCAAAGGGTTACTTGTTAAAATAACAGGGACTGAAGCGTTATAAACTCCTAAACTCTTAAAAATAAGTTCTTCTCAATGATTATTTTGGACATATTTTGGAATCTTAACTTTTATACCTCTTCTTATTTCCACATTACGTATTCTTATTTTCTAAGAAATGATAAGTTTTAGGTTATATAAAAGTAACTCAGAGGCAATGGTAAATATGATCCTGGTAAACCATGGCCCTGTCTCCATCCCTGCCTGGAATTCGGGAGCTAAGCTGGGAGGCTGCCGTGGCCAGCACAGAAATGCTACATGTGTGTGTTTTAGATTGAAAGTGAATAAACCAAGTCCAAAATAAACTAATTGCTTGTTCATAAAATGAATAAATTACACATCTAAGTAATAATGATAATTGAATTATCAACTTTAACAATCAGTTTCTTTTTCTCTCCACAATAGAAGTAATTCAATCACTGGCCTATAAAACTTCAAAATCACAAAGATGATGGCATGAGAACAAAGAGCTACATTTAGACAAATCCTGTAATTTTCAATTTGAAAAATCGATACTGCTCTGATTTTGGGCAGTCATCTTTACATAGTGCTTACTGCGGAGGCATGCTATAGGGCTGAACGCTTTAACTTATAGCTTGCTCCATTACATCAATCTTTTTGAACATTCCCCTATGCAGAATCATTTGAGACACTGACCCTTTTCCCCTGCATCTGGGGTAGATATTTGTTATCTGGTCCCTATATCTCTACAAATACCTTTTGCCCACATTATCCATTTCCAAATGTAAATACTGCCCTCTTTCTTACAGATGAATTGCTTCCCTCATTCTCTTGTTCTGCGGAAACTGTGTGGAACAGATAATATTATTTTAAAAGAACTAGTGAAAATTGGAAAAATGTGTGCTTCTGGTGGCTCTTGCTAAATATTTTAAGATAGCATAAGACTCTTCATTTTGGCAAGGTTAAAAACTTCCTTGTTTAGCCAAAAGTTTGGTTTCTATAAATAGAACAAAATAATACTTAAAGAACAAGATTGCCATACCAGAATTTGAGGTATACTATTATTGATTTATTTTGAATTTTGAAAATAAGACTTTTTGATGAAGATGGTGCATATTTACTTAGAAATTATTATTATTACTATTGAATGCAAATGAGTAGCATTCGATAAAATAAATTTTCTTTATTTTGACAATGTGCTGAGTAATTTCATCTATTTCAAAAATACTTATGTTACTCTTATAATCTGTCATCCAATCATACTTTCAAACCAACATTAAAATTATAATTGTACAAATAAGTTTCTATGTGTATAACAATTTATGCAAAGCAACTTGAAATATAAGATGAACTATTTGTATTAAATACTACCACAAAGTCTGTTTTTATTTTTCAGCATACTGTTTGTTGCATTACCCCAGGAATGCAACCACAAATACGGGAAGATATATTTTAGAATTTATATCGCAAAACCTACACATATAAACAGGGCTGCATATACAAAAGCAAAAAGGAAGGTTAAACATGTGCATTATAAGTACACAAAATCTATTAATAATTTAAAATAAACTATGTATTAGAAATGTCTTTTTATTGAAAAGGAGAAATGCAATCTGTCGAATAATTAATTAATATTTGTTATTTCTCATTAAATGGTTCATTAAAGAGAAGTTGAATATTGCAAACAATACTGGAATTGAAGTTAGACAATGTGCCAATGATGCTAATAGCTACAGCTTCATACAACTTCATCCATTCAGCAAATTACTTATAAGCCTCTGTTTTCAAATTTGGAAAATGCTTATAAATAATACATAGCAATTAAAAGCTTTGTCTTGAGAATTAACATTTGTAAAAGACCCTGGCATAGAGTAGAAATTTAGTATTTACACACACACATGCACGCACACACACACAATCTGATATCCTATATAGGGATTCTTATGTAATAGTCATTTTAATATATTTACATCATAGAATAACTCAAATACTGGAAGACTAAGATTCAGGAATAGGTGAATTAAATCGTGACTATTTTTCCTACAAAATAGATAGGTAAACTGCTTTTATAAAACTGACAACCCAACTAAACTAAAATTCTTGTATGACAGGAACTATTTCTTTTTTCCTTTTCTGTAAAAAGTAAATATGTGATTCCTTAAAACAGTATCAAAATCAGTGGTGCAGTCATCCAGACAACCCATATCAGTTGTCTTAAAATACAAATTTCAGTCAGAGCAAATGCATTTTAAGCAGCAAATGCCATCCCCTAAATTTTGTAGAGCGTTTTGCCTAGCAATAATTGGCCATGAGGAAAACTCGGTCAGTAATTGCTGCTCAATAGCTAAATGCATACTGAAGTGCTGCTTTCCTTTGACAGAAACAACAAGCATCGCAGGGTCCTCAAAAACCGTTTCTTTGAACTTCTTTACTCATGCTCTACAAGCCCACTCTCTAATCTCTGGTGGAGAATATTTAGAACATGTTCCAAATCAAATACAAAACTGCTGATGCAGAAAAGATTTTGGAGAGACTAAAGAGTCAGCAGAAACCACCAAAAGAATCTCAAAAACAGCACTTATCTTAATGTTTTATTAAACACCTGGGCACACACACAACATGCAAATTATAGCCAGTGTCTCCAGATGCTGCTTCTTCATTAGCTTACTTTTAAGAAAGTTAGGAGAGACAAGGCAAAACAAGTTACTTAGTGTTTTAAAACCAAGATTGCACATTGGTCACTGCAGGCAGCAGGAAGCATGAAAAGGGAAATAACTGTTCTTGGTGTGGCCTCTGCTAATATATTCCCAGTTGTTTGTGTTTGCGGTAGCTCTGCCACTTTATCCCCTTACACCTCTGCTTCTTTCCTCCTCCCAAAATAGACGTAATAAAAAGAAGAAATGAACCATTTCAAATACTCAGCTCATAAATCAGACAATATCTGGAAGCTGATCTGAAAGTATATTTAGTTAACACATCATGAGTGTCGTAAAGACTGTTGCCAGGTAACAAAGCACCGTCCTTTGGGAGACCAAAGTATTGTCAGTGATTTTATTTTGTAAAACACAAAATCCAGGCTGATGCTCCTATACAGTTTCATATATATATAATGCCTTTATTTAATCTTCTTTTTCGTTACAAAAATGCAAAGGATTGAGCCCAAGATTAATATCGGACTGTATAAAGACTTGCTGCACACTTAAATAATCAACATCAATGTTACAAAAAAAGCCTTGTATTAAATACTTAGTATGCTTTGTAGAAAAATATAACTATCATCCCTGCTTTTTGGAATATTATATTATAAGTTGCATATAGAGAAAGATTGTATGAACTATATTGGAAGAAAAATATACATGACACCAAAAAAAAGTTGGCATCACATATCTCAGGTATTGAAATTTTGAGATTTGTATGGAAAAAAGTTAGGAAGAAGTGGAAATCATGCAGAAACTAAAGAGATTATCATTGGAAAATTGTTTGTATTAATTTTGTGTTACAGAAACCAATACATTATTGTTTGTAGAACAATAATGGAAAGAAAATAGAGAATGTTAATAGTTCTTTTTGACAACTGAGGAAGAGTAGCTGAAGTTGGAAAAGGAATAATGAGGATGATGGCCTCTAATTATTAAAAATCTACTATGTGTACATATGAACAGACATTTCTCAAAAGATGACATTTATGCAGCCAACAGACACATGAATAAATGCTCATCATCACTGGCCATCAGAGAGATGAAAATCAAAACCACAATGATATACCATCTCACACCAGTTAGAATGGCGATCATTCAAAAGTCAGGAAACAACAGGTGCTGGAGAGGATGTGGAGAAATAGGACCACTTTTACACTGTTGGTGGGACTGTAAACTGTTCAAACATTGTGGAAGACAGTGTGGCGATTCCTCAAGGATCTAGAACTAGAAATACCATTTGACTCAGCCATCCTATTACTGAGTATCTACCCAAAGGATTATAAATCATGCTGCTATAAAGACACATGCACACGTATATTTATTGTGGCACTATTCACAATAGCAAAGACTTGGAACTAACCCAAATGTCCATCAATGATAGACTGGATTAAGAAAATGTGGCACACATATACCATGGAATACTATGCAGCCATAAAAAAGGATGAGTTCATGTCCTTTGTAGGGAAATGGATAAAGCTGGAAACCATCATTCTGAGCAAACTATGGCAAGGACAAAGAACCAAACACCGCATGTTCTCACTCATAGGTGGGAATTGAACAATGAGAACACTTGGACACAGGAAGGGGAACATCACACACTGGGGACTGTCATGGGGTAGGGGGAGGGGGGAGGGATAGCATTAGGAGATATACCTAATGTAAATGATGAGTTAATCAGTGCAGCACACCAGCATGGCACATGTATACATATGTAACAAACCTGCACGTTGTGCACATGTACCCTAGAACTTAACGTATAATAATAAAAAATAAATAAAAATCTACTATGTGTACTTATAGCTCTCATAGCACTTAGAATTGTTTATTGAAGAGAACTATGCCCTCGACTTTTTTCCTCCAAGTTTTCTGAGAGCTGGACCTATGTCTTACACAAAGTTATCTCACAAGCACTTAGCACAGGTCATGAAACAAAGTTAGGTATTAAAATGTTAAATGAATAAATATTCATTCAAACATTATTCTAAGTAATTATCACAGCAACCCACTGGTGTAGGAAATTGTTTTTCTAATTAACAGATGAGAAAATCAAAATGTAAAAGAGTGAAATTAACTTGACCAAGATCCAAGTTGTGATTGAAACCAAGTTTTCTCTGATCTCTGCTGTTCTTTCTATCCCAACAGGCCTGAGATAAAATGAAGAATTAGAATGAAAAAAAAAAAAAACAGAAAACTCATGGTGCAATGTAGTAAAAAGGGGGAGAAATGTAATATTTTCCCTGCAAGATTGGGAATAAGGCCAGGATATCCCTGTTCACCATTGCCATTCAATATCTTGATGTTCTAGCTAGCGCAGTGATGAAATACTATGAAATAAAGGCTTATGAAATGAACAAAAATAGAGGACTATCTTTGTTTTTTGTCAACGTATAAAATCCCAAAGAATTGAAAAAAAATTCTTCTAGAAGTGGTAAGTAATTATAGCAAGTTCATAGAATATGGAATTATTATAAAAATTAAATTGCTTTCTTACATATCAGCAATGAGAAATTGGAATTGAAAATTAAAAGCATAATGCCATTTAAAATAACACATACTAAAAGGGAAATATTTTGTGGCCTGGCGCAGTGGCTCATGCCTGTAATCCCAGCACTTTGGGAGGCCGAGGCAGGTGGATCACTGGAGGTCAGGAGTTCGAGACCAGCCTGGCCGACATGGTGAAACCCCCATCTCTACTAAATAGAAAAAATTAGCCGAGCATGGAGATGTGCGCTGTAATCCCAGCTACTTGGGAAGCTGAGACAGGAGAATCGTTTGAACCAGGGAGGTGGAGGTTGCAGTAGCCGAGACTGTGCCACTGCACTCCAGCCTGGGCAATAGAGTGAGACAGAGTCTCAAAAAAATGAATAAATAAATAAAATAAAAAATAAAATGTAAATAAAAAATAAAAGAAAAATATTTTGGTATAAATCTAACATAATACTAATAGGATTTATATATGAAACTAAAAAATCTAGAGAAAAAACAAATATGTTCAAAACATATGAAGAGATAACCGTATTCATGAATTGAAAGACTCAATATTTTTAAGATGTCATTCCTTTCCAACTTGATTTTTAAAATCTATGCAATTCCAATAAAAATCCCAGCAAGCTATTTGTGGATACTAGCAAACTAATTTTTAGGTTTAGATGGACAGCCAAAAGACCTATAATAACCAGTACAATACTGAAGAAGAATAAAGTTGGAGGACTCAGGATGCTTGACCTAGGACTTACTATAAAGTTTTAGTACACAACACAACATGGCATTTTTGACAGAAAAAGCATTTAGACCACTGGTACAGAACAGGTGGCCAAAAAAAAAAGGAAACAAAAAAGTAGAATCAACTAATATTTGACAAAAGAATAAAAACAATTCAATAGAGAAAAGCAAAGATATTTTTTTCCAACAAACAGTGCTGGAGGAATTGGACATCCATAAGAAGAAAAGGCATGTATACTATGCTCTTCACAAAAATTAACACAGTGTATCATAGATAGGCTTAAATATTAAAAACACAGTAGTACTAGAAGAGAATACAGGAGAAAACCCATGTGATTTTTGGTTTAGTGATGAGTTTTTAGATACAACACCAAAAGTATGATTTATAAAAATGTTGATAAATGAGAATACATTAAAATTAATAACTTTGCTTTGTGAAAGATACTGCTAAGAGAATAAAAAGACAAGCTATGGACTAGAGGAAAATATTTGTAAATCACATATCTGATAGAAGACTTGTATCCAAAATATACAAATAACTCATAACACTCAGTAAGAACACAAACAACCCAATTAAAAAGTGGCTGAAGTATTTGAGCAAACACTTAATCAAAAAAGATATGCAAATAGCAAGCAAGCCTATGAAGACATGTTCAACATCATTTGTCAGGGGGAATTGCAAATTAAAATAACAATGAGATAATATTATACACTTATTAAAACGGCTAAAATCCAAAACACTGACAATACCAAATGCTTTCAAGAATACTGTTCATGGTTAATTTTCATTTCTTATTGGTGTGAATGCAAAAGAGATTTTTGCAGTTTCTTACAAAGCTAACCCTAGTCTTAACATATGATCTGGGAATGATACTCCTAGGTCTTTACCCAAATAATTTGAAAGTTTATGTTTATACAAAAATCTGCATGCAGATATTTATACTACCTGTATCCATTATCACCAATAAGTATAAATAGCCAAATAAGATGTCCTTCAATAAGTGAATGAATAAACAAACTGTGGTACATCTATACAGTGAAGTATTGAATAATTTTAAAAATGAGCAATCAAGCTGCAAAAAGACATGGAGATTCTGCATGCATAGCCTCCCATGTTATCAATATCTCCTATCAGAGGGGAACATTTGTTACAACTGACAAACCCACATTGACACAGAATCTCCATGTTAAGGAAACTATTCTATATGATATTACAATAGAAATTGCATACCATTATACATTGTCAAAGCCCATAGAACTTTAGAGCACCAAGAGTAACCTTAATGTATGCAAATGTCTAAAAATTATTCAGGACTAAAGAAGGAATGCAGTCTGTGACACTTGAACTACATTACGAATGTATGTTACAACCTCAGCGATGGGGCAGGGGGATGATGTGACCTAAGTCACTGTGGAAATGAAGTAAGGCACAAGCATCTGTAAGACAAAGGCTAAAGATGAAAGGCTAAAGGAACTGCACATGGAACTGTATTCTGGTTGATAAAGTTGTTTCACATCAGGGTATGGTGTGAAGACAAGAGTGATTCCATCTCGGAATTCCATGTCGATTCCTAACTATCCCAGTCCCATGAATGTATTTTGATTTCTGCTTTACCATCCTGATTTACCATCTCTGTTGTAAGAACATGTCATTCTTGCCTTTTCTGGATGGTTGCATTTAAATGTCTTGCTGGAGCATATACACCCTTCCTTATGGTATACAAGCCCTGGATCTGAGGAGTAACAGTGCAGAGATCTACTTGCCTTGCAGCCAACCAAGACCACATTTCTGTCTGCAAGTTCTGCCAATAAAACACCCCTTAGAACAAAGTCGATTTGTCTGTCTCATTCTTTGGTTCCTTGGCTTCTTCAGCATGTGGGGGCTACTTTGCATAAATGGCCCTTTCACAGTACATACAGGTTAACAATCCTAATACTATTATACATGTATATTGAAATTTAACAAGTAAACGGGTGGTGGATGAAGGGAATCCAGGTTTCTCTGTGTTAGAGAAGAACTAACAGATAAGCAAGATGAGGAGGCTAAAAATTTCACGAGGTTGTGGAAACTAGTTGGGGACATCAGTATAAACTCATGTTTAGCTTAATATTGATACTGATGTTTATGCATAAAAATATTTATAGATATGTGAATATACACAGTTTTTATCTTTCTAAGAATATATTTTTTGAGATATAATTCATATGCCATGAAATTAACCCATTTAAAGCGTGCAATTCAATGACTTTTAGCATAGTCACAGTTGTGCATTCACCACAATTAATTTATTTGGCTACTGTGAATAAAGCTGCTGTAACATTCATGTGCAAGCATTTTATGGCACATTTGTAAAAATTTCTCTTGCATATATACCAAGTATTGAAAATGGGAATTGTCAGACTGTTTTTCAATGTGGCCATGTCACTTTATATTCTCATCAACAATGTATGAGAATTTCAATTTCTCCATATTCTCAATAAACCTTATTATCTATCTTTGTGATTATAGCCACCCTAATTGATATAAAGTTGTATATAATGGTTTTGATGTAAATTTCCCTGATGGCACTTTGTTCATTTGCTTACCATTTATATACCTTCTTTAGTGAAACATCTAGTCAAATTATTTGCCCATTTTTTGATTGCCCGTTTAATTGAGTTGCGAGAACTTTTTACACTTTCTGGATATAAATACCACACTAGATTTGTGATTTACAAAAATGTTCTCCCATTTTGTGTATTGTCTTTTCACTGTATTGATAGTGTTATTTGAAGCACAAAAGTTTTAAATTTTTATGATGTGCCATTTATCTGTTTTTTCTGTGTTTTGTGTAATTTGCACCTTGATGGCAAATTTACAAAACCATTGCCTGAACCAATGTCAAAATTATTTACATGTATGTTTCCTTCTGAGTTTTAATAGTTTTAGTTCTTAAATTTAGATTTTTCATGCAGTTTGAATTAACTTTTGTATGTGGTGTGAGGTAGGGTTCAAAATTCATTATTATATGTGTAAATATTCAGTTGTCCCAGAACCATTTGTTGAAAAGACAGTTCTTTCTTCATTGGTTTGGGTACTCTTACTAAAAATAAGTCGACTATGAATTTGTTTATTTCTGAACTCTCAATTCTATTCCACTGATCTATTATGTCTATCGTTATGCCAGTACCACCTTAGATTACTGTCTATTCATAGTAAGCTTTGAAATCAGGAAATATGAACCCTCAAACTCTTTTGTTTTTTTCAAGATTGTTTTAGCTATTTGAAATCTCTTTCATCTCCTTATGAATTTTAGGATCAGCTTGTCTATTCCTGCAAGGAAATTAGCTGGGATTTTTTTATAGGGATTTATAATGTAGATCAATTTTGGGATTATTATGATAATATAAACAATAATATTGAGTTTTCTAATACATGAAAATGGTATGTCTTTTCATTTATTTAGGCTCTGTTTAATTTCTTTTACTCATGATTTTTAGTTTTCAGAATAGGTATTTTATAATTTTGTTAAATTTATTCCTAAGTATTTTTGATGCTACTTTAAATGAACAATGGGGTCCTTGGTCCCAAGGAAGTAATAGCATTCCATCTTAGAAGACTTAGGCACAGAACTTACCTCCCTAGATAATTTTACAAAAATCTAATTAAAGAGAATAAATTACAAAAAAAGGCCCTTTCCTATAAATTCTTTTACAGATCACATTTACAGCACTTCTGAGGTTTCTTGCTTCATTCCCTTTGATTCATTCCCCAGGCAAGCTCTCAGGGTTTTGGGTTTTTCTCTCTTGCTACAGGTGTAGTGGTGAAAAAGGAGATTAACATTCCCTAAAGCCCACTGAAAATTGTAGTTTGTAGCAGGTCCTTCATATGTGACTTAAGGTCATTAGATAATGCAGACTATTTAAAATTTAAATATTCCTTGTTAGCTTTGCAAAGAATTGAAAATTGCACAATTCCACTTTTGTTTCTGCAAATATGCATCTGTAATATAAACAGAACCACAGTGATGTTAAGTAACTTTACCAAGGTCAGTTAGTGGTGAATTCTCTGGATTGAAATGCAGGAACTAGGAGCCACTGCCCATATATTCATCCCCTGTTCTATTCTTTTATTGTTTTTCTTTTCTTTTAAGAGACACAGTCTTACTCTGTTGCCGAGGCTGGAATGCAGTGGCTTCATTATAACTCATTGTAACCTTGAATTCTTGGGCTAAAGAGATCCTTCTGCATCAGCCTCTCCAGTATCTAGGACTACAGGCATATGCCACCATGCTCAACTAATTTTTTAATTTTTTGTAGAAATGTAGTTTATGTTGTCTAGGCTGGTCTCCAACTCCTGGCCTCAAGTGATCTCACCTTTGCCTCCCAAAGCACTGGGTTTACAGGTGCAAGCCACTGCACCTCTTCCTGTCTCCTATTTCTTAACACTTATTTAGATGGTAATGTCTCTGAGGAGCCCTGTATTAAACATCATTATTTCCTTTTGTCTAATCTACTGTTTCTCTAACTGAAAACTCTGGCATGGGACTTCTAATTGAGTTAGACAAATATATATTTAAAAGGCTGTGTGAGACAAAGATTCACTAATTCAAATCATCTAATGAATTGTATTTGAACATATAGTCCCAACAGTGCCTCTTGGCATAATATAGAAAGAACAATTGAGTAAATTTGTTCTGAGAATATTTTTAAATTATTAGTAAAAATGTATTTGAGGCTGGGTGCAGTGACTCATGCCTTTAATCCCAGTGCTTTGGGAGGCCAGAGTGGGAGGGTTGCATGAGGTTGAGCCTTTGAGAACAGGCTAAGCAACATTGTGAGACCCTGTCTCTACAAAAGATAAAAAAGCTTAGCTAAGCATGGTGGTATGCACCTGTAGGCCAAGCTACTTGGGAGGCTGAGGCAGGACAGCTTGAACCAAATAGTTTGAGGCTGTGGTGAGCTATGATCATGCCACTGCACCCAAGCTTGGTAACAGAGGGAGACCCCGACTCAAAAAATTAAAAATAAAAAAAGTGTATATATACATATTTGAATATTTGCATTAGTGTCTGTTTTCTTTAACAGTGTCTTCAATACAGTTTTTAAACAGATTCATACCATTTGTAAATATTGATATTAATAATAATCATTATGTTTACATTTCTGCAAAGCTTACTTAGTAAAATTGGCTTGTAATTTTAGATTGTTGTTAAATAATATTTTTGACTGTAACTTTTATCATAATGGTAATTTAGGGGTGAATTACCACAAAACTAAGAAATAACATTGATTTTTGCTTTTCATGAAACCTTTACTGTGAGTAAGAAATTTTATATCTATATAGGTAGAAGTATACATAACCATTCCTCAGTATCTGTGGGGGATTGACTCCATGATCTCCTTGGAATACCAAAATCTTCAGATGCTCAAGTCCCTCATATAAGATGGCATAGTATTTACATGTGATCTACATACATCTCCAGGTATACTTTAACTCATCTTTACTTAAAATACCTAATACAATGTAAGTTCTATATAAATAGTTATTAAAAAGCTGTTATACCATATTGCTGTATTATAGCCTATATAGTAAATAGTTATTATACGTTATTGCTTTTTAAATTTGTGTTACTTCTTATTGTTGTATTTTTTTCCCAAATATTTTTCATTTTACAAGAATGGAAGTTGCTCTAGGTGAGGCAGTGAGTAAGTGGTGAGTGATTGTGAATGATAGCACACTACTTTATAATACTGTAGAATTTGTAAACACTCGATGCTTAGGTTATACTAAATTTATTTTAAAATACTTTTCTTTCTTCAGTAATAAATTAACTTTAGCCTATTGTAACATTTTTTACTTATAAAGTAAAAAGTTTATAAAACTTTTTATTTTTTTGACTTTTAATAACACTTAGCTTAAAACACAAACACATTGTATAGCTGTGTGAAAATATTTTCTTTATATTCTTACTCTATAAGCCTTTTTATTTATTATTATTATTTTATTTTTAAAATGTTTTTGTTAAAAACTAAGACATATACACACATATTAGCCTAGGCCTACACAGGGTCAGGATCATTAAGATGTAACTAGAAATTTTTCAGCTCTATTATAATCTTATGATACGCTGTAATATATGTGGCCCTTCATTGACCAAATATCATTATTGCTGAAAGCAATAACAAATGAATTCTTATACAGTGTCACAGACAAGAGGTGCCTGAGGAGATCTGAGGACTACATACAGAGGTGTCCTGGATGCGATCCTGGACTATCGATGAAAACTAAGAAAATCTAAATACACTATGGACTTGTGTTACAATTTACCTATCAAAATGTATTCATTCACTGTAACCAACTTACCATACTATGTAAGATGTTAATAGGGGAGCCTCGGTGTGTGGTATATCTCTATATTATTTTTGCAATTTTTTCTGTCAATCTAAAACTGTCCTAAATAATAAAGCACATTTTTAATGGAGGAAATTAAATTTAATGAAGACTTCCAGAATGCCAGACACTCTACTTTGCACTTGATTTACAGAAGAATATAAAACAACTGGGATTTAGGAATTCGTCCAGTTTGCTTCTTCACTGCAAGCTTATTTCAGCACCTCATTGCATCTCCTAAGTGTTTTCCTTGATTCAAACGTCACCCTCCAATATTTTTTACCAATAATATCAGATTGACCTTTCTTTCATATAATTCAGTTTAATGCTTAATTTTTATCTGTATCAAAGTAAGGTATGTATGTTAAAATAGCAGTCCCTAACCTTTTTGGCATGAGGGACTGGTTTCATGGAAAACGATTTTTCCACAGACCAAGTGGTGGGGATTGGACTAGGAATGATTCAAGCTCATTACATTTATGGTGCACTTTATTTCTATTATTATTATTATACTGTAATATATAATGAGATAATTATACAACTCACCATAATGTAGAATCAGTGAGAGCCCTCAGCTTGTTTTCCTGCAACTAGGTGGTCCCATCTGGGGGTGATGAGAGACAGTGACAGATCATCAGGTATTAGATTCTCATAAGGAGTGCACAACCTAGATCCCTGGCGTGTGCAATTCATAATAGGGTATGTGCTTCTATGAGAATGTGATGCTGCTGATGATCTGATGGGAGGCAGAGCTCAGACCGTAAAGCATGATCACCTGCCGCTCACCTCCTGCTGTGTGACCAGCAGCAGTCACCTCCTGCTGACTGGTACCAGTTGGGACCCCTGTGTTAAAAGTCTAATATTCTACATGAATTGTATTAACCACAAAAAAAATCCCTTTTTGCCCTTATCTCCACTTAGCTTTCACCTGCCCGGACGCAAATCTTGTGCCATTTCTTCTTATGACTCATTCCATATTTCTAAATAATATACTTGTGATTTATTGTCTTCCATTTTAAAAAATGCTATCTCTACTATGGAAAAAAACTATTGATTTCTCATAAACAATGCTACACACATACACTTTTTATATTCCAGTTTCACCTGTAAATATAATTATAATTTTCTAGTGAGTCAGTAGTCAATGTTTATGTAATTACTTTGAAATATTATTCCCACTGAATACAATGAGCAGAGCATAATTATGTTTCCATCTTGTGCAATTCTTAGCATTTCCTGAAGCTCCTAAATGGCTTTTGAAATTTTCCTAGTTTTCTATATACTTGTCTGTCATGAAATTGATTCCCAAATTTAAAGAACAGTAAAACTCCTCTTAACAAAGTCACATATTTTAATGTTTTCAATCATAAGATAGTGTGATTTTTAATTTTTTAAAAATCTATCTCTCTCCTGGACTCATACATCCTCCTGTTCCCATGTCAGCTAATTAAGTTTGTTGTGTGCTACACAGCTGTTGCCCTGAGTCCTCTATTCATCCCATTCCTGGAAACTTGTATCATATTTCTATGTAGGATCTGTTTCCTAACTCCATGTCTTCCTTTTTAAAATTGACTTCTTCAGTGTGTTTACTAGTGACTTTCGTCACTCATCCATGCATGGTATAAAAATGATAGTGGAAACTGTATATATGTGGCTAGATTTTTGATTGGTACACCTTACAGATGCTGAGGAGCTTCCAAATGTCAACATCTGTTGTTGAGGCTTTCTCTTGAGATTACCTTTTTTTGTTTTTGTTTGTTTGTTTGTTTTGTCTGAAAAGAATCTTCCATTTACTTGCCAAGGACTTACAGACCTAGGTTCTGTATTCTGGGAGAGGAGTGATGCTGAGGGAGGGTACCTGGCACATATCGCTATCTCTCCATGTTTAATCCCTTCATTTGCAGTGCAATGCCTCATCACAGTTTCACCTGGAGCACATTCCCGGAACCTTTGATTCACCCATTCCAAAAGCAAACATCATGTTTATTTGTTGTTAGGGCTAGATACTGGGGAAGAAGGGTCTTTGGTCTATGACAAGAGATGTTCTTGTCTAAAACCTTAAACACAGGTTCCATCAGTCTCTCCATCTTTAGATCATCCCCATATCCAAGACTTTAGAAGAACTTTGGGTCTCCAATACTTGAGCCTTTCATCATTTGAAGTTAAGGACTTGACCACTTTATGTCGGCTCCCTAACGCGATGTCAGGCACTCAGACTTTACCTTTCTCTAACTACTAGTCAGTTAAGTCTCATCTCATCACATTTTTTGGCCAATTTCCATAGGTTTTATTATATTTTTTACATCTCTCATTTGCTTTATGCTTCTTTTCCATTTTCTTTGTAGATTTTCTCAAGCTGAGAGTCATTTCATGTACTGAGCTTTAATTTACTGATTTATTTGAAAGCTACCCTTCTTCATAGTTGGCTTGAAAATACTGCCTTTGTGAATATATCCACAATATCTCTCTGTCAGATAGCATTCTGCTATGGCCTTTGAATGAATAGTTTTGGTCATCCTTTGGCAAGAACATAGGAGAAAAGATAAAGAAGTTAACTTGAGTTAAAAATTAAAGGTTTTATAGTCATGTTGAGTGCAAAAACATAAGTGAATAAATGAACTTTTGGAAAGGGATAATTAAATTATAAAAAGTCAATGAAACTTAAATGCAGAATTCAGAACCAGGAGAAATGAGAGGATTTTTATGATTGTTTTTTGCAATATTGAATATTTCAAATAATTGTTGTGTGGCTACTATATACTAAGCACTGTTTTACATGCTATAAACATAACAGAGAACAAACTGATTTAAAAATTTCTGTTAGGTGCTCACACTCTAGTGAAGTGTTTGAAGATTTTCCTTGTATCTCCCTGTTATTGGTTTCTACTTTGATTCCACTATAGTCAGAGAACACACACTGTATGGATTTCCATTCTTTTAAAATATTGATATTTACTCATTTTTGGTCAAAAATATGTTATATCATCATAATAAAGCCAGCTTTGCAAAAACTGTATCAGTGAGAAAAGTTTGACAGCTAAAAAGATCTGAGCTAACCCCCCCAAACCCACCTCCTGCCTTTAACTTTCAACATGCCTGAATTACATCTGGGCTTAGGCCAGAGCTAATTTTGGAAGCTATTTAGGTTATAGTTTAAATGGTAATAGCCCTTTGCCAAAACTCAGCCACCTTTTAAAGCTAATGAGAGATCACCTGACTAGGGAAGAGTAGAGGAGCCTGCATTCTAGTAAAGTGTAGACATACACAACTGCTAGCCATTCCTGCAAATAACATCACTATTGTCAAACCTAAGATTGGTCTTTTGAGATATCTTTTCAGGTTTCTGCATGTCTAACACCTGGCTCCATCTGGCCCCACCAACCCCACTCCTGTGGTTCCACCCAGGATTTAATCTCTCACACATTACCTGATCAACCTCACCCCTTCCCCCCAACCTACCTTTGAAAAACTCCTAACCTATGAGCTTTTGGAGAGATTGATTTGAGCAATAATTCTGTCTCCTGCATGGAGTGGCTGGACTCATGTCAATTAAACTCTTTCTTTATTTACTGCAATACTGTGGTCTTTACTTGTGCAGCAGGCAGAAAGTACCCCTCATACAGTTACAGTAAATGTTCTTTGGTATTTTAAAATAATGTGTAATCTGCTGTACGTTCTATACATTTGCTCATTAGATCTGGTTGGTTGATAATGTTTCTGAGTCCTTCTATATATCTTTTTGTCTACTTGGTCAATCAATTTTATGTGATCTACCTATCTACATAGATAGATAGATAGTAGATAGATAGATAGATAGATAGATAGATCGCTGTTGAAGGAAATTCAAATATTTTACCCCAAAATATATATGTTGACATATTTGAAATGGCTGCCTTCTGGCCAGCAAACAGAAGTGGTCTTATTAGCCTGTCTTTTGTGAAGAAAATTTGCATCTGTAGAGAATCTCCATTAATGCAATCAGGCCTCTCCTTTCCATGCCGTTTCCAGGTCTAGGAGAGATTGAGTGTGTGACATTTTTAAAAGTCTGAAAAGAAACATTTACTCTATAGAGGCTTGGTCTGCACAACAAGGCCACTTTGAGAGTCAATCTTCCTCCTTTCTCCCTCCCATAACCTCTCTTGCCATTAAAACCTGTTTTTGGAGATACTCTGGATCTGCATTATGTCTGTAATTTCAAGATGGTGTATAAGCTTTTATTACTTACTGAAAAGTTGAGTCTTCATTCTGAAGGCTCCCAGGTATACACATTAATTAAGTAAGTCTGTATGCCTTTTTTCCTATTAATGAATATGTCTCATGTCAGTGATCTTTCAGCAGACCTTTAGGGGGCCAAGAGCCTATGGTCCTCACACTGACTATTGGTGTTGTCAGAGGAGTTTGAAACAGAGCAACTCAATCTTGAAAAAGGGTTGGGTAAAATAAAGCTGAAACCTATTGGGCTGCACTACTAGGAGGTTAAGGCATTCTTAGTCACAGGATGAGATAAGAGGTTGGCACAAGATACAGGTCATAAAGGTCTTGCTGATGGAATAGGTTGCAATAAAAAAAGCCAGCTAAATCTCACCAAAAACAAAATGGTGACGAGTGGCCTCTGGTGTTCCTCACTGCTACACTCCCACCAGCACCATGAAAGTTTACAAATGTCATGGCAATGTGAGGAAGTTATGCTGTATTGTTTAAAAGGGGAAGCATGAATAATTTGCCTCTTGTTTAGCATACAATCAAGAAATAACCATAAATATGGGCCACTAGCAGCCCCGAACGCTTCTCTGCCTATGAAGTAACCATTCTTTTATTCCTTTACTATCTTAATAAACTTGCTTTCATTTTACTCTGTGGATTCACACTGAATTCTTTCTTGTGGAGATCTAAGAGCCCTCTCTTGGGGTATGGATTGGTACCCTTTTCTGGTAACAGTGTTAGCATTTTACCAGTTCAAGGGAAGTAATAGAAACCTTACTTTCATTTAAATGTCCCTTTATCTTCGCCCCCCCCTCCCCCGCCCACCGCCTTTTTTTTTTTTTTAAGTGGAGTCTCACTCTGTTGCCAGGCTGGAGTGCAGTGGTATAGTCTTGGGTCACCATAACCTCCACCTCCTTGGTTCAAACAATTCTCCTGCCTCAGCCTCCCAAGTAGCTGGGACCACAGGCACGTGCCACCACACAAAGCTAATTTTTGTATTTTTAGTAGAGATGAGGTTTCACCATGTTGGCCAAGATGGTCTTGATCTCTTGGCCTCATGATCCACCCGCCTCAGCCTCCCAAAGTGCTGGGATTACAGGCATGAACTACTGCACCTGGCCTATCTTCCCCTATTTTTAGTTGTTACAAATATTTTCTCTATATACATTGAGAAGCACATTAGGCAATGTTAAAATTTTGGCTTGAACCATCACCCTTACTTTAAAAAACTTAAGGGGAAAAGGAAAATGTATTATATTTACATATATTTTAATTATTTTTATTAGTTTTCTTCCTTTGTGATGTTTCAGGATTCCTTCTTTAACCATTTCCTCTCTGTTGAGAGAGATCTTTGTAGCCATTCCTTTAATGAAATACTTTTCTTATATTTCTTATATCTTATGATGTCTTGATTTTCTCTTGATTCCTGGAGGATGTGTTTCACAGATATAGAATTTTGGATTGACAATTTTTTTCCTTTCAGCAATTAAAACTATTGTTTCACTTCCTTCTGGCCTTCATTGTTTCTGGTGAAAACTACACTGTCATTTGGATTGTTTTCTTCCTATTGCTGTTATTCCTTTTTTGTTGCTTTTGAAGTATTCTTCTTTGTCTTTAGTCCTCAGAATTTGCTTGTGAAGTGATTGACATGAATTTGTTTGACTTTATGCTTTTTGAGGTTTGCTCCATTTCCAGAATACATAAATTCATACTTTTTGCACAATTTTGAAAAATTTCAGCCTTTATGTTTTTTAAATACTCTGAGTCTGAACTCTTTTTCTTCTCAGGGGACTCTGCTCAAATACATGTTAGAACTTCTGTCACATTTTCATGGGTCCCTGAGACACTTCTTATTTTTTTCAGTCCAATTTCCCTGTTTTTTTTTCAGAATGAGTAATTTTTATTGTTCTCTCTGTCTCAAGTTAACTGTTTATTTTCTCTGTCCCGTCCATTGTGCTGTTGTGCCCAACCATTGAGTTTTTATTTCAATTATTGTATTGTTTAGTTCAATAATTTTGAATTTTTTTTGGCTGAGATATTCTATTTTCTCATTTGTTTCAATGGTGTTTGTAACTAATATATAGCAATTTTATGACTGCTATTTTAACATTCATATTATATAATTCTAATATCTGTATCATTTCAGATTTGATATCTGTTAATTATTGCTTCTCATTCAAGGTGAGAATTTTCTTGTTTCTGCTGGTGATAGGTGGGAATTTTAGCTCCCTACTAAGCCTCCACTGATACAACCCTTGTTGAGGGGAGGAGGAGAGCCTTATTACTGCTCTCTGAGAGGTCTCAACCGACTCCATTGTTTGCGATGGCTTCTTTATCACTGGGCTGCACAGATTTGAATTTCAGACAACCAGATAATCTTCTCTGATACCACAGTGAGGTGGAGTTTGTGGGGGATTGTTGTTGGCCTTGCTCCATAAAGATGAAAGTCCTTGTTCCCATTTATGATTTCCCTAATACCACCTTGGCAGACAGAGCTGGAGAACATCAGTGCAGCCTGGTGAGGGTATAAGTCTAAGTTTTCCACTTGGCCATTGCCATTGGAGATAGAAAGAGGGCACTTTTGTGTGTGTGTGTGGTATTTTGGTAGAGTAGAGCATTTATTTTGGAAGAATTTATTTTCTTGTTAAGCTGCCCATTTTTTTTTCTAGAAAGAAAGGTTTTGGTTGGGCTTATTGTCATTTCCAGGTTACTGGCTTCTCCTGTAACCAATCTGGGATATTTGAGGCCAAAAATCCATCAGAGAACATGGTTCTATGACTTCCTCAAATCCTAAAATCCCAAGCCAACCTGTCTTTCTCCCTGTTCCTTTCAGAGCCTTATGGTATTTTTTTTAAAAGATAATAGTCATAGTTTTTAATTTTTACCTAGTACAAATAATAGAGAAAAACAGTTCTATCCCTACTTTCCAGAAGAAAGACTGGATATATCCTGGATATATTTTTGACAGAAAGCTAACATGATTTTTTAAACTGATTGGATGTGGCTTCAATGAAAGAGTAGAGTAATGAGAGATTCCAGGGATTCTGCCTAATGCAGCTGGAAAGATGACATATCCATTTACTCTATTGGGATAGGAAACGTTGTGAAGGGAATTAATTTGGGGAATAATCAAGAGTTTAGTTTGCCTAACATGTTTAAGCTTATGTTTTAGTTAAACATGAAGTTTAACTAAAACTTCATGTTTAAGTTGAAAATGCCTACTGGACCTCCAACTGCAGATATTGTACAAATTGTTGCACTATCTCAATCTGGAGTGCAGGGAACAGGACAGGGTAAGATATAAGCTGGAGCTTAGTCACTTTTAAAGCCATGAGAATGGATGACATCTGAAAGAGCAAGTGCAAAAAGTAAAAGAAAAAGAATAACGTAAAGAACTAAGCTTTGCACCATTAAAGTGCCTATAGATGGAAATGAAGAAAAGACTCAGCAGTGAAGACTGAGACTTAGAGATCTCTAAGTTGCTTAGAGATTGGAGGAAAAGAGGAATGCAGGGTACCCAAGAAGCCCGTAAGAAAATATTTGTAGGAGAAAGGAGTGTCAGTGGTGTTGAAAACACAAGTAAAATTAGGAATGAGAAATATCCATTAAATTGAGCAATGTTGAAATAACTAGTGAAGTTGAAGAGAGAAATGTCAGTGGAGTAGTGGGGATGAATTACTGAATTTGGGGGATGATGGCAAAGAAACAATCACTTCAATGGCTTTGCTCTGGAAGAGGAAGCAGAGAAATGCAGTGGATGCTGGAGGAGAATTTCGGGCCAAGAGAGAGTTTGGTTTTATTTTGCTTTTGAAGAAGGGGAAATTATAGTTGCTTGGTTGGAATGATCAGAATGATCACTGGTCAGAATGATCTAGTGGAAAATGAGCATTTGATGATGCAATCAAATACAGTGGGAATCATCAAATGCAGTGGGAAATTGCTGGAACGATGTCTTTGAAGATGCATGCAAGGGTGGAATTTAGTGTATGACTAGATGGTGACCTTAGATAGGAGGAAAGACAGATCATCTGTGGTAATGGAAAGGGAGAAAACACATAAGGTCACAAGTCCAGGAAGGTAGATATAAATGGCAGTGGGGCATTGTTTTCTCGGCTTCATTTTCTCAGTGAAGGAGGAAGCAAGGGCATCACCTTGGAGTGAGAATGGGAGAGATGTTATTGGATACACTTGGAGAGAGAAGTTGATACGACATTGTCATCTAAGGGAGCAAGGGACTGAATGGACAAGAAAATGAAGTGTGATGTAGTAGTTCATGAAAGGTGAGAAAAGCACACTCTTATTTATATCTTACGTGAGCCACTTGCAGGCAATTATATAACATCTCCACTGTTAGAGGAGATTTAGAAGAAAAAAGAGAAGCAAGCCATGGAATATTATAACTGGGCGACATTTCATAAGTATAATTCTACATGCTAAGAAAGCAAATATTGCGTCTAGAGAAAGTAAAGTGTGAGGATCACATAGGTGCCTTTTGATAGACTCTGAAATAGAAGTCAGTTCTCTCCTATAAATCGCTAAGTCTCAGAATATACAGTCTACAGAGTAAGATAATGTGGCACGTGCTTCATAACTAGTAGAAAATTCAAGGAGTGTCAAAATTCTGCATATGCTCCTTATCGCAGAGATGTTCCAACTTGTGTATATAAGCAATTGCTTTGATTTTATTGATGTCACTTAGAAAAGTGTATATCATGGCGGTTCAAACTGAAGTTATACATATCTTTGAAGATAAATTTTTTATAAGTTACAATTGTTTTACCAAATTTTCCAGTGGGTTTAAAACCACCTAGAATTTCTTCTTTAAAACACTTTTTCAAGTACAAGTAAAAATAAGTCCTCCTATACTATAGCAATTTATAGTGTCCAAAGTGCACTTGAATGTATTACTTTATGTGACATTTGAAGCAAAGACAGTGAATCATCGTCACAGTCACTCAGGTGTTAAGCTATGGATAGAACAGAACAAGTATCTATCTGCTTGACTCCATTGCTCTAATGCAGGGTAATGGGATCCATGACATAGAGTTCAGCACGGCTATCACTCTATTATGGACAGATCTTAGCATTAAATCACATGGATGTCAAAGTCTTCATTTATGGAAAAAGGCAATGATACAGACAAATTAGCAAAATAATGATGTGATATGAATATAAGTAGTCATAAACAAAATGTCTCAAATACACTTCAAACATTTTAAGTAATCTATCTAAAATATTCTGTAAATTACCAAGAACTAAGTATAATAAAATACAAGCCACAGTAACACCTCAAATTTCCAATATTTAGCTAATCTGCAAACTCATATATTAATAATAGTCTTGAAAACCATAAAGAAGAAAAATAAATCACCACTATTGTTTAATACATATTTCAAAATTTATGCTCTTAAGTAAGAAGGCCTTAAATTCTCACTCAGATTCTCACTTTTTGTACTACACATTTGACATATTGGCTATGTGGATCCAAGCCCACTGTATAGGAAAGTAACAGACTTAGTGTTTTAGAATGGAATGAAGCAGGAGGAACTATAGAACCATTCCATGCATGTGCACATGTGTGACTATGCTTATAACCTCCATGGCAATCCAGGAATATTTAGTGTGCGAGCAAATGATCCCACAAACCACAGATTATCACTGAGTGAATGCCCAGTGCAAAAACCAATATCCATACTGATGATTATACAAGTTTAATTGTACTTGGGACATTTTGTTTAAGATTGCACAGACTGCTGTCACAGATGAAGAGAGAAAAGATACAATCTAAAATAATTAACATGAAGATAAAAGCATTGACATTGTAAAAATAAAAATATTAAGCTACAAAGAAAAGTGGATGGCCTATGTGGCTCAATATTTGAACACTCAGAACATTCTCCATTTTACTCTCTCATCATAATCACCCATCGTTATCATGTATTAAGTCTCTTCAATGCCTAGATACATTAACAGCAATCCATTTATCAAATATAAATTTCAATCACTACCTTCTTAATGCTCTGAAAATTAAAAGGCTTATTTAAACTCTGGGCTTTGGTTACCCACATTCCACTTATAAATTTATTATTAATTTTTTTAAAAAGGTGGCTATCTTACCGTTTCCACATATGTAGTAAAAATTAACAATATGTATGATAGCAAGCATCATGCAAAATTATGTGGATTAAATACAAAAATAATTTAAGTTTTATATAATATACTGAAAGAGGAACTTTTACTGGCTTGGAGAGGAGAAAAATATATTTTTTTAAACTAAAACTACTTGTGCTACTAAAACAACTGAGGAACTGTTTCATGGGAAGAGTATATTTCAAATATATTGTTGACAAAAATGAGAAATTTTAACCAAAAATCTTACTCCTTGATATATTATGTTAACATGTATAGGTATAAGTAAACATTTACATCAATTACATTAACCTTATATTTACGTTATTACCTATTCCATTTCACTTTCTAGTGTGTCCTGATTACTGATTTCCAGAACAATATAGATTTCAGCCTATTAGTTTATATTCAATCTCATTTAAATATTACCTTCTTAATGTAAATGCTTTTCTGCAGAAACAATATAAACTTCATAAGACTGTAGTCTTTGGAATACCTCTAGGCTGCTTTACATTACTGCCATTTTCAGAACTCCTTGGTTTAAAGCAATAATAATGAAACTCCTTTGCATTTAAACAACATTTGTTCACTCACGAAAAATTTCTTTTAAGGTGAGAAGTTTTGTTTTCTAATTTTACACAGAAAGATTATTTATGCAGCTCAAATTACTCATCCAGGATAATAATTTAAAGTTTTAGACAAAGTGAATTAGAGAAAGAAACAATTATCCAGATGAAAGGAAGAAGACAGCCATCTTTATTGTTCACCTCTAGTGGTCACCTAGGCAATGCAATCTCATTTAATTTTGCCACAGTGAACTATGTATAGTAGGTGGTCTCTGTTTTTCCCTCATACGAACAACGATTCAGAGAAAGCAAGAAGTCACACAGGTTCACAAAGTTGGCAAATGGGGAGACTGATATTAGAAGCCAGGCCTGTACACTTCAGATCTGATAGCTTTTCCACAAACACACCCACACACGCACACACATGCACACACACACAACTAATCTTGAGTCTAACACTCCTTTGAGTCAGATATACTTAAAATCCCTTTCCAAGACAACACACAATAAAATGATGAATAAAATAAATAAAAATAATGTCAAACGTGCAGTCAGAGTAATAAGGAAAGAAGAAAAATGTCTCGGTTGTCAGGAATGATGACGAAGTATAAAGATTCACAGGTAAGAAGTCTGTACGAGCAGAGACCCAAAGGCAAACATTCAGGGCCATCACTGGAAGGACCCAAGCAGGACAGGAGAGGCACCGTCACCTGCATAGAAAACTCTCTTAGTGTGTCAGTATGAAAAACCATTCCTATCACCCAAAGGATTATAGTAAAGAAACTTGCCAATCTTGACCTCAGATCTGGATGAAGGAATTAAAAACCATTTCTGAGATTTTGTGAATTGGCCCACAGGTGGGTGTGTGATGAATTGTCTCTACCTGTGTGGCCTCATATCCCCAACTGAGAATTTAGTTTAAAGAATATCTGGGTTGCTAATAGCCCCTTCACCTGAAAGAACTAATTGTAAATTCTATCTTCATAACACATTATAGAGCCAAACTGAGGGATACTTATAGAGTGCCAAGACCATGAGCCCACAGTGAGAAATCCCAGGAGGAAATGGAATTTAGTGAGTGCATCAGCAGCAGAACAAAGAACAGATAACAGAGTCAGATCTATACAGACTGCAGATCTTGCAATTACAGATACGGCATATAAATAGGATTGTCTAACAAGATTAATATTGATAGAAAGGAGATATCAAATGTATAATCGTGATGTAAAATACTATGAGGCAAATATAAAATAGGATAGAATAGAACTTCCAGAAGTGAAAATCATAATAGCCAGAATCAGAAATTCAATAAATAGTTTAAATGATAGACTCAATGTAACCAAAGAGAGAGATAGTGAACTGAAAGGAAGATGGGAGGAGTTGCCTTTAGAGTCCACAGAGGGCAGACAAGTTCAAAATATGAAAAAACGTAAGAAAATGGAGAATCCAGGGAGCTGATCTAACATCCATCCAAATGTTACTGAAGGAAAGAACACAGATAATAGAGAGGAGGCTCTTCAAAGATAATGGCTAAAAATTCTTCAGAATTGAAGAAATACATAAATTTTCATATTCCGGTCTTGTGACTCTCAAGCAAAGAAAATACATCTTCAGATAGATATGTCAGAGTGACACAGCAGATTACCATGGGGCGTGGATGGGCATGGATTCTGAAATCTTCAACACTCAGAAAGAAGAGACAGTTTTCCTACAAAGAAAAAATAGATAGATGGCAGACTTTCTCAAACTCCAAAACTCAGTATGAGAGCTAAGGGATGAAAATATTACAAAATACATCAAACTGTCAACCATTTTAAGGAAGAAGAAAAAAACAAATGAACAGTGTTAAATTAATCTATTGATACCTATGAATCAATCATCTGTCTATATCTGTCATCCATCTATGCCTCTATGCATCTATCATCCATCTCTATCTATCATTAAGCTGCTGATGGGCACATGATTGATCATAACCCTCTTGAACTTTACACTCACATTTAATGTTATAAAAATTCATTTGTGTAAATAATGACATATCTTTTTGTAAGTATGACAAATCTGTAAAATCACAAACGTGAGCAATGTAACTGATAAGCCAGTGGAACCAGGCACCATTGCTTTAATTAACTGATTTTAGTTTCCATCTTGATATCAGTCTATGACAAAATTGCATTGGTTCTAAATGGTCTAAGCTTTTTTGGTCTCAATTCAACTTCCATTGTACACCGCTCTAAAACCTGATTTTCCTACTTAAATTGCTCCCTTTATTGATGGCACCACAACCCACCAATACACTTTGCACCCCACCTTACATCCTTCCCAACTGTATCCTGCAGGAAACATGTCCCATGACTAAACCATCCTTGATTATGGCATGCTTTTTAACAGTTTGGTAATTGGTAATTTTGCATACACTTTTTGTCTGCTTTAAATGCTACTTACATATGTCTTGCAAAATTACATATATCCCGCAAAATTCTACCTGCTATTTAAGAGGTGGGACCTTAATCACATCCTCTGGAAAGCAGTTCCTGACCTAGACCTCTGTACTCTGTGTATCACCATGTCTATACACACCCACATTGTATCATGTGTCATGTTAATAAAGATATTATTTGTTGAGCTCCTACTATGTGCCAGAGACCATATTCTCTTTTACTTGCATTCACTTGTTTCATCTTCACAATTACCCGATAAGACAGATAGTATTATATTCATTTAGAAGTGAAAAACATAATAATAAGAATCAGAAATTCAATAGTTTAAATAATGGACTCAATCTGTCAAAGAAAGAGTTATGAACTGAAAAGAAGAAAGAAGGAGTCACCTTTAGTGCCCCACAGAAAGACAAATAGGTACAAAATGTAAGAAAAAACTAAGTATTAAAGAGTTGTCAATAAATTTGCTTTATATGTATAAAGAAAATCTCATATTAAAATTATTTTAAAGGTAAAATAAAACAAGATGCACAATAACAAGTGGATTTAACAATGCTAGGTTTAACAAAACACGTTAAGATAAATATCCTTAATATGAATCTTATACCTAGCAATGTATTTCACAAAAAAATTAACTCTGTTAATAAGGTATCCTTCTGTGGGTGCCATTGTTCTTGTGGTAAATATTATCATTCATTTGCTTCTACGTTTGGAGGAGCCTTCAAATAACAACACCAACACCTCCAACTGCATCTGTTCTGTCTATCCTAATCAAAGGAGACACAGGCAGTAGTCCCTGGGGACTGCTGCCCAGACTATGGAACCTGAGATGGTGTTGCCACAGGCTGACTACAACTGTGACCAACTCGGGCTAATCCCACTGCGGCCACCACCAGGGGATCCGGTGACAATGTTTTCACTGGAGCCATAATCTTTTCTTCCAGGGCTGCCATATCTGGAACCGCATAAGCCCTGGGAAATTAGGAACGTAAATGTCCCTAGTGGTGACTACTGACTGGCAAAAAAGAAACATCACATAAGAAATAGAGAGAAGGGGTTTCCAGCACTGTCTTTTCAATTTAACAATCTCTAATAATAAAAGACAGGGACACTCTAGGTTTCAAGAGTAGGCCTTTGTATTATCTTTCTGTTATAAAATCACAACTCTCTAAACAGTACTTGCCCATCTGCAAGTATTTTTCTACTCCTGAAAAATGTTTCCCTTCCTCCTTCTGTTTTTATTTTATTTTTTTTTTGAGATGGAGTCTTTTTATTTTTTTTTTTTGAGATGGAGTCTTGCTCTGTCACCCAGGCTGGAGTGCAGTGGAGAGATCTCGGCTCACTGCAAGCTCTGCCTCCCAGGTTCATGCCATTCTCCTGCCTCAGCCTCCTGAGTAGCGGGCACTACAGGCGCCCGCCACCATGCCTGGCTAATTTTTTGTATTTTTAGTAGAGAAGGGGTTTCACCGTGTTAGCCAGGATAGCCTCGATCTCCTGACCTCGTGATTTGGCCATCTCGGCCTCCCAAAGTGCTGGGATTACAGATGTGAGCCACCGCACCCGGCCTTCCTTTTCTTAGTCTTATTTGCACACATTTGGAATGTCAGTCTACCCAAAAAGGCCAAACAAGGAGAAGCGCAAACATAAAATACTTCTGATTGAAAAGTTTATAAACATACAATCAAATGTAAAAACGGGATTAAACTGATAGCTTCTTTATCAATGTTAGTAATCAGTGACCACTTTTACCTCTAAAACATTTTGAAAAATCAGTTGTATTTACTTAGAATGGGTCAAATTTTATAGAATACAACCTAAGTGTCTATCAACAGATGAATGGATAAAGCATATATATACACAGTTGACTATAATGCAGCCAGAGGAAAGAAGGGAACCCTTCCGTTTGTGATAACATAAATGAACAGAGGACATTATGCTTAGTGAAATAAGTCAGGCACAGAAAGACAAATGTTGTATGACCTCGCACATGCATAATCTAAAAAAAAGTCCAATCCACAGAAACAGAAAGTAGAATGGTGGCTTCCAGGGGCTGAGGAATGGAAGAATAGAAGGTGCTGATAAAAAGGTACAAACTTTCAGTTATAAAATGAACAAGATCTCAGGGTCTAATATATAGCAGGGGAGGTGATAGATGTGTTACATTACTGTAAAAATCATTACACAATGTGTATGTATATATATCTATCAAGTCATCATATTATACACCTTGAATATATATATTCTTTGTAAATTCAATATTTTTAAATAAAAGAAGAATGCAATCTCATTAAAATCAGCAAATAAATGATAACATTGGCATACAAGAGTTTTTTTTAAAAGTTTAAAAAATATAGACAACGTGTATTTTGTGCATGTGTGTGTACACAGACTCCAATCTCCATGTTGACAGATTTCAGTGAGTAGCTCTGTGATGTGGGAAAAAGAAAAAACAATGTTCCTATCTAGGCCTGCACACACCATGCCTCCCAGATGACCTATTAAGAATCTATCCATAATAGGTGCACTAGTCTAGATACATTCTCTCTCTGGATCACATTTTCACAGATAATGAACCTCAAAAAGCCACATCCTACATCATGTCACACCCATGTGAAAGCCAGTACAAATTCCAAGGTTAATAGTAGATATTAGTTCTCTTAAAGTCATCTTCAGGAAATTGTGGTTTCACTCGTGGGATTGCTAATTGTGTGTTTTATTCCACAAGGAAACTGGAAGAAGTTGTTCTGTTGATTTTAAAGTCTAATGGTGCCCATTACACTGAGGTACTGATTGTATTGATGCTATTTATCTGACAGTTCTGTCATGTTTGGAATTTAAGCTCCATGATTCTTCATGGTTTTCGTATCTTTTTACTAGCAACACCTTTGAAACTGGTGTCTCTATGGGGAAATAGATAGCCATCTTGTATTGATTTTACCCTCATTTACCTTTTAAAAATATTTCGTCAATATTTAAAACTAGCACAGGCTAAATTTAATTTTCCTTCAGGGCCCATTGAAGGGTATACTACCATGAGAACAGCCACAGATATCTCTGACTTAGAGTGGTAAACCATTCAGAAGGATGACAGGAACTGAATGTTGGATTTCAGCTCCCCTGGAGCACCAGGGGAAGATGATTGCTTTCTTGTATGTTAACTGAAGCTTTAACACATCTATCTGACAACGGCCATGCATCATTCTGATCAACAGTCACTTTACTATCTGCATCTAAAGATCCTGAATAATTGCTGCCTACGTTTTGATACTATTTTTAAATGATCACAGATGAAACAGGTTTTATCTGATATGAACTCAATGCTAAAACTTCAACTGTGTAATCTCTGAAGAAATCACAGAATGTTCCTCAAAAGTAGTTAATAAAAGGCACTGGGGGAAAGCAGTATTTTGCTGATAGAAGTCACAGTAAATGCGTTGGATATTTCAGTTTTAACTCTCTAGCTGTCTCTTGTAGGTGAAAATGTTGACACAAGTTTCTAAATGATCAATATTTTATAGGACTTTCTGCATAACTAAAATTAGAGTCAGATGTGCTAAATATGTCAAGAGTGTTTTTTCTCTGCGTCACCTCCTGAAGCCTCTGAGGAGCTACTTGACTTCTACTATAAACTCCCAGACCCACTAATCAGGGAGTGATGAGCAGGTTTAAGCCCCATTTGATAGGGGTTATTGTTAAGTCACCTTCTTTAGAAGCTCACCCTGATAAAGCCCTGGAGCTCAGCTACAGGTTCATCAGCCTGTGGTTTTCTGGCGCTGACCCTGTATTACCTGTTTCCTCTCTTAATTCTAGAGATTTTGTGAAGCAAAGCCTTTTCCCAGGGGTCCCTTTGCTATCCAAATCCTATATCCTGCCCTCTCACAGAGGCTGCCCTTACATACTTACCACGAATTCTCAATTCTTGTTTCTGCAACTGAGCTATGCCCTACAATATGTCCAGGAATTCAGAGCAAGGAGCTAAGAGGGTTACTTGGCATGACGCCTGGGTTTTGACCCATCTGCCAATCCTTGATTTTCAGATACCAACATTTTGCCTGACTGGAGCTTCTCCAAATGCTCAGTTCTGTGCCCTCTCCCTCAGAGTGAGCCTTTTACCTGGGCTCACATCTCACTGTTTATCCTTCATGGTCAGTGGGTTAATGTTGGGGCTGATGGCACCCTCTCCTGCCTTGGTGCAGATACAGAGAAATTGTCAGGCCTACCACTAACTCCCTATCCCAGACCTTGTCCCACTGCCATCCCTGAGTCCCAGTCCACAAGGGCTTTTGGAACCACTTTTGCACAATTATAACAATGAGAGAAATCTGGCATAACTGACTCCCTAGTGCGTCTAACCTCACAAGCTAACTACCTTTGCTTATTTCTGTGCAAAAGCCAAAATAACTATGGGAGGGATTTACTTTACAATTTAATGGAAAAATGTAGTTTATAGTTTAACTTTAAAGCAAGGAACTTTAAAGCAAGGATGATAATAGTCGCTTCCCAAAGTTAAGCTTTTCCATACTGGGGACTGAAACTGCCTTTGTAAAACTAATGAAAGGCCATAAGATTATAATTATGCTAGGGACCTGATTTCTGCTAAGACATAGGCATAAACAGCACCTAGGCATTGTTTCCTAGCTTGCTTTTTATAATTGCTTGCTGCTCAGGATTCACATAGCCAGTGGTCTGAAGATTTGTAACTTCCCCAGTTGCCCCTCTAGGTAACACTGCTATTGTGAAACCTCAGCCTGGTCTTTGAGATATTTTTCAGACTTTGCATTCTAGTAGACCAGCTAATGCCACCCAGACCAGTGACTCCACCCAGGAGCTAACTAAATGCCTGAGGACAGTTTTGGCAGCACTGTGATTTAGGCCCTGATCCAACCAGTCAGTACAACCCACTCCATAGCTGCCTGCCCACCAAACTATCCTTAAAACGCTAGTCTTCAAATTTCCAGGCAGAGAGATTTGAGAAATATCTCCTGTCCTCTTTGCTTCACTGCCTTGCAAGTATTAAACTCTTCATCTAATGCAATACTGGCTGTCTCATTGTATTGGCTTTTTCTGTGAAGTGGGCAAGAGGAGCTTGACTGAACTGTAACACTTTCTTTCAGCCTGAGCAAGGCAGGTCAAAAGTGTCAGGCAAAGACAATCCTAGAAGCAGCTTTCAGCTAATGTGATAGACCTGAAAATATAAACAACTTCCTCCCTATTGTGGGGTTGGAGAAAAAACTACAACATTCTATAATCCTCAGGATTTTTCAGCAGAGTGGAGCTTCATTTTTCTCCCTCATGAGTAAACTGCCTGATAGCAATCTTGTTTTCAGTCCCCTGCCCCTGACTGTTCTATTTTCCACCCAGGACTTCAGAGCATTGCTTCTAGATAACAAAATAGCATCCTTGCCTATGGTTCTTCAGACTAACATCTGCCTTTCCTTAGAACATTCTCCTAACCTTTCCACTCACTTAAGCAGACTGAGAGTTAACACTCTATTTGTTGTAATACTCAGATGAGACTTTCTGCTCTCCAAAGTTGGATGTTTATCTCTGCCCTACTGTCTCAAATTCATCTCATAATTAGCTGATAAGAGAGGTGATCCCTGTCCAGCGAGCACATGGACTATGTATTGTGGCAATACAACACAAACAGTGCACTGTGAAAGGTCAAGTTTAAAGAGGGTATCTTTTAATACAGAGGCGTCTGCGGGCCTTTACCAGTGGGAGGTTTTAAAAAACAGACAAAGGGAGTTTTTCTCAAAGAATATCTGGTTATCTGAAAGTACAGTGTGCTACTTTCTCTGTTGTAGATTGGCTTTCCTCAGATGCAGACCTAGAAGATAGAATTCCTTCCCGGGACAGGGGTCCCAGGAAGTACTTTCAGGTAAGAAAAGCGAGTTATAGAGCAGAAGAAAAAAAATTAAAAAGCACACATGATCATCTCAATTGATTCAGAAAAAGCATTTGACAAACTTCAATACCTTTCGATGATAACATTCAAAACTGCCTCAATACTCAGCCACCTAGGAATAGTAGACAACTACCTCATCATAACAAAGGCAGTATATGAAAAACCCACAGCAAATATCATACTCAAAAATGAAGCTTTTCCTTTAAGATCTGGAATAAGAAAAAAAATGCCTGCTTTTACCACTTTTATTCAGCATAGTATTGGAAATCTTAACGAGAGTAATAAGGCAGGAGAAAGAAATAATAGTCATCCAAATTTGAAAGGAATAAGTAAACTTATCTTGAATCACAGATGACATAATCTTATATGTAGAAAACCATAAACATTCCGCAATAAACTATTAGAACTAATAAATTCAGCAAAGTAGCAGAATACAAAATCAAAATGTAAAAATCCATTACATTTCCGTGCACTAACAATAAATAATCCAAAAGTAAACTAAGAAAATAATTTTTAACAATACTATCAAAAATTATCAAGTACTAAGGTTTTAACTTAAGCAAGGGGTTGAAAGACTTGTACATGAAAACAACAAAACATTGCTAAAAGAACTCAAAGTACCCATAAATAAATGGAAAGATGTTATGTTCATCTATCAGAAAACTTACTATTATTAAGATGTCCATACTACTAAAAGTGATCTACAGATTCAACATGATCCTTATAAAAACTGCAATGATATTTTTTCAAGAAATAGAAAAATTCATTCCAAAATTTATTTGAGATCTTAAGGAACCCAAATTAGCTGATTTCAAAATTTGCTATAAAGCTACAGTAAAAACAAACAAACAAAAGGCATAACTGTGCGTTACTGGCATAAAGACAAATATATAGACTAATAAACTAGAATAGAGAGGCCACAAATACCCCCTTATATATACGGCACATGATTTTGAACTGGATATCCAAATGCTAAAGAATGAAGTTGGATCTTTACCTAATGCTATGTACAGAAGTTAACTTAAAATATAACCAAACGCACAAGTAAGAGCAAAAATTGTAAACTCTTAGAAGAAAATATAGTGGAAAAGATTCATGACACTGAATTTGGCAATTATTTATTGGAGATGGTATAAAAGGTACGACCAATAGAAGAAAAAATTGACATGGATTTTATTAAAATTAAAAACTTTTGTGCATCAAAAATACTAATAGAGTAAAAAGGCAATCCACAATTTGGGAGAAAATATTGCAAATCACATATCTGATAAGGGACTAGTATCTAAAATACATTAAGAATTCCTGCAACTAAGCTCCAAAAAACAAACAATCCAATTCAAAAATAGACAAAGGATATGAATAGACACTTACCCAAAGAGGACGCACAAGTAGACAATAAGCACATAAAATGATGCTCTACATTATTAATTGACAGGAGAATGCAAATGAAAACCACGGTGAGATTCAACCTCACACTTATTTGGATAGCTATTATCAAAAACACAGAAAACAACAGGCTTGGCATGAATGTGGAGAACTTGGAACCCTTGTATTTTGCTTGTTGAAATGGAAAATGGTACAACTACTGTGGAAAAGAGTACGGCAGTTTCTTAAAAAGTTGAACAAAGTATTACTATTTTATCCAGCAATTTCACTTCTGGGTATATACACCAAATAATTGAAAGTGGTGACTCAAACATATTTGTACACCCATGTTCCTAGAGGCATTTTTCAAAAAGCCAAGGTGGAAACAACCTCAATGTTTACTACCGAGTGAGAAGATAAACAAAAGGTGGTATAAATACACAATGGAATATTATTCAGCCTTTGAAGGGAATGAAATTCTGATATATGCTTCAACATGGATGATCCTTAAAGTCATTATGATAATTGAAATAAGTCATCCACAAATGGTCAGATATTGTATGATTCCACCTACAAGATCTACCCAGAATAGTCAAATGTAGAGGCAGAAAGTAGAACAGTGGTTACCAGGGGTTAAGAGGAGGAGAGCATGGAGAGTTACTGTTTAATGCGTACAGAGTTTCAGTATGGCATGATGAAAATTCTGGCAATGAATAGTGGTGATAGTTACACAACAAAATGAATGCACGAAATGCTACTGAACTTTATACTTAAAAATAGTTAAGATGGTACATTTTATATTATGTATATTTTACCACAGTTAAAAAAAAAAACTTAACTGACCATATAAGAGTGGGTCTATTTTTGGACTCTTTAGAATGTTCCACTGATTGCTATGCCTGAATTTATTACAGCATTACATTGTATTTATTATTAGAATCTTATAGTAAGCGCTGAAATCAGGTAGAATAAACACTCCAACTTTGTTCTTTTTATTCAAGATTATTCTGGTTATTGTAAGTCCTTTATATTTCCATGTAAATTTTGGAATCAACTTGTACATATCCACACAAATATTTTGGGGTTTTGACTGGTTTGGAATATTTAGAAAGATGTGACAGTTTATCAATACTTAGCTTTTAATTTATGATCATGTTGTATTTCTCCATTTATTTGTTTATATCTTTTAATTTCCTTCAACATAGTTTTTGTAGTTTTCAGGGTAGAGATCATATACATCTTTTGTTAAATATGTTCCTGAGTGTATTGTCTTTCTGACTTATTGTGGATTGCATTTTCATTTCATTTCTAGTTGCTTGTAGGTAGTTTTAGAAACACAATTAACTTGGGCTATTGTCCTTATTCTCAGCAACCTTGCTTAATTTTAGTGTTATTCTATCTTTTGTAGAATTCTTAAGGTTTTCTATGCATATCATCATGAAATCTACAAGTAAAGCCATTTTGCCTCTTCCTGTATAATTTTTGTTCTTTATATATCGTTTGTGACTTGCTGTAGGAGCATGGTGAACAACATTGATTATTAAGCAAGGTATTATCCTTGACTTGCTTTCAATCTCAGAGAAAATGTTCAATGTTAACTAACATATTAGGGAGAGGCTTTAATTAGATGACAGTTGTCAGATTAAGAAAATTCTTGTCTATTCATATCTTGCTAAAGTGTTTTGTAAAAATGGGTGTTGAATTTTGTCAAATGCTTTTTTGAATTTGTTGAAAATGCCATAGGATATTTCTCCTTAATTCTCTTCATTATTCCTAGCACTCTGAGCTTTATTTATATGCACAATTATCTTTTAAGAAGAGAATAGGTCTATGTGTATCAGCTATTATTGACTGTGAAGTTTAAAATCAATAATATTATTTCAGTATCAAAGTAGTAAATTTTACTGATTTTATTTTTTGATCTGGGACCAGTGTGATATATTTATTCTAGAGGGTTATATGACTCATGTCACTTCTCTATTATTAACCAAAGGGAAGAAAGGACAACCCCATGGGAACAGTTTAATCAGCCTTGACATCCAGGCCCATGATTCAGAATGATTTAAATGGTCTGTGACAAAAGAATAGTTAACAGTCTGCAAAATGTCCATTATCTTTAGTTGGCAAAGGCCTATTGATTTAGGGCCTTGTGTGACTCCCATAGGGTGTTAGTAAGAAGTGATGTGAGAGCTCAAGTTCAGCATTATTCACCACCAACTAAACACTCCAAGGTAAGTCTGTTAATAAGGTACAAATTAAATCTCCATGCTAAATAGTTGCAGATGTTTGGGGAAAGCAGGGAGCAGACTACATGCTACTGTCTGTAATTTTCTTCTGAGATCACATACGGCAACATTGCTAAAAAGAAGCCTTTAATAGCATTATTATACAATGAATGATAAACTCCAGAACTCGTCTTATGATAATGTCTTTTAGCAGAATAAAATCTAATCTCATCTAAGGATGTCTTCCATAGCTATGCTGCCTCGACATGAGTAGGTACAGCAATCAGTTTTGCACTGTAATTTATGGCTCTTTCTGAAGTTAGATTAGGAGCAGTGTAATGTGTCAATGGGTTGGAGCATTGGAGAAAAGAATTTGCTACAGCACTTGGGCATAATTCTATTAGGGAGGCCCACAGAATCATTTAGACACTATCCTAGGGGAACACCACTCACGCTGAGTTCAGTGACCGCTGCCTAACGTCTCCTGATTCAGTGATGCTGAAGGTTGGGCCCCACCCTGGCACCACTCTCAGTAGTCCCAGGTCATGAAAGATAAGACCAGAGCAAAAGCCATCACCATGCACAGTTCTCAATTAATTCTCTATGTAAAATGGTAGAATAATCAGAAAATACAGTGTCACTCCCATCATATGATGACAGCTAGGAGTCATAGACAACAGGCTGGAGATGGGCCCGAAATATGTGTTCATGGACCCCAGGCAAGGTTCTCGTACAGGGCCGCTGATTACTTAATGATGTAAGCAAAAATTCCATGCAGAACCATTGACTAGACACTGAAAGAAAAACATATTTAAAATGCCCTGTGAATAAACATTTTTATTAACAAAAAACAAACACAAAAAATTTCAACAGAAGAAAAAGCTACTTACACCAGAATAGAAAGGCTCACCAGACACACATATCACATCCTGTTCCTGGATCATCAAAATGTCTTTGGCTAGGTGCAGCCGCACTTTGAAAGGCTCCTGGTTACCATCCTGCAGCAAACAAATTCCTGTCTTTGTCTTCAGATTAAAAAAAAAAACAAACAGAGGAAAAATTATACTTAGTTTATAGGTTGTAATTTTGTGGCCAGTTTACAGCAAAACATGGTGAATAACATTTAAGAGGTGGTGAAAACACACTCTGATGAGCCTGAAATTGAATACTTAACGTGGGTGCAAGGGAAAAAAAGGAGAATGATCTCAAGTAGAGTGAACACTCGGATAATGAAAACAATGTCACAAAATTCACACAAAGAAGTGGGGAGTAAGGATTATGGTACATGTACTACATTTTTAAAATAATGAGGATTTTTGTAATACTTATAATCTAAAAATAAAAAATAATTGCTTTATTGAGATATAATTCAAATTCCATACAATTCAACCCTTTAAAATGTACAATTCATGTATTTTTAATATACTCAATGGTGTGCAACCATCACTGTAATCAATTTTAGAACATTTCCATTACTTCAAAAAGAAGGAACACACTCCTATTTCTCCATTTCCCCTCCCACTGCCCCAGCCTACTCTAAACTCCACTATGTCAGCATTCCTAGTCACCAACAAACACATGCATGCATGCATACACACATGCACAGACTTGCATGAACACGCACTCACATACACACACACACACACAGTTTATACCTAGAAGGAAATAAGGGTAACAAGGTGAAATAAACTACCCAGATTAACACAGTTAATTAAAATTGGAGCCTAGTTTAAGACCCAAGATTTTTGATGCCTAATCCAATGTGTTTGCTTTATATACTTTGGGTAATTGTGAAAACAGACTGTAAAGATTTCTGAACTTGTGCTATTATCTTAGTAATCACCAAAGAAGTCCATGAGTCTTGTCATTTATCCAGAATACATATATTAACCTGGATTAATATAAATATTCTCCCTAGAAAGTGCACTTAACATTCCCACTTGTCACAGACACAAAAGGTAATTCCTTTGAGATAGAATATAATCTTTAGCTCTTATTCGGCACCAAAAAGTCCATAGGAATAATGACCACTTTGGAAATGACATTTTCTTGTAATAATTATTGAGTCATTCTTAAGATAGTGGAATATATATATGGGGATATACATTTATCCTCAGAGTTAATTAATTAATTAATTTCAAATTAAAAATTTAGCACATAGTAAGTATTCATGGCAAACAATGTGAGGTTTTGATGTATGTATATATTGTGTAATTATCAAATCATGATAATTAGCATATACATCACTTTAAACACTAATAATATATGTGTTGTGAGAACATTCAAAACCCTCTCTTCCAGCTATTTGTGACATATAATGCATTACTGTTAGCTGTGATCATCCTAGCGTGCACTAGAGTAACAGAGCTTATTCCTCCCATCTGACTGTAACATTGTACCTGTTCTCCAACATCTCCCGATTCTGACCCTTCCATGCACCCCAGTGTGTGGTAACCACTATTCTACTCTCAACTCCAACATCACTTACTATAAGGAAAATGCAATTCAAAACCACAATGTAATACCACCTCACCCAAGTTAGAATGGTGACTAACAAAAAGACAAAAAATAACAAATGCTGGTGAAGATGTGGAGAAAAGTGAACCCTTACACACTGTTAGTGGAAATGTAAATTAGTATATCCCTTAAAGAAAACAGTATGAAGATTCCTTAAAAAATTAAAAACTGATCCAGCAATTCCATTACTAGGTATATATCCAAAGGAAATGAAATGAGTATGTCAAAGGGACATCTGCACTCCCATGTTTATTGTAGCACTATTCACAACAGCCAAGATATGAAATCAACCTAAATGCCCATCAACACATGAATGGATAAGGAAAATATGGTACTTATACACAGTGGAACACTATTCAGCCATAAAAAAGGAATAAAATTATTTAACTTGCAACAACATAGATAAGGATGGAGGATACTTTGCAAAGTAAAAATTGCCAGGCATAGAAAGACAAATATCATATTATATCACTTACATGTGAAATCTATCCTTAGATTTAAGGAGCATGCTATCCCAGGCAAATAATACCAGACTTTCTCTTGGAATATACATTTCCATGGCTATTGCTGGGAGTCTGCTACTTTAAAAGAATCCGCTGTAATATTGATGGGAATATATTTATATACTGCAGCCTCCAAAGATAACTCTTTCTCTAAACTGCTTTTGTTCTCGTGTGCTGATGCACACTCTTTTGCCCTCTATCATATACACTCTTATATTATTCTAGAATTATTTTGTAAAAGGTATGATGTCTTTTTTAGGAAAAACAGAAGCTTTTTCATGAGGAAGGAAAGCAAGTTTTCTTCATCCATGGCATTAGCACACAAGTGCTCATGAAACCAGGCTGACTAATCTAGAGAATACTTTAAGTGAATATATCTAGAGGACAAAAATCTTTCAGCACAAGCAGATTGTACTTTCCCTAATATAGAACATATTTTTTCTATGTTTTTACACAAAGTCACTCATGCTTACAATAGGATATTGGAGAGGGGCCGACATGCATCCTTTTTGAGGGGGGAAGCCACTCTGAGGAGTGGAAATATGAAATGATACATCAAAGCCAAGTGATCATAAATGAGCACATTTCCTGATTTTTCAGTACAGTATATTCCAGGACATTTTTTCACCCAGAAGTGTAATGGAATAGCTGATAATCACAAATAATGCTCTGTTTGAACTTCAGGATGTTAGAAGGGTTTTCCCTGAAAGCCCAGAGATATACTTTTGGTGCACATCAAAGAGATACTAAAGATCATCCAGGGAAAGTTTGAGGAGCTAAAACAAAGCTATCAGGGTGTTCTCATTTAATTTCTATATGGCCAAAGCTATCATTCACTTAAATACTATGTAAAATGTTCACAAATTATTAGATAGTTGTCTGGAAAACAGAATACAGTCTTTGAGCTCGCTTTTGGGTTCTGAAAGGACAAGAGTTGCAGAAAATAAAGAATGAGAAGGATTTTTTTTAGAATAAATCACAGAAGCACACACACACACACACACTCACAAACACACATTCCAATAAATAGCTGCTGGAGAAAACAGTACACGAAGTGCTAAAACAGATCAGTTAAAATACATTTCCAGAGGTTACAGATATTACACATGTTCTACCATGAAAATTCAGCTGGTGCACATGGAAATACATTTAAAATCCCACACATTTATTAATTTTGCAAATACTGTGCAGCATTAACAGAGAATCAGACATTAATTAGATAACATTCCCTGGCCTCATAGTATTCGTAACTATTTTACCTTATGTTATTTTATTTTTTTCTTGAGACAGAGTTTCGCTCTTGTTGCCCCAGGCTGGAGTGCAGTGGAGCGATCTTGGCTCACTACAATCTCTGCCTCCTGGGTTCGAGCGATTCTCCTGCCTCACCTCCCAAGTAGCTGGGATTACAGGTGCCTGCCATGACACCCAGCTAATTTTTTGTATTTTTAGTAGAGACGGGGTTTCACCACCATGGTGGCCAGGCTGGTCTCGAACGCCTGACCTCAGGTGATCCACCCGCCTCGGCCTCCCAAAGTGCTGGGATTACAGGCGTGAGCCACCGCGCTCGGCCTCGTATTTACTTCGAAAGTACATATGTAATAAAACACAATATGACATCTGATATGGGAGCAACATGGGGAAGGGAATTTAATATTCATGAGGGAAGGGAGTTTATGGAGGATAGGAAATATGTGTGGTTTGTCTTGAAAAAAATTAATTGAGGAAACAATCATTAGAGGAACAAATGTCATTTTAATCAAGAGGGAACACATGAGTAAAGATATGGAAGTGTGAAAATGCATGCCACGTGATGATGCAAGAAAATGAAGGTGCGCTCGCCGCTGAGCCTGTGTGGTCCAGCAGGGGCCGCTGCAGGAGAGATGTCTGGAGAGGACCAGGCGTGCTAACGCCCTGTATGATGGGCAGATGGTGGACGGTAAGGGAGACGCCATACATAAATGTGAGCAAGGAGATAATATGTTCACTGTTATGTGTTCTAAATGTATTTCTTGTAGCAGAGTAGAAGATGGAGAATAAATGGGAAAGTTAAAATACACTTATTGTTGACAGAAACAGGCACTGAGCAGGGAAGTTGGGAACTAATAAACAGGTGCATTAGATTCAGAGCTCCTCTGAGAGATGCAAGAAGAAGGATAAACTCCATTTCAGGGCACTGTCTTGATTAGAATCAGCATTGCTGGACTGAGATCCTCACTCATGAAATGTGGTCATATATTTCATTTATTTGTTGTTTAATAATAATTATTTATATAGTGCTCACTGTGTGACAAGAAGTATTAATTTATTTTTCTCCCTTAACAAAAATTAACGCAACCATCTGCCTTTACAGATTAGACAAGTGCAGAGGGACCTAGAGGAAGAAAAGGCTAGAATTCAACACAGGCAGCTAGGCTCTTCACCACACACTCTGCTATCCCGCATACACAGATTATTTAAGAATGCCACCCCCAGTTGTCCTGTATACAATGACATGGCTATTGGCATCTTTCACTGGAGAGCATTATGGTTATCAATAATCTCCTAATGGGGTGTGGATAATTTTGAAAAGAACAACATAATCTTGAAGCAGCTATTCTTCTTGTATTGAAGCAATGACCACTAGAGAGAAAAAACGAGTAAGAGACTACTCTGGAACTTACAGGATGATCTTCCCCAAAGCCACGCTACTAGGAGACTGTCTGATAGAGGAAGAAGTTTGATCTCCACTCCTTCCTGAAGTGCTTTAAGAGCTAAAAATGAGAGACCGAATCATGGGAGCAGCTGCAGGTTGGTGCTGCAAACCTAAAACAGCCCCACCTGCAAAGTCTTTACAGATCTGTGGACCCAAATTGTTTAGATATCGAAAATCACCTACATAATTATTGGTCTCAAATTTTAATATAAACTAAAGACATGAATCTTCTTCTTTCTTTTTATTAATGTAACATCATTTGTCTCCAAACTTCGTTGACTTTGCATACCATTGCACATAAATAAAGGAATGCATGTGATATAGATACTGTATGAATGTATTTTGTACTTTATAAAATATACACCAAACATAATTTTAAAGGGATGATTCATTTAAAAATGATATAAGTAAAATATTCTTCTTCTCTGACTGATGGACGATTCTAGATGGAACTTTTTACAAAATCCACATTGGAGACTATTTGCTTAAAGGAATTATTGAAAAGCAATACTTCCTAATTGCCTAAAAGGCAACATATTTAAATTATTAATTAGCTATGCTTTCTGCAAATCAAGAAAATGTTTATGAATTTGCATGGGTTTACTCTTTAAACAAATCTCACATTTAACTTCTCTCACATTTAAACTTATTAAGAATTTGTAGTTTCTTAAACATAGGACCTAGGTTGGATCTTTATAAAAGTAGAATATCATCCATTTTCTACTTAAAAGTTAAGGCCTTTTTAATTTATATTCTAGTCTTTCAAAATGTACAAAATGTATTTTCATGAAACTTTAAAATTTAAGGTCTATTAATTTTGAAATATACTCACAATATCAGATATAAGAAATGACAAACTACAAAAAGTAGGCAGAGATAATAAAATGGACTGCAAATTTTCTTGCAAGTATCCACAGTATTTCCATGTTTCAAGTGCCAAATACGATTTAATTTGTTTTGTCTTATACTGTACTGCATTGTAGCAGTAGTGTACTAAATGTTCTTTTATGCAAAGTGCTTCAAACTGCATCTTATCATTTACGTTCCCATTCCTGGATTACTTTTGATCATGGCCTTTTCCTTAACTAAATTCTAGCCATTATTCGAGTCCTGGCACCAGACTCCCTTCTCTTTGAAGCCTTCTGAAATCATTCTATTCAAAGATGAGTCCTCACTTTCCTGAACACTTGGATTCCATTAAGTAAATATTTACCCCAAAATTGATCACTATTGTCTTTTGGCATCACATATAGTGACTTCAGCAATATTTAGCTATATCTCACATGAGTGATTTAATTTCCTCTTCTATATTGTTATCTCAGTAACAGGTTGTCACTCTTTTCAGTACTAAGGATTACTAATTTACAAGAGCTAGTATGGTAATAACAGTATTACCAATTAAATAAATCTTCTGTATCTTAATAGAATTTGAGAAATATCCCAAATTAGTACATCAAAACAATTTTGTTTACAAAAAGCTCTTGTAAATCTTTCCAGCCTCTGAAATCCAAAATAAACCATTTGTTAAATAGTATTTGACCACTGTCCAATCTGTACCATATGAATGTCATGTGTCCCATAAGTATCTCATTCACACAAATATCCACTGGGTTTCAATGAATGCCTTACTACTCAAGACATAAGGTTGCACATTAATGGAAATAGAAGACTTGCTACTTTTAAAATTAAGTATGCAATTAAAACCAGAAATGGGCCGGGCACAGTGGCTCACGCCTGTAATCCCAGCACTTTGGGAGGCCGAGTCGGGTGGATCACGAGGTCAGGAGATCGAGATCTTCCTGGCTAACACGGTGAAACCTCGTCTCTAATACAAAAATACAAAATAAAAAAATTAGCCTGGCGTGGTGGCAGGCACCTGTAGTCCCAGCTACTTCGGAGGCTGAGGCTGGAGAATGGCATGAACCCAGGAGGCAGAGCTTGCAGTGAGCCGAGATCGCGCCACTGCACTCCAGCCTGGGCGACAGAGTGAGACTCCATTAAAAAAAAAAAAAAAAACAGAAATTAGACAATTAAAATTTAAAATACAAAGCTTCTAGAACATTAATTCAGTTTTTAAAAATATATGAACCAATAAGTGCTAAGTTAAAAAGATGAATAATGTACACACTCTGACCTTATAGTATTCAGTGTAGCACATGAGAAAGGTTTGTAAACAAAAAAACTGCCTTGTAATTTGATGAGTATTAGCATAGAGATATGTTTAAAATGTTATGCTTAAAGCATTAAAAGTAGAAACATAAGAATAGAAATATAAAAGCAATTTATTAGTTTTCTGAAAAACCTTATATTTATATTCTGAACTTCTTACCAACAGTGACAAGTATTTTTAAATATATATTTTTTCAATTGCTTTAGAAGAAAATAAGGAGTTACTTTCCACAAATTCATGCAAGAACTGTAAACACATGACATTTCACTAAAGTAACAGTCTTCACAAGGTTAAGAACTGAAGTCTTTCCCTAGTTTGATTTTAACACTACCAGAGGTAAGCAGTTATGGTTGGTTTTTGTTGAGTTGTTTATATACAATAAAAAAATGCTTTAAACCTTTTAAACAAATATAAAACATTTTTAAGCTGCAAGTATTTGTATTTTGCCTGAAGAATGAAAACACAATACTTTGAATGTTACATATTTAGTAAAAAAAAAAAAAAAAGTTAGTTTTTCTTCCTAAGATGGAATGGTTGTATTCCCTGGGGGCCCACATCCATGCACTATTGAACTGTAAACTTGAACACTGTTTATCATCCTTGAAATACTAATGTGCCACTTTAACTCGTGCTGAAATGTGATGACAGCTCTACAGAGAATCTAAATTCTTGTGTATTAATACTTAAATAATATTGAATTACTTAAATACTATCAGAATCATAAAATCATAGAATTTTAGGGCTGAAAGGAACCTTAGATGTCTTCTAATTTATTACCATTTATGTGAAAAGAATTCTTTCCAACACTTCCACTACCTGAAATGTGCAGAGTTGGTGAAGAGGAGCAACTCAATTATATTCAATATGCTCCAGTCTTCCTAAAGAAAGAGTTAAAGTCCAAGGCTTTCCATGCACAGTTAGGTTTTCTATCTTTGCAGAAGGAGAACGTAATCTGGAAGGAAAAAGAGCCCATCCTCCTCTCTCCATTTTCTGCCAAAAGCAGAATTTCCCTATATAAATTGGAGCCAAGTGTTTCCCGCTTATATTCTGTTTTCCCTGTTTGAAAAGCAGAAAGCTCTGTACTCACCTCCTCACAGGCGGTTCTGAAATCCATGTGCTGTGGCACCACAAAGGATGTCGTCTGAAAAGACACAGAAATGGTAAGCCATTAGGCACAGCATGGCATGTAAGAGAGAACACTAATATAGTGGAGGAAATCGTGAAGCAGAACTTGTGGGAAAACTGTGTTTACAACCACTTGTAAGGAACAAGAGCTCCAGGGTATACTGAAGAGAGGAAAATGAACAGATGAAAAAAGTCTTAATCCCCAGCTTTTAGGAAGTATAAATATCCTGCCATCATTCAGTGTGATTGAGTGTGCATTTCCAGGCACCTTTCCACCCCGCCAGCAGGCATTCAGACTCCATGTATCATCAGATCAACCTCTTCTCGCTCATTCCCAACATGCATTGTGAAACCTGAGTTTGCAATTGAGAAAGAAACTTCAAAAAGAGCAATTAAAAGTTGCCTTTCATATGGTTACCTCATGAAAAAAGATTGACTAATCTCTCTCTTTTTAATTAAAAAGCTACATGCATGAATAATTCTCTCTGGAACTTAAAATTTTATTCACAATATGATGTAAGGAAGCAAGCTATTTGTCAGAGTGAATAATATTAAGAAAAATCAATGTATAAAATATCTAAAATAGATTCATCTATGGTCACTATAATACCTAAATGATGAATGTAGATTTAAATACATATAGATGTTTTTGTAAAATTATTCTGGAGTGTTTTGTTTTCATTACGTGATACACCTAACCAAACTAAGATATGTCACGGAAAGTTGACACCCAGACACTATAAAACAAAGCAATGCAGAGCCAAAATATAATGGATAAGTAAATGAGACGTCAAAGTAAGATGAATGATTAATTCCAAAATAGAAGACTTTGTACTCCTCAAAATTACTCATCTCAGCCTTTGGAAGAGTAAACTATTATATCTTTCTTTGGCATTTCTTTTTAATTATACAAGATTAATTAATGCTTTATCAGGTAAGTGTGGCAAAACAGAGTAGGAGGTATCACCATGCTGTCACTGAACTGATAGATTATTACTATTGACTTTGAAAGAAAGAGATTAGCCATCATCAGTAGTAACCAAATGCATCATATAATCTATTAAATATTTCCCCTAGATAAATCTTGTGGATTGTGAGCCTCATTAATATTAATGAAATTTTTATTACTAACTTAATTATTTTTCAAAATTGCTCTTAAACATTTTATTTGAAGAACCTGTAAATATCTTCTTGTCTCTAACTGTGATGTAAAGTTATTCTTTTACTACAAAAGAAGGAAAATTTTGATATGTATTGATTATATAAAAACAAGAGATGTCTGGAATCAATTTCTTGCTACTAAAAAGCAACCAGAGAAATAGACATGAGGATACTGAACCATCTAAATATAACCTCATATTTGTTTCATATGCTGTATTTAATTTTAATGCATACATCTTAAAATTTTAATTATTTCATAACATGGCACATTTGAGCAGGTGCTATATCTATACTTTCTACCATTTTTAGCACATCTTCCTTTTTTCAATTCTAATCTTCTATTCTTTTTCATCAAAACATTAGGTGATAATATCAGTTGTTTGTTCAGAAAAGTAATTCATATATAAGCACAAAGAATTTCTACATACAGTTAGATAAAATATATAGGAGATAACTTATTTGGATTGAGTTCCTCAGGTTCTACTAGACCATATCAAAATGAAGTTACTCTTGCTAAAGCTTCACATCACCAAACTGAAAGCAAGATGATTATTTGACTTTTCTAAAACATTGGGAGAGGGAATAATAGCCAAAGAGCCAAAGAGGCCAATTTTAGCTGGCATTAAATAAGTCCCCTCTGCTTTAACCCTAAAAGGAAAGTAACTTTGTAATGAATAATCGATGTTTTGGCTTTTATTCTTTCTTCAGTCCTTTCTGCATATAAATCCCACCTCCAGGGCTCAGCTCATCAGAACACCTTGTCTAAATGTTTAAAGGAGATGCTGCCATGATTCATAAATCACAATCAAAGCCAATCCAATCATTTTGCTACAATTGTTGTAATTTTTTCTTCTGACAGTTCTCCACTTCCATTATTCTCTACTGTTAGCATCTTATATGATTATGTCACATTGATTACAGTTAATGAACCATTGCTGATACATTAGTACTATCTAAAGTTTAAACTTCATCTGTGTTTTCCTAGTTTTCCTTACTGTCTGTTTTCAGTTCTAGGATTGCTTCCAAGGCACGTCATTACATGTAGTCCCCTTTTTCCCTTGGGCTTCTTTTGGCTGTGACTGTTTCTCAGACTTTGCTTATTTTTAAAGACCTTAGCAGTGTTGAAGCATGCTGGTAAGGAATTTGTAAGATATTCTTCCATTGGGATTATTCTGATGTTCTTTTTAACTATTATAGTGTGGTTATGGGGTTTTGGAGGGGGACGATCTCAGAAGTAAAATGCCATTTTACTCAACACATACACACTCCCAAGACTAAACCAGAAAGAAGTTGAGTCTCTGAATAGACCAATAACAGGCTCTGAAATTGAGGCAATAATTAATAGTCTACCAACCAAAAAAATCCAGGAGCAGATGGATTCACAGCCGAATTCTACCAGAGGTACAAAGAGGAGCTGGTACCATTCCTTCTGAAACTATTCCAATCAATAGAAAAAGAGGGAATCCTCCCTAACTCATTTTATGAGGCCAGCATCATCCTGATAACAAAGTCTGGCAGAGACACAACAAAAAAAGAGAATTTTAGACCAATACTCCTGATGAACATTGATGCAAAAATCCTCAATAAAATGCTGGCAAATTGAATCCAGCAGCACATCGAAAAGCTTATCCACCATGATCAAGTGGGCTTCATCCCTGGTAGGCAAGGCTGGTTCAACATACACAAATCAATAAACGTAATCCAGCATATAAACAGAACCAAAGACAAAAGCCACGTGATTATCTCAATAAATGCAGCAAAGACCTTCGACAAAATTCAACAGTCCTTCACGCTAAAGACTCTCAATACATTAGGTATCGATGGGACATATCTCAAAATAATAAGAGTTATGTATGACAAAACCACAGCCAATATCATACTGAATGGGCAAAAACTGGAAGCATTCCCTTTGAAAACTGGCACAAGACAGGGATGTCCTCTCTCACCACTCCTATTCAACACAGTGTTGGAAGTTCTGGCCAGGGCAATCAGACAGAAGAAAGAAATAAAGGGTACTCAATTTGGAAAAGAGGAAGTCAAATTGTCCCTGTTTGCAGATGACATGATTGTATATTTAGAAAACCCCATCATCTTGGCCCAAAATCTCCTGAAGCTGATAAGCAACTTTAGCAAAGTTTCAGGATACAAAATCAATGTGCAAAAATCACAAGCATTCTTATACACCAATAACAGACAAACAGAGAGCCAAATAAAGAGTGAATTCCCATTCACAATTGCTTCAAAGAGAATAAAATACCTAGGAATCCAACTTACAAGGGATGTGGAGGACCTTTTCAAGGAGAACTACAAACCACTGCTCAATGAAATAAAAGAGGACACAAACAAATGGAAAAACATTCCATGTTCATGGGTAGGAAGAATCAATATCATGAAAATGGCCATTCTGCCCAAGGTAATTTATAGATTCAATGCCATCCCTATCAAGCTACCAATGAATTTCTTCACAGAATTTGGGAAAAACTACTTTGAAGTTCATATGGAAGCAAACAAGAGCCAGCATTGCCAAGTCAATCCTAAGCCAAAAGAACAAAGCTGGAGGCATCAAGCTACCTGACTTCAAACTATACTACAAAGTTACAGTAACTAAAACAGCATGGTACTGGTACCAAAACAGAGATATAGACCAATGGATCAGAACAGAGCCCTCAGAAATAATACCACACATCTACAACTATCTGATCTTTGACAAAAAATGGGGAAACGATTCCCTATTTAATAAATGGTGTTGGGAAAACTGGCTAGCTATATGTAGAAAGCTGAAAATGGATCCCTTCCTTATACCTTATACAAAAATTAATTCAAGATGGATTAAAGACTTAAATGTTAGACCTAAAACTATAAAAACCCTAGAAGAAAACCTAGGCAATACCATTCAGGACATAGGCATGGACAAGGACTTCATATCTAAAACACCAAAAGCAATGGCAACAAAAGCCAAAATTGACAAATGGGATCTAATTAAAGTAAAGAGCTTCTGCACAGCAAAAGAAACTACCATCAGAGTGAACAGACAACCTAGAGAATGGGAGAAAATTTTTGCAATCTACTCATCTGACAAAGGGCTAATATCCAGAACCTACAAAGAACTCAAACAAATTTACAAGAAAATACAAACAACCCCATCAACAAGTGGGCGAAGGATATGAACAGATGCTTCTCAAAAGAAGACATTTATGCAGCCAAAAGGCACATGAAAAAATGCTCATCATCACTGGCCATCAGAGAAATGAAAATCAAAACCACAATGAGATATCATCTTGAACCAGTTAGAATGGCGATCATTAAAAAGTCAGGAAACAACAGGTGCTGGAGAGGATGTGGAGAAATAGGAACACTTTTACAGTGTTGGTGGGACTGTAAACTAGTTCAACCATTGTGGAAGACAGTGTGTCAATTCCTCAGGGATCTAGAACTAGAAATACCATTTGACCCAGCCATCCCATTACTGGGTATATACCCAAAGGATTATAAATCATGCTGCTATAAAGACACATGCACACGTATGTTTATTGTGGCATTATTTACAATAGCAAAGACTTCGAACCAAGCCAACAATGAGAACACTTGGACACAGGAAGGGGAACGTCACACACCAGGGCCTGTTGGCTGTGAAAGGAAATAGATTGTTCATTTTTAGTAGAAACTGAACATGTCATACAATCGATTAAGTATTTCCACTGGATAAGTCTCTGACAGTGAGAAACATAGTTTCCAATAACCAATCATTCATGTGCTCAGTTGTGCAATCCCAGTATACATGTATAGCCATAAGAAATGCTAACCCACAGGCCTGTGGGAAACAACTGTATCCACTACAGCATAGTTTATTTTACGTTCATTCATATAGACTGCACTTATTATCAAAATTACTTATGTCTACTCCAGCTATGGGTGGGGAGAAATGACCATATGCTAGTTTCTCTACAGGCCTCACATGCTTCCCGTGCCCTCTAGCACTTCTGCAATTGCACGAGAACAGTTTCCCCAAGAAGCTGCTGCCCTGTTGGCCTGGCCTTAAAGTGACACACACAGAGCCAAACTTCTTATATGACCCACAGAATGCAAGATTCATCCCAACCACCCTTACATCCCTGCCCAGGACAGAGCTGCCACAATCACATTGAAGACTCCTGCGTCAAATAAGTGCTTGATATTTGTGGTGGTGAGCTTTAGCTGCTACAGAGCCCAGCCATTTAATCAAACACTAATCTAGGTGGTGCTGTGAAGTTTCTTTGCAGATGATATATATAATCAACTCACTTTAAATAATGGAGACTATTTTCAATAATGTGGGTGGGTCTCATCAAATAAGTTGAACAGCCTCAGAAGCAAGCATGAGTTTCCTCTGTAGAAGAAATTCTGCCTCCAGACTGCATCATCAGCTTCTGCATGAGAGTTTCCAGCCTGCTGGGCTGATGTAGATTTTAGACTTGCTGAATCCCATTCATGTTAGTCATATACACAGTGATTCCATTCCTCTGTAGAACCATGACTGATATAGATTTGGGTACCAACAGTGGTTTTAAAGGCACAGAATTCTAAGAATGAGTTTTTTGACTTGGTTTTGGGGTTTCAGGAATTGATTCTGTAATCTAATTAGATTTAAAGGCAGTAAAGACTCTATTTCCAGTATTAACAAGAACACTGGTAGTCCATGGCACAAAGAGGCAATAGAGATACACACAATATCACCACTGAATACTACTACTCAAGTATTGATAAGGCAAGGTTCTCAGTGACCAAGTATTTGATAACTTAGAACAGTTCTGTCAAATAATGAGTGCAATAAGATTGGTTGTTTGCTCTTAACCATGGTATAGAAAGTAGAGAGAAAAAGGGTGAGCCTAGGATTTCAAATTACTAGCCTATGCCCTGCATATATGACCTGAAAATGCATATGCCTGTCTTAGATTATACCCTTATCTCCTATAGCCATGAGCCTGAGATTTCTGAACACTAAACCCAGAGTCTCATCCTGCTAGTCACTGAATTACATTACAAATTAAACCCCAGCTTAGCAAAGTTTCTTCTGTTAAACACAGACGTTGATTGGGAAAAACAGGACCCTGAATATTGGAAGGAAGACATATATGAAGTCTGTGATGAAGCTGAGCTCAGTGAACCCCTAAGTTCTGCTGAGTCTTCTTTGGTGGTAGAGTGATAGCCTTCACTGAGGTGGTTGTCCTAAAAACAATGCTGATTCTCCTGAGGATCCAACCCCACCAACCCTCTTTTCTTTTATAGGTATAAGTACACTCAAGTGGCAACAGGTGAAAAAAGGTGAGATACAAAGTTTAACCCATTAAACGTGTGTTCCACTTCAAAATCATTGCATATTTTTTCAATTTATACAGACAGACTTCTGGGAAATACGTGTGGAATGGATACTCATGATTTTGGATAATGTTGGAAGGCACATAAATTTGGACTAGGTCAAATTGATTGATATTGCCCCACTAAGCATAAATTCTGGATGTAAATTTGGGGTGTTAGAAAGGATTCTGACAGTTTGTTTAGTTGACTTGGGTTTAAACATGGACCAAAAAAAAATGACTTATAATAAATTACATTAAAATGCCAGGATCGCCTTGGTACACTGCAGAGGAAGTTAACAGATGACTTAAGAGTACTGGAATGTTAGAGTGGATTTATCATACAAGAGCCCCTCACTGACCCTGGGAGGGCCCAGAGAATGCACCTTTCGACTTGACTCTGAGGAAGAAATTTGTGTGGTGGCTCTGTTAAAGAGCTCTTCGGGCACTCTTCTCTGTAGGGCAGAAATTACCATAGGAACTATTGCCACTGAACTGGAATCCTTACATGCAATGGCAGTAATTGGATCCTGGGATGACAGGGCCCAAGTGGCAAAGACAAAGAGGCCATGGTTATGAGAATGGAAATCAGGGCCAAGGCAGTAATCAGAGTAGCTTAACTCGGAGAGGCCTATGGTGTTGGCAAGTTGATCATGTGTCCCTAGAAGCAAAATAGACAGGAAGCCTACTAAATTTTTATTTGATCAGTACAAGCAAATGAATTCTAGGTTGAGTGAAAATTCTAGTATGAATCACCAGAATAGAGTCATAGACTCTCACTCAGTTCCCAGAATTGAAATGGTTTGTAGAACCAGAGCCCCTTGCATGAAGGTTTGAATGTTCGTCCACTCCAAATCTCATGTTGAAATGGGATCCCTAGTGTGGAAGGTGGGCCCGGTGGAGAGTGTTTGTGTTATGGAGGCAGATCACTCATGAATGCCTTGGTGTCCTCCCTGTAGTAATAAGTTCATGCCAGACCTGGCTGTTTAAAAGAGTCTGGAACCTCCCTTCTTTCTCTCTTGCTTCCTCTCTTACCACATGACATGCTGGCTCCCCTTCCATCTGCTGTGACTAAAAGCTTCCTGGGACCTCAGCATATGTAGACTCTGGTGTCATGCTTCTTGCACAGCCTGCAGAACCATGAGTCAAAGTAAGCCCCTTTTCTTTATAAATTAGCCTGCTTGAGGTATTCCTTTATAGCAATACAAATGAACTAATAAAGAAAGGAAGTCGGGCCACATAAAGAAGGACGCTGATACCCTACCACAGGTGTATGTTGTTAATCTTGCTCCCAGCCTCCCCCAAAGAATTGCAGAATCTTTTACCAGGGCAAATAAATGTGAACTAAATATGAATTAAAGAAGGGAAAAAACCATATCTTTCAGCAACTACCAGACACTGGTTCTGAAATGACACTAATTCCTGGAGACACAAAACACCACTGTGGTCCACCAATCAGAAGAGGGGCTGTGGAAGTAACCAGCGGAGTTTTAGCTCAAGTCCATCTCAGGGTAAGGCCAAGGTAGTCTGTGAACACATTGTATGTTTTTCCCCTGGTTCTGAGTGTGTAATTAGAATTGACTTGCTCAGTAACTAGCAGAATCACCACATTGGTTTTCTGACATGTGGAGTGAGAGCTGTTGCTATGGGAAAGGCCAAATGGATGCCATTAGAACTACCTTTAACTTACCTTTGCAAGTAAAATAGCAAACCAAGAACAATACCACTTTCCTCGAGATATTGTAGACTTTATTACTATCATCGAGGACTCAAAAGTTTCAGGAGAAGTGATTCCCACTATATCCCAATTCAACTGACCTACTTGGCCTATGCAGAAGACAGATGGATTTTGGAGACTGACAATGGATTACCACAAGCTTAGCCAGGTGGTGACTCTAATTGAAGCTCTGTAGCAGATGTGGTTTTATTGCTTGAGCAAATGAACATATCCCTTGGTACCTGGCATGCAGCTATTGACCTGCCAAATCCCTTTTTCTCCATTCCTGTCCATAAGGCCCATCAGAAGCAGTTTGCTTTCAGCTGGCCAGGACAGCAATATACCCTCACTGTCCTACCTCAGAGATGTATCAATCTTCAGCCCTATGTCAATAGCTCACAAGGATTTTGAATCACTTCCCCTTTCCACAAGATTCCACAGTGGCTCATTACAGTGATGGCATTAAGTTAATTGGACCTAGTAAGTGAGAATTAGGAACTATTCTAGGCTTATTAACAAGACATTTGTGTGTCAGAAAGTGGGAAATAAATCTGACAAAAATTCAAGGACCTTCTACCTCAGCAAAGTTTCTGGGGGTCCAGTGGTGTGATGTCAGTTGAGATACCCTTCTAAGGTAAAGAATAGGTTGTTGCAGTTGGCCTTGCTTATGACCAGAAAAGAGGGACAATGCCTAGGAGGCCTATTTGAGTTTTGGAGGCAACATATTCCTCATTTGGGTGGACTACTATGGCCTCTTTAGAGAAGTGACTCAAAAAGCTGCTGATTTCAAGTGGGGTCCAGAACAGGAGAAGATTCTGCGTCAGGTCCAGGCTACTGTGCAAGCCGCTCTACCACTTGGAACATATGACGCAGAATATCTGTCATGTGAAGTGGCAGTGGCAGACAGGGATGCTGTTTAGAGCCTTTGGCATGTCCCTGTAGGTGAATCACAGGACAAGTCCTCAGAATTTGGGAGCTAATCCCTGCTTTCTTCTCTGGATAACAACTCCCTTTTAAGAGACAGCTCTTTTTCTGCTATTGGCTATTAGTAGATACAGAATGATTAACCATGGGACACCAAGTCACCTGAGATGTTCATCATGAACTGGGTATCATCCAATAGACCAAGCCATAAAATTAGGGGTACACATCATCAAATGGAAGTGATCGGGCTCAAGCAGACCCTAAGGCACAAATAGTTTACAAGAGAAAGAACTTCAATTATCTATGGTTTCCACTCTTGCTCCATTACCTTCTTTCTCTTAGCCCACACCTATGGTCTCATGGGGAGTTTCCTAACCACAATTCACTGGAGGAAGAGAAAAGTTGACTTGGGTTAGAGATGGTTCTGCACAATATGCAGGTGCAACATGGACTTCCACTCACCAAGGCCAACATGGTTACAGCCACTGCTGAGTGCCCAATTTGTCAGCAGCATAGACCAACACTGAGCCCAGTATGGCATAATTCCCCAGAGTGATAAGCCAGGTACCTGATGGCAGGTTTATTGTATTGGGCCACACTTACATCATGGAAAGGTCAGCATGTTGTGCTTATTGAAATAGACATTTATTTTGGATATGAATTTGCCTTTCCTATACACAGCGTTCTTGCTAAAATTGCCATTTGTGGATTTACAGAATGCCTTATTAACTGTCATCATATTCCATACACCATTTCTTCTGATCAAGGCACTCACCTCACAGAAAATGAAGTGAAGCAGTGAGTCCATGCTCATAAATTTCACTGGGCTGGTCTTACCATTTTCCCACCATCTTGAAGTTGGCTTGATAGAGCAGTGCAATGGCCTTTTGAAAACAGTTATGGCATCAGCCAGGTGGCATTTTCTTGCAGGGCTGAGTCAAAGTTCTCCAGGAAGCTGTATATGTTCAATATATGGTGCTGTCTCTCCCATTACCAGAATTCATGAGTTTAGGAAATGAGGGTAGTGCCTCTCAGTATTACTCTCTACTTACTAGCAAAACTTTTGTTTCCTGTACCTGCGACCTTATTCTCTTCTGGTTTAGAGGTCTTCATTCCACAGTGAAGAATGTTTCTATTAGGAGATCCAACAATGATTTCATTGAATTGGAAGTTGAGATACTCCCAGCCACTTTGGACTCCATTGCCTCTGAATCAACATGCAAAGAAATGAGTTACTCCTCTGACTGGGGTGATTGATACTGACTTCCAGAGGGAAATTGGGCTGCTCCAGCTTGGAGGTCAGGAAGAGTATGCACAGGAGGTTCCTTAGGTGTGTCTTACCATGCTTGTGATTCATGCCAATGGAAAACTGCAATAACCCCGTTCAGGCAGGGACTATTAATGGCCCAGACACTTCAGGAATGAAGATTTGGGTTACCTTACCAGGTGAAGAACTATGACCAGCTGAGGTGTTTGCTGAGGACACAAGGAATAAGGAATGGGTAGTGGAAAAAGGCGGTTATTACTACCAACTACCACCACATGATCAGCTGCAAAAATGAGGACTGTAATTGTTATTTCTTTCTCATTTTGTTATAAACTTGACTGTATGTGCATGTACACTTACAAACATATATATGTGTGTATACACATATGTATAATATATGTCAATTATCTTTGTTTTCTTCCCTTCTTTATTCCCTTATCATCTAACATAAGATTTATTAATAATAGTTAATTTTACATCACAGCATTTAAATTACAGCATATCAAGGAGATTACTCAAGGCCTTTGTATCCCCTTCTAGGGAAATAATTAGTGTGTTTTTGATTATACAAAGGACTGTTGTATCATATTCGTTAGAAGGATGACTTTGTGATGGTTTTTATTTGGAGCTAAAGTAGGTTTAAGGGGATATATATGAATGTTACGTTGACAAAGGGTGAGCTGTGATGGTTACTTTTATGTGTCAACTTGAATAGGTTATGGTGCCCAATTATTTAATTGCGCATTAATCTAAGTGTTGCTGTGGAGGTATTTTAATGTGGTTAACATCTGAAATCAGTTGGCTTTAAGTACAGGAGATTATTCCCAATAATGTGGGTGGTCCTCATGCAATCACTGAAAGGCCCTAAAAGCAAACATTGAGGTTTCTCTGATAAAGAAATTCTGTTTCGAGTAGGCAGCACCAACTCCTGCCCAAGAGTTTCCATTCTGCCAGCCTACCCTACAGAATTTGGACTTGCCAGCCCACACAATTGCATGAGCCAATTTCTTTAAATGGGTCTCTTAAAATATGTGTACACATACATAGATATTCTACTGCTTCAGCTGGTCCGGAGAATCCTGACTGATACAGTTGTGTATGCCACTGAGATTTTATTGTTTTATTGTGTAATATTTTGTGATAATAATTGACTAAAAGAGCATATTTCTTTTTTAAAAAAATTGAAATATTGAAAGTAGTTTATTTTGATGATATTATCTAGAAAAAAATACTGTCAATCAGTCCCATTATCTGGATTCCGTGAGCTACCCTACTTCCTGCTCTTTCCAAAGCCTAGTTGGTCAGTTGCTTCTTCACTTTGGTGAAACAGTCCATATTTTTCCAAAAAATTATTTTATAGTTTGAGCTAGTCATATTTGGATTTCGTCTCTTGTATCCAAATAACTCTAGTAGCGCATATTTCTAGATATTCCTGAAAATCCTTTAAACACAACTAACAAGTGCCAGCCATTTAATAACATGATAAGTTCCAGAATATAATATATACTAGATATTTCTATGTTATACTATAAAAACTATAAGGAAAACACTTCATTTGTAGCTGGTTTATTAGTAACATAGATATGATGGTTAATACTCAGTATCAACTTTATTGGATTGAGGGATACAAAGTATTGATCCTGGGTGCATCTGTGAGGATTTTGCCAAGATTAACATTTGAATCACTGGGCTGGGAAAGTCAGAACCACCCTTAATCTGGGTGGGCACCATCTGATCAGCTGCCAGCATGGCTAGAATATAAAAAGGAGGCAGAGAAATGTGAAAAGACGAGGCCGGCCTAGCCTCCCAGCTTACATCTTTCTCCTGTGCTGGATGCTTCCTGCCCTCAGACATCAGACTCCAGGTTCTTCAGTTTTTGGGACTCAGACTGGTTTCTTTAATCCTCAGTTTGCAGACAGCCTATTGTGGGACGTTATGATTGTGTGAGTTAATACTTAATAAACTCCCCTTCATATATATATATATATAATATATATATATGTTATATATATAGCTACAGAACTAATAGGATATATATATATATCCTATATATATAACTAATAGGATATATATATCCTATATATATATAACTAATAGGATATATATATCCTATATATATATATAACTAATAGGATATATATATCCTATATATATATAACTAATAGGATATATATATATATATATAACTAATAGGATATATATATATAACTAATAGGAGATATATATATATATACACACACACACACACACACACACACACACACACATATCCTATTAGTTCTGTCCCTCTAGAGAACCCTGACTAATACAATAGGTTAACTAATTCTGTTATTTAAAATGTAAACTTTAGATTTTTTTTCCAACAACAAAACTTATTTTTCTCTGGAGACACATTCATCTTCCCATATTACTTTTTTTCTTATTCAGATATGAAATTTTTAATGCTTTCTGTATATGATTTTTTAAAAGTAATTGATTTGTACTAAAATATGATGCAGGAACAATTACATAGTTTATAAATGTCTTCTTTTCTGTATCCATGGATAAAAGAAAAATAAGTTTATTGGTTAATCATTATCTAGCATAAGTTTTTCTAGGGGCAAAAAAAAAGCCCCTATGAAAATAATTTTTAAAATTTCATCAGTAAACTTTATTACCTAAAATATGGAGATGAGAACTGCAATGCATATAATGTGATGAAATCATCTTTAATGTTTAAAAAATGACAATATATGAATGTCCCCTACCTCATCTTTGATCCATGTAGAATCTCCATGGACAGCTCAGTGATAAGCCACAAAGCATGGAAAGCTCTAGCCTAAGGAAGCCTGTCTAGACTATTATTACGTCACTGACCTAACAAACAATGGTAACAGCCTGGTTCCTGACCAAGAAAAGTGAAAGTGAAGCTGAACATTTCCTGACTGTCACATCATCAGATGTGGCCTCTGTCTAGAGATCTTGCCTATTATGATTAAATCTAACACTCAGAAATTAAAAAGAATTATTATCATCAATTATGATAAGAACAGCAACAATAGCTGTTGATTAAACTTCATCTTTGCAACCAAAACCTGGAAAATAAAATGAGACAAACACAGCCAAATTTATGCATGCTGAATATAAAACATAAGACTGCTTCCCTTCAAATGCTCCATTGCCCAGGAGACTGATAAAGATATGCACCTCTCCAGCTGCACCCATGGAGAGCTAAGTAGTTATGTAAAACAGAATAGGAAGTATTGGTGCAAAAATATTTTGGATTTAAATGATTTTGATAATTTCCATAATGCTTTACTTGATGAGTGTTAAAAAGTCTCTATAATGTTCTGCTTACTCTGACAGTTCAGTTTACTGAAGAGAAAAATGTTATCTATTTATAGAGTTTGCTCTAGGCAAAATAATGAAATATGCAAAATTTATCTCCTATCTCTTTGTGTGTCCCAAACTGAAACCCAGTGTGTACCCTCTCCACACACATTCACATCTTCAGGTTATGCCTTGACTGTTGGAAAAATATTAATTGGTCCTCTCTCCAAACTCAGTTACAACAATAGGATTTAAAACAATGGTTACAGTCACTTGAGTTTCATTTTGTGTGAATTTTTTGTTCATTTAACAATATGTACCTTGGAGTCAACTATTTAAGCATCTTTAACCTTTTTATGTTAGTTAGGATACTGGTTTCTTTTAAAAAATCAATATAATAGTGGCATAACTCAGAGAGCAGTTTGCTTCTCTTGTAAGAGTCCAAACGTAAACGTCCCGAGGTGATTTCAAAATCTGTGGGACCCACTCTCCATCCCTCCAATTTCTCTGCCATCCTCAGCATGTGTGCTCTGACAAGAGTTCATTGCTGCCCTCATGTCCAAGCTCCTGCCAGGCAGAAAATGGGAGCTGGACACATCAAGCCCATTCACATTCCATTCTCTCATTACAAGATCACATCTAGCCATGCTGGGACTGGGAAATGTGGTGTTTAAGGGGGCAGCCCTGTGACCAGCTAACACATGCTGGAGAACAGGGATGGCCGCCAGGCATTTTCCGAAGTTGCTCTTGCACCTTGTAACTTTCACCTGTGTGAAAGAGTCCTTTTAAGAGAGTTTCTGTAGTCCTTGGGATTACTGAGATGTTTTATGCACTTTTAACATTTATTATTATTACTGTTGGCAGCAGCAGGCTGTCTGGAGCGGCAGTTGCCATCAGGTCAGCTGCAGAAGAGAGGTGCAGCCATGGCTGCATGCTCCATGGAGTGGTGGGAGCCAGGAAAAAGTGGGAGCTCTGCCCCTTCAAAGTTGGGGTGGGAGCTCCCCACATGCTGCTGCAGTCACCCAATGCATAGCTGTGGATCCAGACATCCCTGTGCTCCTGGGCCCTGGAGCAGGAGGGAGCCCTGCCCCTGACCCCCCATCGGCACAACTGCAGCTGCCCAACTGCAGCTGTGAAGCCATGGCTGTGGCTGTAAACCAAGGCATCTCTGGGGGCCCATGAAGGCCCCCCCTGCTTTCATAGGCTAGGAAGTGCCTACTCCTGCTGCCTGGCTACTCCCTGCTGTGAGCACTTACTCTGATCTCGGAGCAAAGTCGGGGCCAAGCCCAGATGCCGTCGAAGCCCACCCAGCTGTTCACATGCTCAAGGCAATGCTGCCACACCAGCCCTTTGCCACTTCAGCTGCCTCCAGACTTGGGGCACCAACTAGCACAGAAGGGAAGCTGAGGTGGGGTTGAGGGCAGTTCTTCACTAGCCTGCAGGTGCCCCTTGGTACCTACAGCCTGGGCTCCATGAACAGCTGCAGAATGCAGACAGGTTCCTGGGTGAAAGGGGGCAAGACCCTGGTAAGGCTCCACCTTCAGGGCAGGGAGGGCCTGAAGGCTGGGGGACAGGCTGTCAGTCCTGCTGACCAGAGTGGGAGCTTGTGGTGCCTTTTCTGGGCCTACCTATGGCTCCCATGGACTAATCACATGCCCTTTCTCCCCTCTGAGGCCCGTAAAAGCCCTAGGATCAGCCAAAGCTGAGCAGGTGCCAGGATGACCAGCTGCAGAGAGGAGCTACCCTCTCTGCTGAGAACTGAACACTTCTTGGGACAACCTGTCTGCAGAGAGGAGCTACCCTCTCTGCTGAGAGCTGAGCACTCATCAGGATGATTTGCCTAGCAGAGAGGAGCTACCTTCTCTGCTAAGAGCTGAACACTCATTGGGATATCCTGCCTGAAGAAAGGAGCTACCTGCTGTGGCTTTCCTCTGAGCTGTCCTATCTATCAATAAAGCTCCTCTTTGTCTTGCTCACCCTCCACTTGTCTGCACACCTCATTTTTCCTGGTCACAGCACAAGAACTCAGGATCTATCAACTGGCAGGGCTAAAACAGCTGTAACACCAGCAGGGCTGAAACATGCCCCTTGCTCATCATGTTGCAGGCGAAGAGAAGGAGGGAAGAGCTGTGGCCCTTCAGTATTCCCAGATCTGTGAACTCCCTGAGCCAGGGCTGTGACACCATCTTTGGGGCCCTGTGGTTCCTGGCATCTCCAAACTTCTGGGTGCCACTGTGTTCTGCAATGCCACCTGTGGGAGCTGCTTGAAGTGCACCTGGACAAGACACAGCCTCACAGAGAGCTGTTGCTCATGCCAGCACCTGGAGCCACCCTCCCCACTGCAGCAGTTGGTGTGTCTGATCGTGCAGTGGCCGAACCCCGTGCTCACTCACACACCCCTTGCCACTTCATGCATGACTTGCCCTGGCAGGCATGAGATCCAGGCTGGTAGCATGAGCCAAGCACAGCCTGCCAGGCCGAGTGGGCGGAACGAGCCCAGTGGACCTGAGCAAAACTCGGGCAAAGGTGCCACCAGCCACAGAGGTTTCCATCCGGAAAAGCGACACCTCAAGCATCCCATAGCATTATTATTGATATTAACTCAGTTTTGACCAGTTATACCTACTCTGCTTTTTCACAAAGTTGTCATGAAGTTTTGAAATTTTCTGTTCACCCCTGAGGAACATTCCAAAATCAATTTTTTTAAAAATCAAAATAACTGCAGTCTCATGGACATTTTGATATTTTATGTGGGCTTCAAATGTCTAAGTTGATTTTATAATTCTTAAATTAATATTAGGCAATTATGTCAATTCTTTAGGTGATTTTGCTTTATATGATAAAATTGCTTTTAACCAATCAATTTAGCTAGATTTTTGACATTTTTGTGTGTATATTTATTTTTAATTATGCAAATTTGATAATATGCTATAAAAAAAGTCTTTTCAACCATTGATTCTTCACTTAGAGGAGAAAAAATTCTGAAAATTCATGAATACATTTCCAGAAAAGTACTGCAAACACAGTGAAGAGTGAATTAGAAAAAAAACAAATGAGATGTTTTAAGAAACATAAAACGTTTTCCAAAAAACTGAAGAATACCCTATTTTGCAAAATTGTTCTCCTCCTTCAAATCTAAAAAATGAATAAAGAACTTGAAATTATGTACGAAGTTGTTAAACTTTCCCATGTGCACAGAAATAAGCCAACAAAGGATATATAAATGGGTATAAATATTCATGTCCCTACACATTCCATTTTTTTTCTTCCTTTCCTAAAGTTTAATTTATGAAGGTGCAGGCTTTTGAGTGCCTAGATTTTACCATTTCAAAAATTCAGCCAAACTCACTTACATCAAAATTTCACCTCAATTGTCCTTCTCACCCTCCTCAAATACACACCTCCCGAATTCCCCAAGAGCAGCCTCCTTTCTATGTGCTTATTATTTTATGAAGCTGACTCAGAAAGCCGACCCATTGTGAGCCTGGGCTCATGATGCCCAGGCAGGAGCCGGAGTCTGGGAACACTCAGGCCAGGTTGAATCCTTCACTGCTTCCTTTTGACCTTCCAGAAGTTTTAGCTTTCAGGCTTGAGGATAAAAGAAGTTCTAAATGCAGCATGTAAAGAGCACAAGACAACTGATCAAAGTGTGTAACTGACAAAAGAAGGTGAAGATGAGGAGAGCTTCAGGGCAAGGTAATATTGTTTTCAAACCCTTGGGGAAGCACTATTCTCTCTCTCTCTCTCTCTCTCTCTCTCTATATATATATATATATATATATATATAATTTATTAATATTAAATATATAATATTATATATTTAATCTACTTCTGAAATAGATTAAAATGAAGTCCTGGGATTCATGGAAGCAGGCAAAAAATATATACAATTTGATGAAGACTCTGAAAGTGGACGACACAGTATGGTAAGTGTCAGGCTGCAAGTCAGGAGGCTTCACCATTGGCTGGGTTACTTACTTGCTGAATCATTTGCTTAAACGATCTGAGTCTCAATACCCTTTTCCTATCCAATGATACATCACTGACTTTTCCTCAAGGATGAGGTAATAGGCAGATGTAATATTTTTTTTCACAAAATTATTATCATTATGCAAGTGAAAAATACTACTGCTGCAAAGAAAACCTCAGTAAGATGATATGAAAATATTTTACCCATTCTGGGACATGTAAACCTCAAATCTGAATAGCAAGAGTCTGGTTCAAGTTTTAGTAATTGCCAATTTTGTTATAAATATGAAGTGGAGGATGTGTATAATCTGTATAGTTACAGTTGTTGGAAATCAGAATATGTTGCCCCCAAATAGGAAGGTTTGTTGAGCTGAAGACAATTATGGTGCAGCAGACGCAGGAAAGCTCTTTTTTCTCCCTCTATTTGCCTAAAAGTAGGATGTAAATTTACAAAGACAAAAGATACCCTGCCTTCTCCTTCTACCAGTGAGAACAAAGTTTACCCACTGGAAATATCTTTAGACTTTCAGCCTGGAGATAACACCTTTACTAACCGGCCTTCACCATTTATTTGCCTTTCCCCTGAATTGCCATCTATAGAGATTCAAAGTCCTTTTCCTTTTTCTTGTCACTTCTCTAAAAATGTACTGTTCTTCGTAAAGTTGCTATATAACCTGGAGCTCAAAGTCTCCCCTTGCAGAGCTACTCCTTCCCTGGGTGCCTCCCATGCATATATAAAACATACATGTAATAAACTTCTGTTTGTTTTTCTCTTGTTAATCTGTCTTTTGTTATGGGGGTCAATTCCAACCAAGGACCTATAGGGTTACTATTTTTCCCCACATAGTAATATAAAATTCCAAATGTTCATCGTATTATCAGAGGATTTTGTGACTTATCTTATCCTGACTCCTTTTACATGGGAATAATATCCCCAAACAAGCACAGGCTAGGATTGTAAAGTTGACACTACATGTTTTTTAAGTGATTCAGCCTAAACATTTCCCTCTGCCTGGAGTATCTACTCTCACCTCATTCACACTCATGCTCACAATTGCTCAGCACCCCTCCCACAGCTGCCATGCCCTTGATTCTTTACCTTAGCCCTTCTGAATCACTGTCTCTTCTGCTTGGCTCCTCTGTAAGTCGTATCTGTTCCATGTACAAACTCTTGGCTCTCTGTAGAGTTCTGGAGCTTGTCCCCCAGGTCCTCCTGTGCATGTCCCATTGCCCCAGCACACCAGCCAGATCCACCAGAATCTAATGTGCCCAACCATGTGCCTGAAGGCCATCTGATGACATTAGAGTATAGATTCAAGGCTCTATGTCCACAAAAGTCAGTAATGCAAACATCTCATTTTATAAGGAGCATGCATAGAGTTTCAGAAATGATGTTGTTTAAAAACACACTATTTTGCCCTGCATGTTCAAGAATCTTCTACAGGAGAGATCCCCAACAGCAAACCAAGGACCAAATCTAGCCTGCAGACACATGTTGTTTAAATGTTACTCTGGCAGACATTCACTCTGCAATTAATGGATAGCAAGTTCTTCCTTATCCAGGACACATTACACCTTCACTTTTTAATTTTACTTCCCAGTGCCTGAGGTAGTGAGTTTGTGACTTTCTTTCTTCACGATGAAAACATTTTTATTTATGTGAAAACAAGTTTCCAACTTAAAACAGTTTTCCAACTTCCAATTTGATCTAAAAAAAAGGATCAAATTGCCTAGGGAATTTTATTTATTTATTTAGCTATGAGATGCCTTGTTTCATCTAAATGCTGTGTAGAAGCCAAATATGAAAAACACATAAATGCTGAGCAGTTCACATTGATTTGGGCATGAAAAAAGGCTGAGGTTTCTTAAGTTCACTTTATTTTCCAGTGAAAATTAGGCCACTCTTCTTGAAGCCTGGAGCTCTGCGGAGCAAAGTTTAAAGACCACCAAGCTAACTAATTACTACAGTCCCAATTGTCCCTATGAACTGGGTACCTGGTCTGGGAAGAGGCTGAAAACAGAAAGGACAGAAAATGAAGATCTTTTGTGCGCCTTACAACAGTTGAGCTGCCCATATAAAAATGTACCATGCATTACAACCTGCAAGGGAGATTAGTCTCTGGACCTCACAAAATAGTAACAGGAATGATATTGACTAAATTCGAAAGTGCCTATATAGTTTTATTAAACAGAATTTACTTAGTTATTATGCTCTTTCTTCCAGGACTCCAAAAATAGCAACCTTGATATTTTAACTAATTGGATGTTTACATATTAAGGAAACTACAATTGATCACACTATTAGCAAGGCTAAAAGGGTCAATTCACCAGGAAGATTTGCCTAAAGGGAATTTAAGATTTTAACAGCAAACAGAGAGGTCACAAACACCTAAAAGACAGTGAAAATTGTGGCAGAATGCCATTGGCTATGTGTTTTGTTCAGGGTCCTTCACCATCAAAATAGGTCTTCTAACAAGCTAAGCATTTCAACACTAATACATAGCTTCAACATATGAATTTTGGGGAAGATAAATTTAAATCCATAAAAAAAAATTGTGTAGGCTACATCAGAGATCCCAGGACTAGAATCTGTAAGAGGAGTGAGATGATTCCTGTAATGGCCCAGGAACGAGGATTCACAGTGGAGTAAAGGTGTTGGTGGGAGCCTTGGACAAAAGGGCCTGGTGATCAAACAATGCTAAGGCATGCGAACAGGTGTGGAGTCAGCCTTAACATAGCCCAGGTGACTTCACAGTTATTGTCACCATGAACAGATATGGAATTAAGAACATCTCACTTTAGAGAAAAAATAATATTTAGCTGCAAGTATATTGATATCTTCAAATATATCTTCCAATATACATTTAACCATAATGAAAAGTATAAGCTGTCATGTGAGATTAAACTCTGCACTTCTTAAATGAGTTTCCCATCTACTGTTTCCCTGTCATCAGAACAATCCTGAAAAATAGTTATCTATTGTGAGGTTGAGGAAACTGAGGCACATATTGTACATTTTTTACTACTTAATAAACTTTTACAAAGGTATGTATATCCATTTAATCACATGGTAACATTATACAATCTTACACATCACCAAGAATTAATTTAGAATTCTCTTGTCACACTTGAAAAATTAATATGGAGAGCTGTTTGAAAAAATCCTGATCACTAGACTTAACAAGTGAGATTTACTCAACAATTTAAACAGTGACCTACCATATTTGAGCTCATAACATTAAATTAACTTCTGTATTTCGTGAAAACATATTTGCATTCCTTAAATAAGAGGATCTGGGAGTTTAATAATCACTAACCAAAAAGAATTACAATTTGTTTATCTTTATGAAGCAAATAAACAAAAATTAAAACTTTACAAAACAGAATTTACCAAGTGCTACATTGGAATGATTTGTAATTAACACATGGAAAAATTTTTACTTACATTGGTGATTTTTGCCTCCCTCTGTTCTCTGTAGATAATTTCTTTAGTCAGTGGGTAAAATGCAGTTATATACATGCAGAATAGCTAAATGTTTAAATATAGTTATACTGCTTGGACAGATGGAGAGACACAGAAAATATTTTTCAGTATAACACAGATAACTTCTAAAGCAGGTGTTTTGTTTACCAACTGTCTCTTGGAAACTCTTCAGTTCAAAATGGTGAGGTTATTTTTTGTATACGAAATCCAGTCTACTTCCTAAAATTCAACCCGGCATGCAGTTTCTTGGGATATACTATCTGACTCCACAGAGACAAACAACTATTCAGACTGCACTGCGTACTGAGTTTCATTATTGAAATCCTTACACTGGATTTTAATGATTTTTTCTTCCTATTTGTCATCCCATCCTGTTACATAATGTCAGAGCTGTATCTTTCATTTCTTGGAATCCCCAGAGCTTCTCAATGAGCTTGACACACAGCAGACATTTAATAAAATTATATAAAGTTAAATTATGACCATCTCTTGAGTATGTGACTTATACATAATAGGAAGTAATAATTAAAATGCATATTTGCCCATTTTAAATAAAGAAAGATGCAAAGTATCAGGAAGATGGCAGAATAGGAAATACCAGAACTTCTTCTACCACAGAGACACTAGCGTAACAATATATGGTATGTACATGGGGACAAGAAACAGGAAGAGATGTAAAGGAGTAGGTTTTGTAAGTAATTGAAGTTAAGTTGTTATCAATTTAAAATATATTATATAAGATATTTTATGTTAGATCCATGGTAACCCGAAAAAAAATAACTATAGAAGATGCATAAAATAAAATGGCAAAGGAATCAAAGCATGCCACCACACACACACACACACAGAGAAAGATCAATGAAACACAAATGAAAGCAGCTAGAGAGGAAAAGTTGACATGGGATAAGATAACTATAAATGAAAAATAAAAAAGGATGAAAAATGAAAAGAGTTGAGAAATAAAAAGTAATGAAATAACTATAAGACACACAAAAACAATAACGAAATGGCAATGGTAAGTTCTTTCCTATTAGTAATTACTGTAAATGTAAGTGGATTAAACTCCCTAATCAAAAGACAGAGTGGCTGAATGGATTAAAAAACAAGATCCAACTACATGCCGTCTACAGGAGATTTATTTTTTGATATAAGCCTGACAGTAAAAAAATAGGAAAAGATACTCTAGACAAATGGTAGCCAAAGGGAGCAGGGGTAGCTATACTTACACAAAATTGATTTTAAGTTAAAAATGGTCAGAAGACACGAAGTAGGACATGATGTAACGATAAAAGGGTCAATTCACCAGGAAGATGTGATGTAATAATTATAAATATATAGGCAGCTAACATTAGAGCACTCAAATATATGAATAAAACCTTGACAGAATTTATGTTAGAAATAGATATTAACACAATAATAGTAAAAGACCTAAAAAATTGCCTTTTTAGTAGTGGTAGGTCAGTGAGACAGAGAATCAATAAGAAAACAAAGGGGCTGAACAACACTCTACACCAATGTGACTTAATAAACATATACTGAACACTTCACCCAACAACATCAGAATCATCTGCACACCAGGTTAGAGACTTCTCTTTCCCTGCCAACTGATCACAGTGAACTTGGCAGGAGCCATATGAATATGCTGGGAGGGAGAAGCCATGGTAGCTGGAATGGGGTCCATGGGAATTTGGGCCACTAGTTCATGTGACTTATTTTTGCCTTCAGGGCTTGCTGAGGCCTGATGACTTATTTATTGGATGATGGAGTACTGCTGTGCACACCCGACTTTATGGCTTAGTGAGTCAGATAACATCCAGTTAATGATGGGCAGCTCACGCCACATAATAACGTGGTGACCAATGGTTAAGCATTCAGTCTTTTCTGAGATCCAGTAGTAGGCCAATAGCTGATTCTCAAAAGAAAATAGTTATCTTGAGTGAATGGCTGGGCTTTTCTCCAAAATCATAAAGACCCATGCTGTGGTTCACCTATAGAAGCCTCCAAAGGCCAGTCTAGCATTTCTAACTTGGTCACATTAGGCCACATTTAAGTTCATGTTTCAATTATCCTATCAAAAAATTATTATCCTATTAAACAAATTATTAAAATCCTCCCTAATAGAATCTCAGCTTAGGGAGATCATAGCAATAAATTCGGCCTGATCCAACTTTTATTTTCCTTTCATTCTTAATCCATACTCTTAGTATCCATTCACATATATATTCCTCGGAATTCTGCTTGTATAAATTAGAAAATTCAAGTGCTTGTGGAGTGTAGTGCACCTCCTCATGGGTCATACTTTGTACTTCACCTTCAGGGGACTTCTGGGACTTGGGTCTAGTTATAGGTCTGGAAGAAAGGAGCGGAGGTGGGGATGGCTCTGGAGAGAAATGGCATTACCTTGCCTAGTAACTGCCTTTGGGGAGGCCATTATAGGTTTTTCAGGCAATGTAAGGTTAAGTCCTTCAGACAGGGGTGAAAGGGCGAGGAGACTACTATCATTGCAGGTGGGGAGGCTGCTCCCACTGAAGCCCTGAAAATGGAGCGCTGCTCCTACTCTCCACTGAAAATGGAGAAGCCTCCTCTACTGGCAAAAATGAGTCATTCCAATTTACTGGCTCATTGTGCCCATACTCATCAGGGTCTTCCCACAGGGTCGTTCCCATTCTGACTTTCAAGATCCCATTCCTTACCAATCAATGCCCTCACTGTAGCAGATAGTTCAACAGGCTGGGAGTTCAAGTTGCATTTTGATTCAGCCAGTCGCAGAGTGGTATTCTGCACCTGATTTTTAACAATCTCAGCCTTATGGCTACAGGAAAAAAGAGCTCCTTCATAGCACGCCCAGAATCTTTCATGTCATTTATGTAGCCCTTGAGCTTGGAATTTGAATTCCTGAACTCATCCTTTTATTTTCTCACTTTGTGCAGTGAGTTAGGAGCTGCCAGCCAATCTCATTATATTCATTAGTTTGCCAAAAATGCTCAAATGTATATACATAGTACTCAGATCCTTGCTTCTTATAAATGGTTGATTAGGAGTGTCCAATGGTGATATTCTGCATATCTCTATGGCCAGATCACACCATGGAATATAGACACCATGGAATATTAGAAATAGAGTCATTGGCATCTTTAAACCCAATCAGATTAAAGAGCCAATTCCAGATACTTCAGAACCAACTCAGAAAATTCATTCTTAAAAGTCTCTTTCCCTAGAATGACACTTGGCATCGAGTCAGTTTGGGCTGCCATAATAAATACCATAAACTGGGTGAAGAAAACAACAAAAATGTATCACTCACAGTTCTGGAGGCTGGAAGTCCAAGATCAAGTTCCAGTGGGCTTTGGTTTCTGGTGTGGTCTCTCTTCCTGGCTTGCAGACAGCAACCTTCTGGCTGTGTCCTCACTTGGTAGATAATGAGCTAGCTCTGGTTTCTGTTTCTTTTCTTTTTTTTTTTTCTTTTTGGGACGGAGTTTTGCTCTTGTTGCCCAGGCTGGGGTGCAATGATGCAATCTTAGCTCACTGCAACCTCTGCCTCCTGGGTTCAAGCGATTTTCCTGCCTCAGCCTCCCAAGTAGCTGGGATTACAGGCATGCACTACCACCCCTGGCTAATTTTGTATTTTCAGTAGAGATGGGGTTTCCCCATGTTGGTCAGGCTCGTCTCGAACTCTCAACCTCATGTGATCCACCTGCCTTGGCCTCCCAAGTTGCTGGGATTACAGGCGTTAGCCACCGTGCCCAGCCTCTTTTTCTTTTCTTAAAGGACACCAATATTATGAAATGAAGATGCTATTCTTATGGCATCATTTCACTTTGATACCTCCCAAAGTCCCTACCATGAAATACAGTCACATTAGGGGTTAGGGCTTCAATATATGCATTTTGGAAGGACATCACAGTTCAGCTCATAGAATTCTTCCCTTGGTTCCCCCAAATCCATGTTCTTATCACATGCAAAATACATTCATCCCATTCCAGTAGCCCCCAAATTCTTAACTTATTCCAGCATTAACTCTAAAGGTTAAAGGCCAAAGTCTCATACTAAAATCATCTAACTAAGATATGAATGAGACTTGAGGTACAATTCATCATGAGCCAAAATTCCCCTCCAGCGCTGAGCCTGTGAAACGGACAAGTTATGTGTCTCCAAAATACAATAATGGGAGAGGCATAGGATAGATATTTTCTTTTCAAAATGGAAAAATCTAAATTAAAAAAGGAAGTGATGATTCCCATGAAAGCAGAAAACCTAGCAAGGGCAATTTCATTAAATCTGAAGTCTGAAGAAGAACCTCTTTGTTTCCATATCCTGTTAAGGAGGGTGTAGGACAACCCCAACCATTTGGTTAACAGCTCTATGGATTCTATAGGACCAGACGGTCCTATAGAATCCAAGAAGTCTGACAGCTTTTCCTTAATCTGTCCTGCTCCCCCTATCCTCTTCAGTTCAAACGGGCCGGATCTTTGATGGTGTAATCCATTTGCTGTTCCTGGCTTCTGCTGATATGGCTGATTAAGCTGATGGGTCACCCCCATTATCTCTTTAGCAAAGGGTGATTCAGTTGCACTCTTAGTGTTGTCTCCAGAACAGACTTCTCCAGTTTTTGCATTATAGATAAGCTGAGAAATTTCTAAATCTCCTTGTCCTGGGTCTTTTTGCTTAACAAATCCTTCTTTAATCCATATTTTTCCTATTGTATTGCCTTAAGGAGGACCCAAGCCATACTTTCAACACTTTGCTTAAAAATTGTATCTGGTAAATAGCCAAGTGTATCACTTATAAGTGCTATTTTTCTCAAAACATTGGAACAAAATGCAACCAAGATATTTGCCACTATATAACAAGAACCATTTTTCCTCCAGCTTACAGTGGCCTGTTCTCATTTCCATCTGAGACCTTCTCAGAATATTTAACGTCTATATTTCCACAAACATTCTATTTTGATTATTCATGATTATTTATTTTCTAAGAAGAGTGAAGCCCTCTCTACAGCTCTCCTCTTTTCCTCCCGATCCCTTACCAGAATTGCCTTTAATGTCCACGTTTCTACCAATAGTCCCTTCGTAGAAATTCGGGCTTTTTCTAGTCTGTACCTCAAAACTCAGCCAACCTCTACCCTATTGCCCAGTTCCCAAGCCAAGGCCAAGCCAGGTCCACATTTTTAGGTATTAGTTATAGCAGCAGTCCACTTCCTGGTACCAAAATCAGTGCAGTGTTGCTCAGGAGTTTCCAGAGAAGCAAAACCAGTAGGGTGCATGTGTGCGTGTGTGTGTGTGTGTATACAATACAATGGTTGACCAAGTATATTTGAGCACCCAGTGGCACATTCAAGTGGACACAAAAAATTAACAATCACAGGTAATTACTAGATATTATATCCTGATACAGTTTCATGATTGAATGAGTTTATACTTTAGCAAAATGTAACAAATAAGAATTGGAAATGATTCTACATTAGTATAATCAGTTGTTAAAGTAAGTACATTTTGCTGTATTTTCAACTGAGTCATTATCAAAAATAGTAATATTCTGAAAGACTATGTAAGTAAACACATATTTCTCTCACTAACATAAAAAATAAAAAATAATAAATTTTATATGCAGGGTTAAAATCTAATGTATATATTTTGTTAGTGGCTGCAATTCAGCATTCTAACATAGAATTAAATAAAATTAATCTGGTGTTAGCTAATTTTACTGTGGGAATTTAATGAATTATATGACTATTTTCTTTCTAATATTGTGAACTAGGAAATGTCATAGACTTTGGTAGACTTCTTGGTGGTCAAGAGACTAAAATCAAAGTTTCAAATTTCTAACATTTAAAGAATACATGTAAGAAATGAACTATGAATTTTAAATACCAAGCTGATCTACTTGGTAAAGGAAACAACACTCTATTATATAAATGAATGTTTTCCAAATATTCTCTTAGAATCACCTATGCTCACATCAGAACAATTATCATCAACTCTGGGGTGGGTTCTAGGACTCCATGCTATTGCTGTTGAGATCTCTTTGATGGTGTTAGTCTTACCAATGATGCAGACAAAACAGATGATTCCTTAAATCTGTATTTTACTACTCCTTACTATTTGCGTCCTTATAGTATACTATATTATATATTATATAGTATAGACCTATACTATATTATATAGTATTATTTAAGAACCAATATGGAAGATAAAATACTATAATATATATAATATAGGCCTATACTATATAATGGTATATATATTATATATAATATATTTTATTATAGTATTATATCTTCCATATTGGTTCTTAAATAATACTATATTATATATAAAATATATGTATTCACATATATATGCAAATAGTAAGTATATTATATATTATATAAAATATATATAAAATAATATAGGCCTATATTATTACAAAATAATATATATATAAAATCATATAGACATATATTATTATTTAAAAACCAGTACGGAAGAATCAATTACATAGTGCTTATTTTCAATGTAGATCCCTATTATACATTCCCAAACCTCAATCTGATTCAGTAAATTTAGGGAAAAACTCAGGATTATGAATTTTTCATGAACATGGTTATGGTTGAAAGGGGCTTGTTATGAATTTCTGATTAAGATGGTCATGGACATGGTTATGATTTCTGATAAAGATAGTCAAGGACTACACTTTGAAAAATACCAATTTAAACGTAACTGCACAGCGTAGTAAAAAGGCTATTGGGTAAAGATGCAGTTCTGTGCTGACTCACTCTGTGATCTTGGGCGCAACCATGTAGTAGTTCCTGATACTGATTGATTTAGTCATCTGCAAGCATTGAGCTATGTTCCTTTCTGGCTCTAACATGCAGAGGTCCTACAAGCATGTCTTGGCAATGTTATAGTTGTGCGTTGACTTTATTACACAGATCCCAATGTTTCATGCTTTGGATGGACTCTAGTTCTCATTCTCTTGTTCACTGGATATTTTCAATATAGCATGATAAAAGTTCTATATTCCTCAAATACTCAGGTGATAAATTGTTTGTTAGAAAATAATAGGCATGCCAATTAATTTGGGTGTTTAAAATACAGTCAACTGGTTATTTTAGAAAAGTAGGAAATGGTTAGAAAATTGCTTTTATGTCAGCTGCCCAGAATCCAATCTAGATGCAGTTTTGCAACATTTTGCAAAATAAAGCTTTCAAAATAATTTATGTTAGCAATTACAGACTAATAAGCTTTTAAAATATTTTATGCATTTTAAAATGAATAAGCAAGAACAATTGTCTTTACCACTCGTAATTTGTGGTTATAAGAGTTCTTAATCAACACTTATAATTAAGAAGATACCATAAAATAATCAGTCTATTGTAATAAGAACACAATAAATTTTAAAGGAAATTGGCCAAAGAACTGAATTTCAATTTGCTGTATCCATTCTCCTAAGCTCATAGTCTAGATATAATTAAAACAAAAACATTTATACATTTATTTCTGCAAGATTTAAAAAAAATCTTTGATTTTATACAATTCTTTCCTAAATACTTTAGATCAGATATATCAGAAATTTTCTTATTATTTGACTAGCAAATTTCAAAGGGAAAGTTTATAAATACATATAGTCAATGTATATATATTCAAATTCAAATAAACATATTTGTATATTACGTGGAGTTAAAAGCTATATTAATAAATGACAAACATAAAAGTAAATTCATCTAACCATGTTTTCACTCTGCATTTGGTTTGCTTTTGCCTTAGAGGTCTATTTCAGTAATTATCTCACCATGTCTCTTTGTACACAAGCTACAATGACACCATCAAAAATTAAAGACATTGAAGAGAAAAATCAATGAATACAACTTCTAGAAATCTAGTTTTAGATGTCTTTTTGATCTCTTGTTTTTCCACTCGAATTTTTCTCTGACTACTCATATAGAAGCAATTAAACTTATGGAAATTAATTGACTCTCACATGAACTCTAAAATTTGAGAAATCAAGTAGATTTGTAGTATATGTAAGGTACTCAGCACAAGGACAAAATAACTGCTTAATAAATAGAAATTATGAGAATGGATAGTGGAAGCATTTGTAATAGTAGCAGTAGTAAAAAGAACATTTGTTATGGTTTTGCAAAAAGCCTTAAATGATTTTTTCTGTTTGAAAAAATAAAATTATATTATTTTAAACTCAGCTTTTTCCAAAACACATAATTACTATTAATTTTTGTGATTTGTAAGAAGTCAAAAACTGATTTAAATGATTACTGCAATAAAAAAGAACAAGAAATAGTTTGCTGACCTAAAAATGCTGAGTAAAATATAATTGAATATAATGTATTTTTAAATATTTTTTATGAAAATTCAAGGCCTATAGGAAAGCAGATGGAGGTATTGATCTTGAATATGAATGAATTATTCATATTAACCCTTTTTACAGCCAATATAATAATGAGAGGTGCTGTAATTAATGCAATGGTGTTATGTCTCAGAGAAAATGCTATGATATAAGCATTTTAAGATATACGATATAGAATCCTAAAGAAAAACACATAAACTAAAGTTGTTCTCACCCATTTCTCTATTTATTCCCAGAATATACATAAACCGTCATGAAAGAAAAAGAAAGAAAAAGAGCCCATGACAGTAAGTGTGTGAAATTACGATGTCATAGAAATCCGTATTTGGTCTTAGTCCCAGGTTCCTGGGTAGACTGCCTAAAACCCTTGTAATTTGCTAAGTGATAAGAGTGATAAAGGTGAAAGGAGTGTCTTTCATCATTCATGACAAGTGCCTTTCAACCACACCTGAGTTTATGTTATTGCAGTGGCTTTCAGAAAACCTCTAAGCAGCGGGTGTGGCTTGCCAGGGGAACTATGGATTAAGGGACTGGAACTTTCAACCCCAATTCCCCAACCTCTAGGAAGGCAAGAGGGACTGGAGACTGAATTAATCACCAATGGCCGATGATATGATCTATTGTCTATGTAATGGAACTTCCCTAAAAATCCCTAATCAAAGGGATTCTGAGAGCTTCCAGGTTGGTGTCATAGGGAGGGCCTCAGGGATTGGTGCATATGGGCAGGGCATGAAGCTCCAAACCCCTTCCTCCATGCCTGAGGCGTGTATCTCTGCCATCTGGCTTTTCTGAGTTGCACCCTTTTATGTTAAGCCAGTAATCTAATAGGTAAACTGTTTTTCTGAGTCCTGTGAACCTTTAGAGAGAAGGCTATCCTTGGGTAGACCAGTATTCAAATGCCTATGAGAGATTCTCCAAATCTCTCTTACCAAAGGAATTGTATCCAGAGACAGTTGAGTTTATTTAGACCTACAAAAACTCTTAAAATGGCTGCATCTTCTTAAACATATAATAGCATATAACTTGCAAGTCCTCTTACAGAAAAAAAAGTGTTTGTATTCAATCTAATAAAAAAAGATGTCACATGCTTAATATTTATGCATAATCAAAATCCAATATGTCTTACAATTCTGTGAATTTCTCGTTTCCTCACTAGTCACTTCACAACTGAGGATCTAAAAGTTATTACACACACACACACATACACACACCCTGAAGTGATTTTCCCCAACACAAGCTTCAGGGACAAAGTCCAATTGTAAAGGCAAAAGCCTGATTGCAATGACCAGCAGTTCCCTAGATCAGCTTGCAGGCTCTAACCCCGCTCTGCACCTTCGGCCACCACTGCCACTACCTGCACATAGGCCACAACTGTTACCTCCCAGATTCACCACCTTTGCACTATCAAAAAAAGAGTTATGGAGAGGGGATGTAAATTCAGGTAAGGCAGGGATCATACTTGTTTATTTTCCGCTCCTGGAAAAATGCTTGGCACTTGATAGTTTCTTCATAAATATTGGTTGAGTGACTAGGTAAAAGATTGACTAAAGTGTCGATGATTTAGTCGCTAAATCTGGTTAGAAGTTTCTCTAGGCTTTACCACTGGGGTTGAAAAAAAGACCATTATTTAGCCTTAAAAATAAATATAAAACAAACAAAATAAGAATTTCTTTCTTTTTTTTAAGTTCTGCTATGTCCTGATAGGGCTAAAGAAAGGAAGAGGCCATGAGTTTCATTTTCCATCCTTTCTCTTCCCACAGGGCAATCATCTATTGGCAATTCAGTTGTCTGTGTTTACTAAGGAAGATGAGATCTTCAGTAGATTTCAGTGATAGTTATATGGCCCATTCATGTTTTGCTTTCACATTTTAAATTTATATCAATCTTATGTGTCTTTGTGAAGCCTTATTTAACACCCAGAGTAAAGTATACTTCCCATAAAACTCACCATATATAACAAAGCATAGCACCTGATATAAATTATCACCTGCTATACATAAGACTCTAACCTAAAATCCTAATAAACATAAGTAGCTTCCATATAGTAAAAATAACCAGGGAAAGAGAATACTAAATTCTAGCCTTACAGTGACTACTTAATATCTATGTGATCTTGGTGGAATAATTTTAAAGGGATTTAGTTTGCTCATCTGAAGAAAATTAGAGTGCTAAATCATTCCTATATATTTTTAGTAAAAAAAAAAGACTATCTTTATAATGAAGCATGTTACAAGTGGATGAGAGGAAAATCAACTTTAGATATTAAAGAAGTATTCTTTGAAGTGTCCAATACTTCTCCCTTCCCTCATTAGAAGACTTACTCCTCAAAAAATTCATTTTCCAGGTCAAAGCTACAGCGTTAGTTTATTGAACATAATTTCACTGTTTTGTTTTGTGTATATGTTTACTGCTACTGTCCCCTTCTTTGGTACCGCACTGGAAGATATACTGGTTATCTTCATTCTCAGTCAAGGGTCTAATTAGTCAAGACTGTGACATCCAGCATTGGTCAGAATGAGAAGTGAACTCAATGAGGGGACAATAAAATGTAGCAAGCCCTTCCCTGGCTTACAAAATCCATAGTCCTGAGGTGATTTTCTATACAAATATAATTGGAAAGACACTGGAAACATAGGGCAGGAAGCACATTTGGGGGTAAATAAGAAAACAAGAAAGTATCACAGACAGGTGCTACATAGAGATGTTCACTCACTGACTCATCCATTGCCACTTCTAGTCCTGCAAACTCTGCTCAGCATGAGTGCTCTATATAGGTGTGCCATTTTTAATCTTTTGTATCATATTTTTACTACACTTTTACTGTATTTTTCTATGCTGAAATATGTTTGGAGATACAAATACTTACTATAGTGTTGCAATTACCTTCAAGTTTTAGTATAGTAATGTGCTGTACAGGTGTGTAGCCTAAGAACAATAGACTATCTCATGTAGCCTAGATGTGTAATAGCTTATAACTCCTAGGTTCATGTTAAGTGGTCCCGTAAGATTATAAAGGAACTGAAAAATTTCTATTGCCCAGTGACCTCCCCCAAAAAAAATTCACAATGAAGGGTTTAGCAGAAGATTCTGCAGACCTCAAGATGCTCCTTAGAATGTTTGAGCTGGGTGTTGTGGCATGCACCTGTAATCCCAGCGACTTTGAGTCCCGTCTGGGCAGCCTAGAGAGATCCTATCTCTAAACAAACAAGCAAACAAAAGGTTTGAAACCATAGATCCCAACATCTAAAGGTTTTCATTAATACAGAGGAATGCTTATGATGCTTTACCTGTTTATAAACAAGTCTATAATGAAAAAAAGAAGCAAACCATCATGGACATATTTCTAAAAATGTGACTCCTCCTCAAGAAGAGCTTCAGGCACATCCTTCCAGAGGTATTCAGAAGAAGGCATCATTACCATGGGAGATGAGAGTTCCATGGCTGTTAATGCCCCTGAAGACTTTCCAGTGGGACAAGAGGAGGTGGAAGACAGTGATATTGATGATTCTGACCCTGTGCAGGCCTAGGCTAGCATGTGTCTTTGGGTATTAGTTTCCAACAAACTATTTTAAAAAGCAAAAAAGTTAAAATTCAAAAAATAAAATAGAAAAAAGCTTATAGAACAAGGATATATGAAAGAAAATATTTTTGTACAGTTGTAAATGTTTGTGTTTTAAGCTAAAAGCTATTACAAAAGAGTTAAAAAACAGCAAATCATTAAAAGTTTAAGTGAAAAATTACAGTAAGATAAGGTTTTTATTAAAGAAATTTTAAAAATAAATTTGTGTAGCCTGTGTCCAGCATTTAAAAGTCTACAGTAGTGTATAGTAATGTCCTAGGCCTTCATATTCACTTACCACTCACTCACTGACTCGTGCACAGCAACTTCTATACTGAAATTATAGTCCTGCAAGCTCCATTCATCATAAGTGCTCTATATAGGTGTACCATTTTTTATCTTTTATGCCATACTTTTACTGTACCTTTTCCATGTTTAGATATGTTTGGAGATATAAATACTGTGCTGTTACAATTGCCTGCAAGTTTTAATATAGTAATGTGCTGTGGAGGCATGTAGCCTAAGACCAATAGGCTATCCCATGTAGTGTAGGTGTGTCATAGTTTATAACTCCCAAGTATGTGGTAAATACACTGATATTGGCACAACAGCAAGATCCCCTAATGACACATTTCTCAGAATGTATCCCTGTCCTTAAGTGATGCATGGTTGTATTTAAATGTGTTAGAAGATATTAGTGATAACCCACCCACACTTTCTAGGAGGTCACAATGGCAAGACTTATAACTACAGTTCCCCAAGACAAAAGAAAACCCAAAAAGAAAAACATTTTTAAAACACATGATCTGCCAGATGTTGATAGAGAACTGGATTATCAATACATGCTGAGCAATCCACATGACTACTAGTCATCAAGAAAATATTTTGGAAATGGGGGTGGGTTTCATTGTCACTCCCATTTGTACATGTAATTCACTGCGAAGTTTGTTGCCTAATTTAGTTTGATCCTAGGAAGCACTATTTAGTTTGATCATAGGAACACAATGATTTGTAGTGATGATGATCTATCTGATCTCGTGTGGGTCTGCATGAACTGTTAGACCAGTTAATAAGAGGTGTTGATTATCCCATTCACTGAAAATTAGAATTGAGTCACTCATTAATTTATCCTCACTCTTCTACAGAAAGGCCTGCATTTCTAAGAAACTTGTTCTTTTCTTTTTAACATGAAGATTTTAGTAAGTTAGTTGTGCACTAATGTGGTTAGAAAAATCTGTAACACACTCATGTGGAAAAAAGAAAGAAAGGCATCACAGTGAAAAAATAAAAAGAGAATGGAAAACTAGAAGCTTAAATGTGAAATAAGTATTGAAAGATGCAAACAGAAAGCAGAACCAGAAAAATACTTTGAAATAGTATTAATCTTTATCCTTAAAGTTTTCTACCTTAAAATTTATCCACATTGTGCTGAAAGATGATTTTTAAAGAGTTGAGATTGAGAGAAGCTGATAGACAACTAGAATTTCTTTCACGCATTTAAAGTATCTTTCATTTATTTTCACTGTCAAGTCAGTGGCATATTTTAGACAGATTTCCAAAATCTCCTTAAGATTCAAACTGTTACTGCTATCACTGATACAAAACTTGCTCAAAGCAAATTTTATTGAAAAATATTATCACATTGGGAACAACAAGGAAAACAGAGATGCAAAAATTGGAGCTAAGCCAGGGTTATATTGTTTTATAGTGCAAGGCCAGCAAATTCAGGACACTTAAATGCCAGCGGTTTACAATGGGCAGTCCCAGAAAGTAGACTGTATAGAGCAAGATAAATTCCAGCCTTGGTTCAGATGTCAAATACATGCTGGTGAATACAGCAGGGTACAGAGTGAAGCCTGTGGGCTGAGAAGTCTATAAGGCATAAATGTGGTAAATGTGGAGACCCTGTCACATGGGGAGTGGTTTTGTGGACTAAGGAGCTGAACTCAGAGGAAGACTGAGCACAAAGCAGAATAAATGGCATGCCTATTTTGGGAAATTTTTATGTGCATCTACCTAAGGAAAGAACTGGTTGACAGCTTCAGTTATGACAGCAAAGGCACAAGGAGACAGAGAATATTCTGGTTCTGGAAGGCAGAAACATTTGCTGTCGCCTGTCATTGCCACACAGTATGATTTGTCTTTAGATGATCAGCAACTAGGTGCCAGCAAGGCCATATTTTCAGGCACAGAATACCAGTATGCATGTCTCCCATAACATTGAGAAACAAAGGAGTATCAAACCGTGCGTTAACTTACATGGAACAATAAGAAATGACAATTTCAAGTATGAAAGTGTTTTATTGTCACACTTGATGATGGTCTGAACTTGAATAGTTCATCAAGCCTTAAAACATTACCATATCTGCATTGAAAGTGGTAATTTTTCTTAGTACAAGATTCTAATTTATTGGCTACATTTGAAATCTGTAAAAAAATTACAGCATTAATCCCTGTACTGTTAAAAGTAAATTTTTTTAATACTTTCATCAGTCATTTGGTAATTTATAGTTATGAAAATTATCCAGATAATCATTAGACACTTCTTGAAATGAAATTGTTATGAAAGTTGTGCATAGTGTTATTGAGTCAAAATTGTTCAAGGTCTAAACCATTGCAAACTTATCTGAAATATTGAAATATAACTGCGGTCCTGGACTAATTGTGTCCAAGGCCATCCATCCCACTTTATGTGATTTTCTCCTTTAGTGTGTCAAGGCCAAATATCAAACTGGTTCCCATATGCTGTCCTTCAGGGTTTCCTGAGGACACATGGAACTCATTGGTCCTGACCTTTGCTTGTATCCTCCATTAGTTAATGAAGTTAAAAACAAAAACTTACTCTAATGAATACTGAGCAGATGTAGGAGTGTGAGCGTTCTTGCAAACAAACTGAAAACTATCCAGGAGTACATTTGTATGGCAAAACTATTTGATGTTTCTTTACCTTTCACTCCGATAAAGTTCAAGGTGCTTCTGAAAAGAGCCTATGGGTTCCCGAGAGAAACCTTGCTCCCAGCTGTTCAGCACAGTATTCCTAGCACCCAGCACAGAGCCTGCCACATGGTGGGACACAATCAATATTTGGAAGAGATTCACATTATGTCAGAGTGGCTGGAAAGGGACTTTATGGATAAGCTGGGACTTGGATTTTTAAAAAATAAGAAGGAAATAGTAAAAAAAAACACAAAAAGGGAAAACAAATAAAACTTCTAATTACATATGCACTCAACGGAGACACAATCAAATATCTGTCATCTGGATTATTGACAAGAAATGCTGGCCAGGATCATCTAGCAGTTATTTACAGGTGACATTAGATTTCCTCCCATGAGTATTTTTTTCTTATGAAGCTTATTTCATCATTTGTAAAGTAACACAAGATAAAATTACTTTATATTCTTTAAAGGCACACCACTAAGCAGTTATCAGTCTACTGAGAAATATTCTAGGTGACATGAGAAAGTCATTCTGGAAAACAGATAAACATGAATGTGCTGACAAGGATAATCAAAAGCTGACAACATTAAACCTGCTTCAGTATCAAGGCTGGTCCATTTCCTTTGAAGTCCAGTCTTACTGCACAGAGAATGATGTTAATATAATATAAAATCTATTCATCTTGGTAACAGGAAGAGTAGTGATAATAATTCCCACATGCCAAGGACACTTGTATTGATTTTAGAATGTGATTTTGAACTTAATTTGGAACTGTGTCTGCTGCTTTTATAATTCATATCACCTCAGTGGCATAATAAAACCATACTGTAAAGCACGTCGCAGAAACAATGTGTAAACCTGTTCTTTTGTTTCCATCCAGTTGGACTTGGCAATTGTTGATTAACTTCTACATGGCAGGATAGTCCCCACTGTGGGAATACAGGGATGTAGAAGACTGGACTGCTGCCCTCTGAGAGTCGTGGAGGGGGAGACCCCAGGGAGAAGCACAACCTCATTTGCAGAGCCCTGGTGACTGAGGGGAAGGAGCAACTCCACACCAAGGAGTATGGCTGACGTGGGAAATGAGCAGGAGGGAGGTGAAGCCAGCTCCTGAAGGAAGGGCAGTTTCTCAGGCAAACCACGGAGGGAAGGCCAACCAGGGAGAGAAAAAAAGTTCATGTGCTAAGGCCCAAAGGCAATTTTGGATATAACACAAGTGTGAAGCCCTTCCAGTTACGCATTCCCTAAGACTGGAAAAACAGAACCCATGTCCAGCTCATTGAGGCCCAAAAGTCACGCTGAGGTTGTTGGATTTTTGAGAAGCAGCAGTGAGTCCAGCACTGTACAATCTGTCTCCATGAATCCCAATGAGTTATTTCTACATTATGAAGATAAAGAATCAGACTAAAAAATGCTATGGTTTGAATGGGTACCCTCTGAAATTCAGGTGTTGAAACTGAATGGCCCATATAATGGGAGGTGGGGCCTTTAAGAGGTAATTAGGTCATGAGGGTTCCTCCTTCCTCCTTCATGAATGGGATTAGAGGCCCTTAAAAAAAGGACTTGAAAAAGAGAGATTGTCCCTTTTTGCCTTTCCACTTTCTGCCATGGGAGGACAGAGCAAGAAGGCCCTTCCTTACCAGACAGCGGATGCCGGCATCTTGATCTTGGGCTTCCCAGACTCCAGAACTGTATGAAATAAATTTCTGTCCTTTACAATTTACCTAGTTTCAGATATTTTGTTATAGCAGCACAAATGGACTAAGACAAAGAGTATAGAGCATTTGCTCAATAGAACACTGCCATTTATTTCTATGGCAACATTGAACCTTGCCTTTGGGCCCTAAATCCCTGGTTCTGTCCACAACAGTACTGTGAGGCACCCTGACTCATACTTCTCTATTAGGAATCCTGAAGGGAGATGGGAAACCCAGGTTAAGAGAGGCTTGAACCCCTTCCCTGGGAAGCTGAATCAAGTCGTTTGGCAAAAATGACTTGAATGGCTCCTGTCAAGATGGTGAACTCAGTACATATTTGACTTCTATCCCTCTATAGACCCCACTGACATAAATGTATTGAAAAAAACAAACCCACCGAGTTAAAACTGCACATGGATGGAAAATCAGAATTGCAAGGGCCATCCCCAAAATGCTGAAAGACAGACAAAAAACAAAAACAAACAAAAAAAGGAAGTACAGGATTTGGGCAGCAGAAAAAGCCAGAGCCTACTATGAGCTGTGACAATATTACATGGGGTGTTGTGAACGAACTCCCTGCCACTCAGAAGGATCTGGTGCTCAGAACAATCAGTCACACACAGAGACTGGAATCAGCTCAGTCTAAAAGCCACGGTAAGCTCACAGCAAAGAATCAGAAGCTTTCTCAATGAACAGATTAAATGTACTGTTGGGATAGTTGAAGCTAAAAATGAGGGTTTTATTGTCTTAAAATGAAATCCTCTTTCCTCTTATACCATAGGAATCTCACAGACTTAGGTCAAATCCCACAGCTGATTCTTGCATAAATTTTAAAATTTTGAGCATCACATTTCTCAGCAGCAGCAACTGATGACAGAAGATACTGAGACAACATCTTCAAAGTTCTGGAGCAAAACATTTTCAACCAATCATTCAAATGTTAAGGCAGAACAAAAATATTTTTTGAACCTGAAAAGGTTCATCAATTTCGCCTTTCATGTATCCTTTCTATAGTAAAGCATGTTGAATATATAAAGAAGTTCACAACTTAAAAGTGCCATTTCACCCAAAAATACTAACATAATTATCAAATTTAGGCAGGGGTGGTAGGAGAACATTAGGAGATCTTACAAATCTCAATTTTCTATTTTTCAGTAAATAACATCTGGTCATAGTATATCATAAATTAGAAATATATGCCTGTCATTTCGATTGGAGGTGGCAATTTAATTAATGAAAAAATCAGTGAATGACTATTTAATTTATTTAATTAATTAATTATTTAATTTCCAAGTGTTTCACTACATAGCTGCTTGGCTTAATTTTTTCTCAGTTGCTTTATTTGTAAAATAAAATATTTGAACTACAATTCTCTGACAGGCAGAATGTTTTAAGGAAATAGTGTAGGAGTGAAAAGTAAACAGACTTGCATTTAAAATAGCCTTCCACACCTCCCCGAACTCAGGCTTCCTTGACTGAAACAATGCACGCTTCTCAAGGATGGTGAGTTTTCTTTTCTTAAAAGACACGTGCATCTCAAATCTAACTACATTTCCCTATATCCTTCAGCTTTCAGGAAATTTAGTAGTATCAAATTTGTGCTCTAATTTAAGACAGTCAGATGACACAGTTCTGTATGCCTATTTCACCTTTAATTTTATTACTTTTAGTTAGAAAGAAAATGGGGAATTCAGTCCAGCCACTGCAAGCAGCTGAGTTCTGCCTTAGCTACGTGAGCCTGGAAGAAGACCCAGGCTCCAGAAAGAAGCACAGCCTGGCTGACATCTTGACTGCAGCCGTGTGAGATCCTGACCTGCAGACCCACCTGAGCTGTGCTTGGACTCCTTACACGTGGAAACTGAGAGAGAATAACACATGCTGTTTTAAGCCATTACATTTGTGGTAATTTGTTATAAGACAATAAAAAAAACTAATATAACAGAAGAGACAATAATGTCAGCTCTCAGGATGTAAGATTTTCCTGCTTTTAGGGCAACATGAAACAATACATAATTGTAGCTAATTAATTTTAACTACTACACGCAAGATTCAATGATAATACAATATATAGAAAATGTTATCCCATACCAAAAAAGGCCTAAAATCTAGTACAAAAAATGGAAAAAAATACTTTACATAGAGTATTTCCAACTCTATGTGATGATGTTGCAAAGATTTTTGATAGACTCTAATTTAAAGAAAGATTGACCATGCTTTAGTTTGCACAGAGTCAATAGCACCTTTTAATAAAAAGGTAGATCTGTGACTATTTGCTCCAGACATAAAGAATTGTTTGTAACTTTTACACCTTTGTGATGAAGGGAAAGTCAAGACTTTTAGTAACAGCTAATAAAGAACAACTGGGGTTTCCATCAGCAGGAATGCAGAAAGAACAGGCTGGCTGAGCTTTCTGGATATGGACAAGAAGGCACAGAGCTCTCTGAAATGGAAAGTCCTGCTTTGGAGATAATCAAGTGAATAGTTCACTGGTCTGCCCTTTCTAGATAGGGAAACTCCCTGCTGAGGGCTCATGTCTCTTCCTCACCTGAGAGCCAGGTACAAACTATCAATTAGTCCTTTTGAAACACCATGAGATTCTTTTGAGACCAGTTAAAATACTGAACACTTAGAAGCATGTGATTTGTTGCTGAAGAATAAATCCTTCACCCTTGCCTTCCTGGATGGCCTGCAGTCTTCGTTGATCAATTCTTCACTCTTTCACATTTTTATTTAAAGCACCATTCCTGCTACCATAATGAGTGTGGGTTTTGTGGTTGAACTTGACCTTGTATGAATGAAAAGAAATGGTTTCTGGCCTTGGCCCATTGTGGGGAAACAACATAAAAGCACACCACACACAGGACAGGCTCAACGTAGCTCAAATAAATGCTCATTACGTATGTGACTTATGAATTGTATGGAGCAAAGCCCAAACTCACTTGTCATATCTCATAAAAGTGGAATATTGACTTGAATCAAGGTATCATCAAGGTGGCATGCTTATTTTTCATGATATTGGTGAGTTCTGCATTTGTGAAAAAAAAGACTAAAATATTCCTGCACATTTGCAATGCTAATTTTAGTGAGTAGGATAATGCTAAAAGTGTTCTTTTTTTTATTATTATACTTTAAGTTCTAGGGTACATGTGCACTACGTTCAGGTTTGTTACACATGTATACATGCGCCATGTTGGTGTGCTGCACCCATTAACTCGTCATTTACAATAGGTATATCTCCTAATGCTATCCCTCCCCCCTCCCCCCACCTCATGACAGGCCCCAGTGTGTGATGTTCCCCTTCCTGTGTCCATGTGTTCTCATTGATCAATTCCCACCCATGAGTGAGAACATCTGGCGTTTGGTTTTTTGTCCTTGCGATAGTTTGCTCAGAATGATGGTTTCCAGCTTTATCCATGTCCCTACAAAGGACATGAACTCATCACTTTTTATGGCTGCATAGTATTCCATGGTGTATATGTGCCACATTTTCTTAATCCAGTCTATCATTGAGGGACATTAGGGTTGGTTCCAAGTCTTTGCTATTGTGAATAGTGCTGCAATAAACATACGTGTGTGTGTGTCTCTATAGCAGCATGATTTATAATCCTTTGGGTATATACCCAGTAATGGGATGGCTGGGTCAAATGGTATTTCTAGTTCTAGATCCCTAAGGAATTGACACACTGTCTTCCAAAATGGTTGAAAAATGTTCTTTTAATAAAGGCATTCTGAGAAGCCTAAATATTGTAGGACAAGGCAAGAGAATTTCAACTGCTTCTGAAAATGTTTAATAGCTGTCTTAACTTCTATACTGAATAATTACCAGAACAGAAAGGACCAAAAGCCTGGTATACACCTGTAATCCTGGCACTTTGGAAAGCTGAGGCGGGTGGATCACCTGAGGTCAGGAGTTCATGACCAGCCTGACTAACATGGTGAAAACCCGCCTCTACTAAATATAAAAAAATTAGCCAGGTGTGGTGGCGCATGCCTGTAATCTGATCTACTTGGGAGGCTAAGACAGGAGAATCTCTTGTACCTGGGAGGTGGAGGTTGCAGTGAGCCGAGACTGCTTCATTGCACTCCAGCCTGGGCAACAAGAGTGAAACTACGTCCAAAAAAAAAAAGAGAAAGAACGAACCAAAAACCATAAGGAGGATGTCAGATGTTTTGAATAACTGTGCTTCCTGGGGGATCCCAGGAGTTCAAAGAAAGCACTTAAAGTTCCCTTCCTCAAGAATCAATTAAAACAGGGACACATTAGTTCAACTCTGTTCTGAAAATTGCTTTCCAGTCTTAAGCTAATTATCTAATTTTACTTACCCTTAACAGTTAATTTCGGTAGGTCTACCTTTCTGGGTATAGGATTCACAATACCTAAAATGAGATCTCTAGAAATAAGATCACTGAAGTCTGTTTCAGATCAAAGTTCTCCGAGTACATGACTCTCACTTGCAAAGAAAAGCATGGTTATGCTTCATGTGCCATCTTTTTAATATTCAACTGAATTACAAGCAGTAAAATCTCTATGGCAGGATATGTTCCTCCTTTTCCTCTCCTCCCTCAAGGACCACAGTACTTTTAACTTGTAGGTTCTCAATATTTATTTTTAATTCATATGAACCAATATTTTTTCCCAATTCAGCAGAAATTCAGTTTTATTTCCCAGTTACCAAAGATCATCAAGTAACTTCCCAAACTTTAGCCACAACTTTTTAAGAATCTCCTTAATCAGCCAATTACTCCAGAATTTATTTTCCAGAGTTTTCAGACCAGGCATATCCTGATATTGAAAAGGAAACTTTCAGCTGTTCTCTGCTCTTTGTAACTCCTCAGTTTTAAAATTGTAATGCAGTTTTAGAATTGTTGATATTTTTCTTATTTTTACTATTTTCTCTTCAGTTTTTTACTCCAGCATGTGTGTTTTACTGTGATATTTCCATGTAGTAGCCTATTTATTTCAAGAACATCTCAATGAATGCTTGACTAAAGTCCATTAGGAAATTATACATGATCAAAAGCAAAAATGTAAAAATAAAAAGAAAGTACATTAATCAAATGAGATAAACACAATGTTTCTAAAGGCAAATTATCTAGAAAGCTCCAAGGGTAGCATTCATCATTTCTGTCAAAACTACTTGAGCGCCTTTCCTGTATAAACTGTACACCTGTGTAGCCAAATGGTGAGTGAAGGGACGTTCTGTGTGTAGAAGTGTTCCATCAAAGTACCCAACTTGTCCTGGTTTTTCGGGACTTTGCCAGTTTTGCACTGAAACTCCCACAACTTGAGAAGAAACTCCAACACCCTAATTCTACTGAATACACGAGAACAACTGACAAAATCAGAAGAGCAACACAGGCATCCTTAATAAGAAATGGGTCTAGGTAGTCATCACCAATACCTGCCAACACCATGTAAGGGTGTGTCCGGAATTGGTGGGTTCTTGGTCTCACTGACTTCAAGAATGAAGCTGCAGACCCTCGCAGTGAGTGTTACAGTTCTTAAAGGCAGTGTGGACCCAAAGAGTGAGCACCAACAAGATTTATTGCAAAGAGCGAAAGAACAAAGCTTCCACAGCCTCCAAGGGGACCTACGGGTTGCCACTGCTGGTTTGGGCGGCCTGCTTTCATTCTCTTATCTGGCCCCACCCACATCCTGCTGATTGGTCCATTTTACAGAGAGCTGATTGGTCCGTTTTGACAGGGTGCTGATTGGTGCGTTTACAATCCCTGAGCTAGACACAAAAGTTCTTCACATCCCTGCTAGATTAGCTAGATACAGAGTGTTGACATAAAGGTTCTCCAAGTCCCCACCAGAGTAGCTAGATACAGAGTGTGGATTGGTGCATTCACAAACCCTGAGCTAGACACAGGGTGCTGATTGGTGTGTTTACAAACCTTGAGCTAGATACAGAGTGCCGATTGGTGTATTTACAATCCCTTAGCTAGACATAAAGGTTCTCCAAGTCCCCACCAGAGTAGCTAGATATAGAGTGTGGATTGGTGCATTCACAAACCCTGAGCTAGACACAGGGTGCTGATTGGTGTGTTTGCAAACTTTGAACTAGATACAGAGTGCCCATTGGTGTATTTACAATCCCTTAGCTAGACATAAAGGTTCTTGAAGTCCCCACCAGACTCAGGAGCCCAGCTGGCTTCACCCAGTGGATCCCGCACCAGGGCCACAGGTGGAGCTGCCTGCCAGTCCCCTGCAGTGCGCCCACACTCCTCAGCCCTTGGGTGGTCGGTGGGACTGGGCTCCGGTGGAGCAGGGGGCGGCACTCGTCAGGGAGGCTCGGGCTGCACAGGAGCCCACGGGGTGGGGGCAGGGAGGCTCAGGCATGGCGGGCTGCAGGTCCAGAGCCCTGACCCTGAGGAGGCAGCTAAGGACCAGCGAGAAATCGAGCACAGCGCCCGTGAGCCGGCGCTGCTGGGGGACCCAATGCACCCTCTGCAGCCGCTGGCCAGGGTGCTAAGCCCCTCATTGCCCGGCCGGCAGGCCTGGCTGGCCGCTCTGAGTGTGGGGCCGCCAAGCCCACGCCCACCCAGAACTCCAGCTGGCCCATAAGCACGCGGTGCAGCCCTGGTTCCGGCTCGCGCCTCTCACTCCACACCTCCCTGCAAACTGAGGGAGCCGGCTCCTACCTTGGCCAGCCCAGAAAGGGGCTCCCACAGTGCAGCAGTTGGCTGAAGGGCTCCTCAAGTGCCGCCAAAGTGGGAGCCCAGGCAGAGGAGGTGCTGAGAGCAAGTGAGGGCTGCGAGGGCTGCCAGCACACTGTCACTTCTCAAGGGGACAAGGGAACATGGCATGCCTTATGAAAGAATCCCATAGCATCACAGCAAAGTGCCTTTCCAAAACTCAAGCATACACTAGACCTGAATCTCACTGGACCTCTAGAACTGAATACTCATTTACACAACATACAAAGACAATGTAAATATGTAAAAAAAAGAATAACATAGAGGTGCAGCTAGCAAAATCCAAACTGAGAAACTCTGCCAAACAGGTCTGGTTTCAACAAAATTAATTTCACTGAAAAAATAAGGAGAGATTAAAAAAACATAGAAAATATATAGATCATGTATACCTCTGTAACAAACCTGCACATTGTGCACATGTACCCTAGAACTTAAAGTATAATTAAAAAAAGAAAATATATAGATTAAAAAACTAACTTTCCTTGCAAATTTGTCCTACTAGACTATGGAATCTTTGAAGCAGAATTATGTCTTACCCCTGTGTAGACTCCCATCACTTAGCACCTAGCACAATTCCCAAAACATGATAGGTCCCCACAGACAATTTGTTAAGTGTTGAATACATAAAATATTTTCTTATTCTTCTAACAAAAGTGAACTTTTCACATATGAAACCTAGGGACAATGTATTCATCATATAGTAAGATATTTGGCTGGTTAAGACAAATAGTACGTCCATTGACTTAGTGGCCAGTAAACCTCTTAATGTTGGGGATTCTTCATATTCTTGAAGATACAAAATGTCTTCTTTCACGTCATACTTATAACAGTTAAGCAATCCTTATTATGAGATTTAAATTAGAATAAAATCTACAGGGTAGGCTGTTGTAATCATATGCATGTATGAGTATATACTGAAATGTCTTCTTACAAAGTCCCAGCCCAGCAGGGTTATTGAAAGGCAAAACTTAAACTAGACCTTGTGTCCATAAAATAGACATGATGATGGAAATACAAAGCATTTGCCTTTTCTGTTTACATTCCTTCCCTAGAAGGGGAAAAATCAGTGTAAGAACAGCTTGTCTTAAGTCTATACAGTGTTATTATACTTTACTTGTCACATTCATTATGGGTCATATGCTTGCAAGGTTTTAAATAGTCATCTTTATTAGTTTTATTCTGAATGAACATAGAAAGTATTCTGAATCAAGGAAGGGATTTCTGATTTATCATCCTACATTAAATATTAAGTGCATTGGTCCTGCTTTCCTCAGACCTTACTCCTTGCGGTGACCAAATTAAAGCCAGGTCAAATGACTTATATGAGTAGCTGGAAAGCTATACACAAGTCATGGAGAAAATGGATTTTCTCTATTCACATGTAAGAGAGAGACATATAACATACATTAGTCATTTCCCTCCAACTCCAGAAAGGAGCGGGTAGTGGGGGTGGGTGCAGGGACAGAATCCAGTTGCACTGTTGAGATGGGATGAGGAGCATCCTGGGATCCTACCTTCACATTCTGGAATGAAAATATGCCTTCCAAGGGCCAGATAACCACTCAACCACCCCTCATTCCCATTTCTGACCTGTAAGGCATGGAGATGTCTCTGGGTTCTCTGAGTTGCTATTTCTTTTGGAAATGCAAATACTTAGAGAGATAAGACTCCAGTCTCACTGCCTCCTTGGTAACTAACCTAGGTACCTATCCCAGGATGTACTCAGTTGGCTTTTGGGGAGATGAAGGAAGTTTTATCATCCTTTTCAATCAGAGCAATTAACTGCATCATTAAAGAAACATTGGCTATAGATCTCAACCTTACAGTATGTAAAAATGTTTCTTGGGGAAGTGAAAGCAAACATCCTGTAACATTATATCATATATATTTTCATGACTCATGAGGGCTGGGCTCTTAACAGGCCCACTGGGAAACCCGGAAATTTGTTATTTCCCCACAACTCTATTTAAAGTATATATGTGAATATTTAAGTACGTATGTCTTACCCATGCAATTGAATTGAAAGTTCCTTGAAAGACTCATAACGTCATACTTTCTTGCAATGAATGAATGAGGAGTAAATATTAGTTGAACACCTACTATGGATCAACCACTAGAATAGCTCAGGAGATAAAAAGATAAATGTTCTTAATGGCATCTAGAATGGTGAATCCTTTTCAGAAGGTTTTCAACTTACTTTTCCCAGATCCATTGGAGGAATCATTATCTTGGCAGCTGTAGCATTAATAAATGTATTTCATAAATAATTGGACTTGAAAGATAAAACTACTCATTGGTCTAATGGACTGCGGAATAGATACTGTGTTAGCAGGCATGAAAACAATGCTAATCCTGTTGCAGGTTTCCATCAGAGCTTTTGGGTGATCAAGTTCATTGTCAATGAGCAGTAATATTTTGAAAGTAATGTTTTGTTTTGTTTTATTTTTGAGCAATGGGTCTAAATAGTGGGCTTCCGATATTCAGTAAATAATGCTACAAACAAATGTGCTGCTACTCAGGATTTGTTTTTTCATTTCTTGAGCACAGGCAGAGTTGACTTAGCATGATTCTTAAGAGCCCTAGGATTTAAAAAATGGTAAACAAGCATTGGTTTTAACTGAAGTCACAAGCTGCATTAGCTCCTAACAAGAGAGTCAGCCTGTGTCTTTTGAAGCTTTGAAGCCAGATATTAGCTTCTCCTCTCTATTTGAGAAAGTCCTAAATGGCATCTTCTAATTTAAGGCTGTTTTGCCTACATTGAAAATCTGTTATTTATTGTACCCACCTTCATCAATGATCTTATTTAGATCTTCTGGATAACTTGCTGCAGCTTCTACATCAGCATTTGCTGCTTTACCCTGCACTTTTATGTTGTGAAGATGACTTCTTTCCTTAAACCTCATGACCAGCTTCTGCTCACTTCAACCTTCTCTTCTGCAGCTTCCATACCTCTCTCGGCCTTCAGCCATACCTTCTCTTTACTGAAGAGAGTTAGGGCCTTGCTGTGAATTAGGTTTTGGCTTAAGGGAATGTTGTAGCTGTTTTGATCTTCTACACAGATCACTAATGCTTTCTCCATATCCACAATAAGGTTCTTCCATTTTCTTAAGATTCTTGTGTGTTCACTGGAGAAGTATTTTTAATTTCCTTCAAAATCTTTCTCTTTGCATTCACAACTTTGTTGTTTGGCACAAGAGGCCTAGCTTTCAGCTTATTTCAGCTTTTCACATGCCTTTCTCATTAAGCTTAATTATTTCTAGCTTTTGATTTAAAGGGAGAAACGTGGCTTCCTTTAACGTGAACACTAGGAGGCCATTGTGGAGTTATTAATTGGCTTAATTTTAATATTGTTGGGTCTCAGGGAATACGGAGGCCCCAGGAGAGAAAGCAAGACAGAGGAATGGCTGGTTGGTGGAGCAGACACACTACATGAATCAATTAAGTTTGCCATCTGATACGGGCACAGTTTGTGGCACTTGAAAAAATCCCACCAGTAACATCAAAGATCACGGATTCCAGATCCCCATAACAGATATAATAATAACGAAATAGTTTGAAATATCATGACAATTACAAAGACAGGAAATGAGCACATGCTGTTGGGAAAATGGTGTTGATTAACTTGCTTGATGCACTGTTGTCACAAACCTTTGATTTATAAATAAGGAAACATCTTTGAAATGCAATAAAGTGAAACACAATAAAATGACGTATGCCTGTAAGTCATAGGTATTTGGGCAGTTGGAATACCATTTTGCTTCATTATGGCCCGTCATCCTGCCAGATAATATGTTAATAAATTAAGACATGAATGAAAGAAGATCAAATATTCACATAATACCGATAGAGATAACTAAACCCAGTTAATGAAATTAAACACTATTAGATTTGGTAAAATAATACTGTCAAACTAAAGCAAGGATGGTTAAAATTAACTGCATTGAAAATGATATCAGATAAATGCAGTCAAAATGAAAGAGAGGTTGAGAATATTAACCAAAAAGAATACTTGGAGGAAAAGCATTATTTCAGAATTTGAATTTTAGACTTTTATAGATAAAAGAATATCACAATGTAACACTGAAATTTTAAAAAGAAAACTGGTATAAAATATACTGAAAAATTGATAAACGTCTATAGTCATTGCTTATTTTTTGTTTGATCTTGATAAATCAATTAGAAAATCATGAGCATAAAGTGGAGATTAATGCAATTATGGCAGTTGATTTAACATATGCATAATACACCCACCTCCCTATGAACCAGGAACATATGTTTTACATGTTTTATCTTCCCAGGTAAGGCACAGTGGAAATATGATTCAGAGTGCAGAGCCAAGACCTTATGGGGCAGGGCCATAAATGCAGAAGACAGAGTAAAGATTCAAGAGGGCAGAGTAGGGTTCTAGAAGGCAGAGCCAGGATCCTAGAGGGCAGAGCCAGGAAGCAGGTGGACCACTCGCAGGCACTAAAACAGAGCCTCAGGCAAGGAATAGACATGCACCTTGCCAGCTTTCAGAATATCTATGGGCTAGTAATTGCTGTGAGTCTCCAGCATTCCCTGTTACTGAACAGGAGGGCCTGTCATGTCTATTCTGTGCCTGTTCCACCATTGTATAAAAGGTACAGAAGAGAAGGGGATAACTTATCTCTTTGATTCAAATCTGTATTCTTTTTCTGGGCTGTCATTAGAAAAGTAACACAGGCTGGGTGGCTCAACCAACAGAAATTGATTGTCTCAGAGTTCTGGAGGCTAGAAGTCCAAGATTAAGGTATCAGCAGGTCTGGTTTCTATCAAGGCCTCCCCTTGGCTTGCTTCTCCCTGTGTCCTCACATGGCCTGTCCCTGGGTTTGTGCACCCCTGCTATTCTTTTGTATGTCCAAATTTCCTCAGGTCAGACACCACTCTGATTGGATTAGGGCCCACTTTAAGAACCTCATTTAATCTTAATCACACCTTGAAAGGCCGTATCTTGTAATACAGTCACAGTCTGAGGTACTAGGGGTTAGGGCTGTGATGTATGAATTTTGGTGAAATGCAATTCAGCTCATAGCTTCTTTCAGCACCAGAGGGGCAGTACTCAAGAATTCCAATGTGAGAAGCCTTTTGAGAAGCCTTGGCCACACCTGCATCTGTGCTGGATCTTCGCCTTGAGCAATAATGAGATGAAATTTTGAAGAGCAGATGAGTGAGTGTTGCAAGTGGGAAGACTGCCATTAAGTTGTAGTGGCCAGAGGGCAGATGTGGTAAATTATATCATCCAGAAATGACCACAGTAATATTTCTGTTTCCATGTGCTCTTCCAGTGCCTTTCCATTCCCCATCAAGACATGGAGTTTATTTCTATTCCTCTTGAAACTGGATGGAGTGTGTGGAATCCCTGAAAAACAGTGAGGCAGATGTGAGGCTGCCTGCCTCCCAGGGCAGCCTTGCACCAGCCCCAGCTACCAACCATGGAGCAGAAACAAGCTATCTTCTATGAGCCTTGCTCCAGCTGGAGATCTCTGAGCTAAATAAATCTTCTCGTTGTTTTAAGCCGCTATTTTTTTGTGTAATTTTTAACAAAGCCATTTTAACTGGGATAGTAAGTTGCTTTGCTTTCTTTCAAAAATGGTGTATATATAAGGTATATATAAAAATGGTATATATCAGGATTCAGAGAAAAAAATGAATTGACTATAACTCAGTTGAATAATGGATTACTAATAAAACAATACCCTCAAATCTAAACCTTCTTAGGCTGAAGGTGCAGTGTTCTTGGTATCAATTTCCATGCTGCTTTTGGGAAATTGTTAATGGACATTGTGACAGTCTGTCAGTAAAGAGAAAAGCCAGCTGAGGATGGAGTTAACTACCTGATCAGATGACTAACACCAGCCATCTTATTCCTAAATTGTCTAGCCTGGGAAGCAGGCACATTCATCACTATTGTGATAATATTAAGGCCTGTATTTTAACTCTATTAAGCCTGGAAAATATGCTGGAAGAACATGTGCATCTCATTTTTTCTGAGTTATTACTATTTTTTTATTTCAAAAAATCAGTAAGATAATTGCTTTGGCTTTTATCTAATAGGCTCACTCTTAAATGGATATGGTGATCACGTAAGAATCATAAATGTAATTTAATCAATGATTAATGTAATTTCTGATGCAACTACAAATAAAATACACTACAATAAATCATTTCCCAAATCTTATCTTTCCAAATCTAATAGCTTGCTATTTGTTCACTATTTACATTTCTTTATTAAAAATCCAATACATCATTAATATTTATGTTAAGATTGATTTGCTTGGCTTTGTTTTGTTTGTATTTGTGATCTTTTAATTTTTTTATAATTAAAATAAATCAATTGCTAATTGCTTTCAACCACACTAATATCTATGACACTAACTGATTGTTCTTACAGAAATATCTTACTTTAGGATTCCAGCCTTAAAATACAGTTTTATAAACTCAAGTGAGTCCTCTGACACAGAAATCACTAATGGTAAGGATATAAACGTCTTCCATTTAGTGTTTGGTTTATAAACTACTTTGTAATTAATGCCATGTAATCTATTGAATCAATGCTGATGGTCGTTCTTACCTATTTTCCCCACTTTTTAGTGTGGGTTTGAAAGCTGTATACTCACTGGGAGGTTAAGCTTGTTCAGGTCTGACCGGGTGCAATTCCTATGAGCGACATAAATCCATCACGAAGTACTGGGGATTAAACAGTGAAGCAGGAAAAATTTCAGTGACAAAATTTTGTTTTGATTTGTGTATCTCTGTTTGTTTTCTGGTTTTGATCCCAATTTTGTTTCCTGGGAGTAAAATCCCAGGTGGTTTCTTTAAAAGAGGATTTTGACTTGAAACAGAATTATGATACTGGTGGATTTGTCAGTGAGCTCCAGGCAGATGGCCCCATATCTCTAGAACTCCTTTGCTTCAGGTTTGGAAAGAAGGAATTAGACCAGATGAGACTGCTCTCCCTTTCCACTTTAACATGTTAGGACTTCTAAATGCCCAGACTCACAGGCAAAACAAAAGCATTAAATAAATTTATATAAATACTACTATGGTGATCCTTTTTTTCTTGCAAAGTTATTTTTAACTTATTTGAAGAGTAGTCCTCTCTATTAACAAGCTTCTTAGTTTTCTGTTCTTACCTACATGGCTTCAGTTTTGCTGGGGGGAATGTGAATGACAGATTTTTAAAAACCTAGAATGTAACATGATTGAGTCATTGGCAGGTTAACACAATAGATGTGTTTTAAATACTTGAAGCCAAAATACTTCTTTCTAAATATATTTCTTGCTTGCCTTACTTAGCAAAACATTTTTTTAATCTATTGATTTATGTTTAAAGAACTATTTTTGCAATGCAAAGAGTATAATTAGTCTGTGGTTCACCACGAACATTTCTTGTCTTTAAAACGTAGTATAGAAGTAAGGAGTCAATTATTGTTCATGCAAAACACAATGATGATGTCAGGTGAATTTGCCTATATCTACCTATAAGTATTTTATAAGCTAAAGAGGGCATGTTTTCACAACTGTGCTTAAGTATTTATTGTAACTTCCAGAAGGTGGCATCTGTAATGTTAAAAGGGTGCATGATATTATCCTGGAAACTTTTAAACTACTTCATGCCGAACTAAAATGAGCAGAAGGAAAAAAATTGCCTTTTATACAGGTCTATTTTTTCTTTGAAGCAAAAACAAGTTACATATTTATTGTCATTCTGCAAGTAATGACAAAATTGCTACTGTACACATAGTGATTATGCCATTTTTACAGCCATCCAGACTATAAGAGTGGCTTGGATGAAATGATGATGAAAAGCACAATATTTGGAATAGAAATTTAATCTGAAAATATGGAAATAGGCAATCATACAAAATTTGGTTTTGGAAAATGGTCATCTATTTAACTATTTTCTGGCATAGTTCAAAATGAATAAAAAGTTAACTTTATCTGCATTTAGCTTGTTATTATTCTTCAGTGATAATTATCTTGTCATGTTCCTATGGCTATTAAGACTCTCAATATCAGTTAAGTTTACAAGGCAAAGGTGACTACTGTCACCTACAAACTGGCACCACTAATGGTTCCCCTTAACCCTACTAATATTAGTTGCCCTGTAGTGAATTAAAGTCCATTTCATTTGGGAAACAGAATTAAATGATTACATTTTTTACTACAATGTTTTCTCCCCAGTTGGGTAATTTTTTCTTTCCTCCTATTAAAATTTATTTTCAGCCACACGTCTTATGACTCATGTCAATCTTCCCCTAATTTCATTTCCTTCATCTATCATCATTAGGTATTCAAAGGAGTAGCAAACAGTAGGACACTTTCATAAATATTTGTTGAATAAATTAATAAATATTATCATATTAGCTCACTATTATACATAGAAATGACTGTAGCAAATATTCATTAAATTTGAAATCTGATTATGCAGATGGGGGAAAAAGTACCATTTGTGGAACAAGCAGAGAAAAAATATGTTAGTCACCATTCCTCCAACTCTTATTTGTCCCATGTTTGAACTCCACAATATTAATTGCCTATTTTAATAGTACTGACTATGTATCAATGTTCCAAAAGGAGTACTGGGTTAAATATTTCTATAGGAAAAAATATATATGGAAAGAGATAAATCCCTTTAAGGAGGCTTGGTACTAAACCTCTCTATTTAAGGCTGCATTGCCTACAGTTGGCCAAACTACTATGTAGCCAGAAAAATACAACCAAACAACAACAAAAGCAGCTGAATTAAGTAAAACTCAAACAATCTTAACCTCTTTGTTTTCATTTGTAACTATCTCACATTTGGAGGTTTGGATTAGATGAATTAAGTCTCAATTGAAAAGTAAAATTTTTTTGTGTGTGAACAAGTGAAGCAATTTGTGCTTTACTTTGAACTCTGCAAATTGTCATTAAACAATTTTAGTACCTATTTTGCACCAAGAAGTATTTTTTACATTTTAGAGATAATGTACAGACAAAAACAAAGTCCTAGACTTACAGAGTGCATCATTTTTAATCTACTTTTAATCAATAGATTAGTGAGGGAAAATTAAGTTTTTAATTTTAAGGAAGTCCAATTTTTCAGTTTTCTTCTTTCTTTCATAGATCATGCTTTGGTATTGTATCCATAAACTCATTGCCAAACTTAAGTTCATCTAGATATTCTGCCATGTTGTCTTAGGAATTTATCAAAACTGATCATTCTGTGTTTTGCTTTTAGTTCTGTGATTCAGTTTGAATTTATTTTTGTGAGGATTGTAAGAAATGTATTTATATTCATTTCTTTCATGTGGATGTCCAGTTGTTAACAGCACTACTTGCTGAAAAGATTATCCTTTCTTTGTGGTCTTTGCTCCTTTGTCAAGATCAATTGACTACATTTGTGCAGGGCTATTTCTGACTTCTCTATTCTGTTATCTTGATCAATTTGTCTATTCTTTTGCTAACACCACACTGTTTTGGTTAATGTAGCTTTATAGAAACTCTTAAGATAAGATAGTGTCAGTTCTTCAGCTCTTCTGTTTTGCTCTTCTTCACTATTGTGTTAGCCATTCTGGGCTTTTGCTTTCCATGTGGAATTTAGAATCAGTTTATTAGTATCTACAAAATACCTTGCTGGAATTTTGACTGAGATTGTGTTGAAACTATATATAAATTTAGGAAAAATCAACATCTTAACAATATTTCTTCCCACCCATAAATATGGAATATCTCTCAATTTATTTATATCTTCTTTAATGTCTTTCTTCAGAGCTTTGTGGATTTCACAGTGTAGATCCTTTATGTATTTTTATGGATTTGTATCTAAATACTTCTCTTTTTCTGTGTTTCTTTTGTTACTTTTAACCTATCTGTGTCCTTATATTTAAAGTGGATTTCTTGTACACAATACATAGTTTACTCTTGTTTATTTTTATCTACACAGAAAGTCTGTCTTTTAATGGATATATTTAGAGCATTTTAATGAGTATATTTAGAGCAGTCATATTTGAAGTCATTGTTGACATAGTAGGATGAATAACTACTACATATGTACTTGCTTTTCGTTTGTTGCCCTTTTTATTTGTTTCTTTATTATTTTCCCCTCTTTTTCTGCCTTCTCAGGTTGTAATTGAGCTTTTTATGACTCCATTTTTACTTCCCTCTTAGTATATCAATTTTATTTATATTTTCAATTTACTTTAGTGATTTCCCTAATATTAGAAATATACATTTAAAACTAATATAAGACTACTATACTAAAACACTTCATGGATAATGCATGTGGTTTATAGTAGAATATTCAAAACCTCACCTTCCTTATCTCTTATAACATGGCTGTAATTCATTTTACTTATCCATAAGGCATAATCAGCATATAGACCATTGTTATTATTATTTCACAGAAGAGCTGTTAGCTAAATTAAATATAAACAAGATCTTGTTTTTATTTATTTTTTAATTCTCTTTTTTAATGTATACATAAGTTACTGACCCATATCATTTTTCTTCTCTCTGAAGAATTTCTTTTATAGCTCTAGCAAGGAGGATGAACTGAAAATATGTTCCCCAATTTTTGTTTGACTGAGGAGTTTCATTCCTTCTTTACATTTGAAGGATAATTTAACTTGATACAGAATTCCAGTTGGGTGTGTTTTTTAATGAAATTTTCAACATTTTAATTATTTCACTCCACTTGTTTCTTCTTTGCATGGTTTCTAAGAGAAGTCCAATGTAATTCCTATACTTATACCTCTCTAAGTAAGGTGATTTTTTTTCTCTGGCTTATTTTCTTCTTTGATTTTCTGCAGCTTCTATAAAATATTTCTTAGGCATAGTATTTTGTGTTGTTTTGCTTTTAGTTTCTGTATATTCTGTTTGATTTCTCTGAAATTCCAGTATCTGAAGTTTGGTACCTGTCATTAGTTTTGGAAAATTCTCAGCCATTATCATTTTAAATATTTATTCTGTTCCTACATGTTTTCTTTCTTCTTCTTCTGGTATTCCCATTACACATAAGTTACCCCTTTTTAAATTGTTCCACATTTCTTGGGTATACGGTTCTGTTTCCTTTTTCAGTCTTTATTTTTAATTTTTAGTTTAGATAGCTTCCATAGACGTATCTTCAAGCTCACTATTTTTTTCCTTAGCTGTATCCAGTTTAATAATTTCATGAAAGACTGTAACTTTTTCATTTCTATTACAATGGTTTTGATTTTTAGCATTTTCTTTTGGTTATCTTCTTAAAGTTTTCAGCTGTCTGCTTACATCACCTATCTTTTCTTGCATGCTGTCAACTTTATTCCATTATACTTCTTAGCATAATATAGTTAGTTTAAACTACCAATTCATTAATTCAAAAATCTCTGCCATATCTGATTCTGGTTCTGTTGCTAGTTTTTTCTCTTCACACTGTATTATGTGCCTTTTACCGTGCCTTCTGGGTTTTTATTGAAAGCCAGACATGATGCCCTGGTAAAAGAAACTGATGTGAGTAGATCATTAGTGTGAGCTATTGCATTTGTCTTGCCAGGAGTTAGGCTGTGTTTACTGCTTGCTGCAGCTGTAGATGCCGGAAGTTTCCATTTCCTCCAGTGTCCTTGTTTTTGTCTCCCTTTTTGCATTTGAGTTTGTATGCAAACTCAAAAAATACTTATTTTTATTTATTTATTTTTATTTATTTATTTTTTTTGAGACAGAGTCTTGCTCTGTCGCCCAGTCTGGAGTGCAGGCGCAATCTCGGCTCACTGCAAGCTCCGCCTCCCAGGTTCACGCCATTCTCCTGCCTCAGCCTCCTGAGTAGCTGGGACTACAGGCGCCCGCCACCAAGCCCGGCTAACTTTTTGCATTTTTAGTAGAGACGGGGTTTCACCGTGTTAGCTAGGATGGTCTCGATCTCCTGACCTCATGATCCGCCCGCCTTGGCCTCCCAAAGTGCTGGGATTACAGGCGTGAGCCACTGCGCCCGGCCTAAAAGACACTTCTTAAATAAAGTTATATCCTCATAAATTTTTCAACTATATTTCACTATTATTATGCTACAGCCTTGTTGATGTGGGATAAAATGTGAGAAAGGAGGAAGTATTCCATAACCTTCTGACTAGGTCTCAGTCTTTCAGTGAACCTGTGCCCATGGGTTGCGACCCTAACAAATACATCTCAGCTTTTCTTTCATCTCCCATAGGTGAGACAGGAAAGTTTGAGGGGTCTTCAAGGGGTTATTTCCCTTCTTCCATGTTAGGTGGGTTCTAATAAACTAGGTTTTTCTTGAGGGGAGACCTTTGTTAAACAGAACAGAATGCTCTGGGTATATTTAAACATGGTTGCTTTTCTCCTTTCCTTGCAGGAAACGGGTAGAAATTTTTCTCAGATTGTTACAGTGATAACCTGGTGAGTCTCCTGGAGGTAAAACTCATGAAAGAGCAGTGTTCCCCTTGAGGCTTGACCTCTAGGAGATTTAACTTCCAACTAGTCCACATTGAGCAACCACCAATTCATCAGTTATAGTTTAAGTTTCTCTGTAATTTATTGGCACCAATGATGGTTTCTGCTCCTAGTAAGCTGTGGTTCCCTGTATTCACTTGTTTCTCCAGTTTTAGGCGTGGTGGTTTTCTCTGTGATTAGAAGAAGAGTTGTCACTATACAGTTTGTTCACTTGTTCTTGATGCAGAGAAGACAGTGACAACTGCCAAGTCATTTACATGTAAGAGCAGAAACAAGCAGCCTGATTCCTCATTTTTCTAATCTGATGCAATGCAGGGAAAAAAGCCAGGGGGACTATCAATACATTTTCTGTACGGAACTTTTGAAGATAAAAAGAGCAACAGCAATGATTATAATGTCTGACACATAATATATAGAAATAAAAAGTTATTTTCTTTAATAATGCTGAAATTAACAGACATATAGTAGTAAAGAACACAAACTCAATGGCCACAATCTATGGGTTCAAAGTCATCTCTACTACTCCTTAGGCCATGATTTTATGGAGTTATTTCACTGTTCAGTGCCTTAGTTTCTACATTTTGGAAAACTCATGCCTAGCACACAGCAAGGTCAAGATAAGCATGAGTTATTATTACTAAGACAAATACATTCAATAAATCTGTTATTTATTAGGACATTCATTTACATATTAAGCCTTCAAACAAACAAACATAGTGTGGGTTTACCATATGTAAGGAACTTCGCTAATGCTGGGCATTCACAGACATAATTTCTGCCCTAAGAAAACTACATTTTGAAAAGACAAACTATAACTATGTTTCATTTGATATGCAGCATGTAAATAAATAGGTTTTTGTTAAAAATATAAGGAAAAAAAAGACCACCTCTGGTTTAGACAATCTAGAAGAACCTCATAAATCTTCTACCAGTGCCTCAAAACAATTGGCACTGATAATTGAATAATACCTCTCAATTCACATAAACAGGGATAGAGCATTATGGAAAGAAGAAACAGCAGGCAGTGCACAGAAACATGGGGAATTGACTAGATGTTGAGAGAAAATCTATGAATACAGATTCAGAGTATAGAAGGGAATATGTTTAGAAATCTTTTCAATTGGAAAGAGTCTACAGGATGAAGAGAATGCTCTATGGTCTCCAAATTCTTTTTTATTTCCCCTGGAACATTAAGAGAAATTACATTTCCCAGTCCTCTTTGCAGTTTGCAGGGACCATGGCCTGAGTTTTAGCCAATGGAATGTGGATAAAATTCATATTCCCAATTCTATACCCAACACATAATACTTAATTCATCTCACCCTTCCTGAAGTTAAAGTACAGGTGTACATCAAAGATGGTGGATTCGGAAGACACAGGAAGAATAGAACATCTGAAAGACCTTTGTGTTTTAAGGCACTGGAATTTTGTGATTGTTATATACCTATATAACATGACTTACCTTGACTAATGTAGAAATTGTTTCCCCCAAGTGATGTGATCCCATAAGGGTAACATAAATAAAATAAAATAAAATAAAATAAAATAAAATAAAATAAAATAATAAAACATAAAAGCATAGAATTGGCAGTGGCTATGACTTAGCTGGCATTAGAGGTCAGAAAGCTAGAGGCCTTGCCATGCGGTGGTGTAAGAGTGTTCTTGGTGTTACCCTGGAGTATCCAAGTGGACACAGTCTAATCACAGGAGCCCTTAAAAGTAGGAACTCCCTCCCATTGGAGTTAAGGATATGAGAGAGAGCAGTCTGATGGTTTCCAAGTGTGAGAAGGATTTGATTCAACCATACTGGTTTTGAGATATAGGGGCCATGAACACAGACAGAAAGAGACTTCTAAGTACAATGATCAGTGCCCTGGCGATAGCCACCAAGAACATGGGAACTTCATTCCTATAACCAATGTGTATTCCTACCACAAACAACTGCCAAAATGTTGATTGAACTAGGAAGCAGATATTTCTCCGGAGCCTTGAACAGGAAACAGTGCTCTGCTGACGTGTGATTTCAGTTTTCCGATAAGCAAAGCAGTGGATGCTGTTGAGCCATGTTGTATGCTCAGACTTCTGACCACCAGAGTGGTGAGATGATATGTGGGTGTTCTAAACCACCAAGTTTGTGGTTATCTGTTATGACTGCAATATGAAACTAATAAAAAGAGAAAGCACATGAAACCAGAAGGAATAGAACAAGGAGAAGAAACAACACAAAATGCAGCCCTAAATGCTGATAAACAAGACAAGGTCAAGTAAGGAAGGAAATCAACATTGTTTGAACACTTAATATATCCTAGACACATTCTTAATGTTCAATTATTTAACGGATATATATTGACTACCTAATATTTTTTAGGTCCTGCACCACACACAGGAATATTACAGTGAACAAAAATAGTCTCCTTTGTAAGTATAATCTAGCAGAAGAGTTGGGCATGAACACATTCCCACAATTAACTATATTTTCAAGTTACAATAAGTGCAGGAGAAGAGGTGCATTGAGTGAGCATAGCCTCGAAGATTTAGAGGTTAGAAAAACACCCTTGAAAAATGGCTTTTAAGCTGCTTGGAGAAATATTGTTCAGTCTATTATCCCATTTAATCCACACAATCTTATAAGGAAAGCTCATTTTTCTTTATTATTTTATAAAGAAATTTGATTGAAAGAGGTTGAGTAATTTGCCCAGATAGCACAGCAATGGGCATTTCTGGACTTTGACACTATGTTGCTGTTTTTATTTCCTACCTTTCAGCATGTTCTCCCAGGTTAGTCTTCAATTGCTACAGAAATAAGGTAAAATGAGTAGTGAAAACCATACACTGGTTTGAGCAATGAGGGCTGCTATTTCCTTTTTTTTTTTTTTAGCAGAGATATAAATGAGGACAAAATCCCAGGCAAACAATGCAGAACAGGACAATTACAGGGGAGAAACTCATCAGAGAAAGCTGAAGGCAGCTTGCTTTTGTTATGGTTTTTGTTAGTTTTTTGCTGCCATAACAAATCACCACAAAGTTACTGGCTTAAAACAACTTTGCTTTATTTGCTTTCAGTTCTGTAACTCAAGAGTCCAGCATGGTATACATAGATTCTTGGCTCATGGCAAGAGGCTGAATTCAAGGGGGCTGCCATGTGCACTTTTGTCTTCATGCTTGATTTAGAAAAATGTGCTCCTGGCCAGGCGCGGTGGCTCAGGCCTGTAATCCCGGCACTTTGGGAGGCCGAGGAGGGCAGAATACCTGAGGTCAGGAGTTCTAGACCAGCCTGGCCAACATGGCAAAACCCCATCTCTACTAAAAATACAAAAATTAGCCAGGCGTGATGATGGGTGCCTGTAATCCCAGCTACTTGGGAGGCTGAAGCAGGAGAATCGCTTGAACCCGGGAGGCAGAGGCTGCAGTGTCTTTTTTGACAAGAATCTAAATTATGTACATTATCCATGTAAGATTGTATGCATCCATGTGGCACTTTAATGGAGATAATGAGAGCTCAATTTGATTTCATTTGTCCTAAGAATTACCTTAGTAGTCTTAATTCCTTCTTTAATTTGATTTTTATTTTTTTCTGGAGGATTTGATTCCTTATTATTAGTTAGTTTATTTTGGTCAATCAAGGGAACGTTAAGAAATGTTTGGAAACAACGTTGGCCTCATAAAGATTTTGGTTCTGTATTTCTCTGATAACGCCATTCTCATGATGGGAACTCAAGCGAGAGAAGTTTTGCAGCTACAATCTCAACAAGAAATATATTTGTTCCTCTTCCATAAGAAATGTTTTGCTACTGCTAGGTAATGCTGTTTCCAGCATAATAAGAAATAAGAAAGTACATTCATAGCAAAATATGGCAGGAGGTAGCTTTGAAACACTAGGAGAAGCTGAAGTATTATAAACATGGTACCAGTTATTCAGCTAGGAATTCAGATGATCAAATTGTGGCTAATAAATGAGGTAAGAAGATATACAAAAGTTTAGGGAACATATAAAACACATATATTTCAAAAATGTCAGGAAAATACTTGCAAACAAACACTTAAACATTCAATATGTATTAGACACCATTATTAACATTTATCAATAATGGTTAATTCATTTAATCTCTATGGCAAACCTGTGAGGTAGACACTTTCACTCTTCCCATTTTATAAATTATGATACATAGTCTCAGAGAGGTTAAGTTATTGTATCGAAGTCACACAGCTGTTCTGTGATGGGGCCAGGGCCAGAACCTGAGCCCAGCAGGCTGAGTCTTGAGTATATATTACGTTTTTACAAAGTTAGCAATGACTTTTTAAAAGTTTTTTATTTGTTTTTTATATCTTCATATCTGAAAATATATCAAACTATTGCTAGCTAGCTTCAAATATAATATATTTTACCATATTTGCATTAGGCTACATGCTAACACATACTCACAATGTGAGAACAAAGAAGAAATAAACGTGCTCCAATGATTACATTGGTTCTGAGAACAAAGTAATTGTACTTGAGAAGAAATAAGCTGCTCCAACTGTACTATTTTGTAACTGAGCTCTCTCCTGGTGACATTGTAATCATTTAGTGCCAGGTCTTCAAACACTCTCACATGCTCACTTCCTTGCACTCCAAGGACTGGTGTATAATCTATTCTAACGGCTAAGGAGATTAATTGCTGGCAAAACTTTTATTTTAATTTTACAGAGAGAAGATTGCCTCAGTAGCTGAGCCATGTATGCCTATGACATACATTATCTATATAAGATGGTGTCAGATCTCAACTTAAGAGCTGATTCCATCAGGGAGATCATGTGATTAAGTAAGCATGCAGATGTTGTCAAACATTATACACGATTCCATGTATTTTAATATTTTATTTCCCAAACAAACTTGATTCACACCTCAGTGAAATTTATTTTAGTATTAATTATAAAACACATTTTAAAAAAAAAAACAAGGCTTAAGTAATAATTTTCTCCTAAGTGGGGACTCTGTTTTCTTGCCTGGTGGGGGCCATGGATGTACACGAGGGCACACTGTAGAGGAAAGCCATTCAAGAAATGAGGACCCAATAAGTTTTTAACTCTCCAAAACTCAATTTTTTCTTCTGGAAAAAATGAATAATAATGACAATCACATGCAGGATTGGGGAAAAGAATAGGAATAATATGTATGTCATAAACAGACTATGTGGTGCTTACAACATGGTAGCTCATTTGAATAGATGGAAAGATCAGAACATTTTTCATATTTCATAAAAATTTTGGGGTTGTCTAGCTCCACAGCTCAATAGTCAAGAACATGCATTTGAGAGTCAGAGAAGCTTAGAATTAAATTATGGATCTGCAACTACTTAACAGCATGGCCTCAGAATTCTACATTCACCTTTGTGATTCCATTTGCTGATACTATAATTTTAAAAAACAAAAATTTGCCATCTGCATCTTTTTCCTTAGCTCAGGCATGACTGACTTCTGAAAAATTCTGAAAATTAAAATATTTTAAATGAACACTTTTTTCTGCTGTCTTCTCCACTTTAGATTATAGCATCTTCAGCTACCCAGTTGTTCTCATTATAAGTTCTGACGTAAAGAAATTGAGAAATCTTCCCTCTCACTCACAGAATCTCCTGGCAAATCTGTCCATTGTACCTTCAAACTATACCTTGATTCAGTATCCTTCTCTATACCAGCAAGCACCATGTGATTCAAGCTACTGCTATCTCTCATGCAGATACTTCTCTTAACCACATCATTCAGTCTATTGTCCATAAGTACCCAGATGAAGCACTCACCTGCCAAGACTATGCTTGAATATTGCCAATGGCTTCTCGGTAAATTTAGACTGAAATGGAAAAATTCTGACCATGGACACTGTATCATCTGATTCTCAGCTGCAGGATTTCTTCTCTTGTTTGATTCTTCCAGACTTGCTAGCTCTCCTTAAATTTCCAAAAATACCATGCCTTTTCCTCACTCAGGGCTGTTTCTCTAGCTTGGAACACTAATTAAAGATCGTTTTGGTCTCAAGTTCATGCAAACTGTATCAGAGATTTTTCTTCTGATTCCCTCAGTCAAAATCAGATGTCCTAGACACACTTCACTTTACTTTAGAGGGTACACCAGCCCCACAAGGTGTGCTGCTGTAAAGACACACTTAGTAAAAAATACAACAAGCGTACCACATGTGTCTGCCCACCTGTCTGTGTGCTATTTCAATTTCTACTAGCCGATGATTTCCCTGACAGTTATATAGCATGTACGTACAAATGTGCACATACACACACACATGATAAATACCTAGTGCACCATATTTATATTTTAGAAAATAAAAAATATAGAAACACATTTTGGAAAATAGCTAGAAAAATATTACCTGTAGAGAAGCAAAAAAAAGAATTATATCCTGTTTCTCCTCAGAAATCACATGATATGGTTTAGCTCTATGTCCCCACCCAAATCTTATCTCGAATTGTTAATCCTCACATGTCAAGGGAGGGAGGTGGTTGGATCATGGAGGCAGTTTTTCCTATTCTGTTCTTGTGATAGTGAGTGAGTTCTTACAAGATCGAATGGTTTTATAAGTGTTTGTCAGTTCCTCCTCCCCACATGCTGTCTGTCCTGCCACCTCGTGAAGAAGTTTACTGTGCCCCCTTCCCCTTCTTCCATGATTGTAAGTTTCCTGAGGCCTCCCCAGCCATGTGGAACTGTGAGTCAATGAAACCTCTTTCCTTTATCAATTACCCAGTCTCAGGTATTTCTTTATAGCACTGTGAAAACAGATTAATATAGTAAATTGGTACTGGGATAGTGGGGTACTGCTGTAAAGATAACCTGAAATTGTAGAAGCAACTTTGGAACTGGGTAACAGGAAGAGGTTGAAACAGTTTGGAGGGTGAGAAGAAGGTAGGAAGATGTGAGAAAGTTTGAAACTTTCTAGAGATTTTTTGAATGGTGTTGACCAAAATGCGGATGATGATGTTGTATTAGTCTGTTCTCATGCTGCAAATAAAGACAAACCTGACACTGGTTAATTTATAAAGAAAAGAGCTTTAATTGACTCACAGTTCAGCAAGGCTGGGGAGGCCTCAGAAAATGTATAATCACAGTGGAAGGGGAAACAAACAGATCCTTTCTCATGTGGCAGCAGGAAGGAGAAGTGCCAAGCAAAAGGGGAAAAACCCCCTTATAAAAACATCAGATCTCATGTGAACTCACTCACTATCACAGGAACAGCATGAGGGTAACCACCCCCATGATTCAATTACTTCCAACTGAGTCCCACCACATTTGGGGATTATGGGATGAAATTTGTGTGGGGACACAGCCAAACCATATTAGATGTGGACAATGAAGTCCAGGCTGAGGTGGTCTCAAATGGATACGCGGAACTTCTTGGGAACTGGAGCAAATGTCACTCTTGCTGTGCTGTAGCAAACAGACTGGTGGCAAATTGCCCCTGCCTTAGAGATCTGTGGAAATTTTACTGGAAAGAGATGATCTGAAATTGGAACTTATGTTTAAAAAGGAAGCAGAGCATAAAAGTTTGGAAAATTTGCAACCTGACGATGCAATAGAAAAAAAAAATTTCTAGGGAGAAATTCAAGCCAGCTGCAGAAATTTGCATAAGTAAGGAGGAGCCATATGCTAATCACTAAGACAATGGGAAAAATGTCTCGAGGGCTTGTCAGAGATCTTGGTGGCAGCCTCTCACATTGCAGGCATGGAAGTCTAGGAGGAAAAATGATTTTGTGGACCAGGCCCAGGACCTGGCTGCTGTGTGTAGCCTTGGGATCTCGTGCCCTGCATTTGAGCCACTACAGCTCTAGTGTGGCTAAAAGGGGTCAGGGTACAACTTGGGCTGTTGCTTTAGAGGGTGCAAGGGCCAAATCTTGGAAGCTTCTACGTGGTGTTTTGCCTGCAGGTACACAGAAGTCAAGAATTGAGGTTTGGGAACCTCCACCTAGATTTCAGAGGATGTTTGGGAATGCGCGGATGTCCAGGCAGAAGTCTGCTGCAGGGGTGGAGCCCTCATGGAAAGCCTCTACTAGGGCAATACAGAAGAAAAATGTGGAGTTGGAGCCCCCACACATAGTTTCCACTGAAATCCTGCCTAATGGAGCTGTAAGAAGGGGGCCACTGTCCTCCATACCCCAGAATGACAGCTTGCACTGTGTACCTGGAAAAGCCATAGACAGACAATGCCAGCTGTGAAAGCAGCCAGGGGAGGGTATCGGGGAGGTTGAACCCTGCAGTGCCACAGGGTGGGAGCCCAACTTTTACATCAGTGTGACCTGGATGTGAGACATGGAGTAAAAGATTATTTTGGAGCTTTAAGACTTAATGACTGCTCTGCTGGATTTCAGACTCACATGGGACTTATAGCTCTTTTGTTTTGGCCAATTTCTCCCATTTGGAATGGAAGTATTTATCCAATGCTTACACCCACATTGTGTCTTGGAAGTACCTAACTTGTTTTTGACTTTACAGGTTCACAGGTAGAAGGGACTTGCCTTGTCTGAGATGATAATTTGAACTTGGATTTCTGAATTAATGATGAAATAAGTTAAGACTTTTTGGGACTGTTGGGAAGGTATGATTGTGTTTTGAAATGTGAAAATACATGAGATTTGGGAGGGGCCATGGGCAGAATGATATCGTTTGGTTCTGTGTCCCAACCCAAATCTCACCTCACATTATAAAATCCACACATCTAGGGAAGGACCTGTAATCCCCACATGCTGAGGGAGGGAGGTGAATGGATCATGAGGTGGTTTCTCCTATGCTGTTCTCATGATAGTGAGTGAATTCTCATGAGATCTGATGGTTTTATAAGTGTTTGACAGTACCTCCTTCACACATGCTCTCTCTGTCCTGCTGCCTTGTGAAGAAAGTGTTTGCTTCTCTTTCCCCTTCCACCATTGTAAGTTTCCTGAGGCCTCCCAGCCATGCAGAACTGTAGGTCAATTAAACCTTTATCCTTTACCCAGTCTCGGGTATTACTTTACAGCAGCATCAAAAAAAACTAATACACCATGTAAGCAAGAAGAGTGGAGTGAAATATTTAAAGTTGACAGACAAAAGCATGAAGTTAGTACTCTGAATCTTGCAAAATTATCCTTCAAAAGTGAAAGCTAAAATTTTCTCAGTCTAACAAAAGTTCAGAGAATTTGTTGCCAATAGCCCTGTCTTGCAAAATATGCTAAAAGAAGTTCTTAAGAGTGAAGTAAAATGATATAGATCAGAAACTCGGATCTGCATAAAGAAAAATAATTACAAAAGGTATAAGTGAAGGTAGAATAAAACTTTTATTTTTATTATTATTAATCAATCTAACAGCAAAACGTTTGTTAAAATAATAATAGCAACAATGTGTTTCATAATAATAGGTTATATATAAGTGAAATGAATGACAACAAAGATAAAAGAAATGAGATAGAGGAATTAGGAATATTTTGTTATTAGAAGGTATTTGAACTATCTGTGAAGAGAAGTAGTTATTTGAAGTTGCTTTAGATTCAGTGTAAATGTATATTGCAAACTCTAAAACCACTTTAAAAATAAGTGAAAAAATAAGGAGCTGACATGTTAAGAATGGAGAGTAAATGGAAGCATATAAAATGTGCAATTGAAATAAAAAATGCAGAAACAGAATGGAAGACAAAAATGAAACAAAGAAGAAGGGCAATGAATAGAAATAACAATAAATATTATAGACATTTATCTAATGGTATCAATAACCAGTATAATGTCAATGGTCTAAACATACCAATTAAAACACAGGTTGTCAGAGTGGATAAAAATATAAAAATCAACTATATGTTTTTTATAATAGACCCACTTAAATATGAAGATACACACAATTCAAAGTAAGAGGATACAGAAAGACATACAATGTTTATACAAATCAAAAGAAAGCTGGGGTAGAAAGACTTATTTCAGAGACAGCAGACTAAAAAGCAAGAAAAAGTAACAGGAGTAAAGTACTGAACCATAGTAAAGGGATTAGCTCTCTAAAAAGATTTAATAGTCTTTAGTGTGTATGTGTCTAACAGCAAAGTATCAAAATATGTAAGGCAAAATGGATAGACCTGCAAGGAGAAAAGGGTGAATTCGCTATTATCTTTGCAACTTAAACACCCCTCTACCAGAGATGGACAGACCCAGGAAACATAAAGGCAGTAAGCTTATAGTTGAACTCAATATTAACCATCAATCAAGTGGATCTAATTGGTATTCACAACATTCTTCTCAAGCTCACATGGGACATTAACAAAGTTAGACCAGATTCTGGGCCATAAAACACAACTTAAAATATTTAAAAGAACAGAAATCATACAATATATGCTCTCACACTACAATGGAACTAAACTAGAAATCAATAACAGAAAGATATCTAGAAAATCACAAAACACTTGAGGATTAAACAACACTCTTCTAAAGAAAACATGGCTCAAAAAAGAAAGATCAAAAGATATTAAAAATATTTCAAACAAAGTAAATAAAAATAAAAACGCCACTTTTCAAAGTGTGTGGGATGTAGAGATAGCAGTGCTTAGAAGGAAATTTAGGACATATACTGCATTTGCAGAACAAAAGTGAGCTCAAAATCAATAATATTAGTATCCACTTTAGAAAATTAGAAAAATAAGAGTAAATGAAATTCAATGTAACTGGAAGAAAATAATAAACTTAGAGCAAAAGCCTGTGAAAATGAAAAAAAAAATCAATAGAGAAAATTTTTTTAAAGAGCTGATTCTTGGAAAAGATCAATAAAATTAGTAAAACAGTAGCTAGGCTAACTAGGAATAAAAAAAAAGAGACAAGACACAAATTACTAATATCAGACATGAAAGAGGAGACATAAGTATAGATCACATGGAAATTAAAGGAATAACAAAAAATACTATAAAATAACAACTCTCTGCCCACAAATTTGACAATGTTGGTGAAACGGGCTGATTTCTTGAAAGATACAATTTGCCAGAACTCACACAAGAAGAAACAGTCATTCTGAATAGTCCTATATCTATAAAAGAAATTGAAGCAATAATTAATAACCTTTCCAAGCAGGAAGCAAAACGCTTCTACCAAATGAATTCTACCAAACATTTTAGGAAGAAATTATACCAATTTTCTACAAGCATTTCCAGAAGGCAGAATTGGAGAAAATATTTTCCAACTCATTTGAGGCAGGTATTACACTAATATAAAAACAATATAAAGACATTACAAGAATAGAAAATTACAGGCAAAGACAGTGAACAAAATGACAGCAAATAAAATCCAACAGTGTATACAACTATACACTACAGCCACTTGGAATTCATTTCAGGCTCCAAAGCTGTTTCATCATTTTAAAATTAATTATTGTAATTTATCATATTCACAAGCTAATAAAAAATCACATGATCTTATCTATGTGTACACAAAAAAAAGTATGATAAAATTTAACATCTGTTCATGAAGAAAACTCTCAGCAAGCTAGAAATAGAGGAAAACCTCCTGAACTTGAAAAAGAACATTTACAGAATAACTGACATCACACATAATGGTAGAAAACCAAAAGCTTTTCCACTGAGATCAGGAACAAGGCAAAGATGTTTCCTATCACCATTCCTTTTAAAAATCATACAGGAAGTCCTAGCTAATGTAATACTATGTGAAAAGGAAATAAAAGGTGTACTGATTTGAAGAATGTTTTGTTTGCAAGCTTTTTAAGCAAGTTTTAACAAGTTTTCTTTGTTTGCAAGCTTGATAGTGTACATAGAAAATACTATAATTGACAAAATAACTCCTAGAACTAATAAGTAATATAGCAAGCTTGCAGGATATGAAGTTAATATATAAATTTTAATCACTTTTCTATATACCATGAATGACCTAGTGCAGTTTGAAATTAAAGATGCAATATCATTTACATTAGCACCCCAAAGATGAAATATTTCAGCATAAATCTTTTTAAAAATGTTCAAGATCTATATTAGAAAAACTATGAAACTTGAATGAAATTAATTTAAAAACAACTAAATTAATAAAGTATTGTTTTCTATTTATGGATAGACTCAATTGTCAAGATGTCAATTCTTTGCTATTTTATTTATAGATTTATTACAATTCCAGTAGAAGCCTTAGAGAGTTATATTTTGAATATTACCACACTGATTCTAAAGTTAAGATTGGAAAACAGAAGATACACAATGGGCAATACAATATTGTAGAACAAAGTTGAAGGATTGACTGACACTGCCTAACTTTATGACTTGCCATATAACTACAGTAATCAAGATATACATATATATATTTATATATGTATATATGCATATATTTGGTGGGTCTATTTCTGGGTTATTTATTCTGTTCTATTGATCTATCTGTGTCTGTGTGTGTGTGTGTATTACACACACAGTATTCTCTCTCTCTCTGTCTATATATATATATATATATATATATATATATATGTATAAAATGCACACACACACAATTAATGCAAAAGGGATCATACACCTAAATGTAAATCACAAGTTTACAAAAATTCTAGGAATAACAGAAGACAATCTAAATGACCTTACATTTGGTGATGACTTTTTAGATATATAACCAGAGGCATAGTTCATGAAAGAAATTATTGATAAGCTAGAGTTCAGCAAAATTAAACATATCTGCTCTACAATTGACACTCTCAAGGAAATGAGAAGAGAAGCCATATATTGGGGAAAAATATTGCCAAAAAATATTTTCAAAAGGCATATCCTACAAGGGAATGTTGTTCAAAATATACCAGGAACTAAAGAGGGAAATGCAAGCCAAAACAAGGAGATTTGGGGGCAGAGCAAGAGGGCAGAATAGAAGCTCACAGTACTGTTCATCCCTCCTACCCCGACCACATGCTGGAATACCAAATTTTAACAACCAACCACATGCAGAAAAGCACCATTACAAGAACCGAAAATCATGTGAACAATCACAGTACCTGGTTTAAACTTTATATTATGGAAAGAGTATTGAGGAGGGCCGAAGAGACAGTCATAAATTGCCAATGCCAACAACTGTGGCATAAATTGCCAATGCCATGCACTGTGGAGACAGAATCTGTGCATCTTGGGGAGGAAGAGCACAGCAACTGAGGGACTTTACATCAAACTCAGTGCTGCCCTGCTACAGCAGAGAATAAAACCATATTGGGATTAGCCAGGGCCGGCACAAGGAGGGAAAATATTTACCAGCCCTAGCTGGAGAGGAATGGCCCATCCCAGCAGTTGGAAGTTTCTCTGCAAGCCTTGCCATCATAGGCTGAAGGGCTCTGGGGTCCTAGGTAAACTTGAAAGGCAGTATAGGATACAAAGACTGCAATTGCTAGGCAAATCCTAGTGCTAGGCTGGGCTTAGAGCAGGTGGGTTAGGGTGACATGTTACCTAAGGAGACACTAGCTGGAATAGCTAAGGGAAGACTTGTGCCTTTCCTCTTCAAACCCCAGTATTCGATTTAAGCACCAGCTTAGCTGTAGTAGAATAGAACACCTGGTAAATTGTTAAAGTTTTTGAGTTTTGAGTCCAATCCCTGGCTCCCAGATAGCATCTCTGGACATGTTCAGGGACTGGGGATCTTGCCACCCTGAAGATAAGGGCTTTGGGTAAGGCTAAGTACTGTGCTGGCTTCAGGTCTGACCCAGCACAGTCCCAGTGGTGGTGGCCACAGAGGTGCTTGCATCACCACATCCCTAGTTCCTGGTGGCTCAACACAGGGAGAAAGAGACTCTGCTTGTTTCTGAGAAAATAAAGGAAAACACCAAGACACTGGCTGGTAATTGAGAGAATTTTTCTGGATCTTTTCCAAGACCTCCAACATAGTACCTCTATGAGTCTGTAAAATCAACAGCATTATTTGGCTTAGGGTACAAGTAAGTCTTCCCAAGAAGGACAGGCACAAACAAGCCCAATCTGAGAAGACTATAATAAATACCTAATTCTTTAATGCCCAGACACCAAAGAACATTTACAATCATCCACAGCATCCAAGAAAACAAGACTTCACCAAATGAAGTAAATAAGTCACCAGGGAGCAATCCTGGAGAAACAGAGATATACGACCTTTCAGACAGAGAATTCAAAATAGCTGTTTTGAGGGAACCTGAGGAAATTCAACAAAACACAGAGAAGGAATTCAGAATCCCATTATATATATTTAACAAAGAGATTGAAATAAGTGAAAGAATCTAGTGGAAATTTTGGAGTTGAAAAATGCAAATGACATATTGAAGAATGTATCAGAGTATCTTTTTTTTTTTTTTTTCCAGACAAGTCTTGCTCTGTTGCCCAGGCTGGAGTGCAGTGGTGCAATCTTGCAACCTCCGTTTCCCAGGTTCAAGCAATTCTCCTGCCTCAGCCCCCCGAGTGGCTGGAAGTGCAGGCATGTGCCACCACCCCTGGCTTATTTTTGTATTTTAAGTAGAGATGGGATTTTACCATGTTAGCCAGGCTGGTCTCAAACTCCTGACCTCAGGCAATCTGCTTCCTTGGCCTCCCAAAATGCTGGGATTACAGGCATGAGTCACTTTGCCTGGTCACAGCAAAGTATCTTAATAGCAGAATTGATCAAGCAGAAGAAAGAATTAGTGAGCTTGAAGACAGGCTATTTGAAAATATATAGTTAGAAGAGACAAAAGAAATAAGAATAAAAAACAATGAAGCATGCCTACAAGATCTAGAAAATAACCCCAAAAGGGCAAGTCTAAGAGTTACTGCCATTAAGGAGGGAGTAGAAAGAGAGATAGGAATAGAACAATTATTCAAAGGAATAAGAGCAGAGAACTTTCCAAACCTAGAGAAATATATCAATATTCAAATACAAGAAGATTATAGAACACCAGCAGGTTTAACCCAAAAAAGACTGCCTTAAGACATTTAACAATCAAACTCTCAAAGATCAAGGACACAGAGAAGATCCTAAAAGCAGCAAGAGAAAAGAAACAAATAGCATACAATGGAGCTCCAATATAGCTGGCAGCAGACTTCCCAGTGGAAGCCTTTTAGATCAGGAGAGACTGACATGGTATACTTAAAGTGCTGAAGAAGAACAAAACAAAGCAAACCAAAACAAACAAAGAAAAAAACACCTTTTTTCCTAGAATAGTATATCCAGTGAAAATATCTTTCAAGCATGAAAGAGAAATAAAGACCTTCCCAGACAAACAAACCTGAGGGATTTTATCAACACCAGACCTGACCTATAAGAAATGCTAAAGGCACATGTACCCTAAAACTTAAAGTATAATAATAAAAAAAAGAAGAAATGCTAAAGGCAATTCTCCAATCTGAAAAAAAAGATGTTAATAAGCAATAAAAAATCATCTGAATCTGAAAGCACAAAACTCACTGGTAAAAGTAAGTACACAGAAAATAAAGAATATTATAACACTGTAATTTTGATGTATAAACTACTCTTAAGTAGAAAGACTAAAAGATGAACTGATCAAAAATAATAACTACAACACATTTTTAAGACATAGACAGTAAAAAGTAAAATAAGATGTAAATAGAAACAACAAAAACTTAAAAATTGGGGGAACAAAGTTAAAGTGTACAGTTTATATTAGTTTTCTTTTTGCTTATATGTTTACACAATCACTGTTAAGCTGGCATTAGTTTAAAATAATAAGTTATAAGATATTATTTGCAAGCCTCATTTTAACCTCAAATCTACAAGCACACAACAAGTATACAAATATTGAAAAGCAAGAAATTAAATCAAGCTACCAGAGAAAGTCAGCTTCAGTAAAAGAAGACAGGAAAGAAAGAAGGAAGGAAGACCACAAAACAAGAAAACAACAAATGGCAGAAGTAAGTCCTTACTTATCAATAATAACATTGAATTTAAATGGACTAAACTCTCCAGTCAAAAGACATAGAGTGGCTAAATGAATAAAAAGGGAAGACCCAATAATCTGTTGCCTACAAGAAACACACTTCACATATAAAGACACACATAGACTGATAATAAAGGGATGGAAAAATATGTTCCATGCAAATTAAAACCAAAAAAAGAGGAGGAGTTGCTACACTTATATCAGACAAAATAGATTTCAAGATAAAACTATAGAAAGAGACAAATAAGGTAATATAATGATAAAGGAGTCAATTCAGCAAGAGGATACCACAATTGTTCATATATATGCACCCAACATTGGAGCACCCAGATATATATAGCAAATATTATTAGAGCTAAGGAGAGAGATAGACCTGGACACAATAATAGCTGGATACTTCAACACCTCACTTTCAACATTGGACTGATTATTCAGACAGAAAGTCAGCAAAGAAACTTCAGACTTAATCTGTGCTATAAATCAAAAGGACCTATATGTATATCAGGTATATTTCGTGTAATGTTACAGAACGTTTCACCCAACAGCCACAAAATACATATTTTTTTCCTCAGCATGTGGATCATTCTTAAAGATAGATCACATATTAAGCCACAAAACAGGTCTTAAAACATTTAACAAAATGAAATAATGTCATGTATGTTCTCTGAGCACAGTGGAATAAAATTAGAAATAAGTAACAAGTAGAATTTTGGAAACTATACAAACACACGAAAATGAAACGATATGATCCTGAATGATGAGTGGGTCAATGAAGAAATTGAGAAGAAAATTGGAAAATTTCTCGAAACAAATGGTATTGGAAACACAACATACCAAAACCTGTGGGATACAGCAAATACAGTTCAAAGATAAAAATTTATAGCTACAAGTGCCTACATTAAAAAAGAAGAAGAGCTTTAAATAAACAGCCCAGTGATGCATCCTAAAGAACTAGAAATGTCAACAGAACACCAAACACAAAAGTAGTAAAAAAAAACAATAATAAAGATCAGAGAAGAATTAAATGAAATTGAAATGAAGAAAACAATACAAAAGATCAATTCAACAAAAAGTTGGTTTTTTGAAAGATAAACAAAATTGTCAAATCTGTAGTCAGACTAACTATGAAAAAAAGAGAAAAAAATCCAAATAAATAAAATCACAGATGAAAAATGAAACATTACAATTGATATGGCAGAAATTCAAAAGATCATTTGTGGCTTCTATAAGCAACTTTGTGCCAATAAATTGGGAAATCTAAAAGAAATGAACAGATTCCTAGACACATACAACCTATCGTGATTGAAACATGAAGAAATACAATCCCTGAACAGACCAATAACGAAGAATGAGATTGAAGCCTTAATAAAAAGTCTCCCAGTAAAGAAAAGTCCAGAACCCAATGTCTTCACTGCTAAACCCTATCAAACATTGAAAGAACGACTAACACCAATCCTACTCAAACTGTTCTGAAACACAGAGGAAGAGCAAATACTTCCAAACTTATTCTACAGGTCAGTATTACCCTGACACCAAAACAGACAAAGACACATCAAAAACAGAAAACTTCAGGCCAATATTGCTGATGAATATTGATGCAAATATCCTCAACAAAATACTAGCAAACCAAATTCAACAATATCTTAAAGAGATCATTCATCATAACCATGTGGGATTCAAGAATGGTTCCACATATGCAAATCAATTAATATGAAGCATTGTATCAACAGAATGAAGGACAAAAACCATATAATCATTTCAACTGATGGTGAAAAAGCATTTGATAAAATTCAACATACTTCAACATAATAAAGGTAATATATGACAGGCCCAGAGATGGTATCATACTGAATGGGGAAAAACTGAAAAAAGTCTTTTCTCTTAGATTTGGAACATGACAAGGATGCCCACTTTCACCGCTATTATTCAACGTAGTACTGGAAGTATTAGCTAGATTAATCAGACAAGATAAAGATATAAAGGCCATACAAATTGAAAAGGAAGATGTCTAATTATCCTTGTTTGCAGAGGATGTAATCTTATATTTGGAACAACCTAAAGACTTCCCTAAAAAACTATTAGAACTGATAAATTCAGTAAAGTTGTAGTATAAAACATCAACATACAAAAATCAGTAGCATTCCTTTTTGTTTATTTATTTATTTATTTTTGAGAAGGAGTCTTGCTTTGTCCCCCAGGCTGGAGTGCAGTAGCATGATCTCAGCTCACTGAAATCTCCACCTCCCAGGTTCAAGCGATTCTCCTGCCTCAGCCTCCTGAGTAGCTGGGATTACAGACATGCACCACCATGTCCAGCTAATTTTTGTACTTTTGTAAGTATGTATTTCTACTATAAATATGAAATCATTTCCAAAAATCGTTAAATAAATAGAATCGAGCCTTTGTCTTGGCTTTCCTATAGGAGCTATAACACTAGGTAAACAAATAGAAGAAATACATTATATGTATATATATCTGTATACATAGATATATATACTCACATATATGTGTATATGTGTTCTGTGTGTATATACACACATATACATATACATACATATATATATAAATATACATACGTAGATATATACACAGGTAGAACACATATATGTATTCTATTGATAAAACGTAAGAATTATAGAATTGAAATAGAAAATATATGTAATACCACCTTGAAAAGTCCTCAAAAAGAGAGGTATATTAAAATAGAAGGTTGATGATAGGATGGATGTGCATGTATTATTTTTTATGTAAACACATTGTTGCATATACATATATAGAATGTGTATTTCAACACTTTAGAACTGATATACATGGCTCTATAGTCTAAATTTCCACAGATAACACAATTCAGGAATTGACAGAAAAGCTTCAGTTTCTCAAATCTACTTAAGGAAATTTTCCCAGTGGTATTGGAAGCACAGATCTTTGTCCCCCATTAAGATCCTTTGGAGAAAAATAGGGCAGAGTCTTACCGTGGGAGTCACACAGCGCCATTTGTATTGTGAGTAATTGAGAGATTAGTTCTCTGCTGTGAAGTGATGGAGGGCAATGAATCAGGCATTATCTTTCTTTCCCTGGAGAAAATGAGTTGGAAAATTCAACAGATGGAGCTTTAGGGAGGTAAACAAGATTCAGGCCACGAGGAGCATGTCAGTATGTGTTCTCAAGTTAAAGAAATACCGATGCTTTTTATGCAGTTAGGCATTGTATCCAATGCTTTCCACAATGGCACAATTGTATAATTACCTTCAAACATTCTTTTACACATACTTGTAGATTGCCGTGCACATGTTGAGAACAGCTGCAAGAACAGACTAGCAAAAGTGACATGAGACAGTTCCTACTCTCAAGTCCAGGGAGCAAGACAAGCCTGTAGTAATTACAACTCAGACAATAAGTGGCTGGGCTCGGTGGCTCACGCCTGTAATCCCAGCACTTTGGGAGGTCAAGGCGGGCGGATCACGAGGTCAGGAGATCGAGACCTTCCTGGCTAACATGGTGAAACCCCGTGTCTACTAAAAATACAAAAAATTAGCCGGGCGTGGTGGCGAGCGCCTGTAGTCCCAGCTACTGGGGATGCTGAGGCAGGAGAATGGCGTGAACCCGGGAGGCGGAGCTTGCAGTGAGCAGAGATTGCGCCACTGCACTCAAGCCTGGGCGACAGAGCGAGACTCTGTCTCAAAACAAACAAACAAAAAAACAACTCAGACAATAAGTGATGTCATAGAGATAGTACTTAATCTGCATTTTGAAAGGTAAATATGTTGTTAAATGAAGATGAGTTCAAGATGTCATGAATAGGCAAACGATGTCATAAGGACACAGAGAAGAAAAGGAAAGTAAGAATGTGTTCTAGCTCTTTTCCAGAGAAGACATGAAAAAGACCAAATTCTTCCTATGGTAGGATTCCTCTCCTTCCCACTTGCATTGCTCTAATTCAAACTCCTTTGTTTCTGTTTGTGCTAACACGTTTCATACACCATCATCCTGTTTCAGTCTCATTCCTGACTATTCTTCACATTGCTGCCAGGATTATCTTTAAGGATAGGCATGTGCATTACTTTTCCACTTAGAGTCTTCTGCTGTTTACTGTTGCTAAAGGGCTGATGTGTAGAACTCTGTAAGTTAACTTTTCTATAGAAAATAACCTTGCACTTTATCTTCAGACCAAAGAAACTTTTGGGAGTGAAAAGGGACACTGTTAATCATGATTTCAGAAATAGTCATATAATCAGTATTGTTCTGGACAAACTATGTCACCTGGCAATTAGACTTCACCTACATGCCAGCTTGCAAAGGATACAAGTTTTTGCTAATACTAGTAGAGACCTCTATGGGCTGGGTTGAAGCTTACCCTCCCAGAACAGAAAAGGCTAATGAGATTACCAAATTTCTCTTAAAGGAAATAATCCCCCTAAGGAATCTACCAGATATTTATCAAAAGCACCTCCAATAGCTTTTCCTTCTCCTCCCCATTTATCTTGGGCTTCAGTGACAATCACTCACTACTTTTTAAATCTAGATTCAGCTTAGACCTTTATAATCATTGCTTCTTTAGCAGTGAAATCTTGAACTCATCTTCATTTAAAAACATATTTATCTTCAAAATGCAGATTAAGTACTATCTCTATAAATTTTTTTAAACATTTTCCAGTAGAAATATTGTTCCACTATTACTGGAATTTTGGCGTATGTAAATTTCAGCACAGTGCTTGGGACATAGTGGTTGTTCAATATGTATTTGTTGATTGCATACTCTTATTGTGTTTACAAGTTCTCATTGTATTATCTATGTACATATCTCTCTGCAATCAACTGTATACTTATCTAGATTAGAATTACATCCTTAGTACTAACTGGACTGCTTGGAACATATTAGTTTCTCATCATTTGCTGAATTATTAAGTGTATTCTTTGTCATATGGCCTAGGTCATAAAAAGGTTGCCATCAGCAGAAAATGAAATTATTTTAAAATTTCTTTATAAGTTCCATTCTTTGGACAGATTTGCTATATAATAGAGTGACCAAACAAAAAGCCACATAAAGAATGTTTCAATAACTTGCAGTACTCTTAATTAGGTTTTGTCATATTTTAAAATGGTAACATTAGTAAAGGCACTAATTCCTCTTTCCGACAGACGTGTTCTAAATTCAAGTACATCAAAACATCCAAAATGAATTAAGTAGACATGATTGTGGTCACACGGTATGACATCATAGGAGATGGAGAATATGCACCCAACTTTCATGATCAAACTGAAACTTTTTTTTCTAACAAATGTGCTCTGGCATCATCATGGATTCTACCGTGTTTACCAAATTCTGTAAGCTAGGAAAATCTGTACAAGTTTATTGTATTTTACCTCATTGTTTTTAAATGTTTTGAATTGATCACTTGCAGTGACAAGACTGAGAGATAAGATTAAATATAAATGAAAGAATAATGATGTTAATTAAATTACCATGTCACATGATGTCTGTAGAAAAAAGTAGAATTTTAAAAGTTGGTTTCTTGAAAAGCAACTGAAATGTGATATGAATCAAAAAATGGGGAAAAACATTTGAGAGATTTTTCTTTTTTGAGTGAAGTCTTCTCACATTCAATTTCCACTTTTCTGAACTTCCAGGTAGTATTTATTCAATGAAAATCTGAAAGGTAGACATGTGCTTATCAGCACACTTTCAGCTCACATCTGTGAATTGTGCTTGATTGCAGTGCAGGTGTTCATGGTGGGAATAACAATAGCAGAGCTTTGATGGTTTGCATCCTTAGTATTAGTATGTTTTTCTTTTCAATGGTTTTGAATGAAAGATTGTTAGGAAGGCATATTCACTATAAGTGTCCAAGAGAAAGAAAACATTCTTAGAATCACTACATACTTGAAGTATGCTTCATTTTAGTTCTACACTGCAGGTTTTCTGCTTTATTGAAGCAATCTGCATTTTGTCATTCCACTCAACATTTCAATATGATTCTCCACTATCATTTTCACTACCTATAGTATTAGTTCATTATATCTAACATTTTATTTTTTATCTACTCTTAAATAGTTCTCAACAATGTTGCATAATATGATCAATACAGTTATTTTTTATTTCTTTTACTATACACTATATAATTTGTGGGGAATGCCAATAAAGTTCATACAAAATTTGAATGCTACTAAGGTATTTATGAAGTAAATTTAAAAGTAGTTACTCATATCAACATATAAATTATCTCCCATTAGCTCCAGTAAAGCAATGATATTGTTCCTTTTCCGTAGCCAACATATGGGAAATAAAATTGAATTGCATTGAACGCTGCACCATAGACATAACAAACTGAAGATAAATTAACATTCCTCAGTGACCACTGCAGCTCTATCCCTTATCTTGCATTTCAGAAATTATAAATAATATATATACAAGAATATTATAACAGAGTTAAATGACTTTTTAAATTCATTTTTTAAAATAAGGCAATCCATTCGCAATATTTAGTAATTAATTTTTTGATGAATTATTTAATAAATAAATTATAATCAATGAGTTTAATGCTGTCAATCTATCAAAACACTATAGTTAGAACCAGTACCATAAGGGGCGTAAAAACTGTAACACATTGTCTTGCTCTCAAGGTAATGATCACCTAGTAGACAGAAAAGTTCACCAGTGCTTACAACACTAGGTAAAGTAAAAGTGCTCAAAAGAGGCATAAGCCAAATGCAGAGTTGGAAGAGGTCACATTTAACTGGGGAGATTACACAAATCTTTTAAAAGAAATAAAATTTGAAATTGTCCTATAATTATCATTTACATTTCGACATGGGGTAAAGGAAGGGGTGATATAGATCATTTCAGATTCATGAAATAACATAAAGAAGAGCATGATTTTAGAAATGATAAGACACTTTCAGGAAATAGCAAAAAGTGTGAAACTCTTTCATGAGATTCAGATCTCCATCTATACCTCCCAATATACTTTATTCAAATGGATGACTGGTTGGTGTGCCTAATAAGGCTCTCAAAGTCTTTCACTGAAAATCATCTCCGTCAGGCACTCCAGTCACTATGCACTTAATTGGAATGCCTAGAGTAAAAGAGGGAACAGGGACTTTTTTTAAAGGCTAAGAAATGTTTGATTTGGTGAAACCTTTAAATTCATAGATCCAAGAATCTCAATAAAGCTTAAGCACAAGAAAAATGAAAATAGCTACACTGAAGCATGTCCCAATCAAGTTGATCAAAACAAGAGATAAAAAGGAAAACTTTAAATGAGCCAGGGAATTAAAAAAAAACAAGACATATAGTATGAGGGAGTAAAGATGAAAGAATCAACTCAAGAAAATTAAATAAAAACACTGAAACCAGATTCGAATCAGAATGCTCACCTCAGTTTTAATAAGTAACTGTCCACTGAAGGGGCCTAGAGGGGATGACTGGATGAGCTCATGGCTGTGGGTGTACCTAACAATGTAAGGGCTTGTTTGTGTTTTAAATGGAGAAACTAAGATTGAAAAGATAGCATGGGGAAAATTAAAAGATATATATAAGATTGGGTATTAAATACTGATAAATCTTTTATCAATAATTTTTTAAAGCATGATAATGCCAAGCTAGTTATGTAGAAAAACAATCCTTGTATTTCAGATATGCACACTGAAGTATTTGAGGCAGAAGTAAGAGGATGTCAAAACTTACTTTTAAATATTTCTGGAAAACAAATTATGATAAAGGGAGGTAAAAGAAGATATTGATCACTGTCAATTCTTTACATTGTTTTTTATGTCTGTTTAGGTTCTCCAGAATAAAATAATTTACAGTAGCTGCAAGTATATAAAAGATAAATATTTCAAAAACCAGTTTTTAAAAATACGTTTAATATAATTTTGGCATTATAAAATAAACTGAAAATATAATAGCCATTTTAACTTGTGTGAGGTATAGCTCATTTTGGTTTCTATTTGCATTTCTCTGATGATTAACGATGTTGCACATTTTTTCTTTTATTTTTGGCCATTTGTATGTCTTCTTTTTAGATATGTCTACTCAGATCATTTGCCCATTTTTTCACAGGATTGTTTTCCTGCTATGGAGTTGAATTCCTGCCATATTTTGAATATTAACCCCTTATCAGCATACAATTTGCAAATATTTTTCTCTATCTATGGTTGTCTTTCTGCCCTGTTAAATTGTTTCCTTTGCAGTGCGGAAGCTTTCTAGTTTGATGAAACCCCATTTGTGTATTTTTGCTTTGGTTTCCTGTGCTTTTTGGTGTCATATTCAAAAAAATCATTGTTCAGCCAATATCATGCAGCTTTTCCTCTAAGTTTTTCTTTGAATTATTTTATAGTTTCAGATCTTACATTTCAGACTATACTCCATTTTTAGTCGATTCTTGTATATGGGGTGAGATAAGGGTCCAGTGCCATTCTTTTGCAGTGAATAGCTGGTTTTCCTAACAGCATCTATTGCAGAGACTGTCCTTTCCCCATGTGTGCTCTATTTTTGTGAAAGATTACCATGGAATTTTGATGGGGATTGTATTGAATCTGTAGATTGCTTTGGGTAGTATGGACATTTTAACAATATTAATTCTCCCAATCCACAAACATAGGGCATCTGACTGCACATGATTGTTAAACTTTAAATTCCTCAAATCTGAAACCTAACTGGATGTTAGTAATTTTGGGTAAGATAGTTATATTTTATTATATTTATGTTTTAAAGCCCTCATAGTTAACATACGCCCAGTGAAGAACCTTATAGTTGAAATTGTATTGTTCCCTGGTTTTTGTTTCACAATAATCCTGGAAGGCATGTTAGGAATTGAGAAAACGTAGAGATGAACATATTTTGCCATGTGGAAGTTTAGTAATGGGTATGAGGTGGCCTATTATGCTATTTTCATTGTTTTTGTATAGGCTTGAAATTTTTCATAATCGTAGAACTTTTTAACCCAAACCCTTGGCTACTGAGTGAAAGACTGACTTTTTCCACAATCTCTTTCCTCCTTGAGGCAGCTGAAGTGCCAGCTTACAGCTACTGCTTGGATTTTCAATTTTACTCTGTTACTCACCTTACATATTTCTGAATTCATTATGCATAAAAATATTATGTTTTATCTAGAATTTTAAAAAATTATACCAAAATTTCATATCAAGATTATTGGAGAAATAAGCTATCTTTCGTTGGGGCCATCTATCTGTGTTATTTTGAGACAATCACTAAGCATCCCTCTCCTTGGAAATAAGACTAGCGGGGAATTGACCAGAAAAGATAGATGGGGGGAACTAAAAGCATTTGTTGGTTTAATATTTTACAATATCACTGAAATCCCAGATAATATTCACTCTAATAGCTTTGGATTTACTATTAAATTTTTATATTTTCAAAATAGGAACACTGAACCCACAGTGAAACCCAGAGCAGACTATGTAACTTGTCCATTGTCATACAGCTGGATTTTTTTCTATTTTAAAAACATACAAAAACATATTCTTCACAAAATACATTCCAAAATCATATGCATACTACCTTTCTTTACTGTTATTAAGGAGAATCTATTCTTCCAGTCCTCTCCATTAATGGGGATAATTAAGAGTCTGCAGTGATCCCAGGAGAACAGACAATGCACAAATATCAAATAACTGAACTAGAGAAATTAAATGCAAAGACTAGTACTTGGTTACCCTGGCAACTTAATTGAATATTTCACATTACTCTTGGGTCAGTCAAAAACTATACAAAGTGTATTTCCATGTATTTTCTACAGAATATTTTTGAGAATAATCTCAAGATATAGAGTTTTCCAACGCTTACCTACATTCTTAAGTGTTTTCTTTGTTGAGTTCATAAGAAATATACATATAAAGAGAATTGAACAAGTTGTAGTGGATAACAATTTAAGATTTTGAAATATATTTTCAGAATTTCAAGGTACATAGGCCCAAAGCATTTATATTTTCAGTCACATTATGCATATCAAAAATACATATTTTAAGAATAAGACGTTTGTATGTAAAAGATGATTCGTAACCCTAGGCACACAACCTACTCAATGTATCCACTCAAGGGATCCTGTTAAGAAAAGGCTTTCTGTCAAAAGCCATACATAAACACACACCTCATCAAAACATGATTATAAAAGCACTTAGGCTCTGCATTTAAAATGTGAAGTTGGTGGTTGATCAGCACACATATTGCTGTCTACAACGGAACATAACCTTTCCTAAAGTGGCACACTGTGTGGGTTCTGCAGGCCCTGATAATGAATGCTGACAGAGGTATCCAATTATTCAGGCTTGGCTGCAGCCACAGTCCCTTAACTATGTGAGATGAATGGGATGATGGAGAACACACAGAGGGAACACAAACCTTAGATAGCCAAGTATAAAATGAAAGAAATACATTTTCAAAAACAGAACTTAAAAACAGTAATTTTAAGTTGATAGGAAGGCTCATAATATTTTTAGAAAGAATCATGCCTCAGTGAAATAAGCAATGAATCAGAAGTCAGGACCTAATTTTGGCTCAGGCCTTAAGTAGCTGTGTGATCTTGAAATAAAATTTTCTGGACTTTTGTCCTCATTTGTCTAAAGGCAGGAGGTGGCAATTGAACGCTGAAATAGATTAACTGTAAGACCCCATTTAGCTATGACATTTCATGATTCAATTATACACATACATTCTTTATATATGGGAAATGTGTATTTTATACTGGTATGTATATCTTATCTCACAATACTAATTGTTTAACCAATATATCAAATCTTATGTAAAAACACTTTAATAGCTTCACAGACTCACTTTCAAAGGATACTTACATTTATTTATTTATTTATTTGTTTACTTACTCATTTTGGGATGGAGTTTCACTCTTGTTGTCCAGGTTGGAGTGCAATGGCATGGTCTCGGCTCATTGCAACCTCTGCCTCCCAGGTTCAAGCGATTCTCCTGCCTCAGCCTCCCGAGTGGCTGGGATTACAGGCATGCGCCACCACACCTGGCTAATTTTGTATTTTTAGTAGAGACAGGGTTTCTCCATGTTGGTCAGACTGGTCTTGAACTTCTGACCTCAGGTGACCCATCCACCTTGACCTCCCAAAGTGCTGGGATTACATGCGTGAGCCACCAAGCCCAGCCAGGATACTTATATTAAATAAAATTGCGACTGTTTAAGCTTCTTGAAATTCTACTCTTAGAACTGCATTCAGGATGCATTTCTGCAATTTTTGTTAGCAATTAAAATCTTTATTCTTTGAAATTGAAATTTTATAACACTCCAAGGAATCAATAATTATTTTATTTAATAAAACTAGAGAATAATCCAGGTAACAAGTTTGAGATAAAACAAAGCAGATATTTCAAACAATGCCACATGGTTCGAGTAGGTAAACTCCTTCCCCAGGCGACCAACTTGAAGGACAATGGTCATTTTAAACTGTAAGCTTAGATGTACGAGGATCTTCTAGATAGATGCATATGCAAGTGGATGTGCTCAAACACAGATTGAGTTTCAATTAATATTGATTAAATAAAATGGGCTGTTTGACTATTTTTACGCACATAGACACTGAATTTTTTTACTTTTGATATTAATACCACAGAAGTTAAAACACAATGTTTTCCAGTTAATTGTCTCAGTCCAATATTTTTTGGACACTGACCAATGGAGTTTGCGGACAGCGAATTAATTTGTTGTTGCAATAAAAAGGTTTTTTTTGATACTAAGTATTAAAATTCTTAGCTTCTAAGGTCTTAAAAACTTTTGGAAGATAACTGGTTAAAGCTAAATTAGATACACATTTTCCTTTAATCTCCACTTCGTCTCTCAGAAGCCAATGTCACTCTTCTTTAAAATAGCTGCATACCTAAACCGCTACTAAGATATGGTATATTTGTTCCAGCCCTCAATGTTACCTGCCTCTTCTGTAGCTTTTTGAAGTTTTATTACCAAGAAAGATACAATCAATTTGCCCTAAATTAATGAATGCAGCTTGCATGTCAAAATCCCCCACTCATCTCGTTGAAGTATGAGCACAGTAAAATAACATCTGATACGAAATTCATTTGTTTTCCCAGCATTAGCTTTGCATTTAACTATGTGGGCCGAAGGAATCAAAACCATCTGACTTTCTCTTCTTGAAATAATCAGTACATTTTTACAGAACAGTGATTTTTTTTTTTTTGTCTTAAAAAAGAAAGAGGCAAAGTCTATTTAATATTTAGGAACTCAAAAACCTGAGAGAAAAGAGTAAATACGCGGCTTCCCTCTTATCATGAAATCCTGTCATTTTTGCTTTAGAAAATGATACACAGATTTCGAAAGAAACTTAAACCTAGGTGCCCTTTCAAATATATAACAATAACCAAAAGCTTGTGGCTTTCTTCATCTTCTGAACTTTAAGCTTGATTAAATTCAGTAAAGGGCTATGAATGTTGTAAAATAGCTTTAGAAAATTTTTTTTTTATTTCTTCTAAGTATTAGCTCTTTCCAGATGACTATAAATGCCTAGAATTTGGGAAGACACATTTGTGTTCTATCAGGAAAGCCTTTCAAAGTCATCTTTGATGTGTAGATCAAAACTATTGCTTCCTAGTTATAACACACAAAAATCTAGTTTATGAATAGAAACATTTAAAAAAAAACAAAACATCATTTGTATAACTATCTAGCTCTGGAAATCATTTGCCAGGAAAACGAGGGCAGAAAGTTAGCAAGAACAAAAATGTCTAAATAGCGTTTCTGACTTTAAGAGCCAGTTGTTAGAAGACACCAATATCTATGGACAATTGGGAAATGATAGCAACTTTTATTTTATTAAGCATTTAATAACACATAAATGAGTAGGTATGACATATAATCCATTAGAAACAATGACATTAAATTAATGGTAGTGTGCTCTACCCAGCTGACTATATATTTAATATAACTTGGAATATTACAAATCTTAAAAGAAAACAGAAGGAAGATGGAGGTGGTGACAATGTAGATTTTTTAACATTCTTAAATCCCTCTGAAAATGAGAAGAGTGGTTTATACATAAAATATTAAAATATGGGCAACATCTACAACAATGACCACACAAAAGGAGGTAAGATAGCTATACACACCCCAATGTGCTTGCTTGGTCAAGAAGAAAATACAAGTGAACTCTATAGGCCTTGCATGGCATTAGCGTCTGAGTGGAGGAAGCAGAGAGAAGCAGAGAAGCCTCTCACGACTATGGAAGAACTAAATAAAGAAAAACTAATCCCACTAATAGGAACTCTCTGGAGTGTACAATGGACTGATTTGAGAACAAAAGATGAAACTTGAAGTGTTTTTGTTTCAAATTAATACCAGAGTGAAAGGGGTCTCTGATAAAGTCTGAAGGTGCTGGGACCATCTGAGTCCTGTGAGCGCTTCCAAAGATTCCTTGCAGGACAACGATAAAACAAAACAGACAATGGAAGCAATTGCAGCATCACTGGAGTGAGTGAACTTACTGTCCAGTCAAAGCTTTCTTCAGAACAAAGCCCTGAGCTGAGAGAAACCTCTAGCAACATATATTTTCATTGAAGGAGTAAGAAAAATATGGGCAAAGGGAAAGCTGAAATGTTAGAACAGATCCAGGACATCTCAGAATGTGGGACAGTGCCTTTTAAAACAATTCACAGGGCAACAGAAAGATCTCTAATGCCATGAAGCTAGAAAAACAAGCCTTTTGTAACCTCTTTCCTAAAAGTTCAGCTATAAATAAATGATGTCTACAAAAATGAAGAACAGAAAGAAGTTATAATTGAATTACATATAAAGCTGATACAAGAAAAACATCGAAGACAGAATAATGTACTTAGAGGCAACATTAGCATAGGACATGCCCATAAATTGATGAAAATTATGACCTAATGTTTCAAAATGAGCTAAGAAGATGATGAAAAGTAAAATGAAGATATAAATTAGGATTAAAAACAAAAATCAAGTAATAAAACACAGGAATATTTTTTATTTCATAAATAAAATACTTTTTTCAGACATAAAGGCTAAGAGGAAAATAAAAAAATAGAAAATTCCTTGAAACAGAAAGATGGAAGAGAGGAAATTTTTTTGAAATAAAAAATAAATGGAGAAAATATGAATTAAAATTATAATGCAATACCACTACATATAGTCCAATCAGCTAAATAATAATAATAATGAAATATATACAATTCTAATTGTGTTGAACAGTGCTTAAATATCTCATATAACCCTAGGTACAATCACTTTGGAAAAATGGCAGTAGCTAAAATTGGACATATTCATATCCTAAGACCCATTAGTCTCCTGCATACATTTATGTACAAGAGAATGCATATATAGGTTAATCAAGAGATTGACACCTTGGTCGTCAGAACTATTCATAATAGCCAAGAGCTTTAAAAAGTTCAAATTTTAATTAGCGGAACAACAAAGAATTAAATCATGGTATATTCAGTCAAAGAAACACCATATATAAATGAAAAGTAATGAATAACTATATACAGGAATATTGATGAGCTCATATACATGATGTTGAGAGAATGAGACCAGACACAAAAGAGCACATACTGTAAATATCCCTTATGTAAAATTTAAAAACAGATATAATTTTAAAACCTCAAAAGTAAATACAAAAAAAAAGTAAATGTGATTTCATTACATTAGAAAGCTTCCGCATGGCAAAAGAAATAATCATAAGAATAAAGAGATAACCCACAGAATGGGAGATAATATTTGCAAACTATGCATCCAACAAAGGACTAGTATCTGAAATCTACATGGAACTCAAAGAAATCAGAAAAAAAAATCCATCAAAAAGTAGGCAAATGACATAAATAGACATTTCTCAAAAAAGATATAAAAATGGCTAACAAACAAGAAAAAATGGCCAACATCACTAATCATCAGGGAAATGCAAATTAAAACCACAATGAGATACCACCTTACTCGTACCAGAATGGCTAATATGAAAAAGTCAAAAAGCAATAGATGTTGGTGTGGATGTGGTAAAAAAGGAACACTTATACACTGCTTTTGAGAGTGTAAATTAGTACAACCTCTATGGAAAATAGTATGGAAATTATTTAAATAACTAAAAGTAGATCTACCATTTAATCCAGTAATCTTGCTACTTGGCTATCTACCCAAAGAAAAAGGAGTTATTATATGAAAAAGACACATGCACACATATGTTTATTGCAGCCCAGTTTACAATTTCAAAGATATAGAACCAACCCCAGTGTCCATCAATCAATGAATGAATAAAGAAAATGTGGTATATATATACCACAGAATACTACTCAGTAATAAAATGGAATGAAATAACGTCCTTTGCAGCAACTTGGATGAAGCTGGAGGCCATTATTCTAAGGAAAGTATTCAAAAATGGAAAATCAAATACTGTATATTCTTACTTATAAGTGAGAGCTAACCTATGGGTACACAAAGGCATACAAAGTGATACAATGGACTTTAGAGACTCAGAAGGGGGAGGGTGGGAGGGGGGTAGGGATAAAAAATTATATATTGGATAAAATGTATACTATGGGTACACTAAAATCACAGAATTCATTACAAAATTTATCCATGTAACCGAAAACCCTTTGTACCCCCAAAGCTATTGAAACAGTTTTTTTTTTTTTAAATAAATATAACACAGGATGCTGTATAACTTTTGGCAATGTTGGTGATTGGATAAATGTAAATTGGAGCTACTGGGTTACTGAGACTCTGAAATTTAGATTTCTTAATCCAGATATTACTTATTCAACATCCAATTCATTGAACCTTAAACTTTATTATGAGTAATTTTTGGTTTATATGTTTTACTTACATCAATTTTTTAGATAAACTAAATAAAAAGGTATTATTAAAAAAAGTAACAGACAAAGTGATCTAACACATATATAGTGAAATTCCACATTGGAAAAAATACAAAAACAAAGTAAAAACCAAAATAATGGGAAAATAATGGAATGGAAGACATACAGACACACACACACACACACACACACACACACATAAGCACAAACAAACCAAACATCCACAGAACTTTCCACAAATTAAAATGTAAACAAAACTTAAAATTTGTATTTGAATAATACATCAAACCTGGAAAAACCAAATCCAAATGACCAACACCAAGAAGACACATTCTAGTAAAAAATACCAGACTTTAAAAACAAACATTAAAAAAACTGTTTTATCACCCGAGCAAAAATTGAGCAGGTACACCATAAGAGAAAGAAAATTAGACTGTCCTTAGATTTTTTTCATTGCTATAGTTTATGCCAAGAGAAAATGCAGTAATATACTTAAGATACTAATAAAAAGACAATGTGAGAAATATAAAGACTATGACCAACTCCTTTCAACATACAAGAGCTCAATAAAATGTTCCTGTGAGCACCTGAGGTCAGGAGTTTGAGACCAGCCTGGCCAACATGGTGAAACCCCATCTCCAAAAAATACAAAAATTAGCCAGCTGTAGTGGTCCGCACCTGTAATCCCAGCTACCTGGGAGGCTGAGGTAGGAGAATCGCTTGAACCTGGGAGGTGGAGGTTGCAGTGAGCCGAGATCATGCCATTGCACTCCAGCATGGGCAAAAAGAGAGTGAGTCTCCATCTCAAAAACAAAAGAAATAAAAAATAAAAATAAAAGTTCCTGTGAGCAACTCGAGGAATCTAACAGAGAATAAGGTTCAAATAACCAAAATGACAAGAGAGATTGCGACATAAGAAATAGTGGTCACACAAATTCTATCCGATGGTGGATCATCATGAAATGATGGCTATATTAGACAGAGTATAGTATGAAAAAGCTATCTGCTCAGACAATAAAGATATAAGTCAAGAACTAGAAGTGGGTGGGAGCAGGATAAAATAAACTTTTTAGTTTTTTTTAAATACTTTTTTTTGTTCTGTAATGTATTTTGTCAAATATCATGTTTGTGACCCCTGCTTTCTTTCTATTTGGTATTGCCTGTCATATCTTTGCCTCCACTTTAGTTTTAACTTTTCTATCTTTGTTTTAATGTGTCAGTCTATTTAACTACAGAAAAAAATCAGTTGATACAATGTGCAGTATTATAGTTAATCCAAAAAATTATTAATTCAAAAGAAGCTGTAATGTCATGGTGGAGATTAGATGTCTTTGTCCATTTTCTACTTCTATAACAGAATGCTACAAACAGGGTGATTTATAAAGAAAAGAAGTTTGTTTGGCTCACAGCTCTGGAGGCTGGGAAGTCCAAGGTCAGAGTGCTGTCATATGCTCAGCATTTGGTGAGGGCCAAGGCATCACATGATGAAAGTGGGAGAGACAGACAGAAAATAGAGGCAAAACCTATTCTCTTCTCCGGAACTCACACCCAAGATATGCAACACACTCCCATGATAATGACATCAATCCATTCATGAGGGCACAACCCTCAGGGTCTAATCGCCTCTTAAAGGCCCCACCTCTTAATTCCATCATATGGTAATTAAATTTCAACATGAGTTTTGGAGTGGACATTGAAACAATAGCACAGAGCCAGTGTGGGATTTTAAAGCAAAGTGCAAACATATCTGTTTTGGCATAACTATTGTGTGATTTGCAGCATTCTACTGTACGTAGCAGAAATAGAAGAAAGCAGCTTGGCAATTCAATATGATTCTTTTTTAAAGTTAAAAAATAAAATAAAAACATCAAATGGAGTTGTTAATATTGAAATTGTAATTCTTGACTCTGAAATGACTACATTTGCCATGTCCAGCTCACAGAAGAGGATGTTCTAGGGTCTACAATCAGGCATAAAATGAATCTCACAAGCTAAAACATTAAGACATACAAATCGTTTTTTAAAAATTATATATTTAATAATAAAAACAAAAGACCAAAAAGACTTTTGCAGAAGACCAAAGCATATGCATTGTAAATTCACCTACTATTTGAAAATGCTACAAATACATATTTCTTATTTCTAGAAGATGTAATATGTTCTATGAAATTATACATATTATATAGGTTAGGTAGTTTTATTTTTATGTATTCCAATGCAAAATAATTTGAGGCCTAATCATAAGTTTTATATTATTTTTAAGCATATTCCATTGTATATTAAGTATCTATGAATATGTCATAAAATATATTTATTACCTTTATTTACTATCTAACATTCAAATAATAAATTGAGAAATTTTAGCATATTAATTTTGCTATATGTACTGAGGACATTCTAAAATCATAATTTAAAAACACCCTTACTCTCAGAAACTAATTTAATGTTGTGATTAAAAGTCAGTCACTTTTATAAACAAGAACTATTTGAATCAAGGAGGTTAATATCTAATTAACTAACTTAATAAATAATCAGGGAGTCCATTGTGAAAAAAGTCCTCGTCTTAGAGACCATAGAAATGCTACTAACGTATTTACAGATTTTCAAAGTAGTAACATAAATATGTGTTTATGTGCTTACTATATAATTAATTTAAATGTTTTTTAAAATGAGAAATTTTAAGACATTTTGGCATATGGTTTGATATGAATACATTCATTAGTTATTTTATCCATCAAACTTGTATTCATTATTCTGGAAATGCTAAGTAAGCATCTCAGCAAAGCTTTTCTACAGCAGCAATGATAAAACTGGACACAATCGTCAAAAGCAATTATTTCAGAACACTAGAAATTGACCAAAAGCATATAGGGTGATTTATAAAGAAAAGAAGTTTCTTTGGCTCACAGCTGTGGAGACTGGAAATCCAAGGGCAGAGTGCTTGTATCTGCTCAGCATTTGGTGAGGGCCCCCGTGTTATGTTATAACATGCTGAAAGGCATCATTTATGAGAGTATGAAAGACAGAGAGAAAATGGAGGCAAAACTTAATCGCTTCTCAGGAGTTCACACCCAAGATATGTAACATACTCCCATTAAAATGACAGTAATTCATTCCTTTTTAAATTAAATCCATTAATAAACTAAAAGTCATTTATTCAAGAAAATTCACTAAATCTCAGTAAGAACATTTGGAGTTTATGGTGTTTTGCTTGGTAGTTTAACCAGGGAGGGATGATCATGGATACTGGCAGACTCACTACAGAAGGTGGCAGTCTTGATTCTGAGTGAAGTATGAAAAAAAAACCTTTAACCAGAGCATTGTCAAAATTATAGTGATCCCAGTGGCAAATAATCGGGGAAACACATCACAGCTGATGTCACAACATTGATGAAACAACGCTGTTGGTTGTCTGGAAGTCTGCACACCTAATAGGCAACAGGAAAGGGCCCAGCTAACTGAACCCTTAGTGGGGCAGGATGCCTTACACATGCAGAAATTAAAAGCTGGATAGACCTATAAACTGCTTCCACATTAAATGTGTTCCCCAATCCACACACCGGTCTGTCAGCAAAGTGTCACTCAATATATGTTTAAGCAGGTAATCCCTGGAAAGCATGCTTAAAAAATAAGAATAATAAAAAAAGCAGACCAGCCTGACCAACATGGTGAAACTCTGTCTCTACCAAAAGTACAAAAAGTAGCTGGGCGTGGTGGCAGGCATTTGTAATCCCAGCTATTTAGGAGGCTGAGGCAGGAGAATGGCTTGAAGCCAGGAGGCGGAGGTTGCAGTGAACTGAGATTGAGCCACTGCACTCCAGCCTGGGCAACAGAGCGAGACTCTGTCTCAAAAAAAAAAAACAAAAAACAAAAACAGAAAACAAAAACAAAAACAAAACAGAGCAGAAACTTCAATAAATACATGTTTCAGGGCAGACCAGCTCTAGAGAACTAGTATAGACAAATTATGTAAAAATGAATGACCAAAATAAATGAACAGAAAAACAACAAAAATGGCAATCCCAGGGGATGTGAGAATCTAAAATTGCAACAATATATTATATAAAACAGTATATAAAATATCCAGTTTCCAGAAAAAAATAAGATAAGCTTAAAAATAGAAAGGTGTCAGTAATCAATGTTCCTGAGAATTTACAGCTGTTGAACTTACTAGACAAAGACTCCAAATCAATTATTGTAAGTATATTTGAAGAACTAAAATAAACCATTTTTAAAGAATTAAATGACAGTATGATGATGATAAATTATGAAATATAGAATGTCAATAAAGAGATAGACATCATATAAAAAAGAAGTTGAAATTCTGGAATTCAAAAATATGATATTGAAATAACATTTTTTGCTATAGGGTTATAGTATATATGAGCTGCTAGAATAGAGAATCAGTGAACCTAAAGTTAAATCAGTAAAGATCACTCAGTTGAAAGCACACAATGTAAAAAGAAAAATAAAGCGCCCCATAGTCCATTAGAACACCATCAAGCATAATGACATGAGTGTAATGTGAGTCTGAGATGCAGAGGCAGGAGAGAGTGATGAAGGAAGAAAATGGAAAAATAATGAATAAAAACTTTCCACAGTTGATGAAAAATATTATCCTGTACATCTAGGTAGCTCCATAAACTCCAAATAGGATAAGCACATACAAAAACACACACCTAGATAATTCTACACAGGCTTTTCAAACTATTGAAAAAGACAAAGGAAACATCCTATAAGCAGCAAGGCAAAAATTACTCCTTCTAGTCAAGGGGACCACAATATAGCTCTCTTACTACTCATTACTAAAATGAAGTCAGAAGGCAGCAGAAGGATGTTTTTAAAGTGTTAAAAGAAAATAAAAACGTCAACTGAAAAGTCTATATCTAACAAAACTATCTTTCAGAATACAGGCAAATTAAATACATTCCAAGATAAAGAAAGATAAAATTTGTTGCTAGCACCTGCTTTACAACCAATGCTAAAATAATTACTTCAGGCTAAAAGGAAATGGTACCAGATGGTAACTTGAATCCACACAGAGAAACAATGAATACTGATAAAAATTATATCAGAATTTTTTTAATCAGTCTCCTGTTTTTTAATTTTTTCTTCCATGGGAAAAATTTATTTGCTTTACTTAATCTATCACTAAAAGAAGAAATTTCAAACTATTGAAATTTATTAGAAGAATACCAATTTTAACTTAAGTACTTTGAAATACTTTTTTTCCCATTCTTATATTTTGATGCTGCAAAGAAAAACCAAGAATAATCTTGAAAACTTATTGGCTGGGCACAGATTTAAGATATGTTTTTCAGGAAACCCTCTTCCAGGACTCTGGGACAGTCCAACATGAATCAAACGAATTTGTGTATTCACACACACAAAAATGTATACTATGTAGATATGTATGTGCATGTGTTTAATTAACAACTAACAAAAGTCTTCATGAAGGATGCAAACAAATAAGTATACAAACTGGTGCTTGCATACTACAACTGTTTCGTAATACTCTTTTGGTCGAAAAGATAAGTGCATTAGGGAAAATTACAATAAATTTGACAAAAGTTAGCTACTAACTGAGCAAACTTGGGCAGATTATTGGACTTCTCTGCATTTAGTTCCTCTTTTGTGAATGAGATACTAAAACTAATCTCAAAAAAAGTGTTTTAAAAATAAATTTATTCAGCAATTATAAGTGCTATAATAATTGAAAATATGTGACAGGCTTTGGTCTAACTGTTCTATATGAATTAATTTAGTCTTTACAACTACCCTATATCAGATACTGCTATGAAAGATAAAGTTGAAAGCATTTAGGTAATATCACCAAAGTTTAGTAAATGGGTTAAAGAACAGGCAAGTTGGTTGTAGACGTAAGATCTTACTCCATAGGCCTATTCTGTCCTATATGGCAACTCCTAGTGACACGTATCTACTGAGCCCTTGAAATAGGGCTAGTTCTAACGGAGATCCCAATAAAAATAAATATGGTACAGACAAGGTTTAGTACAAAAATGTAAAATCCCTCTCTAATAATGTTCATATTGATTATAAGCTGAAATTTCAATATTTTGGATCAATTTAGTTAAATTAAAACACTATTATAATTAATTTGATCAATTTCTTTTACTTTTTTAATGTGATTCCTAGAAAACTTAAAGTTGCACATGTGACTCAAATATTTCAATTTGGCACTAACTTAGGATTCCATTACCCTATGATGTCTCTTTGTTCCCCAAAAGACTATTTGAAAACTTTGTAAGATTCCAAAGAGTTTACTTGAATGCCCCTCTTATGATACATGTTCAATATATGATGTCTTTTTCCCCCTTCTTTCTTTTTCACTAAAACAATGGCAACAATAACAATAATGAGGAGGAAGAGAAGGTGAAGTTGAAGAAGGAGAAAGAGGAGACAGGAGGGTATTTTGAGTCCAAGAGTTCAAGGCTGCAGTGAGCTATGATCACATCACTGCATTCCAGCCTGGTTGACCAACAAAACCCTGTCTCTTCGGAAAACTTTTGGTATTTCTCTTTCTCATGGTACCCTTAAATCTACACCTGCCATGCTAAAACTATCAAGGTGTAAACTGGTCCTAGAAGAGACAACTTAAATTTGATCATACTTAACATTAGCAATTACTTTGTAATTACTTTATTTGATTTGTTTCCATGGGAATTTTGAGTGTTCAAGTTCAATATATGTATTTCACTTTCAAACAAAGGCATTTAAAAACAACGTGAACTTCAATACTTTATAAAAAATTAAACCTTCCTATTATTTCTTATGGTTGATTTTGTTGCTACAAGATCAATTTTGAAGGAATATGAAATACCAACCAAAGAATAAAGTGTCCATGAAGTAAACTTGCTTGTATTTCTCAGAGCTCATGCTAGAAACCCTAGCCTGAAACACAGAAGTGTATACAGCACAAAAATAGGAAATGTTTGCCGTCACTTCCTCTAGAAACATTTCACTCTTCACATACAATAAGGAGTAGATCTATGGCCATTTGTTCTGTTTCTCTGATCCAAAGGGTAATAAAATTGAATTGAAGCTTGTTAGGTTTTTAATATTCATCTTTATTAAATGTATCTTGATTGCACACATGAAGTGTTCTGGATCAGAGACAGACCACTTATTACTTCAAAGTAAATAATAAGTGCATCAGCCCCTTGCCTTCATCCTTATCTTATGCCATGAGAGCTGAGGGAAATTTTTCCAACATAACTAGCTGTACATTGCATGGGCAGGGGGTGAAGAAAATGAGTTTTCTCTGCTTACAAAGGGAATAAGGCAGCTTCCCTCACTCTTCTTGAGAGTGCATCTTTGGAAACATCATGAATCTGAGCCCTAACTCCACCCCATTGGAATATAAATATACTCTCCAGAAGCCAAATAGTCTCATGTATCTGAATCTTTCCAACCTAGAGATGTTTCCAAATTTCCAGGTATTATTACTTCTTGAAATATAAATACTTAGGCAGATAACTACTCTACTCTTCCTGATATTTGGAGACAAAACCTAGGATCTAATCTGAGATGTGATCATTTGTCCATCTCTGGGAGATAAGAAAAGTTTCATTGCCGTTGGATCAGGCCTTTATCTTGCGGAGAGGGATGAGCAGGTGTAAAGCTGGCCAGTGACAAGATGATTCGGCCCTTAATATGGATTTTTTTTTTTAGCTTTTCAACAGGATTGTGACATAATGTGTTTCTGTCTTCTTCCTTCCCCCATTACCCTGTTTTTGACAACAAAAACAATATTTTACTTCTATTTTTCTCTATGTAATAGTGTCCTCATAAACGAACCAAATTGTTGTAAAAAAAAAAAAAAGCCACATATTTCAACCAAATCTTCCTCCTGCAACTCAGTTCTCTTGCTACCACACCACAATAATCCCCTCTTCTCTCTGGTTTTGCTTTTCCTGGTTTCAGATACCTGCAGTAACTACAATCTGAAAATATTCAATGGAAAACTCCAGAAATAACAGTGAATAGGTTTTAGGTTGCATGCCATTCTGAGTAGCATAACAAAATCTCCAACTGTTCTGCCCAGGATGTGAACACTCCTTTTCTCCAGCGTCTCCACACTGTGTAGCCTCCCCACCTCTGAGGCACTTAGGGGCCATCTGGACTGTTGAAGTATCACATTGCTTGTGTCCAAGTCACCCTTATTTTACTGTGTAATGCCCCAAAGTGCAAAAGTAGAGAGGCCAGATATGCCAAAGACAACCCATAAAGTGCTTCCAAGTGAAAAGTTGTGACTTCTTGACTCAATAAGGAAAAGAAAAAAAATTGTGTGCTGGGGTTGCTAAGATCTATGGTAGGAATGAGCCATCTATCTGTGAAATTGTAAATAGTATGTTGTTATAATTGTCCTACTTTATTATGATTGTTGGTAATCTCTTATTCTGCCTAATTTAACTTGTATCACAGGCATGCATGTATAAGAAAAATCATAACATATTTGGGATTTGATACTATCTATGCTTTCTGGCATCCACTAGGGTTTGTAAAACGTATCTTCTGCAGATAAGGAGGACAACCATACTGTCATGTGCAATCATGACTCATTGGTCAAATGTTTCCCATTCGAAAAATAATTAATTCCACAAAATATTTACGTCCATGAAATTAAAGACCATGAAAATATACCGGGCACTGCCATGTATTCTAATCTGTGCCAAAAACTACAAATTTAGGGATGGATAAGGTGGACCCCATTTTTAAGAAATCTAGAGTTGAACTGATGAACAACAAATCTCCAGATGGATTTATGAGCTATGTGGGACAAATATTTAGGGAGTACTTCTTGCGCTTACTACTTAATAAGCAGGATAACTAATTTCCTCAAATGTGATGTAATGCCCATGGAATAAACTGTTTTTTGTTTTCGTTTTGCTTTTTCTTTCTCTTTCTCTGTCTTTTTATTTTTTATTTTACTTAAATTCTGGGATACATGTGCAGAACATTCAGGTTTGTTACATAGGTTTACATGTGCCATGGTGGTTCGCTGCACTTATCAACTTGTCATCTAGGTTTTAAGCCCTGCATACATTAGGTATTTGTCCTAATGCTTTCCCTCCCCTTGCCCTCCATCCTCCTGACAGGCCCCAGTGTGTGTTGTTCCCTCCCTGTGTCCCTGTGTTTTCATTTTCAACTCCCACTTATGGGTGAGAACATGAGGTGTTTAGTTTTCAGTTTCTGTGTTAGCTTGCTGAGAATGATGGTCTCCAGCTTCATCCATGTCATTGCAAAGGACATGAACTCATTCTTTCTTATGGCTGCATAGTATTCCATGGTGTATATGTGCCACATTTTCTTTATACAGTCTATCATTAATGGGCATTTGGGTTGGTTCCAAGTCTTTGCAATTGTAAATTGTGCTGCAATAAAAGTATATGTGCATGTGTCTTTATAGTAGAATAATTTATATTCCTTTGGGTATATTCCCAGTAATGGGATTGCTGGGTCAAATAGTATTTCTGGTTCTATATCCTTGAGGAATCACCACACTGTCTTTCACTGTTTTGTTTTTTCAATTGTAGCCTGCAACACAGTCTTTCCATTACCTAGTGTTTCTCATTAAAATGCAGAACATGGTGTTCTCCATCTCTCCTGGGGAGCTGTGAGTGGTCTACTGAAAGACAAATTGAATATTAAATATTTTAAAATCTAAAAATCTTCCTAAACACTTTAACATAGAGTCCCAGCCTAGCATCACATTAATGAGCTATGCACACACTCAAATGCCATCATAGGATTTAAATGCTTTAGGTGCACTTTTTTACATTAAGAGTTTTGTTATCAATCATTAGGTGTTGAAGCCTCTAGAATGAAATTAGGCTCAAATGAGGAACATTTTGTCCAAAGATATCCTTGTCTTTAGCACTTTATTTTCTATGCATGATATGTTCAGTACACATCATATGTATCTTGGCAAACTCTTGGCAGATTCCAAATTGTCCTTAAATTGTCATTTGAATAGCCAAGCAAATGCTGACTCTGGCAGTTAAAGAACAACTAAAACAATGAGAATAGTTAAATTTCTGGAAGGTTGTTTGTTTACATGCAAACAACCTTTGGCAGTCATGTCTATCTCTTTTTAACTTATGGCACAAAGAAGAAACTATGACTTGACAATGCAGGTGACTCCAGTCAACATATCTGTGATGGCAACTGGAAACTCACTACTAAATCAAAGCAGCTGCAATATGTTCAATGAAACACTGCTCTGTTTGGATAAAAAATCGTATTTCAAAGAAATAATTTACCTATCTTTTTAAAGGAGAAAAATATCCTTTAAGGTAAACTTCAAAATGATTAAAGACATATATGGATTTTTCTGGAATAAGTAGAGATATAGAAGTATTATGAATGTTTGAGATGATGGAGTTTGGCAACCAAAAGCATTTTCTATGTTCAACCTCCTATCAACGTTGCCATTATTTGTAGTTCTATCTGTTTACAGTGACCTGGATTATCATTATTAGAAAACATGATTATTATTTCTTGTTTAAAACGTATCCTTAAGAATGTACTTTGTCCTTAGGTTTGATTTTAATTTCTTTGTTTCTTCCCTAAATTTGCAAAATGTCTTGGAGGTAGGTATTGTCTTAAATTGTTTCCTTCTCAGACTACAGTACCTCCATAGGTATATACTATGTACAAAGTGGTTTGTCTGTTGAATATTCTACTTACCTAACTGATCTGGTGACTTCAGCCTGTATCTGTTGACTGAGAGAGAGATGTGATGTGGTGTTGGATGGAGTTTTTTTAGTGCTCGTTGTCCGGCTCTGGTGAGCCATTGGCAGGACAGTGGCCATCTGAACCACTCACCTGCACATCTGCTCCACTGACCTCCTTACTAATTTTTCCTGCTGGCACTGATAAGAAAATGTAGAGGAGAAGTAGAGTATTATGATGCTTAATTTTATTGTCAATTTGGCTGAGCCATGGCTCTCAGATACTTGGTGGAATGTAATTTTGAATATTTTTATGCAAGTGTTTTTGATGAGACTAACTTTTAAATCTGTGGACTCTGGGGAAAGCAGATTTGCCATAACATGGGTGGGCCTCACTCAATCTGTTGAAGGCCTCACTAGAACTAAAGAACTAAAGACTGACTCCTTCTTTTCCTCCTGCCTCATAAATAGGAATTCTGCCAGCATGCAACCTTTGAACTTGAAGTGCAACATCAGCTGTTTCCCAGGTCTCTAGCCTGATGGTCTTTGAACTTCAACTGCAAATTTTGGGGCTTGCCAGTATCCATAATTATATGAACCAATTCCTTAAAATAGATCTCTCTTAATATATACACATGTCCTATAGTTCTGTTTCTCTTTAAAAGGCATAGAAAGCTTAAGAATACTTTGAAGCTGTTGGATGACTCCTGAGCCTTTTTTGCTTCTTGTAGCTATTTAATGTGGATTAGAACTACACATTCAGAATTAAATTGATATAGAGGTTCTTACTGGTCTATTTGACATTTTTACTTGTCGCAGTTTTAGGAATTACTTAATCTTAAGTGTAATAATATTAGGTTATCTTAACTTTTTTATTCTGTGTATTTATTTGATTATTTTTATTTTATTATTTTCTACAGTTTTGATAGAAGAGAAAGTAGACATGTGTACCTATTTGCACAACTTGATTCAATCTTCCACATTTCCTAATAACAGATCGTAAATTAATTTATCATCATTGTTTAGGTCATAATTTTTTCTTGATAAGACGTTCTTTCCAGTAATGTCACAGCATAAATTGTTTTTCTCTAGAGATAGCAAAAGTTATATGATGTCAAATATTGAATTATTTCTGAAGATATTTTTATTTTTTTTCAAGTCACAGCTCCCATAAATGTAGGATTTGTGTGGTCTAAGTGCTATGGGCTGAATTGTATACTACACAGTTTTATATACTGAAATCTTAACCCCTGTACTACAGATATGACTGTGTTTGGAGATAAGGTCTTTAAAGAGGTAATTAAGTTAAAAGGAGCTTACTGCAGGGCACAGTGGCTCACGCCTGTAATCCCAGCACTTTGGGAGGCCGAGGCAGGTGGATCGCTTCAGGTCAGGAGTTCAAGACCAAACTGACCAAAATGGTGAAACCCCATCTCTACTAAAATTACAAAAATTAGCTGGGCGTTTTGGTGCATGCCTGTAATCCCAGCCACTCGGGAGGCTGAGGCATGAGAATCTCTTGAACCCAGGAGGCAGAGGTTGCAGTGAGCTGAGATCATGCCACTGCACTCCAGCCTGGGTGGCAGAGCAAGACTCAGTCTAAAAAAAAAAAGAAAAAAAAAAAAAGAAGCCTACTAAGGTGGGCCCTAATCCAATATGACTGGTTCTATATAAGAAGAGATTAGGACACAGACACGTAGAAGGAAAACCATGTGAAGACATAGGTAGGAGATGACAATCTTCAAGCAAGGAGAGAGGCCTCAGGAGGAACCAACCCTGCCAACACTTTGGTCTTGGACTTCTAGCCTTCAGAATCACAGGGACACAAATTTCTGTTGTTTAAACCAATCAGTGTTTAGTACTCGGCTATGATAACCCTAGCAGACAATCACGTGACAAGACAACCTGGATGTCCCAATTCTATAATGAATTCCAAAGGCTACACGCAGGTTGTTCCAAGGAAACACTTTGTATGAACACAATTCTGGACCCTCCTGAGGGGTCCTGTGATGAAGCTCTCACTTTTTAGTTGACTTCCAAGGCCAGAACCCACTGTGTCTTCCCTCAGGTCCTTGGATCCTCCTTCTCCACCTCCTCTGCTAGGGTCTCCTTCAATGCTGTTGCATACTGCTTTTCCTCAGGTGCCCCTTGCTCCCTCTTCTTATGTTATAAACTTACAGAGAGAGCTCATTCATTATTTTAGTTTTAAATGCCACCTGTAGGTTATGGATAACTAAATATTAAAATATACATCCCAGTTCTGTTGCCAAATATCAAAACATTCCTTTCACAAGGAGCACATTAAACTCACGGAGCCTCTCCCATGCCCTGGTCATCTTCATCTCAACTGACAGTAATACCTCTTCCAAGCACTCAACCTAGAAACCTAACCCACATCTTCTCATTGTCTTTCACATGCCTTTGCTTGTCTCTTTCCATAGTGACCATCTGGGCGCCAGACACAGTCATCCCTCACAGGTATTTCTATAAGTATTCTGAACAGTCTATCTGCCTCTCCTCTTTTCCTTTCTGAACCAGTCTTCACACTTCAATCAGAGAGATTTAAAAAAAATAACTGAATATGTCAGTAATTTCCCAGTTGAAAATCCTTCAGTTGTTCCTCAGGACCGCAGCATCATTGACCATCCATTTTCTAACATATTGCCTGGTTTCTCCTTTTGGCTCATACCACATTACACCCTTCATTCTTTCCATATCTTACCCAAACTGACCTGTCCTGGATTCAAGTAGATTATGCTCTCAACTACAGTTAAATGTTGCACCAACCTGGAACACCCTGTCTTCCTTACTCATCTGGCTTGTTTCCTCCCTCTGCACTTCTGTCCACATGACTCTCTGACATGTCATCCAGCCCCATGGTTTTAAATGCTGTCTCTATATACTGATGGATACCGTATTTTCAGCTGTAGGATTAACCTATTCCCTGAATTCCAGATTCAAACCCACTGACTACTTCATTATACATGTATGTGTCATAGACATTTCAAACCAAACATTAGAGCACACACACACACACACACCTTTCCTCATTCTGCTTCCTACCATGAACTTCCCTCCATTTCAATAAATGCCTCTACCATTGGACACTCCAAAACAACGGAGAGCATCTTGATGTCTCCCTTTCTCTCACATAGATCAGATCCATCAACATGTCCGGTCTTTTCTGTCTTAAAATTGTATCCTAACTATGCCTTCTACTTAGCTTTATTCATGACACCTTGGTCTAGGACACAAGCAACAGTCAGATTGCTATGTCACCCCTCCAATTGGTCTCTACGATCTCATTTTCTTTCTTGTAGCCTATTCTTCACTCAGTTGCCAGAGTAATTTTTTAAAGACAGTCATTTTATCATATTACTCCTTTTCAAAGCCTGCATTGATTCTCTATCATACAAACAATAAAATTCCAAATCCCTAGTACATCCTAGAAAGTCTTCCTCGATCTAGCCCTGCAACTTTCCTGAGGTCATTTCTTACCTGGCTGTCTCATTTATTATGTCACTGGCCTTCAAACACACTATGAAGGTTTCCATTACATGGCACGTGCACAAGCTTTTTCCTCCACCTGAAAAAGTTTTTCCCAGAATAGTTACCCCACTTGATTCAGGTCTTTGCTCAAATAACCCTCCTTGGAGAAGTTTTCCCTATCACTCTTTAAAAAAATAGTACCTCACACTCTTTCCTTCTACCCTGTTTTGTTTTTCTTCACAGTCCTTTTCATTATCTGACATTGCATTCTACACACACACACACACACACACACACATATGTCTGTCTCTCTCTCTTATATATAAACACATAAGTCTGTCTCTTTCGAATAGGCAAGATGTTTGAGGAGAGACCTTATGTCTTTTGTTCTCTGCTGAAACTTCAAGGCCGACAAGATTGCACTGCAAATGCTCACTGATTATTACTTTAATGAAATCCACATATGCAAGAATGAATAAATACATAAATGTATAGGGTGGTCAATGTCTGCAGTCCCAGCACTTTGGGAGGCCGAGATAGGCATCGCTTGAGTTCAGGAGATCGAGACCAGCCTGGGTAACATGGCAAAACCTCATCTTTATAAAGAATACCAAAATTAGCCAGGTGTGTTAGTGTGCACTTGTAGTCCCAGCTACTTGGGGGGCTGAAGCAGAATTGCTTGAACCTGGGAAGTCAAGGCTGCAGTGAGCCCTGAGATCACGCCATTGCACTCCAGCCTGGGGGACAAACAGAGACCCTGTCTCAAAAAAAGCAAAACAAAACAAAATAAATAAATCCCAAAAAATTTAAAAATGTTTAAATGAGTACAGTTATTATTAATATGATAACTGACTAGATTTTGTCCTCAAGAAGAATGAATAGGAATAAGCAAATGTAAATAAATAAGGACAATAAAGTAATATATGTGCTATACTAATGACTATATTTAGGAATCAAGGATATTACAACTGGAAAAACCTAAAACTCTTCGGAAACTGCAAACTAAAAGTATTAGGTATTTGCCAAAGACTGGACTTTCCTTAAACCCCAGGAACCTAAACAGTGATGTTTCCCGGCAAAGGCCTCACATTCTGTAGAGAACACAGCAGTGAAAAATGGCATTATTCACCCTACGATTCTTGAGATTAAAAAGAAGAAAGAATCCTCTTTCAAGGACCTTTAGGCATTGCAAATGGCATTCTGAAATTGTAGCTAAGCCATTTTTTATAGAGTTGTATTGAGTATCTTAGGGAGAAATAATGTAATGACTCACGAAGCACATCAAGTGGCTTGTTTTTTACATTAACTCCAGATACCTAAAATAGGCAGGATTTGGAGGAACCTAGGTACAGAAGAGGGTCTGAGAAACATGAGGCTGAAGGAATGTTTCTGAAAGAGACCCCAGCCCTGTGTGGGATAGAGAGCTATGGTTCCTGGAAGATAAAACTGGATAGCAGTCATCCAGGAATCCTGCTGGCACTGAAGGAACTGAAGAATCCTTCAAGTTGAAAATAACGTAATTGTACCCCTATCCCCTGCAATACTCAGTAGGAACCCATTCCTCATGTTCTTCAACAGATGCCCAATCAAATTCTGTGATGACATTCTGCGGAATCCAAAGCCTACTATGTGTACATTCCGTGCATTCCCTTGCTATAAAAGGGGAAAAACAGACATCCCAAAGGAAGGTGGAGGACCTTAAGCAACTCTGCAGTTTTTCCTGGTACCAATCCTGACTGTAACCACCAGCAAACACATCTGACTTCTCCTCTCTTTCAATATTCATTTCAAAACTGTTTGCTGAGCATAAATAATAATACATTTATTATTTGTTCATTTATGATATCAGTCCTTATTGTAGGCACTGGGAATACAGCAAAGCGCAAAACAGACAAAATTTCCAGTCCAGTGTCATTTACATTCTAGCTTCTACATTTGTGGAAACGGCTCAGGATTCTGTAATATTTCTTTAAGTATGAATAATTAAAAATGCAAGAACTTCAATGGTGTTAGTGATACAATGATGTGTGCAAACTCTTTAATGGTGCACAGCACTGTCTCACTATAACTAAGGTATAAGCAAGAGGAAGTACAACTTCAGTCACTGACCCCACGCTTCCACTTTCTGAGGCTGTTATGCATGATTGTGCTACAAAAGAATCATGGGCACTGATGCAGTTGCACCCTGGAGATTTGTCCTAAGTCTGTGCATTCTATTCGGTGATAACTTAGTAAATGATACTGTAAGATCAGTAAACTTGATAAATTATCTAGTGAAGACACAGCTTCATCTGGATCCACATAAACATTACATAGCAGATTAGTGAATTTTATGTTACTGTGTTTTCCATACCGCATACAACCAAGGATTGAAATATTTATATAGTAGTCTTCTACCCAGGCTTATTATATACTATTTATCTTAAGTCTAAAGGTTGAACATTACCATTTTGCTCCTCTTAGAGGAACTTTGCAAAGCAAAATGTAAAACATGTTGCAACAGAATCAAATTCCTCTTGGTTAAACTGGTCACATGTTGGAACTAAATGGAACTAATATTTGGAAATAATATTTTTGGAATTAATATTTTTCCTAGTAAACACATTTAACCTTAGGACACAGCTCTGTGCCTTCACCAAGAAAAGGATAAAATTGTAGTGTTTATTTTAAGGAGAAGAGACACTGAAAATTAATGCTAGCAACCTATAACATGCAATTCCTAGGTGGAGTAAGAATAAAGCTTTAAGTACATTAACCTCTGAAATGACAAAAATAGCCTCACATGTCAACATCCTTTAATCATATAACTAAAAATCATTCTGTTTATCCTATCCTTTTTTTTTCCAGATGACCTTAATCAACACATTTCATAGCTCTACACACAAAACTGATCCCATGAAATCTTTGATGTTTCTGAGTCTGCATGTCCTCAGAGAGTTGAGTTGTCAAAAGTAAGCTGTTTAATTCATTGTTCATCTAATGTCGGCAAGAGTAGAGTGCTGGGTTTGTCAGTAAATTTAAAAAATGACAAGCAAAGGCTATTTCTGCTCTCACAGGCAGTATAAAATAGGTGGAATTTCTCAATATAGTAGATGTCTTTACCTACAGGGAAATAATTTACATTACATTACACATTCTCTAGAACAAATAAACCAATTAGACCAGTAAATCAACGTCCTGCCATTTAGAAATATTTAATTTTTTTTTGTTACTTGAGTAGGTTAGTTGTATTTCTCTTTTTGTAAAACAATTAAAAATATGGAGGGAAATCTTTGTATTTAAAAAATATGAGAGTTGTAGATGTGTGCAATCTTAATCCTTTTGAGAAGACCAAATTATTTTTTTAAGCGTGCTTATTCAGAACTAATAACAATTGCTTCCTCAATCAATGCCATTCTCCCCTGTACTAATGTATGGAGCAGGCATTTTTCTCAATACTAGAAATACAAATATGAATAAGTGAGTGCATCCTGGTATTTTTGTAAATAACTTACAGTCCCCAAAGGTCTATAATATAAATGCCATATTTGGAGGGGAGCAAGGGAGAAACAGAGGAATAGCAGAAAGTCAGAATTGCTTCATAGAGATGACGTTTGCAATGAGCCTGGAAAACACAATATGATGAGCTGGATGGACACAGAGGGGTGGAAAGGACACAGTAAATACTGGGAATGCCGTGAGCATAAGTAAAGTTGTATAAAGTATTTTTTTAAAACATGGTATGGAATGTTGTCACCAGAGTCTACCATGAGGAGATAGATGAGTTATGAGGGTTCTTGGGGAGCAAGTGAACTGGTAGAGAGCCTACTCAGGAGTATGGATTAAAATCATTGCTCAGACAATGTGGAAGATGGATCCAGTGGTGGTAATTGTGGAAGCAGGAAGACAGGTTGGGTATAAGAGGAAGAGCTCCTAAACTATGACTGAAGCAGAAAGGAGATAACCGACCACAGAACTGCAATTCAGGCTACTGCTAAAGGATTTGGGCATCATTTTGTAAGTGGGGATGGTCTGCTGCTTGACCCCAGGGCACCTTTGTGCTTGTTGGGAAACCTGAGCCTCAGACAGTCCCCTGGCCTGGTGCTGTTTTGCAGTCAGTGACTTGCATAACTTTGCATGAAAGCTCAGGAATCAAGGGCCAGATGGCAACGACGTTAACTTTCAGACTGCTCATCTGAGTGTTTTTATTCATAAAGACAAGGGAACTAGGAGAAGAACAACATTGGAAGAAAAATATGACAACTACAGCTTTTGGTAAGTTTCACTAGTAAGTATTCAGTAGGCCTAGATTTTGAGAGATAGAGCTTAACCTGATTTATGGTTGGGGCAGTAAGTAAAAAGTTAGATGTTGAAAACATACAGATGGACGTAATAGCTCAGGGAGAGAAAGAAAGCCAGGATAAGGATGGTTCTCTAGGGGAACCCAGTATTTTATTAGGAGTCAAAGGAAAAAAGACAAGCAAATAGGACTGGAGTAACAGTCAGGTTGGTCAGCACATGGCAAGGAGAGAACAAGGCCATTGATAAGAAAGGAAAAAATAATTTTTAGACAGAAAAAGAAATTAATGATGCTAGGTACTGGAGTGCAATATGGTAAAATTAGGTCTAAAACAAGCAACAGGACTGGTAATGAAGGCACTGATGACCTCAATCAGAGCTGCTTCAGCTGAGTCATGGGGCAGAAGCCTCAATGTATGGCTTGAAAAATATTCTGGTGCCTTCTGTATTGAAATAACAGGTTAAACCTGCATCGCAGTATTTCTTCACCAATTATGAACTTAACAAAAATTTATAAAACACAGCAACAAATTCCCCAACCTTAACCCAGACAACAGAATTTTAACATAGTGCAATTAACATTTAAAACTATTAAGGAAGAGGAAACAACAACAACGACAATAATGTTGGGTTGAAGCCGACAACCCGGCTCAGCTTAGGTCTTCATTCTTCCTTCACAATGGTGAAGCCACACAGGTATGTGGTAACAATTTGTGGAATTCCTCCTAATACAAATATCAAGAGAAAAATGTGGTTACTATCATTATGTTTCCCCATTTGGATAGAAGTAGAAACGAAGTGACTGGTGGGGAGAAATGAGTGAATCAGGGATCATAAATGGCACAAGTGACTGCAGACTAGAGCACACTTGTAGCATACACTGACTTCAGGCAAAGAAAACACATTCAAAACCCAGGTGTTTGTCACATTGGGACAGATACAGCCCCCACATAGGTTGAAACAAACAGCAGTAGAAAGCAGTTAGAGAATACATCATGAGAAGGCAAGTAAAGATCTGCCATTCTAGCAAAGAGGGTATGCTTTTTGTTGGTCTCCTCTGCTCAGATTTTCCCATTCTCTGAACACTACTGCCCTCACCTCAATCATAAGGCACACATAAAAATGGATAGAACAGAAAACAGAACAGAATGGTCATATAGGAAAAAGAGAAGTTATACATATAGTGAGAAAAAACGCCAAAACATGTGTATATAATGTTAGAATAAAATAAATGGTAGAATAGAAGGGTTCAAGTGTGAGGTAAAAACAAAATGGCAATTGTGAAAACATAATATTGAAATAGAAAAAGAAATAAAGTAGCATGTTATTGATGAAACAAATTTACTTAGAAAACAACATAACTCAAGTTACTGAGGAAAATGTTTTATACTTGCTATAATTATATTGTTCATTGTCACGTTAATAAGCACCTTTGTTTTTTTTTTTTTGGAAATATATTGTTTTATTGTTGGATATAATACATTTTAAAAAAGAATGACGCCCTTATGGTTTTTGTAAATTCCATTGGAGAAAAAGTTTTAAATTACCTGTTATTTCTGTCCAGAAGTCGCCATTTTTATTGATGAACTCAATTTAGTCATTTATCTGTGCATATATAAAAATGAATGGATGGATGGATAAACAGACATGAATGACAGAAATAATGAGATGAGAGAGGTTGGTGCATGATATATGCAGCTTACTTTCAAATTTTAAGTGTGTATTTCCTAAGAAAGAAGATACCCTCTTTTGTTTGTATTTCCTACAAAGGAGTTGCTCTTTTTTGTTACCACAATAATTTTTCCTTTTTATTTCTTAAGACCGTGTCTCACTCTGTCTCACAGGCTGGAGTGCAGTTGCATGATCATGGCTCTAACATCATACCTAGAGCACACAAAACAAAACACCATATACTTGCTGATTGGTCCTAGCAAATAATGTATTTAATTCTTAATTAGTGAGGAGAAAATAGTGTAGTAGGAAACCATTGGCAGTGTGTGGATATGGGCAGATACAGGATTGGCTGCTGTTGAGCTTAGCAATGGTGATAGTGAGAAAAATGACAAATGTTCTGAGAGGTAGGGCGGCTGGCCTGAAACTGGACTAGGAAGTGTCATGAAATAAGTAAGATTGCATAGACCAAGGGTGCCTGGAGAGAAACATTTGCTGTTCTTTATCTTCTAGATACCTTCTCATCTACTTCTTAATTCAATGTAATAAAAGCACACAAATGAAATAATAAAAAACAGAATGAAATGAAAGGAGAACTTGCCCATCTGAAGGAATACACTGAGGCTCAAAATAACATTTCCAAGCAAACAAATACTTTTAAAAGTAAAAAAAATAAACATTGATAAGTTGCTTTTTGCAAAAATGTGAATATATACACATATATTTCCTTTTTTAAGGATATAGGAGAGTTTATTTTTATTGAGATAATATATCTAGATAGATATAAATAAGTATATATGTAATTAACATCTTTACCATCTTTTAGTGTACAGTTCAGTGGTAATAAATACATTTATGTTCTTTACTCTGTCAGTGAGCCACAATGAAATAACACCAAGTAGCAAATGATCAAGAAGCTTATACCCATTTTCCTGTAAAAAGAACAATGACTCCTTGGAGAAATGGCTGATTTCAGAGGACAGGAAATATGCAAGATGAAATTGGAGCATTTTGTGGTTCCAGGAAGTAAGGAAGTGCTTAAAAACAGTAACAACAACAGCAAAACCAAAGCACACATTGACAGGTGGATGTTAAAGGACCCATCTGAAAGGACAACCAATGGCCAAAGTCAGAACATTTGAACAATGAAATAAGACAGTAGAGATGCATCATGAGCCTCAACAATGATGGGGCATGTTCAGGGTATGTCTGCTTGAGATGATGGGATGAAAATGGTAATTTACCTCTGTGATCTTGCTCTCTGAAATTTATAATCTCAATCTATTCATAAGAAAAATCTATAATCTCAATCTATTCATAAGAAAAACATCTTATGTTTTTCTATTCATAAGAATAGAAAATGTTTATCATTTCATAAGAATATGTTTATCTATTCATAAGAAAAACATCTAACAAATTCTAATAAAACAATAAAAGCAAAATTCCTGGTCAGTATTCCTCAAATGTTAAGGTCATCAAAACCAAAGAATGTCTGTGACACCGTTACAGACAAGATGAATAAATACTATGTGTTATCCTGGAAGGCATCGTGGACTGGGACAAGAACATTAAGTTAAAATCTGAAATCTGAATAAGTATGCACTCTACTTTATACTAATGTACCAACAATTTATAGTAATTTTAACAAGTGCACCATATTCATATACTATGTTAATCATAAACGATACTGTGTGCAGGGGCATTTAGAAATTCTCCATAATATATTTTAAGTTTTTCCACAAATCTGAAAATCTTATAAAATATAAAGTTGATTAAAAACAAAATAATGTGTGATCCCAGAGTATCATATTATGCCTACATCAAGAAAACCACAACTTTCTCAACCAGAACAGCTTGGGAAATACAGAACTATGTGCCCTTTTGAAGAAATGATTTGGCCAGGTAATGTACTCAGTTAAGAGTTGATTCAAGATGAACTTCTCAGGAATGAGAAACTTTTAAAAGTAAATAGGGTGAGCACTGAAAATATATAAATGGAGAACTAATACTAAAGGATGCTGGAATTGACGGATATAAAATAAAATGTGAATTTACACAAAAATCAGTTTTGTTCCATATTCCTATATTTCCTATACTGATGAGTGTCAATTGCATTATAATGTACATTCATCAGACCTTCAACAATGGCCATGTAAAATCTTTTGCCATCTGCAGACAATCATTTTTCTCTGATTCTTTCCTGAAATATTTTGTGAGCAACTATAATACAAATGTGCTTTGTCTTTAAGGAAATTCTTGGAAAAGACTAACAATTACATGTTTCTGATAACTTTAAAACCATCCCGTTGAACTAGGTAAGAATTTCCTGAACTCTCATGGAAAAGCAGGATTCATAAAATTGCTAACCCAAGATTAAGCACAACAGAAATTAATTATATGAGACTGAAATAACTGATGAGGATGATTGTAATTTTTGTCGCTTTTTTGTTTCAAACACTGTTGATTACTTAATGTTTTATTTTTTGGCTTCAAGGAAACATTTTTCCCTTTCTTTTTCCTTAAACTACAGCTTGGAGCAATACGGTAAAATACACATTTGTAAAAACGATTGTTGAAGCATTTACCATTTGTTTACTACCCAATTCATCCAGAATTTAGAAACTCTTAGTGAATACTTTTATTTTCATGGCAATATGGTTATTTGCATGAGTTCAATAATAATCTGTTCTCTTTGTAACAGGACACAATTGGTAACATTGGTTGCATTACCAAGGATTGGATGGAATGTCATACTAGGAATGTACATAGAAACAGATATTGTCAGACAGCTTTTATTTATTTATTTATTTTTCCTTTTTTTTTGAGATGGACAGAGTCTCTTCTGTCACCCAGGCTGGAGTGCAGTGGCACGATCTCAGCTCACTGCAACCTCCGCCTCCTGGGTTCAAGTGATTCTCCTGCCTCAGCCTCCAGAGTAGCTGGGACTACAAGCGTGTGCCACCATGCCTGACTAATTTTTTTTTGTATTTTCAGTAGGGACGGGGCAGACAGTTTTAAGGAAATAAGGTTGACTTTATATAGCTAACAGAGACCCTTGGGGGAAAAACATGGTCTAGCACCTGGCTAAAAAGTTTTCCTGGCCTTATAAATTGAGTAAATTTGTTGAGTAACTTTCAGGTAAGGAATTTACCCATATCTATAGGTGTAAGAGTTAAAGAAAGAAGAAAGAAACATGAAAAATGGCTCAACAGTGAAAGACATGTTTATTTTGGAGAATAAACGTGAGAGGGGCTTCTGGCCGATTTTTGTCATGAGCACTCTCTCTTACAAACTGACAGTATTTATTGGTTTTAGGGTGAGAGAGCTTATTACAGGCTCAGAAATTTTCTGTGTGAGGGAGAAGTTTACTGTGGGGTTGGAATGTCTCCGGTTGGAGGGGAGGTTATCTTGGGGCTGACATTTCTCTGGCCAGAGGGGAGCTGGTATGTCTCTGGTTGGGGAAGGGGTTTATCTTATGGTTAGACTGTTTCTGGTCAGAGATGTTATTTGTCGTTTATGGTCAGGCTGACCTTAGCCATTAGGCTGATGCCCTTTGGATTTGGGCAGTTTTTGATCAAGGTGAACTTTAAAATGGCAGTGCTTGTCCAAGATGGCGATGCTCCTGCTCTGTCAATAAGTATTGTAGATGAAGTCCAATGTCAATTCCTTGGCTTGGCTTTCTAAACTTAAGAGGGTTTAAAACTTGTATTTGCTATATCTCATAAGTTCCAGCAAAGTGGACTTTAACAGATCCTATACGTTCAATTGCTACTCTTGCTCACTTATATAAATACTCGAAGTTTAGTGAGACTACTTTTAATTTGCAAAGAAACCAATGTTACTATGATTATTTTTGGTAAAAATGGAGGTGAATGTAGAGAGAAAAATTATAGTATACCTATTAGATTCTAGTCCTTTTCATTGTCCTTGAACTACTGTTACCTATCCATAAAGTAAACTGGATTCGGAATTCTTCCAGTTTTTCTCCAATATCTCACTATGACTTTCCAAACTAGCATTTCTCATTTGCTCTCACTCTTCTGACTTCAAATCACTAAAAACAAAACTGTCTTTTTCCTGAAGCCCTGCAAGCTGAAGGTGAAGAGATTGATAAAAACTTCAGAGAAATCGCTACAACAGCTCATGTGTGGATAGACTTGAATGTATTGTTATGTAAACCAAAAATATAATTCTAAGTCCTCCTACTAACTGAATGAACCCCCCTATGAACCAAGGGGATTCCAAAGAAACCTGAAACGTTAGCTCAGGCCATGATGGGAAGTGAGGGTTAGACAGGCCTCACTGTACTCTCCTCCCTTTGGTGTTCAGGCACAACTGACCAGCATTAACATTAAAACAGAGATCTTAAGACTGACAAAACAGACTCTTTGTTGCAGTAGGATACCAAATTCCAACCTGACTCTAGTGTAGCACCACATAACATGTAGGAGGTTTTACCCCAAAACATATTTCTTTGACATATTTTGAAATAGTCTTGCAGTTCTGTCTTCTAATGGGGAAATTAAAATTCTGTAGAGAATCCTCGTCCCTTTTCTAGGTCCTTTTATTTTTCTTTCTTTCTTTCTTTTTTTTTTTTTTTTTTTTTGAGACTGGGTTTCACCATGTTAGCCAGGATGGTCTCGATCTCCTGACCTCATGATCCACCCGCCTCGGCCTCCCAGAGTGCTGGGATTACAGGCGTGAGCCACCTTGCTGGGCCTTAAGTCCTTTTCTTATCCTGAATGGATTAGCAAGAGTCTAGCACCTGTTAAAGGTCAGACAGGAAAAATTTGCCATCTGTTATCTCTAAAGGTGGCCACCTATGAGACTTCATCTACAATTTATCTCCACAACCCCTTATATTAACTGAGACACTCCTTTCTACTGATTTCAGGTCTTTAGATAATAACTTAACTCTTTCAACCAATTGCCAGTCAGAAAATCCTTGTATCCACCTATGACTTATAAGCACCCCCTCTTCAAGTTGTCCCACCTTTTCAGACTGAACGCTTGTGTACCTCATATATATTGATTGATGTCTTCTGTCTCCCTAAAACATACAAAACCAATTTATAACTTCTTGAGACTATGCCTTGGGCCATGGTCACTTACTTGGCTCAGAATAAACCTCTTTAAATATTTTACAGAGTTTAATTCTGTTTTTGTTTACAGCTATGTAGGTCATTCAGAAAGTTCACTGGAACATTGAGACATTTAAATTGCAAAAGATGTTTTAAGCCCAACCCACATCTAGAAATTTTTTCAACTGACTGTCCTCCAAATGCAGAAATTGGTTTTTACTTTGCTCTAACTATTAACATTTGTTTTTCTTTTATTTCCATAGAAATGCCTCTTCAACAAATTATGAGATAATCCACCAACTCATGTCCTGGACTGTGAAACTTCTGGCAGAATTTTCAAATGGAAAAATGAGAGGGCTCACGCCTATCACTCACCAGCCAAAATATGACTGTAGGAGGCCAGAATATGCTACCCCAAATATGTCTCTTTAGTATATATAAATAATTTGGAACAAACTATTTTGAGAAACATCAGACAAGGGAGAAGCTTTGAAAACAGAGTAGAAGTTACCCTTTTGTAAGAGAAGTTTACATCTATAAGGAAATATCCATTTGTAAGGGTGTCTCCCTCTCTGCTCCAGGAAGAGAAGGATGACTACATCTCTAAAATGTGTTATCAGTGGGGAAGGCATTGATTGAAGTCCACATAACAGACTTTGTTCTTTTTCACTGTACTTTTCCTGGCTATTTCCCAATAATTACCCTTTCCTCATACCCTTCTTTCTTTGTTTCAGCAAGGGATGGTACTTAATCCCAAAGTCAAAGTGACCTCTTTGAGATCTACTCTGGCAATATAGTAATTTATCTGGGTCATCTCTCTTGTATGCATGATATACACATTTTAATAAACTTGTTTGATTTTCTCTTGTTAATCTATTTTTTGATACAAGCATCTGTCCCAACTAGTAACTCAAAAAGGGCAGAGAAACAAATATTTTTTTAAATTTACATGATATACTTTAAAAATGCACATAAACACATATATGATAAATGTATTTCATAAAATGATTATAATGACAAGATAGCCTTAGTTGAAAAAACTTTGTTCTACTTATTCAGTCTGTTATACAATTAATAACTATACAAACACACTGGTAAAGTTAATCAAGATGATATTCAAATATATTAATTCAAATTTTCATAATGCTTTACTCAGATTTTGTTTTTCATTTAGTACCAAGAAGCAAGAACCAAAAATCAAAAACATCTTTAAAAGAGTTTTCTCAAGGCCATTTTCCACATGTTTATTGATTTCTTATGAGCATTTTTTTGGATTTACCAATACTCTTATTGCTTTTGTCAAATACCCATGCTTCATAAGTGAAATCAACTTATTTTTCTCAATTAGATTGTAAATTATTTAGGTGTCGACCATGGTTTTCTGCATTTTTTATGCATCATTTAAGCTTTTGATAAATATTCATTAATTGATTGCATAAAGAATAGATGTGAGAAAATATTTGAAAGCATACTCTCGTATCTTGTACTCATCTTCTTCTAAATTATGATGTGAACTGTGTTAGCCTTTATTTCTATAACTTTGTAACAATGACAATATCAAAATGATCCCTCAAAGGACTTCGATAATGTTATAAACATTTCTGAAATTTATATAGCAGTAAATGCCAGTCTAATAACTGTAAACTGCTCTCTTAGACATGAATTTTTTAAGTTAAGTTAAAGGTATAAATATTGGCCTTATCTGAAACACTGTGGCTAATTGAAAGATGTCTGATGTTTGTTTCTTTAGATATGTAACTGTACTTGATTCAATTTAAGGTTTAAAAAAATTCTACATTTTTCCAAATTTTTTTTTAGCATTTTTTCATATAGACTCCTTTAGTTCATGTTTGAGATTACTGATTTAGGGTCCATTTATATTTCCCCTAAACATATGATTGAGAGAATACTAAAAGGGGTCACTAAATTTGATAAATAAGCCACCTATAACAGCCTAAACATTTAACTATGAATCCATATGCAAAGTTTTGTATGTCATAAAGAGTCCTTGTTTATGATTCACAATAAATTCAATCACAGGGATTTCTGAAGAGATTTCCATTTCAATTAGGCAGGCATCATTATTATACTTTTACTGAGGCAGAAAGAACAAGGCCAAAGCCAACAGACAGACATAAAGTACAAAGCCAGTTGAAAACAATCTCTGCAGTTACAAGGATTAAAGACCTATAAATAACTAAGCAACTCTTTGTCTTTGAAAAATATTATATTCAACAATGAGAGAAAATTACACCTTTCCTTAAAATTATAGAGAAAGAAAAATTCATGGAATTAATTTTTATTAATTAATATAAGTCCTTTTTTTTCTTTTTCTTTTTGAGATGGAGTCTCACTCTGTGGCCAGACTAGAGTGCAATGGTGCGATCTTGGCTCATTGCAACCTCTGCCTCCTGGGTTCAAGTGATTCTCCCACCTCAGCCTCCTTAGCAGCTGAGATTACAGGCATACGCCACCAAGCATGGCTAATTTTTGTATTTTTAGTACAGCTGGGTTTCACCATGTTGTCCAGGCTGGCCTGAAACTCCTGACCTCAAGTGATCCACTTGCCTAGGCTTCCCAAAGTGCTGGGATTACAGGTGTGAGCCAGCGTGCTCTTCCTAGTTAATGTAAATCCTGATTAGGTACCTTTCATAACCATCGATAAAATTAATACGGTATAATTAATTAAAATAATGAGTACATGTAAATAAAATTAATAAAAACTTAATTTATACAAATCCTGATTAGGTGTCTTCCTAATAAGACAGAAGAGAATAATATCTCAGAAAAGGTTATGATTTTTTGATGCATTAAGTATACAACTTGGAAATGGAGCTTGGGAAAAGTTTGTAGAATACCTACACCTCTGCACAAAGAATGAATATCTATTTATACCAATGTAAGATCATATCACACAATTGTTTAATGTTGCTTTGGATTCCATTTTATAACAACTATCAGCCAAATAGTATTATTTTCAACTCTGTTCAAAATAGATTGAAATCACATAGGTCTCCCTTACTTTCGATAAGAAATTATTTCATTTAATGATTTACCAAATATTTCAAAAATACATATAATTTGTCTGTGTCTGAAAAAGTTTCTGTAATCTAATAAAGCCACAGTAGTTAATTGAGTATAAAAGAATATTAAACCATAATTAGATTTATTCATTATATTATTATAATGTGTTTCCAGTTTAGATGTTCTGTGAAAGACAAACTCATTTTTTTTTTTTTTTTTTTTGGCAGGGTCTTGCTCAGTTGCCTAAGCGGGAGTGCAAAGGTGCAATCATAGCTCACTGTATCCTTGATTTCCTAAGTTCAAGAGAGTCTTCCATCTCAGGCTCCCGAGTAGCTGGAACTACAAAAATGCACCACTTTGGCCAGGTGCTGTGGCTCACGCCTGTAATCCCAGCACTCTGGGAGGCCGAGGCAGGTGGATCATAAGGTCAGGAGATCGAGACCATCCTGGCTAATTCAGTGAAACCCTATCTCTACTACAAATCAAAAAATTAGCCAGGCGTGGTGGTGGGTGCCTGTAGTCTCAGCTACTTGGGAGGCTGAGGCAGGAGAATGGTGGGAGGCGGAGCTTGCAGTGAGCCAAGATCATGCCACTACACTCCAGCCTGGGCAACGGAGCAAGACTCCATCTCAAAAAAAAGAAAAGAAAAAAAGAATGCACCACCATGCTCAACTAATTTTTTACTTTTTTATACAGGTGAGGTCTCACTGTGTTTCCTGGCTAAGACAAACTTATTTTAATTTAGAATAATTTGTATATTCTAGAGCTTTATGTATAAAAATGTTATTTTTGATATTTAATACTTCAGGTAGAGAGGCAGATGAATACACCAGTGCTTGTTACATTTATTCCATAGCATGAAATGATTAAAAACTCAACATAGATTTAGGCTTAGGGTTTAATCAGTGTCTTGCCCAAATGAGTCCTGGTGCTTTTAATTTACAAAAAATGAAGAGGAAAAAAGCAATGACAGTTTCCTTCCAGAATGTTAAAATCATTGCCTTCTAGGTATATTACAAAAGGAAGATTAAAGTACAAGAACCTGTATTTTTTTGTTTAGTTAGTTAATATATGATTTATATATATATATATATATATATATATATATATATAAAATTTACTTGCACATATATGTGTGCTAAAACCTAAGTTGAATGCTGATGACGAATTTAGAATAAGTCACAGCATACTGCTAAGAACATTTTCTAGCTGTATCACAGTTGTGAGTGTTGAGAGCTTGTAGGTCTGTAGTGTGGCAATGACTCACTGAACTGTTCCATCATCTACCAATTAACAAACAAGCAGAATGCCGTGGGCCTGTACTGTGGCAAATCACAGCTGTCTCCCTAGTTCTTGCTCTTTAAATGAGTTATGCTTCTAGATGTCTCTGGTACGTAGGTATTGTTATATATTGAAATAAAATATGTAGAGATTCAAAATTTAGCAGAAGTAAAATAAGTTAAAAAATAAAATAGACATTGGTTACCAAATAAACACATTAAATATTTGTTAGTTGGAGGACTTCTGATTTCAGCACTGGGGATCTGAAAGCATCACTCCATCCTCCTCAAGAGAAACCAGAGCAAAGAGAAACAAGTTATCTTTTCTTAGATCCAAGTAAGAATGGTGGTCATGGGGCAAAATGCCACCCTAAAATCTGAAAAGACAAGCAAATGCAGGGAATCTTACAGTCAAGATCAACTTAGAGCAGTAGTCGCTGGAGTCCATATCTTGCAGGAAAATTTCCACAGTAACTAATGAATTGCTGGGGGCTGAATGTGGTGAAGCTTGAAGGTAAAGGTGCCTGGGGGCCCGGACTTAGGTGGGGTAGGAGCTCCACAAATTCATGGGTTCTACCTCCAGCACCGCAATTTCTAATGGTGAAGAATAGAGAAAAATCACCTCATGTTTTACACAGGGGTTTAAGTTACCTGCACTACTTGTGAAGTGTTATAATGTTATTTGAAGCCGGACTTAGATTACTGTAAATGCGTATTGCAAACTCTAGAAGAAACACAAAAATATTTTTTAAAGATATAAACTAATATGCTAGAAGAGGAAAAGAAATATCATGTAATAAGATATTCACTAACATCAGAGAAGGCAGAAAAAAGACAAAGATTTAAAAAATAACAAAGAACAAATATAACAAATAAAAACAATTACACATATTGTAGGTAATCTAACTATATAAGTAATCACTTTAAATATCAGTTGTCTAAATATCAATTAAAAGACAAACACTATTAGAGTGTTGATTCATTTAAGAAAATAAATCAATAACTAATAATTTTTTAAAATACCAGACCTGGATGATTTCACTAGTAAAATCTACTATATAGTCAAGGAAGAAAAGTCACCAATTCTTTAAAATCCCTTCCAAAATATAGAAGTCTAATTCACTCTAGAAGGCCAGCATTACCGTAATGCCAAAACCAGATAAAGAATTATAAAAAAAAGGAAAACTGCAGCATAATTTATAAATATAGGTGAGAAGTCTTCAAAAATATTGGCAAATCAAATTCAACAGGATTATAGAATTGTAATCGAAATAATCAAAAGAATTACATAGTACTACCGAGTGGAATTTATCCCACATATTTGACGCTAGTTCAACACTAGAAAATCAATTATGTAATCAATCAATCACATCAGCAAGCTAAAGATAAAATCGTATGATCATATCAATACATGCAGAAATTTGGTTGAGAAAATAACACCCATCAATGATTAAAACCTTTCAGCAAATTAGGAATATAGAGAGATTTCTTCAATTTAATAAAGAGCATCTCCAAAAGTACCTACAACTAACATCATACTTCACGAGTCAGAGAGATGAGGTGTCTTTATCCTAAGATGGGGAAGAAGGGAAGAATGTCCTCTCTCCCCACTGCTATTAGCCATTGTACTGGAAGTCTCATCTAATGCAATAAGTCAAGAAAAGGAAATTTTAAAATATACAAATTGAAAAGAAATGTAAAAACTTTTTTTTTATTTTTCCACAGATAGTATAATTATATATGTAAAAAATCCCAATAATAGACAAAAAATACTCTTATAAGTAATTATAAGAGGGTTGCAGGGTACATGATTTATATATTGCCGGGTGCTGTGGCTCACACCTGCAATCCCAGCACTTTGGGAAGCGTAGGTGAGTGGATCACTTGAGGTCAGGAGTTTGAGACCAGCCTGGCCAACATGGTGAAACCCTGTCTCTACTAAAAACACAAAAATTAGCCTGGCATGGTGGCCTGCATCTGTAATCCCAGCTACTAGGGGGGCTGAGGTGGGAGAATCGCTTGAACCTGGGAGGCGAGGGTGCAGTGAGCCAAGATCTCGCCATTGCACTCCAGCCTGGGTAACAGAGCGAGACTCCATCTCAAAAGCAACAACAACAACAACAACAAAAACTGACACACAAAATTCAGTTGTGCTCTTATATACCAGCATTTAACAATTGAAATTTGAAATAGAACCAAAAAAGGAAATAATTAGATAAATATTTAATTAAGTAGGTGCACAATCTATATGTAAAAAACTGTAAAGTTTTGATGAAATGAATCAAAAAGGGTCTAAATAAATAAGATGATTCCTAAGTCTTTTCATACTGCCATTCCAGGACATCCTCCATTAAATATCTGACTTTTCTCTCATCACTCTTCTCCCTCTTTGGCTTCAGTCAAACATGCTTCCTTCCTTACCAAACATACCAGTCCAAAACTCATTTTAGGACCTTGGCATGATTATTCCCAGAATTTAAGATATTCGTCACCACCATTGTTAACCCTCTTATCTCTTTCTTTAAATTGTTGTTTAAATGCCAGCCCCAGGAGGCCTACACTGATCATTCTGTTTGAAACTGCATCATGCATCTGCTCCTATTTAGTGCTTCCAATCCTTCCAATACCCATGACACCGAACAACTTTCAATTTTATTCATAATGCTTAAAATGACTTAACCTACACACAGCATCTTACTATTGCAGTTATCATATGTTTTATTTCTTTCCTGAGTATAAGCTCAAGAGGGCAGAATTATTTTTCTCTTTTGGTTATTTATATAACCCGAGACCTAGAACAGTGCCTGGCACAGGTTATAGATGCCACATCAATGTGTCAAATGAAGGAATGACAAAGTATGTGGATTTTGTGCAGACTTCTGTCAGAACTTGTGTTTTTCAAAACATTTTGAACCATTTTGGATTAAGTGTTTGTATGAGGCTCTTAGTATGAAACTTCACAATTGTATTCTGAAGGCTGCTTTTATTTCCCTCAAAGCCCTTATAATATAACATCCTAAGATTTGTTAAAAATATCTTAAAACTGTTCTAAACATCAGCATCCTAACCATTTACCATGTTGATTCAAATTTCATCATTCTCCCAAGACAATTTCAGATAACTATTTCTTATTTGTAATTATAAAAAATTTGAATAAACACTAATATTTAAAAATATGCTCGTGCTTGTAATCCCAGCACTTTGGGTGGCTGACATGGGAGGACTGCTTGAGGCCAGGAGTTCTAGACCAGCCTGGGTAATATAGCGAGACTCTGTCTCTAGAATTTTTTTTTTTTTTTTTAAGTATCCAGGCATGGTGGCACACACCTGCAGTCACAGCTACTTAGGAGGCTGAGGCAGGAGGATTGCTTAATCCCAGGAGTTTGAGGTTACCATGAGCTATGATTGTGCCACTGTTCTCCAGCCTGGGCAACAGAGAAAGACTCTGTCTATAAAAAAAGAAAGTGTAGAATTACAAGTTGTATGATATAAATGATACATCGTACACATGTACATGATACAAATCAAGGTTCATGGCTCTTTTCTTCTAGTCTGATACTAGTGCTTAAAGTCCACGGGTATCCTGTGGCCATTGGGAGGGAACTATGCATAGAAAGCCAAAGAGAACAAGAACCATCTATACCCGTCAAGCAAGAGCTGAAGTCCTCAGGGAAGGCTGAAGCCAGTGCCAATTTTTGCTGTGAACAATCTTCATGTCCTGGTGCCTTACAGCACCAGGTCTCTTTGTTATGGCACAAAGTTCTGTGCACACCTGGCCCAGGAATCAAAGAAGCTGACAGAGGATCCAGGGAAAGACAGAAAGTTGCAGGCATGAAAGCAAATGTATATGTGAGCTACAAAAAAGCTGCTGCTTCACTTTGACACTTGAACTGTCCCAGAAGAATATCTCCTGTGGCCCACTGTAACCAGAAACACACAGAAAGGGTAATTCTTGGAAATACAATGCAGACTAGCCAAATAAACATTTGAGAAAACCTCAACAGTTTGCAAATAATTACCAAATTGATGATATATATAACTAAATGTTTCAGTTCCTTTTGGCTGCTATAGCAAAACACCTTAGACTGTGTGGCTGATAAACAATTGAAATTTATTTCTCACAGTACTGAAGGCTGGGAAGTCCAATAAAAAATACAGGCAGATTCGATATCTGGTGAGGGCTGCTTTCTGGCTCATAGATGATACCTTCTAGCTGTACTCTCACCTGGTCAAAAAAACAAAAGAGCTCCCTGGGGTCTCTTTTATGAGGGGATTAATCTCACCCATGAGGGTTTTGCCTTCATTGCCTAATCACCTTTCAAAAGGCTCCACCTCCTAATCCTTCATTGGAGCTAGGATTTCAATGTATTCATTTCATGGGAACACAGGCATTCATATCATAACACCAGGTATGTATATTTTATGTCTTAAACAAAAGCATTCCCAGAGAATTCCCAGAGATTCCCAGAGAATCTTAGTAATGGAATTTTCAGGATGAAATATTTAGGAGGTCAACTGTCATACGAATGTACTCTCTACCTCTCTAAAAAGCTCAGTTGAACCATCCCGATGAAAGAAAACTGAATTATACCTTAATTTTTTGCCTGATAATTTAGTTTTTGGAAAGCCAATAGTTATAAGAAATCTATATAGATATGAAATAAAACCTTATAAATTTAATCAGCCACAAAAACAGCTTAAAAAGCTACAGCCCATTAAAACTTACTGCCTATTCATTTTCAGAACATTTCATAAAATTTCAGACTTTATGCAGATGCCAAAATAAAATATTTACTAATTTTAAAAAGAAGTGAATAAAAACACCTTGAATTTGAATACAAACCTAAAACCTTTCTGAGTCTTAGATAAACATGAGAAATATGAAACATTAAAATGGAAAGTTATATTGTTTGTAGTTCTTCAGTAAATGTCACTATCATTATTCTTACACGAAATTTGTTGGCATAATAATGGATCTTCTGAAAGGGTTAGGGATGATATACCAAAAGCTGACATATTTTTAATAACACTTTCCATTTCTCACATGCTTCTATAATCTTCTCCCTTAATCACGTTTGCCAGGGATGTTGTTATTCTATTTAATCATGCAATCTCAAAGCACTCATTTTTTATTTGAATTTGGTACAGAGTATCTCATGTTCTCCTTTAGAAAAAATAATCAGATTCATCTATTTTTCTGTCTCTGAGTATTTGTAAATGGCAAAAACAGAGGCAGCAAGCACATATTTAGAGTAACTTTTATCGTCTTCCAACTATACCCAAAGGCATCGCAAACAGCTGAGCAGTGATTGGCTCATAATTCACACGGTGTGGCTGTGACTTTCCTGATTCTTTATTGAAACTCTATTCTTACCAGAAACAGGGCTTGAACAGCTCTTTGTTTTTAGGTCTTTCTTTCTCTTTTACACTCAGAATCAATATGTGCTAAGCCTTTTGATTTTATCTCATGTTTGTCTTCATTCATAATGCACTCAAAATACATGTTGATCTGTTATTATGTTCCAAGTACTATGCAAAGCAATGACAACAGAGACCTGAATAGGAGTGAGTTTCCTTCCCTCATTGACTTCACAGGGAGGAAAAGTTCTCAAATCTAGCTTATCAACCTAGTTCCTTCAAAGGCCATGCAGATCTCAATTCCTCTGACTTGGAAGATTATGACAGCAAAATTATGAGATACCTCTCTGATCTCCAATCATAACAGATTTTTCGTGTTGAATTCATAAACTTTTTTGAAGATCCAGCAAGATGATAAGAGAGTTATTGGTTAAATTTTGTTAGAGAACTATCCACAGTACAGCTTTCTCTTTTTATAGTTCTTGTTTCTTTTTCTTTCTATATCTATGATAGGACTGAAAGTTTTCACATACACATTTTCATTGGATAGCCTGTTTCATCTCTGTGTGGCCCCACTGAAACACTTTTAATAGCGTCTGTCACTCTATAGGACAAAAATAAAATTCTTAACCTGGCATTCAAAACCTAAAATCTGGCCTGCATCTTTTTCTGCTGTCATCATATATTATAGCTCTTGCTTTGGAAGAAATAGGCTGATTGTATTCTGCTAGCTCATGTTTTCTGCTTTGATATTCTTGTTCATGCTGGATTTACCCTGAAGTTACCCCATTACTAACTTATACTTGGAAAAATCTTTTTAAAAATTATTTTCAATCATAAGGAATGATAAAGAAAGGATTAAACAAGAATTAAAAACACATGGAGAAAGAAGAAAAAATCTTTTTGTCCTTAAAGTTTACTGCAGAAGTCCTGTGTTCCATGAACTTTTCCAAAAAGCATTGCTATCTTCCTCCTAAGCTCATAGAGTAAATGTGTATACGTCTTTTATGTAACTCCCCACATACTGCCTGTACCACAGTCATTTGTATGTGTCTTATTTTCTGACTACCTTACAGAATCCTTGAAGGAAAAAACTCTGTTTTTTTTCTCTTTATTTTCTATTTCAAATTATCTTTTTGCCAAATGCAAGCTGTTGTACGTGGTCAGTACTAAAAGTTTACACATAAATATACATATTTGGACTGCTGGGTTGTATGTACCAATGTGAGTACCATACTTTGAGGTTGCTGTGGAGGATGTTAAAACGCAATTTTGCTGGCACATAATTTTTTTTCCTTAACTTTTTATTTTGCATTAATTTTAGATTGGCAAGCAGTTGTAAGAATGAATATAGAGAGACGTAGTTTACACTTTATAGCATTTCCCCGAGTGGTAACACCTGGGCAAACTTATACACTATCATGACCATAATTATGACAGTAATAAAATCAACAAATTTTGCTCAAATTTTCTCAGTTATCCATGTTAAATTTAAGTGTTCTTTATGTATTCTAGATATTATATTATTTGTTTGCAAATATTTACTTTCAACCTGTAGTTTGTCTTTTCCTAAACAGGTATTTTATATGGTGAATATTTTTAATTTTTATAAAGCCCAATTTATGAATTCTTCCTTTTATGAATCATACTTTCAATGTTAGGACTAAGAATTCTTAGCCCAGTTTTAGATATCAAAGATATTTTCTTTAAGTTGAATAGTTTTACATTTCATGTTTAAACCAGTAATTCATTTTGAGTTAAATTTTGTATAAGATGTAAGGTTTAGCCCCTTTTACTTGGCCCACTAAATCTAACTGCTCAAATATCATTTGGTGAAAAGGCCACCCTACCTTCCATAAAATGCTTTTGTACCTTTCAAAAACTGGTTGAGGCTGGGTGCGATGGCTCACACCTGTAACCTCAGCACTTTAGGAGGCCGAGGCAGACATATCACTTGAGGCCAGGAGTTTGAGGCCAGCCAGGGTGACATAGCAAAACCTCTTCTCTACTATAAATACAAAAAAATTAGCTGGGTGTGGTGGTGTGTGCCTGTAATTCCAGCTACTCGGGAGGCTGAGGCATGAGAATTGCTTGAACTCAGGAGGCGGAGGTCGTAGTGAACCAAGATCCTGCCACGGCATTCTAGCCTGGGCAACAGAGGGAGCCTCTGCCTAAAAATTAAAAAAAAAAAAAATTGAATATGTATGAGTATGTATACGTATTCTTAGGTTCTCTACTGAATTGTGTTCCATTGATCTGTGTATCTCTCCCTCCTCCAGTGCCATGCTGTCTTGTTTGCTGTAGCTATTTATTAAAGGTCAGTACTGGTTAGAGTGATTCTTCTCACTTTATTCTCTTTTTTTGTTCATGATTGTCTTGGCTACTCTAGGACCAGAGCATTTCCATATATGTTTATTTTATGTCTATTTAAAAAATATGTCTTTCTTATGTCTATTTTAAAAACTTGCTAGATGTTGATGGATATTAAATCTATAGATTAATTTGAGAATGAATTGGCACCTTTACTGTGCTGAATCTTCCATTACTTCTGGATCCATGAACATAATATGTCTCTCCATTTATTTAAATATAGGTTGATTTCATTTTAGCAACATTTTGTGACTTCTAGCATACAGATCTTATACATGTTTTGTTAAATTTTTACCAAATAATTTTCCTGTGGATACATTTTAAATGGTATTGTATTTTCAATTTTTGTTTCCTCATGTTTATTATTAGTACATGGAAATGCAAATCAATTTATGTGGGTCTTGCGTCATGTAACCTTGCTAAACTCATATAGTGTTTCTGGAAGTTTCCTGCAGATGCACTGAAATATTCTATATAGTCAAAAACGTCATTGGTAAACAGGAATAGTTTTATTTATTCCTTTCCAATGTGTGTGACTTTACCTTCTAGTACTGTATTGAATAAAAGTGGTGAGCATGTATACCCTTGCTTTGTTCATGATTTCTAGGGAAAGAACTCACAATATCACTGAATACATTAGCAGTATCTATTTTTCCTGTAGATTCTCTCTATTGAGTTAGTTCTCATTAATTCTTAAATTGATGAGATGTTTATCATGAACAAGTGTTGAATTTTTTTGTCAAATGTGCTTTCTGCATCAAATGATACTACTATATATTTTTTCTTTAGCCCATTAATATGGTGGATTACATAGATTGACTTTTGAATTTTGAATAAGCCTTGCTGTCTTCATGTGGGAACTTGATATTTTGAGGAACTGCTAAGTTATTTTTCATATGGCTGCAGCACTTTACCTTCTCATCTGTAATAGATGAGCATTCTAATTTTTTCTCAACCTCACCAACTGTAGGTATTGCCTATCACTTTATTATTATAGCCGGCTTTGTGTATGTAAAGTATAGCTCATAGATTGACTTGAATTTCTCTGATTACTGGCGATGTTGAATATCTTCTCATGTGTATATTTGCCAGTTGTACACTATTGTTGGAGAAATATCTATTCAAATGCTTCACCCACTTATTAACTAGGTCATTTTTCATCTTATTACTGAGATGCAGAAGTTTTTATATATTCTGGCTACAAATCCCTTATCAGACATATGATTTAAAAATACTTTTTCTGCTATATAAAATTATTTAGGTTAACCCTAAAAAAACCTTCATACATTTAAACTTTAATAACACAGTAAAGGCATAAAAGAAAAACCTGTAAACATCTGAAAGAAAATTTAGAACTTCATTACACTGTATACTATTTGCTTAGATATGGTGACAAATGAGAAATGGTTATCATTTTTAAGAATTTAAAGTATGTCCTAAGGATAGCAGAATGAAAATCTTTAGTAACTATGAAAAAAAAAGGGTGTCTTAAATATAAATGTTCTTTACAGACAGCTTCTCTGGGGCGTGGTGATCTTGTTAACGTTCCTACACAGAGATGTCTGAGCAAGTGGAAAATACCCAAGGGGAGTGGCTTCAGGGGATTTTTCCAGTCACTGATGCTTAAAGTGGAGTTTCCAAAGTGAAGAGTAGCACTGTGGCTCAAAACCGGGGGGCAAGAATCACACAATGATTTCTACTTCTCTTTCGCTTTTTTTGGTTAGCTTAAGGAGAAAGTTTACTGCTTTATTTAATTTCTTATTAACATTTGTATCATTCATATATATATATATACACACACACACACACACACACACACACACACACACACATAATTCTGTGTCTTTCACTTCTGTTGTGGTACCATATGCCCCACCAAAATTATTAATTTTATTAATTTATTTATATTTATTCATCACATGTATTTTTGTTTTCATGTCATAAGAAGTCATTGCATAATCAAATTTCAGGAAAATTTACTTCTATTTTCTCTGTAAGATTTTTATAGTATTAGGTCTTACATTGAAACCTATAATCTATTTTAAGTTAACTTTTGTTTATGATTTGAGGACATGATCCAACTTCATTCATTTGCTTACGTATAACTAGTTGTTTCAGGATAAGTTGCTGAAAAGAATATTTTTCTACTGAATTCTCTCACCATCTTTGTTGAAAATCAATTTGGCATAAATGTGAGACTTATTTTTCGGAATTTTAATTCTATTCTATTGATTTATATATGTCTTTCCTTATACCAGTCTTATACTTCTTGCTCACTGTGGCTTTGAAGTGAGTATTAAAATCTAGAAATGTGAGTCCTCCAACTTTGTTCTGTTAACTCAAGATTGTTTTGGGTATTCTAGGTCCTTTGCATTTCCACATGAATATTAGCATTAGCTCATCAATTCCTGCAAAAAAAAAAAGCTAGGATTTTGATATAAATTGTGTTTAATCTGTAGATCAATGTGTAAAGTATAGCTTTTTTAACAGTGTTCTTACTATCTATGAATATGGTATGTCTTTCTATTCATTTAGGTTTCTTAAAAAATTTCTTTTAATTTTTTTCTAGTTTTCACTGTATATGTTTTATACCACTTTCATGAAATTTATTCCAAAGTATTTCATTTTTTTGATATCATTGTAAATGTAATTGTTTTTTTATTTCATTTAAAGGTTTTTCATCACTACTTTATAAAAATACAATTGATTTAATGTCTCTCTGAACTTTTAATTAACTCTAAATTTTTGTAGATCCTAGGATTTTCTACCTATAATATCATGCCATCTGAAAATAAAAATAGCTTTATTACTTATTTCCAATATGGATGCCTATTATTCCATATTCTTGGTGAATTGCCTTACTAGAACTTCCTGTCAAATTCGAATAGAAGTGACAAAAGCAAATACTCTTTTCTTGCTCCAGAACTTACCAAGAAATGCTTTGGTTTTTCATTATTAAGAATATTGCCAGCTATAGGTTTTTTATAGATGCCCTTTATAAGGTTGATCAGATTGTTTTCTATGTCCAGTCTCCTGAGTGTATGCACTATAAAATGGTGTTATATTTTGACAAATAATGTTTCTACATCTATTAAGAAAATCCGGTGGTTTCCAGTTATTCCAATAATATGATGTATTAGATTATTGATTTTAAAATGTTAAACCAACTTTTTATTCTAGTAATATGTGATACCGGGTTGTGGAATATAATGCTATGTGTTGCTGGGATTGATTTTCTGGTGCTGTTTTGCAAATATTTGCTATATATTCATAAAAATTATTTGGTGGTAATTTTATTTCTTTGTGTTGTCTTTTTATGGTTATGATATTGTGGTATTAATAACCTCACAGAATGAGTTAGGAGTGTTCACTCTTTTTTAAATATTTAGAATCATATGTAAAACATTTATGTAAATTTTTCTTTAAATATTTGGAAGGATTTACCAGTAACATTATTTGACCTGAGCTTTTAACCTTGGAAGAAGTTTTTAAAATTATTGGTTCAACTCTTTATTATTTATAGGTCTATTCTAGTTTTGTATTTCTTAATGAGTTACTTTGGTATATTTTTCTTTCTGGTAATGTGTCCACTTTATCTAAATTATCTAATTTGTTGACATAGAGTTTTTTATAGTATTCTCTTACCTTCTTCATTAATTCTGCAAGCTCAGTAATGATGTTCTCCTTTTCATTCCTGATTCGAATAATTCAAGTCTTCTCTCTATTTAAATGTTTTATAATTTCGCAGGTGTTTTCAAAGTATCAACTTTTGGTACCATTAATTTTTTTTAATTATTTTTCTCTTCTATATTTTTATGTGTTTCCATTTTATTATTTCCTTATTCTGCTTGTTTTGGGTTTAGTTTACTTTCATTTTTCTGGTTTCTTTCTTCTTTTTTTTTTTATTTTGAGACGGAGGCTTGCTCTGTTGCTCAGGCTGGAGTGCAGTGGTGCGATCTCTGCTCACTGCAACTTCTGCCTCCTGGATTCAAGTGATTCTCCTACCTCCACCCCCTGAGTAGCTGGGAGTACAGGCATGCACCACCACATGCAATTAATTTTTTTGTATTTTTATTAGAGACGGGGTTTCACCATGTTGGTCAGGCTGGTCTCGAACTCCTGACCTCAAACGATCTTCCCGCCTCAGCCTCCCAAAGTACTGAGATTACAGACATCAGCCACTGCACCCAGTGCATTTTCTGGTTTCTTAAGATAAAATTATGGTTATTAATTTGAGATTCTTCTGCTTTTTAATATAATAGACTACAGCTATAATGTAGTGTTTTTGTAAACGCTACATTATCTGGATCCCGTAAGTTTTGGTATGCAGTGTTTTAATTTAACTCATCTTCAAGTATTTTCTAATTTCCGTTGTAATTCTCATTTTGATATCTTGTTTATTCGAGAATGCTTAATGTTTAATTTTCATATATGTGTGGGTTATCCACATCTTCTTTGTTATTAATTTCTGCTTTTCATCCATTGCATTCAGAGAAAACAATTGATGGTTTTAATTTTCTTACATGTATTGAAGCTTGTTTTATGGCTTAGCATATGATTTGTCCTACAGATGTTTCATGTGTTCTTGAATGTGTATGCCGCAATCACTGAGTGAAGTGTTCTACACATGTCTGTTGGGGTTAGCAAGGATTCATAGAGCTGTTCAAGTCTTCTGCATTATTGTGCTTTTTCTGCTTGCTCTACCTGTATTGAAGTCTCCAGCTACTATTGTGAAATTGTCTAGTTCTTCATTCAAACTTGTGTTTTCACTTTATGTGTTTCCTCTGTAAGATGCCTATAATTTTTATAATTGTTATTTCCTCCCCATGAATTTTAAATTCATTAAAAATGAAGTTACTTTTTTAGTAGTAAATTTTTTAACCTTTAAATCTATTTTATGCTATTAGTATAGCCACACCAGCTATCTTAAGATCATCATTTGCATTATATGTCTTTTTCTGTCATTTTAGTTTCAATTTACGTGTGTCTTTGAATCTAAGTTGTGTCTCCTAGAGACACTTTCCATTTCAATTAATTTTCATAATATCTGCTTTTTTATTACCTTATTTAATCCATTTATATTTAATAACATTACTAATATGGTTAGATTTACGTTTGTCATTTTGCTTTTCTTTCTATATGTCTTATCATCTTGTCTTCTTCCTTTTGTACTCCATGTCTTTACCTCAAATATATATCTTCTTTAAAGACTTTATTTTTCAAGTAATTTTAGGTTCACAGCAAAATTAAAAAGAAGTTACAGAAATGTACCATATCCACACACGCATAGCCTATCCCCTTATCAATATCTCCCACCACGGTGGTACATTTCTTAAAATTGATAACCCACACTGACACATCATTATCACGAAAAGTTCATAGTTACATTAGGTTTCACTCTTGTGTACATACATTTGGACAAGAGTATAATGACATGTATCCACCATTATAAAATAGACTGCTAAACGGAGTATTTTAATATTAAACAGAGTATTTTAACTGCACTAAAAATTCTCCCTTCTGTGATAATGCATCTCTCTCTTTCCTCTAATCCCTGAAAACAAGTGATTTAAATTCTCTCTACAGTTCTGTCTTCTCCAGAATGCCATATATTTGGAGTAGCATTGTATGTTGTTTTTCCAGTTTTCTTCTTTCACTTAGTAATTTGGATTTAAAGTTTTACCATGTCTTTTCACAGCTTGATAGTTTCTTTCTTTTTAGATAGCCTGGGCTTATTGATTTCATTGATCTTTTAAAAAAAAAGATTTCGGGCCGGGCGCGGTGGCTCACGTCTGTAATCCCAGCACTTTGGGAGGCCGAGGCGAGTGGATCACAAAGTCAGGAGATCGAGACCATCCTGGCTAACATGGTGAAACCCCGTCTCTACTAAAAATATAAAAAAATTAGCTGGGCGTGGTGGTGGGTGCCTGTAGTCCCAGCTACTCTGAGGCTGAGCAGGAGAATGGCGTGAACCCAGGAGGCGGAGCCTGCAGTGAGCAGAGATCGCACCACTTCACTCCAGCCTGGGTGACAGAGCGACACTCCGTCTCAAAACAAACACAAAAACAAAAAAACAGATGTTGGTTTGCTGATTTTCTCTTGATTTACTGTTTATAATTGTATTGATTTTTGTTCTAATTTTAATTATTATTGCTTACTTTGGATTTAATTTGCTCTTATTTCTATAGTTTCCTCTGCTGGAAACTTAGATTATTGATTTGATCTTTCTTCTTTTCAATATGGTCACTCAATGTTATACATTTACATTTAATCACTGCTTTCATGGCATTCTACAAATCTTAGTATGCTATTTTTCATTTAGTTCAAAATATCTTCCACATCTCTTGAGATTTCTTCTTTGACCCATGTGTTATTTAGAAATATGTTATTTAATCTTCTAGTATTTGGTGATTTTTCCAGCTACCTTTATGTTATTGATTTCCAGTTTAATTTTACTGTGATCTGAGCACATACACTGGGGTTAGGGACCCCTGCCAAATTCTCTATATTTTAATAGGTGCATAGAGACCATTGACATTTAAAGTGATTATTAATAAATTTACATTCATATATGATATATTTATAATCTATTCTCCTCTGTTCCTTGTTTGTCTTTTTATCCTCCACTCTTTTTCAGCCTTCTATGGTTTTAATTGAATGTTTTATGTGATTCTGTTTTCTTTCCTTCCTTAGCATGTCAGTTATAATTTTTTTCACTTTTTTATTGGCTGTTCTAGAATTTGCAATTTACATTTACGTCTAATGCAAGTCTACTCTCAAATTATAATGTACTGCTTTTCAGAGAGTGCAAGTACCTTAATAGAAAATATTCCCAATTTTGCCTTACCATTTCTTCTGTCATTACTTTCATTTCACTTATCCATAAATTATATCCACTGGGTACATTGTTGCTAATAATTAGTAGCAACTAACAGATTAGTAGTAATCTGTTGTCTATTTGATCAACTAAGAATAAAAAAAATTTTTACCTTTACTTATTTTTTCTCTAGTGCTTTTCATTTTGAAAACTATATTAAGGTTTCTAACCTATACCATTTTCCTATTTTTCGAAGAACTAACATTCATTGTAAGATAGGGCTACTAACAACAATATCCACAATTTTTATTTATCTGGAAAAGTTTTATTTCTCCTTTACTTTTGAAGAATAATTTCACTTGAATGGAATTCTAAATCGATGAGAATTCATTTTTCAAAACTTTAAATATTTTACTTGATTTTCTTCTTGCTTGCATAGTTTCTGATGACAAGAGTGATACAATTATTATCCTTGCTCATCTGCAGATAAGGTTGTCACCCCTACCTCACTTTTTCATGTTTTTTTGATCTGTGTTTGAATTTCTGCAGTTTGAATATAATATGCTTAGATGTAGTTCTTTTGCAATGTATTGTGCTTGGTGTTTTCTGAACTTCCTGGGTATGTAGTCTGCTCTGTGAAATTAATCTTGTAAAAGAGTTGTCACTATCAGTAACTGTTGCTTTAAATATTTTGCTCCTTTTTTTCTCTCTCTTTCTAGTATTCCCATTATGCATGTGTTATAGCTATTGTATTTATCCCACAGTATGGAAGTTTCTACAGAAAAACTTTCATGTTCCATGATCTCCTTTCTTCAATCATGTTCATTCTCCTAATAAGCCCATCAAAAGTATTCTTCATTCTTTTGCAATACTTTTAATTTCTTGCTTTTCTTTTTAATTGTTTTTTTTTTTTTAGAATTGCTATTTCTCTACTTACATTACCTATCTACTCTTGAATATTGTCTGGTTTTTTTTCCATTAGCTCTTAACACGATAGTCATATTTATTTTACATTTCTGGTCTGATAATTTCACCATTCCTCCCATATTTGATTCTGGTTCTTATGCTTATTTTTTCTTGTTGTTTCAAACTCTCTTTTGCTTTTTAGAATACTGTGTAGTGTGTGTGTGTGTCTGTGTGTGTGTGTGTGTTAAAAGCTGGATGTGATGTACTGGGTGAAAAAACCTGCATTCAACAGTACTTTAGTGATGCATTTGTAAGTTGTGTGTGGAGAAGTGTACTATAGTCCCGTGCTTAGTTCTGTTTTTTAGTGAGCTTGTGCCTCTGTGTTGTGACTTAACAAATCCTTTTCAGTCTCCTCTGCTTTGGTGAGACAGAAATGCTACAAGGGACTAGAGCTAGGTATGTCCTTAATACAATGTGGAAGTTTGGAGTGGGTTGCAGTTGAGTATTGTTCTTCCCCCTGCCACATTGAAATCTAGAGAGAGGCTGAAGTTGGATATTTTCCTTCCTCTCAGTTGCTTAAACTCTGGTAAAAACCATTTGTTAGACTCTAGTAAACTATTTGGTTTTGAGGGTAATTCTTGTTAAGAACAGAATGTCCCAGGTGTATTTCAAAACAGTTGCTTTTTTCTCCCTCTGCCAGAAGCATAAGGGATTTTTTCTCCAATCTTTTTGGTGAAAACCTGGTAGGGCTCTCAGTGGCAAAACTTACATAAAAGTGTGGGAAACCCTTCTAAGACAGGTACTCCTTGGAACTATTAATACTCATCCACCAGTTTATCAATTACAGCTTCGGTTTCCCAACCCCAGACTGTGTCTCATGAAAATTTCTTCTCCTAGGTTTATATTCCAAAAAAATTGTGATTCATCTGCATTTACCTTCCTGCTTCTTCAATTTATGTGGCAGCAATTTCTCCTATTGTCTCAGTTTTCTGAAGGATCTAAGAGTTTTTGATTTTCAGTTTGTTCAGCTTTTTCTTATAGTGTGAATGAAATTGACAACTTCCAAGATCCATATATATCATATGGAAAACCATACATCTTTAGTCGTTCTTTTAAGATGGATTGTCTAGGAACAAATTCAGTTTTTGTTTATTTGGAAATGTGCTTTTCTTCTTTATTTTCTCTTTCTTTCTTTCTTTCTTTCTTTCTTTCTTTCTTTCTTTCTTTCTTTCTTTCTTTCTTTCTTTTTTTTTTTTTGAGACAGCGTCTCTCTCTGTCGCCCAGGCTGGAATGCCGTGGTGTGACATTGGCTCCCTGCCACCTCCACCTCCCAGGTTCAAGTGATTCTCCTGCCTCAGCCTCCTGGGTAGCTAGGATTACAGGTGCACACCAACATGCCTGGCTAATTTTTGTATTTTTAGGAAAGACAGAATTTTGCCATGTTGGCCGGGCTGGTCTCAAACTCCTGACCTCAGGTGATCCACATGCCTCAGCCTCTCAAACTGCTGGGATTACAGGTGTGAGCCACTGTGACTGATTTTCTCCTTTAATGTTTGAAAAAAGCTAGTTTTGCCTGATATAAGATTCTTGGTTCATAATTCTTTCAGAATTTTGAATATGTCATTACGCTGACTTCAGTATTCCATGGCAATGTCCTTGTAAATAATGAGAAGTCATCTATTAATCCTATGGTGATCCCTTTGTATCTTAATCTTTTTACGATTTTCTTCTTTGCCTTTCAACATTTTTACTGTGATATGTATAGATTTAGGTCTCTTTTCATTTTTCCTGTTTAGACCTTGTTGAACTTTTTGGTGTGTAAATTAATGTTTTTAATCAGATTTAGAGCATTTTCAACTACTATGTTTTAAAATAATTTTTTGCTCCTTTTTCTTTGTCCTCTCTTCTGGTAATCTCATCAGGCGGTAATCTCATTATGTGTAAGTTTATGTATTTAATGGCATCATACATTTCTCTTAGACTCTGCTCATTTTCTTTCTTCTTTTTTTCCTGTGTTATTCAGATGATATAATCTCTATCCTTGTCTCTTCAAGTTCATAGATTGTTTATTCTTCAAGTTTTGATATACTATTGAGCCCCATGAGTGAATAGTTCGTTTTAATTATTCTACTTTCAACTCTAGAATTTTCACTTAGTTCTTTTATAAAATTTATTTTTGTTGATATTCTCTAGTTAATTAGATATTATCATCATACCATCTTTTAATTATGTAATTTTTTAAATGTTTGAATATTTTTACAATAATTGCTTTGAAGTCTACATCTATGACCCCTCAAAAACAAATTCTATCACTTGATTTTCTTTTGTGTATGGATGACACCTTCTTGTCTCTTTGCATGTTTTACAGTGCTTTTCTGAAAAGTGAACATTTTATGTTTCATCAAAAATATATTTTATTTGTATACACATTAAAATAGCATATTTCAGAAAAATTAGTAATATAATATTTCCTACTCTCACATTTCATAGTGTTATTTAAACACTCAAAATATACAGTATTAGCATCCTCATCAGTGAAACTGCTTTCGGATCATCTAGCAGTGAAAACTCAGCATTTTAAATAATATATTGTAGCAACTCTGCATATTGATTCTGCACTCCAAGCTTGCTGCTGCTGTTGTTTCATTTGTTACTAGCTAGGCTAGATTTGTTCAGCGAAGTCTGTTTTCTTGCATGTGCAGACTCAGAGGACATATTACTGCTCATGTGCACAGATTCCTTGGACAAAGTAATGGATGTGGCTTTTCCAGATTTCCTTTGACTGTTTCTTTCCTTGATTTCATGTTAACTTTCTGGCTGCTCTGCCTCTATTGGTTTCACACCTAGCTGTCGGCTTCCATTAATTGCTAGCTGATTGCTTTATTATTTTTGACAAGACCCAGGGGCATAATTGTTCTACAGTCTGATTCAATTAAGTTTGGAGCTCCATTTGCGGCAGTAGGGTTATTTTGTCCTTCTTTGAGCTTGCTCTTAACTGAAGAGGGCTCCTTAGCTGTCCTCTTTCCTGGTTATCTCTCTTCCCACTTATGTCTAGTGTTCCATTATTGAAACACTAAGCATGTGAGAGTTATTTATATCATACTGCTCAAGGCCATCGCCAAGGACTGATTGCAAAAATTCAAAAAGATTGAATCTCAGGCACAAATGTGTTAAACTTGTAGCTGGTCTACCATTTTACCCCCTCTTAACTGCTCACCAACCAAATCTACATTGTTTTCTGAAACACCCTTCGAAATTAGTTCAAAGAACACTACTTCACTTAGGGAGAGCTGTGAGGCTCTTTGTCCTTATGGCATGCCTCACTCTTGGCAGAAACTCTGCACCACACATGGGGACAGGGAAAATTTTCTGCTTTTCACGGAGGGGCACCCCTACTCTACGAGGAGGGTGCTAGATGTAAATGGCAGCATTTGTCCTTTTTAGTTTTCTCCTCCTGGCAAGAAAACTACACCCTATAAGTGGGCTAGGTTTGGACAATAGGGTCCAGTATTTTTCATCTGCAATTCCTTGGATAAAGCTTTTCTTAACGAGTGTATGTTCAGTGGGAGAAGGGAGCCTCAATTTTAACCATGCCTGCCTCAGAAAGAGCTCCTGCTGCACAAGCCGAAGGGTTTTGGGTGTGCCTCTTCTGCTGGTGGGTGTGCTTCTGCTGGTGGGGGTGCTTCATGCTGGTGGGTGTGCCTCTTCTGGGGTTTAAACTGAACTCCTAAGAGGGGAGCAGGGGGGCTACAAAGCCATGCCTTCTTGGCCATACTTATTCAGAATAGCTCTTCCATCACATGGAACTGAACACAGAGGTGGTAGCAGGCAGCTGGCTCAAATGTCACAGATTATTGTTATTCTGATTAAGATTTAGTAGCTTTCCTTGAATAAATGATTCTCCATTTGACGTATGCTCTTAGGACAATTTTTAGAAACTACACACACACAGACACACACACACACACACGCACACACACCCTTTTTTCCAGTTAAGCAGTTAAATGGTTGTGGAGTGGGTCTGTCCATTGATTTCTTAAAAATGCAGTTCTGGGAGTGAAGATCCCTTAATTTTCTAAGTTACAATAACTTTCTTTTTAAAATTTTCTTACAAAATATTTATTAAACATGTTAAATATAATTTTTTTTCCAAAACAATGCTTTTGGAATGGATTTCCCTCAATTCTGCTATTTCCTTATATATTGTCCATCTCCCCTACCAGTCTGCAAATTTTTGAAGACATGTTTTATCCATACTCACATTCATGTAGTTTTAGAACATATTAGTTAAAAATACATTAATAAATGGTGTTATGATTAATAAGGTGTTTAGGCTTAAATATTTAATATATTTTAATATTATTTTTAAATCAAAATGTTAAAATTTTAAACATTTTATTGTAGATTAGTTTAGTATAATGACTAGTCTTTCACTTTTTATTCTTTATTTTTCATCTCTTAAAGAAAACAATATATAGTACCTGCTATGTGGTATACACTTTTATGGGCCCTGTGGGTGTTACAAAGACATGAAAGGCTTGGCTGCTGTTTTTTTTATACTCACAATATATAGCAAAATGGGAATGTATAAACAAAAAGACACATGGAACATACTTAACTGCTATGTCGGTGAAGAGAAATCCTAATGACATACATACAAGCAGGCAAAGTATAGAGCAACAAGGCAGTGTCAGAAAGCAGACAACATGCTTTGTTTTTGGTGAATAGACAAGTATTTGAGGATAAGGGCTAATGGAAGAGGTGGTCTATCATAACACTGTTTACAGACACCTTGTGATAGGTCTTATAGGCAAGGTAGGGTTTGCCTGTCCTACGGGGTAATGGAAAACATTAGTGGTTTTGCTGTGTCAAGTGACATGATGTTACAGACTGCATGGTGTCTCCCCACCCCCCAAATTCTTATGTTGAACTTCTAGCCCTCAGTGCTTCAGAATGTGACATTTTGGGGGGAAATAGGATCAGTGCAGTGTCATTAGTGAAGATGAAGTCATACTGGAGTAAGGTGGGCCACTAATTCAATGCAAATGATGTTCTGATAAAAAGGAGACATTTAGACATAAACATGCAGACAAGGAGAGCTTGATGTAAAGATGAATACAGAGATCAGAGTGATGCTTTTACTAGTCAGAACACTAAGAACTGCCAGCAAACCACCGGAAGCTATGAGAGGGGCACAGAGCAGATTCTTGCTCACAAGTCTCAGAAGGAAACAACATGGCCAGCAACTTGATTTTGGACCTCTAGTCTCTAGAACTATGAGGACATAAATTTCTGTGTCCTTAAGCCACCTACTGAGTGCCACTTTGTTATGGTAGCCCTAGTAAACTAATGTGCATGATGACAGACATGGTTGGAAAGTGTGATAATATCCTTTAGAATTTAATCCAAAACATTAGAAACTTGACATAATTTATAAATTAGAAAGGAACTTACTAGAGTTAAGGAAACCAGTTCAGTGCTAAGAATACCAATCATGGCTAAATGTGACAAATGCTTATGTTTCATTCTAAAAGTCTGACATTATAATTACAAGTGACCCTGATAAGAAATACAACTAGGAACTTCTAAGGACTAATTTTAGATATAAAGATAGTTCTCTAAGATGAGCTCATATTTAAAAAGGTCAATTAAAAAGGACCAAAAGGGCATTTAATAAGCTACAGCAAACAAAATCACAGTGATAAATACTTTCAGAAAGGCTACAATTCAGATTGAAGTGAAGTGAAGAAAAATTACCAGAAGGTGATAAAAATGTCTGGAGCAAAAAAAAAAAAAAAAAAAAAAAAGTGGCAATAAAAGAGATTATCAAGCCTCCAGCAGCAGAAGTCTTGCGCAAGAGACTCAGCAGCTTGTCCTTTCTTTCTTTCTTTTTTTTTTTTTTCTTTGAGGAGTCTCGCTCTGTCGCCCAGGCTGGAGTGCAGTGGCTCGTGGCTCAATCTCAGATCACTGCAACCTCCACCTCCCAGGTTCAAGTGATTCTCCTGCCTCAGCCTCCTGAGTAGCTGGGACTACAGGCACGCATCACCACGCCCGGCTAATTTTTGTATTTTTAGTAGAGACAGGGTTTCCCCATGTTGGCCAGCCTGGCCTCAAGCTCCTGACCTCAAGTAATTCACTGGCCTCAGTCTCCAAAGTGCTGGGATTCACGTGTGAGTCACCACACCTGGCCCTGTTTGTTTCTATTTTCTATTCTCACTCAGTATCTTTTAGTCTTGTCATAGTTCATAAGAAATTTGAGACTCAAGTAGAAGAAAAATCCTTAAAAAATTACCAAGGAGTTTAAATGTGAATTGTAAAACTCAGGCTATAAAACAAACCATAAGGATGATATTTCAAAGCTCTTTTAGTAATCTTTGAGTTTTCAAAAAAGGTACACGGATGAAGGTGAGTTCTGCAAAATAAACTGTACCATCTAACCAAAACATCTTACATGGGTTTTATTCTTTAGTAGTTAAAAATTTGTATTGATCGAGAATATAGTCTTTGAGTTTCATCTTCATGGTTCCAATTCTGACATCATACTTGTGCATTTATTTTAAATTTATTGTTGAAATCTTGTAATTATACATATTTATGGCATACAATGTAATATTTTAATACATATATACATTGTATAATGATGAAATCAAGGTATCGAGTGTATCCATCACCTCATGCATTGATCATTTCATTGAGGTGAGAATATTCAAAATCCTCTCGTTTCTGTTTTCCAATATATAATACCTTACTGTTAACTATTTTCATCACATTGTGCAGTAAAATACCACAACCTATTCCTTGTAATTATCAATGGTTATTCATTCACCAACCTCTCTCCATCTTTCCCTCCCTACTCCCCTCGCTTTACTCCCTGCTTCTATGAGATGAACTTTTTTTTTTTTTAGATTCTACATGGAATGAGATCTTGTGACCTTTCTGTGTCTGGCTTATTTCACTTAACATAATGTTCTTCAGGTCCATCCATGTTGTTGCAAATGGTAAGATTTCATTCTTTTCTACAGCTGAATAGTATTCCATTCCATATATACATATATGTGTATTTATATATGTGTGTGTGTATACATATATGTGTGTATACATATATATGTGTGTATATATGGAACACACACACACACACCACATTTTCTTTCTCCATTCATCCATGGTTGTATACATGGGTTAATTCCATAAATTGGCTTTTGGAAATAGTGCTACAATTAACATGGGAGAGCAGAAATCTCTTTGACATACCAATTTCATTTCCCTTGGATTTATACCCAATGGCTCATATGGTAGCTCTACCTTTATTTTTATTTATTTATTTATTTATTTAAGACGGAGTTTTACTCTTGTTGCACAGGCTGAAATGCAATCGTGTGATCTCCACTCACAGTCACCTCTGCCTCCCAGGTTCAAATGATTCCCCTGTCTCAGCCTCCTGAGTAGCTGGGATTACAGGTGCCCGCCACCACGCCTGGCTAATTTTGTATTGTTAGTAGACACAGGGTTTCTCCATGTTGGTCAGGATGGTCTTGAACTCCTGGCCTCAGGTGATCCACCCACCTCAGCCTCCCAAAGTGCTGGAATAACAGTGAGCCATTGAGCATGGCCTCTATTTTTAATTCTTAAAGTAATCTCCGTGCTGCTTTTCACAGTGGCTGTACGGATTTACAGTCCCACCAACGGTGTGTAAATGTTCCCCTGTCTCTACATCATCACCACCACTTGTTTTCTTTTGGGTTTTATATAATAGACATTCTACTTGGATTGAGGGTGTATCTTATTGTGGTTTTCATTTTCATTTCCCTCATTATTACTGATGAGCACTTTTTAATGTACTTGTTAGCCATGTGTATTTCTTCTATTGAGAAATGTCTTTTACTGTCTGATATGGTTCAATGTTTTGTCCCCTTCAAATCTCATGTTGAAATGTGACTGTCAATGTTGGACGTAGGGCCTGGTGGGAGGTGTTTGAGTCATGGGGGTGAATCCCTTGTGACTGCCTTTGTGTCTTCCCCACAGTAATGAGTGGTAATGACTTCACTCAAGATCCGTTTGTTTAAAAGAACGTGGCATTTCCCCACTCCCTCTCTCTTGTTCTCAGCCTTGCCATGTGATTTGTGGTCTCTTCCTTCAACTTCCACCATGGAAGCATCCTGAGGCCCTCACCAGAAGCAGATGCTGGCATTCTGCTTTGTGTGCAACCTTTGTATCTGTGATCTTAATAATCATGTTTCAATTTTATCTCTGATTTTATTTATTTGGGTTTTTTCTCTTTTTTTCTCAGTTAATCTAACCAAGAGTTTGTTAATTTTGTTTATTTTTTCCAAAACCCAACTCTTTGTTTAGTTGATCTTATGAATTATTTTAGTCTCTATTTTGTTTATTTAGGTCTGAGCTTTATTAGTTCCCTTCCACTACTAATGTTGGGCTTAACTTATTCTTGTTTTTCTAGTTCCTTGAGTTATACAATTAGGTTGTTGATTATAAATATTTTTCTTGTTTTGATGTAGATGTTTATTGCTATAAACTTTTCTTATAGAACTGCTTTTGTTATTTTCTATACAGTTCAGTATGATGTGTTTTTATTATCATTTGTTTCAAGAAATTTTTAAATTTCTCCTTTAATTTTCTCAGTGATCTATTGGTTAATGTGGAGGATGCTGTTTAATTTTCATGTATTTGTAAGGTTTTTGAAGTCTTCCTTGTTAATTTCTAGTTTTATACTTCTGTGGTCATAAAAGATACTTGATATTATCTCCATCTTCTTAAATCTGTTTAGACTTGTTTTGTGGCCTAATATGTAATCTACCCTCGAGAATGTTCCATATGCAGTTAAGAAAACTTGGAATTCTGCAGCTGTAGATGGAATGTTCTGTAAATATGTGTTAGGTACATTTGATCTATCGTATAGTTTGAGTCTGTTGTTTCTTTATTAATGTTCTGTCTAAAAGTATCTGTTTATTGCTGAAAATGTGAAGCTGAAGTCTCTTACCATTATTATATTTCTATCTAACTCTCCTTTTAGGTCTAGTAATACTTGCTAGACCTGTTTTGGGTGCATACATATTCATAATTGTTGTAAATTCTTGTTGAGTTAGTTATGTAATTATTATATAATAATATCCTTTGTCTTTTCTGAGTTTTTCACTTAATATGTATTTTATCTGATATAAGTATGCGTATCTCTGCTTGGTTTTGGTTTCCATTTGTATGAAATATATTTTTCCATCCTTTTACTTTCAGTCTGTCTGTGTTTAACAGTGAAGTGCATCTGTTATAGGCAACATATAGTGGGATTTTGTTTTTTATCCTTTTAACTACTCTAAACCTAAATTGGAAAATTTAATCCACTTACATTCATGTTATTATTTATAGGCAAATAATTACTCCTGCAAGTTTGTTAACGATTTCTTGGTTGTTTTGTAGATATTTTGTTTCTTTTTCCTTCTCTCGTTGTTTACCTCTCTGGTTTGGTGGTTTTCTGTAATGCTAAATTTTGTTTCTTTTCTCTTTCTCATTTGCACATTTACTATAATTTTGTCTGTGTGTGTGTTTGGTTACCATAAGGTTAACATGAAAAGTCTTATAGGTATAGTGGCCTATTTTAAGCTGATAACAACTTAACTTTGGTCACATAAAAATACTATAGACTTTTTTTCCCTCTCCCTTTTCATTTGCATTTTGGTTACTGTAATTTGTATATTTATCTTCTATGTGTTCCTTAGTCATTAATTGCAGCTGTTGGTGTTTTTACCTTTTTGACTTTAAACCTACATACTGTAATATTGAAGAATTTCATAGCACTATTACAGCACCAGGGAATTCTGGGTATGGTTATGCATTTACCTATACTGCTGAGTTTTGTATTTTCATAATATTAATTATTATCCTTTTGTTTCCTTTTTTAGCATTTCTAATAAGGTCATTTTAATTGTGATGGATTGCCTCAGTTTTTGCTTGTCTGCGAAGGTCTTTATTTTGCTGTTTCTGAAGAATAGCTTTGCTGGATATAATATTCTTGGCTGTGAGAAATTTTTTATTTTTGTTTGTTTGCTTTCTTTTTGTTTGTTTATTATCTTTCAGTGTTTGTAGTATGTCATCAATTTTTTTCCTGGCATGCAGAGATTCTGCTGAGAGATATGCTGATAGTCTAATGGAAATTCCCCTATATGTAACTTGACATTTATCTCTTGCAGCTTTTAGAATTCTTTGTCTTTAACCTTTGACATTTTGATTATAATGTGCTTTGGAAAGAATATTTTTGGGTTAAAAATCATTGAAAACTTTTGAGCTTCTTAGACATGGATGTCCATATCTCCCCTAAGACTTGGGAACTTTTCAGCTATAAGTATGTTTACTATACTTGGTTATTTTCTTTTTCTGTGGCACTTGTATAATGTGAATACTTGTTTGCTTAATGAAGTCCCATATATCACATAGGCTTTCTTTATTCTTTTTCATTCTTCTTTCCTTTTTTTAAATTTTTTTCTGATAGGGTTATTTCAAAATGCCTACTTTTAAGCTCAGAGATTCTTTCTTCTGCTTGATCTAGTGTTGTCAAAACTCTCTATTGTATTTTTATTTCATTTGTTAAATTCTTCAGCTCCAACAATTCTGTTTTTTATAGTATCTATCTCTTTATTACATTTTTCGTTCATATCATAATTGTTTTCCTGATTTCATTGAATTTTTTTTTCTAGATCCTCTTATATCTCCCTGAGTTTTCTTGAAATCATTATTAGTAATTCTTTTTCAAGCATTTTATAAATACCCTTTCATTTATGATCTGTTGCTAGAGACAAAGAACCCTGTTATTTTGTGGTTGTTATATTTTTTGCTTTTTTGTTTCTTGTGTCCCTACCTTGATATCTGTGTATCTAGTAGAACAATTTCTTTTTCCAATTTATGGAATAACTTTCATAGGAAAAAGCTTTTTCCTGTAAATGGATCCTAGGATGTTGGTTGAGAATGTAGCATTGGCTTTGGTTCTGGGTGAACTCAGTAGCATGTTCTCTGTGCAGATGCTTCAGTTACAACCCTTGATTGTGATGTGTGAGATTATTATAGGCCTAGGCTACAGCAGTTTGTGACTGTGGTGTTGTAGTGGCAAGGGTGGTGGACTAGTCATTGGTAGGACACATGCAGGCATGGAAGTCAAATTTTGTGGTAGGCTCTTCTGAATTGTCAGGGTCACTGCCTGGTCTGTAAGGGGCAGGGGTGGGTGTGCATGTGTTAAGCAACTGAGCAAGAGTTCCTCTAGAGAAATGGGTTTACCTCTAGGAAGCTGTCAAGCTAGGGGCAGGTACATGTGAGTCCAGGGGCTGCCCCCAAACCTCTCTGCTGAGGTGAGGCCAGCTTATGGGGCAGGACTGCCTCTGGCCTGGCTGTTGGTGGGGACAGGTGCATGCAGTTTTGCTGCTATGCAGAACTCTGCTCCAATGTCCAAGACTGTGCCATAGCTTCTTAGGTCATACGGGTTGCAAATGCCATGAGGACTCCTGCCCTGGGGATGGGTTGCAACTGTGCAGATTTCCAGCAATTTTCACACTGAACTCAGGGCCTGTAAGGACTAGAAGATCCTCCTCTATCAGTTACCATTCGTATCTGGCAGTGATGAAGACCAATGAGTGTCTCCAGCTTGTATTTTCCTTGTAGGAAGAGGTTTCTCCTGTCTGTGATCTGATCTAGTAGGAGATACAGTGTGACAGATACAGGGTACCATGCTCCACTCTATATGGTGTTATACTGGGCTCCCATGCTCCACAGGAATTTTGATGTTACCTTGATGGCCACCATGCTGATGTCATTCTCTTTTGGCATCTCTTTCTAGTCACTTTGTAAGCTGAGGCAGGATATTTAGCCAAATTATAACATTTTATTTGTAAAGTGAGAATAGAATTTATAAACCAATTAGCACATACCTGGCATATGGTAAGTACTCAAGAAATATGAATTATTGCTAATATCATAATCAGCAGCACCACCATCTTTATTTCTATCTCTCTAATTACTTTGTTCTCTTTTTATTTGTTCTTTTAACATATATTTAGTGATTGCCGTGTATTCTGTACCTTATTTTTGTGGTGGTCTCTGGATATATCTAGATAGAGATAGAGTTACTCATTTCAAAGAGCATAAACTTGTTACAAAGACCAGAGAGGCCTTGTAATCTGGAGAATTTATCATTAAGGCTGAAGTAGGTGTTAGAAAAAGGCTTCACTGGAGAATTAATAGTCTGACTGAGGAAAGTGGTATGCAGAGAGATTTATGAAGATGTCAAGCAAAGAAAAAATCTTTGGGACAAGTAAATCAACTTTTGGAAATGCAAAGATGTATAAGAACATGTTTGTCCTTGGGGGAATTGAGTTTAAAATAATATGGCTGAAGAGAAATTGAAAGTCAAATATGGAGAGACTTGTCACTTTTATTTGACAAGTCAAGAAGGCTTTATAGTTATCAAATAAGGAGGTTTGATTTGGGGGCTATGCTTTTAAACATAGACTATTTTATGGGTTGACAATTTCCCTCCCCCACCATTATGCAAATGTTGAAGTCCTAACTCCTCGTTCCTTAGAATCTGAGCTTATATGGAGATAAGGTGTTTGCAGAACTAATCAACTTAAAATGAAGCCATATGTGTGGACCCTAATTCAATATGACAGATGTCTTTATAAATAGGGGAAATTTGGGTACAGAGAAAGACACAAATGGAGGGAAGAAGATGTGAAGAGACACAGGGAGAAGACGACCATAACCATATATAAGCCAAGGAAAGAGTCCCAGAACTGATCTTTCCTTCATAGCTCTCAGAAGAAACCAACCCTGCCAACAACTTGATCTCAGACTTCTTGCCTACAAAATTATGAGACAATAAATACAAAGGGTCTTCAAAAAGCTCATGGAAAATTAGTATTATGAAAAACCCATGGGACCAAGCACAGTGGCTCACGGCTGTAATTCCAACACTTTGGGAAGCTGAGGTGGGAGGATCACTTAAGCCCAGGACTTCAAGACCAGTCTGGGCAACGTGACAAGACCCAGTCTCTACAAAATAAAAATTAAAAAAAAAAACTAAAAACTTTAGCTGGGACTGGTGGAATGCACCGTTAGTCCTGGCTACTCAGGAGGCTGAGGCAGGAGGACTACCAGAACCCAGGAGTTTGAGGTTACATTAAACTATGATCATGCCACTATACTGCAGCCTGGGTGACAGAGTATTTGTCTCTAAAATTTTTTTAATCTATTCATAGATTTCAATTTTTTTGCACCAAAGTAAGTTGCACTAACTTAAGATAACATGACAGAACAAAATCTAGTTTGAGGCACTAAGAAGGATGATGCTTTCTTCAGCTTGAAAATGGCCCCTATCAAAGCAATATGAATTCTGCTAAATCTGAAGCAAGAACAAACACCAAATTTATGGTGAAACTTGGGTGGAAGAATGGTAACATCACTGATGCTTTATGAACAGTTTATGGGGACAATGCCCCAAAGAAATAAGCAGTTTGTGAGTGGATAACTCATTATAAGAAGGGATGAGACAATGTTCATGATGAAGCCTGCAGTAATAGACCATACACAAATCGTGCAGAAAATATTCATCTTGTTCGTTCCCTAATGGAAAAGGACCAATGACTAAGATCAGAAACAATAGCCAACACCTTAATAGGTTCAGCTTACTAAATCCTGATGGAAAAATTAAAGGTAAGCAAACTTTCCATTCAGTGGGTGACAAGCCCTTTGTGTCCAGATCAGCTACAGACAAGAGCCGAACTTTCAATGGAAATCTTTAACAAGTGAGTTCAAGATCCTGAAGCATTTGCTTAAAGAATTGTAACAGTGGCTTCAGTGTTTCAATCCAGAAGACAAAGCACAATTGAAGCAATGGCTAAAAAGAGGTTGAAGTAGTTTAGTCAATGCCAAAGTGGACCAGTCAAGAGGATGACATTGGTCTTTTGGGGTGCTCAAGGCATTTTATTTGTTGACTCTCTGGAGGGTCAAATCATGATATCTTCCTACCATGAGAGTGATTTGAGAAAGTTACCCAAAGCTTTAGAAGAAAAATACCCAAGAAAGCTTCACCAAAGAGCCCTTCTTCACCACGATAATGCTCCTATTCATTCCTCTCATCAAACAAGGGCAATTTTGTGAGCAATTTCGAGGGAAATCATTAGGCATCCACCTTACGACCCTGATTTGGCTCCTTCTGACTTTCTTTCTTTTCTAATTAAGCAAAAAAAAAAAAAAAGAAAGACACTAATGTTTCTTCACTTAGTAATGTTAAGAAGAGTGGATTGACTTGGTTCTATTCCCAGGATCCTCAGGTCTTTATGGATAAACTAAATGGCTGGTATCATCATTTACAAAAGTGTGTTAAACTTGATGGAACTTATGTTGAGAAGTAGAGCTGATTGATATTTTTATTGTTGTCTTTTAATTCCATTTTTCCACACACTTTTTGATGTCCCCTTGTATCTGCTCCTTAAGCTATCTAGTTTGTGGATCATTGTTACCATAGCCCTAGGAACTTACCAAAGAATAAGCAGATTAAGGATGTTATATTTCTACTCCAGTTTTAAATGATCAGACAATATCTACTTACCCATTATTAATAGTTTCACATTTTATGCATCTAGTATCAGGTCTGTATTACTTCTGTGCATGAGAGATTTTAATACATTTTAATAAGGATTATTTAATGTTTTCCACTGTTTTTCTTTAATTACAAAATAGATAAAGCCTTCATCTGGCTATTATATTGACCATGGCTTTTGAAATTATAATTGTTTAGCGGTTACCCTAATTTGAGGACAAAAGGGATAGGCATTGATGTAATTCTTAATAATCGACAAAGTTTTCATAGTTTGCAAAGTTGTACTTACACGTTCTATCACGCATAATGACTACCACAAGACAAGAATATTCTCATCACTATAGTGTTACGACTGACATATAAGAAAGTTGAGCTCACAGGGATGGCTGACAAGCCCCAGGTCACAATGAGAAGAGGACTTTACATCTATTTTACATCCTTTTTTTGTTTTGTTTTCTTTTGTCTGTTTGTTTGTTTGAGATGGACTCTTACTCTGCCACTTAGGCTGAAGTGCAGTGGTGCAATCTCGGCTCATGGCAACCTCCGCCTCCTGGGTTCAAGGGATTCTCCTGCCTCAGCCTCCCAAGTAGCTGAGATTACAGGCATGCACCACCATGCCCAGCTAATTTTTGTATTTTTAGTAGAGATGGGGTTTCATCATGTCGGCCAGGATGGTCTCGATCTTTTGATCTCAGGTGATCCGCACGCCTCAGCCTTCCAAAGTGCTGAGATTACAGGTGTGAGCCACCACACTCAGGCTATTTTACATTCACTTTACAGTTTCTGCTCCTCCCTCCATACCATGCTGCTACTTATTTAACTATCAAACTTAAAAAAGCAGAAGAAACCAAAGAATCTATAGTCTGGTGATCTGTCTCAAATCAAGGAATTGTGAGACACTGAAAACTCCAGATCAGTGTGCTTTCAGGAGTGTGAGAGAAGCCCCAAGCATGATTTTCAAGTCACCTTCATTTAGTCTGTTAACTTCTTAGGCCATTTGGAAGAGAGAGAACAATCTGACTGACCCAGAGAATGAAGCATGTTTATTGCTGCGTACACATGCACTGAGATGATTCCTAGACACTTTGAGAGTTGTAATTGCTCTGATCCAACCAAGAAAACATAATAAAACTTTTGTTGCAAGAATGATAATGGAAAAAAAATGTAAAAATGGCATTTACTTATATTAACATGAATCATACTTTAAACTGTACAATAAAATTTTTCAAATGAAAATTAATCCTAGCTTTGTAGAATGTCTATCTATCCTTTTCTCTCTTTGAATTAGGTTTATAGGATAATACACTTGAAATAAGTATCTAGCATCTATTCTGTGATCGCCAAGCATATTTGAGACTGCAAGTTTTTCTTAACCTGAATATCTTGACACTTGACTAACCATTATGTGGTCTTACATTGGCAAAGAGTTGGTAAATATTCATATATTTGTGGATGCGGTAGATATTCAGGTTGGAGCCCATGAGAATGTCTGCTGTGCTAATAGAGCTCCCTATGTTCAGAACAGCTAAATTTTATATTGAAATTTAAAGTAACCAGAGTCCTCCTGAGGGAAACAGAAAATTAAACATGCTCAACCTAGAATTTAAAAATATATATGCTTGAGGTAGGACATTCACAGACTTTTGGAATCAGATGGATATGGTTTTGAAGCTCATGACTTGTATTTTAGAGTGTCATGAAACACAAATATGAATAACAAGAGGATCTAAGGTTGGATTTTGTAGGCCTCCCTTGATACTTTGAGCCTGTTGACACAGTGAAAAAAAGAATCTCCCCACTTACTAAAAGCCTTCTCAGACATGATTTGGATATTTGTCACCTCTTAAATCTCATGTTGAATTGTAATCCCCATTGTTGGCAGTGGGACCTGGTGGGAGGTATTTGGGTCACGGGAGTGGATTTCTCATGGCTTGGTGCTGTCCTCATGATAGCGAGTGGGTACTCCCAAGATCTGCGTGTTGTAAATTATGGTACTCCCCTTCCCACTACTCTCTTGTCTCTTGCTCCTGCATGTCTGCTCCCACTTCACTTTCTGCTATGAGTAAAAGCTCCCTGAGTCCTCCCCAGAAGCCAAGCAGATGCCAGCAACATGCTCATATAGCCTGAAGAACCAGGAGCCAATTAAACCTCTTTTCTTTATAAATCACCCAGTCTCAGGTATTTCTTTACAGCAATGCAAGAATGGTCTAATATATTCTCCTTCCCCCAAAACCCCAGCTCAATGACAGAAAGGTCGATTCCTCAGTCTTCTAAGGTTATCTCAATGAAGAAAAAGGAGATATTAGGGAATATATCAGTTATTCCTATCCTCAATCATATGTTCATTCTTGAATCATGTATTTGTTTTTTTCATAAAATGAAAAGAGGAAACTTATTAGAGTTTTAAACTCTAATCTAACATTCTAGAACATGTAATCTGTGTGTATGTCCATGGAACAGTAAAAAAAAAATTAATTAATTACCCTGAGACCTGGCCCAAACGCCTTAAAATGCATCACATTTGCTCTTACAGTAGGCCCAAAAAGTGTTGTGTTAAAACTAGTGAGTTCTGTGTCCCTGAAGATGTTTAAAAATGGTTAATCAGTGGTATCCAGGAATAGAGTAGAATTGCTTGATGCAGCAAACAGACATTTGCATTTTAAAATCCCTTCAAATCCGGAGAGTTTTTATTTCTAAGATGGATACAGTAGAGATGGAAAGAAAGATGAGAGGATCTTTAAAAATCAAATTGATCTAGATAAATTTTAGTAAAATAGGGAAAAGTTACTCCATAATTGAATTATTCAAAAATATCTATAAATTCAGAAAACCTACACTTGCATCAAACCCTAACTAAGCATATATAATTGCAATTCTTTTATGAACCTGAAATGTCAGATAATACTGTCACATAGTTTTGGGTCAGACTGTTAAAATGTTACAATATAATTAATTTTCACAGAGGTCTTTCAAATATATAAGATAATTCAGGACTCATTTATCTGAACATATACCATTAGCGGTCAATTTATTCTTAAATATTTCATAGATACATGTTTTTTGTTCAACAGTTTACTAATTCTCACATGTAATTAACTCTCAGAAGTCAAATTTATTTATTTTGTGTCAATATTCAAAAAACTATTTCAAAACCTTAGTAGAAATAACAGACAAACTCATAGATCTCAACAGACATGCTCTGTAAGTCCTGCATGAATCAAAGAAAATTTCATGATTTCTATGCAATGCTATTCTAAAAACATACATTATTTATTTTCTATAAGCACATAAATAAATAAAAGGTAGTATATGTGCTTATATTTTCTATGTTTATTTACATGCTTATATTTTCTTTAAATAGATAATATGGTAATATAAATAGATAATATATGATAATAGATAATTATATAGTAATTATTATAGTAATAATATCATAATACATACGTGATATGGATATGGCTATACAAACAAATTAATGGAAAGATACAGAGTAGATAATGACTAACCACTCCCACACCTCACAAGTTGGAATGTGTACATATTTGGGGGCTTCACATCAATATACAAGCTTCCATAAAAACCTACAGAATAAATACAATACATTTCCTGGTGTGTTTTTTTTTTTTTTTTTTGAGATGGATTCTCACTCTTTCACCCAGGCTGGAGAGCAGTGGCATGATTTTGGCTCACTGCAACCTCCACCTGCCAGGTTCAAGTGATTCTCCTGCTTCAGCCTCCTAAGTAGCTGGGATTACAGGCACACACCACCATGCCCAGCTAATTTTTCTATGTTAGTAGAGATGGGGTTTCGCCATGTTGACCAGGCTGATCTTGAACTCCTGACTTCAAGCGATTCACTCACCTCTGCCTCCCAAAGTCCTGGGATTACAGGTGTAAGCCACCACACCTGGCCTAGGATACATCTTCTTAGAGCATCAGCTTTATTCAAAGACTTATAGAAGACATTTTCTTTATGATAAACCAAATATAAATATTAATATACATATATACACATATGTATATGTATGTATATATGTATACATATATATGTAGATATGTATACGTATATATACGTAGATATGTGTGTGTGTATCTGTGTGTCTATCTATCTATGTATCTATCTAGTGATCCATCGAGAGGAAGGAGGGCTCCAGTTAAGAGGGAGCATTTTGAAGCAAGTATCAGCCTAAATCCCCCATCACTCCAGAAGTGAGGTTTAGTGTTTGCAGTGAGAACCTCAAGACCATGGGCAGATGACCTGAGACTGATATGTTAGTGCTGGGCAGTGGGATCCCTATTGCTTCCCAAGTTCTACCTGCGTACTCTGAGGCACTTCCGAGCTGAGAAGAGGAATTACTGCATAATTGTAAAGTTCATTATCATCCCATCTGGCATGAATCATTAACCCTGCTCATCAATATAGTTCTACCTTAGTTCATGTTGGCACACTATGAAAACTGTTTTTGCAACTTCCTCTTCACATTGAGACATCACCTTACTCTTCTCTTCGCCAAAAGTAAAGTCTGTTCACGTAAACCTAAAAGCAGTACTTAAGGCCTTGAAGAAGCTTCATAGATGCAGAATGTCTGCCCACTGGGACATCAGACACCACCCACCTAAATAACTGCTCTTTACTCCAGCCCCTAAACAGATTCATAGAAATATTGCATAGCTTCATCTTTGTCACTGTGGCAGCCTAGAGACTAAAATTCAACAGAATATTGCCACACATTAAAAAATATTGTTTTTCTTCCATTTACCTGGAACCATTCTGTCACCTCATCTAGTAACATTCAGTCTGAACTTGTCTTTCTCAAAGTATCTCTCTGATGGCAAGCCATTGCCATTCACACTCTCTGCTCTTCTTTCTATATATTTGACTTTAAATATAATGTAGGTTCACATAAATCAGTAGCTAGAGAGTAAAAACATTTTTAAAGAACCACAATATTTCAAAACACTTTGTAAAATTAAAAACACAAAACAAATGTATACATTAACTCTGGAAGTATAAGTGTATCAGAACTTTTTACTCTACCACTAGCCTTAACCCAGACTGAGAGGAAATTGTCTTTCTACTTACTCTAACTTCCTAAGGAAAGAGAAGACTATCCTATGACCTCATAAACTCCCTAAAGACTTTTTATAGTGGACATTGTTTGAATTTATCAAGGTTTAATTACATTAAGGCTACCTTTCTTCTATTTATCACCCTTCGTTGTTAGGGAAAAAAAATCCAGAAAAATATAAATCATCACCTTGAGATTAAAAAATATGAAATTGGAATATGAATCTTTCACGGGAAATACCTCTATTTTAGAAACTGGTAAATCAAAATTATTTAAGCATAAATTTGTTTTCTTTGTTTAAGCATTAGTTTATATAAACTTATTTTCTTTGTTTAAGCATTATGCTATAAAGTACTTATGGGTGAGGGAATGAGTCAGAGGCCAACATGAAGAACCGAAGTGTTGCTTAACTATGGGCTGAGACAATGTCGGGGAGGATGGAGCTTGACTGAGCTCCAGGATCCTCTGTGCCGCTTGTTTCCCGCCTCTCCTGCTAATCGTAGAGGAGAGCTCTCTTGGTACAAAATTGTTTTTTACATAATATATAAAATCTTGTGATAGGTTTAGTTTGTTCTAAGAAGTCACAAAGCAAAAGTAGAGTTCAGGATTCATGATGGTTCGTAAAATTTAAATTATTTCAAATGTAACTAAAGAGACTTACTGGAATTTTAAATTTTTTAGCTAAGTAAATGTCATTTATTCCACAATCATTATTAAGGAGAAATTATGAATTCTGGTATTGAGAAAAGCAATTCAGCCTGTTGTCACCTTCTGCTGAAATTAAAAATACAAAACCAACTTCATAAAAGAAAAGTGCTTGGAATCCTTGTGAAAGCAAACAATACGCAAAGCCTTGCCTGCATTTCAGGAGCAAAAATGGCTTATTTCCTTTTCTGTTAATTTACTTTCTTCAAATGGAAATATCTAGGCATGTCTCATTGCAAAAGTCTAACAGGCATATTAATGAGCTCTCTCTGCAAATACCAAGAGAGTCTTTAGTTTGTCTTTCCATTAACCCCAATATCTTTAGCATTAACTGTTTTTACAAATATACCTACAACTTCCTGCCCATTGCAGCAGTCAAAAGATTATAGTTACTTAGTGAATTTTCAGAAGTGATGGAAGTCAAAGGTTGTTCTTATATCAGAAAGGAGAATTGGGATTTTTAAATTGATGCTGTTCTAACTGTTGAGCATACTATCAAATTGAGACCGAGGTCTGGAAAGATAATAGTAGATTTACCCACCCCAAAATCTTTAACTCTCCCCTGATCCCTGAAATAAATGAAACAATAGCATAAGCAGTGTAAACCTAGTGAATAATTAAAGGAACAAACAAAACTATGAAGAACATCTGTAACAATATTGACGAAGTATCCTCACAAACCTAAAAGATTTGGAAGCCTGAACCACACACTGCAACAATCCCTGGTGAAGTCAGCAGTGATTCCAGGAGAAAGTGGAGCAGGGAAATCAGATATTATTCTGATACCCTTGATATTAGGAGAAATTCCATTGCCAACTGGTCCTCATTTACAACTGAGTAATTGGATTATGGGGGCAGTTTCCCCATGCTGTTCTCATGGACAGTAAATGAATTCTCACAAGAGTTGATGGTTTTATAAATGGTAGTTTTTCCAGCGTTTGCACTCACTTTCTCTCCTGCCACTTTGTGAACAAGGTGCCTGCTTCCCCTTCCACCATGATTGTAAGTTTCCTGAGACTTCTCCAGCCATGCAGAACTGTGAGACAATTAAAACTCCTTTGTTTATAAATTACCCAGTCTTGGGTACTATCTTTATAGCAGTGTGCGAATGAACTAAATCATCCAGTCTTCCACTGATGGGCATCTAGGTTGATTCCCTGTCTTTGCTATTCTGAATAGTGCTGTGATGAACATAGATGTGCAAATGTTTTTATGGTAGAACAATTTACATTCCTTTGCTTATGTACTCAGTAATGTGATTGCAGGGTTGAATGGCAGTTTTGTTTTAAGCTCCTTGAGAAATCTCCAAGCTGGTTTTCGTGTGACTGAACTAATTTACATTCCTACAAGCTGTGTATAGCGTTCCCCTTTCTCACAACTTCTCCAGCATCTGTTATTTTTTGACTTTTTAATAATCGCCATTCTCACTGGTGTGAGATGGTATCTCATTGTGGTTTTGATTTGCATTTTTCTAATGATTAATAATGTTGAGCATTTTTTATATGCTTGTTGTTCATGTGTATTTCTTCTTTTGGGAAGTGTCTGTCTATGAACATTGCTCATCTTTTAATGGGGTTGTTTGTTTTCTTCTTGCAAATTTGTTTGAGTTCCTTGTACATTTTGGATATCAGACTTTTGTCAGAAGCATACTTTGCAAATATGTTTTTTCCGTTCTGTAGGTTGTCTGTTTACTCTGTTGACAGTTTCATTAGCTGTGCAAAGCTCTTTAGCTTAATTAGGTCCCACTTGTCAATGTTTGTTTATGTTGCGGTTGCTTTTTGAGTCTTTGTCATGATATCTTTGCCAGAAATAATGTCCAGAATGATATATCCTAGGTCTTCCTCTAGGATTTTTATAGTATTAGGTTTTACATTTAAGTCTTTAATCCATCTTAAGTTGATTTTTGTATATGGTGTAAGGAAGGGGTCCAGTTTTAATCTCATGCATATGACTAGCAAGTCATCCCAACATCGTTTATTGAATAGTGAATTATTTTCCCATTTCTTTTTATTGTCAGCTTTGACAAAGATGAGATGGCTGTTGCTGTGTGACTTAATCTCTGGGTTCTTTAATCTGTTCCGTTAGCCTATGTATCTACTTTTGTATCAGTACCATGTTATTTTGCTTACAATAGCCTTGTAGTATAGTTATAAGTCAAGTAGTGTGATCCCTCCAGTTTTGTTCCTTTTGCTTAGGGTTGCTTTGGTTATTTGGGTTCATTTTGAGTTTCATATGAATTTTAGAAATTTTTCTAATTCTGTGAAAAATGTCATTGGTAGTGTGATAGGAATAGCATTGAATCTAGAAACTGCTTTGGGCAGTAGGGCCATTTTAATAATATTGATTCCTCCTATGCATATGGCTCAACAATTTTAATCAGGATATGATCTCATGATGTGTCTTATCTTAAAAACAAAAAGTTGTATCATTCTAGTAATAGGCAAAGAAACGAAGACTGTTTGAGTAGTAATGAGTAGCCAGAGTGCCCAGAGTTTCATATCTAAATATCTTTTTTTATAGAAATAGGTAATTTCAGGACAAGTAATGTATAACCCTTAAAATCTCTTATAAAAGAAGACAAAACACTACCTTACACTATTAGGATATATTATATAGACTCAGGAGACAATATGAAGAAGTTCTTATTGGCCAAATTTGAGATTATTTTAGCATCAGTGAGAATCTTAACAGTGATGGATTAAATATGTTTAAAACTATGAATTTAAATGGATACTAAAATAAAATCCCCTTTTGCCTTCTTTGAAGGAGAGTTCAGGAAAAAAATCATTATATTGAAAGTAGAGATAAATAATTGAGCATTTTTCCTGTCTTTTCTATAAGGTCTGTTTTTCAAGTTACATGAATAGTTGATAAGATGATGTTTTCCATTAAATATATTCTAGGGAATAAGTGAATGTCATCTCAAAATGCCAATGAAATAAGAAATCTAATGAATGATCAGCAATGATGGCCAAATTCATGAAAAGAGAGAAAGTTAACACACGGCATCTGATAGATGTACATGACATCACCAATAAAGTATTCTTGCCAAAAATAATGGAACCCGAATTTTATCAACCTTAGAGCTCCAATTACAAATAAGCAGGAAATATATAGACAGTAGAGAGTAGAGCATCATGTTAACCTACTCCATAGAAAAGCAATTGCAAACAAATCCTGACTGTGAGAAACACTATCAGACAAAGTTTCTGGTTCTTTCAAGAAATGAACTGCAAGAAAAAAAAAGGTAAAAAAATAGAGTGAGGAAAAAAAGATTTAATGTGTGATTCTTAATTTATAATCTTTACTAGATTTCTGATTTTAATAAATTATTACAAGATATTCTGTAACAATTGGGGAAATTCAAATACTAAGTACTTGTTTGTATTCAAGCAATATTTGTGATAGTGGTATTGCTGTAAATCAAAAAGTTATTTTTTAGATACACACACTGAACTACTTAAAGGAAGTTTTTATGATATCTAGGATTTGCTTCCAAATAACCCAGAGAAAGTACAGGAGGAAGAAACAAAACTGACAACATGTTGACATTTCTTGAAGCTGTGTAATGTCTACATTTCAGTTCATTAGGTTATTTTATATCTGTATATATAAATATATGTTTTAAAAATTTTTGGCCGGGCGCGGTGGCTCACACCTGTAATCCCAGCACTTTTGGAGGCCAAGGCGGGCGGATCACAAGGTCAGGAGATCGAGACCATCCTGGCTAACACGGTGAAACCCCGTCTCTACTAAAAACACAAAAAATTAGCCGGGCGCAGTGGCGGGCGCCTGTAGTCCCAGCTACTCGGGAGGCTGAGGCAGGAGAATGGTGTGAACCCAGGAGGTGGAGCTTGCAGTGAGCCGGGATAGCGCCACTGCACTCCAGCCTGGCCTAAAGAGCGAGACTGCGTCTCAAAAAAAAAAAAAAAAAATTTACAATTAAAAAGTTTCTGTAAACATTCAGAGCTTTTTATCACCTGTAAAATTTAAATGTATAAAAATGATGCACCGGAATCATACCTTGGAAGGAGAAGGTTTAAGAACTTAGTCACTAAGACACTAATTAGAAATAAATATTATGGAATGTCTGTCTACGTTCAGTTATAGTCTATTTTCTATTCAAAAAATTTTATCTTCTTAATGTGTTACTTTTGTATTCAGTACACCTGAGCAAGATATAGCATATTATAATAATCTATAGTGGCACTCTTTGTTAGACTAGGAAAAGGAAATTTGTGTAATGTGGAAAAACCATCCAGATAAAATTGTACCATCTTAAAGTGGCACAACCTCTCCTCCATACTCCCAATGCCATTCAAAAATCTCTCACACTGTGGGACAGAGACAACTACACGGCTCTTTTAGATGACTGGGCTTTAGTATCTTAGGTTGGTTTATAAACTCACTAAGAAGAGATTATTTAACTATGGGAATTTCTTTATGGGTAGAATATTATCTACTTTAAATTTAAATAATGCTAGAAACATTTTTTTCTTTTTTCTTTTTTTTTGGCTGAAGTTTTTGTGAGAAACTGCTAACATATTTTACTTGGAGGAAAATAAGAAAACCGAAGTACATTTATTTTGAATACTTTTATACCATTGTCTTCCCATGCATTTAGGGAAAGAACACCTACAAAGTAAAAAGAAGAGAATCATAATTGTTTTTCAAATCTTTGACTTACTTCTTATCTAATGAGCTTTTTCCTTCACACGTAATCCACTAGCCAACACATTCCCCATAAACCAGCAAGTTTATTCCAATAATAAGCATAGTTGACCTTGATATTTATTTTTTCCAACAAAAATGTGTTGATTGATTTCCACTCACTCACAGATCACTGTACATTTTTTTCTTAGAAAACCTGTTGTTTTTATGTCATAATTTTTGTTTTTATTTTAAATTGACAGATAAAATTGTATGTATTTGTCATGTACAACATGATGTTTTGCAGGATATATACAGAATGATTAATTCTATTTATGAGAACAAGGTTTTGGGGTCCCACAAGAGTGAAATCTTGCTATGTTTGTCTTTCTGTGCCTGGCTCATTTCACTTAACATAATGCCCTCCACATTCATCCCTGTTGTCACAAGTGCCAGAATTCCCTTCCTTTTATGACAGAGTAGTATTCCACTATACACATATTCCACATTTTCTTTATCCATTCATTTGTTGGTGGTCACGTATGTTACTTCCATGTCTTGGCTATTATGATACAGCTGCAATGAACATGAGAGTGCTGATATCTGTTCAGCATGCTGATTTCAACTCCTTTTGATATATGTCCAGTAGAGAACAGTATACATTTTGTCAGCATTTCTTAAATTTTTGTCAACTAACCAAGCTAACCTTGATTCTTTCAGTTTTAACTTTTCACTGAAATTTCCAAATGCACCTGCATCTTTCCTCACACTGATTTTGTCTAATATCCTATGACTATTTCTGCCAATCTTATCAATTTTTCCACATCTACTAACAACAGCTTCTATCTGTTAGCTGTTGTCCTCCTTTTCTTATTCTAGCAAAAAGATTCTGATATGATCTATCAGAAAAAGAGATCCAAAGGACCATTTTTAAAAGTTGAAGTGATTGCTTGATGCCATTTTTAGTCACTTTGTGATATAAATTTATCTTGTTGGGTTTTTATAATATTTAGAAATACTAATAGTAGCAATATTTAGGATATGGTTTTATAGATGTAACACATTTTAATTTGTTATTTTGACTTTTTATACATTCACAGGGAGTTTTAAAGACAGCCTAGAGAGGCTGCTTGTACCCTTCACCCAGTTTTTTCCATTGGTTACACTTGATGTAAGTATGGTAAAATATCATTGCAGAAAATTGACATTGGTACAAAGTGTGTGTATAGTGTGATGCCATTTTATTGCATGTTTAGATTCTGGTTACCAACACCAAATGAAGGTACAGAACTATTTTGAAAAACTATTCCATGACCACAACTCCCTCGTACTACTCCTTTATAGTTACACACACACCCCTAACCCACGCAATCCACTAATCTGCTTGCCATTTTAATCCTTTTGTCATTCAGTGGCATCACTCAGTATGCAATTTTTGACACAGCCTTTTTCCTTCAGTGTAATGTTCTTCATATCAGTTCAAGCTTTGGTATATATCATTAGTTCATTCCTTTTTACTGATGAAAGTATATCATGATATGGAGGTACAAAAGTTTGCTTAATCATTCAACTATTTAGAAACATTTGATTATTTCCAGTCTTTGGCTATTACAAATGAATTTGGTATGAATAATTGTGTATGGATCTTGTGTAAGCATGAATTTTTATGTCTCTAGAATAAATGCCCAGGAATACAACCACTGGTTAACATGGTCAATTTCTGTTTGGTTTGATTTTTAAAAAATGCCAAAGCATTTTTTTCAGAGTGGCTTTATGACTTTATATTCCTTACAAAAATATATGAGCGATCCGTTTTCTCTTTCTCTTTACCAGCATTTGGAGTTATCAGTAACTTTTACTTTAGCTCTCCTAACATTGTAGGACATTACATTGCTAGGATGATTTTCATTTCCTTAAAGTTTAATGATGTTTAACATTCTATCAGGTGCTTATTTGCCATCCATATAGCCTCTTTAGTGAAATGTGTCTTCATTTTTTTTTCCATTTTCTAATTAGTGGGTTTTTTTAAAGTGAAGTTTTGAGAATTCTTTATAAATTCTAGATATGGGCTCTTTATCAGGTTTGTGGTTTGAAGCTATTTTTTGCCAGCTTGTGGCTTGTCTTTCATCTTCTTAACAGAATTTTCAAAGCTAGTGTTTAATTGATTTTTGATTGATGTTTTTGGATGGACCATGCTTCTGGTGTTCATGTCTAAGAAGTCTTAACCAAACTCTAGGTCCTAGTATTTTCTCCTATATTTTATTCTCAAAGTTTTATAGAGTTAAAGGCTGAAATTAAATTTATGTTCCATTTTGAAGTTTTCTTTATTTTTTTCTTTTACATGAGGAGTGAAGTTTAAATCAAGGTTTACTTTTACCTGTTGATATCCAATTGTTACCAGCACCATTTTTTGAAAAGACTATCCTTCCTCCATTTAATTGCTTTTGAATATTTGCCAAAAATCACTTGGTCATTTTTGTATGTGACTATTTTAGGGCCATCTCTTCCGGTCCATTGATCTATGTATCTATCCCTCTGCTGATACCACACAGTTTGATAACTGTGTACTGTTATCTTGAAAATCAGGTATAATGATCCATCCTGCTTTATTCTTTCTTTTCAAAATTGTTTTTGCTATTACATTTTTTTGGCTTGATTCTATAAATTTTACAACAATAACGTCTATATCCACAACATATCAAGTTGAAATTTTGGCAGGAATTTCATTAAACTTATGTATCAATTTGACAATGACATCTTCACTATTTTGAGTGTTATAATCCATGAACACAGTATGACTTTATTTACATTTTTATTTATTTCACCAGAATCATTGAGTTTTCGGGTTAAAGTCCTGTAGGTGTTTTAAGTTTATATCACAGCATTTTATCATTTTTTGAGCAATTGTAAGTAATATTGGAATTTTATTTTTAGTTTCAATGTATTGCTAGTATATAGAAATACAAAGCAATTTTTGAATGTTGATCTGTATTTTTGTGGTTTTTGCTGAACTTACTTATTAGTTCTAGGAAGTTAGTTTTTATATTCCTTAAGATTTTCTATGTAGGTGATCATGTGATCTACAAATAGGGACAATATTATTTCTTCCTTCAGACTCTTTTGCATATGTTTCCAAGTCATCTCGCACTGTTTAAAAATGTCAGGACTATGTTCACAAAAATTGAAAAGAGTAAACATCTTGCCTTGTGTCTAAACTCAAGGGTAAAGATTCACTCTTTCACCATTATGTATGAAGTTAGCTGTAGTTTTTCTATTTTTCTTTATAGATCCTCTTTATTAAGTTCAGAATGTTCTTTCCTACTATTAATTTTCTGAGAGTATTTATTAATCATAAATGTGTGCTGAATTGTCAAATTATTATTCAGGTGATTTTTCCTTTTAGCCTGATAAAATAATGGATTTTACTAATTGCTTTTAAAATGTTGAAACAGCCTGCTTGCCTGGAATAAGACCCCTTGGTCACAGTGTATATTTCCTATATATGTTGCTTAATTCTACTTTACAAAATTTTTAAAAACAGTTTTACATCTATATTTTTAAGACATATTGCTCTGTAGTTTATTTATTTTTGCCTTTTCTTGTTTTGATTCTGCCTTTGCTAATTTGGGAACAGTAGTGCTAGCTTCATTAAAATGAATTGGTAAGTGTTTTATCTTCTTTCATTTTCAGGAAGACGTTGCATAGAATTGGTGTTCATTTCATTTTTTAATATTTTGATAAATTATAGTTGAATATATTTATGGAGTACAAAGTGGCATGACAGTTCAATATAATGTAAAATGACTAAATTAAGCTAAATAACATATTTATCACTTCAAATATGCAACTATTTTGATGGTGAGACCATGAGAAATTTACTCTCAGCAAAACTGAAATGTACAGTACTCAGTTATTAACAATATTCAGCATATTGTGCTACTGATTTAAAAAATAAAGCAAATGTATTCCTTCTAACTGAGGCTTTGTACCCTTTGATTATCATCTTCCCATTCTCCCCAGTCCCCAGCCTTTGTAACCACCTTTCTATTCTATTCTAAACGTTTCTTTTTAGATTTCATATATAAGTGAGAACATTTGGAATCAGTCTTTCTTGTTTCTGGCTTATTTAATTTAGCATAATATTCTCCATCTATATTGTCACAAACAACAGAACTTCATTTTTAAGGCTAAATAGTGTTGCATTTTCCATATATATTACATTTTCTTTATTCATTCATCCCTTCATAGACACTTAGGTTTATTCAATCACTTGGTTATTTTGAACAGTGCTGGAATGAACATATGAGTTCAGACATCTATTTGACATATTGATTTCAAATCTTTTTGATAAATACCCAGAAGTGGGATTGCTGGATCATATGGTAACTCTCTTTTTAGTTTTTTGAGGAACCACCATATTGGTTTCCATAATAGTTGTACTAATTTACATTCCCACCATTAGTGTATGAGGGTTCCCTTTTCTCATATCTGTGCCAATGCTTGTCTTTTGTCTTTTCTTTAATAACAACCATTCTAATACAAATAAGGCCATATCTCATAGTGGTTTTAGTTTGCATCTCCCCAGTGGTTAGTGATGTTGAATTTTTTTGATGTATCTGTTAGCTATTTGTATCTTTGGAGAAATTCAGTTTCCTTGCCCATTTCTTAATCAGATTATTTGTTTTATTTCTTTAGAGTTAGTTGAGTTCCTTATGTATTTTGGATATTAATCCCTTATCAGATGTATGGCTTGCAAATATTTTCTCTCAGTCTGAAGGTTGACTGTTCACTCTTGTTTCCTTTGATGTGCAGAAGCTTTTTACTGTGATGTAACATTACTTATCTATTTTTGCTTTTGTTGACTGTGGTTTTTGAGTCAAATTAAAAAAAAAAAAGTTACCCAAACCAATGTTAGATAGTTTTCCCCCTATTTTCTTCTAGTAGTTTTACAGTGTCCAGTCTTATGTTTGAGTCTCTAATACTTTTGAGTTGGATTGTATACATGGTCTGAGATAAGGGTCCAGGCTGATTTTTTGCATGTGGATATCCTGTTTTCTCTACAACGTTTATTAAAGAGACTGTCATTTTCCCATTGTATTTTTGCTCTTAAATGTTGGGTAGAATTTGCAAATGAAACGATCTTGTCCTATAGATTGCTTTTTTGAGAAGTTTTTATGTTATACTTTCTATTTCCTTAATAGTAATAAAGCTCCGAAATTATGTATTTGATATTGGACAAGTTGAGGTAGTTTGTCCTTTTAATGTAATTGATCCATATTATCTAACTTGTTCATTTATGTGTAAAGCTATACATATAGTATTACTCCCTTAATGTACTTTTGGTTTTTCCAGGGTCTGTAGTGACGTCCCTTCTTTCATAGTAATATTGGTAATTTATGTCTTCTCTGTTTTCTTTCTCAATCTTTTTAGAGATTTGTCAGTTTCATTAATCTTTTCCAAGAAACAGATTTTTGTTTCATTGATTTCCTCTATTATTTTCTGTTTTCAGTTTCATTGATTTCTGCTTTACTTTTCTTCTGTTGCTTTAGGCTAAAATTGCTTTTTCTCTAGTTTTTAAGTTGGAAGCTGACATTATTGTTTCAGATCTTCTTCTCTAATTTTGTTGTTAATGCTGTAAATCACCCTCTAGACATTGCATTTGCCACATCTCACATTTTGATAAGTTGCATTGTCATTTTCATTTAAGTCAAAATATTTTTAAGTTAGTCTTGAGTCATCTACTTTGGCTTATGTGTTATTTAGAAGTGTGTTGTTTAATCGTCAAATATTGGAGGATGTCCCACATCTCACTGTGTTATTGAGTTTTGGCATAACTCTATTGAAGTCTGAGAATAGACTTTGCATGATTTCTGTTATTTTAAATATGTTAATGTGTATTTGTTGCCCAAAACGTAATTTTTCTTCATGAATGTTCGACATAAGCTGGAGGAGAATTTGAATTCTCTTGCCACTGGATGGATAATTCTATAAAAAGCCATTAGAACTAACTGATTTACAGTGCTATTCAGTCAACTAAATGAAATTTTTGCCTGCTTAATCAATGTTACTTAAAAAAAAGGGTGATAAAGTCTCAAACTACACTCTTACATTTGCATATTTTTATCTTTAACAACTATCAAGTTTTGCCTCACAAATTTTGACTCTCTTTTTAATTGTGTACATGTTAAGGATTGTTAAATTGCTTTGTAAAACGGATCATTATTCCTGATAATCTTCCTTGTTTGGAAGTCTGGGTTTTTTTCCTTGAAATTTATATAGCTAACCCAGTCTTTTTATTTTTATTTTTTTAATTTGTGTTAGTAAAGTATATCTTTCTCTATCCTTTTAGTTAAACTATTTAATTCTTTATATTTAAAGTGGATTTCTGATAGTGTATCAGCATACACTTGGGTATACTCTGAAGCTCACTGTCTTTTAATTGGTATGTTTAAGATTATGTCCACTTGAAATAATTATTGAATTAATATTTACCATACTTAAGCATTTTCAATGTGTTGCATTTGCTTTTGTTTATTTTCCCCTCTTTTTCTGTCTTAGTGGGTTTTAATTGAGCATTTTATCTCCTTTCCAAGCATATCCACCATACATTTTTAGAAATAGTAATTGCCCTAGAGTTCATAATATATCATTTTAGCTGATCTAAATCCACAATCAAATAACAATAAACCACTTTACTTGTATAGGGACCTTGCAACAGAGTACTCCCAATTACTCTCTCACCTCTTATGACATTGAAATCATTCATTTAACTTATCTATATGATATAATCACTTTATAATTGTTACTATTATTATTTTAAACAGCTATATTTTCAGCCAAGAATTAAACAAATAACACATTAAATATATCTTAATGTATTCCCCCTCCTGTGCTCTCCCTTTCTTTCTACAGGTATGCATTTGTGAGTTATATTCTTTTCCTTCTCCCTGAAGAACTTTTAACATTTCTCACAAGTCATATTTTCTAGTGATGAATTCCCTCAGTTTTTGTCTAAGAAGGTCTTTATTTATTCTACATGTTCAAAGGATAGTTTTGCAGAACATAGAGAACGGTAAGTCAGTGTAATTTTTTTCCTTTAATATTTTAAACATTTCACTCCACTCTTTTCTGGCTGGGTTGGTTTTTGATGAGAAGTCTCTTGTAATTTTTATTCTTGTTCTTCCATATTTAAGAAGTTTTTTCCTCTGGTTTATTTCAAGATTTTCTCTTCACCATTGTTTTCAACAATTTAAATATTCCTAGGAATAGATAGGTAATTTTAGTATTTTGTTTGGCATTGATTGTTCATTTTGGATCTGTGGTTTGGTATCTGTCACTAATTTGGGAAAGTTCTTAGCTATCATAATTTCAAATATTCCTTCTGATCATCTTTTTTTCTTTGTAAGGTAGTCCACATACCTGTATGTAATAGTTTTGAAATGGTCTCACATTTCTTAGATGTTTTGTTTCTTTTATTCCTTTTGCTTTTTATATTTTAGTTTCGTAATATTTTTTTCCTTGGCTATGTCAAGTCTACTTATTAGAACAGCAAAGATATTCTTCATTTCTCTTACAATGTTCTTGATTCTTACATTTTCTTTTAATTCATTTTTAGAGTTTCTATCACTCTTCTTTCATTAACCTTCTGTCTATATTTTTCTGTTATGTTCCATATTAAACATAACTATTTTTAAATTCTCCATTTGATAATATCAAAATCTGTGTCATAATCTGATTCTTATTTTAATTTTTGATTTGTCTCTTCAGACTGTGTTTTGCTTATAATGGTGTTGGTGTTTCTTTTTTTTTTTTTTGGTTGTTGTTTATGTCATTTTTTTTGGAGGCTGGACGTATTGCATTGAGTATAAACTAAAGATGAAATAGACCTTACCTTTTGGGATATATGTTAATTTGGCTAGGAATTGGGCTTTATAAATACTTTCTCAGTTATGGTTGTCAAAGGCTCTCATAGTTTCCTTTTTTTTTTCTTATCCTTGTTCCCTTGACTTTTGGCTTCTCCGATGACTTGTCTTCAGGGAAAATCTGTGTCTTATAGCTCTTTCAACTCTAGCTACTGATATTTTACTGGAGCTGCGTTGATGCAGTGGGAAGGGTCAGAGAGGAGAATCATTCTACAACCTGATGATGAAATTTTTTTCTTCCAAATGGGCCTCTGTGTGTGGTCTGGGACCTTCACAAGTTTTTCTCCAGAGATATTCTCTTAGGTGATGCAGGAAAGCTAAAGGGAACTAGAGTGAGAGAAATACCATTCTGCATTTGATACAAAACTGTAGTGGTCTTTTGCCTTGTAGAGTAGGTTTTCTAATGAAGATTTCTCAAGACCTGTTTCACAATGATTACTCTTCCCCTCCCTCTTCTCTTTCTTGGATTTTACCATCAGAATCTGGTCAGTTCCTGGAAGTGAAACCCCCTCTAAAACTGCAGCACCATGAGTTTCTCATTCTTATGCTATTCTACACTTTGCCTTCACCAATTTGAGAACATCAACAATTCATTTTTTCTATAGGTCTGTAGTTCAGGGCCTTCTTCTCCACAGAAGCAATCTTGACTGTCGATCTCCAAATTGGCCTGTCTCCCCAGAGTTTTATATTGATGATAAAACTGGCAGCTTCGGTTATTGGTAAGTACAAAAAAAATCATTGATTTTCAGTGTGTCCAGATGTATTTTGTTGTAAAAACTAGAGTAACAACATCCAAATTCTTTACCCATTAGTGCTGAAATCAAACTTTCCCCTCAAATCTGTTTTTAAAATTTTTTTGGTAAATATTCAGAACCATCTATTCAAATTAAATGAAGTGTTATAGTGAATATACTGTTGATGAAAAGAGTCAAACTCTGTAAAATATTTGAAAATATTTATTTTGAGCCAAATAAGAGTGACCATGGTCCATGACACAACACTCAGGAGGGCCTGACTACAATGTGCCCAGGGTGGTCGGGTTACAACTTGGTTTCATATATTTCAGAGAGGCATGAGACATCAACCAAATACACTTAAGAAACACATTGATTTGGTTCAGAAAGGTGACAACCCAAAGTGGGTGGGGGGGCTTCCAGATTATAGGTAAATTTAAACGTTTTCTGGTTGACAATTGGTTGAGTTTGTCTAAAGACCTGGGATTGATAGAAAGGAAATGTTCAGGTTAAGATAAAAGATTGTGGAGACCACGGATCTTTTGAAGTCTTATAGTGGCTGCCCTTAGAGACAACAGATGGCAAATGTTTCCTATTCAGATCTTTAAAAGTTTCTAGACTTTTAGTTAATCTCTTTAGGACTGGGAGGGCCTGGAAGAAAAAAAACTAGCTATCTTAATAGAGATTCTTTACAGATACAGAGTTTCCCCCACAAAGGACATCAGGGAAATGCAAAAATCAAATATTTTGATTTTCTTCCTTGTCTCATAGTGTTATGCCAGAGTCAGATTGGAAAGTGAGTCATGATATATAGGGTTAAATAAAACCCATCTGATGAGAATTTATGGTTTGTAGGGGATGACTCCCCAGACCCCTTAGATAGGAATTTGGGTAAGATAAAAAAATCAGAGCTTAGTCCTCAATATATATAACATTTGCATAAAATTACTTCAATAAAAATAAAAACCAGAATTTAACTTTTTGAAAATAAACTTTTATAGTATTTTTAATAAAAATAACACTATTTGCAATTCTATTGTGTTCATTTTGTTGTCAATATAAAGAATCGGTATCATGTTGTATGTATGCATATCTAGTCCTATATGTGTACATAATTAACAATAGTGTAAATTTTTAATACTGCAAAATATTTTCAGCTGCCAGTGATAACTGTTGCAAATACTATGCCAATTGTCAATACTTCTTGAACCACAAGCTACAACATAAAGTAAACAAAATGGATATTTGGCTCTACTGATTAAGAATACTTTGTTATCTAAAAACGTATTCCATTCATGAATTGGCAAGTGTCTAATGTGTTACTTAATTTGTCTTTTCTCTTACTCAAGCACTTAAATATTCAAAATCCTCCCTATTTTTAATATAGTTAAAAGAAGAAATATTAATGGCGTTGGCAAAAGACTCAAGCTCTGTAAAATATTTGAAGAGATTTATTCTGAGCCAAATATGAGTTAGGAGATCCTGTGAACATGTGCCCAAGGTGATTGGGCAATAGCTTGGTTCTATACATTTTAGGGAGACAAAAAACACCAATCAATACATGTAAGATGAGCATTGGTTCTGTCTGAAAAGGCAGGGGACAACTCAAGGTGGTGGGGTGTGTGGCACTTCCAGGTCATAGGTGAATTCAAACATTTTCTGACTGACAATGGTTGAAAGCATTTATAGTTTATCTAAAGACCTGGAACCAACCGAAATAAGTGTCTGGGTTAAGATAAGGGGTTGTGGAGACCAAGGTTCTTATTATGCAGATGATGCCTCCAGGTAGCCTGCTTCAGAGAGAACAGATTTAAAATGTTTCTTATCAGACTTAAAAATACGCACTTTGGGAGGCTGAGGTGGGTGGATCACGAGGTCAGGAGATCAAGACCATCCTGTCTAACATGGTGAAACCCCGTCTCTACTAAAAAAATACAAAAAATTAGCTGGACGTGGTGGTGGGCGCCTGTAGTCCCAGCTACTCAGGAGGCTGAGGCAGGGGAATGGCGTGAACCCAGGAGGCAGAGCTTGCAGTGAGTGGAGATCACGCCACTGCACTCCAGCCTGGGCAACAGAGTGAGACTCCATCTCAAAAAAAAATAAAAATAAAAAAATACACCAGACTCTTTAGTTAATTCTTTCCTTTATCAGGAAAAAGCCTGAAAAGAGAAGGGGATTCTCTCTAGAATGTAGATTTTCCCCAGAAGAGACAGCCTTGCAGGAACATTTTAAAATACATCAGGGCAATATATTTTGGGCCTGCTATCTGTCATGTTGGCATTTTATTGCTACAGAGTCTGCTTTGTTAGTCTTAAGGTCTCTGTTTCAATGTTAATGCTGGTCAGCTATGCCTGGATTCCAAAGGGAGGAAAGTATAACAAGGCATGTTCAACCATCCATTCCCATCTTGGCCTGAACTAGAACTTCAGCTTTACCTTAAAATGCCCTTAGCTGAGAGGAGTCCAGTCAGTTGGTTGGGGGGTGCTTAGAATTTTACTTTTGGTTTACAACTGCATTCAGGAAAAACATATCTTGTTTTACGGATAGAGGAGAATAGATATGAAGAAAGGTTTACTTAGGTGTGAATGGTGTTAGTCACATCCTTGAGGCCTAGGGTCCTGAGTCTTCCTTTGAAAACTGAGTTCTGGATCCTGCATGACAGATTAGCCATATGCTCTTTAGTAAAAGCATGTCTGTTTGTTTGTGATCTGTGGGATCTACAAAGCCTGGGACCCATGGAGGGATGTCCCCTGATTAGGTCTAAGTATGATAGTGCTTGAAAAATCTGTGTGTGTAATCTATGTCACTTTTCCCTTGTTTTAAATATTTAAAACAATGTAAGCAGAATTTATATCTTTAGCATAGTAATATTTCCACTAATGTGATATGTCTCCCAACTTATTTAAGTTTTCTGTAATGTACATTATTCACTTTATATGTTTTTATATGTAGGTCTTATATGTCTTACATTATTCATTATTATGCATATTATATAATATTTAGGCATTTTAAATATTTTTTGTTTTTTTGATAATGCTGCTGTATAAAAGTGTCACTCACTAAATTGAATAGATTTGTATCTGGCAATTTTACTATTTTTTTATTAAATCTATCAGTTTGGGATTCTTCTGGATTTTCTACATAGATGAATGTCTCATTTAAAGAGTGACAGTATTTTATTCCTTTCTTATATTCCTTATACTTTAGGGTTATCACTATTTTTGTGTAGCTAATGCATCTGTTCTACACTGAAAAGAAATTAAACATTTTTGTCATGTTCCTGAATTTACAGGGATTTAAAAAAATTATTCTTCTCTATTCAATAAATTTGCTGTAGCTCTTTTGAAAATGCACTTTATTGATTTGAAGAGTTCCCATTGATGTAGAGACAGCCTTTTGAAAAAATATATTTTCTGTATTTTATTGCTCTTTTCTTTTTGTTTCCTAAGTGATGCATTTCATCAAATTATTATCTTTTGCATTTAATGAGATGGTCGTATTTCTCCTTAAATTTCTTAAGGACATATTTTTCTAATGTTGAAAATACCTTCCTTTTGCATAATAAACTCAATAAGGATAAATAGTTATTTCCAATACTAGTTATTTCCTATGATATTTTTATATATCATTGATTCCTGTTGCTAATTTTTAATTTAATTACTTTGCATCTGTGTATTTGATTAAAATTGCATATTTTTATATTCCTTTTCTATTAGGAGATCAGTTGTACTAGCCATATAAAATGAGCATACTAAGCTATTCTGCTTGTGGAGAAAAGTCCAGTATTTTTGTTCTTTTAGTGTAGAATTCATTGTTTTTAATGTATTTACAAGGTTGTGTACTTTTCCTCGATATCTAATTCCAGAACAGTTCTGTTACCCCAGAAATAAACCTATACCCATTAGCAGTCATTCCTCATCACCCTCCCCTTGATATATCTTTGAATTCTTTAATACTTAGATTGCTTGTTTTATTTTGAGTTGGTCCTGGAAAATTTTAAATTTATATAAATTTTCAAATTTATTGGTACCAAGGTTTTCAGGGTCTTTCTAATAACTCCAATTCCTGAAGCCTCTGTTGGTCTATTTCTATTGACTATTCTTTCTCTGATTTTCAGGCATGTTTTCTTGCCCCTTCTCCTATGAGTGATTTATTTTTATTGTGGGTTGAAGAGTGCATTTGAAAAGAGTTTTTACAGAAATAAATTAAAGCCTCAGATGGTGTTATATGTCTCTAGAGAGCATCTACATTTGCTTCTGTCTGCAACTGTGGTCACTAGTTCCCCGGGCCATTCTAAATTAATTTTGGTGCTGGAGATGCTGTGAGGCTGAGAAGCAATCCCCGCTGAGGGTCTGTCTGCATCAAGTGAATCCTTACTCTTAGCCAGTGGCTGGTCACTACCTTGGCAATCCCTAGCGGCAAACTAATGTCCCCACAATGCCTTGAAGTCAGTGGTCAAAATCCTCCCAAACTGGACAATTAAGGAAAAAGGAGGTATATGTTCTAGTATTCTGTAGCACTGGAGGATGACTCTAGTTGAAAACACTTTATCATATATTTTCAGAGAGTTAGAAAAGAAGAATTCAATGATTCCCAACACACCAAAAAATGATATGTTTGACATGATGGGGAAACCATCTTTGTAAAAAATTATAATAGTCAGAAAATTATGACAGTGAAAGAGATGTGCCTTTAACCTCCAAACTACCCTTGGTCATTCCTGGACTTGGGCCAATCTAACTAGGAGAAATTTAGTTTATAGTTTAAATGATAGTAGCCCCTCCCTCAGGCTATACTGCCTTTATAAATCTAATGAAAGACCACCAGGTTAGGAGGATGAGTTTCTATAAGTTGTAGGTGTAGTTAAATGATTACCAGCCATTATTCCAGAGGTCACAAGGTTTGCAACTTCTCCAATTTACTAGTCTAGAACCCAAGACTGGCCTTTTGATATGTCTTTTCTGGCTTTTGCAGGCTTTTGCCTGCAACTCTCCACTCAACCACTCCTGTGACCCTCACCCAGAAGTGGCCTCAGTGCATGAAGGCCATTTTCTGCACCCCTAAGATTGCATCTCCTACCAATTAGAAACATCCATATCCTAGCACCCTACCTACCAAACTATCTTTGAAAAACCCTAGCTTCTGAATTTCTGGGAAGGCTGATTTGTGTAATAATAAAACTCTGGTCTCCCATTTAGCTGGCTATACATGTATTAAACACTGTCTCTATTGCAATTCCCCTGTCTTGATAAATTGGCTCTATCTGGGCAGCTGGCAAAAGGAACCTGTTGCATTGTTAAATGGATATGCTAATTTCCCTGATATGCCCACTATACATTGTACATATCAAAACATGACTATGTACTCCATAAATAAATGCAACTATTATGTGTCCAATAAAAAATATATTTTTTAAATGGGTCACACATACAGCATACACGGATATACTGCAATCTTCTACCAGATCCATCCTATATTACTAACTCTCTCATTGCCTTTAAGTATTTGGTTTTATTATCTGTCAGTCTTGTGTGTGTGTGTGTGTGTGTGTGTGTGTGTGTGTGTGTATGTGTGTGTTGGGAGGGGTAGCAGATGTAAAAGTCCTTGCATTATCATCTCTATTTTTTATTAATATTCTATTTTTTATTAATATTTTGCCACGTTGATCTTATATTTTTTAACACTTCAGCTTTGTTGAACCCTCCCTTGTGCCTTTGTTTTCCATTTTAATTCCCCATTGTAACTATTTTTTCCCTCTACTGCACATTCCTTAACATTCAAACTAATTTTAAGTCTTGCATTTCCCACATTACATTAAAGGCTATACATTTCTCTCTGTCATACAAATTTTTATATTTAATATTTTCTATATTACCATATTGTGTACATTTATATGTCTTCCCATTATGATTTCCTCTTTAAACCATGAGTTACTTAGAAGATTTCCTTTAATTTCCAAATATATAGGAGTTTTAATGATTTCTTTTGTTACCAATTATTAACTCAATTGTGCTGTCATCAGATAATATAATATATGTAATACCAGTACTGGTTTTATGGACTGGATTTGAAAGGAAGACATTTTCTCCACCTGCTTAGTGCAGTGTTCTATCTGCAGCCACAGTGTGAGTTTCTGTAAGGTGAATTCACTCATGGGTGATTTGTTAATAAGGGAGTTAGTTTAGAATGGAGTAAACACTGTGTTGGTTCATCCACAAATATTTTAGACAAGAGGGGAGAGAATGATGGTAGGATCATATCTTTATTGGGAAATAGAAGTCTTCAATGTTGCTGCCATGCTGGCAGGAAAAGCACTACTGCATGTATCTTAAGAAAACTAGAAACAAGTGCCAGGGTCCTTCTCAGGGCCACAACCCTCTTCCTACTGTGCTGCACTCTTGCTCCATTGCCCTGCCTCCACAGACACCCTAAAGGAGCACGCTGGCTCATGCTCCTCCCAACTGCCAGTTTGTACCCACCAGCTCTGCTCCAACAAAACTTCAATACATTTCCACTCTATTGTTCTGGAGCATTTTTAGCAACCACTGTGGCAGCATGTGCTCACATGAATATATCTGGATGGGCAGACAGATTATCCCCTCCAGTCTCATGTATTCCTTTCTGTTTGGTCCTCTTGTTACAAAGCTGCATAGTTTTGTACTGTCTTCCACAACTCTTTGTTCTCATAATCCCTGTTATCTTTTGAATATATTTTTCAGAACAATATATTTTTCAGGAAGTAGACAGTGCTTCAGTGCAGATATATCTATATAACCTGCAGTTTCACCTTGCAGTTTGTGTGGTTCAAATCTTTCACACACTTCCTATCGACATTAAAGACAGCTGCATTGAAATTACCCCAAAGATGGCTTCTATCTTCATATTTCATGTGATGTTGAGGATTGTGGTATCATGATCAATAAAATTTTATCTGTGGGATTTTTTGAGGCTTTGATTTGGCCCTTCTTTTTGTCATACACCTGAGAAGGGTCACCAATGGGACCTTCTTAAAGTTAATTCCAGATATGTCAATTTCTCCTTGTAGTTCTTTCATTTTTGACTTTATATATTTTAAAGTTATGTTACTATGTTTAGGTAAGTTTAGGATTGTTCTCCCCTCCTGGTGAATTAAACTTTCATGTTTGATCTCAAGAAAAGCTTTTGGTCTTAAAGTCTGTTTCGTCTTAGACTAATAAAAGTTCACTACTTTTCTATCATTTGCCTTTTAAAATCTGTTATTCCATCTGGAATCTTTGCTACTTTGTTATTGGTTGATGTGGTTTGGATTTGTGTCCCCACCCAAATCTCATGCCAAATTGCAACCCCCAATGTTGGAGGATGAGTGGTGGGAGGTAATTGGATCATGGCGACAGATTTTCTGCTTGCTGTTCTCATGATAGTGAGTGAGTTCTCATGAGATTTTGTTGTTTAAAACTGTGTAGCACATCCCGTTTCTCTCTCTTCCTCCTGCTCCAGCTATATAGCACATGTCTGATTCCCCTTTGACTTCCCATATGATTGTAAGTTTCCTGAGGCCTCCCCAGCCATGCTTCCTGTACAACCTGTGGAACCATGAGCCAATTAAACCTCTTTTCATTATAAGTTACCCAGTCTCAGGTAGTTCTCTGTAGCGATATGAGAACAGACAAAAACACTGGTGTTTATTGTTTCTTCTAAAATTTGCTCACAATGGCTTATATCTTCTTATTTCATGTGACTTTGAAAATTGTGATATCACAATCAATAAAATTTGATCTGTGGGATTTTTGAGGTTTTGATTTAGGCCTTCTTTCTGTCAGATAACTAGGAAGGGTCACCAGTGGGAGCTTCTTAAAGTTAATGCTGGGCTTAGGTCTTTTGGCATTAGAAGTAGAGTGGATTCTAGTCTAAAAGATGCCTTGTAACCAGCCTGTCATTGGAAATGCTTTATTAAAGCTGTTTTCCTCCTTCCATATAAGCCAAAACATCAAAGTTTCCCCACTGTCTCATTCTTTGGTTACTTTCTTCTCTTCATAGTTAGTTCTTTCCTAGAGAAAATCACCTTTTGGAAATTGTTTCTGTGGGAGATTCCCATACTGATTTCCCACCTTCTCAGGACCTAGACTTTCTCTTCTTTTCCTCGTGAAGCCCATTTAAATGCAGATACTTGGGCTATGGAGGATCAAGGAGGCTGTGAGCCCTTGGCTCTGTGGCTTCAGTGCCTGTCCAATTCATTGTTTCTGCCTCTCTGGATTCCTCTTACTTTGTTGTCAACTCAACTCTACATAAAGAGGATATTTGTATCCAGTTTTTTATTCTTTAATTTGTAATGTATTACAAAGGCTATTTGGGCAAGTAGTCTTCTACATTGCTGGAATTAGATGTCTGATTATAGCTGCACTTTATATTACTAATACTTTATATTAGTATCTGTGGTCCTGTATTTTAAAAATTTCAATAACCATAACATATTATCATGAGAAAGTATTACTTTAAACATAACATTATTTTTTAAATAAAACCATTCACTATACTGAAAAAAAAACATAGAAAAAATGTAATACTGATTATTAAGCACTTTATAAGTTTGTATGCCTTTAAGAAAAATAGTTATTTTTATTTCTCTAAGAACATATAATGCAGGCATTTATGAATACTAAATAAACTTAAATATATAACAACCACACAATGAGTATAAATGCTGAACTCTGATATAGTGGATATGTGAATGAATTCTTTTCTTTGTGAGCATTTAAATTTTTTTTCTTAAATTTTTACAATGATTGAGGAGTTGTTGGAAGCAAAGCGTAACCCACAGTGCTAAACGTGCATTCAGGCCTCAATTGTGTAATTTTCTACAACCATCCCTATGCTCAGTGCATTCCTCAGAGATAGTTGGTAAGTATATTGCCAGTGTTAGGCAACATAAAACATTAGTCTCATTTTCAAAAATAACATTTACATTGAGAGTGAAAATTTTAACTATTATGAAAAAGCCTTATGCCCTAATGTCATGGCAAGGAATTAGCTCGTGCTGAAATAATGGCTTAGTATTTTTGAAGCCATGAAATTTCATTTCAAGGTCTGAGGTGACTTGGTATTTTTGTTATATTTGATTTTATTCACAGAGCAGAACTTAACAACATTAAGAACCAGGAATGAAAGTCTTTGAACTGAGCTGATATGCCTTCTTCTTTTACATGGCTCAGAATGAATGCAGTCTACAGTCTTTCCTCCTCATCCTCACATCCACAGACTCTGCTTTTGCTCAGTGGTGTGGAAACAGCACAGAGCTGGAGATCAGAACAACAGATTTTGAATAACTTCTCCATCACTCTCTGGCCTACTAGAAAATATGGTAGGCTTTCTTAGCCTCATAATTTGAAGAGTTGTTATGAAGAGTATATTCTGCTAAATGAGAAAACAGTGGTTTGTAGAATGTAATGGAACCATGGAACCTTTAATATAATAGGTTTTTAATATCATAAGTTGATTCTAGATCCTGTAATTAAATTGTAAATAGATTTGGCCTTGTGTGCACCCACTCGACTTTTTTCTATTAAATCTGCTATTGGCCTATTTTCAGTATACAGACTTAAGGTAAGAACATTACATGACAGCACATATTATGAAGGTGCTAAGTAAGAGTACAAATAGGTGACTGGGTTTTATTGCAAAGGTCAGGAAATAGAGTTTTTAAGATTGATTCTGACATATAATATATATATAGTGCTTTATCCCTTTGGGCTGTCTTCCCAGTGATTGAAAAAAATGACTCCCCTTCATTAATACTTCTTTCATCATAGGCCAAGGTGGTTTTATTACACTTTTCCTACATGAGATTTTACATCATCAATATGAAACAAATTATGGTGTGTACCAGTATATTAACCATTCATAAATGAGTAATATTTAAATATGTAGTCATATCATGATGAAGTTTTACTTTTATTAATTAATATGTCTACACTAAGTTGAATCATCGGCTTAAAAATCAACTTCTTTTGGTGTCAGCCCATTTGTTTCATTTGTTTGTCAGCCCATTTGTTTCATTAATTTTCAATACTAATAAACTTATAAATATATATATATTTTATAAATTTACCCTTGAATTGCTTTTCTCCCAAACTCAATAAATAAGTTTTCTACTTCTGTTAAATATTAACAGGATACTATCTGGTATGTTGACTAGTCTCTGATGTAACAAACCTCTTAGTGATGGTTCTCCAAATGCTATTCTGGCATGCATTCTGGAATAAATGCATCCAGTAATCTCTAAAATCATTCACTAAGTTACACTTTTTGGGCAATTGTTGACATAAAATTTTAGCAACTTTCCTCTTCTTATGAAAATAATTCTCAGACATTAAGAATTTTAATTTCTAATTCAACATTCAAATAGCACGATCCATGGTTATTTTTCTTAATTGCCAACAAAGTTGTAATTACCATATTCTAGACCCAGAAAAAATGTTCCTTTAATTATACTGTCTAGTATACACCCCTTCAGATAAAATCTAAAGCAAATTTGTCTAAGTAATTTATAACAAAAGGATGTGATAGATTCGAAGCAACCTGCTTTCATCCCCTAAGTCTGTTGCTACTCTTAACAGTATAAATTTATGGAGTCTACTTATTTCCCTCATGCCAGACTCTTATAACAACCTAATATGTGATTATTGAAAAAATAAGTGGGACACTTCTTTCCTTCAGCAATGTATTATCTTACTGAAAAGATAGTTCTACATTTCAAAAGAAGTTGAGTAAAAGACAACATGTGAAACAAAGAGATAAAAACACATGGAACTAGAAGTGATTAATGAGAGGGAAGGTAAAACTAAAACATGAAAAGAGATCAGCAATATGTAAAAAGGTCATTTACAAATGTTCCTATCCTTTTGTGGCTTTTAAAGATGCTTACATGGAAAGATACAGAAGGAGCAAATCAATCTAGCCAGCCAAATCAGCTGACCCATTGAAAACAGTCCTTGGAATGACAGGTGTCCAAGCCATCTGTCAGTACCAAAGAATCAGACATTTTTCAGGAGGGAAGACCCACCTGAGCCATGCTCCTGAGTGAGATAGACACTCTCTGGCTTTCTGTAAAAAAATTCCTTGATTTTACAATAAATCTTGATAGATTTGTTAATACATTTTACCATAAATAAGCCTATTCTAGTGAAAGTTATCACTAATTCAGTTTTGCAATTAAACTGCATATTACTCATAAGAAGTTTTTTGCATTGATCCTTGTTATCCATGTGGCAGATGCCATGTGAAGAGTTAGCTGAGATTAAATTTAATTAAATTCATAATCTCCTTCTGAAAACTTTCTAGAAAGTTTGAAAGTGATTGGATTTTAGTCTCAGAAGATATGTCTCTGCCTATAATCTTTTTGAAAGGAGAGAGCTTGGATTCGATGAGTACCTAGAGTTCAACAGTTTCTCTGGATTGATAATACTTTTAAAATTATTTTTTAAATTAAGCTATAATTTATCACCTTTGTTATAAACCTAATTGATCCTTATTATTGTCACTTGAAATAACAATTATAATAAAATGTCAGGATATCTTAAACTAATCTCAACCTTTCATCTATGCCTATAGTCTATATATATATAGTCTATATATATATATTATATAGAGAGACTACATATATATAGACTATATATATAAAATATATATAGTATATATATATAGTATATATACACATATATATATTTATATACACATTTCTCTATGCCCCTTGTTCACACTTCAAACTGAGGTATCCAATATTAAAATGTCTTGTTCTTCCTCATACAACTTTTCCCAGATGGATATTTTAACTTTTATTATAAAAAAATAAAAACATCAAAATCTCCTGAAGAATGTAATCTTCTAAAAGTCTCAGCTGATTGTTCTGTTTTTGTCTTGTGACTTCCACTCGATTGTAATTAAAGGAGTGGTTCCTGCCCTAGGAGACAGGGCCCCAGGAGAATGATCTTCCGGGACTGGTGCACATGTGGCCATCTGGTGGTCAGCCCAAGATGAGAACCCACCCTGCAAAGCAAACTCAGTCTACAGCATTTTGATTCTCAGAATTGGAAGAGGAAAACAGATTTCTTTGCCTTTGCCTTCAACGCCACTGGACGTGCCACTAAATGAAGTCAAATGAGGTCTCTTTGAGACATCCAGGTAGCTGAGTTGCGAGACAGTTTCCCCTTGCTTCTAGCATGTTACTATTCTATAGTATCCTCAGCTTTGTCAGGGTACTGGAGTTAAGCCCATCTCACTTGCAATTTTTTGACTTGGCTATTCTCTATTTGCCAGGTCCCTTTTATTTTTATTTTAAGTGTCCAACCCTAGGGTGGACAATTGAAAAGGCCTTGCCAGATCCCAAATAACACTGTTATTAGAGATATAGGCTTAGTATTGAATCAAGTCAAGCCAATTACATTACACAAAGAACACCAAGGAAATTACCAGGAGCAGAAAATAAAACACAGTAGATGAGTGCACGAAATGTATTTTCTTGACCCCAATTTTCCAAGTACATAGAAAATTCAAACACTTGTGTCCCTGTAGGTGAAAACTGTTGTATCATCCAGTCCAAAGTGGTTTTCTGACTATTTTACTGGTCCACATAAACATAAAGAGAATATAAAATTTTGATTTTTTTCATTTTTTATTTTTATTTTTATTTTATTATTATTATACTTTAGGTTTTAGGGTACATGTGCATAATGTGCAGGTTAGTTACATATGTATACATGTGCCATGCTGGTGTGCTGCACCCATTAACTCGTCATTTAGCATTAGGTATATCTCCTAATGTTATCCCTCCCCCCTCCCCCCACCCCACAACAGTCCCCAGAGTGTGATGTTCCCCTTCCTGTGTCCATGTGTTCTCATTGTTCAATTCCCACCTATGAGTGAGAATATGCGGTGTTTGGTTTTTTGTTCTTGTGATAGTTTACTGAGAATGATGATTTCCAATTTCATCCATGTCCCTACAAAGGACATGAACTCATCATTTTTTATGGCTGCAAATTAGACCTTAAACCATAAAAACCCTAGAAGAAAACCTAGGCATTACCATTCAGGACATAGGCATGGGGAAGGACTTCATGGCTAAAACACCAAAGGCAATGGCAACAAAAGCCAAAATTGACAAATGGGATCTAATTAAACTAAAGAGCTTCTGCACAGCAAAAGAAACTACCATCAGAGTGAACAGGCAACCTACAAAATGGGAGAAAATTTTCACAACCTACTCATCTGACAAAGGGCTAATATCCAGAATCTACAATGAACTCAAACAAATTTACAAGAAAAAAACAGACAACCCCGTCAAAAGGTGGGCGAAGGACATGAACAGACACTTCTCAAAAGAAGACATTTATGCAGCCAAAAAACACATGAAAAAATGCTCACCATCACTGGCCATCAGAGAAATGCAAATCAAAACCACAATGAGATACCATCTCACACCAGTTAGAATGGCAATCATTAAAAAGTCAGGAAACAACAGGTGCTGGAGAGGATGTGGAGAAATAGGAACAGAAAATTTTGATTTTTTTCTAATGCTGTGATTGAAAATAAAGTACATATTTATTTTTCCCAAAATTTTGATGACAAAATAGTTTATTTTCAAATCAACTCACATGAATTTATTCATATGCCAGAAAACATCCCCCTCACAGCAATTGGTATGTGGTATGACATAGCCTACATACTTTTTAAGTCAATTTTATCAGTACTACTTTCATTCCTTTTGGGTTTGCTTTTATCACTCAGTAATTATTCACAAGAATATAATTTGGTTTGCTGGAGCCATATGAAAGAAATTCCTATACAGAATACTTCACTGAGAAATTCCTGTTCAGATGTTAAGATTTTGCCACCTCCACACATATATGATGATTTATTTCCTTCTAGAAATATCTATTGGCACACCGCCTATGCACAAGCAAGCCTGTCTGAGAATTTTCGATAAGTGATGATGTGTGTCTACTCTTTCATAGGGAAGATGATATATGTGAACACTGCAAAGACTCAAGGGAATGCATAGCAGGCAATAAAATATGAGTAGTTTAGAGGCAGAAGAAATGTTATTTCCAAATGGAGTTTATTGGGAGAGGCATCATTAAAATGCTGTTTGCCATCGCATAGGCAGGTCTCAATTGCTCTGGGGTTGCTTCCACACGTTCTCTCACAGAATAGTTCTGAGAACTTCCAGCCAAAACTTCTATTCAAATTGGTCAGTCTGATCTTACAACACAGCTGCTGGAAGAAACTGAATGGCACTTTTGAATTTCAGCCAATTTTGCTGCCTCATGGACAAAACTGTGTCTGATCTGTTCCATTCAACAGCACTTTCAGAATTTGAATTTTTCTGCCACAGAGTATATATAGACATGGCTTTGGTGAGTAGACCACATGCTAGAGATGAGAATTAACTGTCTCATACCACTGTGGCCCGTTGTAATAGGAAAACAGAATACTTATCATTTTCTTATGAGAAAGTATTATCAGCTTTCCCCTTTTTATTTTCTTGCTCATCTCCCCCTCTTACCATGAATTCTTGGAGAGCATGGATCTGTATCTTTCTGTATACATCACACATTACTTATGTGCTCAGAGAATGTTTCCTAATGAATGTTCAATAGGTATGGAGAGATTATGTTCATGTAATCCTGCATCTCAACCCTAAACTCAATTGCTCTATAAAGAGCAATTTCTCCTAGAGGCAATTTTCATTACTCACATTTGATAAAATCTCTATCATTCATTAGGGGATATAATCTACATAGCTTTACTTATGGTTAAAATGGACCCCTATCTGGAACTGGATGAACACAGGAAAGAAACGTGTTGCCCAGGCAACAGAGCTGATTTGTTTGAATGACTTCCCTCATTATCACAGTGAAAGTTAAAACAGATACTGTACAAGAAATTGCTGAGTTTGTATTAAGTCCGCTGATGAAGAAAATGAGAGAAAAAAAAACCAGTTTTGAGAGAAAGATGTAAAATTTGGGGGCTATTCTCAATGTTGCCAAAATGCGTGATAGTATATTTATTTAATTCATTAAAATTATTATGGAAATTTCTGAATAAATTCAAGAATTACTGCAGAACACATATAACAGCCTGTCTTTTTATTTTATTTATTTTCTATTTCTCCTTTAGAAAATAATAACACCTTGAGAGAAAAATTCTATTGATCTCTCTCACAACTGTCTACTCAGATACTAGAGATTCAGAAAACACAGAATAACAGGAAAATAACTTTTGAAACTTGAGTGTCAGATACTGTCAAATGTAAACCTTCTTTGATCTCACTGAAGCAAAATGATTTTGTATTTGTAATTGCAATGTTTCTTATGAAAATAAAACATTTTTTAAAAATGTTTGATATCTCTCTTTTAAAAAAATAAGACGTGGAATCTTATGGCTCAGTTCATTGATAATTGTTTCATTTCTCTTAGAATTGTTTTAATTGAGAAGTAGCAATACATAGCAGTTCTGAATCAAATCCATGTTGGCTTAGAATTCTTATACTGATCCTAATAGTCTTGCAATCTCATTGGTGCAACTGAGTATAAAATTATTGACTTTACAGTGTTGCTCTCAGGATTAAGAAAGATAATGCATTAAAGAACTAGCACAATGCATGGCACCAAGTACATAAACAATGTTAGTCAATTATTATTAAATGAATATAATTATATGGAGAAAATGAAATGTAATATTTCTCTGATAACAAAGATCTTACCAAATCACTTCAAAAGCCAGATAATAGCTATTGTTTCTAAGGGTGCATTTAAGATATTAAAAATAATTTTCATTAAGTTAAGCAGACCTTTTAATATACTCTTGATAGTACTAAACAATAAATTTCCATGTTTCTTTACACTAAGTTATGTACTTTACCTCAATATTACCATTTGTAATTTTAAAAAATCCATTGTGCACAGCCTCTAGAGTCAACATATTTTGGGATGATTATACTACATTACATATTTCTGATCTGAATTTGTAACACCCATATTCCAACTTAATATTGTTTAACAACATGGATTCTAAAATATTAGACTTGAAAGAAGCAATCATACATTACCAATGCATAAATTACACTCATTGCAGGGGTATTTTGCACTACAAATAATATCTAGAAAGATACATGACTTAGCTAAGAGAAAAGCTAATTAGTGACTATGTACAATTAGGTCTAGCTTCTAATATGGTACATTTTTTAACCTGTCATTTCTAAGAACTAAAGTATCATAACATGAATTATGTTTTTTGTTTTTGTTTTTGTTTTTAAATTTACTGGTCTACTGCAAAATCCTTGAGTGGTACAAACTCAACAGTGAAAATCCTTTAAGTTTTAATCATTATCTAACTATGTACCAATGAGGAGGGGATTGTCATTAAAATATTTATATTTTGTCTGTAAAGGAATTTACTTCTCCTTCACTTATGAAGCTTAGTTTGGCTGGATATGAAATTCTGGGTTGAAAATTCTTGTCTTTAAGAATGTTGAATATTGGCTCCCACTCTCTTCTGGCTTGTACAGTTTCTGCTGAGAGATCCACTGTTAGTCTGCTGGCCTTCCCTTTGTGGGTAACCCTACCTTTCTCTCTGGCTGCCCTTAACATTTTTTCCGTCATTTCAACTTTGGTGAATCTGACAATTATGTGTCTTGGAGTTGCTCTTCTCGAGGAATATCTTTGTGGAGTTCTCTGTACTTCCTGTATTTGAATGTTGGCCTGCCTTGCTAGGTTGGGGAAGTTCTCCTGGATAATATCCTGAAGAGTGTTTTCCAACTTGGTTCCATTCTCCCCGTTACTTTCAGGTACATCAATCAGACATAGATTTGGTCTTTTCACATAGTCCCATATTTCTTGGAGGCTTTGTTTGTTTCTTTTTACTCTTTTTTCTCTAAACTTCTCTTCTCACTTCATTTCATTCATTTGATCTTCAATCACTGATACTCCTTCTTCCACTTGATCAAATCAGCTACTAAAGCTTGTGCATGCTTCACGTAGTTCTCGTGCCATGGTTTTCAGCTCCATGAGTTCATTTAAGGTCTTCTCTACACTGTTTATTCTAGTTAGCCATTCGTCTAATATTTTTTCAAGGTTTTTAGCTTCTTTGCAATGGATTCGTACATCCTCCTTTAGTTCAGAGAAGTTTCTTATTACCAGTCATCTAAAGTCTTCTTCTCTCAACTCAACAAAGTCATTCTCCATCCAGCTTTGTTCCGTTGCTGGTGAGGAGCTACGTTCCTTTGGAGGAGAAGAGGCATTCTGATTTTTAGAATTTCAGCTTCTCTGCTCTGGTTTCTCCCCATCTTTGTGGTTTTATTTACCTTTGGTCTTTGATGATGGTGACGTACAGATGGGGTTTTGGTGTGGATGTCCTTTCTGTTTCTTATTTTTCCTTCTAACAGTCAGGACCCTCAGCTGCAGGTCTGTTGGAGTTTGCTGGAGGTCCACTCCAGACTCTGTTTGCCTGGGTATCACCAGCGGAGGCTGCAGAGCAGCAAATCTTGCAGAACGGCAAATGTTGCTGCCTGATTCTTCCCCTGGAGGCTTCATCTCAGGGGGGCACCTGGCTGTATGAGGTGTCAGTCGGCCCCTACTGGGAGGTGTCTCCCAGTTAGGCTACTCAGAGGTCAGGGACCCACTTGAGGAGGCAGTCTGTCCATTCTCAGATCTCAAACTCCATGCTCGGAGAACCACTACTTTCTTTAAAGCTGTCAGACAGAGACGTTTCATCTGCAGAAGTTTCTGTTGCCTTTTGTTCAGCTATGCCCTGCCCCCAGAGGTGGAGTCTACAGAGGCAGGCAGGCATTCTTGAGCTGCAGTGGGCTCCATCCAGTTCGAACTTCCTGGCCACTTTGTTTATCTACTCAAGCCTCAGCAATGGCGGGCACCCCTCCCCCAGCCTCACTGCCACCTTGCAGTTCGATCTCATACTGCTGTGCTAGCAGTGAGTGAGGCTCCATGGGTGTGGGACCCTCCAAGCCATGTGCAGGATATAATCTCCTGATGTGCCATTTTCTAAGACTGTTGGAAAAGTGGTGGGAATGTACCGATTTTCCAGGCACCATCTGTCACAGCTTCCCTTGGCTAGGAAAGGGAATTCCCAGACCCCTTGCACTTCCCAGGTGAGGCGATGCCCTGCCCTGCTCCGTGGGCTGAACCCACTGTCCGACAAGCCCCAGTGAGATGAACCTGGTACCTCACTTGGAAATGCAGAAATCACCCATCTTCTGCTTCGCTCACGCTGGGAACTGCAGACTGGAGCTGTTCCTATCTGGCCATCTTGGAAATGCTGAGAGATTTTGTCACCACCAGGCCTGCCTTACAAAAGCTCCTGAAGGAAGCGCTAAACATGGAAAGGAAAGACTGGTACCAGCCACTGCAAAAACATGACAAATTGTAAAGACCATCAAGGCTAGGAAGAAACTGTATCAACTAACAAGCAACATAACCAGCTAACATCATAATGACAGGATCAAATTCACAGATAACAAATATTAACCTTAAATGTAAATGGGATAGTTGCTCCAATTAAAAGACACAGAATGGTAAATTGGATAAACAGTCAAGACCCGTCAGTGTGCTGTATTCAGAAGAACCATCTCACGTGGAGAGACACATAAAAGCTCAAAATAAAGGGATGGAAGAAGATCTACCCAGCAAATGGAAAACAAAAAAAAGCAAGGGTTACAATCCCAGTCTCTGATAAAACAGACTTTAAACCAACAAAGATCAAAAGAGACAAAGAAGGCCATTACAGAATGGGATCAATTCAACAAGAAGAGCTAACTATCCTAAATATATATGCACCCAATATAGGAGCACACAGATTCATAAAGCAAGCTCTTAGAGACCTACAAAGAGACTTAGACTCCCACTCAATAATAATGGGAGACTTTAACATCCCACTGTCCACATTACACAGATCGACGAGACAGAAAGTTAAGAAGGATATCCAGGAATTGAACTCAGCTCTGCACCAAGTGGACTTAATAGACATCTAGAGAACTCTCCACCCCAAACCAATAGAATATACATTCTTCTCAACACCATATTTCACTTATTTCAAAATTGACCACATAGTTGGAAGTAAAGCACTCCTCATCAAATGTAAAAGAACAGAAATTATAACAAACTGTCTCTGAGATCACAGTGCAATCAAACTAGAACTCAGGATTAAGAAACTCACTCAAAATTTCTCAACTACATGGAAACTGAATAACCTGCTCTTGAATGACTACTGGGTACATAAAGAAAGGAAGGCAGAAATAAAGATGTTCTTTGAAACCAATGAGAACAAAGACACAACATACCAGAATCTCTGGGACACATTTAAAGCAGTGTGTAGAGGGAAATGTATAGCACTAAATGCCCACAAGAGAAAGCAGGAAAGATGTAAAATTGACACCATAATATCACAACTAAAAGAACTAGAGAAGCAAGAGCAAACACATTCAAAAGTTCCAGAAGGCAAGAAATAACTAAGATCAGAGCAGAATTGAAGGAGATAGAGACACAAAAAAACCCTTCAAAAAATCAATGAATCTAGGAGCTAGTTTTTTGAAGAGATCAAGAACATCGATAAACCACTAGCAAGACTAATAAAGAAGAAAAGAGAGAAGAATCAAATAGACACAATAAAAAATGATAAAGGGGATATCCCCTCCAATCCCATAGAAATACAATCTACATCAGAGTATACTATAAACACCTCTATGCAAATAAACTACAAAATCTAGAAGAAATGGATAAATTCCTGGACATATACACCCTCCCAAGACTAAACCAGGAAGAAGTTGAATCCATGAATAGACCAATAACAGGCTCTGAAATTGAGGCAATAATTAATAGCTTACCAACCAAAAAAAGTCCAGGACCAGAGGGATTCACAGTCGAATTCTACCAGAGGTACAAAGAGGAGCTGGTACCATTCCTTCTGAAACTAATCCAATCAATAGAAAAAGAGGGAATCCTCCCTAACTCATTTTATGAGGCCAGCATCATCCTGATAACAAAGGCTGGCAGAGACACAACAAAAAAAGACAATTTTAGACCAATATCCCTGATGAACATTAATGCAAAAATCCTCAATAAAATACTGGCAAACCAAAACCAGCAGCACGTCAAAAAGGTTATCCATCACAATCAAGTTGGCTTCATCCCTAGGATGAAAGTCTGGTTCAACATATGAAAATCAATAAACGTAATCCATCATATAAACAGAACCAAAGACAAAAACCACATGATTGTCTCAATAGATGCAGAAAAGGCCTTTGACAAAATTCAACAACCCTTCATGCTAAAAACTCTCAATAAACTAGGTATTGATGGGACATATTTCAAAATATAAGAGCTATTTATGACAAACCCACAGCCAATATCATACTGAATGGGCAAAAACTGGAAGCATCCCCTTTGAAAACTGGCACAAGACAGGGATGCCCTCTCTCACCACTCCTAGTCAAAATAGTGTTGGAAGTTCTGGCCAGGGCAATCAGGAAGGAGAAAGAAATAAAGGGTATTCAGTTAGGAAAAGAGGAAGTCAAACTGTCCCTGTTTGCAGATGACATGATTGTGTATTTAGAAAACCCCATCGTCTCAGCCTAAAATCTCCTTAAGCTGATAAGAAACTTCAGCAGTCTCAGGATACAAAATCAATGTTCAAAAATCACAAGCATTCTTACACACCAATAACAGACAAACAGAGAGCCAAATAAAGAGTGAACTCCCATTCACAATTGCTTCAAAGAGAATAAAATACCTAGGAATCCAACTGACAAGGGATGTGAAGGACCTCTTCAAGGAGAACTACAAAACACTGCTCAACAAAATAAAAGAGGACACAAACAAACGGAAGAACATTCCATGGTCATGGATAGGAAGAATCAATATCATGAAAATGGCCATACTGCCCAAGGTAATTTATAGATTCAATGCCATCCCAATCAAGCTACCAATGACTTTCTTCACAGAATCGGAAAAAACTACTTTAAAGTTCATATGGAACCAAAAAAGAGCCCTCATTGCCAAGTCAACCCTAAGCCAAAAGAACAAAGCTGGAGGCATCACACTACCTGACTTCAAACTATACTACAAGTCTACAGTAACCAAAACAGCATGGTACTGGTACCAAAACAGATATATAGACCAATGGAACAGAACAGAGCCCTCAGGAATAATACCACACATCTACAACTCTCTGATCTTTGACAAACCTGACAAAAACAAGAAATGGGGAAAGGATTCCCTACTTAACAAATGGTGCTGGGAAAACTGGCTAGCCATATGTAGAAAGCTGTAAGTGGATCCCTTCCTTACATCTTACACAAAAATTAATTCAAGATGGATTAAAGACTTACATGTTAGACCTAAAACCATAAAAACCCTAGAAGAAAACCTAGGGAATACCATTCAGGACATAGGCATGGGCAAGGACTTCATGACTAAAACACCAAAAGCAATTGCAACAAAAGCCAAAATGGACAAATGGGATCTAATTAAAGAGCTTCTGCACAGCAAAAGAAACTACCATCAGCGTGAACAGGCACCCTACAGAATGGGAGAAAATTTTTGCAATCTACCCATCTGACAAAGGTCTAATATCTGGAATCTACAAAGAACTTAAACAGATTTACAAGAAAAAAATCAAACAACCCCATCAAAAAGTGGGCAAAGGATATGAACAGACACTTCTCAAAAGAAGACATTTTGTGCAGCCAACAGACACATGAAAAAATGTTCATCATCATTGGCCATCAGAGAAATGCAGATCAAAACCACAATGAGATACCATCACACACCAGTTAGAATGGTGATCATTAAAAAGTCAGGAAACAACAGGTGCTGGAGAGGATGTGGAGAAATAGGAACAGTTTTACACTGCTGTTGGGACTGTAAACTTGTTCAACCATTGTGGAAGACAGTGTGGTGATTCCTCAAGGATCTAGAACTAGAAATACCATTTGACCCAGCCATCTCATTACTGGGTGTATACCCAAAAGATTATAAATCATGCTGTTATAAAGACACATGCACACGTATGTTTATTGCGGCACTATTCACAATAGCAAAGACTTGGAACCAACCCAAATGTCCATCAATGATAGACTGGATTAAGAAAATGTGGCACATATATACCATGGAATACTATGCAGCCATAAAAAAGGATGAGTTCACGTCCTTTGTAGGGACATGGATGAAGCTGGGAACCATCATTCTCAGCAAACTCTCACAAGGACAGAAAACCAAACACCGCATGTTGTCACTCATAGGTGGGAATTGAACAATGAGAACACCTGGACACAGAGTGGGGAACATCACACACCGGGGCCTGTCATGGGGTTGGGGGAGTGGGGAGGGATAGCATTAGGAGATATAACTAATGTAAATGACGAGTTAACAGGTGCAGCACACCAATATGGCACATGTATACATATGTAACAAACCTGCATGTTGTGCACATGTACCCTAGAACTTGAAGTATAATAAAAAATTTATATCTTATTTTAAGATTAAATAAATTTATTTTCAAAGATGTATTTTCAACAAATTTACATTTATGCAATTCCTAGATTAATATGCTATACAAAATGAACTTGCAGTTTATTTGGAAGATATCTAGTCCAGACAAATATTGTCTGGCAAGGTACAGACACATTGGCAAGGAAAAGACAGAAAATCATGATCAAGATAATCTACTTGGAACATAATTCATGCCCAGATACTGAGTGTTGACTACAATTCATTTCAGTGCCATATTTACTGGACAAAAAAAAGATATGTACTATACATCTAGTACAGACCTAGGTAGAGTGGAGATATTATGAAATAGAAAAATAATGAAAAGTTCTTCACTTGAAGAAAATAAATCTTACTTGGCACATATCTTCGGAGGGCTGTAAGGTAGATGGCTAGTCTCTTAGCCACCAAAACTTGAGGAAATCAAACATTCCCATTCCCTTTTTCAGTCCATTAGTAAATTGTTTAATTTACACTAAATTCTATGTCTGTATACAAAATGTATCTACTAAATTTTTCCAGGGGGTATCATTATGCATTTTTCATCACCTTATAAAACTGACAGGTCACAAAAGCAGAGTTGCCCTTTACAGAGCTCATCAATAACAACATAACTTTTAGGTTGAAAAAATATAGATTTGCTACAAAAAATGCATTGACGTTGCAGTTATTTCTAGTCATCCTACATTGTTATTTTTATACTAAAAGTCTTACATTATTCTTCAGTACAAATATAACAAGATTTTATTACGAACACACACACACACACAGAAACACACACACACAGAAACACACACACACATATTTAATTCTGCCACATAGCAATGACAATAATAGTACAATGGATGAAATTTTGTATTAATACGAAACTAAGCTTCAATTTCAGCTCCTCAGAACCATTACAAATGCCCAAATAAAAGGTATATGTTTCACATTTTTTTCGCTTGGTTTTCTGCACACAAAGAACAACCACTAAGTAAGGAGCCGAAATGCTGCTATTAAAAAAAATACAATATGTTTCTTTCACGTCTGATGTATAAAAAATCTTAGAAATAGCTACTCCACTCCTTACAACAAGAAAAAATATGAATGCACTGAAAGTTAATGGCTTTTCTTGGGCCCATTAAAGAACTGAAGTCTCATGCCAAACTGTCACCTGAAATCTGCAGAGACAGGTGAACACAGAGAAACAGCTGAGATTGTCTTACCTGGAGGATGGGCTGCTGGAGCCCTAAAGTTAACACTTCTGGAAAAAGTGGTCAGCATGGAAGAACAGATGGGTAATGTAAATAAAAACTCTCAGAAAAATTCAAGGAAAATGCTAGAACTGAAAAACTCTGAAACAGAAACATGCCTTTGATGGATTCATCAGAATCCTAGACGTGGCAAAGAAAAGAATGAGTGAGCTTGAAGGCATGTTAACAGGAACTTCCCAACTGAAATGGAAAAAGCAAAAAATATATAATGAAGAGGAAGAAGGAGAAAAATAAGAGGATAAGGAGGAGAAAGAAGAAGTACCCAAGAACTTTGGGACAGTTTCAAAGCTGTCATATATGTGTAATGACAATATCAAAAGAAAAAGGAGACAAAACCAAGAAATATTTGAAGTAATAGTCATTGAGATCTTTCCAAAATTAATGCTACTCAAAACAAAAAAACAGAATACACAGAGAACACAGAGCAGTATAAATAGTAAAATAATAAATAAATACATTCACCTACACATAACATTTTCAAACTGTAAAAAAAAAAAAACAAAACAAAGAGAAAGTCTTGAAAGAAGCCATGAATGGGAGGTGAGGGAATGCTTACCTTTAGAAGAAAAAGGGTAAATTTACTTTAACTCTCCTTACAAATTAAATGAAAACTTATTTCCATAGATAATACTGCACATAACTTTATATCAACTTATTCTCTGCTGCCAAAAATTGGAAAGTATCAAAATGTCCTTTAATAAGCAAATGGATAAAAAAACTGTGGGTCATCTGTGCAATAGAACAGTATTCAGTAGTAAAAAGAAATGCACTATCAAGCCGTAAAAGGGCACTGAGGAAACACTGTACATTGCTAAGTGAAAGAATCGGTGGAAAAAGACTACATACTGTATGCTTTCAATTATATCACACCCTGGAAAAGCAAAGATATAAAGATGATACAAAGAGCAGTAATTCCAAGAGAGATCAGGGGAAGGAGGGGAGGACAGGAGAGTAGAGGAAGGAAGCACAGGAGATTATTTAGAACATTAACACTGTGCTGTATGATATGTAATTGTGGATACATGGCCCTACCCATTTGTCAAAAACCATAGAACTTACAGAACATAAAGTGAAAATTAATACATGCAAATTTAAAAAAAGGAGGATTGGGTATCCCAGGAAGGAATTCAGACCATGATAAGAAAATCTAACTGTATTACAAATATATGAAACAACCTCATTGATGGGGTTGGGAAGAAAAGGTGCTGACCTAAGTAACTCTGGAAAGAAGGATTGTCTATAAGGCTAAATGCAAAAAGAACGGCACATAAGAACGGTGCTGTATTTGATAAAGGTGTTGCCCATGGAGACGTGGGTTAAAAATCCTCATATTGCTATACTTGTATTCTAGAATTGAATACATCAGTAAATGGCTGTTTGATGGTGGGAGCCATGTTTCTAACTATTGAAGTGAAAATTTATAGACAAGAAGAAGCTAAATGATTCAGGTGGTGATAGATTAGAGAGTTGAGGTCATTGGTATCAATTCATGTTTAGCTGAATATAGATACAAATGGATATATACAAAAATATTTATAAATATCTGTTTAAAAGCCAATGAATATACACACTTATGTTTGCTGAGATTGTCTAAAAGAAAAGCACATCAAGAGCTACAAGGACACATAACACCCAGTTCCTGATTTCTAGTATCAGTGTTCAGTAAAATAAACCAAGGCTCCTTAGAGAAATGGCTAATTCTAGAACTCAGAAAGTAAACAAGATGATCATGGAGTGTCACGCAGCGCTAGAAAGGAAGAAAGTGCTCCATAAAAGTAAAATAAATTTTAAAAATGTGCCATGGACTTTAGTTAATAATGACATACTAATATTGGTTCATTAGTTGTAACAAATACCCAGTACTAGTAGAAGGTGTTAATAATACAGAAAACTTTGTGTGGAATGTGTGGAAACTCTTTGTGTTATCTTTTCAATTTTTCTTTAAATCTAAAACAGTTTTAAATATTAAATTATGTTTAAAAATCACAGTGAAAGGAATTCAGTTTTCTTAGGAAAAAGAGAGATTTCAGCCACATTATTATAGCAAAATATCACTTAAATTTCTGGGAATTACAGATAAATGAGAAAACTCTAAACTTCATTATTAATTGTCTGATCCTGGGCACATGGCTATAAGATGTATGTTACCTCCTTTAAACTTCTAGTTTTTAATCTTGAGAAGGACTTGATAACATATTGTTTTTTTCATGAAGTATTCCATCAGTATACCTCAAAGCAAGCCATGATGTTAGAGAAAGTTTTAATGCTTAAAATAAAAAATCAAAAGACAATGAATGAGCCCCTCCTTTGATTTATAACATAAGCCCCTTCTCTGATTTAGGGGAATAAATTAAGATTTGTACACTGGATTCATAGTGGTAGCCACTGTGAAGAACAAAGTCAACAATTTATTTACATCAAATTTATTCTTTTTATACTTAGAGGTTTTTTTTGGTTTGTTTTACTTTTTTTAGCCCTAGTTTGCTGTAAATATCACTGACACATGTATAAATATTGCATGGATCATTCCCCTTCCCTTCACAGAGGCCTATTTGGTTTTCATTTATCGTGATTCATTCTGAAATTGCCTTTCTAGTGTCTGTCATCAGTTGAGGTATCCTTGCTCAAATGCTTCCAATCCTTGCTCCTCTTGTGCTTCTGGTGACTAAATTGACTAGAGTTGAGGAAGGGCATCCCTGGTGTAGATGGCATTTTGTTCAGTAAGCGCCTGGATGGAACAGGCCAGATTTTAAGAGAGAGCAGAGAATTACAAGTACACATCTTTCCACACAGAGAAGATTTCTGCTTGCTACACTTTTCATTTTAGCCCAAGTCTGGGGATTGAGTTTCGAGTATTAATGCTACAACCCAAGGAATCAACGTCTGTTTCTATGATCATTTACTTTCTCCACAGCTCAAGTCATTGTGACCTTGGATTTTCTGATGTCATAGTCTTCAGGAGCTTAAGTGAGGAGACTTCAGAGCTAAACTGCCTGAGATAAAGTCCCACTTCCACTTCCAGCACTTGCTCAATGCGACCCTTGGAAAATTATTTTCATTTTGATGCCTTGTTTTTTCAGTGTAAAGTGGAGATACTAACGGGAATTAATTCACAGAGTTGTTTGAGGACTCAGTGAGTCATTATATGCAAAGTGCTTAGTACAATGTCTGGCAGGAAGCAGGGGCTAAGAAAATATTTGCTGTTATTATGTCACATACACCTTTCTAAAACAACCAGGTAGGCACATGAAGGTAAGCATTTATATTATTCAGACTCTCAAAAGAAAAACCAATTTGTTGGGGGAATGATACAAATAGCTAATTGCACTCCTTGCCTATCATCCTATTAGCGCCCAAATGCTTGCTAAAATCCACACCCACAATACAGGTTCCCTAATTTTGTTTCTTTATCCATGTCATTCACTTCAGAATCAATATTCCCTACAGATCAAATCACTGATGAAACTGAAACCACGTGCAAGAAGTATTTTGCACTCTCTGCTAAGATAAGGCCCACTGGAAGATTGGAACAGCTGTTGGCTGACTCGCACCCTACATCCACCAGGTTCCATACTATCCTGTAGATAAGGCAGTCATGCACCAAAACAGGGCAGCTGACGACCTGCACTCAGCGTCGTCATAATTTCCTAGAATCTGTACTCACAAGGAGGGTCTGCTTGTCCTGCCACATATTTCTCAGAATTGCTTCAACACAATTTTGGGCTCAACTCCACGTTGGTTGATTTGCTTTACTATGAGCACATCAGAAGTTAAGTCCTGCCAGGCGCAGTGGCTCACACTTATAATCCCAGCACTTTGGGAGGCTGAGGAGGTGGATCACCTGAGGTCAAGAGTTCGAGACCAGCCTGGCCAACATGGTGAAACACTGTCTTTAATAAAAATACAAAAATTAGCCAGGTGTAGTGGTGGGCACCTGTAATGCCAGCTACTTGGGGGGCTGAGGCAGGAGAATCACTTGAACTGGGGAGACAGAGGTTGCAGTGAGCCGAGATTGAACCATTGCACTGTAGCCTGGGCAACAAGAGTGAAACTTGGTCTCAAAAAAAAAAAAAAAAGGAAATTAAGTCCTAATCGTTGTGTTTCAACATTCAACAGTTTTGTCTAATCACAAGAAACTGTGATTTTAAAAAAAAACACTGCAAAGAAAAATAAAAACTTTTACAGAATAGAAGAAACTATCTTCCACCGTCTTCATCCCAGAGAATGCATTCCAAATCTGAGCCTGATGACATTACTTTTGCTCCTGACTTCCCAGGTGAGATAATGCTAACCATATTCAGTACTAATTCCCTGTGTAAGCATTTCATTTACAACTTCCACCAAAAATAAAAACAGTGTGACCAGGATCACATTTAACAAGCACTGGAAGTAGGACTTTAATTCAGGGATTTTAGCTTTGAGGTCCCTTTCTTTCATACTGTTGATACTCTACGAAAAGACTTGAACCTCCTAATGATTGTGATGCCAAAAAAGTCCAAGATCATAGTGTATTGGCTGGTATGGAAAAATGATTGTGGAAACACACTGTGATTCCTTGAATTGTAGCATTCATAGCTGTACTTGCTAGCTTCTGAACCTAAAAATTCTACAAGGCATCAAGTTGTTAATTAAAAGAAAGTATGACATTTTAAAAAAGAAATGGATGCTTTACTGTACTTTGCTGCTGATGTTAATCACTCTGCCTCCTTCCCTATTATGAACTTCCTGAGTGTCTGTCACCTGTCACAAAGGTAAATCATCAGGGCTTGCAGAGCCCTGTAGATTTGAGGAACAGATTTGGGCTCTGTAGCTGCCTGAGGACTGTGTCAAGGCTGGAGAAAAATCTTCTGCTTCAGGATTTACTTGCCCCATATTGCCTTGTAAAATGATTGCCTATCCTATTTCCAGAGAAATAATCAGCAACTCAAACTGATGGTGTGGCATGATAAAACCAGGAAAGGAAAAACGCTATTAGCAGGACAAGTCGCCAAAGGGCATTTATTTCCCTTCTCCCCACTGCCACCTTCAGAGCCGGCGGATTCAACCCGGGAGACTGCTTTCTCCCAGCTGGATCCCTCCCAATCAGATGCTGTTTTTTTCTGAGTCTAAAGTCAAGTCACTGGCCTAGGATGCACCTGCTGAGGGGCGGCAAATGGGAGACTTCACCTGCGCTCTGGGCACAGGCTGCTATCTGATATGGGGCTCATTCTGAAAAGAAGACAAATGTGCAGATAAACTGCAAAGTACGGAAATAAATATAATGACATTGGTAGGGAAGTGGACACCAACAGAACACAAGAGAGAGATTTAAGAATGGTCAATTTATAAGTGACAATTGAAAATAATGTCTTAGAATTGTTAAATTGTATTGTTTGAACTGCATATGAGAATAAAGACTGATAATTTTTAAAATAAAAAAAGAAAATATAATAAATATGCCAGTAAAACCAACGGGAAAAATAGATGGTTTAGAAGACGGTACTAGGACATGTTTACTACTAGGGAAAAATGATAAAACTGTGTACCTGCATAACACCATGTTCCAAGTTTGAAACGAGATGCATCAGAAACCTCAATGTGGAAGGTAAAATGATAAAGTAGAATATCCTTATTTTTAGTGATATGTAGCTTGCCACTCTGGACAGTAATCTGGCAATACAAAATTTAAGCATGTGAAAATCTTAGAAAGTCAGATCACAGATAAATATTCCAAAGATATTCTCACACAAGGGAAAGTATGCAAGGATATTCATTCTGGTGTTATCCTGTGATGACAAGGCCCTGGATGCAATCTCAAAGTCAATCTCTGGAGAACAATACTGAGAAACTAAAAGATAGAGAAAAGGTGCACCTATTAACAGAGACAAGTTTTTAAAAAAATGCTGAGCAAAAGTACAATAGAATGAGAAAGCATTAGAGCACAATAAACTATGCAATCCTAAAATGTATGTAAACAGACAACAGAAATACTGCTTACAGGAATGTATTTGAATGTATATATCTTTATGTACATATTACATATTCACACATACACATAAATGTATAATCAGGCGGGCCTTGCATAGGCCAGTGGTGATGTTTTCCATAGACCAAATAATATGATTAATTCAACTATTTGCAAGTGAAGACCACAAAGAAAAATAAATATGGAAATAAATAACAATCATTTTTGCTAAATTTCGGTACTCTTCCAGTTCCTACTTTTCAAGAAAATAAACCAAGTAGTAGCAAAGTGGTATCTTTTATTTTAAAAATTCCTGTTTTCTTTCTCTCTCTGTATGCTACTTTCAATTTTTCTTTCTTTCTTTATTTTGAGACAGAATCTGGCTCTGTCACTCAGGCTGGAGTGCCGTGGCATGATCTCAGCTCACTGCAACTTCCACCTACCAGGTTCAAGTGATTTTCCTGCCTCAGCCTCCTGAGTAGCTGGGATTACAGGTGCACATCACTATGCCTGACTAGGTTTTGGGTTTTTTTTGTTTTTTTTTTTTTGTATTTTTAGTAGAGATGGAGTTTCAGCTTGTTGGCCAGGCTAATCTCAAACACCTGACCTCAAGTGATCCACCGGCCTCAGCTTCTCGAAGTCCTGGGATTACAAGCATGAGCCACCACTCCCAGCCTATATGCTACTTTTAAAACATCAAGAATGTTCACATCTACTTGCCAAGTCTGGCCCCAAACAACTTTTCTCCTTGCTCTTCTATGAAGAGTACTTTTCTACATAGAATGAAATTAAAAAAGAAAGCAGACAATGCTTTGATCCAAATAATCCAAAACAAATGAGAGAGAGAGATCCTTCAACCATCCACACTTGCTGTAAAAGTAGACACGGCTTAAAGAAGAGAAAAAGAGAGTTTAAAGGCAGCTTCTACAAATATTCTAAATTTATCTTTAATAATCATGATTATTCATTGTGCATTGCAGTTTTCACAAATCATTTCATTAGGCTTTCATAAGAATCTCATGTACTTGTTAATTCTGAGACAGTTGCATGGATTACGAGATACCAGTTGCTAGCCATAAAATGGCAAATCAGGGTCTTCTGTCCAGGCCTTCTGACAATTATTTAAGTGCTTTTGCCTTGACACTAGGTCAAAAACTCTAATGGATACTGGTCAACTCAGATAGAGAATCATTAGACTTTATACAACAGTGATTTCCTGGGACAATTCCATCAACTTCAGCAGTGTGAAACAGACTAAGGACATTACATAAAAGGATAGTTTTTATATTAAGCCCAAATAATTCCTGAAATTTACTCCAGTTAAGCCACTTTCATATGTTTGGATGGATAAAGATCCCCATGAAAATTATTGATATTAAAATCTCATCTCAAGAATCATCATCATGGAGGACCGGAGGCAGGACTAGTTGCAATTCCAGACAGAGCAGCTTGCGCAAACTCTCATTGTGAATTTTAGCTCCAGGCCGACTGCAAGAACAAACCAACAGCCCTGAGAGGACCCACAGACCCTCTGAAGGAAGTGAACTGCTCCTGTAGGACCCAGAAGACACCCCAAATACAACTGCAGAAGTGGGAAAGGGAGACCCTTCTCTCCAGAACACACACCCCCAGTGGAAAAGCTGAAGGTCTGTTTGCGGGAGACCTTTCTGACTTTACCTGGAGCTGAGTCAATTTAGAGAGCTAAGTGAAATACAGGGGTAGAGGAAGAAGCAGAAAGGCCCTGGGAGCTTGCCGCATCCCCTAGCAGGCCATTCTTGCCTGGCATAACAGGGATCCATTGGGAGGGTGACCAGAGGAGCAGGAGGTATAACTCCACAGGGAGAAGGAAATCTCTAGCTGAATTTTGTAACAATTTGAACGGGGCGAGAAACCTCCTGGCCAGAAATCCAGGGAGGATGGAAATCTGGTGTGCAGACTTTACAGATGGGGGAAGAACCAAGCCCTTTTCTTTCACAGCTGGAAGGCAGGTATCCCGGGGCAAGTTTTCAAGCCCATCATGCCCTCTCCTTGGAAACAGACTCAGGGTTCTTGTGGGGGTCACGGTGGGAGTGAGACCAGCCCTTAGGTTTGCATGGGAGCTGTGTGAGGCCTGTGACTGCTGGCTTTCCCCCACTTCCCTGATGACCTGCATGACTCAGCAGAGGCAGCCATAGTCCTCCAGGTACACAACTCCAGTGACATGGGAACCTCACTTGCATTCTCCACAGCAGCCACAGCAAGAACTGCCCAAGTAGAGACTGAGGTCAGTGATGCCTAGCCCTGTCCCCACCAGATGGTCCTTCCCTATCCATCCTGGTAGCAGAAGACAAGGGGCATATAATCTTGTGAGTTCTAGGGCCCTGCCCACCGCCTGTCTCTCTGTACACTACTACAGCTGATGCTTTCTAGAAAGAGTCATCTTCTGGGTCAAAAACAAAATCAAGATTGAAGTAAAAAAATTCTTCGAACTGAATGACAATAATGACACAATCTATCAAAATCTCTGGGCTAATGCAAAGGCGGTGCCAAGAGGAAAGTTCATAGCCCTAAGTGCCTACATCAAAAAAAATGAAAGAGCACAAACTGACATTCTAAGGTCACATCTCAAGGAAATAGAAAAACAAGAATAATCCAAACCCAAACCCAGCAGAAGAAAGGAAATTACCAAGATCAGAGCAGAACTAAATGAAATTGAAACCAAAAGAAGTACAAAAAATAAATGAAACAAAAAGCTGGTTCTTTGAAAAGATAAATAAAATTAATAGACCATTAGCAAGATTAACCAAGAAAAGAAGAGAGAAAATCCAAATAACCTCACTGAGAAATGAAACAGGAGATATTACAACTGACACCACTGGAATGCAAAAGATCATTCAAGGCTACTATGAACACCTATACACACATAAACTAGAAAATCTAGAAGAGATGAGTAATTCCTGGAAAAATACAACTTCCTGGCTTAAATCAAGAAGAATTAGATACCCTGAACAGAACAATATCAAGCAGGGAGATGGAAATGCTAATTTGAAAATTGCCAACAAAACATGTCCAGGACCAGATGGATTCACAGCAGAATTCTACCAGACATTCAAATAAGAATTGGTACCAATCTTATTGAACACTATTCCACAAGATAGAGGAAGAAGGAAACCTCCCTAATTCAATTTATGGAGCCAGCATCACCCTAATACCTAAACCAGGAAAGGACATAACTGAAAAGAAAACTATAGATTGATATCCTTGATGAATGTATTTGCTAGTATCCTAAACAAAATACTAGCTACAGAATCCAACAACATATCAAAAAGATGATCCACCATGATCAAGTGGTTTTCATACCAGAGATGCAGGGATGGTTTAATATACACAAGTCAATAAATGTGGTACGCCACAAAAACAGAATTAAAAACAAAAATCACATGATCATCTCAATAGATGCAGAAAAAGCATTTGACAAAATCCAGCATCTCTTTATGATTAAAACTCTCAGCAAAATCAGCATACAAGGGACATACCTTAAGGTAATGAAGGTCATCTAGGACAAACCCACAGCCAACATAATACTGAATGGGGAAATGTTGAAAGCATTCCCTCTGAGAACTGGAACAAAACAAGGATGCACTCTCTCACTACTCTTCTTCAACAAAGTACTAGAAGTCCTAGTCAGAGCAATCATACAAAAGGAAGAAATAAAGGGCATCCACATTGGCAAAGAGGAAGTCAAACTGTCACTGTTTGCTGATGATATGATCCTTTACCTTGAAAACCCTAAGGACTCCTCCAGAAAGCTCCTAGAATTGATAAAAGGATTCAGCAAAGTTTCCAGATACAAGATTAATGTATACAAATCAGTAGCTCTTCTATATACCAACAGCGACCAAGTGGAGAATCAAATCAAGAACTCAACCCTTTTTACTATAGCTGCAAAAACAAACAAACAAACAAATAAGAAAACAAAAAAACAACTTGGGAATATACCTAAGGAGCCTAAAGACTTCTATGAGGAAAACTACAAAACACTGCTGAAATAAATTGTAGATGACACAAACAAATGGAAACACATCCCATGCTCATGGATAGGTAGAAACAATGTTGTGAAAATGACCATACTGCCAAAAGTAATTTACAAATTGAATGCAATCCCCATCAAAATACCACCATCATTCTACACAGAATTAGAAAAAATAATTATAAAATTCATATGGATCCAAAAACAAGCCCACACAGCCAAAGCAGACTAAGCAAAAAGAACAAATCTGGAGGCATCACACTACCTGATTTCAAACTATACTATAAGGCCATAGTCACCCAAACAGCATGGTACTGGTATAAAAAAAGGCACACAGACCAATGAAACAGAATAGAGAATCCAGAAATAAACCCAAATACTTACAGTCAACTGATCTTCGACAAAGCAAACAAAAACATAAAACAGGGAAAGGACATCCTTTTCAACAAATAGTGCTGGGATAATTGGCTGGCCACATGTAGGAGAAGGAAACTGGATCCTCATCTCTCACCTTATACAAAAATCAACTCAAGATGGATTAAGGACTTAAACCTAAGACCTAAAACTATAAAAATTGTAGAAATTAACATTGGAAAAACCCTTCTAGACATTGGCTTAGGCAAGGATTTCATGACCAAGAACCCAAAAGCAAATGCAATTAAAAAAAAAAAATAGCTGGGACCTATTTAAACTGAAGAGCTTTTATGCAGCAAAAGGAATGTCAGCAGAATAAACAGACAACCCACAGAGTGGGAGAAAATCATCACAACCTATACATCTGACAAAGGACTAATATCCACAATCTACAACAAACTCAAACAAATCAGTAAAACAAACAATCCCATCAAAATGTGGGCTAAGGATATGAATAGACAATTCTTAAAAGAAGATATACAGATGGCCAACAAACATATGAAAAAAATGCTCAACATCAATAATGATCAGGGAAATGTTACATGATGGTGTAACAACAAAATGGGCCTAACTTCCTTATTTCACAGATGAAAAAACTAAGGACCAAAGAAAGCAAGTAAATTTCTCAAACCTAAAAAGCAGATGAGTTGTTGAGCCAGAGACTCCAACATCCCAGGCCAGTGGAATCTGATAATACCAAGCTGCTTCTGGTTTTGTTCTTTTTAAAAAGATATGACAAACAAAACAAACAACAAAACAACAACAAAAGCTTTTTGGAGATTTGGCTTTCTTGTGCTGCACTCAGGGTGGGATGCCCACTGGGCACACCAGGGCTCTCAATAAATCAGGCCACACGGAAGCCTTCTCTGTGGCTTCTCTGACTCCATGAAGTCCAGTAAACACGGAAAGGTAAAAACAATATGGTGATATTTGGAAATCCTCTTTTGCTGTGCAAAAGCTCTTTAGTTTAATTAGGCCCCAGCTATTTTTCTTTGTTTTTATTACATTTGCTTTTGAGTTATTGACCATGAAATTCTCCCTTTTATTGTCCCATCATACATAGGCTAACTGAGACAATATACTGAGAGGACAAATATTCAATGGTGATTGGTATCACCAGTCTCATCTCAAGAACACGTTCCTTGCATGGATACAGGGAGGGGAACAGCACACACCGGGGCCTGTTGTGGGGTGAGGAGAAAGGGGAGGTAGAGCATTAGCACAAATACCTACTGCATGCAGGGCTTAAAACCTAGGTGATGGGTTGACAGGTTCAGCAAACCAGCATGGCACGTGTATACCTATGTAACAAACCTGTATGTTCTGCATATGTATCCCAGAATTTAAAGTTTATTTTTTTAAAAAACAAGAACAGTTTCCCCTCATAATTCTGTATTAGAGGATTGTTTCTCAACATAAATTACAGCTGATTAACCAAAGATAGTGAGGCAAATGATTTGCCGAACTATTTCCAGTAGTGCTCTTGTGAATCAATGGAACACTACTTACTGATTCACCTGGCATATTAGAGCATCCTATGCTGATAACCCAATATTTCAAAATTAGCAACGATTTGCCAAGCATTTTTCTCCTTTTGCCCTTCAATACTGCTTCTGATGAACCAAAAAAAGGATAAAATATCTGTTACAATAAAATCTTAGTTTTCTTACCATTACCAAATGGCTGTATGTAATGCTTATAGTGAGGACAGAGAGGATTTTATCCCAGAAACACCACAGCATAATATAAATAACAAATAAACAAAACCCAGCCTAACATATTTGACATAAAAGTCTCATAAACTTTGGAGCTTTCAGAAGGCTACGTAAGTATGATATATGGCAAGACTGATGAAAATAGAGAATTCTGAATGGTAAAATGTAAAAAGAAGACCAGTGAAAGAAAAAATAGCGAAGTGCTTATCCAGAAAATAATACTATAACCCGGCATAATTTATGGCAATGAAAGGCAAGCTGTTTGTAGCATAATTGCACCATTCTATCTAAGCCCAATTTATTCTTATTGTCGTGTCATTCCACCTTGTTTCTTCATATGCTCTAGCTGTTTTGCTTCACCTACTGAAAGAGTGAACAGGTGGCTGCTTCCTCACAGGGAACCAGTTCCACTATCCACCCCCAAATGACCAAGCATGTCACCTCTGTGATGTGCGGAGGATCTTGCTGTTTGTCAACAGGAGGTAGTAAAATGGCTTTCAAAGGTTCTGCAAGTGTGTGCAAGAAGCTTTATTGAAACAATTTACCTCTAAAAGGCACTAGCAAACACTTAAAAAAAGAGAAAGAGAGTATTTTCTGTTAGTATACCTTTCTCAGGTATTCAAGTAGAAAAGAACACCAGTGTGATGATTTATGGCATGCTAATTAGTTACGGCCAATTCATTACCTTTTTTTCTCAAAGAGAAATCATTTAAATCAACTGGAGCTATGCATTTCAAACTGATTGCAAAGTCATAACCTTACTGATGTTATCAATGTTATCAACAATAGACTTAAATTGGGCACATTGAGTGAAAATAAATCTGAAATATAATCTTAAAAGCAGAAAATATGAAATATAAATATTACCACCTTTTGTTCTGACTGTTCTCCTCAATCCAGGGAGGTAATAACTATAAAAATATGGTTAACAGCTGTATTTTGCATGAAATATCATATTCTATGAAATATAATATTGTTCTAGAAAGAATCAGAAGCAGAATGCTGGCCTTTCTCTGAGAAGACTCAGTTACAGTAGACTGTGAGCTCCTTAAAGGCTGAATTATACCGTATCCATCTTTGAATTCCAGTGCCTAGTAGATAACCTAGTATATAGCAGGTATTCAGTACATGCTTGTTTAATGGATTAATAAATGAATGAAAGCTACCAAATGACTTATGAGTAATCAACATTCAAACAGAAAATAGGGAATATCTATAACACAAGCAATTGTCTTCCCATTGTTCACAAAATAATCTTCACTCAAACGTGTTCTAGAGAAGAATTAACTTAGATCAGAATTTAACTTAGATTAGAATTTAGAATTGGGATTCAAAAAAGTTCAATTATTAGATGTGCTACTGAAATCAAGTTAAAATCCTATCTCTATTTTTATAGTTTTTTGAAAAACACTATATTTTATGCCTAAAATACTAAATATTTATACTAAAATGTTTATCTCTTCTGAAATGTATTAAATGTTCTGTTCTGCTGTGTAAATGCCATGCAGCACCTAGACACAAGGAGGCTTGACACAGAGGTCTGTGTGGTCTTACAGCAGACTTGGTACCTGGAGTTTGAATGTTGTTAACTTTCCTTTTACACAGAGTATCCTTTACCCACAGAACAAATTCAGAAACAAAACAGAGAGTTATCAGGGACAAATCATATTACAGTCAACTTATAACTTGCTTTCTACCATAAATCATCCACTTCTTTCTCCATCTAGTGGTTTGCACAGTGTGGTCCCTGCATCAGCAGCACCTGGGAACTTAGAATTGCAAATTCCTAGGCTCCTTCCCACATCTACCGAATCAGAAACTCTGGGGTTAGGGCCTAGCAACCAGAGTTTTAACAAGATATCCAGGTGATTCCATTGTATGCTCACTTTTGAGAACCACTGCTTTATGATGTCAAAGACTACTGAAAAAAAAATAAACAATGACATAGGATAACAATAAAAAGTACTATATTTCTATCCCATTAATTTCATCCTTAAATTCATAATACCTCTGATGGCTTAATTATGTGTCTTTCAAAGTTTCCACGGCCCAGTGGCCTGGAGATTGTCAAAATATCCTTGTCTAGGTAAAGGATAAGTTGTTGTTTTTCCACCTTTGTGCTATTCCTGTGAGACCTCCATGGATTATGGAGGAAGTGTGTACCTCATTAAGATATGCTTCTCTGGCCCATTTACATAGTGACTCAAAAGTTGCTAATGCTGGGTGAGGCCCAGAACACAAAAGGGCTCTGAACAGATCCAGGCTGCTATGCAATCTGCTCTGCCTCTTGGGTTTCATGATAGAGTACACCTCAGGGAACTTGAAATGTCAGTGGCAGAGAGGGTTGCTACAGGTGAGTCACAGTGCAGGCCTTTAGGATTTGGGATCAAGGCCTTACTATCCTCAGTGAACGTCTACTCTGCTTTTGAGAAACAGATTTTGGTCTGCTACAGGGACTTAATAGATAGTCCATTGTGAACTGTGTATTGTTTGCCCCCAAAAGTCACAGTTGGGTGTGCACTGCAGTACTCCATTATCAAATGGAAGTGGTGTTTACCAGAGTGGACTCAGGCACACCTTGAAGGAATAGGAAAGTTACATGAAGAGGTGTCCCAAATGTGCATGGCTCTTACTCTTGCTACACTGCTTTTTCTCTCTCAGCTTGTACCTGAACCCACATGAGAGTACCCTATGACTATCTGAGGGTGAAAAAACTCTTGTGTAGTTTACAAATGGATCTGAATGATGTGCACGTACTGTCTGAGATGGGCAGCTGCAATACTGCAGCCCCACACCTACAGGGTCTTCCTGAAGACAATCGCAAAGGAAAATCCTCCCAGTGGGCAGAACGTGGATGAGTGCACCTGGTTGTTCATTTTGCCTGGAAGCAGAGAGGGCTAAAGATGGGGGACTACAATGATTCATGAGCTGAAGCCAATGGCTTGCCTGTATGGTTCACTATTTGAAGAAACGTGATTGGAATATTGGTGGCAAGGAAGTCTAGGGAAGGAGCATGTGGGTAGACCTCACTGAATGGTCACTGAATGGAACACCATAAAGATATTCGTGTTCTTTGAGAATGATTGTCAATAAGTGGATTCAGTAGACCAATATTTTAATAATGAAAATAGAATGGCCTGTTCTGTTGATGTCAGCCAGGCTCTTTCACCAGCCATTACTATCATATCCAAGTATTGGCTGGTGACAAAGTGGCTAAGGTGGCAGTGATGGATAATATGTATGTGCTGAAAAACACTGTCTTCCACTCACCTGGGCTGATTTGGATATAGTCCCTGCTAACATGGAACCACTTCCTGGGTGATCAGCCAGCTGCCTGGTTGTTTTCACTGGGCCACTTCCATCATGGAAGGGCAGAGCTTTGTTCATAGTGGAATACTTACTACAGGTATTGATTTGCTTTCCCTGATTACAGTGCTTTTGCAAAATTACCATCCATGAACTAATAAAATGCCCTTTCAAATATCATGGCATTGTACGTAGTATTGTTTCTGACCATGGACCTCATCTCAGAGCAAAAGAAATGTGACCATTGGTTTATGCTCATGAAAACTCTAAAACAATAGCATCCTGAGTTTATATATGTATGGGTTTGTGCAGTTTGATATTGCTTATTTTTTTAATTCTATAAGCTATAAAATGGGCCCAAGCACATAATCTATTTAACAAAGATACTGTAAAAGTTAAACAAAAATGTAAGTATAACATTTTCTTGTTTCAGCTTTCTGCGTATGGCTAGTCAGTTTACCCAGAACCATTTCTTAAATAGGGAATCCTTTCCCCATAGCTCGTTTTTGTCAGGTTTGTCAAAGACCAGATCGTTGTAGATGTGTGGTGTTATTTCTGAGGTCTCTGTTCTGTTCCATTGGTCTATATGTCTGTTTTGGTACCAGTACCTTGCTGTTTTCATTGCTGTAGCCTTGTAGCAGACTTTGAAGTCAGGTAGCAGGGTGCCTCCAGCTTTGTTCTTTTGACATGGGATTGTCTTGGCTATATGATCTCTTTTTTGGTTCCATATGAAATTTAAAATAGTTTTTTTCTAATTCTGTGAAGAAAGTCAGTGGCAGTTTGACGGAAATAGCATTGAACCTATAAATTACTTTGGGCTGAAACTGGACCCCTTCCTTACACCTTATACAAAAATTAACTCAAGATGGATTAAAGACTTAAATGTAAAACCCCAAACCATAAAAAACCTGGAAGAAAATGCAGGCAATACCATTCAGGAAATAGGCGTGGGCAAAGACTTCATGACAAAAATGCCAAAAGTAATTGCAACAAAAGCCAAAATTGACAAATGGGATATAATTAAAGAGCTTCTGCACAGCAAAAGAAACCAGCATCAGAGTGAACAGGCAACCTACAGAATGGGAGAAAATCTTTGCAATCTACCCATCTGACAAAGGTCTAATATCCACAATCTACAAGGAACTTAAATTTACAAACAAAGCAAAACAAAACAAAAACAAAACAACCCCATCAAAAAGTGTTAAAAGGATATGAACAGACACTTCTCAAAAAAAAAGACATTTATGCCGCCAACAAACATATGAAAAAAAGCTCATTATCACTGATCATTAGAGACATGTAAATCAAAACCATAATGAGATACCATCTCACACCAGTCAGAATAACAATTATTAAAAAGTCAAGAAACAATATTTGCTGTCGAGGCTGTGGAGAAATAGGAATGTTTTTACACTGTTGGTGTGAATGTAAATTAGTTCAAACATTGTGGAAGACAGTGTTCCTCAAGGACTTTGATTGATTTGAATTAAGGTGATTTCTAGAATAAGAAATACCCTTTGACCATAGGAAATCCCATTATTGAGTATATACCCAAAGGAATATAAATCATTCTACTATAAAGATACATGCACACATATATTTACTGCAGCACTATTTACAATAGCAAAGACATGGAGCCTACCTAAATGCACATCAATGATATATTGAATAAAGAAAATGTGGCACATATACACCATGGAATACTATGCAGCCATAAAAAAGAATGAGATCATGTCCTTTGCAGGGACATGGTTCAAGAAGCTGGCAGCCATCATCCTCAGCAAACTAACACAGGAACAGAAAACCAAACACTGCATGTTCTCACTCCTAAGTGGGAGTTCAACAATGAGAACACATGCACACAGGGAGAGGAACAACACACACAGACCTGTCGGGGGTGGGAGTCTAGGGTATGGAGAGCATTAGGGCAAATACTTAATGAATGCAGGGCTTAAAACCTAGATGACGTGTTGATAGGTGCAGCAAACAAACCACCATGGCACATGTATACCTATGTAACAAACCTGCACTTTCTGCACATGTATCTTGGAAGTTAAAGTAAAATTAAAAAAAAATAAATAAAATAAAAAACAATAGTGTTATATTATCTTCCATTGTATAATATAGAAAAAAATGAATTCATAGAAATGTACATTAATAGATAAAAGTTTGATGAGGAAAAAGAAAAAAGAATATTTTCCACAATTATTAGTGAACTTTAAAGTAAAAAAAGGTGTGATTTCTCTTAACCAATTAACATATATTATTTGCTTATATTGTCTGATAAATATGACCTTAAGCAGTTTTCACATATACATTTATATTTATCATAGCAGTATGGTCTATGTGGGAACTTACTCAGAGAGTTTAAGAAACTGTCAAATGAGTCACAACTAGTAAATGGCAGCATCAGGTTTTGACCTAAGCAGTATTTCTTTGGACAACTTTTAACACAACATGTATATTAGTCCATTATCACACTCACTGCTGTAAATAACTGCCTGAGACTGGATACCTTATAAAGAAAAAGGTTTAATCGACTCACAGTTCCATATGGCTGCGGAAGCCTCAGGAAACTTACAGTCATGGCAGAAGGCACCTCTTCACAGGGCAACAGGAAAGAGAATGAGTGCCAGCAGGGGTTATGTGATATGCTTATAAAACCATCAGATCTCAAGAGACTCAGTCATTATCATGAGAGCAGAATGGGGAAACTGCCCCTTTGATTCAATTATCTTCACCTGGTCCTGCCCTTGACATGTGGGGATTACTACAATTCAATGTGAGATTTGGGTGGGGACATAGATGCAAACCATATGAACCTGATTCTATTTTCTAAGCATATTATAAAACACTGTTACCTTGTGAAGACATTTGTCATCTTCAGAGGAATCAATGTCAGAAAGTATAACCTTGAATAAGAAGAATCTCAAATTTTTCTTTGTTTTGTTAAAAAAGAACAATCATAATTTTATATTATAAAAATATTGAGAATCTTCACAGTAATAAATAACTGTCATTTACAAAGTCAATAATACTTAAATACCACAAAAAGGATATTTAATACTGAACTAGGAACATTTTAATTTTTTTTCCTCAAAAATATACCAATCCTTATGTTTTTACATTTGGGGCACTAATATCTATTGTTTAACCATTAAAAAGGAATCTGAATGACGGAGATATTTCAAGTCAGGGGTAAACTCACTGGGACACATATTAAATTTCCCTTGGCTCGTTTGATAAGAATGGTTTCAGTGGAATGCTGAGTTAAGACCTATTTGTAATAGTTTCAAAGGTGACTAAAATGTGAAGATTTGAAAACATACCATAATTACAACCATTTAAAAGAGATTGAGATTGCAGGAAACAGACATTTCAGGCTGAAGCTACCAAAATAAGTGGAGTTAAAGGAGGAATTTTATTTTTAATTTTAAGATGTAGGCCGGGCACGGTGGCTCACACCTGTAATCCCAGCACTTTGGGAGGCCAAGGGAGGCAGATCATGAGGTCAGGAGTTGGAGACCAGCCTGACCAACATGGTGAAACCCTGTCTCTACTAAAAATACAAAAACTAGCCAGGTGTGGTGGTGGGCACCTGTAATCCCAGCTATTCAGGAGGCTGAGGCAGGAGAATTGCTTGAATCTGGGCAGCGGAGGTTGCAGTGAGCCGAGATCACACCACTGAAGTCCAGCCTGGGCGACAGAGCAAGACTCCATCTCAAAAAATAATAATAATAATAAAAAAGATGTAACCATATTTGTATTCTAATGGAAATAGACAAATGAAGCAGAGAGAGACAAACTGTTGATACTTGAATAAGTAAGATACAATTTCAGAAGCAGAGTCCTTAAGCGGGTGGAAAAAAAATGGAATCCAATGTAAAAGTGAAGGATTTTTGGCTAAGATGGGAGCATATACATTTCCTTCATAGTAAGAAGGGATACGGGAATAAATGCAGCTAGTTTGGTAGATTTTCTTAATAGATAAGTAATTTTTTTATTAATGCTGCTATAGTAGTAAAGTTAAGGCAAGGTTATTAAATACAGCGATAAAAGACATTTGCTGAAAGTTTGGAGAGAAAATAGATATAAATAGCAAATTCAGACAAATGATGACTCATAAGTAAGAGTCATGACTGGGCTGAGGTTTGGGGGTCACAAGTTGAAGGCGAACTCATCAGCATAGTTGTATGTTTTCTTTGAGTCATATTTTGCTACTTGGGGAAGCAGATAGAAATTTAGTTTAATTATGGTTAAGATTTTTCCAGATGTGCTGTGGGAAGGAGAGAAAGGCAAAAACGCTGGGAAGGTATGTAAATGGTGATTATACTGATGTATTATGGAATATAAGTTGTATAAGGATGGAATGAAGCCATAACGTGCTATGGGCACTTGAAGGTAAAGGGTTGAGGACTGGAAGTCTTCAGCTTAGTCTGGAATAGGATAACTAAGGTAAGTGGGCTGAAAAAATGGGATATAGAGTTATAAAACGGAGACTCTGGAGACGGTACAGTCACAGGCAATCATACAGTTTAGGGAATGGGCACCTGCAGACAAATGCACAAATAGCTGAGAGGGAAGCAGCATAGCACTGAAAGCCAGGGTGTGGAATTAATCTTCTGTGTGAATGCGGAAGCGTAAGACTTACAGAAATAGCGCAGAGAAACACTGTTAGTCAAACACTAAAACCTTGAGTAAATGAGCAGGAGTGACCAGGTTGATGTCATCAGTATGAAAATAAGCAATGCATTCTGATGAAATGCCTAGCAAAGGAGTAGTGGTTTATAAGAGAGTGGAGATCAGGAAAAGCAAGGAGGAGCAAGGTAACAGAATGGGTCAGATTAGGCGTTACAGTCAGTTGGGGCAAACCGTGAGAGGATGTAATGTAAAGTTGGCCACCACTTGGTATGCGGCATCAGTGACATCATCTTGGGATGGTGTCTCTGAGGATAAAGGGGAGAATAATATATTTATTGGCTCTAGTCTCCAGGTTGTCAGAGATTTGCCTCATGGACAATTAATTCCATAGCATTTGTTTGTGCCTCATCTCAATAGAAAATTTCCAGGCAGAAGAAAAAAGAGGAGTGATATGGGATGCAGGTTTAAGATGAAGAGCTGGTCACTTGTGCTTGCATAAATTTTTTTCAAACTCCAGAAACTTGACCACTGCAGTAGTGGCTGAAGCTGGAAGAAGTGACCAAAAAAGATGAAATTAAGAGAATCTGAAGTAGCTTTTAAGAGATGTCTGGTGTACACACACACGCACACACACAGACACGCACGTGCCAAATCACATTTTTTTCTTGAAAAAATGCTTCCTGTTGCAAATAGGGCTACTTTTATAACTAATATATTAGGATATCTGTACTCATAAACATAAAATATATTTTATTTAGTAACATGCATCTTGTACCTATTTATCTCTTTCAGCTTACTAATTACATGTTACTCAACTAAAGATTTATTTCTTATAGTGTTTATACCCTGCAATATAAAAATGGTTTAATGTCATGTCATAAAAATATTTGGATTAGTTGACAAAAACCTGAAGAGACAGTTGTTGATCTGCCATTATCTCACCACCTAACTTTGGAGAAGGGCAATCGGCAATAAAAGAACCCACCATATCTATATCAAAGCTGAATGGTGCATTCTCATTTTTAAAAAGGCATAAACTTGACTGGTGTTATTATTATATATGTGTTATTCTTTGCCTCTTCAACCCTTAGGCATTTAGACTGGGGTGCTCATGCTGCAAATGACACTCTTCTAAAATAGATCTTCGTATTGATCTTGCTTTAGAAAATAATATTATATTCTTAATATGATATCACCACTTGCTCCATTGAGTTCATACATTATATACTGTAACAAAGAAGTGTAGAATAATTTTGAAAATCTGGCTTGGTTTTTAAATAGCAGAATAATTATTGTATTCTGTCACAACATTTATTTCAAGGGAACTGTTTCTTTGCTTGGTCAATTGGCCCTTCTTGCACTATTGATTTTCTTTCATACTGGAGGAAAATCAATAGCTTTCCTTCTTATTTTTTCTACATATTAAGAAATAATATGCAGCAAAGCCCAAATTGAACTTTTTAAAGAATAAAAGATAATATCACATTTCAAAAGCATATAACTTTGTACATGTTACTATCCATCACTGAGAAATGTTAACAGATTAAATTTTGCTTCATTTTCTCATCATTTTTCTATGCATACTAGCAATTACACAGTTAAAAATAAAAATGAAATCCCTTAAATATTATCACAGTATACATTATACTAGTGTTATTTTCTTCCTTAAATACTCAAAATAACTTGTTGAAAACATAAATATTGTAAGTACCAGTTAAACCCAATTAAATTTATAAAATGAGAATGTATAGCCCAGAAATAGCACCTGAAAAACTCTGCTGACTGCCCTTCCCCACCTATTCATGGAGGTAGGACTGATGCACGTGCTAACCAAATGGTTGTTTTTGGAGAATAAGTTTTTGGAAAGGCAAGAAGGCTGAAATTATATTAAAGCAATTAATAAAACTACAGTCAAGTTTATGATAAACTCCATTAGGAAAATAAAAACAAAGATCAAGTCCAAATATCCAGATGCAGGATCTGAGACACACAAGGTACAAAGAAATGAGTTTTAAGGATGGGGCATGTGTAAAAGCATAGGACATGAGTCAGATTAAGTTAACTAAAAGTGAGGTCCAGAGCAATCACCACCAACAATGCTGGCCTGGAGAGCACAGTTCAGACAGGGCTGTGTGAAGTGACTAGGAGGGAGAAGTACTCTTGGCAATGGAGTAATGCAAGACTTCTCTTCAAGAGTTCACAGGCCGGGTGCAGTGGCTCACGCCTGTAATCCTAGCACTTAGGGAGGCTGAAACAGGCAGATCACCTGAGGCCAGGAGTTCGAGACCAGACTGGCCAACATGGTGAAACCCCATCTCTACTAAAAATACAAAAAAATTTAGCCAGGCATGGTGGCGTGCATCTGTTAGCCCAGCTACTCGGGAGGCTGAGGCCGGAGAGTCGCTTGAACCTGGGAGGTGGAGGTTGCAGTGAGCCGAGCTTGTGCCATTGCACTCCAGCTTGGGCAACAAGAGCAAAACTTTGTTAAAAAAAAAAAAAAAAAAAAAAAAAAAAAGGCTTCACAATCTGGTGGGAAACGCAAGCAAAATTAATCTAAAATGCTATTATATAGAAAGATAGAAAAGGAATAATTAGGATGGGCCACCTAAAAAAAATGTGTTGAAGGTGGTGGGATTTATGTTTGGGTTTTGTATAATAGGAAGTCTGTTTTCTCCCATTTTCTCTTGCATTTCTTTTCATTGAGGTAAAATTCACATAGAATAAAATTGATTAAAGTATATAGCTCAGTGGCATTTAGTAAATTCACAACATTGTGCAAATATTACTTCTATCTAGTTTCAAGACGTTTTATTACTTTCTTTTTTGTATGTATGGTAAGCACACCTAAAGTCTACTCTCTTCAGAAATTTCCAGTATACAGAACAGTATTATGAACTAGAGTCCTCATGCTGTACCATAGATCTCTAGACTAATTCATCCTATATAACTTCAAGTTTGTACTCTTTGATTCCCATCTCTTTATTTCCACACCCTCTCCTCCCAAGTAACTACCATTGCACTCTGTGTTTGTGTGTATTTGACTTAAGATTCCACATATAAGTGAAATAATACAGTATCTGTCTTACTGTTTATGGCTTATTTCACTTAGTGTAATATCCTCCAGGCTCAACAATGTTGTTGCAAATGTCAGCATGTCCTTTTTTAAGACTGAATAGTATTATATTATGTACATATACCATAATTTATTTATCCATTCATCCATCTATGAACAGTTAGGGTTGTTTTAATATCTTGGCTATTGTGAATAATGCTACAAAGAAAAGACAAATGCAGATATTTCTACCAGATGCTGATTTCACCTTCTTTGGGTATATAACCAGCAGTAGGATAGCTGGATCATACAGTAGTTCTGTTTTTAATTTTTTGAGAAAACTCCATGCAGTTTTTCACAATAGCTGTTCCAATTTACATTCTCAGCAGCAGTGCACAAGGGTTTCCTTCCCTCCACACCCTTGCTGACACCTCTTATCTCTTGTCATTTTTATTATAGCCATCTTAACAGATGTAAAGTGATATCTTACTGTGATTTTGATTTGCATTTTCCTGATAATTAGTGATGTTGAATGCCTTTGCATATGTTTGGCTATTTGTATGTCTTTCTTCGAAAAACGTCTATTCATATATTTTGCCCTTTTTTAATTAGATTACTTTTTTCCTTTCAAGTTGTGGGAACTGCTTATGTATTTTGAGTATTAATTTCTTATCAGATGTATAGCTTGCAAATATTCTCTCCCAGTCCATAGATTACCTTTTTATTGTGTTGATTATTTCCTTTTCCATGCAAATGTTTTTTAGTTTAATAACTAATGTTTATGGCTTGAAAGTTTTAATATTTTTAAAATGTCAAATACTGCCTAAAGCCATATACAGATTGAATGCAATCTCAGTCAAAATTTCAATGGCATTTTCACAGGAACAGAAAAACATTCTAAAGTTATATGGGACCCTGAAAGACTCAAATAACCAATGAGATCTTGAAAGCTGAAAACAGAGTTTGGGGTATCATATTTCCTGACTTCAAATTACATGACAAAGCTACAGTAGTAAGAACAATATGGTACTGGCATAAAAACAGATACATAGACCAATGGAACAGAGTAGAGAGCCCAAAAATCAACCCAAGCATACATGGTCAACTAATTTTGGGAAGGCCACAAAGAAGACACAATGACATTAGGATAACTGGGAATCAGTACTCAAAAGAGTGAAACTGGACTCTTATACAACACACAAAAATCAACTCAAAATAAATTGATGATTTCAATATGAGATCTGAAGCAGTAAAATTTGTAGAAGAAAACATGGGGAAAACCTTCTTGATATTGGTCTTAGCAATAATTATTTTGAATATGACATTGAAAGCTCAGGCAGCAAAAGTAAAAATAAGCAAGCATGACTACATCAAAATAGGAAACGTTTTAGTAAGGGAAAGTGTGTCTTTTTGGCAGAGTGTCACACAGAGATAACATCAGGGAGAAAGGTGAGATTATAGGATGAGGCAAATATATATCTCGATATGATAAAGAACAAAAATAATGAACAGAACATGCATAAGAAGGCTGATAGAGCTGATGGTTATAGAATTCATGGACACCTGGAAGTTCAAGAAGAAAGAAATGGACAACTATAGGTTTGATTTTGCAGATAAATAGAGGAAGATATTGACTAATACTGGGACCTGAGGAAGAGGCTTCATATTGTATCTTCTCTTTATAATTCATTTGTATTAATTAGTATTGTCTATAATGGCCTTTCCCAACTTGTTAATTTCAAAACTAACATGTTAGATAACCTCCAACAATTTCCTAAACTATCCCTGTGTGTGTGTGTGTGTGCGCGCGCACGTGTGTGAAGAGAGAGACAGAAAGTGACAGAAAAAAAAAAAAGAGAGGAGGAAGAGACCAGAAGAAGAAAAAGAGGAATGGAAAGAGGGAGAGGTAGAGGAAGGAGAAGACAGCAGTGGCAAAAAAGAGAATGCCAAATGGTTTTGCCACATTGGAAAACAGCTTTGCAATTCCCTACAGAGCTTACCACTTGATGCAGCAGTTATGCTACTAAGCATTACCAATGGATTTGAAAGCTTATGTAAGGTCTGAATATTTTTATTGCAGCTGTATTTGTAACTGCCTTCAGAAGACGAATGAATAAATAAATCGGAGTATACCACAGAATGCCATATTTTTAGGAAAAAAATCAGCTATCAAACCTCCAAGAGACATAGATGAATCTAAAATGCATTTTGTTAAGTGAAGGAAGCCATTCTGAAAGGCTATCTACTGTAGGATTCCAATTATGTGACAATTGAGAAAATGCAAAACGGTAGAGACAGTGAAAAGATCATTGGTTTCCAGGGGTTCAGGAATGAGGAGAGTTAAATAAGAGAAGCGTAGGGGATATTTTTGGGTGGTGAAACTCCTCTGCATGACACTGTAATGATGGTTCCATGATATGCATTTGTCAGACCCATAGAACACTGCAACACAAAGCACTCATTTGAATGTAGGCAAATTAAACAAGTGTTAAAGAGGTCAAAGCGTTCAATTAAGTGTGGGGCTGTGTATGCAGGGGCCTTATAAGGCTAAGTAAGTCTTTGTTTCCATGAAGCCAGCCCACTCCTGTTTCACTTGTCAACGTTTGCCTCTTAACATTTGCCTCTGTGCTTTTTGCTGGCTGTAACCAGCCTCTCTGAGCAAACCAGGGTCTCTGTGTGTCCCACGGGTTGGAGCAGACACTGTACAGCTGTAACTCCTCCTCCGTGGGAATAGTTGAGGTTGAAGTGAAGATTGGCTTTTGCATCCAGGACAGAGGGAGGCAAGCAGGGATGTTCGGGAATGAGGCACTGACTGCAGCTGACACAAGATAACCATGGGGTAGTGAGAGCCATCACTAGGAGTAATCCAGCCTGAAGGCAAGGAAGACACCTGAAATTTGGAAAGAAGGCAGGACTGAGCAGATGTGGAAAGTCATATGAACAAGAGGGCCCCACACTCTCAGGGAGACACTACCTCTCTCCACCATTTCAGCTGCCATGCTCCAGAGTTTCTGTAATTCTGTTCTGCAGCTTTGATACTATAAGCAGCATTTAACACAACAAGATTTATGAGAATAATTTTTGAGACTTTTTTGCTTTTCCCTGTATTACCAAAGTTGTCTGATGGTGACCTAAAGATTTTCTTGTGACTCTACTTCACAGACAAACACAAATACAGGCCCACACTTTTAGTCCTGAGAGGCTGCCAATGGCCTTTACCTGCACGGCACAGTCCCACCTTCTCTTGACTGAACAGGGGGAGATGGAATCACCAAGACTGAAGCAGCCTAGATTAATCTGCCCATGAGGGAAAGCAATACCAAGAACTTGAGAACTTCCAGAAGTCCCTTCATACCTACTAGGGTAGACAATACGAACAATAAAAGGGACTATTTTTAAGTGTAGCTAGACTTTTCTCAACTAAGAGAGTCTTTGAAATGAACAAAATGGAGCTACAGAAATGTTCCCTTCAGTTGATCAATTTTTCTGAAATGTTCATTTGGACCTTATACATTGTGGTACACCAGTTAATCCTGAGATCACAAGGAGAAACTACCGTTTCTTCCCTGTCATATAACTTTCCTGGAAACATAAAACAAGCAAACAAATGCAAGTCACTCTTTTTTTTCCAGTCTAGGGGAACCTCACTGCTATTAGTGCCCTAGCTGAGGACTTTACCTGCCTTCCCTACATGAAGCTTTTGCAGTCAGATCCAGGAAACAAGAGAAATAGGCAGTGGGTCCCAGTCAGAATGAATTCAGAAAGTTGCCCAGGATATGAAGTCAGTACTGGGCTGAATGCTAAGCTTGCTTGCATTTGATCAATTTGTCATTTTATCTGTGACAGACAACACTAGAAATAGAGATGATTTCCAAGTGAAGTCAATGATTCTTCAATCACAAATCTGTCTGAGAGTACTGGGAGCTTGAACAATGATTCTGGTGGCACATGGGGCAATAGAAGTTGCGTCCTGTCAGCAGCTGCAACTTGTGACACAGAGAGGGGCAGGCCACAGCAGAAGGACCAATTGCAGTCAAGGGCAGAGGCCTCAGACATCCCCAAAACACACAAAAGCAACAATAGCAAAAAAAAACTATGTATTAAAATGTTAAGTGTTTTATTATAATACTCTTGTTTCAGTAATTTAAAAATGCCCAGGAAGCCTGGGGCCGCCTCTAGCCAGGCAGAGAGGGCAGCAAACACAAAGGGGCAGGTACCCAGTTGTGACAGCTGAGGACACCCAGGCTCTCAGGGTTCCTCATGCTCCTAGGGCTATTTTCAATTCCAATGTGAAGCCAGCCTAGCTTTAAATGTGGGCAAATATGAGCATGAATTAAACATGAAGAGGCAAAGAGATATATTTAAGAAAGAGGACGGCTTGAAATGCATCCAGCCATATTTTTTAAAAAATAACAAAATATTAACTACTTTTCAGGATTGTCAGAAGAAGGTGGCTTGAGGATGAGAATAGCCGCCCTCAAGTGAATTTCCATTATTTTCCTTACAACTGCCTTTCTCCATTTCTTCATGTATAACCTGTACTCTTATTGGGCTTTAGTCAGGATTTACTGTGCATGATACTTTGAAACCTTTGCACAATGGTAGTGTGAAAGCATGCAGAGCAGCCCCTGACACTGGGAAATTCTAAGAAGGGAATAAATGACCCCCTCTTACACAGCAACAGCTTGGCCACTGATGGCTAGCCCAGAATAATTCTGGAAGTTTCAGCTTCCATCCTTTGCTCTCTGTCCCCTTCAATTGATTCTTCCACAAGTGCTTCCAAATTAAGGATTGAGAAACCAAGGAATCACAGGAGAAATATGAATATCCATTTAGTCTGGAGGTTTGGGGAATGGGAATGGATTTAGAAGAAATGAAGGCAGTGACAGAGCAGCCAAGTTCTAGATCACTCGCTGCTGCTTCGGTGTGGCGATTCCTCAGGGATCTAGAACTAGAAATACCATTTGACCCAGCCATCCCATTACTGGGTATATACCCAAAGGACTATAAATCATGCTGCTATAAAGACACATGCACACGTATGTTTATTGCGGCACTATTCACGATAGCAACGACTTGGAACCAACCCAAATGTCCAACAATGATAGACTGGATTAAGAAAATGTGGCAAATATACACCATGGAATACTATGCAGCCATAAAAAATGATGAGTTCATGTCCTTTGTAGGGACATGGATGAAGATGGAAACCATCATTCTCAGCAAACTATCGCAAGGACAAAAAAACCAAACACCGCATGTTCTCACTCATAGGTGGAAACTGAACAATGAGAACACATGGACACAGGAAGGGGAACATCACACACCGGGGACTGTTGTGGGGTGGGGGGAGGGGGGAGGGATAGCATTACGAGATATACCTAATGCTAAATGATGAGTTAATGGGTGCAGCACACCAACATGGCACATGTATACATATGTAACAAACCTGCACGTTGTGCACATGTACCCTAAAACTTAAAGTATAAAAATAAAAAAATTTAAAAAATGCTTCTTTTTTCCTCTTTTATCTGTTGGACTCCCCTATGAGATTTTATTTGAAGTACATATTTAACTATGAAAAAAGGTCTAGCAATGAAAAATAACTTGAAAACATTGGGTATATAATGGCATTTATAATGCGTTAGAAAGGGTTATTTTTGCTTTGGGGAAAATGTGCTTTGGAAATTTCTGAGTTTACATGAATGATGAAAATACACTGTTTAATTTAAAGGTAACTGTTTAACGCTTTTACACTGTTGGTGGAAGTGTAAATTAGTTCAACCATTGTGGAAAACAGTGTGGTGATTCCTCAAGGATCTAGAACCAGAAATACCATTTGACCCAGCAATCCCATTACTGGGTATATACCCAAAGGATTAGGAATCATTCTGCTATAAAGACACATGCCCACGTATGTCTACTGCAGCACTATTCACAATAGCAAAGACTTGGAACCAACCCAAATATCCATCAGTGGTAGACTGCATAAAGAAAATGTGGTACATGTACATCATGGAATACTATGCAGGCATAAAAAAGAATGAGTTCATGTCCTTTGCAGGGACGTGGATGAAGCTGGAAGCCATCATTCGCAACACTCTAACACAAGAACAGAAAACCAAACACCGCATGTTCTCATGTGTAAGTGGGAGCTCAATAACAAGAACACATGGACACAGGGAGGGGAACATCACACACCAGGGCCTTTTGGGAGTTGGGGCCAAGGGGACGGAGAGCATTAGGACAAATACCTACTGCATGCAGGGCTTAAAACCTAGATGATGGGTTGATAGGTGCAACAAACCACCATGGCACATGTATACCTATGTAACAAACCTGCATGTTCTGCACATGTATCCCAGAACTTAAAGTAAAATTTTTTAAAAAGATAATTGTTTAAAAAATCTACCTGAATAATTTAAGGATCAGATTGGGTGAGGGAAATCAATCTATTAGCAACCCATCCATGACAAGAAACAGCACAATGTGGCTTCCATGTCTAACAGAATAGGTAGCAAACAGGACAACTTTGAGGCCTAATTGCTTAATCCTCAGTGCCTCAGAACTTGCCATAGTCCTTGAAAACCCAGCCTAGAAATCTCTTTAATAGGCAATCTGCATGGCTACATAAAGTTATAAAGTTTCATGGTTTTTATAACACATGATACACTCAAAGATTCTTGCCACTTCTACACTACATTTAAGTATAATTGAGTACATAAATATGCACACAGTATACTTTTCAGTACTGGCACTCATTGAAACCCAACATATATCAGTGAGTTTGATGAATCTTACTAAAGCCATACTACAAGTCCTTGGACTGTAAGGACATAAGCTATCAAAAATACTGTGACAGCTTATTATAAAAATAGATTTAGTGACTTCAATCCTAACCTTTTCTAGCCACGTTCACCTCCTTCCAACAAATAGTGTATGATTCCTTCCTAAAGTAACACTTATTCTACTACAAGGTCATTGATCCACCTGCATCACCCATGCTGACTCACACTCCCTTCCTGAAGGAATTTGATTCATTGTACTAATTTCACCTCATTCACTCCTTCCTCTGAACAAACAAAAGAGAACGTGACAGTTTATAGTCACCCTGCCAAGCATCGCAACCCACTCCCCATTGTTGAGTGTCTGCCCTTCTCAGAAAATCGCAGCTCACTGAAATGTGTAACTCCAGTTACCATCTTCATGAAGAGACACAGATCCCTCACCTAATAAAGGGTGTTTTTGAAAAACTAAATGATTTTTCTCATTCCTATAAATAGTGCTTATTAAAGAAACAACACAAATTCAACATAGCTGTTTAAATAAACATTGTGGAAAGACACATCAAAATGCTGTGTAACTACAACTAAACATGGAGATACGTTCTGAATATTTCTACTGCTTCCATAACAAGAGGTTTTGTTTTTTTTTTTTGTCATTTTTCAAGAACAGAGAAAGAAGCTTCAAAAAGATTAATATCAAAGAAAACAATTGTCTCTTAGAAGTGTAGACTAATACAGTTGATTTTTTCCACTAATTTACACATGATACGTTATTGCAAAGTAATGGTCTTACTTGAATTTAGGTACAGCAATATTTTTCTTTTGCTGGGGTCACTTCTCGGGCAATCTCAACATTCTGGAGAGCAGTCTAGATGCAGAAATAAAAAAAAATAAGTCCTATGAGCATTCAAAAATAGAAGTGATGAAATCTACACACCGAAATGTATCTACTTTACCCATGAGGAAGACAAGACTGCTATTTACACTCAAATCATACACAATTTTCCACACTTTCTTGTCAATTTCTAGGAATAGCTCAAATCCCTGTAAATTATCTAGAGACCAAATGAGGTAATATTTTCCAAATGACTAATGCCACAAGATTAAGTTCTGTAGAACACACTTTGGGGAAATTGACTTCAAAAGGAGTACCAGAGGATATTTCATTTGCCAGTAGGTAGCACTTGGATCTAAATTTAGAATCAGACTCCAAGTTTAAATTAGTGATAATATTTAAAAGCATTCATTGTGAGGAATGGTCTATTGATTTAATGCCAAGAAGTGATTACTTTTTTATGAGACTTAGCTGTTAACTCAGTTTTATGGTGGTGGGGGGCAGGCTGACCTCTTAAAACATACTGTAATTGAAGACTTGAGCAACAGATTGCTAATTTTAGAGGCTAGAGTGGTGCTTCTGCCTTTGTCATTTAGTTTTTAAAGATCCCGTTTATGTTACTTGGCCCCTCATGAACTCAACTGTAGTTTTGAAAATACCATACTTTAATCAATGATAGGCAGGTGAGATGCCTATATTTAATAGAGCAGTGGTTATCAGAAGTCTCAAGGGGATGAAGCTGGCTCCATAAGCATTGCTTCTGTAGCTTATTGAAAATAATATTTATAACTGAGGAGATAGAGTTCAATTCTGAATCTGAATCAGATTCATATAGAGGCCTATAAATATGCATTTTTAAGAAGCTCCCTCAAAATCTGAAGCACAGCTAAGTCGAGAACCCTTAACCAGAATAAAGCTTGTGAGATGTGCTAGGAATAATTCTTGGATGGTGTGATGGTTAACACTCAGTGTCAACTTAATTGGATTGAAGGATGCAAAGTATTGAACCTGGGTGTGTCTGTGAGAGTGTTGCCAAAGTAGATTAACATTTGAGTCAGTGGGCTGGGGAAGGCAGACCCACCCTTAATCTGGATGGGCACAATCTAATCAGCTGCCAGCTTTGCCAGGATATAAAGCAGGCAGAAAACCATGAAAAGACTAGACTGGCTTAGCGGCCCAGCCTACATATTTCTCCTGTGCTGGATGCTTCCTGCGCTTGAACATCAGACTCCAAGTTCTTCAGCTTTGGGACTCAAACTGGTTTCTTTGCTCCTCAGTTGACAGGCAGCCTATTGTGGGACACTGTGATTGTGTGAGTTAATAATACTTAATAAACTCCCATTATATATATGTAAAAGGAAATATATATATATGTATGTATATTTCCTATTAGTCCTGTCCCTCTAGAGAACCCTGACTAATACAGATGGCCCCCAGATTCTTGCCCCTGAAATGCCTCTTGGCTGTGGACTGGACTTGTGGCAGTTGTGGATTTCACTCCTGTTCTAAGATTCCATCAGATGACAAAGGTGGAAGGATTTTGTAGCTGTCATCTCCCAAATCAGTCAATTTTGAATTAATCAGTTTGAAGGAGATTAACTGGGTGGCCATACTTGATCGATCAGGTGGGAGCTCCTACAAAGGGTCAGAGGATCAAGCTGGGACAGATCCTCCTGTGCCTTTGGAAGAGGGAGGCTGCCCTGTGGAGATGGTTGCATGCCCAAGTCCTCCAGGAGGTGCCCATTAGGAACCCAGAGCAGCCCTTGGCCAGCAAGCGGCAAGAATGTGGGGACCTCAGTCCTAGAAATGCAAAGAACTGGATTTTGCCACAAACCTACACAAGCTTGGTAGAACCCCCAAGTTCCAGATGCAAACACAGCCTGGATGACACTACAATTGTAGCATTGTGAGACTGCATAGAATCAATCTGGATATGTCATGCCTGCACTTCTGGCTATGGAAACTATGAGGAAACAAAAGAGTACTATTTTAAATGACTAAGTTTGCTACATGTTTTTATGCAGCAATAGATAACCAATACACGAGATAAATCTTATGCCTCACTCTATTATTACTGTATCCCCACATATGTCATACATGTGATTCCAGATTTTTTTTTAATTTACATGATAAGGAGTTCAGAATTAGATGTTGTGTCAAAATAATGTTAATTGCACTAGAATCATTATCATATCTTTTAAGTTTTTTCATAGGTTGTTTCCTTAGTTATTTTATGTGAAATAATTTTAGACTAATCTGATTTTCTCCATTTATTTATTTTATATAGATGTATTTGTGGGTTTTATTTATGAAATAATAAATATACATTAAGCCTCTTGAATTAAAAAAAATGTAACCTTGTTCCAAAGGACCAATGTTGAGGTGTGAAAGTAGGAACATTACTTAAAGAACAACATGCTGTCGTCACTGAGGCTGGTCCGCTCCTGGTCTCTATAGCCACAGAGGTGAGCAGACATTAGAACTAGAACACAATGTCCAAAGTACCACTCTCACAGCCCCAGGTGCAAATATGAAGAGCAAAAAGGGAAAGGAAGTTCAATGGCTAGATGAGTCTTCTGTTTACATATTTACCACCCTCATTTCCACGATTACCTATTTATTTTTACTTCATTATTATTATTTTACACATGGGGTCCCACTCTGTCATCAAGACTAGAGTGCAGTGGGTGAACACTCAGTGCATAACTCACTGCAGCCTCTAACTCCTCGGCTCCAGTGATCCTCCTGCCTTAACCACCCAAGTAGCTGGGATTACAAGTGCAAGCCACTACACTCAGCTCCTAGTTGGGACCTCTGCAAAGGCTTTAACTTAACACTGTGAGGGAAATGAAGAAATCAAATAAAAACTACAAACCAAAACACAGACAGTCCAAAGAAGAGTTCACTACAGCTAATGAAGTAAATAAAAATCTAAAAATGGTAGGTTAATCAATGTATTACTTAACAAGGAACTAGAATAACGGAGGGATTTTAAGTTTCTATCCAACTGGAATATGTGAGGCAAATAAGAAATACCAGGGCTCTTGCCACCATGTCCTTCCCAGTTCTGAGCTCCCTAAGAGTGGGCTGTCTTCTCCCTCCCTTTCTAGGTCTTTATACATTTTTCTCTATGTGATGTCCAAGATATTAAGTTGCATTTAAGTGGGAGGAAGAAGCAGAATTGCTCCTACTCCAGTTTTCTCAGAAGCAGAAGTCGAACTTCATTTTTGACTTAGGAATTTAACTGGAAAATTTAAGTGTGAAATATGAGTATACATGTGAGTTTTAAAAATACACTATTGATGTCAGTTATTCAAAGTCTTTTAATATAGATACAACCATACCATCTGTGTGCCCTATGATGTCTTTTTGTGAAATAAATTATTATTCACTGAAATTATTCATTGAAATTATTGTTCATTGAAAACCCTGAAACACAAATATCACTGAGGAAAAGAAATCAACCACAAATGACAAAGATGGAAAAGTTACAGAAAGAAAATAAGTGTTTTAAAATACTCCTCATCTATATAAAAATGTGAAACAATCACTCTGCCTGGCGTATTATTTAATAAGTTAAATATCTTAGTTGTGATGGAAGTTTCACAGAAATATACATATGATAAAATGACTTATACATAAAAACGAGTGCACGTGTAACCGAATAACTCTGTGGGTTGTACCAAGGTCAGTTTCCTGCTTTTCATAATCAGGTACTGCAGTTATGCAAGATGTTAAATTTGGGAGAAGTTGGGTGAAGTGTACACTGGATCTCTCTGTAGATTTCTTTGCAACTTCCTAGAAATTATGACTAATTAAAATCTTAAAAGTTTCTTAAAAAGTAAAGGAAATATTGAATATAACTCCAACTCGTATTATCTCTTAAAGGAAAATAGAATAAAATACAAATATAGTAAAAACCATGTGTACTACAGTTGTCATGCTCCACTTCTTATATTGGGTAATAGATTCACAGATTCTTTTGGTATTAATATGCTTTATAACATACATATATACATATATATATACACATGCATATACATGTATACACACACGGATGTGTTAAGGTTTTGTCTTTGTCAACTATCACACTAAAGTAAAACAAGAAAAATGCATCTTATAATGTATACTCTGTTTATGTGTTTGTGTGTGCATATCTTCAGATGAGAGGTACATATTTTCTTTCCTTTACTATTAGAGAAAAAAACAAATTGTTACTTAATGGCAGTAATATAAGGAATGGAATGACTTGGTCTTAATAGTAAATCTACAATTTGTGGCCTTATTTACATTTGATTGTCTTTATGTTAACAATGTAAACTGGTTTGTGTTTGTATGAAGTATGTAGCAATAAAATTAATAGTCAGGAATTATAATTTTTCACAAATATGGTCCTTCCTAAAGATGTGTAGATTTTTTTCAGGAAGTTGGGAAATATTAAACATTTTAGAAAAAGATTATTAATGATTTAACTTGCTTAAGTGTTATCATACAAATTAAAGGAATTGTAATTAAATTATATTTTTACATTTCAATAAGAGAAATAAAGCACAAGAAGTAGCCACATAACATCAAATTATAAGTTAAAATTTAGATTCCTTCATTAAGTAATCATGTATTTTAAAATAATACTTATCTAAGGTAATTTTTAAATTATTAGAAAAAATCATAATGATATGCAAACTAATTAATGGCTTTCTAAATCTCTCTCAAAATAATACTTGAGTGAAACAAATTTACTTTATTCTTTCTTTTTTTCTTTACCTTTTTTTTTTTTTTTTGAGATAGAATCTTGCAAACTTGCCCAGCCTGGGGTCCACTGGTGTGATCATGACTCACTGCAACCTCGAATTGCCAGGCTGACAGGATCCTCCCATCTCAGCTTCCTGAATAGCTGGGACTACAGGCGCATGCCACCATGTCTGGCCAATTTTTGTATTTTGTATTTTTTTTTTTTTTCGTAGCGATGAGGTTTTGTTCTGTTGCTCAGGCTGGCCTCAAACTCGTGGGCTCAAGCAATCTGCCTGCCAAGGCCTCACAAAGTGCTGGGATTATAGGCATGAGCTACCGCACTTGGCCAAATATATTTTCTTATCAGGACCATTACATATAATCACGGTCCAGAGAGGTCAATGTGATTTGAAGGAATGTGATATGAAAGGTTTTACATACACAAGATTCAATACCTGAGTGACATATAGGAAAAGTTGGTTTAGAAACAGACTCTTTTGCTTTCCTAATTTCAAAGATTTTTTTTTTTATTTTATTTTATTTTATTTTTTTTATTTTTAATCTTTTTTTTTTCTTTTTTTATTATTATTATTATACTTTAAGTTTTAGGGTACATGTGCACATTGTGCAGGTTAGTTACATATGTATACATGTGCCATGCTGGTGTGCTGCACCCACTAACGTGTCATCTAGCATTAGGTATATCTCCCAATGCTATCCCTCCCCCCTCCCCCGACCCCACCACAGTCCCCAGAGTGTGATATTCCCCTTCCTGTGTCCATGTGATCGCATTGTTCAATTCCCACCTATGAGTGAGAATATGCAGTGTTTGGTTTTTTGTTCTTGCGATAGTTTACTGAGAATGATGGTTTCCAATTTTATCCATGTCCCTACAAAGGACATGAACTCATCATTTTTTATGGCTGCATAGTATTCCATGGTGTATATTTGCCACATTTTCTTAATCCAGTCTATCAATGTTGGACATTTGGGTTGGTTCCAAGTCGCTGCTATTGTGAATAATGCCGCAATAAACATACGTGTGCATGTGTCTTTATAGCAGCATGATTTATAGTCCTTTGGGTATATACCCAGTAATGGGATGGCTGGGTCAAATGGTATTTCTAGTTCTAGATCCCTGAGGAATCGCCACACTGACTTCCACAATGGTTGAACTAGTTTACAGTCCCACCAACAGTGTAAAAGTGTTCCTATTTCTCCACATCCTCTCCAGCACCTGTTGTTTCCTGACTTTTTAATGATTGCCATTCTAACTGGTGTGAGATGATATCTCATAGTGGTTTTGATTTGCATTTCTCTGATGGCCAGTGATGATGAGCATTTTTTCATGTGTTTTTTGGCTGCATAAATGTCTTCTTTTGAGAAGTGTCTGTTCATGTCCTTCGCCCACTTTTTGATGGGGTTGTTTGTTTTTTTCTTGTAAATTTGTTTGAGTTCATTGTAGATTCTGGATATTAGCCCTTTGTCAGATGAGTAGGTTGCGAAAATTTTCTCCCATGTTGTAGGTTGCCTGTTCACTCTGATGGTAGTTTCTTTTGCTGTGCAGAAGCTCTTTAGTTTAATTAGATCCCATTTGTCAATTTTGGCTTTTGTTGCCATTGCTTTTGGTGTTTTGGACATGAAGTCCTTGCCCACGCCTATGTCCTGAATGGTAATGCCTAGGTTTTCTTCTAGGGTTTTTATGGTTTTAGGTCTAACGTTTAAATCTTTAATCCATCTTGAATTGATTTTTGTATAAGGTGTAAGGAAGGGATCCAGTTTCAGCTTTCTACATATGGCTAGCCAGTTTTCCCAGCACCATTTATTAAATAGGGAATCCTTTCCCCATTGCTTGTTTTTCTCAGGTTTGTCAAAGATCAGATAGTTGTAGATATGCGGCATTATTTCTGAGGGCTCTGGTCTGTTCCATTGATCTATATCTCTGTTTTGGTACCAGTACCATGCTGTTTTGGTTACTGTAGCCTTGTAGTATAGTTTGAAGTCAGGTAGTGTGATGCCTCCAGCATAATTGGATGACATTTAAGTTACAATGCGACTTTAGGTTCAACTAGTAATGCCCATTGGTTATATGACAAATGTATGTATCAACATATATCTCGATCTTTTTAGGAACCACTAAGGTTTTCCAATCCAGGGTTTCTGTTACTATCTGAAAATTATAGTTGCAAATCACTGAAGAAGGAAAATAAAAATGGCATGGCCATAGTGGCAGCAATTTTCAAGCAGATAATATGCAGAACATGGTCGATGAGTGTCCGTGGCTGAAGATGACGTAAATTTAATTGCTTCACTTAAATTAAGCAATATTAAGTCAATTGTACTCTTTCCAGATACAAAAGCTCTATCTGGAGATGAGTACAAGGATGAACAAACTCTACAGCAAACATCAGTATACAGGACACAAAATAATTTTTGGATACGTTTTGACATTTTCCTGATTCTTGCTTGAATAAATCACTACCTGCAAAAATGATTTCTGTACATCCAAACATCAGTTTGCTAAAGCCTCATCTCTGTCACTGACTGCACTGTGATATAGAAAATTAATCTTTTCTCACTCTGACAACTTGCTGGAGCAAGGTGAATGGGAATCTCTGGCTGGGGATGGAGACTAAATGTTAAGTTAAATTGACCTCACTTAATTAAATCGAGCAATATGAAGCTAATTGCTCTCTTTTCAGTAAGCAAAGCTATGCCTGTGAAGCTCATCAAAGCAGAACTCAACACTGTTCTATCCAAAATAGTATAAACACCTGACACCTAATTCAACATTTTTTGTGTGTGTGTGTGGGAGATGAAAGATTATTTTTCCTGCTGGGGAGGGGGAAGCATAGTTTCTATGAGTTAGAGTCACTATTGTCTTAATTTATGACATACATAAAATAAGCTGAAAGCAAATTTAAAAACCTATAAATAAGGGATGACTCATTCTTTGACCAAAATGTTAGAGTAATATTCAGAAGAATGAACTTTATCTTCTGATGTTGTATAGCCATACCATTTAATAAAGCCAAGGAGCATAATAAGTATTTAACAGTAGAATTCATAGTTGGAGATAATATTTTTTCCAAAGAGTTTCCCAACTGTTAACATAAGAGTTGCATATTTTGAAGAGTTACTTCTATTTACACATTCACTACATATTTGAGTGCATATTAGGGACCTTGCGCTCTTCTAGGGTCTGTGAATGTAGCAGGGAAAGAAAACAAGGGACAAATAAATAAGTGAAATTTATATTATGACATGTAATATGTTGTATGCACAAAAAGAGTTGCAACCAAATATCCCCTAGTAATTTAAAATGTGTTCACTAAAAATTATCTACTTAACAACCTATCTAATTTTAAATATCTTTTGATTTTGCAGAACAAAACTATCATTTCAGTCAGATTGCCTGATAGAGCTTTAAATGAATAAGTACCAGTAAACAAGGTTTGCTTTGTTATCCACTGTTCATGCTTGTCAATGGAGAATTGCCAGTTCTCTGGAAAAAAGCAGTCCCCTTTCAGAATTTGATACTGGAACAGAACATGTTCATACGCAAAGTTCTTTGTAACTGTGCATCACGCTGTACCAGCCATGGCAAAGCATCTGAATAGCAGCAGAGTAATGTTCTATTCTCCTTGACCAATTCAGACAAGCATTGTGAAAAATTAGCTTTCTGTTCATTTTTACTTCTGACCATAGTTTAAGCATATTCAGCAAGCCCATGATGATAGATAGCAAAAAAAAAAAAAAAAAAAAAAAAAGAAATTGTGTCTTTCTATCAAAGTCTCTGAGATCAATGGGAACATTAAAATGGAAGAGAGATAAGAGGAAAAAGCAAATACAAGAGGTAGATCAAACCCATAGATTTCAGTCTGTCAGTTCAATAATTTGCAGTGCTAAAGGCAGCAATTGTAAAGATGTAGTCATTATCTTGAAAAGGTAGGATCCAACAAGTGATATTGATGAAGATTTTTGAATTCTTAAACTTGTCATGTTCCATTTAGAATCTTAAACTACAGTCTAAATAATCTTCTATTATAAAAGCAAATCAATTTTACTAAAAAAATTCATGGGCCGAGTGTGGTGGCTCACGCCTGTAATCCCAGCACTTTGGGAGGTGGAGGCGGCAGACCCTGAGGTCAGGAGATCGAGACAATCCTGGCCAACATGGCGAAATCCTGTTGTGTATTAAAATACACAAATTGGCCGGGCGTGGTGGCGGGCGCCTGTAGTCCCATAGTCCCAGCTACTTGGGAGGCTGTGGCAGGAGAATCACTTGAACCCAGGAGGTGGAGGTTGCAGTGACCCGAGATCTCGCCACTGCACTCCCACCTGGCGCCAGAGCAAGACTCCGTCTAAAAAAAAAAAAAAAGAAAAAAGAAGAAAATTCCTGAAGAGAAATTTGTAATACTTAGTTTGTTTATTAAAAAAAAAAAAACTTGGAATTATAACTGGAAGACATAAATTTTGGAAAAATTATATTTTGGAATACTCGGAAGCAACAGTAAAAGCGACACAGAAAAGTCGTCTTCTAATCAATAGGTTATATAGGTTATGGTTGAGAAGACAGTTTTCAAAATTTAAAACTAGAGAATATGGGATTTAGTTTCTGTGGGTGAAACGAGTCTGTCTCACTAAAGGGCGGTGGAATAACTGGCTGAGTTGAGGAGAGTTGCTTTCTTCCCAGTTGATAGAATCTACAGAGAGACCAGAAAGGGCCTCCCTGGAGGGTGAAGGGAGAGGCCTCTCTTCTGAAGAGTGAACTGGGACCTAGCCAGTTGCTTATGGAAGCAGGTAGTTAGCAACTCTATGGGAAAAGACTGGAACCATGAATCCTGGAAGCAGCCACATGGCACCAGATGCCATCCCCTTCTGTTTGCCCTGAGCCATTAGAAAGGCTTCCTAAGGATTTCATGGTGATCTCGGCTGTGCCTTGCTATAGAATATGCGAGAAAGTTTCTGGGTCCAGGCTCCCATGAGGCAGTAAGAGGATCATGCTCTGAAGCTGGGATAGCCGGGGCATGTTTACCTCCAGGAACAGCAGTGGGAGCAGATGGCAGGAGCAGAACACGTCACTGCATAATCATGAGGAATGGCCAGGCTGATGTCAATCAGGACAGAGGACTCAGCTTCACACATGTGACGTAAATACCCCTTCCTATCCTGATGTCCTAGATTAGATAGCACCTCAACTGGAGATCCAGCGGGCTAACGAAGGGAAGCATGATGGAGGATGAAGTTCTGCTAGGGACTGGTGTTTTCTTTCTTTTTTTTTCTTTTTTTTTTTTTTTTTTGAGACAGAGTCTTGCTGTCGCCCAGGCTGGAGTGCAGTGGCGTGAACTCGGCTCACTGCAAGCTCCACCTCCCGGGTTCATGCCGTTCTCCTGCCTCAGCCTCCCAAGTAGCCGGGACTACAGGCACCCGCCTCCACGTCCGGCTAATTTTTTGTATTTTTAGTAGAGACGGGGTTTCACCGTGTTAGCCAGGGTGGTCTCCATCTCCTGACCTCGTGATACGCCCGCCTCGACCTCCCAAAGTGCTGGGATTACAGGCATGAGCCACCGCGCACGGCCGGTGCTTTCTTATAGCCAGCAGGCCGCAGGGTTCACTCTGGGCAGCCTCACTTCCCATTGGCTTTGTGACACTATTTTCCTGCTCTCAGGTTATTCACAGAGCTGCTCTGACAAGAACCAGGGTGACTAATTCTATCTCAATTCCTTATTTTGTCCTGCCAAGCAAGTGGCAGTCAAGTCAAGCTCTCCACCTTCCCTGACGCTGTACAATTCAATTCAACCACAAATCACACAGCATTTCTTCTCCCTCTTGCTCTTCCTCCTTCCTCTTCTCTTTCTCCTTCCCTAAATATCATTCCCCTCTCTTTCATTCTTCTAAAAGCAGTTTCGGCCAGGTTGTGAAGGATTTTGAATGCTTGTCTAAGATTATATGCTTTATTAATGCAAAATAGGGAATGAATTGTGTTTTTTTAAAGACAATTATCTCTTAACCTAATTTGTGGTCTTTCCTTTTGCCCCTTAAATATTGCTGCTATCCAGGATGTTTTGATTGGGTGACTTTTTTTTTCTTTTTCTTTTTCTTTTCTGTTTCTTCCATACCTTTTTTGTGGGAATGCTTCCCTCACTAGACAAGGGCTTTCAAATCTATACTTACCTCATGCACTCAAGGGCCAATCACTGATTCTATCTCTAGGCCAGAGATTTCTCTGAACTCCAGATACACATACAGAACACACAACAGATACACCACACACAACACATGCACCACACACTATCAGGTCCTCTTGGAAAGTCCCTAGAATCAGCACATGGACACTGAAAGTTAGCCTTTCCCTACGAAAACATGCCTGTCTTTCCATGTAATCTATTAATAGTGTCATCACAACTCTTATGCCCCAAGCCATGAAACTGAACTTCGTATTTGATTTCTTCCTTCACTTTGGCCCTATACAATCAATGGGTCAAGTTCTACTAAAATCTCCAGATAATTTCCCAACTGTGTACTTTCCTTAAGTCTTTCTACCTCATTTAGCTTATCCTGTTACTTTTCCTTGCTTAGATTTCCATAATCATGAAAAACTGATCATATAGTGTTCCATATAAAATCCCTGATTTGTTCTATGCGCTGCTGCTGAAGTCATCTTTTTGAAACATAAAATTTCAACTTATGTGATCATGTGATTCTTCAACAATAAGTTCTTTCATGGATCATCATCATCTTCAGGACACAATCAGTATCATTTAGAATAATATTCACTGTCCTTAATGATCTATCTATAAGTCTTGACATTAAAATATCATCTTCTCTATTTTACTATTCCAAAGTCATTGCCATTCTCTAAATATGAAATCCTCTCTTTGCAGCAGTGGTCCCTCTCATTGGTGGCTGTGTCTGCCTGAACTCCCCTTTCCCCACACTTCTCAGACTCCTATCCTTCTTCCAGGCTTGTGTCCAGTTGTTTTCAAAACTCCTTCAAAAAATATTCTCTACAGTCTATGTTCTATGCCCAAGTTCTGTGCTCCCAAAAAAGTACTACAGCTATTCCGTGCTTCTGCAAGATCCCTATGAGTATCAAATAAGCTGATACAAGTATGAGTATGACTTCAGGTTCAAAATCCATAGGATACATTATAAGGCAATAATTAGCTATGCATAGTATTTCTAAGGGAGATTTCAGAAATATATTATGACTCAGATCACAAATCACATGCCTTGTTATTCAGGGATATTTACTAATACACTATGTTATTTTATTTACATTTCATTCACAATGAAATGTAAATCCTAGAAACTATCCTAGTTGTGATATAAAATGAAAGCACAGAAAAGCAAAAGAATGTCCATGCTTCTAAGTGATGAGGACTAATCTTAAGCAATCCATATGACCCTTTAAGAAAACTGAGAGGTTTTCTTCTTGGAAAGAGGTAACTGTTTCAAAGCAATAGCATTTTCCCTTTCAAATTCATCTCAAAAGTCAACAAAAGGTTACCAGTTACCATTAGAAGAGATATTGTTTATATCATCCCTTTAACACAAAAATTTCAGATATTATTGAAAGTCAATTTGCTGTAACAACGTTTATGTGTCAGAAATTGAATTCAATTCCATAAGGCTCCAGGTGAGTATTATCTAGAAATAGTTCTTCCAACCCTAAAGATTAGTAAATTTTTCTCAGAAGATGAGACACAAACTGCATAGAAAATTAAGTGCAATGCCCAAGAGCATGTCCTCCTTTTATTAGAAAAACCAACAAACACATTACTCAATATGTTGTCCTGCATAAATATCAAACATGCAGAGTTTGCTACTGTTTTATTGTTCTGAATTAAAATTTCTCCCAGTTTAAGTCTACCAGGTAAGGGCCCAACTTAGGTAATTGGGTATATTTTTCAGTAGGAGAGGGAGCTGCAGGTGGATTCTGAAGAACTTGGTTTAATTTCTTCAACTGCTGCTGGTGGTACTCCAGAACAAGATAATTAAGGTTTTTGAACTGTGATTCCTTGTCATATATAATGGAACCTGTAAGACCAATGGGACCAAATGAATAAGGGTAGAATGAGAGGATGCCTGTGAACACTCCATAGAAACACTAGGCTCAGGTACTGAATAAAATTGCTGAGAGAGTCAAATACTCAAGTACACACGTATGGCTTTTAGTTTCATTGAAGCTGCAAAACAATGACTACTATTTTATTTCCTTTTTTGATATACATGTCAAATAGTGAAAATATTCTCTATATAAACATGATAAAATAGTAAAGACTCACATTTTGCTTTTTCCTTTGACCAAAATCTCATTGAGATTATAGTAAAGAGACTAGAAAAACACAAATTAATAATTACAAAGAACAGCGGAGGACACAACAATGTTTTGGAAGTTTAAAACCAGATGGATGATGAGTAACTTGCTTAGAAGCCTAATGCCTAAACCTGTCCTAAGCCAACAGTAGGCAAATAATAGGAATAAGATAATTTATACTGCAGAAATTTGGTATAACCAGGAAACGTAAAATCTAGATGTTTGAAAGTATTGCCTCAAGTGGACAGAAAATAAGACTGGTTTATAGCATACCTAAAGAGTTTAGTAACAAACTCATAGAACATAACTGCAACAAATTGCAAGTGAAAAAAAAGGAATATTTAAAATAGTCAAAAATCTTCTAAAAGTCAATAAAGAAAAAAGTCAAATAATCCAATATAAACATGGAGCCAAGACAGGAACAAGCATTTTAGAAGAGAAAAAACCCAAACGGCCGGTCATCAAAAAGCACTCAACGCCCACTAGTTATCAGGCAAAGGCACATTCCGTTCACAACACGTTATTCAACCATCAAATTAGAAGCAAACACAGACAATAAATGCTTGAGACTAAGAGGAGCAACTGGTTTGTAAACTCTAGTAAGAACATAAATTTGTAAAATAATTGTGGAAAATAGTCTAGTATTATTTATTAAAGTTAAAGGTGTCCATATCCAAGGTCTCAGCGATTCTATCACCAGATATATACCCTTAAAAAACAAAAATCCTCTTACACATGTGCATCAAGGCCTACCAGAATGTCTGTTCACCAAAGCATCTTTATCATAGCAAAAAATTGAATCAATTAAAAGTTATGTTAATGTAATAAGGAATAGAGAAACAAATTATGCAGTATTACTGCAATGGAAGGTTGATTACAACAGAAAAAAACAATGAACTCCAGCTACATAAATCAACGTGGAAAAATAGGAAAATGTCTGTAGGTATTCAATAATTGCATAGTTGAAAATTAACAAACTTTGACTTCCTATTTTGCATTTAAAATTGTTTTTATTAAATTGAAGCTAATACTATTACCCTGTTATTCTAAATAGAAGTCCTGTGTGTGCTCCATGATCATAGGCATAGCATTCACTGAGTATTGTCAATCCCTGGGGACTCTGCCCAGTGCTCTCTGATGGTCATCTTCCTATACTTAAAAAGTTTTGAGAACCCACCCAAGAAGCTACTTTGCACATGGGTACAATTGTTTTTTATTTCCTAAGAGACAGGCTAAAAATAAGACTACATATGTGAAAGATGAATAGATTTCATATAAATTCAAGAATTTTCTAAAATTCCAGCCATGTGACATTAAAATATCAAGAAAGCTTTGGATATCATGGATCTACCATAATCTGAACCTGATAATGGGAAGAGAACCCTTTACTGCTTAGTAGAAGAAATGAACCAAAAGTGCCTATCTTGATGTCTAAATGGACCAGGTCTCCCAAACTAAGATGATCATGGAATTTGCCACCCAAACAATGTCACTTGGGAGAGTGATAGGAAGAGGTATTTACAATTTGCCAGGACAGTTGACATAAGCCAGGAATGCCCTGGGAAAAGAAAATATACATTTAACTTATCCAAAACTAACAACCACTTATTGCTTTTATCTGTCAATGAACATTTCTTTAGAAATTTTTGAAAAAGTTAACTTCCATCTAGGTTTGGTAACTACTTTTATAACATTCTCGATTCTATGGATTTCTTTATTTTCATTTCTATGAATGTGCAAGACAGGAAAGGTCTCAGTGCTGTAAACAAAGCACCAGTAGCAATCTCAAGAAGCTGCACATTGTTTTGTTTCCTTGGCTGAATTCTTGAATTTTACCTCCGTTTTAATGATTTATAATGAAAAGTCCTAAATATCACATTTTATTTTGTCATCCAATAATACCTTATCTGCAAGCTCGGGGAAATTCCATAATTTAAAATTTTCTTAAAGGCTTTTGCTGCTCTATTTAACCTTCCTTTTTTGATAAGACAATAATAATTATGCGAAGAATAAGTTTTTAATTGTGTGTTGAATAATATGTATTTTGTGTATACTAATATGTATTTTTATAATCAGATTTACCTTAAAGAATTATCAAGTAATCATTAAATATAAGTGTTTATTGGGGGGACAATTTAAACAAAATAAAATACTCATATATGAAAGACACAGTTTGATGAGTTTTAGCAAACCTATATAGCTTTGTAACTACTCCTCTGATCAAGATACAGAACATTTCTATAGCACTCAGGCACAGTCACTCTTCTGATTTTCATCATCATAGATTAATTTACCTAGAAAGCAAACAAATGAAATACTACCACAGCTATGCATCTAAATATCTATATTCAGACATATGGAAGTGTCCATACATCTATAGATATTGATATCTATTTTTGTCTAGTCTTCCTTGTTTGAGATTCAGCTCTGTTTTTGCATCTATCAGTATTCCATTCTTTGTATTGCTGAGTAGCAATCATTGCATAAATATAAAACCATTTGCTTATCTATTCATTTGATCATGAGAATTTTGTGCAGTTTCAATTTAGATATGAAAAACTGCTATGAACACTTGATTTTATTCCTCTTGGAAATGGAAGCACTGTACCATTTTACATTTCACACAGTGCTTGTGAGTTCAGTTGCTCAACATCCTTAACAACACTTGGTATTGCCAGTCTTTCTCCTTTTAGTTATTCTAGTGGGTGTGACGTGGTAGCCCAAGATGGTTTAATTTCCACTTACTTGATTAATAATGATGTCAGCGCCTTTTCATGTACTTATTCACAATTTGTACATCTTCTTTAGTGGCATGCCTGGGTCCTTGATCAGAACACTTGCCCATTTTTAATGGGCTGATTTGTCTTTTTAGCAATGATTTTTATTATTCTTGATACATTTTGTCCATGGGCACAACTAGGAAATACATGCACATATCCCAACCTATATTTTAGGTTATATATTAAACTGTATACAGTAATACATATATAACTATATATACATACAGATTCACATTATATATATCAGCCATATATTGATCAGTGCATATATTGATTTTTGTATTTTGAAGTAATCTTAGATTTCTAGACTAAATCTATGTGGCCAACATGTGTTATCCTTTTATGTATTGCTCAATGAGATCTGACAATATTTCATAAAAGATTTTAGCATCCGTGATCATAAGCGTTATAGATCCGTAATTTTAATACATTTTCATTCTGCTATAGCACTTGACAATACTGGATTCAGGGCCATACTGATTTCGTACAACAAATTGGGAATGTTTCCTCTCCTTGTATTTTTTGAAAGAGTTTGTGTAAGTTTTGTATAATTGTTTCCTGAGTTTTAGTAGAGTTGACTAATGAAGCCAACTGTACCTGGGGGTGTTTTGTGTATAGGGGCAAAGGATGAAGTCTTAAGTCTCAATTTCATTTATTTAAACAAAATAAGGCTATTCAGATTTCCTCTTTTTGTATTAGTCTTAGCAGATTCTATTTTTCAATAAAAGTTTTCATTTCATTTCATTTGCCCTTTTTTTCTTTACTGAATAGTGTTTATTTTTTTTCCTTTTTACACTTCTATATATGTAGTATTCATGGTGTTGCTCTGACAAATTGTGATTTTTCTGTTTATTTTCTTTTACAATTCTAACTAGAGATGTATTTGTTTTATTCATCATTTCAAACAACTTTTGTCTTTATTATTTCTATCTTATGTTTGTTTTCTGTTACCTTTATTATTTGTTTTCTTCAACTTACCTTGAATTACATTAAATCTTTCTTCAGATGGCCCTATAGAGTGAAAGGTGATGTTTTTATCATAAACCTTTTATTCTTTCTAATATAAAAAATTAAGGCTATACATTTCCCTCTAAGCTTCATCTTACAAATGTTTATTATCTTTAAATTATCTATAATTTCTCATTTATTTTGTGGTTTCCTGTGCATAGCTTAATTTACAAATATTTGGGAATTTCTAAACATTATAGAATATTTTATCTCTTATTTAATTCTGTAGTGTCATAACTTAAAATTTTTTGCCTAGCCAAAGGTCACAAATATTTTCTTCCATTTTTTTTTCTATAACTGTTGTGGTTTTAACTTTTACATTAGTTCTCTAATACACTTTTAGCTAATTTTTGAATTGTTGATTGAGATTATTTTTGTTTACTGTGGATATCAAATTGTTCTACTACCAGTTGTTTTTAGATAATCCTTTTCTTAATGAATTGCCTTTGCAACTTAGATGAAAACCAACTGATCATGTGAACCTGGGTCTAATTTTGTACTCTCTATCCTTTTCTTATGATCTCTCTGTGTATTTTTACAACAGGACCATACTGCCTGTAATCAAGGTAGTTTTATTTTGAGCTTTCAAATGCAGCAGCACTACAACTTTGTTTCAAGCATGGTGGCAAATTTGGTCTCTATTAATTGATCTCAAGTAAAAGAAAAATCTAATTCTTTCACAAGCTATTTTAAAATTATTTCAATTGAATTTTTACTTTGAAATAATTTCATAGAAAAAAGTTGTAAGTATAGTACACAGAATTACTCTATAACCTACACCCATTTTATTCTAAGTGTAACAAATTACATAACCATTAACAGGTTAACATTGCCACATTGCCATGAACTGAACTATAGGCTTTATATTCAGACTTTACCTTTTTTCCACTAATGTCTTCTTTCACTGCAAGATTTCATCCAACACGCCACATTTCATTTAGTCATCATGTTTTCTTGGTCACTTCCAATCGATGGCATTTTGTTCAGGTGTTTTGTTTTCTATGACCTTGATAGTTGTGATCAGTATAGGCCAGGTGATTTATAGATGGTTGCAATTTTGGTTAGTTCAATGCTTCCCCATGGTTAGACTAGGTTTAAAGATTTTTGTGAAGAATATCACAGAGATGAGCATCTTTCTTATTTCATTATTTGAGGAACGACAGGACTTATTTCTGGTAACATATACCTTGCCCTCTTGGTTACAGTGGCGTCTGCTGGGTTTCTCTATTCTAAAGTTACTAAGACAGGTGATTTCTGCACTTCCAACTGAGGTACCCGGTTCATCTCACTGGGGCACGTTGGACAGTGGGGGTAGGACAGTGGATGTAGCCCACCGAGTGTGAGCCGAAGCAGGGTGAGGCATCGCCTTACCCAGGAAGTGCAAGGGGTCAGGGAATTCCCTTTCCTAGCCAAGGGAAGCGGTGACAGACAGTACCTGGAAAATTGGGTCACTCCCACCCTAATACTGCACTTTTCCAAGGGTCTTAGCAAACGGCACACCAGGAGATTATATCCCATGCCTGGCTTGGGGGGTCCCACACCCACAGAGGGGTACCGGGCTGTATGAGGTGTCAGTCTGCCCCTACTGGTAGCACAGCAGTCTGACATCAAAGTGCAAGGCAGCAGCGAGGCTGGGGGAGGGGTGCCCACCATTGCTGAGGCTTGAGTAGGTAAATAAAGCAGCCTGGAAGCTCAAACTGGGTGGAGCCCACCTCAGCTCAAGGAGGCCTGCATGCCTCTGTAGACTCCACCTCTGGAGGCAGGGCATAGCCTAACAAAAGGCAGCAAAAACCTCTGCAGACTTAAATGTTCATGTCTGACAGCTTCAAAGAGAGTAGTGGTTCTCCCAGCAGGAGTTCGATATCTGAGAACAGACAGACTGCCTCCTCAAGTGGGTCCCTGACTCCCGAGTAGCCTAACTGGGAGGCACCCCCCAGTAGGGGGCAGACTGACACCTCATACAGCTGGGTACCCATCTGAGACGAAGCTTCCAGAGGAACGATCTGGCAGCAACATTTGCTGTTCAGCAATATTCGCTGTTCTGCAGCCTCCGCTGCTGATACCCAGGCAAACAGGGTCTGGAGTGGACCTCCAGCAAACTCCAGCAGACCTGCAGCTGAGGGTCCTGACTGGTAGAAGGAAAACTAACAAACAGAAAGGACATCCGCACCAAAACCCCCATCTGTACATCACCATCATCAAAGACCAAAGGTAAATAAAACCACAAAGATGGGGAAAAAACAGAGCAGAAAAGCTGAAAATTCTAAAAATCAGAGTACCTCTCCCCCTCCAAAGGAACACAGCTCCTCGCCAGCAGTGGAACAAAACTGGAGAGAGAATGATGCTGACGAGTTGAGAGAATACTTCAGACAATCAAACTTCTCTGAGCTAACGGAGGAAGTTTGAACCCAATGCAAAGAAGCTAAAAACCTTGAAAAAAGAATAGACAAATGGCTAACTAGAATAACCAGTGTAGAGAAGTCCTTAAATGACCTGATGGAGCTGAAAACCGTGGCACAAGAACTATTTGATGCATGCACAAGCTTCAGTAGCCAATTCGATCAAGTGGAAGAAAGGGTATCAGTGATTGAAGATCGAATGAATAAAATGAAGTGAGAAGAGAAGTTTAGAGAAAAAAGAGTAAAAAGAAACGAACAAGGCCTCCAAGAAATATGGTACTATGTGAAAAGACCAAATCTACGTCTGATTGGTGTACCTGAAAGTGACGGGGAGAATAGAACCAAGTTGGAAAACACTCCTCATGATATTATCCAGGAGAACTTCCCCAACCTAGCAAGGCAGGCCAACATTCAAATTCAGGAAATACAGAGAACACCACAAAGATACTCCTCGAGAAGAGCAACTCCAAGACACATAATTGGCAGATTCACCAAAGTTGAAATGGAGGAAAAAATGTTAAGGGCAGCCAGAGAGAAAAGTCTGGTTACTCACAAAGGGAAACCCATCAGACTAACAGCTGATCTCTCGGCAGAAACTACAAGCCAGAAGAGAGTGGGGGCCAATATTCAACATTCTTAAAGAAAATAATTTTCAACCCAGAATTTCATATCCAGTCAAATTAAGTTTCATAAGTGAAGGAGAAATAAAATCCTTTACAGACAAGCAAATGCTGAGAGATTTTCTCACCACCAGGCCTGCCCTAAAAGAGCTCCTGAAGGAAGCACTAAACATAGAAAGGAACAACCGGTACCAGCCACTGCAAAACCATTCCAAATTGTAAAGACCATTGATGCTAGGAAGAAACTGCATCAATTAACAAGCAAAATAACCAGATAACATATAATGACAGGATCAAATTCACACATAACAATATTAACCTTAAATGTAAATGGGCTAAATGCTACAATTAAAAGACACAGACTGGCAAATTGGATAAAGAGTCAAGACCCATCAGTGTGCTGTATTCAGGAGACCCATCTCATGTGCAGAGACACACATAGGCTCAAAATAAAGAGATGGAGGAAGATCTACCAAGCAAATGGAAAACAAAAAATGGCAGGGGTTTGCAATCCCAGTCTCTGATAAAACAGACTTTAAACCAACAAAGATCAAAAGAGACAAAGAAGGCCATTACATAATGGTAAAGGGAGAAATTCGACAAGAAGAGTTATCTTAAATATATATGCACCCAATACAGGAGCACCCAGTTTCATAAAGCAAGTCCTTAGAGACCTACAAAGAGACTTAGACTCCCACACAATAATAATGGGAGACTTTAACACCCCACTGTCAACATTAGACAGATCAATGAGACAGAAAGTTAACAAGGATATCCAGGAATTGAACTCAGCTCGGCACCAAGCTGACCTAATAGATATCTATGGAACTCTCCACCCCAAATCAACAGAATATACATTCTTCTCAGCACTGCATCGCACTTATTCCAAAATTGACAACATAGTTGGAAGTAAAGCACTCCTTAGCAAATGTAAAAGAACAGAAATTACAACAAGCTCTCCCTCAGACCACAGTGCAATCAAACTAGAACTCAGGATTAAGAAACTCACTCAAAACCAATCAACTACATGGAAACTGAACAACCTGCTCATGAATGACTACTGGGTACACAATGAAATGAAGGCAGAAATAAAGATGTTCTTTGAAACCAATGAGAACAAAGACAAAACATACCAGAATCTCTGGGACACATTTAAACCAGTATGTAGAGGGAAATTTACAGCACTAAATGCCCACAGGAGAAAGCAGGAAAGATCTAAAATTGACACCCTAACATCACAATTAAAAGAACTAGAGAAGCAAGAGGAAACACATTCAAAAGCTAGCAGAAGGCAAGGAATGACTAAGATCAGAGAACTGAAGAAGATAGAGACACAAAAAAGCCTTTAAAAAAATCAGTGAAACCGGGAGCTGGTTTTTTGAAAAGATCAACAAAATTGATAGACCACTAGCAAGACTAATAAAGAATAAATGAAAGAAGAATAAAATAAACCCAATAAAAAATGATAAAGGGGATATCACCACCAATTCCACAGAAATACAAACTACCATCAGAGAACACTATAAACACCTCTACACAAATAAACTAGAAAATCTAGAAGAAATGGATAAATTCCTGGACACATACACCATCCCAAGACTAAGCCAGGAAGAAGTTGAATCCCTGAATAGACCAATAACAGGCTCTGAAATTGAGGAAATAATTAATAGTCTACCAACCATAAAAAGTCCAGGACCAGGCAGATTCACAGCCGAATTCTACCAGAGATAACAAGGAGGAGCTGGTACCATTCCTTCTGAAACTATCCCAATCAATAGAAAAAGAGGGAATCCTCCCTAACTCATTTTATGAGGCCAGCATCATCCTGATACCAAAGCCTGGCAGAGACACAACAAAAAAGAGAATTTTAGACCAACATCCCTGATGAACATCGATGCAAAAATCCTCAATAAAATACTGACAAACCGAATCCAGCAGCACATCAAAAAGGTTATCCACCATGATCAAGTGGGCTTCATCCCTGGGATGCAAGTCTGGTTCAACATACAGGCTGGTTCAACATACACAAATCAATAAATGTAATCCATCATATAAACAGAACCAAAGACAAAAACCACATGATTATCTTAACAGATGCAGAAAAGGCCTTTGACAAAATTCAACAACCCTTCATGCTAAAAACTCTCAATAAATTAGGTATTAATGGGACGTATCTCAAAATAATAAGAGCTATTTATGACAAACCCACAGCCAATATCATACTGAAAGGGCAAAAACTGGAAGCATTCCCTTTGAAAACTGGCACAAGACAGGGATGCCCTCTCTCACCACTCCTATTCAACATAGTGTTGGAAGTTCTGGCCAGGGCAATCAGGAAGGAGAAAGAAATAAAGGGTATTCAATTAGGAAAAGAGGTAGTCAAATTGTCCCTGTTTGCAGATGACATGATTGTATATTTAGAAAACCCCACCGTCTCAGCCCAAAATCTCCTTAAGCTGATAAGCAAATTCAGCAAAGTCTCAGGATACAAAATCAATGTGCAAAAATAACAAGCATTCTTATACACCAATAACAGACAAACAGAGAACCAAATCCTGAGTGAACACCCCTTCACAATTGCTTCAAAGAGAATAAAATACCTAGGAATCCAACTTACAAGGGATGTGAAGGACCTCTTCAAGGAGAACTACAAACCACTGCTTAATGAAAAAAAGAGGATACAAACAAACGGAAGAACATTCCATGGTCATGGATAGGAAAAATCAATATCGTGAAAATGGCCATACTGCCCAAGGTAATTTATAGATTCAATGCCATCCCCATCAAGCTACCAATGACTTTCTTCACAGAATTGGAAAAAAACTACTTTAAAGTTCATATGGAACCAAAAAAGAACCCGCATTGCCAAGACAATCCTAAGCCAAAAGAACAAAGCTGGAAGCATCACGATACCTGACTTCAAACTATACTGCAAGGCTACAGTGACCAAAACAGCAATGGTACTGGTACCAAAACAGAGATATAGACCAATGGAACAGAACAGAGCCCTCAGAAATAATGCCACACATCTACAACCATCTGATCTTTGACAACCCTGACAAAAACAAGAAATGGGGAAAGGATTCCCTATTTAACAAATGGTGCTGGGAAAACTGGCTAGCCATATGAAGAAAGCTGAAACTGGATCCCTTCCTTACACCTTATACAAAAATTAATTCAAGATGGATTGAAGACTTAAATGTTAGACCTGAAACCATAAAAACCCTAGAAGAAAACCTAGCCAATACTATTCAGGACATAGGCATGGGCAAGGACTTCATGTCTAAAACAACAAAAGCAATGGCAACAAAAGCCAAAATTGACAAATGGGATCTAATCAAACTAAAGAGCTTCTGCACAGCAAAAGAAACTGCCATCAGGGTGAACAGGCAACCTACAGAATGGGAGAAAATTTTTGCAATCTACTCATCTTGCAAAGTGCTAATATCCAGAATCTACAAAGAACTCAAACAAATTTACGAGAAAAAAACAAACAACCCCATCAAAAAGTGGGTGAAGGATATGAACAGACACTTCTCAAAAGAAGACATTTATGCAGCCAACAGACACATGAAAAAATGCTCATCATCACTGGCATCAGAGAAATCAAATCTCCAATGAGATACCATCTCACACCAGTTAGAATGGTGATCATAAAGAGTCAGGAAACTACAGGTGCTGGAGAGGATGTGGAGAAATAGGGACGCTTTTACACTGTTGGTGGGACTGTAAACTAATTCAACCATTGTGGAAGTTGGTGTGGCGATTCCTCAGGGATCTAGAACTAGAAATACCATTTCACCCAGCCATCCCATTACTGGGTATATACCCAAAGGATTATAAATCATGCTGCTATCAAGGCACATGCACACGTATGTTTATTGCAGCACTATTCACAATAGCAAAGATTGGAACCAACCCAAATGTGCATCAATGATAGACTGGATTAAGAAAATGTGGCACATATAGACCATGGAATACTATGCATCCATAAAAATGATGAGTTCATGTCCTTTGTATGGACATGGATGAAGCTGCAAACCATCATTCTCAGCCAACTATCACAAGAACAAAAAACCAAACACCGCATGTTCTCACTCATAGGTGGGAATTGAACAATGAGAACACTTGGACACAGGAAGGGGAACATCACACACTGGGGCCTGTTCTGGGTTGGGGGGAGGGAAATCATTAGGAGATATATGTAATGTAAATGATGAGTTAATGGGTGCAGCACACCAACATGGCATATGTATACATATGTAACAAACCTGCACGTTGTGCACATGTACCCTAGAAGTTAAAGTAATAAAAAAATTAATAAACAAATAAAAAATAAAGTTACTATTTCTCACTTTATGTACTTTATTCTTTGAAAGTGAGTCTCTAAGTCCAACCTACACTCAAAAGTAGTGATATTAAGCTCCACTTCTTGAAAGGAGGTATATCAACATATATTATTCTGAATTCCTCTGCAAGGAAGATCCCCCTGTGCCATATATTTATATTCATAATCATTTTTATACCAGTATGAATTCATATTCATGTATGTTTATTTTATATTTAATATAGTGTCTATAGATATATACATATACCTTATATAGGATATATATCTATGTATACACACACACGCTATGTTACGCATATTTTTGCTCAAATTGTACAAACTTTGGCTGTTGTGAGTTCTTTCAGATTGGGTCCCATGTCCTTCTGATATAACCTGATCTTTATTTAACTTCTATTTTTGCCAGTATTCTACTTTCTAGCATTATAATATGCATTATGCTTATCCTCTATTTTCCCTGTCTCAAGTAGAGAATCAGCCATTTTTCCAGGAAATCCTGGTTCATTTCATTAGAGAGTAATATTTAGAAACTGAGGCATGGCACATGCAGTGTGTTTATGGTTACTGGAATTACAGTGCTTCTAGATCCCATGCATGTGCACAGCTAGGCAATACATGCATGTATCCTAACCTGCATCTCATATAATTTATGTATCTGTCTGTATCTGTTATTGAATTAAATAAATTCATAATACCTCCAGATGTAATCCAGAACTATGAGCTTCAAAGTCAATCCCCACCATCCCTCCTGGCTTATTCCTCTGACAGAAAAAATGCTGAATCAATTTGGTCAAGGTGGCATCTGCAAGGTTTATCTACTCCAAAGTCACTCTTTAGAGTAACCCATTACTTATATTTTATTACTTATTTGTCAAACCCTAGTGTATTTGTAAAGTGGTTTCAAAATTTCTAACCTCCATTTCTGTAAAAAACAAGTTTTCCAAATAAGGTACAGTGATTAATTCTTTAATTCTATAATTCTTTTGTCTTTAGCTTACTTTACAGTTACCAGTCAAAACAGTTATTTTTCTGATGTTTCTCAAGTCAGCTCCAATTTTTCCCTTACCACCTTCAGTGAAGTTTGTTATACATTTATAATATAGTTTGATTCATTTTTCACAGTCTGCGTTCCATTCTGACATTCCCTGATGTCCTGGTTGATTTTTCTTAAATGACCTGTTTTCAAATTTACTAGATGACTCTTGACAAATGCGTAGAGTCATGTATCTACCACCCAAGTATCATGCAGAAGAATTTTATCACTTTCAAAGTTCCCTGTATCCTTGTCACATTCAAACACTCCTGCCTTTGGTTTTAAATACAACATCAACAGGATATATGGTAAAAAAAAAATTAAAAATTGGACTTAATTAAAATGTAAACTTTTGCTCTGTGAAACACATTGTTAAGAGAATAAGAAGACAGCCATATAGTGAGAGAAAATATTTGCAAATCATATATGTGATAAAGAATTTATATCCAGAATGTATAAAAAAATCTTAAAACTCAACAAGAAAAAAAAAGAACAAAAAATCATCACAAGACTTTTAACAGACACTTAACCATAGAAGACATATTAATGGCAAATAATAATATAAATAAATCTAAATTTAAACTACATTGAAAGGCCACTACATAATTTTTAGAATATCTAAAATTAAACAAAACTCTTACAATATCAATGGCTGGTGAGGATCGGCAGGCACAGGAATCCTCACACATTGACAATTGGTTGCAATACGACATAGCCACTCTGGATGACAGTTTGGCAGTTTTTTAGATAAGTAAGCCTGCCTTACCTTTCAACCTAGAATTCCCACTTTGTTTTGTTTGTTTGTTTGTTTGTTTTTGTGTTTTTGTTTTTGTTTTTAGACTGAGTTTCACTTTTGTTGCCCAGGCTGGAGTGCAATGGCGTGATCTTGGCTCACTGCAACCTCCCCCTCCCAGGTACCAGCGATTCTCCTGTCTCAGCCTCCCAAGTAGCTTGGATTAAAGGCATGCGCCACCACGCCTGGCTAATTTTTTTGTATTTAGTACAGACGGGGTTTCACCATGTTAGTCAGGCTGGTCGCGAACTCCTGACCTCAGGTGATCCACCCGCCTCGGCCTCCCAAAGTGCTGGGATTACAGGCATGAGCCACCACACCTGGCCAAGCATTCCCACTTTTAAGCATTTATCCAAGTAACTTGAAAGCATGTTCACACACATACAAACACACACAAAACACACACACACACACAAATTGGATACTCTTTAGTTGAAATATTTCCTTATCCTCATACAAAATAACATTAAGTATAGGCATTTTATTTTTCTAATTTTCTTTCCAAAGTGCCTTAATAAGTTTAACAAAATCATTTATCTATATTTAGCTATATTTCTACAAGTTTCCACCTAACATTCTTTTTTTTTTTATTATTATTATACTTTAAGTTCTAGGGTACATGATACAAAGATAGTTCAAGTCATCTATATATTTTTATTAGAATTTGAATATGCTATATTATTTCCCCTTTAAATGTATTTGAATTTTATTATTCATAGATATCTAATTATTCAAAAATATATATCTAATTTTAAATTATTTAAATATGTAAACTGCTACTTTCTAAAATAGATGAACATAAAAATAAAAAGTGCTTTTGACAATAAGGAAATTTGTTATTTTGGAACAATCAGTTCTGCTTTCCCTAAACTTTGTCGGGTGAGAAAAATATTTCAGTTTGTGTTATTAATCCCTGAAGCAGAGTATGTCAGCATGAGTTTCTCAACACCGCCCCAACTGCCATGACTTTTTCTGTAAGACAGTAAATGCAGTCAGGCTTCATCCCTAGAGTTTCATCTTGAGTAAGTCTACAAAAGGGCCCAAAATTCACATTAGTAGGCTTCTTCTTTGACTATGATCTGCAACCAGGAGTTACTTCATTAGTTTCACATCAATTTTTTTTGAATAATAAATAGTTATGTATGAATTAGTCTAAAAGTAAATATTAAAATATCAAAAATACAGAGCTATTTCCTCTGCAAAGAAGCAAGCAAATAAAACTGAGTCTATAATTCCATCTAGCTATATATATTTGTATATAGATTTTTCATATTTATCTGTTTCAAGACTTATTTTAAAATGTGTCTATAGTCATTGTCTCCACTAGCACTCGATGAAGAGTCTCCTCAATCCCTCAATCCATTCCAATGAGGCTCCCCCTTTTCTCCTAACACTGCTGTCCTCCAGGTGGCCAGGGCTCTGCCACTGTCACTCCTGGCATCCTCCCTATGGTTGGCATTGCCATCATTCCTGAAGCACTGAGTCCTCTCGGCGTGGAGGGCACCACATGTGACTGGTGTTCCTACCTCATTTGGTGTTCCTTCTCATCTCCTTTTGTCATTGTTTTCTGTCATCCTGACCCCCAAAGCCCAGAGCACTGCAGGCAGCTCAAGTCCTGCTCTCTTTCCTGATCTTTATTCAAGATTACCAAGACTGCTGACCTGACAATGCTACTAGAAGTTTTCATAAGTGTCTCAAACCCAGAATAAAAATACAACTATTGATCCCTTTCTTTTACAACTATTGATCCCTTTCCTTTATATAAAAAATGCTCTGTGTACCTATATATGTGAGTAGAACGTTTATCCACCCACTGCTCAACTCCCAATCTACAGCCGCTCCTCCTGCCCACTCAGTCGCCTGCCACTCATTCTTACCTGCTGGTCCCTGCAGTGCAAATGGAAGCATATGATTCACTCCATCCCCATTCCTGAAGAAGCTTCCTAAATGATCCCCAGTCCTATTTTTGAGCCCTCCAATTCACCCTACAGTGCTAAAGGCATGAAACATATAAAATTCTCACCCTTCACTTACAGCACCTTAAAGGACTAGGTCCCTGTATAACCCATGGAAATTCTTCCTGAAAATCTGTATGCAGCTGGCTCCTCCTCATTGTAATATCTCCTGCTCAGAGGAGCCCATCCTTGATGACCTCACCTAGGTATGCTGGACCTCATACTCACCACTATCATTTCACCCTTAGGTTATTCTGTCCTATCAAAATCAACACTATCTGGAACTATTGTCTCCATTTTTATGTTTCCTTCCTGATTGATTTCTCCATCTGCCTTCCATCTGTGGCCCGAACATACAATGCATTCTAAGTAATTTGTCTAAAAAGTAGGTCATTTAATCATTAAGATGGTTTCGTATAGCATATCTTGAAGTAGTGTTTTTCAAAGTTATTTTTTTAAGTAGGCATTTCATTCAATCGGATGAAATTTTCTAGGCTAAAGATTCTAGCCAGGATGTTGGAAGTGAATGTGTGTGACTGCATCTGTGTGTCAGTGCTTCTGATGAAATGTGTCATCACTCTGGTCCTGCTCTCCAGGATTCATGGACTCAAATCCATACCGAGGTTGATGGAAGGCTTCTGGTGACATGTTCTTGTTATGCTTCTCAGCTACCTCATGTTAAAAGGAATTCTAATTTTTAATACTGATTAAGGTATATGATGTAACTTTTAATAAGCAGCAGAGTGTAGCTGTATTCCAAGTTTTGACCTAGGAAGTCAGTCTTAATATGTTACTCCCCATTATCAACTAAATACAAGGCATTTTCAATGGAGGTTGTACTCAGGAATATGTGACATATCCATTATACTAAAATACACTCTAAAATTAAACCAGACCAACAGAGTTATGCGCCCAAACAGTAACATATTGGTTCTTTCTAAATTGCTTTTACAGACTGCTTGCTAAGTGATTCTTATCAAACTTGCATCTGAGCAAATGTTATGCATATGTATGTTTAAAAGTACGAGACTATCTGGCACAGTTTGGTGGAAAAGAGTATCCATAGACACTTGAAAAGTGATGTTTCTAATATGAATAAGTCTTTAATACACAGAAGCAATTTCTGCTACACCAGTTACTATTTGTCACCCTAGTTAGGAAATATTTTCTAGAGTCATCCCTTCCACTGCTAAAATATAATTGTATTCCCCATTTCCATTCAGTATTTTAATGCCAAGGGAGGATAAGGAACAAACACAACGTTTTTCTCAATAAAAATTTAGTAGTACAAAATATAGCAAGGCAAAACTTGAAAACTAGACAGGAAATTTCACCTCAGACAGAAAGTGATATTATTGTGAGTATTGGAAATCAGAAACATGTAAACAAATGTCCCACTAGAACATTTCCCACATGGAACATTCTGTCAGGTCGACACAGCATGGCCATATAATGTAATTGTTCTGGGTAATGGGAGACACTATGGACTTTATTTATTTTTTATTTTTATTTATTTATTTATTTATTTATTTTGAGATGGAGTCTTGCTCTGGCCCCCAGGCTGGAGTGCAGTGGAGTGATCTCGACTTATTGCAACATCCATCTCCTGGGTTCAGGCGATTCTCATGTCTCAGCCTCCCGAGTAGCTGGGTCTACAGGTGCCCGCCACCAGACCCAGCTAATTTTTTTGTATTTTTAGTAAAGATGGGGTTTCACTATGTTGGCCAGGCTGGTTTCAAACTCCTGACCTCAGGTGATCCACCCGCCTTGGCCTCCCAAAGTGTTGGGATTACAGGTGTAAGCCACCACACTGGTCATGGACTTTATTTTTAATTTGTCTTGCTTTTGCAAAATTTCAGTGAGAGGTTTTAACATGATGAAATACATCCATCAACCTGTATTCATATGCTTGTAACACTTGTATAAAGTAAAAATGCAAGCCATTAGAAAATTTTACTTCATTTACCATCAGCTTCTTTAACAAAACCTTATCTCTTCCTGAATAAACCTAACTACAATGTTATCAACATTCATTTTACTTCTGGTTACCTTTTCTTAAAAAATAAATAAATTCTCTCACTTAACCAACTGCTTGATTCATTCAACCCAAATATATATATATATATATATAATCTTTTTAATTGCAGGTTTGTGTTAAAAAGTAAAAAGCAAAATTTTTATGTTTGCTATGAAATTCCTTGTGAATTCTTCTTCAAGCTCCTACTCTCTTCCTCACTTTTCTTTGTTTATAGCTCCTCTGTTATAAACTTTATGTCCTTGTATTATAAATCATATTATATCCTTCATCTTAACTGTAGTCTGGGTTTCTGTAGAAAACACACAGAGGAATTCATTCTTGTGTTCCCAGATCTTGTAAAATGCCTGTCGTGGGAAGTGTTTAAGAAATGTATGTTTTCTGGCTAAATAACTTTAAAAATGTTTAGATAACAATATTACAGCTATACTATAAAATATCATGAAGCCATAAGAAACAATTAGGTAAACCTACAAACATACACAATTATAGTGACCCAGAAAGAAATGTCATAACATTTAAAGATAAAAAGTAAGTTATAGAAAAATAGAGTGTGAGCTGATTTTGCAATAATAGGTGTCAATATAAATAATTTGTATCTATGTGTGAGTGTGTGTGTAATAGTTATATGCCATTGTAAAGGATGACAAATAATGAAACACACATATATATGCCCAGCTTTTATTTTCTTTTATTTTCAATATTATTAAATTATAAATATACATAATTATGCATTATGAAACCTTAACTGAATCTTTATCATGAGATATGTTATTGGTTCCTTGTGGTCCTCTAATTCTTTCTCTGTAGATCTATCTAGTAGAACATTTATACAACATGTTGTAAGGCATTAAACTTACATTTTCACCCTCCACTAAATTAAGAATTCTCTAAGGTGGATTTCATGTCATTTTGTTGTTGTCATTGCTGTGTATCTTAATGATCACATAGTAACTAATGTGTTTCAGATACTCAAAATGTTCCATTTTAAATGGATAAATAATTATATGGAAGCTTAATTAGCTAACCTTCCTAGCACATGTCCATTTTTGCACATATTCATATCTCTCATTGCAAGCGTTTAGGTAGGTTTGAACCATTAGTAGTCACAATTTTTGTTTATTAATCATTAGGAAAATGCTAATTAAACCCAAGATGTGGAACAATTGCACACCTACTAGAATTCTGGAAATTAAAAACAAAAGTGAAACAAATGAAAAAATGCAGACTAAGGGTTGGCAAGGATGAAGAGCTGAAGCTCTTACAGGTTGCTGGTGGGCATTCAGAGGTATCTTATGAAGTTCAACATGCACTTACCATCTGATGTAGCAATCCTGCACTTACTATCTGATCTGGCAATCCTATTCCCATATATTTAAGTAAGAAAGTTGAAAAGAGACATTCATAGGAAGACCTGCCTAAAACGTGAACAGCAGGCTAATTCATAATCAGCGAAACCTGGAGACTCCATGTATCTTTCAAGTGATCACTGAAGAAACACATTTTCATGCATTCTTACAGAGTTTCTGTTCCAGTGGGTCTGGTGTGGGCCAAATAATTTGAATTTCTATCAAGTTTCCAGGGGATGTTAAAGCCGTTGCTTTGGAAACCAGACAATGAGCACACTGATTTAGAATATAATTAGTAAAGAGCTTAGATGGTTGCTCCCTCAACCTACTTCTTTATAATGGAACCAATGTATACAAGTATTTGTACAATGATGTGTGAGGTGAGATGAAAACAATCTCCCTGTTTCCAAAATGACCATGTTTTAAAGATGATCCAGAAAGATCCTCCCATAAAGAAGGAATGAAGATAGATATGTCAAAATATGAACTTAATGCTTTAAGCATTTAAAATGAAAGACAAGTGAGGTTGGCACTTGGTCTCTGCAGGCCAAGGGGGAGTTTGTATTATGTATGTGCACACACACTCAAAAACACACTCACACCCACCCATCCACATTCAGACTTACATCCACATACTATAAACATTCACACATACACACTAACATGAACATTCTCATACACAGTTTCTAACACTCATACCCACACTGACCACACCACATAAAATACACACACATTCTCGCAAACACACACACTCTTACACCCACATACACATACATAAGGCATATACACACCGTACATACACACTCTCTTTCAGACACACACATGTTCAAGATGAACCAGAATGGGAAATCTGGCTGAGAAAGGAAGCATCACCTTTAGCAGTTCATTAGGCTCAGAAGAAGACTGAACATGGATACAACTGGAAAGATGCAATGCCATGTGTGACAATGTGGGATCCTTCCAGAAACCCTTCTCAACTACAATAACAATAGTGGAATCAGTTGACCCCTCTTTAAATGTTAGATTTCTGTCTCACACTTCTTGATTTCCAGCATCACACAGAACAAAGATTTGCCTCATCAGTGCTTATTGGTTGATTGATTATTTTTTATCAAATAAACTGGGACCTTACAGAACAATATATTATCTTCATGACATTGCAAGTTTCGCGGCCATTTACTCCAGCACTTATTTTAATTTTTGCATTGTTTTCTTTGCAATATAAAACAGAAACACAAAGCTCGCTAGTGACATGTGAAAAGCTTCAGACATCAACTGAATTTGGCAAGACTATTCTAAACTGAACTACATTACTGAGCTATCTGAGTTTACTCATCACTAAGAGTCACTGTGAATCTTTCTGCAAATGTTCTCATCTCCTTTAAATTCCAGTGACTCACTCTTGGCTCTGGTGCTTTGCAATCTTGCCAGGTATCTGGGGAATGTGCACAGTGGGCACATGAAAGATAATTAGCTGTTTCTTCAAATGGCCCAACCGTGGAGTGCATTAAGATAATTCTAGAGTCCCATAAATGTAGAGGGCTCTTTCTTCTTTTCCTTGCTCAATCTCCCAGAGTAGGGCATACTATAACACATCAAATGATGTGTCTTTCTAGTCTTTTAAGTTTTCACTGATGGACTTTTAATAAAATAGTTGGAGTTATTTTAGCATATATTTGGGGATTTTAACTAAGTTGAATGTTGGCAGACATGACACAGGCATTCTGTTTTCTAGGTTAATGACACCGTCTTACATATTGCAGCTCTTCTGGGAGTGCTAGTCAACATGGGTTAAAGCCTAAAAGCTTACACTCTTAGACTACATCCATATTTAGGGTTTACCTAGGCAAATAAGTCATATTTAGAAATTATGCATACAAATATCCACAGCAATTTTAGAGTAAAAAATTGCATGTTCAAATATAAATGATTGGTTACATAAATTGTGATGTGTACATTCAGTACAATATTTTGCTGCAATTAAAAATGTTTTTTAAAATGTTGATAACATAATTTCCCCTGCTATATGCCAAAAGTCAGAATTCATTGTAATCTGAACTATAGGAACATAAATACCCACAGATATACACAAATGTACATAAATATATGCAAATATATGTACACAAAAATCTACACAAATGTAAGCAAATATACACATTACAAATGGATTCATACATCAAAATGGTAACAGCATTTGTGTGTAGCAGGATCACAGGTGGCTTTTATTTCCCACTGTTTTTCTGTTATTTCTAAACTTTTAGACTTTAGTTCAGTAATTTTATTGTCAAATAAACATAAAATTTAAATTTTATAAAGTCAGTATGATACACTGTATATCATATAAACATAACTTATAGTTTTTATTTGCTTAGGAAAATATGCAATAATCCTACCCACTTTTATGAATTTCAATATCTTACCCAAGGATTTTTCTGTTTAAAATAGATAACTATTTTATTGGGAAAAAACACAACTGCCTGCAAATGGCACTCACCAGCCAGTATGAACTGCATGTCCTTCAGTGCTTTGAAGGTGCATGAGTCTTTCAAGGAATTATTATTATTATTATTATTATTATTATTATTATTATTATTGTTGAGACAGAGTTTCACTCTTGTTGCCCAGGCTGGAGTGCAATGGAACCATCTCAGCTCAGTGCAACCTCCACCTCCCAGGTTCAAGCAATTCTCCTGCCTCAGCCTCCTGAGTAGCTGGGATTACAGGGGTGTGCCACCATGCCTGGCTAATTTTTTATTTTTTTTTTATTAGTAGAGATGGAGTTTCACCATATTGGCCAGGCTGGTATTGAACTCCTGACCTCGGTTGACCCACCCACCTCGGCCTCCCAAAAGTGCTGGGATTATAGGTGTGAGCCACCACGTCCAGCCAGAACTCTTATTATTAAGGTTGGTATATTTCCAGTGGCATCATGCTGAATTATTTCAATTGCTGTTTTTTTTTCTGAACAGACATTTTCAGTGCTTTCGTCATCCGTGGAAAACATATGTGTGAATTTCAGGGGTTGGGAGGCAGTGTCTTGCCGTGACGTCGTTATTCCAGACTGTTAAAGTCCTCACACTAATGTCATTTTTAAGGTTATTATGAAGTCACAATTACCAGCATCTGTAAAAAAAACTTATTCCTCCACTAGATAGGTTTCTTAGCTTTAGACAACAGAATGGAATTCAAGCAGAAAATTTATTGATAAGAAAGATATTGGCTTGATCCCATAATTAATGGAAAGGCTGAAGAATTGGACTCAGGACACAGAGACTAGCCCAGGAGATGAGGCATGGCTGACATGCTAACATGGGAATCCTGTCTTGAGGAGTCACTCCAAGAGGAGTCACCATTGGTCACTCACTGTGGCCCCAGCTGCTGCATCTCTGGACAGTCGCCTCCAAGCTCAGCTCGTCCATCCTCAGTGTCCAGTGCAATCTCTGTGTTGATGCTGCCTCAGAACAGGAAGCTGCCTCCTGCCTGGACGTCTCCTGGAATCTTCCCCACAGATCTGGTGGTTTACTCCATGTCACTTCCTCATGCCCTTGCCAGGTCTGACCTTAGAATGGAAGCCTCCCCATCCACTCTAGGTGAAATAGCACACTGTCATTCTGTCGCCTTCTTGCTGCTTTGCTTATTTATTCTCGGGAATACTTATTGCCTTCTAACATACTATCTACGTACGCATTTACTTAATGAGTGACTGTCCTCCTCCACTGAAAGATAAACTCTTCAAGCAAAGTCTTGGTTTTGTTTGCTGCCAGGTTCCCACACCTACTGAAACACAGCAAGCACCATATAAACCATTGCTAAATGAAAGATGGAAAGTTGACTACAGGCAGTGAGAGCTGTGGTCAGGAGATGAGATTGGTCCAATGAGATGGGGGACTCAGAGCGTCCCATCAGCAGGACGATGAAGATGAATGGGCAGATTAAAAGCACTGTTCTGTGTTATGCACCCTTTTAAATTTCTCACTATACTAATTCAGGAGCCTTCTAGCTCATCTTCTCACTTTCAAATCTCACCAAATACACTCCATCTTTCACACTGCATGGGAGGATGTTTAAATACAGTATGTTAACACCGGACATGAGATAATGTTTGTATTTCTTAGAGTGTCTTTGTGGCAACTACTCTGCTGAAAATGAAGTCATTCTGAAGCAGGTATTTTTCCCCTAAATGTGTTGTGGTGTTTTGGGATGCTCTCTGTATATCTTTTCCAGAGAGTACCACAGGGCCACAAATGCTTTAGGCTCTCTTCTGCTTGATGAAAACCTACTGTTTTTCAACAGAGAGTTAAAATGTGTTGGTTTTAAAGAGTCTCCTGACCTCTTCCTCATTTTGGTAGCATGGACCACAAGTTACCATGGGTCCCAACCCTGACCCCTGTATGTACTCTGTCAGAGTCCCTGTGAGTTGCCATGGGGCTAATAGGCCTGTAGGTCTGTTTCACATGATGTCCTTTTACACAAGGTAAGTCATAGTCATCTCTGTGCCCCCTGCAGCTCAGGCATAAAATAACATTCACCAGGTATTAAATTGATGCTTCAGGAAGGCTGGGCTGGAAGTTATAGCAGGCATTGCCCACCTGGCTATCAGTAGCAGGTGTGGGTGGGGTCACGTGCCCTGCTATTCAGGTGTTTCTCAGGACAAAAGGAGTCTGTGCCCTTTAGCTGAATTCACACAAAAGCAAGACCACTAAATGCTCAACATCACTGATCACTAGAGAAATACAAATCAAAACCACAAAGGGATACCATCTCACACCAGTCAGAATGGCTATTACTGAAAGGTCAAAACATAACAGATGCTGGTGTGGCTGAAGACAAAAGAGAAAGCTTATATGCTTTCATTGTTGTGGGAAACTAATTCATCCACCATGGAAAGCAGTTTGGCAATTTCTCGAAGAACTCAAAGCAGAACTACCATTTGGCCCAGCATTCCAATACTGGGCATATTCCCCCCCAAAATATAAATTACTCTACCATAGAGACACATGCACACATAAGTTCATCGCAGTACTATTTACAATAGAAAAGCCATGAAATCAACCTAAATATCCATGAATAGTTGGTCTTGTTAAAGAAAATGTGGTACATATAGACCATGAAATACAATGCAGCCATAAAAAAGGAACAAGATCATGTCCTTTGCAGCAACATGGGTGAAGCTGGAGGCCATTATCCTAATCAAACTAACACAGGGGCAGGAAACCAAATACAACATGTTTTCACTTATAACTGGGAGCTAAACATTGAGTACACATGGACACAAAGAAGAGAACAACAGACAGTGGGACCTACTTGAGGGAGGAGGTTGGAAGGAGGGTGAGGATCAAAAAACTATCTATCAGCTACTATGTTCGTTACCTGGGAGACAAAACAATCGGCACACCAAACCCCTGCAACATGCAGTTTACCTAAATGTAGTAAACTAAACTAAAAACTAAATTTAAAAAATTAAACATACAAACAAAAATTTCAGATAAACTGAGAGATAACAAGGACAGAAGAGATGCAGCATAAATATTCCACTACTACTGAAAAATAAAGTTTTTAAAAGCAGAGAAATAAAATTCATTGAATTTTTTTTTTAAAAACGAAAGTCCCCCAAAATCATGAAAGACCTTGTAAAGGTTAAGGAGAAATTATCATGTATCCACAAGCTGATATAAACAAGAATTAAATAGTTCTTGCTTCCTACTGATCACTTTAATATCCACTACATATTAATGGTAGCTATCAACAATATTATCTGCTGCTAAACACACAAATAGAAATAATAACAATTCAAATAATGACAAATGCTTACCAGAATAAACCTAAGTATGAAAGAAGACTACAATTCTTCAGTTTCATTCCTTATGTAATATTTTACTTTTTGATTTGTCTTTGTATTTATTACCACATGATGGAATGTTAAGAATGTTCAGGATTTTGATTTAGAGTCCGATTCAAGTATTCACATAGGATAAAACAAAGCCGAACTTCATTCAGAAAGCTTTGAGAACAGTATTGGTAAGGGGATGAATAGCCGTGAAGATCAATTGACTTTTCATGCCTTTTCTTGTTGACAGGGGGTAGGGCTTTGAAAGAGCTTGGCTCTCCTCAGACTGCAGCACGCAGCTGTGCAGAAAAGGGAATCTGAGTCTCACAGAGATGTTCATTTCCAGGCCAACTACCGGGTTGACATAATTGAACCTGTGGAGCTATTTCCTACTGGGATCACAGAAAACAACCCAATCCAGGATCAGTTCTATGCTACAGTTTCTATTTATTTGACCCTTTTTTTCATTGTAAATACATAAAAGAGGACTGAAAATTACTTTATAACCACTGGAAGAATATCATCAAAGCTGGATCGTTTTTGATAGTAAGTTGGGATCATTCTAGTCTCCTGTTCAAAGTGAACACTTCCATCTGTGCTCTGAATCTCAATTCTTCCTGAGATCACATTCCATGAGTGATTCAAGTATGCCCCTTCTTCTATCTATAACCGCTCAACTATTTTTTCTCCTAAAGTACATACTCACACCTCAGCGTCTCTCATTTTTAAAAGTTAAGAAAAAGGAATGTACCCTACTAACCATACATTCCCTCTAATTACTATTCTATCTTTCCCTGTCATCACAGAAAAGATTCTTAAAATTGTTGTTTATACTTGCTGATTACATTTCTACCATATTCTATTTAAAAAAAAGCTTTCCCATAAGCCAGGAAAAGCCTGCTTGCCAAATCCAGTGTACTTATGTCAGTGCTTCCCTTGCCTAACAGCTCTGTGACAACTTGGTTCAGCAATTACATTCCCTCTCTTTTTATTTTATCTTACATTGATTGTAAGCCTCATTTGGAAAGCTCCTCTCCCTGTGCTCTTTTCATAGGCATTGGCGATCTCCAGCTTTCATTCTCCTTTACACTTATTAACCACGCAGATTTGTTCACCTGGGTGACTTTTTCACTTTCAGTGCTCTTGCTATAACCTATGCCATGATAATGGCTGGAATTGCCTCACATGTTCTCATCAATTCAAGGATCTCTTCCTTTCTGACAGCAACACTGATATTAACCCACCACCACCAACACTGATACTAACCCACCACCATAGATTGAGTTCCATGAATGGCATATTATGTACTGAATCTTGGCAGCCCCTGCCCCAATAGCCCTTTTTATGTATTGGCCTTAACTAATATACTCAACAATATAGAAAATTTAAGCACAGCCTCCTAAGGGCTGTCTTGCTAAGCATCCCAGGCTGGACTAGCTGTCCTTTTCTCTGCTTCCATGACTTCTTTTGTTAATTACATTGAAGTTTCTTATTATGAATTAGACTGTGTCTTTCAAAAAGACATATTGAAGTTTTAACCCATAGTACCACAGAATGTAAACTCATTTGGAAAAGGGAGCCATTGCAGGTATAAATGGTTAAAATAAAGTCATACTGGAGTAGGGTGGGCCCTGAATCCAACATGACTTATATTCTTTAAAGAAGAGAAGAGACACACAATGAGGATGCCATGTGCCAGTGGAGGCAGAGACTGGGGTGACACAGCTGTAAGCTTAGACCTGTCAAAGATGGATGGCCACCAGAGGAAGCTGGGAAGGGGCCAGGAGGCAGCTTCTACCCAGAATGTCAGAGGGGGCATGGCTATGTTGACTCCCTGATGTTAGATTTCTAGCCTTAAGAACTTTGAGAAAATAAATGTCTCTTAAGCCACTCAGTTTATGGCAGCCCTAGGGAGCCAATACAGATGTTAGTACCAAAGGAAGGGAGCTGACATACAGATAGCTAAAAATGTGGAAGTGGCTTTGGAATTGGGTAAGAGACAGAAGCTGAGAGAATTTTTAGATGCTTAATAGAAAAACCTAGATTGTCTTGACAAGACTGATGTTAGAAATATGGACATTAACAGTGCTCCTGTTGAGGCCTTATGGAGAAATGACAAGCATATTATTGGTCAGTGGAGGAAAGGAAGGAAAGGCAATACTTGGTATAAAGTGTCAGAGAATGTGGGTGAATCGTGTTCTAGAATTGAGTGAAAAGTAGAACTTGTAAGTCATAAATGTGAACATTTAGCTGAGGTTATTTCCAAGCAAAGCACAGAAGGTGCAGACTGGCTCGTCCTTGCTTCTTATAGTAAAATGTGAGAAAAAGAGATAAAGTGAGGAATTAACAGTGAAGCAAAAAGGAATCAGTACTTGTTGATATGGAAAATCTCTAGGGTACTAAGATACTATGTCCTGGAGACGGTGTCAAGGATGAAACTGGACAGGTGTTTTTAATGAGATTTTATGTGTAACTCATGGATCCAGTCCACAAACCTCTCAGCAGAAGCCAGGGATAGAGACACAGTTATCCAGGAATGATCTGTGGGGGACAATTCTTGTCTTATGGCTTGGATCCCTGTGAATTATACAGGAAACTGATAAGGCTTTTGAGAATTTTATACCAGCAGAGACACTGTCAGTTTAGACTGAAAGAGACAGAGATGGGACAAAATAAAGGAAAAATTCTAGGGTATAAAAATGGGTGCAGAGTCACTGTCCAATGGGACCTACTTGGGCCAAGAGAGTGAGGACTTTTGCCACAGAAGGCCCAGAGGACAGATTTTCAAGATACAAAGAATTATTAGTAGTCCTTGAAACCTAATAGAATTTTCCCTGTTGGATTTCAGACTTGCCTGGGACCTGTAATTCTTTTTTTCTTCCAGTTTCTCCCTTTGGAATGAGAATGTCTATATTCTGCCTGTCTCAGTCTAATTATTGTAACTTGGAAGCAGATAACTTGTTTGGTGTTTTCACAGGTCCACAGGTGGAGAGGTTTTGTCACAGGATCTACTGTACCCTGAATCTCACCCATAAATAATTTAAATGATAAAATTTAGGATGTTTCAATTTGATGATATATAGATAAGATTTCAGACTTAGAGTTGATGCTGCAATGGTTACTTGAGGGATGTTGGGATATGGTGAATATATTTTAATGATGATTAAAAAATTATATGACTTTTTCACAGAAATAGAGAAAGTAATTCTAAGACTTTCATGGAATGACAATAGACCCATAAATAGCAAAAGCAATTTTGAGCAAGAATAACAAAGCTAGAGGCATCACATTTTGATTTCAAATTATATTACAAAGCTGCAGTAATCAAAACAGTATAGTACCAGCATAGAAACAGAAAAATAGACTGATGGAATGAAATAGAAAACCCAGAAATAAGCACATGCATATGTGGTCAACTAATCTCCAACAGGTATATAACAAGGTGCTCAACATCACTAATTATCAGAGAAATGCAAATCAAAACCACAGTAAGATATCATCTCATATGTTTGAATGGCTATTTTATATATATTGTATATATATAAAGGTAACAAGTGTTGGGAAGGATGTGAAGAGAGGGACATCCTTGTTGGTGGGAAACGTAAATTGGTACAATCATTTAAATTAAACAGAATGGAGGTTCCTCAAAAAATTAAATATGGAACTACCATATGATCCAGCAATCCCACTTCTGAGTATATATCCACAAAATAAAATGAAATCACTATTTTGAGGAGATAATCATACTCCCATGTTCATTGAGGCATTATTCACAATAGCCAAGATATGAAAACAACCTAGACATCTAACAACAAATAAATAGACAAAGAAAATGTCTGTGTGTGTGTGTACACATATGTACAATGGAATATTATTCAGCCTTAATACACAAGTAAATCCTGTCACTTGCAGCAACATCCATGAACCTGAAGGACATTCTGCTGAGTGAAATAAACCAGACACAGAAAAAAAATACTGCATGATTTCACATATGTGTGGAATGCATACATATAACAAAACTTAATGTTGTACACCTTGAATATATACAATTTTTATTTTTCAATTATACCTCCAAAAAAGCTGCAAAAAAATTCAAGAAATAATCGAGTGCCCACTTTGATTATTCCAGGTCAAAATATAATGCTTACTGAAACAGTTCTTTGTGAATGCTTTCCTGATTGCATTTGCTAGCCTTCACACTGAAAGCAAACACTGTCATAAATGTGTTGATTTATAATACACATATTTTACATTATTTGAAACTTTCACTGTCTATATCCACTGGAAGCTTATTTTATATGTTCTGCTTTTTCTCTGTGTTTTTCATGCTCTCTTTTTGAAATTAAACATGCTGTTTTTATTCTAATTTGCTCCTTCCTATGGTCTATATTATTTTTATACCTTGCTGTTGTTAAATTAAGAAGACATTCTAAAATTTCAAGTTTACAGTCAATGAATATCTTTGTAATCTTTCTAAACAGAACAAAGAGCTCAAATGTTACTTGAAACCATTATTTCCCATCCTAAATGATACTGTTGTCCAATAATGTGGAGCTCCCATACTTTTTTACTCTTCAAATTTGCTTCTGTTTTATGTAGTCAGTGTTTATTTATGTTTACCCAAATGTTTAATAATTTTTTGCTCAGTATTAATTTTTGATTCTCAGACTTCCCTTGCAAGATCCTTTATCTTCTTCCTCAAGTACCTCTTTCAGAAATGCATTTATTGAGCATCTTTTAACGCAAATTTCAAAGGTTTTGTAAAACAAAAATTCTTTCTAATTTTTATAAGTAAAAGTGTGAACGCAGGAAAGGCAAGCTGGTATTTGCATTCTTTTAGCATTGTGAAAGTGTTATATTTTGCTCCTGGTTTCCATTATCATGATAGTAAAATATATAACCTTTTCTCTCTGACTACTTAAACACTTTTCAATTTCCCTTTGGCATTTTGGAATCCACTACAAAATCAGCTATATATTACATTTCTTCGTATTTCTCTTTCTTGATATTTGTGCCTCCTAGATTTGAAGATTTTTGTGTTTCCTCACTTATGAAAAATCTGTAAAATAGTTGTCTCTCACTCTCACTATTCTCTTTCTGAAACTCCAATTAGCTTTGTGTGAGAACCTCCCATTTTGCTTTCTTTGACCCTTAACTTATCTTGGTTTCAATTTCTGTCTTTTCAGTTCTACATTCAGGATAACTTATTTTGTTATATTTTATAGCTGTAACTAAAGATATGTCTTTTTTGGGCTATGACAATCTAATAATTCTCCTCAGAGTTTTAAACTTATAGTTTTAACTTAGAGGCTATTTACAAAGCATTCCACTTGTTTCTTTTTCACATTCACATGAACATTTTTTCCATAGTGATATTGTACAGAATTTCCACTTGAATTTTATGTCCTTAAGTATATTAACTCTTTATATGAATTTCTGGTCACCTAAAATTACTTTGCTCAAGGTGCAGTGGCTCACGCCTGTGGATCCAGTACTTTGGGAGGTGGAGGCAAGAGGATTGCTTGAGATCAGGGGTTGGAGACTAGTCTGGGAAGCACAGCAAGATCCTCAACAACAACAACAACAAAATAATAAAATGAAATTACTCTGTATTTAGTTTTATTATGAGCTTTGAAAACAGAAGGCTTTTTCCTGCTGTATTTGCAATTGTTGACTATGAGATTGAAGTCATGTTTGGTTGTTCTTAATCTTGAGGAACCTATAATGTGTGATATGAGGATGGTTTCTCCATAACACAATTGGGAGAAGTTTCAAGTCTGAGCCATTTCTCCACCAAGACGGTATGAATCCAAACCCACAGATCCTGTGAGGGCAACTCTGTAGGTAAAATTGTTACCCATAGTAGCTTGTGCTTTGCTGACAACTCAGGCCAAGACAGTGAGAATCAAGTTTTCAACTTTTGTAGGAAGACTGATGTTTTTTATGAATTATATTTGGGGTCCTCTGAGGGTGCTGGCTTTAAACCAAAAAGTTTCAGTTCCCATTTATTGAGGGCCTCTCCTTCTGCATTCCACCTGGACAGTAGACACTAAGGTTTCCTTCTGGATGCTATGAAGCCTTGAAACAAAACCCTCAACCACTCTTTTCTCTTCTATGCCATATGCGATGCTCTGAATGATCGGGCAGCGTGTGTGCTAAACTAACTTTTAAAGTATAAACAATAATACAAAAGACCTTTAATATAATTTATTCATTCTTATGTCTTTAGTATCTAGTGTAGTGCTTGGCACATAGTAGGCACTCAGTAAATATTTGTTGCCTAAATAAATCAGTTTAATGCTATCAGTTAAGATATATGCAATTTTAGAGAATACAGTTGTCTGTCATCAATTTTATCTTCATCAAATGATGTTCTGACTCTCGCTACTGGTCATGTCAATTCTAAGTCATGCTGGATTTCAAAGTAATTTCATGATCTGAAATTTCATTTCTGACTGACATAGCCATGAATGTATAGCCCAAAATCACTAAAATGACACTTAAATGCAATTTGTATGTCCAAATTATGAGTATATATTGATATAAAGTTCAAATTGTGTGTTATTTAAATAATGGGGTGAGCATATAGATAATTTTCTATTCAAACATTTTTGTAATTATAATTAGAACTAACATTTATGAAACTAACTGCAAGCTGAGAATTGGGGTAAGAACTTAAGTTAACTTACTTTTCAACACTCCATGAAGCTGGTTCAATTATTTTTTTTTATTCTAAAGTGGGAGAAACAATAACCAACAAAAAGCTCAACTTGTTCAAAGTCATCCCACTTTTAAGTCACGGTATTGGAATTTGAACCTAGGATGAAGTATTGGGAACAATATATGGTTTATTTATCTGGACATGTGTGTAGGAATTTTTGAAAGAATGTAAGTACTTATTACTGCTTTTAGAACCTACAAATTTTAGCATCTTTGCTATGGGCATGAATGCTTTTTAAATTGCTTTTACCGTATAAAGTAATATTGCTTTTAAATTTCTACAGGCTCTTTCTATACGCTCTGTCTAGCTAAAGACAAGAACCATTGTTACAAGTGAGACACTCAAAAAGAGCAAAATATTTCTCTGCTTATCTCTTAATCACAACCATCATTTTATTTAGTTTATGCTTGGACTATGTCTCTATTTTCATTCCTGTTCACCATCAGTAATGGAGGGAGATAGAATTAAAACATAAGTACCGATCTTGGGATAAGCAAGTAGTTTCTCTGTACAGAATCTTTCTTTTTCCAATATATTTGTGAATTGTGATTCCTCAGTGGAGAGTAATTAGAGTGCTACATTAGAAACTTAATATGCAGTGCTACTAAGTTTCAGTGATTTAAAGTTTGATTCTTCCCATTTGTTTGCAGTAAAAGACATTTTTTAGACTCTCTCCCCAATCTAATAACCAGTTTTGCATGATAACGATATACATACATTTAAAAGCCACCTATTGAATACAGAAGTGATATTAAAAGGCATGTTTAATGCAGTGGTGTGTGGCTGCTCAGAGGCAGACACAGTCAGAAAAACAAAACAATTGGACTTGCAAAGCAGACTGAATTGTAAACCAATGAAAATAAATGAAGATAACATTTATTTTACTGAAGGAAATATGTCCTAATTGTTTACTTTTGGTCAGAGAGTTTGTAGGTTGAGATAACTTTGGAAATATATCCTGTTTGGAAATTCTGAAATGAAGCATTATTAAAAATTATTCTAGCAACAAGAGTGGCAGAAAACTGACTAAATGTCTTGAATGTTTCTATCTGTGCAAACCCGGTCTAGACCAGGAGGCTTCCCTGCAGTTATTACAGGAAAATTGCCAGGCCTTGAGGCAGTTGGCTCTAAAAGGATTCCAGCTCCAAGAAAGCCCTTGAGACTTCTGTTCCAGTCCCTCTACCCACTGGGCGGTGGGCCAGAATAACCATTTTGATGAAAAGGACCGAAAAAGAGCACCTGTTGTAACTGAACCCAATGCTTAAGTCATTCAAGATGATTAAATCTGATGCACTGTTTTTACTATTGCTAAGTAAGTCCATACCTTCATTATGACCTCATATTCCCTCTAGTATTCCTAAGATGTATTTTAATGCAATGTTGGTACCACTTAATTACTACTAAAAGTCACAGTAAATGGCTTCCAAAGTGCCTCTATCATATAGGCCTCATGTGTCGGTCTGAAGAGTGGACCTCAGCCTCAGCTCCTAGCTCTGCGTCAGCAAATTTCTCCTCCCCCTTCACTCAGGAATCCTTTACTTTCTGTTTTAAAGAATCAGTAGGACACATCACAATTTCTGATATTATACCTAACATTTTTCTGTCTTCACCGTTCCATTGTCCTTATTTACCAGGAGACTTTATATTTTTATCCCTGACTGGGGAGGTTCTTAACCATTTTAACTTCCATGACCCCAGATATAACTGTGATGTATGTAAAAGCATGCTGCCTCCAAGATTGTATGCTCCTGAGGAAAAAGCTCGTACCTCTCCACTTTGTGGAACCTGGTACTCACCTTCACTACCACTTTGTGGAGCCTGGTACTCACCTTCAATACAGACTTGGACCTTTACTGGCCCATATAGCTCATGGGCTTTCTTTTGTTTTGTCTGCCTTTCTGTCTAACCTGGATACTATTGTCACCTGTTCCAGAAGTTTCTCCACTGGTAATGCTGACTCACACACCTTCCTCTACAATATGATCTTGACAAATCACCAACATTGGGATCTGTGTTATATATAATATATAATATATGAAACATATAAACATATATGAATTTATATTTAAAACACATATGTAAATGTATATATGCTTTATATATAAAACACATGTCCCAATGTTGGTGATTGTAAATCTCTATCTTCTCAAGTTTATGCATATCTTTTTTTCATCAATACTAAACTTTTGAAAAAAATGCACACTAATTTCTTACAATTGTTCCATTATTTACTAAGTTATTTTAATCAATTTTATGTACATTACAATAAAACATTCTGAAAAAGCTTCTTTTCCTTGCATTCAAACCTATTTCTTCTCCTGTATCAGTTATGGATGTGAATAGTCTCATAAAACTATACAGCCTGGCACAACCTACACAGCCTGGCACAACCAATTAAAAATAGCCAGTCTGAGTCCAAAGGCCTGGTTTGAGATTCTTAGAAATTTAGTCACGTGGCCCTTTCAAAACTTAACATCACTGTTTTCATTACTGAGTCATGCAGATAAATGGAGTCCCTGAATTTCCCTGGCCTCTATGACTCTTTTTCACTTCACCTTTCTCAGTGTGCGGCCACTTGTCCTCAGGTGTGATGACCCAAGAAGGGTGCCGCAGAACCAGCCATTGTGTACTCATGCATAAAGTTCAAAGCATGGCAGGAAAAGTTCACCTACACAACCAGAGACAGCTCTTCTTATGTTGCTTTCTCTATGAAATATTCCAGAATTCCACCAACAGTAATATGCCTCTGACCTTGCACAGACTCTACACATAGCATTCCATATGCAGGCACTTAGCATGCCCTCTGAGGAGCACTGAGCACACTGTATGATGGGCACATAGCATGCCATACGATCAGCATTTTCTTTAGCACAGCATATGATTGCCACCCAGCACATCTTAATACAGCAACGTAACACACCATATACTAAGCACTTAGGAAACAAGTCACTGTACAATGACACCTTTGTATCACAGCAGACCTGAGCCCCAGGAAAGCAAGTGTGCATCTTTTCCTTCTATCCACAGAGCTCGCACCGTTCTTAGGACATAGTGTGAATTCAGTAGTAGAGTATTTATTACAATGGTTGCCTTAGTATATAAAAATTACATTTTATGTGCTTATTAAAAAAATCATGTTCTAATACTACATATTTAAACTTACTAGGCATTACTTAAACATATATTTGAGAGATTTCCATGTGACACACTCATAAATAAAGAAAACCTAATGTCTATTTAAAGAAACAAACAAAAATGGTATTGGACAAAATTAACCATCTTCTTCAATTTAGCTAATGCATTTTAAAAATAATAACTACTACATTATCTTGATACTGTTTATAGGAAAGAAAAACAAGTGTTGATTATAGTTATATTTAGAATTTCACCTGTAATTGCTTTAAATAATGGCTTATATTCTTAGCTGGGATTTAATTTCACATTTAGAGGAGCCATTGATTACTGAGTTCCTGATGTTAAAAATGCATATGCTCACTTTCCTAGTCCACCTGCTACCCAAACCAACCTCTGTAATTGCTTTGTATTCACATAATCTTTTTACAGAACTCTGGACTAAAGCCAAATGTGCCTTTCAATAATCAGCAGCTGGACTCTTGTATAGTGATGGCAGAAATCTCAGTGCTTTCAGGTATGGCTTTATCCATAGATAAGTAACTATCTTATAGTAACATTTATGAGAGGGTATGCCATGAAAATAAGATAACATATGTTCAGTGCAAGTAACTGCCTGCCCACAAGAATTTGTAATCCAGTTACAAACCCTTTAACACAACAAATATTTCAAAAATTCTATGGAGTATTTAATCCCACTCTCATACTGTCTTTTGCTTAACACTCGAATTTTAGCAACAAGCTTCAATTACTAGGGCCAATTTCTTTAGGAATTTGGCAACAATTTTCTTCCTCACTGCCTAGCACAAGCAGAAGCAGGGAAAGCCCTTGGAGGTAATTTGGCATGGGAACAGGATCATTTTCTGTCTTATTCACCAATAATTTGAAGCTATATCAATAATTTATAAGCAGAGGATTAAAAGTAAAGCTTCAAAGTCCATTTCAATCATGCAATTAGGACCGTATTGCTATTCAGCATCTTATATTTAGAGGTCAGCTTTATTAATATGCAACGTTAATCTTTTGAAAGATAACATTTATAATTTAGAAGTATCAGACAAATACTATTTTACACAGTCTATTAAAAAATTTCTGAACAATGATTCATTACATCTATCCTTTAGCAGCAATACTATTCACATGCTAAGAAGGTGTTTTAGTTTGCTAGGCCTGCCATAAAACAGTAGCAGATACTGGGTGACTTAAACAACTGAAATTTGTTTTCTCGACATTCTAGAGGCTGGAACTCTGAGGCTGATGTGTCAGCGGGTTGGTTTCTCCCAAAGCCTTTCTCACGGGCTTGCAAATGGCCATTTTCTCCCTGTGTCTTCACATGGTCTTCTCTGTGAATCTGTCTCTGTCCTAACCTCCTCTTTTAATAAGGACACAAGGCATATTGGATTAGGGACCATCCTAATGGCCTCGTTTTAATTTAGTTAGCTCTTCCAAGACACCATCTCCAAGTACAGATTCTGAGGTACCGGAAGTTAAGAATTTAACATATTAATCTGAGGGAGACACAGTTCAGATCCTGACTGAAGGATTTTGTTGTTTTAGTTGTTGTTCTAATAATAAGAAAAAGACACTGAAAACCCTATATTATTTATATTCAATTTTGTTAAAAGCAAAGTCACCTTGGGAAATGGGATGTCTACGTTTGACTCCAAGCCCTGCTACTTACTACCTGTATGGACTTGGGCACATCACTTAAGAAAGCAAAGATGTGTTGGCTTGTGTGCATTTTTAGCTGCTACCTGTAGGTTACACAGCTATTTGTCACACAGGACTGGTTTGCTTGAAGATGTCCCTTCTTTTGGCCTCTACAATGTCACCCTTTCCCAGTAGGAAAAACAAAATAAAAGAATCTGTGCTTTGCATATACATGAAGACCAGATTTTATTCTGAAAGAGGGTTTTTGTTTGGAAATTATGAGAATTAATGACATATAATAGGCATCTCTTAGCAAATTGATATTTCATCTTTTATAATGCATATAAGAAAAAAACCATACTCTTGCTTTCTTAATGTAAAGATGTTCTAAATGCCTGATCTCTTTATATTTTTGGCAGCAGTGAATAAAACTATAATTTTAGCTGAGTGTAACTGAATCATTTGCTTGCTCTTGTGCAACTGGTTTATCTACCGATCATTAGGAATTCACATAAGACCTGTGCAGTATTCTCCATTCTCCTTTCAGGAACACTGAAACCAGCAAAAGCATTCATTTTCTCAAATTAACTGTCTGGCAGTTTAAATATCTATGCTTTTATGCACCGATGTAATTGTGTGTTGGAGCACTGAGCGGTACAATAATTACCATCAGCCACTAGTCTGTATTTATGTACATTCTGCAATGCTTCAATAAAAACTGACAAATCAGGTTTGAAGTGAGTCTTAGGACTTTGCAAAGGCATGTGGAGTATGAAATCTTAGATGTCTCAAATGCATCTAAGATTTTGTACTCTGGTGACCTACTCTCACCTGCAGTATTGATGACCTGGTCTGCCACGGGCTTCCGCTTAGTTTCTGAATCTGTCACAGTATGCTAGAAGTTATGAGCCCCCTGAATCCACAGAGTGTTTGTGTTTAGCACATAAAAGCCTCTATGTAAATATTTGTTAAATAAATGTATTTCCATTCCCATTTTATATGCAAAGCAATCAGGTTTTTCTCTCTATTGGTTTGGTGCATTCTTCCTGTGAGAGCTCATACAATTTGGTTTTCTATGAGGAGAACTACTGTTAGGGTATTTTAGCTGGTATATCTCTTGAATTTCTTCTCTGTGCTACTCCTATCCTCCTTCAACTCATCATCAGTTATTTTAAATGCATCCTCTTGTCCCCATTACTATCCTCCTGCCTCTATTGAAGTCACAGTGCCTCCTTATGCTGCCAACCATCTTCCCACTGCTCCTGAGCTACCGCCTCACCTCCTTTAATTAGTTATTGACATTGCAGCCCAAATGCTCTTTCTAAAATATGAGCTACGAGCCTCAATGTCATCCTCCTCCTCAACATTCTTCAGGCTCTAATAGCCTTGAAGATGAGGTCCAAAGGGCTGAGTGCAGTCACAGCTTTTTTTTGACCTACTTCTTGTGCAGTGCTCAGCCTGCCCTCTTCCTGCATTCCAGGCCTCGCAAATCTACTGTAACTCCTGAAAGGGACCTCACTCCCTCACTTTCACTACTTCTCCCAGCTGCATCCCCTCTCCAAGTGCATAAGAAAAGTGAAGTCTTCTGCTGGGAATAAGGGAGTAGTTATTTACCCATTTTACTATTTGCTTTGCAAAACGAGGTAAGGCACAAGTTACCAAGGATGCCTTGAATATTTTTACATTTATTCAAAGGCAGCGTGGCCTACAGAGGCTGAGAAACACTATCCCACACAACCATGGGCACAACTTACAAGGTGTGTGTGTATCTGTATGGCAGAGGACACTGGGGGTCCCTAAACCAAGGCAGGGGGCATCGAGGGTTGGACATGGTGCTGAGGAGCAGGTGAGAGGCCAGCACAGGCAAGCCAGCCTAAAAACAATTTCACTTGGGTTTTTTCCCAGTCCCAGAATTTTTACCACCAAAATGCACTATTACTAAAAATTTTCCTATCCAGAAAACTTAAGATTTGTATTTAAAGTGTATATTATTGCCTTATTGCATTTATTCTCTTCTCCAATTTAGTTTCAAGCTTAAACATTGCGTTATTTCACCCAGGCTGGAGTGCAGTGGTGCTATCATAACTCAATGAGGCCTTGAAGTCCTGGGCTCCAACAATCCTCCAACCTTAGCCTCCCGAGTAACTGGGACTGCAGGTGTGAGCCACCAAGTTTGGCTTATTTTCATGATTTAAAATTCATTCTATTTTTTTGGTACAGTTGTAACACATTGGTTTAAATCCTCAACAAATTCTCCTTCTCTGTCACTAGTTTCAGTTTCTAATTATTCTAAAATACTGGCACAATACCACTAAAGTTAGTTTGTATTAATACTTATTTGAGTGAATCATGTTACTTCTCACCTAACAGACTCTATAATCTTCCAAAGCACATCAACATTTTTTTTCTAGCAGGTACCTGTAACATTATTTTTATTTTTGTACATAAAATTTTGTATGCACTGATAAATATCTGAGGTTAAACATTCCAGAATGTACAGGGTTTCTGAGCAGTGCACATAGAACTAGGTAGGAACACCAGAACTCCAAGAGGCCTTTGAGCCCATCTAGTTAAAAGTGCTTTGTTTTACAGATATGGAAACCAAAACTCAGAAATTTTAACTTGTCTAAGTTCACAGAAATAGCCAAGTCAGAGGCCAAAATTAGTCTTCAAGCATCCAGTTCAATAAATTTTAACTCTGACAATGCTGTTGTTATATTCAGAGGCACTTACGTATAAAAAATAATGGTCTTGAGAGACTAGTTTTTTGTGTATGGCAAGTGTGCATTTATTTTCAATACTAATGAAGACATTTTAATATTCTTAAATAAAAATAAATCTAATAAATAAATATTTTCCTTTCAGTGTCTTGATATGATAATGAAATATGGGGAGCAAAAGCAGCTCAGTGTTTCCTATAAGTCAGATTGTCCTACGATACGTTTATGCGAAGTTATGGCAACCAGACATGTAGAGAGGATCAGTTGTCCTGCAAAACTGCACTCATTCCACGGCTACATGACTTGTTCATTTAATATCTACCATATAATTTCTCTACCAGTTTCTTACAAATTAAGAACTTGGTACATAATTTTTGATTAAGTGAAATATGAGGCCCAAAAATAAAAACAGAATGTGGACATTAAAATGTGATCACCTAAAAATTGTGGGTTCAGGAGAAGAAACCTCATTGCAATACTATTAGTAGCGTTGGTGGTGATAACAGCGGTAATAGTGGTGGTGAGGTTGGTAGTGACAGAGGTGATGGTAGTATAAAGATGGCAGTAATAATGAGTAGTAGTTTGTGGTGGTAGTAGTGGTACTAGTAGTGGTAGTAGTAGTAGTTATCATGGTAGCAGTATTGGTGATGGCAGTATTGGTGATTGCAGTAATGTTGGATAGTGTTAGTGGCAGTAGTAATGGTAGTAATAGTTAATAGTTTCAGTAGGGTGGTGGTGGTAGTAGTAGTACTAGTAGGGATAGTAGTAGTTATGGTAGTGGTGGTGGTGGTGATGGTAGTAATATTGGTAGTATTAGTGGCAGTAGTCGTGATCGTAGTAACACTGGTAGTTTCAGTAGTGGTGGTGGTAGTGATGATAGTAGTGACAGTAATAGCTAGTAATAGCTAGTATACTAAGATCTAACTTTTTCTTAAGTGTTTTCTAAGGGTCAGGCATTATTCAGAGTGCTTACAAGTATTAATTCATTAATTGTTTCCTTACAATAACCCAAAAAGGTAGTTACTACTACTATTAACATTTTTGCTAGAGGGGGAGAAAACAAAAATAACAAGACAGATGTTATGCAATGTGTCCAAGGTAAATGGCAAAGCTACATTTTTAACTCAGGAAGACTGGTTTCATCTTCATCTTCTACTGTGCTTCTCAAGGCAAGAAACTAAATTATCATGAACAAAACTGATGATAAGTAATTGTTAATAAAGAATGAGGGATATTTTTATAATCTTAGCAATTCTGAATCCAATTCAAAGAAGTATGTAATGCATATCCTGAGTATTGCACTTTCCTGTAACAGCAAGCATGCTTGTATTATTCTAGCGTATTAATTCTGGCTCCTAAATTTACTAGATATGAGTTTTTGAACAACTTCTTTAATTTCCCTATGCCTCAGTTTCTCATCTGATAGGGGTATAGTAATTGTCCTTACATTGTAAAATTACAAACTGAATCAATACAAGGGTTTTGATAAAAAATAATAGCTAGCTAGCTCAATGCTAGCTATTATCTGTTTACCTATTATCTCATCTAATTTTCATAATAATGTAAAAATTATCACAATTTATATAAATTAATTAATTAGTTGTAATTAGTTGAACCAGGATTTGTTGAATTACTATTTCTTTAACACTTAAATTCCATGTCCTTGCCATCACATCATTTTGTTTCTTGGTGAATTGCAACATAACTTTTCTTGGGTCAAGTGTGTTCAGCTGCATGCCAGCCTCACTCCCCTATAGGAATCCTGGGAACAAGCCTCAGCCATAGGACTCCTCTGAGCACAAGTTGCCTCTGAAGGTACTTGATTAATCCAAGGAGGCCATTTCCCGGCCATGTCAACCAGAGTGTGTTCCTGAAATTGTTTAAATGGCCACTGAAAAGAGAATTAGCCTTCTCTCTGTGGTGGCAGTGATCAGTGATAAAATATAAAAGTGGGCACTTCGCTGGCTATATAATTTTTTACCATATAGAGAAAGGCAGTGAGAGAAAGAAGAGGGCACACTGAAAAAAGAAAATCAGAAATAGTTAACATAAAATTACTTCCAGAGGTGTTTTGTTTGTTTGTTTGTTTGTTTTGCTTCCATGTAGTTTCTGAGCACCAGCTGTGTGCCTCCACCACAGCAGTTTGGAGGGCCAAAGCTTCATTAGTTTCTGTGAGCCAGTGCATCCTGCCGTATTTTCTTGAGGTAGTTAGAAGTAGAATTTCATCACTCAAGCAGAAAACAGGCATCTGTCTCTGCTAAGTCTAATACAAAGAAGTTCTAGATCCCATTACTCTACCTCCAAGTCTTTTAATTTAAAGAAATTAATTTTTGGATTCTGACTGAGCATGGTTTTAATATTAATCTATATATAATTCTTTAGAATGATAAAAAGCTGGTAATTTTGTTATTTGAAAAACAATGTGGAATTTAAGAATACACTTTAATTTTATAAACTATAAAGGAAAAATAAAAGAAAATAATACTTTGTTTTCAACTCATAGGCTCTTGATTTTTCTTTCAAAATTCTCAGGATTCTTTGGGGTCCACAGGGAATGGAGAGAAGAGCTGAGCCTTTCGGTGAACTCCTCACATGATTGGCTTGGCCACGTGTTAGCTATGTGTCCAGAGTCAATAACTAACATCCTCTTTGCTTCTATTTCCTTATATGTAAAGTAGAGCTGATGATATTATCTACCTCATAGGGACACTCAAAGATTGTGTGAGTAATCTACATATGTAAAATGTGTAAAGCACTGAGAACAACACTTAGCAGTTAATAAATCTTAGTTCATTTTCTTATCATTTCCAACATATTTATTTGAAATAAAATATTGAAAATCATGGTACATGTAATTTTTTTTTAAAACCTGAAGGGGAAAAATGAACTGTTGCTTCTTGGAGTTGTAGTGTCTTCTCCAGTCATGAAGCATGGTTTCTACTCTTTGGGTTGAAGCCTGTTGAGAATGGACTCTTAGTGGGTCAAACACTTCCAATGCCTTAACAACTAGGAAATTTAAGGTTAATAAACAAATCATATTCCCAAGTGGCTGGTATGCAGCCTTATTTTTTATTATCAAATAGATTGTTCATAAATCATACATTTGGAAAATAGAGAAGCAAGTAGGTGCTTTCTGTAAAATGCAACCTAAGAACAGGAGGGTGCTCAGTCTTCTGCAGTGGTCAGCATCTTTCCCTTCCCCAGGGCCAACTTCACATAGCTTTTACCAGGTTACAGGGAACTCAGCACACTTCAGCTCTGCTAGTCACAAATCTCACCACACTAATTAGATTGTGAAGCAAAACCAAACATAACCTAACTTCAGACCTAATATTAATATTAAAGAAGAAAATATAAATGAATAGAGGAAATGTTGGCTTCCTCCTAGTTCCTGGGACTTTTCAGTTGCTAGTACATGCTTATCTACAGTCTAGTGGTAACAGAGAGAATAAGTAAACTCAGTGACCAGGAGAGAGACTTCGCTACTCACTGAAATATAGTGAGAGCTAATTCTGTGATTAAAAAATCACTTAAAAATAACTAAATTGTAAGACTCAGACAGCAATGGAGCGAAAACAATTTTGCTGAGAGGCATGAGGACTGGTGCCATGCCCTACCTTCCTCCTCCATGATTATTGATCAGCTTTATCTGAAATATTGGCATTTCCCTGTGTGTGAATTAGACCCTAAACATTTTATGTTCTTTATAAGAAAAAGAAAAACATATTGTATACTGATGTCAGGAATCAATCTTAGATAAGGACAATTCTTTCTTGTTTATTTTTCCAGAATGTGAAGAATCACACGCATTTTGATCATACCGGATAAACAAGCATAGCCTGTTTATTTTTTGATATGCTGGACTCTAAAATTATAGTAAATTACATCTGTTCTTAAGTGCTTTTTTACAGCATGACAAGTCCAAATTGTGTGCACACACTCTGGAAAAGATGTCTAAAAGGCATTTGAATATTTTCAGGCATATGTAAAACAAAGACAAATGATGATTCACATTCAGCTGAGTGATTAGAACTTTTTCAAGCAGAAAGAACGGAATATGTTAGTTCCAGTATTATTAAAATTGTCTTAAAATGTAAACCGTGATGTTAAAATTATCAAATATAATCTTCGTCATGTTGTTTCATGCCTCATTCTCCACTGAGAAAATGAGTCCTAGCATTAAAAAATCTAAGTACTCAGAAGCTTTGGTATTCTGTAAGTTAAATATAAAGTTTTCCACTTAACTTAAAATGCCAGGATGTTTTTTGACTCCTTTGCAGTTCTGAAGGTCATTCTGCTGATGCCATGGTCAGGTAGAGTCATAAGTAAATTTGCAGAGTGAATAGCATAGAGCTCAGAAGTTATTGGAATATGGCTTCTGCATCAACAGGCAAATAGGAGCAGCAGCCCCTGCACTCCTCAAGCAAAATGCTCATGGAAAATGAGTCTAAAATAGACATTTCTGGCACACCAACAACCTAACCTGACTAACAAGAGAAAGAAATAGGCCAGGTTTTAAAATTATAAAACTTCACGTAGGCCTGCATCCAATGGGCATGCTTTGTGCATATGAAGAAGGTGTATATTCAAAATTCTTATAAATGAACGAATACGAATTAGGTACGCAATGACTGAGGATGGAGAAGTGGGTGAGAATTTTATCTTATGTGGTTTTAAAGTCCATTCCAACACAGAGTCAAGGATTCCTAAAAATTATAAGCAACGTAAATCAAAGGGTGGGTAAAAATCATAGAAATAAAAGACCTAAGAGTGGAGTTGGGGAAAAGCCAGTGCTGAGAAAAATCAAGAAAGACAAATTTTATGCTGAAATTGATTTTGGAGTAAAATCCTACTTCACAGAATCATTGTAAGTATTACATTAAGTAGAAAAAAAGGCATTTGGAAAGTGTTTAATGTTAGATGGTGTTAGTTATGTTTCAGGGCATGGGGTCTGGAATCCGACACCCTAAATTTGACCACTTAATAACAATTTAACTGTTGGAAGTCACTGATGTCTGCCTATAGCGTATTTTCTTTTATGTAACCTGGAAATAAAAATGGTGCACATTTTATAAAGAATTAAATAAAAAGAAAGACATATGAAAGATCTTCAAAAAGTGCCTTGAGCATAACAAACACTCAAGTTACGCTCATGGTGCTGTGACTGTGTGTATGATGCTGGGGAGGGCTGCTTCAGCTGCACAGTGGCAAACCTGACATGACCTTGGGACTGCTGTAGTGTATGACTGACATTTTATTTACTTTAAAACAAAATTCTCTCCACTGGGGGTTGGGGGGCGGTGGGTGGTACTTTTCAATGAATGATGAAGGAGTAGTTGGACATTTATAAGCAAAATAAAATAAGTCTTAAGCTAAACGTCATACCTTGCAAAAAAATGATCTCTAAATGGGTCATTGACTTAATGTAATGTAAACAATAAAATGCAATGTAAACAATAAAGTTCTAGACACACACACAGAGCACGACAATTTCCTTCCACCTCTCAGCACTCATTTGTCATCACTTGTCTCCTTAACTGCAGAGTATCATAGCAACTTTCCTACAAAGGCCTTCAACCATCTCGTTTTTTTTTTTTTTTTTTTTGAGACAGAGTCTCGCTCTGTCACCCAGGCTGGAGTGCAATGGCAAGATCTTGGCTCATTGCAAACTCTGCCTCCAGGGTTCCTCCAGCAATTCTCCCACCTAGCCACCCCAGTAGCTGAGATTACAGGCACCAGACATGATGCTCGGCTAATTTTTGTATTTTTGTAGAGACGGGGTTTCACCATGTTAGCCAGGCTGATCTTGAACTCCTGACCTCAGGTGATCCACCCACCTCGGCCTCCCAAAGTGCTGGGATTACAGGCATGAGCCATGGCACCCGGCCAAGCATCTTAACCCTCTCACTCACACTGTAAAACCACATCCTTAGTAGAATTTAATCACCATTCTCTCCAGTCTTAACACCTGAATTTTGCAAGACAATATCAGAAAGTAAGCTGACTGGTTGCACTTTAAATCCATGACCTCAGACATGGACTTTCATTATAAACCCAATATATTTCCAATTAAATTCACTTTCTAAAGTATTTATTTTTTCATGTTTTCATTTTTCATGGCAAATCTATTCTTGAATTTTAACATATTTAATTGACAAGTACATGTCATATATATTCAAGGTGTCCAACATGATGATTTGATATATGCAAACATTGTGTTATAATAATCACAATCAAACTAATTGCTACACCACTCCTGCTGTACATTATATCCCCCAGAACTTGTTCATATATTTTTTTTCTTTTTTAGAGATGGAGTCTCACTCTGTCACCAGGCTGTAGTGCATTGGCACGATCTCGGCTCATTGCAACCTCTGCCTCCTGGGTTCAAGTGATTCTCCTGCCTCAGCCTCCAGAGTAGCTGGGACTACAGGCGTGCACATCTACGCCCAGCTAATTTTTATATTTTTAGTAGAGACGGGGTTTCACCATGCTGGCCAGGATGGTCTCAGTCTCTTGACCTCGTGATCCACCTGCCTGGGCCTCCCAAAGTGCTAGGATTACAGGTGTGAGCCACTGCGCCCGGCTTTGTTCATCTTAAAACTGAAACTTTATACCCTTTGGCCAACATTTCCCCAGTTTCCTTTCCCTCAGTCTCAGGCCAACTACCTTCTGACATGCTGCTTCTATGGGTTTGACTTTTTAAAATTTCTCAAATAAGTGATATTGTACAGCATTTGTTTTTCTCAATCAGGTTTATTTCATTTAGCACAATGTCCTCCAGGTTCATCCATATTGTCACAGATAGCAGGATTTCCTTCTTTTTAAGAAGTTATTGCATGTTTGTCACTATTAGCAATGAGATACATTCTTTTACTGCTTATTACTAATATAAAGAAAATCTACTGGTTTTAAGTATTTATTTTTTAGATAATTACCATATCAAATTGTCTAAAATAATTCCAACTGCTTTTTAGTTGCACCTTTGATTTTCTAGGCATGCAATAATATAAATCAAAGTAAATGAGTGTCTCTTATGTGATATAGTATTATTCACATTATTTGTGGGTGAATTGTTAGTTATTATGTCGAATATTCTCAATCTATTCCTAGATTATTAGTCTTTAAAAGCAGTAAAGATCACATAATCTTGTCAAACGTCGTTTTGTGATTAGATTTTTTCTATGATAATTTATGTGAAGTTGAGACATCCATGCATATTTATTTATTTATTTATTTATTTATTTATTTGTATATTTTTATTATACTTTAAGTTCTAGGGTACATGTGCACAACGTGCAGGTTTGTTACATATGTATATACATGTGCCATGTTGGTGTGCTGCACCCATTAACTAATCATTTAAAATTCAACAGTCCTTCAGGCTAAAAACTCTAAATAAATTAGGTATTGATGGAACATATCTCAAAATAATAAAAGCTATTTATGACAAACCCACAGCCAATTGCATACTGAATGGGCAAAAACTGGAAGCATTCCCTTTGAAAACTGGCACAAGACAGGGATGCCCTCTCTCACCACTCCTATTCAACATAGTGTTGGAAGTTCTGGCCAGGGCAATCAGGCAGGAGAAAGAAATAAAGGGTATTCAATTAGGAAAAAAGGAAGTCAAATTGTCCCTGTTTGCAGATGACATGATTGTATATCTAGAAAACCCCATCGTCTCAGCCCAAAATCTCCTTAAGCTGATAAGCAACTTCAGCAAAGTCTCAGGATACAAAATCAATGTGCAAAAATCACAAGCATTCTTATAAACCAATAAAAGACATGAGTGAACTCCCATTCACAATTGCTTCAAAGAGAATAAAATACCTAGGAATCCAACTTACAAGGGATGTGAAGGACCTCTTCAAGGAGAACTACAGACCACTGCTCAACAAAATAAAAGCAGACACAAACAAATGGAAGAATTTTCCATGCTCATGGATAGGAAGAATCAATATCCTGAAAATGGCCATACTGCCCAAGGTAATTTATAGATTCAATGCCATCCCCATCAAGCTAGCAATGACTTTCTTCACAGAATTGGAAAAAAACTACTTTAAAATTCATATGGAACCAAAAAAGAGCCCACATTGCCAAGTCAAAATCAATCCTAAGCCAAAAGAACAAAGCTGGAGGCATCATGCTACCTGACTTCAAACTATACTACAGGGCTACAGTAACCAAAACAGCATGGTACTGGTACCGAAACAGAGATATAGACCAATGGAACAGAATAGAGCCCTCAGAAATAATACCCCACATTTACAACTATCTGATTTTTGACAAACCTGACAAAAACAAGAAATGGGGAAAGGATTCCCTATTTAACATCCATGCATATTTAGAATTAAATATTTGGGCCAGATGCAGTGGCTCATGCCTGTAATCCCAGCACTTTAGGAGGCCGAAGCAGGTGGATCACTTGAGACCAGCCTGGCCAACATGGCGAAACCCCATCTCTACTAAAAATACAAAAATTAGCCAAGTGTGGTGGCAGGGGCCTGTAATCCCAGCTACTCGGAAGCCTGAGGCAGAAGACTCTCTTGAACCTGGGAGATAGAGGTTGCAGTGAGCTGAGATTGTGCCACTGCACTCCAGCCTGGGTGACAGAGCAAGAATCTGTCTCAAAAAAAAAAAAAAAAAAAAAAAAAGAAAGAACTAAATACTTGTGTATGCTGCATAACTGTTTTGATATACCTCTTGATTTTATTAACTAGTTTTTTAATTAAGGTTTTTACACCTGCATTCTTAGATCCAATTGCTGTATTGCTTCAGTTTATGCTACCATATGAACCTTCAAATCAGAAGGTTATCTTTATTCTTTTTTCTCTATTTTAATATGTTTAGTGTAAAGTCATCCACGTATGCCTGAAATCATACCTACCTGGTTTCCTACATTATTCTTTTGGTATGACTTTAGATTTAATTAACTAAAATTATAATTAGGGTGATTACATCTATGTTCTTAATGCAAATTTAGTTTTAGTCATATCTTAATAATATTCTGAAATAAAATATATGCCAACTATCTTTTCTGTCATCTCAAATTCTTTGGATGATGAAAAAAATCATGTGTTTTCTGAAGATTAACACTTGTCTTTTCTATCAGACCATTTTTCCAGTACTACTAAATTTTCAAGTTTGATAAAATATAATTTTCTTAAAATAATTCATTCACCTTTTCAGATTTATGCCATAAAGTTACTTATATTGTGGCTATTTTTTTGGCCTAAAGTATTATTTTTGTTATATCTTCCTTTGTGAGTTTTTTAACTCTGAAAGTGGAAACTTTCTTTTTTCCATAGTCCCTTTTTTCTTCTGATACTTTCTTTTCCTTACTTTCCATTTCAACTCCTGTTATTTGGCCACAGAGTTATTCTCCATGTCCCATTTGTCACTCATAATTTCAGTTTCCTAGGATTTTGCTTGGAGCTGAGATATATGCCCTCCACTGGGCCTTGGTAAATACTGATGCAGTTCCACTTGTAGTAATCATTTTCTCTCTTTAATAAGAGTTTTAATGGAGGGGTATATTGCTCTTCTTGCGCTGCCATAATAAAATATCATAGACTTGGTGGCTTAAACAACAGAAACTTATTTTCTCATATTTCTGGAGGCTGGAAGCCTAACCTCGTTTCTAGCAGTTGGATTTCTGGTGAGGGCTCTCTTCCTCCCTTCTCACTGTGACCTCACATGGTTTTCTTCTGTAGGTGCAAGAAGAATGAGAAGAAGAGGGAAAGAGAGAGAGAGAGAAAGAGACAGAGAGAGGATATACTTTCTGGTGCCTCTTCGTATAAGGACACTATTCATATTCAATTAAGACCCCCACCTTATGACGTCCTTCAACGTAAACTACCTCCTTAGAGTCCTCCATCTCCAAATACCATTATATTGGGGGGGTAGAGCTTCAACATATGAGTTTTGGGGAGAGACAATTTAGTCCATAGCAGGAAAGTACAGTAGGTGACCTCAGGAAGCAAGTGTGAGGGAGCTAGGAGAGTAAGGCGATGACAACAAAAATACACTAACACTCATAGGCATTGATGTTGCAATGAGTAGAGTTGTAAATCTTCCTGGGATCTGGATAATCATAATGAATTCCTCCTCAGAAAATCTGTCTAAACCAGAAGTCATCACATTACAACTTGCAGGTAGAGTTGAAAGTTAAATAAATGATACCTGGTTAAGTTTGAATTTCATAGAAATAACAAATAATTGTTTAGGACATACCTAGATTAAAGAAGTTAATTGTTATTTGAAATTCCAATGTAAGCATCCTATATTTTTATATGCTAAATATGGCAACCCTCCCCATTGGCCCAATTTAGCCAGGGGCCAATTTTTGTACATAAAATTTTAATTGGAACATGACCACATTCATTCACTTTTGTATTGTCTATGGCTGTTTTTGCACTACAGTAGTATTAATGAGTAGTAACTGCAAGACAGTGTGACCAGAAAATGTTACAATGTGTACTAAATATATTTACCAAAAAATATACTAAATATGTTTACCTGGATTTAAAGGACAAAAAGCTTCATCTCGAGCAGTTGGTGTTGGTTCCTAAAGCTTTAGCCCCTTGCTCTTCCAGGCTTTGTGCATCTGCAGGAGTGCTAAGAGGGTTCAGGGTTATAGAGACCAAAAGCTGAAAGACAAATGGCTTGTCTGAGCTCAGAAAGACTAACTACTACAGTTGCAAATGAAATCACAAGTGTTGCTCACCAAGGATGCCTGAGCCTTCCAGGAAGGCTGATGATGGTCACTGATGAGAGTCCTGCCTGCACCTGTGTTAGAGTAGGCTGATAGCCAGACATGAGCAGAAGGGGAAGCCCCTGAGAAAAGGGAGGGCTGGAAAATCTCACACCCCAGAGACCACTCAAAGCATCCATGCTAGATATGAGGAGAGAGGAGGGAAAACACCTAGATGGAAAGCAATGTCCCTTATGACTTGCAGTAATCCCTCACTCTGCAGTTAACCTGCCAGAATGTCACTAGATGCATGATGATAAGGGAAGAGGGCAGAGGAGAAATCCCTAAGAGATACGCAGGAGCAGTAAGTACAGGTTTAACCACTACACAACCTTCCTGGAGTGAAAAACACAGCCATTAGATAGAATTCATATCCAATTCCTGGTTTGCACATGCGTATCAACAGAGAGTAAGAGAGAATTCCACAAGCCTGGGCAGAAACTAGATGGGGAAAGGTGGGTACTTAAGACAGAAGTGGGAAAACTAGAGAAAGAAAAAGGTGGTGACTTAAGACAAAGGTGGGAACTTCCAGAACAATCCAACATTATAAAAAGCCCATGCAGACTCTCAGGGCTGTTGCCGGCACACTGGCTTTCAGTAGCCCACTCTGCCTCACCTTTCAGAGTATCCTGTCTCTCTATGTAAACTCTCTGTTCTCAATTTCCCTTCAATAGGGCTCACTGATATCTTTGAATTGTCACTTAGTAGAAATCTGTCTCCCAAGTAAGACCAAGAACCGAGGATCTCCCCCTTCCTGATAACACCTGGACTTCCTGTTGAATGAGACCACTCAATGGCTCAGTTATTTAAGGAATTATAGTAGGGTATTCTATTCATTAAGTTTGAGAACAATTCTAACTAATATCATATGAACATTTGCTAAATGCTGCAGAACATAATTTGAGAACTCTTGATCTAACTAGAAAATTGGTGCAGTTTTACCAATTTTCCCCACTATGATTCCTCCATGTTTTATACTCTCCATTGAGGTGCTGGACTTAGACTCCTGGCATGTTTTTGGTAATGTGATTTTCTGCAGGATGACAGAACTTAAGATTGAAGAAACTTGAAAGTGAATATGAATTGCATCTGCTAAAAAATTCTCATGAATTAGGTATTAATTGTATCCTTGTACATTTAAATATTTGCCTATTTATGTCAGTGGACAAGAGAGTCAGGCTGTCCTGTCTTTTGGTAAGAAAGATAGTCAAAGTTCAAGGGAGAGATCTTTCTTTTGATTCCTGTGGTATGCCATGAATTGGCTTCCTATGAACTTCCAGAAAAGGAATGTGGGATGCTCCATACCCAGGAGTGGAAAGTGTCTCTGTTGTCAATGGAAATGGTGGTGCCCCACAGGGCTGGACCCAGAAATCAGAGTAGAGTCCCTTTATATTCAATAATGGAATTTCCTTAAGTCAATTATGCTTCCTACTCCCTGCCTACCCGCCTTTTCCACCTAGACTATATACATACACAGAAGTGATGCTAAGATTGCTCCAGACAGGGTCATCTCACATCTGCAAATTCCTGGGTCTCTGGCCTCTTCAAAGTTTCCTTCAGACTCCAAAAGTAAACCACAGTTGTTTTAGTGTAAGGTTCCTTGAGCAATGTATTGGATATACTCAAAATCAAGCAAATTTGTTCAGGCCACTGTATGACTAAAATCCCCCCACAAATAACTCAGCAAAGGAGCTGGACATAGTAGGATTTTAACAAAGCTTCTATAAATGGAACAAAAGCATATAAAATATTTTAGGTTCAAGAAAATCACAAAGAAAGAAGATACTAAATCATTTTTGTTGTTATTGTTTTATTCAGTTGTAAATTTTACCGAAAGTTTTGTGGGGGTTTTTCCCTTCATGAATGTTTTGTTACAAAATAAATCTTGCTTTTTGTACAGTATCATCTTTATAGCATTGAAAATACGTTTACCACCTTCTTCACTCTCAATATTGTTTTTTACACAACATCAAATTCAATCCCAGTTCCATGTGAAATTATTGCAAAGAATGGCAAATATAAATTATTCTTACAACATCAACCTTTGACCTGCCTTCTGAAATACCAGAACATAAACTGTCTTGTACTTTGTAATATCTCTTCATTCCCCTAACAGCAACTTGATTTTACTCAGCATGTCAAGTCTAATAAATAACAGTATTCTGTTCATTTGTTGCTGTTATTTTCAAAATAAAATAATTGCTCTATCTTTCTTCAATGCCTCTTGAACAGAGTTCTATTTAGTTAGTAAATGATGCTGGCCTAATTATTTAAAGAGAGAAAACTATGCAAGGTAGAATTTGTGTGACCCACGTTGGTGGCTACCTCATCAAAACTTGGAATATCTCTTGTTGCCAGCAAAAGACCTACACAGGTAGAATGTGATCAATGAAATGGACACTGACTCATCATTCAAAATATAGCTTGGGGAAATGCTCACGGCAAAGGCAAGGAAACTAACGCTTACCAAAAAATTATGTGATGTTAACACAAAATATTTTACACATTTTCTCATTTCATTCTTACAACACTTAGTGATTCGCTCTTGTTAAAAATCTTGATTTCTAGCCAGGCATGGTGGTTCATGCCTGTAATCCCAGCACTTTGGGCGGCTTAGGTGGGCAGATCACTTGAGGTCAGGAGTTCGAGACCAACCTGGCCAACATGGTAAAACCCCGTCTCTACTAAAAATATGAAAATTAGCTGGGCATGTTTGCAGGTGCCTGTAATCCCAGCTACTTAGGAGGCTAAGGCAGGAGAATTGCTTGAACCTAGGAAGCAGAGGTTTCAGTGAGCCAAGATCATGCCACTCCACTCCAGCCCAGCCAACAAAACAAAACAAAAAAAACAAAAAAACAAAAAACCTTGATTCCGCATTTATGTTATTTTAACCTTTAAAATAATGTTTGAGATAAGTTACTCCTAAACTTTTAAAAAAAGTGAAAGCAATTAATTCTAGTTATTAAATATAACATAATTAAAGAAGTATTTAAAGACACCTTACTTTATAAAATTGACCTTTAAATATCATACATGTGTGAGAATCTTTCAATCTATTTTCTTTTATCTATCTATCTACATATCTATCTGTCTATGTTGCCAATATTCCTTCCAGAATGCTAATAAAGGATGGGGAAAAGGTCCATACCTTATTCTTTCATGTTGCCCAAGTTACACTTTGTTTTGGCAACTTAGGATAGTCTTGAGAATTTATAAAAGGTAAAGATATTTAGAAGATGAAAATATAAAAGGGCATTCAAGAAAACTTACTTTAGTGGACATTAACTGCATTCCCTTCCTTGAGAATAAAATTTTACATTCTGTAATTCTTTTAATTTAGACTGGAAAGTCTCTTAATTGTCTTGCTGGGCACCCTGGAGCTTCAGTTGCTCATTACCAGCAGGCAACATATTTCCTATGTGTTCTGCTCTTGCCAATCATAAAACTTTAATTTAGGAACAAGAGTTAATCAGCTCTGTTTGTCTCCAAACCTGTTTATGGCAGTATGAATTGCTATTGTGATTATATAATGATTTTCAGATATACATATTATTGAAATTCCTTGCTAAAATATAGAATTGAGTCTATACAATCTGTGAATATTTGGGTGGACATAATAAAGGTGAGTTGTCAAACACAATGTTATCAAAGTTAAAGTAAGTCAATCAGAAAAGTTTGCAAAACTCATGAGAATGCAAGAAGGATTCTGCATTCATATCACATAAAGAAAACTAAAAACAGAAACACACGATCATCTCAAGAGATGCAGAAAATACTTTTGATAGAATTCAACATCCTTCATGTTAAAAATCCTCAACAAACTAGGCATTGAAGGAAAGTACCTCAAAATGAGAAGAGCCATCTCTGACAAATCTGCAGTCAACATCATTGAATGAGCAAAAGCTGGAGTCACTGCTCTTGAGAACTGGAACAAGATGAGGATGGCCAACCCTCACTATTCCTATTCAACATAGTACTGTGAAATGGTTAGTTCTGTGTCCCCACCCAAATCTCATGTTGAATTATAATTCCCAATTTTGGGAGAGGGACTTGGTGGGAAGTGATTGGATCATGGAGGTGGATTCCCCCCATGTTATTCTCATGATAGTGAGTGAGTTCTCATGAGATCTGATTATTTAAAACTGTGTGACAATTCCTCTCCTTGCTCTCCTCCCTCTATGTGAAGAAGATTCTTACTTCCCCTTCTCCTTCCACCATGATTGTAAGTTTCCTTAGGCCTCCCATTCATGCTTCCTGTTAAGCCTGCAGAACTGTTAGTCAATTAAATTCTTTTCTTCATAGATTAACCAGTCCCAGGTAGTTATTTATAGCAGTGTACGAATAGACTAATACATACTGGAAGTCCTAGCTAAAGCAATCAGGCAAGAGAAAGAAATAAAAGGCATCCAAATAGGAAGAGAGTAAGTCAAACTATTTTTGTTTGCAGATGATATGATTCTATACCTAGAAAACCCCACAGTAATTACCCAAAAGCTTCCAGATCTGATAAACAACTTTGTCAAAGTTTCAGGATACAAAATCAATGTATAAAAATCAGTAGGATTTCTATATGCCAGTAATGTCCAAGCTGAAAGCCAAATTCAGAATGCGATCTCACTCACAATAGTCACAAAAATAATAAAATACCTAGGAATACAGCTAACCAGGAAAGCGAAATTTCTCTACAATGAGATTTACAAAACACTGCTGAAAGAAATCAGAGACATCACAACTAGAAAAATATCCCATGCTCATGAATAGGAAGAATTGATGCTGTCAAAATGGCCATACTGCACAAAGCAATTTACAGATTAAATACTATTCCTACTAAAATTCCAATAACTTTCTTCACAGAATTAGAAAAAAATTATTTGAAGACAAAAAAGAGCCCAAAGAGCCAAAACAATAATAAGCAAAAAAAACAAAACAAAACAAAACAAAAAAGCTGAAGACATCATGTTACTCAAATTCAAACTATACTTCAAGGCTACAATAACCAAAAGAGCATGGTACTGGTACAAAATAGAAACACAAACCAATGGAATAGAATGGAGAGTGCAGAAATAAAACTACACACCTACAACCATCTGATTTCAACAAAGTCAAGAAAACAAGCAATGGGAAAAGAACTTCCTATTCAATAAATGATGCTGAAATAACTGGCTGCCCATATGCAGAAGATAGGAGCTGGACTCCTTCCTTACGCCATATACATAAATCAACTCAAGAGGGACTAAAGACTTCAATGTAAAACTTAAAACTATAAAAGCCCTGGAAAGTAACCTAGGAATGGATGTAGGATATGGCAAAGATTTCAAGATGCAGATGCCAAAAGTAACTACAACAAAAACAAAAATTGACAAATATGACCTAATTAAATTAAAAGGCTTCTGCAGAGCAAAAGAAACCATCAACAGAGTAAATAGACAACCTACAGAATGGAAGAAAATATTTGCAAATTCTGCATCCTACAACAGTCTAATATGCATAATCTATAAGGAAACTAATCACAACAACAAGTGAAAAACAAACAACCCCATTGAAAAGTGGACAGAGGGCATGAACAGACACTTCTCAAAACAAGACATACACATGGCCAGAAGCAAAATGAAGGCAGAAATAAAGATGTTCTTTGAAACCAACAAGAACAAAGACACAACATACCAGAATCTGTGGGACACATTCAAAGCAGTGTGTAGAGGGAAATTTATAGCACTAAATGCCCACAACAGAAAGCAGGAAAGATCCAAAATTGACACCGTAACATCACAATGAAAAGAATTAGAAAAGCAAGAGCAAACACATTCAAAAGCTAGCAGACGGCGAAAAATAACTAAAATCAGAGCAGAACTGAAGGAAATAGAGACACAAAAAAACGCTTCAAAAAATTAATGAATCCAGGAGCTGGTTTTTTGAAAGGATCAACAAAATTGATAGACCGCTAGCAAGACTAATAAAGAAGAAAAGAGAGAAGAATAAAATAGACGCAATAAAAAATGATAAAGGGGATATCAGCACCGATCCCACAGAAATACAAACTACCATCAGAGAATACTTCAAACACCTCTATGCAAATAAACTAGAAAATCTAGAAGAAATGGATAAACTCCTCGACACATACACCCTCCCAAGACTAAACCAGGAAGAAGTTGAATCTCTGAATAGACTAATAACAGGCTCTGAAATTGTGGCAATAATCAACAGCTTACCAACCAAAAAGAGTCCAAGACCAGATGGATTCACAGCTGAATTCTACCAGAGGTACAAGGAGGAACTGGTACCATTCCTTCTGAAACTATTCCAATCAATAGAAAAAGGGGGACTCCTCCCTAACTCATTTTATGAGGCCAGCATCATCCTGATGCCAAAGCTGGGCAGAGACACAACCAAAAAAGAGAATTTTAGACTGATATCCCTGATGAACATTGATGCAAAAATCCTCAATAAAATACTGGCAAACCAAATCCAGCAGCACATCAAAAAGCTTATCCAGCATGATCAAGTGGGCTTCATCCCTGGGATGCAAGGCTGGTTCAATATTTGCAAATCAATAAATGTAATCCAGCATATAAACAGAACCAAAGACAAAAACCACATGACTATCTCAATAGATGCAGGAAAAGCCTTTGACAAAATTCAACAACTCTTCATGCTAAAAACTCTCAATAAATTAGGTATTGATGGGACGTATCTCAAAATAATAAGAGCTATCTATGACAAACCCACAGCCAATATCATTCTGAATGGGGAAAAACTGGAAGCATTCCCTTTGAAAACTGGCACAAGACAGGGATGCCCTCTCTCACCACTCCTATTCAACATAGTGTTGGAAGTTCTGGCCAGGGCAATTAGGCAGGAGAAGGAAATAAAGGGTATTCGATTACGAAAAGAGGAAGTCAAATTGTCCCTGTTTGCAGATGACATGATTGTATATCTAGAAAACCCCATCATCTCAGCCCAAAATCTCCTTAAGCTGATAAGCAACTTCAGCAAAATCTCAGGATACAAAATCAATGTACAAAAATCACAAGCATTCTTATACACCAACAACAGACAAACAGAGAGCCAAATCATGAGTGAACTCCTATTCACAATTGCTTCAAAGAGAATAAAATACCTAAGAATCCAACTTACTAAGGACGTGAAGGACCTCTTCAAGAAGAACTACAAACCACTGCTCAATGAAATAAAAGAGGATACAAAGAAATGGAAGAACATTCCATGCTCATGGGTAGGAAGAATCAATATCGTGAAAATGGCCATACGGCCCAAGGTAATTTATAGATTCAATGCCATCCCCATCAAGCTACCAATGACTTTCTTCACAGAATTGGAAAAAACTACTTTCAAGTTCATATGGAACCAAAAAAGAGCCCGCATCGCCAAGTCAATCCTAAGCCAAAAGAACAAAGCTGGAGGCATCACACTACCTGACTTCAAACTATACTACAAGGCTACAGTAACCAAAACAGCATGGTACTGGTACCAAAACAAAGATATAGATCAATGGAACAGAACAGAGCCCTCAGAAATAACGCCGCATATCTACAACTATCTGATCTTTGACAAACCTGACAAAAACAAGCAATGGGGAAAGGATTCCCTATTTAATAAATGGGGCTGGGAAAACTGGCTAGCCATATGTAGAAAGCTGAAACTGGATCCCTTCCTTACACCTTATACAAAAATTAATTCAAGATGGATTAAAGATTTAAACGTTAGACCTAAAACCATAAAAACCCTAGAAAAAAACCTAGGCATTACCATTCAGGACATAGGCATGGGCAAGGACTTCATGTCTAAAACACCAAAAGCAATGGCAACAAAAGCCAAAATTGACAAATGGGATCTAATTAAACTAAAGAGCTTCTGCACAGCAAAAGAAACTACCATCAGAGTGAACAGGCAACCTACAAAATGGGAGAAAATTTTTGCAACCTACTCATCTGACAAAGGGCTAATATCCAGAATCTACAATGAACTCAAACAAATTTACAAGAAAAAAACAAACAACCCCATCAAAAAGTGGGTGAAGGACATGAACAGACACTTCTCAAAAGAAGACATTTGTGCAGCCAAAAAACACATGAAAAAATGCTCATCATCACTGGCCATCAGAGAAATGCAAATCAAAACCACAATGAGATATCATCTCACACCAGTTAGAATGGCAATCATTAAAAAGTCAGGAAACAACAGGTGCTGGAGAGGATGTGGAGAAATAGGAACACTTTTACACTGTTGGTGGGACTGTAAACTAGTTCAACCATTGTGGAAGTCAGTGTGGCGATTCCTCAGGGATCTAGAACTAGAAATACCATTTGACCCAGCCATTCCATTACTGGTTATATACCCAAAGGATTATAAATCATGCTGCTATAAAGACACATGCACACGTATGTTTATTGCGGCACTATTCACAATAGCAAAGACTTGGAACCAACCCAAATATCCAACAATGATAGACTGGATTAAGAAAATGTGGCACATATACACCATGGAATACTATGCAGCCATAAAAAATGATGAGTTCGTGTCCTTTGTAGGGACATGGATGAAATTGGAAATCTTCATTCTCAGTAAACTATCGCAAGGACAAAAAACCAAACACCGCATGTTCTCACTCATAGGTGGGAATTGAACAATGAGAACACATGGACACAGGAAGGGGAACATTACACTCTGGGGACTGTTGTGGGGTGGGAGGAGGGGGGAGGGATAGCATTAGGAGATATACCTAATGCTAAATGACGAGTTAATGTGTGCAGCACACCAGCATGGCACATGTATACATATGTAACTAACCTGCACATTGTGCACATGTACCCTAAAACTTAAAGTATAATAATAATAAAATAAAATAAAATAAGAAAATATACTCCCCATCACTAATCATTAGGAAATGCATATCAAAACCACCATGAGATATTCTCTCACATCAGCCAGATGGTTATTATTAAAAACTCAAAGAATAACGATGCTGAAGAAGTTGTGAAGAAAAGGGAATGCTTATACACTGCTGGTGGGAATGCAAATTAGTTCAGCCTCTGTGGAAAGTAGTTTGGAGATTTCTCAAATAACTTAAAACAGGACTACCATTTCACCCAACAATCCTATTACTGACTATATACTCAAAGGAATATTAATTTTCTACCATAAAAACAGACGCATGTGTATGTTCATTGCAGCCCTATTATCATTAGCAAAGACATAGCATAAACCTAGATGCCCACCAATGATGGATTGCGTAAGGAAAATGTGGTACATATATACCATGGAATACTATGCAGCCATAAAAAAGAGTGAGATCATGTTTTTCACAGCAACATAGATGGAACTGGAGGCCATTATCCTAAGCAAAGTAACGTAGGAACAGAAAACCAAATACCATATGTTCTTGTTTATAAGTTGGAGATAAACATTGAATACACGTGGACACAAAGAAAATAACAGACACCAGGGAATATTTGAAGGTGGACAGTGGGAGGAGGGTGAGGATGAAAAAACTGACTATTGGGTACTATGCGTCTCACTTGGGTGATGAAATAATCTATACACCAAACCCCAATGACATACAATTTACCTATAAAACAAACCTGCACATGGATCCCTGAACCTAAAATAATTTTTTAAAAAAAGGAATGTTAAGTATTATTGTACTTTTAAAAACCTGAAAATGGAAATATGACATAGAAAATGCATACCAAGTACTGTTTATGAAGAAAAATCTAGATAAAACTCTAATTAACAAGCTTCTCTTCAAAGAAAGTAACTTAGCCTTACCTCAAAAGTTTGTCAAGTAAATATTCAATTATAATATTGTGTTAATATATTTGAAGGAATATGTCCTTTTTTAATTGACAGGTAATAAACTGTACAAATTTATCAGATACATAGTGATGTTTTGATACATACAGTGCATAGTGATCAAATCAGGGTAATCAGCATGTCCATCACCTCACTTACAGTTTCTTTGTGTTGCGAATATTCAAAACCCTCTCCTTTAGCAGTTTGAAAGTATATAATAAATTATTGTTAACTATAGTCATCCTATAGTAATATAGAACACTAGAACTTGTTCTTTCTATTTAGTTGTAATTTTGCATCCTTTAATAAAACTGTCCTTTTCCTTCCCTCCCTCTGTCCTTCACAACCTCTAGTAACCACTATTCTACTCTATTTTACTCTACTTCTATGAAATCAACTTTTTTTAGCTTCTGCATATGAGTGAGAACATGTGGTATTAACTTTTCTTTTCCTGGCTTATTTCACTTACTTTAATGTCTTCCCAGCTCATCCATGTTGTCTCGAATGACAGGATTTCATTTTTTTCTGTGGCTGAATAGTATTCCAATGTGTATGTACACCACATTTGCATTGTCCGTCATCTATTGATGAACACTTAGGCACCAAAAGCAAAAACAGACAAATGGGATTCTGTCAAACTAAAAAAAGCCAAGGAATCAACAACACAGTGAAAAGACCACCTACAAAATGGGAGAAAATATTTGCAAATCTTTCATCCAACAAGGAATTAATATCCAAAATATACAAGGAACTCAATACAATAGCAAAAAAACTGCAAATAATTCAATTAAAAATGTGCAAATGCTCTGATTAGCCATTTCTCAAAAAAGCTACAAATAACCAACAGATTTATGAGAAAATGTTCAACATCACTATTCATCAGGGAAATGCAATCAAAACCACAGGATATCATCTCATCCCGATTAGAATGCCTATTATCACAAAGATAAAAGATAGCAAATGCTAGTGAGAATGTGGAGAATGGGAACTCATACACTGTTGAAGGGAATTCAAACTAGTACAGTTACTGTGGAGAGCAGCATGAAGTTTCCTCAAGAAGCTGCATATAGATCTACCATTTGGCACAGGAATCCTACCTCTGGATATCTATCCAAAAGAAAGGAAATTTTATCAAAGAGACACTTGCATCCCCACGTTTACTGCAGCACTATTGAAAATTGCTAAGATAATGGGAATATGTCAATTTTGAAGATCCTCCTTTCTAATCAATGTTCTTGAATAATCACAAATTTGGTTTCTGTCTTGTTTGTGTATCCATGTGTGGCTGTATGCATTTTAGCCACAGACACTATGTAAAATATAAAGAATATCTGGGTTCTGTTTAAAAACAATTAAAATACTATCTAAATTCTCAAAGACCAGCAGCAGAAAATCTACTTGTTATGTAGAGAATATCATCATCAGTGGACTCAGAGTGGAATTCTACCTGTTCCCAAATAGCTCTCCAGTTCAAGTAACACAGAGTCTGAAATTTTACCATTAGACACATATCCCTAATGGTTGACTCACTTATTTTTTGTGAGGTGCTTTTAAATAGTTTTAAATTTCAGTATAAAACCTCAAAAATTTCAAAATGCCTTCTGTAACCTCTAGATGGATTGTGGCCCGTTGTTCTATGTGTACATGTAACATTGTTTACCTCCTACAGAAGAACAATAGTGTGATTTGTTCACTATTTTGTGTAAAGCTGTAATGAGTACCTGTCTTCTTTGCTAGGTTATGAACTCCAATGAAAGTGCACTTATGTTCCACAAAATCTTCAAAACCTAGAACATTGCCTGCCTAAGGAATAAATGACTGTATATATTCATGTTAAATCACTTGCAAAATTATATGGCTTATAAATAAGGACTGATATTCAAACACATAACTTGTTCAAGATCACATCTTATATGGATCTCATTATGAAATGAGCTTGTCTAAATTCTAAACCCATGCTTTCTCCACTATATTAAGAATCATTACAGTGATCCCTCAATATCCATGGGGAACTGGCTCCAGGATCTCCACAGAAAACAAAATCCACGGATGTTCAAGCCATTGATCTAAAATGGCCTACTATTTGTGTTTAACCTATGCACATCCTCCTGCATACTTATCTCTAGATTACGTATACCAAATGCAATGAAAATCCTATGTAAATAGTTGTTAGATGGTATTATTTAGGGAATAATGACAAGGAAAAAGTCAGTATATCTTCAGTATAGATGCAATTTAGTTTTTCAATATTTTCAATCTACAAATGAGTAACCTAGCGATACAAAGGGCCCACTGTATATTACCCTATCTTGAAATGAAATACTGACTGGAAGAATATTTTATTCATGAAATTGGGATAAATTAGTTGGCATATGGTCTTTTCTTGACCAGCAAGATGAAATCAGTAGCAATATCCTGGAAAGATTTGAAACCATGAAAATAATTAAAAACAATGTCAGGAGAGAATGAAGATAAATATTTTTATGTCTCTGTTTTTCCTGGAGTTGAGCTATGTTTTAATTAATCTGAAATTTCTACTCCCTGTAAGAAAAATAATAATGACAATTATAAGATTTTGGAGAAGTAGGAAGTAGAAAAAATTCAATTGCTTTTCACACACCAAAACTAAATATTTACAACTTTAGACATATTAATATTTTAAAAAGACATATGTAAACTAAGCATGCCAAGTATAACCATTGAAACAAAAGCTGTTGCATAAACAAATTTGAATGAAATACAGCATACTTAACAAGCAACACCTCTCTTACATAAAAAGTTCTTTTGTATCTGGTACTGCCAAGACTCATGATGGGTGAATTTCATGATGAAGTTCTCTTAAGTTTTTTCACTCTCAATCAGAGTCAACAAAACTGTATTTTCTTCATAATCTTAAAGTACATAAAGTATACACTATACTTGTAACTCTCCTTAGTTTCGTTTTTTGTTTTTTTTTTTGAGACGGAGTCTCATTTTGTCGCCCAGGCTGGAGTGCTGTGGCGCGATCTCCGCTCACTGCAAGCTCCGCCTTCCGGGTTCACACCATTCTCCTGCCTCAGCCTCCCGAGTAGCTGGGACTACAGGCGCCCGCCACTGCGCCCGGCCTCTCTCCTTAGTTTCAAAATTGACTAAGTTAGAAAAGAATATTTCTCTGACATATAAGGAATTTTGTGATTGTGAGTGTGGTTGACACTACTCTAAAAACTACAAGAAAGAAATAATTTCATTTTAATTTTTTTTAAAGCTACATTTGTTTAAAACTATTAGTTCCTAGCAAAAACAAATTCTTCAACATGGACTATATCAAATTCACAACTAAGCATCTACACATAATTATTAATTGAATATTATGTCAGCAATTTTAAAAAGTTTTAGTCTTTGGGAGGCCAAGGCAAGCGGATCACGAGGTCAGGAGATTGAGACCATCCTGGCCAACACGACGAAACTGCGTCTCTACTAAAAACACAAAAAAATTAGCCGGGTGTGGTGGTGGGCACCTGTAGTCCCAGCTACTTGGGAGGCTGAGGCAGGAGAATGGTGTGAACCCAGGAGGTGGAGCTTACAGTAAGCAGAGATCACGCCACTGCACCCCAGCCTGGGCCACAGATTTAGACTCCATCTCAAAAAATAATAATAATAATAATAAAAAGTTTTAGTAAGAATTCAGTGTTTTGTATTTTCCTGCAGTGATTATGCTACTTTTTGAGTAACACTACTACTATTTTTTTCATACTCAGATCCAAATACTTGCAGAATGTATTAATTCACTTATATCCTGAATGACTACTTTGGCATAAAAACATTAAGATAGCTCATTCATAACTTTTGTGGATAATCTTACCAAATTTTTGTGAGCTGTTCTAAAAACAAAGACAAACTTACATGAAGCTATTCTTTCTGGAAAAAGTCCCTACTTTGCAATATGTATCTCCTATTTTAGTTCAGAAATATGTTATATCTTGCCACCTTTTGGTGCACATTTTATGATTCCCATTGACAGTAGGTAATATTATGAACAGAGAAATATATAAACTGCCCCTTCACTTGAAAACATATTACTCCACAATTCAGTTTTCAGCAAGATTACAATAATTGTATTGTGAACTCAAGGAAAGCCTTTATTTACTTCAAGGGTAGATTCATTTGGATGTCATCGTTTACACTGACAAATTCCCCATCGCCTCCTTCACAATTATACTCGCCACTTCTATCCAATAAGTTTCTTTATGTTTTGCAGAAGCTCCAAGATTTCCAGAGTTACACCTTAGCCAAAAAAATCAATGAAACAAATTTGAACTATTGTAATTTAAAAAGTGCTGAACTCTTCCACAATTGTATTACGTTATTGTTTATCTATCCCCTTTCACCTAATCCTCAAATTCAATACTGTCAAGAAGGGTGGTTGTGTGGAATGGATATTGACATTGATGGAAATTGAATCCTAGTCTTGGGATTTGCCAGTTTTTAGCCATCTGACCTTGGAGAGGAAACAAAACCAAATTGCACATCATTATAAAGATTTAAAATGGTAAAATATATTACAGTGCAATTTCCAGGTTTTAGCATTTACTAGATTGGGGCTCTATTGACCTTAAAAATGTTTGTCATTCATGGAATTTTTTTTTTAGATTCAGGTAATAATAATTAAGATAATAATTTAAAATGTTCTGATAATTTTCACATTTCAAAATAATTTCATATTTTAGGTATTTTGTTTATCAACAAAAATGTTAGAAATAGGCTTGTGCTCACTTTGGAGAATTTGAAAAAAAGCACCAGTAAAGAAAAACTGACCACAAAGGAGAGATTCTAAAAAAACAAACAAAATCCACATCTTTCTTCAGTTTTTTTCCACATTTTTTTACCTGTATTTAAAGGCACTTTAAAAGAAATAAACAAAGCAAACAAACATATTCTAGTACAACATTTCTGTACATTCTTTTCTGAATATTAAGGGCATGTCACAATTGTACACAGTAGTAACCTGCATAGCTACAACTTTCTGCCTTCTGGTTTTGCACACAGAAAAAAAAACAGGATCATATCTTATGTGGATTTCATTATGAAATGTGCTTGTATAAAAATCTATTGTATATAAAATCCACTGTATAACTGGCAGACTTTTACCTTTTCCTCAATAGGCCACCTGACCTCAGTACTGTCCAGAATGACTTTCTTCATTTTGAGCAACGCTGAGACTGTTTCTGTCATTCACATATCTAAATGCTTGCAGAGATCACATCCACAGAAAGGTTTCAGTCCTTAAACTACTAGATTTCTTTTTTCTTCTTTCTCAACTTTTATTGTAGGTTTGGGGGTATGTGTGCAGGTTTGTTATGTGGGTAAATTATGCATTGCTGGGGTTTGGTGTGCAAATGATCACATCACCCAGGTAGTGAGCATAGTACCCAACAAGCAGTTTTTCAACCCTCACTGTCCTCCCACTTTCCACCCTGAAGTAGACCCTGACGTTTATTGCTCCCGTCTTTTTGTCTATGTGTATTCAACGTTTAACTGTCATTTGTAAGTGAGAATATGCGGTATTTGGTTTTCTGTTTCTGCATTAGCTTGCTTAGGATAATGTCCTCCAGCTGCAACCATGTTGCAAAGGACAAGATTTTCTTCTTTTCTATGGCTATGTAATAGTCTATGGTGTATATGTGCCACATTTTCTTTATCCAGTTTACCATTGATGGGCAGATAGGCTGATTCCATGTCTTTGCTATCATGAATAGTGCTGCAATGAACATAGGAGTGCATGTGTCCTTTTTGGTAGAAAGATTTATATTCCTCTGCGTATATACCCAGTAATGAGATTGCTGGGTCCAATAGCAGTTCTGTTTTAAATCCTTTGAGAAATCTCCAAACTGCTTTCCACTACTCCTACCAACATTATAAGTGTTCCCTTGTCTCTGCAACATGTATCTGTTATTTTTTTGACTCTTTCATAGCCATTCTGATTTGGTGTGAAGGCATCTCACTGTTGATTTGATTTGCATTTCTCTATGATTAGTGATGTGGAGCATTTTTTTTCATATGCTTATTGGCCACATGTATGTCTTCTTTTGAGAAGTATCTGTTCATATCCATTGCTCATTTTTTAATAGGGTTGTTTGTTTTTTGCTTGTTGATTTCTTTAGGTTCCTTATAGATTTTGGATATTAGACCTTTGTCAGACATATAACTTGCAAGTATTTTCCTCCATTTTGAAGACTGTGTGTTTCCTCTCTTGATAGTTTCTTTTGCTGCACAGAAGCCCTTTGCATACATTACTAAATTTATAAACAGTAAATTTGCTTATTTGTAAATAAGTAAGCCTTCCTGTTAACTTTTTTCCCTGAATTGGTTTGACAGTTCAGTTCCATCTTCTTTCCCTTAGCACAATAATCTCTCATTTCTTTACACACTTTTCTACCTCTGTTCACTCTTGAAGTGTTGATGTGTCCTCAGTGCTACTTATCTACTTCTTCCTACCCTCCCTGCACACTCCCAAACACACATATAATTTCAGCAAACACCTCCACAAGACTCAGACATCAGTATCTTCAAGCCGCATACTGCCTCATACTCCAACTGCATCCTAAAATATATACATAAATGAAAACCAAACACATAGACAGATGGCTTTTCCTTTTTCTTTGTTCTGTCTATCTCAAGTAATGTCCTCATTATCTTCTCAAGTTAACCACACTAGAATCTTCAGTTTTATTTGAATCTGCTATTTCTTTCACATCTTTCTTCTGAAACCTCACAACACTGTATTCATCTTCCTATCCCATGTCTCTTTATGGTTTAATCTTGCTTGATGGCTTTTCACTACCTTCAGATAAAATCCCAAACTCCTCCATGGATGTGGACTTTTCACAATTTTTTAACAGTCTACTTCTTTACCTTAGCCAACTGCCCCTATACTTTATAACTAAATTTTATAATACTTAGCATCTCGTAGGTCTTACAAGGGACCATATTCTTTCATGGCATAACATCTTTGTGCCTGATGTTTTCTCCAGGGACTCTGTAGGAAAGAACTTCAGGCAGGAATGAAGTTCTAGTCCAGCCCTAAAATGAAATCCACATGGAATTTTGGTTGCTATTTCACTTGGCTTCACAGAAACCACTCAGGAGTGGCTAGTGTTATTTGGTGCTAATTACTGGTGAGTATGCCAGCCCTTTTGCACCTTGATATAAAAAATGTGGTCTGTGTGATAAATATATTATAATATTAGGTAATGATGATGTCTATGTGATTGTGAACATGCTAAAAACCACTGAATTGTACACTTTAATGGATGATTGTTACAGTATATCAATTATATCTCAGTAAGATTGTAATTGAAAGAAAATATATGGTCCCAGGCCTTATATTAAACTTACTGAGTTTTAATGAGACCTCCAGGTCATTTGGATATGTATATTAATGTTTGAGAATTACTTTAGAGTATGGTAGGGTTTGGCAAACCCTTCCTTAGGTGGAATCATTAACAATGACTGTCCACCCACATATGAATCTCATCATTGGGTATATGTGCTCCACAACTAGAATCAATGCTTCTCATGGCTAGCTCTACACAGATGGGTGTTAATATTATTTGCTCTTGAGAATTCTCCTTCAACGAGATCCACTGGTGTCTTACCACCAGCCACAGTGCTTTCCTTTTGGGATAAATCCATAGAATGTAAATTATAATACTTTTACTGTATTGAATTACACTCTCTCCCAATACAGTATGTTTTATTGGGAGTGTTGTCTTTCTTATCTTTGCATTACTAGAATCTAGCACAGCAACATTGTACTCCACAGAGACTGTCGAATAATATTAAAACTGTTTGTCAGTGTAACATGGTTGTGATAGTCATAGTCTCCTGAGAAGCAAATGCTAAGATGTGATTCAATGTGCAAGAATTATATTAGGGAAATACCTGTGAAAGAAAATGAAGAAGAAGCCTAAGAAGTCTAGAAAATCCATGATGCAAGGCTGACTCTGAGTGAAGAAGAGAGGGAAAATGGGGTGGAAGTGTCCTAAGTAGCTATTTAAGCTGAAGAAAGTTCAGCAAGGATATCAGGGAGTCCTGAAGCCAAAATCAGGTGTGCGCCAAATCCCACCCAAGTTTTCCAGAAATGGATCTGCCTGTTATCATTCCTGCCGGTCAGTCAGGTTGGGTGTGGCCCATGGGAAATGTGGTTTTTGAGCAAACACATCTGTAGACTTCAGAGTACGGAAACACGGCCTTCCTAAAGGAAGAGACTGGAAGAGCATTTTGATAGCTGCCTCAGTGGCTCTCAAAAACCTCCCAAATCTGATGTATTTAGGTTTTTCACAACATGTCCACTGATAGCAATGACCATCTAATTAAGGTCTTTGTATTTTTCCTCATTTGACATTGATTCATCCCCACGTATGAAGTCCCTGCTATGTCCTCCTTCCAGGAACGGGGAGCTTAACCAGATGGGCCAGGCTTCTGCCATCAGAAAACTAAAGGACACAAAACAGCAAACCTGATGCAAGTCAATTATTAATTATAATCTCATTCAGTGGCATACAATAAATAAAGGCATTATATTTTCCTTAGAATACGAAGTGGGAAAAGAAGGGTTTTATTGGTTTGAGTTTTTGGTTTTTGTTTTTTTTAGACTGGGCGTTCCCAGGTGACAGATTTTATATTTTGTCATTGCTATCTCACTCAGCAGAAGTCCTAACATACTGTAGTTTACTCAGATTAAATCTGACATTTTAATTAAAATTATGTGGGACTTCTACAGACCATCAAATAGGAGAAAAAAAAATTAAATTTAAAAAGTTTTTTATCTGTTTATTATCCTGCTTATGGATTACACAAAACTTCTCATTGACCATTCTTCAGGGATATCATCAGGCAGGTTATTCTCAAGAAAAACATAAACAACACCTTAGGTGAAATATACTTATGAAATATAGAATCATGATACATACACACACACACAGTGAAATATTATTCAAATTTTAAAAATAAGAAAATCTTACCATTTTAGACAACACAGATGAACCTGGAGGACATTATTTACTGAAATAAACCAGGCACAGAAAGACAATGCTGCATGATCTCACTTATGCATGGAACTAAAAAAGTTAATGACATAAAAACAGAGTAGTGGAATGATGATAACCAGGGATTGGGAGTTGCAGATCATGAGAAGATGTTTCTCAATGAAGTTATGTAGGGTGAATAATCTAGAGACTTAATGTACAGAATGGTGACTATGATTAGTAATACTGTATTATATACTGGAAGTTTGCTAAAAGAGTAGATTTCAGGTGCTCTTACCACACGCACAAACATTAAAAAGAAAAAAAAAGGAAGAGAAATTCGAGACCGTTATGTAAATTTCCTTGACTGTAGTAATCATTTTACCACGTGTAAGTATATCAAAACATCATGCTTTACACCTTAAATATAAATAAGAAAAAAGAAAAATAGATAATCTCATTTTCTCTTGCTCCAAATTAAGAAAAAATATATTTTTATTACCAAATATTTTAATTATCTATGCCACTATGTTTATTCCTATTCATGGGAAAGTAAGAATTCATCTTGAAAACATATTTTTGGTCCATTAAGATTCTTGTGAGCACTCCTCATCTCTTTACCATCTTCCAGCATTTTTAAAAGTAGTAAACTAGTCCTTTCTATATAAATTTTCCAAAAGCATAATTTTAACAAGGGCCCCATTGTGGCCTTAATTTCAGAAAAGCTATCTTTTCATTCTTCTATTTCTTTTCCTACCTTCAATGCATTTTATTCATATGCTGTCTGTTTCTTTGTGTCTCAGGTTCTAACTAGTACAACATGTGCAGAGATATAATGGCTCTTCCTGATTGTATTGTCTGCCCAAGTACCCATCTTCCCTGCTTTTGTCAGCAGCCCTTGATATTTTTGGATCACACACTCGTTTTTGATTCCCATTCAGTATAATCTGAGAGAAGGGGAGCACTGGGTTCCAAAGTTAGTGTACAGGACCCAATTAGCTCATTGTCTTCACCCGGCCAAGCTAATAACTTAAAGAGTTATATAGACCTTGACCTGAGCTGGTGATTCCAGAATGAGTATCAAGACTTCTAGAGAACCTTCTGCAGATGAATCTTTCTAAATCTGCTGCTCTTTGATTTTGTGAGAACACAGGACTGAAGCTATCTTACCACCATGAAGGGAAAGCCTGTCTTGCATGAAAACCAATCCAGAGAAAGAGAAGAGAAACAAAGTGAGAGAAACTGCATCCAGGGATGTCTTCTGAGTCCCCCACTTAAGATGGGCATAGACCCAGCTCTATCCTTACCTCTTCGGTTACAAGTCGTGAGCCAACCAATTCCCCTTTTATTTAAGCCAATTTACAACTGGATTTTGTCACTTGCAAGTGAAACAGCCTGAGTAATATAGAAAACTAATGAAATTTGAAACTTTGCTCAAAGATTTTATAATATTTAAGAAGAAAAAGCAGAGGACTGGTATACAATTAATTGATGTTTACTTAATTTATTTGGCTCTGAAATGCTGTGTTTAATTTCTATGTGTTACTTGAAGACGACACTCTTACGGCCCTAGCCCTGGGAGTGATCCTATAGAAATTTTCTCTTCTAAAATAAATTATATTGTGAATAATGCCGCAATAAACATTCGTGTGCATGTGTCTTTATAGCAGCATGATTTATAGTCATTTGGGTATATACCCAGTAATGGGATGGCTGGGTCAAATGGTATTTCTAGTTCTAGATCCCTGAGGAATCGCCACACTGACTTCCACAATGGTTGAACTAGTTTACAGTCCCACCGACAGTGTAAAAGTGTTCCTATTTCTCCACATCCTCTCCAGCACCTGTTGTTTCCTGACTTTTTAATGATTGCCATTCTAACTGGTGTGAGATGGTATCTCATTGTGGTTTTGATTTGTATTTCTCTGATGGCCAGTGATGATGAGCATCTTTTCATGTGTTTTTTGGCTGCATAAATGTCTTCTTTTGAGAAGTGTCTGTTCATGTCTTTCGCCCACTTTTTGATGGGGTTGTTTGTTTTTTTCTTGTAAATTTGTTTGAGTTCATTGTAGATTCTGGATATTAGCCCTTTGTCAGGTGAGTAGGTTGCAAAAATTTTCTCCCATTTTGTAGGTTGCCTGTTCACTCTGATGGTAGTTTCTTTTGCTATGCAGAAGCTCTTTAGTTTAATTAGATCCCATTTGTCAATTTTGGCTTTTGTTGCCATTGCTTTTGGTGTTTTAGACATGAAGTCCTTGCCCATGCCTATGTCCTGAATGGTAATGCCTAGGTTTTCTTCTAGGGTTTTTATGGTTTTAGGTCTAACGTTTAAATCTTTAATCCATCTTGAATTAATTCTTGTATAAGGTGTAAGGAAGGGATCCAGTTTCAGCTTTCTACATATGGCTAGCCAGTTTTCCCAGCCCCATTTATTAAATAGGGAATCCTTTCCCCATTGCTTGTTTTTGTCAGGTTTGTCAAAGATCAGATAGTTGTAGATATGCGGCGTTATTTCTGAGGGCTCTGTTCTGTTCCATTGATCTACATCTCTGTTTTGGTACCAGTACCATGCTGTTTTGGTTACTGTAGCCTTGTAGTATAGTTTGAAGTCAGGTAGTGTGATGCCTCCAGCTTTGTTCTTTTGGCTTAGGATTGACTTGGCCATGCGGGCTCTTTTTTGGTTCCATATGAACTTTAAAGTAGTTTTTTCCAATTCTGTGAAGAAAGTCATTGGTAGCCTGATGGGGATAGCATTGAATCTGTAAATTACCTTGGGCAGTATGGCCATTTTCACGATATTGATTCTTCCTACCCATGAGCATGGAATGTTCTTCCATTTGTTTGTATCCTCTGTTATTTCCTTGAGCAGTGGTTTGTAGTTCTCCTTGAAGAGGTCCTTCACATCCCTTGTAAGTTGGATTCCTAGGTATTTTATTCTCTTTGAAGCAATTGTGAATGGGAGTTCACTCATGATTTGGCTCTCTGTTTCTCTGTTGTTGGTGTATAAGAATGCTTGTGATTTTTGTGCATTGATTTTGTATCCTGAGACTTTGCTGAAGTTGCTTATCAGCTTAAGGAGATTTTGGGCTGAGACAATGGGGTTTTCTAGATATACAATCATGTCGTCTGCAAACAGGGACAATTTGACTTCCTCTTTTCCTAATTGAATACCCTTTATTTCCTTCTCCTGCCTAATTGCCCTGGCCAGAACTTCCAACACTATGTTGAATAGGAGTGGTGAGAGAGGGCATCCCTGTCTTGTGCCAGTTTTCAAAGGGAATGCTTCCAGTTTTTGCCCATTCAGTATGATATTGGCTGTGGGTTTGTCATAGATAGCTCTTATTATTTTGAAATACGTCCCATCAATACCTAATTTATTGAGAGTTTTTAGCAAAGACTTGGAACCAACCCAAATGTCCAACAATGATACACTGGATTAAGAAAATGTGGCACATATACGCCATGGAATACTATGCAGCCATAAAAAATGATGAGTTCGTGTCCTTTGTAGGGACATGGATGAAATTGGAAATCATCATTCTCAGTAAACTATCACAAGAACAAAAAACCAAACACCGCATATTCTCACTCATAGGTGGGAATTGAACAATGAGATCACATGGACACAGGAAGGGGAATATCACACTCTGGGGACTGTGGTGGGGTGGGGGGAGGGGGGAGGGATAACATTGGGAGATATACCTAATGCTAGATGACGAGTTAGTGGGTGCAGCGCACCAGCATGGCACATGTATACATATGTAACTAACCTGCACAATGTGCACATGTACCCTAAAACTTAAAGTATAATAAAAAATAAATAAATAAAAAATAAATAAAATAAATTCTAAATACTTTTAAAAGTATAACAGGACTGCCCATAGTTGTCTGTCTAATTGTTTACATTTAAAGGTTAATAACACTATTATCCTCATATACTTTGAAATAAGGAAAGTTATTAAGTTTATGCTTTGATTAAGCATACACACAGAACTAAGTAGAATATATTTATAGACTATTATATGGTTTGGCTATGTAAGGATATTTTTCCCATGAAAGCACCTAAAATATTTTAGAAACAAAAGAGAAATGTAGGAAGAGGTATGCAAGAAAAGGTGGAACATTTTAGCATGATTTTGACACTGTGTAAAGAGGCTTGACATTATTGAAACAAATATTTATACATGGCATCATAAAATAGTAAACCACATGACTAAGAGTTTCAGCTGCTCTGGAACTGTGGAAGCTCTCTATTTGAGATACCAAAGCCGAGGGGTAATTGAGCACTAGTCTTGTTACAATCGAAGACAAACTTGACCCTTTCAGGGGAAGTTCAAATCCCGACGACATTACAACTGAGAGACCTTATTATATCTCTAAAAGAAGAAGCTGAAAACAAACCAGAGATTCTTGAGTCTTTCTAAACCATGTCTTATTCAGAAAAGATCAATCACAGAGGGCTGTTAAAAAATAGACATGATAATCTCTCACTTATTTCACAAAAACTATCTGGAACATAATGGTGTAATACCTCAAGCTGAAGGTACTCTTAATCCTGACAAGACCTTGAAGCTGACTTCTGTGTGAAACAAATAAAAGAACAATGACCTTGCCTTAGAAGTGTGAATACCACAATACATGCTGATCTTCAAAAAGAATGTTCTGAAAACAATGTCCGTTTCCAATGTTTAAAAAACCTTTATTTCACTGCTGCAGCTGCCTACAAGTTTGCTATTGGTGCTTTTTAAGCAGATATTCTAACCCTTCAGTACTTTACACAATATATAATAGGCTTATAATCTTTTTAAAATAAGGTGAGTTTTTGGTTTGTTTCCTTCCACTGATGGTCACTAAGACCATATTTTCAACCACCTCTTGCAAACAACACAGAAATCCATGTCTCTAGTTATGAACATTCAGTTGATTCCCAAAATTGCCATTCTCTTGTATCTTAGGCACAGCCTCCCATGCCTCAGGCCCTTCAAACATAACCCATGACATTATCTCCCAAGCCTGTCCTTCCCCTGGTATTTCCTATCTCTATAAATGATACAGACATTCATCTGACCTTTCAAGCAGAAAACTGGCCATCAGCCTAAAAAATTATCTCCCTCATCATGCAGGGCAACACTAATTGATTATTACATCATATTGACCCTTTTTCTACATATCCCTTCTGTGGCCTTGTGCCTAGATTCCATTTTTCTAAATTAATTCAGTCCATAATCCTTCCTAATGAAGTTTACTCAATTATAGCTTCCAAATGGTCTCCCTGCCTCCAACTTCTTCCTCTGTACCCATGGTTGTCTCCACACTTCCATCAGAGAGAAAAAACAACACTAAAATTGTGATGATGCCTAACAGTCATGTAGGGAATTCCTGTTAATTCCTTAAGATATAACTCAAACATCAGATGCAGCTCTCTGTAGTCCCCTATGTGGCCCAATTGTCTCTCTGAATTTTTCTTCTGCTGCACAGTGTTCCACATTTGTTTTAACCCTCAAGAAAATCATGAAAGCTTGTATGGACATAGTTGGTTGCTACCCCAAATCGATCCTTTTTTTTTTCTTTCTCTCAGAGAATTCCAGTTTAATCTGGGTATGAACTCATCATAAGACAAAAAAGTAAATCCTCATTGTGCTACGCCAGCAGTCCTCAGGCCGGCAGAAAATGTGGAACCTATAAAAGATACCATTGACAAGGCCCCAGTGTCAGAGATTCCGATTTCAGTGGTCCAACACAAGGCTTGGGCATCAGTGTGTGTTATAAGAGTTTTCCAAACCCTAAAGTACAGCCATGGATGAGAGAAATTGTGAGAGCATGTGGAGTTCCCAAAGATGTTTACTGTTCCAGGGTTTGGTGGATGAATTAATGAGCTAATCAGATGAAAAATAATGATTTACATTCTAGGCTCCAGGTCAGGATTACTTTATATCCTGCTGAATATGAACAGGCATGCAGTGCAGACTGCAGCACAGATTGTCTACTAAATGTGACAATGAGGAGACCAGCCTAAGAATGAAATTAACACTAGAGGAGTAGAGACAGAAAGAACCTGAGGGCTTGATGATACTATGAGGATGCTGGTTACACTGTGCATAGAGCCTTATCTTTGATCTTCAAATCCTTAAGCTCTTGACTTGCTCAGAAGAATGTAAAGTACATGAGAAAAATATTTTGTTTGCATTATCCAGGACTGCCTACCCATGCCTATAAAGGCATTCTGGTACTAACTATATAGTATAGAAGGAAGAGAAGAAAGAAGGAAGTCAGTTTTGTGAATTGTGACATTTAAAAAGGAGAGTGTAGATGCTGCTATGGAGTTGTCAGTTACTGATGAATTTTTCTATAAAGACTTGGTGCTCTAAATTGTTTGTTCTGACTTGCACACATTTTCTCTATATTCTTAATATCCTAGAATTTAAAATAAAAGTAAATAAAAGAGGCTTTATCTAAATTCTTCCATAATTACTTTCTAACATGGACAGATAGGATTACCTGGAGAAGACAAAGCATACCAGCTTCCTGCTCTTGCATCATCTAACTTAAGAGTGCACTTAAACTACAAACATGTTCATCATTAATTGTAGTTACAAACATGTTGTTTTTGTTTCTTGTCTGCTGCTATAACAGAATACCATAGACTGGATAATTTATGAAAAACAGAAGTTCTGAAGTCTGGAAAGCCCAAGATCAAGTGGCCACATCTGGTGAAGGCCTTCTTGCTGTGTCATAAAATGTCAGAAGGGCAAGCAAGCCCTAGAGATAGAAAAAAGAGGCTGAACTCCTGCAATAACTAACACACTCCCACAATAACAGCATTAATCCATTCATGTGGGCAGAGCCCTTGTGACCTAATCACATCTTAAAGACCCCACCTCTTTATGGTGTTACAATGGCAATTAAATTTCAACATGAGTTTTTTCAGAGACATTTAAGCCATAGCACATGTAACATATTGCAATGAGAGAGATGTTTACAGTTTGTGATTTTAGATGTTATAGCACAATAGTTTACTCTCATCTAAGTCATGAAATAAACCAAGGACCTGCAAATGACTTATCTGAGGTCATATAGATTTTGGTCATCTAAATTTTAGTCAAAAAATTAGTTTTACAGTCTACTTTTTTTTATTTTATTTTTTTTGAGATGGAGTCTCACTCTGTCACCAGGCTGGAGTGCAGTGGTGTGACCTAGGCTCACTGCAACCTCCGCCTTCAGGATTCAAGCAATTCTCTGCCTCAGCTTCCCCAGTAGCTGGGACTACAGGTGCCCACTACCATGCCAGGCTAATCTTTGTGTTTTTTTTTAGAGATGGGGTTTCACCATGTTGGCCAGGAAGGCCTTGATCTCTTGACCTCGTGATCTTCCTGCCTCGGCTTCCCAAGGAGCTGGGATTACAGGCGTGAGCCACTGCGCCTGGCCAGTTTTACAGTTTACTTAAATATTTTCTAGCATACACTATTTAGCACAACATTTCCCCCGACATGAACCACTTAGTGTGAGAGGTGTCTTTTAGAGATGGCTTTTGGAGTATCTATTACATTTAGAATGGCTATAGCAATAAAATAATTTGTGTGTTTAATGCTAAAAGAATGAAGAACTCAGAATTGAAAGAGGTTCTAAATTAAAGTTACATCAACAAATTAAGGCTTTTCTGGTTTTCCTAGAAATTGCAGAATAAGAAAACCATTTGATATTATTTGTATAACTGAAGATTCATAATTTTGAATAATACTCAAATGTTGCAAAATTACTGACTGGATAGTCAGAAGGCATGATGAAATGAACAAATGAAAAGTATAAGCAAACATAATCCCACCACTTTAGCAGTTAATATTTTCTCAGGAAACAGGACTATATCACAACACAGATACATATCTGTGTTAGCACACCACCACAAGGGATATTAACATTCCAAAAAAATGAATGCTTGAAGTAGTTGCTTGCATTATCTTATAGCTTATATGTATCATACACTATTTCTGATTAACAGAATTCTGTTAGTGAAAAAATATTTTGCTTTATATAAAATTCACAAGCTTAAAAACTGAATGTGCATGTAAATAATGAAGTTCACAGATTTCCAGTTGCTTTCTGTTTTACTAGAAGCCCTTTCTTTAATTAAAAGGCTTTGCTTATATTTTCTGCATTTGATTAAATGTATCCATCACAAGATAATTTATGGGTGCAAAATTGACTTCAATTATTGAGCAATGTATTTGTAAAGAATTATCTAAGTCTCTTTAGCTTTTTATATAAGCATTTATATAAAAATGTTGTTCTGACTCTTGGCTTGAGGAGCTTGACAAATCTTCCCCTCAAAAATCAACTGCAAAATTGAACAAACGGTCAAATCAGCAGTTTTAGAGCTCTGGGATTTAACAAAAGTCATAAAACCAACTAAGAAACATTAATTTATTGAGACTACTGAATTTCAGCTAAGAATAGTTAAAAATCTTGCCTAACAGTCTGTGATTGCTTCATCCACACTAGTCCCAGGACTCCCTCAGTTCTGTTGGCATAGTAGTTTAACCCAAATTGGAAGGATATGAAAACCAGCAGCTTTACACCTATTGTCAGAAAGGACTCACTTCATTGGGAGTATTATACATTAAACTGGAAATCTCAGTGGCAATTGAAAAAAGAGGTCAGTGGCTCCATTAGCCTGAGATTGAGGTCGTAGTTGGGGCAAACAATGAACTGTAGGAGTAGCACGGGATGTAATAGGGAGCTGTAGAAGTCAGATAGTCAAAGGAAGACTTAAGCTAGCCACATATCCCTGATTGATGGGAGTCACTGTGTGTGTCCAGCAGAGAGTAGAGGGGTGCTAAGGCATCCAAACATTCTTGGCAAAAGAAGCCTAAATGCATGTGTGGAGGAGGCATGAAAGGGCCTATTGGAGGTAAAAGCCAGGGAAGCTTTAAAATGGCCTGAGATTTAAAAACTTTCTCCAGGACATTCATAAATTCATCATCAGGGAATAGGAAGTTTACTGGCTCAAAGTCTTTGAGCACATTCTTTTACCGCTCTTAAGATGAACCCACTCTTAAGATGACCAGTTACGTAGGAAGCCAGACTTAAAAATAAAAACAAGAAGAAAAAATAGGAGCAGATAAATAAACAGGCACATATTTCAGGAAGAAAGACTTCACAAACTTTGTCCAGGCAAGTTATATAAACAACCAAACAAGACAACAAAAACATACTGTGGAAAAGTCAGAATCTAGAATTACAACATACATTATCAAAATGCTCATTATTGTGCATAAAAGTAAAAAGAAACAAGAGTGTAACCAATATTTAGCAAAAATTTTTAAAGTCTATAGATTTTTGTCTCTGTCAACAAATGTGGAATTCAGCAAAGACTTCAAGGCAGCTATTATAAATATATTCAAATAACTAAAGAAAATCATAGCTAAATAATTAATGGAAAGTACAATGAAAATTTCTCACCACATAGAGGAACTCAATATTCATAGGCATTATTAAGAAAAAATAAATCAAATTTAAATTCTGGAGTTAAAATGGACAATAACAAAAATGAATTATTTAGAGGAGTTTAGCATAAGATTTGAGATAGGAGAAGAAAGAATCAATGAACTTGATGATATAACAAAATTAATTTTCCAGTCTAATGCACAGGGAGAAAGAAGATTAAATCAAAGTGAATAGGCTGGGTGCAATGGCTCACGCCTGTAATCCTAGCACTTTGGCAGGCTGAGGTGAGTGGATCTCGAGGTCAAGAGATTGAGACCATCCTGGCCAACATGGTGAAACCTCCTCTCTACTAAAAATACAAAATTAGTCGGATGTGGTGGCATGAGCCTGTAGTCCCAGCTATTCAGAAGGCTGAGGCAGAAGAATCACTTGAACTCGGGAGGCAGAGGTTGCAGTGAGCCAAGATAGCACCACTGCACTCCAGCCTGGGTGACAGAGAGAGACTCCATCTAAAAAATACCAAACAAAAACAAAAACAAAAACAAAAAAAACGAAGTGAACAGGCCTTCAGACACCTGTGGGAAGACACCATATATGATGCATAGCAACATACATGAAATGACACCACAGGAAGAAGAGGAGAAAGTGAAAGGGACAGAAAAATAGTACAGGAAAAAATAATAATTGAAAATGTCTCAATTTTATGGAAAATTTTAACCTATAGATTTAAGAGACCTGATAAATGCCAAACGGAATAAAGACAAAGAGATAACACATCTACACATAGTAGTCTAACTACTGAAAGCCAAAAAGTGAGTAAACTTGGTAAAGGCTAGAGATAAATGACCAATCATATACAACATGATTATTGCTTGACTTATTAGAAATAACAGACAAAAAAATTATGGCAGAAAATATTTGTCAACAAAGAATTTTATAACCAGCAAAACTTAAAAATGAAGGCAAAATATAAATATTTTTGGAAAAAAACTGTTGCTAGCAGCCCTGAATTCAAGTTGACAGAAAAAATTAAAAGTGTCACAAATGGTAAATATGTGGGCATACATGAAAGATTCTATAAATGTTTTCTCTATCTTTTATTAACTTATTAAATATAGATATTATACATAGATAATCATGACACTGTAATTGGAGTTTATAACATATAGATATATATGACAATATTAGCACAAAAGAGGTAGGAAGAAAAGAAAATAAGTTGGAGCAAAATTGATATATTTTATTAGAATAAGCAATTATAATTCTGAAGTAAATTGAACAAGTTAATATACCCAATGTAATGCCCAGAACTTGAGTGGATAAGCTATCACTCATAGATAAAACTGGGCTGCTAACTGATTGCAGGTACATTTTTATTGAAAAACAGACTTAGTTCCTCATTTGCATATTGGCTGTGTCAGCTTTCATACTACAATAACAAATTGATCAGTTGCAGCAAAGATCATGTAACCCAAAAAGTTTAAAATATTTGCTATCTTTACAAAAATGTTTGCCAACCCCTAACATAAACCAACACTAATAAAATAACTCAAAATAATACAGCAAAAATAAACAGAAATTAAAATGGCACACTGAAAATACTTATTTGGTACAAAAGGAGCCAGTAAAGGAGAAACAGGAACTGAAAAGACACAACTGTTTAAAAAGTAGCAAATGACAGACAACACATAATAATAACAAGTTTAAATGTGAATGTGCTAAACCTTCTATTAATGGGGCATATATCATCAGTCTTGATAAAAATGTAAGATACAATTTTATATCATCAACAAAAAACACATCTTATACTCAAGGACATAAAAAGATTGAAATTAAAAGGATAGCATATGGTATACTCTAAAACTGTATCCATCAGAGAATTTGCCTAGTTTTATCAATAACAGACAAAATAGATTTTAAGACAAGAAATAGTACAGCGATGAGAAGGACATCTCATAATGATAAATGTGTCTGTATATCATAAAAACATAGAAAATAGTATGGAACCACAATAAAACTTTTATAATTCATAAACAAGTTTTGTAAAGTCACAAGTTAAAGATCACCATAAATATACATTGTGTTTTTATATTACAGCAAAGGCCATTAGAAAATGAAATTAGAAAAACAAGCCCATGTGGCCAAGACAATCCTAAGCAAAAAGAACAAAGTTGGAGGTATCACACTACCTGACTTCAAACTATACTACAAGGCTACAGTAACCAAAACAGCATAGTACTAATACCAAAACAGATATATAGACCAATGGAATAGAACAGAAGCCTCAGAAATAACACCACACATCTACAACCATCTGATCTTCAACAAGCAATGGGAAAAGGATTCCCTATTTAATAAATCATGCTGGGAAAACTGGCTAGCCATATGGAGAAAACAGAAACTGGACCCCTTTCTTATACTTATACAAAAATTAACCCAAGATTGATTAAAGACTGAAATGCAAAACCTAAAACCATAAAAACTGTAGAAGAAAACCTAGGCAATACCACTTAGGACATAGGCATGAGCAAAGACTTCAGGACTAAAATCTCAAAAGCAATTGGAACAAAAGCCAAAATTGACAAATGGGATCTAATTAAACTAAAGAGCTTCTGCTCAGCAAAAGAAACTAGCATCAGAGTGAACAGGCAACCTACAGAAGGAGAGAAAATGTTTGCAATCTACCCATCTGACAAAGGTCTAATATCCAGAATCTACAAGGAACTTAAACAAATTTACAAGAAAAAAAAAAACAAACAACCCCATCAAAAAGTGGGCAAAGGATATGAACAGACATTTCCCAAAAGAAGATATTTATGTGGCCAACAAACATTTGAAAAAAAGCTGATTATCACTGGTCATTAGAGAAATGCAAATCAAGACCGCAATGAGATACTGTCTCACACCAGTTAGAATGGCGATCGTTAAAAAGTCTGGAAACAACAGATGCTGGTGAGGCTGTGCAGGAACAGGAATGCTTTTACATTGTTGGTGGGAGTGTAAATTAGTTCAACCATTGTGGAACATAGTGTGGCGATTCCTCAAGGTTCTAAAACCAGAAATACTATTAGACCCACCAATCCCATTACTGGGTGTATACCCAAAGGATTATAAATCAATCTACTATAAAGACACATGCACATGTATGTTTATTGCAGCACTATTTACAATAGCAAAGACTTGGAACCAACCCAAATGCTCATCAATGATAGATGGGATAAAGAAATGTGGCACATATACACCATGGAATACTATGCAGCCATAAAAAATGAGTTCATGTCCTTTGCAGGGACATGGAAGAAGCTGGAAACCATCATCCTTAGCAAACTAACACAGGAACAGAAAACCAAAAACTGCATTTTCTCACTCCCAAGTGGGAGTTGAGCAATGAGAACACATGGACACAGGGAAGGGAATATCACACGCTGGGGCCTGTCGAGGGTTGGGGGGCTAGAGAAAGGAGAGCATTAGGACAAATACCTAATGCACGCAGGGCTTAAAACCAAGATGACAGATTGATAAGTGCAGCAAACCACCATGGCACATGTTTACCTATGTAATAAACCTGCATGCTCAGCAGGTGTATCCCAGAACTTAAAGTAAAATAAAAATAAATGTAAAAAAAGAAAAAAATCTCATTCACAACAGCAAACAAAATTATAATGTATCTAAGAATAAAATTAACAAAATGGATGCAAACTTATATACTGAAATGTACCAAACATTGCTAAGAAGGAGTACAGAAGATCAAAAGAAATACAGAAATATTCCATGGTCATGGAATGCCGGGAAGAAGGCAATTCTCTGCAAATGTATATATAGATTCAATGGAATCTCTATAAAAGCCTAACTGTCATTTATCATAGAAATTGACAAACTGAACATAAAGTGTAAATGCAAAGGAACTAGAATTGCCAAAATAATTTTGAAATGAAAAGAAAAGGTGGAAGATGTACCTTATACAGTGTTGAAACTTATTATCTTACAGAAATCAAGATAGTGTTGTATTCTCTAAAGACAACATATAAACCAATGGAACTGAACTGGTAGTTCAGCAGTAAGGTTTCACATTTATTTTTAGGTGATTTTCAACAAACATGACATGACAATTAAATTGGGAAAGTCCCTTAATTGGATACTATATCTATATCCATATATGTACATATAGATGTAATTACAAATGCACACACACACATACATAAATACACACATCACACATTTAGGCCATTATTTCACACCATAAAAATACCAACTCAATTTAATCAAAGACCTAAAGGTAAGAGTTGGAACTATAAAACTTTAAAACATATGCATACACACACAGACACACATGCATACATGTGCTTACACACACAAGAAAGTCTTTATGATATTCATTTAGGCAAAGATTCTTGGACACACACCAAAATAACTGGTGTTGGAAGCAGTAATTGTCTCCAAAGGGGTACAAGCAAGCACTTTAGGATGATGGAAGTGATCTAAAATTTAGTTCTAATGATGGTTGATGATGGTTGGACAATAGTATAAATTGCTAAAAAATTACAACTTATCTGTTGCAATGGGTGAATTTTATCTTACACAAATTATAGCTTAAAGCTTTTAAAATGCACAAATTAGACAAATATTGACTATATATATCTCAGAATGTTCTATTAAATAATGCTTAATAACCATAATATGAGTGATTATGTGTCAGAAAACTAAACTGATTTGAATTCAGTGTTATCCTCAAAGAGAAAAACAGAAAAAATTATTGCTCTGAAGAAGATAAAGTATTTAGCTCTTAGTAATATCCTGTATAATAATACTAGAAAATTATGAAGGGGTAAAATGATCTACATGCCAGATATGTGCCAGAAAATGTTTCTTTAGTTATCCTGCCCTTCATGATAGTCAAAATATCTGCCAACCAGATTTGGAAGGAATAAAGAAAAAATGTAAGAATAATTCTACACAAAACTGCCAAATTGAATATCGAATTCATCATTTCTGTATCTAACTACTTTGTAGCCAAAATATGCAGTTGGATGTTGTGTTGTGCATTTGCAGTCTGTCAATCTACAAAAGCCACCAAACCAAACATCCAGGAGTAAATATAGAACGTTAAGCCAGAGGCAGAAAAGACAGTCACCTAATTTTGATGTTTCTTTGCACTTTGAAAAATAGTATCCATTGTACTGAAATTGAAAAGTTTGTGTCACTGACAACTATACTTCCTGTTTTGTATTTTACCCATTTAGATTGGCTTTGGCTAGTCATAATTTTAACTTAAATCTACTTAAATGTTTTTTAAAAACACACTAAAATAAAGTTCTGGATATCTCCTGAGTTACCACTCATTTAAACTTCTAAATACGGTATACATTATAAATAATGCAGTGGTATAATTTATAATGATTATTGCAAAGTTATTTTTTTCCAAGGAACTCAACATTTTGTACCTTAGGAGTATATGAAAGCTTAATTACTATAATTTACATAGAAAAATAAGGTGCCTACATATATAAGATAAAAACCAAGAGAAAGATCTGAAATACCTATTTAGACACCTGAGAATTTTCATATTTTTACGACGGAATATTTAGGCCTAAATATATATTAGCTTCTATCTCTTGATTTGTATTTATCCTAAGCAGTTTTTCATTTTAATAGTAATCAAGGTAATATAATTTTGTGGTCATATTTTATAGTCCACTCAAAATGGTTCTTCTTGGAAAGAAACAATTTTATTCTGGACCAATTCATTGCATTGGAATTCATACATTTTTATAGAACCTACATTGTCCAACCTTAAACATTAATAGTATACTAACATACTATTAATACTCATAAACCAACTCACAAAAGAATTCAGGTTTTTTTTTGTTTTTGTTTCTTTCAGTATGTTACCTAAAGAACAATCCTTGCCAGATGTATGACTGAGAAAAAGGGCTTGACCTCAACTAAATTAGCATGTGGAATTTGCTGGCTCAAGCTCACATCAATGCCAACCTTTTGGCTTAATGGAAAATTTCTAAGGCTCTATCCATCAAGCTTCCACAGGTTTACCTCATTTTACTACACTTCGCTTGATTGCACTTTACAGATATTGGATTTTTTACAAATTGAAGATTTGTGGTCAATTTGCACCTTGTATGATCTGTTATGTTGTGTCTGGAAGGGGTGGTTTCTTGGTCTCACTGACTTCAAGAATGAAGCTGCAGACCCTTGTGGTGAGTGTTACAGTTCTTAAAGGTGGCATGTCCGGAGTTTGTTCCTTCTGATGTTCTGACGTGTTCGGAGTTTCTTCCTTCTGGTGGGTTCCTGGTCTCGCTGGCTTCAAGAATGAAGTTGCAGACCTTCGTGTTGAGTGTTATAGCTCTTAAGGCGGCGCGTCTGGAGTTGTTCATTCCTCCCAGGGGGTTCGTGGTCTTGCTGGCCTCAGGAGAAAAGCTGCAGACCTTCCCAGTGAGTGTTACAGCTCATAAAGGCAGTACGGACCCAAAGAGTGAGCAGCAGCAAGATTTACTGAAAGAACAAAGCTCCACAGCGTAGGAAGCAGGCCCCAACGTGTTGCCACTGCTGGCTCTGGCAGCCTGCTTTTATTCCCTTATCTGGCCCCACCCACATCCTGCTGATTGGTCCATTTTACAGAAAGCTGATTGGTCCGTTTTGACGGGGTGCTGATTAATGCGTTTACAATCCCTGAGTTAGACACAAAAGTTCTCCAAGTCTCCACCAGATTAGCTAGACACAGAGTGCTGATTGGTGCATACATGAACCCAGAGCTAGACACAGAGTGCTGATTGGTGCATATACAATCCTCCAGCCAGACATAAAAGTTCTCCAAGTCTCCTCCCGACTCAGGAGCCTTGCTGGCTTTGCCTAGTGGATCCCACCCAGGGGCCGCCAGTCAGTCAGTCCCACGGGCAGGCCTGCACTGCTCAGCCCCTGGGCGGTCGATGGGACTGGGCACCACAGAGCAGGGGACAGCTCCCATTGGGGAGGCTCCGGCTGCCCAGGAGCCCACAGGGGGGAGGCGGAGAGGCTCGGGCATGGCAGGCTGCAGGCCCTGAGTCCTACTTTTCAGGGAGGCGGCTGAGGCCTGGTGAAAATATGGGGGCAGTGTGGGCGGCCGGCAGTGCTGGGGGACCCAGTGTACCCTCTGCAGCTGCTGGCCTAGGTGCTAAGCCCCTCACTGCCTGGGGCCAGTGGCGCCGGCAGGCCGCTCCAAGTGTGGGGTCTGTGGAGAGGATGCCCACCCCGAACTCGCGTGCGCCGCGAGTGCGGCCGGGGCACAGCCCCGGTTCCCTCAGGTACCTGTCCTTCCCCACTCCCTCGCAAGCAGAGGGAGTTGGCTCTGGCTTTGGCCAGCCCAGAGAGTGGCTCCCACAGTGCAGCAGTGGGCTGAAGGGCTCCTCAAGTGCGGCCAGAGTGGGCACCTAGGCCAAGGAGGCACTGAGAGTGAGCAAGGGCTGCCAGCACGGTCACCTCTCAGTATTTTGGTAATTCTAGCAATATTAACTTTTTCATTATTATTATGTTGTGGTGATCTGTTACCAGTTATCTTTAATGTTACTATAATAATTATTTTGGGGTGGCACAAATCACGACCATATACAACTTCAAACTTAATTGATAAATGTGTATGTTTTGACTGTTCCAACAACTAGCTGTTTCTCTATCTCTCTCACTCTACTCGGACCTCCCTGATCCAAAGCCACAACAATATTGAAATTAGGTAAGTTAGTAACTCTACAGTTGCTGATATGAAGAAAGTTTTAGTGATCTAGATAGTTAGAAGATCAAACCAGCCACAACTCTTCTTAAACCAATGCCTAATCCACAGCAAGGCCATAACTCTCAATTCTATGAAGGCTGAGTGAGGTGAGGAAGCTACAGAAGAAAATTTGAAGCTAGCAGGTGCTGATTCATGAGGTTTAAGAAAAGAAGTCATCATCATAACATAAAAGTACTGATGGAGAAAAAGTAACAAGTTATCTAGAAGATCTAGCTAAGGTAAGTGATGAAGGTGGTTACACTAAACAACAGATTTTTGATGTAGACAAAACAGCCTTATATTGGAAGAAGAAGTCATCTAGGACTTTCATAACTAGAGATGAGTAGTCTCTAACTGACTCTATTGTTAGGGGCTCATTCAGCTAATGACTTTAAGTTGAAGCTAACGTTCACTTACCATTCTGAAAATCCTAGGGCCCTTAAGAAGGATGCGAAATCTAGTATGCTTGTGCTCTAGAAATGGAACAACAAAGCCGGACAACACCATATCAGTTGACAGTATGGTCCACTAAATATTTTAAGCCCACTGTTAAGACCTGCTTCTCAGAAAAAAATTAAAATTAAAAAATCTCTTTCAAAAAATTTCTTTCAAAAGCAGACTGCTATTGATAATGCACGTGAATACCCAAGAGCTGTGAGGCAGACATACAAGGAGATTAATGTTTTTTCCATACCTGTTAACACAACATCCATTTCTCAGCTCATGGATCAAAGAGTAATTTTGAGTTGCTGGTATTATAATTTCCAAAATACAATTTCTAAGGCTATAGTGATTCTTCTGCTGGATTTTGGCAAAGTAAATTGAAAACCTGGAAAAATGCATCATTCCAAATGTCATTAATAACATTCAGAACTCATGAGAGGAGGTCAAAATTTCAACAATGTCAGGAGTTTGGAAGAAGTAGATTCCAAGCCTCATGATGACTTTGAGGGGTTAAAGACTTCAATGGAGGAAGTAAGTGTAAATGTGATGGAAATAACAAGAGAACTAGAATTAGAAGTAGAGCATGAAGATGTATGAATTGCTGAATTATTGAGCTCATGATAAAACTTGAATGTATGAGGAGTTGCTTCTTATGGATGAGCAAAAAAGTGTGGTTTCTCAAGATGGAATCTATTCCTGGTGAATAGAACATGGTTAAAATGACAACAAGTGGTTTAGAATATTGTATCAACTTGTTTGATAATTAGTGACAGGGTTTGAGAGGGTGTTTCCAACTTTAAAAGTTCTGCTGATGGTAAAGTGCCATCAAACAGAATTGCATGCTACAGAGTAATCTTTCATGAAAGGAACAATCAACTGATGCAGCAAGCTTCAGTGTTGTCTCATTTTAGAAAATTGCCCCACCCACCCCAGCCTTTAGGAACCACCATCCTGACTAGTCAGCAGCCATCAATATGGAGGCCTGACCCTCCACTGGTATAAATGTTATAACTCACTGAAGGCTCAAATGACTGTGAGCATTTTTTAGTTATAAATAATTTTAAATTATGTACATTGTTTTTAGACATAATTTTATTGTACACTTAGTACACTGCAGTTAAACCGGAATATGCACTAGGAAACTAAAATATTTGTGTGATTCACTTTATTACAATATTCACCTTATTGCTGTGGTCTAGAACTGAACCCATGATATCCCTGAGGTATGCCTGTATTAATGTTAGCTTTGCTATTTTAGTTTTAGAGATGATCAGATTTCCTCCCACATAACTCTTCTAAGAGTGTACATCATCTTCAAGTACTTCAAGATAAAAGTATGATGTTTCTCACTGAATTAACTTTATTAACAATAAAGTATTATATTTACTTTGTTACAGCAGCTCTACAAAACTAATGTAGGCAGTTAACTCATGAAAGGGAAGATGCTTGGATTTCTATTATTATGTTTCTGGTTAAAACGCCTGAGCTCAGGCAAGTATTAACTGTATAAGCCATAATTTAGAATTTTTTAATGTTTATTTAGTGTCTTCCTCCTAAAGAATAACTCATATTCAATTTTATAACGTGTAAAATGGAATAGAACCACTCTGTATCACTCATAAAAATAATATTACTTATTGGATACCTATATGTCTCAGCACTATGTTAAGTCATTCATATGTATTCTCATTTAATAATAAACAACTCTCTATAGCAGTTACTATTTTTCCTCTAGCTATCACAGTGAACCATCATACTTCATATATTACTTGTCCAAGAAACATATTACTTGTCCAAGGCAAATAGATCCATGTCTGTCTGAATTAAAAGCTCAAGGTCTTAGCCATAATACTAAATTGTAATCTGCTATTTAATTTTCTGATATTTGACTTTCAAAAATGCATTCAAGAATGAGTTGGTACCAATCACACTGGGGGGTTCATTTTGCTGTATTTTGATAATTTAAATTTCTAGGAACAATATAATAGCAAGAAAATAGTATTCTTTAATGGAAAAGAACAAAATATGAATCAGCTCTTAACATTTTTATATTTTATTCCTGATGCTTATCTCTATTGGATGGCAAAAATGTATCAACTGAAACTTTTTATTGTTGCATAATTAATCTTAGGTTTTTTTTTTTTTAGTACTAGTATGTTCTCTATCAAAATATACATATTTTAAGCTGGGAGTGGTGGCTCATGCCTGTAACCCCAGCACTTTGGGAGGCCGAGGCAGGCGGATCATCTGAGGTCAGGAATTTGAGATCAGCCTGGCCAACATGGTGAAACCCTGTCTCTACTAAAAATACAAAATTAGCTGGGCATGGTGGTGTGAGCCTATAATCCCAGCTACTCGTGAGGCCGAGGCAGGAGAATCTCTTGAACCTGGGAAGTGGAGGTTTCAGTGAGCCAAGATTGCGCCATTGCACTCCAGCCTGGGCAAAAAAAGCAAAATTCCACTCAAAAATAAATAAATATGTATATGTATATGTATACGTATATAATACACACACACACATATATATGCATATATATATTTAATCTTGTTATATCTTAGAACAAGTTTGTGAGTCTGGGAAAAATAACAAGACCCCATCTCTGAACAAAATTAAAAAGACTTAGTCTTAGCTACTTTAGGAGGTTGAAGCAAGAGAATAGCTTGAGCCTAGGCTTTCAAGGCAGCAGTGAGCTATGATCATGCCACTGAACTCCGACCTGGGTGACAGAGCAAGACTCTGTCTCAAAAACAGGAAAAATAAGTTCATGTATATGTGATGGACTAATGAGGTCCACAGATTCTTTTGTATTCTTCCCTTAGGAGTTGGGATCTCCACTTGAATCTGACCAATCTCTGTGACCACCTTGGCCAACAGAGTGCAGAGTAAATAGATTGTACCTGCTTATGGGTCCAGGCCTTAGAACACGGATAGTTTCCACTTTCTGCCTCCTGGAACACTCTCCTTTGGAGCCCTAACTTTCCAGGTAAGAATAACAACCATGCAGCTAAATGACTGTGGCAAGTCCGACCCTCCATGAAGAAGGAGACGAGAAGGGCTCAGCCTCCAGCCGTCCCCAACAGGGCACCTTGCAAGTGAGAATACTAACTGGACACATTTTGACCAAGAATGGCAACCCATGGGGTAGAAACCTGACTGAGAATGCCTTGCCTGAGTTCTTAACCCACACATTGATTGGATAAAATAAAATGATGGCTGTTTTAAACCACTCACTTTCGTGGGTACTGTGTTATGCAGCAATAGAGAACCTGACCAGGAAACTCAATTTTGCTTTGCAGAATGGAATTGAAATCATTTCTTTTTGTTTTTGTTTTTGCTTTGATTTTTCATTTCAATTTCAAATCTCTAACACAGAAGCCCTATTCAGCTTGCTTTTATGGAATTTGGATGCTGAAACTAGTCATTTGGCCTGACCAGTAATTCACAGGTGCATGGGTATTTATGTCATCTGATTTAATGGTTTTATTTCTAAGAGGAAAAAAAATCAGATTGAATTTATGATTGCATCTGTTCACAAGAATAAACAAAATGCTTTTAGTTTTTAGTGGATGATACGTTTTCACTACATTTTCCAAAACGTTTTTTAAAAGTTAAAATAACAAAAGAAAAGCTATTTTTTTAAATTATGGGAGCCACAATAATGAACAATTTTTTTAATCTCGATTTTCAAAAAGACGGAAAGAACTCACATAATGTTTATTTTTTCCTCAATATTTGAATAACACGTCTGAGCTAAGATCTGTTTTTAATATTCCCCAGTGAACATGTTCTTCTTCTCAAAATATTATAAAAAGATTGATTTGCATTAAAATACCTTATTAACTATTGTAATGATTATATTTTTAGTATCACATGCATCCATTCTTTACTACTTTACCAAACATACATTGAATGTTCTCTGTGTCGTGGGTGTTTTACTGCCAATACAGCCCCACAAACGGTCAGAAGACAAGAAACTGACAAGAACAGACCACCTGCTGCACAGCCTGACTTGCGCTCACAGAAGCACCCACAGGCTGCAGATGCAGAACCAGCCCCAGGGGAGTCCGATGGCCTTAGCACAGACCTGCAGGAGGAGAGCAGCTTGGGCAAGCTTTGCCTAGAGAGCCCTTAGTGAACCCAGCAGGAAGGGTGGGGGATTGTGCAGCAAGCTGAGAGCAGAGCAAGTAGCAGGGCAGGAATGAAGCATGGGATCCACACCAGGGATTCAACATGGGTACTCTGGGGAGAAGTCAGGAGGAAGGAGAACACAGTGGGGGTTTTAAAAGGAAAAGGTATCTTCTTGTGAAGCTGTATTGTCAAGCTGCTGGAGAGAAAGCAAAAAAAAAAAAAAAAAAAAAAAAAAAAAAAAAAAAAAATTCCTCCCAATCTCACTGCCCAGAGAGAACCATTTATATCTTAGTAATGCAAGTATTTTCAAGATGATTTCATTACACAATTTTTTGCAATAAACAATTTTAAACACCAATTTTTATTGTGAACATTTTTCCATGCCAGTAAATATTCTGTGGATAATAACTTTATGATCACTGAATTGTTTTATAGTGTTCTGGTAAATGTTGAGGCTATTATTTATCAACCAGCATTCTAGAATAGAAAAGCCTTGATTTGCAGCACTTGTGGATTTTGTGATATAAATACTCCTAAACTGGCCACCAACATGATACCACTGAGCCCAAAGTTGGGAGGAAACTACAAGAGCCTGTGCTGGTGCTGGCACATCACAGAGTTTATTTTCACTCCTATAAGTAGCCCAAACTTCATTTCCCTTTTTCTGTTCTTGGATACTTAATTTATATACATTTTCCTTTATAAACCTTTTCTGTCACCCTAGCATCTAGCTTTGAAAGGAAGGTACTGGATACAAGTTTATAAGTGGTAGTGACAATTATCAACTGTCTGGAGAAAACAGATAAATTGTAAATCATAAATAAGATATGATTTTTTGCTTGTTTTCAATTTTGTCAAGAACAATGTACTGCAATGAAGAGATCAGACATGATAGCTTTATAAAACCTGCAATTTAAAAATAATGTTTTAAGTAATTGTAACTGTGAATAGATTAGGAAGACGCACAGGGAGCTGACTGACAAGACAGCAGCAGCAGGGGAAAAGGACTGTTAACATCAGCTGAGCAAAAGCAAAATCAAAGCCATCTACTCAACATTCAACAGCAGCCACAGAGTATATCATGGATTGTTTCAGGCACTACAGATACTGTAGTGAATCAACAGAAAAAAAAGAAAGAAAGAAAGAAAAAGAATCCTACCACAATTGGGCATCCATTTGTGTAGAAGAGGTAGAAAATAAGCGAGATAAATCAGTAGCGTGGAATATGTGAGAAAGTGCTCCATGCGACTGGAAAACCTAGCTCAGGGGAAGGGTCTAGGAACTGTCCTGGCTGGCAGGGGTGGGGGTGTGGCCCCAGCTTTACCTCCCGCAGCGCAAGCCCAGCTCCCTGAGTCTGGAGTACTCAAACAAAGACGACAGCAAATGTCCTCAGGATCTCTTTGTGTCAAACACCTTGGAAATGATTTTTCACTCAGGAAAGTGACTACTGTGGTTTGACTCCTCACTGAGGAAGAGAAGAAAGTACAAGTCCGGTGGCAAGAAAAGCTACAATTAACAAGGATACCACGCACGGGTAATCTGCCTGAGGATAATGCCTGATGAATGTGACAGTAACATTCCCAGAGCCTCTCTCAGTCCGGCCCGCTAATCCCACAGAGGTTGTAATTAGGATTGCATCAAACCTGCAATGTGAGAAGATGGAAATATTCTCATGTAGATCATTGATCAAGGACCAAAACTGATTGCGTTCTGTTCCTTTACATCTATTATGTCCTTCAACAAAGATTTGTACTTTTCTTCATAGGAGACCCTCAGATTTATTTTGAAAGCTTTCCTAGGTATTTTGTCTGATTTTTGTTGTTACTGGAATGTTTGGGTGTGCCTGGACGTGAAAAGATGATGAAATACACGTAGAGGAATCTTTAGGGAAGAAAAAAATCTGAATTTGCATGAAAGATATCTGCAATCATTCATGCAGCAACGGTTGATGGAGACCCTGCAACAGGCCCCAGCAGGCTGTGTGCCCGAGTACTGCAGACACAGGGGTCTGTGTGCACTGCATCATTCCAGGTCATCTGTGGGTGACCCTAAGCAATCCATGAATCTGGAAGCAGCATCTACAAGAGCTCATGCTGAAGACATCAGCCAAGGCAACCAAAATCAGGGTGTGGATCCTCAAACTCCAACAAAAAGAGAAAGTTGGTCAACTGTGGGTTTGTACCTAACAAAAATAATACATGAGTCATAACTACCTAACTATATTTTGAAAAGAATTCAAAAGAAAGCAACTTACAGATTGTCAAAGGGAAGACTAAAAAAGGTTTAACAAAATGTAAGAGCTAGAAGGGTAGTTTGAGAAACCGATTAATTTCACACTGAGCTAAGTAAACAAGCCCATTCAAAATAAAATCCCACATCAGAAATGGAGAGACCTGAAACAACCATATGGCCTACAATTGTATTTCGACTAATCTTATCTTCTTAATGGCTTAAAGGTAAATCTAAAGTTAAATTAGGTTCAGAATGCAATTGAAAGTTAAATGGTGTGTAAATTAATAGTTCAATTTTTAAAGTAATGGTATTAGTTTGGATTTTGAAATAAACTGGTAAAAAAAAAGCCACATATGTAGGAAATAAGAATGTTTTCAAGTTTGTAAAAGTTCATTGGAATTGCTTGCACAGAAAAGTAACAAACAAATGAAAGAGAGACAGCAGCAATACTAAATGCAAAATCACATAGACCTTTGATGTCTTTCATAAGAGAAGGCACATTTAAGACAAATGTAAGATGACTGTTGGTGACAGCAGAATGGCTTTATATGTCTTTCAAAAAAAAAGAAAAGAAAAGAACTGACGAAAGAATAAGTGATGGTTAATGATATTCATGGTGTGCATTTATTGCTATAATCAAATTCATCGTCCTTCTTTTTTCCAGTGGAGTTTTCCACATAAGACTACAATATTTTCTTTACTGTTTTTTATTTCCATTTGAGGATTTTTCAATAAATCATTTAGTAGGTGTTAGAAACCACTGGTGACTAGCTAGTTCGACAGATATAACGGTACAAAGTCAACGTGCAGAGGGAATTGTCTGTGAAGATAAATGAAGATCATGCAATTAGAATATTCCCATTAAATCCTGTATTATTTTAAACACTGAAGTGAAAATAGTTTCTATTTATTCTTCACTGCAGATTTACAACATGGAACATGGAAAAGGAATTATGAGCTCACATGTTTTTACTTCAATGTCTGCGTTCATTTCTGCCTGGAAACATTTTCATTGCTATAGCATAGATATACAAACGCACAAAAATGGAGGGGGGAGAAAAGGAAAGGAATTTAATTAATTATTTTTAAACTTGACATCGTGTTGTTATCCTAAGTATTACTATTGACAGTATTTCCAGAAAGTTGCTACTCCAGTTCTCACTACAAAAATAAAGCAAATTTTAAAAACTATGTGAGATGATGAGTATGTTAATTAGCTTGACTATGGTAATTGTTTATATATATATATATCAAAATACCACACAGTACATCTTAAATGTATATAATTTTTATTTGTCAAGTATACCGCAGTAAAGTTGGGAGGAAGAGCCAAGAAAATGAAAAAGCTATTATGATGTGGGGTTTACTTAATTTTTTTTTTTTGAGATGGAGCTTTTGCTTTTGTTACCCAGGCTGGAGTACAATGGCACAATCTGAGCTCACCGCAACCTCCGCCTCCCAGGTTCAAGCGATTCTCCTGCCTCAGCCTCCTGAGTAGCTGGGATTAAAGGCGTGTGCCACCATGGCCAGCTAATTTTTGTATTTTTAGTAGAGACGGGGTTTCACCATGTTGGCCAGGCTGGTCTCGAACTCCTGACCTTGTGATCCGCCTGCCTCGGCCTCCCAAAGTGGTGGGATTACAGGCGTGAGCCACAGTGCCCAGCTGATGTGGGGTTTATTTTAAGCTGAGAAACTATCACGGGAAAGGAGGTGCCATAGACTTAGTCTTCTAGACAAAACATCCTAGGAAGATATCTACACCTTGAGTAAATTAGGAAGGTAGTGGATTTATGTTGTATGTATATACTTCATCAAATGTACTCCCTCCTTGGCAAATACCCTCCATATTGGTTAAACAGCATATTTAAGAACTTAAGCTCCTATATTTTTATTAAACTACCAGAGTACTTATAACAAAATGCATAACATTCTGTTGGATCAGTGGTTAAATGTTCTGAAATGATCCTGAAAACGTCTATAATATTTCCTGAAACAAGTTGTTTAATAAGAATTTTATAGTATTCTATAAGATGCAATAAAAGCAAAATATAATAGAGTCAAATATTTTTCTTAAGGGTAGTATGTAATTAGAATTTAATGTTTTTGATAGGTTATAACCAAAGAAATGCCTAGCAACTCAGTATCACTAAATTGGATTTGAAATTAAAATGCGATTTTATTTATTCTATTTATTTATGCATCTTTTTATTTGTTCATTTGCTTGCCTCAGGATATTTGTTATGTAAAATTAAAATTGTTTTTATTCTGCAAACAGCTAAACAAAAATAAGATAAAAAACATGATGCTTTACGTTATCTTTTTCCAGGCATTAGTGAAAGACATTTCCTAATTACAGTAAATTCAATGTATCACATTTTATTAACTATGCAACATAATCCAATTCATTCATTTGAAAATCACCTGCCAATAAGTAAATTGATTATTTTATTGACTCATGATATTTGAATAACTATTTTAAGCTGGTGATGTAAAACCTAAATCTTATGGAATTCTCTCAATCATATTTAATTACTCACTTTATGGCTTTATATTTCTTAAATTTTTTCTTCTACATTTACTGAGGAATCACTGTATGCCAATCACGGTCCTAAGCACTTAACATTACAAGGGAATCCATATTTTAACATGCCAGTGAGAGGGAAGTAAATAATAAATGTAAGATACTGTATGAAATTTACAACTGCTCTGAAGACAATAAAACATGGTGATGTGGACAAGAGCATCAAGGGTTGCAGGGTATTTCAGACATGGTTGTAAAGAGTCAGCTCCTTGAGAAGCTAGCAGGGGAGCTGCAACCAGAATTATAAGAAGGAGCCAGGAGGTAAACGTCCGGTCAGAGCCCGTAGGCAGAAAAAACAGAGCAAGCAGTGGCCCTGAGATAGGAAAGAGCTGGATGTGTTCAAGAGCCACAGGAACCCATATTCAGGAGAAATGAGGTTGGAGGTGTAGGCAGGGCCAGATTGTGGATGACCACACAGGCCACAGTGGAAGTTTTCAGTGATCAGCATTGAGGGTGACAGCAAATATTTGGGTCTAAAAAGATGACTTTTTCTAACTTTCAGATGAAGGATTGTGGTGTGGTGGAAGTGCAAAGGTAAAAAGTGCAAACGGGAAAGTTCATTAGGAGATGAATGTACAAATCTATGTAGGAGTGATGGTGGGAGCCATCAAGGTAAGCAGAAGGAGATGGGTTTAGTTATGATCTGGAGAGAGAGAATGAAGAGCTTTCTGCTGGAAAGGAGGAGTGAAGTATAGAAAGATACATCAATGTCAAATTCATGGTCCTGAGAAACTGAGCTGATGCCATTTCCAAAGATGAGGCAAAACTATCTTTAAGTATGAATATGGGAATCAAAGCTTCTGTTTTAGTCATCTTACACGTGATGATGCTGACAATTTCTACAAATAGCTAACATGTATTGAGTTCTTAATTGGTGCCAAGCACTGTGTAGGTTACTTTATGTGTATTTCCATATTTAATCTTATAATAGCCCCAGAGTTAGCTGGTACCACGATTGTCACCATTTTACATATGAGAAGACAGAGTCATGACAAGGTTACTAAATTTCCCAGAGTTATGCAATTAGTAAGTTGCTATAGATGGAAAATGAACTCAAGTAGTCTGGCTAGAGTTTGTGTTGTGAATCCTCATCCTATAACACACGTTCTGCAGGAGATTAGAGCTTGAGATATGTAAATGTGGGCATCACTGACATCTATAACAACTTTGGCATATATTTTCAGCATTTTGAATCTACAGTTAAGTTTACCTTTACTTTGTGAAAGTTAAATTGCTTTAGTTAGTGTTAAGCTATTAAGTCATTTTATATTTTTAAAAAAAAGCTATTAAGTCATTTTATATTTAAAAAAAAAAAGCAATGGTTTCCAGGAGAAAAGGGTGATACAACAATAGTATGACCTGATGGAAACTATTTCTATTTACAAAGAATGCATTGATCAGAAGTGGTTTGGTCATAAATGTAGGGACAAAAGAAGAGATGACAATGAACTGTCAGTGCTTCCTCAGGGGGATAAGCCAATGCTTTGATTTCAGTGGTCAGTGACAAGATAGCCAAAGTATCCTGATCCTACTGGCAATGCTGTTCTCATTTCATGGCCTGATGACATTTAACACTTGAGTCATCTCATTTCTTTGTGTTTTATTCTCTTCATAATTGTCCTCATAAGCATGTGTCTTTTGATAGAAGATACATGACAGTAAATTGCCATTGTGACATATACAAATGCATGGTGATGCAAACGTGAGAATTCTTGATACTCTGGAAATTCTCAGTCTTTTCAATTCCTGTTTCTATGAATTCATCTCTGAAGTTTTGTTATTGTGTTCCAACTTCTAAAAAGTGTATCCACTTTTATTTTGCTAATAAAATTGGATATCTGAGATTACGTATCTGATGCAAGAACTCCAGACTTGAATAAATTCACAGTATTAGTGGTGTTTCACCTTAATGCCTCTTGCAAGGCAATGTGACAATCCTTTCCCTAAAGAAACAAAAATATGCACTTGTGTCATTATGGGTCTGAATATATCTTAAACATCTTGTAAATTTAACTAGTTTGATAGGAGGATTAAATCTAAGTCTGCAGTCATTAGCTCTTTAATATGTCTGTGGTCAATCAAGTCTCTGTATGTATTTAATCATCACTTTCCTTAATTTGACTAGATTCACAATGCAAGGATATAAAATTTTGGGTAAATATGCACATATTATGTATGGAAATAAAATACAAAATATATGAAATGCTTAAAATATTTGGAAAATTCACTCAGTCTTACAATATGTAAATGTATACATTAAACCATTGTTTGTGGGCAAATTATCTTTCAAAGTTCTCAAAATTCAATGCTGACCAAGAAAAAGTAAATTCTACTGAGATAAATCAGATTTTGCTGACTGTAAGAAACTTATTTCTATTCAAAGACACAAGTAGGTTGTGAGTAAAAAAAATAAAAAATATTTAGCTTGTGAACATTAATAAAATATGGCAGAATTGGCAGCATTAGTGATAGAAAAAATAGTTTCAAAACAAAGAAAATTGCTAGAAACAGAAAGCAACAGTGTGTAATGATGAAAGCATCAATTTAGCAGAAAGACATAACAATCTTAAATGTGTATTCACCAAACAACAGAACCCTAAAGAAGCAAAAACTGATAAGAGTTGAAAAAAAAATAGACAAATCCATAATTGGAGTTAGAAATTCCAACATCTGGTCTGGCGCCATGGCTCATGCTTGTAATCCCAGCACTTTGGGAGGCCGAGGCAGGCATATCACCTGAGGTCAGGAGTTAGAGATCAGCCTGGCCAACATGGCGAAACCTTGTCTCTATTTAAAAAAATACAAAAATTAGCCAGGAGTGGTGACATGCACCTATACTCCCAGCTACTCAGGAGGCTGAGGCAGGAGAATCGCTTGAACCCAGGAAGTGCAGGTTGCAATGAGGCGAGATAGCACCACTGTACTCCAGTCTGGGTAACAGAACGAGACCCTGTCTCAAAAACAAAAAAACACAAAAATTCCATCATCTTACTTTCAATATCTGATATAATTGATAAAGAGAAAATCAGCAAGGATATGGAAGATGTGAAGAACACAATCAACCAACCATATTTTACCCATTAGTAGCAGAATACATATTTTAAAAAAATAGACAAGAAGCATTCACCAAGAATGACCACATCCACAGCCGTGAAATAAATCTCAACAAATTTGAAAGAATTGAAATTCTCTGACAATAAGTGCATCAAGCTAGATATCAATAACAAGACAATAAGAAAATAACTGAAACCTTAAAAATTAAGCCATATACTGCAAAATAATGCAAGATGATAAAGGAAATCTAAAAATATATAAAACTCAATTAATATGAAGATATAGAATATTAAACATGTGGGATGCAGCTAAACAGTAATAAGACAGAAATGTATAACACTAAATGTTTACATTAGAAACAGAACAATCTCAAATCAATAATCTAAATTCCTACCTAAAAAGTAGTGGGGAGGGAAACCAAATCAAGTAGAAGAAATAAAACAGAAGAGGAGAAGAAATAAGTAAAAGTAAAAGCAGGAAAACAATTAAAAATGAAAGAAACTGGTTTTCTAAAAGAATCAATAAAATTAAACTGTTAGCACAAATGACAAAAAAATTAGAAGACACGAATGACCAATATTAGGAATAAAAGAGGCTGTATTAATACAAATCCTGAAACCATTAAAAAGGTAATTGTGGAACACTATAAACAACTTTATGTTCAGAAGTTCGACAGAAAACTACAAACTGTAAAAACTCAATCAAAAAGGATAATTAATCTAAATTATTCTATAATCATTAAATAGATTGAAGTCATAATTTAAAATCTTTCCCCCAGTAAAGTCTTTAGGCTTAAATGGTTTTGCTTTTGAATTCTACACAACATTTGAATAAGGCTTTTAACAATAATTTTACACAGCCCCTTTCATAAAATTAAAGAAGAGATCATTTTCCAACTCATTTTTAAGGCCAGTACCCAGGTAGCAACACCAAAGACAGAACAAAAACAAATAAACTATATTCAAATCTTCCTCTTGAGCTTAAACATTAAAAGTCTCAACAAAATATTAGCCAACTGAATCCAACAGTATATAAAGAGATATTTACACTGACTAAGTGGGATTTATTCCAGGGATTGCTGGTTTGACATGCAAAAATCGATCAATGTAATATACCATATCAACAGGCTACAGAAGAAAAATATGATCAGATAAACTGACATAAAAAAAGCATTAAACAAATCTCAAAACATATCCATAGGGGTAGGGTAGACTCCAGGCAAGCCGAAAATAATGGAAAAATACCTCAACTAGAGAAATAGCATTTTAAAAAGCTGTAGGTGTTTTAACAAGTGAAAGGCCTAATAGTGAGAAACCCTAAGATCAGAGGCAGGGAGAGATGTCTGCTGTCACCGCTTTGATTCAACATAGTGCAAGAAGTTCCAAGTTAAGCCTCTGGATAAGAAAAAAAAAGGGAAGAAATCCCCATAAATCACACCATCTAAAAAACCTCAGAATTAGTTAAGACCTAAATGTAAGAGGTAATGTAATAAAAATACTAGAAGAAAACATAGGTACAAGTGTTTGTGATTTGGAATAAAGCTTAGATGTGACTCAAGAAGCATAAGCAACAAATGACAAAAAAGCTGGACTTCATCAAAAGTTAAAAACTTTTGCTCTTCAAAACACACCATCAAGGGAGTGAAAGACAAGCCATAGAATGAGAAAAAAATGCAAATCTGATATGGTGCTTTATCTGATAAGGCACTTGTATCTAGAATATATAAAGAATAGTTAATTACTACTTGGTGATAAGCAGACAAACGACCCAATTTTTTAAAATGGTCAAATGATCTGAATAGATATGTCTCCAAAGAATCTATACAAATGACCAAAAAAGCACATACAAAGATGCTTCCCATCATTAGCCATCAGGAAAATGCCAATCAAAACCACCTTTACTGTAAGTTACCACTTCACACCCACTATGATATCTGTATCAAGACAGAAAATAGCAAGTGTTGGCAAACATGGTGAGAAACTGGAACACTCATCTACTGCAGGTAGGAATGTAAAATGAAATAATGCACCTGCTTTGAAAAACGGGCTGGTAGTTCTTCAAGTAGTTAAAGATAGAGTTACCATATGGTCCAGCAATTTTACTTCTAGGTATATACTTAAGAGAAATGACAACACTATGTCCACACAAAAAATTATACACAAATATTAAGAAAAGCATTATTCATGATACCCAAAAGGTATAGTTAATCCAATTGTCCATTCACTGATAAATGTATAAGTAAAATATGATATAGTCATATAGTGAAATCCTATTCAACAATTTGAAAATCTAGGTGATACACACTACGAAATGGATGAACCTGGGAAACATTATGCTAAGTGAAAGAAGTGAATCACAAAAGTCGCATATTGCATGATTCCATTTATATGAATTGTTTACAATAGGCACATCTATAGGAACAGAAAGTAGGTTAGTGGTATACCAAGGCTTGAGGAATTGGATAAATGGGAGGGTAATGTTTAGAGGTATAGTGTTTCTTTTAAGGGTAATGAAAATATTCTAATATTGATTATGTTGATGGGTGTACACCTCTGTAGATATACTAAAAGCCATTAAATTGTATGCTTCAAACGAGTGAGTTATAAGCTGTGTGAATTATAGCTCAATAAATCTGTTAAAACAACAACAAAATTGACCTAAGTTAAACATGCAACTGCTATGCAATCTGGCAATCTTAATGATGAACATTTATCTCAGTGAAATGAAAACTTATTTTATATAAAAAATTGAAATGCATGTTTATATCAGCTTTATTCATAAAAGCCAAAAAGTAGAAACAACCCAAATGTCCTTCAATGGAAGAATGGCTAAATAAACTGGCACATGGGTACTATGGAATACTACTCAGAAATAAAAAATGAATGAACTGTTGATATGAGCAACAACTTGGATGAATCTTGAAGGAATATTACTGAGTGAAAAAAGGCAATCCCAAATGCCTGCACACTGTATGATTGAATTTATACAACATTCTTGAAATGACAAAGTTTGGAAAATGGAGAACAATTTATTGCTTACTAGGGGTTAAGGAAGTCAGGTGGAGAGGGTAAGAGAGAGAGGTTATTGTTATTAAAGCACAACAGCAGGAATTCTTGTGGCGATGACTGCTTGTATCTTGATGCAGGTGATGTACTTAAGACATTTTACCTGTGATAAAATTGCATGGCACTAAACACACATACACACACACACACACACACACACACACAAATGTAAGTAAAATTGTGGATCTGAAAAACATCAGTTTATTTTATCAATGTCAGTATCCTCGTTGCTTTATTGTGCCATCATTTGAAAATGTAAACTATTGAGGGAAATTGTTTAAAGTGTACTCAGGATCATCGCATATAACTTCACAACTGCATGTCAATCCTCAAAGTTAAAACTTTAATTAAAAGATTCAAGATAGTTGTGGAAAGTTGGACATTGTTTGAAGGTATGTTTTCTAAATTCTGCTCTACCACTTTCAGCTGTGCCACTCCAAAAATCACTTGGCCTTTCTAAGTTTCAGCTTCCTTATAGGAAATAGAGACTTAGATAAGGTGTGTGGTTTCTAGCCTGAAGAAAATATTTACTATATGAGTGTATTTAGAAACCACTGATCGGGATTTCTACATTAAAAACAATCTCATCTGTCTGTTTCTGCTCTTATTAATCATATAAACATCTATATACATTTGAAAAAGCATAGTATTTGTTTTGAAAATATTATTTATCTATTCCATAGATCATGCTTGCAGCCTGTGTGGTACAAGTGCCTCTGGTGGTAACCCCCCAACCTCTCAGAGTCTGCAGTTGATAGTGTGCAAATTTTAAAAAGTGGCTTTAGAAATCTCAAAGATCTCTTTCAGACTTGGGATTTTGAGGTGGAGCTTTAGATTTTTCACCCATAGAAATTTACAAAAGTTTTTGACTTACCATCAACCACTGACTGTGTATGAGTCATATTTTCCAACATGTGTAAATGCTTTATCAAATTACATGCAAATAATATTCAATAAATTAAAAAGTGCACATAGACTATCACTGTCTGAAAAACATATCATTCAAAAACTGTGTGCATATTATTCCCTAAACTGAAATGATCATGGGTCCTGGGATCATTAACAACCCTAAAATAGGTTCATTCCTATAACGACATCCAAGTGCTGACATGAAAGGGCCTAACCAAGTCCTGTTGAGCAACTCAAACAGGGATGGACACAGTCCCAGGTTGCAGGTCTTGTAGACTCTAAAGACAGAGGAGGAAGAAGCTTCCGATGACACTTCATTCTGTGTACATAGTGCTATAGGCCTTACTATATATCTTATGAATTTAATCCTTAAAGCAGTCCTTAACCATGACATATCACCTCCATTTTACAGATTTTGACACCAGTGCTTGGGGAGATTATGTAATTTTCCCAGGTTAGTACCAGATCTTGGATTTGACTTTGACCTTGTTCTCTTTCATTTTACAGCCTACACACTTTCTGCTCCACTGTGGCATTTCAAATAAAGTTAGAAAGATGAAAAACAAAAACAAAAAAGTGTAAAGCTTCTAAAGAAGAAAAAAAAGAATGTACAGGCTCAGCCAAGGCATTGCTCCCGATAAGGTATAATCACCCTAACCCATTGTGTCTTCATGCATCTGGCTTCCACCTGTGAGCTTAAGTTACCTGTGCAGCTGCATTTCCACTCAGCATAGCCCTTTAACAAATATGACAAAAGATGAACGCATATGACAAACTGACTGTTTCTCTGGCTAGGAGAACACCACGTTCTGAGTAAAACAATTCTTCCCTTAAAAATGAAAGAAATGATAGAGAGAGGCTGTCCACGTAATTTATTTCTTAGTAACTATAACAATTTTAAATATTTCCTCGAAATTGTGTTTTGCTGAATCACTAAAGAAGTGCATGATGAAATATGACTCATTGTCTTATCTCTTGCAACAATATACTTAGGTTTGATATAATAAATTATAAGTTAAATCTCAAAACACAGGGTAGATGACATGGTTACACTCTATAAACCTAAACCTGGAGGCTCAGTGAGGATTTGCTGGCTTGCTTGTTTATTTTGAAATAAAACATGCCTGCCCTTGATCCTAACAAATGCAGCCCAGTGTCCTGCTGTTCCAGCAATCCCCAATTGCCTCCATGGGGCCTATTCACTCATCTATCTTGCTTGACATTGTTGGAAGCTGAAACTTGATAATTACAGCTAACACTGATGGTGCTTTGCACCAGACAATGTTCTAAAAGACTTTACATACAGTAAACCACACGGCACCACAGGAAGGAAATGTCGTCATCTTTCTTACTTTACTAATGATGTGACTGCTTGCATGAAGTGATTAAGAAACCTGCTTTGTGTGGTTTGTGAACAGATTGGAACCCAAGAAGTTGGACACACTCCAGGGCCTGAAAATTTAACCACTGGGCTATATATCTTGAAAGATGATTCCAAACTCCTGACTTCATCCTTCTCCACAGCTTTTCTGCTGTGTCATATGTCTGGCATGGATGTTTGCTTTAAAAAATAAAAGAAATGTTTCCATAGCAATCGGAGGAGGAAGATATTGTAGCCTTGAGTAAGGTTCAGGCTCTTCTCTTTCAGACAAAGTGCCTAAGGCCAATCCTAGGTCCAAAATCTCCTCTGGGCTCACTCAGTTTTGACCTTTATGGATGATCCTGGTATTTTATCTGTGGAACATAGTAGGACATATTGTCTTTCATTAATTTGCTCTAACTCAACTATGCAAGCTCAAGAACAGAGAATCCTTAGATTAAAGCAGGAGTACCGGGGAAACAAGAAGGTCATGAGGCTGATAGAAATTCATGTTTTATCTATTGTGGAGTGAAACAATATGAGGCTATTTTCAAATCCAATCTGACAATCCAAAATGCATGTACGGAAAGGTGATGATTCATTTTTCCCTCCGTTTGGAACTGCTTCCAAGCCCTTCAAAACAGAAAGGATAGAAAAATGGGGTCAAATAGAATTACCTGGCCTGGTACATTATCCATTGTTTCCAATAAAAAGACAGCAACATATATTTTCTTAAGAAAAACAGGGCCTATTAAGTCTATCAAACAATTTTTTAAAATTATAAAATACATTAATGTGTTTGTTTTTCCAACTCTTGCTTAGAAGTAATGCAAATGACTTGTTTTCTAATGAGAGAAAAAAAGAATGGGTTATGAGTTAGGACCAACTTCGAGGTACCTTTTCTCAGGACTGACTGGCGAGGGGAGAGGTACTGAGAAAAGATGGGAAAGACAAGCGCTGCTTCCTCAATTGGCATGCTTTACAGACAACATTTCTTTTTACCCACAAACAGTCCTCATGTGTTCTAATGCCTTTTACAAATGAGGAAATTGAGATTCAGGGATGTTAATAAACTCGCCCACACAGGAATAAGAAGACATCTGTTTTCCTCCCTGCCCCACGCATTCCAGCACCATGGAGCCTCATGAGAGGGACTTCTTCAATTTAAAGAAACAGGAGCATTAACATGTTTTTTAAAGTTCATTGAAAACCTGGTAAACACCTTTCAAATCATATTTCTTCATTCAAAAATATTTACTGATCACCGGATTTTTTTCAAAGCAAGATATAATAAAATGGGAGTGCTTCTTGCTTTCCCAGAGGTAGCAATGTATACAGGAGTAGAGAAAATGGAACATATAAATACTATAAAGTCTTAAGGGAGGTTAATACCAAGTATTCTCTCACCAACTTGGGGGTGATCAGGGAAAAAGTCCTAGAAGCAGTATCAGCTTAGTGAGTTCCGAACATTCAGCAGATGTTAGCTAGGTGGAGCCATTGAAGCAGTTGAGGTTAGTGTGGGAAAGAGTGAGTCTGAATTACAGGCAAGTCGGAATGATGAGACAATTGCAGTCCATTTGAAGAATTTAAGAAAGGGCAGGGTGGTTCAGCCATATGAGTGAGAGAAGTTTAAAAAAAATTGAAGGCCTAGTTCACTGGCTTATGCCTTGAGAGGCCAAGGTGGGATGTACCTTGAGAGGCCGAGGTCAGAGGAACACTTGAGCCCAGCAGTTTGAGACTAGCCTGAGCAACATAGCAAGACCCCATTTCTACAATAAATAACAATAAGAAATTAGCTGGGCATGGTGGTGCACACCTGGATTCTTAGTTTCTCTAGAGGCTGAGGTCAGAAAATGGCTTGGACCCAAGAGTTCAAGGTTGCGGTGAGCCATGATTGCACCACTGCACTCTAGCTTGGGGAACGGAGTAAAACCCCAACTCAAAAATAAATAAATAATAAGAACTGAGGCTGGAACAGTAGGCAAGGAGCAGGTTATTCGATCACCAGGTTAAAAATTGTATACCTTACCTTGAACAATGGAAGCCACTGAGAAATGCTCTCATGAGAAGGAACATTTTGGCAACAGTATGAAAAATGATATGGAACAAAGATGGAAAGAGTTTATGGTTTGTTCAGTAATATAAGTATGAAAAGATGATACCTTGGCCAAGGATAGCAGTAACAGATAAGGAGATAAGTAATGGTTAAGGAAATAAGTAGTGGGTAAGGAGATAATTGGAGAGAAGTAAAATCTCTTTAGAAGGTAAAGTACATAGAACTTGGTGATTGGTTGAATATAGAATATAAGTAAGTGAGAAGAAACATTTACAAACAATGCCCAGGTTTCTGGCAAGGGCAAGTGGGTAAATGATGACATCATTTGCTGAGAAGGGAGCTGCCCAGAAGGGAGCCCATTTGGGAAAGATGAGTCGTGTTGTCACAGTTGGAGTCCATTAAATAATAATCATCAACTCATCAGAGACCCAATGCTGAAATTGGAGATTTGGGAATATTCACATAAGGGTGATAGTAACTTTGTCTTCTTTATTGAGAATCAATATTATAGTAAGTAAGAGGATCAAAGCCAGAATTTAAATGCCACTTCTTACAGGCAGGAATATGATGCATAAATTTTTCTGGATTGCTTGAGATGCCTGACACAGTCCCTGCTAGTAATGAGAAGTATCTTGTTCTCCACCTGATGGGAGCTCAATCAATAGTTTTGGTGTTTCAAAAATTGCTTGAAAAAGGAAATATGGATTTAGAATATGAGAGAAGTCATCAGAAAAATGAAGTTTAGCTCACAATGTGTATGTGTTGTGGTGGGGTTTGTGTTGTAGATAAATAAATGGCTGGAATTAATTTCAAGAGGTGACAGAGGAGTCATTGAACAAGTTCATGTGTTACTAATTTGGAAGTTTTGGCAGCTTAAACAATCCAGGATTCTATCCAGGATACTATCCTGGATTATACACACACACACACACACACACACACACACACACAATTATATATATTTATATATATGCATATTTATAATCAAAATATAATTCATTCATTGTAAACCATGAAGTTCACTTTTGAAGTCTATAATTCAGTGACGTTTATTATATTCCAGGATAGCAAAATCATCACTACTGTCTACTTTTAAAATATTTTACTTACACAAAGAAAAATATCATTCCCTAATCATTCCTCTCCCTAATCCCTGGAAACCACCAGTCTATTTATATTTCTATGGGTTAGCTTATTCTGGACATTACATATAAATGAAATCATACAATATGTGATCTTTTTTACTTATTTCACTTAGCTTAATGTTTTCATGTTTTCAATGAGGTTTCACCATGTTATAGCATGTATCTGCATTTCCTTCTTTTTATTGACAAAGACTATTCCCTTGTAAAAGCATTCCACATTTTGTTCATCCATTCATCAGTTAATGGTCATTTGGATCATTTCCACTTTGTAACTATGGTGCGTAATTCCACTATGACCCTTTTTGTAAAAGCATTTCTGTTAATGTGTGTTCATTTATCTTGGGTGAATATGGGACGTGGTTTCATTTATCATGGCAGTGGAGTTACTGGGTCACATGAGAACTCTAGGCTAAATATTTTAAGGTATTAGCAAAGGTTTTGTAAGGCAGCTGTGCCATTTCAGATGCCCCAGCAATATAAGAGTGTTCCAATTCCTCTGCATCTGGGCCAGCATTTATTACTGTCTGTTTTCTGGCAATGGCCATCCTAGTGGACATAAAGTGATAGCTCAATGTGGTTTTGATTTTAATTTCAATGATGATTAATGATATTAAGCATACTTTCATTTGCATATGGTGCATATGTGTTTCTTCTTTTGGAGAAATATCTCTTTAATTCCTTAAATATTTAAATTTGGGTTGTCTTTTTACTGTCAGTTAAAAGAAATGTTTATGTTTTCCGGATACTAGGCCCTTATTAGAAATGTAATTGACAAATAGTTTATCTAATTTTGTAAATTGATCTATTAATAGTGTCCACTGGGGTAAAAACTCTTTTTTAATTTTAATGAAATCCAACTTATCTACTTTTAAATTTTTTCCTTGTGATTTTGTTGGCATAGCCAAGAAACAATTGCCTAACTTTAGGGCACAAGAATTTATTCTTACATTTTCCTATAAGAGTGTTGTAATTTTAGCTCTTCCATTTAAGTGCATAATGCATTTTAAGTTAATTATTATATGGTGTAAATTAGGCATCCAACTTAATTCTTTTTGCATGTGGATATCCAGAAGTCCTTGTGCCGTTGGATAAAAATACTATTACTTAATGAATTGTCTTGGCCACATTGATAAAATGTTGTAACAATGAATTTTAGTGTAAAACTGTATTTCTAAACTCCCAAGTTTACTCTATTAATTTACATGTGTATCTTTATATTACATTACAGTAATCAGATTATATTATATTATCTGATTACTCTATCCTTTTAGTCAGTTTTGAAATCAGGAAATATAGTATGAATCCTCCAACTTTGTTCTATCTTTTTGGAATTGTTTCAATTATTCTAGGTCTCTTGCATATGAATTTTATCATCTGATTCTCAATTTCTGCAAAAAAGCTGAAATTTTGATAAGGAAAGCATTGTTTCTTTAGGTCAGTTTTGGAGGTATAAACATCTTAACAATATTAAAATCCATCACCATGAAATATTTTTAAAAATTTAGATCATCTTTAATTTTGTTCAAAAGTATCTTGTGGTTCCCAGAATACAAATTGTTATGGTTTGGATTATGTCTGCCCCCAAAAAAGTAGGTTGAAGTCCTAATCTCTAGTACTTCTGAATGTGAACATATTTAAAGGTAGGGTCACTTCCTAGTCCAATATGACTGGTGTTTCTATAGGAAGACAGCCATGTGAAGACAGAGGCACACAAGAATACTGGGTGGCAGAACGGCAGAGGATGGAGTTACGTAGCTATAAGCCGAGGAATGCTGAAGATTGCTGGGAAACCACTGACAGCTAGGAAGAGGTAAGGAAGGATCTTTGTATGTGTTTCAGAGCATGGCTCTCTTGACAACTTCATTTCAGACTTCAAACTTACACAACTGTGAGACAATAAATTTTGGTTATTTTAAGCCACCTCATTTGTGGCACTTTAATATGGCAGCCCTAGGAAACAATGCATACATGTTTGCACTTTTTCATTAAATTTATTCATAAGCATTTTATTATTTTTATGCTGCTGTCAATGGAACAGTTCTCAATTTTATTTGGATTGCATATTGCTAGTGTACAAAATACAATTTATATTTAAACTTCGATCTTATATGCTGTTATCTTGCTACGTTTTTAATTTAAATGTTTTCTTCTTGTTTGTTTGTGTGTGTGTGTGTGTGTGTGTGTGTGTGTCAAGATTTTCTATCTAAAGATAATGTCCTCTGGTGTAATTTTATTTTTTACTTTCCAAAATAAGTATGTTTTATTTCTTTTTCTTGCCGTACTAACCTGGCTAGACCTTCTATTACAATGTTTAATATAAGTGGCAAGAGCACATATCCTTGTCTTGTTCCCAGTCTTAGGGGGAAAGTATTCAATCTTTCACCAATAAGGATGAATTAGATGTGGATTTTTCATAGATGCCTTTTATCAAGTTGAAGAATTTCTCTTCTACTTTTAGTTTGTTGGGTATTTTTATCATGAAAGGGGTTGGATTTCATCAGCTATAATTTATGCTTATATTAAGGTTTATTTTTTCTATTAATATGGAAAATTAAATTAATTTATTTTCCAATATTACACTCCTGGATAAATACAATTTACAATACTGGGATAAATAAGTTTCTGGATTCCTTGTATTACTTTGAAGATTTGTGTGTTTACATTGATATGGGATGTTGACCTGTAGTTTTCTTTTCATGTGATATATTTGCCTGGTTTTTATAGCAAGGTAATATTGTCCTCATAGAATGAGTTTTTATGTGCTCCCTCCTCTTGTATTTTCAAAGATTTTGTGAAGAATTTGTATTATTTCTTCAATAAGCTGTTGGTTGTATTTATCAATTAAGCATCTGTACTTAGGATTTTATTTGGGAAGTTTTTACTTATAATTCAATCTGTTTACTCCTTGAATTTGGGGAAGAATACACAAGTAAACACATCTAGCCTGGTGCTTTTTGTTTTGGAAGGTTATTAATTATTGATTAAATTTCATTAATAGATATAGAACCTATTCAGGTTCTCTGTTTCTGCTTGTATGAGTTTTGGCAGATCATGTCTTTCAAGAAGATGGTCCATTTTGTCTAGGTTATCAAATTTGTAAGCACAGGCTTGTTCATAATATTCCCTTACTACTCTATGAATGTCCATGAGATCAATAATGATGGCCTCTCTTTCATTTCTGATATTAATAATTTGTGTCTTCTCTCTTTTTTACATAATTAACTCGCTAAGGGTGTTTTGATTTTATTGATTTTTTTTCAAAGAGCCAGCCTTTGCTTTCACTGATTCTGTTGATTTCCTGTATTTAATTTTATTGATTTCTGCTTTAACTTTATTATTTTTTCTTCTGTTTATTTGGGATTTTCTTTACTCTTATTTTTCTCGTTTCCTAAGGTGAAAGATTAGATTGTTGATTTCAATATTTATTTTATAATATATACATTCTGTGCTATAAATTTTCCTCTAAACATTGCTTTTGCTGAATTCCACGAATTTTGACATGTATTATAGTATTCTCATTTTCATTTCATTCAAAATATTTTTAAATTTCTCCTGAGACTTCTCCTTTGATCCATGTGTTATTGAAAAGTTGATTAACCTGTAAGCATTTTAGAGTTTTCCAGCTATCTTTCTATTATTGATTTCTATTTTAATCCCACTATGGTCTAAAATTATACTTTGTATGTTTCTATTATTTTAAATTTGTTAAGATGTACTTTATGGCCCCGAATGTAGTCTATTGTGGATTCTGCCATTGTTGGATAAAGTATTCTATATGTGCCAACTAGATTTAGTTGATTGAGGTGCTGCTTAGTTCCACTATGCACTCATTTTCTACCTGCTGGATCTATCTGTTTCTGATGGAGGGGAGATGAGTGCTCAAATATAATGGTTAATTCATCCAGTTATCCTAACAATTCTGTCAGCTTTTCCTCTCACAAATAAAGATCGTCTGTTTTTAAGTGCAAACATGTTAATGACTATTATGACTTCTGATGAATCAATCCATGCATAAATATAATAATGACCTCCTTTATATATAATGACCTATTTGATATAATTTAGCTACTTTAGCTTTCTTTTGGTTAGTGTTAACATGGCATATATTTCTCTATATATTTACAAGTTGTCTATCTGTTTCTTTATATTTAAGGTAAGTTTCTTGTAGATAATGCAGTTGGATCTTGTTTCCTTGCGCATTCTGTTAGCCTGTCTTTTAAATGACGTATTTAGAACATTTTAAATTAAAGTGATTATTGACATAGTTGACTTAATGTATAGCGTATTTGCTAATCTTTACAATTCATGGCTCTTTTCCATTTTTCTTTTTTTTTGTTTTCACTCTATCCTGCCTTCTTTAGCTTTAATTGAGCATTTTATATAATTTTATTTTTAATTCTCTCAGCAACCAATTATAGTTTTTTTAACTTTTTTGAGTGGTTTAGAATATTGATGCACTATTTATTAATATAACAGAGTTCTTGCCTGCATCAATCGTAAATGACATACTGTTAAAATTAGGTAGCAAATTTCAATGTAAAGAATTACAAAATTAAAAACCAAACCCCAGTCCTATTAGGCAAAACTTACTTGGCAACTGCCATTATTCACATCAATGCTAAACTAATTTCAGGTCAGAGGTAAAATATTAAGAAATCAGCCAAAATATTAATGATAAGGTCAAACACATAAAAAATAGGTTTATGATATTGCCATAATTTACTAATTAGTATTAAAAAATATGAGCGACATTCTACAAAACAGAACTAATAAATTAAGTGAAAAAACTAGAGTTTTCTCACCTTCATTTAATATTTGTTTTGTTCATTAGGAGCTGACACCTTTTCTATGTTTTGATAAATATAGTGCTGAAAATGAAAGAATGTAATTAAAAATCAAAGTATTTAAGTTAATGACTATTGTAAAAGATGGAAAGAAAACAAAGAGATAATACTAAAGTGAAGGAGCACATTTGGAGGTGCAGGTAATGCTGCACATGAGGATCATGCATTCACCCCACACTCTGCCATTTTTCAGGGCTAGCAGCAGTAAATGTAAAGACAAGTTGTCAGATTTCTTATTTCATATATACAACTATTTTACTGTGAATGCTGGGCATGACTTTATTTTTTTCTTTCTCTTTTTTTCTCTTGGTTTATCTTCAAGAATTCAAATTTCCCTCAATCCCAATATTTTTAAAACCCACTTTAACCCCTTATTTTTGAGGAGGATAAACTAAAATTCAGAAGATTTAATAAATTTGCCTGATTGTTTAAAGGAAGTTATTTAATCTGATAAATAAATTTAAATTACTTTATTTTTTTTCATGGATGCCAACACAAAAAATGTATTTACAATGTATTACACCTGCAAGGATGATTTATTAATTGTTTTATTTGTGCCAGGTTCTCAAATAAGTCCATTCCATATGCCCTCTCATTTAATACTCTGAAAAATACCTTGAAATTAGTATGATTATCGAATTTTAAAGCAGAAAAAACTTAAAATTTTGATCCTTAAGTCTTAACCACTAACTCAGGATTCACCAAATTTGCATAATTTTCAAAAATCATCTTAGCAACTTGGTAAAATACAGATTCTTTGGCGCATCTTCATCTAGAATCTCTAAGGCATGGAGAATATTTAACTTAGCATGTGACACCCCCAGGTTGTTATGACAGTCAAGTTTGAGAAACACAGGATAAGCTTTCCCTTCACCTTACTTTGCAGAAGGTGACTGGGAGGACATTTTATGTTTATCCTATTACATATACTTACTTAATGACAGTTATTTTGTTTAAGTCTTACAACTAGAAAGTTTTCTAAAATGGCAACTATTTCCCCCATCAATTTGTTCCATGAAACATTCTGGTCATGAATGTATTCTGTTCATGTAATTAAAATAGCTTTTTATGATTACCTAGTATCTCTTAATTTTGAGTCCTTCCTTGGATCTAACTTTTATCTCTCACATTTTACATAGAGCCTTCTTTTATATGAAAAAATATAAGTTTATAAATGTTAAGTAGGTCTGCATATAGGTAAATGATAATATTAATGATTGATTGTATGTTGAACTAAAAATTTTTTTTTTTGGCAGCATCTCTGTGTCACCAAGGCTAGAGCATGGTGGCACCATCATGGCTCACTGCAGCATTGACTGCCTGGGCTCAAGCATTCCTTTCACCTCAGCCTCCCAAGCAGCTGAGACCACAGGCATGCACCACCATACCTGGCTAACATTTGTGTTTTTTGTAGACATGGGGTTTTACCATGTTGTCCAGGTTGGTCTCCTGAGCTCAAGTGATCTGCCCTACTCAGCCTCCCAAAGTGCTGGAATTTAAAAATAAATTTCTTTTAGACCTTCACCGTATATTCTAAGAAAATTTAATACTCCTAAAAATGAAAAGGAGAGTAAGAATTTTGGAATGTAGAAAACTCAAAGAAACTAACTTAATAACATAAATGACATTTTAAATATCTTTGGAACAGTAAAGTGTAACTGGAACAAAACTAATATTTGTAAATAATGCAAAAACTTATTTGTATAAAGGCTAATAATTTGGTTATGAAGAAACATCAACTTCTAGTAGGTAAAAGTAAAGGAGGCTAAGACATAACATATCAAAAAATCAGATACCTGGGAAAATTTGACAAGATGCAAAAATTGAACAGTCAGCATTTGTGGCAGAGGAAAATCACTTCTTTTGTTTAAATAAACAAACACATACAAATAACAGAGAAATGCTGGGATTCTCTTTGTTTTTTCTATGAACTCCTTTGTTTTAGGTTCATTTAATTGAATTCAGGTTAATGAATGATTACTCTTGGCCCAAGTCTTGGTAATATAAATTCACGCTAGAATGGGGTGGTTATGATTCTTGATTTCAGAATATTTAAAAAAGAGTAGAATTAACTTACCATTTGATGAATGATAGTGAGTTAAACATTTAAATATTTAAAATAATATGTTATCTTTCTTGATAACAGCCCTTTACAAATTATGAGCTTGCAACCATGAGGTAATTTTCAGAAAGAATACCAAGTAGATATGCAGAAATGGGAGTGTGGGGATGAGAATGAGAAAATAGATCAAAGAGCACCAATTACAACAACAGAATCAAGGTTTTGAGAGTATGCTAGCTCTTGGAAACAATCTAGTTTGGAGATCAGAAAACTCCAGTCCTGGCACCAAATCTAGTCTGTCACCTATTACTTATGGCCTGTAGCTAAGAATGACCTTTACATATTTAAAGGTTGAAAAATGTCGAAAGAAGGATATTATTTAATGACAAGTTGAAATGTGAAACTCAAATTTCAGTGCCCATAAATACAATTTTATTAGATCACAAGCACAAGATAATTTGTTTATGTATTGTCTAAGACTGCTTCCTCACTAAAATCATGGAGTTGAGTATTTGCTACACACACCCTGTGGCTCTTCAAAGCCTGAACTCTACTCTTTGGCCATTTAAAGAAAAATTTGCTAACCCCTGATCTCGTTGAGCTTCTTCACACAGCTAGGAAGTTCTTAGAGCTTTGGTGGCCAGTACAACTGAACAATGTCTTACAAATTGTTCTCAACAGAACTAAAATCAGAACCCAGATGGGCTGAATACACTACATCTTTGTGTCTCTTTTATCCTAACAGAATCACATATCCATAGGATCTGGTGCTAGAAGAGTTTGAAAGTTAGAAAATTACCCACTATTTGTCTTACTATATGTAATCATTTTTGTGGGGTATGTTGGTTTACTATTTTGATTACAACAACACATATTTTTGATAGTTTTTATTATCTCTGATTTAGAAATGAAGAAACTGAGGACCCCCTCCCCAAAAGAAGTAAATCCTAAGTAATAAAGTTTAGATGTTGTCCCCCCTAAATCTTATGTTGAATTGTAATCTCCAATGTTGGAGATGCGGTCTGGTGGGAGGTGATTGGATCATGGGGGTGAAATTGTCATTAATGGCTTAGCTGTCCTCACAATAATGTCTAAGTCTTCATGAGATTGGTTGTTTAAAAATGTGTTGCATCTTTCCTTCTGGCTCTTGCTGCTACTCTGAGCACGTGATGTGCCTGCTCATGCTCTACTTTCTGCCATGATTGTAAGTTTCCTGAGGCTCTCACTAGAAGCAGATGCTGGAGCCATGCTTGTACAACCTGCAGAAAAAATGAGCCAATTAAACCTCCTTTCTTTATATATATTACCCAGCCACAAGTATTTCTTTATAGTAAGGCAAAGAACAGCCTAATACACCAAGCGAGTTAAGGGACTGGGCTCGGATGTCAACCCACGTTTTCTGACTTCCAGCACATGTGCTCTGGCCCTGCACCCTACTGTCTCCTAACACTGGGAGCTGTTTCTCACCACTGCCATAGGAAAAGGCTCTACATCATGTAGACTTGCTCTCTCAGTCTGTCTCAATCTCTTTATCTATCTAGCTATCATCTATCTATCTAAACCAACAGAGTCCTTCCTATATTTTAGACACTATTTTAAATGGTTCGCAAATATCATCTATTTTAATTCACTGAACAAATTGAAAATTTCCTTATAACCATAAAATCATCTCTTAAGTCCTTATATCTGGAAGTTCTTGAAGAATCAATACATTTTTCTGTCCTTGTGAGATCAAAAGTTTTCAATGGCAAATATGATGAAACAATGTGGTAATTCTGTTACAAATTTTATATACAGCAGTTTATAGATGTTATTTTATGAGAAAACAAGAAGAAATTCCAAGGCTATAGCTTTAGACCTTTATATGAACCTATAGTTCTCTTGCAGAGTTTATTCCAGATTATTTTACAGAGCGATTAAGAAGTCCAGGTTCTAGGCTCCATGCCACACCTCCTGAAGTAAGGACACAAAATATCATGTTCAAAGTAATGGTGACCCTCATATGCCCCAGTAGAGAATGATCAAATGAAAAGCCATTTTTAAGCTAATTTCACCATTAGAAGACATTAATATCACAACTATGTTATTTTAATGTGCTTTTGAAATCCGGTTTAATTTTGGCCCAAAAGAAAGAAATTTAAAAGACACTCAGGATTCTTACAAGCAGGTCTTGTGATTCCCTCTAAAATGTAAATTTCTCTCCTGCTCTTAGGTAAAAAGGTTGGTCGTCCCCTTACTTATCTGATAATTCTTGGTTAAAAAATGTGATGGCAACTTAGAAACACATTCTTAACTTACTGGTAAAATATGTCTGACTTATGTTACATTCAAAGCATTTAACTTGCTTAAAATTGTATCTTCTTTCTTCCATAACTAGGGACTTCTGTGAGTTTAACCCCTGGCGAAAAAGAGGGGGATATGGCCCTTCTCTTCTTTGCAACTTGTAGTTTTTCAGAAATTTTTTTTAGTATTACATAAAGGTGACTATTCAGAGAGATGTCAGAATGATAATAAAGTTTTATGTGATTAGTGTTATCATAGATGATTTATTTTTCCCTAAACCAGAGAGATGTTTAAAGCTTCTTGATTTTCTGTTGGTTCTTAAATGTCCTCACTAAGGACATCTCCCTAGGCTGCTATGACATGCGTAATGCATTTTCCTCAGGTGGCAGTTTCCCACCTCAGCCTACATTGCTGTTTTTGGTGTGTGTGTGTATGTGTGTGCACGCACAAGAGTGCTTATCTCCCTATGTTGTAATCTCACTGTTCCACAAGCAACACTTTCTGACAAATTAGGAATACTGTTGAATACCAAAGCATCTTTAATTTTACTGTTAAAGCTGGAGCCACCCACTCTCTCAACTTCTGGATGGCCTGGGTGCGAGTCAAACATCTGTCCACTGGGTCCCTTAATTGCAGGAACGCATAGTCAGCTTCAAGAGTGTGAGGCCAGGAGTGTGAAGGAACTCACAGTTTACTCCTGCAACTCTGTGCAAAGACATCCCCTTCACAAATTATTTTATAAAGCAGACTGCTTTCATAAATTCAATGTGAATAAGGAATGAAAGGTCATGTAAATGGTTTCCAGTTACTTCTTTTTAAAATTTTCATCTTGTTCCTGCTGGTATGCCATATATAGCATACATTTGTGCCTTAGTCAAAAAATCCTAATTTAATTTCCTGCTATGCAAGAAATAATTCCAGAAGCATTTGGGTTCTCTGTATGTGGACATCATCTATCAAAATCATTTGCTTTACTTATAAAAAGTCATATTCCTGGCTTCAATTTAGACTTGCTAATATAGACTCGCTAATATAGATTCTCTACTGATAAAGAAAATTTGTATTTTTACATGTTCTCCCTAAATGATTATTTTGCATCTTAAAGTTTGAGAAAGTGCATAAAATTGTGTTATCTTCATTCTTTCAGAGTAGAAGGAAAATAACAGAGGGAAGGGAAGAAAGGAAGGGAAATAAATAAAACTAGTAATCATAAATTTAAATACACATAATTTTAAAAAATCATAACTTTTAGTTTTTTATTACTCAATGGCTCATGCCTGTGTGGACACAAGCCAAAATCTTTACATTGCTTTAATTGCTAAATAGACAATTATTGGTAAAATTGGCAACGAGCCATAGCTCATGGCTATAATCCCACTGCTTTGAGAGGCTAAGGTGGGAGGATCACTAGAATCCAATAATTTAGATTAGCCTGGGCAACACTGGAATCCAAGAATTTAGACTAGTCTGGGGAACAATGCAAGACCTTACCTCTACCAAAAAAAAAAAAAAGTCAATTAGCCAGGCATGTCAGCATGTGCCTGTAGTCCCAGCTACTTGAGAGGCTGGGCTAGGAGGATCACTTGAGCCCAGGAGTTTGAGGCTGCAAAGAGCTATGATCACACCACTGCACTTCATCAATGGGTTCCACCAGGTTTTTTTCTTTATCTTTTTCTTTTTTAAAGACCGTCTCTGTCTGTCACCCTGGCTGGAAAGCAATGATGCTATCATGGTTCACTGCAACCTCAAATTCCTAGGCCAAAGCTTTCCTCCTACCTCAGTCTCAACTGTAGCTGAGACTACAGGAGCTCCCAGCCCGCGGAAGTTTTCAGTTCATGAGAATTATTTTAAGATTTGCATTTTTAAAAGTTTCTTCAACCTCCTCTGTGAAGAATGGATTAGGGGTAGGACCTACAACACATCAGCAGCACCCTGGGGGTGGGCTGTGGGGATGGGAATTGGTGGAGGGGACTAGATAGATTGCTGTAGGAATGAAGAGATGGGAACAGATCCCAGAGAGAGATGGTGGTAAAATTATATTTAATTGTTGCTTATTGAAAGCAAAGAAAATCAAAGATTGAGTAAATTGTCTCATGTATAAAGGCTGATGACCAAAAAAATGAGAAGAAAAGGTTAGAAATACAAACAGTCCCCAATATACCACGGTTTCACTCACAGTTTTTTAGCTTTATAATTGGTTTATCAGGGTGTTGAATGCATTTTCAAATTATGATGGTTTTATAAGGATGTAACCCCATTGTAAGTTGAGGAACATCTATATAAGACAAGATAGAGATATTCAAAAGTGTGGAGTATGAAAGGATGGGATCCAGGTGCAGCTGTGAATTTTGTAGCCACCTCTGCTAGGAGCAAAGGCCATGTCTACAGGAAAGAACAGTAACCAATATTTTTCCTTTGCTCTTGAACAAACTCATTAAGAGGAAAGATCAATTCATAGAGTCTAGATTAGAATGATTATGAAATACCACATCTAGAAACTAGTTCCACAACAGAGAGGCATGAATCAAAAGGGGATGTTGTCGCTTTTCAACTGGGACACAAATATGGTTCCACAGTCCCTTAACAGATTTCCTGCAGCTGTGATGCCTGAATAAAAGAAGGTATAAATTGTGAAAGTTGTACAAACTGGATAAAAGAGGATGATTTAGAAGAAAAAAAATATTTACAATCGTAAGTTCTACTGAGCTCAATTCCGTTTAATCCCAAGACTTATTTTTACATTGAATACAATGCTTAGTGTTGTCAATAATCTCTCCAGCTTCACAGTGATTTACACTGTCATTAATGTTGCAACATTAAATGTTTAGAGTCTTTATTAGTGTTATTTTAGTTAATTTATTAAATATGTTTTATTATGAAAAATTTCAAAAACTCATCAACTGGGAGAGAATGGTGTAGTGACTCTGCCTGTACCCACCATTCATCTCCAACAGCAATTGACATTTGAACATGTCTTCTGCTTTTGTTTGTTGAATTTCAAAGCGACTCAATAATACTATTTTATTTTAACTACAAATGCTCCTTGGCCAGGTGTGGTGGCTCACGCCTGTAATCCCAGCACTTTGGGAGGCCGAGGCAGATGGATCATCTGAGGTCGGGAGCTCGAGACCAGACTGGGCAACATGGAGAAACCCTGTCTCTACTAAAAATACAAAATTAGCCGGGCATGGTGGAACATGCCTGTAATCCCAGTTACTTGGGAGGCTGAGGCAGGAGAATCACTTGAACCTGGGAGGCGGGGGTTGCAGTAAGCCAAGATCATGCCATTACACTCCAGCCTGGGTAACAAGAGCAAAACTCCGTCTCAAAAAATAATAATAATAATTAATTTAAAAAATGCCCCTTTGTGCTTCTCTAGCAGATAAGGGCACTTTTAAACAACAAAAATGTCATGAAAATCCCTAATGAAATTAATAACTATTATTTAATACCATCTAATACCCAAGTCATTTTTAAATTTCTCCTAAAATTCTCATAGATTTCTCATCAATGTATTTTTTAAACCCAGGTCTAAATGAGGTTCACATAACGTCTTTCTTTGCTTTGGTTTTAAATGTCTTACATTTATAAGCATCTCCTTCCCTTTGTCTTTCTTGCCATTTATTAGTTGAAGAAATAGGATTGCTTGTCCTACAGAATATCTTACTTGTGAATTTACCTGCAATACTTAATAATCCCTGCATTGGCTTAATCATGTCACTCTTCTCCAATAAGTTTTTAATGGTGTAGTTTGCACACATTCCAAGTGGCCACTAACAAATTAAGATATACAGTTTAAGTAACTTACAATGACTAGAAATGCTTAAAAAGAAAGATAACAAATGCCTCAAAATGAGATAGAAAAAATAAGCACGCTATAAGTTTTATAACAAAAAGTCTGTGTCTCATTTATTTCTAAATTTTTTTTACATATATAATTTTTATAAAAAGATATGGAGTTAAATGCAGTAGGTTTTAGTGTGTGGTGCAAATATTTCTACCTGAAGCAAAAAGTGAGGTGTTTTCTTAATCATCAGGCAAGGCAGAGACATCAGTGCCAACAACCAGCGACCGCCAGAGCAGCACAGGTGGGCTTCAGGTGCTTAGTCAGTGGTGTTCTAAACTCCTGCTCTTAGCTTGCCTGTCCACTTCTCTGTTTTATAAATTGCACAAGTCTTGGATTCAACATGACTCATCTTAGTTCTCATTTCATCAACTCTGTGGCGTCCAAGAGTCAGTGTGTGCACTGCCCCTTGGACACCTTCCTCGAAGGCACACAGAGAGCTCGACATCATGTGCACTAGGGCTGTGGTCCGTGCAGCTTCCGTAGCAGGCAAAGGCCTCCTTCACCCTCCACACCCCGGGCAGTCAATCATTAGCAAGTTCAGTGTCTTCTGAATCATGACTTACGGGTCTGAGGTTTAAGTTTCTGCCTCCCAAATTACTAGAAAAAATATAACACCGATTTGACCAATTAGAAATAAAACGAAAGCATACAAACTAGTAAAATTCACATCCATTAAAGCACTCAGAGGAATCTAATAATGGCAAGATTTGATATGGGAAATAGGGAATATACTCTATAGGCAAAAAAAATGTAAATCATTAATTAGAGAAATGTATAGGGAAAGATTAAAGGAAGATAATATGGTGATTCTGATTAAAATAAAATGGATCAGTTGATGCATCCCAATGAGAGGCCTCGCCTGTGCTGATACCCATTTTAGATAAAGACATGGCCTAGGAATTAACTTGAGTTTTTTTTTTTTTTTTTTTTTTTTTTTTTGAGACGGAGTCTTGCTCTGTCACCCAGGCTGGAGTGCCGTGGCGCGATCTCGGCTCACTGCAAGCTCCGCCTCCCAGGTTCATGCCATTCTCCTGCCTCAGCCTCCTGAGTAGCTGGGACTACAGGCGCCCGCCACCATGCCCCGCTACTTTTTTGCATTTTTAGTAGACACAGTATTTCACCGTGTTAGCCAGGATGGTCTCGATCTCCTGACCTTGTGATCTGCCCTCCTCGGCCTCCTAAAGTGCTGGGATTACAGGCATGAGCCACCACGCCCAGCCTAATTTGAACTCTTATTCCACAAGTTACTTATCAGATACAATCATCACACCCAGGTGGAGACTAAGATAAATGCAAGGACCTACTATGGCCATCTTAAGCAAACGACCCCATTTTAATTTCTGAAACCAGGGATAATGGGAAGCTATGAGAAGCACAAGGCATCCTTATGTGTCATCGGAGTTCCCCAAAGGGCTCCTGCAGGGTACACCACCACGGATGAAGTCTTATATGCAACCTGATGGGGCATGATCAGCTGATGTGAAACACACACCAACACCTGATTAACCAAAGTGAAATGTACGGAAGACACTCTGCTTACTCAGTGTGAGCCAAACCAAGAGTCCATAGAGTCCTGGTATGTCATTCACTATTATAAGAGAGCATCAAATGTGCGATCAGCACTGTCTTTATATCTGTGTCAGTAGATCTGACTCACAGGTGGGAGACACTTCTTTTGGTCATTAGGATTTTTGTGTCTAGAATTATCCTTTTTAGGATTTTTATTCATGACTTAGACAAGAACTTTGAAATCAGAGTGATGAATTTTTTTTCTTTTACCCTTCACATCAAATGGGGAGGAACAGCAAATTCATTGATGGAAAGAAAAATGATCTAAATCAATGTGGCCTGCCATGAGAGTAATATAAAAGGAATGCAATATAGTAATACCTTTGACAGGAATAGTGATAAGGTCTGTGCATCCCTTAAACCCACTGCACAGGAGGGTTGGAGAGAGGAGTGATAGAGTTGCTTGTGACGACACTCAGTCATAATTTCCACTGGGTCCTTACTGTGATGTGACCACAGTGCCAATGTGATCTTGGATTGCACTAAGAGAACTACAGTTCCCAGAACCAGAAACTTGGAGGAGCCCATTCTGCAGTACACATCTACGATTAGTCCACCCGATTCTTGCCTTTTGTCTGGATGCTCTATTTTCAGGGGTACATAGATCAGCCAGAGGGAAGGGTGGAAAAGAGTGATTGTTTTCCACGTGTACAGAAGGCAAGGAGACCACCTATGGGCAATTGTCAAGCACAGGAGGACCAGAACAGGACAAAATGATGGAGCCATTCCTGTATGAATTCATAAGAAAGAACAAGGCTGAGGTGGAAGTCTTAGGAAAGCGTATCGTAGTTGGAGTGTGGAAGGAGTTTCTGATGATTTAATTAAAAGCGAGGGCAAGGAGGCTCAGCTTTTCAGGCAAGATGGCATGCCAGAAGGGATTTCAGTGTCAGAGGAAGGTTTGGGTTAGAGCACCCACAAAGTCCCTTTCATGGCTAACATTGAGTAATTCTTCCACACTCTCTCATCAGTTTCTAAAGGGAGATTGTTATTATTACTTTAATTATGATTTATTACGTATTTACCATATCCCTGGCTTATTGCTATTATATAAATTTACCCATTTTATTCAAACCAAGAGACCTGAGATTTGATAACTAGCCCAATGTTTGTAACTTGACAAGATAATTAATGAATTTGTCCAAGGACAACTGGCTACTAAAGGGACAATCCAGAAGTCAAATCTGGCTTTAAAACTTATGTTACATCATTGCTTCTTTTAAAATACACAACATATATTAGGAGAAGCAGGATAATTTTAAATTCACATTAACAAAATAATCTGAAGCATTTACCTTCTAACTATTTATCTATTATCTATTGCATTTTATTAGCAACCTTACTATAAATTTCATTTTCAGCATTAGGGAGCACGAGTGAACCAGATGACAACTCTTATTTTGAGGTCCTGGTTCACAGGCTGGCATCATTGGCCATCTCACAGAGCTGGTTAGAATGCAGAATCTCAGGCCCCACGTTAGACCTGCTGGACCTGAATCACCATTTTAAGAAAATCTTCAGATCATTCCTGATAAAGGTTGAGAAGCACTGGTTTACTATAGACTCAGCAAAAAACCTTTAAGATAACCTACATTAAAATAATATTTTTTAATGATCTGCACTTTAACAAAACTGCCAACTAATTAAATTGTGAAAATACATACAATGTTTATGATTTTCTAAACTTAGAGAATAAATTCACTGACTGTGCAAGCCAGTTGTCACACAAACTTAATTAGGAAGGGAGGAAGGACCACCCAGTGCTGAAAAGCAAGAGCTTGGAAAGTTATGTATCTATGGTGTAAATGAAGAAGCATTAAATATGATGAACTCATATTATTGAAATTTACAGAGACATTCACTTCCAGAGATTGCAGATTATATAACCTTAACTTTTTAATTCTTACATAAGGTCTTGTATATTTCTTAAGTGTGTAATCCCAAAAGAGTGTCAGCTAGTGAACAATGCCTACTGTTAGAATACAATTTAAGGGAAAATAAAAGATGGTATAATATTTCTTAGAAAATGAAATCATAGTTCTAAACTTACAGAGAATGCTTACTTCAGCCGAAGAAGAGGAGTTTGGTTTTTAGCCTGTTTATGCATAAGAAATAAATATACATTTATACATAATAAATCTTCAGCTATGCCACCCATTCATTTGACACGTATTATTGTCTGTTTACATGGACTAGACACCGTTCTAAGAGCTGGGAATGCCTTAACAATGAGACTTTCTGCCTGTCCATCAGGAGGTCTCGTCTAGTGAGGAGATGAACAAGAAAACAGCTGGGATGATAGAGTGCAGTAAGCATGATGATAGAAAAACTATTTCTGAGGATAACTTATTCCAGACTGTGGTGGCTTCCTGGAAGAAGGCTATCTATGCTGAAGCTTAGTGAATAACCAAGCAGGAACTGAGTGAAAGTTGGGTGGGAAAGATAATATGTTTTAAGCAGAGAAAAGAGAGCATACCCAGAATTGTGGTTGACACTGGGCACAGTACATTAAAGAACAGAAAGACTATGCAGGAGCTGCATAGAGACGTCATAGTTGTCATTTTCTTATCAATAAAATGGTGTTGAACTGTTTTGTAGCTTTTTTTGTGTGTGTTTAAGAGAGATAATGTATGTCAAAGCCTATCTGTGAAATGAAACACATTCAATGCATATTCTTGTGCATTCACATGAAACAAGTCTAATTAATTTATATTCTTATAGTTGCACATTTTACACCAATTTCGACCATCCTAAACCATCCCAAATGGAGTTGTGAAGAGAAAGTGATGCATAAAGAGACCAATTTTTTTTTAATTTTGCAGGATTGATTCCTTATGGCCTATATTTTCCCTTGCTTTTTTTCTCACATGATCTGAGAAATGAACCCAAACCTGGCCTTCACCAAGCTGTCCTTCAGTCTGGTGATGGCAGGTGCAGTCTGTGCTTGGACATCTGTCCGAGAGCTTAACCCAGATCTTGTTCAGAGGAACACCATCTGGCCCTCCATGCTGTCGGATTTGTGTGTTCCGGTCCAGTCCCAGATGCTCTCTTCAAGTCTCTCTGTTCCTTAAACAGTCTTGTCTGGGTCCTTCGTGATGGTCTGTGTTAGTCCTCAGCGAAGAACTGTGATGCTGGGAGTTTTGGGGAGTCTTTTCTTTGCCTGAATTTGGAATCTCAACTGATAAATGGGATTGAAAGTTGGATTGAACTGACCACAGAGGACACACTGAAACATTTCCTGAAGGCACAGTCCTCATTTTCACACTAAGGTGAGAAGTTTAACAACGCACAAAATATTTGACTTCTATGTTTCTAAAATCTTCACATTTTTGCTCATGTGCCATCTCTGGGAAAAAATGTACACCCAGAAAATAAGGATATGTGGGCTCAAACCTTACTTCCTGAAACACAGGGAGTGTTCACAAGCCAGATGAGGGGAGAGGTAAGTAGCTTTGACTTGGAGAGGACATGGCATGAGAAGTTGGAAAAGAACAGAGGGAGCCCCCACAGAGGTGAGATGTGTGAGTAAAAGATTGTTCGCAGATAAGTGCAGACATGGAGTGGGGGCACTTGGATTCTTTTATTCAAGAAATACCATCAACTCTAAGAGAGACACCCAGGAGGAAACACTGCAAAAAGCTCAGCCTCCTTAGAAGAGTGAGTGAGGCTTCCAATGAGGGTGATTTCAGGAAGAAGTTTGGTGCACTGCATGCTAAGAAAAGAACCAACCAGAAGGAAATCCCACATTAGCTAAGTAGGAAAGAACAAAGTGACATCTAGTGGGAACTATGTGGGGCATCACCCAGCCAGAAAGACAACTTGGAGTGCAGATTGTTCTGTGCAAGGAACCTCTGTTCATCCCGCTGCTGGAAATTGGGTTGAGGAGTGCTAGGCACTGGTGGGTAATTGGTCTCAATCTGCATCATGACAATCCAGGACTAACAAATACTGCTTTCAGAAAATGAGGTGAATTGCTAAAACACTAGACGAAGCTTCTCAAACCTGTGGCCCACAGGCTGCATGTGGCCCAGGACAGCTTTCAATGTAGCCCAACACAAATTTGTAAACTTTATTTAAAAATTATGAGATAATTTTGTGATTTTTTTCTTTAGCTCATCAGCTGTCATTAGTGTTAGTGTATTTTATGTGTGGCCCAAGACAATTCTTTCTCCAGTGTGGCCCAGGGAAGCCAAAATATTGGACACCCTTGCACTAGACTCTCCAGGTTGACATGAAATCCCAGGTTTGGGGCAGGGGCTCACACCAAGTGAAAGCTGAGACTCCCCCACCCCAATCCCACCCTGGTGAGCAACCTCTGCTCTCACTGCTGTAGGAATTTCAAACAAAGGAATTAGCTTTGATTTTTAAATGCTGGCATTAGCCTTGTATATAAACTTCTTAAACAGTGAAAACAATTAGCATTTCTAGGAGCTCAGACAACCTTGCTTGTTTTCTAACTACACCAGTTAACAAGTCTAAGAAAAGTTTCACCAATGTTGCATCATCTCTTATTTCTTTCAATAAAATGAATATAGGAGTGTGATTTGTATTATCCTTCTTGCATGTTTTAAAGCTTTCTTCTAATGCTTTGTAACCATTCTGGCAAAAAATTTGATGATCCAATTGCTGAATTTATTTGGATTGAGAAGGAAGAGCACCCTCATTTTTTCCAAAGTCCAGATCCTGAGAGAAATGTGCCTGATTGTTCCAGACTTTTATGTTAGCTACTTAACAGTTAGAAGAAAATATTTCATTTCTGCTACCTTCTTTTTCATTGAGTTGTGACCTTCTGCCATCAAAAAAGCAATTAATTAAATAATCTTTGTATCACAATCAGAAGAGTGACTGCTAAAAGTACAATCTCTTCTCTTACTGCTTATCTTTTCCCATCTGTGACTTTTAACAAATCAGTTCAAGAGATTACAGAACACCTTCTTATTCCAAATAATAGGAACATTTATGAAATAAGTCTTACCCTGCAATTTATATGTTAAATCCCTAACCCCCAATACCTCAGAATGTGGCTGTATTGAAGATGGGGCCATTAAAAAGGTGATGGAGTTAAAATGAGGTCGTTGTTGTGGTCCTAATTCAATCTGACTGGCGTTCTTACAATAATAAGATGACACTAGGACACACAGAGATACCAGGGAGCTACATTCACAGAGAAAAAAAATCACATGAGAATACAGGGAGAAAGCAGCCATCTACAATCCAAGAAGAAAGGCTTCAGAGGAAATCCATCCTGCTACCTTAGTCTTGGATTTGTAGCCTCCAGAAGTGAGAGAAAATAAATTTCCATTGTTTAATCTGCTCAGTCCGTGGTGTTTGTTATGGCAGCCCTAGCAAACTAATACAAAGACATTAGGTATATATCAATTATTATTATTAAGAATAATAAATTGGCTGGGCGCAGTGGCTCACCCCTGTAATCCCAGAACTTTCGGAGGCCAAGGCAGGCAGATCACCTGAGGTTGCGAGTTCGAGACCAGCCTGACCAACATGGAGAAACCCCGTCTCTAGTAAAAGTACAAAATTTAGCCAGGTGTGGTGGCGCATGCCTGTAATCCCAGCTACTCAGGAGGCTGAGGCAGGAGAATCGCTTGAACTCAGGAGGCAGAGGTTGTGGTGAGCTGACATAGTGCCATTGCACCATTGCACTCCAACCCGGGCAACAAGAGCGAAACTCCGTCTCAAAAAAAAAAAAACACTTTTTATTGCATAGTTCCTTAGCACTGTGCAAGGCAGTTTTCAAAGCAGTATTATCTATAACATCTTATTTTGTTTTCTAAAACAAACCCAAGATTTAAAAAAAAAACTGAAAGAGGAAAATGAGGTCCAATAAAATGTCTATGTAGGAAATTTTGAGTAGTTATCTAAAGAAGAATGGACAAATCTGATGCATGATTATTGGGGATGGGACCAGATTATTGTGAGTTTAGAAACCAGGATAAAAAATTTGATTATATCCTTTAGCTAATTGGCTAATTTGATGGTTCCTGGGACTTTTAGCAGGTGAGCAACATGAAAAAAAATATATGTATAGTGTTAAAAGATTAGCCAAATTTTGACTTCTGCTTCCTGGAAGTGAAGGAGAGTTACTTCTCTATTGTCTTCAAAGTACAACTGAAAAGTGTCGACATTGTATCTACGAAACAAACTAAGAAGACACAGCAAACTGGAAAGAAGACAGCAGAGCAGCTATGGGCCTGGGCACGACTGGAACATTGGTTACTGGAGAAGTCAGTGACTTGGAAATGCCTACGGGTGCAGACAAACAAAAACAAAAGCAACAATGGTCCCTAGAGAAATTTGCACTTTCTAGCCAAAGAACCACAAAAAAAGCAGCCTAGCAAGACAGAAAACTTTAGACCATGAGTGCTGTTTTCTAAACTATAGCACTCTAAATGTTTATATTAAAAGAAAAAGAAAAATTTCAAACTAAAAATCTAATCTGCCATCTCAAAAAATTAGAATAAAAGAGCAAAATTAACTCCCAAGTAAAGAAAAAAGAAATAAACAATAATAAGCATAAAATAATGAATTGAAGAATAGAAAGAAAAGAAAAAAGCAATAAAACAAAAGTTGATTCTTCCAGAAATATCAATAGAATGGACACATCTGTAGCAAGACTGAAAAAGAAAAAACGAATTGAGAAGATACAATTTACTAAAAAATAGAAATGAAGGAAGGAACATCACTACAGTCACCATAGCCATCAAAAGGATAAAAAGAATTACTATAAACAACTCTACACACAAATTTTATAAACTAGACAAAATGGATACATTCTTGGAAAAGTACACTAACAAAATTCAACTGAAATGAAAAAGATAACTTTAACCTCACAACTGTTAAGGAAATTAAATTTATAATTAAAACCTTCTCAAAAATGAAATCTATAAGCTTAGTGGTTTATTGGGGAATTGTATAAGACGTAAATTCTACACATTCTTTTCTAGAAAATGGAGGCAGCAACACTTCCCTATTCATTGTATACAGCCAGTATTACTCTTGTACCAAAACCGAAGAAAGTACATACAAACTTCGGACAATATTATTCATAAATATAGATAAAAAATTGTTAACAAAATATTAATGTAAAGGATTTACCAATACATAAAGGGAATTATACACTACATCCAAGGGTAGTTTATTCTAGTGTCGCAAGTCTAGTTTAACATTTGAAAACAAATCTATATGATATACAACTTCACAACCTAAAGAAGGAATATCAAATAATCATATACATTTATGTGGAAAAAAGTATTTGCCAAAATTCAGCACCATTCATAATAAAAACTTTGGTAAACTAGGAATTGAGAGAAAACTTTCTCAATGTGATAAAGAGAATCTACGAAAACATACAGTTCATATGGTAAAAGACTAAATGTTTTCCCCTTAAGCTTTAGACCAAGGCAAGGATATCCACTCTTACAACTACTTTTCAACATAATACTGCAAGTTATAGACAGTCCAGTAAGGCAAGTAATGGAAATAAAAGACATACAAATCTGGAAAGAAAAAATAAAATAGAACTTATTTGTAGATGACATGGTGATCTATAGAAATAACCCTGAGAATTGTATGCTTAAGGACCTAAAATGATCACAGAATCCAACAAGATCAACACACAAAAATCAACTGTATAATTAAAAAATCTGTAAGAAAAAAACTCAATTGTATTTATATGTATTAGTAAGAAGCACATGGAAGTAGAAATTTAAAGTATAATATTACAATGAGTAAAATAATATTTAAGTATACATCTAATAAAATTCTATAAGAGTTTCATGTTGAAATCATAAAGGACTGCTGACACCAAAATCAAATAAGAACTAAATTAAAAAATGCCACATCCATGGATTAGAATACTCAACATAGTAAATATGTCAATTCTCTACAAATGTGTATACAGGTTTAACATAATTCTTACCAAAATCCTACCACATTTTTAGTAGATATAATCAGAATTATTCTAAAATATATATGGACAGGCAATGATTTAAGAATAGCTAAAGCAATTTTGAAAAGAAGAATAAGGTGGAAGAAAACATTTCATTCAATTAAAAAAATATTATGCACTAATCAGGATTTTGTGGTGTTGGTGGAGGCATTGACAATAGATCAATGAAACAAAATGGGGAATCTTGAAATAGACACACATAAGTACTGACATCTAATGCCTAGCAAGAGAGGAAAAACAATAATAAGTGGAGAAATGATAGTCTGTTCCATAAATGGTGTTAGAACAATTGGCTATCCATAGACAAAAATATAAATTTATAATTAAACCTTATACCATATATTAAAAAACCACTCAAAATGGATTATAAATTAAAATGTAAAATTTTCAACTATACATTATTTTGGAATAAAACACAGGAAATCTTTGGGACCTATAGCTAGGTATAGAGTTCTTAGAGAGTAATACCTCAAAAGCACAGCGACCAAGGCAAAAATGGACAAATAGGATCACATAAAGCTAAAAAGCTTCTGCCAACAAAGGAAACAATAAAGTGAAGAGACAACCTACAGAATGGGACAAAATATTTGCAAACTATGCATCTAACAAGAGACTAGTAGAATATATACGGAGCTCAAAAAACTCTATCAGACAAAAAAATCAAATAATCCAGTTAAAAATTGGGCAAAAGATGTGAATAGACATTTCTCAAAAGAAGACATACAACTGGCCAGCAGATATATGAAAAATTGTTCAACATCATTGGTTATTAGAGAAATGCAAAAGAAAACTACAGTGAGATATCATCTCACACCAGTAAAAATGGCTTTTATCTAAACGGTAAGCAATAAAAAATGCTGGTGAGGATGTCAAGAATGGGGAACCCTCATACACTGTTGATGGGAATGTAGATTAGTACAGCCACTATGGAGAATAGTTTGGAGATTCCTCAGAAAATGGAACATAGAACTACCATATGAGCCAGCAATCCCACTGCTGGGTATATACACAAAAGAAAAAAATCAGCATATCATAGAGATATCTACGCTCCTGTGTTTATTGCAGCACTATTGACAATAGTCAAGATCTGGAATCAACCTAAGTTTCCATCAACAGACTAATGAATAAAGGAAATGTGGTACATATACACAATGGAGTCATATTCAGCCATAATAAAAGAATGGAATCATGTCATTTGCAACATGTAGGGAACTAGATGTTATGTTAGGTGAAATGAGCAAGGCACAGAAAGACAAGTTTCACATGTTCTCACTCATATGTGGGAGCTGAAAATTAAAACAGTTGAACTCATGAACATAAAGAATAGAATGATGGTTACCAGAGGGCAGGAAGAGAAGTGGGGAGGTGGAGGATAATGTGGGGATGGTTAATGTATGCAAAAATACAGTTAGATAGAATGAGTAAGATCTAGTATCTAATAGCACAGCAGAGTGACTTTAGTTGATAATAATTAGTTGCATATTTTAAAATAACAAAGAGGATGGAATTGAAATGATTCTAACACAAAGAAATGATAAATGTTTGAAGTGATGGATACTCCACTGTGATTATTACCCATTGAGATTATTACACATTGTATGCCTGTATCAAAACATCACATGTAACCCTGTAAATTTATACACCTATTATGAGCCTATAATAATTAAAAATATAAAACAAATGTAAAAAGACTTCTTAGATATGAAACCACATGCACAACACAAGAAAAACATTGAAAAATGGACTCCATCTTTTTTTTTCAATAAATCTTGTTAATAAGATGAAAATACAAACAAAAGATTTGGAAAAAAATTCAAATCTTATATCTGCCACAGTGTTTGTACCTACAACACATAAAGAATTATTAAAACTCAACATTAAAAACCAAAATATCCAATTTGAAAATGGACAAAAGACATGATCTGACATTTTATGAAGAGAATATACAGATGGAAAATAAGCACACAAAAATGTTGCTTGACATCTCTAGCCATTAGGGAAATACAAATTAAGACAATAATGGAATCTTATGACGCAATGTATTGGAAGAGCTAAACAATTAAAAATATATTGAAAATGTTAAATTCTGGCAATAAGTTAGAAAAACTATATCTCTTTTTTTTTATACTTTAAGTTTTAGGGTACATGTGCACAATATGCAGGTTAATTACATATGTATACATGTGCCATGCTGGTGCGCTGCACCCACTAACTCGTCATCTAGCATTAGGTATATCTCCCAATGCTATCCCTCCCCCCTCCCAAAACTGTATCTCTTAAACGTTGTTGGTAGAGGAGTAAAACGGTGCATTCAGTCTGAAAATACATTGGCAGTTTTTTTTTAAAGATACACCTGCAACGGCCATATCACCTAGCAATGGCACAGCTGGCCATTTATTTCATGGAAATGGAAACATGTCCACACAAATATCTATACACAATTATTCATAATAGCTTTATTTTCAATAACCAAAACCTGTAAACTAATATATTTGGGAAAAAAACAGTGGTTAAACAGACTGTTTAACCATCCATACCATGAAATATTACTCAAAAATAAAAACAAACTGAATATTGATATGCACAATAGTTTTTACCATCTCAAGGTCATTAAGCTGAATATGGAAAGTCAACCTCAAAAGTCACATTCTGTATGATTCCATTCATACAACATTCTTGGAATGACAGAATTATAGAGATGGAGAACACATTAGTGGTTGCTAGGGTATGTGGGTGGGTGTGACTGTGTATATACACTCTTTGTTAGTAATGGAATAGTCCCATATATTGATGCCAGTGGTGGTTTCAAGAACATGTGGTAATGTGACATAGAACTACACACACACAATGTAACAATGTCAGTTTCCTACTTTTTGTACTCTAAAATGTAACCACTGGGAAAAATTGGGTGAAGGGTATGCTGGATATTCTGTACTATTTCTGCAGCTTTCTGTGAGTTAGTCCAAAATGAAAAGATTAAAAATGATTAATCATTTAAGGGATGGGATGAATTGAGAGAGTAGAGAAGGTGAACAAAAATCAATGTACTTCTTATATAGTCTGAACAGGTGCTATTTACAATGAATTGTGTTGGATGAAGCATTAGTGTCCTTGGGTGTTGGTACAAAGTTCCACAAACTGAGTAGATTAAAATGACAGAAAGTTATTCTTCCACAGTAAGGAAGGCTAAAAGTCTAGAATCAAGGCATCAGCAGGCCTATGCTCTCCTAACGAAGAATGCCCCCTTGCCTTTTCTAGCTTCCTGTGGTCAGCAGCCCCTGGCTGGCAGCAGCATCACTCCTGTTTCTGCCTCTGTCGTCATATGGCACCCTTCCTCTGTATGTCTGTCTCCACAGGTCCATAGGAGCCACCCTAATCCATATAATCTCATCTTAACTATGTCTACAAAGACCCTTTACCCAAATATCCTTACATTCTGATGTTCTGGGTAGACAGAGATTTTTGGAAGACATTGTTCAACGCAGTACAGATGGACACCAAAATGGCATAGGACGTGTCTGGATAAGGCTGGTGTCAACAACACCTGGTTACCAGCTGATGAGAGATCAGAGAAGCCAAGGCCAGAGAAATATAACAAAACCTTGGGCAAACAGTGAGGCATAGAGAGCAAGCAGCCTTGAGAGGTAATGCTACATTTTGCTCTAAAAATGAACTTAATTCCCCCTTTGACCATCAAAGCACCCGCTTTCACCCCCACTTTTGCTTGTTTTAAACACAGAAATAACATGGTTAGAAATAATGTGTCGAATGGTCAATCCCTAATGGTGTGTAGGATGTACTCAAAAGAAAGGAGGCTAGAAGTGGGTGGCCAGCTAGAAGGAAGGACATAGCAATCCTGCAAATGAGTGACATGGGCTTTGCCCAGAGGGAATGGAAACCAGAGGCAGGAACAAGCAGCACTGTCAAGCAAGCACATTTGGGGCTTGTGCATTTGACCTTGACTTATCTACATGTTTAATTGTTCTTTTACCATCAACACTTAAAACACATTTTCTTAATAGTGAAAAAATATAGGTTTTAAACAATGCAAAATCTATAAATTTAAAAATCTACAACCCATCTCTTCCTGATGTTTTTATTTAAAATTTGTTCCTTTCAAGGGGGCAAGATAATTTTTAGGATACACACACACACACACACGTACACACAAATGCCATAAATATAACTTTTGAATGAAGATATTAATACCCTTCTGTTTGAGAGTTCTAAATATGGTCTATTTTTAAATGTATGGTTGGTTTTGGGTTTCTGTTGAACCATCCTTAAACTCATAAATGTCTCTCGTGCAACATTTTGTATTTGTGATGTGGTAGTCTTAGGGACAGGAGTATGGAAAACTCTTATGAATTTAATTGGTCAACAGGGAGTTTGAACCTTCAACCCTTATCTCATTATCAACTCCCTTTAGCCAAATGAGCCAACTCGCTGGACATGTATTACAATTAGAACAGGAAAAATACATTAGGCTCTTGTGCACATTCACTTAACTAGTTCAAAACAACATAGAATTCAAAAAGCAAAGATTTTTCAGAACAAGAACCCTGAACTAAATAGTCAACCACTACCCTCTGCACATTTCTAAAGACATTTTTAAAAACCATACAAATACAGTAAAATCATTATTGGCAAGGTATACATGGACTCAATCTAGAAACTGAGCTTGGTAACAATATAGCTTTTATACATAAACAGAATGCGTGTTGATTGAAAATGGCATACAAGTGATCAAAGAAAATCTTTATAGACAAACATTTGAACGTTTTGCAGTATGGAACAATTTTAGATAATTTATGTTCCTCTGAAACTCATTTGTATTCTACTCTAAATATATAGCAGCCTAAAAGTTTAAGAAAATCTGGGCCACAGACCTAAATACAGAGCTCCAGGGAGGATTGCTGGCTGCATGCAAGCTCATTTATGTAACCATAGTCTAGCATTTTATCAATGTGAGAAACAGAAGTATTTTCTTCACTACAATCAGTAGGATGCATTCTGCATACCAACACATAACCATGAGAGAAGAAAAGAGTTACAATGTATCAATTAGGAAAGTTATTTTCTAAAGCAATAACAAAGTAAAATAATAGTTTCAGAGTGGTTCTACTGTTTTTACCTTACTGAGATATCCACACTTTTTTCTGAGACAGAAATGTTTATAAAAATATGAGATTTTCCTCAACATTTGAAATCTTGAATTGCCATCGAAAGGCTTAAAAATACCGACATAGGTTTTCCAACTACAGGAGTTACCATGGCCATTTCTTTCCCTATCTATCTTCTTCAAATGTTCTCATTTATTAGCTCTTCTCTTTGATTTATTATATGTCTCTGAGTATAATTATAAAAAGAAAATATACTTTTTGCCTGGTGGCTATCACATCATCTCATAGTACTAGACTTCTTAGCTTCCATTAATTTTTGGAAGGGTGAATTTAACATTCTAAGTTAATTAATAATTTGGCAGACACAATTGAATGCATGTTAAAATTGGTAGAGGAAAATACACCTAATAATTAGAATGGTGGATGAATTAAGATTAAGATTAATGAGAAAGTGGGTTATTATAGATATCTAAAATTAATGAATATATACTTTTCAAATGTGAAATTATATGGTATTTTGTGCCAGAGAAGTTCCAGAGTTAACGTTTTTATAATATTTAAAAATGTTTATTTTAGAAGTATTTTCTTGGTTTTGTATATCTTTCAGGGTGTTTGCTGTGAAGAAATATTAGCAAGAATAAGGTGTAAAAGACTACATTTCAGTAAATACAACTGGTAGCCTTCAGCCCCTTGCCTGCCCTTATCCACAGTTTCACTTGCTAAGGTTTTAGTTACCTGAGGTAAAATAATATTAAATAGGAAATTTCAGAAATAAACGACTTGTAGAATTTTAAATTGCATGCATACTGAGTAACGTGATGAGATCTCATGCCATCCAGTCCGTCTTGCCACGGGACATGAATCATTCATTTGTCCAGCATATCTGTGCTGTCTACACTACTTGCCCACCCACTAATCCCTTAGTAGCCATCTTTTTCATACTCTTCCATCATCGCAAGTAGGAGGAGGGTGAGTACGGTACAATAAAATATCTCGAGAGAGAGACAACGTTCACTAACTTTTATTATAGTATACTGTTTTAATCATTTCATTTTGTTATTGTTAATCTCTGACTGTGCCTAATTTATGAATTAAACTTTATCACAGATATACATGTAGAAGGGAAAAATATGGCATGTAGAGCATTTGGCAGTGTCCAAGGTTTCAGGCACCCACTGGAAGTCCTGGAACGTGTTTCCCTTTGATAAAGGGAACTGCTTGACTGGCTTTTGGACAGAAAATGTATTGAGAGTAATGAAACACAACTGACATGAAATAAGTTATTTTCATTTGTTTAAAAATAAGTTTCCTAAAAGAAATCCAGTCTGCATGATTTTGCAGGTTTCCTTTAGTAAGTGACTAATGCCGTCTTGCTCTGAAGTTATATAATTATTCCTTTTTGTAGTTCTGGATTCTGTTTGCCTAAAACTCTGGTTCTCAAACTTGATTGTGCATCAGAATCACCTGGAGAGTTAAGTCATGGACAGGTCAATGTGTATGGTGAGAGAATGTACTTAAATTCCAAACTGATTCCATGATAAGGTTTCTCTTAATAGTTGGGATATAGAGTAGACATTGGCAAAAAGAAGGGCATTCTCATTTTTTATCCCACCTGTTCTCTGTGTATGATCCCTCAACCAACTGCATTGCCATCACCTGGGAACTTACTAGAAAATCAAATTTGGTTCCCATCCTGGAGCTACTGAATCAGAAACTCTGACAGTAAAGCCTAGCAATGGTTTATTTTAGTGAACTCTCCATGTGATTCTGGGCCCAGAGCCTGAAATCCCATGGTTATGAGGCCAAAACCCTATGGACTCACAACAATGCTCATGGTTGATGGTCAGAAGGCCTCAGGCACAAAGACCCTTGATGGAGGCTCCTGTTTCATGTCAATCATTATTTACATTTCATGAAACCTGAGACATTTTTGTTATTATAATTGCCATTCATTCCTTTCTTTTAGTGAAGATTGACTTACTAAATATATTGGAAAAAAGGGAAACTGCATTTGCTTCATACTGGGGCAGCAGGAGTCTTTGAAAGATGTGGTGGTTGTTGTAAAAGACCAGGAAAGAGGTTCCCAAGTGTTTTACTGTCAAAAAGCTAAGAAAATCATCCTTAGCAGCCTACTAAAATTTCAGGAATGGCATGAAATTTTCAGAAACTCATATTTGCATACATGAATAAACTTTTTAAGGACAACAGGCTTTAGCTTTTACCCTCTGAACCTCATACTGATCGCCTTAAGGAGAATAAGTTCTACTGTGATTGGAAAGTTATCAATAAAATAATGCCATTTTAAGTGCCAGTTGACTTCTTTTAAATTTATAAATCTGCCCTTCTTGATGAGGATTAAAATATCTCTTCTCTGCATGCCTCTTTATTCAAATCCATAGCTATGAGTCTCCCCAAACTTGGGCCATGTAACCAATGTGCTCTTCTGGAGAAAATGATGAGGTAATGGAATACTAGCTTACTCCAATTCTGATTGTTAATATCACCGCTTTAACTCAAAACATGCACTGCTTCCTTCCCGTCTCTTCCATCTGTCCCTCTCCACAGGCTCCCTGTCGATGGATATCAAACAAACTCTGTTCTTCCAGAGCCTGAAAGGACTTCCACTTCACCATCCATCCACTGCCAACCTTGTTGATCTCCCCTTGGGGACCGGATTTCTCAGACTGGTGTTGACATAGTTTTCCTATCGTATATTCACAGAAAACATTAACTAACTTAGTTGTTTGTACATTTTTTGTTTTTGTTTTTGTTTGTTTGCCACTGAAATAACTCTAATTGTCTATTTAACTCCTATTAGGATAATTTTGAAACACTCTCCTAACATGGAGAACCAGAAACTTCTTTGCCCCAAACCAACATGTGTACTGTATGAGATTAAATAAAAAGTCAAGGTCCACACCCTCAACCCTTCACTTAACCAAGAACTGTGCATTTTGGGTTTGAGCCCAGTGGGAACAGAGGCAACATGGACACTATTTCCTAATCCATGTATGCTCTGGCAGCTCAGTGCCTCCTGAAAACACAGACAGTAAGCAGTCCTGAGCAGGCAGATGAACGAAAGAACAAAACAAACAAACTGCTAGGCTACCACTGTATTCCACTTAATTAAATCCACTTTCATCCAATTTAATTTATTACAAATTTAAGACATTGACCAAGGTTCAGGTCTCCTTCAAGGAAATTTATCAGTGCTAGGGAGGATCTGAAGCTCTCATTGGTTTAATAATCTGCCTCTTCTACTTTCCCTGGAATCCCAGGATTAGATAGCACTTGCTTTCCATCATCTGTCCTACTAGTGTGTTGACATTACTTCACTGGCAGCATCGGACTCCAGTCTAGCTGCCTTCTCAAGCCTTGCTGGATCCTTCTCCACTCCATCTCAAGGCATCAGTGATCATTTTACCCCCATAACACAAAGCATTTTGCACAAATATCTATTACAGCATTTATAGGCATTATTATCTCATTTATCTACAGAGCAGTCTCGAGACATTGTTATTGTCTCCATCACAGGGATGTTATTTCCCCCATTTCTGAATCCCATTCATTCTATGTCTTGTTAAAAATGACACAACAAGAAAGTGATGGAGCTTGGTCTCATATACTTGCTATACCAATGTGTTCTTTACATTATGATGTATTCTTAGGTGTATGCTGAATTTTTGAATTACTGTGTTGCTATTTAGAATGAAATGTCTTTAAAGAAATAACTATGCATTTTTCCTTCTTTTTCTTCTTCTTCTTCTTTTTATTTTTATTTTTATTTTTATTTTTTTTTTGAGAGGGTCTCACTGTGTCACCCAGGCTGGAGTGCAGTGGTGTGATCCTGGCTCACAGCAGCCTCAATCTCCCAGGCTCAAGCAAGCCTCCTGCCTCAGTATTGCAATTAGCTGGGGCTACAAGCACAAGCCACCATGCCTGGCTAATTTTTATAAGATATTTTCTGTAGAGATGGGGATTCCCTGTGTTGCCCAGGCTGGTCTCAAACTCTTGGGGATCAAGTGATCCTCCCACTTTGGGCTCCCAACATGCTGGGATTTTGGGCTTGGGGCACCATGCCCCACATACAGTGTCCAGCAGAAGATGCTTGATAAGGGTTATTTGTGATCATGAAACCACATAACTGATCAGCACCATGATACAGGATTGACCCTCCAGACCCACTAGAGTTCCCAGAGTTCTCATGTTAGTTAATACATACAGAAAATTTCATTAGCTTAATTAACTCATGGGAGAAATGAATTCATCAAATTAAATATTATAATCTAACAAGGATTTGAGGAAATGAGCCATTGACCATATATATGGTATTAGTGGGAGAAAGTAAGAGAAGTTTCAAATCTGGAAAGGATAAACTAGAATCTGTACCAGCTGTGACAACAGACAGCAAAACAAACAAGAGTAAAATTGACAGGATTCAAATAAAGGTGGTGAGAAACAATGACAATGTAGATACAATTGAGGAAGTCATGTTGGAAGATTATAGATATAACTTATAGCTCTTTCATTTGAAAATCAACTCTGGAATCATGGAAATTTGCCAGAGCCAGTTTTATTGAGTGGGATTAGCTCTGGTGAACACCCACAGAAAAACCTTAGGAGTACTCAGGCTTTTGTGGGCAAAAGCAATACCTGGAACTGTGGTTCAAATGCCACCTCCTCTGCCCAACCAAAGATATTCATCACAGTAGATTAAGAGTAGCCCCTAGTCATATCAATGGCTAAAAGGATTCTGAGGTAGCAGGCCTGTAGATTGCAATTTGAGAAACTCTAGATTGCCCATATCTAAAATGTTAGATTAGGATGAAGAATCCATTTATAATGGAGTTTTTCATTTTCCCATCAGATTTCTTAGAATCCATGGGCATATCAACTACATAAGTAAATAATGCCTTTTTGTCCTACATAAAGTAAAAAATCCAAGGTGCATTGGATCGTCCATTTATAACCTGAGAATAAAAGCATTTTCACTCTCCTCCCTATCATAGCTTCTCAGATTACAAATCATCAATCTATGCAGGGGTGTAGTCTATGCATTTTCACCATCTGCTCTCCAATAAATAGCCCCTTTGTAAAAAGATGTGTGTGTATCAAAACCAATCAAACAACAATAAAATCCATGCAGATTAATGATGTGCCTAAATGAATTAGACAATCATTATTATAAGAAGAAAATATTTTACAGATAAAATATATTTCAAAGAGAATGCAATTGAAACTTTATTATCTCCTAAATGATTGCATTGTACATATAAAGTTTACTATTCACAAAGGTAATTAATAAACTTGGCTTGGCTGTGCTTGCATTAAAACCAATGATTTTAAAGAGAGATGAATAGCAGCCTGGCAGCTGTGTAGGAAGCCTTGTCTGTGTCTCCCATCTAAGACCTTGTGTAAATATGTCAAAACCAATCCCAAGAAAGTAAAGGCTTATTATTCACTCTGTACTGAGGGAAGCGTTATCTTCTCTAATTAAATGAAAAAACAAGTAATACAAGATAAAAGAGGAGGAGGGGAAGAGCTTTACATCAAAGCAAAACATTTTCCTTTAGGATTCCAGATTTGTCAATGCTCAGTAAGAAATAACCATTCCAGGTGCTGTTTAATACACAATGTAAATGGGGAATCCCATGCTGAAGATAGAGTATAGTGGCACAAAAGGCTCAATTAGTTCCTGATTTTTTTTCTAAAGGTTAACAATAGAAGTGGTCATGGATTCTGCTGTCAAATTGCCATCTGTTTTAGTGTCTTAATAACTTTGGAAAGATTACAATATTTTCACAGCCTCTCAGTTTGACAAGTGGGATAAAATAACACCTCTGTTTAGAGGACACTCTTATGTCTCTTGACATGCATGATAGCACTGCTTATGATGTTTCACACCCAGCAGGACCTCAGCATAGACAACAGCTATGCAAACACTAGTTTGTACAATTGTATTTCAATCTCATATGCCTACAGTCATTTCCTCATTATCATATTACTCTCTACTCTTAACATTTCCTTGTGTCTTTGGGGGGTTATTTGATTTTGTTTATGTTTTCACAGAATGTATGAATCAGTTTTATCAGGTCTCTTTCTTTGAATTAAGAGGTTCTTAAAGTGAATTGAAAGAACCCATGCATGGATACATGAATGAATGGGCACATGAGTGTATGATGAACAGATGCATTAATAGTTCAGATAAATTTTTCATAGATAGATACAGAAAGCAAGATAAACTAAGAGACTTTATTAAGAACAAGGGGGAAGTGTAAAAAGAGCTTCTTTGGATTTCACTCAACTAATACACTGTTCTTTATCCATCTTAAGGTAATTTAATACATTGCAGGAACCTATGCACACTCGTTTGTATTTTCTGTTTATAAGTCTGTCCCTGAAAACCACTCTCAAGACTGAACGTCTTACCAAGTAAAAGAACTTACATCATTTTCTTCAAATCTATCAGAAAGACAATGAAAATTTTTCTGCAGCTTTACTGAGACACATTTCACATACTATAAAATCCATCCATTTAAAATATTCACTTCCATCTTAGTATATTTACAGTGTTGTTCAGCCTTTATTGTAATAGAATTTTGGGACCTTTCTCATCAATTACAAAATAATTCCCACACGTATTAGCAATCATTCATCTTCTCTTCTTTTCCTTGACCCTTCCCCAGACCCAGCTTTGTCAACTTCTAGTCTACTTTCTATCTCTATTTTTGCTAGGATATTATTTTATTTCCCTTGGGTATATACCTAGGAGTAGATTTGCTGGATCATATAACAATTCTATGTTTAATTTTTTGAGGAACTGCCAAATTGTTTTCACAGTGGCTTGCACCAGTTTTCAGCAGCAATGTACAAAGGATCCAATGTCTCCACATCTTGGCCAACACTTGTTATTTTTTGTTTCTTTGTTTATAACCATCTTAGTGAGTGTGAAGCAAAACTGTGGCTTTAATTTGCATTTATCTAATTTATCTAGATCCATATATATGATGTATTAACATATTCTTATGTTCTATGCATTGTTTTCTCACTTTCTTGGTGCTCTTTGATACACAAGTTTTTAATTTGATAATGTCCATTTTATCTATCTTTTTTGCTTTTGATATCATAAGTAAAAAGCGAAACAACAACAGCAAAAACATTGCCTAACACATAGTCAAGAACGTTTACTCTTATGTCTTTTTCTAGTTTTATTACTTTAGATCTTACATTCATGTCTACAGTCCATTTTGTGTGGATTTTTGAGTAAGGTGTGAGGTAGAGGTCAAAACTCATTCTTTGCATATCCAGTTGTCCCAGGAACATTTGTTAACAAGAATTTTCCCTCTCCATTGAATGATCTTGGCACTGTTGTCATAAATTAGTTGAGTGTAAATGTAAAGTCTTACTTCTGAAGTGATCTATACTTCTATCCATATGCCAATACCTCAGTGTCTTTATTACTGAAGCTTAAAATAGGTTTTGACATTGGGAAAGGTGAGACCTCCATAAATATTCTTCCTCAAGCTTGTTTTTACTATTCTGAATCATTATCTTTCCATACAAATTTTATAAGCATCATAAAAATTTATGCAAAACACTTGCTAGGATTTTTACAGGGATTATGTAGGATCTGTAGATTAATGCAAGGTATATTGCCAGCTTAGTAATGTTAAGTCTTATGATTGATGGACATGGATTTTCTGTCTATTTATTTAGAAATCATTTAATTTCTTTCAAATTTTTGTATTTTTTATTGTTCCATGTGCACTTGAGAAAATGCTACATTCTGCTGTGATTAAGTGCTGAGTTATTTAGATATCTGCTAGACCTTTTTTCATAGTGTTGTTCAAGTCTTCTGTTTTCTTTTTTATCTTCTGCGTAGATGTTTTATCCATTATTGAAAGTGGGTATTGAATCGTCAAATAAATTGTTTAGTTCTCTCTGTCTTTCTCTCTGTCTTTAATTCTGTCAGTTTTTGCTTCATTAAATTTGAGGCCTTATTTGTAGGTGCATATATGTTTATAATCATATATCTTCCATTTTTTGACTCATCATTATAACGTATGCTTTTTTTGACTCTTATAACATTTTATCTTAAAGTCTATGTTGCCTGATATTGCTATTCCATCTCCATCTTGATTCAATCTTGCCTTGTATATCTTTTCCATTTGTTTATTTTCAACTTATTTGTGTCTTTCCATGAAAAATGTGTCCTTGTAAACAGCATATTATTGGATCATATTTATTTTTTATCCATTCTTTCAATATCCACCTTCAATTTGGGATGTTTAATTATTCAATTTAGTTTATTTACAGATGAAGTAGGATTTGCATCTGTTATTTGCTATTTGTTTTCTATGTGCCTTATTTTTAAAAATTTCTTTATTCATCCATTCCTGTCTTTTGTGATTGTTAAATAGATTATTTTCTAACATAGTTTTAAAATTCCCTTTTTCTCTTTCTATATTTTTTGTTAAGCTATCAAATAATTTTATAATTATTGCTTATACAATTGTATTTAAAAGAGATAGAACAAGAAATGAGTAACAAACAGAAAGATATTGACCTAAGGACAATGTAGTAACATTTCCTGGTGTTCTTTATTTCTTAGTTTGTATTTGAGAAACCATATACTGTCCTTGCATTTCAGTTTGAAAGATTCACTTTAATATTAATTGTATTAGTCTCTCAGTTTTTGTTTTCTGGAATGTTTAATTTTCTTTTTGTTGTTGAATATGAGTTGAGGTAGATGGAGTTCTCAGTTGACAGCCCTTTTCTGCCACAACTTTAACTATGTCATCTCACTGCTTTCCAGCTTCCTTGGTTTCTGACGTGAAGTCAGTTGTTAGTCTTATTAGTTGGTGCAAACTCATTGCATTTTTTTTGTATTGGTGGAATTTGCTGTTTGATATTGGAATACATTCTTAAATAAATGTGGTTTGTTATACATCATTTTAATGGACATTTCTCACTTTATGTTATTTTGCTAATGACTTATTACTTTCTGTTTATTTTATGTTTATTTTAGACTACAGAAATTATGTTAGACAAAAAGCAAATTCAAGCAATTTTCTTATTCAAGTTCAAAATGGGTTATAAATCAGGAGAGACAACTTGCATCATCAACAATGCATTTGGCTGAGAAACTGCTAATGAACATACAGTGCAGTGGTGGTTCAAGAAGCTTTGCAAAGGAGACAAGAGCCTTGAAGGTGATGAACATAGTGGCTGGCCATCAGAAGTTGACAATGACTAAATGAGAGCAATCATCTAAGTTGTCCCCTTACAACTATACAAGAAGTTGCCAAGGAACTCAACGTTGACCACTCTATGGTCCTTTGGCATTTGAAGCAAATTGGAAAGGTGAAAAAGCTTGATAAGTGGGTGCCTCATGAGCTGAGTGAAAAATTTTAAAAAATATCATTTTGAAATGGCATCTTGTCTTATTCTATGCAACAACAACAAACCATTTCTCTATCAGATTGTGACATGTGATGAAAAGTGGATTTTATATGAAAACTGGTGACTACCAGCTCAGTGGTTGCATTGAGAAGAAGCTTCAAAGCACTCCCCAAGGCCAAACTTGCACGAAAAGAAGATCATGGTCACTGTTTGGTAGTCTGCTGACGGTCTGATCCACTACAGCTTTCTGAATCCCTGTGAAACCATTACATCTGAGTAGTATGCCCAGCAAATCAATGTGATGCACTGAAAACTGCAAGGCCTGCAGCTGACATTCATCAACAGAAAGGGCCCAATTCTTCTCCACAACAACACCCAACTGCATGTCGCACAACCAATGCTTCAAAAGTTGAATGAATTAGGCTATGAAGTTTTGCTTCATCTGCCATATTCACCTGACCTCTTGCCAACCGACTACAACTTCTTCAAGCAGCCCAACCATTTTTTTGCAGAGAATGTTTTCCAAGAGTTCATCAAATTCCAAAGCACAGATTTTTATGCTACAGGAATAAACAAACTGACTTGTCATTGGCAACAATGTGTTGATTGTAATGGTTCCTATTTTGATTAATAAAGATGTGTTTGAGCCTAGTTATAGTAATTTAAAATTCACCATCTGAAACCACAATTACTTTTGCACTAAACTGATATTAAGGCTCCCTTGTGCGTAAGTCACTTTTGATGTGTCTAGGGCTGGATCTCTTTGAGCTTATTCTACTTGGAGATTGTTGAGTATCTTGAATGTGTACATTAACATTTTTTTACACAAATTTGGAAAATTGTTAGCCATTATTTCCTCAAATAATTTGTCTGTTTCTCTTTCTCTTCTCCTTCTGTGAATGTCTGTATACACCTATTATGCTTGATAGTGTCTCACTTTTCTCTGAGGCTTTGTTCATGTTTCTTCATTGTTTTTCCACTCTCTTTCTGAAACTACATAATCTCTATTGACCTATCATCAAGTTACCTGATTCTCTCTTCCTCCTATTCAAATCTGTTGTTTAAATCCTCTGGTGGATTTCTTATTCCAAATATTTTGCTTTACATCACCAAAATTTCTGTGATCTTTCCAAAATTATTATTTTGATCTCTTTCTTGATATTCTCTGTTGTGTGAGACATTGTTTTTATATTTTGCTTTAATTATTTCAACATGGTTTCCCTCAGTTTTGTATGCATGTAGGTTCACTGACTTAAATTGTTCCCCTACTAAATTCAAAATCTGGGCTTCTGTAGGACATTTTTTGTTGGCTTTTTTTTTTTCTGTGCATGTGGTATACTTTTCTACTTCTTTGCATGCTCATGAGTTTTTGTTGAAAACTGGACAATTTAGATAATATAATTTCTTCCATACCTTTCCCCTTAACGTGTCTTGTAGCTGTTTTTTCTTTTATATTCCTTATTTGTTTAGAAGCTTTACTGGAATAATTCTATAGATTACGTATTTCCTGCTGTGTGTGGCCACTGAGATCTCTTCTGACATTTTTTTAAAGTTCTTTTTACTATTTTAAAGTCTGCTTTCCTAGGAGTCACACCTTAAACATTATAATTTAGTGTATAACTATTGTTTAGAAGTTTTCCCTACATTGCTTGCCTATAGATCCTCTATCCTTTGCCGTGGGGATCTGTATGTGAGTCCATGTCTTCCAACTTCAGGCAGCGTATTACAAGACAGACTAGCCTTCACTTCCTGCTTAGGGAGGACCGTAAGGTCAGTGAGTAGCTGGTGGCTTCTTCTAAGATCTTTCTTAGTCATGCACATGGCTTTGCATCAGTTTAGATACCCAAGAGTATTTCAGAGCTTTTTGGTAGTCCTTATCATTGTGTAGATCTTAGAATTTCCTTTTAAATTCTCAGCCAGGCTCCGTTTTCCCAACTAAAATCACAGCCCTAGGTGACTAAAATGTTATCAGCAGTTTTCTATTGTTTCTGTAATAATGTGGGGTGCACATTTTGTATTTGTCCTGCCTGAGTTGAGCTGTGGGTCAAATCAAATAGCTAACACACTCAGAGATTTCACAGGGAGCTACAGATTTGGACAAAATATTGACTGTGCTCTGGGGATAGTATTTTTAGTGAAGCTCCAAAAATGGTCACATCTGTCTGCTGTCTGCAATGCTCTTAGCCTTTGGCTACTGTGCCACTGAGCTGCTGTGTGTGGTGGAAAGGATGGGGATAGCACCAACTTAAAACATCACCGGGCCTGCTGTCATACTGTAGTTTAGTACTTTCTTTTGAATAGGTTCTCCTCAGTACATTCTGTGGCTTTGGTTATTTTTCTGAGATCAAAAATGGGTTATTTAGTTGTCTTGTTGTATTTTTGATGTTTCACATTAACATTGAGTTAGAGGAAAACTGAGTTAACCAAGATCTTCACTCTGCCATTCTGCAATGTTTTCTCCAATGTAAACTTTTCAGGTTCCAAGTCCTCCCTTAACATGGGTATTTATAAAATCCCTGAGCCCATGATTATGCTTATATATTCCTTTATTATTTCCCCCAGGAAAAATGTTAAATATATGTGAAGTTTTATACAATTATATAAAATTGCCATTTTAAAAAAGCACAACATGCTAATTATTCTGATCTCATTACCGTAATTATATGCATCACCACATCACTATGTATCCCACAGATATGTAAAATTATTATGTGTTAGTTTAAAAAATTTTAAACACAGTACTTTTTCCTACTTTTCCAGATAGTTACTGTCACAGAGAGCCATATATATGTATATATATATGTATATATGTGCACATACATATATATCTCTATCTATCTATCTATCTATCTATCTATCTATCTATCTATCTCTCTATCCCCATTCTGGAGGTTATAGATTTAATGAAAAGAAAGTTTTACAAAATAAAGGAGGAATCAATAATTAAAGAAAGTTGTCAAGCAAATCTTTCACAGAGAATTGAATTTCAGAAATTCAAATGCAAATAAAAGTCTATGACGAGGTGCTATTTTGCCAGTTGCTATTTTTTAAGATATCCTTCTTAATCTTTGCAGTCTTCTACACATTTAATAAACTTTTTATCACTCTGTCACTCAAAGAATAGTACTGTTTCTATGAAGATTAAACACTAGCAAGACTACAGTATAAAGATTTGCAAATCCGTTATTTATTGATTCATTTAACAAATATTTATTGAATAAAGTGCCTGGGCCTGTGTTAAATGTGTCCTTTTATTCTAATGCTTTCATATCCAGGGCTTTGCTAACACAGTAGGGACTTCCCTTCTCTTTCTAGTTTTCACCAACTCTTAGAAGTAGGATTCAGCTGTGAGTGTGCAGCCTTCCATTTGCAAACCAACAAATCCAGAGCCCACATTCCAACCATATTCCTTACTGGGCTTTTATGCTCTGGGACACCATTTACTTTCCCTAGTTACCCCAGGATGAGGTACCAGACAAGTAGGGACAGCTGCAGCTGCTGTCTCAAAACCCAATGAAATTACTCAATCTAGTCCATCCTAAACCCATTTACTTTGCCTCACCCATTCCTTCACAGACAAACCACAATAAAGACTCTTGCCCACAGCTCCCCTTTTGTCTCTGTCTCCAGACTCACCCAAGTGCTCCCCCATGTGACCCCCATGGCATAGCAGGCACCTCTTCTAGGGAACTGTGAGTAACAAACTGTCTTTTCAATGGCAGTAATCTCCTGATCTGTCAGCCTCACTACATCTGAATAATAAAACTACATTTTAAAACAAGGCCTAACTCTCCAGTGAATTTAAAAACCTGAATTCCTAACCTCAGAGCCTTTGGAAATTACAGCCAATATCTAACCTCTGAAATTTTTAAGTTTGTACAAATGTAAGTGATTAGTATTATGAAGACTCCATACTTCCTAGCATTTTTCTGGTTCACCCTTTTTGTGGTCACATAGGGTAATGATGAGATTTATTGTATTGCAGCAGGACCACATTTCCATCCAGAACATACAACAGCCCCGATATCCACATTCCATTGACATGCAAGTAGTAAAATAAACCACCTCAGTTGCACTTGACTTCATGAAGATAGAAAAACAGGAAAGAAGATGCAGGCAACGTCCACAAAAAAAGCCAATGTGCTCATGTGGTGTAAGTGCTCATTTTTTTTAAATTTAAAGAAATAAAACACTTTTTAAAATTGAAATTAACATGTGTGTGAAAATAATTACTCATCTCTTGCCAACTTCACCAAACTTTTTGCCACAGACATATTTAATGTGGCTTCTAAATGTGCAAAAAGCTGAATTCACTCTACCCAAAGACAAACTTGAGGAATGTTTTGTGGGCCATGGGATGTTTCCAAATATAAAGGAAAAAAAGGTGATAGCATTTATAGCTCTGCCCTTTGCCCATCAAAGAAAGCACTAAAGTTCATTGACATTCAAGTTGTTGCCACTTGCATCAGAACATACAACCTGTGAAGGCAGGTCTGCTGTCTCTGTATTCATTGCTATGCTCTCAGCACAGAACAACTCCCACCAACGTGTCCAGTGTTCACTATGAGAAATAAAGGATGGTTTAACAAAATATATTCCTCCCCATTGACATTAAAACAGTGATAATCTTTGAATAAAATTGAAATAATTCCATAATCCCCAAAGGAAACAGAAGGAACCAGGAAGGCTCAAAAGATCTTTTTTTTTTTTTAATTTCACCTTGGGATAGTGACCTGGAATCACGTATAAAAATTATTAGAATTTGGCAGCACTGGATTGCAACCCATCAATTTAATATTTAGCTAGTAATAAAGAAATACTTAAGAGGTTAAAAACACCATGTAATGATAAATAACTTCATCAAACTCCCTCAAATTCTGAGTTGTCACACATCTTGATAAAAGTTAAAAATATTTGTGCTTAAAAATATGGAAGAGTTCATGGCACCTCCCTGCATTGGGCTAACAATAAGTATCATGCACTAAGTGTCTAGCTCTTACAAACATTATTTTCATCCTTCAAGAATCTTTAACGGGGTATTTTAAAATTTTATTTGCTAATAGAGATTTCAGGTACATTTCCTAACTTCTTTAAGGTTAGAAGCTAGTAAGAGTCAGAGCTGAAATTCAGAATAATGTTTGTCATGTTCTAGTTCTTTAAAAGATTTCTCAATGAGATGAGGAGATGGATTCTGTCATCCTCAATATTTATTACAGAGCTTGTGTCATTTCAAAGCAGGGCCATGTGAAGTCACAAGCATATATGTAGTCTTGCATTTAATGGAAAACCCAGATATATGAAATAAATCATTTAAATCAGTCTCATTTTATTCATTCACAGTAAGTCAAGTGGTATATATATTTTCAATTTAGGGAAATTATTTCACTACCATTAAAATGAATGAGCAATGGTGTGATGATATGAAGACGTAAAATATAGAGAAAATAACACAACTCTATTTGTTGAAGTAAACAAAGGAATCTGAAACAACAGTAACTAACTTCCTCCTCTTCCCCCTCCACCTCACCAAAAAAAAAAAAAAAAAAAAAAAGAGAGGCCTGTGTCCTTGGATATGTCAGGTAAATAGTCACCCAGTTCAGAAACATCAGAATTCCTCTTAAATATTCTGAGTATACCTACGGGGATGTTTTTAGTAAGAATTTTTTTTTAATCTACCATTTAAGAGAGTTTATCAAAATTTAAGATAACTGCATTGGTATTTGTCAGGTGCACCTAGTGAATTTGTCATTCTTTAGAAAATGACTATACTGGTGATTCTTTAGGGTATATGATTTTTTTTCATCCATATGTGTTAGTAATCCTATCATACATTCAGATTTTGTTTTATGAAGTCAGACATTTGATTAATTCATTCTAAACATTAGTGAATGAAAAATGGCTATGACAAGAATTAATTGCATCTCATTGTTAAAATTATTAAATTGTCAAAGAGCACTCCTTCCTAACTGTGTAATTATAGGCAAGTTCCTGAAGCTCTCTGTGCTTCAGTTTCCAAATCTGTAAAATGAGACAAGGAAAGGTCTCATTGGAGTTTGTGAGGATTAAGTGAGTTACTCTGAGTAATACACCTTGAATACTGCCTGGTATAATTGAACACAATTATTATTAGATGTTGATATTGAGTGGACACAATCCCAAACTAGTATTAGAGGAGACTACTAAGAGCAAAATCCTTAATTGTATACATGTTAGTGGCTTTCTTTTAAAACAAACTGATTACAAGAAAATCATTAAGAAAGTAAAGTTAATTAAGAAGACTTGAGACTTGATAAAAAGGAAAAACAAAAAGGAGAATCAAGAAATAAATAATTGGGTTTTTTTAGACAGAGTCTCACTCTGTCACCCAAGCTAGAGTGCAATGGCACGATCTCGGCTTACTAAAACCTCCACCTCCTGGTTTCAAGGAATTCTGCGTCAGCCTCCTGAGTAGCTGGGGCTACAGGCATGCATCACCGTGCCCAGAGAATTTTCTGTATTTTTAGTAGAGATGGGGTTTTGCCATGTTTCCCAGGCTGGTCTCAAACTCCTGATCTCAGATGATCCACCCACCTCGGCCTTCCACAGTGCTTGGATTATAGGCGTGAGCCACCACAGGCAGCCTTGTACATACTATTATTTGACTAAATAATACTTGACACTTTGCAACATTTTTCTTTATAATACCGCAAAAGAACCTCTTGATTTTGGAAGATTGGCAACAATGAAAAAGGTTTCAGATAATTTGCTACAGACAAATATAGAAACAATGGCTATGACAAGAACTTGTTCTCAGACCCTAGAATGTATGAAACTAAACGGCACCACAAAACCCCCATGCAAAAATGCTTAGCCTAATGCTTAGATGATAGACAAACTTCCTTTAGGATACATTTACACGAAAGGTGAAAAACATAGACCAAATTACATTTCCATGCCCTTTAGACCCAGAGAAAAGGTAGTCCAGTCTACCCAAATAATTCCCGTAAGAGTAGTACTTATATAACAATCCCTATATCATGCACAATAAGAACATTAAACTCCACAAATATCCAAAATTTAAATTAAAGTTGACAAAAGCATGACAACTAAAATTAAATTATACAATCTAAGTGAGATCAACATGCTATATAAAAATCAGTCCCCAGTCAAATAGCATGCAGGCCATATAGAATAAGGATGCAGAGGACTCCAGAAATGACAATCTGGTACTTTAGCAAAGTCTGAAATAGTTATAGATATTATCCTTACAAATAAGCATGGGAATCCAAAATTCAATAAAAAATAAATTAACTTCTCATAAATAAATAAATAAAGCACTGACTGGGATATTGATTCCCTATAAGAGGCAAACTGTGGGATTGAAGAATGAAAACTAAAATTACTTGAAAATTACTCAAGATAGCTACTTACATGTTGGGCAAAAATGTCAAGATGCCTCTTTAATATATTGATTTGATTTTGCAACTATGAACAAGCTAGATATAGCATGCATTTAAGTAATGCATCTATACAAATCTTAATATAATCATTTAAAAATCTTATGAGGAATCTAATTTACTTGTTCTAATAAATCAGCAATATGACAAAACAGGTGGCTGACATATAATTTGATTAACTGAGACAAGCTGTAGGAAGGATTAAATCAGCATAACATTATCTGGTATTATCCACTATCAGGTTGATGGAATTTTTCTTTGTTTCTTATCCACCCAGTTTCCTATCCATCCATTTGTCTATCCATCATACATCTATCATCCGTTCATTCATTCATCCACTTGTCCATTGATCCATCCATCCATCTATCCATCCATGTGCCCACATATCACATTCCTAATGATTAAAAAAATCTCCGTAATAAACTTTACATAATAAGGAAGACTAGACCCAATTTCTAAGAAGAGCAATAATTTCCACAGGATGTGTTTAATAATAGAACAACAATAATCAGGTGCTTATCCAGACACTGCACTAAGAAATGTGTACATATTAGCTCATTTAGTCCTGGAAACAGCCCTTTGAGGCAGGTACTAATACTGGCTCATTTTCATACAAGAAAAGTGCAGTACAGAGGGTCTGATAATGTTTGTGATGTCAGCTACCGGAAAGAGTGAATATTCCTGTCCAAAATTTGTCACTCTAGAGCTCTTAATAACTAAGTATTGCTTCCTACATAGAAACATGTGGGTTTTTTTCCATAAATTCTTTTAAATTCTCTGATATGATTTGGCTCTGTGTCCCCACTCAAATCTCATCTTGAATTGTAATTACCATGTGTTGAGGGAGGGACCCGGTGAGGGGGTGATTGGATCATGGGGGCAGTATCCCCCATGCCGCTCTCATGATAGTGAGTTCAAAATCTGATGGTTTTAAAAGTGTGTTGCAGTTCCCCCTTTGCTATCTCTCTCTCCTGCCACCTTGTGAAGTAGGTGCTTACTTCTCCTTTGCCTCCCACCATGATTGTAAGTTTCCTGAGGTCTCTCTAGCCATGAGGAATTGTGAGTCAATTAAACCTTTTTTTTAAATAAATTACCCAATCTCAAGTAGTTCTTTATAGCGGTGTGAAAATTGACTAACACATTCTCTTTCCTCTAAATTCATTCCCAAGAAAGCTGCAACTCTCTTCAAAGAAATCTCCCCACCCTCTTAGCTCACTGTGACTCTTCTCTGAAATCCTATGGAATCTCTTATCATTCAGGAATCACTCATGACCTGCCATGTAGCATATCTGAAACCAACGCATACAACTACATTATATGGTTTTTACCTTTCTGACCTTTAAAATTTGTCTAATCAACTCTCAGCACATTGAATCCCTAAATCTTGCTAATCTTTATTTTCCCCTCCAGTTAATGAAATATCACTGAAGGGTAAGAAAAATGCCTACGTTTTAAAATGAAAGAGATTTCCAGTCCAGACAATATGGTGAAAACTATCTCTCCCTCCTCCTCCCCACAAGCTCAACTATAGACATGTTGGAGAAAAATGAAAGACGACCCAAGGAGAGTTCTGAAATGTTCAAAGAGAAAGCAGGCCAGGTAGGGGCCAGAACTGGAGGAGCAGCCCAGAAGTAGGATGTCATATTATCCCATGCAACAGTGGAAGGACATCCAAGCCTAACATTTCCTGACCCGCAGCCTCAAAGAGGGAAGATCAGCTAGTCTCATACCACATGTGTGTGGAAATAGAGTCCCACCATACCAAGCAAGTTGAGGCAAACCAGTAGAGGGGACTGATCAGAAGCCCTGTGGCAATAAGTGGTGCTCTCCTTCCCTGTCCTGGGACTCCTCCTCCCACTGAGTGATTCCATTTACCAGAGACAGCAGCAGGGGCAACTGCTACAAACAAAATGCTCAACCTGGGAAGCCACTTAGTCCCCTAGGGCCTAAGACTCCCCTACCCTAGGCAGGGATATCACACTGTGGGAAACACCTGCAAAGGTGACCTTGAGCCCATGAGCAGCCTGAGAGGTTCTCCTCATCATTCCACTTTTTCAACTGGCAGACGTAGCTTGACAAGCACGAGGCTGGAAATGTTCTTAGTCACCTTGTGAGAAAGGATCCCTTTCCTAATTAGTGGCACCAGCAACCTGGCCTGCATAGTTTCGTCTGCTCACCCAAAGCAGCATCAGTAGGGACCAGAGGAAGCCCCATTGGCACAAGATAAACCATTCAGAATAAATAGCACCTCACAGGCTCAAAAGTGAGACAGCTAATAGAGCCAGACAATCAGTCTCTAAAACTAGGCCAGGACCTATGTGCTAAATCCAAACAAGGTAAATGCCCTCTTTTAAAAAAAATCTTAAATAGTACCCAGCCTTGAAACATAATAAGCCAAAAGGCAGAACACAATTAAAAAGTATGTGTTATACTGAGAACTAGGAAGATCACAACTTGAAAGATAAAAGACAATCACAGAACACCAATAATTAAACAAATCACAAATTACAATTATCTGACAAGAATTTTAAAGCAGTCATCATAAAAAAAAGTTTCAACAGCAATTTCAAATTCTCTGGAAACAAATGAAAATATAGAAAATTTTAACAAAGGAATAGAAGTTATCAAAAAGTGCTACTAGGCCGGGCACGGTGGCTCACGCCTGTAATCCCAGCACTTTGGGAGGCTGAGGCCGGTGGATCACAAGGTCAGGAGATTGAGACCATCCTGGCCAACACGATGAAACCCCGTCATTACTGAAAATACAAAAATTAGCTGGGCATGGTGGCATGCACCTGTAATCCCAGCTACTTTGGAGGCTGAGGCAGGAGAATCGCTTGAACCCAGGAGTCGGAGGTTGCAGTGAGCCCAGATGGCCACTGCACTCCAGCTTGGCAACAGAGCGAGACTCCATCTCAAAAAAAAAAAAAAAAAAAAAAAAAAAAGTGCAAGTAATGGAAATGAAAAGTAAAGTAACAGAAATAAATACAGCAAGCTACATGGGCTCAGTTTTGGAGCTGAGATGACAGAGACGGTGAGCTAGATGACAGGTCCACAGAACTGACCCATTGGAAACAGTAGAGAGAAAAATACTGAAAAAAAATAGTATAGCCTAGGGGACCTTTTACAGTCACAAAATAGGCAATATTCACATCAGCAAATCTAATTTTATCACATGGAGGGTTTTATATCTGAATTTCAACTATTCATCCTACACTACCTGAACTAAGGATCTGTATATGTAAATCAACATTTTCATTGTACTTCAAAATAATGCAATAAGGTAAATGTAATTATGTATTTGTATGTATATAGTAACCCTTATTGCATATTTTTAGTTTATTTTCAATAAAATTCTATTTAAATTCTATTTAACAAATATATACCATATTGAAATACGCAACTAAATGATCAATTATTTTTTTTTTGCAGTAATACCTGTAGACTATGTCATTGTATTGAAATAATCTCCACTGTTCCTTTTTACAATATGAGAAACATAAAAGGAAATTTTTGGGTTTATTTAAGATGTATATGTTCAATTAAAGGTAAATAATCTTTCTGTAAAGATAATTTATATTTATTACCTTAAAAAATTCCTGCATTTTGAAAAATAAAATAATAGTTTTTATTTGTATAACACTCTTGATGATATGTCTGTTATGCTCTGTTTTCCTTGTTTTCTAGTTTAGAATGTATATTTTTCTTCTTTAGGTATGCTTTTATGTAAATTTATGTAAATTATCATTTACAGTATCAAGAAATAGATTTTAGATCTTTATTAGTCTGTATCTTTTTATAAATATTAGTAACAGAAATAATACAAAAACATACATGACTTTTTCTGGTATTTTATTATATTTATAGAAACAACAAAAATAAAATGTATCTGGCTCGCGGAAAAGGCCATTTATTGGTTTAACTAATGGAAATCAACAGTCAGGGAGGTTTCATGCGCAGTTTAATTCAGCAGTGCAATAATCTTACAAACACCAACTTTGTTCATTTTCTCTGCTTTGGTTTGTGTGCTTTTGGTTTGGTTTGTGTGTCGGGTTCATTCTAATGCTGGTTGCCCTTTTAGTTCTAAGTAGCCATAGGGCTACCTGGTGCTTCTTCTCTCTCAAAGGGTAGAAGATTTCTTCTGGAAGTTATTTCAGGAGACAAAGGAAGTTTACTTCTTTCTCTAAAGGCTCCAGAAATCTCCGCATAGAAATTGTTGGACCACATTGGTTCACGTGCCAATCACTACAATAGCAAATATTGTCAGTGGGTGGAGTGCTACTGAAGCAATTTTTCTTTTTCTATGGAGAAAAAGATGAGAAGATGGAGTCAGCCTTACCAAAAGTAAAATGGCAAAGGACGTGTTGGGGAGTTACTAAGAGGAGAATGAGGTTTGGAGTGAGCAAGCACAACGCTGGGTGCAGAGTTGCAGTAAGTGAGGATCCTCTAGATTCTGGAAAATATTTAATTCCCAGCAACTAGGACTTACCATTGTCCTCTCTCTCCTACTTAGATTTGGGAAACCACCAGCTTTTGTTATAAAAGCTTAAAGTGATCATGTTTTCCAAATTAACTAGGAATAAACATATTTTAAAACTCAGTGATCCTCAATTTATGTGAAGTGAGTTGGAATAATGTATGTTAAACATCCCTGGGCCGGAAGAGAGGATGGAATTTAAGTAGTTTTATTTTCATTATTACAACTATGTGAGGTAGTTATGCTAAAGGTTTGTGTACGTTTTCATACTGACTCCTTACAAAAATCATTAATGGTAGGTTCATATAACTCAGGCACAAGGACACTAGATGATGGCCTCAGGGTATTAGCTTTTCCTGATCCCCGTATATACATGCTACTCATACTGCCATACTCTGCACCCTTTGCAAGTCCTGACGATCAAAACAGGAGTAAAAGCCCTAACAAAACTTTGGATCATTGGCAAATTCTTTTAACTAGAATAATAAACCTAGGTCAGCTACAATGAAATTCACTTCCCCCAGATTGTTTTGGGCCAGTAACAGACTCCAGAAAACAGGAGAGAGACACCTGGAAGTTACTTAATTCTAACTGATCATGCCAAGTGAGCAAACAGTTTTCATTTGGGTGTTTTCCAGAAAGAAAATGACCAAATCATTTTTATTCCCCCTAGAGGCATTAACACATTATTTTAATATATACGAGAGCAGATCCTCTTGAGAGAACAAAAAGTAAATACCAAGTAATTACAACAGAAAAAATGTCTATCTTCTAAATAGAGTTTCCTTCTAAAAGGTTCTTCAGGGAAAAAGTAAATTTCGCACTGTAATCTTGCTTTTTAATTAAAGTAAGACAAAAAATTCCATAATTACATCAACATTTAAAATGCATTGCCTTCTATTCTTAAATTTAAATTTATCTTTTAAATTAAATAAAGTAGAATGTTTTCAGTTCAAGAATTTAATTAAAAGTGATCATTGTTGCCAGTTTCCGTGAAGATTTTTCTAAAGCATCTGTTTTTCACATAAGACCACTGTAATTGTTTGGCAAAAAAAGCACTGACAGTTACAAATTTCATTTTTATTTTAAGTGATAAGAATAAATATCTTCCTTGCCCTTTACTTTGAACAAATATAAAATGCCATTATATTTTTATAACAGTTATAGTGAGACAATTTTTATATCATCAGCTTCACCTTTTAAGTGTACAACTCAGTGGTTTTTAATACAGTCATAAGTTGTACAATGATTGCCACAATCTAATTCCAGAACATTTTTATCACCCCAAAAGAAATGCTTGTGCCCAGTAGATATGACTGCCTATTATCTCTTAAGCTCCTCACAACCACTAATCTACATTCTGTCTCTATAGATTTGCCTATTCTTCACACTTCATATAAGTGGAATCATATAATATGTGGGACTTTGTGACTTGCTTCTTTCACTTAGCATAATGTTGTCAGAGTTCATTTCTATGTTGTAGCATGTATCAGTACCTTTCCCTTCTCACAGCTGTATAATATTCCACTGTATGGAAATACCACTGTTTGTTTATCCCTGTATCTGTGGATGGACATTTGTTTGTTCTGTTTTTTGGCTATTACAAATTCTGTTGCTATTCACATTTTTCCACGTTTTTGTATGGGCATATGTTTTTATTTTTCTTGGGTATATATTTGTAACAAAATTGCTGGGTCATATCATCATAGGGTAACTTTTATTCTGTTATTATGCAACATTCATATCAACCTGATTTGGAGGAGGTGTTATGTGTAATCTCTTAAATAAATTTAAGAATTGAAACCTGAGCAAAACTCACTGGAAACAAACAGAAAAATCAAGTAATCCACCCAATATAGTTTTATATTTCTTTCTAAAATAAAGAAAAAAGTAATAAAATATTAAAATTGTGCTTATTGTTTTTATTGTTGACCTTAAATGACTGTTCATATTATAAAATATTGCACTTTTATTACTGAAAATATATAAACCAACTCACAGAAAAACAGGCAATATTGAGTTTTTGAAATCTTTTTTTCTACATACATATGAATAAGAGATACCACTCTTATCTTCTAGAAGATCACAAGGTACTTGGGAAGACAACATGGATTAAGGAAAATCAGAAAGAAAAAAATACAGTGGACTATGCCGATGGCTAAACAAAAGCACGAGGTCCTGTATCTGAAGAAGGAGGAAAACATTTGGAGTTGGGCCTTTTAAAAAAATACCCACTTTGTGATATATTACCTTCCTGCAACATCTTATTCTCATCATTTCAATTTACCTTTGTTTCTTCATAGTTTCTAGAGATTCAGTAATAAGACTTTTAAATATTATGAAATATGTCTAGTGTTGGTGGTGCTAAGTGCATGACAAACCTGATTAGGTGAAGTGCCGCTCAGAAACAGCGGTAGTCTACAAGCCCCAAAACCTCCTTCCCAGCCTGATTCGTCAGCTTTACTGTCTGGGTCACCTTCCACAAGCACTTTCTTTCTCTAAGCTTATTGTTCTTATCTACAAAACATAGCTCAGTTCCCTGTCTTCTTCCTAAGAAGGTTGTATAAATCAAATACACTGATATTTGTGGAATTACTCTACAAACCATAAGTTTTGCTGCAAACTCGCTGTTTAACCTTGAACAAGCTATGAGGTCTCTGGGTATGACATGGCACACTTTAGCAGAGTGCTACTTCCTGATTCTCAGAGGGAAGTTATTGGTGCACTTCACCAAGCAGTAACCAATTCACAGAAGTTTAGAACTGCAAGATAACTTAATGCTTTAATTTCACAACAATATACAGTCTGATGTATACAGAGGAGTTGAAAATCCACGAAACTCTGAAAGTTGTTGGTGCCTCCACAGTTCCAATGAGCCAGAGGTATGTAAGACAATAGATGATGAGTGTTCTCTCCTTGACTGAACTCTAGCCAGGCTCCTCTGGGCCCTCTTTTGACAAGGCCTCACTCTTGTCCTATAAAGACTTCAGTAAACACTAATATAGTTTCTAGCAGTTCAAGGCCACCTTCCTAGGCTCACCATAAGCCCCCTAAAAGTGCTGTCCTGAGAAAACTCAAGGCTGCCCAAAGAGTTTACTGTTTGTTTCAGCCGACACCTGAAGACAGGATCCTCATCTCTCAGTCTCTGTGGGAGGGTGGGAATCCAACTTCAATAAGCACCAATTAAAAAACCCAGATAGGTTTCACACAGACCGAACCCTCATTTCTACTTTCTGTAATTTTCCATTTCTCTGAATACTAAGCCCCTGCACACCCACTCCCCACTCACTTGTTCTTCTTGTGTAACACACAGTCATTTCTGCACAAGTCACAGTTGAGCTCAGCTCACCCTGGACTCTTTTCCCTAATGCAGTGGCGTATGACTGATTAAAATCTGTCCTTACCATGTCAACTATTGTCCTGCTTTGTTTATCTTTAACATAAGTTTCTGGAAAGAAAATTGAAGGCAAAAGAAAGGCTTTGACAACTCTATCTCTTGGCAAATGTGCTCTGATGTTTTCAGAGGGCCAAGAGTTCAGATATGGTGAAACAGTTTCACTTGTTCTCCTAAAATAAACAAATTTGTCTGCTACTGACAGGAAGGATAACCTCTTGTCCAGATCTATAGGACTCTAGCAAGAATAAAAGGAAGTACATTAAGTAACTAGCAGGGAGCAGTTATTTTTGACTACATTTGTAAAGCACAGATACATTTCTTATACATTTATGTGACATTTAGGGGCACGAGAGCGTAAAAGCTTCAATTATTGCAGCCAAGGAGACTATTTTATATTGCTTATGAGAAGTAGCACAGAGTCTGTGATATTTGCACTACAGGCAAGCTTTTCTTAAGTCAGGTTATGCACTGAAGTTTAATTCTTTTCACAAAAATGTAAGTCTTTAAACACCCTTTACATTGTACAAAGAATCTGAAAGGGGAGTAGAGAAGGAGAAAAACATAACTAAAGCACAACATAAAAAAATAAGACCCATTCCAGAACAACTCGGAGGAGCAGCAGTTTGCAAAATACACACAGGCACTTCTAGCATTCTGTGATTTTAAAACTCGGAGGAATAGAGCTTGATAGATTTTTAGAAATATACTAGATGATACTTCTGCTTAAAATCTGAACTGGAATAATGTCAGTCAGAAAGAGATGGAAATGTCTTTGCTATGGATATTAAAAGCCCGGAAGTAAGCAATCAATCATTTCAACACAATGACAAGCAGGAAAAACAGAAGCAGATCATATGGCAGGAACTTGCAGTATGAAAAGATGACATCTGGACCAGTGTGGCACGGTGCCAGTCATCATGGTCAGCACTAAATGAAAAACAAAAGTTAAATGAATGAACAGACTTTCTCTTGGCCTTACCAAACTAATGATTTATTTCTCTTGTAGTGAAGAAGGATTGCAAGTCAATACCAGATACAATTATTCAATTCAACAATATGTATTAAGCCAGGAACTGATCGAGGCCCTGGGAATACAACAGGAAACAAAATAGAGGGGACAAAAAATCATTCAAGTTCCTAAAAAGAGGTTCCATTCTAGTGGACAGAGGCAAATGAAGTTAGGTGAAATATTCAGTGTAATTATTATACCAGCCAATATCAAGTACCACAGAGGAAAATAAAGCAGAAGGTGGAAACAGGAAGCACTGGCTCGGTGGGAGAGCCGAGCCCTGGATTCAGGAAACGGGCAAAAAGCCCTGGCAGTGAAGGTGACATCAGAGCTAAGCCCCAGGAAGAAATGGGGAGAGCCATGCAGACATTGGGGGAAGAGTGTTCTGGCACATGGAATCGCAGGTGCAAAGCACTGTATAAAGAGGCCCATGTAGGCCTAGAGAATGTTCAAAAAGAATAGGGACGAATGGTCAGACTCATCATAGGCCATGGAGAGTGAGATGTAAGTCACTGAGAGATACTAATCAGACTTGAATTGACTTTATTATAACAAGATCACTGTGGCTGTTGTGTCAAGAATAGACTGGAGGAGAGTGAATAATGACAGATGAGGAAACACTCTGCTTCCAGGCAGAAGACCGTACTCACCCAGGCTGCTCAGAGGAGATTGCAGCAGAGAGGCAGTGAGACAATGAGCTGCTACACTCTTAATGATGTAAATGTAGAGGGAGAAAAAGAGAAGAAAAATTTTGACTTCAGCAACTGTGAAACTGGGCACCGTTAAAGAAAAGTAGAAAAGTTTGAGAGGAAAAATCAAGTATTAGGTTTGGATATCTTAACTTCATATTCTTTTTAGACCTCTGAGGATCTACGTTGAACTACATGTACAGTCATGCATCCCACAATGATGGTTCGGTTAAAGAAACACCATATATGAAAGCAGTTCTGTAAGATTATAAAGGAGTTGAACACTTCCATTCGCCTGGTGACATGGTAGCCATCACAGTGTCAAGCAATGCATTACACAAGTGAATGTCAACAAATCCATTTTATAGACTGTGTTGCCAGTCTATAGAAGTCTGCACACACAGTTATCCAGTACATAATACTGGATAATGATAATAAATGACTATGCTACTGGTTTATATATTTACTATACTACAATTTTTATCATTATCTATCATTATTACTTCTACATATACAAAAAATAGTTAACTAAAAAATGGCCCCAGTTAGGTCCTTCAGGAAGTATCCAGATGAAGGCATCATTATCACAGGAGATGACAGCTCCATGCCTGTTATTGTCCCTGAAGACCTTCCAGGGGGACAAGATGTGGAGGCAGAAGACAGTGACATTGATGATCCTGAACCTATGTAGGCCTAGGATACTGTGTGTGTGTGTGTGTGTGTGTGTGTGTGTGTGTGTGTCTTAATTTTTAACAAAATGCTTAAGTAGTAAAGAAAAAAATTAAAAATAAAATAAAACATATAGTATAGTAAAGATATTAAAAAATATTTTGTACAGTTTTATAATGTGTCTGTGTGTTAAGCTTTGTTCTTACAGAGTCAAAAAGTTAAAAAAATTAAGTTTATAAAGTAAAAAAGTTACAGCAGGCTAAGGTTTATTATTGAAGAAAGAAAAATATGTTTTATAAACTTAGTCTAGCCTGGCTGTCCAGTGTTTATAAAGTCTACAACAATGTATAGTAAGTAAAGTCATAGGCCTTCACATTCAGTCACCACTCACTCACTCACTTATCCAGAGCCACGGCAAGTCCTGCAAGTTCCATTTGTGGTAAGTTCCCAATATAAGCATACCGTTATTGATCTTATATACTGTATTTTTGCTGTACTTTACCTATGTTATGTATGTGTATGTTTATGTATGTGTAGATACACAAATGCTTACCATGCTGTTACAATTGCCAAGGACAGAAACATGCTGTATGGGTTTGTAGCCTAAGAGCAATAGGCTATACCATATAGACCAGGTGTACAGTAGGCTCTACCATCTCAATTTGTATAAGTATCCTCTATTATGTTCACATGACAAAATTGCCTAACAACACATTTCTCAGAAAGTATTCCCATTATTTAGTGAAAAGTGATGACTGTATATGCGTCTAGACTTCAGGTGAGAAGTCTTGGTTGACTAGGAAATTGTATTCTTAGCATAATCTCTAAAGACATGAAACCAGATGAAACAATAGATTTCTAATGACTGAGACACTACAAGATCTCAAGATCAAGATGCTAAAAAAACAACAATAACAGAAAAAAAGTCTAAGAAGGAGTAACTTGTGAGATTGTAGGAAAACCAGGACACAAGTTTTTTCTGGAAGTCAAGTGATAAAATATTTCTAGGGTATGGGAATGATCAGTTGTGACAAATATACTCATTGCTAATCCACTAGGTCTCACTAAGATGAGTGTTTATTGTTTTAGCAACATAAGGCTTGGTGGTAACCTTAAAAATTTTCAGTGATCCAGGTGGGAGAAATAGGACTTGAAGGAATTCATAGTGAAATAAAGGAGGGAAGGATTTAGATACAGGAAGTACATGACTCCTCTGAGTTAAGGGAGCAGAGAAATAAGGTGGTAATTACAGAAAATTAATTTTTAGCTTTTTTGATTGAAAAAATAACAATATATTTATATACTTATGGGAATAATCTATGAAGGCATGGGGACTAAAGATATAATAGAAAAAGGAAAGAATTTATGGAAAGCGATGCTCTTGAATAGGCCAGAGGGAATGGGGTGAGATACAAAAGTGGATGGTGCAGCTTTGGATAGACCCAAGACAATTGTATGCATATAATTATCACAATAAAATGTGTACAATTCTGATTCCTCAGTGTTCATTTAGACAGAGAACAGCTTCGTGGAGTCACAGAGTTGCCTAGTTTAGGTAAATACAGCTTAAATTTTATATTCTCAAAGGACAAAGTAAGTAAGTAGCTCACAGAAGGCTCCCTTTTAAAAAGCTAATTATATTCTAGGTGTGCCACTCATTACACAGACATTGGATAAAATAAGTCTATTAAATAGCATAAAACAAGTTCAAATCGTCTTACTATTGGACCTCAAGATTCTTCTTTAAGTTATGAAGTGATTTGGCTATGCAATTATAATTATTCCAGGATTGCCACAATCTAAAAACTATGTAATTATGAGCTTCTATCTTGGAATTTATATCAGAAAGCAAGAAACTTTCTTAGTTCCTTGTTAATATGAAGGTCCGGGATGTTAAAAATTCAAGGTCTGTGAAATGATAGATATTAGAACAATAACCCTTTTGATGGGACAAAGTAGTGAAAAGTGTTGGCATATCTATCTAGATAATTGCCAGACAATCTAGATAATGTAAATAAACATTTGGACTGGCAATTGGTCATTTATTCAAATAAAATTTATTTTAATGTGTAGTATTTTAAGAAGTCCTATTAGAAAGTATATTCTGTATTTTAAGCTTGTCCTTATTCCAAGCTTTATGGTGACAAAATATTTCTCTCCAAGATGCAGTATGAGGCTTTTGGATAAAATTAGAACTGAAGGAAAAGGAGAAGGCAAGGACATGGAGAATGAAGTGCTCTTTCTTTAAAGAATGTTTCAACAAACATTGTGGAGGTAAAAAAAAAAAGCTTCTTACTGTTTCTTCTTTAATTTTTTACCTTGATACACTTATTGAATAATAAGGAGTGGTACAATCCTTATTTCCAAGAATTGTAATGCAAGTTATTTGGTGATTTGGCCTTTTCTCCTCTCTTACAAAAATCATATCATCTCAGAAGAAAACAAGCAGTATTATTAGTTAAACCTTCTATCTTATTTAGCTTTATATATAAATCTGAGAAAATGGAAGGATGAAGAAAGTTTTCTAAAATGGCAATAAAAAAGACAAACCAAAAAATTCAATTTTAATAATAAAAGTAAATATCATATATTTTCTAGTTTACAGTAACTAATTTCTAAGGTTTCATCTTTTTCTGTAAAATTGAGAGTTCTACTTGCAGTTTTTCCTTCTAGTTCTACTCCCTGGCTATCAGCATGAAGTTATAGATTCATTAAAACATACCCAGTTTTTATGCTTAAAGATATGGATGCATAGGCATCAAATGAGAAAAAACTTTAGGGCATAAGAGTATCTTGCGATCAGCTAATACAAAGCTGAATAAATGGTATGTAAGTGACAGAGTAAAATGAGGATTTATTGACAAGGCAATGAGCCCTGCCTGAGCATAAGGCATGGAGGGTGACCCACACAGACACCGCAGAGGGTGTGCTCCTCTAGAGCTGACTTCTCATTCTCTCTCTAATGAGCAGAGATTCCAATGCCTACTCTGTCAATATCCTGAACATTTTCACTGCAGTATTCTTTTACACTGACCTGCTACTTTGTGTGTGAGGGGACCTCACCTGAATAAATCCGAATTCTCTGCCAGCTCTGCAAAAACCCTGAACTGCTGAATGCTATTGGAGAAAAATTAAACAAATGCACACATCAGTGCTACCATTGTCTTGTGGATGCCAGACTCCACTGGGTTCTTAGCTCTTCCCACTAATCCTTCTATGTCAATACTCTCTCCAGTTCTCAGTAGACAAGAATTCAGAACAATTTCTCTATTCTCAAACATAACCTTCTGGCCACCTGATTTATTTTCAGCAAATAGCCTTATTTTGTATTTTTCTTTTAAAAAGCCACCTAAAAATAACATCAACATTAATCTAAACTCCCACAAATATTCATATAGCTGCAACTGTCCTTTCTTTTTTTCATTTTCTGTTTCACACTCCATTGAGTGGCCTTGCCAATCTTAATGTTGAACTCTTCACCAGAGTTCAGGATTTTATTCACTCCAGAATTTTTGAAACCTCTGTTCACTGATTATTTCTTCTTCTCTTATTTCATTATTATCTTCATTTCCATTAGTCTTTCACAATCTCTCGATTCTCACATGTTAAAAGAAAAGGCCAAGTTCACATCATCTTACCATTGGACTCAACATTCTTATTTAAATTATGAGGTGATTTGGCTATGCAATTACTACACCTTTTTCCTAGCACTTACATTCTGTTAATTATAAGACCCATGAGGGCATTGAAATAATAAAGTGTCCTTTACTACATTTTAAGATCTGGGATGATTCTAAATGAAATGAAAAAGTAGCCATTATCTTTAATTCTCTACCTTTGAGGTACCCTTTAGCCCATTCAGTGTCTTACTAAGTTCCTGACTTTTCCTCCATAAAACATTGTCATCTTTCATCTCATTATATGAGGATGTTTCTTAGGTTCAGAGAAAAAAAAAATGAGTAGCTATAGTCAAAGTGAGGAGATTATATTACATAATATTTAACAGTTTTTTTTAGCCATGAATCCGTATTTCTTGGGTTACTACAATTCAGCACATAGCTCTTTATAAAGTTCCATTATAAGAATAATGATCTTGGCCAGGCACGGTGGCTCACTCCTGTAATCCCAACACTTTGGGAGGCCAAGGCAGGTGGATCACCTGAGGTCAAGAGTTTGAGACCAGCCTGGCCAACATGGTGAAACCCCGTCTCTACTAAAAATACAAAAAAAAAAAAAAATAGCCGGGCATGGTGGCGGGTGCCTGTAACCCCAGCTACTATGGAAGCTGAGACTGGAGAATCACTTGAATCCAAGAGGCAGAGGTTGCAGTGAGCCGAGATTGGGCCATTGCACTCTAGCCTGGGTGACAGAGTGAGACTCCATCTCAAAAAAAAAAAAAAAAAGAAGAATAAAAATAATAATCTTGAATATTATACCCAATATCATGTGGATAATAGGAAAGAAGAATTTATTTTTTCATGTCTCAATTATACTAAGACGAAGCATATTATACTACAGGAAATAAGTTTTATAGGTATATCCATATACTTGTATGTACACATATACACCCATCACAATTTAAAAACACTGAAAAGGCTTGTAGTAAAATTCAATAAACTACAGACTATATAATGGATATCCTGAGGGACTAGAAGGTTAAAGGTAGAGGGTAGAAAGGATTTGAGAGGAAGAGAACTTTCCCCATATGTTTACATGCTTAAGAATTCAAAGGTATTTTCAACAGGAATATAATGGTTCTAATGTTTCATTCGTTCAATAATCAACACCACTCTTCAACATAAATCCCAGAGAACACAATAACAAAGACTTGGGACCAACCCAAAATCCCATCAATGATAGACTGCATAAAGAAAATGTGGCACATATACACATGGAATATTATGCAGCCATAAAAAAGAATGAGTTCATGTCTTTTGCAAGGACATGGATGAAGCTGGAAGCCATCATTCTTGGCATACTAACACAGGAACAGAAAACCAAACACTATATGTTCTCACTCATAAGTGGGAGTTGAAAAATGAGAACACATGGACACAGGGAGGGGAATATCACACACACTTGGCCTTTCGGGGTGTGGGAGGGAAGGAGAGGAGAGCATTAGTACAAATACCTAATGTGTGTGAGGTTTAAAACCTAGATGATGGGTTGATAGGTGCAGCAAACCACCATGGCACATGTATACCTACGTAACAAACCTGCACTTTCTGCACATGTATCCCAGAACTTAGAGTAAAATGAAAATAAAACAACAACGACGACAAAAAAAAAACCTCAGAAAAATTTACAACAGAGGAAGAAAAATTTTTAAATAAAAGCTATTACTGAAAATAAAGAAATAAATAGAGTGAGTGTCAAAGAATCATACTTAGAGAACCTTGTAAAGTGCCCCCCTCCCGCTTTGGCCCTGACCTCACTCTGGGCTTTGCACCTGCCAGTACTCCCATGCATGTGGTGGGAAAAATAAGCCCAGAGAAAAGTCTTATTCCCACCTTTTGGGTGAATAAAACCCTTATGTATCATTCTCCTTGAACTTCTTAAAGATATGATAATTTTAAGTATACATATAAGCATGCATGCAATGACTAGTGTTTTTTCCACAAAAAAAAGATTTAAAACATGTAAATGGTATTTATTAATTACACATTTCTGCAGAAATAATACTTTGCTTTCAACTTCCTCTATCTATATGTATTTAATCTCTAGCCAAGAAAGTGAACAAATGCAAAATCAAAATATAATTATCACTAGTGTTATTCTAATAAAGGTGATTTTAGTATGTGTGAGCACTTTACTAAGAATAAGCTTTCAGCATTATATTTTGAACTATTTTTATAAATTAATACTTAAAGCAATACATAAAACATAATTGTTCTCAAGAGGTCCATTACTAAATAAAACCCACTTCCACCCATACAGCGATGGCAAAGCATTTAATCAGGACAAGCATGCTGCTTAGAATTCCCCCTTTCTGCTGATGGTAGGCACTATCATGAAAGGCAATTTAAGTTTCTTCCAACACCACCCATTTGTCAATGCAGATGTGTGGGAGTTTGTTTCCAGGTAACAAGGTTGCTGAGGCTCCCTGTATGCACTTAAGGCTTATACCCACCAAGGTTTAGTTAACTATGAAGTGTCTCTAATAATAGAAAAGTTAACTTGCTTCAAATCAAGTGTGCAAATTTCTGTACATTTGAAATAAAAAATTTTCCCCAAATTTAAGAAATATATCAAATCCTAATATGTAAAATGGACTCTTAATATGCAAAATTGCCAAGTTAGTGCCCGGTGGTGGACCTGCTACAAATGGAGGTACAGTTAGTCCCTGTAGAACTTGCTTATTCACAACTCTCTTACTTTTTTCTCCCACACACCTTGACCTATTATACAACGTGGTACCATTTCTGAATATTTTTTATCTTCTTACATTCTTATTCTGAAAACTATTACAATACAATAATGTAATTTGGAAAGTCTCTTTCTATTTACAAATCTATGTTACATAGCTCCAAAAATATGGGTCAGATATGTATAAGTTTCCAGTGTGTTCCAGTTCTGTTCCCGCAAAGGAAGACATGTTGTAAGGGAGGCGTGGAAACAGTACAGTATAATGATAGCTCAGGAGGAGAAATCATTAAGAATTCTCCTTTCAGACATTATTTTTTAACAGCTTTAATGGGATAGAATTTATACACCCTAATATTCACCAATTTAAATGCCATAATTCATTGGTTTGTAGTATTTATACAGTTGTGCAAACATCACAGCTATCTAATTTTAGAACATGCCACCATACCAAAGAGAAGTACTCACAAGCATTCACACCCCATTCTTCTCTACCCCATATGCTGGCAACCACGAACCTATTTTCTGTCTCTATGGATTTGCCTATTCTGGACATTATATATAAATGGAATCACAACATATGTGCTCTTTTGTAACTGGATTATTTCAATAGCGTAATGTTTTCAAAGCTCATCTCAGTTATACAGCATGTATCATTACTTTCTTCTTTCTTTTTCTTATTCTTATTTCTTATTCTTATTCTCAAATATTCTTCCATTATAGAGATGTACCATATTTTGTTTATCTCTTTATCAGTTGATGGATATTTAGGTTATTTTCACCCTCTGGCTATTATGAATAATATTGTACACGTTTTTGTGTGGATAAATGTTATGTTATCATTTCTCTTGGGTATAACCCTAGGAGTAGAATTCCTAGGTTGTGTGGTCACAGTTTAACACTTTAATGAACGGCCAGAGTGTTTTCACAGATGGCTGCACCATTTTACAATCCCACCAGCCTTGCATCGGGGCTCCAATTTTTTCATATCCCCATCAACACTTTCTATTACCTTTCTTTTTGATCACAGGCATCCTAGTGTATATGAAATGCCATTTAATTGTGTGGTTTTGATTTGCAACTGGCAGGTAAAAAGATGTTGATCATCTTTTTCATGTGTTTATTGTTGATTTGCATACCTCCTGTGGAGGAGAGCCTGTTCAGACTCTTTGTCCATTTTAAGTTAAATTATTGTCTTTTTATTATTGAGTTGTAAAAGCTCTTCATGTATTCTGTATACAAGTCTATCATCAGATACATAATTTGCCAACACTTTTTCCAGTTTTCTAGGCTGCCCTTTGATTCTCTTAATGGTGTCTTTTGAAGAATACAAGATTTTTATTTTGATAAGTTCAATTTGTCCATTTTTTCTATTGCTACTCAAGCTTATTGGCCATATCTAAGAAGTCTTCCCATAACACACCATCATGAAGACTTCCTTCTATGTTTTCTTCTAAGAATAATATTTGTAGTTTTAGGCCTTATTTATGCTTATGATCCATTTTGAGTTATGTTTGTTATGTGGGGAAGGAGTCAAACTTAATCATGTTACATGTGTCTTGGCACTGCTTATTTACAAGACACTTCTTTCTCCATTAAAATGCCTGTGCACAAATTGAAAATAGATTTACCATAAATATAGGTGTTTATTTATGGAATCTCAAGTCTATTCCATTAACCTCTATGTCTATCATTACGCCAATATTACACCATTTTGATTTTTGTAGTTTTGTAATACATTATGTATTTTATGTAGTTTTGTAATACATATATACAAGAAGTAAGAAATTGTGAGGCCTCTAACATTGTTCTTTTAGGGGATTTTTTTGGTTATTCTGGATCCATTGCATTTCATATGAATGTTCAAATCACATTGTCAATTTCTGCAAAATTGTATAAGTAACCAAGCTAGAATCTAATAAAGATTGTATAAAATCTTTTGATCAATATGGGACGTGTTGCCATCCAATTATTTACAGTTTCAGTCTTACATTCCTTTTGTTGGTGTTGTAATTGTTTTTCTTAGTTCCATTTTCAGATTGTTCATTATAGTATATAGAAATATAATTTACTGAATTCATTTATAAGTTTTAATAAATGTTGGTGAATTTATGATTTTCTATGTACAAGATCATATGATTTCTAAATAGAGACAGTTGTATTTCTTTCTTTCATTTCTTTTTTCTTCCCCTTAATTACCCTTGCTAGAACTTCTAATAATGTTGCATAGAAGTGGCAAGAGCACAGATCCTTGTTTTGTTCTTGATCTTACAGGAAAGATACTCTGTTTTACACAATAAGTTATGTTAGCTATAGGTTTTTCATGGATACTTTTTATCAAATTGAGAAAGTTTACTTTTGTTTTTAATTTATTTAGTGTTTCTACCATGAAAGGATATTGACTTTTGTGATATGCTTTTCTTTTATATTACTTCCATATTACTATAATTACACAGATTTTCTTTATTACTGTATCAATATATTACATTGTTTGGTTTTTAGATGTTAAAACTACCTTGTATTCATGAGATAAATCAAACATGTTCATGATGCATATTCCTTTTAATAGGTTGCTGATTTAGATTCATTAGTATTTAACCAAGGAGTTTTGTGTCTATATTTCTAGAGACAGGGGGATGTAGTTTTCTTTTAATGTTTTTGCCTGGTTTTTGGCATTAGGGTAACACTCGCCTCATAATGTAAGTTGGGAAGTGTTTCATCTTACCATGTTTTTAGAAAGATTTTGCTAAAAATTATATTGACTATTTATTGCATGTTTGGTAAAATTCACCAGAAGGGAAAGGTATAGTAAAACCTGGACTTTAATTTGTTGGAAGTTTTCAAAATAATAATTCAATCTGTTAACTGCTTATATATCTATTCAGATTTTCTGTTTTTTGAGTCAATTTCTATAGTTTATATCATTTTTAAGAGTTAATTCGTTGCATTTAAGTTATTGAATTTATTTGTATACAGTTTTCCAGGGTACTAATTTATCATTCTCTTTAATTTTGTAAGGTCATTATTAAGATCTTTCTTTCATTCTTGATTTTAGTAATTTGAATCTTCACTCTTTTAAATGGTCATTCCAGCTAAAAGTTTGTCGATTTTAGAAAATGATTTCAGAGAACCAACTTTTGGTTTCCCCAATTTTCTATATCTTCTACTTTACATTTTTTAAAATTTATTTTTAGTGACTCTGGATACATAATAGTTATATATATTTATAGGGTACAGGTGATGTTTTCACATAGGCATGCTCTCTATAATGATCAAATTAGGGTAATTGTATGCATCACCTCAAGAATTTATGACATTTTTGTGTTAGAAACATTCCAATAACTCTTTCAGTTGTATTTAAATATACAGTAAATTACTGTTACTATATTTTTTCTCTCATCTTTTTTATTCCTTTTTTCTGTTTATTTTGCTGCTTTTTCATTTTTTAATGAAAAAGACTAGGTTACTCATTTGAAATGTTCTTTAAATATAGGCATATAATCTATAAATTTATCTCTATGTAGTGCTTAAGTTCTATGCATTAATAAGCTTTTGTGTGTTGTGACTTCATTTTCACTTATATCAAAGTATTTTGTGCAAAGCATTCTCATTATTCATACATTGGTTATTCTCTAAAGTTCTATTAAATTTTCTTTGTTTCTTTTTCTCTGTTCTTCAGATTGCATAATCTCTAGCAACATACATTCAAATTTTCTGATTATTTATTCTGCCAGCTCAAACCTACTGATGAATTCATGTAGTGTATTTTTCATTTCAATTATTGATTGTGCTTTTTAACTCCAAAATTTTCATTTGATTCTTTTCAAAATAATTTTCTCTATTTACCTATATTGCCTACCTGATGAGACATTGTCATCCTACACTTCTTTACTCTGTGTATCATTTGCACTAATTCTTCTAACATATTGATAATAGCTGCTTTGAAGTCTTCTGCTAAATCTGGCATCTAGAAGTTACTGTAACTTGGTTTATTTCATATGTATGGGACACAGTTTCTGTTTGTTTTTGTGTCCTAATTTTTTTGTTGAAAATTGAACATTTTAGATAATATATTGTAACAACTCTGCACGCCCATTTTTATCCCCTTTATCCCAAGGCATTTTGTTGTTTTGTGTCTGTTTCTCTAGCTACTTGGTTAGATTATTTCTCTGGAGTCTCTTTTCCTGCCATGTACAGTCTCTGGTGTCACTCCTCACAAGTCACAGCCTTGAGCCTGTGTACAGTCACCCTGGGTTATCAATGGTTTTAATAGAACTCTTTTGACTCTTTCTTTCCTTCATTGCTAATATTAGGTTCGTGCAAAGGTAATTGCAGTTTTTGCCATTAAAGGTAGTGGCATAACCTTTAATAAAAGGTTAATTTAACTTTGGGAGGCTGAGGTGGGCAGATCGCGAGGTCAGGAGATTTTGACCATCCTGGCTAACACGGTGAAACCCCGGCTCTACCGAAATTACAAAAAATTAGCTGGGCATGGTGGCGGGCGCCTGTAGTCCCAGCTACCCAGGAGGCTGGGGCAGGAGAATGGCTTGAACCCGGGAGGCAGAGGTTGCAGTAAGCCGAGATCACGCCACCACACTCCAGCCTGGGTGGCAGTGCCAGACTCCGTTTCAAAAAAAAAAAAAAAAAGGTTAATTTAATTAAAGGAAAAAATCCACAATTACTTTTGCACCGACCTAATATTATAGCAGGCTGTTAGCGTCCACTAATTTCAGGATAATTTCACAACTATATTCAAAAATGCTCTGGGCATAAATTGTTCCACTGTCTGATCCAATTAAATTTGGGCCCTATTTCAAGAATAGATTTTGGAAACAGATTTTGAGGTTGTTGTGACCCCAAGAAGACTCTTTTTAGGTGTATCTTATCCTGCAGTATGCCTTTGAGATAATTTCCAGAGACTTTAAATAATTGTTTATTTACTTTTGTTTTATAATTTTAATTTTTATGGTTGTTTCACATTGCCATTCTGGAAATTATTCTTCTAACTCATTCTTATTCTTGTATGTTTTATTTATACTCTTAATTTTTCAGGCATCCTATGATTTTGTATTTGACACTCTTATATATATTGTTTTCACTACATATTCACCATCTGCTTAGATATGACTCCCCCCTCCTGGGGTCCAGTATGACACTTCAACTTAATTGGAAGTATCTCCTCATGGAAACCAACATGTTATTCAAACTCAGAATTTCCAAAATGTAATTTGTCATACTTTTCCAAACATAACCTACTTTTCATTTCCCAACATAAGCTAAGGGCAAATGGAATTGCTCATTCTAGCTAGGAATTTTGGGATACTCTTGCATTTTAATCTCAGCATCTATTACAGAAGACTTTTCTTCTCCATACCCAGATATTTATTTATATTTACATATTTATTTATTTATTTGTTTATCTATTTTGAGACCGTGGCTCACTCTGACGCCCAAGTGGAGTGCAGTGGCACGATCATGGCCTTGACTTCCTGGGTTCATGTGACCCTCCCACCTCTGCCTCCCGAGCAGCTGGGACTACAGGCATGCACCACAACACCTGGCTATTTTTTTTTTTTTTGTACTTTTTGTAGAGATGAGGTCTTATGGTGTTTCCCAGGCTGGTCTCCAACTCCTGAGCTCAAGCAATCTGCCCTCCTTGGCCTCCAAAAGTGCTGGGATTACAGGCATGAACCACATTACAGGCATGAACCACTCCAAAAGTGCTGGGATTACAGGCATGGCCACTCAGATGTTTATTATTTAATCTGGGCTATACTGAGTATCATGTACACATATTCTGATAAAATTGGCAACACAAGAAATTGGAAAAGTCATTAATATTGCACAATCCCAATGATTTGCCTGGTGTGATACCTCCAGCTTAACCACAATTGACTTAATCGATAATTAGAATCTTACTCCAATTCAGGCCAGTCATATGAGAGGGGGTCATAATGAGTGCTCCACCCACACTGTAGAACACTCTTCATTATCTGAAGAACAGTGACCCAATTAGATCCTTTATCAGGAAAGTGGAAGTAAAATATATACAGTTCTGCTTGGCACAAGAAATTCAGATTATTGCAGTTTTTCTGTTGATCTGGGCATATTTTTCCCCTTTTTTATTTTATACATTACCCTAATGCCAGAAACTTACCTCGATAGGTCTGATCAGCACAACTTTTGCTTTGAAAGTTTTTAGGATGTTTTATAATAGAACTAATACTAAAATATTGTTCACTTCAATAAATTCAAATGAACCTAATTCTTTTATTTGTAGAACTCTAACACTTTTCTATAAAGCCTATCTCACTAGGTCTTTGTTATAAAAAGAAATTATTTGGATTTTTAATAAGTAGACTTCTATGAAACCTTTGATACATGAAAAATATGTACTTATAAAATATAAAGGTCATATCAGATTTACTAAGTCAAATAGAGATCATTATCATTATCATCATGGAATGAATGCCAAACAGGTGTCTATAAATATAATCAAAGTTTAAAAAACAATCACATGAATTTGGTATTACCTATCATGAGAGAATATGCCACCAAATAACTGAAGAAAACCATCCCTTCTGCTGAGTTATTTGCAGTAGTGAATTTGATTATCAAAACTTGCATTGCCATTGTTTATGCGCCTTATTTAACTGTATTTATTTTATGTAATATAATTTATATGAACTATTTTTAGTCATTAACCCCTCATATTGTAATGATAAAAAAATTTCTATTGTCATCTATAACTAAAAGCCTAATCTATATTAACAAAATGGTATCACAACTTAATATTGTTAATATCCTCTCCAGAGATAATAAGAAATGTGATTTCAATATTGATTTTAATAGATTTAAAACATTGTAGGCTCGGTGCGGTGGCTCATGCCTGTAATCCCAGCACTTAGGAAGCCGAGACGGGCAGATCATTTTAGGTCAGGAGTTTGGGACCAGCCTAGCCAACACGGTGAAACTCCATCTCTCTTAAAAATAGCCAGGCATGGCGATGCGCACCTGTAGTCCCAGCTACTCAGGAGGCAGAGGTGGCAGTGAGTGGAGATCGTGCCACTACACTCCAGCCTGGGCGACAGAGTGAGACCCTGTCTCAAAACAATAAAAATTAAACAAACAAACAAAAAAACATTGTGGCTGCTTCCACTTTTAAAACATGTTCAGTATATTTCAACCATCACTTTGTGCCTCTGAAACTTTCATTCTCAATTCATTATTATGACATTTTAGTACCTTAGGAATCTAATCCTGGCCACCAGAGGGAAAGCTGATTAATTAGAATTCAACCAAAAACAACTTTCAGACAATTTTCCTTCTGGAAATTGGTAAGGCAGAGGTAAAAAAAACATACTCCAACAGAAGAACAGATTGCTTTATGATACAGATGCTTACAATTTTAAGATTACCGAGACAACTTACTTTCCATGACACACCTCCAGCCAAACATTTTTAATGCTATTATTGGGGAATGGGCAACCTTTTAATGAAATCAGCCATGTAAGAATTCCTTAAACTATACTTAGCATGCTGTACTTAGCATGCTGATTCTCTTCCTACTATAAAGTATCGATTCTTCAACTTACTTTGCATGAAATGTAGTGATCTTATTTTTTAAATAAAATTTAAAAACAACATTTATTTTTTAAATAAGATTTTACAACAAACAATACAAGTAATTGAACCATATAAGTTATACATTTAGGTGTAAAACATTAAGGAAAATTTTATATCTCAAGTCATTCATTTGATACTGGAAATAATTTATATTTGACCCTATCTAGGCTGGGCGCAGTGGCTCACGCCTATAATCCCAGCACTTTGGGAGGCCGAGGTGGGCGGATTACCTGAGGTCAGGAGTTTGAGATCAGCCTGGGCAACATGGTGAAACCCCGTCTCTACTAAAAATACAAAATTATCCGGGAGTGGTAACACATGCCTGTAATCCCAGCTACTCGGGAGACTGAGGCAGGAGAATCGCTTGAATCTGGGAGGCGGAAGATGCAGTGAGCCGAGATCATGTCATTGCACTCCAGCCTGGGCAACAAGAGTAAATCTCTGTCTCACCAAAAAAAAATAAATAAATAAAAATAAAAAAATTATATTTGACCCTATCCAATCCAAGAGAAATATATTGTTTAGAAATAGTAAAAACAAGAAATTCTCACAACATGAACTATAATGCCAAATGTTTGAGCTTCATTCCAAACAGGATTTTTAATCTAATATTTGAAAGATAAAATGTCACAAAAGAAAACTAGTATAATGGATAGTAAGAAATACAGTGGCTATAGAAGAGAACAAGGCAGAATTGTGCCTCAGAGTAATAAACTGAACTGGCACATCCATGAAAGTTAAATCCTACCAAGGCCACAGGATAACAGTACCCCCCATTCATCTCACTGGGAATGAATTTTCTCATGAATAAAATGAAACGTAGTTTCAAATTTTCAGTAGAGCAACATTATCTTCTTACTTTAAACGGGGGCAAGACAAGAATTCAATAACTGTGATTATTCTATACCACTGTTCTGCAAACCTTTTAAAAGCATCAGGGCAGTGAAGTAGACAGCACCATCCCAGCCCTCTCTGGGGGCCTCTGTTGGTTGCTGTGACTGACAAGGACCCATGTTGGCCTTCAGCTGGTAAGTCAGGGCTATCCAGGGCAAGAGCAGTGAATTATTGGGTGTTTAGGCACCACACTCAGTGCTCTTATACATATTATCTCATTTGGTTATGTAAGCTGTGATCTCATAAATTTCTCAATAATAAAAAGCAAACGAGATTATTTGTATTTAGAAATCCAAAAAACAAAAGGATTATTTAAATATATAAAATTCACATTATTTATGTTTAAAGACTGAATTTGATATTCTTATTGAATGCAGTATAAATGATATATACACATAAAGCACATTAAATGCACAATTTTATAAAGATGTTACCTGAATTTTGAAAAATGTGCAAATATTTTATTTTTGCTTCAAATTCTCTAAACTTTTACTTGATGAATAGACAACTCGCTGTTTACAATGATTAATCAGAAAGTTCCTATGTTAATGTTTTTCCTTTTTCAGTTATAGCTGAGTTTCAAATAATATAATTATGTAACAAAGACAAGTTGTCAAGCATCAAAATGATTGCATAACTATGGCATAACACTTGAGGTTTTACGGTCCATGAAATGACTGTGGTATAAATCCCCCTCTTCCTGAAGCATCCTTTGGGTAGGGATGAGAGGAAACTGCATTTATAAAGGTTCATTGGTATAACTTTAGACAAGCACTGTAGCCTTTGAAAAACTGTATTAAAAGTATACACAGTGCATAATGTTTAATGCTTTTTAAAAATCAATAACTTTACAACTCAATTGAATTGGATTACATCAATTTTACTGTAGTTCCCATCTCTCACAATTTAATACTAATTCTGAAGTATTCTGACATCTTCTATGAGTATTGTAGGAAACATGGACATAAGTGTTAATAGACAAATATCCACTTGATTAGTTTTCTAAAAATAAAACTAGGAATGATCTAAACTATACTAGGTTAAGCCATCTATTTTTTTGTAAAGATAAATGCAAGTTAAGGTAGCATCCTTGGTCCTTGGTCAAGTAAATATAATTACACACACACACACACACACACACTGTTTTGGGCTCAAACTTTTTTTTTTTTTTTTGCTTCAGCCTCCTGAGTAGCTGGGATTACAAACACGAGCCACAGCACCTGATGAATTTCATATTTATAAACTCACACACATTATGTATGTATACATGTATACATATATGTGATATTTTGCACTATATATAATGAATATATATAGTTATGGATTCAAAATTAGAAAAGATTCAAAATTAGCTATCAGAATTCTTTTGTATTTCCAGAGTTTAGAACTGTGTCTACCAAGGAGCAGATGGGCCCAAAATGCCAAAAACATTTACTGAAGAAGTCAAAGTCACCTGAACTCACAAAATATTTTGAGCTCTCAAAATGAAGGATTCAGATGCCAACTACCTGAGCAGTTGCATACCACTGAGACTTATAAATTTTTATGTGCCCATACATATTATAACTGAAGGATCTGACATACTCACTGAGTAATTCTCCAGGGCATAGATGTACTTTTTCTTTTTATAAGTGATTTCATGTGGAACTAGGAAAGCATCTTTAACTTAAAGGAGACATAAGAGTTTGATTGGATCAAGTCAATTTGAAAACCATGCTCATTTTTTTCAAAGACTTTTATTTTTAAAGCTATTGTTTTCTCCATAGATTTTATTATCTATTAGTTATTTTTTTAAGAAGGACCTGCGGTAAAAAATTAATAATATTCACACCCACAACAACAAAAAATAAAATTAAGATATTCTAAAGACATCATTTAACTTTTAAAATATTTTTTATTTCACTACAAAGACTTTTTAGAAAGTCTACATACTCTGAAAGCCCAAAGAGGGCAAGGATTGTTTTGTTTGTAATATTTTTAATTTTTTAATTGAAAGCAAAATATTTTATATGCCTTTGGGGAGGAACAGGAAAATATTTCATAAAAATTAAAAAATGCATAAAAGATTATAGTATTTCAACAATTATTGACCACCTGAAAATGATAAAATGATTCACTTTTATTCATTTATTATAACAAGATGTAATGATAGCCATATTTGCTTTCCTAAAGTCACATTTCATAGTTGGTGGCAGACAAACAAGTAACCATAATACAGGATAGACTAAAACAAATTATGTTGGCCCATCTTTTTGCCCTACTCTAATCAATAATGCCCTTACAAACAATAGTGCACTACTGTAAATCTAAATGTCAGAGTCCAGATTCTTTCTTTATCATTTCAGTCTAGCCTGCCTCCAAGATAAAGGAAACAGTGACTTCCATGGTCTAGCAACCATGGGTAAAATTTCTGAGCCTGAGGCCTTAGAAGACTGAGGCTCTGTATTTACATTTGCCTTTATTGGTACCTCTGATTATGAGTCTTTCCCAGGGGTCTCTGGTGCCAGTTTATTTTTTCCCGTCTCTCCTTTTCTTCATTTGCTATTAGGCTATTATTGCTAAGGTTACTTCAGGTACTATTGTTTGCTTCTGTTCTGTGATACTTCCCCTTTTAACTCACATGGCTTTCCTTCTCCCCAGATTAATACCCTGGCCTGCCAGGAGATTCAATTCAATGTTTATCAGGAACCTAGTCTGTATAGATGTTAGACACTCATCTGCATCTATTATTTAGCTCCCTAAAGAGCTTCACTGGTCTTCACTCTCTTCTGTGTGCATGGGGCTCAGAAGGGCACTTACAGAGAAGAGACTAATGTATGGGAATTCATTCCATTTTTATTGGAAAAACAGTTCTTCTCTAAGAAAAGATTTTTTTAAGCAAAAGTGAGAAAAATATGAATAGAAATCATAAAAGTGTACAGTCTGTGAATGAACCCCTAATAAAAGTTAGCTTTAAGTGTCTAAAAGGCTTAAAAACACATTTCCCTAAAGAATACTTTTTATTGAATTTTTACTTTTTCAGTAAAAACCCCAGAGCCACATTATCAAAAGTACCTGAAATTAAATTTTATTTCTACCACACTCAATTATAATGTATAATATAAAAGTACAATTTATTTTATTTTATTAAAAAAATTCAGGAACACACTGTTCTTGCGAGTGGAGTCGGCTGGGCAGCTGAGAGGCAGCAAAGCTGTGCCCTGGGAGCTCATGAGGCAAACATAATTTTTTTTTTTTTTTTTTTTTTTTTTTTTTGCGAAGGAGTCTACAGGAAGGGATGTGAGGAGAAAGTAAAGCAGGAAGCCCTGGGGCAGGGATATGGAGGAACTCGTGCAGGCAGAAACTAGGGAGCAGGGCATTTTGTGTACTTACAAGCGCATGTACAAGTCAGGAGAGCTCAGGGCTCCGTCTGCTACAGCTGAAGCTACCAGTTGATTTTCAGCGTGATGGAGCAAGCAGAGAGGAGAATGGCTACTGGGCCAAACATTTGATTTCTTTACAACGTCAAGCAGGCTATAATAAAAATTGGAAGAGATATCCAGAGTAATGTAATTCATAGAGAAAGAAAGTAGAATAGTGGCTGCCAGGCGCTGGAGGAGAACTGGGAACGAGGAGTTTGATGTGTAATAGGTACGCTGTCTCAGTTTTGCAAGATCAAAGAGCTCTGGAGATTGGTTGCACAACAATGTGGACATACCTGCTGTGTGGTTTTTTCCTTGTCACTTGCTCTGTCCCTGCATTTCAAAGAAGCTGCTGCCTCCTTTTACCCTGACAATATGAGTGTGTCTGTCAAATACATTGAGCGAATACTGTGGTGTCTATATGGGTACAGTTACTGTTTTTCAACAGCAAGCTCTTTCACCAGGATAGAATTTTCCTCACAGAAATAATCTGAAGATATAAATAACCATGTGCATCTGCCTGGCTGTTTCCCTGCACACACACGCACGCACAGCTGTAAACAGCGGACACACAAGCGACTCAGCAATCCTGGGCTGCGGGTCTCTCAGAACATTCAGCCAGTATACCTGGAGCAGGCTCCGAGGGCGGGCAGGGAGAAGCCAAACTGGCCTGGTCCTGCCCGCAGAGAGCCTTCAGTCTGCAGAGACAGGCCTTTTAACCAAGATGCAATGGCCCTAGAGCGCGACGACAAGCTAGGTGTGAGAAGTCCCCAGTCAGACCAAGCCAAGAACTGGAGAATGAGGGAGCCCAAGGACGTTGGTGTGCAGACAGGCAGAGGAAGGGAAGGGGTGAGGAGGATCGGGGGGAAGTGCAAAGGTTGGGCAGAAGGGGCAACAGATGAAAATGATCCCGACCCAAAGAAAATATTGTCATCAAAAGCACAGAACCTGACTTAAAGCCACACACTTTGGAGACAGGACATACAAAAGCTGTTTAGGTGCTGCTGGACAGACCCTCGCCTGCTGAAACGGCTGTAGGACAGTCTGGGCCCATCCGTGCTCTGGGCTGTCGTGGCGCGGGGCAGGCGGCGGTGCGGGGCCCATGCAGTCCCCGAGGAGGACACTCAGTCCCAGGCGCACTCCGCTCTGGCTGCACCGCCCCAAAGGCGTCTGCGTCTCGCCATTGTGAACTGCCCTGCTGCTCATTGCTAAGCCATAAGGGACAGTCCTTCCCCGCCTGCTAGTTACACTACCAAATTCGCTCATTCTTCTCCAAAATCTTAACAGCGTGAAGGCTTTTAATGTACCGAAATAGAATGATTTTCAGCTTGTCCAAGGAAGAATTCCTACATTATGGTGTCAATTCTCCCAAGCTTGTGATTTTACCCAAGTGTGGAAGAAGATTACCTTTATTCATCCATATCTCCTATATTTTCTTCCTAACATAGTGGTTAGTGACACTGACGTCTAGGGTCAGGCAGACCCAGGACTGAATCCCGAAGTCAGCTAATAATTGGAGGATATTTCGGATGTTACTCAACTTCTTAAACATCCATTTCCTCATTTCTAAAATGAACAGAAATATAGAACCTGCTACCTGGAATTCAACATTAGATAATGAGGGAAACAAGTAACTGCCCAACTCAGCTAAACTCTCAATAAAATGGCTGTTTTTCTTATTTTTATTTGTATTACTATTTCATTCTAATTTAAGTGTTTTTAAGTGATGTCCTCATACTTCTGGTAGACTATTAAATGAAACATGGGCCTTTACAATAAAGACAACAATTTTAATTGTATGTTCAAAAAATCAAAACAAGCCCATTTTTACAGGTACAAAGACACTTCAGAGCCACTTCAGTGATCGTGGCCATGAATGAAGGCCACCCATGCTATTTTAGATTGAGGAAGCCTGCACAACAGCAAGACATTTCTCTGTTAAGTATAGTCCTATCCAATGTGCTCTGCCTTGGCTGCATTTTCATTTTTTTGCATTGCTTTCTTTTCTTCATCTTTGGTCATTAATTAGCTCCTGACTAACTCATTCCATTCTAGCCCTGTTCTCTTCTTCCCTCTCCTCTCCTCTTCCCCCTTTCTTCTGTCTCCTTCTGTCTCTCTCTCTCTCTCTCCCTCTCTCCCCCGCTCTCTCTATTTCAGTGCATTCTAGTCTAAGTTGGGGAATTAGTTGTTTCAAATCTCTTTCATATCCCAGCATCTCTTTACTGTAGAAAGGCAGAAAGGGCTTTGAAGAAAAGAGTGACCTACATTTCAACATCCCAACGTCCATTAGGTTGAGTGGACCGTTGTGAGCTGGGTTGGCAACAGGCCCCGTGGGAAATATTTTGCAGGTATTCACAAATGATCCTCCAGGCATCTGTATTATTATTATTTCCCCTTATGAAGATATGAAAACTGAGGCTCCAAGGATATCCCCCTGGTCACAAATCTAGTAAACAGCTTTCTTGGGAAGCCAACTGAAGACCGTCTAACGCCCAAGCAGTGTTTGTGGTGCCACATCTCCACTACAGAGTCTGCATGTCTTCTGACCTTCTAACTTTATCTTTGATCAGCTCTTGCTATGAAGCCTTCGCCTTTCCATCTTCTGCCTATGACAGGATTGACAATGGAAAAGAGGAATGAATGTAAGATAGGGTGAAAAGGGCATCTGGTCTTTATTTATTTATTTATTTATTGTCTCCTTTGAGTAAAGATAAGTGAACACAAATAGGATCTTCATCAGCATCTTTCCCCTCAGGGATCCTTGCCCAGGCCACATGCCTAGCCTCTTACCCTCGGATGTTTCTGTTTGCTGCTCTGTTTTCCTACTTAACTTTTCTTTTGAAAATGTTCTGATCTTGGAAGATAAAAATAATGAATTCAGTATATAAAGATGAGATCTAACTAGTAAGAGCACTGGGCTGGGTTTCAGAGATGGAGGTGACCTTGCACAGGTCTCTGGGATGGAGCACTCTCAAAACAACCTTTCATATCCTTCCTAGTTTCAAACAAAGCACTGCGTTCAAAATGGGAATGAAAAAAAGCACAGTCCCTACATTTTCTGAATTGCTTTGTCTGTTGTTTTTTTAATTTCTGAAAAAAAAACAGTCTAAATTATTTATGGGTCTAGCACAAGAAGTTAAACATGCTTTGCAGTCATATGCCCATTTTTATCTATTGAGTCTGCTTTGGCTTGCTGAGAGGACTTGTCATTCATCCTTACTTCATCTTGCAGACACTTCTCTAAGCTCTCCACTTCCCACCCACCTTCCCTCTCAGACTGGTTGCTCTTCTCTTTGAATTGAGTTGCAATGACTGTGCCTTCCCACACCTCATTATTAAAACATGGAATCAAAGTCTAAAATATATCCATTTTTTTCTCACAAGCACTTCCTGCTGCAAATTGTCAGCCTCTGCCCATGGTCACTGAGACAAGCCCACCTCCAGTCTCTGAGCTGCTTTCCTCTATGATTCGTTTCTGCACATAGTAGCCAGAATGATCTCTTCAAAATCAAAGAAAGCATGCCATTTAGTCTTGCTTAAAATATGGTGGTGGCTTCCCATTGTACCCAGAATTTAAGCAAAATTTCTCTCCTTGGCTTTACAGTATCCTGCATGATCAGGACTCAGAGCTCCCTTCTCTTGCTTCCTCTAACCTGTGGGCTCACTCCTACCTGGGCGCCTCCGCTCTGCTGTTAACTCTTCTAATCCTGGTATGGTTGGTTTTGCTCTGTCAATTACATCTCAGTTTAAAATTCACTCCTCAGAGTAGGCTTCCCTGGACAAATTTAAGACACTTTTCTTTTGGCATGACATTTAAATATTCTGTGCCAAACACTCAGGAACACTCCACAGGCTATTTCTGTTTCTTATTTCCTGTTCCTCCTATCCTCCCAAACACAAACACTCCAATGAAAGTTTCATGAAACTAGGGAACTATCTGCTTATTCAGCCCCACAACCTGGCAGAAATCAGGCAATATGTACATTTTTAGAAGAAATACAAAAATGCAAAAACACAGAGAATAAGTGGATGACTTGCCATCCAATCCTTTCTGTTTGTGTCTGAGGCACTTAACTAATATAATTTCATATAAATATCACTTTATGAAACAAAAAAAACTTATTTTCCTATTTCTTTCCATTTTCCACACAAATATACACACACTGAGCCTTCACATCAGGCCTTGCTTTTCTCAAAGAAGATATAGGATCTAATTAAATGTATCACTGATTGCAAGGTACCTCTGGATGAATATTGCTTCTGGGGTAAATTGAGACATGCATCTCAAAATTAGTAATAGTTGCCAAGAATGACAGTAGGTCTTCTTTCCAATTCTTTCTCTATCACAGTTTTTGAAATAAAAATAAGAATAACTAACTCAGGGAGCAAATGTAGTTTGTAAAACTAGCTGTTCACTGAAAAAATAAATGAAAGACAATTTCATGTAATTCACCACCAACATGAAAATAAACAAATAAGTAGGAAAAAATGTTGAAGAAAAGTCAATTTAACAAATTCTCAATCCCATTAATTTATCTCTAAGACAAAAACTGTTAAAATTATATATCAAGAATGGAGCCTTTACACACACACACACACACACACATATATATATATATGTTTTGTGAGTCTTGCAGGCACACAGTCATATTGTTTTAAAACAGGAGAAATCTTTCCTCGGACTGAAAATAAGAGTCCCCTTCTTGTGGACTACCTATGATTTATGTGTATAGAGAACCTGTCTGTTATAGTTATTGGAGAGCTATCTTGCAAGTCCTATGGATGTCAAAAGCATTCAGATCAGCTTCATATTCTCATCCTGAAAACAGTAATAAGAAAAAAAAATTATCAGATTGTGGAGACTGCATGTCAATTTGACAACCCTGCACAGCTCCAATGATCTTGAAGGCAAGCGCTGCTGTGCATGTTGTGGCGATTAATCGAAACATGAACCTTAGGAAGCTTCCTTGAATAGCTTTGTATCATATCACCAACATCAACAAGCATACTAAGGCAAAGATAATCGGGTATTCTTAATATGAAATTCTAAGAAATTCCAGAAATCCTTTTATCCAGCACTACTATAGGTAAAGAAGAATGAAAAAATCTCTTGAATATTGCTAAATAATCTCGGCAGTTGAGGTGATTATGAATTAAGGCAGTCTAAAAGTTTAGTTTGCAGTTATATTTATTAAGAAATTTCTTTTAATTTTATTCCGCCAAATATGTCTTTAAGTACACAGCCCATAGCCACCTCTAGGTCCATTTGGAAGAGAGCCATGATTCGCCCATTGAGAACCATCACTGACAGTTTGGACATGACAGCTTTTCTCAGAGAACCTTTCCTGGACTATCATTTCCATGGACGTGTCCATGGACCCTGCCTGGACCTGTGCACTCTCCATGTTCTTTCTCTAGTTTCACTCCGCAATTGGAATGTTAGTCACAGAGAAGTTCTGCCATAAAGGGATTATGCCTAATTTTGTTTTACTCTACATTTCCCAAAACCAATTACCCACAAGATTCTTTTATGCCATAATATATATATTAACATATGTGGCACTGTAGTTTGCAGGATACATTCTGGGAAACTTTCAGCAATAAAACTTATTATAGATGCAATTTTTCTTAAGCTTCTTACATTATTTTAAATAGAGTCGTTGGATTTTATAGCTGTAAGTACTTAAAATGATCTAGTTCAGGGCCTTCATTTTACAGTTGATGTAGGGAACCACAAAGTCACACAGCCTATACAAATCACTGATCTGGCACGTGAGGACTATGTTCTTCCAATTCCTAGGCCAGGCCAGGGCTCTCTTATGACACCAAAAGAAAAATAATCCCTTTTGCATTCATCTTGAGAAATAGTTGAAAGAGCAAGGAACTTGAAGTGAAAGACCTGAAGATGATTTCATCATATGTTAACTATGTGCCCTTGGGCATATAGATTCCTTTTCTGGAAAACAGATGTTTTATTCATGCTTTAACTCTTTATCTCATGGAATATTTGAGAAGTCCAAAGAAGCAAATAAAATATATGAAGGCACCCGCTACAACATGGAGGGCTAGGAAGGTATTGGCGCTCATCAATGGAATATTATTGTGGCTGTGGTATTTTATTGGCCTCCATTTGGAAAAGATTAAAACTCTAAGGTAATTTTTGGGAATTAATTTTATCGGGCTATCGTTACTATGTTTTGCTAATGGAGTTGTGGCATGTGCTTCCAGATAGGAAAATAAGGAAGCTGGATGATTTGAAATTTTGTAACTTACATTCATTCTCTTTGGAAAACAGCATACTTCCTAGTATAAAAAAGTGAAAACTTGAAATGATGAATACTCTTAATGAATTCAAAGAGGAAACAGCCTAACATTCTAACGACATAAAAAATTGGGGCTTATGGTAAAATATTTATATGATTTCCACTAAGAAGGTAGAATTCTTAGCATCAAGAATCTTCTATTACTTAATTTGAATGAAAACACAGAACTTAATGTCGTTACTATAGCATTGTAGAAGTATGTTTTGTTGAAATGAAATTCTATATGTTATCAAATGGTATCCAAATTTATCATTGTTGTTTTCATTTTTATTTTCTCCAAATATTCCTTTCTTGACCTCTGTATCTGTAATTTTATTCTACAGTTTTAAGTTCAACTGATTTGATCTATGCCAAATGAACAGGAATACTCTTTTCTTCAGTATATACTGTGTTTTCATTTTTATTCCTTGCTTCAAATATTTCTAATTCTATAAGATACACTGATGCATATTAATGAAAGCCAAGACTCACCAAAGTGAAGCAGTAAATTTCATCTCATCTGGACCTCAGCCAGACTCTTTTCTTTTTTTTTTTTTATTATTATGCTTTAACTTTTAGGGTACATGTGCACAACGTGCAGGTTAGTTACATATGTATACATGTGCCATGTTGGTGTGCTGCACCCATTAACTCGTCATTTAACATTAGGTATATCTTCTAATGCTACCCCTCCCCCTTCCCCCCACCCCACAACAGGCCCTGGTGTGTGATGTTCCCCTTCCTGTCTCCATGTGTTCTCATTGTTCAATTCCCACCTATGAGTGAGAACATGCGGTGTTTGGTTTTTTGTCCTTGTGATAGTTTGCTGAGAATGACGGTTTCCAGCTTCATCCATGTCCCTACAAAGGACATGAACTCATCTTTTTTATGGCTGCATAGTATTCCATGGTGTATATGTGCCACATTTTCTTAATCCAGTCTATCATTGTTGGACATTTGGCTTGGTTCCAAGTCTTTGCTATTGTGAATAGTGCCGCAATAAACATACGTGTGCTTGTGTCTTTATAGCAGTATGATTTATAATCCTTTGGGTATATACCCAGTAATGGGATGGCTGGGTCAAATGGCATTTCTAGTTCTAGATCCCTGAGGAATCGCCACACCAACTTCCACAATGGTTGAATTAGTTTACAGTCCCACCAACAGTGTAAAAGCGTCCCTATTTCTCCACATCCTCTCCAGCACCTGTTGTTTCCTGACTTTTTAATGATCACCATTCTAACTGGTCTGAGATGATATCTCATTGTGGTTCTGATTTGCGTTTCTCTGATGGCCAGTGATGATGAGCATTTTTTCACTGTATTTTGGCTGCATAGATGTCTTCTTTTGAGAAGTGTCTGTTCATACCCTTCACCCACTTGTTGATGGGGTTGTTTTTTTTTCTTGTAAATTTGTTAGAGTTCATTGTAGATTCTGGATATTAGCCCTTTGTCAGATGAGTAGGTTGCAAAAATTTTCTTCCACTCTGTAGGTTGCCTGTTCACTCTGATGGTAGTTTCTTTTGCTGTGCAGAAGCTCTTTAGTTTAATTAGATCCCATTTGTCAATTTTGGCTTTTGTTGCCATTGCTTTTGATGTTTTAGACATGAAGTCCTCGCCCATGCCTATATCCTGAATGGTATTGCCTAGGTTTTCTTCTAGGGTTTTTATGGTTTTAGGTCTAACATTGAAGTCTTTAATCCATCTTGAATTAATTTTTGTATAAGATGTAAGGAAGGGATCCAGTTTCAGCTTTCTACATATGGCTAGCCAGTTTTCCCAGCACCATTTATTAAATAGAGAATCCTTTCCTCATTTCTTGTTTTTGTCAGGTTTGTCAAAGATCAGGTGGTTGTAGATATGCGGCATTATTTCTGAGGGCTCTGTTCTGTTACATTGGTCAATACCTCTGTTTTGGTACCAGTACCATGCTGTTTTGGTTACTGTGGCCTTGTAGTATAGTTTGAAGTCAGGTAGCATGATGCCTCCAGCTTTGTTCTTTTGGCTTAGGATTGACTTAGCAATGCAGGCTCCTTTTTGGTTCCACATGAACTTGAAAGTAGTTTTTTCCAATTCTGTGAAGAAAGTCATTGGTAGCTTGATGGGGATGGCATTGAATCTATAAATTACCCTGGGCAGAATGGCCATTTTCATGATATTGATTCTTCCTACCCATGAGCATGGAATGTTCTTCCATTTCTTTGTATCCTCTTTTATTTCCTTGAGCAGTGGTTTGTAGTTCTCCTTGAAGAGGTCCTTCACTTCCCTTGTAAGCTGGATTCCTAGGTATTTTATTCTCTTTGAAGCAATTGTGAATGGGAGTTCACTCATGATTTGGCTCTCTGTTTGTCTGTTATTGGTGTATAAGAATGCTTGTGATTTTTGCACATTGATTTTGTATCCTGAGACTTTGCTGAAGTTGCCTGTCAGCTTAAGGAGATTTTGGACTGAGACAATGGGGTTTTCCAGATATACAATCATTTCATCCGCAAACAGGGACAATTTGACTTCCTCTTTTCCTAATTGAATACCCTTTATTTCCTTCTTCTGCCTATTTGCCCTGGCCAGAACTTCCAACACTATGTTGAATAGGAGTGGTGAGGGAGGGCATCTGTCTTGTGCCAGTTTTGAAAGGGAGTGCTCCCAGTTTTTGCCCATTCAGTATGATATTGGCTGTGGGTTTGTCATAGATAGCTCTTATTATTTTGAGATACGTCCCGTCAATACCTAATTTATTGAGAGTTTTCAGCATGAAGGGTTGTTGAAATTTTTCAAAGGCCTTTTCTGCATCTACTGAGATAATCATGTGGTTTTTGTCTTGGTTCTGTTTATATGCTGGATTGTTTATTGATTGGCATATGTTGAACCAGCCTTGCAAACCAGGGATGAAGCCCTCTTGATCATGGTGAATAAGCTTTTTGATGTGCTGCTGGATTCAGTTTGCCAGTATTTTATTGAGGATTTTTGCATCGATGTTCATCAGGGATATTGGTCTAAAATTCTCTTTTTTGGTTGTGTCTCTGCCAGGCTTTGGTATCAGGATGATGCTGGCCTCATAAAATGAGTTAGGGAGGATTCCCTCTTTTTCTATTGATTGGAATAGTTTCAGAATGAATGGTACCAGCTCCTCCTTGTACCTGTGGTAGAATTCATCAGCCAGACTCTTTTCATCTGAACCCAGCTGGGAGTTGAGTCCTGTGTGCATTCATAGCACCACTGGTGTCCCAGATTACCCATACTTTAAGTCAGCTTTGCTTAGATCTGGCATCATTCCCTAACCAGAGCTGCCAACTCTTCAAGGTGGGAGAAAGGAGTCTCTAGCATTAAAAATAAGTGGTTTGCCAGTCTCACTAGCTGCAGAATTTAGGACGACAGAATGTTCTTCTCTAGAGACATGCGAATTAGAGCTACGTAAGTTATAACCTTCTCTGACCCTCTACGTGGTCAGTGATCTTATGGAATAGAGGACAAATAAAAACATCTAAATATAATTTGGATTCCAAGGGAGGAAATACCTATTTCTTAAATGAAATGAGTGATTTGCTATTAATTATTTTGGAAGCTGCAGGGAAGAAACAATAATCTAAAACAACTGCATTAGTCCCTGGAAGAGAAGCACTGTTCACATCAGACAGGGTCACTAAATGCTAGATGTTGAATGAATTAAAAAGAGTGCGGCTAAACACACATGCATTACTGAAAAAATTAAAAACTACAACAGGAAGTACATGTGTTTCTAAAACAAAGCAACATATTTCAGTGTATGTGTCTGTTTGCAGCACTACCCAGTGGGCATAAACAATTCTTGAAGCTGTTTGTTGGTGCTGAAATTTCCTCGTGATGATCTCGTAGCACCTCTTACTCATCAAATAGGCACTGTGAAATTTTGCCAGATGGTGAGATACAGAGATATTACTGGAGTTGTCAAATCACTGAAACCCTTTAGCAGTAAGAGGCCAACCAGAGTAAAAGTTGCATTCTTTACGCCAATCCTATTCTCAAGTCACCCTGAGATTGGTCTAACTGTTTCCTTAATAAGTATTTGTATTGGCAATTTGAGTAAAATAAGAAATAAAAACATGAGACAGTCTTGTTTTATAAGGATTCAATAGCACACCAGCCTGAAAACACACACACACACACACACACACACACAGGTTTTTTATTCCACCATCAAAAAGCAGCATGAATCTATAACAGCATTTTGAGTGTGGCTGAGGAAGAGTGAAGAAGAAATAGCAACTTTTCAAATTCTGTAACTTGGAACATACACCATGATGTCATTGTTGTTTTGACAGTGAGGGTATCTCTCTTCTTTAACCTGACCCCACCCTACATGATCATATGTAATGGATGTAACTTGAAAAACTAAGTGAATGGCGAGGCATGGTGACTCACTCCTGTAATCTGAGCACTTTGGGAGAACGAGGCCGGTGGATCACCTGAGGTCAGGAGGTTGACACCAGCCTGACCAACATGGTGAAACCCCGTCTCTACTAAAAATACCAAAATTAGCTGGGCATGGTGGTGGGCACCTGTAATCCCAGTTACTTGGGAGGCTGAGGCAGGAGAATTGCTTGAACATGGGAGGCAGAGGTTGCAGTGAGCCGAGATTGCACCATTGCACTCCTGCCTGGGCGACAGAGAGAGAGTCCATTTCAAAAAAAAAAAAAAAAAAAAAAAAAAAGATTAAATGAATTAAAATGTGTATTTGCTTTTGAGAATTTTTGTAAATTCTACAACTTCCCATAAAGTAGTTTATGGCATCCTGTGGTGAAGCAAATCCAAGGTTTCCTCGCATTAATGCCTCTCTCTGAATTATTAAAGACTCATAAATAATTAAAAGAAAAAAATTTAAAAAGTAAACCAAGCCTCTTAAAAAATTATTCACCACGTTATTAAAAAGAAAAATAATCAATGCAGAAGATTTTGAGTTAAGCAGCACACATACAAGCCACCAATCCATTAGTTACTTTGCTGTCACCTAATCTGTCTATCATTCTGCCTCCAATTCATTTTACACACTAATTCCCAGTTAATATTTCCAAAGCTCAAAAATATTCTCTCTCTGTCCCCTTCCTCCAGACTTTATCCAGACTCCTTTACTTGGCACTCAAGTCTCTGGAGTTTTAAATGCAGCCTGAAATATATTATTCTGCCTCAGTATCGCCCTTTGCCTGTAGTGCTCATCAGTCCAAGGGAAAGATCTGTCATCCCCAGTTCTATCCGGAATGTGTCTGCCTTTTGGTTTTCTGGAACTCTGGAACACAGCGCCTGTAAATAATTATGATTGGATTGCAGGAGATAAATGGCTTCTTGCTTGCCTGGGAGGTCCTCTCTTTCATGGAGAAGTCTTCATTATTCTTCCAGCTATAGCTTTGGTCTATCTGGAAGAATAAGGGTCTATCTCTTTGGTATAACCTGCATCCTGAAGCTACATCTGATCCTCCCAAATTGATATTATTTCCTCTGAATAAGGAGATGTCTTTTGCATGTAGAAACCTGGAAACTTTAAACTTTATTACAAGTTCTTGCCCTTATCCTTTCAGTATTGCATCTAGTGATCTGGATCTTTCCACTTTAGATCTTATGAAAATTTTGGAACTGAAAAATTAATGCAATGTCAAGACATTGTGCCAACCTAATGGGTAAAATATTTTTGCTTGTGTTCTTTATTGGTAATTCTCAAGTCACAAGAATCAAAAGTCAAAAAAGTTTAATGATCTTTACATGAGACAAAATACACCATAATTGGGGGGGAAGAGAAGGTGCTGAAATTTCATAAGCAAATATATTGTGTTTTGGTAAGTACTGGAGACTTTGGGGGCACATTTTAAATCATCAGATTCAATGAAGGATGTGGGCAATGGCTTTGGACACAAAGAAATTGGAAGAACAAAATACATTTTTCCTTCTGCTCTGCCCAAAATCTTTCCTTCCAATGGTATATATTGACATATGGTGAAAAGACCATTGTATTTACTTGCAGAAAAAAAAACAAAGACTGTTCACCAGGTATAGAGTAAGCATAACTGGACTTGGAAGATGAATAGGGTGATTCTCTGAAGTACTGCAAGACACTGAAGGATAGGACCAAGACTGAGGAGAATACCCTCGCTCTTGTATCTGTGTAGAAAAGTGCACAGTCCTGGGGACAGGGAGGAAGCTGCTGTAAAGCCAGATTAATTTGATAATCATGATCTTAAACTACAAATGTCAGTAGCGAGATGTAATAAGATGCTGATGGCATCTTATTATTTGCTTAAGACCTTTCCATTAAATGCCAGCCTAGTAATTAATTCTTCTTAATGGAACTTTTCACTGCTTTAATCTCACTTTCAGTGATAATTAACACTTATCAATTCTCACTACAAATGAAAAAGCTATTTCAGAGAAAGGGTTGAACTCAGACACCTGGCACTCTTATGGTGAAGGCAGGTTGAGAAAAGGCTAAAAATTATATTTACTGAACTTTTTTTCCTGTCCAAATTAACCAATTCGAATTAAAACAAAGTTTATATATTATAATAAATTAATAAAAATTGAGAACAAAAATCAATGAAAAGTGAAGATTTTATCAGATGAAAAACTTGCATCACCACGTATGTGCAATGAGCAAATGTATCTACCAAAGCAGAAAGTAAACAATACAGAAAAGTTCACAGTCTCATGTCTACAGAAGTAGATTTTATAATAGATAAAACAAGATGAAACAAATGGCTGTGTCACATGTGACAAAACACCATCCTGAGAACAGACTGTAAGCTCCCTGAGAACAGGCTTTCTGCATGCTAAGAGGACAGACTCCAAAGCCAGACAGGCATTCTTCAAGCCCCTTTTTCTTGCCATTAAACATGTGACTTTGGGGAAGAAATAACCTATACTGTACATCTGTTTTTTCATTTGTGAAATAAAAATCACAACTGGCCCAGCTTCGAAGGACTGTTATGAGGATGATAAAATACTTACGCCCTTGGGACAATGCCTGGCCAATAGTGAGTATAAGCTATTGTTATTATTCCTGGCATTTTTTCTAATAGAGTGCTCTCCAAATAGTAAAGAAAGCACAAAAATATTTTCTTGACATTGTTTATAGATTATTGAAAAAAATCTTGCTAGCAAATTTGTGATATGGCACTAAATTTACATAAACATCTATTTGCATTGCAATATAACCATCGAACAATTATTTATTATTTAATATATGCTAGATATACACAAAGTAGCACATAAAAATATGCCTATATAGTAAAGGAAATAATTTCACACGTCATCATACCCATTCTTGGTTACAAATTCACTACCAATGGAATAAAAGTAAAATAAAAATAAATTATTTCCATAGGTTAAATATGTGTTTTAGTCAAAAAGACTGGAATAGGCTGGGCGTGGTGGCTGACACCTGTAATCTCAGCACTTTGGGAGGCCAAGGTGGATGGATCATTTGAGGTCAGGAGTTTGAGACCAGCCTGGCCAACATGGTGAAACCCCGCCTCTACTAAAAATACAAAAATTAGCCAGATGTGGTAGCGGGTGCCTGTAGTCCCAGCTACTAGGGAGGCTAAGGCAAGAGAATAGCTTGAAGTTGGGAGGCTGAGGTTGCAGTGAGCAGAGATTGCACCACTGCACTCAAGCCTGAGGAACAGACCGAGACTCTGTCAAAAAAAAAAAAATTAATTAATTAATTTAAAAAAAGACTGGAATAAGCTATAGACTTTTTTTAAACAGGAAAAACAAAAATGGTAACTAAACACTTAAAGTACTGACTGTATTTCCCGTACAAATCAACAAATTTACAATGATTTTATGGACTAATAACTATAAATATACCTTTTTACAAAGACAGAAACTGAGGCTTGAAAGAAGCAACTTTACCAAAGCTTCAAACCTAATTAGACAGGCTCCAAACTCTATTTTTTTCTCAGATTTTCCCAATAGAGACAAGAAAAATAGTCCAAGAGAGACTTGAGCAAGTAGAAATTGAATCAGAAATAGAAACCAGATATATTCTAGAGATGAACATTACATGCTGAGTATACTTGCAGCAAAAAGTCATAACAAGGAAGATGCACAGAGCTTAGTTGGGTAGATGAAGGGGAGGCATAAGAAAGTCCAGCATAAAACACTGAAACAGCAGGAACTCAAAAATGGACTCCCTTTAATTTCCATATAGACTGAAAGAAAAGGTAAAATGAAAGGAGATGAAAGATCACAGGAGGAAGTTAGAAAAACACTGAATTAGTAGAAATGACATTTGGGAAAAAATAGATAAAAGAGGAGGATGATAACTAAAATTTGTAATATGCCATTTGGTTTTAAATATCTTTGAAATTGCAAAAGCCAGAGTGGGCCCTATTTGTGTTATTTTCATGAAAAACATTCGGTTATCTAAAAATGGAACATTTCTGATGGGGCTAGAGAGGTTGGAGCAATCAAGGCGCATGACAACAACCACATTAAGCAGCTAAAAGCAACCCAGTGTCTGCTTATGGAGATTTCACATTTCCCTAGAGACTATTGTCCTGGTGTCCAGAGCAGGATTCTCTTGAGCTTCCACTCATAAGCCCAATTATTCATTTCTGAATTCATTTTCTGTTTGTTAAGGTGAGTAAGCATGAGAATCAAAGTGAAATGTCCTTGAGAGGAGAACAGACTGATTAGACAGTGAGTTGTTGCATTAGCAAATATATCCAGGCCTCAGTCACTGTATACATATCCAGAAGTTCATAAAGAAACTCATATAAAAAGGAGTATTACATTCCATTAACATCATCGTCATCACCTACTGAGTGCCTCCTTCTGTACTAGATTTGTTAGAATCCACAGGAGAACTGTATCCTTACTGCTAAATTGATGTGTAGATTGTCACAGTTGACTTTTATCACCCTCATAGGTATAAGCAGAATTAATGGCAAATATCAGTGATAGCTAAATCATGCCAATTTAATAGACGAGTGTGGTCAGTGCCAGAGCGTCATACTAGACATTTCATGAAACAGTGGTATCATTTCAATGTTTTCTATTTTAACTGAAAATAAAGGTCAGAGATCCCATGCTCTATCCTGTTCGGTATGCCATTAATTTTAACTTGCCTTAATAACTACTGTATAAATAAACTCTAATTTATATTAAATTCTATTTCTAATGTGGTTTGATAATACTTAATGTGCCATACATGGCTATCAATTATAGAAAAAATGAAATACACTAAACTTCAAAATTATACTGAGAATAATTCCATCTATCTTGGAGGTAACAAAGACAATTTTTGGAAGAGATCACTAATGAATACCTACTATCATGGAACTGGATAAATATCAAAATGTTGGCTAAAAATGGAAAATAGAATAAAAATGTAGAAATGAGAAAAGGGGAAACTTTGTTTCAACAAATATGCCTAAACAAGGTGAAAGTGAGTAGAACGCACCTGTTCCAGAGGTTTCCCACATGGGAAGAAAGAAGGACTAATCCAACTGTCAGTAAGTATTTGCCAGAGTCCTCTAAAGAAACAGAACAGATAGAGTATATGCCTGTGCCTGTTTACCTATTATTCACCTATGTATATAATCTCTACCTATCTGCCTAGTTATCATCTACCTGTCTATCAATCTACCTAGCTATCTATGTAGAGAGAGAGAGAACTAGAGAAACATTGGGATTGATTTGAAGGTATTGGCTCATGTGATCATGCAACTGTGGAGAATGACAAGTCTAAAATCTGCAGGGTCAGCTGCTAGTTGCAGACCCAGGGCAGAGATGACACTGCAGCTCAAGCCTGAAGGCAGTATGTGGCAAGACTCCCTCCTCCTTGTGGGGAGCCAGTCTTATCCTTCCAAGGTCTTCAACTGATTAGATGTGGTCATCCACTTGAAGAGTAATCTACTTTGCTCCAAGTCTACTGATTCAAATATTAACCTCATCTAAAAAATACCTTTACAGGAACATCTAGAATAATGTTTAACCAAATATCTAGGTACTGTGGCCTAGACAAGTTGACACATCAATCACACTGAGTGCCTACTATAAACAAGGTGCTGTGACTTTTGTGAGGCATACATGTTATTTAATTTAACTTGGGTGGAGTTGAAAATAACTTCTGGGAATTTAATGGATTTGATGCAAGCTATTTTTCTCATTTTGAGCTTTATGTATAAGTTCTTAAATATCAGACATTGATGAGAAGCTGAAGAAAAAGTCTTTCTAAATTGAAAAGATTTACAAACACGTTTTATCATATTGGCTATGGAAAACAGAGAAGAAAATGAAGTCTCTGTGAAGTTCTATTTTCATGAAGTTTTAAAACTCACTGAAATAAAGTGGGAGCTATTCATAGCATTGCTACATGCATTTGAGATTAAACAATCATCAGAAGGTACAGTGCAAAGACCAGTAGCTTGTAGTAAAGGAAACCTCAACCTGTTAGCACTGGACTGAATTCCACCCAGCTGACAGAATGGAGAGGAGCAAGATATAGGGGCAATGCTTGCTTGATCAGGAAAGTTTTCTGCATGGTAAAGAGGCAAGACTAGTGACTTCTAATTTATTGGAGAGCATACTACATACCAAAAGAAAAACACTATTGCATTGGAATAGTAATATAAACCAAGTTCTTACAAACTATGACTCAAAAAAGAAAATAAAATTGTGAAACAGCAGTATGAAAATGAACATTGAAAGCCCAAGACATAAACCAAAACAAAATCAGCCGTGCCAAGATCACAGTTGGGCAATGTGCCAAAAGACATTTTCCAACACTAGTTTCTGATCTCCTGTTTATTTGAATCCTGGCAGAGTGTTTGCAGCAAACCGTTCATACAGCACATGCTGTGGGTAGATGTCTTGGCGCTTTGCTTCCTGAGGAAGGGAAAACTATGGAGGTGGTATGATTAAGGATGAAGAGGGTTTTCTAACTTAGGGTTGGATTCATTCCCTTATACTTTATTCATGCATCCACTCATGTATTCCTTTAACTAATCTGTTTAGCTTTCATCTGCTACAACTACAGGAGGTGCTGTCATGAAACTGCAAGGAGACGGTCACTTCTTGGATTGCGCTTCCCGCCTCTGGCTTGAGAAGCACCTACTCAGGAGTCGTGGATCCCTGGCTGTACCCCTGCTCCTGCCAGATACTGCCTGCCTCCCTGCTACAAACAGCCCGGGAATCTGTGGTTAGAACCACTCTTTGTTGGGCGCAGTGGCTCATGCCTATAATCCCAGAACTTGGGATGCCAAGGCAGGTGGAACAACTTGAGGTCAAGAGTTCAAGACCAGCCTGGCCAGCATGGTGAAATTCCATTTCTACTAAAAATACAAAATTAGCTGGGCGTGGGGCATGCACCTGTAATCCCAGCTACTCAGGAGGCTGAGGCAGAAGCATCTCTTGAACTGGGAGGAAGAGGTTGCAGTGAGTTGAGGTCACATCACTGCACCCCAGCCTGGGTGACAGAGCAAGGCCATTATCTCATTGCATCCCAACGAGAGGAGAAGAAGGGCAGGATGCATCTACTGTCTCTATCTGAGGTAAATACAGACTCAGAGACTCACATGGGCCTTGAGTGGCAGCACAGAGTTGGAACAAGACCCGGCTCTTTTTAGAGCTCTTTCCTCATGATGACCTTGTTTCCTGACTCATTTATATGTGATATATGTGAGCATCTGCCCATTACATGTGTCTGCATGTATGTGTGTGTTACTCAAAATAACACATTGTGCCATTTGAACTGCAGCATCTTATGGCTATAAGGCACCCTAGATATCACCCGCCCCCCAAAAAAGAACCACTCTCTCAAGTCTCTCAGCTTCCTGCATGCCCCAGGGCTAGTCTCATCTGCTTCTCATCCTTGCTGACCTCACATTCCAACTAGCCGCCTCATCTGATTATGAAGCTCATCTTATGGTCAGACAGTCACCTGTGCTCTCCCCACCCTACACCTCTTCCTCTCCACCTCTGACCTTAGCTGCCTTCCACAGGGCTTTGCATTTGTTTCTCAATGTCCGCTCAAGGGCAACCTACTAATCTGAGCCCCAGGGAGGCCCTGGGAGCAGAGGGGAAGCTGGAGAATGTTTGTCCGGCTGCCATTGACATGGCTTTTCTTGCCATTCTCAAACTCCCTGAAAGTCAATTACAAATCCCTTTTGTAAAGCCAGTAGAAAAGACGCTATTTTTTCTATACTTGGATGGACACTCAAGAGGTGACTTGATAGTACTTAATTGTGTGGTTTCAACAAGTCATTGAATTCTCCCAAGTCTGTGTCCTTCTCCATTAGAAAAGGGTGACAGGAGTTCCAAATTTACGAGGTAAATGTGAGCCATGTGATCTGATGTAGAGAGGGCATTTCAACAAATAGCTGCCTCCGCAGATGCTTTCAATCAATGTTAGCTACCATTGTTCTCTTTTAAGTATATCAGGCATATTCTCGTGCAATAATGTATAGTAGAAAGTCTTATTCTAAGGAATTCCACTAAAATATTATTCTTAGCAGTGATGTAGAAATACTCAGAAGTTTTTATTTAGCAAGGTAATCATTGCAAACACAGACCTTCAACAGCAACAAAAAAGACAATATTGAAAATTTTGTTTCAGGAAGAATGTGGGTCAGGATGCAAGAATGATTATGTTTAAGGAATAGCAAGTGGCTCCAACAGGCATCCAAGTTTCTACAGGTTAGAAAGCACCAATTATTCTTTTTCCTATAATCAAAAGTTTCTCATCCACAGTGGATTCTGGGCCTATGGCTGATGGTGGGATATGGATTTCTTATTAGGTGCCACATTCTTATCAACATGTTTAAATAAAATATCAATGTTAGTAGCATTGCTGCATATGATTTTTGCCTGGCAAACAACAATGAATAGAAATTTATTTTAAAGTGGAAACAGCTCTGAGGGGGGATAAAAATAGTCCAGCTATGTTTATGAAGTAGACTCCACAGAGAACAGGGTGACCCTGCATAACCAAGCTTAGCTAAACCTGTAGATCCACTGACAACTGTCCATATGTTTTATTCTTGCCCAAGCCAGCATCTAGGATTCTGGAAGATGACAGTCCTATCAAATAGAAAGTTTTCAAGATAGTATTTCAATAAAAGCACATTTTCCTATACAGGTAACTTTCCGCTCCTGATAATGCTCTTCCTGTGTAGGGCCCTAGGGAGTCCTCCACATTTCCTTAATCCACGTAAGATATTCAATACTCTACCCAAGAATAGAGGGGCCATTATCTCATTGCATCCCAAAGAGAGGAGGAGGAGGGCAGGATGCATCTATTGTCTCTATCTGAGGTAAATACAGACTCAGAGAGTCACATGGGCTTTGAGTGGCACCACAGAGTTGGAACAAGACCCAGATCTTTTTAGAGCTCTTTCCTCATGATGACCTTGTTTTCTGACTCACTTACATGTGATATATGTGAGCATCTGCCCATTATATGTCTCTGCATATATGTGTGTATTACTCTAACACATGGTGCCATTTGAACTGTAGCATCTTATGGCTATAAGGCACCCTAGATATCAACATATCGTCCTTTCAAAGGTAATGTAACTTTCACTCAAAGAAATAGATTTCTTTTTTCAAAATCAGATTTCTAATTATTACTAAAGGTGGGATCAAAATCCATCTTTTAGCAATCAATTCTGTATATTATGCTGTAAGTGGCCCAAAAACATACAATTTAACCCTTCATTACCTACTTTATTATTAACTGTTGTATTATCTTGACTCTTGATTTATTAATACAGTTGTAATTGCCTTTGCATTCCAAAATATTCAATGTTAACAGCATTATTTATGCTCAATAGATATTTGTTGTTACATTAAATCGATACAAATTGAGAGTCAAGAAAACAAATCACTGCATACACACACATTCTTATGAAGCATCAAATATGGTAATTAGATATAGGTCTGTTTGGAAACCAAATCTATTCTCCAAAGAAAAACAGTTACAAAAGGAAGCTTCTCAGGTCAGCTCATATGATCTCAGCTTAGTTCAGTTGCACCCTGTGTGGGTTTACAATGCACGGTAAAAGAATGCTGAACTGAATCTCAAGCAAATTTTGAGTTATACTGTTGACGCTAATTAGCTGTAACACCTTGGGTAATTTATTAATTTCATGGGATCCAGTTTTTTAAATCTCAAAAGCATAAGGGTTAAACTAGAAATCCTCATCCATTTTACCTTAAAGGATTCAAATGGACTTCAGTAACATTCATGGATAAGCAAGTGTGCCATGCAGATAGGGAAAGGTTACCATTTGTATTCTAAAAACTAACTGTAAATTATAGCATACTTCTCTACACAAAAACTTGGATACAGCTGTTCACAAAAGCATTATTCATAATAGCCCAAAAGTAGAAACAGGTGAAATATTCATCAACTGCTAAACGGATGAACAAAATGTGGCATTTCCATATAATGGAATGTTATTTAGCCATAAAATTAAATGAAGTATTGACACGTGCTACACAACATGGATGGACCTTGAAAACATTGTCCCAAGTAAAAATGTCAGTTGCAAAAAACACATATATTGTATGATTCCATTTATATGAAATGTCCAAAATAGGCAAATCTATACAGACAGAAAGCAGATTAGTGTCTGTGTAGAGCTGAGATGGGGCAGTGGGGAGTGACTGCTAGCGTGCTAACAACACCTCTGTGGAAAACAAGTCAAGGGCCAATGAGTGTGATGCCAGAGCATTTGGAATCCCATAAACTGAGGGCTCCAAGTCAGTGGAGTCCTATTTATCAATGACATTTAATCAAGAATAACAGAAAAGACTTGTCTCCCCCTTTTGTCCTGCCTTCTTGCTTTTCACCAGCATGCTCTTTCCCAGGGACAGCAAGGAGGGAGGAGAAAGCCCTTGGCACCCGTACATTTTCCTCTGAGCCTAATTTCCATAAATCAGAAAATGCTTGCAATATGATTTAACAATTACTAATGAAAATATCGAGAATTTCATATCAGCTACTTATTTTGAGTAGTTGAGAAATAATGAAGCAAACAAAAAAATTCAAAAGAGCTAATTAGATGAATTTAACGTGTATATTGCAAGGAGAATCATATTTTGCACATTAACTAACAGATCAAAAAGCATGTAATTTTATGCTTAAAAGCACACTTTCAAACACAAGATACTTTAGGCTTTGTTTGAAGCTACATTTACACTGTTATGAAGGCCATAATCTTTGCTTTGGGGACCCAAATGGAGAAATTTCTCTGATAATAAGAATTATCTTTCTACTCTATGACCAGTAATGATTTATCTGTAATTATGTGCTATACTGTTTTTGCCTAAGAGTGATCCTAACTACATTTCATAGTAGTAAATTCTTGGATTAGAAGGAAAATGTTGGCTGGGCGTAGTGGCTCACGCCTGTAATCCCAGCACTTTGGGAGGCCAAGGCGGGTGGATCACGAGGTCAGCAGTTCAAGACCAGCCTGGCCAACATGGTGAAACCTTGTCTCTACTAAAATTACCAAAATTAGCCAGGCGTGGTGGCAGGCGCCTGTAGTCCCAGCTACTTGGGAGGCTGAGGCAGAGAACTGCTTGAACCCTGGAGGTGGAGGTTGCAGTGAGCCGAGATCACACCACTGGGTTCCGGCCTGGGCTACAGAGCGAGACTGTCTCCAAAAAAAAAAAAAGAAAGAAAACAAAGAAAATGTTGACAAGCCACTCACTCCTGGAATTGTAGGACACTGCCCCCTGTTAGCTGTTCATCTCTCCATAATGGATGTCCTTTCACTCCCTATTTTGTCAAAATGGACATCATTTTTCCACCATTCTGTCCGCAGGTATGTGCCTCCCTGCTGGATGTGTGCCTTGTGTTCAGCCCTACAGTGAACCTAAAGTGCTGATCTGTGATCCCCATAGGCTGGGCCTTTGTCCTTTTGTGGGCCTCTGCATCTTCCTTGGAGCCCTAGTAAATGGCTTCTCTCTCACCTACCTTCATTTCGTGGTCTCCACATTTATTTGAATCCCCAACCTCTTACCAACACTGAAGAGTTAAATCTTTAACTGTGGAAGTTCAAGCATTAAACTTGGACAGCAGAATTTTTTTTTTAAGAGCTAGACTCTAATCTCATGATCCACAAGTCCTATGTCATTTGAATAATGTTTATTTATTTGTTTATTTTTTAAGATGCAATCTCACTCTGTTGCCCAGGCTGGACTTCAACTCCCGGTTCAAACCATCCTCTAGTCTCAGCCTCCTGAGTAGCTGGGACTACAGGCACACACCACCATGCCTGGCTTTTAAAAAAAAAATTTGTGTGGAGATAGGGTCTCCCCATGTTGTGCAGTCTGCTTCATCTGTGTAGTTTTAAAGCCATCACCCCTTTCGGTCAACTCTCCAAAACCCAACCAAAGGGCAAAGGGGAAGGTAAGCATCTGAGTAAGTAACCTGGCTCAGACTGAATGACATTCCAGTTTTTACATTTATCTGCATAACTGTAAAATCAAGTAATCGAGGGTTCTCTGCATTCTGGAACATGTTTCTTTCCTGCTGGACTATCCTTCCCAAACATTCTGCCTGCTTGTCACTCATCTGGTGTGTGGAGACACACTAATCATGACACACTTACCCCCCTACATGAGGCTAGACCAACTTCAAGTGCTTAAACTACTTCACACAAAGTACAGCAATAATGAAGTAAAGGAACATAAAGATAAACAACAACTGTAGTTAATAATACATTTAGAAAATGAATTCATTTCATTGGAATGAGAAGAAATATACTCTATGTAGGACTGTCATAGCTAAAATTAGCTCAGGGGAATGGCATTTTGCTGATGTTGCTCTTCCCAATCTTTTTTACAAAACATGGCTGTCTGCTGGAAACTGTGAGAATGAGACAAGACCCATACAGTTCTTCAGGATCCCCACATGAACACCAGTTAGGGGTGCAGAAGCACCATCTTAATGATGTGCTTCTAGAACTGGGTTAGGTTACTGACTATGCTACTTTTGTTAGAGCTTTTTAGCATGCTGTCTTAAAAGACTGAATTAACTTACTCATCTTGTAACTAAAATTTCATACCCTTTAACCAAAGTCCCTCCATTTCCCTCACCCTCCTATCCCCTGGCAAAACACCTTTCTGCTCTCTGTTTCTATGAGTTCTTACATTCCACATATAAACAATAACATGCAGTATTTGTCTTTCTATATCTGGCTGAAATAAAGCTGGAGGAGGGGAAAGAAAATCTTTAAAAAAGAGAGAGACTGAATTACCCATGCTTATCTAAGTTAATATATTATTTACCATGGTTCTTAAAGTCCCATTTTTTTTCTTTGTTTTCCTACTTTTATTTATATGAAGGATGATCAGTGGGTCCAGGATATGTCTGTCTGATCCTTTCATATAGCTGTTTAGCAAAATAAAATTAAAAAAAAAGAGAAATGAAAACAAATACATGCAGAGAATATAATCCAGGTAGAAAACTGCTATTTTGCAACCCTCAGTAAAATAAATGAAATTGGGAAACACTAATCAACAAAAGTACAATTTTTAAATGTGGATCTGGAGACAAACCTGTGTCTGGTCAGAGCTACCCTACGCTATGAACTGCCTGGCTGTACATGACCCATCCAATTTCACAGCTGAACCAAACTTACTTACCACCCACATTAGTTTTAACACACACTGAGGAGATATGCTAGAACCACTGTATAAAATAGCAAAATAAAGTTGAAGATTGCCAGTTATCTGAAAAGATTAGATTTTGTCAATTTGGATACTTCAGTCAAAGGACACTGTTTGGGTTGTTTGTTTTAGGTTTTGCCTCAGTTGTACTATATTGGCTTTGTAAGGTTCTCAAACAAGTTGTACAATGTGTTTTGCTCAAATGCTTAAATTATGTCTTTGCAGAACCTAAAATTACTATATTTGCAAAAATAAGTTAAACATCTTTCTGCAAAATGAAAGTAACCCAGATCAGAATTTTAAATCCCTATGATCTTAGTATCGGTGAAACCTGTTAAATAAATAGCAATTGATGTATGTAACACTTCAGGAGACTTCTTTGATCAGCAAATCTGTCTAGCTGGAGAGAAACGTATTCTGGCAGAGAAAACAATATATGGCAATGAAAAGAAAGCAGAAGAAACATGGCATAGAAAATGAGATGACATACTTGGGTCCTAGAATTATTTTGCCAAGGGCTCAGAAGTCAATGTCAAGGGCTTCTCAGAGCTTACTGCCCATAAATCGACAAGCCTGAGAAAAGCTTATAAATGATATTAATCTCCATGATGACACAGCGAGGGAATACAGAGCCCTTTTCATGTGTGACAATGCAGTTTTGCAGCGTGGGCCACCACAGTGGTTTGGCAGCATCTCTAGTAATGTTGGACAAAGATTTAGCCTTTGTCTTTTACTGAGGAGAGTACTGCCAATGCGAATATTGGGAACTCCTCCCTTTCTGGTGAGTTAACAACATTTGTAAGCAGCAAGTCAATTAAAATCAAAAGAATACTACTAAGTTCCTGGTAAGAGCCAATCATGTTAATTCATTTCCCATTAAAGACAAGTAAGTGATGAAAAGGTACTCCCAGTGGATTTGTAACTGTAAGAGCTTTACCTCTTGCCTGTGCATGTGAATGGGCTAAAGAGGCTTGAAGCATTCACTGGACCCTGCCATAGTGCAAGGCTCTGCCTCACCTGAGGTGCCAGGGCAATGTGCGTGCTGAGCTCCTTATGAAGACAGCCTGCCATCGAGCCAGCAGGGACTGGAACTCTATTGGAAGACAACATCACTTTACCGCATGAATGCAATCTAATGAGATCATTTTAGGTTTAAAATTATTTTAGCTAGCAAAAAACAAAGAGTGAATTGTCCAGTCAGTACACACAACAGATTTAGGAGATAACTGAATGTATATTGAAATAGATTACACAAAGTCTTTGGTCTTTGGTCTTGAAAGGAAATGAAGTGTGCCAAATATTCTGACTAAGAGTGTTCTCACTTATAACATGTATAAATTATGAACCTTTTATAAACATAACACTAAAGATACCTAATATTAAAATTGTGCCAAGCATAATCTTTCTTTGGATGTTCATGGAAACACTTCAGATTTGATCACATTTTTTGAGTCATTGATAACAGACCAATTAAATAGATGCCAGTTAAACATTCTGCTTACTGGAATACTGGAAAATAAACATTTAGCATATATTGATCTCAAATAATTAAAAATTGTTGTAGTTTTCTACAATATTTCTAGAATACAAAGTTTCTTCTTTGGAGTAATACAATAAGACATATTACTTACAGTAATATTGCAGAACAATAAGTAAGTCGATATGCTTTAAAAAAGAAATAGGAAACATTAACATTGGAAAAGAAAAACTCTGGACTTATAATAATGAAAATAAGCTTTGTCATCAGTCTCTGGCTCAGTATTTTATGAGAGGGGAAGATTTAACTAAGGGCTTCTGTCATGTAAAATTTCAATTTAGCATGACAATTTAGAAATACAAATTGTATTAGAATAAAAAATTAAAGACTGAAAGAAACTGCAGAGAAAATACAGTTTCTGGTTCTTTCAAGTATTGCTTTTGAGTACGTATTTCTTGGTGAAAAATTGCCACAGAATAAGACTTATAAACAAATCACCTTTCTCCTCTAAATAGCAGCATTTACAAATTCACTTTCACTTGCAGTACTTATTAGATCTTACAGCCTAACATAATTTTTATAAAGGAGAGCTGTTGGTGACTTTTATGTTTGATACATAGTTACTAATCAAGTGCTTGAACCATTTAGCTACTTGACATCTCTCTGAATGTGGCCTACTAATTTAATTACTACACTTTAAGACAATAACATTCATTTAAGTTTTACTTTCTAACCATATGTGATTCTCTCTCTGGTAGTATTTCCTTTAAAAATTACCCAGTTAGTTTACAATTATCAGAAAGATAAAGATGGAATTAAAATAGATGCTAAGTGACTACAAATCTTTTTATACAAATCATTCTCATAACGGTGCTAATCTTGTCTTCTACAATTTGATTGTAACAGAAAATATTATTAAATGATCTCAATCCTTAACTTTTTTCACTAAAGAAATAAAGGAATTTCCATCTTTTGGTTTTCAATCTAGAACATTTTTGCTATGAATATAATAGAAGTGCATGAAGGAAAAAGCAGCAAGTTGTAGTTATGCAATTACTACATAAAATAATTTCAAGTTGCCTCTGCAGAGCTGAAATAGTACCTTTTTCACAGACAGGATTTTCCAATAAGCAAACGGAATCTGCACAAAACTGGTTTTATTTTTCTGACAGGATGTGTCTTCCTTTACTCAATGGGCGACCCGACATCAGCAATAACAATACCAATGCCTGAATAGGGTTATGAACTTTTCCAGCAAATTTCCAGTGTCTCAGGTAACTTAATTCTGAACATACCCTGATGAGATAACAAATAGATATCTTCTACATTTCCTTTGCATTTACATATCATCAAAATTAAGAAAAGAGCATATAATCTTCATAATCTTAAATTAAAATATTTTACTCTCTGTGCCAGGCACCTTCTGTGGGCATCTTCAGATGACTCCCCAGCTTGTCTACCCTCTTTAGCACCTGGGACCCTGACCTGTATGGTAAGGGCACTTGTAATCTCTAGTTCCCAGGGAAATATGGCCAATGGGCAGCATCAACAGAGAACCAAGGAAGGACAGAGGACAATGAGGACAGGAAATTTATCCTCTGTTTCCCCCCAAGGGTCCTCTCAGACTGGCTGGATCCCTGGAGAGAAGACTGAAGTTCTGTGAGTTGGTCTACTCTATCTATGGACAAGAGGAGGAGGGGCTTTGACTTCATTGTTTCCTGTTAGAGCCCTGTCTGTCACAGTCTATTCTGCTGGTTTCTCCTTACTTTGTTCTTCTAAATGTTGGAGTTCTTCAAAGTCATTCCTGGACTTTAATCTTCTTGTCACTCTTGATGATCTCATTAATTCTTATAAATATAAATCTCACCTATAAGCTAATAATTTCTAAATTTATATGTCAATTTCAGACTCCTCAGAGCCCTATACTCATGTATCTACCTATTGATTTGCATCTCTGCATGGAAGGCAACAAATTTATCTACATGAACGTACATGATACTGAACAATTGATTTCTGCCTATGCCACCAGTCAATACTTGTTCTATCTCAAGTTATTTCCATTTCAGTAATTTGTATCCTACTCAACTAGTTAGCCAAGTCAAACATCTAGAAGGTCCACCTTGGTTTCTTCTTATGATTACCTATTAAGTCAAAGCTATTAAAAAGTCCTATATATTTAACTCTGGTAACACATTCCAAATCTGCCAGCATCTATCTGTACATCTACATTACTGTCATGTGTGGCCTAGTCCACTGGTGTGGCATCAGCCTCTGCACAATCCTATCACTGCCTCATCCCAAGTCAGATACTTTTTGGTGGCTGTTGATAAGAACAACAATAACAGTAGCAATAATGGGTGGATTACCACGTACCTCCTTAAACCCTCAGCCTACTGCCTATTTCTCTAACCTATTCTATGCTAGCATCTTCTTCATTCCTGAGCTCCAGCCACAGCAGCCTCTAATTTGTCAGACAGGCCAAGATCTTTCCCATTTCCATGCTCGTTTGTGAGTTGTTTCTCTTCTGTGGAATGCCTCTCACCATGGTTTTATGCCTCTCACCATGGTTTATGCCTCTCTTCGGTTCTCACCCTTAGAGGGAGGTCTTCTCTCCCCATATTCTCATCAGGATTTTGCGTTGTTTAACACAACAGCACAAAAAAGTCTTTACAACACTTCTCATAATCTGTCTACTGTCTTTCCTCAGATGCTCTCTGAGGACAGGGGCTTGCTTTATTGTTTTATTTTTCATGGCATGATACAGTATATAGCACATGGAAGTTATGTGAATGAAGACAAACAGTAAAAGCAGTAAACAATAAAAGCACTATAAGAACAGTCTGTTGATGATAAAAACATTTAGATCTAAAATAACATTTCTTGCAGAAAGCTTTCCCCAGGCTCCAAAATCTTCTTGAGATCAATCCAGTTCCAACTATGCTCATAACAACAAACAAAAGAGTAGTTCTGGGTGATATATTTCCCAGTACCTACCCTTACTACTCCCTTCACTCAGAAATTGCCTCAAGGAGTTCAATGGATACTTCTTTTTTTTTTTTTTTTTTTTTTTTTTTTTTTGTGAATTTTCCAGATTTCCTTCTGTTGTCGATTTCTAGTTTAAGTCCTTGATGGTCAGAGACTATACATCATATAATTTTTAATTCTTTTAAGGTTGTTAAGCTTTTTTTTTATTATTATACTTTAAGTTTTAGGGTACATGTGCACATTGTGCAGGTTAGTTACATATGTATACATGTGCCATGCTGGTGCGCTGCACCCACTAACTCGTCATCTAGCCTTAGGTATATCTCCCAATGCTATCCCTCCCCGCTCCCCCCACCCCACCACAGTCCCCAGAGTGTGATATTCCCCTTCATGTGTCCATGTGATCTCATTGTTCAATTCCCACCTATGAGTGAGAATATGCGGTGTTTGGTTTTTTGTTCTTGCGATACTTCTAAGGAATCAGGTTTCCCATTAACAGCACTGCCATTTCCTGGTTATCTGATGGGGCCAGCGTCTCAGTGTCTACATTCTCTGTGTCTCAGTGGTTTCAGCAGTAAAATGGACTAATTTCATTTGTCTCTCAAGATTTGTGAGGATTTATTTAGATATTGTAACCAAATGCCACTAGGCATTGTCTTAATAACACTGATTATTTTTACTTTTATTTTTCAGTCCACTGATTATTTCCCTTTTCACAGATAAAATATTGCTGTCTTCACCTTTAAGTATTTTCCGTAGCATAAGAGTATGATGAATTAGATGTCAGCAAACCTAATTTCTAGCTTTACTTTGACCACTATCTGCATAAAGTCAGAGTAAAGATATAATCTTTCTTAGTCTCAATTTTACTATCCCCCCAAATGCAAGTGTTAGAATAGATTAATTCAAAATTCTCTGCCAACCCTAAGATTGTAAGGGTTTTATGAATAACCAATGAACAAAAGACGTTTTAGGTATTGTTCGGACAGCAGATTTATAACATTTAAAAATTATTTTTAAAAAATAAAGTGAGCTCTTTGCAAGTAAAGAATTGCACAGCATCACAATAGTGACAATATTTTCTGGAATTTCAGGAGAACTTCACATGTCTCAGAGCTGTGAGAAGTAGAGGAGAGCTGGGGAGCATTTGGTATAGCCACATTTAGCAGATGTGAAGGTAGGAGTCCACAGCCTTTTTGCATGCCAAATCAAAGCCAGCTGCCTAGACGTTTTATACATGATCAAACATACCCTTTTTCTTAAGCAAAATACACAACATATTACTTTTATTTCTTAGTCCACTGATTATTTCCCTTTTCACAGATGAAATATCTCTGCCTTCAACTTTAAGTATTTGCCATAGCCTAATAAAAAGATGAATTAGCACAGTAATTAGTATAGTATAATGGTATGAAAATTAGTTACATTAGTATGACAAAATACTGGCATATTAATAAGGTGTATTTTACTTAATTGGCAAAAAAATCTCCCCTGGATTTCCAATTCCATTTAAAAATTTTAAAAATAGCATAAATATTAGTACAAATAAGAACTACTAGAGGAATAGCATATAAAATGTTGAGCAGTTTTTCAAAATCATTCCAATTGTAATTAACTGGGAAATAAATTATATTAATACAATTTCATTGCATTTATCATGTGCCATGGGACTTTGAGATGATAACATGTTTAACATTCATTTTAATAGAAATTAAGCAAGCAACATTTAAAATTTACTCAGAGAAGAGTCTGTAAAGATATAATGACATAAGTTGTCCTTTGAACTTTCCTTTAAGGAATGCGTTTTTAAATAATTATTTTTTTTTATTGATTGATTTTTGAGGCAGCATCTCACTCTGTATCTCAGACTGGAGTGTGGTGGCATGATCTCAGCTCACTGAAACCTCTGCCTCACAGGTTCAAACAATTCTCCTGCTTCAGCATCCCAAGTAGCTGGGATTATAGGTGTGCACCACTACACCTGGCTAATTTTTGTATCTTTATTAGAGATGAGGTTTCACCATGTTGCCCAGGCTGGTCTCGAACTCCCAGGCTCAAGCAATCCTCCCAAAGTGCTGGGATCGTAGGCCTGGGCCACTGCGCCTGGCCAAGGAATACTTTAATAGTAACTGAAATATACTTAAGAATTTCAACCACTAACAATTGACCACAAAAACATAACTAGAGAAGGATAGCTCAATGAAGCCAAACGTGGGTTAACAGGTATTCCCTTGTGCTTCTGGAAGTATGGCAATCTTAGGCAAACAACCTACCTATGAGCACATGGAATTTAGATGTCTCTTTTATCACAAGAAAGATCTAAATATTCCATATTTAACGGAAAAATATAAAAATCGTAGACATTACTGAGTCCATCTATGAAGTAATGCTGTTTCTTACAATGAGCTACATGAAGGCCAGGAATTAATAAAGTTCACTCCAAATAATTTCACATGGATTTATGCAATTCAAAATAGCAACTATAATACCAGGAAGTGAGCTTCATGTCTATAAGAAAAAAAAGAGAGTGGTCTCAAGAAGATCAGTGAATTATAGATAAAACATAAGGACTGAGATACATGTAGTCCAACACCTAAGGATTCAGTATTCATCTTGATTTTCAATTAAGCTGTAAATTATTTTTTTAAAATAAAATAGAATAGTTTGCTAGCACCATTTTTCACATGATGACATCGATTCTTGTGTTCATGTAAATGTGTGGTGCCATTTCAAATGATTCATTGGTAAGTATTTGTTAGACAACATCCCCACTGGTCTCTTCACCAACCACAAACCAATGACCAGTGCCTTTCCTAAGAAGAGCAACTTTTAGAACCATCAGGCCTGGACAGAACGAATATGACTTCAAACACTAAAGGTGTGTAGTGTGAGAACAAGGAAAGAACTTTCCTACTTAACCTGAGGGAGCTTTGGGTCCAGAATTGAAATCCAGTGGGTGAGGATCGGTGCACCTCTCCTGTGGAAGGCGTGATCTCAGAAGCTCTGCAGCACTTAAAGAGAAGGGTGGCAAAGATCAGGGAAGAAGTAGCAGGAAAGACCAAAAGGTGGACTGGGCCTCTCCATGCCGTGAGCCCGGGGGCTCTTAGGAATTTGTAGGTAAGGCAGCTCAGGGGAGAACCGCTTCTTTCCAGTGCCTCAGCAAAAGACTGACAGCCTTCCAGCCCGAGGAGCAGAGACACTGCATCCTTCTCACTAATTTTGCCGAAACTGAGCTTTAGGCATCAATCATGAATGAGCCAAGAACACTGTACCAAAATACAGCCTCTAGAGGAGACAGAGGATATTTTGCACCAAAGAAAATAACAAGAGTACTTAAGAAGATTCGAGTACAACATTCAAAAGTCCAGGAACATAATTTTCAAACTAAACTATTCAGTAGATGATTTAAGAAGAGGATAGTAATTGTTCAGTGACTACAACATTCAAATTGAAGAAATATCTTAAATTACATAGTAAAAAATGCACCAAACAAGGGTCATGAGAGAAAAATCAGCAGATTTGGGGAAGACATTGTGTTCCTCACAACAATAGATCTACAATCTTCATGTCTGGTAGAGAAAATCGAAACAATTTTAAGGTTCAACTTCCTCACCACAGTAAAATAACCCATGATAATTAATGAATAATAAGATGATATACATAAAACAGTTTTTGGAGGCCCAGCTTAGAACATGAATTGAGTTAATGTTAGATTTTTAAAATAATTAAAATATCAGTCTCTGTGGAGTTTAATTTACAGAGGTTTTATGAGATTAAAAGGGAGAGAATAATTAAGAGGTTCTGTGTTTTTTCTTATTTTTTTCATTTGTTTGTTTGAGACAGAGTCATGCTCTGTCACCCAGGCTTGAGTGCAGTGGCAAGATCTCAGCTCACTGCAACCTCTGCTTCCCAGGCTCAAGCAAGTCTCCTGCCTCAGTTTCCTGAGTAACTGGGATTATAGGCTCCTGACACCATAACCAGCTAATTTTTGTATTTTTAGTAGAGAGGGGGTTTCACCATGTTGGCCAGGCTGTTCTCGAACTCCTTACCTCATGTGATCTGCCAACCTCGGCCTCCCAAAGTGATGAGATTATAGGCATGAGCCACCGCGCCAGGCCTGATATCAACTTTTAATATCAACACAGAGCCTTAATAGAGTCAAAACATATTTTTTGGATGATGTTTAAGTATCTTTGAGCATTTTCCTATAAAATGTTAAGCTCCTGTGATTTGATCTCCAGAAAAGTTAGAAACTGGTCATTACAATTACACAAAGTCACTCCTCAGGCAACTCTCAAGGAGATTAAAAAGTCTTCTAGCAATGTACAACTTGTTACCAATTGTCACTCCTTGTTGGGAAACACAAATATGTTCATCTACATAGACAACATCTTTGTGATATTAGAATACATTTAAGTTTAAGAAGAAGTATCCTTCCTGGAAGATGCCATTTATACTGTGTACGTGTGTATCAGTGGAAATGGGGTAAAAGCCCTCTGGTTGCTTTGGACCCTCATAAAGATAGTGGTGACAACAAAAAGAATGTATTCACCAGGACAGCTCTTTATGGCCTTGAAACATAAAATGGTTAAACATTGGTCATGTTTATCTTATCACTGGGAAAAAGTTGTAAACGGATTGAGGACAGAAATTACTCTTTTTTTTTGAGACGGAGTTTTGCTCTTATCATCCAGACTGGAGTGCAATGGTGGGATCTTGACTCACTGCAACCTCTGCCTCCCAGGTTTGAGAATTCTCCTGCCTTAGCCTCCCAAGTAGCTGGGATTACAAGCATGTGCCGCCATGCCTGTCTAATTTTTTGTATTTTTAGTAGAGACAGGGTTTCACCATGTGGGCCAGGCTGGTCTCAAACTCTTGGCCTCAAGTGATCTGCCCACCTCAGCCTCCCAAAGTGCTGGGATTACAGGCATGAGCCACCACACTTGGCCAAAATTGCTCTTTTTACTCTTGTTTATACCTCTCGTAGCTATTACGAATTGCTAAATTTGTTGTGAATGTGTTAAACGTATATGTTGAATATGCTAATATAATCATTGAAAATATGAATATTTGGGGACATTAATTTTAAGAAGAAAGAACATGCAATGTAATTGAAGTGGAATTTGAATCCAACTAGAAGTTACATGTCCTATTAATTATTTCATGGAGATACAACATTCATCTTTTCATGATTTAGATTTTGTCTAGGTAAAAGGAACAAGAATATCGTGTAATGGTTGATTTTCATAAAATTAACCAGATTCAGATTACATCAGACGGCCCACTTTGACTACAAAAAAATATTGTGAGACTTAATTCAATATTAATACACTTCCCTGCTTTTCCAAAGAACAGAAAAAAAAATCAGCTTTTTATTTCTGGAGTAAAGAAAAGAATATTCTGAAATCACTTCCTTTTTGATTCTATAATATAAAAGCTACTGCAAGCCATGTTAAAACCAGTGCCTTTCAAATATTTAAAATGTTCAAAAGCCCAGGTAAAATTTAGGGAGGATTGAAATCCTTGGTATGTGTATATATCCCACCACCATACACGTATCTCCCAGAGTTTTCAAGATTTTATTCACGGTCTCATTGTAGCCTAAATTAGAGAGAATGTATATTGAACTATTATGTCTACAAAGTTATTTACAATATTTTATCCAGTTATAGTAACGGACTTTTATATGCTTAAGAGTATGAAATAATTTTGACAAAAGTAGCCAGGAGTCAGATTTACATGAACAACAACAGAAAAAGAATGCTGACAGTAACTCAAAAACGGTACAGCTGGAAAAGATAAACCTTTAGGAAAGTACTTCCTACATTTATAAATACATAATAGATAGATGATATAGATACATAGATGATAGATAGAGATGCTGGACTAGAGAGGTCATTGGCAAAAAATAGGGGCTTTTGAGTCACTTAGATCCAAGTTTGCTTCCTGGTTTTCCTAGTTAGTAAAACCTAGAGAGCAAGGTATTTAATCTTTCTGATTGTCAGTTACTTTATTTGCAAACAGAAGATGCTTATAATGACCTGCTTTCATACAGCGATGACGTTTAAGGAGAAGGATATTGTGAATTATTGTCCAGCAAATATCCCCTTGTTCTTGGTCCCACTGTGCACAAAGGGTCCGGGCCTGCTCCTTTCCTGCTTGGCCATGTGATTGGCCATGTGCTTTGACAGGTAGACCTTGAGTTAACTGACACAGGCAGAGGCCTTCAGTGCCTGTGTGCTGAGGCTTGCCTGTCATGCTCTAGTCATCCACACAGGGAAAAGGACACTCACAACTGCTGCCCCTTTAGCCTGGGCCCTGGCAGGCAAAGTGCATGAACCCAGCGAATCTGCAGGAAGACTGAGTCCTGCATAGATCAGCTGAACACGGGTCATCTGCTGGCTGGTGAATGTGAAAACAAAGGCTTGTTTCAAGCTTATTGTAAGTCATTTTGTTTATAAGGCAGCATTACTGGGGCAACTGCTGCTTAACATAAGACCCATGACGAAAGGTTAAATGAATGCAGACCTCAGCTTTCTAATTATTTGGAGCTGCCCTACGATGGACCACACTACCTTTAAAAATAAAGCATTTGTATCCTGTAAGCTTTAGCAGAGGATACAAGGCCTGCTGGGATGCTGCTCCCAAAAGTTCCACATTGCAAGGAGGGCAATCCTGTAGCCATAGATTCTAACAGTCTGTGAGTTTGTGTATTCAAGTATTGAAGTTAACCTACCAGACTTCCAACACTGTTTTGAACAATGTAAATCCAAAGACTAAAGATGAAATAAATGACCAGGTATCTTAAGTAGGGTACTAAATCTATGATTATTAGATACCTATTCAGAATACTCATCACACCACAGGAGAAAATTACATGGCGCTTAATATTTTAATGGAAAACAATACCAAATACATTAAAAAATCAGTAGTTAGTACTCAGATTAAAGAAGTAAGAATATATAGCCTGCCCAACTGGTGAAACCTGGTCTCTACTAAAAATACAAAAAAATTAGCCAGGCATTGTGGTGGGCGCATGTAGTCCCAGCTACTCAGGAGGCTGAGGCAAGAGAATCGCTTGAGCCCGGGAGATGAAGGTTTCAGTGAGCCGAGATTGCGCCACTGCACTCCAGCCTGGGCAACAGAGGGAAACTCCATCTTTTTTTTTTTTTTTTCTTGCAGGTGATGAATTCATTTATTAACTAAAGGTGAAGTAGACGTTACATGGATTTTTTTTATTATTATACTTTGTTTTAGGGTACATGTGCACAATGTGCAGGTTAGTTACACATGTATACATGTGCCATGCTAGTGTGCTGCACCCATTAACTCGTCATTTAGCATTAGGTATATCTCCTAATGCTATCCCTCCCCCCTCCCCCCACCCCACAACAGTCCCCAGAGGGTGATGTTCCCCTTCCTGTGTCCATGTGTTCTCATTGTTCAATTCCCACCTATGAGTGAGAACATGCAGTGTTTGGTTTTTTTGTCCTTGCGATAGTTTACTGAGAATGATGATTTCCATCTTAAAAAAGAAAGAAAGAAAGAAAGAATGTATGTTATGAAATTATGCAAATATCTTTTTTTCCAAATATTTCTTCTTAGCACAGCATCTACTGATCTGTAGAATGAAGGATGTAGCAAATTCCATTAATCCCTGAAATAGAATTCTAGACTCACACCCTACAGCCTACAGAGCTCTATAAAGTCAAAGTCAAACCTGATATACTGTTTAACTCTCCTAGGAGCTGCCCTTTTCTCAGTGAGAGTTGTGAAATGGGTGTTAGAATTGGGACCTTTCAAAGACTTGGTACTTGGATCCTATCACACCAGAATCAAGAGGTACACAACATAAGGATATAGTAACTGCTGAAATAATTTGGAAGGGGACATTTAAACATATTTTTTAAAATTATTATACAACAAATACTTCAGTGATAATATAGTGAGATAAAATTCCTTAATTCTACATTCATATTGTAACCACTTTATTTGCTTTTGAACTATAATGAGATTAAATTTTCCTGCTTTAATATTTAAAAGCTTTTAAAAAAATAAATGCATTACTCAAATTAATGGGATAACAAAAACTAATCATTTAAACTTAAGTGGGTACTAAAATATATTTATTGAACCAAAATTAAAATGGAAATAAAATGCAAATACAATACATTGTGATATAAAAGTTTGCTTTTCCAAGAAAGACTCATTTTAAAAGAAGAGGAAATGCAATGTAATCTGAAAGTACTAGAAGTACAGAAATATTTTCATCCAAATAAGTTTTATATTAATGTGGGGCTCACAGTGAAATTTTAAATGCATGGATTATAGGGCCAGAAGGGCAAGGATTAAAATTCTGCAAATTGGACAAAAGAGAAGTCATTTGGAAATACAGGATGTTTTCTCAAGCCTTCAGACAAAAAGATCCTTCCACACTCATACCTTGTATCCTAAATCCATTCTCCTAGCCTGAACAAGTATTCTGTTCCTCTTTGTTCTGTTTCAGGAAGAACAATAGCAGTTTCAGAGATGTGAAGCCATTAACATTATCCTAAAATATTAGCACTTGTACTTAGTGCTTAGTATTTACCAATAGTTACTAGAACATACATTTCATCTTTATACTGCAAGCACCCACTTTGCAATTCTTTCTTTAATTGGCCAGTTTCTCCACTAGATCGAAGGATCCCTTTTTGTAAGCAAGGAATACAGCCTTTGAGTACCATAATTTGGATGTAATCCCTGGGTGTGTGTCCTTTGGCAAATCACCTCACCTTTCTGAAACGTTCTTTCACTCCCAACTTCTTTTTGAACAGGGTGGATTTAAATACTTTTTAAAGAAACATATTGAGCAACAAAATAAAGGAGTATTGCATTATGACTGAAATTACAAAATAAACATCCATGAGTTCATACTGATACAATGAATGATTAGATTTGAACATCAAATGGTGGAGAGGAGGCAAATCTCTTATGAAGAGAAATTGCAAATATTTTTTGTAGATAATAAACCCTCAAGAGATGAAGCCTAAATCCTCATAGTGACTATTTTCCAAAGAGCACAGTATGGAGGTGGGTGGAGTGCAAGGGAAAGTAACTTTACAGAGGAGAAACCGGACAAACATTACCCCAGCCAAGTGACTGAAGTCCACATCAACGGTGATACGTTGTGTTGACAGGATGCAATGAAATGGCAATTTACCTCTGTGGTCTTCCACCTCAAATCACATAAACTCAATCTAGTCATACTTGAAACATCAAAGAAACCCCAATATAGGGACATCCCATAGAATATCTGACAATTATGCCTCAAAACTCTCAAGGTCACCGAAAATAAAAGAAGTCTGGGAAATGATCATAACTAAGAGGAGGCTGAGGAGACATGAGGACAAAATGTCCTGTGGTGTCCTGGGTGGGATCTTGAAGCAGAAAAAAGAACAGCAGATAAAAACTAAGAAAACTTAAATTAAGTAGGAACTGTAGTAAAAAAAATGGCATTGATATTGGTTTATTAATTTTAGAAAATATACCATACTAGTGTAAGATGTTAATAATAAAAGAAACTTCATATGGGGTGTTTGAGAACTCTGTGTGCCACATTTGCAAATTTTCTGTATATTAAAAACTACTCAAAAAATAAAATTTATTTTGAAAAAGAAATATGTTGTCTATAAAGAGCTTTGTAAGCTGGAAAGTGATATGCAAATGAAAGTTGTGTTACTTGTTAGTAAATTTTTCCTTGTCTTCAGTCCTGGGTAGGTCTCAGTCAAGACAAATAGGGCATCAATTCAGAAAACTTCTTATCAGATTTTGTGGGCAAGGTTTACAATATTACCTTTACTCCTCTCTACTAATGTTCAGATTGAAAAGGCAGGTCTGTCCTAGTCTATATTTAGCGTACCCTTCCTCCCTTTTGTCTTTTTGAGCTATATTTATCTCTAATTATTTGTGTACATTCTCATATATGCCACTAGATTGTATACCTTTTCATGTCAAACATATGACCAACATATGTCTGAACACTTCTCGAAATTTTTACTCCAGTGCAATGTTCACAGTAGGTCTTGCATACTAATAAAATCTATTAATCTAAAAACAAGTAAATAAACACAAAATGGTAAAAGCGAGAGAGAAAAGGTCATTTATATCCTTCTAGACAGATTAACATATATTAGAATGACAAATCCAACCTCTATCCAGAAAGCTTCCTACCCTTCAATTAGAGACTTATCCCAGAGTTCAGGACATCTGCTAGTGGAATGTGACACAGGCTTCCAGCTGGAACATCAGCCAGACTTCAAGGCAGGCAGGCAGCCAGAGCCCAGAGGGGCTCACTCAGGCCGCAGGCCAGGCTGCCCATGAACCTGAAGCAGGTGCAAAGGCCTCCATGACCAGCTTCAGAGCCATTTCAAATATGCATATATATATATATATAAAAGTTAATGTAAATATATAATATATAAATATAAATATATAATGTATATAAATTAATGTAAATATATATTAATATAATATATAATATATAAACATTTGTTTAATGAATTTCAGAGGAAAAGTCAGAAGAAAGTGATATCAGATTCTGAATATCAGTTATAAGTGAGGTGACCATTCTGGTGAGCCTTAAAGGTGTAGGAGTTCCATAAAGACAACTTCTTCTGGGAAGAGGGTGGCTCTTCTAGAAGGGAGCTGTTCAACCTCTTCAGCAATGTTAAGTCTCCTCAAAAGGAACTGCACGGAGGCTGGAGTTGTTATATTCATATTTTTTGGACAGAAAGCAGGGAAAGGGTCAAAGGGAAACCCCCCTTTGTGAAACCACCCACTCTTGCGTTGTCAGAGCTTGAATGCAGAGTGCTACAGGACTGAAGAGTTTGTCCTGAGAAGAGGGGGTGCCCCACTCAGATGCATCCCACAAAGGGGCATTTTATTGATGAATTCAGTCCAGTCCACGTTCCCATCTCTAAATGGCAAGGGCTGTTCCAACAGTGCCTTAAACGTTGCTCCATCAAACATATGTTGATTTTATCAGTTAAAGTTTTTTAAACTTAGAATATCAGCTAAGAGATCATTTCCTCAGAGCAGTCATTCCTGACCCCTGAGACTAAAGTATTCACATAAGCAGTATCCTGTCTCATGATGTTTTTGCAACATGTGTTCTATTTTCACATGTATGATTACATACTTAAAATATTCAATATTTCTGTGTTTAATATTTGGTATCTCTCTCTACCATCTGACTACAAGTTCTGTGAGGACAGGGTCATAACTGTTTTGAGTTCTCTGTTGTTAGTACAATATTGGGCACATGTTAGGTCCTCAATAAGTATTTACAAAACGTCATTTGGTGAAAGAGACTGTACAGAAATGTCATCTGTTGAACACATTGTCTCTCCTTGAGCAAACCTGAGAGGAAGCCAAATGTTATGAAAGTTTGCTTCATAAAAAACAGAGTCAAAATAAAGGATTTTTTTACATGAATTTCATATTGTATATAATCAAGTTAAGAGATAAAGCAGGTAGAAATAAAGATACACCTGCCACTGTGACTGAATTAGCCATTCCCCTTTTCACTGAGACAGTATTTCCCAGGAAAATCTACTTTTTCGCTAAGCTAACCAACCACCACCCACCCCAAGAGTGGGCACAGCCATTCCTCAGATATGTGATTACAATACCGCCTGGGTGCTGGGATCCTCTGTCTTTCGAGGCATTTTGCACATCCCTGCTCAATGTATTTGGTGCATGTTACCTAGCTGACTACCTTTTGGTGCAGTTTCCCAGGTCTTTCAGGGCATTTGGTTTGTGCCATCCTGCCACCTCAAGGACTCAGTGTGCAATTTCTCTGTATTGGTTTTGTTCAACCCAAGCACCTCAAATTTCACAGACTCCAGATTATACAGACCAAAGCCTGATGGAGTCAACTCCCAGAAGCCAAGAAATCATCTCATGCTATGTCGAATTCAAATATCCTCTCATGTATTATCTTATTACTGTGTATCATAAGACTTTTTCAGTTTTGCTTATATTTTACTCCACATATTTTATTGTTCCTCATTTTTCGTTTTTAAGTAAAAGGCAGAAAAGAGATGCTCTCGGCCTGCTAGACCCTAGACCTCTCAGGAGCTGCTGACTTTCCAAGAAGCCCATGGTTAGAACTTCTGAAACCCAATGCTTTCTAGCAGAATAGAGAAATTGAGGGTGGGCCTTTGCTAAACATAGAATATACCACAGAGAACAAGTTGTTCATTTTGGTTATTTTAAAAGGCTTAATGACTAATAGTTTGAAAAGGTCATTTTATGCCTTGTTACCCATGGTTAACTGAGCCAACTCAAAAGACATAGCAGGAATTTGACATACAAAATAAGCAGGCCAGGCACGGTGGCCTAAACCTGTAATTGTAGTTACTCGGGAGGCTAAAGTGGAAAAGATTGTTTGAGCCCAGGAGTTCAAGACCAGCATGGTTTACATAGTGGGAGTCTGTTTCAGAAAAAACCAACAACAACAACAAACAAAGTGTAGTACATTGCTTTTTATTAAGTGAGCATTTGTGGTGTGTATACTAAGTGGTCAATGACAAGGGTCTTATTCAATTAAACTATTTATTGGCAACTGACTATAAATAGACAAGCTATAGATGAGGGCCTAATGGTTGAAAGAAAATTAAAGAGATTCTCACATTCACTAGTAGTAATACAGATACAAATTTAGTTGCCAACATATGAATTTATACCCATTAGAACGGTAAAGTTAAAGGGTGGCTAATGCCAAAGTTTATACAGAATGTTAGAGAACAGAAATTTTAACACGCTAGTGGAAAGAGTAAGTATAAATTGAAATGGCCATTCTAAAAACAGTCTGCAGTACTAAATAAAATTTAAAATGTGAAAACATTTTGAATCGGCACACTCATAAGTTAATCAGTGAAATATCCTAAAGTCTTATTTCACTACTATGCATAGTATCTGATAATTGAAAATAACCTAAGAATCCATCTCTAGGAGACAGACTGGTAAAACGTGATAGGGCACCACTGTGGAATACTATGAAACACTTACACATACTGAACTAAAGCTTCAGAAACAACATGGTGAGATTTCCAACAAACATAATGCTGAAGGAAAAGAGCAACATCTAGAACAAGATTTGAAATTTAATACAATTTGTACAAATTTATTACACAGTCAAAATATGTTATCTAGTTTAAATTTATATTTTCATAGGAAAAAAATAAACTCTTGTTATGAAGTCCAAGAAACAATGGGAGAAAGGAAGAAAAAGAAAGAAGGAGGGAAGGAAGGAAGGAAGGAAGAGAGAGAGAGAGGAAGGAAAGAAAGAAAGAAAGAAAGAAAGAAAGAAAGAAAGAAAAGAAAAGAAAAGAAAAGAAAAGAAAAGAAAAGAAAAGAAAAGAAAACAAAAGAAAAGAAGGCATGGTAAGATAGGGAGGGACAAAGAGAAATTCCACAAATGCACCTTTTGGCACTGGAAGAATAGTATAGCCCTGCAATTAATTTGAATCCTGTCTATGTAGTGATGATTTTCATCCTGAGTATCCAATTTAATAAACATGCACATGCTCCTTTGTCTACAAAATAGTGGGGATTATAATTATTATCTACCTTCTAGGATTATTATGTGGATTAAATTAGCTAAGGCATGCAAAATGCTTGGCACACACTGAGCTGATCCTGTTATTTGGGAACACATCATGGGCAATGATCATATATGAGATTCGAGAGACAATTGGGCTCAGCTTGAGAATAGCTTTACAAATTACACCAAGGAATTACATGGTCAGTTGTGGGTAGCCAATGGAGGTTAATAGTCAAGGTCATGGAATGATTAGAATTTGGGTTTCAGAAAATAAGACAGAGTGGCATGGCATGGATTTGAAAGGAGTCAGGGAACCAATAATGAGGCTACTTTTGTAGCCAGGGAAGGGAGAGGCAGGTTCAAAGATAAGGACAAGGCCGAATTTAAGACTGATCACTGATAGGATAAAGAAAAGAAGGGAGGGACAAGTCAATGACTATGCCAAAAATATTAGCTTGTGGATCTGACAGGAATAATGTTTCAAAAAGGAACTCAGAAGGAGGAGGGAGGAAGGCAGGAAAGAAGAGAGGAAAGGAGAAAGAAAAGAAAACTGTCTGCCTCCAAGACAGCTGAATAACTCTAAAAGGAAATGTAAAATCACAGTCTGAAAAGCTACACATTGCATTTGGTTGGTATTTTTCACATGACCCTTTTTACCTCTGGTTTCCCTTGTCATTAGTTGTTGAAAAAAGCCTAATCATTTGTTCACTATGGTTTCCACATTTTGAGTGTAGCTGACTAGATCCCAGTGGTGTGGTTAGCATGTTTCATTGTCCTTCATATTTCCTGAAAAACCATAGTTAGATCTCCATCAGTACTCTCCAATAGAAATGTAATGTGAGCTACATAGAGAATTTTAAATGTTCTAGTTCACCTTGAAACAGTACAAATAAAAAGCCAGAATTAATTTTGTAACAGCTTTATGGAGATAATTCACATATAACAAACTGCACATATTTAAAGTGTATAGTTCGAAACCATTGCCATTATCAGCACGCTGAACCCCACCCCTAAAAGTCCCCGCAGGCCTCTATGTCATCCCTTTCTCCTGACGTTCCTGCTTCTTCCTGTCCCAGGCAGCTCCTGATCCACTCCACTATAGTTTAGCTTGTATTTTCTAGAATTTTATGTAATTGGAATCATATAATGTGTACTCTTTTTTCCCTTTGTTTGGTCTGACTTCTTTTATCAGCCTAACTGGGTTTGTTTATTTGTTTGTTTGTTTGTTTTGAGACGGAGTCTAGCTCTGTCCCCCAGGCTGGAGTGCAGTGGCGCTATCTTGGCTCACTGCAACCTCCGCCTCCCGGGTTCAAGCGGTTCTCCTGCCTCAGCCTCCTGAGTAGCTGGAATTACAGGCGAGTGCCACCACGTCCGGCGAATTTTTGTATTTTTACTACAGACGGGGTTTTACCATGTTGACCAGGCTGGTCTGGAACTCCTGACCTCAGATGATCTGCCCACCTCGGCCTCCCAAAGTGCTGGGATTACAGACATGAGCCACCATACCCAGCCAGGATAACTGTTTTGAAGTTCATCTAGGTTGATGCATGTATCAATAAGTATTTCAATACATAATTGCTGTTTTTTGCTTGAAAAAGTTCCCTTGTGTGGATGTACCATGTTTGCTCTTCACTTGTTGATGGACTGTTGGGTTATTTCTAATTTTGACTAGATAAGGGTGCTATGAACATTTGGGTACAAAAAGAAAAGTCAGGAAGTGGAATGAGTAAGTGGCAGGAAGAATTTTACATAATAGTGACACATTTTTCAAATTGCAGAAAACAGAGCATATTGTAAAAAAGCATAAATAGTGCCAAAGTGAATTTTCTGGAGGAAATCATTTTTTATATTTTTCATTCTCAAAAGTACTTGATATATTTATTACTTTATTTGAACCAATTTGACAATTTGTATTTTAGTTACCAAACGTGAGTGATACTTCCACCATAATTCTCTAAAATTTCGAGTTGTTTATATTCAGATTCCCTATAAAATGAACTCATATTAATAAACAGGGAAACTGTAGCAAAAGGGACCTCGACACTTTCAGCACACTGAATTTTCAAAGCAGATAGAGGAGCCACATTAAAAAAAAGGAAAATGTTCTTTGTATCTAAATCAATTATAAAATTTATTTTTTAAAAGGCGTTAAGTCAGCTGACAACATTTTGGTTAACTCTGTTAAGGGTCCTTATGCCTGCACTAAGCCCTTTAAATTATATCCACTAGTTTGCAATGACCCCTAGTTCTTTGCATATTGGAAACTCAACAATTGCTGAATAAGTCTCTCTGTGAACCATTCCAATTAGGATTTTTTTCAGTGTTCATAAACATTTTTAGTTTCAACTTTAATTAGTTTTAATTGGATTCACTTTCACATAATCAATTCGTCCCTTTAAAATGTAAATGCCAGAGTTCACTGCTATCCATGTCAGAGGGAAGATCGCAGATATTGCAGCCGAGCATTTAAAAAATAGAAAAGGCACAGTTATACCTCATAGTCCAATAGGGAAGATGAAGGGAGAATGAAGTTAGGATACAAATTTGAAAGACTGTAAGTGAGTACATCTGCCAGGCTATCAGGTGAATTGCAGTGTTGGGTTTTGCAGTTGCCAAGGTTTGGGGAAATCTGGCTTCCAACACTGGGCCAGAGCTGCAGGCTGGTGACAAAGGATTGTGCCAAGAGCACAGGAGAGATGTCCTGGCTGAGCATACATCAGTTGGGTTCTACAAACCTTTGTTTGATTTCTCCTGTCTGTCTTAACCAGGGCTGGGAAAATGGGAGCCGGTGTGCATTTGGATAGAGTCACCTGGGCTGCATGATTTTTTTTTCTTTTTCTTTTTTTTTTTTTTTTGGTTTACATCTCCTTCCTCACATGAAGCCACTTTTTTTCCAGTGACCCAGCATTTCCCATTTGTAAAATTCTTCCTAAGCATCTCTGCAGTCATTGAAGGCCTGTGCTTGACACCAAAAAAAAAAAAAAAAGGAATTAATGGCTTTGGGGGCCCTTTGTGAGTGAAATAGTATGGGAATCCCCTAAGACATGCATCAAAGTCCTCATCGGAGTAGGTTGCTCTCCAAACATTTCTTCTAAGAAGATGTCATCGGAACATTCAGAAGCGCTTTAACACACACAAACACACACACACACACACACACACACACACACACACACTTCTGCTTGGCTGCTGTCTCATTCCACAGATAAGATTAAAATTTAGCAAGTCTGGAATAAGTTCTTAAATTCATACTTTCAAATGCTTCCTACAACTGTTTGGTCAGTTTTATTAACCAATGATCTAGACAACACCTTTTCTGCCTTCTTCAACCTTTATGGTACGGGATGGCTTAAACTTACTGGTGCTAAATCAGCATTGGCATTGATTTATTATGCTTTCTCATGAAGATAAATAATAGTTTCTTTTGAAAATATGTTTAACATTTTTCCCTCACAAATTCAAAGAGAAACAATTCCTTTGTTTCAGCATTTTTTTTTCTCCAGGTTGCTCATCTAATCCTATCCCATTTGAGCTATTTTGCTGATGGAAGTTTCATGAAGAAACCCATATTTTCTTATGGAGATTAGATTTTAAACCAACTTATTTACTTGTTCACACATGGTACTGTTTTCACATGCATACACAAACATGTTGCTCTTATATTTGCATCTGTATTTTTGATGAAATGTCATAGGACTTGTCGACATAATCATGACAATGGCAATTATTACCTTTATTTTGCAATTATTTCACATTCCAGAGCAAACTCTATCATTAAACACATACTCTTCAGGGGTATAATTTCCAGTGAGTAATTTAGTCCCACCTTCTCTCTGAGGTCTCTTCCACTTTCGCATTAGTCTTTATCATAGCATTTTCACCTTGCATCAGTTATTTTATATTGAATTGAAAATTGGCTGAAATCTTTGTGAATTGCCTAATTTGAAAATACCATTCTATTATATTTTCTCTCAAAGAAAGTCTACATGATAATATTACAAAAATGATATGATAAATAGATAGGTAGATAGGTGGGTTGAGTAGATAGATAGATAGATAGATAGATAGATAGATAGATAGATAGATAGATAGATAGATCTATATAGTATATATGACCAGGAGAGGTGATCATGGCCAGGAAAGATGCTTGCTGCAAGGAAAGGTATGTGTAATCAGGGAAGGTATCAATTTAAGTAAGGTATACCTTATAAAGACTAGAGAATAACCCAGTCAAATTTAGGTTTATGTTTTGAATAGCAGCCCAGACATCCTAACTAGATAAGAGACTTACGTCCACACACTCATCTCACAGATTGTACTATTTATTCACTTTTCCTTCTCAGAGTATTTAATTTCTGTTATGAATTTGTTGAGAGACAGAAAGAAAGAAACATCTTGGATATAAATTATAGGTTTACTTATCTTTTCACATTTATGCCTTTTCCCTTTCCCACGTTATTCCTAACCTAAGCAGAGACCATAAATATGTAGCGATATCCCTGCCAAACCTCCACAACCAAGTCCAGGAGGTTACCAATAAATATGCATCACATGAATTAATAAGCATCAAACAGGTTGAATAAAAGTGAATGGGCTCACACCCATCTCTTTCAAAATTTAGTACAAAGGTACAATAATAAAATTGTGTAATATTTGGATGAGACTGGACATCAACATCAATGGAATAAAATTGAGAGTTCAAAAAACAAAAACTTACATTTATAGCAAATTGATTTCCAATAATGTGCTAAGATCATCCAATGAGAAAAGAACAGCTTCTTAAACAAATGGTGCTGGAACAACTGGAAATCCACAAGCAAAAATAACTAACTAAATAAATAAGTAAATAAATACAGTTGGCCTCTACAACATGGCATATAAAAAAGTTTGCTCAAAACGGACCAAAGACAAAAATGGAAAAGCTAAACTGTTAAATTCTCAGAAGAAAATTTAGGAATGAATCTTGAGCTCTTAAGTTAGGCAATAGTTTCTTAGATGTGACACCAAAATCATAAGCATCAAAAAGTCGCTAATTATATGCAAATTAAAACTAGAGTCAGTTACCCCTTCACATCCACTCGGATGGCTATAATAAAAAAGACAGACACTAACAAGCATTGGCGAGGATGAGGAAAAATCGGAAACTTCATGAATTGTTGGTGGGAATGTACAGCTACTTTGGAAAACAGTTTTGTGGTTCCTCATGATGTTAGTCCATATGACCCAGCAACTGCACCGCTAGATATATATCCAAAAAAATTGAAAACATACGTTCACATAAAAACTTGCACATGAATGTTAACAGCAGCTTTAGTCATAATAATAAAAAAGTGGGAACATCAAAATGTTCACCAAGTAATAAATGGATAAATACAACGTGGTAAAAAAATCATACAATGGAATATTATACATCTATGAAAAAGCATGAAGCACTCAGGTATGCTGCAATATGGATGAACCTTGGCAACAGTATGCCAAGTGAAAGAAGTCAATCACATAAGACCACAGATTTTATGACTTCATTTATATTAAATGTCCAGAATAGGAAAGTCCATAGGGATGGAAAATATATTAGTGGTTGCCAAGGTCTGGGAGGAAAGGAGAATGAGGAGTGACAGCTAATGTTTCAGAGTTTGTTTTGGAGATGATGGAAACATTCTGAAATTAAATAGTGGTGATGGTTGCACAACCTTGTAAATAGACTAAAAGCCACTAAATTATACACTTTAAGAGGGTAAGTATTATGTTATGGGAATTATATCTCAATGTATTTTAAAAAAACAACAGGGATCAAATAAATTGTCATTAAATACGTTCTGACTATTTTTTTTTTAAAGACATAATGACTAGTTTGAGATGGATAGAAACCATGTGTAATAATACGACACTGGACATTAATAATGAAAGTTATATATTATTCAATAATAATGTTCAATATTATTTAATATTAATAAATCTCAGTGAAGATATTATATGTGTTCACTTTGTGGGTTCTTTCAATTTTTTTCTAAGATTGACATTTTTCAAATAAAAAGTTAGAAGAAAAGTAAATAGAATTGCATTAGGATTAAACAACAGAGCAAAAGTTATTAATTTTCTTTAAAATGTTAGACCTTCACTCACTCAACAAATGTGTTTGAGCACTTACTATGTTTTAGAAGCTGTAATAGGAACTAAAACAGAAAACTGAGTAAGCACCAGTGGTTGAAGTAAAACTGACCTGTTTTAGTGATCTGTGTCTCTTCCACAAAAGGGATTTGAAGCTTCATGAAATGGGGAAGGGTGAGCAGAGGACTTACTGTCCTGTTTTAATGCTTCAATTGTATAACTTTTTTCCTTTAATTATAAAAAATTAAGCACACACAATGCATAAAATATATATGTATACTTTTATGTGTTTAAAGCTAGTAACTACTAATGACTGTCCAAATGAAGATAGTGAATATCGCCAGAATCTCATAACCTCCCTCATTCAGCCAGAAGCCATCTTATTCCAACCATGGTGCTACTTAATATCTATACATCTAAAAACAATATTTCTTGCCAGTTTTGAAACTTCATTTGAATGGAATCATAATGTGTTCTTTTCCTTTTGTATCTTGTTGTATTCACTCAGTATTGTGATTGCGACATTCATTCATATTGAGCAAGTAGCCATCATCCTCTCATTTCCATTGCTGATGGAATTCTAGTGTGTGAATACATACCGATATTGATTTTGTTTGTTAGTTTGTTTATAAACTTCTAGGTTATTTTTGCTTTTTTGGTTAGTTTTTTCATAGACTTCTAGGTTATTTTCACACTTTAAAAATATTTCAACTTTTATTTTAGATTTAGGGTTACATGTGCAGGTTTGCTGCATGGGTATATTGTGCGATGCTGAGGTTTGGGTTACGGATCCCATCACCCAGATAGTGAGCATTGTACCCAATAGGTAGTTTTTCCACCTGTGCCCCCACTTCTCTCTTCCCTCTAGTAGTCTACAGTGTCTATGATTCCCTTGTTTATGAAATATGCTGCTATGAATCTCACATGTATTTAGGTGTATATGTGCAAGGGTTTCTTCAGGGTACAGTCCCTGGTTTATAGGATATGTGGATATTCCAATTTAATAAATAAGGCCAAACTGTTGGTCGGCCACATTGTAAATGTTACTCTGCCACCTGCAATATGAGAGTTCCTGTTGCTCTGCATGTATATCAGAGCTTGTTACATTTAGTAATTTTGTTTGGTCTATCTGTTTTTATGGCTTTAATTTGCATTTCCATGAGAATCAGTAAGGTTGAACACCTTTTCTTTATGCAACATTTGGGTTTCCTCTTTGGGGAATTGCAAAGTCTTTTAATAGTTTTTGCCTTTGAAATGTATCTTTTTCTTATTGCTTTAGGTAGGCTTACTTTTTGATCATTCTTAATTGTTGTGTGACATTAAAAGGTGTCTATTTTATATGTATCATTTGCTATAGATGTGTTAATGTATATATTGCTGGTATCTAAACAAAGTTTATTTTTTAATTTTCATATTTCATGCAGCATTTTTTCAAGTGTTCTTACTAATATCTTATTTATAAATTTTGGGAGCATCGCTGTGTGCAAATATTGGAAAGTATGGCAGGTGTCTTTGTATTCCTTTCTAACAATTAAAATGTTTGTCAGTTATTGTCGTTAATGTGCTTACTGTGGTGGAAAAGACTTTCAATGCAATATGGAAAGGAAGTGGTTTTACTGGTGTTCTTACTGTGTTCCTGGTTTCAAATAGAAAATTTCCAACATATATAAATAAAGAATGATGGTTTCTGTAACATATATATATATATACACACACATATGTATAATATGTACATATGCTACACACACATATATATATACACACATATATATTATATATCTCCTTCATCAGATTAAGAAAGTCCTCTTTTATTTCTAGATTGCTAGATTATTAGATGTTATCAGGAATTTGAATAATTTTTAATTAGTTAATAAAAATCTATATATTGAGGTTATAGTATGATTCTCACAATCTATTAATAGTGCTAATTGCTTTATTACTTTTTGAATAGAATAACCTTGCCTCACTGATATAAATGTAAAAAAGGCACCAAGAATGATTTTTTTTACTATTCCTGGATGTGGTTTTCTATTTTATGTATTGTCTTTCTCATACTATCTCTTGTTATGTTTTAAATTCAAAATTTGATAACCTTATAAAGTTCATGGGAGACTTCTTTTTGTCCTCATCTCCAAGATATTTTTTTCTTGGCTATTTAGTATAAATTGTTTTCGAAGCAGTCTGGACTTGTAGTTTATTTATGTTTTTCTAACAATTAAATTATTACTTCAATGCCTATAAGGCTTTTTTGGTTTTGTTTTGTTTTAGTTGTTTACTTGTTTTGTTATTTTGGTTTTCTGCCTCTTGAGGAAACACTCACTCATAGGTGGGAATTGAACAATGAGATCACATGGACACAGGAAGGGGAATATCACCCTCTGGGGACTGTGGTGGGGTGGGGGGAGGGGGGAGGGATAGCATTGGGAGATATACCTAATGCTAGATGACGAGTTAGTGGGTGCAGCGCACCAGCATGGCACATGTATACATATGTAACTAACCTGCACAATGTGCACATGTACCCTAAAACTTAAAGTATAATAAAAAAAATTAAAAAAAAATAAGCTAAAACAAAGGGCTGAGTTGCTCAACCATAAATCCGTGATTCAGGGATCTCATCCAGTGTCAGGCCTCCCTGATAAAGCTACTGACACCTGTCACCCAGCAGCACAGGCTGGGATGGGAGGGGGGCAGCCCCCCAGGTGCGTCCTTCCGGCCTCACTCACTGGGTCAGAGGATGTCCCTGAGTGGGATGCACAGATTACCTCACAAAAGACCTCCATTTCACAGCCCAGAAAGTTGCATCGTTGCTATGACATTCTTCGGGGAACCCATAATCAATCCTAAATCAGGGATGGCCTGCACAAGCTCTACATAGATGCGGGCTTGCCTTCTCCGCCTAGCAAGTACCATTGAGTAAGAGGCCAGTGGCTGCATATTTAGGAAGAGATTCAGATGAGTCACTGGCCTTTATCATGTCCTCAGGAGAGGAATGAATCCCATGCCCCCTGCTTTCATCCTTTCCTCTCCAATGAATTATATTTTTCTAGGAATTTATAAGTTGAAAATAAAATTTCTAAAATATTGATGGGAAGTGGTTGTCAATATACTACTAACTTTTAAATAAATGTTATCTTGATTTTATTTTCTTTATTAGTTATTTAAGTCCTCCCTTTTTCTTGATGTCCTACCATAATTTGTTCACATATAAATCTATTGAAAAGCCAGCTTTTTCTTTGTTTTCCTATACTACGTTTGTGTTTGTTTTCATTAATTACATTCTTATATTAATTATAGCCTCTTGTCCAATTCCACTGTGATTATTTTTAGATTTATTTAAAATTTTTGACATGGATGCTTAGTCATCTTTATTCTTTGTTTCTTTCCAAAAATATATTTAAGGCTAGAGAATTACTTATAAATTATGCATGTCCTAAACAATCATATGTATAACATTTTATTACTTTTTTGTTTAAAATATTTTCTGATTTAAAAAATATTATTTTTTTTCTTGCACTGGGGAAAAGTATTTCTTAATTTTACAAACAAGAAAATTTTCTAATTTTTAAAAAATTAAATATACTATTTTTTAAAGCAGTTTTACATTGACAGCAAAATTGGGCAAAATGTGCAGAGAGTTCCTGTATAGCTCCTGCGCTGCCACACCCACAACCTAGCCTACTATCAACATTTGTTGCACACCAGCAGAGTAGTGTATTTATTACAGTCTAAGAATCTCTGGCCGGTCGCGGTGGCTCACACTTATAATCCCAGCACTTTGGGAGGCCCAGGTGGGAGGATCACCTGAGGTTAGGAGTTCGAGAGCAGCCTGGCCAATATGGCAAAACCCTGTCTCTACTAAAAATAAAAAAATTGGCTGGGCACGGTGGTGAGTGCCTGTAGTTCCAGCTACCTGGGAGGCTGAGGCTGGAGAATCGCTTGAACCCAGGAGGCAGAGGTTGCAATGAGCGGCTGATATCACACCACTGCACTCCAGTCTGGGGGACAGAGCTAGACTCTGTCTCAAAAAAAAAGAAACAAAAAAACTGCATGGACACATCTTCACCCAAAGTCCATCTTTTTTATTTTTATTTATTTATTTATTTATTTATTTATTTATTTATTATTTTTTGAGACAGAGTTTCACAGAGTCTCACTCTGTTGCCCAGGCTGGAGTGCAGTGGTGTGATCTCGGCTCACTACAACCTCCGCCTCCCGGATTCAAGCGATTCTCCTGCCTCAGCCCCCCGAGTAGCTGGGACTACAGGTGCACGCCACCATGCCCAGCTAATTTTTGTTACTATTATTTTATATTTTTAGTAGTCAAGGGGTTTTACTATGTTGGCTAGGCTGATCTTGAACTCCTGACCTTGTGATCTGACCCCTCAGCCTCCCAAAGTGCTGGGATTACAGGCTTGAGCCACCACTCCCAGCCCCAAAGTCCATCATTTACATTATGGTTCTCTCTAGGTACTGTACATTCTGTGGGTCTGGACAAACATATAATGACTTTTGTCCACTATTATAGTGTCATACAGTTTAGTTTTACTGTGATAAAAATCTATGCTCTGCCTACTTATCCCTCCCTCCCCCTAATTTCTGGCAATCAATAATTTATTATGATTTTTATATTTTTTACTGTCTCCATAATTCTGCCTTTTCCAGAATGTCATATAGTTGGAATAATATAATATGTAGCCTTTCTAGGTTAGCTTCTTTCACTTAGTACCATAATATTTAAGTAACTTAATATTTAAAATATATTCTCAACTTCTTAAGTAAGTTAATATTAACATATATTTCACATATAGTCCATGTCTTTACATGGCTTAATAACTCATTTATTTTAACTCATTTATTTTAGTATTCCCTTACCTGGAAGTACCAGAGTTTATGTATTCATTCATTTACTGCAGAATATTTTGATTACTTCCAAGCTTGGTATTATGAATAAAGTTGCTATAAATATTCCTGAGCCAGTTTTGCTGGACGTAAGTTTTCAAATAATTTGAGTAAATAACAACAAGTGTGATTGCTAGATTGTATGCTAAGAGTATGTTTAGTCTTGTAAAAAAGTCCCCAACTGTATTCCACGTGGCTCTACCATTTTGCATTTCTACCAGCAATGGATAAGTTTCTGTTTCCCCACATTCTTGTCAACATTTTGTATTGTCAGTGTTTTAGATTTTGGCCATTCTAATTTTCTAATTTTTTTGTTGTGCAGTGGCATCTCAATGTTGTTTTAATTTGCAATTTATTAATGACATAAGGTGTTGAGCATCTTTTCATATGCTTATTTGCCACCTGCATGTCTTCTTTGGTGAGATGTTTGTTAAGGTCCTTTACCGATTTTTTAATTGGTTGGTTTATTTTCCTATTGTTGGGCTTGAAGTGCTCTTTGTATATTTTAAATAACAGTCTTTTATTAAATATATCCTTTGCAAGTATTTTCTCCTTTTCCATAGCTTGTCTTCTTATTCTCTTGACATTGCCTTTCACAGAGGAGATATTTTTAATTTTAATGAATTTAGCTTATCAATTATTTCTTTGAAAGATTATGCCTTTGATGTTACATCCAAAAAGTCATTGCCATACCAAAGGTCATCTATATTTTCTCTTATGATATCTTCAAGGAGTTTAGTGGTTTTGAATTTTACATTTGGATGAATGATTCACTTTAAGTTAATTTTTGTCAATACTGTTAAGGTCTATGTCTAGACTCATTTTCTTTGCATGTGAATGTTCAGTTGTTTCATATTTATTTGTTGAAAAACTCTAGTTATTTTTAATTAATTTATGTTTAATTAAATTGTATTGATATAACATCATGGTGTTTGAAATTTAATCATTTGAAGTTCAGCATAGTTTTCTTTATGGCACAATATATGCTCCAGTTTTTATAAATATATTTGTGAACTTCTAAAAAATATAAATTGTAAAAAAATTATACTTGTACAAATTGTGTGTAGATTTTTTGTTACCTTTCACAAACCTATTTATTTTTTCGTAATAGAACATATGGGTAATTATAAAATCAAGTAAATATGACATTACCTAGAACCTCTTCTTAGAAAATCGATACTTGTGTGGGAAGTTTATTGATTTGTTTAAATTTTACATTAATTTCTAGAACCTTATTATTGTTTTACAGTATTATATATCTGAAACTAATAGAGAAAAGGCAACCAGTAAAAAACCATCACCCACCCATGAAAACCAGAGTTTAAAACTTAGGATGACCGATTCAAGTCATTCTCTAGTACCTGGTCTACCTACCTTCTCAAAATATATTGTTATTACGTCCTATTAAGTGATCAAGTGTGCTCATAGGGAGATATTCCAGTTCTCTATTACTGAATAACAATTACTTGTACATGAATATTCATAGCACCTTTATTCACAGTAGCCCCAAACTGAAAGCAACCTAAATGTCCTTCAATCACTAAATGAGCAAACAGATTGGAAAAGCTGGAATACCACAAAATACTATTTAGCAATTAAAATGAATAAACTACTGGCACAGGCAACAACTTGGATAGTTTACTCTGAGTGCAAAAAATGGATCTCAAATGCTACATACCATATGATTCCATTTATGTAACATTCTCAAAATGACAAAATTGTAGAGATAGAGAGCAGAACAGTGGTTTCCAGGGTAGCTGGGTGTGAATCACACTGTACCAGATAAACCAAGGAAGTTTATTTGTGGTGCTAAAACAGTTGTATATCTTGATTGTGAGAGTGGTTATACAAATCTATGTATGGGATAAACCACACAGAACTCCACACACACAGCGACAGACAGACAGACAGACAGACAGACAGATACACACACACAGGCAAATTAGTTCAGGTAAAAACTGGTGAAATCTAAATAAGGCTATAGTGTATTTGTCAATACTGTATAATATCAATTCCTGGTTTGGGTATTGTATTACAATTATGTAAGATGTTATCATGAAGGAAGTTGGAGAAGTTTTCATGAGAAATTTATGTCTGCAACCTTCTTTCAGTTTATAATTAAAGTAAAAAGTTAAAAGACAAGTAATTATTTAAATATAACATAACTGTGCATAGCTGCATCTGTAATTTGTTTATTTTATTTATTTACTTTTTTAGAGACAGGTACTGGTTCTGTTGCTTAGACTGGAATGCAGTGGTATGATTATGGCTCACTGCAGCCTTGAACTCCTGGGCTCAAGCAATTCTCCTGCCTCTGCCTCCTGAGTAGCTGTAACTGCCAGCACACACCACCACATCCGGATAATTACTTTACTTTTTGTAGTGATGGGGGGGTCTCACTTTGTTGTCCAGGCTGATCTCGAACTCCTGGCCTCAAGCGATCCTCCTGCCTCAGACTTTCTGAGAGTTGGGATTACAGGTATTAGCCACTACACCTGGCCAATAGCTGCATCTACGAAGGGAATTCAACCATGATTGAATATCATTTGAGAAGTCAAGCAAGACTTACAACTTGCCTCTTCTCTTGTTTCTCAGCATCCTAGATTGCTCATTTGCCCTGAACTATGGTTACATACAGAGGTACCCATTAAACATTATTCAACTTTTCTTTAGCCTTTTTGGAGTATCATCATGAAATAAAACATAATTAATGTCTAAACTCCCTCATAAACTAAATTTGAAACTTGAAACAAATTGCAGACATTCTGAGGGTCAGCTTCCTAACCTGATCATCTGTGAGTACATTTCCAAAGCCAGCTTATAGTGATATCACAATGCTATGTTAGCCCGGCTCTGCTCACTTCTGGAGGTTGGTAACTAAACTTGGTTTTTAAAACAAATTTTTACTGCATTATTCTGCATACTGAGGTGGCATAGTAATACTTGTACAAACAGGAAGTGTGGGTTATTATCTGTATTTGCCCCTGATCATTGGTATTCTGACCACCTGACATTGAAATTTAGTTGTGGTAATGCCAGCAAAGCAAGTGTTGAACACAGATTTTCTAACAAACTTTTTTTCCTCTATAAAGTACATATACCTTTCTTTATGAAAGTCATAATAATTTAAGTGGCTGAAATACTGTATTTTCAGATACTACCGGTGAAACTTATTTTATAATTCTATATATTGTTGAAATTTAAGAGTTTTCAGCTTTGATACCCTATTAGTTACATATCTAAAATTGTACTGGGCTAGCAGAGCTAGTTGATAGACTAACCCTATTCATTAAAAATTAACCTGCCTTAAAATTTCCTTCAGAATGTCCTAGAAAATTAAAAAACCACTGGTATTAACAAAAACACATTTATTGCTTTAGCAATCCAAGATATAGGTCTAATGATGTTCTTTAATGTCTTGATTCAGTATCATCTGTTAGATATTTATTGCTAATTCACTTTATAACATACTTTATTAAAAGTCATTAAAACTTGCAGCTGCATCCCATAATTATTTCCCAAATAAAGACAGCATTTATAAATGATCTCCTTGTTCAAAACACTGCCATACAGCTCACAAACTCTTTGTTGGAAGCCAGAGAGCTTTTATTCTTTACAAAAAGATATGCTAAGTAACTCATCAGATGCCAAGCCTTTTTTTTTTCTCCTTATTGGATTTGTTCCAGTTGTTTAAATTCCATGTTCATTAGGAGCAGTTATAATATAGTCTGAGATTGATGCTCAAAACTTTCATGTATTTAAGTGCCATCTTCCTCCTAGGACTCAATGTCTTAACATGTATCCTTTATAAACGTGAAAAGGCTGAGTAATTTGGCTTCATTACAGTGAAGATCTTATGCAAATGTTCTGGAAGTACACATTGAAGGAAGAGACTGTATTTCATTTGGAATTTTGTTAATTCTCCTCAGAAGAAAATAGGCTATTGAAGACTTTATATGCTTATAAAAATAATGTAAATAATTTCTAGGCTTCATTTAATTGATTATTCTACTATTAGGCCTATTTTATCCATATTTTCCCCTCCCAAAAATGTTTCACAGAAATAAAGATTGGGTAAGATTTGAAGGAATTTTATTTTTTAACAAAATCCCAACATTGAATTATACATAGTAGAATTGTTTAGTTCTCCAAACAATTTTATCCATTCGTAAGCATGACTAGGAAATCTTTGGTATTTGTCAGTGTTTTTGACAATATCTCCTAAAAACAAGGTGGGATATCTTTGAGTTATTCGGTAGAATGGTATGTAGTAATATGCATATATTGCTTGAAATATGATTCATGAGACCTAAGAAAAAGGGCCTTAAACAATTCTTTCAGTTGAATTTCCAGATATTTCAGGTGGAATATCTACCACAGCAGGAAATAGCAGTAATTAATAAAGTAGACACGAATCATTACATTTATCAGTACATTTATGGAGAAAAACAGGAGAAGAGTTAAAACCAAAACCAGTTACATGTAGTAGGTTCATTTACATCCAAGTCATTGATTTTTTTAGTTGACAGAAATAAATTATCCCATTTCACAAACAGGACCAGGATAAAAATAGCAATGGTCAGTACATGAAAAAATAAAAGATTTGATTATTTCACAAAGAATACTTTTATACAACTCTAAAACCAGATAATTATTCATGACCATGGGTTGTTAACTTGCCTATTATTGCCAAATATACAGATGATGATATAGGAATTCCATCCAGATAATGGCTGACAGCATTATCTACAGCTTTTAAGGGTAGGGATCATCTCCTTTGTCCCTCCTCCCTTCTCCACAGTGATAAACACCTCCTCACCCTCCATGGGTTAGCTTCACAAAGGCTCAGTGACTCCATACTTCACTGTGACTCAATGTAAATGCTCCCATTAATGCTCTAAACTGTCTGCCCTCATCAGTGGTGAGGGAATAAATTGCCCACTGTTTGGTGGTACATTAATTCTTTTGGGTTACTGAGGAGCTTTTTAGTGCACTGAAAAGGTAATTTGCTGAAATGCCCACTAGTGGTTTAGAAAACTTAATTGGCCTCCAGAAAGTAGATAATTCACTCCTCTAGTACCAAGAAAAAAGCCAGGCAATTATCTGGAGAATCTGAGTGATTGAGAGAGAAATTTGAGTATCAGACAAAAGCAAACTTCTGTTTGCCTGAACTCGGGAAATTCCTGTTGTTCTGATGGAACAGACAGGGCCAGTTTATCTTCCAGGTCATTGAGCCGCAGTGAGATATAAAGTCTACTAACAAAGTTTAGATGGGTCTGCAGACCCCTTGTATGCATTCTTCATGCTCCAAAATTTCTTTTAGAAAAATATGAAAATTTTACACAACATGAAAAGCAGAGAAGGCAAATCACGTAGAAGAGAATATAATAGGATGATAAAATAAAAAGAGACACCGTTATCTGAAATGGATGTCAGCCTTTCAAGTAAAGTCAACACTACCTTACATGTTCCAAGTGGAGAACTCAGTCAATTCTCAGTGGCTAAAACAAATGAGCAACTATTGACTATTTTATGTGTATATTTTATGCATATTTTACATGATCACTTAAAATTGAATATATAATGAGGTGGAGAAAAGAAAACTTTAAACAGATGTCTTCCCAGGTAGTATGTGTATCTTTTTGGTTGACTATACTCTCATTTATAATTCCAATCACTAGACCTTAATCACCACAGACAGACCTGATCTGATCAAATGCAACAAAGCACTCATATTCCCAGAAATGCAGCATCACCTAATTCTAAAGCAGGCTGTAAACCGGAAGCAATAAGGGAGATAACACACATTGTCAGCAATAATTCTGCAGTGCTTTTTCCTTGTCACAAAATCCCTTCTGATCCCTACTATCTTCCTAGAATGAACGTGATCTTTCTACTGTCTATCCTTGATTTGATCTTGAGGATCTGACAGTCCAAACATTATGTTAATCGTTTTTCAGAAATCGTTCTCTCCAGGATGCCCTGTGATCTGCTTTTGAGCAAACCCAAAGGAACCTCAAACATCCATTCCTTTCACTTCTGTGCAGTATCAACACTGTTAACCATGGTATGTTTGTTAGAACTCCATGCATTTTCCTTTATACCTTTCCCCTACACTTTCTACGACTCTTTTATGACCTTCTTTTCTCTTATTTTTTTCTTACTTTTGAAAGATATTTATGTCTGTAAACAATTGTTTTTCTTTTATTCTCTCAAATAGCTAATAAATTTTCATAGCTTTAGCAGTAATCTCCACTTCGGTAGCTCTGAGTTAGATAGGTCAGGTTTTACCCTCTTTCTAAAATTAATGGGTTCTTCACCTGCATTTGGTTGTTATGTCCTCTCATTATCCATTTGACATGTCCCATGTCAGATATCACATCTTTCCTTCCAAAGAAGCGTATTTCACACTTACATATGTGAGCATTTACCTAGTACACAAAAACACTATCTCATTTGGCCTCCTCCTGATTCTTGTTTTATTTGATAGCGGCATCACTAACATCTAGTCATTTAGTTTTAATAGGCTAATTTCTAACCTTCACCCAATTAGGTCCAGCTCTCATCATCTCAAGTCTGAATTCTGCAATAGAATCAACTCTGGTCCACCATGGTTCCCTGAAGCTTGTAAAATATGACTTTCAACATGTGATTATGCTGTCCAAAAACCTCTCTGTTTGTATAAGATTAAGATCAAGATAACACATGAACCCTTCAAGATTCTTGAGAATCTAAACGCCTCCAGTTACTTAGTTAGTAAAACTAAAGTCAATGAAATTCAGCTGTTCTGTTTGTTGTTGTTGTTGTTGTTTATTTGTTTTTTTATTTATTTACTGCAATCTAAAGCAAGTCAAGCCTATAATAGGTGTTATAAGAAGAGAGGCAGTTTTTCTTCCTAAACCACTTATGAATAGAAAAGCATTAAATATTGATCCTAAATCTCAATTTTGACTTAATCTATAGAGAAGCATTTAACTTTCCTGGAGCTTGATTGTCCCATTTGCAAAACAGGAATGAAAAAGTCAGCTTCCTAGTCCTGCTGTGAGAATCACATGAGATTCCCTAAAACAGGACTCTAACAATCATGTATAACACATAGAATGTGAGAAAATAGTATTACGAACGGAAACTAAAGTGTAGGGTTACATTTTCCCAAATGCATTTATTATGCCCTATGAAGACTTTATACTGAAACTTCTAGTTCCAACTTCAAGGAGATTTCTTGGAAAAGAACACAATATGGAAAATAAAAGCAAATGACTTAGGTAGATAATGGACATATTTTAGTTTTCTCTAATCGCTTAAAAGGATTCTTAAGTTGAGAAAAAGATGTGTTTGAAGAGAAAAATAAAGTTAATTTATGAAGTTAATGAATTGGACAAACTACCACAATCTGACTTACTTTGACTCTAAGTGTGCGCTATTGTATTACTCTTGATTGGCTCATCTATAATAATGGTGTAAAATGTACACAAGTAGATTAATCTACTTTCGGGAGTTTTACTTCTTCAAGATTAAAACCAGACCAGGAAAACAAAAGGGAAATAGTCTAGCTAAGCTGGAACAGGCTCCACCATGTGTTAAATAAGGAAATATCATTTAAAACTACTGAAAAAAGTCACCAAATATAGAAAAAATAACTGTTCTGGAATAACTATTTTTTTATCCCCAATGATTTTTTAATCCACTTGTGTGTCCTTTTCATATTATTCATTTGTTAATAATATAGTAAAAGGACACCCACAAAACTTTGATATGTTAATTACATTTAAAGTCAAACATTTCATCTTAAGACATTCTTTCCTTAGGAAAAAAAAGCTTTTAGAGAAACAACAAGCCAATGAGCCCACTTTTGCTGAGTATTCCCTCAGCAGTAGATAAATTCAGTGACTTAGAAATCTTGGGTAGATTCTTCACTAGCATTGTAGAGGACAAGTGTTGTTCTTTTCTATCCTTTAATGTAGTCTCCCCTTTCACTGAAAACTGCACTATGCTAGTCATTTGTGTTCTGGGAAGAGGGAATATTTGCAGATATTAGTCAATAACTAATACCCCTCAATCAGTGTGGTTTTGTAAAGCCCATCCTACTTCAAGATCCAGCCCAATATGTAATATTCCCTTGGTCAATCCCAGTACATCTACTGGAACTATTGAGGAAGTGAACTGGATTTGGGAAGGAAACACTGTAGAACTATAACTGGTAAGGAGGTGAGTAAGACAGAGAAAGAGATGAAGAAGAGAGGGGGAGAAAAGAGACAGACAGAAACAGAAACATAGACAGGAGTGAGGGAGAAAGACAGTGAGAACAGAGAAAGAGGCAAATGTTATCACGTAGGCAAACCGTACTTTGGAATGAAGACAACACTGAAGAATGCGGATAGTATTTGAACACTTTAATCAAGCCATACCTGCTATAATCTGCTACTGCATAAGCCAGTAATTCTCTTTTGCAAATATATTTTTTATTTAGTTGCTTATTTGGATTAAGCCACTTTAAGCTGGGATTTTGTCACTTCTAGCAAAAAAAGAAATTAAAATATACAAATACCAATTAGGCAAAATAAGCTCCTTTTTTTCCATCAATAACTGCAGAATTGTTTTTCCCTTTGGCACAGTCACTATTAACAAGGATTAGAAAAGAAGAAATTACAAAAAAAAATTGCCATATATCAAACCAAAGCATAATCTTATCCATCCCTGTGTTTGTGCGGTTGTGTGGGTGTGTGGACTTACATCACCGAACATACAATAAGACATCTGCCTCCAATTTGTGAAATCCAACAGAATATTCTATAGAGTGTGTTATAATTTGCTGATGAAATGTAAAAAATAACTTTCTAAAGAAATTATCTGTTTTTACACATATGAGTAGGCACAAAAGTAGAAAATTTGTATTCTGGGAAGAAGGGATATTTGCAGATATTAGTCAATAACTAATAATCTTTTCTTAGTCTCACTGTTAATCAAGGTTATTATCTGGGTTATTGTAGCTGTTGCATGTGTATGAGGGGCAAAAACAGTAGCTGGAAAAGATGCTGGAATAAAACATATTATGTAATATTATTGACCTATCTTCATTCCTATTTGTTCTATGAGTTAATTTTTCCCCACAAAACTTTTGCCCATTCAAAAACATGAAGTATCTATTTTATCTCAGCCACTCATTATTTTTTAGGTTTATTTATTTTAAAATTGTAAAAACATATTAAGATGAACCTTTTCATCAAGTCGTGGTTCATTGTCTCATTTCTAGATAAAAACAAAAAGGTCTGGAAAAAATCTGACTGAATATCTCAGTTTAGGGTTTCTATTAAATGTCATTGAAATGGGAAACGAAAAGGTTCGGCAGCTATGTGTGGAATCTAGCATGTAGTCTGTTTCGCTACATGCAAAATTTTAACAATGAAATTAGGTAAAGCAAAAAGTAGATTTCACACAAAATTCTCTATTTTCAGTTCTCACGTTTTGTTCTAACTGAGCAGAGCTGAGTCGAGGACTCTTGACGGGCTCACTTTCTGCAGTGTGATGCAGATCTCACTGGCTAGCCTCCCTCCTTACATGAACTGCCTGCACCCTGAGGGCATTTGAATTTACAATCTATGCAAAGAGATATAGGTTTGAATAAGAAAACAGAAAAGGGAAAGTCTAGAACAAAGCATTAACAAAAGAACTATGTGGTGATGAGGATAGTATGTTTGGAAGAGAATATAAAGCATGGGGGATTTATCTGGAGAAATGAGAGAGCGGTAGTTGATCAGAGCCATGTGCATAGACTAGTCTAACAGGCTAAGTCATAACACTCACCAGCTTCAACAAATCCCGGTCAATGTACTAGCCATTGTATACAATTTGCTCATTAACTGTTCCCAGCAACACACTGCAGTGGACATCAGACTTAGAGACTTCACATTCCTTGCCCAAGTTTTTGTCATTAATGCCATTTCTATAACAGGATTCGAACTTAAGTCTGATTCTAAATCCCATGTATGTTCCACCATGAGAGCACGGAAACATTTTCAAGAAGAATGGCATGACAGATGTGGAAGGAAAGTTTATGAGTTCAACTAAACATAGACATTGTTTATTTTCTCATGGACATAATAATGATTTACCAATAGGACCAAGGATATAGCTGAGCAGTTAAATTAAGATAAAGTGATTTACCCAAGTCCACACAACCAATTGATGACAAACCATGTTGAACCTCAGATTTTGTGTGTACTGGATGCATTTTTAACCATAAAATACTCTTTTCTCATCTATGATCTAAATTTCTTAATCTCACATACTTATTTCTCACCCCTTGAAAAGATTCAAATAAAATTTATTATTTTTAATATATATATTTTTTTGAGATAGAATCTCATTCAGGCTGGAGTGCAGTGATGTGATTATATCTCACTGCAGCCTCAAACTGCTGGGCTCAAGTGATCCTCCTACCTCAGCCTCCTGAGTAGCTGAGACTACAGGCACATTCACCACACCCAGATATTATTTTTTTATTTTTTATGTTTTTTTTTTCTATTGAAGAAACGAGGTCTCACTGTGGTGCCCAGGCTGGTCTTGAACTCCTGGCTTCAAGTGATCCTCTTGCCTCGGTATCCCAAAGTGTTGGGATTATAGGCATGAGCCACTGTACTTGGCCTTTTCATAGTTTTATATAAGTAACACATTATTGTTCAAATTTTGGCACCATTTCTAAAAGATTTCTATTTTCTATTAGCTTATTTAGTGAATTTACCAGGCAAGCACTTATTCTTTTAAAAAACTAAATCTTAGACCGAAATTGTGAGTAAATTTGTTAAACATAGAGCATATAATTACTTCACAATTTTTAATTTTAAAAATATCTTCAAGTATGTACATTACATATGATGAAGTGATAATAAGCAAGTATTCAAATGAATTGATTTAATGACACTCTTTTTGAAAAAAAATATAACATGATCACTTTATCTTTGCTGACAAATTGAAGACCAAATTCAGGAGACCCAAAATGATTTTCTGACTCTTTCAGTGTGTAGAATGTGCTGAAGAAACTTCACGGTGAAAATTTAAGGATAATTCAAAGATAAATTCTCTGGCCTCAAGACATTATTTTAATGACCTCTTACTCTCAGTTCTTTTTCATTTTATGTTTTTGACTGTTTCTGGGTTTTTGTGTGTGTGTGTGTGTATTTGACAAAAAAAAATCTGAATTATATTACTAAGTAAGTGATGATATAATTTTTTATCGCTGGTGCAATTATATAATTTAACCACAAAACAATGCTGGAAATAACTGTAACACCAAACATTGACTTATATTTCCTAAGAATACTGTCAGTATATTTTTAGTGATAGTCTAGAAATCTATACAGACCAAATGTTGATAAATTACATTGAAAAAATCATAGTGACGTTTAAAACCCGACTAAGAAAAGCAAATAAGCAATGAAATACTGCTTATTCGATTTTCTAAAGAGATGTCCTAAAGAGGCCTATGAATAAAATCTAGGCTTTCGACTAAATCAAAACAACATCTTAACAGCATTTCCAGGCTAGCCCCTTAGATCAGCCCGCATGTTGTCCACATTTCACTCCATGCTCACAAGCCAGCAGTCAAATCACAATGCTTTCTGTATGTTTTAGGATATGGAGTTTTGAAGTGTATTTCATCGTATGAGTTTCCTTATCAATATCACTAATGACAAACATTAATCCTCCTTTATAAACTAGAAAATTATGACACGACATGATAGATTCTTTGAAGGTCAAAATGAAAGTTGTTGAAATAGACTCAGGTCAACTAAGTTTGTCCAATTGATATAGAATGTGGTGTCAGTTCTGAGTAATAAAATATTTTTGAAACCAAGTCCACCTTCATTGAATATCACTTATATTTATACCATTAAGAGATGTAAAGGAAATGACTGCTGAAGTATCAGGGAAGTATTATATTCCCTATGCTGAGAGTTGTTAAGTATAAGGGATGTGCCTGTTATTTAGTAATTAGTGGGATTTTTTTTGACGAATGAATGAATGCTATTGGAAATTATTTATAATAACTCACAGATATAACACTTGTTTCCAAAACACTCTCAAAATCATTGAATTTCGACTTTCCAGTATCCCACAAAGTAGGCATCATTCACTTATCTCATGAGTGTTCAGGTATCAGCTGTATGTAAATTATTGTGTCTTCATTGAAAAGTAAAGAATCCCCAAATTTAAGGAAGAAAAATTCAGCTGCAGTGGATTGAGTGACTTGTAGAAGATCTTATGGCCAGCAGTTAAAAAATTCTGATCTTTTGACTGTCAAGTAGTACTTGTTTCCCTACAACATGATGTGTAACATGTTTCTTACCACAGGATGTTGTCTCTTCCAACACATGCTATGTGCTCACTCTGCTAAGCTAAATAGGAAGAAAACACCAAATAAGAGATCTCTCTCCATTTGAATTCTATTCTATAACACACTGTACAGATTTCTGGGAAGGTGAGATTACTATGGAAATAATTTCTAGCTTACAATATGCTTTTTTCTTTCCTAGTGGCTTTTGTGTTGCTTAACAGAACTAGGTGAGTAAGCAGGCTAGCTGCTTGGAATTTATAAATCTTTAAGTGGTCAAAAACAGCCAATTACTAAATATTAGCAATAGTCATTTTTTACTTTTATATTTTTTGATAAATGTTTGAACTTGATTGAAACCCAAGTAAATAACTCCAAAGGCAAACTGTGAGCATTAAAATCCAATACGATTTCATGGTATGAATAATTACATTAGAATATACAAGTAATATTTATATAGTCTATGCAAAAATTAATCAAGAAGTGTTTTTATAACATTTTGGAAGAAGGCAATTGAATGGATTCCAGGGCTCATTTTAAATTATCCTCTGGTCCTATATATACTTTACATTTTCTAGATTATGTAATCCCATCTCACCTTTCTCTTTTGAGTCTCAAATGTAAGCAACAGCCAACAACACTTAGTCTTATCCAATAAAACTTTTTTTTTTTTTTTAATGGGGAAAAGATAGTGTGTTTGGTACTCCCAAGACCTCATGCATCCTTTTTCTTTAGCAAAACAAAATAACTATCAAAGCAAATAGATGCCCTTAGTGGGGTACAGATATCCCTTAATAAAATGTTGATTTTTCTTTAAAGACAAGTGATTCTGTGCAATAATGAAGATTGGTTTCCACTACCCCCTTTTTGTTTGTTTGTTTGACTATCTACTTTACAATTAGAGATTAGCATTGGTAGGCATTAAGTTGCTTTCCCAAACTCTATCTCAATGTAAGGACATTTCCCTACAGATAAGGATTGACAAGGGTTTCCATGCAGTTTCATGAGTTTGGGGTGAATTAGAGTTACATATTTCTGTGACTAAATCTCCTAAGGGATTAGGCAAAGGTAACTTTCACTTTGTGAGATTTCAGTTACACATAGAGAAAGCCTGCCCCCTCTGCCCCTGAGGAGGGAACTGCGGCCATATACACAGAGGAGTGCTTCTTGAAACACATTCTCTGCTTACATTTTATGCCCTACTGACTAGGGGAGTCCCTCTGTGTTAATTAATTGACAGCCAAAATAATTGTCTAAAGACATGCTGTAACTCTCTTAAAATATGATTAAGTCTTCCATGTGATAATTTCACTTCCATACCTCTCCCACTGAGGAAAAAAAGGATTGTGTTAAGAGCACATTGTAGGTTTTCTGGGAAGGAATCCAAATCAATAATACATGTTTCTCCTCCTCAGATAATCATTCTTGACCTATATAGGGCAACGGAGCCCCCAAGGAGCTCAGTGACATAGATGCCTCTGCTCCTTTTCTGCTAAGCAAGCAGGTTCATGGTAAGTGGTGACAGTTAAGAATGATTTTTCCTCAGAGTAATTGCTACACTCAGCCAACATAAAACAAGAGGACATCACCCCACCAATGAATGCCACTGTAACGGCCTCCAATGATTTTTGTGTTAAAATTGAGAAGGAAGGTACGTATAGATATGCATTAGAGCCATTTTACTATCGTTACACACAACCAGTGAAATTAAAAGTAAAACCTAAAGATCTCCTGTAATTTTTCAAAGGGGTAGACTCTTTTCACAGAGTTGATTATGAATATCTCATCACATGTATTTACATGACTGTAAAATTCCATCCTTGCAAGTCAAAACTCTTCACTGAACTGAATGTACTCATTGGAATTGATCGGATTCTTAGTGAAATGTCAGGCACGGGTTACAAATTTGTGTAACTGCTTTTGCCCAGTGAACCCTTTTTATTAAAGCAGAATGCTTATCAAGGTCACTGTGAAAGATTGTAATTTTAAAGCTCCAGGGGAAAACTAGAAATAAGAATCAACAGAAAACAGATTTAATTAGCATTTTAAAGTTTATGGTTTTTCGGGAACCTACTGGTCCCTATCACTTTCTGGATTTCACTGACAAATGTATTTTGCAGAACTAATAAGTTAGAATGATTTTGAAATCCAGCTCTCCTAAAGAGGCACACTAAAGCTTCTCATTTTCTGCTTTCTGGCAGATCAGGTTTGAGAAAGCAATCTTGAGCTTTCAAAGGCTGGAAAGAGGGTGCTAAGTAAAAATATGAGTGTCTCCTTACGTAAGATCCTACAGGTGTAGGTATACTTGGAGGTTGGCATGGAGTGAGAAATCTGGTGTATATGTATACATGTATTTGTTCCCATGCATAGTTTAGTATATTATAACAATATAAAATATGTTAGAGGGCATGGTTAAACCCTCTCTATTTTAACTTTTTTAGTCTTGCATACTATGTAACACAGACAGGATCACTTTTTATGGCATACATAAGACAACAAAATTATCTTGCCAAACGATTGCATTAGTTTTGGGAAAAAATAAACAAGATATGCCAGATCCAAAAAGATATTAGATAAGCAATAAGAAAAATGGCCAGCTAAAAGTTTACTGTAATTATGTAAGGCAACATGTATGTTATTTTGATTCTTCTTGTCACACAATGATCCAGAAACAATTATTTTAAAACAAAATTGCTTGTCTCCTCGTTAACCCCAGAAAAAATTACACTGCTTATGATCTTTCTGTTAAACCATAAGACAAGTCATTAGAATTTTAAAAAACAAAAATAATAGCGCTATCACTTACCTGCCGAGCAATGAAATTAGATGTCTTTTCAGTCTCTCTAACGTAGAATTTTGAGTAGCTCTCCACCCTCTTTTCACAAAGCTATTTCCAAAACAGTTGCAATCCACTCAAGACCATTCTGTTTATTTCAAGAAGTGTGGACCTTTGAGCATTTCAACCCCTACCGCACGGCCCATGATTTCTCAGAGCTTCTAAGAACTTCGACTTTACTCTCCTCCAGAATTCCTCCCAGACCCCTATAGAAAAATGATTCTTGAAGTTGCTGCTGAGAGTTTAATCTGTGGAGCAAGAGTACTCCTCAGAGTCCTGTCCTTAGGTACAGCAGGTGTAGAGGGAGGGGTACTTTTCATCCATTAAGGAAGGGGGCCGGGAGGCGAGGGGGTAATAGGAGGCACCGCCTTTTAGCTGCGAGGAGCAAGTAGCCCAGCTGCCCGTGGCGACGACAGTGGCGGCAAGGACAGCGGCGGCGGCAGCGTAGTTCCGTCCCTGTGGCTGCAGCTCAGTCCGGAGACGCTGTCCATCCCCTCTGGTGCTGAAGTAAGGGGACGGGAGCCCCTAAGCGCAGGTCCAGGTCGCACTTTCCTCCACCAGCGAATCCAAGCAGCAGCTTCCTTGTCTTCCGCCCTAGCCTTCTCCCCTCCGGTTCTTTTTTTTTTCTTTTTTCTTTCTTTTTTTTTTTTGTAGGGGCTAATTGTTTCTCCAAATTAACAGTCTCATACTTATTTGGTGACAACGTTTCTGGAAAAACAGGAATCCCTGGGAAATAACATCTGAGCCTCCCCTGACTTTTCAGTGGCCCTGCACGAGTTTCCTAATGCCAGAAATGAAAGAAAACGCACGCACAGGGGCGCGCACATACACGCACGAGAGAGGCAGAGAGAGAGAGAGAGGAAGAGAGAGAAAAAATATATAGATTTGTACCGTGGAAAATCCAGAGCTTCTTTGGAAAGCTCGTGGATCTTTAATTACATAAGATGAAAAGGAATATTTTGGAAAACTCCGCAATCTTGATTACCAATTAAGGGGACCACATTCAAATTTTGAGAAACCCAATTTGAAATTCCTAAATTAAACCCAGTGAAGATTCTTAGACCCTCCACGCGGAAACGATAGGTTATTGTTAAAATTTTAAAAGACAGAGAATGAAAGAATGAAAAAGACAGGAAAAAGCATCTGCACTCGGCTACCTTTTAAAACGCTGCTGAATTGGATCGGGATCGTTGCAGAGCCTCTCAGAGGATCCGGCGAACGCAGCTCCTGTGAGTGTCAGCGCTGAGCTCAGCGAGCAGGCAGCTTGGAGGCCCAGGGCAGTGCTAGCGAGTCGCCCACAGCCTAGGCTCCTGCAGTGGGGGCAGAAAACGGCTTATTTCACAAAGGACGGGATAAAGAAGGCACAAAGACAGTCAGAGGGCTCGACAATCTCTGCCTTTGTAAAGCCAGAGCAAAGCCCAATTTACGTTGTTTTTTTTGTTGGCTTTTCAGCCCATTTTCCCTCTGGTCTCCCACGCTGCCCCCTCGCCTCCCTACTCCGGAATCCGCGCTCTCCCGGGCCTTGCAGGCTCTTCACTCCCGCTCTTGGCAACTGGCTGACAACGAGCATAAAGAAGGGTATGGGTGCGTGGTCCCGAGTGCTGTCACCCAGGGCTCAGCCACCCACACTCGGCAACGGGTGCAGACGCCAGTGAACTGAGACGGGAAGTTGAAATACATAACGTTGAAACTGTTGGAAAACTGGTCAAAACCAGGGCCATGTGGACCTTTGAAACTATGTGGAGTAAAAGGGGAAAATGGAAAGAGCGAGACTGTAACACCGCCCGCCCTTGCAGACTCCTAACTTGTGCAGTGTAGATTTCTGCACAAGGAGGTTATTGATAGACATGAGAGGAAATTCGAGAAAGACTGGTGAGGGGCGCTGGTGTGTGTGGTGGGGACGGGGGTCCGGGAGGGGCGGGGCGCAACACTAATTTCTCCCGGGCTGTGGGAAGGGGCCGGACGCCTGCTCCTGGCCTCCCTTCCCCGGCGACTTCTCAGGTTCTTCTTCCTGTTCTGACACTACAGGGAAGTCCTAGACGTTGTGCTTTCCTCCCACGCTTGCTTCCATCAAGGATTAGAGCGCGTTCCCGCTGGTCTGGAACCATCCATTCCAGGTAGGGGATCTTCCCTCCCGGGGACATTGCGCTCTCCAAGCACCGGCCTGCGGCGCGCGCGGGGGACGGGCGAGGAGGCGGCACAGCCAGTGGAGTTCCAGTGGGCTCCCTGGAGGAGAAACGTTACTGAGCCGGGAATCACTCGGGACGGAAAACCAAACAGGCCGCGTATTTACTCACAGGAAAAGGCCAGACTTTGGTTGGACTTTGAGCCATTTTGCTGCAGCAGCAACGGCTTTATTTCCCTGGGGTGGCCACCAGCCGCCACCGCGGCTCGCGAGCTCCGGCTGGAAGGGGCCGCGCTGTGCTCCGCACATTGCAGGCCGCGGTCGCTGTGTGGAGCTGCACACGCAGGAAACGGTCGCCGTGGAACGAAGCCCTTGGTCAACTTTCTCTAACAGTCTTTTTTAACAGAGGATCTATTAAAGGTTGTGATTCTCTCTAAAACCGTGTTTGGGGAATCCATCTGACCTCACGGAGACACACAAACCTAAAAAGAGAGTATCTGCTGCTTGAGGCTAATTTTTAAGGGGGTCTTTTGCTTTTCAGTCCATGTGAAAACGTTGCTTAAGGTTATGGTAAATGAAGTTTCCCTTTTCCTTAGACAAATGTGGTGAAACACGTGCTTCTTTTTTCTGCAGAAACAATACCTGTCGTGTGTGTTTCAGAAAATGCCCCCTTTTTGTTAGATGATTAAAACAAACCCCCCGTGTGAGGGTTATGCTAATCAGGGGCTATCCGTCCTTGTCAGCAAAGAAGCTTTTCTCTGCTGTATTTAATTCTATGCTTACTAAGGTTGATTTAATTGATTGTTTAAATTATTTTATCAGGACATACGGAAACATGAATAACCACAGAAAATCAACACACCAAATAAGAGCATTTAAATGAAGCACAGAGTACAAAGATGTTGCTAATTAAAAACATATGCACTTGATTATTCAGACCTAGAAGAACAGATTCTTTTCTTCCTGAGCACTGATTGAGTTTTATGCGGTCTCTCTCAATCTTTCTATCCCCCTCCCTCTGTCCTGCCAGTAAAAGAAAACAGAAACAGTTGATTAATGTGAACTGACAGTCCCAGTATGATTATGATAGTTTGATGTCTTTTCTTCAAGAAGCAAAATCCACTTTATATTTTTTCTCATCAAGTTGTATAACCAGTTATGGAAATCAAGATGATGAAAATTAAATACCGCCTAACATCTGATGCTACAAATGAATATAAATGAAGTACAACATAAAAAAACCAAGGGACAAATAAGCTGAGGTGAATTAAAGAATTATGTTAAGAAATTTCACCCCGGGAGCAGATTTTCCAAAGTCTATTTTAAATGATTTTTTAAAAAAATTCTTAATTTAAGTTGCCATGATTTTAAAAATGTAAATATAGTAAAATGTGAATATAAATAATCAAAACAATACATGAAGCATTATATGCACAAGAAAATGTAGTAACCTAGCATCATTACTGTGAATTCTAAACTGGCTCATTCAATCCCTCTCTATAAAACTAGGATATAATTCCCCTCTAGTCCACTCTACACAGTGCAAAAATCTTAGAAAACATAATAGTTTGTGGAACATTTTGTAAACAATTGGAAGTCCTTTGGGTCAGGAAGTTTGAAATGTAAGTTGAAACCGCCATACAATATGATCTAAATGAATCGTCATTATACACTATGTGAAACGTTGGCTGTGTCACTTCCGGAAGCCTCCTATTTTCACATCTCATTACTATATGTAAAATGGTGATAATAATCATAATTTTTGCCAGCCTCATAAACTGTCATATGCAAAAATCAACATATGTAAAAACTTTGTATATCTTGTATATTTCTACAAAAATAGGTAGTAGCACCTATCATCTGTGGAGTATCATTTGCTCACAATTTTTAGACCTCAATTGAAAAACTGGTGGTTCCATTTAAAGGTTCTATTTTTTGTTAATATATATTTCTAATTATTTCTGTGTTTACTTCATGTTTCCTAATAGATATAGAGCTGTAATAGGCCTATACCCATATCTGAACCCTTTTCAATTAACAGTTTTAACATCTTCAGTATAATTTTGAGCTGCTTTTTTAAATTGTGTCCAAGTACAAATAAATATTACATATCTATTACCAATTATTTCTGAATTGGAACAGTGATCCTATTTTAAAATCTCCTTCTATGGGTTTTCAGATGAAATGTTACTGAGTTGTATTTTCTTTTGCCCCCTTTGAATATAAGATCCCTTACTCAATCATACCTCTACTCAGCTAAGGAGTTCTATTTTGCTGAATTGTGGTCAGATAAATCTTGAGGACTTCATGGGTGTTTGCACTTGTATAAGTTGAACTTAGTTAACCTCAGTAGCAGGCAAAAGTAGATGGAAATTTGTACTCAAATGACTGAGGTACAAAAATCTGTCCCTCAGATTAGTTTAATTTTTCTTTTGCGGGAGGTAACAAGTGGCTGCCAGAGAAGCTTAGAAAATTGGATACTGTTAACTGCAACTGCCTAGGAGAGACATTTCATTTTAGAGAGTAGTTCCCTAAGCATTTTCTTCTGTATTTCTGTTTTTTCTATTCACAAAAATTCTGAAGTTGAATACCGACTTACTTGACAAAGAGTGCTACTTTCTGCCACTTGGATAAATTACTTAATCTTTTTGAGTCTATTCACTTTAAAATGAAAATAATGCAACTTATTTAGTAGAGTTAATAAATAGCACCTGGATCAAGGTTTTGTCCATATGTGACAGATGGCACACTCTCTAGAAGATCTCTCCATGCCTCTCTGACAGGAACAGTGCTGCAGAGAATTTTTATTGTTCATTAACATCAAGCAGTAAATATGGCTGTATTTGAAGTGTGGTGTAGATAAAATTTGTATACATATATGTGGAAATTCCACACACAAGATTTCACTGCTATGGAAATCCCTTCACAGCTCAACAAATCATTCATAGAAGCAAGTTGCTAACCACTGGGAAAAAAAATCCTCATAGGATATGCTGCCAATTTGGCCTAGGGTATAAAATAGTTTTTAATTGCCTAGTAGCTATACCCCTTTCTAATAAGTATACATATATATTTCAGTAGCCTCCTTCTTAAAATATACGTGTGTGTGTCTGTGTATGTGTGTGTGCGCAAGTATGTGTGTCTGTGCATGTGTGCCTATAAATGTGTGTGTATGTATTTCTAAAAAGAAATAAATATTACTTTGATACTTCCAGTTGGTGTTCAATATTAGCAGAAGAAAATTCTTGGAAAAATTATCTAAAGTGGTCTTCAGAGAGCTGTTTTTTTCACCTTCTAGTATACCATTTTTTCTTTAGAGACATCTAATTAGCTTCTCTATTAAGATACCAATGCGTTCTCTATCTCCAAAACCATCATCAGTCATAATTTGGCCCTCACTATATTTAACTCATCTTACCTGACTTGCAGGCTGCCTTTGACGCATTCAATGACTTTCTATTTTTTGAAACACTCTTCTTTTGGCCACTGTGACTCATTCACACAAATGGCCATTTTTCTTCAGCCTTTCTTGATAACAGCTTATTTGCTCCTACTTCTCATTATTGGAATTCCACAGAAATTATTTCCGCAGAACTTATCTGTATTATATGCTTATATAATTTCATTCATTCCCGTTGCTTTAAATATCATTTATATGACATTGACATCCAAATCTGTAGGGAGTCCTTACCTATCCATTGAGCTAAAGATACTCATATGGAGAGAAAGGGACACAAGTTATATATTTGACATCTCTACCTGAATACTTACTAGAGATCTCAAACTTAACATATCCAAAACAACATTCTTGATCACCATCACAGAAAAACTTTCTTTGACCATGTCTGTATCAAATATTGCATCATTACACACCTGCTTAAAGATCACAACCAACTAGTTATCTCAATATTTATATTCTCTCATTACCCACCATCTCCACAGAGTCAACAAAGACTGTTGCTCCTGTTACTAACGTAGGTTCCAAATCCATGGACTTCTTCCAATATAACTTTTTCATTTTAGTTCAGGCTGCTAGAGTTTCTTGTCAGTACTAATGCAGTTTACTAATTTATTTCATTGTGGCATGTTTTCCCTGTGGAATCCTTTCCCTGCACAGCTGTAGGAATGAATTTATGACAACATGAACCATGCCCTATCATGCTATAGCCTAACCCTCCAAGGTTTTCTAATGCACTTGGGGCCATGTCTAGCTTTGCCTGTCTGATTCTTATTTTATTACTCTTTCCTTCTTGATCACTGGCATTCTGGGTTTTCACACTGGACTCTGCCTGTGCCATTCCCATTCCCATAATCTGAAATATTATTCCTAGATCTTTACATGGCTACCCCCTCGTTTTCCCTTGTGATCTCAGGTCAAACATCTCATTTTCAAAGAGGGTTCTTCTGACTAGCTAATTTAATGGGTCTGCAGTCTCTATCTGTCCACCAATTTGTTTTAATATCTTTAAAGAAAGCATCATCACAATCAGAAATTATTGGTGTATGATTTTTTTGTTATTTCTCAACAACCTAATGTCACATCCAAAGGAACTAGAAAAACAAGAATAAAACTAATAGGAAAAAAGAAATAACAAAGATCAGAGCAGAACTAAATAAAACTAGACCCCAAAACCATTCAAAGATTCAACAAAACTAAAAATTGGTTATTTGAAAGTGTAAACAAAATTGATAGACTCTTAGCTAGATTAGCTAAGGCAAAAGGAAAGAAAATTAAACTAAACACAATAAAAAATGACAAAAGTGACACTACAACTGATACCACAGAAATATAAAAGATCCTCAGAGATGACTATGAACACCTCTATGTGCACAAACTAGAAAACCCAGAGGAAATGGATAAATGCCTGGAAAAACAACCTCCCAAGACTGAACCAGGAAGAAATTGAAAACCTGAGCAGACCAATAAGAAGTTACAAAATTAAATGTATTTTTTAAATTCTTAATTTAAATTGCCATGATTTTAAAAATGTAAACACAGTAAAATGTGAACATAAATAATCAAAACAATATATGAAGGGTTACGTGCACAAGAAAATATAGTAACCTAGCATCATTACTGTGAATCCTAAACTGGCTCATTCAATCCCTCTTTAAAAAAATTAGGATAAAATTCCCCTCTAGTCCACTCTACACAGTGTACAAATCTTAGAAAACATAGTAGTTTGTGGAACAGCTTGGAAATCAGTAATAAAAAAAAATCTACCAACTAGAAAAACCCCAGGACTGGTTGAATTCACAGCCAAATTCTACCAGATGTACAAAGAAGAGCTGGTACAAATCTTACTGAAACTTCAAAAAAACTGAGGAGGAGCAATTCAATCCTAACTCAGTCTACAAAACCACTATAGCATCCTGATACCAAAAGCTGGCAAGGACATAACAATAAAAAGAAACTATAGGCCAATATCCCTGATGAATACAGACACAAAAATCCTCAACAAAACACTAGCAAACTGAATCTAGCAGCACCTCAAAAAGATAATTCATCACAATTTAGTGGGTTTCATTCCTGGGGTGCAAGGTTGGATCAGCATACACAAATCAATACATGTGAGTCACTACATAAACAAAATTAAAAACAAAAATCATATGATCATCTCAATAGACACAGAAAAAGCATTCAATAAAATCATCTCCCTGTATAATACAAGCTGCATGAAACCAAAGACCTTCTGTGCCTTGAGTGTCTCCTGTACTAGAACAATGCACCAGAAGATTGTAGATGCTTAGTAAATAGTTCAGAATTGAACAACCAAAGAATAAAGCTGTATGATAATTGCTGCACATACAAAACTAAACCAAATAGTGTCTTTGCTCTTCAGATTTCAGAAATATTTGTTATTTATAGGCATGAGAGCCTTAATATTGTAGTTATTTCCCTTAAGAGTGGCTTTTAAAAAATATATATTTCCACGTTTTCAATGTTGCAATAAAGAATTTATTTTTACAGAGGTGCACCTTGTATGCCTTCACAATTCTAACTTTTTAGTGTAATTAATGGGATAGCTATTAATGTGTAAAATTACTAAAACTATTCATAGTCTGGCAAAAACAAAAGTAAAGGCATAGAACCAGATTTCATTGTAAACATTCCCCCATGCACTCTGATCTGCATTTCTTATGCTTTCATTACCTTCACTTCATTATTTTTACTATCTTCACTTTTCATCATCTTCACTTTCTTTTGCAGAAAGAATAGTATGTGATTATTTTTATTTATAAATGCATTTTATCATAAAAACCAATAAGATAACTATGAAGAAAAATGGAATGGAATGAAGAAAACAATCTGACACATTCTTACCAATTACATTATAATTTTATTGTATTTTCTCTTAACTTTTTACAATGTGCCATCTCCCCACTGATTAACACAGTATACTTACAATTTTTACCAAGCCTTTGCAATTTAACACAATCTGTAAGATTTTCTATGTGTTATATAGTCTTTATAATCACTTGTAAAAGCTGCATATAACTCCATCATGTGGAGGTAACATAATTTGTCATATCTTTATTTTATGACATTTAGTGTATTTTTAATTTTTATGTTATATGACTAGCTTCATGGATATACTTTTTCCATCATTTGAATTATTTTTGGTGGAAGAAGAGTCAAATCAATGCAAATATCAGCCTAAAGTACCGCTTACTTTTATGCTTCTAAATATATGGCCTTTGTGTATGGAGAGAGGTGTATGAAAGAGAGAGAGAGAGAGAGAGAGAAACACAGAGAGAGAGAGAGAGAGAGAGAATAAGATGGCCTGTAGTCAAAGAGGAATTTTGCTAGCCTACTCTGCTAGGAAGAATCATTAACTATTAACCACTTATTGTGATGGGTGAATGCTATTATACTGTTATTCTCTCCGTGATCCATTACATAGAGTTTCCTAAGTGAGAGATAGCCTGATTTCAAATCCATACGTGCAACTTTTACTGGTGACTCTCCCTATGGGCTTATATTTACAACCACTATTCATTTCCTCTATCCACAGTATCTTAATATGTGTGTGTCAGCATCACAAACCTCTTGTAATATTAAATTTTCAGCCTCTCAGGAGGGTGACTATCTGCTTTTTAGAGGCATACTCCCCAGCTCCCCAAGAGCAAATTTTTGCACTTTTGTAAATACCATAAAACTTGCACTTTTGTCAGACTAAATAAAAATGCCACTCAAGTGTGGTGAAAACATTCTCAGTCAACTTTTTGGAAGTGAGAACCATTTCACCTCTTTGAAGTTCTCTCTGGGGTCCTCCTGGGTAGATTTCAGATAGCATAAATACTTCAAAAAAGATCATCCAAAAAACAAGCTCATACAGATTTTGATAAGGGACAAGTTATAATAAAAGACAAGTAAACAAAACTTTTCATCCCTTTTCTTTTTTAAACTTACATTTGTTTATTTTTTGAAAACATCACAACCAAACAATACCAAAGGCAATGTATAAAAATAAAAAGTGGTGATACACTCCAATAACTATAGATTTTACATAACATGATCATTGCTTTCTTTTTATACTGATTTATAGCCTTGTAATATTCCTTAGGGGGAAAACCCAACCTTCGGAAGAAATGTAAATATATATTATGTTATAATCTATCCATGCAATAGATTATGTAACAGTCTGTTGTTCAGACACATATCTACCAGTCTGCCTGTCTGTGCTCCTATCTACCTACTTAAATATTTACCTACTTATCAAATGGATTGATTGAAATAACACATTTAATTAATTACCTCTGTCAAGCCACACAGTGCGATGAGTCTAGGCAGTTTTCATAAAGAGTTGGAATCTATTTTCTCACCCCTTGAGTCAGAGTAGCCTGAAGAGTTGCATTTAGTAATAGGATGTGGCAGGAGTGATGTGATGTTAGTCCCAAGTCTGGGCCTTGAGAACTCTTGAACGCTTTAGCTATCATGTGGGCCTTTTTCCCCATCACGATGAAAAGGTCATGACTGCTAGAGGATGAGAAATGATACAGAGAACAGCTGAGTCTTCTCAGCTGACTCTATCCTAGCCCAGCCATTCCTCAGCAATCCCTCCAGCTTACAAGGATATATGTGCAAGCCTGTCTGAGAGTAGATGACCAACATTCATGACACTAAGTTTTGGGGTAATTTGTTTCATTGCAATAACTAACTAACACAATATCTTATGCAGAATTCAAATATCGCATTTCCATGATTCCTTTTCCAAACAACCAAGTTAATTAGTCACAGTCTCCTCTCTCTTTATATACCTATTTGTGTGTGTGTGTAAAGAAGAGATCTCACTATGTTTCCCAGGCTGATCTTCAACTTGGTTTAAGTGCTCCTCCCACCTTGGCCTCCCAAACAAGTGCTAGGATTACAGGAGTGAGCCCCCTCGCCCAGCCTCTGCTCATACAGCACTTGATAAGTGTTTTTTTTTTTTTTCCTGTAGTGAAAGCAAATGAAGTAAGAAATAAAAAACCAAACATCAATCAATACTTAATTCTATAGCACATTCACACTGAGTTACAATTCCTTTAGCTATCGTTTTAGAGATTTCAAGGCAAAATGGGGAAATGTACTGACTTTTATAAATCAAATCCTAGAAAAGTAGATTGACCTTTGGATCCTAGATCTTGAACCTGTAGTACAGACATAGCTCCAGATTCCTATCCTCCAACAAATCCGTTGGGAAAAATGTATTGTTTATCCACTTGTCTCTCTAGGAAATAAGCAATGAAAGGGGCTAGAATCTTATGATCTTTGTACTTCAAGTAGTGAACACATGAACTGGTTTCTAACAGTGGCTCAGTGAAGGTCTCTGGAATGCATGCACAGGTCTGTGGAAAATTCTTATACCCAGTAACTTTCTTCTCCCTCAACTACATTGCAAATATGTCTGATCTTTAGCCCGAGAGACCACATGCTGCTCCTAGCTAATCGTGTTTTCATCTCTTTTCAAACCTTCCTTGTTTCTGAGTTAGGAAGTATGAAAACAACACACATACTCTGACATGCAAATAAGCCCCTCATCCTAGAAGGAAACTGAATGGTTCCCTTCACAAGTAGTTTCTTACACACATTGCAGAACCTCACAAATAAAGGCCAGACATATGTTTTAATCTTGGAATAAAATTTATTTTATTCTGTGAGTATAATTTACATATTACTGTTTCTTTATATAAACTATATATGTACATATATAATATTTGTATATGGTGTCATAGAGAAATACTTTCATGCAAAGCAATTATGTCTGCCTTTAAGGAAGTTTCATATTTCCATAGTCCTGAATGTTTAAAATTGTGCTAAGAATGCTGGTTTAAATCTCTGACCATGTTTGCTTACCATTTGTAGTATCCAAAGCTTTACTCTTTAACCTTATTCTTATTTTTACTTTCTTCTTTCATTTCTGCTTCTGCTTTTTTCTCCTCTTTTTTCTCATGCTCTGTTGATGCTTTTTGCTTCTCCTGTTTCCTCACTTACTCTTTCTCTTATTACTCTTTTTCCTCCTTTCTATCTTATCCTGTATACAGAAAATATAGACGTGACACAAACATTTCATAACCATTGGAGATGTATACACATGCAGCAAAACTGTTTGATGTCTTCTGATGTCCTCTGAAGTTATGGTAATAATGGCTTAGTTTTAGATCACAATTCATTGCAGGTCCCTAGGGCTCTCATTTTTATGAAAACATCTAAGTCTTATGGGTTGGCAAAGAAGATCATCATGAGGAGTCTCCATTGCAACTGCAGGAAGGACTTGGGGATAGCAGATTACACACTGCCCCACACCAGAACACCAAAGGGTACAGGAAGAGTGCTGCCAATATAACATAGCATCGGGCTATTCTCCTCCAGCTCAGGCTCTTGAAGTCTTGATTGCAATACAGTTGCTGAAACTTTGAAGGTTTACTGTCTCTAATTGTACAGGTGTCAAATTACAGAGAACATTTGGGACAACTGTGCAGTATTATAAATAATCTATTTTTGGACATTAAAAATTTTATTTCTAATGATCATGATATGGTTCAGCTAATGTAATGTTAACAGTGAACAAACAATTCTTAATGTCAGAAGCATTTTAAAAGAATGCTGTGGAAGAACTGAGAATTTTGAGTTTGATATATCAATTTTTTATGTGAAATCCTTTAGCAGTTTATGTAGGTTAAAGAAAATTTTGTTTAGTGTAGTAAATACTTATTGCTTTGTCTGCATAAATTCTATTTAGAGAAAATTTTTCATAGATATTTTTAATGTCTTTAACGTTTCAACAAATGCAATCAAAGAATTCAGTGGAAAACTTTAAAATTCATCCACAGAGAGTACAGAACAACACATTCCATATCCACAATTATGTTTGTTATTTTACATTTAAAATATGGTTGGTACTCTCTCAATTTTTGAGACAAATAAATGCATATTCTTTATTTTTTATTTTTTATGCATTGAATAAGTAATGGTATAAAATAGAAAAGACAGGACATAAACATTTAATTTGCTTCAGGACCTTATATTAAATTCAACAACTTTAGAATGCTAAACCTTTTGGATCAGAAGTGATGTAGAAATATTTACAAGTATGAATTTTTGTGTTTGAAGATTATAAGATAGACCACGACTTTCAGTTTTAGAAGTCTTACTTTAACTCTTCCCCATCCTCCCCCATCATTGTTTTAAGATAATGTCAAAAGGAAAGTATGTTTCATTCTAGTGAATAATGGGAGGAGACAGATGTTGGAGTGCGGGATTCTTTACAGAGTTTCTATACGTCTTGTAGCAGCCTTTCTTCTATACTATCTTTTCAAGGATGTTTGTGTAGCAACCAGCCTTGGAAGATAGAGGTAGTGTAGTGTCTTCCTCCAGGGCAGAGGGAAGACTTCTTCTGACGAGGATAATAAAGATAATCCTTCCCTTTGGGATAAAGATTGAACAGGTCTACTTGCAGCCCCCTTATAAAATTGAGGGTTTCCTAAGCTTGGTGTTGCTCAACTGTGACACAACCTCACTGTGAATACAGTATCCATCTAGGTTCATCTCTGCATCATCCCCAGGGTGAACATGAAGCTCATTCTGCTTGCTGCATCACAAGTAATAAAGTCTTTTATCTCTGATCCTGGATTCCTGTTTTAACTGTGGCAAGCTAACTTGTCAGCTTGTAGTAGGGCAAAATCTCAGCCCCTTCACAGTTCTTGACCCTAGAGGACAGAAAAAACCCATAGTGTGACTGGAGAGAATGTGAATTTACCCAAATGATGGTGCTAAAACAGGCAGGTCTGTGAAGCCAGATCTTCAGCTGCCAGTTTATTTTAACCTCAGTGAGGGAGAGAAATGAAAACATATCTAACATGCTTCACAACCCATGCTAGAAATAAATTAGAATGTTTTTAAATTTTATGTATGATGTTACTCAAATCATGAAGACAAATCCAGAGGCAAGTCAATTGGTGATAGCAATTGATGCTAAGTTACTTTTCAAGGATCTGATCTTTGCCAATGTGTTCTTACTTGCAAAACCTTGAAAATTTGGCTAAATAATCAGTACTAAATGATTCTTAAATGTGGCAGCATAGTCTTTAAATATGAGGACGCTACGGGGGACTGAAACAACACAACTTCCGTGAATTGACTAGATTAACAGATTTTGGGTTATAATATTGGCATTTATAGCTAAGACAAATTTATTCTGTCTTTGCTGAAAGGGGAATAAAAATATTTACCTAGCCATCTTAGCATTCTTCCTTTTACAAAAATGTTTATACATTTCATAGCAAAACAATTTTGATAATGTATTTATTCACCTCCTGACCTTGTCTTCTAGTTATTTAAATAAACTTTTTGAAAAAAATGAATGAATTTTACATTATAAACCTGAACGTTCTCTCTCAAAATATGGAATTATGTAAGCCAGACTGAACATTCTACTTGTGAAAATGATGAATAGAAAATGTATGATTGTATGTGGAGAAGCATGATAGTAAATTGAGCCTCATTGTAACTGTATCCAGCAATGTAATCTAACATTAATTATAAATGTGTGCTTAGGAAGATATTCCAGCTCCTCAACCTAAGTATCCAGTAACTAATGAAAATACCTTACATTGCTAGTTCTTCATTATTGCTCAAGTACAATAAAATAATGAAGAGGAAAGGGAATCTCATCACATTCAATCTTTTGCTTATTGCATTCATATTTCATAGCTTCTTTGAAGGTTTCATTTGTCTCCATCCTCTGCAAGGCAGCACATTCATAAGATTCTCCTGGATTTACATCTTATTTAGTATTTCATCCAAATAGGTTACTCTCCCTGTCTCTGAGAGATCCCCCCGGAAAGGCCCCAAGAGAGAGATCTTGCCTGTGTGATGAGAAATGGCCCCTCTGTGGCCGCTTATGGCTCTCTCAGTCCTTTTCCTTGATTGCCATTTAATATCTCTTTTAAGAGACAGTGGAAAGTATAGAGGGAAGTAGAAAATTTCCATTAAGGGATCCTAGCAATGGCGAAACCGAGATGCTATTAAAATTAAATGAAGAATTCTGAGAAGAATATATCTGGCTTCTGTGAAACTTCAGACTTTGAAAATACTCTACAGGACACTGAGGAATCCTGCCTTGTCTACAACAGCACAAGAACAATTTTGCTGTAATTATTTAGTTGTTTTATTTTATTTTCTACTGCCATAAAATTTAGATAGCTTACATTAATTATTTCCTTTTTCATGTAAAAGGTCCATTGTCTGTCTGTTCAATATGGTCCTGAGGCAAATAGGGAATCCTGTTATCAATTCTAAAGCCATATTATCCAGGAAGAAGTCTTTGTAAAAGGGTATAATACAATTTTATTTATTATATGGGATACCTGGAATAGTCAGACTGATAGAAAATATAATAGTGGCTGCCAGGGATTGGAGGAGGGGAGAATGAGACTTATTGCCTAATGGAGGCAGAATTTTAGTTTGAGATGATGAAAACCTTCCGGATATGCATGGTAGTGATAATTGCACAAGGTAACTGTAGTTAATGTCACTTTCCTGTACATTTAAAGATGGTTAAAATGGTAAATTCTATATTATATGTATTTTACCACAATGAAAAAAGGACATTGAATTTCTTAAACAAATTCATTTTTCCCCAAGTTGGTCTCCTTCTGTAAAATGCTGCACAGTTCTCATAAGCTTCTACATTTTCTAGCTCCCTTAACACTATAAGGTACTATTGTGTCTCTGAATAAACTTGGGAGAGAAAGAAAAACTATTTTTAATCATTTACAGTGTTTCATTTTGTAAGTCCCAGCCCAATTTATCTTTTATTTCTAAAATGTATACTCATATCAGTGTATTTACAAAAACATTCTTGCTTCCTTTTTCTTATTATACCACACCAACAACCTTGGCTAAAATTTCAACTTTTTTAGCTGCAATATTTTCACGGAAAAACAATGTAAAAGGCATAACATGGAGAATAGAGATGGAAAAGAAAGATACAGACTTGTAATTGCCTGACATTTTCAAGGAGACTACATTTAGCTATTAAGAGGTTGTGTGCAACTGTTATCTTTGTAAAAGTTCAGAATATGTGTATCTTGCTTATCAACAAGCATAGTGGTCACCAGAAATTATCTAATTTGGACATCAAGTGAAACAAGTGATCGAGGGCTATTTATTAACTTAAAGTTACACTTTAACCTGCCTCTTTTTTTTCTATTTGGCAATTGGCTTTGATGTTCAGATTGCCCTGCAATATTTTTTCTAATTTGCTCAGCTTTCATTACAATTAAATATGAGCATATTTATCTGCTGCACACAAACACATATGCCACCTATGTTTTTCAAATGTTTGGACTTCAGGAAGTCCTACGAACCACATGAATTGCATGTTGAATTGCTGGATAAAATGCATGCATCATTCTCCGTGAAAGTGTTCACAATTCTTATGAGTTTCTAAAGTACCCATGCCACACAAGGTAACAAAATATGTTATTCAGCTTGGGAGAAAAGGAAGCCTGTGTTCTGAAGAATAGCTGTCGAATATGTCCAGTAATTTATTTAGAACATGGGAAATAGACAAGTGTTCATGTGTGGAAGATAGGAATTTTATGAGAACACGTCATTTCTTTGTGGTGGTGGTAGTGTCATTTTTAGACCAAGAACTTCTGTGGGGAGAAAAGAGCTGTTATGATCTCCTCCCCAACACACTGAACATCTTTGCTAAATAGCTTTTGAGGAATAGATTTTTGTCTTTCCCTTTGTTTCCATCTTCTGAAACAGCACATCCATTAAGAGGGGCAGTTCTGAGAATAATGGAAGAGCGCTTAAAAGGCAGAGCAGCCTTGGCATTGCTCCTAAGAAGCACTTCCCACAGCTCAGGTAACAGCCGTCAGAGCAGAGCTGGTGATCCCCTGGAGCCCCGAGGTTCCACATGGAACTGGTGGCCTGATAGTAAGCTGCTGCCCTCTCTTCAGCATAAGCATAATGCTGCCAGAGAACACATTCCCATGAAAGGGAGAAAGAGAGAAATACAGAGAGCAGAGAGGGAGGGAAAAGGGAAGGGGAGACTAAAGACAATCTACTATGGGATCTTCAGACTTCAGAGGATAAGAGTATACCATGTTTATGCTATTTGCTGATACGCAAGTTAGTACAGCGTAAATTACTCAGGGAAGGAGAAACTACTTCATCCATTTGAAAAGACTTAATTATCTTATAGGCAGCATGCCTCTGTGAAAGGTACACTGTGTAGTAATTTAACTAACATTTAAAGTCACTGAATTGAAAACGTTTATTGCTTTTCAGATATGTGTTTATTGTCTTTAGCGTTATGCTCAGTACTTTTATTGGATTGGCATACCTGAATTCATTTAGCTTAAAGAGAAGCAGTCTATTTTTGGGATGCACGAGAATCCTTGCCTGGAAATGGCTAAATCGTTATAAGTCGTCCTGAATTAAAACACTCTCACTTTCTAGCTACTTGGTCACAGTCAGCTACTTGGAACAGTCAGCAGATTAAAGACAACCCACAGAGTGGGAGAAAATCTTCGCAATCTATACATCTGACAAAGGATTAATATCCAGAATATACAATGAACTCAAACAAATCAACACAATAAAGAACAAACAATCCCATCAAAAAGTGGGCTAAGGATATGAATAGACAATTCTCAAAAGAAGATATGCAAATGGCCAACAGACATATGAAAAAATGCTCAACATCACTAATGATCAGGGAAATGCAAATCAAAACTACAATGTGATACCACCCCTGCAAGAGTGGCCATAATAAAAAAAATAGTAGATGTTGGCACGGATGCAGTGAACACGGAACACTTCTACACTGCTAGTGGGAATGTAAACTGGTATAATCACTATGGAAAACAGTGTGGAGATTCCTTAAATAACTAAGAGTAGAACTACCATTTGACCTAGCAATCCCACTACTGGCTATCTACCCAGATGAAAAGAACTCATTATACGAAAAAGATACTTGGACATGCATGTTTATAGCAGCACAACTTGCAATTGCAAAAATGTGGAACCAACCTAAATGTCTATCAATTAATGAAAGGATAAAGAAACTGTGGTAATGCAATACAATTCAGCCATAAAAAGGAATGAATTAATGGCATTCATAGCAATCTGGATGAGATTGGAGACTATTATTCTAAGTGAAGCTCAGGAATGGAAAACAAACATTGTATGTTCTCATTCATAAGTGGGAGCTATGAGGATGCAAAGGCATAAGAATGACACAATGGACTTTTGGAACTCAGGGGGAAAGGGTGGGAAGGGGATGAGGGATAAAAGTCTACAAATACGGTGCAGCGTATACTGCTTGGTCAGTGGATGCATGAAAATCTCACAAATCACCACTAAAAAACTTACTTATGTAACCAAACACCACCTGTTTCCTAATAACTTATGGAAACAACAAAAAAAATCAATTGGTCATAGATGTATGGGTTTATTTCTCAACTCTTAATTTCATTCCATTCATCTGTTTGTCTATCTTTATACCATTACCACACTGTTTTGGTTATTGTAGTTTTGTAGTAAGTTTTGAAATTGGAAAGTTTAAATAAGATTATTTTGGGTATTCAAGGCCTCCTGCAATTACACATGAATTTGAAGATGGACTTTTCCATTTCTGCATAAAAGGCTGTTGGAATTTTGACTAGGATTGTAGTAAATCTGTGGCTCACCATGGGTAGTATTGACATCTTAATAATATCCTTGGTGTCTACCATTGCTACCCATGAACACAAGTGGGCTTACATTTATTCATGTCTCATTTCAACTCTCTCATCAATGCTTTGTAGCATTCAGTGCACAAGTCTTACCTCGATGGTTAAATTTATTCCAAGATATTTTATTCTTCTGGGTGCTGTTGTAAATATAATTTTTTCTTCATTTGTTCTTTATATTTTTATTTACTGGTAGATAGAGGCACAGTATATTTTCCTGTGTTGATAACGTACCCTATGACTTTTCTGCATGTATTAATATTAGCTCTAATAGATTTCCTACAGATTTTGGGAGTTTTAACACATACAGGGTCATGTTAACTGTAAATTTTTCTTTCCATTTTCAGTAATCTTTATTTCTTTTTTTTTGATTAATTGCCTTGGTCAGAACCTCCAGTACAAGGTTTATTAGTAGTAGGGGAGGTATACATCCTTGTTTTTTCCTAACCTTAAAGGGAAAGATTGCAGTCTTTCCTCAGTGAGCATTATGTTGCCTCTGTGTTTTTCAGAAAGTATCTTCTTTTGCGTGAGGAAGTTTCCTTCTATTCCAGTTTTCTGAGGATTTTTATCATGAGAAGTGGTTGTATTTCACCAAACACCTTTCCTAATTCAATTGAGATAACCCTGTGTGTTTTTATTCCTAAATTCTATCAATGAGGTATATTACATGGATTTTCTTATGTTAAACCACTCTTCTATTGATGGTATAAATCCCACTTGGCCATGATGCATAATTCAATTATATGCTGTTGAACTTGATTTGCTAATACATTGTCAAGGACATGGGCATTTATATTCATAATTCATATTCATATGATTGGAATTTATACCATAAATGATATTGGTCTGTAATTTCTGTTATTTTTTAAACTGGCTTTAGAATCAATGTAATGCTAATACCATATAATTAATGAGGATGTATATGTTTCTTTCCTATTTTATGGAAGGATGTGAGAAGGATTGGTGTTAATTCTTTTTTTAAATGCTTGTTAGAACTCATGAATGAAGTCATTTGGTTCTGGACTTCTCTAACCATTGGAACTCTTTATTTGTTATAGTTCTGTTAAAAATTTCTATTTCTTATTGAATTTGTTTAGAAAATTTGTGCTTGTAGAGATAAGTCTTTTTTGTTTAGGGTGTTATGTTTGTTGTGGCACTACTGTTCATAGTATTCTGTTCTAATCATTTGTATTTCTGTAAGCTCTATCATAACATCCCACATTCATTTTTTATTTTAGTTACTTGAGTCTTTCCTCTCTCATTTTTTTTTTTTGGTTTTTATTTCTTTGAAATAAGAGTTTTTGAAAGATAATTTCCCTGGACACAGAATTGTAGCTTGATGAGTTTTTCTTCAACACTTTAAATACTTTAGTCTTTTAGTGAGCCTATTCTTTTCACTCTATTTTTGCTTGCATATTTTTGAGGAGAAGTTTCATGCGATTTTTATTCTTGCTCCTCTACAGGCAAAGTTTTTTGTTACCCCTCAGATGTCTTTCAAGCTCTTTTATTTCTCCTTTCTATTTTTCTTAGATTTAATACGGTATTCACAGGTGTATATTTTTTAGTATTGAGCCTGATGGTGTTCTCTGAGCTTCCTAGTTCTGGGGTTAGGTGTCTATCATTAATTTTGATAATTCTCAGTTATTATAGCTTCAAACAATTTTTGTCCTTCTGATATTCCCATTACACATATGTTAATGGTCCCATAGTTTTCAGATACCTGTACTGTCTCTTTCATTGCTTTTTCTGTTTTCATTTTAATTTTGGAAGTTTGTATTGCTATCTCATCAAGCAATGAGTCCATCAAATACATTTATGTTACAATGTTTCTAATTTCTAACATACATTATATTTGATTTTTTTCTTAGATGCTCTGTCTCTTTGCTTATACTACACATCTTTTTTTACATTTTGTCCACTTTTTCCATTAAAATTCTTAGCATGATGATTATAGATATTTTAAAGTTCTAATCTAATATTTCCATCATCTCTTCCATATTCCAGTTTGGTTCTGATGTTTATATGGTCTCATCAAACTCTGTGTGTGTTTCTGTGTGTTTGTCTGTCTGTCTGTGTCTTTTATTGTGTTTGATTTTTTTGAAAGCCAGACATAATGCACTAGATAAAGGAACTAAGGTAAATGACCTGTATTGTCATTTACAGTTCTAGCAATTAAGCTTCTTTACTGTATCCTATAGCTAATGGTGTTCTTTGTTTGATATCCTTTGATTTGTCTCTCCTCTGATTTGGGGGGTTTGCTAGATACTTATTAATAAGGTCTGAGATATGCAGTTCTTTTAGTTCTAATTCCCTGTCATTATACAAGAGTCTCCAGGTAACATTGGAGGGGAGGGGAAGCACTCCATGGTCCTATGATTATGTTTTAGTCTTTTAGTGAGCCTCTCCTTTTAGGCTATGATCATCACAAGTACTCCTTGGGTTTCCCCCACTGTCTTAGGCAAGATGGGAAGGCTAAAGAGATTTGGATCTGGGCCATTCCCCACATGGAAAGCTAGCAGCAGCTGGACTTGAGTATTTCTCTTCATCCAGGTCTGTCAATCTGTGTTAGAACTACAGTGGATTAAGCTCTTTAAGGGTTATCCTAAGGCTCTGGTCAAACAATTTGCCTTGAGGGAAGACTTGGTTAAAAATAAGAGAATACTCAGAGCGTATTTTAAATGGTTAATCCCCCCGCCTTCCCCCTTCTGGAAGCATAAGAGCTTCTGTTTTTGTTATATTCTGTTTGAGAATCATGTAGGGGTCCTTGAGCTAAAACTCCCAAAATTTAAGAGTTGTCCTAAGATTGGATTTTTCTGGAGTTTTTAACTCCCCAACTTTTTCGCCCTGAACCTTCAGAAATTTATCAATTACAGTTTAGGTTTTCCTGCCCTAGTGCTGCATCCCACAAAGTGGGTATCTCCTCCACCAAGTGATTCTCCCTGTCTTCCTGTCTTCTGTCCCTCCAATCTGGGGAGCATCACTTTGCCCTGAGAATTATCAAATTAATCCATGGGGAGTTTTTGATTTTCCATTTATTCAATATTTTGCCTGATATGTTAATGAAAGTGATGATTTCCTGAATCCTTACATGGTGGCCAGAAACCCAAACTCTTTTTCATTATGAAAGCCAGTTTTGTTAGATATAGAATTATTGATTGACAGGCCTTTTTTATTCTTCAAACACTTTAAATATGTCATTCCTTGGTTTCTGATAAAAAATCAGTTATTAATCTCATTGAGGATGCCACATATGTGATGAATTGCTTCTTTGTGATACTTTCAAGATTCTTTTTGTCTTTTCTTTTCTTTTCTTTTTTTTTTTTTTTTGAGACAGAGTCTCACTTTGTCACCTAGGCTGGAGGGATGGAGTGCAGTAGTATGATCTTGGTTCACTGCAACCTCTGCCTCCCAGGTTCAAGCAATTCTCCTGCCTCACCCTCCCAAGTAGTCTGGGATTACAGGTGCCTGCTACCACACTTGGCTAACTTTTGTATTTTTAGTAGAAATGGGGTTTAACTATGTTGGCCAGGCCGATCTCAAACTCCTGACCTCAAGTTATACACCCACCTCGGCCTCCCAAAGGGCTGGGGTTATAGGTATGAGGCTCCATGCCCAGCCTGTCTTTGCCTTTCAACTGTGATTATAATGTGATGAAGTGTGATTTATTTTTTGAGTTTTTTTTAAATTTAGGTTTAGTTGTTTGGATGTGTATATCAATGTCTTTCATCAACTTTATGCTGCTTCCAGCCTTTTTTTTTTTTTTCAAATATTTTGAGATTACCATAATGTGTATTTTGGCCTGCCTGATAGTAATTCCCTGGTGTCTCCCATTCTGTTCATTTTTTTCTCTTTCTGTTCCCCCAAATGTACATCTTCAATTCTCCTATCTTCAATTTTGCTGATTCTGTCTCCTGCCTGCTCACATCTGTTGATACACCTCTCTAATGAACATATCATTTCAATTATACTTTTCTGCTACAGAATTTTGTTTGTTCCCTATTTATAATTTCCATCTCCTTAGTGATACTGTCATTTTGTTCATACATTGTTTACCTAATTTCCTTCCATTCTTTGCCTATGTTTTTCTTCAGCTCTTTGTGCATATTTAAGACAATTATCATAAGTCCTTTTTCTAGCAAGTCCAACATCTATATTTCTTTAGTAATGGTTTCTGCCAATTTACTTAGTGGTTCTGAGTGGCCCTAAAAGTAGCTGCTAGTTTTTCAAAGCCCATTTTTGGAAGAATAGAATCTTGGAGCTGTCTTTTATAGCATTTTGTACTTTCTCATTTCATTATGTGCTTGTCATTTTTGTTGTTGTTGTTGAAAATGAGACATTTGAATAATGTATTGGGATTACTGTTAAAGTCAGAATCTGCTCCTTCCCCAGGCTTTGCAGAGTTTTGGTTGTTGGAGGCTGTAGTAGTCCACTTGTATAGTGGCTTTTCATAACTACTTTTGCAGAGACTGTGTTTCTTGTTGTTTCTGGTCAGTAAGGTTGCTTATTTAGTGTTCAGCTGATGTTTTGACAGTTATCCTTGAATGCCAAGAGCTGAAAGAGTTTAAACAAATAAAAAGCAAAGCAAAACAAAGTAAGCCACTTCTCACACTCTTTGAAGATCGATTCTGTGCTGACTTAGCCAAGCTTGCACTGAACTTAATCATTAACTGGAGTTGAAAGCATAGGGTCTTCTTTGGTCTTTTATGATTACACATCATAACCTTGGCATGTATATAATTTTCTAAGTGTTTATGTATTCCCTAATTTCCCAAATAAACTCTGTCCAGCTTTTCTCCCTGGGCCTTAGAAACTGTATCCTTCCTCAACTATAATCATTTGTGTCATGCATTTTGGGGGTATTTGTTCACCTTACAATATTTTTAAGCAATGTCTAACATGTTGCTGAACTGTGTGATCCATGACTTAGGCAAAATGGACATGTTCACTTTACATCAGTCCTTCTGGTAGCTCCTATGCAAGTTAGAAAATATATATATATATATATTTATTTATATATATAAATATATTATATATATATTTATTTATATATATAAATATTATATATATATTTATTATATATATATTTATATATATTATATATATATAATACCTTGTAAATAAGTTGGACTTTGCTTTCTCCTTAATCAGGGACAAGGATTTTCACACTGAGAGGATAGGTTGGAATCTTCAGCAATGCCACTGAGCTGGAAAGGATGTAGAAGAAGGGCAAGTAAAAATGCCACAAAGTTTTACCTAAATTTCTGAAATGTCATTTTCTTGATGCAACATTTGTTTGGTTGCTCTAAACATCTGACTGTGTTCCAGATTCTGACAAAGTTAGCTCTAAAAGTAGCTGCAAGTTTTTCAAAGCCCCTTTGTGGAAGAACAGAATCTTGGAGCTATCTGCTCTAGCATTTTGTTGGTGTCACTTCTGATAAAATTTCGCTGGCATACAAAATGAGGCAGTAATAGAAGAATGTAATAATAAAAAATGTCCTAAGACCAGAAAACAAGTAATAAAATGACAGACATGAATCTTATTTTATCACTATTTCATTATCAATAAATAACTTAAACACTCCAATTAAAAAGATAGAAATTGGAGGAATGAATAAAAAGCCTCACCCAAATATTAGGTGTTTAAAAGAGTCATATTCATGTTCAAAATCACAAGTAGATTGTAAATAAGTTGAGAGAAAATACATAACATGCAAACAGTAAACAGAAGAGAGCTGGAAGGGCTGTACTAATTTAAGAAAAATATACTTTACAATATAAATTGTTACTAGAGATGAGGATAATTTTATTGTGATTATAATGTCAATCAATCAAGATATAACTGATGCAAACTTACATGCAACTACCAACACAACCCCAAATACAGAAAGTAAAAACTGACATAATTAAAGAGAGAAATATGAAATTAAGCAATAACATTTGGTGACTTCAATATTTCTTTCAATAATGATAGAAAATGATGCAGCAGATCAAGAAAGAACTAAAAGACCTGAAACATAACATATGAAGTAAATTTAACCAATGTATTTAAATGAATCCACCAAGCACTTAACAACAGCAGAAGTCACATTCTTCTCAAGTGTACATAGAATATTTTCCAATAAGAACTATATGTTCAGCCGTAAAACAAGTATCACTACATGTAAAAAAACTAAAATGATACAAACTATCTTCTCTAACCACAATGAAATAAAAGTAGAAAAAATTTACAAATATGTCATAATTAACACACCCCTAAATAACCAAAAAAAAAAAAAAAAAAAAGAAGAGGAAATCGCAAGGGAAATTAGAAAACAATTTGAGATAAATTTAAAGAAAAATGTCATATTAAAACTTATGAAATTCAGCTAAAACAGTATTTAGAAAGCAGTTTATTGCTGTAAACATATGTACTGAAAACTAGAAACATCTTACATTGGTAACATAAACTTCCAGCTTAAAGCTATAAAAACAGCAAACTAGACCTAAAGCAAACAGAAGAAAAGAAAGGATGAATGTTACGTTGTAAATAAATTAAAATAAACAGTAAAGAGAATGTCATTTAAATCAGAGAACTTTCTTTGACAGAGCAAACAACTAACTATACCAACTAAGTAAAATAGAGAATATTCAATACTAATATGAGGAATGAAACAAGCACATCAACACTGACCTTACAAAAATAAAAACAGATTACAGGAGACTATAGAACCATCCCTATATACTTTATACAATTAAACAAGGAAGAAGAGTGATAAATAAAATTAAACCAAGCTTGCAGCACATTCCACATTAATCATTAATTAGCCTGCTCTCAGATCTGCTTCCTCATGGTTGTTCACTGCCTACTGCCCCTCTCACCCCCTTAACTTCTTTACAGATAATGATGTAAACATTAGGAAACATTATGTTTTCCATTTGAGATATTTATTCAGGTCCTGCATATCAGTGGGATGTTTCAAAGTCAGATGGTCTGAAGGACTCCCTGAGAAACAGACTCACTAAAGAATGCAGTTTCCACATCCTGATGATTTTATCCCCCTTACTTCAACCTATCAAAGACCCAAATTTTCTAGCATTTTGTCCTCCACAATCTCCTCAAGAATCCCAGCCCAGAACTGCTCAGGGAGATGGATTTGAGGGTCTCTTCCCATCCCTTCACTCAACCACCCAGACATCCTTAAACCCTTTCTCTGCTGCACATTCCACTGTCTCAGTATACTGATCTGTTACCACACAGTGGGCATATAAACTTGTGGTGCTATAACAAATACAGTGAATAATTGTATGCCAACATATCAGAGAGCCTAGATGACATAAAAATATATCCTAGAAAAGTAGAAACAATATTAGTCCATTTTCATTGCTTAAATGAACTACCTAAGACTGGGTAATTTATAAAGAAAAGAGGTTTAATTGACTAACAGTTCTTCAGGCTGTACAGGAAGCATGGCTGGAGAGGCCTCAGGAAACTTACAATTATGGTGGAAGGCAAAGGGGAAGCAGGCACGTCTTCATGTGGTGGAGGAGGAGAGAGAGAGAGTGAAGGGGGAAGTGCTACACACTTTTAATCAACCAGATCTCATGATAACTCACTCACTATCACAAAAACAGCAAGGAGGAATTCCACTCCCATGATTCAGTGACCTCCCACTGGGCACCTCCTCCAACACTGGGGATTAAAACTCAACATGAGATTTGAGTGGGGAAACAGAGCCAAACCATATCGGAAACTAATTAGAGAAGAATATAAAATCCAACAGACCCAAAACAACTAAAAATAATTAATAAGCAAAAAAAAATTAAACAGAAAGCACATGAACAGATGTTTTCACTGTTTAATTAGTTAATTAATTATTTTAGAGATGGGGGTCTCACTATGTTGCTCAGGCTGGCATCAAAACCCTGGGCTCAAGGGATGGTCCTACATCAGTCTGCCAAGTAGCTAGGACTACAGGCACATGTCACCATGTCCAGCATGTTTAATTTAATTTCATCAAATGTTTAATTAATTGACAACAATATTTCACAAAATCTTCCAAAGTAGAGACGAGAAGGAAACACTTCACAGCTTATTTTTTTTTTAGGTCAATATTGTCTAAATAGCAAAGCCAGACAAAGAAATTACATGAAAAGTAAAATACAGACCAATATCTTTTATGAATATAGATGTCAATATCCTCAAGCAGAATAGCTAGTTTAACAACACACAAGAAGTTGTATACCATGACAGAGCAGGATTCTTCCCAGCAACACAATGTAGGTTCAACATACAAAAGTCAATCAATGCAATGCACCATATCAGTGGAATAAAGAACAATAAAGCATGTGATCAATAAACACAAAAACTATTTGACAAAATCTATCACTTCTTCATAATAAATACACTCATGAAAAGGAACTTCCTCATCTGATAAAGGACATCTATGAAAACCCCACAGGAAACATTATACTTTAAGGTTTAATAACTTTAATGATTAATAACTTTAAGCTTTCCTCCCAAAATCTAGAAGACAAGATGACCCACTCTCACATTCTGTATTCACGTTATGCTAAAGGTTGTATTCAGGGAAAAAAAGCAAAACAATGAAATAAAAGCTATTCAGATTAAAAAGTAAGAACTAACACTATTTCTTTATGTAGACAATTATATATTTTTAAAAACTCCTAAGGAATCAACAACAAAAAATTTTATTAGAGCTAATTAAATTATAAGGTACAAGAACAATATATACCAAATCAGTTTTTTTCTCAACACTCGCAATGCATAATCCAAAAGAAAACAATTCCACCAATGAGATCAGCCTTTTACACTGATCTCATTAAGTAAATTAAGAGGATATAAGTAAATGGAAAGACATTTTGGTTGGAAAACATAATATTACAATAGCAATACTTGGCTGGGCATGGTCACTCACGCCTGTAATCCCAGCACTTTGGGAGACTGAGGCCGGTGGATCACTTGAGATCAGGAGTTTGAGACCAGCCTGGCCAACATGGTGAAACCTCGTCTCTACTAAAAACACAAAAATTATCTGGGCATGGTGGCAGGTGCCTGTAATCCAAGCTACTCCGGAGGCTGAGGCAGGAGAATAGCTTGAATCCAGGAGGCGGGGGTTGTGGTGAACTGAGATAGTGACACTGCACTCCAGTCTGGGCAACAGAGTAAGACTCCAACTCAAAAAAAAAAAAAAACAAAAGAAAGAAAGAGAATAAAAAAGAAAAAAAAAAAGAATGGCAATACTCTCCAAATTTTTCTATAGATTCAATAAACTCTCTTTCAAATTTGTGGCTGCATTTTTACAAAAATTGGCAAGCTGATCCTAAAATTTATACAGAAATACAAGCAACTCAGAACAGCCAAAAAAAAAAAAAAAATCTTTAAAAGAACAAAGTTTGAGAATTCATACTTTTCAATTTAAAAATTTAATAGTAAGCTACACTGTATGAAAAGACACATATAAATCAATAAAATGGAATTTAAATTCTAGCAATAAACCAATATATCTATGGTCAATTGAGTTTCAACTTGTGTGCAAATGTCATTTAATAAAGAAATAAAAGTCTCTTCAACAAATGGTGCTGTGACAACTTAATATTCAAATACAATAGAATGACTTTTTCATTATGTGTTACAGGAAATAGAAAAATTAACTCAAAATGAATCAAAAACCTAAATATAAGAGCTGAATCACTGAAACTTGTAGAAGAAAACATACATGTGGTTCTTCATGAACATGGATTAGGCAATGGGTTTTTAGGTATAAAACCCAAAGTACAAAAATATAACAAAATATGGATAAATCACATTTCATCAAAATGAATATTTTTGTACATCAAAGGACACATCAAAGTGAGTGAAAAGGCAAACCCATAGAATGGGAGAAAAAATTTGCAAGTTATATATCGGATGAGGCTCTATAATCAAGAATAGGTATTTAAAAACATCTTGCAAATCAACAATAAAATGACAACCCAACTTGAAAATAGATAAATTATTCGAATAAACATTTCCCTAAAGAAGATATATAAATGGTCAATACAATATAAATACGCTCAACATCATTGATTGTTAGGTAGATGTAAATCAAAACAGCAATCAGATACTACTTCATACCAACTAGGATGACTAGACATTTACAAGTGTTGGCCAGGTTGTGAAGAAATTGGTACCATCATATATTGCTCCTGGGAATGCAGAAAGATACAGTCACTTTGGAAAACAGTTTAACAGTTCCGCAAAATGTCAAGTACAGAATTTATATAAGACTTAGCAAGTCCATTTTAAGTATAAACCCAAGAGATTTGAAAAAATATTTTTACACATAATCTGGTACATGAATGTTCATAGTGAATGTTCATAGCAACATTATTCCAAATAACCAAAAAAATAAATAAAACTAATATTCATCAACTGGTGAATAAATAAACAAATGGTGACTTATCCATATAATACAATATTATCCAACCGTAAGAAAAGAATAAAGCACTGTGACATATCACACCATGCATGAATCTTGACAAGGTCATGCTATGTGAAAGAAAGCAGGTACAAAAGTACAAGTATCATATGGTTCGATTTATTATATGAAATGTGATGGGCAAATACAAAGCTAAAGAAAGTAGATCAATGGTTTGATTTCTGCTAGTCAGTATAAATTTTATATTGGCGTGATGAAAATCTTTTAAAATTATATGGCAGTATTGGTCGCCATATACCATAAGTATACCAAAAGCTGCTGAATTTTACATTTTAAAAGGGAAACTTTGTGGTATGTGATGTATATCTCATACAACTATATAAGCACAACATGATGAAAATTGTAGAGTAAAATATGATTAAAACACCTCAAAAAAAGGATTTCAACAAAGAAATATAAACTGCAAATAGAACCAGATGGAAAAACTTACTAAACATGATAAAGACAAGATTTGAAATAATAAAGAAACAGTGAGTTTGAAATCATGTCAATAAATATTACATAATATGAAGAACAGAAAAGAGAATAAAGAAAAATGAAAAAAATCAAAAAGTCCTGTGGGAATTAATAAGCATATAAATGTCTATGTAATGAGTGTTCCAGGAGGAAAAGACAAAGAGGGGAATAAAAAATATGTAAAAAAAAAAATGGATAAAAAATTTCCAAATTTTATGAAAAAAAATGACATTATAAATCCAAATGAGTGTGTCTTAACAAATTCCAAGTGGGTAACATTAAGAAATTTACCCTTAGATACGTCATAATCAAATGATTTGAAGTGAAATAAAAACAGAATCTTAAAAGCAGGGAAAGAAAAACACCTTATTGTGTATAGAAGAACAGCAATGTAATTAACATTCAACTGCTTATCAGAAAAAGAACACAGTAGAATGACATTCAAAGTGCTAAAAGAAAAAATAACAGTCTATTCTCTAAAAAAGGAGATTAAATTAAGAAGTAATAACAAATATATTTAGCAAATATTCAAATGTTGCAAAATTAGACCATATTACTTAACATACACAATAAACACAACATATAAATTTTTGGACTTCATTGAAAGTGGTCATTAGAGAAAATTTCATGAATTTATTCACTTATATTATGAAAGCAAAAGTTTTTCATCTAAAAAATATGAAACAACTTCCTTGCTAAGAAACTAAAATTAAAAGAATAAATTAAACCCAAGGCAAGCAGAAGGAAGCAAATAAAATGATCACAGTGTAAAGTGATGAAATTGAAACAGAAACATCAAAACAAAAGCTGTTTTTTTAACTATCAAAAAAATTCATAAATCATTAGCAATACTGACAAAGAAAAAATGGAGGAGACACAAACTACTGAAATATAGAAAGATAACAAATCATAAATTTCCACTTTAGAGAAACTAAAAAGAGTAGCAGAGAATCATGAAATCTTTTGCCAAAAAAAATTAGGCAACTTAAACTTAAGAACTGGAGATATTCATTGGAAGAGAAAATTAATTTACTGAAACTGAATAAAAAATAAATAGAAAATCTGAATAGACCTATAACAAGAAATTGAATTAGTAATTGAAAATCTTCTCAGAAGTAGGCTTGGTGCTGTGCATCTATGGTTCCAGCTACTCAGGAGGCTGAGGCAGGGAATCTCTTGAGCCCAGGACTTCTACATTACTATGAGCCACTGCTCTCTAGCCTAAGTGACAGAATAAGACATTATTGCAGTTTAAAAAAAGGTTTTTTAAAATCTTCTCAGAAAGGGAAGCCCAGGTTCAGATGGGCTCACTGTAAATTCAATAAAAAATGTTAAGAAGAAATTAATACTGGTATTCAGCAAATTCTTCCAGAAAATAGAGAAAGAACGTTTCTCAGCTCATTCCATGAGGCCAATATTATCCTGATAGTAAAACCACACATAGATGTCACAACAATGGAAAACTACGTCACTATAAATCAAGTGAGATTTATTAAAGAAATGCAAAACTGATATAATATCCAAAGATCATTTAATGTAACCTACCATATTGACAGAATAAAAAATAAAGATAAAATGATGATCTCAATAGTCACAGAAAAAGTATTTAAAAACTCAGCATTGATTCATCATTAAAACCCACACCAGGGATGGAGCCAAGATGGCCGAATAGGAACAGCTCCAGTCTACAGCTCCCAGCATCAGTGACGCAAAAGATGGGTCATTTCTGCATTTCTAACTGAGGTACCAGTTTCATCTCATAGGCGAGTGCCGGACAGTGGGTGCAGGACAGTGGGTGCAGTGCACCATGCATGAGCCAAAGCAGGATGAGGCATCACCTCACCCGGGAAGTGCAAGGGGTCGGGGAATTATCTTTCCTAGTCAAAGAAAGGGGTGACAGTCAGCACCTGGAAAATTGGGTCACTCCCACCCTAATACTATGCTATTCCAACGGGCTTAACAAACCGCACACTAGGAGACTATATCCCACACCTGGCTCAGAGGGTCCTATGCCCACAGAGCCTCGCTCATTGCTAGCACAGCAGTCTGAGATCAAACTGCAAGGCTTCAGCGAGGCTGGGGGAGGGACGCCCACCATTGCTGAGGCTTGAATAGGTAAACAAAGTGGCCGGGAAGCTCGAACTGGGTGAAGCCCACTACAGCTCAAAGAGGCCTGCCTGCCTCTGTAGGCTCCACCTCTGGGGCCAGGGCACAGACAAACAAAAGACCGCAATAACCTCTGCAGTCTTAAATGTCCCTGTCTGACAGTTTTGAAGAGAGTAGTGGTTCTCCCAGCACACAATTTGAGATCTGAGAACGGGCAGACTGCCTCCTCAAGTGGGTCCCTGACCCCCGAGTAGCCTAACTGGGAGGCACCCCCAAGTAGGGATGGACTGACACCTCACAGGGCCAGGTACTCCTCTGAGACAAAACTTCCAGAGGAATGATCAGGCAGCAGTATTTGCCATTCACCAATATCCACTGTTCTGCAGCCACCGCTGCTGTTACCCAGGCAAACAGGGTCTGGAGTGGACCTTCAGTAAACTCCAACAGACCTGCAGCTAAGGGTTCAGACTGTTAGAAGGAAAACTAAAAAACAGAAAGGACATCCACACCAAAAACCCATCTGTACGTCACCATCATCAAAGAACAGAGGTAGATAAAACCACAAAGATGGGGAAAAAACAAAGCAGAAAAACCGGAAACTCTAAAAATCAGAGTGCCTCTCCTCCTCCAAAGGAATGCATCTCCTCACCAGCAATGGAACAAAGTTGGACGGAAAATGGCTTTGACGAGTTGAGAGAGGAAGGCTTCAGAAGATCAAACTACTGTGAGCTAAAGGAGGAAGTTCGAACCAATGGCAAAGAAGTTAAAAATTTTGAAAACAAATTAGATGAATGGATAACTAGAATAACCAACGCAGAGAAGCCCTTAAAGGAACTGATGGAGCTGAAAACCAAGGCACGACAACTACAGGATGCATGCACAAGCCTCAGTAATCAATGCGATCAACTGGAAGAAAGCGTATCAGCAATGGAAGACGAAATGAAAGAAATGAAGTGAGAAGAGAAGATTAGAGAAAAAAGAATAAAAACAAACAAAGCCTCCAAGAAATATGGGACTACATGAAAAGATCAAATCTACATCTACTTGGTTTACCTGAAAGTGACGGGGAAAATGGAGACAAGTTGGAAAACACTCTGCAGGATATTATCCAGGAGAACTTCCCCAATCTAGCAAGGCAGGCCAACATTCAAATTCAGGAAAAACAGAGAATGCCACAAAGATACTCCTCGAGAAGAGCAACTCCAAGACACATAATTGTCAGATTCACCAAAGTTGAAATGAAGGAAAAAATTTTAAGGGCAGCCAGAGAGAAAGGTCGGGTTACCCACAAAGGGAAGCCAATCAGACTAACAGCTGATCTCTCGGCAGAAACTCTACAAGCCAGAAGAGAGTGGGGGCCAATATTCGACATTCTTAAAGAAAAGAATTTTCAACCCAGAATTTCATATCCAGCCAAACTAAGCTTCATAAGTGAAGGAGAAATAAAATACTTTACAGACAAGCAAATGCTGAGAGATTTTGTCACCACCATGCCTGCCCTAAAAGAGCTCCTGAAGGAAGCACTAAACATGGAAAGGAACAACTGGTACAAGCCACTGCAAAATCATGGCAAATTGTAAAGACCATCAAGGCTAGGAAGAAACTGCATCAACTAACGACCAAAATAACCAGCTAACATCATAATGACAGGATCAAATACACACATATAAATATTAACCTTAAATGTAAATGGGCTAAATGCTCCAATTAAAAGGCACAGACTGGCAAATTGGATAAACACCCAAGACCCATCAGTGTGCTGTATTCAGGAAACCCATCTCACATGCAGAGACACAAATAGGCTCAAAATAAAGGGATGGAGGAACATCTACCAAGCAAAAGGAAAACAAAAAAAAGGTAGGGGTTGCAATCTTAGTCTCGGATAAAATGGACTTTAAACCAACAAAGATCAAAAGAGACAAAGAAGGCCATTACATAATGGTAAAGGGATCAATCCAACAAGAAGAACTAACTATCCTAAATATATATGCACCCAATACAGGAGCACACAGACTCATAAAGCAAGTCCTTAGTGACCTACAAAGAGACTTAGACTCCCACACAATAATAATGGGAGACTTTAACACCCCACTGTCAACATTAGACAGATCAACGAGACAGAAAGCTAACAAGGATATCCAGGAATTGAACTCAGCTCTGCACCAAGTGGACCTAATAGACATCTACAGAACTCTCCACCCCAAATCAACAGAATATACATTCTTTTCAGCATCACAACACCCCTATTCCAAAATTGATCACACAGTTGGAAGTAAAACACTCCTCAGCAAAAGTAAAAGAATAGAAATTACAACAAGCTCTCTCTCAGATGACAGAGCAATCAAACTAGAACTCAGGATTAAGAAAATCACTCAAAACCACTCAACTACATGGAAACTGAACAACCTGCTCCTGAATGACTACTGGGTACATAACTAAATGAAGGCAGAAATAAAGATGTTCTTTGAAACCAATGAGAACAAAGACACAACATATCAGAATCTCTGGGACACATTCAAAGCAGTGTGTAGAGGGAAATTTATAGCACTACATGCCCACAAGAGAAAGCAGGAAAGATCTAAAATTGACACCCTAACATCACAATTAAAAGAACTAGAGAAGCAAGAGCAAATACATTCAAAAGCTAGCAGAAGGCAAGAAATAACTAAGATCAGAGCAGAACTGAAGGAAATAGAGACACAAAAAGACCTTCAAAAAAATCAATGAATCCAGGAGGTGGTTTTTTGAAAAGATCAACAAAATTGATAGACCACTAGCCAGACTAACAAAGAAGAAAAGAGAGAAGAATCAAATAGACGCAATAAAAAATGACAAAGGGGATATCATCACCGATCCCACAGAAATATAAACTACCATCAGAGAATACTATAAACACCTCTACGCAAATAAACTAGAACATCTAGAAGAAATGGATAAATTCCTCGGCACATACACTCACGCAAGACTAAACCAGGAAGAAGTTGAATCTCTGAATAGACCAATAACAGGCTCTGAAATTGAGGAAATAATTAATAGCTTGCCAACCAAAAAAAAGTCCAGGACTGGATGGATTCACAGCCAAATTCTACCAGAGGTATAAGGAGGAGCTGGTACCATTCCTTCTGAAACTATTCCAATCAATAGAAAAAGAGGGAATCCTCCCTAACTCATTTTATGAGGCCAGCATCATCCTGATACCAAAGCCTGGCAGAGACAAAACAAAAAAAGAGAATTTTAGACCAATATCCTTGATGAACATTGATGCAAAAATCCTCAATAAAATACTGGCAAAACGAATCCAGTAACACATCAAAAAGCTTAACCACCATGATCAAGTGGGCTTCATCCCTGGGATGCAAGGCTGGTTCAGCATATGAAAATCAATAAACATAATCCAGCATATAAACAGAACCAAAGACAAAAACCACATGATCATCTCAATAGACGCAGAAAAGGCCTTTGACAAAATTAAACAACCCTTCATGCTAAAAACTCTCAATAAATTAGGTATTGATGGAACATATCTCAAAATAATAAGAGGTATCTATGACAAACCCACAGCCAATATCATACTGAATGGGCAAAAACTGGAAGCATTCCCTTTGAAAACTGGCACAAGACAGGGATGCCCTCTCTCACCACTCTTATTCAACATAGTGTTGGAAGTTCTGGCCAGGAAAATTAGGCAGGAGAAGGAAATAAAGGGCATTCAATTAGGAAAAGAGGAAGTCAAATTGTCCCTGTTTGCAGATGACATGATTCTATATCTTGAAAACCCCATCATCTCAGCCCAAAATCTCCTTAAGCTGATAAGCAACTTCAGCAAAGACTCAGGATACAAAATCAATGTGCAAAAATTACAAGCATTCTTATACACCAATAACAGACAAACAGAGAGCCAAATCATAAGTGAACTCCCATTCACAATTGCTTCAAAGAGAATAAAATACCTAGGAATCCAACTTACAAGGGACGTGAAGGACCTCTTCAAGAAGAACTACAAACCACTGCTCAAGGAAATAAAAGAGGATACAAAGAAATGGAAGAACATTCCATGCTCATGGGTAGGAAGAATGAACATCGTGAAAATGGCCATACTGCTCAAGGTAATTTATAGATTCAATGCCATCCCCATCAAGCTACCAATGACTTTCTTCACAGAATTGGAAAAAACTACTTTGAAGTTCATATGAAACCAAAAAGGAGCCCACATTGCCAAGTCAATCCTAAGCCAAAAGAACAAAGCCGGAGGCATCACACTACCTGACTTCAAACTATACTACAAAGCTACAGTAACCAAAACAGCATGGTACTTGTACCAAAACAGAGATATAGATCAATGGAACAGAACAGAGCCCTCAGAAATAACACCACATATCTACAACTATCTGATCTTTGACAAACCTGACAAAAACAAGAAATGGGGAAAGGATTCCCTATCTAATAAACGGTGCTGGGAAAACTGGCTAGCCATATGTAGAAAGCTGAAACTGGATCCCTTCCTTACACCTTATACAAAGGTTAATTCAAGATGGATTAAAGACTTAAATGTTAGACCTAAAACCATAAAAACCCTAGAAGAAAACCTAGGCAATACCATTCAGGACATAGGCATGGGCAAGGACTTCATGTCTAAAACACAAAAAGCAATGGCAACAAAAGCCAAAATTGACAAATGGGATCTAATCAAACTAAAGAGCTTCTGCACAGCAAAAGAAACCACCATCAGAATGAACAGGCAACCTACAGAATGGGAGAAAATTTTTTCAACCTCCTCATCTGACAAAGGGCTAATATCCGGAATCTACAATGAACTCAAACAAATTTACAAGAAAAAAACAAACAACCCCATCAAAAAGTGGGCAAAGGATATGAGCAGACACTTCTCAAAAGAAGACATTTATGCAGCCAAAAATCACATGAAAAAATGCTCACCATCACTGGCCATCAGAGAAATGCAAATCAAAACCACAATGAGATACCATCTCACACCAGTTAGAATAGTGATCATTAAAAAGTCAGGAAACAACAGGTGCTGGAGAGGATGTGGAGAAATAGGGACACTTTTACACTGTTGGTGGGACTGTAAACTAATTCAACCATCGTGGAAGTTGGTGTGGTGATTCCTCAGGGATCTAGAACTAGAAATACCATTTGACCCAGCCATCCCATTACTGGGTATATACCCAAAGGATTATAAATCATGCTGCTATAAAGACACATGCACACCTATGTTTATTGGGGCACTATTCACAATAGCAAAGACTTGGAACAAGCCAAATGTCCACCAATGATAGACTGGATTAAGAAAATGTAGCACATATGCACCATGGAATACTATGCAGCCATAAAAAATGATGAGTTCATGTCCTTTGTAGGTACATGGATGAATCTGGAAACCATCATTCTCAGCAAACTATTGCAAGGACAAAAAACCAAACACGTCATGTTCTCACTCATAGGTGGGAATTGAACAATGAGAACACATGAACGCAGGAAGGGGAACATCACACACAGGGGCCTGTTGTGGGGTTTTTCTCTGTCATTTTGAGACATCCGTGTGTCTTCCGCAAGCCAGGAATGTCTTTCTTGTGGGAAGGCTAGGGCCGGGGTCTCCCTGTGTCTGAGGGTGGTGGGGGCCTGACTTCCCTAAGGCCAGCTAACTGACACAGCTGGCCCAGCCTCACCCCTTAATGTCCTTCTGTTTTTTCTTTTGGCACACTGCTGGGTCACATGGCCTGCGGTTTTTGTTTTGTGAGTAATGCTTATGTCACACTGGTTTCTTTCCCCTGATGCAGCCACACTGAATGAAACCTGCCTTACCGCCTTTAGCTGGCATCTGGTTCTGCTTCTCTCTGACATATTGTCTGGTCTTATGAGTGTGTGCTCCACCCTGCCCTGCTCTAAAACGCCCTCAACCTCCTGCCTGCCTGACTGACCTCTGCAGGCTCTGGAATATACATCAGAGGAGCCTCTTACTTCAGGAAAATTCAATGACTGATTGAGGTTTTGTCCAAGAAGCTAAGATACTGTGAGGGTGGCTATGGGGTGCCTGTGACCTGCAGATCCCAATTTCAAGTCATGTTGTTTGTCTATGTGAGGCCCCTACTGTGGGATCCTCCCACCAGCGCTGCCACCATATTCATGATATTCCTGGAGAGTCTGTCTGACCATGATGAGCACAGCTGCAAAGTGTTTCTGTTTTCAGTATCTTGTTTTGGGAAAGGGGTGGTGGAAGAGCTCTAGGCTCATCCTCAAATGTGTGTCTGGCTGCTGACGTCTGCTCCATCTCACTCAACTGTCTCACTCTATTTGCTACTTTCACATACATCTTTGTCTACCTTTAGATCCACTTTGAACCTTCAACTTCCTGGAAAGCTGAGCAAAGTAAAGAAGAGGAAATGTAGTAGAGGAGCATCCTGCTGTTTTCTGGAAGGTAAATGTGCACATTCTATGGAAGCCAAACTGTCAATATAGTCTTTTAGGACTTCAACTAGTTCACCCTGTTCTAATTTTAATTTCCACAAAATTCACAGTTAATATTGAGTTAGACAGAAACAATGCAATAACTATGTGATGTGTCCCTATAGGTCGTAATTCCAAAAAAGGTAAAGGTGACTTTTGTTATATTTAAATCTCAAGAGATGAATGATAACACTGCTCCATCTCAATTTTAACGATGGCATGATTTTTATATAGATCAAAATTTTCATAGGGAACACAGTTCTTTGATATGCTCACTTGCAGCAAGATCTAGATTTTAAGAAGTGAGGTTGCAATTACGCAAGTGTTATTCCTCTAACGCTCTGAAGTGGATCATTCATACCCTGAAAAAGAATAATTTGCCAAGAATCTCCCCATGGATCTGCCTATGTGGAGCTGGATAACAACCATTACCCTACCTCAGAGAAAGTCCTTTTTAAGCAGGAAGTAGAAATTACAAGCGAAAACTGTGCACAGTGTGGAAAGTGAACAATGAAATAAAAATCTCTTTCAAAATATGTGTCTATGTTTTTCCATTATCAGGCTGGTGATGCACATTGGGGTTTTAGAGTAGCTACTTGGAATAGAGAGGGATGCACAGTAAGGCTTGTGGAGCCAGGGCAGAGAGAGCTGCAAATGAGGTATATATTGATATTTTTCAGCAAGCTGGAAACTTAGGACTCAGGAGGGTGTGAAGAGCAGTATATTTTCTGTTGCATTTACACTAGATATGTTTTTCATTCATGCTCAATTTAGAACTGAAGGAAAAAAAAAATGATGCAAAAACAAACTTCAAAAGCAGCAGAGGACAGGCATGGCTGCATATAAATTGCCAAAACCAATGCAAGCATTGGTGTTACAGAATGTTCCTTTAGTGAGGAAGGCATGTCGAGAGCTGAGATAGGCTGACTTGTGTCAGTTAACCAAGTAGTCAAGGTAACTTCACAAAGGAGAGTTCACAAAGAATTTGCATGGGAAACAGGTCAGAGGGCCACAGAGAGGGTTAGTGAAAGTGACTTACTTTGTTTTAGCTATTGCCTTCTTAGAACTATTACTTAAAGTTTATATTCAATGCATGTAATAATATACATTGCCTCAGAAGGAGTGCTTGTATGAGTTGCATTTTGTGCTACATATAATTGACTGCATTTAACATGCTGTACAAAAAATTTGTGTATTTACCTACAAATAATGAAGACTGTAAAGAAGTTCATCCCTTCCAGAGATGGTGTTAGAAGGGAGGAGGGTGCAGTGATCAGGAGCCCCCAGATGATGTGATGGTAATGCCCTCCATGACATTTCAGATCATAACTTTCAAAATCTTAATGGCTAGGTGTTTATTTCAGATCTGTATGCATGAAGTTGTTCCAAACACTATTGAAACTGTATTGTATTATTTCAAAACAAAGCCATTCGAAGGTTTCAGGTGAACATGCTGCTTTTTTCTGGAAGCCCGGTGGCCCAGACTTGGTGCTGTGTTAATGCTCAGATTTCGGCCTGCACAATGACCTTCAGTGTTGGGGATGTCAACTGGGGAGAGCAATTCAGGAGAGTGGATCTGATGAATCACTGACCTAGACTTTTGAGTCTGATGAAATACAACAATGTCCTTTGAATTCAGCATTAGTTGATGAAAATGTTGATTTCCACTTTTTCAAATGTTCATACATTAACATTATCTATAAAATTACATAGTACTGGAAAATGTGGAATGTATTGGAAAATGTAACGTATAAATGATAGTCTTATTTTTTTTAGAAATTATTATAAAAATTCTTTCAAATGACTTGGTATTTGTTCATTCAAAATACATTACTAAAAATATTGGACCAATGACTATAATATTTGTATGGAAACATAACTTGCCAAGCATTTTCCCATGTATTTTTGGAAGCACTCGATTATATTTCTGGATAACTAACACTGGTTAAACTAGCAAGATGATACTTAAGTCTATTTGTCGACATAGAAAAAGCCTTGATCTCGGATCCCTCTCTTTCATCTTCCACTCTCTTCTTTCTTTTCCTGCTCCCATTTTCTGTTCTAATACTTTCTGAATATCCATATCGTGTATGGAAGCCCTGAGACCATTGTGCAACATTTAAGAAATATTTGACAATGCCTTTGAACTTAAAGAACATTGGCATAGAACAGGGGCAGTGGTCATCAACTTTGACAATGAGACATTTTGGTTTCACTGGGAATTTTTACATTTATGTTATAATATTTAAGGAGCTTATTTCTAAGCAATTATTAAGTCAGATTTAAGAATATGGTAATGCATATAGGATGGATTTTCACTTAAGCTAGTTAAACTTTTTATAACCTTTAAATGTTTCGACATGATTATAAATACATAAAGAAAAATGCAAAAATATAAATACAGAGTATAGTGAGTAGTTACACAGGAAACATTCAATGGAGGACTCACCCAGGTTAAGAAAAGACATTTCCAGTACTCCAGAAACCTCCAGTTTCTTGTTCAAACACATTCTCCTCCACCCCACTAGATATAACTTATACCTTGAATTTTGTTATAATTAACTTCTAGCTTTACTTATTTTCTCTCCAATGCATATATAATGGTGTTAATTATGACAAAATTATATATATTGTGTGTGTTCTGACTGCTCTACCTACCAGCTATTCCCCCATCTCTCCTTCTCCTCAGATCTTCCTATGCCCTGAGACAATCCCTGAAGAAAAATAATGAAATTAGGCCAACTTATAATAACCCGCCCGTGGCCTCCAAGTGTTCAAGTGAAAGGAAGAGCTGAATGTTTCTCACTTTAAATCAAAAGCTAGAAATGTGTATGCCTAGTGAGGAAGGCATGTCGAAAGCTGAGATAGGCTGACTTGTGTCAGTTAACAAAGTAGTCAAGGAAACTTCACAAAGGAGAGTTCTTGAAGGAAATTAAAAGTGCTACTCCATTGAACACATGAATGATAAGAAAGTAAAGCAGGCTTATTGCTGATATGGAGAAAGTTTTAGTGGTCTAGATCAAAGATCAAATCAGCCACAACATTCCAGTAAATCAAAGCCTAATCCAGAGCAAGGCCCTCACTCTTTTCAGTTCTATGAAGGCGGAGAGAAGTGAGGAAGCTGTAGAAGAAATGTTCGAACCTAGCAGAGGTTGATTATGAGGATTAAGGAAAGAAGCCATCTCCATAAAACGAAAGTGTGATGTGAAATCGCAAGTGCTGATGTGGAAGCAGCAGCAAGTTACCCGGAGAATCTAGCTAAGATCATCGATGAAGGTAGCTACACTCAACAACAGATTTTCGGTGTAAACAAAACGGCCTTCTGTTGAAAGAAGATGCCAAATAGAACATCCATGGCTAAGAAGGAGAAGTCAATGCCTGACTTTAAAACTTGGAAGGAGATGATGACTTTCTTGTTAGGGACTAATGCAGTTGCTGACTTTACATTGAAATCAGTGCTCATTTACCATTCTGAAAATCCCAGCGCCTTAAAGTATTATGCTAAATCTACTATGCCTGTGCTCTAGAAATGGAATAACAAAGCCTGATGACAGCACATCTGTTTACTGGATGGCTTAATGAGTATTTTCAGTTCACCGTTGAGACCCACTCCTTAGAAAAAAAATATTCTTTTCAAAAGATAACTGCTCATTAACAATGCTCCTGGTCACCCAAGACCTCTGATGGAGATGTACAAGGAGGTTAATGTTTTCATGTTTGCTAACACAACAACCTTTCTGCAGTTCAGAGATCAAGGGGTAATTTTAAGTCTTATTATTTCAGAAACACATTTTATAAGGCAATAACTGCCAGACATAGTGATTCCTCTGATGGATCTGAGCAAAGTAAGTTGAAAATCTTCTAGAGATGATTCACTATTCTCAATGTGATTAAGAACATTTATGATTCATCAAATGAGGTAAAAATATCAACATTAACAGGAGTTTGGAAGAAGTTGACTTCAACATTTATGAATGACTTTGAGAGGTTCAAGACTTCAGTGGAGGAAGTACTTGCACAAGTGGTAGAAATAACAAGAAAACTAGAATTAGAAATGGAACCTGAAGACATTGCTGAATTGCTGCAATCTCATAATAAACTTGAACAGATGAGAAGTTGCTTCTTATGAATCAGCAAAGGAAGTGGTTTTTGAGAGGAAATCTACTCCTGGGGAAGATACTGTGAATATTGTTAAAATGACAACAAAGGATTTAGGCTATGACATAAACTTAGTTGATAATGCAGCAGCAGTGTTTGAGAGGACTGATTCCAACTTTGAAATAAGTTCTACTGTGGTTAAAATGCTATCAAATATCATTTCATCCTATGGAGTAATCTTTCATAAAAGGAAGAGTTAATTGATACAACAAACTTCATTATTATCTTATTCTGAGAATTTGCCACAGCCACCCCAAGCTTCAGCAGTCACCATCCTGATCAATCAGTGGCCATCAACATTGAAGGAAGACTCTCCACCAGCGAAAAGATTACAACTTGCTGAAGGCTCAGGGGATCATTAGCATTTTTAGCAACAAAGTATTTAATCATGGTATGTGCATGTATCAAATATGATATTATTTTACACTTAACAGTATAGCGTAAACATAACTTTTATCTGCACTGGGAAATTTAAAAATGTGGACTAATTTTGTTGCAATATTTGCTTTATTGAAGTGGCCTGGGACTGAACCCACAATATTTCCAAAGTATGGCAGTATAATTATTCTTTACTGTCTTATTCTTTTCACTTTACATTATATATGCAAGAGTTACCCCTATGTTGTGGCTATCACTTATTTTTCCTTATAGCAATATAATATTCCAGTTTATGAATACACCAAAGGTTATTTTTTCTTCCTAGCGTTGATGAACATCTGGGCTTTTTTCTGTTTGGGGCTATTGTAAACAACGTGTTTTTGGAAGATCCATGTATATATTGCCTGGGGCTCATTGCTTAGTCTCCAAAGACCCCAGCCTCTCAGTCTTCACATCTTTGTGTAGTCTGTAGTTCTCTCTCACCATGTATCATATCAAAGTTGGTCTGCATGAGCAGGTGATACAAGTGATGGGACGGCACTTCAAAGATTAGGTATAAAAGTCTGCAGTTCCGTTTTGGGCATTTGCTTCCTCACTCACCAGCTCACCTGCTCTGCCTCTCTGTCTGTCTCTGTCTGTTTCTCTGCCTTTATTTTTCTCTCTCCTCCTTCTTTCTTTCTTTTCCTGTCAAATATCTTATTCTGCGGAAAGCAGCTGCCGTGTTGTAAGCAAACCTATGGAGAGACCCATGTGGCAGAGAACAGAGGCCTCTGGGCAACAGCTACTGAGGAGCCAAGCCCCTCCCAACTCAACCCAATAAATACACTAATAGGCTTGGAAGCAGATTTTTTCATTCACCCCTTGACATGAGTGCAGTCCTGGCCTGAAAGCTGGACTGTAACTCATGGAAAATCTGGAGCCAGAACAATGCAACTAAATTTTTCCCAGAGTCTTTCACCATAAGAAACTGTGTGAGATAATCACTGTGTGTTCTTTTAAGCTTCTAGCTTAGGAGATACATTTTATGCAGCAATACATAACTACAACTACATTTGTTTCTCTCTAACATATTCCCAAGATTGAAATTTAGGGACCATAGGTTTGTGTATCTTAAGCTTGTTAGGTAATGAAAAATTGGGTTTTCAGTAGGTATATATGATAATCCTTTACTCCATACCATCATCATTACTGAGCGTTAGTATTGCCAGACTAAATTTTAGACCATCTAGTGACCATGTAATCATGTCTCAGTGTGGCCTAATGTGCATTTATTTCTCTGAATAGTAATGAGATGATACACTTTTCACTACTTTTAGTTACCATTTGGCTTCCCTCTTTGGTTAAGCAATTCCTCGAGTCTCTCGGTCACTTATCTACCCCTCAATATATAAAGATATGCTTCTACATTAATTTTAACTTTTGGACTGTGTTTTTTAGGTTTTTAATCTATATGCAAGTGATTTATGCATACAATATAAGGTATGGATTTTCTTTTTTCTCCATGTGGACACCCATTTATTGATATATTTCATCTGTTTCTTTTGGATTAGCAAATGGCTTTGGATCACAGCACTTTTGAACCTGGTCTTAAAACTCAGGGACCTGTCTTTCTACAGATTTTGGTCTCATAATTTCTCATTAGCTTGGTAGCTTTTTAGAAGTTTTAAGAAACATTTAATAAGCGTTTTTTTAAGTTATTTATTTATTTTTAATTTTTATTTTAAGTTCTGGCTACAAGTGCAGGTTTGTTACTTGTGCTGGTTTAGGTATACTTGTGCCATGGAGGTGTATTGTACAGATTATTTCATCGGACAAGTATTAAGCCTAGTACCCATTCGTTGTTTTTCTTGATCCTCTCCCTTCTGTCACCCTATACCATCTACCTTTTAAAAGGCCCCAGTGTGTGTTATTCCCCTCTATGTGTCCATGTGTTCTCATCATTTAGCTTCCACTTATAAGTGAGAACATGAGGTATTTGTCCCTGTGTTAGTTTGCTAAGCATAATGGCCTCCAGTTCCATCCATGTCCCTGCCAAGGATATGATTTCATTCTTTTTTATGGCTGCATAGTATTCCATGGTATATATGTACCAGACTTTCTTTATCCAATCCATCATTGATTGGGATTTAGGCTGATTCCATGTCTTTGCTATTGTAAATAGTGCTGCAATAAACATAAGTGTGCATGTGTATTTATAACAGAATGATTTCTATTCCTTTGGTTAAATACCCAGTAATGGGATTGCTGGGTCAAATGATATTTCTGTCTTTAGATCTTTGAGGAGTTGCCACACTGTCTTCCACAGTGGCTGAACTAATTTATACTCTCACCAACATTGTATAAATGTTCCTTTTCCTCCACAACCTTGCCAACATCTGCTATTTTTTGACTTTTTAATAATAGCCATTCTACTTGGTGTTAGATATTATCTCATTGTGGTTTTGATTTGCATTTCTCTAATGATCAGTGATGTTGAGCTTTTTTTCATATGATTGTTGGTTGCATGTATGTCTTCTTTTGAAAAGTGTCTCTTCATGGCCTTTGCCCAGGTTTTAATGAGATTTTTTTCTTGTATAAGGTTTTATCTGTGATTTTATGCAGCATTTTTCATCGTGTTTAACGAGAGGATAGATCTGAATTATTTCAGCTACCATTGCCAGAATAAATTTCTACTCAACTGCTTCAAGTTTTATATTGAAATCTTTTTAAATTAAATATTATGTGGTCTCTCTAATTTCAGGGTATGTTAGGTTTAGTGCCCTATCTCATATTAATTGAATAGTAAAAAGAATCTCAAAAATGTCAACTTCTTTGTTGTTGAAAAATCAATAATAATATGTTAGGTACATATATTTGATTAACTGTCAAAATAATTATTTAGGCATTTTAAAAGAATGCATTTTAACTATTGATGCAATTATTTGGATTAAGGAACCAATCCATAACTTTGTCTTAAAATGATAATTATTTACTCTGAACCATATGTCTGGAGATGAGTCTGTCTATGGCCAACTTTGAGCTACAGGGATTGTCTAGAAAGCTCTCTGTGTCTTCATCCTCCATGGACCTGTAGGAACAGTAAGTTAGTGGGAAAATTATTCTTATGGCAATGGCAGAACATTTCAGACACATTTCAGTTTCTGCTTGTGCTACTTCTGTCAACATCCATTTGGCCAAAGCAAGCCTTGTGAAGTTGGAAGAATTTTCCACCTCTAGTGAGAAGAACTTCAAAGTTAGATGTAAAGGATATGTATTCAGTGTGGTAAAGAACCAGGCCAATAATTCAATCTGTCACATATTCTCCATCCAAAATATATGGACTCATTTGAAAATTGATGCTGTCTGTATAATAGAAACGCAGTTCAAGCAACACATGGTCACCTACCAAAAGTTGCTAAATTTGAATGATTTTTTGAATTACATTTAGAATATTTGCTTGTTTTTGTAGAGACTACTTGAAGTTGGATAAAAATTATTCTAATAACTCTATATAAAAATACTATGAAAATATAGCATATACTTTAAGGATATTAAATCTCATGAAAAAAATCACTCAAGCTCTACATTGACAGACACATTGAAACCATATCACTGCACACCAAATGACATGACCAAATTAAAGATAGAGAATTTCAGATGTTTCCATATTTAATGTGTATGGTCATTAATCCTGTATTGTGACCCATATTAATTTTTTGGAGAGCTGACACATTTTAAAAACGGAATATTTCTATATTAATAATGTCATAATTCTGTATCCTCCCTTCCCTTTGTCTCTTTTCCTCTTTTCCACTTGATCATGCACTTGCCATTGTTTCCAATTAGAGCATAAGTAAACAGAACCAGAACGTTTTTCCTCTGAAATTCTAACTGTAGAAGTACAGATCCAAACAGCCAGAGTTATTTCAAGAAACTGATCTTTTTCTTTTTGCTTCTTAAGGCAATTAAAAAGTTCCAACTATATCAGCAACAGAGGTATTGATGATACTGAAGTTGTTCTGACAAAACTTTAACTTCAGTTAGCAAGAAGCCCTCATGATATGCAGCAATCGATTTCATATTAAGTGTTGTTAGAGAAAGGTGTATAAGCGGACAACATTGGCAGTCTCACTCAGGAAGTTAACAAAAATACATTACAAAAATTATATTAAAATTAATGTAAATATTTATATTATTTTGCTTAATAAAATGTAGGTGACGAAGTCATGATTCTAGCAATGAGCAGGAAAGCTTCTCTTCCAAACATGGAGAGATGCTTGAGATGTATGATGGAGGACACAAGAGAGCTAGGCAATGGCCACAGCCAGGAGCCAGGAAGGAGCTGAGGGCTACAGCAGTGAGCACGTGTGCCAACGCTATTACAGGCTGGGATGGGGCTGCTGCCTGACCTGTAGTTTCAAGGAATTTGGCTTTAGTGCCTGCAGAGAAACTTAGGAGTTAAGGTCCATGGCTTGAGAAAAGTGGAGGATTGGAATTCAAACTTTTGCATTAAGCTGCAACTCTAAGGACTAAAAATCATCAGCCACTGGCCCAGGAAGACAACAAAGTGGCTTGTTTCTGCTGGACACTATGTGTGGAGAATTATTACATAAAAATCTAAAACTTGGGCTTAATTTTTGTTGGAATGCAAATTCTACATTGTGTGAGAAACTTCAGTTTAAGAAGTTAACATAAAATATGGTCTCATGTCAGTGATGCCTCGGGGGATCCTCATAGAAAAAATGTTCCCTCCACCACACACATATTTAAGATGAGTTTGCCCTGAAGCATTACAGACTCTTGGGGGAAATAATACACTTGACCTAAGCTGCTTAAACAACAATGTAAACACAGATGTAAATAAGTGTTTAATGTGGTTACAAAGATGAAGTTAAACAATCCTTAAAGAAAGAGAAAGACTCAATATTAGAATGCAAAGCAGACTCCAAAAACAAACTCTAACTTTCTAAAATGAAAACCACAGACATTAATATATAAGACCCAATGGGTGGGTCCTAGCCACTGTAGTCTATTACAGAAGGGCAGACACACCTGAAGAGAAAATAACGGAACTGGAAGAAACACAAAGGGAAATTCTTCAGTGCACAGCATGACAAGGAAAGCTTCACAGGCATTAATTCATCCTCATATTAACTATATGAGGAGAGTACTAATATAATCCTCATTTTAAAGATGAGGTAACTGAGGCACAGAAAGCTCCAGAAACTTCCCCTTTTTCATCAAACTAGCACATGTGTGAACCCAAAACATGTGATACAATTCTCAATCTATTCAGAAAGTTTGTTTTGCCATGGTTAATGACAGGCCGATGACACAGCCTCAGGAAGTCCTGACGACATGTGCCCAAGGTTTTCAGGGCGCAGTTTGGTGTTATGCATTTCAGGCAGACAGGCATCAGTTAAAATGTGTAAGATGTCCATTGGTTCAATTCTGAAAGGCAGGACAACTCGAGGCTGGAGAGGGGGCTTTCAGGTTATAGGTAGATAGGAGACAAGCAGTTGCATTCTTCTGAGTTTGTGATGAGCCTTTCACTGAATACACAATTTACATGTGAGAGAAGGGTAGAGGAATCATCACTTATGCCTTAGTGTGGCTTAGTGAAACAATAGGGCAGGGGAAGCCATCAGATATGTGTTTGTCTCCTACGAGTAGAGCGATGACTTTGAGTTCTTTCTCTCCTTTGTCCACAAGGAATTTTCCTGTGGGAAAATTGTTAGGGAGATATATAGTTTTTTTATCTTCATAGCTATCTTATTTAGGAATAAACGGGAGGCAGGTTTGCCTGACATAATTCTCAGCTTGACCTTTCCCTTGGTTTAGTGATTTGAAGGTCCTGGGATTTATTTTCATATTGCACATGAAAGAAGCATTATTCAGACACTAGGGGTTAATGCTATGCCTAGATCTTTGTGGCACAATGCTACTAAGCTATGGGATATATTTCTGTCCTCTAATAGTTACATCTGAATTTTACATATACCTTATATGTTTTTTCCAAACGAGTTGCAGGTATGAAGTATTCTATGTTTCTGCAGAACATATGGTACTTAAGTCAAATACTGTGTGTTCTCACTCATAAGTGGGAGCTAAATAATGTGTACACATGGACACAGAGTGTGGATTAATAGACACAGGGGACTCAGAAGGGTGGGATGGTAGAAGAGGGTGAGGAAAGAGAAATTATGCAATGAGTACAATGTACACAATATGAGTGATGGTTACACTAGATGCCTAGACTTCAGCGCTATGCAATATATCCATGTAACAAACCTGCGCTTGTACCCCCTAAATGCATACAAATTAAAAATTAAATTAAATTAAATTAAAAAATAATAAAATAAATAAAAATAGAGTGATTTAACAACCTACTTAAGGTATTCATCAAGTACTAACTCCCTCCATCTTAATATTTCTGGCAACTTTATCTGGACTTAATTTTTTTTTTTTTTTTTGTCGGAGGCTGGCTCTGTCGCCCAGGCTGGAGTGCAGTGGCGCAATCTTGGCTCACTGCAAGCCCCGCCTCCCAGGTTCACGCCATTCTCCTGCCTCAGCCTCCTGAGTAGCTGGGACTACAGGCGCCTTGCCACTATGCCCGGCTAATTTTTTTTGTATTTTTAGTAGAGATGGGGTTTCAGCGTGTTAGCCACGATGGTCTCGATCTCCTGACCTCCTGATCCGCCCGCCTCGGTCTCCCAAATGCTGGGATTACAAGCATGAGCCACAGCACCGGGCCTTGGACTTAATTTTTTTAATATTAATTAGTGTAACTTTTTCAGAGTCTGTGGTAAATGTGCATTGACATTTTATCAGTATTGAGTTTTTCAGGGTTTCTTTTCTCTCATAGCTTTCCTATGGATTACCTTCTTTCTTGCTTGGGTATACTACTGAATTATTTAGTGCTTGAGGGTGGTGAAATATCTCTGCCATTGTTTGTTTATAACTATCGCTATTTTCCCCTTAGTCTTGTGCTGTGGTTTGTTTGTGATAAATGTCCAGATTTATTGTTTCTCTGGGCACCCTTGGAAGATAGATAATCCTTTGTCTTCTGGCATCTGCATAACTGGTGAGTAACCTGCTTTCAGCCTTTTATACTCTAAATGTTCCCTCTGCTAGCTTTTAATTTTTCTCTTCATTTTCTATATTCTGCATTTTCACTACAGTGTTGCTAAATTTGAATTATTACTTACCTATATTTCTTGGAAATCAGAAGTCGTTCGGTTAGTTGTTCTTTGTTGAAAGACATCTTTATTTCCAGGAAAATCTCAGCTATGTCTCTCTCATTTTTTTTAACATGGAACTCTAAATAGATACAAACTGAAGTGTCTCAACTTACCTTCTATGTCTTGAACTGCCCTGTAATGTGTTTACGTTTGCATTTCTTTGTTGCATTCTGGGAATGTCTCATGTATCTGTTGCAGTATTTCAATTTATTACCTTAACTATGACAAGTACAGATATTTGGCTTATGTAGTAATTTTTTTTAGTTCTCAGAACTATGTTTTTTTAGTTCAAAGATTTCTAATTATTTCTTATGAAGACATTTTTGGTTGTTTTATTTCTGCCTTTTTTAGGGTCACAATCTCTTGAGGTTTTCTTGATATTATTCTTGAATTAATCTTTTTGATGTCTTAGATATGCTTATTTTATAAGTCTTTCTCAAACTATTCCATTAAATTGTTTCATCTGGAATGTTGTCATGTACCTGATGCTGATTTTGTCAACTACTTGTTTTGGTAGTAATTTTTATTTGCCTGTGTTCTGAGGCCAGTGTTTTCAGACTGCTGGCAATTGGGTGGACATTTTTTCTTTTGCTCAATTACCCTCTGTGTTTATGCATACCTCTTTAGCAGCTTCCTGTTTCACTGTTCCTAGTCTAGAATCAATTCTTAGAATGATATGCTGGGTTTCCATGGAAATAAAAACAATAACTAACAGTAATTGAGTGCTTCAGAGGGCCAGGTTACCTTGTAAGTGATTTATCTGTATTAACACATTCCAGTCTTACATGTAACTCTCTGAGATAGGCAGGAATTTTATTTCCATTTTACAGATAAGAAACGAAAAGTGCACTTTAATCCCAGCACTTTGGAAGGCCAAGGCAGAAGGATTGCTTAAGGCCAGGAGTTTGAAACCAGCCTAGGCAACATAGTGAGACCCCACCTGTACAAAAAAAATTTAAAAATGAAATGGGCATGATGGCATGCATCTGTAGTCCCAGCTACTTGGAAGGCTGAGGCAGGAGGAGGATCACTGGGCCCCAGAGTTACAGTGACCTATGATTATACCACTGTACTCCAGTCTGGGTCACAGAGTGAGACCCTGTCTGAAAAGAAAAGAAAAGAAGAGAAAAAAAGAAGAGAAAAGCAAAAAAGAAAGAGAAGAGAAGGAAAAGAGAAAAGAAAAGAAAAAAGAAAAGAAAAGAAGGAAAAGAAAAGAAAAGAAAAGAGAAAAGTATAAGTAATCTCCCAAATGTCAAAAGATGGTAAGTTCTGGAGTCAGGATTTTAACACAGACTTTCTTTTCCAAAAGCTCATCTTAATCACTTCAGTGTGGCTTGAAGCTTCAAGAAAGTAGCCATCCAATCACTGCACTTGGTTCAGCCCCTGTAGGCAGGGATGAGTCTTGGGCATCCAGCCTTCTGAGCTCATAGTAGGTGTTAGTCTCTGGCTGCGCTGCGGTTATGTTCTCAGCTCAGGAGCTGGGAAGCTCTGCAAATAACTGGCTTCAATATACATGGATGGATTCCATCCAGCTTTTTGTATGGAGTGCCTTTTTCTTTCCTGGATTCCCTCACTACCCACATCCAGCTCCCTAGCCCAGCATCTTTCAGCTTCATCTGCATTCAGTATTTGGCATTTTGATTTAACTTCTGCTGAATGGGGCTGTTTGTAAATCTTGTTTTTTGTTGTTTTTTTCTTCCCCCTTGAAGCAAGAGCTTATTGTGCTATTTGGATTGAAAGTCTTCACGATCTCTCTCTCCTAGGCCTTTTCTACACCACCAGATAATCACCATTTGGAGAACTTCCAGAATCTTTCATTACAGATTTTCTAGTTATACCCTTGTCGTACTATTTTATAGAGCAGAACACAGCAAAAACAAAATTTTTCAATGCCTCAAACAATTTGGCATGCTGGCATTTGTGCTGCAGGGTTTTGTGCTGGGGAAGGACAGTGCCAGGGATTCTATGCTTACTGAGCAGAATGACTTTCTGGAGTTGAACCATCATGATTTTTTTTTTCTCTATTTTTGAGGACTCTTCTGAGGATTCTCCTGCAGTTTTTCCCTTGTCCAATGGGTAAAAGGAGACATAACTGAAGTTCTCTCTATGCAGCTTGTCCACAGGGCAGGGCTTTCCTCATCCTTCCTACACCTCTCTGTGGCATTATCCACTAATCAACTTTCATTTCAGGTTCCCATGGAAATATTCCATATGCATTCCAAGTGGCAGTTGGTGCCACATATTGGGTGGAATATCTACCATGATGAGTCACCCCAAACTGCTTGCCATCTTCTGGTAACTCCTTCTCCTTTCCTATTTTAGGGTGAAAGCCTTAGGTTAAGAATGCAGGTGATCTCCTGAATTCCTCTGTCTTTTGGTTGCTTTTCTATTTAACTATCCATTTTTGTGTTTTACAAGAAATAACCTTATAATATTCCTTCAGATCCTTACAATCTACCTTTACATACTTCATTCGTCCCCACTAATCTTAGAAAGACTGTAGCAAGTACTTATAAAATGATGACTGTCTCCAAACATCTTCCATGCCCTTCCCTGTGGGTAGCTCCTTCTCCACCCAAGAGGGTGTCGTTCCAGAATATTCTTCAGGACATAAATAGCATCTACTCCCACCAATTTCTTCATCTGGCCTTAAAATTTGGTTCAGTATATAAAGAACCGAATGGGAATCTCATTTGAGACAATCATCATAGGTCATTGAGACTCACAGACACCTCATGCCAGTCTCCAGGTCATCCTCAGAGACTGTGAGTTTCCCTCAACGTTAGCTACATAAATAGCAGTGCTTTTGAGGTTCCATGCTGTCTCCAAGAATCTCTTGTTCATTGGAGGAGAAGCAGGTCCCTCACTTAAGAGGCTGGTATTTGATTGAGGCTAGAAAGTGCATATCAGTCTGAAATTCAAACAAGGACACCTAGAAGCCCTGTAATTTGGGACAAATCTGAAGTTCTCTTTATTTCTGCACTGTAAAGGCCTTTCCTGGCGGTGCACAGATTTGTTAGCTCTCCAAACACCTGTTCAAAAAGCGCATTACTTATCTGGCTTGAATCAGCCTGCTTGATCAAATCCTCTTGCTTTTCTGGCCTAGGAGTGGTCCTACAGGAGTCTGGCCTAGACAGTAAATAGCTATTATAGCAAATCGTGTTTTCTTGCTTCTTGTTTCTTGTTCCTAATATCTTATTGTCATACAAATCTTACATTTTGTACCTTATTCCCAGAGGAAAATTTGAAGTCTGGGCATGGGCAGCGGAAACTACAGGGACCTTAGATATTTGGTTTATGGACTAAAGTGTTCGTCCTGACATGATATCTGTCTCACAAAAAAAAAAAGAAAAGTACTTGGAAATATTGTTTTATCCCCCCAACTTCTTATCTTAAAAAATAGTTCTGCCCCTTGTGGAGTGAGGATTCTCTATTGGTACACATCTTCTAAGTTGACAGCTTGCCAACAATTACTTCAAAATAAAACTGACTACTCCTCTAGAGGATTATCAATGAGCATTCTGGTTTGTGGAAATCTCCTATAATATGTTTGTTATGATGTTATCAAAGTAGATATGTTAATATTCAGCAAGGGATAATATAAATATGTATAAAAGTTGCTGATACTAATTGTATCACTTAAGTTTATTTAATAATCTCACAAATTAAACTATGAGAGCTTTAAATAAATATGTATTTATTTAAAAAACAGAATCATTCTTTTGCTATATGAGGTATCCACACAGTGCCTAAGGGAAAGGGAATAGCTTTATAGAACAGCTTTATGGAAAGAAAGAATGAAAACAAGACACTGGTGTGAAATAGTTCTTTGAGTCTGCTTTACCTTGCAGTATGATAACTGTGCTGTGCTTGGCTCTCTGCAAATCTTATTTTCATTGAAGGGGCCACGTAAAAGGCAGAGGTGGTGTTTAGACCTACTGTAGTGAATCAGAAAAGCTCTATAGCCAAGACCAGAGAACTGAACTGAAAGGTAGCCAGGTCATCAAACTGAAGAGTAGCTAAGTCAAGAACTACAGGAGCAATTTCACTGAATGCTTCCAAAAATGAAGACACCACAGTGGACCAGTGTGAGGCTGCAGAACTAAGTCTGGGAGGCTATATTGCTCTGAGATGCATTCAGGATCTCAGGGATGCTCAGAGCTATTTTGAATAAGCAATTGGCAAACCATAATGGTTTAAAAGCACAAGAAAGAAAATCCTTTGAAATAAATTAGATTTGCTTTTTAAACTGAATTTTTTTATTCTTTTGGTTTTTTTGTTCATTCTCAACTTATTCCCTCAATTTCTTCCAAAAAATTGGGAGAATTTTAAAATTCATGTTATATAACACTGAAAAAATTTAAAGACATGACCTTAAAGGGAAAACAAAGGTAGACAAAATTAGGACACAGGGATAAAAATAATACCCCAAAAAAGCCAGGTATTTCTGAAAATACTACAATTGACCAATATTTTGGTCTTGTAGTAGTCAATGAGAAGAAGCAAAGATAAAGAGTGATGTGATTCAGAATTTTCCTCAGCAAAAATTAACTGCTGAGAATTTTGAGACACTAAAATATGAGAGATGGTTCTTCTACAGGTCCCGGTCAGTAGACAAGATTTCCTTTTTATTTTCCAATTATTCAAATCCTACATGTTTTAAAATCTAATAATTGTTGGGGTATTATGAAACCTATGCCCAAATCATGATTTATACAGCTATCCATTCTCCAAAGAGTGGTACAGTGAAGACTGTCAATACCATTGTCAAATGGCAAACCAATTCATACAAAATGTCCATTCCACCTGGTGTTTTTGAATCACAGATAACTCTGTGTTGACTTGCTCACCAAAGGTAAAGGGTAACAGACATGATTTCATTTCATTCTTTTATATTATTATTTATTATTCATAACCTTGATAACGAAATATACATGAATACTACATGACCATGAATGAACATTATAAAGATTCTCTAAAAGTGGTGAGGTTAGTTAAATAATATATAAATAATTGAGGAAGAAGTACTGTTTTAAGTGTAAGATTAGAGCCAGAGGGGGAACAGATTTGTAATCATGAATTAGCTGTAGTGTGTGTTTTCCCTTCATGCACAAAATGAAATAATAATGTGGCAAAATCAACTGTTTCTATAACTCATGTGTGACAATTACTCCTCTTACTTCTTGGGCAGGGGCTGGTGTATCTATCAATGCGTCCTTCCTCTTCCTGCCTCCACTCTTCCCAGGTTAGAGTTTCCCTGTGGATCCTCACACCACCCCCCTTTCCAGGTGGGAGAGATGAGCCCAGATTAGAGGAGATCCACAGGGGCACTCTCTCCTGGGGAAGCTCCTGGCTGTTAACTCTGTCACAGGTTCAACCACATTTGGAACCCATCCTCCTTTCTGTCCCAGATGGCCATGCTCTCTGCTAGACTTGGTGTCAGTTTTCTGAGATGAGGGCGCAACACCAAGTCTGTGCCTCTCAGGGTCCAGTCTGGTGCACATGGAGAATGAAATCCTTGCTTAATAAGCTGCGGGCTTTACTCTTCATTTGAAAATGTACTCAAAATACGAACTGAATACTGTCCCTGCTAGCTTGCTTCAGCACTAATACCTCATTTTATGAATATAACTTTAAAAAAAAAGAACTCTATGGTCAGAAAAACTAACTACATAATACCTGCAGTTCTAAACTGGCACCAGTTTACACAGTGAAAGCAACGTTGGACTCAGCAAATTTCTGCATCACAGCACTGACTAGTCAATCTCCTGCATTGAGAATGACCACTCCTTGCCTGGCTCCACCTCACCCCAAGTGAATACAGCAGCCAGAGGTTTCTAGTCTCTTTCAGGACCTGGGCCATCCCAGGAACTCTCCTGTGGATAGGGTCCTATGCAGGCCAGTGAGTCATGGCATCTGTTTATGGTGAATAACTGAACTCTGGATTGCTTTCAACTGCTCTTTATCCCTCTATGTCTTTACAGTTTTAAGAGAGCATTGCAATAAAGGGTAGAACTATTTTTTTTATCTGTGATGACCTTTCTATTTAGAACCATGTGTCCCACAAATTCAACAGTTGTCAAGGGATGGTTTTAATCCTGCTAAATGCAGTTTCCCTTTTGAATGCCTTCCCATTCTCTGCAGCTTAGGTTCATAGCCTGAGCATGGCTCTCATTCCTCCCCTCAGGAAGTGTGATGCAGATATTGGAGGTGATGACATGGACAGAACTATCTTCCTACACTGTTGGCACCATGTGACCACAGCATCTAGCACATCCAGTGTAAATGGAAGTGAGCTACAGACTGTCCCTGTCGGTCAATAATAGCTCCAAGATAGGTGAGGCTGGCTTTGCCATGGAGAGGGGACAGATTAACCACTGGGGACCCCAGTGCTGCCTGGGCCCTAACCAGCTGGCAGCTGCATCTCAGCAGCGTCCTCGTGCCCCTGTGCTTCTCTCTGCTTCTTCCACAGTAGGGGCTTGAACTTCATTTTCTATACCTCACTTTCCCACAGTGATAATAATATAAGGGGCTTGTAAGGGCTTCATTCTCTCATTCTGCTGCGTCCCAGCAAAGACGTTTGGTGACTTGGTTTCAGTTGTCTTGAGGAAAGCTTTCAGCTTCTCCACATCTCTGTTGGCATAGGCCTCTTGTCAGTCACAGTTATTCTACAAATCAATAAAACTAACTGATCTAAGCAGAAAAGGGTACTTATTAAAGGATATTAGATAGCTCACACAATTTTCAAAAGGGCCTGAAAATCAAATCTAGGAGCTGTTCTGTTAGGACCACACTGTGGAAGTCATCCAATTGATTCTACCGGCCTGTAGGCACTTGGCAAAAATAAGAAACATTTTCTAGAAATGCAAAGACTTGAGCTTGCTTCCAAGAGATGCCAATTTCTTATACTTCATCATAGCCTTAGATCTCTGCTCTTCTACCAGCAGTAACTGCAGCAATGAGGAAGGATTTGGAGGGCTTTATGCACCCTAATACTAACTGGCAGTGCACGGTTTATGAAGTCTGAGCAGAACTTGTGATGTCTGCTTGCTTCTCTGCACAGTGTACTTACTAATGAACTTCTTAACTTGCTTTCCATATGAAATGATTCCTTGCCTGACTAAAACGTGAAAAACACTATCAAGAAGAATTTGTTTTAAGTTTTCTCAACATTTCCTCCCAAGCTAACCATGGCCTAACAAATAGTCATTCCCTGTAACCAATTTTTCCAGCCCATCACATTCTAGCAATGTTATTGTAGAGTGTCCAGAGTTCTCTCTTCTGGTATTCTAGAAAACTTTTGTCTACTGGTAGGGTTCTGAATGACCTGACAGAACAAAGTCAATCAAAGATCTAGGTGAAGAGGATATGTCTTCCAGCATATAAATATTTCAAGTACATAGGTATACAGAGAAACATCCATAGTATTTGCCCAATAGATGGTGATAATGATGATGATGATGATGATGATGATGGCATTGAGCAATAGAAAGCAATGTACACATTTTAACAAGATTAGTTGTTCTATGGATGCCATGTGGAAACGTGATGATTCTTACCAAGTAATAGTTACATGTTGCAAATACTATATAGTAAATATGCGGAGATTTTTCAATAGAAAATGGTCCTTAGATAATTTTTTCAAATGATGATACTTGGCAATGAATTATAGGTATGCAGATTTACTAGAGACAGGAAGATGGCATTTTCAATAACTTACAGAGACAGGAAGATGGCATTTTTAATAAATTACATATAGAGTTATGACATTTGAAATGAAAATTGAAGTTCACCTAAATGACTTTATTTTCCATAAAACAGAATAATGTTTCCCAAGTTAGTTTTATAACCTTGTTATGAAGTATGTACTTCATTATGATTTCATAAATTATATTATGGAAATATAGTTGAAACCATGCCTTATATAATACATACATTTTTAGTAGACCTTATTGTTTTTGTGAAGAATTATTCTACTCTATTAAAATCTGTGGTTCCAGAGCTTTACTCATCTACTTGATATATTAGTTTGGATGCTATTGCTATAAGACAAGATAAGGTTGCATATATTACATTTCTAATTATTTTTCAAAATCTTTTAATTTAGGGGGAATACCAGCAGGTATGCAGATAACTAGTTTCTGACATTTCTCCAACATTAAACTGTAAATCCATTGAGTAAAATTTTCCAGTGTTTTAAAAAATATTATCCTCTCTGTAAAACTGAACATCTAATAAATTATCTAAATTTTTCTTTGCCACTCATCTTCCATAAATACTGTAAAAAGAAGATAATTTTACCACATTGTGACCTATGATGACTTACTTTTTCCCATGTTTACATATTACTCTATGTTTAGTGGCGGTGCTTACAATTTACTGTTAAAATGTATACACATATGTATATACATATTTCAAAAAAGGCATGAAAAGTTCAATCTTACATTGTGATATCTTAAACATGGAATTAATATTTCTTCCTTCTAGTTTAGAAACTAAAAAAGAATATCTGAGAATGAAATGAGTATCTAAGAATGCCAGAGTATCCCAATAAGACCTTTCATTCCTCCAGTCATTATTTACTCATTTATAATTTTACCGAACCAGCCATTTATTCAAATTTTCCGATTGTGTACATAAGGAGATTGAGATTTTAAAAGATGAAGTGATTTGCTGAAGGCCTTGTGACAAGGGTTTGTGACTTTTCCTTAAATAAATAGGAAGCCTAGAGCTTTCCAGGATGAGCATGGAGCCAAATATTAGGTTACCGTCTTGCCAGGCTTAAAGCTCATTCCATGAAGTAAAAAAAATCAAAGAAGTTGAAAATATGCTCTATCATCATTAGCACTATAGGAGAGTGTATATATATATATACACTCAACTGTATGTTATGTTAATAGTAATACAACTGTATATTATGTTAATATTGAAATATCCACAGAAATACAATTTTAAAGGATTATATAGAATGAATCATTTTGTGTATATAGAATGAATCATTTTGTGTATATTTGAGGGGTGCATCCCTAATGTGGAAACTATTACCATAGGATATGATGAGGTATTTATATAGAATTTGTGCACTCAATGTATAGTACAGTGTACTGAGCAAATAATAATTTGTTATTTTGATAGCACATAATTTTTTTCAATTCTCTGCCTGTGTCTTGAAGAGTAAATGTGCCTAATTATCTTCAAAAGATAATTAAAGCATTCCTGTTGACAAGGTTTACAATGATCACAACAGTCTCAGAAAAAAAGAAAATTCAATGGTAAGAATCATCAAACTATGCTCTAATTCTTGTAATGTTGTGTTTTGTTTTTATAATTTCAACTTTTATTTTAGATTCATGGGTACATGTGCAAGTTTGCTGCATAAGTATATTACTTAATACTGAAGTGTAGGGTCTGAATGCTCCCTTCACCCAGGTGGTGAGTGTAGGACCCAGTCCGTAGGTTTTCAACTCTTGCCCACCCCTCTCTCTCTCTGTCTCTCTCCTCCTTCTCTAGTACTCCCCAGTGTTTATTGTTCCCATCTTTATGTCCATGCATATCCAATATTTAGCTATCACTTATAAGTGAGAACATACAGTATTTGGTTTTCTGTTCCTGTGTTAATTTTCTTGGATAATGGGCTACAGCTGCATTCATGTTGCTGCAAAGGACATGACTTTGTTCTTTTTTATTCCCTTGTGTATATGTACCACATTGTCTTTGTCCAGTGCTTCCTTGATAGGCACCTAGGTTGACTCTAAGTCTTTGCTATTGTGCATAGTGTTATGATGAACATACAAGTATACATATCTTTATGGGAGAGTGATTTGTTTTCCTTTGTGTATATATCCAGTAATGGAATTACTGGGTTGATGATAGTTCTAAGTTTTTTGAGAAATCTCCAAACTGCTTCCCACATGGCTGCACTAATAAACGCTCTCACCAACAGTGTATACGCATTCCCTTTTCTCCACAGTTTTACCAGCATTTGTTGTCTTTCGACTTTTTAGTAACAGCCATTCTGACTGCTGATTGATATGAAATGGTATCTCATTGTGGTTTTGATTTGCATTTCTCTAATTATTAGTGATGTTAGCATTTTTCATATGTTTGTTAGCCACTTGTATGTCTTCTTTTGAGAAGTGTCTGTTCATGTACCTTGCCCATTTTTTATAAGGATTATTATTATTCATTAAATTGTTTACATTCCTTATTGATTCTAGCTATTAGACCTTTGCCAGATGCATATTTTGCAAACATTTTCTCCATTCTATTGTTTGTCTATTTACTCTTTTTATGGTTTCTTTTTCTGTGCTAATTTTTGTTTTTATTGCAATTGTTTTTGAGGAGTTAGCCATCTATCCTTTGCCAAGGCCAATACTGAGAATATTTGCTAGATTTCTTCTAGCATTTTTATAGTTTGAGGTTTTACATTTAAATCTTTAATCCATATTGAGTTAATTTTTGTATATGGTGATAGGTAGGGGCCCATTTTCATTCTTCTATGTATGGCTAGCTTGTTATCCTGGCATCATTTATTGAATAGGGAGTCCTTTCTCCATTGCTTTTTTTTTTATTAACTTTGTTGAAGATCAGATGGTTTCAGGTGTTTGGCTTTATTTCTGGGTTCTCTATTCTGTTCCATTAATCTATGTGTCTGTTTTTGTACCAATACCATGCTGCTTTGTCTACCATAGCCTTGGGGTATAGTTTGAAGTCAGGTAACGTGATGCCTCCAGCTTTGTTCTTTTTGATTAGGATTTCTTTGGCTATTCAGGCTCTTTTTTCTTTTTTATATTAATTTTAGAATACCTTTTTTTTTGAGATGGAGTCTTGCTCTGTCGCCCAGGCCGCAGTGCAACGGCACCATCTCGACTCACTGCAACCTCCACCTCCCGAGTTCAAGTGATTCTCCTGCCTCAGCTTCCTGAGCAGCGGGAACTACGGGCACATGCCACCATGCCCAGCTAATTTTTGTATTTTTATTAGAGATGGGGTTTCACCATGTTGGCCAGGCTGGTCTCAAATTCCTGACCTCAGATGATCTGGCCGCCTCAGCCTCCTGAAGTGCTGGGATTACAGGCATGAGCCACCGCACCCAGCCAGAATACTTTTTACTAATTCTATGATAAATGATATTCATAGTTTGATAGGAATATTGTTGAATCTGTAGCTTTGTTCTTTTGCTTAGGATTTCTTTGGCTATTTGGGCTCTTTTTTGGTTCTATATTAATTTTACAATAACTTTCTAATTCTATGAAAAATGTAGTTGGCAGTTTGACTGGAATAGTGTTGAGTCTATAGATGCCTTTTGGCAGTATAGCCATTTTAATAATATTAATTCTTCCAATCCAAAAGCATGGAATATTTTTTCCATTTGTTTGTGTTATCTCTGATTTTTTCCACAGTGTTTTTTAATTCTTCTTGTAGAGATTTTTTACATCCTTGATTAACGGTATTCCTACGTATTTTATTTTTGTGTGTATGAGGCTATTGTAAATGAGATTTTATTCTTGATTTGGCTCTCAGATTGCATGTTGTTGGTGCATTTCTATATTGGTATTTTTGTACAGTGATTTTGTATTCTGAAACATGACTGAAATCATTTATCATTTCTGGGAGGTTTTGGTGTAGTTTTTAGGATTTTCGAGGTATGGAATCTTATTGTCTACAAAGAGAGTTACTTTGACTTCCTATTTTCCTATCTGGATGCCTTTTATTTCTTTCTTTTGCCTAATTTCTCTGGCTAGAATTTCAAGTACCATGTTGAATAGTAGCAGAGAAAGTGGGCATCCTTATCTTGTTTCAGTTTTCAAGAAGAATCATTTCAAATTTTGCCTATTCAGTATGATGTTGACTGTGTGTCTGCCATAGATGACTCTTATTATTTTGAGGTATGTGCCTTCGACGTCTGGTTTGTTGAGAGTTTTTATCACAAAGAAATACTGTATTTTATTAAATAACTTTTCTTCATTTATTGAGATGATCATATGGTTTTTCTTTTGAATTCTGTTGTGGTGAATCATATTTATTAATTTGCATATATTGAACCAACCTTGCATCCAGAAATAAAGTTTACTTTATCGTAGTGAATTAATTTTTTAATTAACTTTTAAATTAATTAGTTAATTAGTTAACTAATTAGCTACTGAATTCAGTTAGCTAATAATGGTTGAGGATTTTTGTGTCTATGTTCAGTAGGGATATTAGCCTGTAGTTTTCTTTTTCTGTTGTGTTCTTGCCAGATTTGGGTATCAGGGTGATGTTGGCTTAATAAAATGAGTTAGGGAGGAGTCCTTCCTTCTCAGTTTTTTGAAGAGTTTCAGTAGAATTGGTATCAGTTCTTTGTACATTTGGTGGAATTTGTCTGTGAATTCATCTGTTCCAGGGCCTTTTTTGTTGGCGTTTTTTTACAGATTCAATTATGGTATTTGATATTTGTTTCTTCCCGATTCAATCTTGGGAGGTTCTGTCTTTGCAAAAATTTATTTATTTCCTCTAGATTTTCTACTTTGTGTGCATACAGATGTTCATACTAGTCTCTGAGGATCTTTAATATTTCTGTGGGATCAATTGTAATGTCACCATTGTCATTTCTGATTGTGCTTATTTTGATCATCTTTCATTTTTTATTTGTTAATCTAGCTAGTGGTCTGTTGATCTTGTTTACCATTCCAAAAACTAACTTTTGGTACACTGATCTTTTGTATGGATTCCTGGGTCTCAGTCTCATTCAGTTCTGCTTTGATGTTGGCTATTTTTTTCTTCTGATAGCTTTGAAGTTAGTTTGTTCTTGTTTTTCTGTGTTTTTTAGGTATGATGGTAGGTTGTTGATTTGAGATCTTTCTACCTACTTCATGTAGGCATTTCATGAAATAAATTTTCCTCTTAACACTGTTTTTGCTGTATCCCACATATTTTGGTATGCTCTGTATCTGTTTTCATTTATTTCAAATAATTTTTTATTTCTACCTTAATTTACTTGTTTATCCTAAAGTCATTCAGAAGCCAGTTGTTTAATTTTCCTATAATTACGTGGTTTTGAGAGATATTCTTGGTATTGATTTATATTTTTATTTTACTTGGGTGTACGTTGGTATGATTTTGATATTTTGAATTTTTGAGACTTGCTTTATGGCTAAGCATGAGTCAATCTTAGATGTTTCATGTGTAGATGAGAAGAATATATATTCTGTAGTTGATGGGTAGAGTATGCCCATTAGATCTAACTGGTCAAGTGTCAAATTTAAGTCCAGAATATCATAGTTAGTTGTTTTTTTTTTTTTTTCCCCTATCTGTCTAATACTGTCAGAGGGGTGTTCAAGTACCCTACTATTATTATATGACTGTCTAAGTCTTTTTGTAGGTCTTGAAGTACATGTTTTATGAGTGTGCATGCTCTGATGTTGGGTACATATATATTTAGGATAGTTAAGTCTTCTTGTTGAATTGAAACCTTTCCGTTATTGTAATTTTCAAATGGTGAGCCAAGTCTATGTAAGCAAAATTATACAGTAATTCTGTGTAATATACAATAGTGTAAAGGCAATATGTTTTGACATATTTAATGAGAACTTCAGCTTCTTAACAAAACTTCTTATAAAATAAATTGGTTCACTGATTTTTCAGCAAATTTGGAATGCAAAATTATAAAATACTACCAAATTATTCTAGAAAATCAATCAGCAAAATTATTGAAAAATTTGGCAATACATGTTTTTCTCTTAAATGCATTTAAACTGTAACTCCTTACTTAGGTCCCAGCGATTTAAAAACAACAAAACAACAACTACAAATCTATAGGTTTCTCAGATCTAACATCTACTAGGGAGCAGTTGATTTCTTCTCCCAAACTTGTCCTACTGTGGCCTTTTGTGGTTCTCCCCAGGAACACACCAACATCTGCGTAGTTAATGAAGCCAAAACCTCTACCTCAGTCTTGGTTCTTCTCTTTCCTTAAATCTATTCTAAATACATCCCCTGATTTATACTTCTAGTCCTGGCTCAGTAATAATTACCTCATTTTACTTTAAAAGGATTGTGGTTTGGAACTAAATTATATGATGGCTCTTTCTGTCTCCTAAGTCATTGTTTTCATCAAACCCTATAAGAGCAAACTACAAAATATAGATCTAAATAATCCAGTCTTCCTTCTCCATTTGTCACTACCATGGCTCAAGCCTTTGTTGTCTTGAACTTGAAGCACTTCCACCTACCATTCTCTCTGCATCCAATCTTGTTTCCGTCACCCATTCTGGAAAGTAGCATCTAAAATGGTCTTTATAAAATGGAACCACTTCCCTTAAAGCATTCTATTCCACATGGGAAGGCTAAGCTTTTGGCTAAGGCTGCATCTCCACTCAGTTTGTTCTTAGCCATAGGTTCAGGAACCCATGCATTCTTTCTGCCCCAGTTAATTTTCACTAATTCCCAGGAGCCTCTGCATCCCAGAGTCTCTGGCTTCTGTGTGACTAGCTTCTACTCAACATTGATGTCTTAGAAGAAATGCCAGTTCTTCAGAGAGACTTTCCTCACTGCTCAGCAAAAATAGCCCACCAGCCACTCACCACTCTCTATTATATGGTACTCATCATCTCCCTTCATAACATTCATCATCTTCAACTAAAATTATTGTGATCATTCATCTGCCTATCTTCTTCAAATTATAATTAGTACCTGTGCCTCTTGTCCATGGCTGTAATTTTGATGCCTCTAACAATGTCCAGTACATTCCATAGTACACACATTATAAATATTCGTTAATGAAAGATTAAAGTTGATTTTCATATAATCATATTTAAAGGTTATTATTATTCATTTAAAAATGTCTGCATCTGGTATGAAATAGTCCAAAATATGTCTTCCAAATCAGAGTATAGTTTACAAAAGCTATTAAAAAATTAAGCTTCAACATTCCTCCCAATATTCAGGATTTGAAATAATATTCACTACGTTTCATAAAGTGATTATAATAAAAATGTTAATGTTCTAATAAAATAATAAGTAAGGTAACCAACATGATGTATTCTTCAGAAACTTGAATGTAGGAGAAATGACTTCATTTTCTCTACATCAAAATAAATCAGATTTCATGCCAACAGATTTCTGTAATTTCAGATGCAATCATTTTTAAACAACCTGTCCCTCGTAAATGTTGCACAGTTTATCTGAGTGGGGAGTTAGGGGGTTTTGCAGGAGCTCAGAACACAAGGGTATGGGTTCTAATCCATTATGGTCACCACTGGCATTGTTTACGGCCAAGTCCACACAGTTCTTTGAAGTTGCAGGCTACTTTGTGGCATGTCAAGCTGTATTCATCAGCCTTACTGATCCTGAGAGCCCCACTGCCCAGGTGACTCCCTTCTCCATGCACCTCATGAGCCAGAGCCCCCAGAGGCCCTTCCCACCACCTGGAGAGTCGGTTAGCAAGGTCTTCTCCCTGCTGTGTACAGCCGTTTCTTTTCCCATCCTGTTACCATCTCTACTTTAGGATAATCTCCTCAGGAGTCTCATAGTTTCAAGAAGCTGAAATAGGAAGGCAGCCTCTACTTTCTGCTCTGCCACTGAAAATGCTGGACGGACAAAGGCTCTTAAACTTTGCCAATGTTCCTTTGGCAGTGTGTACCTATGATCCCTGTCTCAGAAGAACGATTAAAATATATATAATCACAAAGGAAACAAATTATATTGAAATTCAATTTCAAAAGTGCTTCTTTTATTAACCACATTGAGATCTAACAATGAAGGATTAATAAGTACCATGATTTAATAAGGACTACTTACTTTTTAAGATACCATAATTATAGTGATAAGCAAAACAAAAATTTGATGTATCCATAATAACTGTATATAAATGTTAAAGTATTTAAAATTTTATGAGTTTTCTTGGTATGTCCAAAGCTACTGTGTTTTAAAATTATATTCATATTTGAAAAAAGTACTAAATTTCAATTAGAAGTTACTAAAGCTGAAGGCATACATATTTTTTTCTTATCCAAGTTCACAGATGACCCCGCATTAAGAACCTAACTTAATGATCATTATAACATCTGTAGTGTGATAAATAGTTTATCCCACTAAAAACAAATCTGACTGATGCTTGAAGACCCAGGTTTGGGTATAATACAGCACAGCTTTATCTCCAGGTGTGTATTCTCATTCCACGCCCATCACTGAGAAAACTCACCTTCCCTCTTTACCTAACTAGTAATAATGATCCCCTCCACCAGTCCTGGCAAACACAGTATTTCTTCTAATTTGATGATTACACTCCTAAGTACAGGTTCAGATTATATATAGGAGTGTGAACCCTCTCCTGCAACCCAATTTTTTATAACCTCTGAGCACAGTAAACATGTATGAGTAAAAAGAAGTTAAATGCACTTTGATCTTCACCACATCCTATGAGCTGAGCATAAGTCGGCCATGACACACTCCCCTTAGATACGTGGGTAAGACGAGGTGCAATGATATTATCTGAGTGACAGAAAGTCTGAGACCTAGGGAAAGTCAGAGCTGGAGCAATAATCTCTGTTGGTCAGCTCTGTCCTTTGCCTCATGGTGCCTTCCTGCTATGTTATGAGAAGTGCTACAAAGCACACATTTTGAAAGCAGAAGCCAAAGTTAGGCAGTGTGTGTATACACACACACACACACACACACACACACTCCCACACACACACTACACACAGCAAATATTTGTTTCTCTTTGGTAGTCTGCCTTCTGTCTACATACTATACATTTCTAAACAGAGTTGTTCCCTGAATTGCATTAGACACAAGTCAATTTGTTTGATTTAAAGTTCTACTTTAAGGGAGAGTCGACATTTTATCCTGCATTTCTCTGAGCACTTTTTTGTCTTTCATGCCATTATTAGCATATGATATTACCAGTTGATAATAATTTTAAATTTTGTTTCTAGCACCTTTCCAGAATTTTAGAATTACTAAAGTGGCTGAATTTTTGCAGAAAACATTCTGTTATTGATAAAACTGACGGAACTATCATGAAATGATAGCTATCTAACCACATTCTAAGTTGTGGTTAGCATGATAATAGATAATAAATTGAAGTTGGTATTTCCACTTTAGAAGAATAGATAGATAATAGTAGATAATAGATTTAATTTGGTATTTCCACATTAACATCTAAAAATACAGTCATTGGAGTAGCCATATTTTGAAACAGAGGTGTCATTTTTAATATAGAATAATTTGTACATTAATTTTTCTAAATAGAGGACTCAATGTTTGCTGTCAAATGTATAACTCATATGGATTCCATAGGGTTTCCTTGTGTTAGTATGCTACTCTGTGATGTTGCTATATATACACGTACACATTCTTTTAATTCTGAAAAGGTATAAACATGCAAATTCCAAAGAAGGGAGCTATATTTAATCATGGATAATTAAATATTTCAAGCTTTGCACGGGTAATCAATCTTGTCAGCAAAGGCACAAACAACTTGCCCAGGTACTCAGCATGGTTCAGTTGTCCTGATTGATACAGAATATGTATAATGTCAATGAAACACACCAGAGAATTCGAAGTCTGAGCATTGGGGTGATGGCTTGTGCTAAGTGGCTTTAGTGATTGCCAAGACACTGCCATAAAAGCACGTCAAATATTTCATTGACTAACATAAAATAAAAAATGAAACTTTTGTCTATTCATTAGAAAAAATGCAATCTTCAAATATCTAATAATTTGATTTAACCATTAATATTCCCCCATTAAATGGTTTATGAGGCCTGCATTCTTCATGACCAAGCTTAAAACTAAAATGTTATAGGTAGTCTTTAAGTTAGATAATTTACAATAAATAGAATTTATTTGTGATTCATTATTTTATGTAACAGGTAGTTTTCACTTTCATGTGTAAATAACTTAAGAATTGAGTTTCTGTATCAATTGGGAATAGTGCTAATACTCACGCATTTGAGGAAATAAGTAGACACAGTGTGTGGTGCTACCTTGCTCCTGAAGACAGCAGACTTACTCTGGCAGTCAGTGTCTCAGCAGGAGCCAGAAACAGGGCTTTTCTGCCTGTCTCCTCTCCAGTTAGAGATCCAGCAGAGAAGAGGACACCAATTGTTTCAGGAAGATGCGCCTCTGTGCCCCTTTCCTTGTCCTCAGCTGGCTTAGTTCTGCATGCAACAGGTCTGGCTGTACCCCATGGTGCTCTCTTTCATTCTCCGCATGACAGCTCTCTCTCTGGAGAGAAGCAGAATGGGAAGGAGAGAGAAGAATTATTAAAGTTGGAGAGGCAATGCAATTTTAACGCTTCAACTGATGGATTATTTTACATGTTTCCTATTTGAAGTTTAAGTTATTAATATATTTTACTGTACATATCTTACGTTCTTAAAAATGTTTGAGGGCACTGCCAATCTTAGAGTTTGAAGTGATATTAATAGTCATTCGGTTCAAAACTTTTTCCCAAAGACAAAACATGTGAATTGCAATGAAGCCAAAGCATTTGTGAAAGAGCTTCTTTTCTTTTCCAAAATCTATTCTTTCCCAGGATATCAGAAGGAATGTAGAGAGGAGAAAATAGAAGAAAATAAATTTCCTGCCTTATGCCTTCAATATAAGAAATGGCAAAATTATGGTTCTTTTATCTTCAAGAATTATGTTACTTTCTTTTGAGTACTCATTAATTGACATCCATCAGTTCATTTTTCAAACCCTTTCATGAGTAGGAGAAACCCAAAGAGGGACTGCCCATAGCCACTTGGCCTGAAGACACAACACAGGTCATCAGCCCCCTGCTTGGAGACATGCCTAGCTTCTTATTTTGCAAAATTCTCACTGTCCTTTTCTGTTAAGGTGTGGGCAAAGGGAGCTAAAAGACAGCATTCATTACCCACTTTGCTCTGTACTTGGTGTAAATTTCCTGCACTTAAATGCCCAACAGCCAGTGGTTTGGTCTGTAAAAGACACAGGAAGCAAAGTGCTTGCTCAGCCTATAGGGATGCCATAAACCCTGTTTCTAGAAGGAGCTTAGAAGCCCAGCAGTCTATGAATTATGTGAGAATCACTCAGCAAATGGTTGCTGCGGCATATTAATAGAGAATGGGTATTGATTCACCTAAAATTAGAACACACCTCAATATACTTCTATTGCCACAAGTCTTTGACTTTCAAGGCATTGTCAGCAGAGTCCAGAATCTGTATAATGTGAGAATGTAAGAGTGGAGGTGAAAATCTCCTATGTTCATCAGACCTATCAGAGGACAGAGTAGAGGCAACATTTTAGAAGAGTTTCTAAAGCTGTGGCTATCTGGGATAATTTCAATTTTCAGAAAAGTCTGCCCTGAGCTGCAGGGGCTCTTTACAATCTCTTCTTTATGACATTACTTTCTGTTTCAGGGAATATACAAGATAAGCTTGAAGCATCCCACAGTGACAGAAAGAAAAGAAAATGCTCAAACACATGCCTGCATGTGCACACACAAAATACACACACACACACACACACACACACACACACACACGATGGAACTATGCCAAAGAGACGCAGGAATCAACTGGAAGAGCTCCCAATGGACAAACCTGGGACAATCTGATCAAACAACATAAATAAAATACGTTTAGATCATAACTAAAACTATAACATAAAAGGCTGTGAGTACATAGTGATATAAATAATGATTGAATAAATACAGAAGTGGGGGAGAAGAGGCACATCTCCAGTGCAGAGGATTCAAAACAATTTATGTATATATTCTGCCCTCAAATAGGTGAAGCAGGATATTTCCCTGACCTCTTCACAGGACTCACAACAGGGGTGCCTCGTTTACCCAGCCCACAGCTTTCAACTCCTCTTGGGAGGGAGCATGTAAGCAAATGAGGTGGGAACTAGAGTGCATGCATGCTGGAACCAGCTGATTGCTTTGGTGAGGCAGGGGCAAACTCCACTCACTCAGACCCGCTGCATTCCACCCCTTGTAAGGGGGAGCACACACATGAACAGGTGCAGGAGCCAGGGCGAGAACTTCTGGGTGCTGGTAGGAGCAAACTCCGTGTGGGCCTTGCGGCAGCAACTTGGGGGGTGCCCATGATCCCTGAAGTGCCATAGGGCATGTTAAAGTACTCTTTTAGCTCGGCCATCTGAAGATGGCTTAAATATTAACAACTCAGTGGGCCTTCTACCTTTTCATGTGCAGCGAGCGGTTGCCTTCTGCCAGCAAGGGCAAAAGGCAAGTGTGACAGCCTTTTGCATCTGTACTCGTGGCTCCCAAGCTCTTGTCTGGCATCCAGGAGAAACGAGTTCACATGAATGAATTGAAAAATGGTAAATGCAGTGATTTTATTGCCAATAAAAGTGGCTCTCAGCAGCAAGGAGAGCTGAAAAGGGGACAGGACGGGAAGGTAATCTTCTCCTGAAGTCTGGTCGTCTCCAGCCACATTCTTCCTTGAAGTTACACCGTCAAGCTGTCCCTCTGAAATCAAGCTGCTTCTCTCTTACTGCCAGCTGTTTCTCCTCCCTGCCAGTTGAATATGGGGTTTTTATAGGCACAGGATGGGAGTGGTGAGACAGGGCCATGAGTGGTTTTGGAAAAGGCAACATTCAAGCAGGAAAACAGGGATGTCAGTTCTCACTTTGGGCCATGGTGTGAGGCTTTTCAGCTTGAAGGTGGGGCTTTGCCAGGGACCTGCCACTGTCTACCTAGAATTTCTCTGTCTCCTGTTGCTATCATAGGTATAGCATGACTTCCCACTCCTGAAGTGTAGGCTGCACATAGTGACCTCTGTCAAAGAATACAATATAGAAAAGGAGAGGAAAGAGTAACTTTGCAGCACAGAATCTTAGCAAACATTACCTCAGCCAGGTGGTCAAGGTCAGTATCAACAGAGATCAGTCATGTTGATGGTGTATACCCTTCGTAGGATGGATGAAAATCAAGCTTCACCTATTCAAAAACCCATAACCCATAACCCCAGTCTGAAATGGAAAAACAGATAAATCCTAACAGAGGAACACTTTACAAATTTCTTGATCAGTATTCCTCAAAACTGTCAAGGTCATTAAAAATAAGGGATATGTGAGAAAGTGGTGCCACCAAGAGGAACCTGGAAGTCACGGTAACTAAATCAAATGCAGAATCCTGGATGGGGCCCTAGAACAAGAAAAGACACTGAGTACAAACTAAGGAAATCTTAATAGATTATGGACTTTACTTAATAACAATGTATCAAAATTGATTTGAATGTTAGACATACAGAAACTTTCTGTATATCTAGTATAGATATACTAGGTATATCTCTATATACTAGATAGAGATACTAGATATACTAGATATATATCGAACCTTCTCAACTTTTCTATTAAAAAATCTTATAAAATTAAAAGTTTCTAAAAAGGATACTTAATGAATTCATTACTTATAAGGAAAAACACAGGAATCTTTTAACATATAAAAATTAGAATCGTATTAAACATAGGATATGAACAATTTTTAATTGAATTTGGTTTATCCACATGGTTGAATGTTATACAGCTATTATGAATAACTTTAAAATGCTTATGTAAAAAATAGAAAATAGTTATATTAAAATATCTAACAAAGCAATAAGAAAATTTTTTAAAAGTATGATTGTATCTGTATCAAATATCCAATATCCACCATAAGCCCAGCTCCTCCCTAAGTTAAAAAGAAAAACAAAAACCAGAGGATAGGAGACAAGCAGTATGTAGAAGCTATATCCCTACTAGTATATACATATTTAACTAAATATTTAATTATAGAAAAGTATAATTCTCTTTTTACTCATTTGATAAAAGTTACTGTGGTTTGTATTATTAAATTACTATGGTTTATATGATAAAAAATAATATATTTTCCCAGGGAAGAGCTACATATCACACTTTTAGAGTATTCTCGATTCCAACATTAAGAATCTCTAAAAATGAGAAGCCATATAATAAGTGGTTTGAGCTGAGTTGTAAAATTACACACGCCTAGGTTTACATATTATTTCCAACCCTTAATACCTACATGAACTTTGAAATATTATTCAATTTCTAAGTCTTGGTTTCTTCATACAAAAGGGAGAATAATTATATCTACCAAAGAATTTATTGCAGTGCTTGAATCATGGTTAATGCTAAGTAAATTCTATAAGAGATATTTCATTAGAATAAATTAAAAATACATATTAGTCTGAATTCTTCTGAAGAAAGATGAGAGAAGATGAAGAAATTCAAAGAAACTAATGGACAACATTAAGTTATACCAGTTTCCCTTGAATTCAGATCCCTGAAGGATCATAGGTAGACAGGAACATCATTCATGATAATTGGGAAAAGAGAGTTAATAGGAGTCCAAGGGTGAAAGACAAAATTCCAAGGAAACTCTGAAGGGAATGAATAAATCAATACAAACCTAGAACCAGCTCAGCAAAAAGCAGAGCACAGATCCCGAGCCTCAAGAACAGATAAGACTAGAGAAACGACGTCAATATTCAATGCAAATATTTAAAAATAATGATTGCATCATTTGCTTGAGAAAAAATTTGAAGATGTTCAGAAACGTGAGCTAGTGACACTGTTGTTTTATTAGCCTGGGGAGATATGTTTCCATGTAATTCATGTCTTCCTTACCGCAACACTACTGTACACACACATTTTTGTATAAGATGTAAATTTGTGAAGCATTAAAATAGCTGCTTCGAAAATCGACATTTGTGATCTCAGAAAAGAGAGCTCAAGAAGCGATGCAGTTCCCAAGATAACACAGGACCTGAGGGCTGCTCAGCTTCAGTTTGGCTAGGAAGACAGGACCATGACAAGAGGAAACATGTTGTGTTAGTGAGATGACAACTAGGATTTTGGGTAAGAATTTGGGTCTACAAGGAATATGGAATTGGGGTAACATAATCAAGGAATAATTTAATTAAAAACCTGTATAGTGAGAGTATGCCAATGAGGAGCTTCACTAGAAGTAGCAGAAAGAGACTCCATAAAGTTTCACTGAAGGAGATTGTAATTACTTTAACAGTTGTTTTTAATTCACACTTCTTTGCATATAGAAATCTTTAGAGTCCAACACCATTAAATGTACTGATTGGAACTTTTCATGTTTCAATTATAGTAAAAGCCATTGAGCAATGTTCATAGGGACTCTGTAGTCCAGCATTTATGCAAAAGTTATTAATTTTTAAAACTAGAATGACTTGGGATAAATATATTTGGTAGTTTCTGAAATCACTTAGGAGTATTTTGTATCATGAAAGTTAATAAATCTGGATAAAATATAAAAACTCAATCATTATTAATCAAGCAATTTTTTAAAAGTCTTTAATGACTGACTTTTCTTTTTTCAATGTTTCAAGCACATCGTCAATATACTTTTTTATTCTCATTTATTATATATTTCCTTTCATCCAAAATTGTCATTCTATGAATGTATTTATGAGCAAATTTGAAGGGATGATTGACCTCAATTGTAATCTTCCCTGTTAAGAATGAATTGCTATGGGTATCATGCTATGGAGAAAGTAGGAATTGATTCTGAATCTCACATACACACATGCCCACACACACATATGCCCTTCCCCCAACATACAAGCATGGAGCTGAAAATAAACACAGTTTAATTCAGATGAAAATCAACCACTTTCAAAATAGCATTAGAAACCAATCATTTGTACCTTGCTTTGTGAAACAAAGGCAAAAACAGAACCCATGCTGTGCATCCAATTACAATAGTAGGCGCACCATGACAAGCTTCACAGCCATTTTCAGATAAGGCCCAAATATGAGCGCAGAGTGAAATTAGCAAACAACAACACAAAGGAAGTAAAGAGAACAGAGAAGAATTGTGTGAGGAAAAGGAGAAGAGAGGCCCATCAGTAGCGAGGCAAGAGTTTGACAGACGGAAGGTGAGGAAGGCAGGTGAACCTGTCACTGATGCACTCAGAAAACAGGGGTCGCCCATCACTCCTTCACCTCCATACTGCCGCAGGTCACAATCAGCATTAAGGGGACACATAGGCTCTTACATTTTTCTTTTTTTTTTTTTTTTGAGACAAAGTCTCACTCTTTCACCCAGGCTGGAGTGCAGTGGCATGATCTTGGCTCACTGCAACCTCTGCCTCCCAGGTTCAAGCATCACCTGCCTCAGCCTCCCAAAGTGCTAGGATTACAGGTGTGAGCCACTGCGCCAAGCCGGCTCTTCAAGAATACATCCTTGTCCACTTCATGCACAGGTGAGAGTTCTGTGACTATTTTCTTGGATTATCTCAGAACGATGTCTATCCACTCAGCTTGCCAAACTTTTGAAGGGTAGCAGAATATGCCACTCAAAATATGCCACTTTGGCATGAGAATTATTTTGAGCTGAAGGCAACTGAGAAGCAGACAAACTCTTGGCCCTCCCCCATCTGTCTAAAAGCAAAAAATGAGCAAAGATACAAGCAGTCATTTCACAGAAGAGCAAATATAAGTGGCTCATAATTATATAAAGATACATATATCATTAATAATTATTACTGGAAGGCAGACCTTGAGTGTGAGCTGTCCAGGTCCCTGGAATGTTGAACAAAGAATTGGACAAAACACACAAACAGAGTAACAAAGGGACAAAACACAGGAATGAAACAGTGAAAGCAAGGATTTATAAAAGCAAGAAAGCACTCCACAGGGTGTGAGTGGGCCCAGGGCAAGCAGCTCAAGGGCCCAGTTACAAGGTTTCCTGGACTTTTAAGTACTCCATTTGAGGTTCCTATTGGTTACTCCTTATCTGGATGAAGGATTTGGTTCATGGCTAATTCAGGGCTGAGGTGAATTGGCGGCCTATGCAGATGAAAGGATGGTCCCTGCTTGGCCCACAGCCAATCCAGGGCACTCTCCCTTTCCATCTGAGACCTGGTGGAAGGGAGAGGGTTTAGGGAGAGTAGCCTGTGATCCTTTATTACTCAGCATGGAGAGATGGGGTTTCTCCCTTGGAGTAGCTTTAGGAAGTTTGTGTTAATTGGCCTTGGGGTCTCTGCTCCCCATATTCAAGTGTTTTTCTTTTGAACCACCTTTGGGAAGTTAGCAACAATTGACCTTAGACTTCCTGCTTCCCCCAGACCTTGGTGTTTTTCCTTGACTCAGCATGAATTGGCCTTAAGTTTCCTGCCTCCTGACCCTATTCTCCTGCCTCATAATCACAAAAATGTAAATTAACATCAAAATGAGATGCCATTGCATATGCACCTAATTGGTGAAATGACAAATCAGATTAAGCCAAATGTACATTAAAATGTGAGGCAATAGCAACTCAGCCATGGCTGATAAAAATATAAATCACAACAACTTTGGAAAAAAAAAGTTGGCATTACCTATTAAAATTAAAATGTGCAAATTTTTTTGGCCTAGCCATTTTGCTCTTAGATATCAGCTTAAAGAAACTTTTGCATATGTAGCATTAAGTGGCAAAATATAGGACTGTTCATGTTATAGAACCAAACTATGATCTACTCGCCCAGGACAGTAAAACCAGATATCCACACCAAGGTTTTATAGCAGGAGAAAGGAAAGTATTTATTTGCAAGGCACCAAGCAAAGGGACTCAGGCAACTATGGTTAAACTCTGACCTCCTCAATGGCTTTAAAGTAAGACTTTTTAAAGACAGGAGTAAATTTCAGGAAAGCAGAAATTAAAGGCAAAATCATAAATAAATACATGGAGGTTACACATTGCTTTTCACCTAAAAGGGCAGGATATCTTGAACCAGGATTCATAGGGAGGTTCAAAGATTTTCTGATTTGCAATTGGCTAAGGAAGAAGCTTTGTTTAAAAATTTTGGGCCAGCAGAAAAGACTGTTAGCTCTGGTTTCTGCATGTGACTCCCTCCAGGCACCTCAGGAGGAAATTTAGAACAAGGAATTGTGGTCAGAGTTCAGTCTTCAATTCCCATTATCTGAAGTGTACTGCCATGGAATCTGTTCAGTGGAGCTTGATGTTTCAAATAAACAAGTCAGGAACATTTTTTAAGATGTTACATTTAGTTTCTATAGAGAACCAAACATCTCCTGACTATAATTTCCTTGGCTATTGTTTTAAGCTACTATTACCTTCCTTCTTTCTTATTAAGTTGCTTATTTACATTTCAGGGCTAGCTAGGTGTCTGGAATTTCCCTTGAAGAAACTTAAATTTTCATTTATTTCCATGTTTAGGGGGTCCAAGAGGCCTCTAAAAGGGAGTCCCTCCTCTGTCTCGCTCATAGAACCATTTAAAAAAGAGGAAACTAGCTGAACATTTAATAGAAGTAAAATGTACACATATATTTTGGTGCATTTATATTATGGAATACTACATATTCTCACAAATTAATGAACTACATGTAGTTGTTGCAACTACATGCAACAACATCGACACATTTCAAAAACTTTGCAATAAGAGAAAGTAGCAACTGAAAGAAGATATTTAGAATACAAAAATTGTTAAAAATAATAAAAACTAAATGATATATTATATAGATGTACATATTTTGGAAATAAAACTATTTTTATAAAGAGATTGTCATTACACAAAATTTAGAAAGTTGATTAATCCTGAGGGAGCAGAAGAAGCTATGATTGTGGGGTACAACAGAGAATCCAAGATACTGATATTGTACTCTTTCTCAATCTAGGTAATAGGACAATGATGCTAATCTTGTTATTGAAACACCAGGGATTTGGTCTAGGTCCTGCTGCTTGCTGCACAGAAAGCCAATCACTGAGACAACAAGTATTGCCGAAGAAGAAGGCTTTCATTGAGTGCCGCAGCCAAGGAGATGGAACCTCAGTCTCAAGTTCATCTCCCTGACTTCTAATTAGAGGCTTATATAGCAGGGACAAAATGTAATAATGTGTAAACAAAACAGGAACTAGGAGGGGCAGGGAAGCAACATGATGAATGAGAAATTCAGAGCCCCATTGTCAGGATGTGGTAATCTGGTGAGTTTCAGTTTTTCCATATATTTTTTGAGAGCCTGAAAGTCCTTTTCTGAGGAAGGAACTCAGATAAAACAAATATAAGTTTCATGCCTTAAGACCAGAAAGGTCAATTTCTATGTTCATCCAAAAGAACGATCTATGGGATTACTGGGTTGGTTTCAGTTCCCCCTTTCTGTTTTGTTTATAAATTCCTTAATCATGAAAGGCTGTCAGTCTTTCTGGCTGTTTCATGATGAAGAGGGGTGCCACAGTCAGCTCCATACTATGGGTGACCATGTAGCCACCTAGGAATCAAAGTTTACTCTTATAGAGTTTTCTTCTGACATACAATATTCCTCTCTCCAGTCCCCCACTTCCAAAGACAAAACAGAGTAGGACAAATCTACCTGCAAAATATGTTTCGGTCCCATATACTTGGCCTGATTACCCACATGAAGTGCAGCAAGAATTATTGTTCACATAGGCTCTCCTAAATTGGCTTTGGCAGAACCTCTCATATGGCCATTTCAGTCAGAGCCCTGAGAAAATAACCATTACAAAAGAAAACTTGTGGTTATTAAATGTATGCAAACAGACACATTGCCATTAATTATGAATATTTGCAAATAGCTTACAAATTCTGGAGAAATTAGGCAGACCAAGAAATGACTCAAATTCTGTTTACAAAATATACTCTACTCAATATACATAAAGTATATTTCAATACTATAAGTAGCTCAAAAGAAAAAAACTCTCCAGACTCTGAAAAGCAAAACAAAAACAATCCACAATATTTCAAACCAAAGCACCATAAAAAATCATTTCTGTTCTCCATTAGTTCAGTCCATGCATGTCAACACCTTCGCTGCTTCATACTGGGTTAGTAATCTTTATGAACACAGCAGTCTTTCAATTAGTGCCCTGCAAATTTTCTCTCCAACCAAGGGCACAATCTCCAAAGTTATCAGAAACCTGCATTCAATAGTCCTTTTCATGAACTCCTCCAAAGAAGCAAGCCCTGGACTGTAGCTGATTATAAGTCACTTTTTCTGAGAAGGATCAAAGCAAAACATCAATTGTGGATGACAAAAGTCTTAACACAGCCATAGTTAAAGACACGGTTGACAAGGAAATATGGTTATTTATGTGGCATACAACAATTTAACATAATAATTACAACATACATTAAGAATTTTAGGAATGTCATACTATCCTGGACCACATATGAACAAAACATCTGTATAAATATAACCCAAAGGAAGGTAAACACCACCTCAGATTTGACAATATTTCCACTAACATAACAAATAAACCTAATAAGCCTAATATGTCTCTCTTGGACTTCAGGGAACCTCATATCAAAAAAGGTAGTTTAAGATCAAAAAGACTAAATTTAGAACCTGGAATTTTGTTGAAAGTCTGTGAAGTATCAAGGTTTTAAGAAATTTGATATGATAAAGTAGGATCACTGATTACCATAAGACAGTCATTCATTTATCCATAATGATAAAACAAAAACTTTTACCTTTTGATAGAGGAGACTCAGTTTCCCAAACAATAAGACCTAATACAGACACCATGAGGCCAGCTATATCTGTCTCTCCTTCCTCCATCTTCTCCCTGCAGTTTGCTCAGAAGGTAAACAAAATATTTCCTCTCAATATTACACAAACATTTTGTTCAAAAGAGAAAACGTTTGCCTTTACATGGTGTATAATAAATGTGAAAGTTGATTTTAATAAAACCTCATAAACAAATCTGCCTACTTTTAATCAGTTTGACCATAAGATTTCCATAAACTTTTTATAACATTTTCCAATTTTCTATTAAATACCAGATCAATGGTCCAAGAAAACCCTGTTATTCCAACACATGGGCCCAGATGCTGGCCTTGTATCAGAGTGCCTTTGATATTAATGTTTAATTTATAGAAAAACTCTGAAGTAATCTTATCCCGCAAAATCGGCGCTTATAATTGTAAGCACCCATCTCTTCCACAATAGTCTCTGGTCTTAGAGAATTACATAGTTTTAATTCCTGACCCTATGTCTCACAAAAGCAATACATTTTGATTGTCACCTTCTCCCTAGTCTAGTGATGATGCTCAACTGGTGTCAATGCTCAAAATGTAGCAGGGATTGGTGCTTTCTTTAGACTCAAAAGTCAAAGCCCTGTAACTTAACAGCACAGGCCTTAGTTAATAGGATATTTATGCTGCAGAAAAATCCTATCATTTTCTCTAACATGTTACAAATTAAAACACTGTGATTTGGTGTTTGGGAATTACTTCCTGCAGTACTTCAAACCATTGTATTAAAGTAGTTAGGTATTCTTTGCATATATCTAATTGCCAGCATTCTAGTAACAGAATTATGACCAAACACATCAAAAATGTCATAGGTCCTATGCCAAACTTACCAGAGTAAGACAACTAACTTTTTTCTCCATCATTAAAAAATGATAAATGCAAATATCAGATTTGGAAATTCAATGAGAAATACTCTCCTCTCACTTAAATACTATATGACAAAACAAGAACAAAGTAAGAATAAGCAAATGATAATTTCCTTTCAGCTATTTTTAAAGAGCATCACCACGTATTTCCAAGATTGCTTTCTAGATATAGTACCGACAACTGATTATGTTACCGGTGGAGGGTGTACATATTCTTGGTATTTTTAACAAAGAATTGGACAAAAAGCACAAAGCAAGGAAATAATGAAGCAACAAAAGCAGAGCTTTATTGAAAATGAAAGTACATTCCACATGGGGGGAGCAGGCCCAAGCAAGCAGCTCAAAGGCTCTGTTACAAAATTGTCTTGGGTTTAAATATCCTCTAGATGTTTCCCATTGGTTACTTGGTGTATGCCCTATGGAAATGAAGAGGCTGAAGTAAAGTTATAAAGTCATTTACTTGATGTACACCCTGTGTACAAATGAAGAGGATATTTCCTGTTACAGCTGAAGTAGAGCTACAAAGTTATTTACTTGATCATAGGAAGCTGGAGTTTTTTTATTTGATTTAGTTCTAGGAAGTCCTTAGGTTCCCTGCCCCCAGACCCTGTTCTCCTACCTCAATTAGGTAACTCTAATCACCAAAATCTTCAAACCAGTGCGACAGCTGCAAATATTTTAAGTACAACATGAAGGCCCATCAGTGATAAATGGCTTGAGATAAAAAATCACTAGAAAGTCTCACCCTTTTTTATATTACTACTTAATCCAAGTGAGTGTCACTTTAAATTAGTTTTAAAGAAATTCTAATCAATATAATTTCCTTAAGGACAAAGCCAATCTTTACTGAACATTAAAACTGTACTCATTTCACAATTTTTTTCCTCAAAGGAAAGATCTGAAACCAATCCAAAGTGTTGATTCAATTGAGTCACCCTGGAAACAAACACCACTCAAATATTTTTGCACTCATCCACCTCTCCAAACAACAAAACATATAATGTACTATTTCTGTTCAGAATTTATAAAAATAGGTCTTTTACTTATTTAGCTGTCTAGATCATCAGAAGCAAGCAAAACCAAAGAAATTCCAAGTGGCTGGTGTGCTCCATCAATTCCTGCAGGCCCCACCAAAGGCAACCTAGGAATTCCAGATAAATAGAACAGATGATGACTTGCTAGAAATGCATAGGAAACAAAATATTCACAGAACTAAACAAAAGCCTTTGACTGGAAGGTAAAAAATGTCTATAGTTTTATATATGATTATATATATGCATACACAAGTAAAACCCAAAGGAGAAGAAACAGCAAAACAAATGAAAATTAGAAGCAAAAACAAATAAACAGGAAACCAGTCCTAAGTTTATCAGTTTACCTTAGAGGTTAAAGTGTTACCTAGAGTCTACAAACCCCATATAATGAATATTTTATTCCTGATACACAATTCAATATCCTTAAGTCCACCAATATCACCATACATCCTGTGCAATCAAGAAATTTGCTCTAGGCACATGACCAGTAAGGACTCTAGTGCCAGCACTATCCATGCAAAATAGCATACATAGTGTGAAGCAATGCAAACATGTACACTAAATCCAGCTTCATTCTTAACTATATAAAAAGAAAAATTGCCACCAGCCTGGCCAATATGGCAAAACTCCATCTCTACTAAAAAAAATTAGCCGGGCATGGTGGTGTGTGCCTGTAATTCCAGCAACTCAGGAGGCTGAGACAAGAGAATTGCTTGAACCTGGGAGGCGGAGGTTGCAGTGAGCCAAGATTGAGCCACTGCACTCCAGCCTAGGTGAAAGAGGAAGACCCTGTCTCCAAAAATAGATAAATAAATAAATAAATAAATATTGGCAAACTGCCAATGCATTTCTTTACAATATTTCTTATTTTGCTTTAATCAAGACTAAGAGCTTTAACTATGAAAATGTTAATGAGACAAATTTCTCCAATTCTCTATCAGATTTTAAAGAATATTTTATTATCTAAACATTATCAACTTTTTATTCTCTCTGTATGTGAAAAAGAAGAGGAAAAACTACATATGACTTATACAGACCATCCACAACATCCTGGGGTTTCCATTCAGCCCCAGATTTTCTCCTTCCCCTTCTCCTTCTCCTTCTCCTTCTCCTCCTCCTGCACATGCCCTCCCCTTCTTCCTCCTCCTCCATCTCCTCCTTCTACTTCTCCTTCTCCTTCCTTCTTTCTTCTTCCCATTTTACTTCAGGACAAAAAATGTACCATACAAGATCCTTCCTCAAAATCATTACCTTTTCTTTATAACCTTCCTTACCAAAAACAAATAATGATATATATATATATGTATATATAACTTTTTCCACATCTTTCTTCCCTACTTACTGGTTCTTTACTACATTCTTTTATAAATAACCATTTTAAATCTGTAATTTGAACTAACTTTTAAATAATTTCTGAATTAGAGAAAAGTATTCTTTTTCTCACTAACAACACAAACTTTTTGGAACATTTTGTATACAGAATTATGTATTGACTAGAATTCTTATCCTTAGTAACCTAAAACTTTAGTGAAACCCTAAAAAGCAAGAAATCCTAAACTATCAGATAAAAGCATTTTATAGATAAGAACAATTCCATAATTTTTATAAACATTTCTCCATATCATAACCCTTTCTTAGTTGGAAATGACCCAGATATTTAATGAACATAAAAAATAATTTTAATATTTTAAGTTACTCAAAAAGTTGACCTAAAACATTTATCTCATTTACATATACTCAATTCTTTCATTTTTAACAATTTATCTACATTACTCCTATAAACTGAGATATTAGACACTATAAAGCTAGTTATATCCTTGTTAACCACTTTTAAAATAACCATTTTTTAATAGCCAGCAAACATCAGATGCTCACCTAAAGAACAGCTTCAAAGTTAAACATATAGGTAATTTTTGCCAATAACTCAGAAAATTCAGCTAACAACATTAAATTAGTCTCATTTTTCAAAGAAGGCACACAAACCAAGATCATTTTATTTTGGCTGGGTAAATAGCTTTATAACCATCTATGCCAAACACAGACATCTCAAAATATCTGTCAAAGACAGATATAAAATCCAGACAAAAATGTATGCTGACAATTCTGAAGACATTTTATTTTTATTTTACCAATAATTTTAAAGCCAGCTTGTTTAGTAATGATTTACTTAAGTCAGGTAAACTTGAAAATTGCTTGGATTTATTTACTTAATTTATGAGCACTTTTTAATTTATAAGCCAATTTGGTAGACACAGTATATAACTTAATAAATGTACATACAAATAAACACATCTAGACATTTATACATACACACACACACACACACACACACACACACACACACAGATCCACTAGCTTTTACCTTGGAACGCTAGCCATGAGATAGCAATACAAACTCACTGGTTTTACATGGTTACACTTTGTCCCAATAGATAAATATGTGCTATATATTTATCATATTTTGAATTTTTTGCTAGTGAAATTAAATTTCTCCATATATTTACCAGCAATTGAATTTATTATTCTATAAATTAGCTCTTCATAAATTTCACTCAATTTCCACTATAGTCCTCAACTTTTCTTACTGGTTTTTTAAAATGCTCATTCTTGAAAAAGCTAGTAATTTTTATCTTATGATATTCAACTATTTTTACAGTTTTTCATTTAGTCTTGACTTTACTTATGCTCTATTTGTAATACATAGCCTTTTAAATTATTATGTACTTAATTCTGTTTATCCTTTTTTTTCATTTTCACTTTAGGTATCATATAGAAAAAACATCCCCTCCTTAAATGTACTCTTTCGTATTTTATGGTTTAATTTTTATATATAAATCTTTATTCCAGTTGGAAATCATTTTGGTGACATGAGACAATACTCTAACTATATGTTTCTAAATATTTAACCAATTATATATTAACATTTTATGAATAATTTATTTCTTCAGTTAACAGATGCAACAGTTTTATCATGTACTAATAATAGAAAAATATGTAAAATTAATTTTAATCAAATTCATTCTTGTATATGGTTGAAAATCAAAGAGTGTGGAAAATTCTGTAAGGCATAAAACAGTTCTCTACCTCTCCATCCCCTGCCTGCTTCTCACAAATTACAGCCATGGCATCTTAGAGATGCAATATTGGTCACATGAAGGAAATGGAAAACATAAGAACAAATAAACTAACTCACCAGGGAGACAGTAAAATTTTGTGGCCAAATGGTAGCGAAACTTATGTTTGAAAACAAAATTATATTTTTCTAGTAAAAACTGAACTGACAATTCGATCTTTAGTGAAAACACAGAGCATACCATTTCTTCCATAATGTAGAAGTCTTATCACTACGATTTTGTAAAGCATCCTACATTCTAGGGTATCTTCACCTAAACAGGAAATATCATTTCATCCCAGGATAGGGCTGTTCATATTCCTATGCCAAATGTATCTTCTGGTCACGTTATAATCCAGTTCATCCACTCCACTCCACTTCATTATTCATACTCAATAACATCCTCACATTGTATTGATTGATGTATAAGAAAGTCCTGAGTTTGGAAAATTTGGATCTGAAGTAGAGGAGAAAGAGACTATGAAGGCAGTTTGTTTTATTTCCCCAACAATAAAGTTCCCTTGTAGAAAACGTAAAAAGTTGAGAGCATGATATTTAAAATAATTCCACATTTTATTGCTTTGGAAAGCAGAGCTATCTTTAGCTACCAAGGAGACTAAGGAAACACAATGTGTCAAAACACTATGGAGACAAAGAAATAAGGAAGAAATTATCAGAATACGAAAGTTCCCTTTGCTGCTAAGAAGTTCTTTTAACATGACAGGAAAGGGGATCCTTTGGAATAGTAGCATGCTTCTTAGAACATTACAAATACTCTGCTCTTAAAAAAGTGTGATTTAGTAGGTTCAAAACACAGCAAATCTTACGCATCCTGATTCCACTTCAGATATGAAACAGAGGAAACAACAGAAATTGTCCAGGGATCTATACAAGTGCTAGATATTTTCTTTTTCAAATTTATCAAGGGACTTAAAAACTTTTTGAATATATCTGAAATAATAAATACCCATAGTTTCCCATTGTTATACATATATATTTGGATCAGTCCTATACTAAATGATAATTACTACATTTTCTCTGGGCGGAAAAACAATGTACTCATTCAAGAAAAATATCTGCGGCCGGGCACAGTGGCTCACGCCTGTAATCCCAGCACTTTGGGAGGCCGAGGCGGGAGGATCACGAGGTCAGGAGATCGAGACCATCCTGGCTAACATGGTGAAACCCCGTCTCTACTAAAAATACAAAAAATTAGCCGGGCATGGTAGCGGGCGCCTGTAGTCACAGCTACTCGGGAGGCTGAAGCAGAAGAATGGCGTGAATCCGGGAAGTGGAGCTTGCAGTGACCCGAGAGCGCACCACTGCACTCCAGCTCGGGGGTCAGAGCGAGACTCCGTCTCAAAAAAAAAAAAAAAGATAGCTGCACAATTTATGAAATATTTTAATATGTGAAACATAAAAATTCAAAATTGAAAAATAAAATTATTGTTAATAAGTTAGTTGTCTGGTGTTATACTAGGAGAATGAGTAGTCCTTGCTAATTACAGAGAACTCAGGATCATTTATAATTAGATACATATATTTTTACATTGGGTATCTTGCTAGGATAGACATTATGATTTAAGGGACCCAGTCAAATTATAAAAATTTTTAACATTTGCAATAATTTCAGAACTAATTGAGTTATTGAACCATTCCTTTGTTCGTCTTGTTGTTTATTTGCTTGTTTCAGTTTAAGGCTTATTAGAAAGAAATAAAGGAAGGAAGGAAAAGAAAAAGAAACAGGAGGGAATAGACAAAGGACAGAAAATATTAAGGAGGTCAAGCAGCGTAGGAAAGACGACTCCAACAACTGAAACCAGGGATAGTAAGAATAGGACCCCTGGGGATACTGAATAGTGGGCAAGGGCCCTTCTTGCCCTGTACTACCCGAAGATGTTGCATCACTGCGAACATCTAGTCTTGGTACAAGCTCTCAAAAAGAGCTTGGCACTGGCTGACTGAGCTGGTCCCTTCCTCTTACAGGAAAAGAGCATGAGAGTAAGATACTTTCTTTATAGCTTTCACTTTCTTGAAAATATATCTGTGCATACTGCATAGAGTTTGTTCTGCTGCAGTTGGAATTAGCTCATTAGGGATGAGTAAATACAGAAGTGGTATCAACAAAAAGGAAAAGAGTAAAGACTCATATTTTTTCAGACAATGCTAACATTTTGAAGTGGAAAGGGGAAAACTGTCACACAATGAAGAAAAAACTTTACCAATATACGAAGATCAGTTTGTTTTTCCTGGCTGAAGATTTTGAAACAGACCCTGATAAGCCTGGGAAGTACCTTCCTTTGGTGTAATAACTGATTTAGTGTCTTCGGAAACATCTACATTTTTCACAGTCAAGTTATACAGAGAAGTGACAAGTGAAGATTAAGACCCTGCAAATACATTACACTGTGTATTAATAATAATGGTTAATGAATACGGCTCAGCATAACTTACAATTTTAAGTTTGATAAAATGGTTTCAGTTAATAGAGAATTTCTCCAAAGCCTATATCCCAAAGGAGAAAACACAAGCCCCAAAAAGGTGTTGAAAATGTTGAAAAATGATAATTCTGGGTACAGTTGTCTTTGTCTATATAACGGTGCTAGTATTATTCAAATTATTATTGTTTCACTGGAACTCCAAAGGGATTTTCACTGTTTTTATCCAACCCTAGTTTTCTCACAAACCTTATTATTTTTAGTGTGTGATTTTTGTAAAAATTTTTTGGCATTTTTTAGGAATGTATATAAGGCTTTAAAGTAGAAACTTCTACATCTTTATTTGACAAGAGAAGAAGGCTGACTCTCAGCACTGTGAACAAGAAAGGGAAAATTCTGAATATTAAAATGAAAACGGAGGCTGATTTTCCCAAGGGAGTAAATTAGTTACCAAATTGTATCCAAAAAACTTGACCATACCTACCTCTTTTTATTTTAGCTACTTAGTCACTTATTTTAGCTATTTTAGCTTATTTTAGCTATTTAGCTTTTTAGCTTATTTAGCTATTTAGCTATTTAGCTAAATAGCTATTTAGCTTATTTTAGCTATTTAGTCACTGCTAGTGACTGATGGTAGGAATAAGCTGGGTTTCTCTGGGGATGGGAAGGCATTCCAGTTCAGATCAGAACTTTTAAAGAAATTCTAAAAGAGGACCTTCACCAGGAAAAAAATATCTTGAAGCTTTAATATTTATTTTACTGGTTTGTAAGACAATATTTTTATTTCCAGTCTGGCAAGGAGAGACGATTGCTCAAGTATCATTATTAGTCCAAACTTTTCTTAAAACAGGTAAGTTGGAGTTTTAAAAATTTATGTCTTCAACATATGAGATTGACATTTATTTAGTAGAGATTGATTAAAAATAAATTGTATATTACTTAGAAAAGAGAAGTATGGTTGATCACCTGTATGCTTGCATGTAGACAAGTAGTGTTTGTGGAACAAGGAGGGTATGGGTGTGTGGATGGTTGTATTAACTGTGGATTATAATGACCAAAAGATATTAATCAATGGAAAGTATTTAAATTGTTCCCAAACTTTATACCATAGTAACTAAATTCCCCCAAAGGATGATTTTTTTTCTATACATACAGCAATACTTTTAACTTATTCATGCTTAACATGTATTTTCTGTTATAATTTATTGTAACCCAGTCATGCATAATTCATATATGACTCTCTGCTCCTTATTATTTGGCAATTGGGCAAGTCAGGGTATAGCAAAATGAATGATGGCACACGGCTTTGAATTTCAGTTTGGAGTGGAAACTTACTGATTATGTCAATTGTCGACTGAAAATTCTATATCCTATTTAAAATAGATGAAGGCAAAATAAAGACATTTTCAGATGAACAAGGTAGGAAAAATTTTAAGAGCAGACATGAGTTATAAAAAAAGGTTAAAGGAAGTTCATTACACTGAAGAAAATGATACCAAATGGGTATTTTAATTTAAAAAAAGAATGAAGAGTGCTGAAAATGGACATATATCAGTAAATGCATTTTACACATTTCCAAAGATTTCTTTAAAAGATAAATAATTGAAGGACCAATTAGTTATCATATTGTGGTATTAATAAAATATATTGAAGTAAAGTAGATAAAAATAATAATAAGAATGAAGAGAGGAGAGAAGAAAATACAGTTTTTTAAGGCTCTCACATGTGAAGTGGCATAACATGATTTGACAGTTACTGTGATAAGTTACAGATTCATATTATAAACCCTAGAACAACCAGTAATAAACCAGATACGTTCACTCAGTAATTTGAAGTGGAGCTCAAATGCAATACTAAAAGTACTTATTTTATCAAAAAGGGTACTAAAAGAAAAAAAAGAAAAAAGTATAAATGATGCAAATAGAAAACAAATTACAAATGGGAAACTTAAACAGCATAAACAAGTATATGTAAACATTCTAAAAACTACAATTAGAAAGATAGAGATTATCATACTCAACTTCAAAGAATTAAAACCAAAATATATCTTATCTGAGGAAATGCTATTTCAACATGACAGAAATAGTTTAAAACTGAAAGCATACAAAGGACATACCATGAAAACACTAACCATAAGAAAGCTGAAGCTACACATTAACATCCATAAAAGCAAACTTCAAAAGAAGATATAAAGAAAATAAGGGGATATTTTATAATGATGAAAGGAAGAGTTAATTAAGAAAATATAACAATCATATACATGGGATATCTATCAAGAGAAACTTGAAAAAAGCAAAAACTCCCAAAGCTGAAAGAAGAAATAGATATCACTACAATTTTAGTTGAAGATTTCAAAACTTCTCTCTCAGTAATTGATGAAATAAGCAGACAGAAAATAAGAAAGACTACAGAAAACTAGAACAATATAACTCAAGCTAATTGACATTGATAGTGCACTCCACTCCAAAGAAAGAGTTTATATTCTTTTTAACTACAGTGAAAGATTACCAGCATAGATGATATATTGGGCCATGAAACACTCTTGTTACTTAATAGAATTATAATCAAACAGAATGTATTTTCTGAAAAGTGAGTTAAATTATAAATTAGTAACAGTAACAGATCTGAAAATCCTCTCATATTTGGAAATCAAACAACATATTGCTAAACAAATACATGTACATGCATCATGGGTCACAGATGAAATGACAGGGAAACCTGTCATTTGAACAAAATAACAATGAAAACAACATAATACATAAATAGATTGGGGTGTGGCTAAATAGTGCTTAGACAAAAGTTTAGATTGTTAAATATTTATTATAAAAAAGAAAAGTGTCCCAAACCAGTTGAAAGATCTATTGCATCATCTAAAGAACTAAGATATGAAAGAGTAATCCAAAGTAAGTAGGAGCAAAACCACGATTCAAATAGAAGCTGAAATCAATGAAATTTAAAATAACAAACTGTAGAGGAAATCAATAAAGTCAATATAATAAAATGCAATCCTTTGATGAAAAGATAGTTGAAAGTGATGTAACTAGTAGTTAAGTTGATTTAAAAGACAGGAGTCAATTTATCTCCATCATGAATGAAAGACAATGTTACTACAGATTCAATAAAAATGACAACATAATAAGGCTAAAAATTATTAAAAATATGAAGCCTGAATATGCACTCACACACTTGCACACACACACATTTCACACATGCACAAAAACAAAAGCCCAGGCACAGATGTTCCTAATGGCGGAGTCTATCAAACACTCTAAGAACACATCATCAATCCACCACAGTGGTTTTAGAATGTAGTGAAAAGAATACTTCTCAAGTGACTTTTGAAACCAGTATCACCCTCAATTTCCCTGTGTAGACTCATAACTGTAAAGGTAGTCTGTTAAGCCAATGTCCTGGAAACTCATTGTCCTGGAAACACACTGTCCTGGAAACTTTGGTAAAGATTTTTTTCTTTGAAGTTAATACATTTATTTTACTTTGACAGAATACCAATCATTCTTAAAATTGCATACACTGCAGGGAGTCCTAGCAGGCCATCTTTGGGAAAATAAAGTAAGACTGAATCATCTTTTAGCTTCTCTTGAAAAATAAAGGCACTGACTCTTACATGTAATTTCACTTTCTTTTTTTAAGGCTTCAATTGGGAAGAATAGAGCAGACATAAACCTTGTTTAAGGGTTTTAAAAAAACGTACCTCTGTATTTGCTTTATCCTGATGTAGCTTAGCTCCTTCTTGATGGAGTTGTAGAATGCTTTGGTCTGAAATAAGATGAGCTGAGGTGCTCTATTGTGCTCATTCTATAGTGAACATCCATGAATTTTCTTGTGCTTGCTTTCAAACAATTTCAAGGTGATTAGATTTTCTAGTGTTATGTACTGCAGAGAAAACAGATAGACGGATTACATTTTTTCAGCTTAGCAATGAGCACAATTGTCACTCTTTTCAGTAGGTATTAATATCCTTCATGGGAAACCCATGGAACTTATATACAAAAGGAGCAGAAACATTCAAAGAAAAGAGTGAATGTAATTTATTAACAATTCCACCAACGCGCAAGCTTATCCTTTGCACAAATATTTAACTTCTGCTTGTTATATAATATGTATGATGAGAAAATGGTAGAGTGATAAAATCAGATGGGCTTCAGGGACAAACTGAATACTTTTCAAGTAGCTTATACCAACACTCTGTGTGTGCTCCAAGGAATTCTGCTTAATGCTGTCTTTTTGCAGTTCCCTACTATCCCTTATTTACCTTTTTTATCACATGGAATTGAAAGAAAATCCCACTTGCTTACTTTTCTTCTCCCCCTTCTATCCCCCAAAAATGTAATCTCCTCAAGGGCACGAACTCCTTGGCACATCCGTAGAGTTCAGTCTTTAGGTGAGTTCTAGGAAACAGACCCTGCCTCCTGAAAATCTATCCACCTTAACTGCAAACGGATGGATAGAACACAGGCGGAAATCAGAAATGTTGATCTGGTTATGGTTTATATGACAGTAACACTAATTTAAGATGATTTATCTACATAAAAAGAATTCACTAGATCATGGAAATTCAAACTATCATTAGACATATTTTAATAATATTCAATAAGATTCAAGCAGTAGTTACTACATGATTATCAAGATTTTATTATCAAGCCCTCTAAATGTTAACTTAATTGACAGTAATTGGATTGAAATCAACAGTAAAAAAAACAATAATGTTGACAGTTATGCGCCAGACCCTTTTGGAGCACAACCTTAGTGCTCTGCAGGGATGGAGACGGTTATCTCCATTTGCTGGTGAAGGAGAACCAAAAAAGGCAAGACTGGCAGATTTTTCAGTGTCACATACTGAGTAAGAGCTAATGGGGAGATTCTGATGACACTGCCCATGTTCTTTCCAAATCATTCATTAAAAAAAAAAAAAAAGAAAAGAAATAGAAACAAACCTGCTCTGAAACATGTTTTAAGTTAAAAAAAGGAAAATTTTTAAAATAAGAGAATGGAACCTGGCAAAGAGAACACAAATGTATTTGTTTATGTTATTATTAGATTAGTGAATAATATCATACTTTAAATGACATGTCAGTTAGAAAAATCACAACAATATTAAACTGTGTAAAACTCTTAGCTAGAAACTAATTTTAACTGAAAGAAATAGCTTTAGCTTATTTGTGTCGATATATGTTTCAACAGAGTTTGAGGGAAGACATTGATGTGGTACAAATACGATTCTGAATTCTGTCAGGAGCCTCTTAATGGGATTTCTGAAAGAGTGACTATGTGTTAGCTACCTAATAACACTGAAAAAAATAATTTTATAGATATATATTTGTAAAAAAAAGTGATTATTGTTGTGTAAGTAATTACAAAAATCTCAAAATAAATATGGTTAAAGCCAGATATATAAAATTAGTAACTCTAAATTGAGGTATAGTAAATAATGGGTAATTAGCACTTCCTAAAGGTTTTTCATAAGTTACCTGATTAAATTATTATAATAATCTTATGAGATAAGTAATATTTTATTTCAATTTTAGAAATGAAGGAACTGAGGCAGTAAAATAAACAGAACCTTGCCTTGGGCCTCCCAAATCCTCCCAGTCCCACCTTTTCCTCGTGAGCCTCAGATTCCTGTGCAGAGCTGCCTCACCAATATGTTGTGCCATTTCCTATTCCTGGAAAAGCCCTGGAGACTGCAAGTAACGTACTTGTTTTGTTAGTTGTACAGTATATGTGATTGCTAGAAGCAAAGATATCTTCTAAAAAGTTAATTGGTTGTACAGGGTAATGGATGTATATTTCCTCTATGATACTTATATTCAAGATGTCTCCCTTCCTCCCTCCGTCTCCCTTCCCTTCCCTTCCCTCCCCTCCTCTCCCCTTCCATCCCCTTCCCTCCCCTCTCCTTCCCTCCCCTTCCCTTCTCCTTTTCTCCCTCTCTCTCTTTCTTTCCTTTTTTCCTGTCCTTGAAACATTACCGACTGCACACCTTCTCTGTGTTAAACGCACTAGGTGCACAGAAGAGAGAAAGCAAAACAAGATCCTTGCTATCAAGTGCTTGTGTGCTATCACCGGTGCAAAGACAGTAAATAAGTAAACAAGCAAGCAAAGAAGTCAGTGCAGATTGTGATCACAAATGAAGCACTAGCATGAAGAGATAGCAATGTCTGATGGTCAGCATGGGTGGAGTGGGGAGGTTAATTAGAGAGAATGAGCAGGAAAGGTCTCTGAGAAGGAGCCACTGGAGAAGAACCAGATAAATCCCCAGTGAAAGGATGTTCCAATGGAAAAAAAACATACCAGTGAGAGTCCTGTGCTTGGAAGAAGTAGCCATATGTGAGGAACACAGATAAAGACCGTGGCATGGGGAAGATAGTGAAGGGATGGAAAAAATGGATGGATGAATTTAGAGAGGAAAAAAAAGACCAGATTGTTGGGGGGGTGATTCATCCTGATCATAATAAGGAGTTCTCTTTTGCACTTGCTTCATTTGATTGGCTCATTAAATACTCACATAAAAATACCCAGTGTGCTATGGGTGCTGAGTCTAAATCCGGAGACAGGGGCCAGCTTGCACTTGGGTGCCTAATGCAAATGTAGGGTCATCTGACAAGGCTTACCCAATTAGCATCTCTGACAAAGGTATGTGCATGCTGAACAAATTACCCAGGTGCTCCTTATGCAATTAGAGTTTAGAAACATGAGTTTAGAGGTTAGAGTCAAAAACATGGAAATAGTTGAACTTCTCCAAGAAGAGAATGACTACAGAGAAAAGGGACCAGAGATATCATACCACTTCTCCTACGTGGGGAGGTATAGGTGTGGCATCACAGCACACAGAATTTGGGACCAGAGGAAGATGGCTGCATGGAGCTAAGAGGAGAGCCCTTCAGTATGAAAAGTATGGTGGGCAGCATGGGCACCTACAGTTGGTAGGCCAGTATGATGGGAACAGCGGGACTGCATGGTGCTTGATGTCTAAAGGATCTGAGAGAGAACAGATAGTGTATCCTTGGGGGACAATGGGTATAGAAATAGCATTAGAGACATATTATCAGTAACCTGTGAATACTACTCTTTCATACAAAGTAACTGCATCTTTATTTTATATTTTGGAAACTTTCTTAAAATTAAGATTTCTTTTTCATTTCTGTTATTTATTTATGATAACTTTTTTTTTTTTCTTATAGGGGTGGTGTCTCACTATGTTGCCCAGACTGTTTTCTAACCCTGGCCTCAAGCAAATTTCCCACCTCCTTCTCCCAAAATGCTGGGATTACAAGTGTGAGCCACTGTACCCAGCCTACTTAGGAGGACATTTACTATTCACTTACTGATTTGCATCAAATTATGTAAGTTACATAGTATGAAAGGGAAAATTGTCAACCCTCAGTAAAAATTACAAATAAATGTTTTCTGTTTTATCAATTTTATATAAAAGACAAAAGTCATACACTATATTTTTGGGGTTTTTTTAATGAAGACAATAAATTTGTGTTATGAAAGATAACTTTTGCCTTATGCTAAAATACCTATTAGTTATGAATAGAATATTCTTTGTTTATAAACTGTATTTCAGATGATATATCTAATGGTCTAAACTCTAGATCCAAAATGATGGGTGAATGATTATTAAAAAAACATAAATTGTCTTTGATCTAATTATATATTGTATGTCTATGGATGTGTGCATATATAATTGCATATATAAATACATATACATATATAATTACACTAAAATATATACATATATGTTTTAGCACATAGAAGAGTCATGGATTTTTGTTTACAAAGAAGGTTAGATACTGTTGAGTATGAAAGGAAAATTTCTCTGTGTCTGTATCAAAAAAAATGTAGATGAGGGATAAAAACATCTGTCTGTGCCAAGAAATAGATCAACATAAGTTCATATGCAAGTGCTAGAACTGTCTCTTGTTATGAAATTTATGTAAAGATATATTGTGCTTTTAAAAACTATTCTTGAATCTTAATCAATGGCTATGGCAGTCATGAGTCAACACTTAAGTTTTCCTCCACCATAAAGTGATTCAAGAACATATGACTTACTTTGGCCCATGACTCATGAAAATGAGTGAAAGATATTGAGAGACTGAATATAAAAATGGATCAGGACCAGGCCATATATTACAACAGATTCAGACCCACAACCTCTACTCTAGCCAGTCCAGGAAGCCCAAAGACAACCTGTGCAGCAATAGGCCCAGCATGGTCAGGACTTGGGTGGTGTCTTCTACCTTTCCTATTTTCTGCCACCTCTTTAAACTTAGCATCAACCAGAGAAAGCCAAAGCTGCTTTGCTAACAGAGCACATGGTATGTCTCTCTTCCAGTTAGCCACCTCCAGCTTCCCCAGGCTTAACAACCCCCACTCAGGGAACACTTGAAACTCTCCTTTCTCCCCACTCTAAAGCTTTCTCAAGCACCTGACTGCCTGTGAGTGTCTGCCAAAGCTATGAGGGTACCTGCCTCCCTGGCTATAGCAAGCTCTGAATCAATATGCTTTGCTTTTCTCATTTGTGTAGTCTTTGTTTATCTCACACTTTGGACAAGCCAATTAACCACATTCCTTGTCTATAAAGCAGTATATGGGTGGCTCAGAAAAGTGTGAGAATTGATTGAAGATGAGTGTTAAGGTGCTCTAAATTTATCTGATGACCAGAATGGCAAACTGTGGAAGTCATTGGTTTGCTCATTAATACTGTAGTATTTTGATACTTCCCCACACCCTGCTTGACATGTTTTATGACCTATTGCACGATTTGCTAAATCTCTGTTCTTTCCTCCATAGTGATTGGTGGTGTTTCAGAAGGTGGAAGCTCTGCCAGCCCCACATACAGCCTGAGTGAGACATGCCATTCATTTGTTAAGCAGCTGAGGGTTTGTAACTGCTTGTGACTGCGGCATGTCCAAGAATGTTTTGTCTGATGCACGACAATGAGTGAATATATAATGATTCAACAAGAGCCATAGAGTTTTAAAATGTGTTACATTTTATAGGAAATACAGTTACTTAGACTTATAAAAACAAGATATTCTCAGAATATTTTTCATACTGATTTACCTCTACTTGTCTTACTGGTGTCTATGAGCTCAACTCAAGATTTCCAATCAAATAACAACGATATGGATTCACCTGGTGGCCAAGCAACAATGTAAGATATTTAGAGTAGAGTCCTCAGAACATTTTGCTGTGTTTGAAGATGCTCAGGGTAAGTTATAGTATTCTGAGTTTTGTATTTCACTACAACAAATGCTTGTCTTTATTTTCTTTCTTTTTTTTCAAGACGAGGACAGAAGAGATTGAGAATCATGGTTAAAAGAGAAAAAACAAAACTCACTTGGGCCGTCTTTAAATGTATACAGATAGGTGTTTGGTAGGCCCTAGCATGCTTAAACTTAGGTTTCAGTATGCATGGGCCTTCCAGGAAACTGGCTGGGAAGACACACAAGAAATTTATATCCTGTAAGGGACTGAGGCCAGAGAGAGAGGGGCTCAGCACAGCTGGTATCAGAGCCATGCTATAACACTGGGTGCTGCCAAAGAAAGACACTATGGAACATGATGCAAATGCTGTTTCATGAAGGCACACAACACCATCTACATGCAGGTACTAAAGCAATGGAAACAGCACAGCACCCTCCTTCTCAGGAACCACTGCACTGATCACTCCTTGTGCATGACTAAGCAGCCTCACTCAGCAGGGCTTGGCAGGGGAGTCTGCCAGATGTCGTAAAGCTCAGAAACAGAAAAATGATGAGAGAGGATGGGATGCCCAGGAACATAGTCACTGCCCCTTGGGAGCAGGAGCACCTCGTGGAAGTGGCAGCTCTGCCCCGAGAAGTGGGCAAGTTGGAGCCTGAGTCTAGCAGGGTTTTGGGCCTTTTGCAGAGGTCTGGCCTCTACATGCGGGTGTTGCTGAAAAGTTAGAGGAACTTTTCTGGAGTCGTGAGTGCATGTTGGGGCAAAACTCAGTAGAATTTGAGTGATTATTTCAAACACAAATACAATTCTACCCACAAATAGGTGAAGCCAAGAGAAACTGGCCATTTATGGGTCTATGCAACTACATTTAACTTATACACACATATAGAATTAGTATTGATGTTAAGGGTAGAAATGCTGACAGAGCGGTGACCATGTGTAAATTAGGAAATAAGAAATATTAAGGCATTGTTGTTTCAGAAAGTTCAAACTATCCATATAAATGAGTAAAATCTGATTATCAGTTAACTAGCTGCTATGCAAGATGCATATATTATCATAAAAGCAAAATAATATTTCAATGATTTATAAAAATAAGAGAAACTAACACATCTGGATAAAGAATCCAATTATGCCTATCTAAAGCAACTATCCCCAACAGATCAAACTGTTTTGCAATCTTATCTCTCATGACTATGATTGTAATTTATATTAAAACAACTATTGAGGCCAAAAATAACTCAGAGCTAAATTGTTCAAATAGCTATGTTAAAAGGCATCTCACTTTTGTCATTTCAGTACAAATGGGATTCTCATTGGGAACATAGAAAGTTAGTTTGCTAGGATGACTATTGAAACCTTAAGGTGAAAAAGCTTGCTCTTACTGAGAAAATCCCATCATGAGTTGTGGGATTCAATTCAAACGAGACACAAAGGATAAAGAAACACTAAGAAAATATGCATAAAAAAGACATATATTAAAATGAAAATCTGTTGAGTCATAACTGTAACACATCTTTAGAGGTGGCAGCTTTACAATCAAATAAATAATATTTTGACACTTTCCATAACATTATGTTTAATCTCCTTTCAATTACATCCATCTGACCGTCTTTCCAGGTACTTTGAATCACAATTCACGTGTCAGAACTTTATTTTGTTCTAAAGAATGAATTTCAAGAAAAAAAATCCTTATGTTTCATTCGTATATCATGAAATGGGCATTCAACACTTTTCTTGATTTGTATGGTTAGCTGAAATGGATAAATCAGACACATATGATACTGGTCCAATTAAAGTGAATGTGCACAAACTACCTTTTAAAGTTTTGGGTAGTCATTATAAATTGATCTGGATGTTAAAATTCACTCAAAAATTTCAAAGAATTTCTTGTGAATCAAAAATATCTTGAAAGTCAAAAGATTAGGAGAAATACATTTACTGTGATTTAAAAGAACACTCGATCCATTTTTAAAATATTTAGTAATATATAATTTATTATTTCACTCATCTGTCTCAGTATAAGGAATTTGGTGACATTTCTATTTATGCTTTTAGAGGAAACATCTGATTCTAAGGTTCAAAGCGTGAGACTGTAAGGCTTTTACAAACACAGAAATTAATGAGGAAGGTCACCATGCAGTCTATAACTATCACAGACATTTTTTAATGCAACAATTTACTGGATTAGCTATCAGAAAGTCAAGGAGGTGATTCACTACCATACATGAAAATAAAGTATAAAATACTGGTTTTGACAGTGCAACTACACTTTTATAGCTGTTTTGTCAGTTTCTCACAAATTTCCTCAAATGGACATATCATTACTTGAATAGTAATCAGCAATTTATTTTCAGGGGTTTTTTTGCAATAAAAAGAAATGCCTTCACTCATAAAACATAATGAAGAGAAAGGCACTTTATTTAAGAATAGAGGAATGCATTATGCCTCTTGAATATATAGTACATTATTTATAATCTACTGCTGCAGTTACTGTTGTATATCCTGCTATGGAACTGTATGAAGAGAGATGAGCATTGCTTGCATTTTGTTTTCCTTGCACTTGGATTGATCTCTTACTTTTTAAACCTTATTTTGGTTCATAGAGTAATTAAGACTAAATAATTAAATAGAATAAAACAGTTAAAATTATAATACATACACATACATATGTTGCTTGTATATATATTTTACTACAGTTAAGGACAACTTTAATTATCATAGCCTAAAAATTATTGTTTTTTAATACTATGTTAAAAACAACAAAAACAGTAGTTTATAAGCTAAAGATCACTCATCTTCTTATTAAATTTACACAAAGAACTAAAAAATAAATTACAACACATCCTTTTACACATCCTTGCCATTAAGTAGATTCTATATTGTTTTTATCATGGTAATTTCAGCAAAAAAAAATCCTTAAACTCCAGTTTAATTTAAAAAAGTACCCCAAACCAAATAAATAATAACAAATGTAATCATAATAGTTAATTCTTGCATAATATTTTTAAAACTCCAAATAGTAACCAGGGGTACACTAATATAAGATAATCACTTAAAAAGAAATTCTAATTATGTGTATGATTTTGTTCTAGTCTTATAACTAAAAAGGAGACATTTATTTTGCAGAGGTCATGCACGACTTTACCTGCAAATTAGCAAATTACTATTTTATCAATTATAGACAACTCACTTAAAATGCCAGTGTGCTTGGAGGACTCTTAGAACAGCAGTGTGCCATTAGCAGACATATGGTGCAATAGGATGAAAGAAAAGATAAAGCAATTTCCAAATTCTGACCTAAAGGGGTGTGAAAATCTGCACTTCCAACCCCAATGTAAATTAAGTGTTCTTACCTATGGATTGACATACTCGAGAACTTCTAACCTGACACACACTCTTCCTGGCTCTAAATCTGTTATAGCTTTAGCATTAATTCTGAGGAAAAAATATTTTTTATAATATTTATGTGTTTATAGGTACCTAATATTGTGGGTATAATTCAACCAAAATGTACCAGGCATACACCCCAATTTTCACTTGAATAAAACACCCAAGAGAGGTGCAATGAGGGTATAAAAATAAAGAAAACCCTGTTTTTGCCTTCCAGGAACCACCACCAAAAATTTCACCAGGTGCTGTCTATATTAAAATACTTATATACACATACATGCACAAGCAAAACACTTGTTCTTATGTAAGGTATATTTATATGTATATAAACATATACGTGCACATTTGGGCACATATTGTCTTATACTTACACTTAAAATACACATACACACACAGGCAAACACACACTCACTTTGACACATATTGCCTCATTTGATGATCCAAACAACCCTTTTAAATAACGAATGTAACTTTTATCATTTTATTTTCATTTTGTGATTTTAAAAAACCTCAGAGATGAAATGTTATGTAGGTTAACATTCTGTATTAATTTCCTATGGCTGCGGTAACAAAGTACCACAAACTAGGTGGCTTATAAAAACAAGAAATTATTGGTTTACAGTTCTGGGCACTCAAAGTCTAAAATTAATGTGTCAGCAGGGCTGTGCTCCTCCTGAATTCTGTGCCTCCTCCTTGCCTCTGGTGGTCTGCTGGTGATCGTTGCTCTTCCTTGGGTTATAGATACCTCACTCTAATCCTCTTTCATGTGACCTCTTTATTCTATGTGCCGTTTCTGTTCAGATTTCCCCTTTTATAAGATACCAGTCATATTGGATAAGGGATCACTCTGATGTCTTATTTTAACTTGATTACCTCTGTAAAGATCTTATCTCCAAAAAAAACCTCCAGCAGAGATATTCATCTATCATCCCCCATGCTATACTAACTGTATATTTTCCAGCGCTTTTACTCACATTGATTTCTCCTGATTGAAGGCCATTTATTCTTCTTGGCAGATCTTAGTCTTAGTCTGCTTTTAAAAGCCAACTCCTATCCTCCCTGCTCGCTCTTTCTTTTTTTTTTTTTTCTGAGACAAGTTCTTGCTCTGCCGCCCAGACTGGAGTGCAGTGGCATGATCTCTGCTTACTGCAACCTCCATCTCCCAGGTTAAAGCAATTCTCCTGCCTTAGCCTCCCGAGTAGCTGTGATTACAGGCGCCTGCCACCCTACCCCGCTAATTTTTTTGTATATTTAGTAGAGACTGGGTTTTGCCATGTTGGTCAGGCTGGTCTCAAACTCCTGACCTCAGAGGACCCATCCGCCTCGACCTCCCAAAGTGCTGGGATTACAGGCTTGAGCCACCGTGCCCAGCCCTGCTCTTTTATTTTTTCTAGCAAATTTTTAATTGCAGTCCCAGCCCATGTGAAACTAAGAAGCTTATCTCTACACTGGGACAAGTGTCCATGAGCCATCAGGACACACGTCCAGAAGAGGGATCTGAATACTCTGGTGTGGAACAAGATGTCACACTGAGGGCGAGTCTGGAGTCCCCAGAGCTGAATGAGAGCTGAAGCAGGAGCATTGAGTGGTGTCCAGGCACATGTGGAGAAGGAGAGCTGTCCCAGGGCTTCAGGAAATAGCTGAGAAATAAGGTTAAAGGAGAGAAGTTCAGAGCTATTGTCTAAATCCAGAAGGCGTTTCCCAGAACAGTTTCTAATAGTTTAACTAAATTAGGTATGTCATATAGGTAGAATCATGCAGTATTTGTATTTTTGTCTGGCTAATTTCACTTAGAAAATTTCCTCTAGTTTTAATTGTGACGTAACAAATGGCAAAATTCCATTGTATGTGTATACCGCATTTCCTTTTTCCATTCATGTGTTGATGAGCATTTTAGTTACTTTCAACTATTGGCTATTGTGAATAATGTTACAGTGAATGTGGGTGTGCAAATAACTCCTTGAGATCCTGTTCTCAATTCTTTTGGATATATACCCAAAAGTGGGGTTGCCAGATCCTTCTGTATCCAGTAGTTCAATTTTTATTTGCTAGGAGTTCAGTTTTTATTTGCTGGTAGTTCAAGTTTTAGCTTTCTGAGGACTTATATATACTGTTTTCTATGGTTTCTGAACAAGTTTATGTTTCACATTTACATTACATTACATTTTACATTTACATATGGTGCATTTACATAAAATGCACCAGGGTTGCAATTTCTCCACATCTTTGTCAGCATTTGGTTTCTATTTATATGATAATAGCAATTCTAATGGGTGTACGGAGGTATCCCATTGGGGTTTTAGTTTGCATTTCCCTGATGACTAGTGATGTTCAGCATCTTTCCATATGTTCTTTGTGCACCTTCTTTGGAGAAATGGCTGTTCAAGTCCTTTGCCCAGTTTCAAATCAACTTTGGCTGTTTGATTATACAAATCAAATTTGTATAATGCAGGAGCTCATTATACTATCTGAATATTAGCCTCTTATTAGATATATGATTTGCAAATATATTCTCCTACTTTGTAGGTTGCCTTTTCACTTTGCTGATTGTTTCCTTTGCTGCACAGACATGTTCACTTTGATACAGTTACACTTCTCTACATTTTATTTTATTGCCTGTGACATTGGTGTCATATCCAAGAAAGAAAGAATACCCAAAATGTAGTACACAATGTCATCTATGTTTCTTCCATATTTATTCATCAGGTGTTCTATAGTTTTAGACTTTATATTTAGGCATTTAATCCATTTTGAATTAATTTTTTATATGGTAAAAGGAAAGGTCTAACTTCTTTCTTTTGTATGTAGATATCCAGTTTTCCCAAAGCCATTTATGAAAGATACTATCTTGTGTAGTGTTGGCATCTTTGTCTGAGATCATTTGGCCATATATCTAAGCATGTATTTCTGAGCTGTTTATATTTCGTTGTATTGGCTATATGCCTGTTTTAATGCCAGTATCATGTTTTATTTCTGCAGCTTTGTAATATGCTTCAAAATCTGGGTGTTTGAGATCTCTAGCTTTTCTTTTCTCTTCAAGATTGTTTTGGCTATATGGTGTTCTTTGATATTCCATATAAATATTAGAATTTTTTTGTATTTTTGCCAAAAATGCCACTAGGATTTGACAAAGATTGCATTGACTATGAAGTTCACTTTTGGTCATACGGACACTTTAATTATATTAATTCTTCCAATCCATGAGCATGGAATGTCTTTGCATTTACTTGTTTCATATTACATTTCTTTCATTAATGTTTTGTAGTTTTCATTATACATTTTTTGTCTCTTTGTTTAAGCTTATCCTTAAGTGTTTTTTTCTTTTTTATGCTATTGTACATGAGACTGTTTTCGTAATTTCCTTTGAGGATTGTTGATTGTTAATGTATAGAATGCAGCTGATTTTTGCCTGTTGATTATGTATCCTGCAATGTAGCTGAATTTATTAGTTCTAAATGTTCTTTTGTGGAATCTTTAGTGTTTCCTAAAAATAACATCATGTCATCTGCAACCAATGATATTTTTGCTTCTTTCTTTCCAATTTGGATGTCCTCTATTTCTTTTCCTTGATTAATTGTTCTGGCTAGGACTTCTAGTGCCACACTAAATAGAAATGGTGAGAGTGGCACACTTGCCTTGTTCCTGACCTTAGAAAAAAAAAAAACTTTTAGTTTTTCACTTTTGACTATTATGCTAGCTTTAAACTTTTCATATATGATCTTTAATATGTTGAGGTAATTTCTTTCTATTTTTAGTTTTTTGAGTGTTTTTATGATGAAACTATGTTGAAGTTTATCAAGTGCTGTTTCTAGATCAATGACATAATCATGTGGATGTTGTTCTCCATTACGTTTTGTAGTATACGATGTTGATTTAATAAGTTTCACTATCCTTGCATTCCAAAAGTAAATTTCACTTGGTCATGAGGTGTTATCATTTTAATGTGCTGTTGAATTTAGTTTGTGCATTAGTGTGTTTTCACACTGCTATAAAGATAGTACCCAAGGGTGGCTAGCTTATAAACAATGGAGGTTTAATTGACTTATAGTTCCACATGGCAGGGGAGGCCTCAAGAAACTTACAATCATGGTGGAAGGGGAAGCAGGCACCGTCTTTAAAAGGCATCAGGAGAGAGAGGACATGTGAAGGAGGAACCGTCAAACATTTATAAAACCATCAGGTCTCATGAGAATTTACTCACTATCATAAGAACAGCATGGGGGAAACCACCCCCATGATCCAATCACCTCCCTCCCTCAACATGTGAGGATTACAGGTCCCTGGCTTGACACATGGGGATTACAAGTTGAGATAAAATTTGGGTGGAGACACAGCGCCAAACCAGTATCAGTTTGCTAGCATTTTGTTGATAAATTTTAAATCAAAATTAATGAGAAACGTTGGCCTGTACTTTACTTGTAGTACTTTTGTGTGGTTTTGATTTCAGGGTAATGTTGTCCTCACAAAATGAGTTAGGAAGTGTTTCTTCCTATTCTATTTTTTAGAAGAGTTTAAAAAACATTGGTATCTGTGATTCTTTAAATGTTTGGTAGCATTCTCCAGTTGGTTCTGGGTTTTTCATTTTGGGGAAGTTGTTGATTATTGATTTAATCTCCTTTAAGATTCAATCCTTGTAGGTTGTATGTTTCTAAAAGTTTATCCATTTATTTTAGATTATCCCAAATAATTGTCATATAATTGTTCATATTGATCGTTTATTATCCTTTTTGTTTCTGTGGCATCAATTTTAATGTCTTCCAAATCTCTCCCTCTTTCTAGCTAAAGGTTTGCAAATTTTATTTTAAACTTTACAAAAACCCTCAGTTTCTTTTAATATTTTTTATTCTTTATATATTCTATTTCATTTATGTCTATTTCATTATGTCATAAATATATATATTTATGAAATATATTCTATTTCATTATGTTCATTTATGAACATTTATGTTCATTTCCATTCCCTTCCTTCTTTTAACACTGAATTTAGTTTGTTTCTTTTCTCTAGCTTCTTGAGGTGTAAAGTTAGATAGTTGATTTGAGACTTTTTAAATTTTTTTAGTGTAGATGTTTACCATTCTAAATTTTCCTCTTAGCATGTATTTTGCTGTAGGTATGGTATATTGTGTTTGAATTTTCATTTGTCTCAAATTTGTGATTTCCTCTCTGACCCATATGCTGTTGTTTAATCTCCACATATTTGTGAATTTTTAGTTCTTTTGCCAATTACTGGTAGTTTTATTTCACTGTATTTGGAAAAGATATTTGATATAATTTTAATCTTCCTAATTTTTTAAAGACTTGTTTTGTGGCCTAACATGTGATACAGTCTCAAGAATTTTTTATGTGCTCTTGAGAAGAATGTGCGCTGCTGTTGTTGGAAGAAGTGTTCTGAATATATCTCTTAGGTCCAATTGATTATAGTGTTGCCGAAGTCTTTGTTTCCTTGTGGATCTTCTCTCCAGTTGTTTTATTATTTAAAAGTGATTATGAAGATCTCCTACAATTATTATATTATATGTGGTTTTTCCTTCAATTCTTTCAATGTTTGCTTCATATATGTGGGTGCTCCAATGTTAGCTACATATATATTTATAATCATTATAACTTCCTAGTGGATTGACCCTTTTACCATTGTGTAATATTGCTCTTTATCTCTTGTGACAGTTTTTGCCTTAAAGTCTATTTGGTCTGATATAAGAATGACCAGTCCTGCTTTCTTGGGTTATCAATTACACATTTAATATTTTTTTTCCTATCCTTTCTCTTTCAGCCTATTTGTGTGTTTAAATCATAAACAAGTCTCTTGCATACAGCATACAGTTGGATCTTGTTTTTTAATCCACTCACAGTATGTTTTTGATTGAGGAGTATAAGTATATTTAAAATAATTGCTTATAGGGAAGGACTTATTATTGCCATTTAAAAATTATTTGTTGTATAATTTTTGGTTAGTTTGTTCTTTTTTTTTCTGCCTTGCTTTATGTTATAGATCTTAAAATTACATCTTTTTTTACATTTTCTATTTATGTAGCCTTATAGTTATTTTTATGCATTTATCTTTTCCATTGTATATGAAAATTAAAAGTGATTTACATATTACAGGATTCTGTATTTGTCTATATACTTACCTTTATCAGACAGCTTTATATTTACATAAGCTTCTCTGTTACCGTCTAGGGTCTTTTCATTTCAACTTGAATGACTTCCTTTAGCATTTCTTGTAAGAAAGGACCAGCAATGTTGAATGCTCTTGATTTTTTTTTCTGGAAAGGTTTTTATTTTGACTTCATTTTTTAAAGCACAATTTTACCTTTACATAGTATTTTGTGGTTATTTCCTAGATTTATTTTTTTCCTTTGATTGGACCTTTTTTTATCCTGTTACTTTTATAATTTATTTTTATCTCAGATTTTTGTCATTTCAAAAAATAGCTCCCCTCCTAGTCTTTACAGACTTTATTCAGGAAAAACCTTCATCTATCAGCATGGCTAGACATTCTGGTGGCCTATCAGACATTTAAGGGGGATGTATCTCCTATGGGCTTATGTGTGTAATTTCCCAGTTAGAGGTTTGCCAGGTTTTTTTTCAGGACTTTATAATTTCTTCCTCCCTCTAATATCTGTCTTTGGTACTGCAGGTTCTATGGTGTTATAAAAAGCCACTCAGTTCTCCTTTGTTTTCAGTGGTTTCAGGTTTCCAAAGTATGCTGGTTCCCCATCAGCACTCCAACTGAAGTGAGGCCAGCACATGTCCTTAGGCAGCCTCCTGAAAAGCCAAAATGCTGGATGTTTTGTTCCAATTTTCTCTTTCCTTCCTGAGGCAGAAGTTTGGAGTTGGGTGTTTTCTACTGATTGCTCCTAGCTGTGGTAACTTGGGGCAGGGGATATCACAGCTGAAATGCAATGACTTTTCTTACGTGTTTCAATGCAGCTGTTCTTGGCTTTAAACTTGCCTGAGATATTTCAACTGCTTAATTGTTTTCTGGAATTCTCATGAAGAATTTTTGAAACATATATTGTTGTTAAGTCTGAATCTCATAAGGGAATGAAGTCTGGAGCTTCCTATTGTTCCATTTTGCTTAAAATTCATCAATCAATATATTTTTATTGAAGAGAGAGAGTAATACTTGTGCTTTTCTGTTTTTATATAAAAAGACACAATAGATAGAGTCTCCCAGTCTTCAGGAGAGCAGATTTATATGAAATTTCTGTGTGTAGGTGAGACTTGTGCACACAGCCTATAAGAGCTTCTTAGTTTATGCCAAACAGGTTTCTAAAATTGATTTCAATAGTTTTGGGGTAATAGGTGGTGTTTGGTGACATGGATATGTTTTTTGTTGTGCTTTCTGAGATTTTGGTGCACCCATCACCTGAGCAGTGTACACTGTACCCAATGTGTAGTCTTTTATCCCTCACCCCCCTCCCACCCTTCCCTTTGAGCCCCCAGAGTCCACTGTATCATTCTTATGACTTTACATCCTCATAGCTTAACTCCCACTTGTGAGAACATATGATATTTAGTTTTCCATTCCTGAGTTACTTCACTTAAAATAATGGTCTCCAACTCTATTCAGGTTGCTGTAAATGCCATTATTTCATTCCTTTCTATGGCTGAGTAGTATTCCATAAATCACATTTTCTCTATCCACTCATTGGTTGGTGGGCATTTAGGCTGGTTCCATATTTTTGGAATTGTAAGTTGTGCTGCTATAAACATGCATGTGCCAGTGTCTTTTTCATATAATGACTTCTTTTCCTCTGGGTAGATACCCAGTAATATGATTGTTGGATCAAATGGTATTTCTATTTTTAGTTCCTTAAGGAATCTCCATTATGCTCTCCATATGAAATAATCAGCAGAGAAAACAGACAACCCATGAGTGAGAGAAAGTATTCACAAACTATGCAATTGACAAAGGACTAATATCCAGAATTGACAAGGAACTCAAACAAATGAGCAAGAAAAAAGAAATAATAATTCTGTCAAAAAAGTGGGGCAAGGACATAAATGGACAATTCTCAAAAGAAGATATACACATGGCTAACAAGCATATGAAAAATGCTCAACAGCATTAACTGTGAGGGAGATGCAAATCAAAACCACAATGCAATACCACCTCACTCCTGCAAGAATAGCCATAATTACAAAATAAAAAAATAATAGATGTTGAAGTGGATATGGTGAAAAGGGAACACTTCTGCACTGCTGGTGGGAATGTAAACTACTACAACCAAGATAGGCTTTTCCTTTTAGCAGAACATAACAAAAAATCACTATATCCTATAAAAGACTGAAGGAAAAAAGACTTCTTCAGGATTTTTGTGCCTTTCAGCTTTATATCAATGTTTTACATAATAATTTGAAGTGGTGTTATATTTTAAAAGCCTATATTACATATTTAGTGTCTCCTTAGTGGTATGTCTTTATTATCATTCCCATTTTGAAAATGAGAAGAAGTTTTCATCATGTAAATATGTAATATATGCCTATAAAATATAACACCACCACAAATTATTATCTAAAACATTGATACAAAGCTGAATTGGTGAAAATCAGTTATCTTTCTTCAAAGTTCTGTACCATTTTAATTACCAAAACATGATAGAATCCATTACCTAAGCCTTCAATAGATCAGGGAATTACAGAAAAATTATGAGGGAAAAAAACCAAAACAGTTTTACAACTAATTTACTATAATCAACCATATCATTAAACACAGGTGCTTACTGTGAAATGGCTTTCTTTTATGCAGATTCAATTCAGAAGAAAGAATAATTTAGTAATGCTCATCTAAACAAAAAATAAAGCTATTTAGAATTAACATTCCATCCTACTGGTATTACTATTTAGGTTACCATCAGGAGAAAAATAAAACAATTCCGTGTATCATAGCAGGAGAAATATTTTCACACACACCATTTTTTTTCTAATCACAAAGAAAATTACAGTTGTTCACGCAGAACATTTTATGGTATTCCAATAACTATCTCCATAGGGAGCTACTTAAAGCATTGGAAAAAGTTTAACAGCTCTCCAAAAGGGCAAGATTTTCTCTCTGCCCCTAGCTTTTCAGGGAGCTACTTAAAGCATTGGAAAAAGTTTAACAGCTCTCCAAAAGGGCAATATTTTCTCTCTGCCCCTAGCTTTTCAAGGAGCTACAATAGCAAAATTTTCCAGTATTTAATGCTCACTGTAATTGGCAAGTGTACTACTTACAAACTGGATTATTGACCCTTTATTATAATATAAAGAATTTAATCTTGAATTTTTTGGTAAAATAATAGCAAAGTTTTTACTAAATAGGAAGTTAAATTCTATTAAACCATTGAAGTTTATTTTCACGTTTTTGCTTCAGTAACATTGCACCCAAGGGGAAAAGTTCTAACTTTTAGGCAACAGATTTGGGAAACTGTGTTCCTCCTTCAGGATGATAGACTCAGCCCTCTCTGAATAATCTTAATGGATCTTTGGGTTTTCATAAATCGCAATATTGCCATGACTCCCAGTGCCGTACTCTCAGGTGTGACCTTCAGACTCTAGATCCAGGACCTTTTTGGCCATTTCCACTTGGATGTTCCACAGGCTCCTCAAATATCTTTTGTTTCTATCTTCTGTCTCAGGAAACTGCGGGGCCTTCTTACACACACACACACACACGCACACACCACTGCAAAACGTTCTCACTACTCTCTCTGCCTTCCGTTACCATTCACCTACTTGTGGGCAAGCAGCCTGTAGCCCTCCTGTGACCAAAGCACTCTCTATTCACAAGAGCTGTTCAGGGCACAGCCACTCATCTCTGCTCCTTGTCACAGTGATGAAGGCATCTGGAACTGCTTCCTTGATGATTTCTGTGGCTTGATTAACAGGCCAGCCTTGAATTTTATTCTCTAGCAACATGTAACTATTTGATGATCTAAAATGCTTACTCCTTTTTCAAACCTTTCTGCATCCTGTGTACATGTTATTAGGGACACTTATGCTAATGCTAAGCTACAACATGCCTCTCTTCCACCCCCAAACTCTATTCCCTCACACTTGATTAGATTTTCCAAATGCAAATCCACCACCACCCTCTACACTACCTCCTTATTTCACAGACCTCAGAAGCTCCCCAGATGGCTTCCTCTTTGGGTTACCTACCCCAACCTTCTTCTAGTAGCACCTCCCTGACTGCTGTCACAGCCTCCCCTTCATACCTCATTGTAATTATTGGTCTATGTCTATATTTGATGCTGGTAAAAATTCAGGATTTTTTTCTCTGTTTGTTACTTGAGACTCAGAATGATATCTGGAGAAGTTCTCAAAATTTCTGAATAAATAATTATCTTTTCTTATAACTCATCTGTTATTTAAGGACTTTTTTGTTTTCAATTGCTAAGCAAAATAGAATGATGACGAAAATGAAGCTAGTCTTAAAAACAAAATATTTCCTAAGCTTCAGGGAAAATATTCATGACACCATTGGGACTTAGATAACAATATTGAAGACCTAAGCAGCAGCCTCAGAAGCAAAAATTTTTCTCTGACCTTCTCCTGCCCTCCTGTCTCTCAGTCCCATTTTCCTTTGAGGTGTTATAGAAACTAGAATCCCTCTTCCCCAAGGTAAATCATAGAAACCAGAAGCCCTTTACCCAAAGCCAGACATGGAACCTAAAATGGATTGCTCCAACTTTTCTTCTGTCTTATTTGTGTAAAAACTTGCCATAAACAATTTTCCGACCTAATTTGTTTTGACTGTAGTTCATAAGACCCCTGTTCCAGAGAGGGTCCTGCCCCATACCCAGAAGGAATGAGGACTCCTCAAAATGGGCAAGAAGAATCTTGATAGGTTATCCTTTCTGTGTTTTCCCACACATTGTATCAGCATTAGATCATATCCTTTTCATCTAATCACATTTCTACACAGCTGTTCATACTTTGTTGAACATAGGCACAAAAGTAGACAATTTCCCTTGTGTCTTTGGGTCTTCATTCTGAATATTTCCATGTGTACACACTAAATAAATTCATGTACTTTCTCACTAGTCTGCCTTTTGATAATAGATTTTTCAAGGAAATTTCAGAGGGCCAAGTGGAACTCACTCACTGGCCCCTGCAACACAATGGGGTTAGTGTGATTCACATTTTGAAAAGAATGTGAACCAAGAGTAGAAAAGAATGTATAAAACATTCTATTTTTCCATAGTCAAGAAGGGATATTGCAAGTGATTTTATTGTTGTTGCCACTGTGAATTTTTATTGTTGCTTTCTGCAATTGATTAAGCCAGTGTTGATAAAGAAAAACTTGCTGTAGGGGAGAAAATATAATATCTTTTCAACAGTCACAAGGGTCCTGGCTGCCATATCTATAACCAAAAGACAGATTGACAAGAGTAAAGCATAACAGATGTTTTATCAAAGTTTTATGTGACATAGCAGCCTTCAGAGATGAAGACCCATGGAACCAGGGAAAACTATATTGTGTTAACTCTGATTAAAGAAGGGGATAGTTGTGGAGAAGCATAATTGGACAAAAAAGTATGATCTAATGGTAATAAATTGGGGGAAGGGGGATCTAGCCAGGCCTGCTCAGATGCTTTTCTGTGTCCTCATATGACAGGCCTCCCCCAGGTGTGGGGGGCAGGATACCTGACACATGAGAACCTTGGTGGGGAAAGGGAGTATAACCATGATATGTTCATTTCCCAATGAACACAGCAAGTTTCATGTGCGTCCATGTGAAAAGACCACCAAACAGGCTTTGTGTGAGCAACATGGCTGTTTATTTCACCTGGGTGCAGGCGGGCTGAGTCCAAAAAGAGAGTCAGCAAAGTGTGGTGGATTATCATTAGTTCTTATAGGTTTTGGGATAGGTGGTGAAGTTAAGAGCAATGTTTTACAGGCAGGGGTGGATCTCACAAAGTATATTCTCAAGGGTGGGGAGAATTACAAAGAACTTTCTTAAGGGTGGGGGAATTTATAAAGAAACTTCTTAAAGGTGGCAGAGATTACAAAGTACATTGTTCAGTGAGGGTGGGGCAGAAACAAATCAAAATGGTGGAATGTCATCAGTTAAGGTTATTTTTACTTGTTTTGTGGATCTTCAGTTACTTCAGGCCATCTGGATGCATACGTGCAAGTCACAGGGGATGCGATGGCTTGGCTTGCGCTCAGAGGCCTGACAGCAAGCACACCGGCTTACAGCAGAGAGAGGTTTAACCATAAGGTCACTGTATGAGGAGATGGAAGGAAACTTCAAATCCATCTCTCTGAAGAATTTGGAGCTAGGGTTTTTAAGAGTTTTGGAATGGGTTAAAATGTGAAGATCATTAATTGGCTGAAGAGTACACACTAAAGTCATGGTACAAAGAGATGAAGAAACTGTATTCTCCTGCTGATCCTGTGGGGGTCTTCAAACTGGTTGCTGGAATTTGAAACCAGCAATAAAAAACATCAGTGATCCTTCTTCAAAAGCCTGTGATTCTAATGTCAAAGATCCTGTCTATAGGAACAATGGAGACTGGCACGGTGATCCTCTAAGGCTGTGTGACTTTTAGCAGCAAGGAAGTGGCCCACCTGCGGCCTGATTAGTGCATCCTGTATTAGGCCTCTCTTGCATTGCTATAAAGAAATACCTTGAGATAAGGTATTTTATAAGAAGAGAGATTTAATTTGTTTAATTGGCTGTACAGGAAGCATGGCACCACCTCTGCTTCTGAGGAGGCCTCAGGAAGCTTGCAACAGTGACAGAAGGTGAAGTGGGAGCAAGAGTCTCACATGGCAGAAGCAAGAGCAAAAGAGAGTGGGTAGGGAGGTGCCACATGCTTAACCAGATCTCATGAGAACTTCCTACTGCAAGAACAGAACCAAGCCATAAGGGATCTGCCCCCATGACCCAAACCTCTCCCACCAGGCCCTACCTCCAGTATTGGAGATTGCATTTCAATATGAAATTTGGATGAGGGAAAATATCCAAACTATATCACATACTTACCACCATATTTCTGTCTGGACCTGGAATGCAATTCTTGTCAACCCTGTGGGGACAGTTTTAGGAGGAGACCAGAGGCTATTTTTGGTCTTATGGCTTGCTGTGGAGGAGAATAATTCTAGTTTCTACAGCCTTCTTGGAACAGAAAGAGGAGTGGGAGAAAGGAGGGCGGGAGAAGTTTAGGAAGACACTTGCTTCTCAGGCCCTTCCAATTTCTTTCAATTCAGAGAACTCTGTATACCAAGGCACCACGCCTTGGGGTAGGGTGTTCTGAGCCCTGACATCACTAAGGTGATTTAAAAACAACTTTTACTTCCTAGAGCTGATCAATGCCTTGGAATTGGTTTAATGCCTGGAACTATTAGCCTATGATGCCCAGAGGTCCATAGCCTGCAGCTTGAGACATAACTATATAAAGCTTCTTTCTCAGAATTTGTGTTTCTTAAAAGAATGTGGATTTTACTGGCATTATATTTTATCACCTACTCCAATAATCAATGAGAGAGCATCCTCCAATAATTTACAACCCATAGCTCAAAGCTAGTAGAAAGGGATGACATATAAAATCAAATTTGATAAATGTATGAGCTATGAGAGAATGTGGTTAAATTAAATTAAAAATCATGTCATCTAGTGCTCATTTATTAATGCCATTTCATGATTAATATTAGCAGGTAAAAATTAGGCATATCCAGTTTGTTGTAAGAGAGGGAAACATTTAACATTATATAAACATATGCCCAGAACATACATTATATGTCAGAGACATTCTTTTTCTAATTTAATAGTTTACAAAACTTATAGAGACTTAAAGTTAGTAACTGTAATTTAATAGTTTACAAAACTTATAGAGACTTAGAGTTAGTAAGGGTCAAAAGTAATTTTTAGGAAAAGGTAAAATCATAACTCAGAGATACGAAAATGATCACATGTTAAATAACTTATTTCTTCATATGATATGAGAGAATTGAGTAGATGTTATAGCCTGTCCAAAGGAAAAGTAAAAAAATGTATAGGAATAAAAAAATGATGAAACAAATTGCAAATGGGACAAAACTGGTTTCCTCCAATGAAGGAAGTCAATTAAAATACTTCTCAAAGTGGACAGAATTTGCATGTCTATCAGTTACTCCTGCAATTTGCAAAGCTTTGTTACATCACTCAAAGATTATGAATAGGGCTAGAATCTGATACCCCTCAAGGGCGTGCTGTACATAATGGATAGTTTTCCACTGAAAGCCTTTTTTCTCTACATAACTAACTAATTTAGATTACACAGTACCTAGAGGAAACAGGATGAACTCAGATTAAGTTTCCTGCCTAGCCCAAATTATTCATCACTATGATTTATGCAAATTATAAACAGATGCTTCAAGTAATACTAAAGTACTATCCTGTCTTTTTGTTAGGCTTTCTCCTCTTTTAAAATACCAAGTTTTTTGATAGAATTAATAAAGTATATCTTCTTATATGTAATCATATTCTTTATAAAACTATAATCAATGATGCAAATCACTTTGTAACTCTTGCTTCTTTCCAGGAAATATTCCTGAAAATTAATTGAAAGAAACAGAAACAACTAATTAAAAATAGAATATTTTCTACTTTATATTAATGTACTTATTTAGTTCAGGAATTGACAGTTTATCTTTACTTTTTAATTTTTTCCTCAAAACAGATCTACTAAAGGAATTATTTCATAATAAAACAGTTTGTTACAATTGAAGGAAAAACACTGGACTTGGTGTCCGGAGATCTTCATTTAGCCCCAGCTATGGTATTAACTGGCTATGGAAATACGGGCAACTCAATTTTAGTATGTCTCAGTTTATTAATCTAAATAAATCAATTAAATAGTAAATTAATTATCTTTTCAGACTGCTTCTACTTTTATCATTGTACAAGCATTTACAGTATGATTACCACTCTATAAACTTATTGTTACAAAGTAACTTTTAAAAGGGGTAAGATAATAATTCTTGAATAGATGTAAAATAAATAGCTGTTTGAGATTTTATACAGCTCATTAATGAAGGAATCTATAATATGTAAAATTTAGCTAAAAGGAGAAACCTAAGAAGAGACATATTTATAGATCAGAAATACTAAAATAAATTTGCAAATGAATACAAAACTTGCTTTTCTGGGGGTGGGGGAGGACATTCAAGAAAATTCAACCAGACTGAATGTATTTGCATGTCAATAGATAAGCCTCTTTTGCATTTTCTTCAATTCTCTACAATTACCAGAGTTGGAAAATAGCTCCAAGGCAATGAAAGGCATAGAACCCCTGCAGAATCAGAATCAAAATCAGATAAACTGTTAGGGTGTGCTCTGAAAAATTAAGCGTCAATTTTCCCCCTACATGATCATAGAAACAAACTTTAAATTTAACATATCCTTCTTATTTTCTAAAATGAGAATGTTTATAACTGAGATTTTTGTGTGACTTAAAATATAAGGGTATACAGACAAAGATTCTTTGCTTGGCCAAATTTTAGTCATGCTTTTGAATCTTCTTCTAGGCCAATCTGTGCACTTTCTTATAAAATCCAGTTCTAGCAAAGAAGCCTGCTAATTCAGTTTAGCAAGAACTCCTTACCCTGGATATCTGATCACCCTAAATATATTATCGGGTTCTTCATGTAACCACCCAATGAGTTCACCTTGCCCGCTGCCTAGACAGAGCCAATTTATTAAGACAGGGGAATTGCAATGGAGAGAGAGTAATTCATGCAGCGCTGGCTGTGTGGCAGACTGCAGGTTTATTATTACTCAAATCAGTCTCTCCGAGCATTCAAGGATCAGAGATTTTAAGGATAATTTGGCGAGTATGGGCCCAGAAAGTAGGGTGTGCTGATTGGTCACGTAGAAAATGAAATCACAGGGAGTCAAGTGAGTTCTTCCTAACTTCTTTTCCTGGGTGGGATCGCAGGACTGGTTGAGCTGGTTCTGGGTGTTGTCATCTGCTGCATCAGAATGCAAGATCTGCAAAATATCTCAAACACTGATCTTAGGTTTTACAATAGTGATGTTATTCCCAGGAGCAATTTGGGGAGGTTCAGACTCTTGCAGCCGAGGCTGCATGGCCCGTAAACAGTGATATCTAATCTTGCAGCTAATTTGTTAGTCCTACAAGGCAGGCTGGTCCCCAGGAAAGAAGGGGTTTTTCGGGAAAGGGCTATCATCCATTTTGTTTCAGAATTTAAACTATAAACTAATTTTCTTCCCAAGGCTACTTCAGCCTGCACCTGGGAATGAACAAAGACAATTTAGAGGTTAGAAGGAAGAAGGGGTCGGTTAGGTCTCATCTCTTTCACTGACATAATTTCCTCAGTTATAAATTTGCAAAGGCGATTTTACTCATTCTCCACCCTTTCCCAGGTGATGTCTATCCACCCTGGCCTGTCTTCAGCAAGAATCCATTTAGCTAAGTTTATCCAGAATTCCCCCTCCCCCTGATGTATTCTTTTAGTAAGTTTCCATCTACTGACATCCACACTGCACCTTGGCTATAAATTCCAACTTGCCCATGCTGTATTCACAGTTGATCCTGATTTCTCTCCCCACTGAAAGACCTGATATTTCTAAATAAAGTTTGCTTTACCATGTTTTAACAAATGTAATTGAAAAAAATTTTAACAAGAGTCAGCTCTTTACTATTAAAAGTCCTAATTTGTTTGAAATTTGATTTTTGTCCATTTTTAATCCCTCAGTAAATATGAGTCAAAATAGTGGCTTGCTACAAAGAGAATAAAATTTGCATTACGTCAGCTTGGGTTCACATAGTTTACTCCATGATTAACTATCTATAACTATATGCAATTTACTTACATTTTGAGACTAAGCCTCTTAATATATAATAAATATCAGAATAATAACACCTCCCTTTAGGAAGTATTATGAGTTTGCCTGCATGGTTAACAGGAATACATTTTAGCTATTTTGAGAAGCAGGGGAGGATTGAGAAAGGGGAGAGGAGGCAGAGAGGGAGAGGGGGCAGAGGGGAAGAAGCAGCATGATGATTTCATGGAGATTGATGTTTTGAAGGAACACCAAAGTTAAAATAAAATTGGACTACTTAAACAAATAAAGAAAAATAAATAAAAGAACAGAATCAAGGATAAAAATATATGATGCAAATACTAAGTGCTGTGAGAAGACCAGGAATGAAGAAGCCTGAGGATTTCCTTAAGACTGTCAACTCAAATATGAATAAAGCCCACCTTATGCTAGCTTGGAGCTTAAACTCACCCTTCTGAATGAATTGCTTTCAGTTGTGAGAGAGTACAGAGACAAGGCCAAAGGATAAACTGAGTGAGACCAAAAGATACAAAGGCACCAGATTAAATATCCCAACAAAAAGTTTTTACATAAAAGGTAGTGATTTTGAAGAGCAGTTAAAAATACAAGATTTTACTTAACAAGGTTGAAAAAATTGTGTGTCTGACATAAGTTTAGTGTGACTTGCATAGACTCTGAACTATGAAAATCTCCCCCAGTTTACTGTAACTGCTCCACCTTGACCCTAAACTATGTGTTTTTGGAAGAAGACTATTCCTCTACCAACTTAGGGCCAACTGATCTAGAGCCTGTAAATTAACTGATGATAGAAAAGATTAACAGGAGGAAAGGCAAGTTTTATTTACATGTGCACATGGGAGTATTCAGTAATGAGTAATACACTAAATAGTCAGAAGTAAAGATGTGTGGGTGATGCATGTGGAGGAGGTAGAGCAGGTTTAGAGTTTCAATTAAAAAAAAAGAAAGAAAGATTCTATTTGATTTTTTAGGTTAATGACAGCTGAAGTTGTACTTTCTAGCAGTCCTCTCCTAAATAGGAAACTCCCTTGGGGGCAGGGGCCAGGAGCTGTCAATGGAAAATTTATTTTTGGGGGGCTCTGAAACTGCCTTTGCAAAAATTATAGCAGTGAGATAAATCTCACATAACTGACCCCATGTTGCTTCTAACCTCACAAGATAACTAGTCTTGCTCATTTCTGGGCATAGGCCAAGCTAACTATGGAAGGAATTCAGTTTATAAGTTAACTTTAAAGCAAGGATGATAATAGTCCCCTACCAAAATTAAGGCCCTCCTTATTTGGGGACTGAAACTGCCTTTGTAAGATTAATGAAAAACCGCAAGATAAGAATTACGGTTGGGGCCTAAAATCTGCTAATAGGAATAATTAAATAACAACTAGTCATTGTTTTCTAACTTGTCTTTTTCTAATTGCTTACTACTCAGGAGTTACATAGCCAGTGGTCACAAGATTTGTAACTTCCTCTATTGCCCCTGTAGATAACATCATGATTGTGAAACCTAAGACTTGTGTTTGGGATATTTTTCAGATCTTGCATTCTAGTGGACCAACGGGCACACCTGAACCAGTGACTCATACCAAAAACTGACTCAACTGGTCCTGTGACCCCCATCATGAACTGATTCAGCACGTAAAGACAATTTCAACACCCCTATAATTTAATCCCTGACCCAATCAATAAGCATTCCCCATTCCTCAGCCTCCTGCCTACTAAACTATCCTTGAAAAACCCCAGCCTGCAAATTCTTAGGGAGGTGGATTTGAGAAGTATCTCCTACTCTCCTTGCTCAGCCATCCTGCAATGATTAAAATCTTTCTCTGTTGCAACAACTGCTCTCTCAGTGTATTGTTTTTTTCTGTGAAGCAAGTAAAAACATCCTAATGGGTTGTAACAGCTCTGCTTAGGTTTAGATATTGTTTCTTTCTGTAGCTGTTGATTATTTATGTTTTCAGTTTACAGTAATATTAATACTACTTTAGTGGGTTCTTATTCTCTTCATTCCCTGCCCTTTGAAAGTTCCCAAGAAGCTTCAAAAATAAGAACATAGGATAATTATTATGAGGAGAAGATATGATTAGAAGTTGAGAGGTAAAAAATCTGCAAAGAGAAAGAAGAATATGCATGAGAACAAGATGAATAAGCAGAAAAGGGCAAATCTAATTACATTCCTTCATATTCTGTTGAACCAGTCTCTCAGTCCTAAAAGTAGAGGGTCTTTGCTGGATAATGCAAGTAATCAAAAATTTAATGAGGGATGTTTCGATGGAAATAAAAAGAAAAACAAAAGTTCATAGTTGGGACAGATATAAACCCAGTTTCTGAGTCCTGAGGGCAGCCAATCAATGTGTTTAGATGGTGAGGCACAGTGGCAATCCAAAGAGTTCCTTCATTTGTAGTTTCAATGTCTTTGATGATTATACATACATCAGTGCCCTAATCATGATTAATTTCTGGAGCAGAGCATGAAAGATTATATATATATATATATATATACATATATATATATATATATGTATATATATATATATACATATATATATATGTATATATATACACACACACATATATATATACACATATATATGCATATACACATATATTTGAGAAAGAAGTACAGTTTTATTATAAGCAGTTAATTCACATGATTATGGGGACTGATCAGTTTTAGGGTCTGCAGTTGGTAAGCTGGAGACCTTGAAAAGCTAATGGCATAGCTCCAGTAGAAGTCTGGAAAAAAAAAATAATGTCACAGCTAGAAGGCAATTGAGCATGAGAAATTCCTTCTAATTTGATGAAAGGTCAACATTTTTGTTTCATCTAGACCTTCTTTTGATTGGATGAGGCCTACCTACATTAGAAAGGCCAATCTGCTTTATGTAATTTATTGTTTTAAATGTTTAATCCTAAAACACCCTCACAGAAACACCCAGAATAATGTTTGACCAAATATCTGGGTACTCCATGGCCCAGTCAAGTTGACACATAAAATTAACCATCACAAGTTTACCCCTTGTCACCTTGGCACCCATATGTATCTCCTTACACCATACTTAATCTTCAAATTAAGACAATAACAAGGTCCTAATTTCATCTAACGTGATGCAGCTATTCTGCATACAACAGAATCTGCACTAATCCCTTCCCCAGAAAAGGAGGTAAAGCCCTTGAGTGATGTCTGCTCTTTTCCTTGATATCCCATAATGTCAATGCAATGATGTAAAATTAACAGTGTTCAAATACTGAAATATAGTCAATACATCATATGTTACATGATGAGAGAAGAAAGCAAGGATATTTTTCTGTATGTGCTATTGACTTAATTTTGTCTCCCCTCAAATTTATATGTTGAAGCACTAACACATAATGTGACTATATTTGGAAATAGGACCTAGATTAAATAGGGGTAATGTTCAATGAGGTCATAAGAGCGAGGCCCTGATACAATAGAATTTGTGTCTTTTTGAGAAGAGACTGTACTCTCTATGAGGATGCTATCCACAAGCCAGTAAGAGAGCCTCACTATGGCTGGATCATGCTGACACTCTCATCTCAAACTTCCACTCTGTACTACCTCATACACATTTTAGTATCGCAGAACTTGAGTGCTTTTGAACAAATACCTAAACCTGTGGAAGTGACTTTGTAATTAGGTAATATGTAGAGACTGGAAGAGTTTTAAAGTGCATATTAGAAATATAAACATTATAGGCAATTTTGATAATATCTCAGATAGAAATGAAATTTTTGGAAATTGAAAGAATGATCATTCTTATTACAAAATGGCAACCAACTTAGTTGAACTCTGCTTTAGATTTGGTTCAAGGTAGAATTTACAAGTGATGATATTAGATATTGATCTGAGGAGATTTTTAATCAAAGTGTTGAAGAAACAGCTTGGTTTCTCCTGACTACTTAGGGTAAATGTGAAAGGAGAAAGATGATGTGAAGAAGGAATTGTTAACAGAAAATAATCTGATCTCAAAGATTCGGAAAATTATCAGCCTATATGTATTGCCAAAACTGTGAAAGCTTGTTCTCAAGACAACATCAAGAAGGTGGTGAAACAACTAATTGATAAACAGATCATGAGTGCAACTCATGAAATTAATCTGCCATCTCAATGGAGGCCAGGAATAGAGAAGAGAATACACCAGCAAAGATGCTACAGTTTGAATTAAAGGAAATAGAAAAAGTGGGATGGAAAGAAGAAAGACTGCTGGACATTTTGGATGCTACAGGACTGAAATATAGAGCTATTGGCTCTGAATGGGCACTGTTCCTCAAGGAGATGGATGAATTATTTCAGAGGCAATTCAGAGAGCATCAAGGCTGTCACTTCCAACATGGGCCCAGGGAGCAAGGCTGTTTCCTCCTCGGTTTCAAGTGGTTGGTCATCTATCTTGATTCAGTAGGCCAAGATGACCCCACCCAGCACCTTAGGGGCAGGGCCACCTGCAGAGTGCCACCTGGATGAGTCCCCACAGAGTGCTTCAGGGGAGGAACTCTTGCAGAGAGCTGTGGAGGAGGTGCTCAGAAGGGCTGGATGGATGGACCACTCCATAGAACATTGAGAGTGAGGCTGCCATAACAGTGGGCCTGGAAGGTGGGATATTGAGACAAAGAGGATTATGTTTTAACCTTAAGATCTAATGGAATTCATCTTCCTAGGTTTTGGACTTGTTTGGGATCTTTCATTCCTTTCTTCTTTCTTTTTTTCCCCCTCTTTTGTGGTGGGAATACCCATCATATGACTCTCCACTCTTATATTTGGAAGTACACAATTTATCTAGTTTAACAGTTTCTAGAGAATTTTATCTGAGGGTAAATTATACCTTAACTCTCACTCAGATCTGATTTAGATGACATTTATGTGAGACTTTGAACTTGAGACTTTAGAGCTGATGCTGAAATGAGTTAAGACTTGGGGGGCTGTTGGGATGAAATAAATGTGTTGTGCACCCAAGAAGGGCATACATTTTGTGGGGAGCAGGGGTGGAATGCTGTTGGTTTAATAGTGTTTCCCCCAAAATTTATATCCTCAGTTTTTAACCTCTAACATGAATGCATTGAGAGATACAGCCAAAAAGGAGATACTTGTTAAATGAGGTCAATGAGGGTGGTTCTTTGATATGATAGGACTACTGTTCTTATAAGAAGAGACACAGGAGAGCTCACCCATTGTCTCTCCATGCCACATGAGCACACAATGAGAAGGTTGCATTGTTTAAGCCAGGAAGAGGAGACCAGACCATTCTGACACCTTGATTTCTGACTTCCAGCCTCCACAACTGTGAGAATACAAATTTCTATTGTTTAAGCCACCCAGACTTTGTTATTTTGTTATTGCACCCTGAACTGACTAACTGGTATGTGTGTGTGTGTGTATATATATATATATGTATATATATATACATATATATATATATATATATACATATATATATATACACACACACACACACACACACACATGAATGTATATATACACACATTTGTATGTATATATATGTGTGTGTGTATATATATATACATGGAAAAATGTAGTCTACAGGAGTGGGGACAATAGGCATTTGGGCTTCTTTTTCATGTAACCTACTTGTGCTTAAGAGTCTGCTCTGAATTTGATAATGGAGTATTGCTATGCATGCCATAGTGCATAGCAATGCATAGCAATGCATTAGCGCATAGCAACACACCAAAATGAGGAGTACGTTGTCTCCTAAATCCAGATAGGCTTCCTAGGCATTGCACCTCTTTTAAGTTGTAGAATATACCAGATAAACAACTTATTTTTCATCTTAGAAAGAATACCTTGACATACTCCACATCACTGTACCCCCAGAAGTTTTATTGAGATGTATGGTCCCTGAATTTTAGTTGGACTTATTTCTCACCTACCCATTGATACACAAGTGATTTACCAATGATTATAGAGTAGTTGCTTTCTTTTTTTTCTCTTTCTTTGTTTTTTTTTAATTATACTTTAAGTTTTAGGGTGCATGTGCACATTGTGCAGGTTAGTTACATATGTATACATGTGCCATGCTGGTGCGCTGCACCCACTAACTCGTCATCTAACATTAGGTATATCTCCCGATGCTATCCCTCCCCCCTCCCCCCACCCCACAACAGTCCCCAGAGTGTGATATTCCCCTTCCTGTGTCCATGTGATCTCATTGTTCAATTCCCACCTATGAGTGAGAATATGCGGTGTTTGGTTTTTTGTTCTTGCGATAGTTTACTGAGAATGATGATTTCCAATTTCATCCATGTCCCTACAAAGGACATGACCTCATCATTTTTTATGGCTGCATAGTATTCCATGGTGTATATGTGCCACATTTTCTTAATCCAGTCTATCATTGTTGGACATTTGGGTTGGTTCCAAGTCTTTGCTATTGTGAATAATGCCGCAATAAACATACGTGTGCATGTGTCTTTATAGCAGCATGATTTATAATCCTTTGGGTATATACCCAGTAATGGGATGACTGAGTCAAATGGTATTTCTAGTTCTAGATCCCTGAGGAATCGCCACACTGACTTCCACAATGGTTGAACTAGTTTACAGTCCCACCAACAGTGTAAAAGTGTTCCTGTTTCTCCACATCCTTTCCAGCACCTGTTGTTTCTTGCTATTCACACTTCTTGTTTGCTAAGTCCAGTCAGCATTATATTTTTATATATTATATTTTACTAATATAATATAATATATTATATATGACAAAGTAAAAAGAAAAGGCAAAAATGTTTCTGCCAATTACCTTCATTTCTGTAACTAGTCATTTGACCATAGCTGGTATTTATAATTACCTTCTCTACTAGCTGTCCTGTATTTCTTTTGCCTTTAGCAAGAACCTCAGCTAGTTATGGTTGTTTATCTGGTAGGGTGACCCAACCTTCATTCTTAAAGGATATGACCCCTCAGCAGCCCTGCCTTTGATTGAGTTATTGTAGTTTACCATTTACCTTAATTACAGTGCATGATAATACTAAGAGACACACACAGGGATCTCCTGTATTTTTCTTACCTGTACTGTAAAGTAGTAGTCCAATTTCCTCCTGTCAGTCATGATCAATCATTCCACCCAGCACAATAAAGTTTTTTTTTCCTATTGAATCAAAGATTTGAAAAGTCCAAAGTGAGTGGGTCCCATCTTAATTTCCAGTTCAATAGAATCATTGAGTATCCTGGTGAAGAGATTCCTCACTCTGGAACTAAGACTTCTAGGCCAGCAGAGTGTAAGATGATTGGAAGAGAAAGCAAAACTTTTGTTAGTGGGTAATTAGAAGTAATAGTGAGTAGTGACACCCCATCCCCATCTCTTGATTCCTGGATCTGTGAATCCTAACTATAGGAGAAACAATATTATATATTAGACACCTATTCAGAGCATACACAGACTTATTTAGAGCCTTTCCCCAACCTTGCAAAGTATTGCCATGCACCTGTGGCTGTAACTGAGTCTTCAAAAATCCATCCCATAGTTTTATGAAGCCAGCCACTTTAGGATAATGAGGAACACAGTAAAACCATTAATTCCTTAAGCATGGACCTTTTACCACACTTCATTTGCTGTGAAGTGAGTTCCTTGATCAGAATCAATGCTCTGTGGAACACCATGATATGAGAGAGACATTCTGTAAATTCACTGTTAGAAGTTTTGGCAGAAGCATTGCATGCAGTAAGGACAAACCTATATTCAAAGTAAGTTTCTATGACAATAAAAACTAAATACTGCCCCTTTCATGATGGAAAGGCTCTAATAGAATAAAGCTACCACAGGATAGCCATATCATGACCCCCAGGAATGGTGCCACTTGTTCACTGCTGCTGGCAGATTGGACACTCAGCAGTGGTCATCTCCAGGTCAGTCTTAGTGAATGCACATTCATATTGTTGAGCCCATGCATAATCTCAACCTCTGACATCATGACCACTCTTTTCATGAGCAATACAGCAATGGATGGGGAAGGAGCTTGACTTGCATCCACAGAGTGGATCATCCCATCCATTTTAGTATTAAAACCCTCCTCTGCTGAGGTTACCCTTTGTTATGCATTCACATATGATAGATAGCTTTACATTTTTTTGCCCATTCAGGAGTGTTCATGTATATGCCTCTTCCCCAAATTTCTTTGCCACCAATTTCCAACCATGTTCCTTCCAAGTCCTTGATAATTCAGCCAAACCATTTGCTACAAACCATAAATTGGTATATAATTGCACATCTGACCATTTCTCCTTCCAAGCAAATTCACACCCATGTACATTGCTTATAAATCTTCCCACTGTGATTTTCACCAAAAGACTTTTCCTTTACCACAGTTCTTCAGAGATGTCCCAGAGAAAGGCTATAGGGGATCAGTTGTCAACTTTTAAGTGGTGCCTGCATATCTTGAAGAATTATCTGTAATCTAGGTTCAGGTCTTCTCTCCCTCTGTCAGCTCACTGTAGGGAACTTCCCATGAACCCATAGATACAGAATGGGAGAAAAAAAATGTAGTGTACAGGAGTGGGGACAATGGTCATTTGGGCTTCTTTTTCATGTAACCTACTTGTGCTTAAGGGTCTGCTCAGAATTTGATAATGAAGTATTGCGATGCATACCAAACTTTATGATTTGGTGGGTCAGGTAATACCCAGTTAATGATAGAAATGTCAGGTCACATGGTAACCTGGAAGCTCATGGTTAAACATTCAGTCTCTTCTAAGATTCAACAGCAGTCCAAGAGCCTGCATGGAGGACGGCAGGGCCTTGCTCCAAAATTCTAAGGACTTGTTCTGTGATTCACCTACAGGGGCCTGCCAAGGGCTGTAATCAGTATCCCTAGCTGCCACTACACTTTAAGCACAACATAATATGCTGTATTTTATGGCTTAATTGGAAGAGCAGCTTACACAGGAGGCAAGACAGGTTGGAGAGCCTTCTCTTGTTTTGGGTCTCACTCAATACTGGCAGCTTTTTGGGGTCATTCAGTAAATGGAACAGAGAAATGCACTGAAAGGAGGAATATGTTGCCTCCTAAATCCAAATAGGCCTTCTAGACACTGTCCCTCTTTTAAGTTGTAGAAGAGACCAGATGAAGCAGCTTATTTTTCACCTTAGAAAGAATACCTTGACATACTCTCACCCCTGGACCCCTAGAAGTTTTATTGAGATGTATGGTCCCTGAATTTTAGTTGGACTTATTTCTCACCTACCTATTGACCTGCAAATGATTTACCAATAATTATAGAGAGTAGTTGCTATTCATATATCTAGTTTGCTATGTCCAGTCAGCATGCTATTAATATAATGGATTAGTATGATATTTTGCAGAAGGAAAAGGCAATCAAGATGCCTATGAGCCAAATTATGACATAAGATTGAAGAGTTAATATACCCTGTTGTGGGAAGTCAGGGACCCCAAACGGAGGGACCAGCTGAAGCCATGGCAGAAGAACATAAACTGTGAAGATTTCATGGACATTTATTAATTCCCCAAATTAATACTTTTATAATTTCTTATGCCTGTCTTTACTGCAATCTCTGAACATAAATTGTGAAGATTTCATGGACACTTATCACTTCCCCAATCAATACTCTTGTGATTTCCTATGCCTGTCTTTCCTTTAATCTCTTAATTCCATCATCTTCATAAACTGAGGATGAATGTTGCCTCAGGACCCTGTGATGATTGCATTAACTGCACAAATTGTTTAAACAATATGAAATCTGGGCACCTTGAAAAAAGAACAGGATAACAGCAATGTTCAGGGAACAAGCGAGATAACCTTAAAGTCTGGCTGCCTGTGGGTCAGGCGGAACAGAGCTGTATTTCTCTTCTTTCAAAAGCAAACAGGAGAAATATCGCTGAATTCTTTTTCTCAGCAAGGAACATCCCTGAGAAAGAGAATGCATCCCTAACGGGAGGCCTCTGAAATGGCCGCTTTGGGGATGTCTGTCTTTTAAGGTTGTAGATAAGGGATGAAATAAGCCCTGGTCTCCTGAAGCACTCCCAGGCTTATTAGGATGAGGAAATTCCTGCCTAATAAATTTTGGTTAGACCAGTTGTCTGCTCTCAAACCCTGTCTCCTAAGATGTTATCAATGACAATGCGTGCCTGAAACTTCATTAGCAATTTTAATTTTGCCCCGGTCCTCTGATCTTGCCCTGCCTCCATTTACCTTGTGATATTTTATTACCTTGTGAAGCATGTGATCTCTGTGACCCACACCCTATTCTTACACTCCCTCCCCTTTTGAAAATCACAAATAACAACTTGCTGGTTTTGTGGCTTGTGGGGCATCAAGGAACCTGCCGACATGTGATGTCTCTCCTGGACACCCAGCTTTAAAATTTCTCTCTTTTGTACTCTTTCAGTTTATTTCTCAGACCGGCCAACACTTAGGGAAAATAGCAAAGAACCTACGTGAAATATCAGCTGTGAATTTCCCCTGACAGTGGAGGTGTGTTGCTAGTCTTGCCAGCTGAAAACAAATTGCTTCTGTTGGTCCTTATTGACAGAGATGTACAAAAAAGCATTTGGCAGATCAATAGGTGCATAAAAAGTAACAGGGGGTGTGTTAATTTGCCCAAGCAATGAAACTATGTCTGGTAGAAGTTTCAGTTGGACCTACTGCTTTATCAAGCTTATAGTAATCCACTGTCACTCTTCAAGATTCATCTGTTTTCTGCACAGGCCAAATAGGCGAGTTGAATGGAAATGTGGTGGGAATCACAAACCTTGCATCTTTTAAGTCTTGATGGTGGCACTAATATCTAGACTCCCTCTAGTAACATGGTATTCCTTTTGTTTTACTGTGCTTCCAGATAGAGGAAAGTATGGTGGCTCCCTCCTGGCCTTTGCCATTGAGGTACTTTCAATGCTATTGATATACTTTTGATGTTTGTCCCCTCCAAATCTTATGTTGAAATATGATCCCCAATGTTGGAGACAGGGCTGAGTGGGGGGTTTTTGGGTCAGAGGATGGATCCCTCATGAATGTCTTGGTCCTGTCCCCAAGATAATGAGTGGGTTCTCACTTTATTAGTTCACATGAGAGTTGGTTGTTTAAAAGAACATAGCAACTCTCTTACTCCCTCTCTCACCATGTGACACACCTGTTCCTCCTTCATCCTCCACCATAATTTTAAAATTATTGAGACTTCACCAGAAATAGATGCTGGTGCCATGCCTTTTCTACAGTCTGCCAACAAAAACCTCTTTTCTTTATAAATTACACAGCCTCAGATACTTCTTTATAGAAGTGCAAAATGTATTACTACACTACCATAATAAATATCACTCCATGAGTTAGGGAACCAATGTGGGGGTTTTGCCAGATGTTAAATATGTGTATTCCAATTATGCATTCCCAAACTGAGGGGATAACCACAGGACAGGTTTGGAGACTGATAGCCAACTGTGAGATGGACCTAAGCTAAACCTTCATTGATCACCTGACCACCATAAGCCCCTACTTTGATGTGTGGACCACAGATATATTTTGGTTCTCCTGGAATTAATAAGATTTGAGAACCAATGTCCACTAGTCCTTGATTTCTAGTTATTTTCTTTTCCCCAATGCACTATTACTCTGGTAAAAGGCTGTAGGTCCATTTATAGAAGGTTGTGAGAAAGATTAACATTATAAATTTTTTATGGTGTACTGGGGTCCTTCCTCAAGCTGTTCTGGGTCTGTAAAGTGTCTCAAGTCTGAAAATTAATTAAAAGTCTGTAGTTCTCTGTTTTTATGATTTAAGTAACACTTTTTGCTGACTTGACATGTACATTTCTCTTTATACAGATCAACCAACAATTTAGCAATTTTCCTCTCTATTTCACTTTAGGAACACCATGACCAACTAGCCAATGCCATAAGGTCTGTGTGAATCAGACTATTCTGATTGCCCCTTTGACTTGCTGTTCATTACAATAATCACATCCGTATTACTTTTAGAGGTTGAATGCATCCACTTAGCCCCTGAAGCCCTGATGTCAAAATATTCCCACTGCATTTAGGTTTTCCCAGTTAGTAACTGAAGTCCCCACTAAAGGTATGGACTATGGAGAAGCGTGACTACAGAACTCTTCAAGAATTCTGGGGCTGTTCTCACACATTTAGTTCTCATAGTTGTGCTAAAAAGTATGTCCTATGGGCCCTGACAGAGTGAAAACATGACAAATCCACTTTAATATTCCCATCTCCCTAAAGCTCTGGATGGGTTTGCACCATTATCTTAAAAGACACAGTCTGGAACACCATCACCTCAAATGTTAAAAATTCAAAGGATAAATATCCTTAAAATCTAAAATCCCCAAAATCATAATCTTGGAAGAATAAAATCCCCCTAAAATAATTCCACAAATAGTAATTTAAAAATGCTTTAAAATACATTTATTTACATTTTTAAAGCTAGTAAAGGGAGTAGTAAAGTAAGAGAGTTCACTTGATGAATATAAAAAACACAACTTCATTGGCAACTTTATACAATGAAATAGGCAATTACAACTTGTGTATTTTTGCAAGCATAAACACTCAGATATACCAATGACAGTCATGCAAGCATAACAGTTATGAGTGGGTGAGCCATATTCATAAAGAAGTAGATCAAAATGTTTGTTAATTTTGTGTACCTAGATCTACTGTGACAGACAACTTAAGACTTTTGATGAGACTGACCAAAGCCTACGTAGGTCACTACCACATATGAAGTTGCCCAACAAGCTGAGATCTTGAGAAATTTTCTTTTTCACAAATGCAGATGTACAAAGCAGTCATCTCTTCATTTGTTGATGAAGTTTCAACATTTATGTTGTTAATTTTTAAAAAGTCACACATTTGTAAATTTAGAGGAGACTATATTTCTCATAAAGGGGTACAGTCTGCAAGGTTACCGTCTTGCAGGCCAGGAAGCATGAATTTGGTCAGAGACCAGAGATAGGAACTTCGAAGAAGGAGAGATTGGAGCAGGAGCTTTATGCTAAACAGGTAGGTTAAACATACATATTCAGCAGGTTACAGTAGGAGCTGTGAATATTCGTGACAGTGGTCCTGACACATGCATATTGAGAAAACATGCATATAACATACAACCCATGTTCATTTTGGGGTGGACACTTAACATTGACATTTATTACAATTAGGCCTTATATGTCAAAAGGTCTTTTCAGAACGTGAAGGCACACAAGTGCCCAGTCTCTATAAATTGCCAAAACCAGTTCATGGTTGGTGGTCTTCTTGTCAGGAGGAAGTTACTGAAATCAGTCTCTTGTGCTGTTAAAGCTGTAGTCATGGTGAGTGGAACAGGAGCTCAGTTAGTTACTGTCTGTGAGCTGGATGAGTTGCAATTGTTTTAACGTTCCTTATCTCAAGGCCGGCACTTGTTTAGCTGCTGGAGAAAAAGAAAAACCTTGTGTCAGTGAGAATATAGTTGGTTTTTTAAGTGTAGAAGTGTGTGACTTGATCCTTGCCTGACATGGCCTTAGGTTCTATTTATAGTTTGGTATCTTATTGCCACAAAGAGTCTGTTCTGTAAGTCTTTTTTTTTTTTTAATTTTACTTTAAGTTCTGGGATACATGTGCAGAACATGAAGGTTTGTTACATAGGTATACATGTGTCATGGTGGTTTGCTGCACCTATCAACCTGTAATCTAGGTTTTAAGCCCCGTATGCATTAGGTATTTGTCCTAATGCTCTCCCTCCCCTAGCCCCCCACCCCCTGACAGGCCCCAGTGTGTGATGTTCCCCTTCCTGTGTCCATGTGTTCTCATTGTTCAACTCCCAATTATGAGTGAGAACGTGCAGTGTTTGGGTTTCTATTCCTGTGTTAGTTTGTCTTATGATCTCTGTTTTATTAATGCTGGACAGTTTTTGTGCCTAAACCAAAGAAGGAAGGGGAGTATAAAAAGGCTTGTCTGACCTTGAATCCCATCATGGCTAGGAACACAGTGTTAATGTTTTCCTTCTTCTTGACCAAGAAGGAGTCTCTTCAGTCAGTGGTGAACTTAGGATTTTAGTTTTAGTTTACAATAAGCACACACACAATGCTTGCAAAGTCAATGTAGTGATAATGCACTTTCATGGGATCAGATTTGCAAAAAGTGAATAAAGTAAGTTAGAACTCTAGAAGTCATTACACAATTCATACCTCCAGCATTAGAAATGATATGAAGAGGAAGTACATAGCATAACAAATTGGCACTCTGTGTGAAGGGACAGAAGTTATACATGATTATAATTTGGCAGGGTGAATTTCTTGTATTTTTTGCCTACATTTTCACTTCTATCATCTTCAAAACATTAATTGCACTTGTATTTAGACAGTGGTTGTGATCTACAAATTTAAGTATATCCTGTCCATTTGAGAGTCTGGTCATTGTGACCATTGCAATTCAGTGATTTTCTGCTTTTGTAGTACTACTAATAATTAGCTTCCAAACCTTTATCTTTCACCATTAAGTAGCCTCATACCCTTAATTTATCACAGCCTTTTATAAGGAAACAATTTCATAAATCTCTTCCATTGTGTTGTAAGGAATACAGTAAGAGGAAATGATATTCAGCTTCCCCAATACCCAGTCTGTACTAGTCAGAGTTCTCAAGAGAGACAGAACCAACAAGATTAACTATATAGATATATGAGAGGGGATTTATTAGGAAAATTGGCTTAAATGATTCTGATGACTGAGAAGTCCTATGACAGGCTGTCTGCAAGCTGGAGACCCTGGGATGCCTGTAGGATGGCTCAGTTCAAATACAAAGGCCTCAGAACCAGTGAAGCTGAAAATATAACTCTCAGTCCAAGGTCAAAAGCCCCAGGGTCCAAAGAGTCACTGATGTAAGCGTTAGAGTCCAAAGAATGGTGAGCCTACAGTTCTGATGTCCAGGGCAGAAGAAGAAAAATCTGTCCCAGCTCTCAGAATACAGCCAACTCACCTTCTCTATTTGTTCCCTTTGGCTTTTGGCTGATTGAATGATGTCCACCAACAATATTGAGGGCAGATCTTCCGCACTTTGTCCACTCATACACACAAATTAATCTCCTCTAGAAACACTTTCACAGACACACTCAATATAATGCTTAACCAGGTTTTTAGGTATTCCCTTACTCTAGTCAGGTTGACACCGAAAACTAAGGCATGAGTCTACTCCTTTTCAAGTTCACACCCATATACACGTCTTTAAATTAAGCTTAATTTCTAAAGACAACAAGGTGATAGTTCTCTCTGACATGATGCAGCTATCCTACATACAACCCCAAACACAATAATTTCTTCCCTAGAATTTGGCTTTCATGATTTCATATTTGGAAGTTTAGTCTTTTAGGGTTTTAGGCATTAGGGATTTTAGACTTTGGGGATTTTGAGCTTTCCTGATTTCAACATTCAGGATTACGTCATTTGGGATTTGGATTGGTATTACTTTGTGTCCCTTCCTCTATGTTAAGGCAAGGAAACATTTCCAACTTGCTCACTGTGGGTCACCTTTTGGTTCATATTTCAGCCAACCAACCTGTAAACGCCTCTTCTAATACCTCAAACTGTAACATTAAATACAGAATATTGGCTTAGTTATCTCATATCAATAAATTTGCACTGATCCAACTTTTTATTCCTTCAAGAATTTTTCTACACCCATAATATCCATCCCCACACATGCTATCTGAATTTAGAAAACTCAAGTTTTCTTTTTAAATGTAGTGCATCTTTACATGGGTCCTACTGTGTGCCTCATTTTAAGGGTCTACTGGAACTTGAGCCTAGTTATAGGGCAAGAAGCAAAGAGGGTGGTTGGGTGGGTCCTAAGGGGAATCAGCATTGCTTCTTAGGGCAACTGCCGCAGGTGAGATCATTATAGTTTCCACAAGCAATGCAGATTTAATCCCCTCAGATAGGTGTGAAGAGTCTTTTTCCATTGGGGATGGAGAGACTTACTTTAATTGGGGTTAGGACACTACTTTCATTGGCAAAGAATTTTCATCAGAAATTTAGGGTTCAATGTCCCTACCTTCATCAGGACTCTACCATACATCCCCATTCCAACTTACAGGATTCTATTATTTCCCAATCAATGCTCTCACTTTAATAGTAGATATACTGTGAGGCTAGAAGTATAACATACATTATAACTCAGCCACTTGCAGGATGAAATTCTAGAACTGATTTTCAGTCATGTCAGCCTAGCATCTATAAGAGGTAAGACTTTTTTCAGGGCAATATTGAAGCTTTCGGATCATTTACCATGCTTGAGCTAGGAATTTGAATCTATGAGCTTATTCCTTTCTTTTTGTATTTTGTCCAACAATATTGGGAGCAACCGGCCAATCTCATTTACTAATCATTACTACAGTTTAAATATTTTTTTCCTTTTTAAAGTTCATGTTGAAACTTAATCTCCTCCAAAATTCAGGAGTTGTCAAAGTGAGAGTATTCAGAGGTGGGATATTTAAGAGATGGTAGGCCAGGAAGGCTGCTGTCTCGTTAATAGGATTAACAAGTTTTCTTAAGGGGCTTCATGTAGTGTTTGGGTAGACTGTTAGCTTGCCTTCTGTCTGCCTTTTGCCATATGTGTACACAGCAAGAAGGCCCTTACCACAGCAAATGCTGGCACCTTGATCTTGGACTTCCAAACCTCCAAAACTATGAAAAAATATATATATATCTGTTCTCTATAAATTACTCAGTGTGTAGTATTGTGTTAAAGCAGCGCAAAATGGACTAAGACATTTAGGTCAATAAAAATTTTCAAAAGTGTCACAAAAATGGCACAGTCACACAGATTCTTGCTTCTTATAAGTGGTTAAGAGTATATAATAGTGAGATATATATATATAATCTCTCTTTTTTTTTTTTTTTGAGACAGAGTTACAATCTTGTTGCCCAGGCTGGAATGCAATGGTACAATCTTGGCTTACTGCAACCTCTGCCTCCCGAATTCAAGTGATTCCCTTGCCTCAGCCTCCAATGTAGCTGGGATTACAGGCGCCCACCACCATCCCTAGCCAATTTTTGTATTTTTAGTAGAGACGGGGTTTCACCATGTTAGCCAGGCTTGTCTCAAACTCCTGACCTCAGGTGTTCTGCCCACCTTGGCCTCCCAAAGTTCTGGCATTACAGACATGAGCCACCGCACCTGGCCGATATCTCTTAACAGATCACTCCACGGATATCAGTACTTTGTTTACTCTTGGAAATAAAGTCATTAGCATCTTTAAATCTAATCAGATTAGAGAGCCAATTTTAGAAACACCAAAACTGATTTAGAAAACCCATCCTGAAAATTTTGTTCCTCTAAAACCACTCAGTACCAAAATCTGTATTAGTCAGGATTCTCCTGAGAAACAAAACCTATAGAATGGATATACAAAATAAGAAATTGGCTCACATAATTATAATCATCAACAAGTCTTAAGATCAGCACAATATGCTGAAGGCTCAAGAGGGTTAACAGTAGAGTCCCTGTCTGAAACCAAAGGCAGGAATAAAACTGCTGTGTTAGGCCCAAGGCAGTCCAGTTAGAAGAATGCCTCCTTTTGGTGGCATGACAGACATTTTATTCTATTCAGACTTCAACTAATCGGATAAGACCCAGCTTCATACTGAAGGGCAGTCTGCTTTACTTAGTCAAATTGATTTAAATGTTAAACTCGTCCAAAACATCCTCACAGACACACCCAGAATAATACTTGAGCAAATATCGGGGCAACTAATGGTTCAGTTGAGTTGACACATACAATTTACCATCATACCTCTCTTCTCCACCTTGGCCTTGATCTACAAGACCCTCCTGACTATATTCCATCTGCTGTTCCATAGCCTGAACTATGAGAAGCCTCTCTTCATTAATCCACTTCTCTAAAGACACTTTGCTCAAAATTTTAGCATCTAAACAAATTAATCCATCCTCCCACAAGTTTATTCCGTGTTTTATAATTTCAGTGATGTTATCAATGGTGCTTTTTAAAAAAATTCCTGAAACTCAACTTATAATGTATAAAATGTTAATAATTAAGCACGTTTTATGAGCATTTTTTCTTTACCATCTGTGTGCCTTATTCTTTGTGTTTTAAAAACACTATCCAAATTCATATTATTCAGAAATTTAGTCTAAAGTTATAATATTTTTAAAAATTCTTACAGTTTTAATGTCTCTTTGGTTCATAATTGAATTATATTGGAATCAAGGTTAAATGCACATGTATTTTCCTATAATTCAAATTAAATATTAAAAAGCATCTACCAATTTTTTGTATTTAGCACATTATCTAATGGTGTGCCCTCTACAAGGGTTTTAAATAATTTGTTGATAAAATGACAAAACAATTCATTTTCCTGCAAAAATAAAAAAGGTATGGTTAGGTTTCTATCTAAGAAGGTTCTACATTAGGTATCATTAATTGTGAAATGTTTAATAAAATGCACAAATGAAAGGGGAATTGGTTTAACATTTTTCCAAAACAGTTGTTCAAAATATTTGAATTTATTAAGCCCTAAATTTTTTGAGATATTAAATTCTCAAAATATATTAAATTGTTATTTGCTGTAGCCTCAGCAAACATCCCCGTGTTACTCTAAAAGAGTATTTTTACATTTTCCAGGCTTAATTAAAAATACATATGTTCTGGTTACTTAAAAAGCAAATATTTATGAAAACAGAGTTTCACTCTTTATATTTAGTTTTTAAAAAAACACCTTTCTATTTTGGGGTTTAAATAATTTTACTAATAAGACTGTAAAGAAGAGAAATTTGCAATCTACTTGACATTTTTTGTTTAGTGCTTTCAGATTTCAAGACTAGTTTTTTCTTCTATAAATAATTATACTTCAAAATTTGTCTTTAATATACATGTAAAAAAAAAGATGTGTAAAAATACTGAGACTTCCAGGAAGAAAAATTCCATAAAAATCCTAAAGTTTATTAATTGCTATGACTTTGCAATTTATATTTCTTTCTTTTCTTTGCTTTTGTTTCTTTTTAATTTAATTTGCTGTCTAATTATACAAGTAATAAATCAACATATTTTCTTCAAAATGATGCAGATGAAACTAATGATGAAATTAATGATGAACTTAGAGGCTCATTTGACCTCTACTGAGAGAGAGATAATCCCTAGGGATTTTGGTGTATTCTTACAGAGTAATATTTTCATTTATTTAGAGGGACAGATAGAACCCCACAGCATTTGGTTGATATACATTTTCAATACTTTTACTTTCAATCTTGTTTAAGTTTTAGCTAAATATTTTAGGGATATATTTAGAATTTAACAGCTATTTTGGTTATATGTTTAGGTTTATTAAAACTTTATTTCTGGAATTTTATGTATTTAATCTACTGGTCTTTTTCTAAATATCTTCACTTTTTTTGTCTTTTAATTGGTCTAATGTATGCTTTAATCATTTTAATCTTACTAATCTGAAAGTTATACATTATGCTTATATTTTTCCAGTGACTCTTTTAATTTTCACATTCATATTATAATTCAAATTTTTCTATTACTATCTAGACTTAGTAGTTTGTACCTCCCCTGCCCAAGTTGAACAGAATCCACAAATTTATTTCCATCTGCTCTAAACAATTTTTCACCCAATGTTATTATCTTTATTAGTTGTAGGTTGTTGTTCATTGTTAAATCAATAACTACTCAAGCTTGACAAAATTAGGCTTTTGCAAGACAAGCTCAAAGAAAGGAACTGCAGACAATCTCAAAGAAAGGAAAGGGGGCCTCAACTCTTACAAAGGCAGGTAGGCAAAAGAGTTAGTTGTGAGGAAGGATGAAGAAAAGTCTTACCTGGAAATATACATGGGCAATATGGTCTTTTGTGATTAACCATTTCCTGGAACACACAATTCTGTGTAATTTCTTAACCTTTGCTGTTTTTCAAGAGCACAGGGCTCAGGTAAAGGTCAACATTATCACATGGAGCTACAATTCCAAGGTTACATTTCTTTGCTTTCTTTCATTTTAATTTTGCTTCTAACTTTGAAGAGAGTAGTTTTCATTTTTTTTGTATTCACTATTTCTTCTATTTCCTGTACATGTAGTCACTTTTAAACTGTGAAATCTTATTATGGTTTCTACAACTCAGTAATACAAACAACTCAATTAAAAATGCAAGCCAGACTTAGCAAGGCACAGAATCTGCTATTGAATTTATCTTGGAATTTACCATCTCTGGTATAGTGAGAATAAAGTTAGTTGGTTAATTAAAAAAGCAATCTGAATAGATTTTTCTCTAAAGATATACAAGTAGCCAATATGTATGTTAAAAGGTGCTCAACATTATTAGTTATTAGAACAACTCAAATCAAAACCACGATGAAATACCACTTCACACCCACTAGAATCACTATGATCAAAAAAGTCAGATAATAATAAATGTTGCTGAGAATGTGGAGAAACAGGAACCCAGTTAAATGATTGGTAGGAATGCAGCCAATTTGGAAAACCATATGAGTTTTTCAAATGGTTAAACATAGTATTACCAAATAATCCAGGAGTTTCACTTTTAGAGAATGAAAAGTGTCCAAGCAGAATGAAAACATGTCCCTACAAAAAAACTTGTATACAAATGTTCATAGAAGCATTATTCATAATAGGCAAAAAGTAGAAACAACCCACATGTACATCAGCAGATGAATGGATGCATCAAATTGGTAGAGCCATAAAGTAAAATATTATTCAACCATAAAAATAACTGAAGTACTGATACATGCTGTAACACGGATGAACTTGAAACATCATTCTATGTGCATCCTTCTATATGCAGTCAGAAAGGACATGTTGCATAATTCTATTCATCTGAAATGTCTAGAATAGGCAAATCAATAGAAAGAGAAAGTAGATTTGTGGTTGTCCAGAGCTAAAGAGGTTGGGAACACACAGGGAGTGATTGCTAATAGGTAGGGTTACTTTTTGGGGTGATGAAAATTTTCTTAAATGGATTACAGTGATGGTTGCACAACTCTGTGAATATATTTTTTTAAAAACTGAATTTTACAAGTAAATGGTTAAATTGTATAGTATATAAATTATATCTCAATAAACCCATAATGAAAATTAAATTACATAAATGTATCATCAAATAACATAAAAACAAAACACCTCGTTATAGGCCGGGCACGGTGGCTCACACCTGTAATCCCAGTACTTTGGGAAGCCAAGGGGGGTAAATCATGAGGTCAGGAGATCGAGACCATCCTGGCTAATGTGGTGAAACCCCGTCTCTAATAAAAATAAAAAAAAAATTAGCCGGGCGAGGTGGCGGGCGCCTGTAGTCCCAGCTACTTGGGAGGCTGAGGCAGGAGAATGGCGTGAAGCCGGGAGGTGGAGCTTGCAGTGATCCGAGATCGCACCACTGCACTCCAGCCTGGGCAACAGAGTGAGACTCCGTCTCAAAAAAAAAAAAAAAAAAAAAAAACACACACACACACCTCGTTATAGTATTTTTCTTTATTAGTTATAAAAAGTTTTAAGTTTTTGAACATGCTTCTTAGTCTTTTTATTGTCCTTTAATTTTAATAAATTCTATATTAAAAAATACTATGTTCTCCATTCTCTTGGTTCTTCACTCTGAAAATCCGATTGTGAATTTTGGACTTTTACGTTTATTTTCAATATTTATTAACATTTCTTTAACATATCCATTTATCTCTTTAAAATTATGGAATATTTCTTTAGTTAGATATCAAAATGTGTTAATTTATTCTTCAGCTGTTTGCATTCAAATACAGAGGCTTTGGTTTTATCAATATATATAAATTCTAAGATTTAGAAGGAATCGGCTAGGAGGTTTCCCTGAGCCCCTAGTCCCTCCCTTTCTCCCCTCACTCCAGCGGGACATGCTCTGCTCAGCTTCTCTCTTTCCTAGTACTCTGCCTCTGTGGGTTTCTTGGGCTGAAGATAGCTTCTTCAGTACAATGCTTCCTACTTTCACTTTGAAGGTGGTGCTCATAGTTTCTTTTCTCATAAAATTTGTGCTCTTACTTTTATGCACAACACAACCAGATTTTCTCATATATAATTTTTTTATTATTATAAGTCCTGGGGTACATGTGCATAACGTGCAGGTTTGTTACATAGGTATACACATGCCATGGTGGTTTGCTGCACTTATCAACCCATCATCTACATTAGGTATTTCTCCTAATGCTATCCCTCTGCTAGCCCTCCACCCAACAACAGGCCCTCCCTGTGTCCAGGTGTTCTCATTGTTCAACTCCCACTTCTGAGTGAGAACATACAGTGTGTGGTTTTCTGTTCTTGTGATAGTTTGCTGAGAATGATGGCTTCCAGCTTCATCCATGTCCCTGCGAAGGACATTAACTCATCCTTTTTTAAGGCTGCATAGTATTCCATGGTGTATATGTGCCACATTTTCTTTATCCAGTCTATCTTTGATGGGCATTTGGGTTGGTTCCAAGTCTTTTCTATTGTGAACAGTGCCACAGTAAGCATACGTGTGCATGTGTCTTTAGAGTAGAATGATTGATAATCCGTTGGGTATATACCCAGTAATGGGATTGCTTGGTCAAATGGTATTTCTAGTTCTAGATCCTTGAGGAATTGCCACACTGTCTTCCACAATGGCTGAACTAATTTACACTCCCACCAACAGTGTAAAAGTGTTCCCAATTTCTCCACATCCTCTCCAGCATCTGTTGTTTCCTGACTTTTTAATGATCGCCATTCTAACTGGTGCAAGATGGTATCTCATTATGGTTTTGATTTGCATTTCTCTGATGACCAGTGATGATGAGCTGTTTTTCATATGTTTGTTGGCTGCATAAATGTCTTCTTTTAAAAAGAGTTTGTTCATATCCTTTGCCCACTTTTTGATGGGACAGTTTGATTTTTTCTCATAAATTTGTTTAAGTTATTTGTAGATTCTGGATATTAGCCCTTTGTCAGATGGATAGATTGCAAAAAATGTCTCCCATTCTGTAAGTTGCCTGTTCACTCTGATGATAGTTTCTTTTGCTGTGCAGAAGCTCTTTAGTTTAATTAGATCCCATTTGTCAATTTTGGCTTTTGTTGCCATTGCTTTTGGTGTTTTAGTTATGAAGTCTTTGCCCATGCCTATGCCTTGAATGGTATTGTCTAGGTTTTCTTCTAGGGTTTTTATGATTTTAGATTTTACATTTAAGTCTTTAATCCATCTTGAGTTAGTTTTTGTATAAGGTGTAAGAAAGGGATCCAGTTTCAGCTTTCTGCACATAGCTAGCCAGTTTTCCCAACACCATTTATTAAATAGGAAATCCTTTCTCCAGTGCTTGTTTTTGTCAGGTTTGTTAAAGATCAGATGGTTGTAGATGTGTGGCATCATTTCTGAGGCCTCTGTTCTGTTCCATTGGTCTATATGTCTGTTTTGGTACCAGTACCATGGTGTTTTTGTTACTGTAGCCTTGTAGTATAGTTTGATGTTAGGTAGCATGATGTCTCCAGCTTTGTTCTTTTTGCTTAGGATTGTCTTGGCAATGCAGGCTCTTTTTTGGCTCCATATGAAATTTGAGTGTTTTTTTTTTTTTCCAATTCTGTGAAGAAAGTCAAAGGTATCTTGATGGGGATAGCATTGAATCTATAACTTGCTTTGGGCAGTATGGTCATTTTCACAATATTGATTCTTCCTATCCATGAGCATGGAATGTTTCCTGTTTGTATTTTAACACCGAGAAAATTGCTGCTTTTCAGGAGAAAATAATGACATAAACATTTTAATTGTAGGGGTTTAGAAATGTTTCTATATATATGAGATTTTTCTTACTATAAACAATGTTTTTCACAAAATTCTGTATATCTCCACAATTATAAAACTTGTGAGAAATTTTAATCTATCTAAACTCTCTTCTAAATTAAAAGTTTCAGATGGTCTGAACACATTTGTTGAACATATAACGTTTTCCTATTAGTTTTCATAAACAACAATTGACATTAGGTAAGATGAAAATTTGCAAGGTAAATGTCAATAATAATTTTTTTATAATTGATAGATGGAATTGAACCATGAGCATCGTGATGTAGTATTCACAGTCACAGTGTATTCCATCTATCTAGACCTTTTTTCAAGATGAAGAATCATTTGCCAACTCTAAGAACCATCAGTGTCAAATACTAAAACACGTTAAACCTAGTACCAAACCTTTAAAAAATAATATCGCAAAGTTTACAGCAGGATTTTAAGATAATAAAGCACAGTCAATGAAATCTTTCTTATAACAATGTATACAATGTTATATTTTTATTTTTTATAGTATATAGTATTTTGGTAGTATACATGCATATATAATTTATGAATAAATGTGCAGATTACAGGGCACTTAATTTTTTGGAATTCAAGAAGCATGTGGTCAGAACAGTTTTAAGACTAACCTAATCTACCTTCTGAATGTTAAATATTAAGAAGCTAAGGCTTTTCAAATGTTATGCAGTTTTTCTCCCAGTGATGGGGTTTCCTGAAGCCTCCTCTAAACTTTCTTTCAGTATTCCATTCTGATAAATCCAAATGTGTTTACAAAAAAAAAAACAATGAAAAATAAAAAATCATTTATAGGTATTCTTAGAATCCACTCGAAGGAAGCTGCACATTAAAATTTGCTAGTTCTTAGAGTGGTGGTTGTCAGACATTTGGGGGAACAGGGGAAGGAGAGTTATTGTTTAGAGGATACAGAAATTAGTTTTGCAAGATGAAAACAGTTATGGAAATGGATAGCTGTGCTATTTGCACAACAAAGTGAATATGTTTAATACCAGTGTAAAAATGTTGTAACACAGTTCAAAGTAGTTAAGATGATAAATTTCATGTTATGGTATTTTGCCAAATTTAAAAAGATAAAACCAATTTAAAAAATTTTACTTCTATGTGGTAGGGTAATTTTTCAGCTCTTTTTCCCAGTTTGCTTGTAATGGATATGTTTTTCTTTCATAATCAGAAAACCAAAAATTTAAATGATAGTTTTATCATCATAGTTTTATAATATAGCTTTTAATGTATATTCAGAGGAGTTTATTCAGTGTAATGCAAGTGATTACTGCAATAAAATATCAGGAAGCAGTTAGGTAATTTTCCATTTAGGAAATGTTATGAATTTTATAATGAATTGTTACGGAAGAGGGGATGTGTTTTAACAGACTGTTGGATCCAGGCCTCGCTCATCCTTGGAGTGAAGGGGGCTGGGGGTGGTGGGAAGATTGTCAGCCTGATGTGAGAGACTCAGTCACAGATGAGATAGTGTGGTTGTCAGGAGACCTTAGGTGAATGCAAGCATAGAGGGCAACTCAATGTTATTTCAAACATTTGAAGATAAATCCATGCCCCCACTTACTTTTTTCTCTATCAAATTGTTTCTCCAGATTAAATATTCTCAGTTCCTTAAGTTTTCTGCATTAGGCATGCTCTACAGGACTTTCATCATCTTTCATTTTCATTCTTCTCTGATTGTACTTGAATTTGTTTACATCCTTCCTAACATAGAGCCAAAGAGAGTAAAGTAGGCCAATTTTACATGCAGTTGATCTTAATTATTTGCAGACTTTGTATTTGTGAATTCACCTACAGGCCAAAGTTTATTTATAACCCTGAAATCAGTACTCACTGTCACTTTCCTGATCATCGGTGGGCACGCAGAGAGGGGAAAAGAATTTGAGTTGCTTGATGCACACATTCCCAGCTGAAGCCAAACAAGGCAACTGCTTTGCCTTCTTGTTTCAGGTCTCATGCTCTAAATAAGTGTCCTTTTCAAGGGTGATTTAGTACCACATTGTTCTCATTTTTGTATTTTTAGTTGGCGATGTCACTGTTTAAAATGGCCCTCAAGTATAGTGCTGAAATGCTTTCTAGTGTTCCTAAGCACAAGAGTGCTGTGAAGTGACTTTTGGAGAAATTACGCCTGTTAAATAAGCTTCCTTCAGGCATGAGTGATAGTGGTGTGGTCTGTGAGTTCCATGTTGATGAATCAACAATATATATTAAATAAGATTTCTTTAAACAGAAACACACATAAAACATAGTTATGTGTCGCTTAATTGACAAAAATGTGACCAAAAGCTTGCAGGGACCTAACCCATTATTTCTCCTAGGAGCAATGGTTCAGAATGACCTAATTCAGTGTTCAAGGTGAGTTAATAAGTCTTCACCTAGATTATGAATAAAAATATTAGTTAGGTTATGGCCAAGGATGGTGCCTGTGTTCTATTACTAGGAAGCTCTCTCCATACAGCTATAGAGCTACTGGTCAGTAATTGTTTTGGCATTGAACCCATCTCAATTCTGCCTATTGAGATAATTATTAACATATTTTTATTGAAATGACCCTGAATCAACTGATTCTGAGATGGAACAGGGACCCCTCTTAGGGGTCGACTGGGCACCGCATCCCTACCCCAAGCATGAAGATAAAAGGAAATTTTGATTTCTTCAAGGGGAATTCTAGGAACTTCGCTAGCTTTGAGAAGCAAATGAGCAACTTGATAAGTAAGAAGTAATAATAGCTTAAAACAAAAGCCAAGGAAGTGAGAATGAGGAGATGCTTTGTTCCCCTATAGAAACTAAAGATAACATCTTATGTCCCTGAGTTGTTTTTCAGAAATCCAAACCCCTACCAAATGGAAAATGCTGTCTGCTGTCATGTAGACTCCAAATGAGGGGGAACTGAGGACTGAATTCTGATTGTCATTCTTTGTTCTAAATTTCTTCCTCAGGGACCTGGAGGTGGTCACACCCACAAGCCAGAGCTCAATATTCCTTTCTGCTGACCCCAGATTTTTAGACAAATCTTTGGCTCCTTAACCAATCACAAATCAGAAAATCTTTGACTTCACCTATGACCTGTAGCCCTTGCTTCTTGATGTCCTGCCTTTTTAGGTAAAACCCATGTGTAGCCTGGGTATATTGATTTATGATTTTGCATGTCACCCCTGCCTTTAAAAACTCTACCTGTAAGCCATTTGGGAGTTTGGGTCTTACGCACGAACTGCCCAATTCTCTTTGCTTGGTGCCCTGCAATAAATGCCCCACTTTCTTTAGCTGCAACCCTAATATCAGTATTTGGTTTTACTGTGCCAAGTGGGCAGACCTACTTGTTGTTACCATTAATTCCAACTTGCCATATTCATATTTCACAGAACATTCACTTTAGAAGTGTAACCAGGGTAAATGACAGACTCAGAATGCCTTACAGAATTGCCCACTTTCTTCTTTAAAATGTAGATAGAACTTTTCTAGATACATTGTCTCCTTAAGAAATCAAGTATTAAATCTAAAAATGTAAATCAAAAGAGAATACATATGATATAATATATGTGTGTGTGTATATATATATGTATATATATGAATAATATATGACCAGACTTTAACTGAGATTCAGCTTTGGGTTTTGGATCTTGAGGAGGTCACTAGGCCTCTTGAACTTTAAGCAAACATTAGCATACTTTTCAATAAACTTCAGCTAGCAAATCTGAATATGCTTCTGTCCCATCAAATGATCTGACTCCAAGAATCAGCCAAATTTCAGAGTAAAACACTCTTAATTCCCTCACAGTCAAAACCTGCCTCTATTCCCTCAGATACAGCCTCCAGACCTGGTGTTTCTCATTAATGCGATGGCTATAGAATAACGTCCTTTCCTCCTGAAGGCCGAATTTTTCTCTTTGATATATATGATTATGTCACATTATCAAATGTGTTTATATATATATACAAACATTTGCCTGAAAAAAATGATAGATAATGGCACTAGTTTCAGTCTGATTCCACCATTGTTTTTAACAGGGTAACAGATTCTGCTATAGAAAGCCTTTATTATTTTTTCTACATAGCTGTCTTTGTACTGAATTCAGTCAATATTTTCTTGTGAGAGTTAAAAACAGTAAAATATTGGTCATCTTTCTTGATTCTTTGATAGTGTCCTTTTCTTTATAACTTTCATATTGTAGCTATAAAATAGTGTCGGTGTGCTTTGCCTTATAAAATATGATATAAATCAAACTAAATTTGGTTAAATGTGAGTGTCAGATACTTCAGTTAGAAAATAAAGGCTCATTAGTATTCCTCTCTAATGGAGGACGGTTAGAAATCTCTTTGACTTTCATTTTTAATGCAGATAAAATTCGACAGTCAATCAAGAGAATTTTTTTTCATAAATCAAATTTGAGTATACGGTGGACATAATAAAAAGAAAAATAAACAAAGAAATCCAGACACTCACCACAGCTAATAGTTTGTCAGGTGGTTACATTAAATAACGATCACTAATTAAAGAAAAGGAAAATTAATGTGAAATCATGTTAGAACTGATAGATGTAAAACTTTCCTCTCTGACATATATTGAAAGGATTCAGAGGTAAGTGTCACGTTCTAAATTAACATGTACATAAAAGTCAACACATCTGTGCAGCTGCTGGAAGACTCACACCTCCAGCCCATCCATCCCCACACAGGAACCTGTCACCTCCCAGCACCTCAGTCCTATACCTGGATAGAACTTTCCGTCTGAAGGGTGCCATCACAGACTATGTTTTAATACTTGGTGCCCTATAATACTTTTCAATATAAATGTTTCCATCCTAAGCAGATTCTAGAACTCTCCTAGTTTTCTAGTTCTGAAGGTTCTCCTTGCAGACATCATTTCACTAAGAATATCCTGATATCAGAAATGATGTGGTTATAGCTGCAGAAGGACTAGGATGGGGTGTGTGTAATTTGTATGTGTGGTGGTTGTGTGTATATGTGTGTATATGTGGTGTGTGTGAGGTGTATGTGTGTGGAGTGTGTGTGTGTGTAGTATGTATTGTGTGTGTATGTGTGGAGTGTGTGCGTGAGATATGCATGGTGTGTGTATGTTTGTGTGTGGTATGTGTGTCTGTGTGTGGTGTGGGGGGTTTGTGTGCCTATGTGGGGTGTGTGTGGTGTAGTGTGGTTTATGTATGGTATGGTGTGTGTGCATTTTGTGTCTGTGTGGTGTGAAGGGTATGTGTGTTTTTTGTGTGTATATGTGGGGTGTGTGTGGTGTGTGTGGTATATGTATGATGTGTTGTGTATGTTTGTGTATGGGATGTGTGTGGGTATGTGTGTACTGTGTGTTTGTTGTATGTGTGTATGTTTGTGTGGTGTGTGTGTATATATGTGGTGTATGTGGTGAATGTATGTATGTGTGTGTCTATGTATGGTGTGGGGGGAACGTGTGTAGTTTGTGTCTATATGTAGTGTGTGTGTGGTATATGAATGGTGTGTGTATCTTTGTGTGTGTGGTGTGTGTTTGTGTCTGTGTGTGATTTGCGTGTCTGTGGGGTGTGTGTGGTATTTTGGGTAAATGTATGTTGTGCTGTGTATGTTTGTGTGTGTGGTGTGTGTGCTTAGCATAAGTGTAATGGGGGGGTGTGTCTGTATGGTGTGTGTGTGCCATTATTTGCTTTTCCTAAAGCTATACTTCAGTGAATAAATGATAAATGAATAGAGGGGAGGATAGTAGGATGAGCTTTTGATATAGAGTTAGTACTTCCACCTCAACATAAATAATTTACTAAATTATTATTCTTGATATTTGTGAGTTGATTGTAGGAGTGCAAAAGAGATGAAAGAACTTTTTATTTCTTGACTTTACTGTTCCATTTTCCAATAAGAAAGGGTCAGAGAAATGAGACCCACTCTTAAAAAGTACCTCACGTAAAACACTTGATTAAAAGAATAAATTAAAATCCTTCAGATAACCTAGAAATAAATCTTCTTCTCTAAGGTTTATAAGATTAATTTAGGCCTAGAATTGATGTCTTTGCAGGTCACCAAATCCTTTCCCCAAATCCAAAACACTGTGACTGAGAGCAAACGAAGGACTCAAAATTGTGATTTTTCAAAAAACTACATATCCAGTTACAAAAAAATACACGGATGAAAAAATCTCTATACTCTTGTCTGAGTGAATCATCAGTTGCAATATAGTATTGGCTTTTTCTTCATTGAGAAATACAAATGGTTTTATATACTGAAAGATGCAGCTCTCAATATTAGTGATCTTAGAAGTACCACTGAACTGAGATGTATGCGTACAACTTAAATTCTGTTCCCCAAAAAAGGAAATCCCTTTATAGACATGAAATGTAGACATAGAACAATAACAACTTAGGTTGTTCTTGCATTGCTAAAGGTATTGCATTGTGTTACCTGGGTAATTTATGAGAAAAGGGTTCAATTGCCTCACAGTTCTATAGGCTGTACAGAAAGCATAACTCTGTCATCTGCTTCTGGGGAGGCCTCAGGAAGCTTCCAGTCATGGTTGAAGGCAAAGGAGAAGCAGGCACCTTACATGGCAAGAAAGGGAGCAAGAGAGAGAGAATGTGGGTGGTGTCACCCACTGTTAAATGACCAAATCTCATGAGAACTCCTAGTTGGGAAGGCCACACCTAGGGATTCCAATTCGACATGGGATTTGGGCGGGGACAAATATCCAAACCCTGACCCCTCTCAAATTTCATGTCCTTCTCACATTGAAAACTACAACCATGCCTTCCCAATAGTTCTCCAAAGTCTTAACTCATTCCAGCATTAACTCAGAAGTCCAAAGTCTCATCAGAGACAAGGCAAATGCCTTCCACCTCTGAGCCTGTAAAATAAAAAACAAGTTAGTTACTTCCAAGACACAGTGGGGGCAGACCCCTCATGGCTTTATGCTGTCTTTGTGAGAGTGAGTTCTTAGGATATCTAGTCATTTAAATGTGTGTGACACCCTGACCCACTTCTCTTGCTCCTGCTTTTGCCACGTGATGTGCCTGCTCCCGCTTTGGCTTCCACCAGATGCCCTAAATTATCAGTCCGAAGCTCAAACTTGCACCAATCCCTAGGACACGAACAGAATGCAACAAAGTTCTTTGCTAAGGCATAACTCCATGACCTTTGCACCAGTTCCCAATAAGTTCCCATTTCTATGTGAGGCCTCTTCAGCCTGGACTTCACTGTTCATATCACTATCAGAATTTTGGTCACAATCATTTAACCAGTCTCTAAGAAGTTTCAAACTTTTCCTCATCTTCCTGACTTCTTCTGCACCCTCTAAACTCTTCCAACCTCTGCCCATTATTCATTTCCAAAGTTGCTTCCCCATCTTCATGTATCTTTATAGCAAAGCTCTACTCCTACATACCTGTTTTCTGTATTAGTCAGGGCTCTTCAAAGGAACAGAACCAATAGAATATACGTATATATAAAAGGGAGTTTATCAGGCAAAGAGAATTGGCTCACACAATTACAAGGCAACATCCCACCATAGGCTGCCTGCAAATTGGAGAAAGAAAGAAGTCAGTAGTGGCTCAGTCTAAATCTGAAAGCCTCAAAACCAGGGAAGCCATCAATGCAGCCTTTGGTCTTTGTCAGAAGGCCTGAGAGCCCCCAGGAAGCTGCTAGTGCAAATCCCAGAGTCCAAAGGCCTTGATATCCAAGGGCAGGAGGAGCAGAAGCAAGTGTCCTGCACAGGAAGAAGAAAGAGAGCCAGAAGCCTCAGCAGGCAAATGCATCCCACCTTCCTCGGCCTGCCTTGTTCTAACTGCATTGGCAGCAGATTGGGTGGTGCCCACCCAGATTGGGAGGCGTCTTCTCTCCCAGTCCAGAGACACAAATGTCAGTCTCCTCTGGCAACACCCTCACAGACACACCCAGAAACAACACTGCCCCAACTATCTAGGCAGCTCTCAACTCAGTCAAGTTGACACCTAATGCATTAACCATTACAAACTCTCTTCGACACTTTGACAAAGAAACAAAATAAACTACTCTGAGAGTTTAAGGGTGAATATAAATATCTTCTTTGTTTAAAAGGGCAAAAAGATGATTTTCTCTTTTCACCTTTACTCAAGTGTTTTAGTGAAACTGAGCCCTTTTGTAACCTTTGCAATAGAGATAGATCTCTCCTGGGATTAAGCCCAGTCTCCACCTTTTATAATGTAGTGATATCTCCAAGGTCACAGGCCAAACTGCCTCTACATCTGTAAAAATGGAGTTCTGGAGCTAGCGGGGCAGGGGCGGCGGGCAGGGGGGAGCGGTATCTGAAGACATCTATAGGATACATACATGAAGAGACAAGAGAAGGCATTGTTTTTCTTCTGATTTGCTGTATCAACTGTGTGAGGTTTTGTTCTAAATTTCTATTTCCTTTCCTGCTACCTCATAGGCATGTGAATCTTTTAATGATTACTCAATAATAAATTGTGCTTGTGTTCACTTTCTCTTCTATATTGGTACTGAGAAATCTTTTGGTTGGCAACTTTATTTTTCCAATAGGGTTAAATATAATATTTCAATACATTAAATAATTTAACTTAATATATGCCAGATTATCAGTCAGCCCACACAGATCCTTTTTGAAAGTAAGCAATTTCTCAATTAAAATGTTAATTTGCTTGAAAAACAGAATGAATTTAACATGTATAAAGTTCTTCTAGAAGTTTCAAAATTATTTTTAATAAATAATTTAGAATTATTGAATAATCAGTTCAATGTAGTACTGATAATAGTACCATCAGTAATAATAATGATACAATAATTATGTAATTATAAAGAAATATAATTTAATTTCACACCTTCATATTAAAGATTAAGCACCCGAGTCTCCAGGGAGATTAAACCACTCAGTTGAGGTCACCTGACAGAGACTCCGAGCCAGGACCGGGCTCCTTTTTGTGATTCCAGTTCACATCTTGTACTGCCACCTCTTTTTCTGCACAACCCTGAAAATTGTATCAACACTTTAGGAGTCAACATAAAGTTGCATGCCAAGCTACATTTCCAAAATGACATCTTCAGACTTCCAGAACTTCCTTAATGAACTCACAAAGAATATTTAGATGCCAGTAAGGTGGGAAGCAGAAGCCTTAGGAATGTGGGGACGGCATCTGGGAATAAGTTGCTGTCACAAGTTTCCCACTTAAATGATGAGTTTTGACGGCTTTACCTAAATTTGATAAGGTTGCTGTATTGCTACTGGGGTTTTAAAAATCAGGATTCTATAAAATCTCATTTGAAAGTGTTTGCTCTTACAGTCTGTTTCCTGTTAGACAGATAAGGCCACAGCAGAATAAATAATGCCCCATTCTGCCTTTCAATGACAGTATATTTGATAGACTGGTGTGTTTCTCCATATTACAGGACCTTTTTTAAACATTCAAAGCACCCTTACTACAGTTTTCACATCTATGGAATTCAGCCAAAGTTTTATTAGTAAAATTGATAAATCTCCTTTGGGGCTGAGGCATGAACTGAAGCCAATTGTTCTGTAAGAAACATCCCATGACACTCATCTTCTGTTTTCTGTTGCTCTGGGGGAAAAGAAAAAGTGAAATCAATAATCTGACTTGATTTGTCAACGGACAGTATTTGAGTCTGATTTAATCTTATGGGCCACAACTGGATAAGAGAATAGATGCATGGTGGGAGAATGTGAGCATGAGTCTATTTCTAGCATACAGCTCAGGAACAGGCCACTGCAATGTTGGCTAGACAGGTAGAGTGCAAGACACGCACATGGCCGAGATGCTGGGTGATGCCTCGTGGAGAGGACAGGGGACAGGAAGGGAGGCCTCCAATCTAGTCCTTGTTAGTGTATGCCATCCAGAGATAAATACAAGGGAATTTTGTAGTGAAGGATGGTTAGAGCAGTCAAGAAATTTGTGTAAGTAAGAACTGCTCAATTTTTGTAGGTTAAAAATTTTCCTCCCTGGTAAAACAAAAATTAGGCTTACCAGAAAGAAGTTAGTTTAAAAAAAAATCAACTTTCCTGTTAGTAGCAGGATTTACTTTGGGCCAACAGATAAAAAGGATAAAAAGGATAAAAAGCCTATAAGGGCTGTCTAAATTTTGTCAATATTTGGGTCAGCACCAGTCATACTTCCACATTCTTGTGGTAGATAGTCTAAGTTAAGGTTATTGAAAGGATCAAAGGAAAAAGATAAGAAGACAAAAAGAAGTATTACAAATACTATGCAAACATCTTTATTAATAATTCAGTTAAAGAGCAAGCTTCCCTTTCTTACTATAACTGCCTTCACTGGCATTTTTCAAAGTACTTTCTAATTTCATTATAAGAAATGTAGGACCACTAGTTAAAACTATATTTTTAAAAACAGACTGGGTATGCTGGTACATGCCTGCAGTCCTAGCTACTCAGGAGTCTGAGGCAAGAAGATCACTTGAGCCCTGAGTTTGAGGCTACAATGAACTGTGATTGTGCCACTGCACTCCAGCCTGGGTGACAGAATGAAACTTCATCTCTAAAAAAAAAATAAAAATAAAAAATAAGAAACAATTATCTGTTTCTCCGTGTGCTACCACCATCATCAGTGACCTACACCTGCTGCAATCTTCTAACATGTTTCCTATGCAAACTTAGGTTAATTATGAACCCATCATATTCACTGCATGAAGTGACGCACAATGCTGACACCTACCTGGCTGGGGTGCTGGGAAATTAATTCGTGTTTGCTAGACGCACTGAAGATTTCAAAGTGCATGAAGTGCAATACACATCATTAACTTGCCCCAAGGCAGTTAATTTATTTTTTGGATATATGTGCTATTATCTAGTAGCCATAGGCATCTATAGATCACTTCTTTAAATCAATGCTTACCCATGGAGATTCAACACTCAGCCTTTAGTTTTTCTGAAAAGTAACCACTCTGCCTCCACTGATGTATTACTTGAAAAATATACATGACGGTCCCGAGAAGTGCTGCACTTTGTGCTCAGCTCTCTGCACCGCATGTGCTGAAGTTCATGCGCTGTAGATGCAGGACTCAGTAGACATCGCGAAGCGATACAAGGTAAACTATGGAGACCCTGCCTTTAAGCAGCTTACAAGCTAGTATGAAAGATCAGGCATTTAACTACTTATAATGCTACCATCGCATTATTAACCACATAGACATAACCTATTCAGCTACTGGGAAGCAAGAAAAGTTTAACCACGACCAGAGACTGTCTTGCACATAAAGTGGGAAGGATTTGGATACATTATGTGGTTGGGAAATGAGAGGAGAAGGAAAAGGCACTGAAGCAGAGGTTTCACCAGTGCTCGGACAGTCCCAGCCTGAATATGAGAAATAATGACTATAACTCACTTTGCTGGAGTTTAGTGGAAAGAAAGACAGAAGGGCCTTGGGCTATGTAAAAGAACTAAATGTGGCAGTATTTCTTAGCATCAGAATGACCAATACAGTTATGATGAATAAGAGATTTTAGAAACAATTAAAACAGCTATATGAAATTATCTGGGCCTGGTACAGTGGCTCACGCCTGTAATCCCTGCACTTTGGGAGGCTGAGGCAGGTGGATCATTTGAGGTCAGGAATTCGATATCAGCCTGACCAACAGGGTGAAACTTTGTCCTACTTAAAATACAAAAATTAGCCAGGCATGGTGGTGCATGCCTGGTGTGACCCCAGCTACTTGGGAGGCTGAGGCACAAGAATCACTTGAAACCTTGAACCCAGGAGGCAGAGGCTGCAGTGAGCTGAGATTGTGCCGCTGCACTCCAGCCTAGGCAGTAAAGTGAGACGCCTACTCAGAAAAAAAAAAAAAAAAAGAAAAGAAAAGAAAAAGTAAAAGACATTAATTGGAGAAGAGAGAAATTTTAGATGGGGAGATAGGTTAGAAAGTTACTAAATCAATTATTTTTCAACTGTCAATTTATTTCATTTCTCATTATGTAAGTTAATATTTATTACATGCCTACTATCTACAAAGGCAAGGGAGAAGGTTTGTGGATACAGATAAAAGATATTGTATGAGAACCTGGAGCTTTGAATAGTCAGAGTACCGTAATCCATGGCATTTATCAAAGTACTTTCTAATTTCATTATAAGCAATGAAATTTTTCTTATCGTCCGTGTTTTTAGATGATGGATGTAAAAACACAGAAGGTCATAGGAGAAGTAAGATGTGCATCAACCTGTGTACTTAAACCATGGTCAGGGAGGATTACCAGTAGTCCATCTAGAAAAGGCAACACATGAGCTGAATTTGAGGATAAATAGACCTTCTCTGGCTCGAAAAAGGGTTTAAGGATGTTTTAGGTAGAAACAGCTTTGGAAAGACACAGACAGACTCAGGAGAAAGGAGAGGACCTGCAATTACATTGAGAGACCTCACAGTAGGTCTCAAAAGTGGGTGTGGCAGAGGGCAGTATGGAGATGTAGACAGAGGCCAATTCATTAAAATCATTATCCGAAAGCAGCAAAGAAGAACAAGCAAAGGAAGACACTTTTAGGGCCAGCGAGATGAGATGTGCATTTCAGAAAGATTTCCTTGGTGAGAGAATGAGGAATGGGCAGTTAAGTAGGAAGGTCCTTAAAATTGTTATGTATTTAGACAACTATAACTTTTTATGAAGATACATACAATTCAGCACACACATCTTAATGTAAAATGTTTTGACTTTTTACATGTGCATACCCTAGTATATCCACCAACCAGATTGAGGTACAGAACAACTGTAGCATTTAGAATTGTGCAGTGTACATCTTTCAGTCAGTGCCCTTGCAGAGAAAAGAGATGAGTACTTTTCTGGCTTTATTTTCTATTTTTAATACCTGATCCTGAAAGTCATATAAATCCAGAATGTATCATTTGATGTCTGGCCTCTTTCGCTCTGTATTATGTCCGTGAAATTCATCTATGCTCTTGCATGTAGCAGTAGTTCTCTTTTACTGCTATATGGAATTTAATTATATTCCACCACTTTTAAATTCATTTTTCTATTGATGGATTTTTTTATTATTTTCAGCTTTTGGCTATTATCAATACAGCTGCAACAAAACTTTAGTACGTATCTTTTGATAGACATATACTTTTATTTTTCTTGGATGTAAACCTAGGGATAAAATTGCTGGGTTATAGAGTCAGTAACTGTTTCGCTTTAGAAAATAGGACCAGATATTTTAGTTTTCTAAAATAGCTTAATCAATTTACACACCATCACATGTATGAAAATTCTGCATCTTCTCAATATTTGTATTGACCCTTGGAAACTTTAAGGATTGTGATCTGTGTGTAGTGACATATCTTCTTATATCAGGGAATATCCTCTGCATTTCCCTGGTGAATTATTATACCAAATACACTTTGCGTATGCTTATTTACCATTTAGAGATCTCTTTTTGTACAATGCCTATTCAAATCTTTCCTCTTTTTTTTTTTTTTTTTGAAATATGGTTTGCTTGTCTTCTTTGACCTTGAGATATACAGTCTGGGCACTATTGCTTGGACAAATATTGCAAATCTGTTCTCTCAGGCTATGGCTTACCTTTTTATTCTTTCTTATTTTTTTTTTTTTAGGAACACAAATCCATTATAATGAGTCATTTTTAGTCTTATTTTAATCCAGCCAAGTTATGGAAATATCCTTGTATGCATTCTTCTAGAAGCATTATTATTTTATCCTCACATTGAAGTCTATAATTTATCTTGAATTAATTACTAATTAATTGATTATTAAATTGAGCATGGTGTGAATTAGGGGTTAGTTTCTTGTTCGCTCATAGAGAAAAATCAACTTCTCCAGTGCCATTCATGAAAATGACCATCACGTTTCCTTTTGTGGGTATTGACAATCTAGGAAAGAGATAATTAGATTCTGAGCTAAGGAGCTGTTCTTAAGAATAGCAAGAATGAAACACATTTAATCAGTTAAGGAGATACAATTTACTGCACTTTATTAGTGATTCAGTGTCAGTTTTGAGAAAAAGGAATTGAAGATGACTCAGGGTTTGCCTTGGGCAGCTGTGTAGATGTTGTGTCAACTAGAAAGATGGAAAATGCTGTAGGGAAAGGTGGCCAGGGGAGAGTTCAGAGTAGAAGAGATGACAACAGTTTGAGCAAACTACTTTGAAGCCTCCAGTGAGAATATCAAGCAGGTTTAACAATGCAGGTGAGTGTCACCCAAAATAGGGACAAAAGTCACAGAACTGGAAACAGAACATTGGTATAGGGAATATAGATTTTACACAAGATTTGCTTGCTAACATTTTAGACATTCAAGATCAACACATGAAGAACAGATCTAGATAATAAATAGATATACTTCCAAGGTTATACAATATTGCACTCACACAAATTAAACTTCATGTAAATTGCTACCCAAAGAGGACATTTAACAACATTTAATGAGATGTGGAAAAAATGTGCTAAGTGTGGTAACACAAGGCTGTTGTGTAATTCATAAAGGCTGTTGTGTGAATTAGAATCATAAAATGAGATTGCAAGGTGGACCTCATTTCCACAGTAGGCAGCCTTCTCTGTGGCTTCTGCAGTCTTGGTGCACCATCTCATGCTGCCACATGGCAAGGGTAGACTTTATGCACTTGGTTCTCCTCTCCTCTGCATGTCTTTTGCATTCTACTCTGAGCTGGGATCTTGGTCTCCATCAGGAAATGTCTCACTGTGGAGGTGCTGTAAAAACACTGAACACGTGGACTCTAATAGTCACTGGAAGCCTGACACAAGAATTAACACATGAAGGCCTGGAAGATGGACTGTTTATCTATCTATAGTTCTAAAAAAAAAAAAATAGTGCTAAGGGATTGTGCATTTTTATTTTTAGAAACACCAGTTCAATCCCCGTTTCACTGTTCTAATAAATACTTAAAAAAAATCCTTGATTTTTTTCAATCCTTTTCTATACAAGAATTCCATTTTATAGTGATGTAATCAAAACTAATTTACATAGTGTTTTGCTTTACTTTTCTGATAAATAACTACATAAATGTGATATAAATACATAAATTAAGCAATGCCATCTGTTAAAGAAAAAAATTATTCAATGACACTTGTGAAAGGTGATAAGACAGACTTCATTCAAGAGGAAATGGTCACAACAGGCGTTGGGACTTCTGCGGTGGGGTCCAGCAGAGGAGCGGAGATTGGGCTTCACTCCAAATACAAAGACAAGTGGCCATTCATAACAAAGGAGCCTGTGGGAGTCAGTAGATTGAAACTTACTAAGCAGAAACATCACAGCCAAAGGGGAGATTCTTGCTAGACCAACTCAAGAGTATTTTTGTTAAAGGCCGGTCATGGTGACTAGACAAAATATTCAGTGTATTTTCAATTACTCTTTTGTTTTTCTTTTGCGTTTCAGGTAGTTGCCTTTGGGGGTCCCTGAGTCCCTCGAGAGTCCCCAGTGTGGGGAGGGAATTGAGGAGCTATAGGAGGTAGGGAAAGGTCTGGCAGGAGTGGATGGAGAAATGGAGTAGGCAGGGGTTTTGAGGTCACCTGGAAGGATTCAAGGGAATGGAAAGGATGATTAAAGGTGATGAGAGGAGAAAGGAGGAGAGGAAACATAGGAAGGAGAGGTCCCAGGGGAGCCAGTCTGGGGAGACCTTAAGTTTCCCAAAAAGCCCATTGAAGTTGCTCAGCAATATTATCCCAGCAAGAAATGAAGAGGATAGAAATGGAGGAGCATATAGCCGGCAGAGGTTCTAGAGAAGCCGGGAAAAATAAAGTCAGCCTAGGCATTGGACAGTGGATCCCCACTCAAGACACACACAAAAAACAGGACAATCTTCCAGCCCAGGGAGAGGGACTCTGGGAGTAATTTCTTCTTGAGAGAAAAGTTACCCAGGAAGAATTTTCCTGACCAGGACCAGGTCTAGGAGTTGGGGAATGCATATAACACCACTCTGAGCAAAGAGCCCAGAGGAAAGACCTCCAGCCCAGCAGGTGCCTTTCCAAAAGCCTGGGGCTGGACTCGGATACTGCTCCAGAGCACACAGAGTTGAGAATCAAATCTGTTCTCACTGCATCCGTTCAGGGGCCATCACCCAGAGGACTCGCTCAGGAGTTAGATTCATCAATGGATCAATCAGTCAGGTGTGAAGACCAAGACTTCAAAGGTGAACACTCGGGTCCTGGGTGAGAGGCCCAGGGCCAGAGGTGGGCCTGTGATGAATCCAATCCTAGCTGAGCCACAGCCCTATGACTGTTGGAGACATATTTATGGCATTGTTAAATGTGGTCAGGTGGACTTTATTCAAGGGGCAGCATCACAATAGGCAGGGAAACTGTAATGGGGTCCTGCAGTGGAGGAGAGAAAGTGAGCTGAACTCTGAAGACAAGGACAAGTGGGGATTTACAGCCAAGGAGCAGGGTAGGGTCAGTGGGTGGAAAATTACTAAGAGGATCATCACTCAAGGGGGATTCTTGTCAGCCCCACTCGACAGACTGCTTGCTGCAGCCAGACCAAGGTGATAGGATATGGAAGGAGGTTACATACTAAGGGTGAGGGATGTTAGCAGGATTCTTGCTCAGACTGGATTCTACAAGGACAGTGAAGTAAGCCCAAGGTCAGGCCTAGTGAGAAAGGAGTCAGAAGACCTTGACTCAAGTGTGGTCAAAAGGGAGTGTCTGTCACTTCCCCATGTTCCTTTTAAGGACAGCAAAATATTCTATCAAGTAGGCATATATTTAAATTACTTCCATGTATTTTGCTTATAGAAATATTTTTCTATTTATGGTTCCTTTTATTGTTGTATGTAAAATTCATATTCATAGACTGGACAATAAAATCCTGGTGAAGAAAAGAATTTCATGCAGAAGCAGTGACGGTAACTCACCAAGGGGCTTCTTGGTGGACTTGCCAGGCTGCCAGCCCCTGCTCACTCGGGGTCCCACTCACTCTTGGGTTTAAAAAGGCACCTAAGTTTAATCATCATTTTTATTTTTACGTTTTTGGATTTCCAACTAATTTTTCCTGTGCATCAAGGTATACTTGCCTGTGAACCAGTAAAAGCATTATTTATTCTAAAGCTTTTGATGTCAGTAAATTATTTAAAACATTATTATTTCAATTTTTAAAACTCTTTGTTAGGCCGGGCATGGTGGCTCATGCCTGTAATCCCAGCAATTTGAGAGGCCGAGATGGGCAGATCACTTGAGATCAAGAGTTTGAGACTGTCCTGGCCAACATGGTGAAACCCCATTTCTACTAAAAGTGCAAAAATTAGCCAGACATGGTGGCATGGGCCTCTTAATACCAGCTACTTGGGAGGCAGAGGCAGGAGAATCACTTGAACCCAGGAGGTGGAGGTTGAAATGAGCCGAGATCGTGCCACTGCACACCAGCCTGGGCAACAGAGCGAGACTCCATCTCAAAAACAAACAAAAACAAACAAGCAAACAAACAAAAAACACCCTTTGTCAGTAACAACAGCAGGGAGGAGGAATGCTGCTTGAAATGCTTCAAGCCAATGACCAATGTCAGTGAGTCAAGACTGGTTTTCAAAGATGACTTACAAAGTGGCACTGCCTTCCACACTTCCTGTGGAAGCACCAGTACTATTTTCTAAGGCCTCATATATGTCAAGTGTGAGGACCAGAATTCACTTGCAATTTAATAGAGTGAATTTCTAACACATTTTAAAAGGGAATTTTGACTGACTGGAGAAATTATTTCAGATACGAGAAAGATAATTTGCATAAAATGACGTGTTTGCTCATTATTTTAAACTAAAATTCAGAACATATTGTTTAGAATTAAGCACCTAAGTGTGGAAACTGCCATCACTTGGGTTTTAAAGATTTTTGGCTTCTAATCAGAAGATGCTTTTTAACATTTCTAAGAACTCTGAAGACTCAATGAGTTACTTTTGGGGTGCTGAGTTCCATGTTTCTGGAGATGTTCAGCAATGGTGCATAGGGTTCCTTGTCACAGAGAGACTCCAGCTTTAGGTAGATCACAGTACCCTGAGGCTCTTATAGTCCAGAGGTTCTCACAGGTAAGTGGGCATCACAATCATAGTGAGTCATCCTACCTGCAGGGCTTGCAAAAACACATATTGTTATGCTCAAACATTTTCTAATTCAGTTTATCTATGTCGGGACCTGAGAATTTGACTTTCTGAAGACCCAGGTGAGGCTGATGCTCCTAGACAATGGACCAGGCTGTGAAGAGACTTATTGTATCATGGAACACTGTGTTAGGCAAGGTTGACACTTTGAAACATGGAACTCCTCTTCACAAACTTAAAAATCTAAGTTATTGAATGAAGTAACAATGGCAGCAGGGAAAAAACTTCCATAAAACTTTCCTGTAATGTGTACTGTCTAACTTTTACTGCACAGATGGTGTCTAAACAAGAATTTGGAATTTTTGCAGAGTTACTGGCAGGATATTCCAAAACGCTTTCATGTAATACTGAATTCAGTGAAAAGATAATGAATGTATCTGACAAGAGGAATCTTTGTAAACAACTTTTAATTATCAAGCCTAACTCTCAGTCATAGGTTTGGAAATCTCGTTATTTAGACAGGCAGTGTCTTTGTCATCAGCATACGTGTCTCAACTTTAGGCTGACTTATGACAGAGCAGCCTGATGTCAGTCTTCAATACTTTGGTACGTAAACATTGTCAACAAGCCTATATGATTAAATCACCATAAAAGTTACTAAGCCAGTGATATTTCCAATGGCCGAACTGTCTCTTGAAATCCCTTTTCAGATGCTATTAAATGGTGTGTTACGGTCGGAGTTCATCCGTGACAGCCATTAGAAGAAGAACACAGTCTCGATGTGAAAGGACTTCACGCCCTGGGGGGATAAGCCTCTGTGGTTTTTGAAATAATATTGATTGTAGATTAAATATTAAGTTTGCACTGTGTTGAAAACAAAGTTCTAAAATTCTCTAATCTCTGGTTATTTTGTTCTTATCATGTCACAATTGAATTAACCCTTACAATACTCAGAGGCATGATACTTATTGAATGGCATTTTACTTTATCCAGCTCTCCACATTGTGGAAGCACAGCAAGCCCAGGCTGCTGGAAAGAAATGAAGTTATAAAATCTTAGGATGTCGGACATTGTGCAGAGATGGAGGTGACACAGGGATAAGCTCTTCTCCTCCCTGCTCTGATCAGTACAGGGCTGGGGTCACGCAGAAGTCAGTTAACTTTAGCAAATATAATTTTAATAATAAGAAGATATGAATTCCATAGAGGATTAGAGATTTGCTTTTTAAACAAGAAGTAACAAGCTTTTTATTTTCTAATTATTAAGTAGAAAATATTAAAATAATATTTATGAAAGATATGACATATTGATGAAAATACATCATAAGCAATCCTTAACCATCTGGGTGCGAACTACCTCTAAATCATTGCCAACTGAAGTTCAGGTGCCTCTAAAAAAAGATTTCTATTATTTACTGGGTCTCTTCCTCAAGATCTAGGACAATACAATGCAATAAATAATTGCTTCCCAAAAATGTGTTAACTAAACATATTATAATTTGCAAATTCTTAATAATGAAAAGTATGGGCACATTAAAAGTTTATATATCTATATATTATAATATTTTTAAAAGTATATTTATGAACCATGAAGTTTTTGCTGTGACAACTTTCTATTTCAAGTGTATGTAGAGCTGTCTTTGCTTTTTATTTTTTTTTTGAGGTGTCTCACTCTGTCACCAGGCTGGAGTACAGTGGCGCCATCTTGGCTCACTGCAACCTCTGCCTCCTGGGTTCAAGTGATTCTCCTGCCTCAGCCTCCTGAGTAGCTAGGACTACAGGCATGCACCACCATGCCCAGCTAATTTTTGTATTTTTAGTAGAGATGGGTTTTCACCATGTTGGCCATGATGGTTTTAATCTCTTGACCTCGTGATCCACCTGCCTCAGCCTCCCAAAGTGCTGGGATTACAGGCATGAGCCACCACCCCCATTTGAGCTGTCTTTGCTTTGATCTGCATAATTGAGTTTTTGCTAACATTTTTCAAATAGTATGAGTCTAACCTGAAAATGTCATGTTTTCTTCTGAAGTTTTATGTTTTCGAGATTTCTAATTTGGACCACATCAGGATTAACTTAAGCATTAATAAAACATACAAAAGATACGTGTGTTATTATCTGATAGACTGTCAAACCTACCTGTAAGCAACAGGCATTGCATACCATATGATGAATGACCAAGTTGTGAACATATGGTTTAAAATGAAATATTCTTTTTAAACCTGAACACATTTTTAAATATTGGATTGTATTAATTATAGTTATACATTCATAAAAGCCAGAAGTCATATTACTTTGAACTTGAAATGCTATGCATGCTTAAATATTGATGAGTAGCTCAGCTTAAATTCAAGGATAAGAGTTTTCCTGGGAAAATCTAGTATTGTTTCCTCTAACTTGTGGAAGTTTTCTTAGTTTCATGTTTTCCATAAATAAAAGCGTTTATAGGTTCCATATATCTTTGTGTTTGTAAAATTGGAAAAGTTTCCACCTTTTTATTACAGGATTTTAACAAAGATTTTCTCAAGATCATGTTTGGAACTTATCACATATCTCAGATAACTTTAATCAACACACTATAGGAATTCATCATTTATTCATTCATTCTTTTTCTCAATAAATAACTTATTTTCTGTTCTTTTTCACCCACTGTGGTTGGTGTAATTGGCGTCTTCTACCTATGCTCCTAAACTCGCAGAGGCTCTTTGGAATTGTAATAAACTGGAAGGGAAACTAGGCTGGACTTGGTTCTGTACACCAGCTCTTGACTCTGTCAGCTGGTCTTGAACATCCAGGGAACTGTCTTGCCTTAAGAGTCTTATTGTGTCACAAATGAGAGGGAAGCAGTCAGACTGAGCATTTGTAAATGTATCATTATACAGAAATAATTTATACACTGAATTGGGTAATACAAGATTTAAGACAAAATATTTGAAATAAGAAGTTCACTTTATATGACATTATACCTAGAATCAATTCTCAGATGTGTAAAAAGGTTGGAATCAGCAATCTAGAACATCATTACCCAAATTCTGAGCTTGGATACACAATTCAGTGATGATAATTTTACAGTGAAATACATTTTGAAAAGTCTTCATGTATGTTCTAAACTGGCACTGTCCAGTGGAAATTTCTGCAATGTTGAAACTATTCTATATTGCACTATCTTATATGATAACTCCTAGCCACATAGGGCTATTGAATATATGAAATGCAGCAAGGACAACTCAGAAACTAAATTTGAACTATTATTTAATTTTAGCTACTTTTATTTAAATTAAGTAGCCCCATGTGGCTGTGTCTACTGTACTGAACCGTGTAGCTCTGGAAAGAAATGGGCTTTAAAATTCATTGAACAGTACAAAGCCAACTGTTTATCTAACTACTTAAACATGCAATTACCTATAGCAATATAAATATATACACTCACAAAACTAGCACCACCATCAAGATATGAAACATTTGCATCACCACAAATGTCCCCTGGGCCTCTCTGAAATCAACCCTCACTCTTCACCCCAAGCAAACACTAATCTGCATTCTGTCACTATTGATTACTTTGATCTATTCTAGAACTTCACATAAATGAAATCATCATTTGTAAATGAAATCATAGTTTGTAGTATTTGGGTCTGGTTTATTTCACTAAGCATTATGTTTTGGGTTCTGTCCATGCACATGTGAATCACTAGTTCATTCCCATTTGGTGCTGAAGAGTATTATTCTATTTTATATTTATAGCACAGATTGTTTGTCTGTTCATCTATTGATGAACATTTGTGCTTTTTCCAGTTCTAGGTTATCATGTGTAACGCTTCTATGAAATTGTGTCAATAAATTAGAAAATTTTCTGTTTATTTTAAAGGTTATTTAATATTACATGTAAAAGTCCTTAATGCTGCTATTTTAGTAATATTTCTTTATCCTTCTCATTGAGCTATTTTTTATACTCTATTGTGATGGTCCTCAAAGGTGATGGCTTATTCTACCTGTGACTGTCAATCTATGATGCTTATGGATGCCAGACAAAACAATAGTATTGAAACCAAAATCCAAGGCTTATGCCATTTATGCTTTTGATTCTATCAAAATAGAAAAATCACTTTTAATGGTAGGATAGGTATCGAGGAAATATTTTAATGATTTATAGTTTCTAAACTACCTTGACAGATATCACATAATCTCACTGACACTTCGTGTTACTTTATTCATTTTATTATTTCCACTTTAATACAATTGGTTTATTTAATGATGAAGTTACAATAGTGATGTTAAATGCTATGCTTTTCATTAATATAAGTGTGACTGAAATCTTAACATTTTTACCACAAAGGACGTGAACAATGTTAGGCTTGTAAGTTGGCTTTATCGCCTTTCCACAAAGAGGTCAGTGATGGTCGCTCTGCATGGAAGGAACATTCTCAGGAGATGCAGAACAGATGCTTCCTGGGCTTGCTGAGAAGTCTCCAGGCTGGGCAAGGGACAGCAATCTCAGTTGTTTATTGCAAAACCCTTACTTCCTGGCAGCTGGCTAATTTTCATCCCAAAGATGCCTATTTTATCTTGGATCCCATGTTTAAATAACGTCATATTCAAATGCTTGGGATTAGAAGCACGAAACAGAAGCCTCAGCTGCCAAAAGTTTAAAAACATTTCAAAGACAAGTATATTCTGTACACACTATCAAATAAAACAAAATTGTTTGTCCTGCTGGGCAATCAGCACCACATTCATCCACTACCTTCCTGGATTCGTTTTTACCTGTGCATGTACAATGGTGGCCACTTCTTCATCCTGTGCTCCCTTTCGTTTGCTTCCATCTGGGAACTCAGGAAACAAGACAAACTGATTTCTCTCTCCAATTTACCCATGGATTTTCTACACAAAGGACATTTTTAAAGGTTTAAAGTTAATGTGAAAAATGTGGAATTTAAACTTTAAGATATTTTACACAGTTCGAAGGAACACAAATGGATCTAGAAATTTCCCTGCCCTGATTTATATAGCTTAAAATAAAGTATTATTTTCCCTTCTTTTTTATTTTTATTTTATTTCTATTTAAAAGGTGCTAGATTTGTAAAAACCTACAGAAAACAGCAGGATCAAGCCCAGGAATGTTAGTCTCTGAGTTGGAGTAAAACCAAAATATTTTTGTAGGCCTTTGATTCTCTTTCTCTTAAAAGGCTCATCCCCATGTTACCAAATTATTTAAAGTTGGGCCATTCCATATTCAAGTGTAATTTATATGCTACTGTTTAAGAGTTCAATTGAATTGCAGTTAAATAGTTGACATCACAAAATAGTGTGTAGATATTTAATTAAATATGTATTAACTTTTTTTGTTGTTGTGTTGGAGTTTTGTACCTGTATTTTGGAATCTGTTTCCCTGCCTCCCTCCCAGGCCCTTAAAAAAGTATTTATCCTAGACAGGGTGTTAGCAAAACCTAATAGAGGAACAGAATCTAAGAAAGGACATCAAGAATAAAAAGACATTTTGAGGCACGCTCATCTGATCTGCCTGAAGTTCTCAGGTGGATGATTCCCCGGTCTTTCTAACTGATCTCAGGCATTGCTTGCTTGAGAACCTTAATTTAATCGGTCCATTCTGCTTGCTCTTTCTTTTGTTTCCTTCCTTCCTTCCTTTCTTCCTTGCTTCCTTCCTTCATCCCTCCCTCCCTCCCTCCCTTCCTTCCTTCCCTTTTTCCTTCCTTCCTTCTTCCCTTCCTTTTTTCCCTCCTCCCTCCCTTCCTTCCTTTTTTCCTTCCTCCCTCCCTCCCTTTGTTTTCTCCTTCCTTCTTTCCTTCCTTCCTCTCTCCCTTCCTTCCTCACTTCCATTTTTCCTTCCTTCCTTCCTCCCTCCCTCCCTCACTTCTTTGCTCCTTTTATTCCTTCCTCCCCCCTCCTTTCCTTTCTTTCTTCCTTCCTCCTTTTCTTCCTTTTTTCTTTATGACTTTAATAAAATGTTTTTGATTCCTGTAAAATACACATAACATAAAGTATACAATTTCAAACATTTTAACGTATACAATTCAGTGGTATTAAGTACATATATACAATTCAGTGGTATTAGGTACATGTATACATTAAGTATGAATGTACTTAATGCCACTGAATTATATACTTTAAAATGGTTTTGCATCCATCCCCACTGTCCATCTCCAGGGCTCTTTCACCTTGCAAAACTGAAACTCTTTGCCCATTAAACAAAAAATACCCAATTTCACCCTTCCTTCAACCCCTAATAAGTACAATTCCACTCTCTGTCTCTATAAATTACACTTTTTTAGGTACCTTATATAAGTGGAATTGTACAGTATATGTCTTTTTGTGACTCATTTCATATAGCATCCTGTCCTCAAGATTCACCTATGTTGTGGCATGCTTCCAAATTTTCTGCCTTTTAAAGGTTGAATAATATTCCATTATATGGATATACCACATTTTCTTTTCCGTTCATCTGTTTAATGCTTCCATGTTTTTACTATTGTGAAAAATGCTTAAGTGTTTACAGCTGTAAATTTCTTCCATAGCAACCACTCCTGCTGTGTCCTATAAGTTTTTCTACGTTGTGTTTTCATTTTCATTCATTTGTAAGTATTTTCTAACTTTCCCTGTTATTTCTTCTTTGATTCATTGATTGTTTAAGAGTGTGTTGCTTATTTTCTAAGAATTTGTGAATTTTTCAATTATTCTTCTGCTATTTATTTTTAACTTTATCCTGTTGTGGCCATAGAAGATATTTTGTATGATAGCTATCTTTTTAAAGTCCATTGAGACTTCATTTGTGGCCTAGATAGATAGATATGGTCTATCGTGTAAAATGTCCCATGTTCACTTGAGAAGAATGTCTGTTAGAGTGTCCTGTATACATCCGTTAAGTCTAATTAGTTTATTGTTCTAGGTCCTCTACTTCCTTACTTATGTTCCGTCTGTTTGTTCTATCCACTACTGAGAGTGGGGTATAAAAGTCTCTATTACTCCAGATCTATTTCTCCCTCAATCTGTAAATTTTTGCTTCATATATTTTGATGGCCTGTTAATAAGGATGTATATACTTATAACTGTTATATATTCTTGTTGTACTGAAACTTTTATTAATATATAGTGTTTTTATTTCTCTCTTGTAATTGTCTTTGATTTAAAGTTGATTTTGTCTGATATTACTATAGTCAACCCTACTCTCTTTGGTTGCTATTTATATGAAATATCTTAAGTTGATTTTTTTGCAGTGAAATGTTTTAATTCTCTCCTCATTTTTTATGTGCAAATTCTATAGTTATTTTCTTTGTAGTTTCTATGGGATTACATTTAACATACTAAAATTATAACAGTCTAATTTGAATTTTCACCAGCTTAACATCAATAACATACACAATATAAACTCCTTTATAGTTATTCCCACCCCCTTTCAGTTATTGATGTCACAAAATTACATCTTTATGCAGGATGAGTCTAAAAACATTTTTAATGTATTAGTATCTAAAGTTATATAGAAAAAGTGTGGAGTAATAAAGTTACAATAACACTAGTTTTTACACTAATAATTTAAAAATTTTTCTTAAATTATGTAGGAAAAAAAGTGGAGTAACAAACCAAAGTCAATTAACAATAGCTTTAATAAAATGCTCATGCCTTTACCTTCACTGAGATTTTTATTTTTTTATAAAGTTTTAATTAATTTCCACTATATTTTTATTTCAACCTTCAGGATTTCTTTTAGTATTTCTTGTGGGGCAGGTCTAGTAGTGATGAATTCCTTCACTTTTATTTATCTGGGAATGTCTTAATATTTTCCTCACTTGAAGGACAGTTTTGTCAGATATAGGATTTTTGGCTGACAGGTTTGGTTTTGCCTTTTTTTTCTCTTTAGTACTTTGAATACATTGGCCTCAATATTTCCGGCTTCCAAAGTTTCTAATGAAAAATCTGCTCATAATCTGATTGAGGATACTTTGTATATAATAAATTGCTTCTCTCTTATTTTTTTCAAACTTTCTCAAAACTTTCTCTCTTTGTCTTTCAACAATTCGATTATAATGTGTCATGGTGTGGGTCTCTTTTAGTTCATCTTACTTGGAGTTCACTAAGCTTCCTGCATATTTATGTTCATATCTTTCATCTAATTTGGGAAGTTTTGGGCTATTACTTCTTTAAATATTCTCTCTGCCCCTTTGTCTCTCTTTTCTCCTTTTGAAACTCCCACAGTGCATATGTTGGTCCACTGTAGGGTATCACATGTCCCTTAGGCTCTTTTCACAGTTCTTTAGTCTTTTTTCTTTCTCTTCATCAAAGTCAATTTTTATTATTTTGTCTTGAGTTTTTTTATTTCTTTCTTCTGCTTGCTCAAATCTGCATTTGAATCTCTCCAGTGAGTGACTTTTGTTTTTTTTAAATTTCTTGTATTTTCAGCTCCAAAATTTCTTATTGGTGTCTTTTTAGGCTATCTATTTTTTAAAAAATTGATGTTTCCATTTTGTTGATAAATTATTTTCTTGACTTTCTCCACATCTTCCTTCAGTTCTTCAAGATAGTTGTTTTAAAGTCTGTATTTATTAATCCCACATTCCTACATCTGGTCATTCTCAAAGATAGTTTTTGTTGATTGATTGCTTGATTTTCCTTGGAATGGGCCTTATTTTCTGTTTCTTTGTATACTGCTATAGACTGAATATTTGTGTCCCCCCATAATTTGTATGTTGAAACTCTACTCTTCAATGGGATATTATTTGGAGGTGAGGTCTTTAGGAGGTGATTAGGGTTAGATTAGAGCATGAAACTTGGGCCCTTAATGGTGAGATTAATATCCTTATATAAAGAGAAAGAGGCATGAGCGATCTCTCTCTCTACCATGTGATGATACAGCAAGCAGGCATTCCACTGCAAACCATGAAAAGAGCCCTCACCAAGAACTCAACTATGCTGGCACTCTGATCTCAGACTTCTAGCCTCCAGAACTGTGAGAAACAATTGTTTGTTGCTTAAATCACCGAGTATATGGCATTTTGTTATGGCAGCCTTAGCAGATTAAGACATATGCCTAGTGATTCTTTTGGTTAAAAACTAGACATTTGAATCAAATAACGTGATAACTCTCTAGAAATAGGACTACCCTTTCCTCAAGGTTTGTTTATTTTTGTTTTTTGTTTTTTGACTATTGACAGCTATTTCTGTGTCAGTGATCAGCCTGACATATAAACTTAATTTCTTCTTTGGTCTTTCTGAGCCTATGCCTTTCCCTCGGCATGCACAGTGACTTCTTAATTTCTTCTGTTGCTTTTTAACACCCTAGGTATTGATATGTGTCTCCTAAAATGGGAAAAAAACAGGGGGAAATGCAATAAGAAAAGAAAAGAAATGATGAAATTTTAAAAAAATATGCTGGCCTTTAAATCCTCTGGAAGTCGCTTCAGCCCTATGGGAAGAGGCTTGTAAGAGTAGGGAGGGAGATGCAAGGATGCCTGCCCACCTCTTCATCTGTTCCTCTGTGATCAGAAGCAGCAATGAGAAATCAGAAGACAGATCCCTGATATTTGGAGAAAAGGGTCCTTATTGCCCACCCTGGCTCCTGCTAGCTGTATACAAGCTGCTCCAGGAACATGTTCATGGCTTCGTGCTGTGGGGCTTGTGTCAGGACTAGGTACTTGTTACTGTGCTCAGAGCTGGAATAGACCAAAATTAAACACAATTTACTATCTAAGCCTTCCTCTGGAAGTTGAAAGACATGGGATAGACTTCAGATTTCCAAAATACTTACTCTAACACATTTTGAAAGTACAATTGTTGTCTAAGCAGGAAGGTGGATATTTGGTCTTTCCTACTTTGCCATCATCCCAGAATCCTTCTACATTTCCTTTCTTTTTGGGGCATTTTTACCTTTTGTTTTCAATTTCCATCTGGTGCCCATATCCTCATTGCATGCTTTGATTACTTGGTGCCCATGTTTGGGCCTGGGTGCTGATTCAGACTATGTCACCATAGTGAATCAATGAAACCGAATAAATACTTTCTGTCATACTGCTGATGAAGATGGATTAGATTTCCCAGTACCTTATTACTGTTCTATTACTTTTGTTTCTGTGTGTACAGATTTCTGGTATGTCTTTTATCCAGCATACAAAATAAAAGAAACCTTAAATAGTTATTCCTCAAATCTAGTTCTGAAGCAAACATTTATGAAAGATGGGGGAAGCAAAATGTAGGAGCAAAATGACCATGAAAAAGTTAGCAAATAATTGAGACAAATAGTGAAGGACCTTGAGGAAATTAAGTCTAGTTTCTTCAAAAACACATTCCTTTAATACCCATTACCATCTCTAGCATATTTCTAATATGTACACAGATCTCTGCTACCTGTTGAGAATATATTAATGATGTATAGATTATATTAGTAAGAAACTACAGGACATATATAGTTATATGAAGGATACATATAGAGCTTCTCTCGCTCTCATATGTGTGCATATATATGTGTGTGTATATATATATGTGTGTGTATGTTTTTTTAAGAAGAGTTTAAGAAATTTTCTAACATGATTGTGGGGCTGAAGCTAGCAGGTTCAAGATCAGCAGGGCAAGCTGAAGATGAATTTAAAAATTGATGTTACAATTTTTAGTATTAATTCTGAAGTCTGGCAAGCTGGAAAATTGGGCAGCATTTCTACGTTGCATGAGAATTCCTTCTTCCTCAGTTACCCTTAGTTTTTGCTCTTAAGGTCTTCAATTGATTGGATGTGGCCCACCCACATTATGGAGGTTAATCTGCTTTATCCAAGGTAGTGAATCAATAACTATTGATTGAAATGTTAATCAGCTAAAAATATACATTCACGGCAACATCTAGACTGGTCTTTGACCAAACAACTGGGCACCATAGCCTAGCCAAGTTGTAACATAAAATTAACCATAAGAAATCATTGAACAAATACTCAGACATTATTTTAAGGGAGCTGGCAATCTAATGTTAAGACACAGATATGAATAGATAAGGCAAATATGCAGAATGTTTATAATTGTATATCTAGGTGAAGTTTATATGGGTGTTCATTGGGCTGTTCTTGTGACTTTTCTCTAGGTAGGTTTGAAATTTGCTAACATAACACTTTTAGGGAAAAGAGGCATTTTAAGCAAATGCATCCTCTGTGTCGCATACTAACAAGACCAACTAGCCCATTGTATTGGAAATGGGATCAGAGACCAGGAAGTCCTCCCAGAAGGTCTGGGTCTTGCAGGGGAAATAGTTGACTTTTGTGCCAGCAAATGAAAGTATTAAAAGGCAGTGGGAAGTCTTTGTTTGCCATTTGGTCAAACTGGGTTTTGGAGCCTGAAGCTCCCTGTCCCTGAAGAAAAAGTGACTAGACTAGGACAATCAAAAGGGAAGCGTGGCTTCCTAAACAAATACGTTTTCAACATTGTTCTCCATTTATGCATTCTATTCTCGGCAGAGAGAAGAGGCCCTGACACATATTAGGATGCCATAAATTATGTTATACAAAATAATTATTTTTATTTCCTATAAGACCTGGTGAAAATGAAGCAAATAGACAAAGTAAAAATAGTATATTTATTCTATGTTATATTTTGGAAGGATGTACAGGGTGGGGGCAAGAAAGATGGTAAGGAGTGTTAAAAGAAAGTCCCTTGAAAGAAGAAGGCTTACTTTCTTCAAAATCCTTTAACATTTAAATTGCCAAATTTTATTCTTATCCATCTGACTGAAGCAAATTTTATCATGTAGAAAACCCTTAACTGTATGAAGACTCCACAGTCTAGGCTTCTGCTCTCAGAGGCTGTGTTTTAAAAGCATGGAAACCCACATGGAATCTATAATAAATCTTAAATGATGGCTCCATGTGGGCATACATGGCTATTGTTGATGCTCTATGCACTACATTTATATTATTTGTTTTCATATATTAGATGTTTCCTTGACACTGAGATTTATTGAATTACGAATAGCGCTATAAGAATCTCAAGTGTCAGTAAAAAATGGCTAATCTAGTCCAAAATTTTTAGGAAGTTAATGCTAATTAGGGTTACATTAATCATCCAGACACAGAGAAGTCATACTTGAGGCATGTCATTTAATAAAATTGTTTGTTAACTACTAGTGAAAATCTTCTTAGAATAGAGATTAATTGGTAAGGAATATGAATTGCATAATAAATCAAACAATACCAGGATTAAAGTATTAATCTCTGAGCAAGATGGGAAATTACATTGCCAGAAGGGAAGTCTTCTCATTCTAAGTTATTTAAGCTTCTTGATAAGCCTGCCCTGATATGAAATCTACTGGTTTGCAAATTTAAAAAGTCATGAAGTATATATTTTAAAGAAAGCACAATTTGGCTGGGTGTGGTGGCTCACGCCTATAATCCCAGCACTTTGGGAGGCTGAGGTGGGTGGATCGCTTGAGGTCAGGAGTTCGAGACCAGCCTGGCCAACATGGTGAAACCCCATCTCTACTAAAAATACAAAAATTAGCCAGGCATGGTAGCGTGTGCCTGCAGTCTCAGCTACTTGGGAGGCTGAGGCTGGAGAATCGCTTGAACCCAGGAGGTGGCGGTTGCAGTGAGCTGAGATGGCACCACTGCACTTTAGCCTGGGCAATAGAGCAAAATTCTGTCAAAAAAAAAAAAAAGAGAGAGAGAGAAAGAGGGAAAAAGAAAGAAAGAAAGAAAGAAAGAAAGAAAGAAAGAAAGAAAGAAAGAAAGAAAGAAAAAGAAAGAAAGAAAAGAAAGCACGATTTAATCACTTTCTCCTCTAAAAAGCAGGTCTGTTTTGTAAAATTACCAAACCTCAAACTAATATAAGGAACGATAATGTATTTTGTTTATATATAAACTCCATCTGTTTCTACATACTTTCTAGAGGAATAGATTTTACTTTCACACGTCTCAACATTTGTATTAAAAATGATTATTTTGCCTCTCAGTGAATGAATAATTGTTACGTTCTGTCACCATGCTTCAGATTTTTCATCCTGAACTGAAATACTCTCCTTCCTTAAGCTACAAAAGACACTTCATAGAAAAGCAAACAAACAAAAAATGCTGATTTACAAATGGTTTTCATTCTTGATTTGTATGCAAAACTCTTCCTCTTTAGGAAGATATTTGACATTTTAATAACAGTTTGCCATCTCCCATGTACCATGAGTACGAAATATTTTGTAACCTTAGGGATGGGCCAGATGAATATGCCTTAAGGAAAGCTTTTGCTTGATGGCATCAGTGTCAGTGCCCTGTATATTCACGAGCCATTGTCCCCAGTTGGGAGAGATGGCAGTCCTGTTGTTTCTTAAAGTCATACCCCCTCCCCCCACACACAACCTAGTCAATGTCTTCTTTTTATATAGCAATTAAAAAACATCAAGGTGTTTAAATTATTATGCTTTTCATTTTGATTCCTAATTTAAATTTCATTGTCCATACTTATTTTTCCCTAGCATTATTTCATTCCTAAGTAAATCTTACAGGAAAGAATCTGATCTTTCTATGAGTTTTACCTTAGGCAATCAAAAAGCTGCTTTATAAGCTGTTTCTTCCAAGCCTTTTGAATGTTGTCAGACATCAAATTCATTGTTTGTCATTTCCTGTTTACAACAAAACTAAAATATGGTTATAAAGCCTAGAGACAAACTTCCTTAAGTATAAAATGAATAGAATTAAAACGTATTTTATTCTAAATAGCAAAATACTTTCATAAAGAAAAATGAAAATTCAGAAATTAGGCTGGATAAAAGTTTTATATACCAAAAACAGCACACTATACAGTTGAAGGATACAGACCCGAAATTCAGGCTAGACAGTTTGACACACCAGACATGTGCCTGAGCTCTCTGATCTTGGGCAAGTTACAGAGCATCCCTGAGACCCAGTTTTTTCATCTGGGGAATGGAATGGAGATGATGATAGCACCCACCATTGGGTTGTTAAAATAAATCGTTTATGTAATATTTATAAATTGTTGAATATCATTTGATCATATACATAAGCATGTGTTTTATGCACACTGTTTTTTGTTTTTTTTTTTTTTTTTTTTTTTTTTTTAATTTCAGAACAGTCAGACTCGCACCGCAGCGGCCGGGAACGCTCGCAGTTCACATGCTCAGTCCTCCTTGGCTGACTCGCCACACACGCTGCCGCAGCATGGACGCCCCGAGGTAGGTAGTCAACTTTGGGCCTGGTCCAGCCAAGCTGCCACACTCAGTGTTGTTAGAGATACAAAAGGAATTATTAGACTACAAAGGAATTGGCATTAGTATTCTTGAAATGAGTCACAGGCCGTCAGATTTTATCAAGATTATTAACAATGCAGAGAATCTTGTGCGGGGATTGCTAGCTGTTCCAGACAACTACGAGGTGATTTTTGTGCAAGGAGGTGGGTCGAGCCAGTTCAGTGCTGTCCCCTTAAAGTTGATTGGCTTGAAAGCAGGAAGGAGTGCGGACTATGTGGTGACAGGAGCTTGGTCAGCTAAGGCTGTAGAAGAAGCCTGGGACTATAAATATTGTTCACTCTAAACTTGGGAGTTATACCTAAATTCCAGATCCAAGCACCTGGAACCTCAACCCGGAAGCCTCCTACGTGTATTATTGTGCAAATGGGACGGTGCGTGGCGTGGAATTTGACTTTATACCCGATGTCAAAGGAGCAGTACTGGTTTGTGACATGTTCTCAAACTTCCTGTCGAAGCCAGTGGATGTTTCCAAGTTTGATGTGATTTTTTCTGGTGCCCAGAAGAATGTTGGCTCTGCTGGGGTCACTGTGGTGATAGTCCGTGATGACCAACTGGGGTTTGCCCTCCGAGAGTCCCCTTCAGTACTGGAATGCAAAGTGCAGGCTGGAAACAGCTCCTCGTACAACACGCCTCCATGTTTCAGCATCTACATCATGGGCTTGCTCCTGGAATGGACTAAAAACAATGGAGGTGCTGCTGCCATGGAGAAGCTTAGCTCCATCAAATCCCAAATGATTTATGAGATTACTGATAATTCTCAAGGATTCTACGTATGTCCAGTGGAGACCCAAAATAGAAGCAAGATGAATATTCCGTTCTGCATTGGCAATGTCAAAGGAGATGATGCTTTAGTAAAAAGATTTCTCGATAAAGCTTTTGAAACTCAATATGTTGTCCTTGAAAGGGCACAGGTCTGTGGGAAGCATCCAGGCCTCTCTGTATAATTCTGTCACAATTGAAGATGTTCAGGAGCTGGCCGCCTTCATGAAAAAATTTTTGGAGATGCGTCAGCTATGAACACATCCTAACCAGAATATACTCTGTTATTAAACAACATACAAAGTTTAAAGTAACTTGGGGATGGCTACAAAAAGTTAACAAACACAGTATTTTTTCTCAAATGAACATGTTTATTATAGATTTTTCTTTTTTGAAAGAACAACAGCAAAACATCTACAGCTCTGCAAAGCTGGTGTGAAGTAATGTTCACCTTAATTCTGATTTGAACTGGAAGCATTTTCAAAAATCTCATTGCTTTTCTAACAAATTCCAGCTTATTTTGCCTTTGCTGCTACTCTTTCTAGTTAGATTTAAAAGCTTCCTGTGGATATAATAATGCAAGTTGCAATTAAGTATTTCTGGAGTCATGGGAACACACAGCACAGAGGTAGATGGGGCCCTCTAGGTGCTGAATCTAGACATCTGTGGGGTCTCCTGGGTTCAGCGGCTGTTGATTCAAGGTCAACATTAATCATTGGAGTAGTGGTTTAAGAGTACCAGGCAAAGGGAAAACTGTAGATCAATGTTTATACTGTTATTACAAGAGAAGTTACATACTTTATCTATGTTTATATTAGCAAGGTGTGTTGTTAATACCATATGCTTTATATTTCTATGAATTTATATTTCTAATAATACGGTTATCACTGATACATGTAGAGACTTTTAGAATTTATTAAATCCTTGACTTTGTGCATCATAGCATTCCATTAGTAATAGTTTCACCCCCTCCCTAGTCTTCCCCTTCCTCTTTTCAAGCTGTTTTATGAAAAAGATCTAGAAGTTCTTGATTCATTTTTACTGTTATTTCCATAGGTAGAAGATAAAGTTGACAGGTTGGTTGTTTTTTAATTATGCCATTAAACTAAGCACTTCTGTTAAATAATCTTATCCTTTCTTTTCTTGACTGTTTTCTTTGTAATGTTTAACGACGACAGTGATACTTTGCTGAAAAGTCTTTCCCCTATTGTTTATCTATTGTCAGTATTTTATGTTGAATATGTGAAGAACATTAAAGTCCTAAAGCATCTAAAAAAATTTTCAGAACACTTTCACATAGACAGAAATGTTGCAAGGATAGTACAAAGTGTTCCCATGTACCCCACATCTAGTTTCCAGTATTACTGACATCTTTTATTACAAGTGTTCATTTGTCTCAGCTATTCAGATTGTATTCGTTTTTACCTAATATGCTTTTTCTATTCCAGGATCTCATTCATGATACCATATTTCATTTATTTACCTTGTCTTCTTTGATGATACAAGGAAGTATCATCAAATACTCCTTTGATGTGTCATGACAGTTTCTCAGACTTTCCTTGTTTAATCTGACATTGACAGTGATAATTTTGAGAAGTACTGGTCAGGTATTTTGTCCTTCATTTGGGGTTTGTCTAATGGTTTTCTCATGATTAGACCAGAGTTAGGGGTTTGGTTCACAGAAACAAAACCTTTGAGGTAAAATGTCATTCTCATCACGTTATCTCAAGGGTACACACTATCGGTGTGACTTACTACTGATATATGGAGCTTGGTCACCTGGCTGAGGTAGTGTTTGTCAGGTTTTTGCACTGTGAAGTGGCTTTTCCTCATCCCATCCTTTTCATACCATACGCTATAGAAGAAAGCTATTATGCTTACACTTAAGGGATAGGGGGTTATGTTCTTCCTCCTTGAAACTAAAACATCTACATTAATTATTTGGACTTCTTCTGTACAAGAAATTTGTCTTCTTTCTCACATATATTACTTACTCAATCATTTATTTATATCAGTATATATACATGAATTTTATTTTATACTTTGGCTATAGTACTTTTTTATTTTCGTGATTAACTTATTCCATTTTTTGGCCATCTTTTAGTTGACTCTGTGGCCCCTACCTTCACTGTTTTCTTTCTTTTTTCATTTAAGTACTTTCTTGCTTCCTGGCATGAAAAGATGCTCAAGGTATCTTGTCCAAATGTGGCCATACTGGGGTAATTTGTTAGTGCCATTTTAGTAGGACTTGAATATTCTCTAGGCTGGAGTATTCAGTCTCTTCTAAGGAAAAGCACAGCAATATAAAAAGTCAAGAGCTTTGGAATCATTCAGGATAGAAATCAAATACTGACCTGACTATTGCTTACGTGACCTTGAGCATGTTATCTCCTCTTTTAATCTCAAAAATATTATAAGCCCTTCCTCACTTTGGAATATGAATAGAAGTAGCTGTGCTGAGATTTCAAGTTCAATTCCTGAGTTTCTTTACCTAAAATTTTCCTTGAAGAATAAGCTGAAATATATTTGTGAATTTTTAAATGATTGAAAAGTCAACAAATGCTAAACTTAATTTTAGAGAAGTATGAAGCACCAATTCTAATTGAATAATTTAACATTTTTGACTAAATCCAAAGAAATGATTGGTCCTAACTATATGTTGGTGGCATTTTTGTAAACACATAAACAAAAATAAATTATTGGCAGACAAAGTCTACAATAGAGAAAGAATGAGTGCCTGCCATTAAGGATGATGTGACAATTCAGAAAAATTGGAATTTCTGGGTTTAATCATAAATTGTTGTTTGACCTTGGCCATGTCATTTCTCTTCTCTCTTTTAATTTGCTTAGGTGTAGAACAAAGTTAACATATCATCCATTCAAATCTCTTTGAATGGGAATTTATGTGTATTTATGAGCTAATGATTAAATGTCATATGAATTACTAAGATGAAGTAATATTCAGACATGACAGCATTGCTTGTTCTCATTATATGCCAGATAAAAATAAGATTTTCTTGTACATTAGTTCTCTTTGATGCAAATACTACTTTAATTTACCTGGCATGTTGCTTCTCAAACTTTCTGTCTTCCACAAAGCCTTTATTAACTCGGTTTTCTTTTTTATATCTTTTCATTCCTAGAATTGAACACACCCAATTATTATTTCTCTTTATTCTTTTAATGTAATCTAATTCTTAATTTAATGGATATTTCAATGTAATAATACAATATTTCACCTCCACATGCAATTGACAAAGTTCTTATGAAAGAATCAACATTCAACCAATATTCCATGAGTTCAAGAGACATTGATTGACATCCTTCTAAATAGCTCAACGGCACCGCTCTGAGCAGTGAGCTTACTGTGGTGAATGAACAGGAGGAAATACCTGCATTAATGATGCTAAAGGGAGTTAGAGAGGGTAAACAAATAAAAACCACTATCAGAACATATGTGGTGAGGAATGCTGAACACAGGAAGGAAGAAGCAGGTGAGGAGACCCATTCTATCAGGTGTGGAAGGAGGCTGATTTTCACAGAGGCCTGAAGAGACGAGTGAGGGTGCCCTGAAGATTCTTGGGTGTACCACCTTCCCCAGGAGGTCCATACAGGGCCGAGGCCCTGAGGCAAGACCATGCTGCACAGGTATGAGGACAATCACGGAGGTCATGAGGACTGAGATGACAAAGAAAAGCTTTTTAAGTCAATTGCAGCAATTTCCATTTCTCCCCCATCTCTAAAATGTTTGACAATTCCCCTATGCTGATTTAGTCAGTGCATTTTCTGTTATTTAGTGATACTTATTTCCTGCTTAACAGAATACCTGGCAAAGTAAGCTTCATTCACATGGAATTCTGGAAAAAGAAGTAAAGTAATCAAGAAGGGTTTCAAGATTCAGAAGGCAGAAAAAAAAATGCCAAATACTGAATTTAAAAGCTCGTTACTGGTCATTAGAAAGCACTGAATGATTTAATATCATAATGTAGATGGAAGACCTAGCACAGTAGTTTGAAGGATAAATGCGAGAAACAGAAAGATGAATAGGAGACAGACAAAGCAATAGCTGAAAAACAAGTTAAGATTTAGGAAAATCCTATATGTACATATTTAGAAAACAAATAAAACTTTGTTGTTGTTGTTGTTGTTGTTGTTGTTTGTTTTTCTGATAGGGAGTCTCGCACTGTTACCCAGGCTGGAGTGCAGTGGCGCGATCTCTGCTCACTGCAAGCTCCGCCACCCGGGTTCACACCATTCTCCTGCCTCAGCCTCCTGAGCAGCTGGGACTACAGGGGCCTGCCACCACACCCAGCTAGTTTTTTGTATTTTTAGTAGAGACCGGGTTTCACCATGTTAGCGAGGATGGTCTCAATCTCCTGACCTCGTGATCTGCCCACCTCAGCCTCCCCAAACTTTTATTACAACATATATTTGTGTGTATATATACATATATATATATACAAAGTATTGTAAAGACAGTTTAATAAATTTTACAAAGTTATATTGAAGTTAAAATAATATACAAATGAATCTGTAAATTTAACATTTTATTTGAGAAGAAACAATGGCATTTGGAGGCATGCATAAAGACCGAGTATTTTTTGTATGTCTAAAGGACAAAAAGAAGGTTGGAAGTGTTCTTAAGAAGATGAAGTTTACATGCGGTCCTGAGAGAAAGTTCATTAGGACTAAGTGAGCTCTGAGGAGTTGGCAAGCTCCATTGGTGGGTGACTAGTTGTCAAAATCAGTCCTAGAGTTGTAGCATACTATCCTAGCAGCCATAGATAAAACTGGTCTCAGCTTACAACAGGTAATTTTAGCCACTGGATTTTTAGACAATTACATTTCCAAAGCAATGTTATGTACCCTGAGCACTTTTCACTCCTGGCCCCTGGATTCTGATTTAGTTGGTTATAAAAAGAATGACCCAATTCAGATAATCACCTTTCACAGCACACCAGATAAACAGAAAACTGCACCAGCCATCCTGTGCCTCCTCCCAGACATTACCTACCCCAAAATAACAGTCTCCTGAAGTCAAAAATCACAGATACGCTTTTCCCATATGTGGAATTCATATGAATGGAAATATAGGGTATATACTCTTTTGTTCAACATTATGTTTAGGATATTTATGCATATGGTTTTGTATAATTATAGTTATTGCTGTCTGAATGTTCCATTGGTGAATGGAGCATGTTGCACTTATCTGTTCCACTGCTGATCAGCATTTGGCCTGTTTTCTCTGGGAGTTTGGATAATACTGGAGTAAACATCCTTGTAAATGTGTGTTAGGCATTTAACTAGGAGTGGATTTCCTATAATGTAAGACTGGCACGCGTGAACCTTTAGTAGATACTGCCAAAATGTTTTCCACTATGGTTGTATAAATTTACCCTCCCACTTACTGTGTTGAGAGTTCCAGTTACTCCACAAAGTTATAGACAACGAGCTTTGTCTTATTCATTTCAGCCTTCCAGATGGGTATGTAGTGTCATAGCCTGTGTATTTGTTTTAATAGAAGGGGAAGAGTTACTTTTATTATTTGTGTTTGTTTTAAAATATTTTTATATTTTTAACTGGTTTCTTGCATAAATTTTAGCCAGAAATAAGTGGCAAAAATAGTACAATGCATTTTTCTATATCGTCACTCAGCATCTCCAAATTTTCACTTTCCATGCAACAACAACAAAATTACTATAATCAGGAAATCCACATCAATGGGATACTACTAAATAGTCTAAAAATCACATCCACATTTCTGATTGTTCACTAACGTCCTTTTCCCGGGCCAGAATCCAATTCAGAAACAACATTGCACATTGATGTGCTAACTCCACAGCCTCCCCCAACTTGATCCCGTTCCTCAGTCTTCCCTTACGCTGTTGAAGAGAATTGGCCAGTTATCTTACAGATTGAGCTTCAGACTGGGCTTTAATAATGTTTCCTCATGATAAAATTCAGGTTATTAATTTTGGGGCAAGAAAACCACAAAGTAGCATTGCCTCCTTCTCAGTACACACATCTCAGTACACACACATGGGTCAGTGACACTGCCTATGGGTCATATCCTTTTGACTCACCTGGTTAGGGTGTTGTCCAACAGTTTTCTCCATTGTAAAGTTATTATTTTCCCTTTGTAATTAGTAAGTATCTTATGAAGAAGTACTTTGAAACTATGAAAATTTTCTGTTTCTAATAATTCTTTTGGCCACTAATTTTATAATTATTTCATCAATGAACATACATTGTTTCACAGTCTGATACAGTTAAATGTGGACCTATTTTCTTTTTTCTCTCTCTCTTTTTTTGAGACAGAGTCTCTCTCTGTTGCCCAGGCTGGAGTGCAGTGGCACCATCTTGGCTCACTGCGACCTCCACCTCCCAGGTTCAAGCGATTTTCTTGCCTCAGCCTCCTAAGTAGCTGAGATTACAGGCATTCACCACCATGCCCAACTAATATTTGTATTTTTAGTAGAGACAGGGTTTCACCATGTTAGCCAGGCTGGTCTTGAACTCCTGACCTCAGGTGATCCACCCGCCTCAGCCTCCCAAAGTGCTGGGATTACAGGGATGCACCACCGTGTCTGGCCCAGATGTGGGCCTATTTTCTGAAGTTCTCTCTTTGAAATTATTCTTTAAGGTCTGGTCCAACCCCAGGAGGGATCTTCTTAGCTATCCATTTTCCTAGGTCTTTGCCGATTTTGTATCTGGCTTACAGTATAGCTTGTCTTCTCAGAGCTTCCAGCCTCCTTATAATTGTTTATCACCATGGTCTCCACTGTTTGTAAGCGTACCCTATTTCCTACTTCCCCGCATTCTGTTCCAAATGAAGTCAGTTTACTTGAGGAGAGCAGTGGAGCTCCCTTCCATTTTGACCCACTCTCCTCGTGCACACAGCTCTGCATCACAGCTCCACAGCAGGGCACAGGGAGAGTGGCCCACTTTCTCAGTGACACACTTGCTTTGTGAGCTGGTCGCTGTGCGAGCAAGCCTGTCTCTTTTCTTCTGGCTTGCTTCTCTTGGCAGGGACTCTGCCCTGTAAATGAGCTAGGGCAAGGGCTAGCGGGGCCCCATTATTCTTGGTCTGCCATCCCTGTTGTTGACCTTGGTCCTAGCAGTGGGGGTGTGGAGGAGATATCCCCCCTCCCAGCTGCTCTTGCTTCAAAGTCTATTTAGCCCAGCTAGTAGGATGAGAAATTTTGGCAGCCTGCTCCTTCTTGTGAGTTACTACAGCCCTCAGCAGGAAACTGGTGGGAAACCTGTGTTTTCTGTGGCTGCTCACATCCTGGGGGGATACTTGTATAATGCTGGTCTGGGTGTGGGCAGAGGTAGAGCAGATCCTGGCTTTGATACACTTCCTGGATACACTTCACTGACACTGATACACTTTGTTGACATTGATCCTGACATTGATGACAACAATGATTGCAATGTTGTTATTTCACAGTTTAGTTTTAAGCATGTTTAAATTTAGTTACATATTTTATATTTTGTTTTAAATATTTTGAAACCCTACAGAACAGTATTGTTTAGAGCCAATATTTATTAATATTTCACACATGTATTATTTCCATTGTTTTCTTCCTGAATTTCCGTGTTTCATCAATGATAATTCTTTTTTTCTGCTTGTATGTTAATAGTTAATTCTGTTTTTCTTTCTTTGTAATCATCATTATTTTGAAGGATTTGTGGTTGTGTCCGTACAATACCTTCAGGAAATCTTCCAGTTTTCACTATGTTGGTTGAAGTTCAGTATGGGTAGTGATGATGATTTTCTTTGTGATCCAATTTCATAGGCTACTCCTATGAAATAGGAGTAGGAAATAAATCCTACCTCACTTTCTTCCTTTAATTCCAGCACCAACAACCTGATGTATACACGAACAGGGTCAATCAACCACATAGTTTTCTAAAATCTTAAATAATAATATTTTCTTTTCCCATCATAAATATTTCCAAATATCACAGTCTTTTATTTCTATTAAAACATCTCTTTTGGCCGAGTGCAGTGGCTCTTGCCTGTAATCACAGCACTTTGGGAGGCTGAGGTGGGCTGATCTCTTGAGGCCAGGAGTTCAAGACCAGCCTGGGCAGCAAAGTGAGCCCCTGTCTCTACAAAAAGTAGGAAAATTAGCGAGGCATGGTGGTGTGCACCTGTAATCCCAGCCACTTGAGATGCTGTGGCAGGGGAATTGATTGAGCCCAAGATGAGGAGGTTGCAGTGAACAGAGATCTCGCTGTTACACTCCAGCCTGGGCGACAGAGTGAGACCCTGTCAAAAAAAAAAAAAAAAAAAAAAAAGAAGAAGAAGAAAGAAAGAAAGAAAATGAAGGAAGGAAGGAGACCTCTTCCTTCAAAACCTAGCCCCCTCGCTAATTAACTGCTACATTTATATTCATCCTACCTCCCATTATGCAGTTCAGCGGGTCAGATATGGAAGAACATTAATAAAGAGGCCTCTTTTCCAAAATACTTAAAGGTAATTTATCAGAAAGACGTTACTCATTGTGCCACGGGATATTACTTCCGACTAGTTTTGGAGGGGGATTACCCTTTTCCATATCTCCTGTATTTTCCCCCTCTCTTTTGAATGTAACAACTTGTTCAAGTCCCTCCAATATTTAAATGAGTGTTTTTATTTTACTCAAATTTTTCTTTTCTTCATAGTCAATTATTAGGCAAGCGCTATCTAAAATAACCCACCTGAACTTGTGTTTCCCAACATTCCCTAATCCTGTCCTAATGAACACACTCATGATTCACACTTCAGTTCAGACACAGACTCCTGAAGGAGACATATGCTCAGTTGCTTAATCGATTTTAACCTTTGGTTCTATTTGTTGTCATGGCATCCTTTGGTTACTCGAACCCACCAATTATTATTTTATTGTTTTTATAGTTTTTCTCCCACTGTGAGTTTTCTGAGGACAGCAATGAGTTTTCTGTATTCCCAGTGCCTATAAGTGTATATGTGTATTTAATATAAAGTAGATACACAATACATATTTTACGCTTAAGCAAATAATTAATTTGGTGTGTAGGATATGCACAGTGAGGTGAACACACATGTAAGAGGATTGAAGCATGTTGGCTAACTACAGAATTTAAATATGATATATTTGAATGTAGAAACCTGCTCTTGAACACATATATTTCTGGTATACACAAGCAACTGCTCTTTTGTAGGGTCCATCTATAGAGAAGTCTCATATTGATCTTTCCCAAATTTCCCACTTTATGATTTTTTTCCCTATATTATACATTTGTCTGGGATGGTATGAAAGAGTTTACATTTTCTAACTTGACAGTTATCTAGTAAAAGCTGTTTATATGTGTATACCATGTTGGCCAAACAAGATCTGCATAGATGTGTTCCTATTGCTGTTGCTCTTGTTCTGGTTTTGTAAGTTGTTGCTCCTTGGTTCAATTAGCTCTTAAAATACTATTTTTATATTTAAAATAATTGCTAATCACTGAGTATTTTGGGGGTTATTTGGCCACATATATTGCTGTCTTGTTTCTCCAGAAGCAGATGCCAATACGGAGTTGAGAATTCTACCAGGTTTTAAAGCATGAGAAAGGCAAAGGAGAAAGGAGAACTAAAGGAAGAAGTCAATCTGCAGTGCAAGGTCAACAAGAGCCTCAGCCAACATGGTAGGACAGTATGGAGTGAGTATTGTCCATCAGAATGACCTGCATTGGATGGAAATGGACAGCCCTTATACCCTGCCTTGCTTGGTTACCTGGATTAGGCTGTGGAAAGGAGGACTTATGCCAGGGGACAGCAGCTCTCTGCAGCTGAGGCTGACCCACAAGAAGCAGATAGCTGGAGCTGTCTATAGAAGGTGCTGCCCTAGCTAAAGAGCGCATCCCTTATTTTATTTATTTATATATTTTTAGAAATGGGCTTTCACTGTGCTGCCCATGCTGATCTCAAACTCCTGATCTCAAGCAATCTTCCCATCTCAGCCTCCTGAATAGCTGGGATTATAGGCGCGAGTTGACATGCCTGGCTCAGCGTGTTCTTTATTGAGAGGAAGTGAAGCAGTGTATTTATTTGTGTCTAAAATATGTATGCATGTATGCATGTGCATGTGTATATACAGAGCTAAACAATTCCATGGAGCTAGAGAAAAAAGTGAGGTGATCTTTGTGCTGGTGAGTGAAGTGGGCACAAAGAACATCTTTCAGCTGTGCTTGAGCATCCAGGCCACCTTGCAACTCCCTCTTAATTTTATTCCATTATTGGTTCTATCAGCAGCTTTAGGAGTTTTATATAAATTACTGTTGCTTTTAATTTTTACATTAACTGATAAAATATAATCCAAATCTCATCGTTTTGCTGCGGGCCATTTATGACACTGAGCAACTAGAACCAGCTTTGTGTTGAGGAATGTAAGTTAAGGATCAATATTGTTGATGCTCTGGCAAGGAAAGCACATGCCCGGCTTGCAGGATTAAAGTCACTGTTTCAGGAGAGAGTTTCTCATTATTCTTCAATTAATATGATTTTTTCAAGATTTCCTTTGTGTTTTATGGAGAGAAGAGATTGTCCGAAAGTAATTGTGATATTTTTTAGGTTTTGATTGTTAACTCTTCTTTTATTATTTTCCTTAACTCTCTTATGTTTAGCCATTGAAGAGATATGTGAAAATTAACTCCTTCTTTAGAGATGATATGGCTTTCATAAACACTCACAAGCATACAATATTAAATGCATCAAGCCTAAAGTTGATGCTTAAGTATCTCTAGAAAAAGATATATTCTGGGAACAGTACATTATTGTAATCTCTTGGGGAAAGGTAGCAAAAATCATTTTGCTTCCTAGTTGCTCAGTTAATTTAACAGATTCGGCAACTAACTTTTATGATATTTTATCAGTATGTCAACCACGATACAATGAAAGGTTAAATTTTCATATTCAGGCTTGGTGAGAAAAGAAATCTCAATCAGATTTATTTTTAAGGCATAATTAATAAAAATAGAATAACCAGTATCTAAACGAAAAAATTGATAACCAGGAACTGTATTATGAGCTAAACTTTCATAATTCCATACAATTCCATATACTGATGTACACCTCGAATCCACGTTCAGGTTCTTTACAGTATGCTATGGTAAGGCTCAGCATAAAGTGTTCTTAACAGAAGGGTAATCTTGTTGTTTTCTCATAAAAATGCAGCCAATGATGGCTAATTAGAGGAGGCGTATTTCCTGTAGTAGTGGAAATAACAAAAACAACACTGCATTTGGATAACACTTCCATATTCCTCTGGGAAACTAAATCCTACAAGAAACAATAACAAAATATCTTTAAGAAGACCATATAGCAGCTGTTGTGTTGATTTCTTTTCAATTGAAATATTCATAATATGTTATGCAAATGATCACAAAAAGCTTCCTGGCCAAAATAGAGTTATTAAATCATAATATGCTTCATCTTCAGTTAGATTTACAATAACTACACCAAAGAAATTTCACATATGAATAAAAGTATTTAATATCTGAGAGTGGTCATTAAACTGAAAGCTAGGTAGCGCAGGGTAAATGTTTAATGAATCCAATTTCTTTGAGACATCCTCCCATCTTCTGTGTCCTGACAATTTTTTGCATATATTAGCCTCAATGATTTTTGATAGCTACCTCTCTTAAACCCCATCTCACATCTAATGAATTACCAAGTCATCAAAATTTGATTATTAAAATGTATGTCAAATTTTATCCCTGCCTCACTGTTTCAGTTGCTCGTTGTTTATTGCATGTCATTTTAGCCTGTGTCACAGCAATAGCATATGAGGTTTCCTAGTCTCCAGCTCATCCTCCACATCATTGTGAGACAACATGTTCTGAGTTGCAAATTATTTAATGGCACTTTTATTGCCTCTGTAATTCTATTTCCAGGCTGTCATGGGCTGCACTGTGTCCTTACAATATTCATCTATTGAAGTAGGAACCCCAAGAACCTCAGACTGTGACTATATTTGGAGATAGTGTCTTTATAGAGATGAAATGAAATCATATGGGTGCACTCCGATTCAACATGACTGGTGTCCAATCATCCACACACGAAGGAGAGGGGCCTCAGGAGAAACCAATCTTGCTGACACCTTGATCTTGGACTTCCAGCCTCCAGAACTGTGAGAAGTTAAATTTCTGTTGTTAAGCCACCCAGTCTGTGGTAACTTTGTTCTGGCAGTCCTAGCAAATGAATCCACAGCTGAACTCCAAACTCCTGTGCATGGCTTACGAGCCTCTTTATGGTCAGGTGTCTCAGCCTTGTCACTGCTATGCATCACATTTTTCTTCCCCCCCCCCCGCTTTTTTCATTTCTGTACTCTCAAAATGTGAATTATTTTAATGCTTTTCCATTTATATTTGGTATTGCCATTTTTTGAGATATTCCTGGGGCAATATTTATTCCTAGGCAACATTTCTACATCTTCTCGACTCTATTTTATGGAACTTATCAGATTTGCACCTGTATAACCCTTCCTAGAGGTAGCGACTGTGCACTGCTTATTCTTGAGTCCTTATTTTGGCTCCTCATTTTGAGATATGGATTTGCTCTGTAAAGATAAGTTAAAAGAAAATTAGCCAGGTGTGGTGGCCGGCACCTGTAGTCCCAGCTACTCGGGAGGCTGAGGCAGGAGAATGGCGTGAACCTGGGAGGCGGAGCTTGCAGTTCGCGCCACTGCACTCCAGCCTGGGTGACAGAACGAGACTCTGCCTCAAAAAAAAAAAAAAAAAAAGTTCTCTGAACATCTAAGGGTAGTGAGCTAGGAGGGACCATAAAAAAAAAAAAGAATGGTTAGAGGAAGGTTTTTTCATCATTGATTAATCATCTCTTGCTTGAGGACTACAATGTTGTCCTCAATATTACTTCAGATGTAACTAACTGGAAGGGGTAGAACTAATTCACGCTTTAAGCAAGTGACATACCTGAACTTACTATGAAATAGTCATAAAACATAGGACGATAAATAGATAATTTTTTAATTACTTAAAATTTTTAAAGTGTTATATTAAGAAAGGCATATGAAAAATGTCGGGGTAGGGATTCAGTGTGCAAAGGTGGGAAAACTGTTTTGAAACATTTCCTTAGAAAAATTTTTAAATTGTTTTATTTGATAGAACAAAAATAAAATTAGTCCTATTTTCTAGACATATACACAAACAAAGCAACTTAAAGAATAGCATTCTTTAAGTCTACTTGAGTTTATTACTAACATTCATTCAATTACTTACTTTGAGAACTTGAATGTACCAGCACTAGCCCCAACCTTCCTAATACCACAAAAGCAAATAGATATATTGTCATTTTAGTTCTTCAAATTTTTGCACAGAAATCACTTATTTTCCAAATCATTAAATTCCCTTTGATGGCATTTGTGACATTTTTCCAAGAGAAATGCATGTAATTAAAAAAAATTGTTTATTTCAGAAAAGTTTTAGATTGCAAGGAAAGGGCCACAGAGGCATTCTCATGGGCCCTACAAGGAAAGTACACAGAGGCATTCTCATGGGCCCTACACCCAGTTCTCTCAATTTTTAGTATTTTGCCTTAAAGCCTTTATTTTAATTCAGATTTTCTTGGTTTTTATCTACTATTCTTGTTATGTTCCAGGATCCCATCCAAGACACCACATTACATTTGTTCACCATGTCTTAGGTTCCTCTTGGCTGTGACAGTTTTTCAGATTTTTCTTGTTTTTTATGACCGTGACAGTGCTGAGGAGCATTGGTCCACTGTTTTGAAGAATGACCCTCCCTTTGGCTTCATGTATTTTTCTTCTTACTTTTAAATACGGTTTATGGTTTTCTGGATGAAGACCACAAATGTGAAGTGCCATCCTTATCACATTTTATCCAGAACACAGGCTATCAACAAAACTACTTACTGGTGATGGTGACCTTGATCCCTTGGCAGAGGTAGGGCTTGTCAGGTTTTGTCCATTGTAAAGCTCCTCTTTTTACCCCTCATTTCTATATCTGTCTTTTTTGGAAGAAAGTCACTATAAACATGGCTCACTTAGGGAGTGAGAAGTCATGATCCACCTCTGTGAAGGTATGGAATTGCCAATAATTATTTGGAAACATCCTATACAGAAGATATATCTCTTCTCCTCCATTTATTTTTTTATTCATATTAGCTATTTATGTCAGTATGAACTCAGAGGAGTTTTTTTTCATAATTTGGATTGTATTCCAATAATACATTGTTTATTTGATTGTTCAAATTATATCAGCTTTGGCCATTGGGCACTCTTCCTGTTGGCTCATGTGTTCTTTCCCATATTCCCATTTTTTTGTTTGTTTGTTTTTTTGAAACAGAGTCTCACTCTGTTGCCCAGGCTGTAGTGCAGTGGCACAATCTCAGCTCACTGCAACCACTGCCCTCTTGAGTTCAGGTGATTCTCCTGTCTCAGCCTGCCACTGCACCTGGCTAATTTTTTGTATTTTTAGTAGAGACGGGGTTTCACCATCTTGGCCAGGCTGATCTTGAACTCCTGACCTCGTGATCTACACGTGTCGGCCTCCCAAAGTGCTGGGATTACAGGTGTGAGCCACCTCGCCAGCCCCATTTTTTTCTTTATTTCTTTTTATTTTTATTTTGTTTAGCATTGCCTTCCTGGAATTATAAGATGCTCTGAGGTTATCTTGTGTATCTCCTGCTCCCAAATCAGCCACATCTCCAGTTAGCTCTAGTTCTCTATATATTTTTAATAATTGTATTAGAAACGAAGATCTGGGCTGTAGATCGGCTTATTTTTACCAGATGCCATTGGTTCTATGCCCTCTCAGCAACCCCAGCTGGGAAATATATGTAGGGCAGTAATCTGAGTATATGTCAATATCTAAAATCTGAAATTATTTCTTTTCTTTTTTTTTTTTTGTTTTTTCTTTTTATTTTTTTGTGACAGAGTCTCGCTCTGTCGCCCAGACTGGAGTGCAGTGGCACGATCTCGGCTCACTGCAAGCTTCACCTCCTGGGTTCACCCCATTCTCCTGCCTCACCCTCCTGAGTAGCTGGGACTACAGGTGCCCGCCACTATGCCCGGCTAATTTTTTTTGTATTTTTTAGTAGAGACGGGGTTTCACCATGTTAGCCAGGATGTTCTTGATATCCTGACCTCATGATCCACCCGCCTCGGCCTCCCAAAGGGCTGGGATTACAGGTGTGAGCCACCGCGCCCGGCCCAATATCTGAAATTATTTCTATATCCAGCCATTACTATCTGTGTCGAGCCAAATGTAAGTTCACACTCATGTCTACAACTCTGATATGGTCTGTATGGGCCATTCCACCCCCACACCCTCTCACCTCGTGCTGATCTGTAAGCTCCCCTGCAGCAGTGAGGAACCTATGTCTTGCCACCCATCGTCCATTCATTTGTTCAACCCCAGTGCACATCTATAGTTTCAGAGCTATTAACACTTCCCCATGAGAAACAGCTTTACCAACTGGACTATAGTGCTTATGTTCAGATCCTTTGTTTTTCGCTATTATACTTTCCAGTCGTTCCCAACATTACTTAAGTTGCCACCACAATTTTCCCCAACTCTTTCAGTGAGGTTATGCCATACATTTGTAATACTGTTAGAATCATTGTCATCATCTGCATTCTACCCTAGGATCACGTGTACTCCTAGGTGTGTTGTTTTCAATTTCCATACATAAAAGTTTACTTTTATGCTACAAAGTTCCATGGGTTTTGTGAAATTCATATCATGTACCCACCTTACATTGTCATGCACAATAGTTTCAAGCTCTAAAAAAAATCATCTGTGCTTACATATTTCACCTTATCACTTCCCTACATTTCTGGCAACCACTGTCCTGTTTTCCGTCTTTGTAGCTGTGTCCTTTCTAGAATGTCACATAAATAGAAACATGCAGCATGCAGCCTTCTCAGACTGGCTGCTTTCACTTAGCAATATGCACTTAAAATTCTTTCCAAGTCTCTTTGTGGTTTAATAGCTCTTTTGTTTTCACTGTTACTGTTGAATAATATTTCATTACATGGATGTACCACAGGCTGTTTATTCGTTCACCTATTATATAAAGTTATCTAAGAAGATACTAGTTGCTTCCAATTTGAAGTAATTACAGATAAAGTAGTTACATTTTGTGCACATTTTTGTGTGGATATGCTTTCCAATCTGTTGGGTAAACACCACTGGTGCCGTTACTGGATGATATGGTAAGACTAATTTAGCTTCTTAAGAAGCTGCCAAACTGTCTTCCAGAGTGGCGGTACCATTTTGCATTCACAACAGCAATGAATGAGAGTTCCTGTTTATCCATCTCTTTGTCAGCAATTGGTATTGCTGGTTTTTGGATTCAGTCATTTTAATAGATTTGTAGTGGCATCTCAATGCTGTTTTAATTTGCATTTTCCTAGTGACAAATGATATGGGATACCTTTTCATGTGCTTATTTGCTATCTATATCTTCTTTGGGCATTCAAGTCTTTTTAGTATTTTTATTAGGATTGTTTTCTTATTTTGTATTAGGATTCTTTTCATATTGTGAATACATGTCTTTACCAGATATATAACATGCAAATATTTTATTGCAATCACTGACTCATGTTTCCAGTCTATTAACAGTGCCTTTCTTAGGGTAAAAATTTTAACTTTAATGAAGTTCAACCTTTTTTTGTTGTTATTCATGAATTATGTTTTAGTGTTGTAGCTAAAAACTCAACACCAAATTCAAGATAACCTAGATTTTCTCCTATGTTTTCTTCTGGGTTACATAGTTTTGCATTCTATAATTAAGTCCAAAATCCATTTTGAATTAATTTTTATATAAAATATAAAGTGTAGGTGAAAGCTCATTTTTATGCATATGAACATCTAATTGTTCAACACCATTTGTTGGAAGAATTATCATTTCTTCAATAAATTGTTTTGTGGGTTTTTTGTCAAAAAACAGTTGACTGTGTTTGGGTCTGTTTCTGAGTCTCAGTTGTGTTTCATGGATCATTCTATCTGTTCTTTAGCAAATGCACTAAATGTACATTTTATATATGTGTTTATATGTTCGTTTGTGAGACCAAGAGAGTGATAAAGAGGGGAAAATCTTTTCTTTAGTTCAAAACCTGTAAACTGTAGCATCGTGACTACAATTCAATATATGGGGTGTAAGACTAAAGTTTTTCTTCTCACTGAACATTGACATTTGAGATAAATGTAAGTTGTTTCCTAAGGCTGAGCTGGGTATTGAATGAGCTTACACAGTGGTTTAAAAGGCAAAACTAGAAAACGGTTGCTTTTGTTTCACATAAATAACATGTCGTACAATGACTGCCTCAAATCGGATCTTTGAAAGTACAAAAGATCCCTCAGTACATTTGGGAAGATTTTTAAAAGAGAACAAAATCTGATAGGAAATGAAGATAGATGTTGTTTAGTTAGTAGAATTAACATGAGATTCTCTGTTGGTGCTATAGAATTTTTAACAAGACAGAGAGAGTTTTTAACAAGACAGAGAGTGATATTTAGGTTTATCAAGGATTTCAGAGGGAACTTTATGGTTAGAATCCCAAGTCTTTGAATGGTTTGACTGAGGGAGGAATCCTAGCACTGCAGTGTCTGCTCTGTAGCCAGTACTGAGGGCTGGCCTTCTGCACTTTGGTTTGAGGATGCTCCCTGAGAGAGATCTGAAGCACCCGATGATGACAGGGGTCTAGGTGAGCAATGCTTCTTCATGGGCAAGGAGTAGCAGATACACGGGGAGGATTCTTCAGAGGCAGATCCCATCGCCACTGGCTATAACTGAGAGTGATCAGGAGAATGCAAGGAGGGCAGTCATCCACAGCAGGTCCCCAAAGTATACCATGTTTCCTTTTGCTAGGAACAAAGTGGAGTCAAGATCCAGAAAAGATAGTCAATGCTGGATAATGGCTGTCAAATATATTTGGAGGGTGAGGGTCTTAATGCAACCAGCAGGAGAGAAGAAATCTGATGCAGATGAAGCCAGTGCTTTAAAGAACTGTGCTTTATTTCCTGGTCTAATTTTATTTATTATCTACTTATGGAGGGAAACTTTAGCCTATAATTAGTAACTCTGATACAGGTCTGCTATGATTTATAATCAATGTCCTGATGCAATTGTTAATGATGCCCTCTTTTACTTTCAAAATATTTTTTGTTTTTTTTTTTTTTTTTTTTTTTTTTTTTTGAGACACTTGTCTTGCTCCATCACCCAGGCTTCAGTGCAGTGGCACGACCTCGGCTCCTTGCAACCTCCACCTCCTGGGTTCAAGCAATCCTCCCACCTCAGCCTCCCAAGTAGCTGGGATTACAGGTGTGTGCCACCCGCCACCCCCAGCTAGTTTTTGTGTTTTTTGGTAAAGACAAAATATTCTTATGTAGGTTAAAAATATGTCTGGCTGTACCTCCAGCATTTTCACCTGACTGTTTTCAAGATGTCACTCTAACTGCTTTTCTAGATCAGAAATGGATGAAATAAAAAAGAAGAAAAAATACTTTTTGCTTCTGTTTTTTTGCATTATTTTTCTTGATTCATTTTTATATGCATTCATTTAAAAGTATTCATTCATTATACAAGACACTATTGGATTTATGGCGTGAGGATATAATTGTACATTCAGCGTGACACAGTGCTGATCATTGATCTAACAGCATAGTGCACTCATTTAATATCCCTACTAATGAATGCCAATATAAAGTGCTATCTTATTGGGGAAGAAATAAGTTCAGGTAAAAGATTCTGAAGACATGATGCTTCTCTACTACAGAGCAGTATCTAGAATGTTACTGTATACATCTACTACAGTATTTTTTAAAATAGTCTTTTAGATGGATTTCCATGAGAAGTTTTAGAGGTTCATTAACCTATATCCGCATTCTATCTAAATAAAATATGTAAATGTAAGGATTATTTTTAGATCTGGCAAAATATTGAATAATGCGGGACCGATTGCCTTGGAAAACATCTCAGACACCCTAATGACAAAACCTGGCCTGACACAGATCTGGGGTGAGGGCTGTGAGGGTGGCTGTGGAGAGCCTACCATTCTGCTTCAGGCTTGGTTGCTCCTGATCCATTCCTACATTTCTGGTAGGGATTGTTGATTTGGTTTCTCAATGGGGACTCTTAAGGTCATTCAAGACTTACAGGCTGGCTTGGTCTGTCAAGGTTATTGAAAGGCTCCAGGACACTTCTCTGACCAGAAACATTCAAGATCTGTCAGAACCCACTTTCTCAGAGCACTGAGGCCAATGGGGCCCCTTCACAAGCACAAGCACAAGCGCAATTCTTAGTGTTATGGAAGAAGCTCAGCAAATGTTTACAAAACACAGTGAAGGATGAATAAACACAGTAATTTTCAGTTGGGCTTATTTATCAATGGATAACACACATACACACACAAACACACACACACAAATATATATAATTCTGTAAAACTTTCCCTCTACAGAACCCATTTCCAAACTGTCAGGCATTGAATATTCAGCGGTGACTTTGCAACATCTAAAAAATCATACACTATTCGGTGTTTAAAAATTACAATTTGTTTTAGATTTTAAAACCTTAGATGCTTGGTATTAATACGCTAAATCAAAGGATTTGAGGCAGCATCCTTCAGCTACAATTTCGGTTTTGATGTTAGGCTTGGGATTCATCTACAAAATTGTTATGTTGACTGTCCCTCAAGGAATAAATAAAATTTTACTTTTAAGATAAATGATGAACAGAGAAATATGTATTTCTAAGGTAATTTAGTCTTTCAAAAACAGTTCTCAAAGGTTTATACTCCAGTGGTTTTATATTGTAGCTTTAGCTGATTGAAATGATTCACATTTCCCTGCAGAGCTATTTGGGGCATTAAATAGAAATAAGTAAATTGATATCATTTTACAAAAACCTTCACAACTGGAAATATATCAGTACCTGTAAGTACTATTTTTTTCTGCCAAGTAAATAACACCTTTTTGTTTTATCAGAAATCTAAATTGATACACTTATTGTTTAAAAAAAAGTATAATGATTATCCTTGTCAGAATAATCTATGTCAAAGTTTATCATTCTCTTTAAAAAATTTAAAGACCTACTTCATTGTCCTTTTGGTCAATATCTTTTCTTTGAGATATTATCTACTGCTTCAATATTAGAATTTATTACTTTTTATAAATATTGTAGGAAGCCAAGGTACTAGGTAGGATGTTAAGTGATTACCATTGAAATGCATTGTATGCACCAAACTTATTACAATTTCGTGACTGCTGTATCACAATTTAGGCAGTGTTTTTAGGGGATTCATTGTGCAACCTTGGACATATCAAAGCCTTATTTTGAAAATCATGTGTTATAATGCATGTCAATGTGTTTTTGAAAGTGTGAAACAATAAAGGCAATTTTTTCTTAAATGCAAGAATAATTTTAGAGAGCAGTATCCTATGTAAAATATATGCAAATACATGCAAGAGTTATTTTAGTGAGTTCTAGCTCATGAAAAAAAATCACACAAGCACTCATCCCCCCTAGGAAGTTAACAAAAAAGTCATGCTCAGCTAATATATGTAACTAGAAATGAAACTTCTTTGGGAAATATCCATCTCTTTCTGTTAAGTCTAAATACTACAGACTCGCACAGTGCTGAAATACGTCAATTAAACTTAACTGTCATGTACCACTGGTGGTGTATCAAGTGGGTAAAAACTCGTTGATAGTATCTACGAAATCTAAATATGTATGTATTCTATGATCTCATACAGGAATTCCATTTCTAGGTAAATATTCAAATGAGACTGATGCATATGTTTATCAAAAACATTTATGAGAATGTTCATATTGCACTGGTCATAATTACCTCAAACTTTAAAGTATCCTAATGCCCACTAACAGTTAAATGATGATAAAGTTGAAGTACATTCACACAATGGGTTACAGCAAAGAGAAGAATGACCTACAACTATAGACAGCAAACATGAATAAATTTCAAAACATAACACTCCACAAAATATGCCATGTACAAACACATTTTTATATGAAATTATATAAAATACAGAAAGAGGCACAATGAATGTATGCAGTTAGAAAGCAGGATGGTGGTTACCCTTCGAGAGTAAGGGTTTGATCAGGAAGCAGCATGAACCTTCTCATGTGCTTTTTTTCCTGAATTTGAATCCTGGCTCTACTGCTTACTAGCTAGTGACTTGGTGAGCTATGTGAAAATCTCTTGGCATCAGTTTCCTCATCTGTAAAATAGGGATAAAAATAGTACCGACTCCATGAGGTTGTCAGAAAATTGCCTGGCATACAATGAGTTCTAGATAATACACAATGACCTCTGTTAATTATTTTCTCTAGACAGTTATATTCTTAAAACCAGGGGTGATTATCAAAAAAGGATGTTAGATTTAACCATCATATTGTGTATTTTTTGAAAAGATCATGTTCATATATTAATTATAAATAAAAATTAATTTGTAATATGAATATTAAGCAAAAGACAAGCACTGCCCTTTAGTTTATGTGCATTTGAGCCTAAGATTAGGTTTTATTATATAAATATAAGTATAATTTTTTGTAATAGTAAGCAACTCAAGCCTAGCAAAAATACTACTTCTATTGCTACTCAGTTAGGAAACATATTTGTATATTTAAAAAGCTAAGTGATTTGTACGTGGACACCTAGATAGAAAAGCAAACTTAGAATGAGGTTTCTGATAATGAAGGTTATTGTTTTTTCCCTCTATAGATAGAGAGAGAATATTCAAGCAATGAACAGAGCAGAGATGATAACAGAACCCTGACCCCCAGCTTGGTGGCGATCAGCACAGAATGATCAGGACGTGGTCAAAAATTGCAGTCTTCCCCATGTTGTTGTTGTTCTTACTTTCAACTTGGAACCAGACAGAGAAAACTAAACATACTCCTCTAACCAATCACTTAGGATGTCCAGCTTCTAGTTGGAAATAGAAAATCATGTTTTTACTTAACCTCCTAAGTTCGTAGTTGAAGCAGAGTCCTGCAATGAAAGACAGATTCACAAGATAAAAACAGTTTATTAGCGTTGTCTTAGTCCATTCAGGCTGCTATAATTTATAGAAAATAGAAACTTATTTCTCACCGTTGTGGAGGCTGTTAAGTCCAAGATCAGAGCTGAGCAGGTATGTTGTCTGGCTAGGACTTGGTCTCTGCTTTGAAGATGGCACTGATGCAGCTCTGATGAGTGGAGGAGCACCGGGGCTCTTGTCTCACGTGAAATGGATAAAACCACACGGACACACTTGGAGTGGTTTTAAGGAGCAGAAAGTTTAATAGGCAAGAAAGAAAAGAGAAAAATGAAGGAAGAACCTCCCCTGTACAGCGACAGAGGGATGGGAGCTCCAAAGCCAAGAGAGGAGACCCCAGTGCCTTAGAAACGTGGCTACTTATATGAAGAGTCTGGGGGAGGTGGTGTCTGATTTGCATAGGGCTCAGGGGATTGGTTTGGCCAGGCCTGTCGCTCACATAGCCCTCCCACCCTAGCCTTTTAATATGCAAATACAGGGTGCCATGATGTTCTATATAGTGGGGATATGTGGGGGCGGCCATGCTGCCAGACACATGTGAGGGCAAGGGCAAGAAGACACTGATGGGAATCACCATGTTTGGGTGAACCCAGTTTCTAATGGCTGGGATTTGCATATCAAAGGTAGCCAGCCTGGGTCTAAGAGCCTGGGCTTTCCTGCTAGACAAGAAACATTTCTGGAGCTGCTTTAAAGGAAGCGAAAACTTCTTAAGGACCCCTTTTCCTCTCTATCTGCCTAAAATAATTTCTTAATAACTCCTAAAACAGCACCTTAATAACTTCCTCACATGGCAGATGGGGCAAGGGCTAGAACACTTCCTCCAACCTTTAATACAAGGGTATTAATCTCATTGAAGAGGGCTTCACTCTCGTGGCTTCATCACCTCCTAGGAGCCTACCTTTTTATACTATCACATTGGCTATTAAATTTGAACATAATGAATACTGAGGGGATACGTTCAGACCATAGCACATGAATAGTTCGTATACATGGGACACGCCCTGGGAATGAGTAGTTCGCAAAGAAGTAAGCTTTGAATTCCAGCTTATATAGCATATTTAGTAAAGGACAGAAAAGTTTTAGAGAAGCAGCAAGACAAAAGAAAAAGACTTTGAGTCTCTAGGGGTGGTAGACTTGTGGGGGAGAGAAATAACTGGCATATAACGGCAAGGGGGTAATATTTGTCACTGCAGATTCCTCTAGTATCACCTCCAGACTGATGAGGGCCTAATGTCTTCCCTAGTCAACTTCTGTTCTCTTTGGTAGAGAAAGTGCAGAATATCATTTGTCTTTGTAAATCTGTGTCCTGCTTTTGGGCAGATAGAGAGAGGGAAAACTTTACTGCATCTGCTTCTTGACTGCCTTCAGCTCAACAATCCTACATATTTTGGGGTGAATATTCTGGCCTCCCACACTAGTCAGCTGCCTTCATCTTTCATACATCAGCAATCACAGCATGCCTGTGGCCTTCCCTTTTGCTCACTAGAAAGCCTTCTTGCCCCACCTGCCTTAAGTGACTTTCAAATGCAAGTGAAAAGGTTTACTCCCTTCTTACAGCAAGCTCTCAGCAAATAGACTCTTTTTGTTCTCATTTAATTGGTCTTTCTTTCTACAGAATTGACCACTGTTAAAACCAACCTACATAATAAGGAGATATTTCAATCAGGAAAAAAAGAAAGAAAGAAAGAAAGAAAACTGCTCCAGAGATGTTGTTTCTTACTAAAACTTTCTTCTACTTTGGCTGTAACCTCTATTTCAATATAGTCTTGGGTATAGTCTTAAATTGACAATGAATCCTAATTGATAAAAATTTCAGTTTGATCACTTGTCTCTTTAATAGTTAATTTGTAGTATTCTTTTCATCACATACATAACATGCCCTGTCAATAGAGTACATTATTAAATTTTTGGTATATTCTGGAGCATAAAAATTCTTCTGTATCTTGAAAACCACACACATCTGTAACCACAAAATTTATTGTCTTTTCTGTATTAACATGATGCAGTTAAGCAGTGAATGTGTATGGGTCTGCAGCAACCTTGATTCTTGCCTTCTCCAGTGAAAGAATTCGACTGATGGGTATAAGGCAGAAGGAGAGACTGAGGCAGCTTTAGAGCAGGAATGAAAGAAAGCAAAGTATACTTGGATGAGGGCTAGTGGGCGACCTGAGGGATCAAGTGCATGATTGGACCTGTCACTTAGGGTTTTATATGTTGGCATGCTTCTGGTGGCTTGCGTCCCTTCTCCCCTGTTCCTTCCCTTGGGGTGGGCTATCCACATGCTCAGTGGCCTGCTAGTACTTGGGAGGGGCTTCATAGGCAGTGTGTAACTGGAGCTGTACACCTGCTCACTTGAGGCGTTCTTCCCTTACCAGCCAAATGTTCCTAGAAGGTCATATACCAGTTAAACTCTGCCATTTTGTCTCTCAAAGCGTAGTCCTGAGCCCACTCACCCAGCTCTTGAGATCTTATTGGGAAGCTGTTGATCACCAGTTTCAGGTGTTTTCTATCTATCAGGAGGCTGCCTTTCCCTGGCCTGCCTGCACCAATTATTATTTTAGAGGAATAGTGTAACAACTGCCTGACCCTCACCTGATGGTTGCCTGACATTCCTGCTTATGAGGAGTCCTCTCTTGACCTGCTCATGACTGACTAGCTACCTACTGTAACAAAGTTATTATTCCACTGCCTTCATCAATCATACTTTACTATTCCAGGAATTACTTTACTGGGAAGACAAGCATTGCCAATAATGTTCCTGCTCATTTTAGGAACCTCTTAAATAACCCATCAAGTGTTCTCTGTGCTATGTTCGCCAATCCTAACCACACCCCTACATTGGCAGACCTACCTTAAGCCACACTATAAAATCCTAATAAATACCACAACGTTGACCTTTCCCTCTCTGAGATGCTATTGGAACTTTATGCTCAGAATTGTCTTTCCACAAATTGTTTTGGTGATATTTTGGGGAGTCAGCATTTGAAAACCATAAACCAAGAGACTTTAACTTCTTTTCATTCTTTTATACATTTTAGTTTTATATTATAATATTTCTGATAGCCATGACTTCTATATCTTTGATTTTTTAGACCAAAGCTTTTTGAACTTTTCTAAAATTTACAAATAGGAGCCCATTTTTATATTAGACTCTTGGAAAAGAGGAGGAAAACAACCCTCTACATATGATTATGCATGTTTCTCTTAACAGAATAATCACCCAGTTTCCTTAGTTTAGACATTAGTAGGTTTTCTCAATAACAGATTTCTCAAGCTGAAAGGTCTTTCCTCCCTTATTTTTCTGTATTTTCTAATTTAATAACTGATTTGTTCCCCACCTACGTAGTCAATTGCTTCTAATGGTCTTACTACTAACTTTCAGGTTCTCCTTGTTTCCCAGTTAACTGGTTTTAAAAAGAACATATTTAAATATAATAGGTCTTTGCAAATTTATTTCTTACACTTTAAGAAGAGCTTAGAAGCTTAGAACATGAGCAGTAGACAGTGTTCAGGACTGGTAGACTTTTTCCTCATCTTTATATGGATCCTATGGGTCCTAGAGTAACTTGTTTAATGACAAAGGTAGGACGCAGAAATCAACATTTGTTCTCCAAGCAACTCAAGTGATTCTGATGCGACTAAGAAACACTAATCAATATAATATTTAAACTTCTTTTAACTGTTCACAACATTTTGATTATATATGCTTGAAAGTATGTTTAAACAATAAATTATTAATTCAAATTAATGGAAGCTTATCATTAGCTAAAAATTAAAGGTCCATGTAAACTAAATTTTAAATTAAAGGTCCATGTAAAATAAATAAATTTTAATTTCAGTTTTAAAGGATTAAATTAAAAGTGAAGAATAAAAAATGAGAGATTAAGATAAAAGAAAGAAAAAATAAGATATTTTGAAGAAAGTAAAATACTTGCAAGCATATACTCTGGCTCCCATGAATATATGTATTGAAATTATTATGTTATCCACAGTTTTGACTTCTCTTGTTATTATTCTGTCAAGAGAAACAAGTTTGTTTTTTGTTTTTTTTCTTAGCGTAGAATTTTTGAGAGAGTTCTAAAAAATCTTCCCTTTCCTTTGTTTGAAGTAGAGTCCAAGCATTTTTTTTCATGACCCCTTCTGTTGATTACCTCTACCATGACTCAGCCAGTCATTATCTCATGTTTCCATAATACGTGTTGGTTGCCATCTGTTATTCACGAAACCATGTCCTGCTTACTCAAATCACCTTGCACACGGCTACCAGTGGAATTTTCTTAAAACAAAACAAAACAAACAAAACTCACTCTCATTGTGTCTAGAAATGTATTATGACCTCCATTTGGCCCTCGTTGTGCCCTTCTTAACTCCAGGATCTCCAGGAAGTCACTCCGAGTTGGATTTTAACAGGTAAGGTGTTTATTAAGGAATATCCTTGATATCAGAACCTGTGGAAGGGAAGGAAGGAAGCTGGGCTGGGCAGAGACAGAAGTATAGCTGAAATTCAGGCCCATGGACAGGTCAGACAGCCCCCAAAGTTGCTGTAGAGGTAGGTGTGGCCTCCATAGAGTGAGAAGTGCAGGCCTATAGACTTTGGCATTCATCAGTCATGGAATGTAGCCTGCTGTGGGAAGGCATATGGCTATTACTGGACAAAGCACCTCTCTGCAGCTCAGACAATTTTGAAAGGGCTAACACTGAAGACCCTCTAGCAGCTCTGGTGAAAATTTCATCAGAAAAGATCCCGGAAGCACATCTCCAAATCCACAACTGACAGTTCCAAATGTGAGGATTTGTTTTACCTTCAGAAGCAATGAATATGCTTGTCTTATAATGCTTTCACAGAACCTACAAGAATTGTAGTCTCAAATACCTACAGCTGTAATAGGTGCAAAGTGGTTTTAAGAAAGGCTTGGCATCTGCTAACTCACCTGGAAGCTACTACGCATGGTTTCGTTCATATTCAGCCAATAGATCCCAGTCAAATGGCAATGACCCAGTGCTATTTTATGTTTTATGAACTGGCTCCTCTTGTGAAATAAAACTATAAACCCTGGGAAAAACACAGGATGAAACTAAAGAATTCTAAATGCTGGTAGAGGAAGGTGAATGCACTTGTGAGCCCAGTAGAGGAATAGTAAGGTATCAGTGCCTCTCCTTTCCCCTTATCCAGCAAAACAAGATGACTGAGACCAGGGTTTTCCTGACATCCAACCTGGTAACAGCAGGCTGAACTCATTCTCTTGATGGAATGGGAGTTCCTCTGACAACACCAGATGAACTAAGTCCACAGGCAGGAAGATCCATCCGGAGTTCCTTTAACCAGAAGTAGGTAGGAGAATGGCTCTATTTCTCCATCAGCCTGAGATTTTCTGCTCTCAACTGAGAGATATTAGGAGCGCCAAGTGACATAGGCAAAGGGAGCCCCACTAATGCCTAGCTTAGCATGCACTCCCAACCCCCGCAGGCAGGGAACCTAACACAAGTCCTCATGAAAAGATGACCTTTCATTTTTGTAGTCCTGAGATTCTCCTCCCCCTCCCCTTTTCTGGGGAAATCTCTTCCACCTTTCAGGTTGCATCATTAGAGAACCATGGAAGGTTGAGCAGCAGCAGACAAATCAAGCGCACCATAAAGATACTGAATATTAGGCTAAAACTGAAAGTTTTTCAAAATTAAACACATCATATTAAACTTCTAAAAAAGAAGACCATAAAAATATAGAAAACAAAGACAAATGACACATTGCCTATAGGAAAACACAGATTTCATTTAACCTTCTTTTCTAATTTTTTATAACTTTCATTTTAAGTTCAGGGGTAGATGTGCAAGTTTATTACATAGGTAAAATAATGTCATAGGGATTTGTTGTGCAGGTTATTTCATTACCCAGGTATAAAGCCTAGTATCCACTAGTTATTTTTCCTGATCCTCTCCCTCCTCCCACCCTCCACCTTCCAATAGGCCCTGGTGTGTGTGTTGTTCCCTCCTGTGTGTCCATGTGTTCTCATTATTTAGCTCCTACTTAACAAGTGAGAACATGTGGTATCTGGTTTTCTGTCCTTGTGTTAGTTTGCAGAGCATAATTGCCTCCAGCTTCTTCTATGTCCCTGCAAAGGACATGATCTCGTTCTTTTTATGGCTGCATAGGATTCCATGGTATATATGTACCACATTTTCTTTATCCAGTCTTTTATTATCAATAACAGTAATTAATAATAATAATAATCTTAGGGCATTTAGATTGATTCCATGTTTTTGCTATTGTGAATAGCCCTGCAATGAACATATGTGTGCATGTGTCCTTATAAAAGAATGCTTTATATTCCTTTGGGTATATATCCAGTAATGGGATTACTGCATCAAATGATATTTCTGTTTTTGAGGAATCACCACACTGCCTTCCATACAGTTAAGTAATTTACACTCCCATCAAAAGTATATAAGCATTCCTTTTTCTCCACAACCTCATCAGCATTGGTTATTTTTTGACTTTTTAATAATAGCCATTCTGACTGGTGTTAGATGGTATCTCATTGTGGTTTTGATTTGCATTACTGTAATGATCAGTGATGTTGACCTTTTTTTACATGCTTGTTGGCTGCATGTGTGTCTTATTTTGAAAAACATCTGTTCATGTTCTTTGCCCACTTTTTTTTTTTTTTGAGACAGAGTCTCACTCTGTCACCCAGGCTGGAGTGCAGTGGCGCGATCTCAGCTCACTGCAAGCTCCGCCTTCTGGGTTCACACCATTCTCTTGTCTCAGCCTCCCAAGTGGCTGGGACTACAGGTGCCCACCACCACGCCCAGCTAATTTTTTGTATTTTTAGTAGAGACGGGTTTCACCATGTTAGCCAGGATGGTCTCGATATCCTGACCTCGTGATCCGCCCGCCTCGTTCTCCCAAAGTGCTGGGATTACAGACGTGAGCCACCGTGCCCAGCTCTTTGCCCACTTTTTAAGGGGGTTGTGTTTTCTCCTGGTAAATTTGTTAAAGTTCCTTATAGATGCTAAATATTAGACGTTTATCGGATGCATAGTTTGCAAAAATTGTCTCCTATTCTGTAGATTGTCAGTTTACTCTGTTAGTTCTTTTGTTGTGCAGAAGCTCTTCAGTTTAATACAACTTTATTTGTCAATTTTTGCTTTTGTTGCAAATGCTTTTGGCGTCTTTGTCATGAAATTTTTGCCTGTGTGTATGTCCTGAATGATATTGCCCAGCTTGTCCTCCAGGGTTTTTATAGTTTTGGGTTTTACATTTAGTCTTTAATTGATTTTGAGTTAATTTTTGTAAATGACGTAATGAAGGGGTCGGGTTTCAATCTTCTTCATATTGCTAGCCAGTTATACCAGCACCATTTATTGAATAAGGAACCCTTTTCCCATTGTTTGCTTTTTTCAGGTTTTCCAAAGATCAGTTGGTTGTAGGTGTGTGACCTTGTTTCTGGGTTCTCTATTCTGTTCCATTGGTCTATGTGTCTGTTTTTGTACCAGGACCGTACTGTTTTCGTTACTGTAGCCCTATAGTACAGTTTGAAGTTGGGTAGCCATTATGCCTCTAGCTTGGTACTTTTTGCTTAGAATTGCCGTGGTTATTCAGGCTCTTTTTTGGTTCCATACAATTCTGTAATAGTTTTCTGTAGTTCTGTGAAGAATCTCAATGGTAGTTTAATAAAAATAGCATTGAATCTACAAATTGCTTTGGGCAGCATGGTCATTTAAACTATATTGGTTCTTCCTATCCATGAGTATGGAATGGTTTTTTCATTTGTTTGTGTCATTTCTGATTTCTTTGAGCGGTGGTTTGTAGTTCTCCTTATAGAGATCTTTCACCTCCCTTGTTAGCTGTATTCCTAGGTATTTTATTCTTCATGACAATTGTGTCTGGGGATTTAGGGAAAAACAAATTTTAGTGAGAGTGGATCTTCATCTCATAAAATTATGCTTCAGAAACAGAAGTTAAGAAAAGAAGAAGGGAAAAAAATGAAGTACTTTGTTGCTAACAAATCTACTGCTAAAGATGGGCTAAGGAAGAATGCCAAACACAAAGAAAATAGTAAAAGAAAAAAGTATGGAACATGAGGAAGAAATAAAGACCAGCAAATAGAGCACACATATGGGGACACATTTCTATGTTCCTGTAGTTTTTCTCTTGACTTCTGTAAATCATATTTATTGACTAGAGCAAAAATTATAACATCTAATACTTATGACAATGATACTTAAAAGTTGGGAGGGTAAATGGACCTAAATGGAAATGAGGCTTCAACACTTTACTTCAAGTGGTATACAATGCTGATATACATGCATTGTAACATCCAGAGGGACTACTACAAAAAATGTAGAGAGGATATGCAAAATATACATGCAAAATGCATTCAAAATTAAACTATACGATGAATATACAAAATATGTATGCAACAAAAGAATCTCACAATACAAAAAAAAATCTGCAATGGCTGAAAAAATAGCTGAATTCACATTATAGTTGGTTTATTAACACTTCTCTCTCAATAGCTGACCTAGTAGACATGGAAACTCCAAAGATATAAAATATCTAAACCATATAATAAACCAACAGGATCTAACTGGAATATGTAGGACACTGCCCCCCCCAAAAAAGATGAAAACACATTTTCCCAAGACCATGTGGAATTTTCACTAACATATGACATATCCCTAAGTCATAAAATAAATATCAACAAATTTAAAATAAGCTAATTTATTAAAGTATGACTATAATAAAATCAAGCAAGAAATCAAAAAATCATCAGGAAAACCTGTAAACATATGGAAAGTAAACAGCTTACATTTATGGAATCCATGGGGCACAGATACAGTCTCTAGGGTTGTAGAAAATACATAGAACTGAATGAAAATGAAAATATGATATATCAAACTATGTGGGATGCAACTAAAGCAGTGTTGAGGGGTAAATTTATAGCATTAAGTACTAAATACAAAGACAAGGTCAAACTCTCCTACTTCACAGTTCCTACTGCAAAAAATTGGAAAATAGTGCAAAACAAAGAGAAATAATAAAAAATAATAACAGAAATTAAAGAAATTAAAACATATAAAAACTACAGAGAAAATATATAAAACCAAAATTATTTTTAAATAGCAATAAAACTAATGTTTCTAGCAAATTATTTGTCTAGCAAATCAGAGAAAAATGATTAAGATGCAAATCACTAATATTAGAAATGAAACAAGGGATGTTGCAACATATCTTTCAGCCATTAATGTTAATAATAAGGAAATACTGTAAACAACTTTATGCTCAACAAATTCAACATTTAAGAGGAAATAGACCAATTCCTTAAAAAAAGACAAAATACCAAAATTAACCTAAGTAAAATAGATAATCTAAATAGTTCTATTACAAGCAAATGATTGAATTCAGAGTTTAAAACTTCCACTCAATCTTCTGGCCCCAGTGATTTAACAGGAGAATCCTACCAAACATTTAAAGAATTAACACCAGCTGGGTATTATTGCTTACACTTGTAATCCCAATGTTTGGAAGCCTGAGGTGGGGATATCATTTGAGGCCTGGAGAACAAGTCCAGTCTGGGCAACATAGCAGGACCCTGTATCTGTAAAAAAATACACACAAACAAAAAAGCCAGATATGACGGTATGCACCTGTAGTCTTAGCTACTCAGGAGGCTGATGTGGCAGGATAACTTGAGCTCAGGAGTCCAAGGCTGCAATGAGCTATGATCACACCACTGTACTGCAGCCTGGGAGACAGAGTGAGATTCTGATTCTTTAAAAAAAATTAACACCAGTTATATACGATATCTTTGAGAAGACTGAGAAGGAAGAAACACTTTCAATTCATCTTGTAAAGATATTTTTGCTCTGACTTTATCACCAGACCCAAAGACATCACAAGAGAAGAAAGTCACAGAGCAATATATCTCATGAACATAGATGAAAAAAATCCTCAACAAAGTGTTAGCAAGCCTGATCCACAAATATAGAAAGATAATTATACTCCATCGCCAGGTTTACCTAGATATGCAAGGCCATTCACCATTCTTAAATTGAACAATGTAATCTCCCTTATCAATAAGCTGAAGAGAAAACATATTGTCGTATCCATTGATGCATAAAAAGCCATTTGACAAAATACAGCACCCATTATTATTCCAGCAATTTAAGAATAGAGGGGAATTACTTCAACTGATAAAATGCATGTAGAAAAAACCCTACAGATAATATCATACTTTATAGTGTAGATTGAGTGCTTTCCCCTAGGAGAAGGAACAAGGCAAGGACTTCAGTTCCTGTCAGTCATTTTCAACATAATGCCAGAAAATGTAGACACTGCACTAGCAAAAGAAATAAGTAAAAATTAAAAAATGAAAGTCATACAGATTAAGAAGATAAAACATAAAGCTGTCCCTATTTGCAGATGACATAATTATATCCATAGAAATTTCAAGGAATGTACAGAAACAAACAAACAAAAATGAAAATACTGCTAGGTCACAAAAACTCATGAAGGTCACATAAAAGAATATCAACACACAAAATAACCACATTTCTATATACCAACAATGAATGTGAGGAAACCAAAATTAAAAACAGTACCATTTACAATTGCTCAAAAAAATGAAATATTTCCGTATAGTTAACAAATTTTATACTTAATACTTAAAAAAACATACTTAGCAAAAAACAATACTAAACCAAAAAGTATTCAGCATCTATATGCTGTAAATTATAGGATGCTGACGAAAGAATCTAAATAAGGTGTAAATGAATAGAAATACCTATTATATGATCAAAAGACTTATCCTAGTAAAGATAACAATTTATCTCAAATGAATTATGTGCTTAATGTAATTATTATGCAAATTTCCACAAGGTTTTTGTAGACATTGGCAAGGATTTAAAAAAATTGTATGGAAAGTTACAGGCCCTATATTAGCTAAACAATCTTAAAAATGAAGAAAAAAATGGGAAGAATGGCTCAAAATGAAATCAAAGCTTACTATATAGCTGCAGTAATCAAGACAGTGGTCCTGGTGTAGGGATAGACACATAGATCAATGAAACAGAATCAAAAACTGAAAAATAGTTACACGCAAGTGAGGCCACCTGATTTTTGAGAAACGTGCAAGAGTAACTTACTGAAAGACTCTTCAACAAAGGTTAGTGGAGCAAATGGACATCCAAAGTCAAAAATATAAACCTCAACCTAAAGTTCCTATTTTATGTAATTAACTCAAAATGGATCATAGATGTTGAATGTACAGTACATACAGTGGTTATAAATGCATTGTAAAAGAGAGAAATGGAGATGGACTTTGCTTTGGAGATAGGCTATCCACTAACTTCTATGGTGACATATGAGTTGAGACAGAGTAAAATGAGAGAGCCAGAAAAGTGAATGAATAGGACACATGTTTAAAGCAAATAAAATAGTAAGTGCTGAAACCAGAGACAGGGTGGTGTTTATGTGCATTTGAAAAGCAAAAAGGAAAGTTCAACTAAAGTAGAATGCCCAGGGGGGCAATGTGTTAGAAGATATGGTGAGAGTGGCAGACAAAACCAGGTCACAACAATTATCAGCTTGCACTTGAAAGCCTAAAGATCTTCTTAGGCTTAAATTTCAAGGCACTGCTGAAGGAATTAAGCTAATAGCACAAACTAGCTTAAAACCTAATTGGATGCAGGCATGGGCAAGGACTTCATGTCAAAAACACCAAAAGCAATGGCAACAAAAGCCAAAATTGACAAATGGGATCTAATTAAACTAAAGAGCTTCTGAACAGCAAAAGAAGCCACCATCAGAGTGAACATGCAACCTACAGAATAGGAGAACATTTTTGCAATCTACTCATCTGACAAAGGGCTAATATCCAGAATCTACAAAGAACTCAAACAAATTTACAAGAAAAAAAAAAAAAACTCATCAAAAAGTGGGCAAAGGATATGAACAGACACTTCTCAAAAGAAGACATTTATGCAGCCAACAGACACATGAAAAAATGTTCATCATCACTGGCCATCAGAGAAATACAAATCAAAACCACAATGAGATGCCATCTCACAGCAGTTAGAATGGTGATCATTAAAAAGTCAGGAAACAACAGGTGTTGAAGAGGATATGGAGAAATAGGAACACTTTTATATTGTTGGTGGAACTGTGAACTAGTTCAACCATTGTGGAAGACAGTGTGGTAATTCCTCAAGGATCTAGAACTAGAAATACCATTTGACCCAGCCATCCCATTACTGGGTATATACCCAAAGGATTATAAATCATGCTGCTGCAAAGACATGTATGTTTATTGCAGCACTATTCACAATAGCAAAGACTTGGAACCAACCCAAATGTCCATCAATGAGAGACTGGATTAAGAAAATGTGGCAGATATACACCATGGAATACTATGCAGCCATAAAAAAGGGTGAGTTCATGTCCTTTGTAGGGACATGGATGAAGCTGGAAACCATCATTCTCAGCAAACTAGTGCAAGGACAAAAAAACCAAACACCGCATGTTCTCACTCATAGGTGGGAATTGAACAATGAGAACACTTGGACACAGGAAGGGGAACATCACACACCAGGGCCTGTCGTGGGGTGGAGGGAGGGAGGAGGGATAGCATTAGGAGATATACCTAATGTAAATGACGAGTTAATGGGTGCAGCACACCAACATGGTGCATGTATGTGTATGTAACAAACCTGCACGTTGTGCACATGTACCCTAGAACTTAAAGTATGTATATATATATATATACCTAATTGGATGTGATGGAATCAAAGCTGTAACTTCTTCATACTAGTTTTCTATATAGGAAAGAACATAGTTTTTGTTCTGAGTAATAGGAGAAGACATTGAGGGCCTTCAGGTAAACAATTACATGATATGGACGCTACTCATGATATTATATTAAGCAAAACAACTTTTAGGATGCTATTGAGAACTAACAGAATTATCTAGCAGCTATGACAGTGGTTTGAAATGGGATGCTAGTGGTAGGGGTTGTAGGGAGAGGGACAATTCTGAAATTATTTTAAACATTGAGCCCGTGGAATTTGCTGTTGAGATGGCAGTGCTGTGGAGTTTGCTCTCAAAGCCCTCTTGGAGAAGGTGAGCTCATTCACTGGCAAAGGATTTGGTTTCAGAGATGAACTGAGTCTAATAGAAGCTTCAACCCAATTTTCACAATTTAGCTTTTGAAGTTTGGAGCAATTAACCCATTATAGCAGAATAATTTGGAACATGAGTTGAGAATCAGAAAAATATTCTCTTAGTCTGGAATTCCATGGAACTGGTAGAAGAATTAAGCTAACGGCACAAAACAGCCTAAAAGTGTATTGGATGTGATGGAATCAAATCTGTCACTTCTTCACACTAGTTGTCTAAAGAGGAAAGGACACAGGTAATTGCCATAAAGCATTCATTCTGAAAAGTGGACAAAGGGAAGCATTGTCTGTAGCAAATTTCAAATCCTAGTGTGCAGATGCACTGTGGAATCTCTGACTTAACACTGGGATGGTTTTCTTACTCATATCATCAGGAATGCTCTGATTCTGCTCTCCACTGATAAGCAGTGGAGGATTAAGCACCATATTGGGGCCCTCAGAGTCCATGGTTCCTTTGGAATTATGTGTGCCGTTTCCTCATTAAGAAAACAAACACAAAAAATTTAGTAAGCATCTGCCCTTTTTCATGCCCATTCTGCAATTACACTTGGCAAGTGCTGCTAAAGAAAAATATATTCTCACATTTGTTAAATACATCAATAACGACATTATTCAAGGGGGATGACTACATCGAGGTTTTGTAGGAGGGGAAAGAGATTGGGCTCAACTCTGAATAAGACAAGAAAAAGTGAGTGGAGCAGGGTGGGGCCAAGGGATGGAAAATTACTAAGAAGAAATATGAGGGGCAAGGGGGATCTGGCTAAACCAACTTGATAGGATTCTTGCTGAAGGCCAGCAGACCAGGGTGACCTGGGGGATGGTGGAGGCTGAGCAATGTCATCAGATATCAAGGGTGGGCATTCCCGCTAAAGTGACTTAACAAGATTCTTGCTATCAGGACAAGGCCCAAGAATCTGACCTGGTTGAAAAAGAGCCTAAAGTTTCACTAAGGAGAATATTTGTCAGTGCCCACAGCCAGAATTCCTCTAGAAACATCATCTTTAAGTTGAAGATGTATACGTATACTCTACTTTGGGATATAGTCTCTTTTAAGTCAGACTTCTTACTTGCCAACAGCCACTTTTACTCTGGATACTTTATACAGAAGGATGTTTACTGAAGGCCACTTTGTTGCTCATAGATAACATCAGGATGGCTGACGAACCATACTAAAGACTAAGCTTCCAGGAATGATGTTCAACATTCTGCTTTGGAACTCTCAAGAAGGAAGGAAGGAAGGAAGGAAGGAAGGAAGGAAGGAAGGGAGGGAGGGAGGGAGGTAGGGGAGGGAGGGAGGGAGGGAAGGAAGGAAGGAGAGAGAGAAAGAAAGAGAGAAAGAAAGATAAAGAAAGAATGAAAGAACAAATGAACGAATGAAAGAAAGAGAAAGGAAAGAAAGAAAGAAAGAAAGAAAGAAGAAAGAAAAGAAAAAACAGAGAGACAGAGAAAGAAAGAAAGTGTCACCAAATCACCATTTATTTTATGCAAAAGGCTGGTAATTTTTGTAGCCAGTGTTCACGAGTGGCTTCCAGCTCCAGTTCCACTTCAACATCAGAAACCCGCATTTGCAAGTGCAGGTGAGTCTTGTATCTGGCTCTGTCAACGAAAGCCAGAAGCCTTTGCTGACACTGTCATTGGAAAGAAATCCAAACTCTACAGGTTTCCTCAGTGGCTCACTTCTGAGCTTCCACCTGGGTGCATTTGATTAGCTGAGTCTAGATAGTGTGCTTGTGACCTGACAGCAAGGGACAATGGAAAATTCGGGAGTGGTTTATGTTGTGAGGCAAACGCATTATGGGGGAATCTTTCCAAATTTAGGATTTCTGTTTAAAAGATCAATCCCACTATAAGCTCCATTTCTTCCTAGGCAGCATGATGTCCTGCCTCACTCAATTGCTAAACTTCTACTTTGGTGACTACAAAGTGACACTAACCCCTCCCTACAGCCTTTTTCTAAATTTCAGGCCCACATACTCAAGTATGTGTATCTGCATACTTATATATCCATCTGGTTTTAGAACCCAAATTCATGTGTCTCAAACAGAATTTATGATCTTCTTTCCCAAACTTAATTATTTTCCATTGTTCTTAGTGATAAAAAATGGTAGTGGTATTCAAGCCTTGTCTCTTATTAGAACCTGAAAATAGTTTTTACACCTTAATTTCTATAACCAGATGACCAGTTACAAAACCCTGTGAATTTTAAAATTTTCCAGTCTGACTACTTCTCACCATTTCTATAACTCTCGACCTCCCCAAGAGCCTCTAATCTAGTTCTGTACACAACATATTTCCTCCACAGAGGCATTTGCACAACACTCAGAGTGATCCCTATAAAAAGCAGACTGGATCCTGTGGTCCCTCTGCTCGCAAGTCATCCAGTGGCTTCCCACTGCCAGCTTTGTGTAATGCCCAGATTTCTCAATGTGACTAAAAATGTCTTTCCCGATACGCCTTAGCTTCATCTTGACAAATCCCTCCTCCCACCCTTCACCCACAATTTTTCTTAAAATAATCTAGCCACAAGTATTTCTTAAAATTCTTAATTTTAAAATATTTCCATCAGCAGAGACTTATCCATACGACACTTTTCTTCTCCACCTCCTTCCTTTTATTGAATAACCCTGAGTTCCCTTCTGGTTTTATATTAAATTTGTTTCCTCAGGCTTCCCCCACTACAAAACCAGTTACGATTCCTCCATTTTACAACCATTAGCACCCCGTGCTCAGTACAAGCACAATCGCGTGTGTGTTTCTGTGTATATGAATGCACATTTACTTCATTTATTCCAATCTCCCTCACTAAACTATAAATTCCTTAGAGGAGAGATGATTCTGTCCACCTTCCAGCTCAATAGTACTCAAAACACGTGTAGTGAAAAGATTAATGAATGCATGATTATTTAAAACATGGCATATTATGCTATTCCAATTCCAAAATTATATATATTATATTGTATATATATTATGGTATTCCAATCTGAAATATAGTGAATTAACTCAGAGGTCATTTAAACACATTAGGTGAGTATAAAACTTCCTTTTTATGGATTAGTAACTAATTGTTTTTGTTAGATCTTACCGTAGGTTTGTCATAATTCAGTCATTTTGCACAGGCAAAAGAAGTCCAGTGCTCCCCTTTTACTGTTTACTTTAGCATTATTACTGACATGCACATTTCATTCAGTGGGATTTTGAATTTGAACTGTGTACCTTGGCAGTGAACTGAACTGATTAGGAGCACGGGCTGTAGGGCCCACAATCTTGACTCTCCTCTCTTCCCTGCCACTTTCTGTGCCTGGGTCTAGGTTTAACGTTACTTTCTTTACCTGTGAAACTACCTTATAGCATTATGAAAAGAGATGAAATAATGCATAGAGAGAGGCTGGCATAGAACTCAGGCCAGATAATCCACCCAACAAGCAAATGCTGTTATTAATAGTATACATCTCAGCATTGTTGGTAGAGTTTCACCATTGCACTCATATGAGAGAAAAGGACTAAAGAAAAAAGATTTAAATTTAGAAGAGTTTAGATACTTCAAAAAATATATATCTAAGTTATCTTTGGACCTATATTATTCTAAAACCTTTATGTTCTAATGTATGCTTAAGGGACAAAATACTGGTGAGTTCGCTTATTTAGTAACATTATTGAGATACTGATGGCAACGAGCACATACCAGGATATCGTCATGCTGTAAGAGATCAACATCTTATGAACCATAAACAAACAACAGTTATGCTAAACAATTTTTAAAATGACACTAGTGATGTCCTAAGAAATGTATTAGCTTTGTATTACATCTACATTTATAATAAGTCAGTCAACTCTGCCAAATTGGGGCTTTTATCTCAGTTGTTACAATTAAATCATTCAAATGAGCTACAAGTTTAGAATTATATTTCGTATCTCTAACATTTAAAAACAATCAAGTGATAGTCAAGTTCAATCAGAGAAATAGCATGTGTGTGATTAGATGGAATGGAGTAACTCTTTGACATGAAGAATTTCAGACTATCCCGCGGAAATGCCTGTGTGGGCGTGAGTGATACGCAGCCCACGCTTATGTTCTCTAGAGAGACAGGCAGCCCAAGCTACTTTTCCCTGTTTTAGAGTTTAGGTGTGTGAAGAACAAATGAACTAGAAAGACAACCAATAAATAGGGAGTGGCAGTATTGATAAATAAGTGAATTATAATAAATAAATACAGTTTTATATCTAAGTGTGATTCCCTGTAGCTCTTCTCCATGTTCTCATCATATTCCTGAAAGAATATCTTAGAAGCTCACAGGTGCCACTTTAATCATCTCAAGCACCACATGTAAACAGTGCTTCTGAAACAGGTATGTCTCAGGACCACCTGAGGAGCCTGGAAATGCAAACACCAGCCTCCATCGTGCTCCCATAGCTTGGATCTCCATGTCTTTTTTGACTCCCTAGGAGAGTCTGATCCACATCAACGTTTGAGAACCACAGCCTTAGAGGAATCCTGGAGAATAAAATGGCAGGCAGTGACACAGAGAGCTCCATAAAATATTCTAAAATGTTCTCTCTCACTCACTCTGAATAATTTTTATACAATGCTCAGCTGTTCTCTTTTTTACTTTTTTCTTTTGGCACATTTAAAAGATTCATAGTTACTGGTCTTTCCAAATGTTCAGGTGTTTGGCATATTATGTTCTAATATACAGATGCTTGACAGAAACCAGCCATTGCACAGACAGATTTTGCCAGAGCATGCACAGTCTACTCCAATGCTTTTTGCAAATTTTAAGTCTCAGCAGCTTCTCTTGGCAGGGTAATTCTTTACAGCTTGATAGACTCCCCAGTGGGTAAAAAGAAGAGACAAATTCAAATAGATAATACAATATTTTTGAACTACTGGAAGTACAGTGTTGTGATTTGAATGGAAGACAGCACTCGTGTTAGTAACATTGAAAGAAATATCCAGTATCTGTTCAACGTGGTATGCGGTCCCTGGCTATTTTTGTGATTATCTGAATAAACACACAAGATCTAAGTAGGTTTTGATATTGCCAAATACGCAGGCTATTCCTTCTCTCCATTGGTAATCACAGGGGAGGAATAACACCTGGGGTTATCAAATGAGTGTTTAGTTTGTCCTCAATTCCATCCACTAGAAGAAATTGATACTCAAGAGAAGTAATGAACATTTGCTTTACAACGCAAAAATCTCATATACAGTACTCAAGAGAGATTTATGAATTATAAGTACATGTTTTTACATTCATGAGGCTAAAATATTTTCAGTAATGAGAGATTTAAAGACCAAAAGATCATGCCAAAAATAATTTTATATTTGATAGGGACAAATTATGAAACTAAATGTTAGAATTTAAAAAATTCTTAAATATATGACTAATATACATACTACAAAAGTATTTTTTAAAAACCCACACATTTGAAATATGTTTTAATTTATAAAATATTCTAGATATTAATACATTTTATTTACTACTTTCTATATTTTAATTGACTTTATAAAGAAGCATAAATTTTATATAGTGGATACATAAAAATTTATTCTGTAGGGAAAGAGTATAAATAAAAATAATTTTAGTTAGATTAATGGTTGTGACTGTACTTAATTTAAGAAATATGTGTATGGAAATATTATTGTAAACTGATATTTCATCAAAGAATAAATAGACTATATAATTGTGGGCATTAAATTTTATTGAGACATTTAAATGTAAAATGCCAATGGCTGTATTACATTACGAATATGATATTAAAATTAAGACTGAAATCAAAACAAAGTCCCAAACATTGACCTTACTCATGGCTATTCATTCTCTCTAGGACCAATCCCTTAATAAGTTGTAGAATTTTAACTTTAAAATTCAAAGTTTTTACAAAAGCCTTTGGATTTTGGAATCAAATGAACAAGTCAAATAAAAAATTATATGTTTTTTCCCTTCTACTTTTTAATATCGTATTTATATACTGCTCTTATTTAGATTTTGATTTGCTGTTTCTGTTTGACAATTTTATAATTATTTTTAGATTTGATTTAGAGTAATTGTTTCTTTTTTATTGTTTTGAGGGGGAATCTGATGATGTTGCCTTCTGAGTATTGTCTTATATGGTAAACTTATATATGTGTACAGATCATTGATATGATTTACAGATACTTCCTCTGGCAATGTTTGAATTTATTTCTTCAATGAAAACACCTATAAAAAAATGGTTCCCAAATGTATAGTGTATGCACATTGCTGTTAGCACTGGCTATTGAGGTGTAGGTCAACCAATGTGCCAGCCTCATCTCTGTCTAGGCTATCTTCTAAAAAGAATCTGGATGGCTTCCATGCCTGTAGATCATTTGTCAGACATCCCCTGTATTTTTGGCAGCAGCAGATGTCTAGTATCTGCTAGATATCTATTTTATCCCCCTACACCCACGAGCACAAACTAAAAGTCTTGCTCTGCAGTTCCTCCCTCATTCTCTTCTCCGCATCTAATACTCCTATTTCTTTTTTCCTGCCAAGACTCCTTTTCCTGAGGGAACCCACCCTTCCCTCACCCCATAGTCATTATTTCCAGTTCTCTGATTTTGCAGAAATTGCATATTTCCCCTTTACTTGAAAGGGGACCGATGATTTAAGAAGAAATGATCAGAGCACTCCACTGCAATCCTCACAGTGCTCTGTTCAGAAGTGAGACTGCCACTTCATCTCGGAGGCCAAGTCTTTGCCTGAGCTTTTTGTATGTGGGGGATAAGGGCTAGAAAGACAGATCCCACTGGAAAATGAAGTCAGTGTGGTGAAAAACACGTGTACCTTGTTGTGCCTCTGTTCATTCTGCCTGCACTAGATATGTGCTATCCTGGGCCTCTTTCTGCTTATACTGATTTCCATTGTGTTTCTGTCACCTGTCACCTGAGCAACACCAATAGATGACATTTCAGGCCTTATTCAATGCTCAGCTTTTACTCTACATATCATCTCACATGAGAGCATGTCCATCCCGGTCCTATTTGTGTTGTCTTCCTTCTTTTCTGTGGATGAGCTCCTAGTATGTCCTGGGATGCCCTTAAGAGCACAGGTGTATCTGTGTGTATGAGAAGGAGGATGGTGGCCATGGGGATGACCTGCTCAGCATCCCTGGCCTGGGCAGGGGCACCCTCCCTGGTGCCTCTATGGTCATGCCCTGGGTCTCTTTGCGGCTCAGACTGAGACCACCCACAGTGGCTGCCCCAGGTGGTGACCAAGCAGGCATGACAGCAAAGCTGATGGTTCTGCCCAGCATACACATCTGCCGACAGGCAGCCTTTCAGGGCAATGCCCTGCTCGGCTGGGGAGACTTTCTTAGAACCATGTTCAGAACCAAGCTTCCTTCCTTCCCTCTGTCTTTCACAGACATTTCCCCTGCATGAGAGTCTCCAGGTATCTGCCTACACCACTCCTGTTCCCTTTATTCCCAGCAGACATTCCTCAGTTTCTTGCACATGGAACCTCCTCCTGGTTCTCAGAGGACCCAGCTGACAATTGGAGACAATTTATTAATTCAAATATTTCACTTAGCTGGGAATTCCAAATGATGACAGGAAAGATCAGTTCATCTAAATGGGCCAGCAATATTTGATTGGTAATATGCTAATAGCAGCCATTAATTAAGACATCCAAGTCTTCTCAGGTCTTCCCTGTAAAGTTAGCACAGTGCTCAGAAAGCGTTTCCCTGGATCACTTTTTTTTTCCCTAATACTTCGTATCTTTGTCTCCAGTGCTTGAATGATATTATTAGAGGTATACTTGTTTTTTACTTATCTGGATTTTGTTAAATCTTCCCATTCTCATGTTTTTCTAATTATATATCCATTTGTGTCATTCATTTCTCAGAAACCAAAAGGCGCCATCTCCCTAGAACATTATAAGTGCTAATATCAAGACATGGATGACTAGATATTGGGCTTAGAATCTCAGCTGGGGCATTAATATATATTTTCATTGCACACATGTCAGATGGTATAAATAAGATCCACTGAATCCATTCACATTATATGTTGACTCTCATTGATATTTTCTAAAATGATGGATCGTTAAAACTGTTACAATATAGATCTCTCTGATTATTTATTATTCTTATTCTCCAGAAATATCAGAAATAACCATTTAATGATTTTTTCCAACAAATCACCAAGTATATTCAAGAGCAGATTGATGACAATTTTGCTGTCAGTATTTTTTCCATCCATAAGATTGATGTGAAACCTTGAAATATATAGTGCTCACGCCCTAGGAGATGAATGAACTAATGTGCTTTCATAGCACAGAAATGCTTGTATTGATTTCAAGGCCACATTAGTATATTCAATTCTGCTTGCCTGGAATAAGCTGTGAAATTTCCTGGCTACCTGCAGTTTCATAGCATGAAGTCATAGAGCAATCACTGTTAGTGCATAGCAGGTTTCTGTTTTGTTTGTGTTCTTATGAAAGAAACACTGTCTCCAGTGCGTGTCAATTATTTTCCCACATCTACACTTGTGTTGCACCCATGCCACTGCCTCCAACTCCATGTTGAATATTCATCTTATTTAGTTTAATTTTAATGATTGAATTATCTTCATATGTTTGTTTCTGAGTTATTGAAAAATGACACAATTTCTTGGAAGTTTCTATTAGACCTGTCTCTTCCATAATATTTATCACAATTACTCCACATCTTGAAAACCAATTTATTATTGTGACAATTGATCTCATCTCCAGGTAGTTAATAGTAATCATAACCATCCTTAAAAACTGTAATGAAAAATAAATTCAGGTAGCATACGCCCTTCCAGGAGATACAGGTATAAGGTGAATCTGTATGAAGTGTGGCATTTAAATATGCAGTGTCTCTATTACTTTTATCATTTGTCTCTGGTCCCAAACACTTTGCCTTACATACATTATATAATCTATGAAAATTCAAATGATTATACTGAATGAATGAATGAATGAATGCTAATGTTGTATTCTTTGAAGAGTCAGAGTTTATTACTCTTTTGCAACCATGCTTTCTAAATCCTGAGTGCATTAGTGTGAAGAATAAAAAAACAATGGATTCCAGTGGGTGGTAAATGATAATGCTGGAATAGTCATATTCACTTTAGATAGGTTAGCCTCGGACTACCTCTAAGAATCTCAAGATTTCTGGGGATGCAGTTTATGATTCCTGCCACAAAATGACATTCTTTATGTATTGTACTAATCATTTAATTAATACCAGTGAAAAGAATTACCAAATCTAAAGCCATTCACAGAATATTTAATCAATCTTAAGTGAGTGTCTGTCTTCATAATACATTTCATAACACATTCTTTATAATACATTTACATAAATAACTCAAATATCTCTAACATTTTCTATTAGATAAAGAATACCAAAGTTTTTTTAAAAAGGCAAATGCAACTTTTAAAATTCTAAAGTGTATGTTCAGGCTAGTTATAATTTAACAACATGTTCCTATAGAATTTACCCTCTGCCATCATTCTGACATTTAAAAAGCCTCTGCACCAGGAATGACTGAGACAATAGGCGGCATCAAGTTGTGTGATTTTGTAGAGGTTTGGAATTATTTCTATCTCTGGACTTGCAAAACCTCCAAAATTTCCAGCTTTTCCTACTAGGTATAGTTTTTCTACAGATCTTAGCTAACACTCCTATCTGGGGCTCCCCAGAAAGACCTCTCATGCCACAGGGGGAAAAAATTCAGCAAGCATGACATGCCTGCCAGGATCTAGCTCTCAGACCTTTCTTCTCTCAGATCAGGAAAGCGAAATAACATGAAGAGCATTTGCGTTGGCTAAACATGGTCCATCGTGATGACAGGCTTCTCCCTCCCAATTGGAATAATAGTTTATCATAAAGTTCTAGGTCCCTGCTATTGCTTCAGTGCTTTCAAAAGTCTCTCTTCCTTCTCTTTTTAAAAGAAGTTAATTTGTTTTAAAAAATCCTTCTCACTACTCACAATAGCCAAGATATGGAATCAACCTAAGTGCTCATAAAAACAGATGAATGGATCAAGAAAATATGTGTGCATATACACAATGGAATATTGTGTACAAATACACAATAATATACATGCACATATATTATTCAGCCATAAAAAGGATGAGATCCTATCATTTGCAACAACATGGATGGAATTGGAAGACATTATGTAACTGAAATAAGCCAGACACAAAGAGACAAATATCACATCTTCTCACTCATATCTGGGAGATTAAAACAAACAAGCAAACAAACTCATGGAGATAGAGAGTAGAATGACAGTTTCCAGAGGCTGGGAAGGGTAGTTGGGGGGGGGGGGTTTAAGTGAGTACGGTTAAAGGGTATAAAAATGCAGTTAGGTAGAATCAATAACATCTAGTGTTAAGTAGCACAATGGGATGAATAAAGTTAATAATAATTTATTGTGTAGTTTGAAATAACTGAGTGGAATTGAAATGTTCCTAACACAAAGAAATGATAAATGCCTGAGATGATGGATCCATCAACCATCCTGATTTGATCATGATGCATTGTACATACATATCAAAGCATCACATGTACCCCATAAATAAGTACAACTATCATCTACCCATAATAATCAAAAATAAATTTTTTAAAAAAATCCTGCTCTGGGCTAGGTGTGGTGGCTAAGGCCTGTGATCCCAGCACTCTTGGGAGGCCGAGGCAGGCAGATCACCTGAGGTTGGGAGTTCAAGGCCAGCCTGACCAACATGGAGAAACCCATCTCTACTTAAAAAATACAAAATTAGCCAGGTGTGGTGGCGCATGCCTGTAATCCCAGCTACTCAGGATGCTGAGGCAGGAGAATCGCTTGAACCGGGGAGGCGGAGGCTGCAGTGAGCTGAGATCGTGCCGTTGCACTCCAGCCTGAGCAACAAGAGCGAAACTCCATCTAAAAAAAGAAAAAAATCCTGCTCTGGTTTTGCTAAACTGATAAAAATAAATAAATTTTTTACATGACATTTTTCTTGATAAAATAAACATAAAGCATATACATATATACCCACACAACGTGAAATATCTATCCAAATCTGCATCTGGATATCAATATATGGCGAAGTGAAGTCAACCTGTGCTAACTCACCACCAACTGAAGAACTAGAATGTTACCATTTACTTACACTTTCCCTATTTATTTCAGGTCTCAATCTTGGTTTTATGTTTATTATTCCCTTTGTTAAAACATATTTTAAACACGTATGAGAATATTCTAAAACATACATTATTCAGTTTAGCTTGTGATTGAGCATTATCAAATTACTATCACATTGAATGTAGCTTTCTATAACTTTCATTTTTCTTTCAATATCATGATGCTAAACAATTATCTATGTATTTTTTGTACTTGAATATTATTCATAATTTTTCCTGTAATATTTACTTCTCTGTTATATATACACAGCTCTGATGATTGACATTTGGGTTATTCTCCTTCTTGGTGTTTATGAACAGTACAATTAAGAATATTTTTGCACATGTTTTAAAAATTGTTCCAAATTGCTTTATAAATTGGTTTTATACTTAAACTCACAGAAAACTACCTAGTCTTGGCCAATCTAGTAAAATAATTCCTTACGTGGTTCATAATATCACTTACCTGAATATAATTAAGTTTACTTTTATGTTTATATAGTACTATCACTTTTGCTGAAAAATAGTAGCTCATGTGTTATGCCGACTTTTATAGAGTTGTTTTTCCTTTATACTTTTTAAGAATTTTCACATATTCTGAATGTTAATTAATTTTTTGTAATACGCATTGCAAATATCTTTTGTCGTTTTGTAGCGTGATGTAGCTTTTTTCTTTTGCTGAGATCATGAATAGGATTTTATATGTTTTCTTCTAAATGTTTAAAGCTTTGACTTTCAGATGTAAGTCTTTGAATAAGCATATAGTGTAAGGTAATACTTTTCCTTCATTTTTCCATATGGAAGTTTTATTTTATTTTTACTCTATATAAATATTTATTTGCATCAGAATATACAACAATAATGAACCCTAAGAGTAATGCTTGCTGAATTTTTATACATGGATATACTTTTGTAGTCATTACTAAGTTACACAAATGTAATCATCTAAGACAAAAAGCATTCCAACAGCCAGAAGTTTATCTTATGTCCGTTTCCAGTCAATACACATCCCTGCTCCATAATCACTATAATATCCTAATCAATTATGTGTGCAAAATCTTACATTTATTTTTACGAGTGAAGTCATACAGTATGTATTCTTTTCTATCTTTTCCTCTGAATAAGAGTCTGTGCTCCTGGTGGGAGCCAGAGTTACCTCTGACTTAGCACAATTTCATTTCTTTTCAAAGACCTTCACTATATTCTCAAATCATTCATTTCCTTTGTTTCAGGGTGAGAGCACATACAGGAATACTACATGGAATTTTTCAGCAACCTATGCCATCCTCATAATAATCTGACCTATACTATCAGAGAAATGTGCTTTACCAATTTCTCACTCGTATTTTATTGAAAAAGGTATATATTTGATGTTTAGGGCAGAAAAATTTGAAGAAATATTAAGATGATGGGAGTGAAAATCACAATGTGTATATATTAATGTGTACACATACTCGGTATTCTAAACTGCATCTAACATACCCAAAGGTTCAGCAGTTGGAACTCCATAAACAACAATTCTCCTTGCTGTACATTTATGGACTTACACAGCCTTTTTAATTACTGAGCTTTTACTTCAAATTCTAGTCTTTCCTGTGGGGATTGTTGCTTTATACACCTGTTAACATTCACCCCAAACTGTAGTGAGGTCCCACAAGACAAGACATCTGCCTCCTCCCCATTCCTATATTTCTCCTTGGAGGGTATATAATGCAAACTTCAGGTCTTCTCAAAGCATTGTAAATAGTCTGCCATTAATTAACATTTCATTATTAGAGTGTAAAGTTAAGTTAGAATTGAATAATAATTAATCAAGCTTATAAATTAAAACAAATCAGGATCATAATTATAGTTTTCATAACACAGAATTGTTTGCAACATGCTTCGCTTAATGGAAGAAAACTTTGTACTCCCAATATAAGTAGTTATATTTCAATAGAACATAGACTACCACACTCTAGACAGAAAGAGAGACTGAGCAACCTACAGGCTGGCAGCTCTATTCAATACCCACACCCCTATGAACACATAAATACTACGGAATCTACATTTGGCAACAGGATGATATTTATTTGGTAATTAAGGCACTTTGAGCAATTCCAGATGTAAGTGCCATAAATTTCTGGGAGAAGTTAATGAGGAAAGCAGTAAATCCAAAAACTGAATGATGTGGAACAAAAACACACAGGGCTGAGCGAAATAGAGGGGTAGAAGAAGCAGTGGGAAGAGTTTTGTAGGCTCCCTCCATCCCCAGGGAAGCCATTTCTGACTTTGTCTCACAGAGGTCCTTGGGGAGTGCTGCCAGAGGAACTGGGAAAAGATTACAGGGAGAAGAAAACTTCCAGCTGAACTTTGTAACAATTTGGACTGAATGTGAAGTTTCCAGGACAGAACCCAGCGAGGGGGGTGGTGAATCACAATTGCAGACACAGCAAAGAAGCTGCGGCAAGAGGGGAGGTGTGAAACCTGAAAGCCCTGCTTGCGTTCTCAGCTGGGAGACTTGCAGCTTGGGGCAAGTTCTCAGCCCTGCTGACCTGCTGCCTGGAAATGAACTTGGTGCTGTTGGGGGATGCATGATGGGAGTGAGACTGGTAATTTGGACTTTATGGGAGCTGGGAGAGGTCTGTAACTTCTGACTTTCCCCTACTTCCCTCATGACATGCATGACACAGCAGAGACAGCCATAATCCCCCTGGGAACATAATCCATTGGCCTGAGTACAACACCCCCATCCTTGACAGCAACCACAGCAAACCCCACTCAAGGACAGCCTGAGCTCAGACATGCATAACCTTGCCCCCACCTGATGGTGTTTCTCTACCCACCCTGGTAGTCGAAGATAAAAGACATAATCTCTTGAGAGCTCTAGGCCCCACCTAATCCTCCCTATACATATGCAGCTGATGATCTCTTGACAGTCCCACCTGCTGGAGGCCAACAGACACAAAACTAGTGTAATAAACAAAACTACAACTAGGGACCCTCACAGAAACCACTTCACTCTCTTGCCACCTCCACCGGGACAGGTGCTGGCATCCATGGCTGAGAAACCTGAAGACAGTTCACATCACAGAGCTCTGTGCAGACTCTCTCTAGTGCCTGGAGACCAGTAGCTCCGGTGGGTGGCTAGATCCAGAAGAGAAATAACAAGCACTACAGTTCAGCTCTCAGGAAGCCACATCCCTAGGAAAACGGGGAGAATGCTATTTCAAGGGAGCACCCCATGGGACAAAAGCATCTGAACAACAGCGCTTGAGCCCCAGATCTTCCCTCTGACATAGTCTACATAAATGAGAAGGAACCAGAAAAACAATTCTGGTAATGTGACAAAACAAGTTTCTTTAATACCCCAAAAGATCACACTAGCTCACCAGAAATGCATCCAAACTAAGAAGAAATCTTTGATTTGTCAGAAAAAGAATTCAGAAGGTCAATCGTTAAGCTAATCAAGAAGGTACCAGAGAAAGGTGAAGTCCAACTTAATTAAATCAAACAAATCATATAATATATGAAGGAAAAATCTTCAGTGAAATAGATAGCATAAATAAAGAACAGTCACAACTTCTAGAAATGAAGGACACACTTGGAGAAATGCAAAACACAGTGGAAAGTCTCAGCAACAGAATTGAACAAGCAGAAGAAAGACATTCAGAACTTGAAGACAGGGTTTTTGAATTAACCCAATCCAATAAAGGCAAAGAAAAGAGAACTAAAAAAATATACAAAGCCTCCAAGAATTTTGGGATTATGTTAAATGACCAAACCTAAAAATAATTTGCCTTCCTGAGGAAGAAGAAAAGTATAATAGTGTGGAAAACATATTTGAGGAAATAATTGAGGAAAACTTCCCTGGACTTGCTGGAGATCTAGACATTCAAATACAAGAAGTTCAAAGAACACCTGTGAAATTAATTGCAAAAAGATCATCATCTAGCCACATAGTCATGAGGTTATCTAGAGTCAAGATGAAAGAAACAATCTTAAGATCTCTAAGGCAAAAGCACCAGGTAATCTGTAAAGGAAAACCTATCAGATTAACAGCATATTTCTCAGCAGAAACCCTACAGGATAGAAGGGATTGGGGTCACATCTTCAGACTCCTTAAACAAAGCAATTATCAGCCAAGAATTTTGTATCTAGTGAAACTAAGCTTCATAAACATACAGTCTTTTTAAAATATATATATTGAGAAAATTCACCACTACCAAACCTGCGCTACAATAACTGCCAAAAGGTACTCTAAATCTTGAAACAAATCTTTGAAATACACCAAAATACAACCTCCCTAAAGCACAAATTTCACATGACCTATAAAATAAAAACCCAATAATCTCTTTTAAAAAAAGGTATTCAGACATCAAATAGCACAATGAATAGAATAGTACCTCACATCTCAATACTAACATTGAATGTAAATGGCCTAAATGCTCCAATTAAAAGATACAGAATGGTAGAATGGATAAGAATTCACCAACCAAGTATCTGCTGTCTTCCCAAGACTCACTTGATACATAAGGACTCACATAAACTTAAGGTAAAGCAGTAGAAAGTGATATTCCAGGCAAATAGACACCAAAAGCAAGGAGGAATAGCTATTCTTACATTACACAAAACAAACTTCAAAGAAAGAGCAGTTAAAAAAGACAAAGAGGGACATTATATAATGCCAAAAGGACTTGTCCAACAAGAAAATATCACAGTCCTAATACATATGCACCTAACACTGGAGCTCCCAGTTTTGTAAAACAATTACTACTAGACCTAAGAAATGAGATAAACAGCAACACGATAATAGTGGAGTACTCTGATACTCCACTGACAGCACTATCAACTATCAAGACAGGTATCGAGACAGAAAGTCAACAAAGAAACAATGGACTTAACAGATATTTACAAAACATTCTACCTAACAACTGCAGAATGTACATTCTATTCATCAGCAAATGGAACATTCTCCAAGATAGACCATATAATAGCCCGGAAATAAGTCTCAATAAATTATAAATAATTAAAATTATATTAAGTACTCTCTCAGAGCAGAGTAGAATAAAATTAAAAATCAACTCCAAAAGGAACCCTCAAAACCATACAAATACATGGAAATTAAATAACCTGTTCCTGAATAATCACTGGGTCAACAATGAAATCAAGATGGAAACTTTAAAAATTATTTAAACTGAATGATAATAGTGACACAATCTATTAAAACTTCTGGGATACAACAAAGGCAGTGCTAAGAGGAGGGTTCATAGCCCTAAATGCCTGCATCAAAACGTCTGAAAGATCACAAATAGAAAATCTAAGATCACACCTCAAGGGACTAGAGAAACAAGAACAAACCAAACCCAAACCCATCAGAAGAAAAGAAATGACAAAGATCAGAGCAGAACTAAATGAAAGTGAAACAAACAAAAATACTAAAGATAAATGAAAGAAAAATCTGGTTCCGTGAAACAACAAATAAAATTGACAGATCATTACTGATATTAACCAAGAAAAGAAGAGAGAGAATCCAAATAAGCTCAATTAGAAATGAAAGGGTAGATATAACAACTGATACTACAGAAACATGAAAGATCATTCAAGGCTACTATGAACACCTTTCCACACATAAACTAGAAAACCTAGAGGAGATGGGTAAATTTCTGTAAATATATAACCCTCCTAGATTAAACAAGGAAGAAATGGAAATTCTGAACAGACCAATAACAAGAAGCAAGATTGAAATGGTAACTAAAAAAAATTGCCAACACAAAAATATCCAGGACCAGATAGATTCACAGCTTAATTCTATCAGACATTCAAAGAAGAATTGGTACCAATCCTATTGACACCATGCCAAACTACAGAGAAAGATGGAATCCTCCGAAAATCATTCTATGAAGCCAGTATCACCCTAATACCAAAACATCAGAAAAGGACATAGCACAAAAAAAGGAAGCTACAGACGAATATCCCTGATGAATATAGAAGCAAAAATCCTTAACAAAGTAGTAGCTAACTGAATTCACCAACACATCAAAAAATTAATCCACCATGATCAAGTAAGTTTCATACCAGAAAAGCAGGAATGGTTTAACATCCACAAGTCAATAAATGTGTTACACCCCATAAACAGAATTAAAAACAAAAATCACATGATTATCTCAATAGACACAGAAAACCCATTTGACAAAATCCAGGATTCCTTTATGATTAAAACTCTTAGCAAAATTGGCACAGAAGGGACATACCTTAATGTAATAAAAGCCATCTATGACAAACCCACAGGCAACATAACCCTGGACAGGGAAAAGTTGAAAGTATTCCCCCTGAGAACTGGAACAAGACAACGATGCCCACTCTCACCAATTCTCTTCAACCTAGTACTGGAAGTCCTAGCCAGAGTGATCAGACAAGAGAAAGAAATAAAGGGCATCCAAATCAGTAAGGAAAAAGTCAAAGTGTCGCTGTTTGCTGATGATATGATTATACACCTAGAAAACTCTAAAGACTCATCCAAATAGCTACTAGAACTGACAGATGAATTCATCAAAGTTTGAGGATAAAAAATCAATGTACACACATCAGTAGCTTTGCTATACACTAACAGCAACCAAGCTGAGAATCAAATCAAGAACTCAACTCCTGTTACGGTAGCTGAAAAAAAAATGACTCAGGAATATATCTAACCAAGATGAAAGACCTCTACAAGGAAAACTACAAAACACTCCTGAAAAAAATCATAGACAACACAAACAAATGGAAACATATCCCGTGCTCATGGATGGATAGAATCAATATTGTGAAAATGACCACACTGCCAAAAGCAATCTATAAATTTAATAAAATTTCTATAAAAATACTACCATCACTTTTCACAGAACTAGAAAAGGAAATCCTAAAATTCATAAGGAATCAAAAAAGAGCCCACATAGCCAAAGCAAGACGAAGCAAAAAGAACAAATCTGGAGGTATCACATTGCCTGGCTTCAAACTATACTATAAGGCCAGTCACCAAAACAGCATGGTACTGGTATAAAAATAGGCACATAGACCAATAGAACAGAATACAGAACCCAGAAATACACTCAAATACTTACAGCCAAATGATCTTTGTCAAAGCAAACAAAACCTAAAGTGGAGAAAGTGCACCCCTTTCTACAAATGGTGCTGGGATAATTAGCTAGCCACATGTATGGGAATGAAACTGGATCCTCATCTCTCACCTTATACAAAAATCAACTCAAGATGGATTAAGAACTTAAATCTAAGACCTGAAACTATAAAAATTCTAGAAGATAACATTCGAAAAACTCTTCTAGACATTGGCTTAGGCAAGGATTTCCTGAGCAAGAACCCAAAAGCAAATGCAATAAAAACAAAGATAAATTGCTGGGACTAAACTAAACTAAAGAGCTTTTGCATGTCAAAAGAAATAGTCAACAGAGTAAACAGACAACCCACAGAGTGGGAGAAAATCTTCATAATCTATACATCTGACAAAGGACTAATATCCAGAATTTAAAATGAACTCAAATAAATCAACAGGAAAAAAACAAACAACTCATCAAAATGTGGGCTAAGGACATGAATAGATAATTCTCAAGATAAACAAATGGCCAAGAAACATATAAAAAAATACTCAACAACACTAATTATCAGAGAAATGCAAATCAAAACCACAATATGATACCACCTTACTCCAGGAAGAATGGCTATAATCAAAAAATAAAAAATAATAGATGTTGGCATGGATATGGTAGAAAGGGATCACTTATACAGTGTTGGTGGGAATGTAAACTAGTACAACCACTATAGAAAACAGTGTGGCAATTCCTTAAAGGACTAAAAGTAGAGTTACCACTTGATCCAGCAATCCCACTACTGTGTATCTACCCAGAGGAAAAAGAAGTCATTATACAAAAAACATACTTGCATATGTGTGTTTATAGCAGCACAATTTGCAACTGCAAAAATATGGAACCAGCCCAAATGCCCATCATTCAATGACTGGATAAAGAAATTATGGTGTATATATACCATGGAATACTATTCAGCCATAAAAAGGAATGAATTAATGGCATTTGCAACAATCTGGATAGAATTGGAGACCATTATTCTACGTGAATTAACTCAGGAAGGAAAAACCAAACATTGTATGTTCTCACTCATAAGTGGAAGCTAAGCTATGAGAATGCAAAGGCATAAGAATAATACAGTGGACTTTGGGGACCCACAGGAAAGGGTGGGAGGTTGGTGAGGGATAAAAGACCACACATTAGTTACAGTGTATGCTGCTAGGGTGATGGGTGCACCAAAATCTCAGAAATCACCACTAAAGAACGCATTCATGTAACCAAACACCACCTGTTTCCCAAAAACCAATTGAAATTAAAAATAATAAAATAAAATAAAATAAAATAAAATAAAATAAAATAAAATAAAATAAAAACAAAGGGCACGTAGCTGAGGACTGATCCCTCCAACTGCCCTTCCTTGGAGCTGTCTTCCTCTGGTGCCATGTTTTCTGTCAGTTCCCAGCACACTTGCAGGCAGTCTTCTGTGCAAACTTTCACATGGCTATCAAGGGCTCTATCCCTCACATATGCCCCTTACACTTCTGGGCCCCACAGACTTTTGGAGGGCAAGAAAATACCACCTAAATCTCTTTTCTTTTATCCTGATGTTAGAGAATATGCCCAGCCTTTATCTCTTGGATTTGTCATGGGGCGGGGTGGGGTCAGATGCTAGTGCACTGCATCCCCAATGTGCAGGGCCATGCTGTGAGTATGTCAGTGTGGCTCCTTTTTCTAGACCTAAAGTGAAACAAACAGATAAAACCAGACCTCTTATCCCTCCCTTCAGTGGTCAGATCTGAGACTTTGGCATGGCAATATTGCATTTTCCAAAGAAATGATTTCAATAACCAGATCTCCAATTTATACCCTCTACCATTTTATATCTTCTTTTTGGGCTTGACAGTCCCTGAGATGGTTCTTGTCCAATTACTTTGAAATTTCTGCATCGTGGTCTTAAACATCCCTTTGAACTTTCACCATGTTTTGAATTTTGGTACCCTAGCCTCAACTTCCATTAATATCCTCTTATAGGGAATTCATATTGAGATATTTCTCTAAACTTGCAACTATTTCACCTAGTATGTTCTCGTATTTAATTTCAAAATTAATGAAATTAATTCATCATTGTATAGCAAAAGGAAGGAACTCTTTCTTCACACTTTTCTTAGAGTTCAGAGTTTCAGACATGAATAAGGCTGTCAGGCTCACGCTCTGACAAACTGGGTCTTAGAAACAGCTTTGCAGTTTGGCTTGTTATGCGCTCTAATTGCATTGAAACAGCATCTTGCATTTTTTAAATCATGTCTACTTATTTCTCTAGCAGGTTTTTCCATATTCAGGCCACTTCCAGTTCAGTGCTTCACTACTCTACCCAGCATAACACAAAGTAGAAGTGAAATGATTCTGGGTGCAAATATAGACCTGTATTTCACCTCATGACTGGAACCTTCGGTTCAGGGAATTCTCTTGTAGCTAATTTGTGCCATCCTCTTCCAATAGGAAGCTGAGAGTTGACTACATCCATGGACCTCCCAGTGTTACAGTCTGGTCGTTAGTTCAAAGAAGAGACATAAAGTGCTTCCAAATGGCTCATCCATCACACAATTATCAAGAACCAATTAATGGCAATGCAACAACACATTGGTAGGATTTGTTTTGGGGTTTGTTGTTGTTGTTTTTAAATTGAAATCCAATTTCTAAACTTGAAGAGATTTACATTCTAGTGGTGGAAAGAGAAATACAAACAGACAAGTTCTAGTAAAATATGGCAAGTGCTGTAACACAAATATCAATAGAACACTATGGGAGTGAATAAATGTGGAGGAGCTCACAGTGCTTGGAGAAGAGAAGGTATCATCTTACTTACTATATTGAAGGAGGAATGAAAGAGTCATGCTAGTCAGTTGGGGCTAAAAGTGACCTGATTGTGATTTTCAATTCATTTGAAACAGTGACTGCATCCAAAATATCTGTCAGAGACTATTAATATATTTTATTTAAAAAGTATAAAGCATATGTCATGTTATTTAAGGGAATCTAGAATATCAATTGGCTGAAAAATCGCAGTTCTTTGTTTTTGTTATTCTTTTGAAGCAACTGATACACTCAGAACTACTTTGTGGTTTTGTATCTGTAACTAAACGCAATGTATCCTTGCATCCTAACATGTTATTACCTGTACTTTTAGATTTTTGTATTTATTTCCCAAATCACTGAAAGTCATTGGACATGCTCTTCTTCACTCTGGCTCCATCAATCAACTCTGCTTTCTTGATTAACACCAGGTATTTACCCCAAAGCATCTTCCTTCTCTCTGAATGGTAGAATTATGTTAACAACTTCCCCAGGGACAAATATAAAATCTCTGTTTAAAATTGACTTAATTATATTTTAAGTTAGTATAAGAAGAGACCATACGTTAACTCCATTCAAAACATTTTTGTTTATCAGTGGTCAGATTTAAATTTTCATAGTTATGAAATTATTAGATAACAAAATTGTGATGAATAGGAGTAGCTATTTATTGATAAATGATCAGAGACCGATTATAGCTACTATATTTCTAGTAGTGATCCTTTTATAATACAGGATATATTTTTCTCTTCAAAGCCATTAAGTATTCTTAACAGACCATTTCAAGTCTGGTTCCATAAGAATAAACACAAAAATATTTAGAGTTGGCGACCATGATCTGATACATTACATGAATGCTAAGAAGAAAAAAGATTTATGGAGCGTCTGATTGCATATAAATGAATTGCAATATAGATGAAAGGAAGCAAAGACACCAGTCATGCACAATATAAATAATATGTCCTAGTAGCTAATCACCATTTCTTGGCCTTGAGTTCATTGATATAGGTCATCTTTACATATGGTTGTAGAGTAAAATTTACAAGTCATGTCAATAGCCAGGCATATTCAATATTCATCCAGTCATTTAGCAAACGTTTATTGAGCAGTGTACCTGGGTGATAGAAATGAAATGTGAAGAGACATGACCTATACTTCAATAATTTTTAGTGAAGAGGTATTCAAATACTCATTTTATGAAACGTTACAACTGGGAGAGCACATGGGGCAAGCTAGCTCTTCACTCTAGTGTAAATTTGAGGACAAAGAATCTTAACCACTTTGTCTTGGAAATGGCTTGCAAAGCATGATGCGTGGTCACAGGAGAATATGAGTTTTACATGACTCACAAGGTTACGGGTAATGGTAATACAGGTATTCACATACCTCAGGTGAAAGCTTATGGCCATATATCAAAGTATCACATTTTACCCCACAAATATATACAACTTTTATCTATTGGTTAAAAGGAAAATGGAAGGCACATAGATGCCAATGACAGTTTGATTTCCCCTCCATTTCCCCCAAACACATAAGTGGTAACTCTATGTAATTAGAATATAGAGTTATATGATTTAGAGATTCGAAGAGAAACTGAAGAGAAAACTGGGAGCCATATTGTTAAGAACTTTTCTATCATAATTAGCTGTTTAATCCATATATTTTAAACAATGGATAATTCCTTAAGAATTTAAGTGAGGTAATGCCATGGAATTTCCTCATCTCCCTCTGGTAGAGGTGTGCATGATAAAGCAAGCAGGATGGGAAGCCTGCTGGGGAGGCGAGAACACAGATAGACAGATGCGTTGGGATGCCGACTTCATGATTCTGTGGGGGTGATCCACCCTGTGGGATGGGGAGGAGGGATCATTAGTATCAAACATGAAATGAAACACTGAAAATACAAAAGATCCTCGTATATGACCTGGAATTTTGGATATCGATATTTATTTATATGCATTTACATACTTTCTATATATGAACTCTGGTTTCAAGTTTCTTTATAGATGGGCATTATTCAAATCACTGACTCCTGTTTTCTGCTCTAAATATTTAGGTAATGCTGGGTCCCCTGAGAATTATAGCACTCCCTGACTATGGTGGCTTGAGCTCCAGTGGCTTTGGAGTTATGTTTTATCATGCTAGAGCACAATTTACCTGATAATATGTGCTATAAAATGGATATTTCATGTTTACAAAGACTTTGGGCCCCTTCCAATGTAGATGTTCAACATAATTTACTATTGTTGACTTTTTTATGTGCTACACAGAACAGAAACACAAACTGAAAAGTCAGCCACAGGGTGTGGGGCTGACAAATCATATTATGTTCAAATATAGGGATGGGAAACATTGCCAACCTTAATCATTCACTTCTCTTCATGAACACAAAATACCAGTTTCACTGGGATCTCTTTAAATATGCCTGAATGTAGTGGTTTGCGGGGGCTGGATCAGACTTGGGGAAGCCAATGGTTATATGCTCAGGAGTTTTGTAAGCTTATTATCCAATGGTTAGTAACTTGAAATGGATCATGGTGGTGGGATTTATAAAATGGAATGGGTTATATTGGGAGCATTTATAAAATGGAAATCTGCAAACATTACACATCAAGGCTTTTTTCTTGGACACCTAGTTTACCAGTTCACCACTATCTGAATTCAACAGTCATTACATAACTTAGTTTGATAAATCACTCAGTCAAATGTTTACAATACAATCATTAAGTCATACTGCAACAATACATAACCTTTTATTTCTTCTTCACTAATTTGGACATTTTCTATATTTCATGAAAGGAAAAACATGGAAATAAATTATGATCAGGGTCTGATAGCAAGTTATCATTTTTTTTGCTTTCTTCAATAAAGTTTTAGTTAAAAGCATGACTAAAACAGATATTGCAAATTGAATATACTGCATGTGCAGTGGGAAAGATCTAGGTTTTGGGGCTTATGTAATTTGCAGTGCCCTCTCTAAGAAAAAAAAATGATACAAAGGCAAACTAAACAGTGAGTAATCATTTATAGTAAAAATAACAAATTAAAAAATTTCAAAAAGCTAACAAATATTATGAAAATCAAAAAGTTCAGAAAAATAGCATAATTGTTTAATCATTAATGACCCAGTGTTTCTCTATACTCTTTTACAATGTTTGCCTGCATATGCTTTCGTGGGTTTTCCCATAGCAATGATGTTGCAATATCATTTTATATAAAGATAATATAAAGGTAATTCAATTTTTCCTCCAGCAATGTTGATTGCAATTTCATTTTTATTATTTACACTTGGGATCCATGAAACATGGGTCTTCACATGCTTTGTACTCTCTATTTGCAGAGTCTTCCCAGAGGCTATAAGTGGAAGTGATCACGAAGCACATAAATACATTCATTAATTCCCTGTTAATTCTACTTCCCCATTTCTCCAAAAGCCGTTTGCCTCTCTGTCTTTGTCTGTTTTGTGCTGCTATAACAGAACAGCACTGACTGGACAATTTATAAATCAGGGAAATTCATTTTCTTACAGTTCTAAAGGAAGAGAAGTCATGCTCAAAGGACTGGCATCTTGCAAGAGCCTTCTTGCTGCATCCTCACGTGGTGGAGGACAGGAGGGCAAGAGACAGTAACTTCCCTCATCAAGCCCTTTATAATGGCATTACTCTATTTATCAGGGCTGAACCCTCATAACCTAAATACCTCCACTGAGCCCTACCTCCCAAGATTGTTGTAATGGGTATAAAGATTCCAACGCATAAATTTTGAGAAACACATTTAAACCATCACCAACATCACTCCACATACAAAAGGAGGAGAATGAAAAAAGACAGCTATCTTAAACATCTTACTTTTACAAAATGTTCAACAATAGGACCTTATGTGCACATTGTTAGATCCCAGTAAAGGCCTTGGAAGGAACACACGGAAGAGAGAGGATCCAAAGCTTACTTTTCGTTGCTACACAATAAGTGCACTCTCCATGCAACACATTGGTTTTTAGTTGCTGCCTGGAGCAGAATGAGAAGGCCCTAAGAGCACCATGGGTCAGCAGGAAAGAGGGTCATGACCCATTTCGGCGTGGCATGAGGCTGAGGACTGTGATGCAAAAGCTGAGTACTTATCTTTTTATTTTATTTTATTATTATTATACTTTAAGTTTTAGGGTACATGTGCACAATGTGCAGGTTAGTTACATATGTATACATGTGCCATGCTGGTGTGCTGCACCCATTAACTCGTCATTTAGCATTAGGTATATCTCCTAATGCTATCCCTCCCCACTCCCCCCACCCCACAACAGTCCCCAGAGTGTGATGTTCCCCTTCCTGTGTCCATGTGTTCTCATTGTTCAATTCCCACCTATGAGTGAGAACATGTGGTGTTTGGTTTTTTGTTCTTGCAATAGTTTACTGAGAATGATGATTTCCTATTTCATCCATGTCCCTACAAAGGACATGAACTCATCCTTTGTTATGGCTGCATAGTATTCCATGGTGTATATGTGCCACATTTTCTTAATCCAGTCTATCATTGTTGGACATTTGGGTTGGTTCCAAGTCTTTGTTATTGTGAACAGTGCCGCAATACACATACGTGTGCATGTGTCTTTATAGCAGCATGATTTATAGTCCTTTGGGTATATACCCAGTAATGGGATGGCTGGGTCAAATGGTATTTCTAGTTCTAGATCCCTGAGGAATCACCACACTGAATTTCACAATGATTGAACTAGTTTACAGTCCTACCAACAGTGTAAAAGTGTTCCTATTTCTCCACATCCTCTCCAGCACGTGTTGTTTCCTGACTTTTTAATGATTGCCATTCTAACTGGTGTGAGATGATATCTCATTGTGGTTTTGAATTGCATTTCTCTGATGGCCAGTGATGGTGAGCATTTTTTCATGTGTTTTTTGGCTGCAGAAATGTCTTCTTTTGAGAAGTGTCTGTACATGTCCTTCACCCGCTTTTTGAAGGGGTTGTTTGTTTTTTTCTTGTAAATTTGTTTGAGTTCATTGTAGATTCTGGATATTAGCCCTTTGGCAGATGAGTAGGTTGCGAAAATTTTCTCCCATTTTGTAGGTTGCCTGTTCATTCTGATGGTAGTTTCTTTTGCTGTGCAGAAGCTTTTTAGTTTAATTAGATCCCATTTGTCAATTTTGTCTTTTGTTGCCATTGCTTTTGGTGTTTTAGACATGAAGTCCTTGCCCATGCCTATGTCCTGAATGGTAATGCCTAGGTTTTCTCCTAGTGTTTTTATGGTTTTAGGTCTAACATTTAAGTCTTTAATCCATCTTGAATTAATTTTTGTATAAGGTGTAAGGAAGGGATCCAGTTTCAGCTTTCTACATATGGCTAGCCAGTTTTCCCAGCACCATTTATTAAATAGGAATCCTTTCCCCATTGCTTATTTTTCTCAGGTTTGTCAAAGATCAGATAGTTGTAGATATGCAGCATTATTTCTGAGGGCTCTGTTCTGTTCCATTGATCTATATCTCTGTTTTGGTACAAGTACCATGCTGTTTTGGTTACTGTAGCCTTGTAGTATAGTTTGAAGTCAGGTAGCGTGATGCCTCCAGCTTTGTTCTTTTGGCTTAGGATTGACTTGGCAATGTGGGCTCTTTTTTGGTTCCATATGAACTTTAAAGTAATTTTTTCCAATTCTGTGAAGAAAGTCATTGGTAGCTTGATGGGGATGGCATTGAATCTATAAATTACCTTGGGCAGTATGGCCATTTTCATGATATTGATTCTTCCTATCCATGAGCATGGAATGTTCTTCCATTTGTTTGTGTCTTCTTTTATTTCATGGAGCAGTGGTTTGTAGTTCTCCTTGAAGAGGTCCTTCACATCCCTTGTAAGTTTGATTCCTAGGTATTTTATTCTCTTTGAAGCAATTGTGAATGGGAGTTCACTCATGATTTGGCTCTCTGTTTGTCTGTTATTGGTGTATAAGAATGCTTGTGATTTTTATACATTGATTTTGTATCCTGAGACTTTGCTGAAGTTGCTTATCAGCTTAAGGAGATTTTGGGTTGAGACAATGGGGTTTTCTAGATATAGAATCATGTCATCTGCAAACAGGGACAATTTGACTTCCTCTTTTCCTAATTGAATACCCTTTATTTCCTTCTTCTGCCTAATTGCCCTGGCCAGAACTTCCAACACTATGTTGAATAGGAGTGGTGAGAGAGGGCATCCCTGTCTTGTGTCAGTTTTCAAAGGGAATGCTTCCAGTTTTTGCCCATTCAGTATGATATTGGGTGTGGGTTTGTCATAGATAGCTCTTATTATTTTGAGATACGTCCCATCAATACCTAATTTATTGAGAGTTTTTAGCGTGAAAGGTTGTTGAATTTTGTCAAAGGCCTTTTCTGCATCTGTTGAGATGATCATCTGGTTTTTGTCTTTGGTTCTGTTTATATGCTGGATTACATTTATTGATTTGCATATATTGAACCAGCCTTGCATCCCAGGGATGAATCCCACTTGATCATACTGGATAAGCTTTTTGATGTGCTGCTGGATTCGGTTTGCCATTATTTTATTGAGGATTTTTGCATCAATGTTCATCAAGGATATTGTTCTAAAATTCCCTTTTTTGGTTGTGTCTCTGCCCGGTTTTGGTATCAGGATGATGCTGGCCTCATAAAATAAGTTAGGGTGGATTCCCTCTTTTTCTATTGATTGGAATAATTTCAGAAGGAATGGTACCAATTCCTCCTTGTACCTCTGGTAGAATTTGGCTGTGAATCCATCTGGTCCTGGACTCTTTTTGGTTGGTAAGCTACTGATTATTGCCACAATTTCAGAGCCAAAGAAGGCCATTACATAATGGTAAAGGGATCAATTCAACAAGAAGAGCTAACTATACTAAATATATATGCACCCAATACAGGAGCACCCAGTTTCATAAAGCAAGTCCTGAGTGACCTAGAAAGAGACTTAGACTCCCACACAATAATAATGGGAGACTTTAACACCCCACTGTCAACATTAGACAGATCAACGAGACAGAAAGTTAACAAGTATACCCAGGAATTGAACTCAGCTCTGCACCAAGCGGACCTAATAGACATCTACAGAACTCTCCACCCCAAATCAACAGAATATACATTCTTTTCAGCACCGCACCACACCTATTCCAAAATTGACCACATAGTTGGAAGTAAAGCGCTCCTCAGCAAATGTAAAAGAACAGAAATTATAACAAAGTGTCTCTCAGACCACAGTGCGATCGAACTAGAACTCAGGATTAAGAAACTCACTCAAAACCGCTCAACTACATGGAAACTGAACAATCTGCTCCTGAATGACTACTGGGTAGATAACGAAATGAAGGCAGAAATAAAGATGTTCTTTGAAACCAACGGGAACAAAGACACAACATACCAGAATCTCTGGGACACATTCAAAGCAGCTGTGTAGAGGGAAATTTATAGCACTAAATGCCCACAAGAGAAAGCAGGAAAGATCCAAAATTGACATCCTAACACCACAATTAAAAGAACTAGAAAAGCAAGAGCAAACACATTCAAAAGCTAGCAGAAGGCAAGAAATAACTAAAATCAGAGCAGAACTGAAGGAAATAGAGACACAAAAAACCCTTCAAAAATTAATGAATCCAGGAGCTGGTTTTTTGAAAGGATCAACAAAATTGATAGACTGCTAGCAAGACTAATAAAGAAAAAAAGAGAGAAGAATCAAATAGACACAATAAAAATGATAAAGGGGATATCACCACCGATACCACAGAAATACATACTACCATCAGAGAATACTACAAACACCTCTACGCAAATAAACTAGAAAATCTAGAAGAAATGGATAAATTCCTCGACACATACACCCTCCCAAGACTAAACCAGGAAGAAGTTGAATCTCTGAATAGACCAATAACAGGCTCTGAAATTTTTTTTTTTTTTTTTTTTTTTTAGGCCAGAGAATTTCTTTATGCCAGCTTCAGGACAGAAAGGCAGGTTTTTTTTCGTTTTTTTTTTGTTTTTGTTTTTTGAGATGGAGTCTTGCTCTGTCACCCAGGCTAGAGTAAGGCAGGGTTTTTATGAGCTACCTTCACCTTGGGGAGAAATAACAAGGGCTTTGGGGAGTTATAAGCTAGGAACAGTTGATGGAAGCATGAAATTTATAAAAATATAAATACAATAATATCACAGTTACCTTCAACTCTCCACTTAGAACATTCTGAAGAAACATGGCTCTTCTGAATTATTCATGAATTGTCTACAAAGGGAAGCTGGCAACATTTACAGATGATCTAAATCTGCTCTGTCCAATATGGTATCTACTACACATTTTGCTATTGAGAACTTGAAATATGACTAATACAAACTGAGATGTGCTGTAATTGTAAGATGCACATTGAATCTCAGAGACCTGTGTGGCTCTTGCTTATGGCTCTCATATATCTGTTATTCAGCACCATTCTGGGTCATTACTCATAGGTTTTTTACTATCTCAATGTTTCTTAGCCAATAACAATTTTAAATGACACACCTTGAATACTCCATTTATTTATGGAACGAGAGAACTGAAACCAAGACAAAGTATAATAATAGATAACAACATTACAAAGATACCAGTGGATAGAAAAATGGCTTAGTTTTCTATATTCGGAATGCATGAGCTATTATCTATAATACAATTTGGAAACTATGGCAGTTTGTGAATTAGCTTCATTTTTAAGATGTTTATTTTGAAATAGTTATACATTATAAAAGCTGCAATCATAAAATCGAAGTCACCTATATACTTCACCCTGTTTTTCCCAGTGGTTGCATCTTACATATTCATAGTATAATACACGCCCGCCCCCAGGAAATTGACATTGGTATAACATGCATATATTGTTCTGTGCCATTTTATCACATGTATAGTTTTGTACAGCCACCAGCATATAAATATCCAGAACTATTCCATCACTACAGGGATCTCCCTCTTGCAACCCTTTTATAGTCACAGGTACCCCCTTTTGCCTCACAATCCCTAATCACTGGCAATCACTAATCTGTTCCCCATCTCTACAATTTTTTTACATTTTGAGAGTGATGATTTGGCTGTTATGCATAAAGGTGCTATGAAAAATAATGTACATATTTTCATTTAGACATAAAACTCCTCGAGTATAAATGCTGGATCATATGGCAAAGTGTACCTTTAAATATGTTAAGAAAAGCATAACTATTTTCCAGAATGGCTGAACCGTTTTTCATTTTCACCAGTAATGTGTGAGAGATCCTGTTTCTCCACATTCTTGCCTGCATTTGATATTGTCTTTGGAAAACAATGTTAGCTATTCCAAAAGATACAAATTGATATCTTGCTGTGGCCTTAGTTTGCATTTAACTAAGGGCTAGTGATGCCAACATCTTTCCATGTGCTTATTTGCCACCCTCTTCAATGAAATGTCTGCTTATATATTGGATTGTTTGGTATTTCACTGGTGCATTTTCAGAGTTGAAATGAGATATTTAGTGTTATATATTCTACAAACTAATCCTTTGTCAAACTTATGGCTTGAGAATATCTTTTCTCCATTTGTAACTTGTCTTTTTATCCTCTTAACAGGACCTTTTACAGATAAAAAGTTTTGAAATTTGTCAAATATAATTTATAATTTTTTTTCCTTTATGTACCATTTTTTGTATCATGTCTAAGAAATTTTCAAGAAGCACTAGAAACCACAGGGTTTTCTCCTATGTTATTATTCCAAAAGTGTTACACTTTTACATTTTACACCTAAATCTGTGATCGGCTTTGATTTAATTTTTATCATAAGGTATAAAGCTTAGATCAAGGTTCACTTTTTTTTCCTGTGGCTAGTCAACTGTTCTATTACCGTTTTCTGTAAGCACTATCTTTCTTCCATTGACTTCCTTTTTGTGTGAGGCTATTTCTGCATTCTCTTTTTGTTTTTGTTTGTTTGTTTCTGTTTTTTATTTTAAAAGAATTTATTTGAAATAATGTACAGCAAAGATTTATTTGTACATTCCACCAAGAGTTGGTTGCATTTTCAACTCCTTTTCCTTAAATGTAGATGGCTTTATTGTAGGTATTTTCTTTAAAAAAAAAAGTATTTTATTTTATTGTAAGTTCCATGGTACATGTGAAGGATGTTCAGGTTTGTTACATAGGTAAATGAGTGCCATGGTCATTTGCTGCACCTATCAACTGCTCACCTAGGTATTAAGCCCAGCATGAATTAGCTATTAATCCTGGTGCTCTTCCTCCTCCTACCCCCACAACAGCCCCCACACCTGCAGTGTGTGTTGCTCCCCCAGCCCCGTGTCCATGTGTTCTCATTGTTCAGTTCCCACTTATAAGTGAAAGCATGTGGTGTTTGGTTTTCTGTTCCTGTGTTTGTTTGCTGAGGATAATGGCTTCCAGCTCCCTGCATGTCACTGCAAAGAACATGAGCTCATTCTTTTTTATGGCTTCATAGTATTCCATGGTGTATATGTACCACATATTCTTTATCCAGTTTATCATTGATAGGTATTTGGGTTGATTCCATGTCTTTACTATTGTGAATAGTGCTGCAATGAACATACATATGCATGTATCTTTATAACAGAATGATTTATATTTCTTTGGTTATATACCCAGTAATGAGATTGCTGGGTCAAGTGGTATTTCTGCCTCCAGGTATTCAAGGAATTGCCACACAGTCTTCCACAATGGTTGAACTAATTTACATTCCCACCAACAGTGTAAAAGCATTCCTATTTCTCCACAGCCTCACCAGCATCAGTTGCTTCTTGACTTTTTAATAATCATAATTCTGACTGGCAGGACATGGTATCTCACTGTGGTTTTGATTTGCATTACTCTAATGATCAGTGATGTTGAGCTTTTTTTCATAGGTTTGTTGACAGCATGAATCTCTTCCTTTGAGAAGTGCCTGTTCATGCCCTTTGCCCAGTTTTTAATGGGGTTGTTTGCCTTTTTTTGTTGTTTGTTTCTCATAGATGCTGGATATTAGACCTTTGTCAGATGGACAGACTGCAAAAATTTTCTTACATTCTGTAGGTTGTCTATTCACTTATGATACTTTCTTTTGCTGTGTGTAAGCTCTTTAGTTTAATTAGATTACATTTGTCAGGTTTTGCTATTGTGGCCAATTGCTTTTGATGTTTTCATCATGAAATCTTTGCCCATGCCTATGTCCTGAGTGGTATTGCCTAGATTTTCTTCTAGAGTTTTCATAGTTTTGGGTTTTACATTTAAGTCTTTAATCCATCTTGAGTTAGTTTTTATATAAGATGTAAGGAAGGGGTCCAGTTTCAATTTTCTGCATACGGCTAGCCTGTTTTCCCAGGACTATTTATTAAGTAGGGAATCATTTACCCATTGCTTGCTTTGGTCAGGTTTGTCAAAGATCAGATGGTTGTAGATGTGAGGCTTTATTTGTACCAGAACCATGCTCTTTTGGTTACTGTAGCCTTGTAGTATAGTTTCAAGTGGGGTAGTGTGATGCCTGCAGCTTTGTTCTTTTTGCTTAGGATTGTCTTGGCTATATGGGCTCTTTTTTGGTCCTATATGAATTTTGAAGTATTTTTTTTCTAATTCCTTGAAAAGTGTCAATGGCAATTTAATGGGAATGACATTGAATCTATACATTACTTTGGGAAGTACGGCCATTTTCATGACATTTATTCCTCCTATCCATGAGCATGGAATGTTTTTCGATTCATTTGTGTTCTCACTTATTTCCTTGAGCAGTGGTTTGTGTTCTCCCTGAAGAGGTCCTTCACCTCCCTTGTTAGCTGTATCCTAGGTATTTTATTCTCTTTGTAGCAATTGTGAATAGGAATTTATTCATGATTTGGCTCTCTGCTTGTCTATTGTTGTTATATAGGAATACTTGTGATTTTTGCACATTGGTTTTGTATCCTGAGACTTTGCTGAAGTTGCTTTTCAGCTTACAAAGCTCTGGGGCTGAGACAACAGGCTTTTCTAGATATGGAATCATGTCAACTACAAACAGAGAGAGTTTGACATCCTCTCTTCCTGTTTCAATACACTTTATTTCTTTCTCTTGCCTGATTACCCTGGCCAGAACTTCCAATACTACATTGAATAGGAGTGGTGAGAGAGTTCTTGTTTTGTACCAGTTTTCAAGGGGAATGCTTCCAGCTTTTGCCCATTCAGTTGCCCATTTCTTGTACTGCTGATGTACATGTGTGACCCTCCTGAAATACTATATAGTTTTGATTACTACAGCTATGTAATAAGTTTTGAATTGGAACAGATTTATCTCTAGTTTTTCAAAATTGTTTAGTTAACCCAGTTTCATTTTTTTCTATATATTTTAGAATAACGTTATTTATATCTACAAAAATCTTAAGGGTATTTTGAAAGAAATCCCCTTAAGCCTGTATATCCACTTGGAGAAAACTGACATCTTGACTTAGTCTTCTAATTCATTAACATGCCATGTCTCTACATTTATTTATATATTTTTATTGCTTTCATCAGCATATTATAGTTTTCAGTATGCAAGTCCTAAACATGTTTTGTTAGATTTACATATAAGTATTTCATTTTTGAAACAAAAAATATCATTTTTATTTTTAGTTCCTTTATGTTCATTTAAGTTTTATAAACTGTGTATTCTGTGACCTTGCTAAATTCACTTATTGTTCTAGATTTTTTTTTTTTTTTGGTAGATTCCTTGGACTTTTCTACTTAGATAATTATGCCTTCAATAGATAGGACCTGTTTTATTTCTCTCTTTTTGATTTGTGGACATTCTTTTTCTTTTCTTTCTTTCTTTTTTTTTTTTTTTTTTGTTTTGTTCTTGTTGTGTATTTATTGCACTTGCCAGAACGTCCAATGCTGTCATGGACAGCAGTGGTCAGAACAAGCTTCTTGCATTGTTCCCCATATTACAGTGAAAGCATTCAGGAAGTCTTTTGCCATTATGGATGATGTTAGCTATAGGTTATTGTCAATGTTCTTTGTCAACTTGAGGAAGTTCCCTTTTATTTCTATTTTCCCGAGGTCTTTTTGTTATTAATTCATGTTGTATTTTATCAAATGCTTTTTCTTTACTAATTGATATGATCATGTATTTTTCATCTTTAGCCTATCAATGTGGTGGATTTACACTGACTGCCTTTTGAGTCTTGAACCAACTCTGAATCCCTAGAATAAACCCCACATGGACATTGTGTGTAAATATTTTATATGTTGCTGAAAACTAAATTCCAATGTCTTGTTAAAAATGTTTGCAACCATACTTACAGAGTGAATTTATTCTAGCTAAAGATTAGTTAATTTTATTTTTCAAAAAAAGTTTTAGTTTTGTTAATCTTTTCTATGTTTTTTCTAGTCTCTAGTTGATTTCCGCGCTAATTATTGTAATTTTATTTTTTCTGCTACTTTTGGGCTCAATTTTTTTCTTCATTTTCTAGTTATTTGAGGTGTAATATTAGACTGTTTGAGATCTTTCTTCTTTCTTAATGTAGGCATTTATTGCTACAAAACTCTACTTCTATCCTCTTAGGGGCCCAGTTGGGCCCAATAATTAAATTGGCATAAGACATATTAACCAGAGAAAAGCATACAGATTTATTTAATAGGAGTTTTATGTGGCATAGGAACTCTTAGAAGAAAATGAAGACCCGAGGTAGCAGTTAAATTCAGTTATTTACATCCTGGATTGGACGAAGAATAGTAAGCTGTGAAGAAGCAATGAATTACCTGGGGGAAGCTTTAAATATAATAGTTATTTTAACAATACTTTTACAGAATTATCTTTGTCTCAACTTCTTATCCTTGAGTATAAGGCTGTTGCATCTTTCACATGGAAATTTCATCTTTTGCTTTTCAGAAACGGCATCAAGGTCAGAGTGATCTTTTTGCACCTGCTGTTTTCCAAGTGCATTTAAATGGCATATTTTTAACTTTTACCCCACAATATGTAATACATACTTGGAGAGATACTTTGAGCTCCACATAGCTATCCTATTTTTCTTAAAAGTTTTGGCCACTAATTTTAGCATTCATCAGTGAATCTTGGCTGCAGCTAATACTATGATGGTACTCTAGTAGTGATTTTTCACTTTTCTCATTCCTTCTAAAGTTATTATTTAGAATTATTCTGTAAGGAAAAGTTCTCCCTTTTGGCCCATTTATTTATTCATTCATTTATTTATATGAATATGGATTTTTTTTTTTTTTTTTGAGACGGAGTCTCGCTTTGTCGCCGAGGCTGGAGTGCAGTGGCGTGATCTGGGCTCACTGCAAGCTCTGCCACCCGGGTTCACGCCATTCTCCTGCTCAGCCTGTTGAGTATCTGGGACTACAGGCGCCTGCCACCAAGCCTGACTAATTTTTTGTAATTTTTTTAGTAGAGACAGGCTTTCACTGCGTTAGCCAGGATGTTCTCCATCTCCTGACCTCGTGATCCGCCTGCCTCGGCCTCCCAAAGTGCTGGGATTACAGGCGTGAGCCACCGGGCCCGGTCATGAATATGGCTTTTAATTTTATTCTTTAGGTTATAATTTAATGCTATCAATACCTATTTTATTGATCAAATTCTTAGTTTTGGCAATTAGTAGCTCTTTCTACTTGACTCCTGTAGAAAAGCTTTTTGACACGATACTATCACCTGTGTTTTTTTTTTTTTATTTCTTTATTTTCATGCACTACAAGATGCCCCAGGAACATTTGGTATTTTCTCTACCACAGTGCTAGCGTCAGCCATCTCTCCTTGCTTTAATTGAAGAATGGTAATAGAAACAATTATCTTGGCTTTAGGAATTCTCATTGTTACCAGAGTGTCATTTCTTCTAGGCCCACACAGCAACAGAGCTAGAAATGTAGGTATGTAAACCAAGCAATATATGTCTACAATTTGTTTTAATTTCATCTGTCTTTTAACAGATTAAGGTAAACATGAGTTTATAGTGATAATTCTGACTTCATTTCAGTTCCTCAGGTTCCTTCTAGCCTCTCCTTCCTCCTTGCTTATTTGTAACTCCTCTCAAAAGTTTTAAACACTACTGTATGTAAGTTTTGGTTTAACAAACTAAATATAATCAATATCATTAACTTTATTCATAGAATATTTGTTTAAATAACATATTTTCAGTAAGTATGAGAAAATAATTAGACAACATTTAAGAGTAATTTTTGATATATTGCTTTGCAAACTAGGGCTAGAAGGGAAATTCCTGACCTTAACAATGTACATAAAAAAGAAACCTACACTGACATTGTATTTAAAGTTTTTTCTAACATTGAGAATAAGGCGATGACTACTTTTGTTTCATCAGTGCACTGAGTTTCTAACCAGTGTTGCAAGGTAAGAAAATGAAATAAAATGCATATATATCAGAAAGGAGAAATAAAAAACTGTCTTTATTAATAAGTGATGCAAACATATAAAGTGGAAATCCTAAGAAATTTTTTTAAAAAATAAAACTGTTAGAAGTGTAACTGAATTTAGAAAGGTCAGAAAATACAAAGTCAACATATAAAATAAATTGTCTTTTTATACTAGTAACAGACAATTGGAAAACAAAAGCTAACCAAAAAAGCAGTATCATTTATAATGCCAAGATGAAGCATTAAGAATTTAGGGATAAATTCAAGTAAATATGTAGTTGAGCAGCAGATTAAAAATTACAAAACATTACTGAAGTAATATAAATAATACTTAAATAAATGTAGATATATACTTTGCTCATAATTTGAAATATTCAATATTGTTATGAAATCTGTAATGTAATGAAATTCCAATACAAATATTGGCATTTTTAGTAGAAATGGATAAGCTCATTCAAAAATTTTATGGAAACGCAATGTACCTAGAATAGTCAAAATGACATTGAAAAGGCTAAAATTACAAGACACTACTTAATTTCAAAACTTACCAAAACACTACAGTAATCAAGATATAGAATTATTGACAAAAGGATAGATATGTAGATCAATATAACAGAATAATGAGTTTGCATATAGTTTCATGGATATTTGCCAAATCATGATGTTTTTCACAAAAATGCCAAGGAAATTTCATGGAGAAAGGATAGTCTCTTCTAAAACTGATGTTAGAACAACTGACAATTCACATGAAAAAACCAAGTTAAAACTTATCTCAGTATGCACATAACATTAACTTAAATCATGACATGTATCTAAATGTAAACACTAAAATTATAAATTTTAGGTAGAAGGCTTAGGAGTTTGTTAATTTCTTTGTATGTTTGTTTATTTTCAACTTTAGGATAAACATTTCCTTAGCTATGACAAAAACAGGTGAGTCAGTAGAGAAAATAAATTAGAAAATTAGAATTCACTTAAATTAAAAACTTGTTCTCTTCAATATTACATCACTAAGAAAATGAAGAGCAAGCTGCTGACCAGCAGACTCTACTTGCAAAACATACATCTAACCAACAATTTCTATCCGGAGTCTATAACGACACCTACAATTCAGTAACAATGGAAATAATTGAATTATAAAAGTAGAAAATAATTGGAAGGGCACAAAAAGTAATATATCTGAATGCTAATCAGCACATTAAAAAGTGTCAAACATCACTAATTACCAGAGAAATTACCATCCTTTAGAATGACTAAGAATAAGATGCCTGAAACACCACGTGTTAGGGTAAATTAGAACAATTGGAGCTTTCATACTGTGCTGTTGGAAACCATATTGAGCACAAATGTGGCAAAGTAATCTAGCAATCTGTTATCAAAATAATCTTACATCTGATCATTTGACCCAACAATTCTTGTAGTGGTTTACTTAAAAGAAATGAAAATGTATGTTTGCACAAATACTTATAACAATTCTATTCATAATAACCAAAACCTGGAAAATATAATCCAAATGTTCATCAACAGATAAGGAGACGTGTTGTGGTATATCCCTGCAATGGAAAATTCCTCAAGCATAGATAGAAATGAACTACATATACCCAAGAAAATGGATGACTTGAACATGCTGCTTAGATAAAGAAGGCACACTGTGTGCATACAGTCTGATTATATTTTAAATGAATTATAGAGAAGGAAAATCTAATCTATATGTACAGAATCCAGTCCAGTATTAGCCAAGCACTAGAGTTAAGTGAGGGGCTCTGACTGCAAGACAGGAAGAAAGTCTTTGAGTCATGCAAATAACCTAATTTTTGTTGTAAAAAAAGTCATCAAACCATAAGATTTCAAAAGATAAAATTTACCACATGTAAATTATGCCTAAATAATGTTGATTTGAAACTTTTGCATTCCCCAAATCCAGAAACATACTTAGGTGAATTATTTCTTATTAATGCACATTAGTAGAAGGTCCTACATAGCTCCAATTAAGTGCACATATTCACACCCACTATACACACACACCTACATCTATATGCACACATATAAATACAAATACATACACATTATTTATGTTAAGAAATCTTAAACTATTCATCAATGTTTTTCAATAAGTAATTTTCTATTTTACTATGGCTAACATAGAAGCTGAAAACTAGATAAATTGAGCTGCTGAAAGTCACCTTTAGGTGGAACAAAACATTTGTCCTTGATGTTCAAAAGGCATCTTTCCTTTTTATGCTCTCTAAATAAAGCGCTTTGTGATAGGGGCCACATTTCTCATATATGTTCTTGACTGATTTTCAATGTGATTATTTTTGAGTTTGTTTTCTTTGTTTTTACTTCTAGAAAAATATAAATAGAAATTAATTAAGACTCTGCAGTTTAAAAGTTCTTGGCTTATTCTAACATGTAACAATGTAACAGTGAACTAAAAGGGAATAATGAAGTCTTTAGATGTTAAGCTAAAATAAATAAAAATAATTTTTTGAAAAGGCACAAAGTACAAGGATTTTCACTTTAACAGATCTTGTCATTATGGTTCCCTGAGTCAGTGTTAAGATAAGGACTTTCAGATACTGACTAGAAGACTGAAGAGAAGTGTTTGACACTCTCTTCCCAGTCTCCTTTTGGATCCCAATTAGGCCTTCCTCCAGCTTTGTGCCATCAGCAAATTTAATAAGCAAGCAAGCAGCTCTGTGAAATCCTTAAAAAAATTAGCCTATATTCCAGAACTGAGAATAGAGGCCTGGAGTTTTCTTCATCTTTTGTCTATCTATATAACAACTGTTAAAATATTTCAACTATTTATACAGACTCACACATAATTAAGTATACAAATACGTTGAGGCTTATGACAAACCATTTTGAAGTACAATACACCATTCATCTTATGGACTAACTGTGTGTGCCCCCCCAAAAAAATTCTATGCTGAAATGCAAATCCCCAAAGTGATAGTTTTAGGAAGTGGGACCTTCGGAAGCTAATTAGATCATGAAGGGGGAGCCCTCAGAATGAGGTTAGTGCCTTTATAAGAGGAGAGAGGAGAGCTCTCTCTTTCTCTCTCTTTCTATCTCTCTCTGCCCCACCACCCCCCAACACACACACACACTGTTCTCCATCATCTGCGAATGCAGTAAGAAGATGCCCATCTGCAGACTAGGAAGCAGCTCTCACCAGATTGAATATGCTGGCTCCTTGATCTCAGGCTTTCCAGTCTTTAAAACTGTAAGAAGAAAAAATTATGTGTCGTTTAAGCCATACAGCCTATGGTAATTTTTTACAGCAGCCTGAGCTGACTAAGACACATGTCATTCTCCTAAATTATTGGTGTAATAAGTCTAATTAAAAATGGTCATACGAGAACAGTCTACCGTGCTCTTGTCTTCATGAGCCCATGTTGAATTATTGTTTTTGTTGTTGCTGATTGTTTTTTCCAGTGTCCAGAATGGCACATTTATCATAACTTAAGAGCATTGGGTGCAATATATATATATCTTCCTCATCCCATTGCTCACAGCCTAGTTATTTAAAAAGCTGTCACCAACTTGGCCTAGCCTCTATGCTATGGCTTCGGGATAACTAACAAAGTTTACCTTGCATAAGGGTAACTTTACATACCTCCAGTCGTCATACCCCTGTCTTGTTCTCAACCACTCTTTAAAGTTTATACAGAGAAATTTTGCAATTGTCAGCAAGCAGTCTTGGTGCTTTTGACCAAGAGGAGTGCCTCTGGAGAAAAGGACAAAATCAGTCAAAAAAGAGTACTCCCCTCCTGCTTCCATATTCCCTAACTTCATTCCCTATTTGATAGGGTCATCTTACTTATTTAGACTAAAAAAAAATAACAAAGAGCAACAAAAACCTTGGTCAGTAAGGCTTTGCATTCTTTGTGCTATTTTTTGTGTGTGTAATTTAAAGAGCATCTTTTCACGTCCTGATATATCAGTCATCCCTGTTGCTCTTTCCTGTGCTTCCTTGTTTGAATCCACATGCTTCTATTACTCTTCATAAATATTTGAAAAATACTTTTGTCCCCTGATCTCCAAATAGTACAGTTCACACAACTGAAGGATGAAAAATCAAAGAACATAAATCTCAGATGATCTAAAATGTAGATGTACTCATTGTATATTTCACTGTATATATATAACATATATTTTTACATTTGTAGATATAAATGTCATTTTATATATGCACAAATTATATACATTCCACAGAAAATTTTGTAACTTAACAAAAGATAAAATATTTTAGTTTAACTTTTTCTATTTTTTAATATATAATAAATATTACATTTAGTAAATATTACTTTAAAATATCTACTTCCGTAAGATGTACATATTCACCTAGAAAACTAACTCAGTTTTTTTATTTGAATAATTCTTTGTACTTTGGATGGATGGTGCTCTCTCTGGTGATGGCTCTTAAAGCTCAGAGGTCTTAGAGTCAACAATGGGCCTAAGCAAAACAGGGCAGGAGGCGAGGCCATGGTAGTCTGGAAAAGGAGGGAAATGCATTCCTGCAACAAATTGGTGGTTATCTTTTAAGATTTTGAAATCAGACCAACTGTCCCATAAAAATGATATTTAGGGATTCTTTTGAATAAACATAAAAATTGATCCTCCCAGTCTTAAAACTTGAGAAAGTTACAATTGTCTTATCTAATTTTTTTTTCCAGGAAACCAACCATCAGGTCTCCCAGATTGTATCAAAGACATGAAACTTACCAAGTCACCACATCTGGACGGTGAGATTCAGGACTCTACACCCATCACAATTGCCTAAGTGACCACCTGCTTCCTATTGACCAACTCCTCTTTCTTACCCCTCCGTAATTTCTGTTTTCTCTCACATGGTTACATTTCTTACCTACTATATAAACCCTTAATTCCAGTCCATCACGGAGATGGATTTGAGGCTGATCTTCCATTCTCTTTGGCTGCAGCACCTGAATAAAACCTTGTTCCCGAGCAATACTCTTCTCAGTGATTGGCTTTCTGTGCAGTGAAGCAGTAGGACCTAGACTGAACTCCTGGCACTTCAGTAATAATTTCACTATCAGCAGAACTGGCAATCCCAGTAAGTTCTAAAAGTTGAGACAGTCGCAAATTTATAAAGACATATGTATTAGTCAGTATTCTCCATAGACGGAACCAACAGGGCATGCATATACATACACAGAGAGACTTATTTTAAGGATTTGGCTAACTGTTTGTGAAAACTTGGTTAAGTCCAAATTCTACAGGGTAGGCTGACAGGTTGGAGACTCAGGAGAGTTCCAGTTCAAGTCCAAAGTCTGTCTGCTGTTGTAATTCATTTTTGCACAGGAAAGGTCAGGCTTTGTTCTCTTAAACTCTTCAATTAGTTGGTTGAGTCCCATCCATGTTAAGGAGGGTAATCTGCTTTATTCAAAAATATAGATATTGAACTAATACAAAAAACTCCTTCACAGCAAATATCCAAAATTGTGTTTGACCAAATAGCTGGGCATCATTGCCCAGTCAAGTTGACACATAAAATTAATCATCAGTTATTTTCTGATTATTTATTTATTCAGCTACTGAATTCTGTCCAAGTTTAAAGCTTATTTTAAAAGAGTAAACTAGAGACCAGATTAAAAAACAAACAAACAAACAAAACAGTTGGGCTATGTGAAGCATTATCAGAACTAACTAATCACCTTAAGTGTGTAGGATGAGGATATTGTGACAACTAGTATGTGCTAGGTGGTTCTGTCTGTAAAAACTAAGGTGAGGAAGGTGTTAGTGTTATGGTTGGGGGGCATTGTGGGGAGACCTACTAACGTCTGTATAACCTGCTGCTGGTAAAAAAACTTGATATAACCTAAAGAACTGAGGCAGCATAGACTCTCATCTCCATAATTAATTATGCCTAGGCTCTGTGTTGGTAGAAGCTGTTTATTAACAATTGTGGGTGCAGACACTTCTGGATACTCTATCCCAATGTTTCTCTCAAAGAGAAAAAAGATAGAACTAAGCAAATTTTATATTAGACTATCCATATTAAAATAAATAGGCCAAGACACACACACAGGCATACACATGCATTACTTTTGAAAAGCAGAAATACAGATCAACTGTATATAATCCTGCTGAGAAATTTTCACTAACTTTGCTGTCTAAGGAACACAGGTTAAGAAAAACAATTCTCAGCAGAGGTTGCAGTGAGCCGAGATAGTGCCAGTACACTCCAGCCAGGGCAACAGAGTGACGCTCGGTATCAAAAAAGAAAAAAGCTCTTTTTTTTTTTAATTAGATCCCATTCATCAATTTTGGCTTTTGTTGCAATTGCTTTTGGTATTTTCTTCATGAAATCTTTGCCCGTGTCTATGTCCTGAATATTATTGCCTAAATTTTCTTCTAGGGTTTTCAGTTTTTGGTTTTACATTTAAGTCTTTAATTCATCTTGAGTTATTTTTTATATAGGGTGTAAGAAAGGGGTCCAGTTTCAATTTTCTGCATGTGGCTGGCCAGTTCTCCCAGCACCATTTATTAAATAGAGGATTCCTTCCTCATTGCTTGTTTTTGTCAGGTTTGTCAAAGATCAGATGGTTGTAGATGTGCAGTCTTGTTTCTGAGATACCTATTCTGTTCCATTGGTCTATGTGTCTGCTTTTGTAACACTACCATGCTTTTTTGATTATTGCAGTCTTCTAGTATAGTTTGAAGTTGGGTAACATGATGCCTCCAGCTTTGTTCTTTTTACTTCAGATTGTCTTGGCTCTTCAGGCTCTTTTTTGGTTGCATATGAATTTGAAAGCATTTTTTTTTTCAAATTCTGTGAAGAATGCCAGTGATCTTTGAATGGGAATAGCATTGAATCTATAAATTACTTTGGGCAGTATGGCCATTTTCACTATATTGATCCTTCCTATCCATGAACATGCAATGTGTTTCCATTTGTTTGTGTTCTTTTTTATTTCCTTGAGTGGTGGTTTGTAGTTCTCCTTGAAGAGATCCTTCACTTCCCTTGTTAGCTGTATTCCTAGGTGCTTTATTCTCTTTTTAGCAGTTATGAATGGGAGTTCATTTATGACTTGGTTCTCTGCTTGTCTGTTGTTGCCGTATAGGAATGCTTGTGATTTTCTGCACCTTAATTTTGTATACTGAGACTGTATTACAGCTACTTTTAATTGGCCATCTTGGCCCTGATAAATTTCCCTCTTAACACTACCTTAGCTGTATCCCAGAAATTCTTGTATATCGTATCTTTGTGCTTATTAGCTTCAAAGAACTTCTTGATTTCTGCCTTAATTGCATTATTTATCCAAAAGTCAGTCAGGAGCAAGTTATTCAATTTCCATGTAATTGTGTGTAGATTTGAGTGAATTCTCAGTCTTGATTTATAATTTGATTGTGCTGTGGTCTGATTACTATGATTTCAGTTATTTTCCATTCACCAAGGAGTGTTTTGTGTCTGATGATTTGATTGATTTTAGAGTATGTGCCTTGTGGCAATGAGAAGAATGTATATTCTGTTCTTTTTGGGTGGAGAGTTCTGTAGATATCTGTCAGGTCCATCTGACCCAGTGCTGAGTTTAGGTCCTGAAAATTTTTGTTAATTTTCTACCTTAATAATATTTCTAAGCTGTTGTTGGGGTGTTTAAATCTCCCACTATGTGGGAGTCTGTGTCTTTGAAGGTGTCTAAGCATTTGCCTTATGAATCTTGGCACTTCTGTGTTGGGTGCATGTATATTTAGGATAGTTAGGTCTTGTTGAATTGAACCCTTTACCATTATGTAATGTCTTTCTTTGTCTTTTTTGATCTTTGTTGGTATAATGTCTATTTTGTCTGAAATTAGGATTGCAACTCCTGCTTTTCTCTGTTTCTCATTTGCTTGATAGATTTTTCTCCATCTCTTTATTTTGAGCTTATAGGTGTCATTGCACGAGATGGGTCTCTTGAAGACAGCACACCAATGGGTTTTAACTCTATCCAGCTTGCCACTCTGTGCCTTTTAATTTGGGCATTTAGCCCATTTACATTCAGGGTTAATACTGGTTTGTGTGTATTTGATCCTGTTATCCTGATGTTAGCTGGTTATTATGCAGACTTGTTTATGTGGTTGCTTTATAGTGTCACTGGTCTGTGTACTTCACTGTGTTTTTGTAGTGGCTGGTAATGTTCTTTCTTTTCTAGATTTAGTGCTTCTTTCAGTAGCTCTTCTAAGGCAGGTCTGTTGGTAAAAAATTCTTTCAGCATTTGCTTGTCTGAAAAACATTTTTCTCCTTTGTTTATGAAGCTTAGTTTGGCCAGATATAAAATTCTGTGTTGGAATTTCTTTTATTTAAGAATGTTGAATTTTGGCCCCCAATTTATTCTGACTTATAGGGTTACTGCTGAGACATCTGCTGTTAGTCTGATGAACTTTTCTTTGCAGATGACCTGGCTTTTCTCTCTAGCTGCCTTTAACACTTTTTCTTTCATTTTGACCTTGGAAAACCTGATGATTATGTGCCTTCAGGATGAACTTGTTGTGGAGTATCTTACTGGAGTACTATGCATTTCTTGATTTGCATGTTGGTCTCTCCAGCTAGGTTGGGCAAGTTCTTATGGATGATATCCTAAAATATGCTTTCCAAATTGCTTACACCCTCCACATGTCTTTCAGTGACATCAGTGAGTCATAGATTTGGTTTCTGAATTATTCCATACTCCTGGGAGGTTTTGTTTCTTTTCATTCCTTTTCCTTTATTCTTGTCTGACTGTTTAATTCAGAAAGTCAGTCTTTAAGCTCTGAGATGCTTTCCTGACCTGGTCCATTCTGCTGTTAATACTTGTGATTGTATTATGAAATTCTGATAGTGTATTTTTCAGTCTGTCAGGTTTGTTATGTTCTTTTCTCTACTGGCTATTTTGTCTGTCAGCTCCTGCATTGTTTTATTGTGATTCTTAGCTTCCTTGGATTGGGTTTCAATGTATTCCTGCATCTCAATGATATTTTTATATCCATTATCTGAATTCTATTTCCATCATTTCAGCCATCTCAGCCTGGTTCAAAACCCTTGCTGGAGTAGTGGTGCAGTCATTTGAAGAAAAGAAGGCACTCTGGCTTTTTGTGTTGTCAGGGTTCTTGCACTGGTTCTTTATTGTCTTTGTGGGCTTATGTTCCTTCAATCTTTGAGGCTGCTGGCCTTTGGATGTTTTTTTCTTTTATTTTGTTTGATGATTTTGAGGGTTTGATTGTCGTATAAGGTGGATTCAGACAACTGGCTTCATTTCTGGAAAATTTTAGAGGGCTCAGTTCCCAGTTCCTGGACTGCATGCTGTAACTCTGGGGGATTTGTATCAGGCCCTAACTTTGTTCTTTTGCTCCCTGATGTTAGGAATCTACTGCACTGGGTCAGAGGGCAAGGTACCCCTGGACTGCTGGTCACTTCACTCTGATGTGTTGTGTCAGCCAAAGCATTTCATAGTGGCATGACAGTGGGATCTGTACTCATTTGCACATGCCAGTAGCAGCGTCAGTGACAGCACTGTGGGGTGCACGCTCGTTGGCTGCAGCAGAGTACTAGTGCGTGCTGGGGTGCTTGCCTCATTGTGGGTGTTAACCACAGTGGTGAAGGCAATGTGGCTGGGAGGGTGGGGGGCCCCTCCTGGTGACTGTGCATGTGGCTTCACTGGTGGTTGTATTGGCACAGGGGCAAGGTGCTGGTGGGCACAGGTCTGTGCCCATTCTGTGTGTGCTGCAGGAAGGGGTAGTTTTTCAGGGCTGAGGAGGATCTGTTGTTTCTGTGCCTAGTTTAAGTTCCATGGCAGTGTTGGCACAAGGGCAGGGCACTGATGGGGGTGGGGCTGGCTGGCTCTGTGCCTGCCAAGGCTTCAACTGTAATCGTGGTTGGCAGGGAGAGGAGAGTGGACTGCACCCCCACCACAGCAGTGGCAGGGCAGGGTGCATGCACACACTCATGTTGGTGGGGCAAGAAAAGCAAGACTAATCCATGCACACATGCACTGGCAAAGTGATGTCAGGGAGTTGCTTTGGGCCCTGGGATGCTACGGTGTGGGAAAGGAGTGTGCAGGATGCTGCATGGCCATGGGGGCTGCCCCACTGGAGACCTCCGCTAGTGAGGCACAATCCGCCAGCACAAAACCTATGATGCGGGGCCCCAGGGAACCTGAGGCTGCTTTGCAAGCAGTCATGACCAGACTGGGGTCCCAGGTGAGGCTAGCAGGCCAAGGGGAGCTCACGTCAGACTGGCCATATCTGATGGGCAAGCCTTCTCTGCAGAGTTCAGATCCAACAGTTCCCCTGGGACTAAAGTCTCCTATGAGAGCCAGTTGAGCCTAGGGGGATGGCGTCCCTGGCCATGCTTTGCTTCATAACCTTCCTCATTAAACTCTCTGGGCTCTACATTAGCTGGCTTGCTAGCCTTGCCATTTCTCTAAGCAGCACTCCCTGCCAACTCAAGTGCCTGTGGTGGTCAAGGGGTCTCCTCCTGCCAACATTCCAGAGGCCTATGGTGAGAGCAGGTTGCTCCTTGCCAGTTCAACTCATCCTTCCCTCAGAACCACTGGGGACCAGGAATAGTTCCTGGTTCATTGTTGCCTCTTGTGGGCTTCCCAGTTTCCTCCCCCTTCAGCCCAGCTTCTGTGTCTTTCCTCCCTCTACCCTTGATGCCTTCCCTCTGAAGATCTGTTAGGAGTGTGACAGTCATCTCGGTCCTGCAGTGGCAGCTCTTCCACCTGGCCGCGTCTAGTCAGCCTCTTGCCAAGAGAAAAAAAAAAAAAAAAAAAAGCAAATCTTTTTTTTTTTTTTTTTTTTTTTTGAGGCAAGGTCTCCTCCTGCCACCCTAGCTGGAATGTAGTGCTGAGGCCCTAGCTTACTATAGCCTCAACCTCCTGGGCTCAAACAATTCTCCCACCTAAGACTCCCAAGGGTCATGCACCCCCACACCTGGCTAATTTTTAATTTTTTGTTGAGATGGCCCCACTATGTTGCCCAGGCTGGCCTTGAACTACTGCTTGCTTGTCAAGTGATCTGCTTGCTTCCACCTCCCAGAGTGTTGGGATTACAGGCATGAGCCACTGCACCTGACCTGGGCTTCTTAATACATAAAATATTGATGCTAGACTCCTTCGGATTTTGCTTCAAGATAAAACATATATGTAACATGAAAAAATATTACATGGAGTGAGACCCTGTTGCCTAGGCTGGAGTGAAGTGGTGTGATTATAGCTCACTGCAGCCTCAGTTTTCTGGGCTCAAGTGACCATCCCACCTCAGCCTCCCAAGTAGCTGGAACCACAGGCATGCACCACCACATCTGGCTAATTTATTATTTATTTATTTATTTATTTTTTGCTCTGTTGCTCAGGCTGGCGTTCAGTGGTGTAATCTCAATTCACTGCAGCTTTGACCTTAGGGGCTTAAGTGATTTCCCCAACTCAGCCTCCTGAGTAGCTGGGACTACAGATGTGTGCCATCGCACCCAGCTAATTTTTGTACTTTTTGTAGAGACAGGTGATATGGATAGAGTCTGTGTCCCTGCCCAAATATCATCTTGAATTGTAATCCCCAGTGTTGAAGCTGGGGTCTGATGAGAGGTTACTGGATCATGGAGACAGAGTTATCAGGGATGTGTTAGCACCATCCCCTCTGTGCTGTTCTTGTGATAGTGAGTAAGTGAGTTATCATGACATCAGGTTGTTTAAAAGTGTGTAGTACCTTTCCCCTCACTATCTTGCTCCTGCTGCACCATGTAAGACACCTGGGTCGCCATTCACTTTCTACAATGTTTGCAAGTTTCTTGAGGCCTTCCCAGAAGCAGAAGTTGCTATGCTTCTTGAATAGCCTGCAGAAATGAGAGGTGAAGATGGCTGGGCTTCTGGGTCAGGTGGGGACTTGGAGAACTTTTCTGTCTAGCTAAAGGATTGTAAATGCACCAATCAACACTCTGTGTCTAGCTAAAGGTTTGTAAACACACCAATCAGCACTCTGTCAAAATGGACCAATCAGCTCTCTGTAACATGGACCAATCAGCTCTCTCTAAAATGGACCAATCAACAGGATGTGGGTGGGGCCAAATAAGGGAATAAAAGCAGGCCACTCCAGCCAGCAGTGGCAACCTGCTTGGGTCTCCTTCCACACTGTGGAAGCTTTGTTCTTTCGCTCTTTGCAGTAAATCTTGCTGCTGCTCACTCTTTGGGTCTGTGCTGCCTTTATGAGCTGTAACACTCACCGCATAAGTCTGCAGCTTCACTCCTGAGGCCAGTGAGACCACGAACCCACTGGAAGGAATGAACAACTCCAGACGTGCTGCCTTTAAAAACTGTAACACTCACCACGAGGGTGTGCAGCTTCATTCTTGAAGTCAGCGAGTCCAAGAACTCACGAATTCTGGACACATTTTGGCAACCATGAAGGGACAATCGACTATCGCCAAATGGTGAGCACCATCGGACGGACCCCTTTCACTTGCTATTCTGTCCTATTTTTCCTTAGAATTCAGGGGCTAAATACCGGGCCCCTGTTGGCCAGTTAAAAGTGACTAGCAAGGCCGCTGGACTAAAAACATGGGTGTCAGGCTTTCTGGGAAAGGGCTCTCTAACAACCCCTGACTCTTCGGAGTTGGGAGCATTGGTTTGCCTGGAACCAGCTTCCGCTTTTCCTGTACTTATGTGCTGAGCCGAGGCTCGACAGAGAGGAAAGCCATTCAGCTCCGGGGTCCTGACAAGTTGGTTATCCTGCGGCCATGAGTGGAACTCTCAAAGGCATGTCGCCCAAGTGAGACTCGCCCGTCTATTCTATCTACGCTGACCCTTACCTCCTGGGTCCTAATGCCTGCCAGACAAACTTACTCTCACCTCTCTTCTCTGAGGCTAGTCCCGATTCTAAAAATCACTCCCTGTCTCTGGTGCTTTTGTAGGTTCTCCTGGAAGAATGACTTCTAGTAGAAACTCCAGGACTCTATTCCCTTCTTTAGGAACCTGGGCTCACCGATCACAAAGACATAATTTTTGCCCAAAGCCCCATCATAGGGGGGACTACCTGGAATTTTAGGATCCCTCCTCAGACTAGCAGGCCTAAAAAAAGCTATTCCTGAAGCTAGGATATGGGGAGCCTCGGAAATTGTATCCTTCCAATTCATATAAATGAGGACAAAAGGAATCACTCTTCCAACTCTGGAGATCCCTTCCTTCCCTCAGTGTATGGTCCTCCACTTCATTTTTGGGGTGTAACATCTTTATAGGACACGGGTACAGTCCCAATACTAACAGGAGAATGCTTAGGACTCTAACAGGTCAGTAAGGGCCACTAAATCCAATTTTTCTCAGTCCTCCTTGTGGTCTAGAAGAATAGGCAAGGGTGCAGGCTTTCAAAAATGTGTCAGTAGGGGCCACTAAATCCAACCTTCCTCAGTCCTCCTTGTGGTCTGGGAGGAAAACTAGTGTTTCTGCTGCTGCGTCAGTGAGTGCAACTATTCCAATCAACAGAGTCCAGGGACAGTTGTGGGTTCTTGGTCAGAGGGAGAAACAAAACTAACCAAAACTGTGGGTGGTTTTGTCTTTCAGATGGGAAACACACAGGCATAAACAGGCTTACCCTTGAAATGCATCCTAAGCCATTGGGACCAATTTGACCCACAAACCCTGAAAAAAACAGAGCTCATTTTTTTCTGCACTACATCCTGGCCCCAATATTCTCTCTCTGATGGGGAAAAATGGCCACCTGAGGGAAGTACAAATTACAATACTATCTTGCAGCTTGACATTTTCTGTAAGAGGACAGGCAAATGGAATGAAATACCTTATGTTCAAGCTTTCTTTTCATTGAAGGCGAATACACAGCTATGCAAAGCTTGCAATTTACATCCCACAGGAGGACCTTTCAGCTTACCCCCATATCCTAGCCTCCCTATAGCTCCCTTTCCTATTAATGATAAGCCTCCTCTAATCTCCCCTGCCCAGAAGGAAATAAGCAAAGAAATCTCCAAAGGACCACAAAAACCCCCAAGCTAGTGGTTATGTCCCCTTCAAGCTGTAGGGGGAGGGGAATTTGGCCCAACCTGGGTACATGTCCCCTTCTCCCTCTCTGATTTAAAGCAGATCAAGGCAGACCTGGAGAAGTTTTCAGATGATCCTGATAGGTACATAGATGTCCTACAGGGTCTAGGACAAACCTTCGATCTCACTCGGAGAGATGCCATGCTATTGGTAGATCAAACCCTGGCCTTTAATGAAAAGAATGTGGCTTTAGCTGCAGCCTGAGAGTTTGGAGATACCTGGTATCATAGTCAAGTAAATGACAGAATGACAGCTGAAGACAGGGACAAATTCCCTACCGGTCAGCAAGCTGTCCCCAGTATGGATCCCCACTGGGACCTTGACTCAGATCATGGGGACTGGAGTCGCAAACATCTGTTGACCTGTGTTCTAGAAGAACTAAGGAGAATTAGGAAAAAGCCCGTGAATTATTCAATGATGTCCACCATAACTCAGGGAAAGGAAGAAAATCCTTCTGCCTTCCTCGAGTGGCTATGGGAGGCCTTAAGAAAATATACTCCCCCGTCACCTGAATCAATTGAGGGCCAATTGATTCTAAAAGATAAGTTTATTACCCAATCAGCTGCAGATACCAGGAGAAAGCTCCAAAAGCAAGCCCTGGGCCCCGAACAAAATTTGGAAGCATTATTAACCTGGCAATCTCAGTGTTCTATAATAGGGACCAAGAGGAACAGGCCCAAAAGGAAAAGCGAGATCAGGGAAGGCTGCAGCCTTAGTCATGGCCCTCAGACAAACAAACCTTGGTGACTCAGAGAGGACAGAAAATGGAGCAGGCCAATCACCCGGTAGGGCTTGTTATCATTGTGGTTTACTAGGACACTTTAAAAAAGATTGTCCAACAAGAAACAAGCCGCCCCCTCGTCCATGTCCACTATGCTGAGGCAATCACTGGAAGGTGCACTTCCCTAGAGAACAAAGGTTCTCTGGGTCAGAAGCCCCCAACCAGATGATCCAACAACAGGATTGAGGGTGCCCAGGGCAAGTGCCAGCTCATGTCATCACTGTCACTGAGCCCCAGGTACATTCAACCGTTGGAGGCCAGGAAATTGACTTCCATCTGGACACTGACGCGGCTTTCTCAGTATTAATCTCTTGTCCTGGATGACTGTCCTCAAGGTCCATTAACATCCAAGGAATCCTGGGACAGCCTGTAACCAGGTATTTCTCCCACCTCCTCAGTTGTAATTAGGAGACTTTGCTCTTTTCATATGCCTTTCTTGTTATGCCTGAAAGTCCCATACCCTTATTAGGGAGGGACATATTAGCCAAAGCTGGAGCTATTATCTACCTGAATATGGGGAACAAGTTACCCACTTGTTGTCCCCTACTTGAGGAGGGAATCAACCCTGAAGTCTGGGCATTGGAAGGACAATTTGGAAGGGCAAAAAATGCCCAACCAGTCTAAATCAAGCTAAAAGGCCCCACCACTTTTCCTTATCACAGGCAATGTCCCTTAAGGCCGAAAGCTCATAAAGGATTACAGGGTATTGTTAAAGATTTAAAAGCTTAAGGAAATGCAGCAGTCCCTGCAACACCACAATTCTAGGAGTACAAAAACCAAACAGTCAGTGGAGACTAGTGCAAGATCTTAGACTCATCAATGAGGCAGTAATTCCTCTATATCCAGTTGTACCCAACCCCTATACCCTGCTCTCTCAAATACCAGAGGAAGCAGAATGGTTCACAGTTCTGGAACTCAAAGATGTCTTCTTCTGTATCACCCTGCACTCTGACTCCCAGCTTCTCTTTGTCTTTGAGGATCCCACAGACCACATGTCCCAACTTACGTGGATGGTCTTGCCCCAAGGGGTTTAGGGATAGCCTTCATCTGTTTGGTCAGGCACTGGCCCAAGATCTAGGCCACTTCTCAAGTCCAGGCACTCTGGTCCTTCAATAAGTGGATGATTTACTTTTGGCTGCCAGTTTGGAAGCCTCATGCCAGCAGGCTACTCTAGATCTCCTGGACTTTCTAGCTAATCAAGGGTACAAGTTGTCTGGGTAGAAGTCCCAGCTTTGCCTACAGCAGGTCAAATATCTAGGCCTAATCTTAGCCAGAGGGACCAGGGCCCTCAGCAAGGAATGAATACAGCCTATACTGGCTTATCCTTGCCCTAAGACATTAAAACTCTTGTGGGGGTTCCTTGGAATCACCAGCTTTTGCCGACTATGGATCCCTGGATACAGTGAGATAGCCAGGCCCCTCTATACTCTAATCAAGGAAACCCAGAGGGGAAATACTCATCTAGTAGAATGGGAACCCGGGGCAGAAACAGCCTTCAAAACCTTAAAGCAGGCCCTAGTACAAGCTTCAGCTTTAAGCCTTCTGACAGGACAAAACTTCTCTTTACATGCCACAGAGAGAGCAGGGATAGCTCTCAGAGTCCTTACTCAGACTTGTGGGACAACCCCACAACCAGTGGCATACCTAAGTAAGGAAACTGATGTAGTAGCAAAAGGCTGGCCTCACTGTTTATGGGTAGTTGCAGCGGTGGCCATCTTTGTGTCAGAGACTATCAAGATAATACAAGGAAAGGATCTCACTGTCTGGACTACTCGTGACATAAATGGCATACTAGGTGCCAAAGGATGTTTATGGCTATCAGATACCCACCTACTTAGATACCAGGTGCAACTCCTTGAGGGATCGGTGCTTCAAATACGTACGTGCGGGGCCATCCCTGCCACTTTTCTCCCAGAGGACTGGGAACCAGTGGAGCATGACTGCCAACAAATTATAGTCCAGATTTATGCCGCCTGAGATGATCTCTTAGAAGTCCCCTTAGCTAATCCTGACTTTAATGTATATACCGATAGAAGTTCATTTGTGGAGAATGGGATATGAAGGACAGGTTATGCCATAGTTAATGATGTAACTGTACTTGAAAGTAAGCCTCTTCCCCCAGGGACCAGTGCCCAGTGAGCAGAACTAGTGGCACTTACCCGAGCCTTAGAAATGGGAAAGGGAAAAAGAATAAATGTGTATACAGATAGCAAGTATGCTTATCTAATCCTATATGACCATGCTGCAATATGGAAAGAAAGGGAGTTCCTAACCTCTGGGGGAACCCCCATTCAATACCACAAGGAAATCATAGAATTGCATGCAGTGCAAAAACCCAAGGAGGTGGCAGTCTTACACTGCCAAAGTCATCAAAAAGGGGAAGGAGAGGGGAGTACAGCAGCATAAGCAGCTGGCAGAGGCAGGGAAAGACCAGCAGAAAGGAAAGAGAGAAAGAGACAGGAAGTCAGAGAAAGAAAGAGAGAGGAAGAAACAGAGAGATGAAGAAGTTAAAGGAAGAGAAGGAGACAGAAAGTCACAGAGAGAGAGAGAGGAAGAGACAGAGACAAAGAAGAAGTCAAAGAGAAAGAGAGATGGACGTAGTAAAGAAAAAACAGTGTACCCTATTCCTTTAAAAGCCAGGGTAAAGTTGAAACCTATAATTGATAATCGAAGGCCTTCTCTGTAACCCTAAAACACTCCAATACCACCTTGTTGTCAGTGTAAACAAGGGCATAGCCTGAAAGCACTGAGGCCGCTGACAACCCATACATAGCCTTCCTATCAAAAATCCTTAACCCAGCAGGTTTCCTAACGGGGATCTAAATCTTAATTAATTACCATACAAATGTGCAAGTTGTTTGAACTCAGCCAAACCTTAAAGTACTTACAGAATCAGGAAGGAGCCATCTATACCAATTCTAAGTTAATATGGACTGAACGAGGTCTTATTAATAGCAAAGAATAATTGAAATCCCAAACTTACGAGGTTTTCAACAGAAGTAAAGTTTGCTAAAAGTTAACAGTGTAAACATATATTATCCTAACTTCTAATCTTATGGAAATCAGACACTATCAGCACCCTTCAAAGCTCAAGTCCATCAGCACAGGGCCATACAACTAATACCACTACTTACAAGGTTAGAAATAGCCACTGCTATAGGAACTGGAATAGCCAGTTTATCTACTTCATTATCCTACTACCACACACTCTCAAAGGATTTCTCAGACAATTTGCAAGAAGTAACAAAATCTATCCAATAAGGATAGTAACTACAATCCCAAATAGACTCTTTGGCAGCAGTGACTCTCCAAAACCCCTGAGGCCTAGACTTCCTCACTGCTGAGAAAGGAGGACTCTGCACCTTCTTAGGGGAAGAGTGTTGTTTTTACACTAACTGGTCAGGGATAGAACAAGAGGCTGCCCGGCATTTACAGGAAAAGTCTTCTGAAATCAGACAACACCTTTCAAACTCTTATACCAACCTCTGGAGTTGGGCAACATGGCTTCTCCCCTTTCTAGGTCCTGTGGCAGCCATCTTGCTATTACTTACCTTTGGGCCCTGTATTTTTAACTGTCTTGTCAAATTTGTTTCTTCTAGAATCAAGGCCATCAAGCTACAGATGGTCTTACAAATGGAACCCCAAATGAGTTCAACTAACAACTTCTACCGAGGACCCCTGGACCGACCCACTGGCCCTTCCAATGGCCTAAAGAGCTCCCCTCTGGAGGACACTACAACTGCAGGGCCCCTTCTTTGCACCTATCCAGCAGGAAGTAGCTAGAGCAGTCATCGACCAAATTCCCAATAGCAGTTGGGGCGTCCTGTTTAGAGAGGGGATTGAGAGGTGAAGCCGGCTGGGCTTCTGGGTCAGGTGGGGACTTGGAGAACTTTTCTGTCTAGCTAAAGGATTGTGAACACACCAATCAGCACTCTGTGTCTAGCTAAAGGTTTGTACATGCACCAATCAGCACTCTGTCAAAATGGACCAATCAGCTCTCTGTAAAATGGACCAATAAGCTCTCTCTAAAATGGAACAATCAGCTCTCTGTAAAATGGACCAATCAGCAGGATGTGGGTGGGACCAAATAAGGGAACAAAAGTAGGCCACTCCAGCCAGCAGCAGCAACCTGCTCAGTTCCCCTTCCACACTGTGGAAGCTTTGTTCTTTCGCTCTTTGCAATAAATCTTGCTGCTGCTCACTCTTTGGCTCCGTGTGGCCTTTATGAGCTGTAACACTCACCTTGTAGGTCTGCAGCTTCACTCCTGAGGCCACTGAGACCACGAACCCACCAGAAGGAACAAACAGCTCCAGACACGCCACCTTTAAGAACTGTAACACTCACCGTGGGGGTCCACGGCTTCATTCTTGAAGTCAGCCAGACCAGGAACTCACCAATTCCGGACACAGAAGCATGAGCCAATTAAACCAGACTCAGGCATTTCTTTATAGCAATGTGAGAACTAACTAATACAGCAGGATCTCTGAATGTTTCTCAGGCTGATCTCAAACTCCAGAGCTCAAGCAATCCACCTGCATTGGCCTCTCAAAGTTGCTGGCATTATAGGCGTAAGCCACCAAGCCCAGAATAAATTATTAGATATAGTAAAAAACTGGCAAATTTAGGGAATATTGAAGTATATTAAACATAAATAATACAGAAATAACAGTATCAATGTGATGATTTGATTTTTGATATTTTAAATGTATGTATATTTTATCTTTTAAAATAATTTTAAGTTCCTTCAGTTTCAATTCTTTGTGTATATTTGTGTATGGTGCAGGTGTGTGTATTTATGTGTAAATACTACCTACTTTAATATTTGGATCTGTACTAGTAGTACAAAGCATTCTTGTCTCATTAACTGAAAATGAGAATTACAATGTATAGCATAGTACACTACATACTAAAACAAAATTTACTATATAACTCATAACTATTTCAGGCAGTTAAAAATTGTTTGTTTCTTTGTTGGATTTTAATTTGAATGAAGTAGAAAACTTGTATCTTTCTTTCACTGTACTTGCACTGACAGACACAGTCCACATCTTGGGATAATAGTTCTGTGCCAAAAGAGACCTCAGTCTTCAGTGGCTATCAGACACTCAGAAATTAAATGTCAGTGATAGTGCACAAGTATGCTAGATGAAAACATTTTTCTTGTGTATTTAGTTTAAAGAAAAATTGCAGCTTTACTTTATATGAATAGAAATACTGCATTCCAATTTTCAACTTGCCATATTTAAACCTTTTAATTTAATTGTGCAAAATGTATATATTGACTTTGGGAGAATTTTTATCAAAGAAAGTTATCCTTTCTATTTAAATAGTGTATATTATAAATTATCAGCAGAAAATTAGTGACCCTCCCATTGCTAAGCATCATATCTGTCTTTAATTACTTTCACTGATAAAACTGGAGAAAATGTATGTTGTGTTCATTTGTCACTACTGCGTATTGCTTATTTAATTTGCGCTCATTTGCAGAGTTTTTGAGCTCAGCCTCACCGCTCTTGAATCATTAGAATAAAATTGTAAGTTAATTTCTCTTTCCGTTCCTCCACACAATCCTTCAAAGCTGGTCTTACAATTCTGTGAAACACAGGGGAATTTAAAATGTAATTGGAAGTGCTTTCTGACAACAACATCTGCTCCCATTACCACAAGCAGGCTATTATTTCCAGAGCACTGTTTCAAGGGTACAGAACATTTAGCATCCTGCTAAGATAAGGGAGTATTTCTCTTGTTGCTGTTTGCTTTTCTATTTTCAGAAGGTATTCAGGTGTAACACCAACTCTGACCTGAGCAGCAGTGATTGTCAGAAAGAACATTCAGTTTCGCTTCTCACTCTCTAGCTCTTTCTTCTACTTAGTTTTCTTGTTTCCTCAGAGTTTGTTATTTTTCTATTCAAAACTTACCATAATTGCACCGTTTTCACTTTGTCCAATATGTTCCCAGTGCTTCTACTGATTGCCTCAGGTGTGCTAGTTCCTAATGTTGGAGCAGTCCACCAAGTTGATCTCCTTAATGCACAAATGACATGGTCAGTAAAACATGTTTGAAAAAATTTGATGATTTTATAAAATTTCCTGAAGAAAAGGAACTCTCAAATAGATGTAACACATAAGAACAACGCCACAATTTATTTTCAGGACTGATACATTTATTTGCCTTCCTTTTATACTCAGAGATCACTGATCTTCTCTGGATCTCAATTTTCTTCAAAATATTGAGGACAGTTTACTGGTTATTTTAAAACTATTTTCACCTCAATAATAATAGCCACAAACTCCAGCATGTCCCAGCACTGTGTGCCAAGTGCTCCTCTCAGAGTTCTGCATACGTTAACTCATTTAGGCTTGTGAGCTAGCACTGTTCGCATCACCTGGTTCCAGATGAGGACAATGGGACACAGACTGTGAAGCAGCTGCCCCAGTTCCCACATCCAGAACCAGGTGATCAAGGACAGGCATGGAGGAGGAACATCCCAGTCTTTTGCTCAGGATCACCATGCTATGGTGTGACTATGTGAATTGACTTATTTACTCCTTTGCACATTCTGTAATGCTTACTTTATTTTCTCAATAAAAATGTAACATGCTTTTATTATATTTCTTTAGAGGGTCTAGTGGAAAAAGAAATGACATACCTCAAACTGCAGATTTAATAATTCTTACTAAAGTCACGTTTTTAATTAGTCACATAAAATGGCCCTAGATTTTAGAAGAATATGATGTGTTTCCACTTTACCTTACTATTAACGTTTTATATCCAATAAATTGTTATTCTATATTTAACCATTATTTTACCATGTTACCTTTTCATTTTGTATGTGTTTTTTGAAAATAGATAATACTTCATAATTATCTAATGTTTTAATTTCATAATTTCAGTACACATAATCTAATTCTGTGCAGGATTTGTACTCTTTCTAGTGTTTTTATGGTTCATGTCGATTTTATTAAGGAATCTGATATAAAGAAGGTTATCTCTAAACTATTAAGGAATCTGATATAAAGAAGGATATCTCTAAACTATTAAGGAATCTGATATAAAGAAGGATATCTCTAAACTATTAGGGAATCTGATATAAAGAAGGATATCTCTAAACTATTAAGGAATCTGATATACAAAAGGATATCTCTAAACTAGCAATCTGAGGGTATTGCATGTGAATGTTTTCTTTCCTGAACTGTGAAGTAAAATACAAGTGGGAAAGAATTGATGAATATGTAAACTGACAGAGTGGAACGTATTAATCAATGGTGCTGTGAATCTAGGTTCCTGCTTCTATAATGGCCACTGATTCGAAAGAAGTAAAAGAAAAGAAAGAAACCAGATAGGCTGCCAGATGTGAAAATAGTGGCTTATAGTATATGGTAAATATTGTCTTAAAGTTTTGACAATTTTCAAGATATGAAGGTTTTTAGTCGCATTTAAATTGCAGTAATATTTTCGTGGGAAAATTATCTCTTTTGTTATTTAACACAAACTTTCTAATGGCCTTGTCCTATATTATGGTATAAATATTACATAATAAAATAGGAACAGATTTTTATTATATAAAGTTTTCTCATGCGTAAATGGTAAAGAGGTAATTATGGTGATTTCAGGAAAAAACAAGGCTTACTGCTTGAATAAACACTGGGCTTTATTGGAAAAAAGTATTCACAGCCTGACCACCTTCCTCTTTTGCTGATGGCAGGGTGGACAAGTCTGTGTTCATAGGATGGAAACACGGTGTGAGTACCAGGTACTTCAACATGGCACAGCATCCTATTTGTGGCAGCCGAGTTCCCTTGGAAAGTGTACGAGCACAGTTGGAGCCAAGGTTTTCAGAGAGAGGGTGGAAAAATAAAGTTTAGCAGCTAATCCAAAGACAGAAGCAAGACTGGAAGAAGAGATAATACCCCAAAGGACTCCAGTGGAACACGAACAAAAAAAGGAGGTTGTTAGAAGCAACTATTGCAGCAGGTGCAGGATGTCCACAGTATGCCTGCTTGGACAGAATGGACTGATTGGTGATATTTTCTGAGTCAACCTGGGAAATTCTTCTGATTAATTCATTGATTCTAAAGTTTTTTAGTTTTCTGTGGTGTTTTGCTCTAGGAGTGGGCTATGTCTGTGCTGATATATCAAGTACAATTGTTCAATTTACTCATGCAAGAGACTAACAGAGAACTGAAAAAGCCAATTACCAAATGGGATTCTCTAGCATCTATTATATAATGATGACCATATTTTTATTATAATAATAAAACTAGACATAATAATACCAGCTAACATTTATGGGATGCTTAATTCTAGGCATTATGCTGAGAATATCTTATGCATTATTTTCTTTAGTTTTCTTAACACACTTAATAGGTTATTATTACTGTTATTATTATTCCTACACTAATAGGGAAGATATTATTAAAGTTTATGAAATGCTCATTACCAACTAAAGGTCACACATATTACAAGTGAGGAGCCCAGCTCTTGACCTAAGTCTTGTGACTCAAACACTACAATTGTTATATGATAATTTCCTCTTCATGGATGCTGATAGAATGTTACCAGAATGCTCTCCCATAGTAGGCACTCAATAAATGACTAACGGAAGAAAGGAAGGAAGGAAGGAAGGAAGGAAGGAAGGAAGGAAGGAAGGAAGGAAGGAAGGAACCATTACACATTTTTCATGTAAGAATTTTTATATGTGTCCCTTCACCACACCAATACTTTAACAAAGCTTTTTAAAACAGTTATCCATTGCCAAATATGCATGTAGTTGTGAAATAAAGGGTGAGTGCATGGGCATTTAGGGGCTAAGGATAAGGTATCATCAGCATAGAGAGGTAGCAGGCAGAGATAGAGCTGATGAAAGGGAAATCCAGACAAAGAGCCCCAGTAAGAGCTGGCAGACTGTGACTGTGACACAGGCATATGCCCTTCCCTGGTTCTCTCTATAGGAAAACAAAATTATTTCAGAGAAAGCTGAACTTGAGTTTCCTGCTGTTGAATGTGAATAAAGAACTTAGTCATTGCATTAATAATAAAGGAAAAGTAATTATCAATGATACAAAGATATGAAACAAGTATGTTACAAAAGCTTTTATATTTAACTCAGTTTCTTCCTTGGAGATGCAATGTCAACATTTTCCTAGGCTAAAAATAGGTAATCAAATCCTTGTTTGTTGCTTAAGAAATATTTTTAATATGTGTGCATATATTAAACCTCAGAGAATTACATTGATGAGATAATGCTTGAATTTCCATTTATCATTTAAAGCCAATGACTTAATTAAGCTTTGATAAATTTTCATTAATTATTTAACCTCAAAGAAAGCTTATAAGACACCCCAGAGTGCTTATTTCTAACTAATAGGCAGTGCAGGAAATAAATTTTTATACAAACATTCATATAGTTTATTAATATTTAAGACTACACTTCTTGTTGCCAACTATTTTTAATAAAATGTATTATTTCAAATATATCAAAGAAAATTAGAACTTTGTTAAATGTTACTAACATCTGAGTCAACTACAAAACTATCACACTAAAATATAAGCAGTTTATTTTCAGTATCTTAAAACTGAGGAAAAAAATATTTCATGTCTTAGAATATCCTAGTTAAACTACATTTCACCAACAGGAATCCATTGTAGTGTTTTCATTTCAGTCTAGTCTAATCTTATTTTTTATTATATCATTTTTAATGTATAATTCTAGTCTTAATTGTTGTTTCTCTATCATTCTCCCAGGGTCCCTTTATGTCACTCATAATATTGCAGACATGGGAGGTGCTCCATCAAACCCAGAATGAAAGAATTTAATAATTGCATGAGATGTTAAACATTCCCTAGTTCATTCACCCACCCACACAATGATCGAAGCTCAATTAAGTAAATATGACCAAATTGAACACTAAAAATGTACCTCCCTTCCAATAAAAGAACATCTCAACCAATAGTTGCATTAGGTGTTAAATATCACCTATTTCATTCACCCATGCAATGATTGATGCTCAATTAAATAAATATGACAAAATTGAACATTAAAAAAGTATTCCCCCCATAAAGGAACGTCTCAGCCACTCTATCTAATGCACCCACTTTACCAGGCACATTAACCTGACCAAACTAACTTGATTAGTCTCTTTCTAGTTGCCAAAGCCTAGAAAGATTTCAGTTGTAGTCTATTATTGATGACTGAAACAATAACAGTTTGAGTTATTTAAAATACAGAAAATTGAGAGGATAAGAAAAATTCCCAAAAGAGTATGTTATGGGCCAATCACGGTGACTCATGCTGCAATCGCAGTGCTTTGGATGACTGAGGCAGGAAGGTTGATTGAGGCCAGGAGTTTAAGATCAGCCTCAAAACAGCAAGACCACGTCTCTACCAAAAAAAATAAATTAAATTAAATTAAAATTATCTAGGCATTGTGGTTGTGCATGTGCATGCCTGTAGTCCTAGCTACTCAGGGGACTAAAGTGGGAGGATTGCCTGAGCCCAAGATGTCAAAGGTTGCAATGAGCCCTGATCCTGCCACTGCTCCTCAGCCTGGGTGACAGAGACCCTATCTCTTTTAAAAAATGTGTGTTACAAACCAAATATTTGTGTCTATTTGTGTCCTCCCTCAATTCATATGTTGAAATTCACACTGCCAATGAGATGGTATTTGGAGTTAGGCCTTTGGGAGATGATTAGGTTTAGATGAGGTCATGAGGAAGGGGCGCCATAATGGGATCAGTGTCCTCATAATAAAAGAAAAGCCTGGAGCTTGCTCTCTCTCTTTCTTTCTTTCTTTTCTTTTTTTTTTTTTTTTTTTTTTTTTGAGACAGAGTCTCGCTCTGTCGCCCAGGCTGGAGTGCAGTGGCGCGATCTCAGCTCACTGCAAGCTCCACCTCCCGGGTTCAGGCCATTCTCCTGCCTCAGCCTCCTGAGTAGCTGGGACCACAGGCGCCCGCCACCACGCCTGGCTAATTTTTTTGTATTTTTATTAGAGACGGGGTTTCACCATGTTAGCCAGGATGTTCTCCATCTCCTGACCTCTTGATCCACCCGCCTCGGCCTCCCAAAGTGCTGGGATTACAGGTGCTCTCTTTCTTAGTGGGGCAAAGAGGAGGTTATGTGAGTGCATATTGAGAAGGCACCACCCAGGAGCCAAAAGAAAGGGCTCAGAATGAAACCTACGATGTTAGCAGCTTCATCTTGGCCTTCCCAGTTTCCAGAATTGTGAGAGATACATTTCTATTGTGTAATCTATTCAGCCTATGGTATTTTGTTAGGCAGCCAAGCTAAGAGTAAAAACTTAGGGAGGAGAAATTGACTAAAAAAAAGGAGGCAAAGATCTAAGTTGTAAGTTGAACATAAAATAAAAGTAATGGAAATAGACTACAAAGAGAACAAGGAGGATTCTGGGGAAAAAAAATGAAGCAAGACATTCAAATAAACCCTGATGTGTCTGAGTAGACTTGAATGGAGATAAAGGTAAATGATTAGACTGAACAATTCAAAGATGTCTCCAAAAAAAAAAAACAGAGAACATTAATCATTAAATGAAATGGTCTAGTGAAATATCATTTGACCCTCGAAGATTTGCTTGTTCCATATGGAAATGTGACCAAAAGTTGAGTCAGTTGTTTTATTTAGTAAGACAAAATTTGGTTATGTATATTTTAGATTTTTTGGTCTGAAATATTGCTTAAACAGTAAAGATATTGCAGAATATAAATATACATTTGTATTGGTCTGCTTTCACACTGCTCTGATGAAATACTTGACGCTGGGTGATTTATAAAGGAAAGAAGTTTAATTGACTCACAGTTCCATGTTGCTGGGGAGGCCTCAGGAAACTTAACAATCATGATCAAGGCAAAGGAGAAGCAAGCACCTTCTTCACAGGGCAGCAGGGGGGAGTGAGTGCCAGCAGGGAAAATACCAAATGCTTATAAAACCATCAGATCTTATGAGACTCACTCACTCTTACATGAAACACATGCGGGAAACTGCCCCCAAGATCCAATTACCTCCACCTGGTCCTGCCCTTGACATGTGGAGATTATGGGGATTACAATTCAAGATGAGATTTTGGGTGAGGACACAGCCAAACCATATCAACATTTACGTAATCATTTTTCAGAATTATTAATAACTTTCACTGGGCACACTGGCTCACACCTTTAATCCTAGCACTTTGTGAGACTGAGGACAGCGGATCACTTGAGGTCAGGAGTTAGAGACCAGCCTTGCCAACATGGCGAAACCCCGTCTCTACTAAAAATACGAAAATTAGCCAGGCATGGTGGCACATGTCTGTAATCCCAGCTACTCAGGAGACGGAGGCTGGAGAATCCCTTGAACCTGAGAGGCAGAGGTTGTAGTGAGCCAAGATCCCACCACTGAACTCCAGCCTGGGCGACAGAATGAGACTCTGTCTCAAAAAAAAAAAAAAAAAGAATTATTAATAACCTTTATTTTTTAAAGAATCTGGGTGATTTCAAAAAATAGAGATACAAGGGGCCAGGCGTGGTGGCTCATGCCTGTAATCCCAGCATTTTGGGAGGCCAAGGTGGGCAGATCACCTGAGCTCAAGAGATTGAGACCAGCCTAGCCAACATGGTGAAATCCCATCTCTACTAAAAGATACAAAAATTAGCCGGGCGTGGTGGTGGGTGCCTGTAATTCCAGCTATTCGAGAGGCTGAGGCAGGAGAATTTATTGAACCCAGGAGATGGAGGTTGCAGTGAGCTGACACGGTTCCACTGCACTCCAGCCTGGGTGACAGAGTGAGACTCTGTCTCAAAAAAATAAAATAAAAAAATAAATAGAGATACAAGAATTAAGTATGCATTCTTTATAATCAAGTAAAATATATAAATGTAAAACATCAGTTAAGTTTTTCTCACATTGCATTCAGTACTGGTAATAACTGAAGAAATCTAATAGCTCTTATTGAAACATGTTCACTACCTTTCTTCTAATTCATTAATTTTCTCCCCTACTGTGTCCATTCTGCTATGAAATTTATCCTTTGAATCCTTAATTATTACATTCTTCATTCTGTAATCTATCTTATAGGACATGGTAATCACAGCTCTTTGTAAGTTTAATCTCAACATCTTTGATAACTTGGTCATAATTATTATTTTCTTTTCACTTTAAATGACTTTTCTAGCTATTTTTAGTGGGAGTACTTGTCTGCTGCAAGCTGTTTTAACAGGGTAGGAGGCAGATGTGAGTCCCTAGTAACAATCTCCAGAGCTCATTATTGTTAAGTGTTAGCTATTACACAGGTATTAGGGTAGATATTAATATGTTTTCAGACCTAAAATACAGATTCTTTGAAGAACAGCTGTCTTTAGTTACTTTAAGTATTCATATTGCTTTAAAATACTTCTAATACCAGAATCAATTCCAGATCAGCAAGCACAGCTTCTAGTTAATGCTTTCCCATGATAAAATCCTGTGCCAACTTGATGAAAAGAAAAGCCATGGTTTTTCTCCATAATGACACTTACTTTTCCCTTGAATAAATCTCTGTGGGTAGATCTTTCAAATTGTTGACATGTTAATTCCACCTCCTTAGGAATTTAATTTACTGGCTATATATTCTGTACCTTTCTTAATTCTTGAATCAGCATATCATGATGGGTTTCTTAGGAGTTTACAGGCTGGGTTTTCTAGCCCAAAATATTCCCAATGAAGTGGCCCAGTGTAAAGTGAGATTGAAGTTGTGCCTCAAGCAAAATATATTAGTTTACATTCATAAATGATAAGCGAAGCGTATCATGGTTGCTTACATCCATGTGATATACTGAATGCTGTTTCACTCCCACTTGACTGGGCCTTCCCGCTCTCATCTTCCCTCATAATTAGATGTGGTAGCTTCCAATGTCAACTTTTTGGCCTCCTTTTCCCTAATGTCTCATACCTGCCCAGACTCTCATCCTGAATCTTTCTTTTTGTGCCTTCTCTTTCTTCCTGTAGCTGAGTTGCTGAGTGCAATCACACACACATGCACACACACACACGTGCCTTTGTATTGGGGATACTGCAGATTCATGGGCTGTAATTTCAACTGCATCCTCAGTCCTGTTCTGAAAATCAATCCATAGAATTTGGAAAAGCTTTTTTCTTTTTTCTTTGGAAAACAGTCATTTAAAAAACCACATTCTTGTGAAGGAATGCATGATCCTGATGTAAAGGTTGTGATCTAATCAGGGAAACAATAGGAGTGAAGGTAGAGGGTCTCCGTGGCCACTACCAGACTATAATGAGACTGAGCCTGAAGGAGCTGCACCAAATGTGTTACAAACATCTGGGTGGATGCAGGTGACGGCGGAAGAAACAGTCAGAAGGCACCAATAGGGTGGATCTTCATGTCCCTTGTTCCAGACAGTAACATTTTAACCAGAAAACAATGCCAACAACAAACTGCCTCTCTTCCTGAAGAGGGCTGGTCACTGGCTGCCCAGTGTCCTTGAGTCCTAGAGGCACATGACGCATGGCCAGGGTCAGCCAGTGTCCTCCTAGATGTGGATGGCCAGGTTGTCCAAATCTCAGAGAAGGATAATGTGCCTCTGACTAGATTAGTGAGCGACTAGGTCCTTGAGTATTTCTGAGAGGTGAAACATAAAACCCTCTTCTAAGAAAGAAGCACAGGAATACTGGTCAGAACATGCTGTGGGGTTTTCTGTGCATGGTGCATGATGAAACTGAGAATAGCAGAACTCTCTGAAAACCTCAGTGGTTCTGTCATTAATTTGGCTATGACATTGGCCCAGATGCTAAATAGTTTAGCTAAATAGTTTCTATGCCCTTTGGGGTCACAGAAAGCCTGAGTACATACCAGGTAAACTCCTAAAACCCTCACCAGACAACTGTGGAAATGTTTTCTGATTTACACTCTGCTATCTACAACCTGGGAAGCTTTACATTCCAGAAATGTGGGTCTGGATTGTTTAAGACTGTGATTAGCAGGCACACAATTCTCCCTTCCAATCAAGGAGGTCCTTAGAAATATTCCCACAATGGAATTGATGCTGGTCCAAGCGGCTGCTTGCCTGATCTCTTCTCTTAGAGGCTCCAAACCTCAACCTGAGACCCCCAAAGCTTTGATATGCCTCTCAGAGTTTCTCGCTTAGCTTTCATCTTCTTTCCTGTACAGATGCAGAATTTAGCACATATCCCAGGGCACAAGCCCCAAGCCTCTGTCTCTCTCTGCAGTTTTGGGAGATTTCCAACAGTTTTGCTGGTCTCTTGTCCCCAGCAGCCGTCGTCTCCTGGTGCAAATCTGGATACTCAGTTGTGTTCAACATCTGTAAATGTCAAGGGAGAAAAGCAAGGGAGGACTGTGGCCTCACCTGGGCAGTCTTTCTCCCTCTCTAGCCTTAGCTTTTTAGCGCCGTTTGCTTCCACAGACTTTGGCCATTCACGGAAACATGCCTGTGCTTTAGTCTACTCTTTGAGTTATTCTTGGCATGAGTATTGCTGTGCCACTAGCTTCTCCCCCTGACACCAGTGAAAGTCTACTGTATATATGTGTATGAAATAAAATATCTCATGAGCTCACAATGATACTTGTAATTCAAATTTTGGACTAGAGTATTTTTATATAACCTCATCTACTTTACATTGACACCCTTATTTCCTTCCCTACAGAAAATTACAGTTCCAAATGACACCAACAAAATTATTAAATTTGTTTTATCCCACACCCTCATGTCAAAGAAAGAAACTAAAAATATGAATGCCACCACTAACAATATGATTACTGTAAAGAATCATTATTATCATTATTATTAGTTTGCCATTCTATTTGTTCTTAGCATTGATTCTACTAGGATTATGCAGCTTAATACTTCATTCCATTGTGGATAAGCTGAATTTAAAGTGTAATAAAGAGAGAGATGGTGAGTGATTCAACAACCTTACTGGTTGCAATAGAAATTAGAAGATACTTAAATAAATAGAATTAGGTTATCCAATAAACTGGGAATAATTTAATGCCATGTTTATAATACTATATAAAAAGGGTTAAATTTTATGTTCTCCCTCTCTCTATATATAGATATATATGCATTAAAGACATAAATTAATAAAACAAAACAACAGCATTACAAAATCCCTGTTATCTTGGGTAAGAACATTTTTTCAAACACTTCAAAATAATCATAAATAATACAGCAAAATAAATTTACAACTATACTTTTAAAAAGCATTCAGCACAAAATAGTATGTAGTTGCAAATGCTAAAAGAAAAATGTAAAAACATTTTGAAAATAGATATATATGAGGGATTTACATCTGGAATCAGTTCTAATGGCATTTCAAGCTAATTAGAAGCACTCAAATAAAAATAAGTTGAAAAGTAGGCAAGATATATATACACACATATATATGCATATTTATATACATATATATATATATATATATATGAGCAGGAAATTCAAAAAACATGGCTCCAAAATGACCAGTGCAATAATAAAAAGTTGCTCAATTTTATTAGACAAAGGAATACTGGATATTAAAATTATAACGAGCTAATGTATTCTCTCAATTGTTGACATAAATAAGCCCTTTAACAATACTAAGTGTTGGTGATAAAGTGGAGCAGGGAAACGGTCATTTTTGGCCTACAGTGTGAATTGGTCTATCACTTTGAAGGATAATTAGGAAGAGTGTAGTAAAACTGAAGCTGGACAGACCCTGTAACCTCATACTTACCATTCTAGTATCCACATGAGTGAGAGGAGCATGTATAAGTCTAGTTGTTGGACCAACAAGAAAAAAAATGTCAATGATCGACAGGCAAATGGACAGTAAAATGAAAAATAAAATATGGTACATTCATATGATGGAGCATTAACTGTGTAGTGGATGATATATATGTACAGTTTTCAGTTTTTAAGAGGAAAAATAATAGAATAAAAATAACTAAAGCATTTGGAATAATTGATATTTAAAAGTTGCATTTGTTTGGTTTGTTGGGCTTTACTTTTGTATCCTTTAAATAAACAAAAGGTATTTTATTTATGTGCTTAGAAATATGGTGCTATTTAAATATATAATTTTGGTATTAAAAATACCAAATATATTGCATTTCTATAATTTTATCATCTATGCCCTAAATAAAATCATATTTATATGCAGCAATGATAATTCTCTAAAGAATAAAAATGGCTTTAGATGTGTCTTTCAACTCACCCCTTTTCAATGACAAGACTATGTATCACATGTAAGGATAACAGATACATTCTTCTATAAATTCAAGCTGCCTCTCCCATTTAATGAGTAGAAGACTGGGGTTGGTTTTTTCGTTTTTGTTTTTGTTTTTTAAAAAAAAAGGTAAAGAAGAGGAGACAATGCTTGAAGCATGTTTGAAGTTAAAATCATGAATCATGAAATAGTGTAAAATATTATTTTATTTTTTATTTTTATTATTAGTATTATTTTCTTTATAGACATGAGGTCTCACTATATTGCCCAGGCTGGTCTCTAACTCCTAAACTCAAGTGACCCTCTCGCCTCAGCCTTCCCAAGTGCTAGGATTACAGGAGTGAGCCACCATGCCCAACCCTAGTATAAGATATAAAATAATGCCGTAGTAATTTATAGTATTCAAAACTGAAAAAAAATTATGCATTCTAGCAATTCACTTTTTAAGTGACCTACCACTCAACAGAAGAAAGGTAAGATTTAGTCATCACATTTTAGGGATGCAGTTTTTGAAATAAAATTAACATTCACCTTTATAACTCAAAAAATAATGACATATTAATACACTAGTTACATAAATATTGTTGCTTCTCAGTCATAAGAATGACTTGTTTGGCTGTTAATGTCCTACTCATTATATAACAGTACCTTAGAGGATTTGCATAATAGGGTTGCTTAATATACCCTGATATTAGAGAGTCCTAAGGGTGTGAAAGTCTGTCACACAACTTCAGCATTGCTCACCCAACATCTCCCCACCATAGAATTTGCTCCTTTGATTTGTCATCATGGCTTCCCTTTTTGCATATTATGTTGTTGCTTTTGGCCACACGCAGCCCCCTCTCTTCTGTCTGCCTTCTTCCCCAAGGGTCCCTGTATCTTTTTTATGGAAAATAATACTTAAAGTCAAACCTGGGATGTAAGGCAGTGTATTACATTGGTCCAAATGAGCACAGGGGTAAGTAAAGTGGAAAGAGAAGAGGTATCACACATAGTATGTCAGAGATGGAAAAAGAGGCCTGGATCAACAACCAAGGTCCACAATTCACACCAGTGTCTGTGACTCACTCTGCAGTGTTAAAGCATGTTCTCATATTAGTTCTTAGCAATCCATACCTCCCTCTTTTTTAACTCTAGTTTTCTATGTCTCTGGCAACTTCTGTTTATCACACTATATATTAACATGAGAAATTATGTCTTTGAATTTCAACGCTGCCTATGGAAGTCTCCATGTTGTCTTTCTTCTACACAAACTTTGTCCCAATTATCTTGGAATTGCCCCCAAGATATGCAGGATCCTTGTACTGTCTCAAAAACAAAGCACTGGAAAGAAAAATTATTCAAGAATTGTCAAGTGTGGCATGTATGATATTACAAATAAAATTCCCAGACACTTCATATAAGATTATAATGAAAAGATTGATATGGAGAAATATTCTCAAAATCTTGCTCAGAATATTTTTTTAGACTTGACTTTCTTTTCTGTATTTTTCCTTTCCTCTATGACATTATTCATTTAAAAAATTATAAGTGGCATTATTGTTTATCATTTTGTTCCTTCTGCTTAAGATTATTTAGTATTTTTTTGACTAATGTTATTTCACTTTTCCATTCTACAGCTGTTTTCCAACATATGAATGTATTCAATAATACCTTATTTCTTTGTTCCAGACCTCAGCCTAGTTGCCCCAAAAAGCTTATGAATGAAGAAAATGCTGTCCGGGTTTGTTTCTTTGTTTTTGGATGAACAGCTTAGATATATAGCAAATGCATATTTTAAAATTTTGAGGTTTTCTGAAAAAATTTATTGTCTCAGTTTCAATTTTAGAGAGACCCTAGGATGCATAAAAATAACTATTATGTCAGTGGCACAATACCCTTGATATTCCCCAAACCAAACTATTGAAAAATTAGCTCAAAATTAATGCTAAAAAATCAAAGCAATAGTAAAAATATCAAAATTTACAAAGTTGACCTTTCAAAGTGTTTGTTGCTTCTGAAATAAAAACTTCTCCACAAGGATGAATTCACCAAAAGCACAAGTATACAACCCCAATTCCAATCCCATAGTCACATTACATTAGAAACCCTATAGCATCTCCATAAATAATTCCAAGATATCATTGGTACATGCCAGGAACATTTGGAAAATGCCTGAGATGGCAGATAATGAAAGAAAACAACAGGTATGTTCTCAGTTGTCTGTTTAGCAAATATCTAAAATTATGAATAGACCAAAATACACCGTGGGTGTGCCTATGGTATAGACTATAACTATGTATTTGTAAATTACATTTTGTGGTAAACCACGGGACACCAAAGCACTAGACCACAATGTAAAAAGTAAAATCCACAAAAATAACAAATTCATAACACATTTTTTTCCATCAGGAAAAAGCCAGAGGTTAGAGACTAGAGACGTATCAAGACTTTGGTGTTCTCTCTCCAGCACTCAGTCGGGGCTGTAGTATGAACTGAGATGGCGCCACTACCGTGGCTTCCCCCCACGTCACCATGCATGGAAATGCTGATGTTTATTTTGTACAACACTTAGTCTACCTTAGCAAATACAGGAATTTATATCATGAAAGGCATGTTGCTAAAAATAAAAATTAAAAAAATTAAGCAAGTGGTATTGGCTTAGTAGCACTGGGTATTCAGTTGATAGAAAAAGAATAGATATTCCAGCCTGGGAAGCAGAGGATCTGTATTATACAGGAGGAAATCTTTGACTAATCTATGGTCAGACATATAATAGCTAGAGGGAAAACCACATGCTGCCTGACGCTCTGATCATAGCAACAGTGATTAGAAAGAGTGAGAGTCTTTGAAAACATTGCAAACAAGAGGTGAAGTCAGGCGAGCTTTGTGCAGCTTTCATGCAGAGATGGATGAGAATAAAGAGAGTGCAAAGAACAAGATGATGTTGCAATGGACTCCAAATTGTAGGAATCAGGTTCAGAACAATTCCTCGGTGACAGAGATCCAGCAACTCAGTTAAATAAAGTGACATTCTCCCTGGAAAAGCACATCACAGAATGGACAAATACGCTTCTGTTATCATGGTGCTTATATTCTTTGGGGAAAGGGAAACAGTTGAGTCAACAAGAAAGTAATTAATAGTAACAACTGTGTAAGCAATTTTAAATGAAGGATGCAGCTTGAGCATCTTTGCATAGATCATATAGATCCTCCTGTGATAATAGTTAAAATGCTACCTGAATTGAACATGAGGATTCTCATATGACAAGAGAAATGCTTCTCGGCAAAAAATAAAATTAGGTGCAAAGGTAGAAACTTGTTTGGGCTTTTCAAGGAAAAAGCAGCCATTGTGCCCTGGGAGAAAGGAGCCCCCGGGAAAGGAGTGTTCAGTGAGACCCCTCAGGTGAGACCCCTCAGAGTTACCTTTTGCAGAGTGACTCTCATTGCTGGATGAAGTTTCTTCTGCAGTAAATACAGAGGGACATGTCAGTCAGTGTAAGGGACATAGATAGCCTTGCAATCTCAGACAAAATGCCCAAAGGCATTCTCAGTAACAGGTTAGAATAGAGCTTGCACTCTCTAAACATTTTCTTAAATGACCGTGACACACCTCGTAACTGGAACTTTGTTAATGAACGCTTTACAGGAACTCATGGAAGAATAGATCACTTTAATGTACTTCATGACTTCAGATGAGTTTATCCTTTTATACGTGGCCTGATATATGTTCAGACTTTATCTGTAGACACAGGTAAAGTAATTAAAGGTGCAAAGTTGTTGAAGAGAGTAAAAAAGGGAGATCCCTCTGAATGTAAAAGATAATATGACTATTAAAAGATCCCTCTGAATGTAAAAGATAATATGACTATAAAATTAGGGGTTTAGGCAATAAACCTGATGCAAAGCTTCCTTGGATCTATTCCCTTCGGTGGCTGAGGCACAGCTTTGAAATCAAGTAGACAGATGCTGAAGGAAGTGTATTGTTCAATTAGGTGAGGGTGCAAGCAGAAATAATGCTTTAATTCCACTCTGCTACCAAGCAGATGCCAGCACGCTGGAGCATGGAGGACCTGCGCATCCTCGTGCTCACCTCCAGTCGCCATTTTTCTCCCTCTCCCCCACCTCCCCACCTCCAGCACATCTAATGTAGCTGGCCAGTGGGATTATATTTGGTGGACTGAAAACAAATTTCTTTCCTGTTTTTCCCATTTGAACTGTAAGTTTTGCTTTCCACTGGTCCCCAAAGTGTCAAAATCCACCAGGTTTGTTCCCAGTGCCTCTTCATTTCCAGCACAATGAGGTTCAGTGTCTGAGGACCAGCAGCATCGCCTGGAGGAAGAGCGTCCTACAGTGGGAGAAGTCGTAGAGCAGAGCTCGCTGACACAGTGACTTTTTCCACATCTTCAAGTCTCCATAGACGGCTGTCACAACTCCTTTCTTTGTAGAAATCATGAGTGACATCAGTGATATGCATTTGGAGAGGCTCACACCTCCCTTGTGCAGCTAGCAGTCTTAATGCCCCCCGCAAATTTTACGAGTGTCAGTGGATGCCATTTCTCCACAATAACCCACACGTTTTAACTACAGATAATCAATCTTACTTTACAGATACTTTCACAAGTTTTCAAGAAAAAAAATCTTAAGTGATTTAACTTCTAGAAATTTTTTAAGCATCTAAAGTCATTTATGCTAGCACTTACCATCAAGACACAAAAATCAGAGTAGTGTGCTTGTAACTATTATGATTAATAAATGGACATTTGGATGGCTTTTAAACTGTAAGTGATATGCTTTTGGAAGCATGCATTTATTTTTATATAACTTTTTAGATAAATGTTATGAATATATAAAACTAGGGTATCAAATATTTATCACATAATTGCTATCATTGTTTTTTAATGTAATCCAACACATTCCAGGGAGAACAACATGCTGATTTTGTTAGCACATAAAGTGACTGATGTTTTCTGAATAAAGCAATAGCAATTAAAAGTGAAGACACTGAAATATATGAGGCCAGAGTAAATAATGACAGAATAAAAAACATTATATTCTGGCTTGGCAGTGGATTAAAGAGTTTAATTATTTTATTTGTTACAATTTTTCAAAATTGAAGGCATTAGCTCAAAATTTAGAATTTTAATGTAGCCATTAACCTAACAAAAGGAAATTATGTATGGACATTGTGTGTTTGAAGAAATCAAATCACATAAAGTTGAGGGGAAAATGTACTTCTCTAAACTTCATCTAAACCTCTCAAATGAGAAAAATCTAAATCCTGAAAAATAGGCTATGTTGCTTATTTTTATTTTTTAACTTATGAAGAAAAATTCTTGAAATTTGAAGAGCAGTTTTCCAATGAGAAGAGCATATGTACCCAACCTCATTCAGTGTTTATTTTTTTAAAACAAATATTTAATTTTCAGTTCTAGCTTTGAGAAGTTTTCTTGTGGGAATTTGTGATCTCTTAATCTCTCAAGAGAAGGGCCCTCATCAGATGCAAAATCTTCAAGAAGAGGGTCCTTGCATCTTCCTGGCTCTCACAGGATTGCCCTGGGGGACAAATCAAGAGAGCTGTATGCAGCTCCTATAAACTCTGAGGACTTTTATAAATACTTTCTCGATATAGAGTAAAAGGAATTTTTTTTTCCTGTGTACTCTATAAAAGCAAAATATTAAGTGAATGTCTGAACAATTCAGAATGACAGATTTAAACATCCAACAATGTGTTTTAGGATTGTTGTTAAGTAGAAAGTGCAAATTCCAAGATGACTGAACAAGTAAACAATCACACTCATATCTGATTTTTTTTGACAAAATGGTGTGACTAGTTGAAAACTTGAAAAATTTATTACAATAAATATTTAATTTTAAACAACATTCCAAAATACAAAAAGTCTAAAAATACTGAAGAGCTTTCCTTTCTGAAACAAAACAAAACATTTGTTTGATTAGGTTGATAATTTCTTTCTTGAATCAGAGTGAGAGTTGTTCAAAGTGGGAGGTAAGCCTCAGGATCCAGAAGTTAAGACAGAAGAAAACAAATAAACAAATTTGAAGACTCACATCTTAAAATTGTAATGAATTTTATGTGGATACAGCGGGTACATTTGGATGACCATGCGGGGAGAGTGAGTGGTTGGTGGATGAAACTCTGAGGCCGACAGAGCAAACCCAGCAATATGAATGGGAAATTAAATGCATGCAGGAAGTTAGAGTGACCGACAAAGAGTCCTCTGGTAGCTGCTGTGACCTGGGCTAGGAGATAGGAGATTGTCACCACAAGGAGCTCTGTATGTAATCAGCGTGGTCAGGAACGGGGAGGGGAGTGAGTGTTGTGTACGAGGAGATCAGTGTCAGTACATGCTGACACTTGCAGCCATGTGTCTTGGTCTAGGGTTTCTTCCCTGTGTTGGCACTGTTTTCCTGAGTAAATTTAGATCTTCTGTGTAATGAAAGAGCCAAATTTACTCAGAGATAAATTAAAGGTATGCTAGCATAAGAAGACATTGTTATAGAAGAATAATAAGGGAATACATTTGATGACCCAAGCTATCCACACTCATCCTGGACCCTGAGAAGCAAAAGCACATTTTACTGTCTACATTAACATGACTTGGCTATTCAGTTGTCTTCAGTGGGTCTCCTTTTCAGGGACTGTGCAGCTCCAGCACATGTTTGATTTTTCATTCCAGGAATGTTGAGAAAGACCCATCAACCTTTCCATGGGAAGCATCAATAGTCAGCATGTGCCAGAGGATTCTTTTAATCCTCCTCTCAAAATCACCACCTTGTTGTTATATCCACCAATCCTGAGCTGTTGGATCATGATCCATACCCAGTCCTAATAAAGCACCTGTTTTGAAAGTTATGCTTTATATCACACTTCCAATTATCAAGGAATTACCATCTTACTATCTCCCTGCAAACCCTGCCACCAGGGACTGGCACAGCTTTGTGAGGCGGTGTTCATCCTTACCTCGGTGAGAAGTAAACTTGGCTTTGTCTTAGCAGTTTGTGTCGGTGATATCTGGGGAGCCAGGTTTAACAAATGTCTAGAAGTAATAGAGTTCCACAAAATACTCAATAACAATCTTTATTGTAGAACAAAGTTTATGAAATCTCATTTCATAATACTTATTTAATTTCTTTTTCCTGAAAACAACACATTTGTAAAACAATAGGAGTTTTATTGGTTTATTTATTTATGTTGGTAGAAAAACATCTGGTAAATGCTTTATTAAATAGAAAAAACTATTGTAACAAAACATCAGCCATCTTGCATCTTTAGGTATCTGGAAATAAAAAATGTAGCAGTCATGAACTATAGAAAATGGAAAAACCTATTTATGGCGGTGGTTGCATTAATGGAGCCTGGTTTTAAAATATTTATTGTTAAGAGAGACTGAGTTCTTCAACACGGCACAGATAAGAACATAGTTTTCGCATTCGTGGTGCCAAATTCTTCTTAGTGCACTATACAATCTACACTTTTAAAATAAAAATAATAATTTTTATAGTAATTTTAAACTGCTAGAAACCTTTAACCATTAAAGATGTGTGTGTGTGTGTGTGTGTGTATGTGTGTATGTGTGTTTGTATTCTTAGGAGGCCTATCTTAAAAATATATTCATTTGAAAATACAAGCTCAAGTAAATATAGGAACTAAATAAGCATCAACTGAAATAAATATGGAAAGAAATAGAAAAATCAAAAATTGTTGGTGATTATTAGTACACCTCTTCAAAAAACTATGAGATTAATTGGATAATAACAATAATCAGAGCTATTAAAGATATAAATGATAGAAATATTATATTCAAGCTCTTACCTTTTGGATAACACATTTTTTAATCAGGAATAGAAATTTACAAAATGTTTCCATATCTGTATTTAACACAGGAAACTTCAACAAATTCCAAAAAACAATGTTCAGGGCCATAATGTTGTACTCACTTCAGTGGGTGCCTTTCCTGTAGAATATAACTGAGATTTCCTAGAGTTAAACAGAGTTGTGATTCTCAATGTCATGCAGTAAAGTTCCTGTAACCAAAAAGCATTCAGATTAAAAATTAATAAAGTTAATTGAATAAGCTTAAGAGATTGGGAACTAAATAGCATTTTATTAAGCAACGTCTGAGTCAGGAGGATCAGAAAAATAATCAAGAAATATAAGTGCAAAATAATAATAAAAATGAATCAAGTTAAAATGTCACTTAGAAGATAATTAATAGTGTTAAATAAAATTATCAGGAAACTAGAAATGAATGAGCTAATCCTAAACCTGTAGAAGCTGGAAAAAAATAGAAAACAAGAAATAAGGAAAAGTAGCAATGACTAAAATCAATAAACTGGAGCAGAAGGAAAAAAACAGATAAGAAGAACAAAACCATAGTTATATAGCCATAGTCTCTGAAAAGTCCAGTAATATAAACATCTGATGAGGTTGATCACCAAATAAGAGAAATAAACCAAACAAAAAAATTTAAAATAATGACAAAATACTACAAAATGAAAATTAAATTAGGTGGATGAGTACCAAGAAAATTATAATGCACCAAAATTGGTACAAAAAATGTAAATAGACCAAAAGTAAGCTATTACAAAAATGAAATTATGGGAAGAAAAGTTGTTCCCTTCCCAAATTTTATCTCTTCCAAAAAATTAATTCCTACCTTTTGTAACTTTTTGTCTCACAAAATAGAAAAAGAAAAATAGAAAGCTGTTCAGATTCTTTTAAGAGGCTACTATATTCTTGATTCCAAATCCACATACATGTATAAGGATAATACAAGAAAATAAAACTGACCAATTTGTAGACATAAATGACTAAATATTAACTAAACAAGTCTAGACATATATATCAAACAGCAATGTGTTATGATCAAATTGGTCTGATTCCAATATAAACATTATTCAAGAACAGAAAAAATGAATCACTGTTTTTATCATACTAATACACTAGAGGAAAAAATATTATTAGATACTGAGAGAATATTTGATGAAATTCAATAAATAAAACATCTTAATAAGCTAGGAGCAAAAAAGGGAATGTCCCAATATGGCAAGTATTATGTAAAAAAAAAAAAATCTACTTCAACTGCAGTTGAAACTTTAGAACCGCCCCCTAGTAACAGCCACAAGGCAAGTCTGCCCATTAGCAAAATGACTGTCTTCTGTGGTCTGTGTGTCTTTGCCAATACTACAGGAAAATTTTAAGAAACAGTCATGAGAATTGAAAGGAGAGAGATGTGCAATAGTGACAATCCATGAAATACTGCCTTTGTGAGTTTAATATACCACAAAAGAAAGCCTGAGTTACTTAGAGTTGCTTTTTTAGTTTGGTAGAATGTTTGAGCAATAGATGGGTAAATCAAAAAAGAGAAATCGTTGCAGGTGCTAGAGTTGAGGAACTCATGTACATCACTATTTAGAGATTTAGTTCTCTCTGGGGTAAAATCATGCACAAATATTTGACCTGAAATCCACTTTTTATAAGGCTAATGAGGGCAACATTACTTATATTTATCATAGGGTCTGTGCCTATTATCTATTTATCTACCTACTTACCTATCATCTACAGCTATATGCTCTTTATGTGTGTATTTCTATAATACCTGGGGAGGAAAGACATTGAGAACCCTCCCTTTTCATTTTGAAGTTTAATATTATCAAAACTTGTCTGACTTGCTGGCAGGAAAGGGTCCTACATTACAATTAAACATGCTATGAAGAGGTATCAGGCTCAATACTAAGTGTGTAGTGTGAATTTATTTCCCTGGCAGCATGCACTGTATTTAGCAACCGTAGATCTGCTAATCCTGGCATGGTAGTTGTGCTCTGGACATGTAGCTAAAAGAACAGAGGCTGAACACTGGAGTGTAAACAGAGAAACAGGAGACACCACTACCCCCGCAGAATGGACAGATGAGCAAGAACAACCCTGACAGCGGGCATTTAGGACACACTATATTGTAGAAGGAGCATTAAACAAACAAACAACAACAACAAAAAAAGCAGGGCAAGCTACTGGGGTGATTAGATATTGTAGAACTCTTGCCAACTGCTGTTTGCAAACCAGTTTATAAATCCTTTCAAAGTGGAAATGTGGATTCTGTGCCATATTATAGGAATGTGGAGGCTTAATTAATTGGATCTGAAAAAAATAAAATTGGCAGAAGGGGAAATGATTATTTAAAAATATTGAATTTGTCTAAATATACTTATTCTATTAATATACCCAGGAGCTAGATTACTAACATTTTTCATTGCAGTAGTAGCAATAAAATTACAGATCAATTACCTTAACACTGTCCTTCTAAAATGATATTATGTAAGATTATCTGTCAAATGAATACAGCATAACTTTTAAAAAATGCTTAAATTATTAGATATAATTTGTGCAATTTGAAATACTAAATAGTTAAAAATGTGTATTCCCTTATATATGATGTCTTATGAAGTTCTTGAATTATTAATATTTTATAAAGTTTTAACAGAACAACATGTAATTTTCCATTGAAGTGGGACAACTTTTATCCCACACTCTAGCAAAGTAGAAGGCAGCTGCTAAGCTTCAGAATGAGGGGGTTTTGTTTTTGTTTTTGTTTCAGTCAAACTGCCTGGCAACCTTACTAGCTATGTAACCTTGGACAAACCTGACAGCTTCCCTAACTTTAGTTAATTTATCCATGGAATGTGTTATGAAGATTTAGTAATATAAAAAGGGTTAAAGTTCTAAACCTACCAGGCATACGATAGACCATTTGTGGTAAGCATTACTCAGAGACTGACCTGTATTGAGACCCGAGGAAGCATTACATTTCTGAGTAGGTATTTCTTGGCAATCTTGCCTTGTATCTGTTGGCTAATCCATCACCGGCTATGAGGAAGGAACAGCTGGGATACCTCACTACACTCTCTCATTTCTTCTTTCCTCCTCTGGTACTAAGTCTGCCTAAAGTGTAGAATGTTGCAACCACCACAGGAGAGTGCAGGCTTAGATGAATAAGGCCAGCATGAGGCATCACAGCATGGTGCAAAAACGAAAAGAAAGCAAAACTGCCCTGGGGTTCTGGAGAGATTAGTTCTAGCCAAACCTCTGCCACTATTTTCATGGCATTCTATACATTTCTTAACTTTTCCGATTTCCATTTTTCTCATACTTAAAGTTAAGAAGGTTTACCATTGTTGTTCGTTAATATTTTAGGAGTTATACACTAGTATTAGATGAGAAAAATAAAAGGTATCAAGAAGTTTCAGGAAAAAAGCAAATTAATCATTCTTTCCTGGTGACATAAGGGCTTGCCTTGAAGCACCTTGAATGAAAGATGATAAAAAATATGCCAGTCTGATTGTTATGCTTTTGTAAGTGAATTGTTCCTTCTTTCTAAAAGATATTAGAATGCTTTCTTTGTCTTTGATATATTTAAAGCTTACTGTAACATTTAAGTTAGGTTTTTCCTTGGATACTCTATGAATCTTCTCATGGAGATAATGGTCAACTGTGATGTGTCAAAGACAAAATTATAACAAATTTAAAGATATAATTGGCTTTTATTGACAATTCTAGAATCAGGCAACATCGCATTGTATCAAATAGAATAGGTATTCTGATGAGCTGAGCAGAGGGGATTAGCATTGGAGAAAGAAAAGGCTAAAGAAAGCAGAAATAAGGTCATTTCAGTTACTTGCCTTATAGAGTTAAAATAGAGGGTACTTCTTTGTCATGACAGCTCAGGGAAAATGGGCCCCTTCTGATTAGTTGCTGTGACTTTCCTGTTTTTCTTTTTCTTTTCTTTTTCTTTATTTTTTTTTTTTGAAAACTGGCCCATTTCAGTTTGAATACATGGCACCTAGCATGAGTGACTCTATTCTGGTTTGGTCTGGTCTGTTGGGTCCTAGTACAGGAGCCCAGTCCAAAATAATGATATCCCAAAAATGTTGTTCAAACTCCCCTCTTTTGGTCAGACACTCATGTGAGTGAATCATAGGACCTTATGTTACTCTCAGTTGCCACCATTCTGGGTTTTGGTCTCAACATGTCATTCATAGGTCATATGTTATCACATGTTTCTTTGAGATTTTGTGACTTGAGACAGAGGGAGACCATTTGGTGTTAAGCAGATGGCTGTGTGCAGGTATTTAAAACTTTTTGACAGGTGACAGTGCACCAGGGAGACTACTATTATGACTATCAGGAGGATAATTTCAAGAGTTTGGCATATGCTCCTTAGCCAGGGTCCTCATGAGTAAAACAAACTAAAATCAACAAAAGAAAAACAAAAGTTAATGATGAAAATAACTATAAATTGAGTCTCTGAGTCCAGAGGGCGCTCAGTTGAAATTTTTGGATTTGAGCCTGAGGAATATTTTTCTGCTCTGCAGGTTGAATATCTCTGTATTGCTTCATTCTCACACTGCTATAAAGTACTGCCTGAGACTGGGTAATTTATAAAGAAAAAAGGTTTAATTGACTCACAGTTCTGCAGGCTGTAAGAAGGAGTGGTTGGGGAGGTCTCAGGAAACCTACAATCATGCTGGAAGGGCAAAGGGACACAAGTACATCTTCATATAGCAGAGCAGGGGAGAGAGAGCAGAGGGAGAGGTGCTACATATTTTCAAAAACCCGGACCTCATGAGAACTCACGCAGTATCACAAGAATAGCAAGGGGGACATCTGCCCACATGATCCAATCACCTCTCACCAGGTCCCTCCCCCCACACTGGGGATTACAAGTCAACATGAGATTTGGGTAGGGGCACAGAGCCAAACCATATCAATCTCCAGTTATGGCATTGAGCATTTTGGTGAACTCTCTGAGTGAACTGCAGGTTAGGCACAAGCCGCTGAAATTTACGTCAAGCTGTCCAGCTTCAGCCTGTAGGGCTTCAGGGACAGAGCAGTTCTTGTTCTCAGAGATGCCAAGTGGGAGAAAACGGGACTGTAGGAAAACAGAAGGGTTCAGGTCCAGTCCAGTTTACAGGTAAATAATAAAAAGCTTCAAAACCATGAACAGGGCTAAATCTAGTAACAGGTGTACCATTTTCTTCTGAAACATTATCTTTCTCTTTACTGTCACTGCCAATCCTACTGAAGATAACCACATAAGACCAATTTGTCTGCAAAATAGGACTAGTCTCATTAAACATAGCCTGATTATTAAGTGTACCAAGAATAGTGATTGCCTATATGGGAACATTTTAAGTGTGCTTTGCTGGAACTTTTGACAAGGAATTTCAGATTAGATATTTCAAAGCCTATTGAGGTTAAGAAGCCAAGCCAAAGACTTGCCATCATACTGTGTTTGCAACACCTAAAGATTTGGGTGAATTCTCTTCTCAAGGCCCCCAAAATAAGACTTTAAACATGGTTCTTTCCTCTGTCTTTTTACTTCCTTGACTGAAATGCATCAAATAACTTATTTTTAACACCTGAAGATTTGGGTGAATTCTTTCCTTCTCAAGGTCCCCCAAATAAAACTGTAAACACAGTTTTTCCCACCATCTTTTTGCTTTTTGACTCACATTCATCAAATAATTTATTTTAACTCTGCCTTCTGCTCTTAGGTTGGATTTATAGTTTTATTACCTGAGACATCTAGGAGATACCATAAGCTTGTTGACTAATAGTAAATTTAGGTAAAAATGGACGTGTGCGTGCGTTTTTAATGCTGACAATTTTGAAGACATTTCTATTTTATTTTACTAAAATGTTAAAACCAGCTTTTATTTGCCAAAAATTAAACCAAATCACATGAATGTAGGAAAATATTGGGTCAGTTTCTACTTTTCTGAAGGTTTTGTAAATACTTAATTTGTATGAGAACTCATTTATCCCTAAGCCAATTTGAACAGAACTCCTTCAAAGAATTTAATAAATTAGTTGTACACTATTTGGAAGCAGAAAAATATCACACATATACAAACAGATGTGCATACATAAACATACAGATAGATGCAAAGATCTTAAAGTTTTAATTAAGATTTTCTATTTGACAGTTCCAATTTTTTTCCTACCCTTTGAGATTACCAATTTTTCAATTGTCTGTTCCATTGCCCTAAGCAATTGTGAGCTAGACCACCCTAAATTGTCATTTCCAAAGGGATGAGTCCTAGCTAGAAAATTTACATTTCAAAGGCAAAGAATTTAGATTTTGGTTCTAAATGCCACAGTTTGCTGGGATAAGGAAAGGCATGAAGAGCGAAGTTAAGACAAGATGGTCAGCAAAGGCAATGTTATGTGAAATTCTAGGCTTTCCAGTTCAGCTCCCATGTTTTACTAGATTACTAAAGTCATAGCAGAGTTCATTAGCAAGCATTTACTATCCCTGGGGTCAGCATAGATGGCTCTGACCAAGAATTTAGGAGGATGTAAGGGTAGCTAAAGAAACAAACCCAGTTAACCTGAAGATTTCACTTTTATAAACATTTATCTAGCATTCTCTTTCTCTGCAGGGAGCCATGGCAACTAATTAAAAACACTATCAGATTTAATTGTTCTTATCAATTAGTTGCTTAAGCACTTCATTTGCCTTTTGTAAAGAGTCTTTTAAACAGGCGGTTTTAAAAAAAAATCTTTTTTAGACTTTTCTGCACATCAATTAAAATAGGCTTCTCTGGATAGGTCTAATTTGGGAGCCCTTATTTACAAATGCACTTCATCAATGAATAGTCTTGTCCATCTGAAATGTTCCACATTAGCAGCAGCAAATCCATGTGAGTCTGCAGCAACCTCAATTCTTGCCTCCTCGGAAGAAAACATTTGACTAAGGGACATAAGGCAGAAGGAGAGACTGAGGAAAGTTTTAGAGCAGGAGTGAAAGTTTATTAAAAAGTTTATAGGCCAGGTGCGGTGGCTCACACCTGTAATCCCAGCACTTTAGGAGGCTGAGGCAGGTGGATTACCTGAGGTCAGGAGTTCGAGACCAGCATGGCCAACATGGTGAAACCCCGCCTCTACTGTTATAAATAAGTTTCAGTGCCACAAAAGAAATAGCACTCGAATATAAATTTTTCTTTTTAATTCTCAGCAAGGCAGGTTACTTCCATAGAAGGGTACGCCCTTACAGATGGGGCAGTGGTGAGTGCACACCTGGAGAAGGGAGGGAAAGGGGTTCTTATCCCTGATGCATGTGTCCCCTGCTGCTGTGTCATTTCCCTATTGGCTAGGGTTAGACCGCACAGGCTAAACTAATTCCGACTGGCTAATTTAAAGAGAGTGACGGGGTGAGTGGTTTGGCGGGAAAAAAATGGTTATACAGGGTGGAGAATGAGTCAGGGCAGAGCAGGTAGCAGGTAATCAGAATGAGTCAGTGTGGAGCAGGTAATCGAAAAAGGTTGCTTTATGAGGAAGTTAAGTTTAAAAGTAGAAGGCAAAGAATTGAACATACTGACATATTTATTCTTTGAAAAGAAATTTAGAACTCATACCTAACACTACTAAAAATACAAAAAGTAGCCGGGTGTGGTGGCACAAACCTGTAATCCCAGCTACTAGGGAGGCTGAGGCAGGAGAATTGCTTGAGCCCAGGAGGCAGAGGTTGCAGTCAGTGAGCTGAGATCATGCCACTAAACTCCAGCCTGGCCAACAAGCGAGACTTTGTCATGAAAAAAAAAAAAAAAGTTTATAACAGGAAAGAAAGGAAGTAAAGTACACTTGGAAGAGGACCAAGCTGGTGACTTGAAAAACTCAAGGGTGCAGTTTGACCTTTGACTTGGGGTCTACTACATTGACAGGCTTCCAGGGTTATGTTCCTTGATTCTTCCCTTGGGGTAGGCACCCATATGTGCAGTGGCTTGTCAGCACTTCGGAGGGGTTGCGTGCACAGTGTGCTTACTGGAGTTGTTCACCTGCTGACTTGAGGCATTCCTCCCCTGTCAGTTGAGTGTTTCCTAGAGGAAGGTCATAGAGCAATTAAACTCTGCCATTTTGCTTTTCAGTGTGCATGCTTGAGCCCACTCACCTGACTCCTGAGATTTTTTTTTTTTGAGATGGAGTCTGGCTCTGTCACCCAGGCTAGAGTGCAAAAGCGTGGTCTCAGCTCACTACAACCTCTGCCTCCCGGGTTCAACTGATTCTCCTGCCTCAGCCTCCCAATTAGCTAAGATTACAGGCACCTGCCACCATGCCCGGATAATTTTTGTATTTTTAGTAGAGATGAGGTTTCACCATGTTGGCCAGGCTGGTCTCGAACTCCTCACTCAGGTGATCCACCCACCTTGGCCTCCCAAAGTGCTGGGATTACAGGCATGAGCCACCACGCCCAGCCCAACTCCTGAGATCTTATAGGGAAGCTGCTGATTATCATCTTCAGGTGTTTTCTGTCTACTAGGAGAACGCCTTTCCCTGGAGCCGGCTGTGACCACTTACTATTGTAGAGAGACAGTTTAACAACGATCTGACCATCACCTCACAGTTGCCTGACACTCCTGGTGGTGTGGTGGCCCTCTTCTTCCCTGCTCATGTCTGGCTACCTACCTACTATAACACACATAATGGTACTGTAATTCAAAATTATCTTTAGTAAGGTTTCACTTACCAAAGTGAATTGTGTATTTGCAGCTTCCAAGGCATAGCCAGAAGATAGAGCACTAGGTTCTTTAGAAATTAAGAATCCCATTATTACTTTGAATCTTGGTGATTCAGGATTCAAGATTCAAGAATCTTTAGAAATTAAGAATCCCCATTTTACTTTGAATCTTGGTGATACAGGAGTTAAGAAGAAATTACTTAGGCAGATAGTGAGGGTACAGAAGTCCTCGGGAAGGTTTTCCTTTTAATGAAAAGAAGCCCCAAATCATTTTCTAACAAAGAGTAGCCTGTAAAGTCGAGCTGCAGACATAGACAAGGAAGCTGGGAGCTTGCACAGGTGAATGTCGCCAGGAAAGAACTACCTGGGACTAGACATGTTCAAGATGGCAGCTCCATCTTCCCTTCTCTGCCAGCCATCTGTACAGTAAAAAGCTGACAAGTTGAGAGACAAGAGGTGAGTTCATTTGCATAGTAAGATTAGGGTGGGGTAACCAGCCTTCCCCCAGGACTATGTAAACGTCACATCTGATTGAACCAATCTGTGAGCCCTACAATAAATGAGATACAGCCTCCTCAAGCCGGACTATAAAATCTGGCTCATCCACCTCCGACCTTTTCCTCTCGGAAGTACCCTCTCTCTCACTAGAGAGAGAGCTCTTTTCCTTTCTCTTTCTTTTGCCTATTAAACTTCCACTCCTAAACTCCTCGTGTGTGTCCGTGTCCTAAATTTTCGTGGCTCGAGATGACAAACCCTGGGTATTTGCCCCAGATAATGTAACTGCTTCACTGGGTTTCTCAGAGCTGAGATAAAAAACTAAAAGGTAAACGCCACTGGGTTGGGTTATACAATGTTTTCAGTGTTCCTCTTTGCGTGGAAATTTTCTTGAGGCTTTCAGGCGACCTAGTGTCATGTAACCTGCTACGTGAGCCAGCTTATCCTTTTAAAGTAGTGGGGGGGTGGCGGAGGCTCTAATGAGAAGGCGTAGTGTCCTTCTCATTCCTGCCACGCGGCTTAGGGCTTGGCTCTGAGGTTCCCTCCATTAGCATAGGCAACGATTTTCCCTTATCTTAGTGCACAAGAAAAGTAAATGAAAGGGGGCCAGGATCTGAGTTTTCCTGCCGGCAGGAAGGGGCTGTAACCTTGGCCATGTCAACTCCCTTTGACAGGTGGCTAGTTCCTCGGGGGCTCCATGAAGACCAGTCAGTTCCCAACTCTCCCAGCACCTGGAAAGCTGATCACCTTAGTCCTGCAGGGAGATCTTGGGGATGCACCACAGCATTCCACACAGGATTGTTGTTTTTGTTTGGTTGTTTTTTAAAGTTTTAATATGTTGTGTTTCTCAAAAATCTTTCTATGTTTGCTCATGAGCTCTTAACCACTGGGGTTATCAGTTACTTTGTGAGGCAATGAATGAAGGGAAAATGAGATGACCTCCCTTTGAGTCAGCTTAAGCGACAGTCACCAGCTCATCTGAGCCATCAGGACTGAAAATCGCAGTCCCCACGTTTTCCTCACACTCTGCACCCAGTGACCCAAGAGCAGCAGCCTTAGGAGGGGAACTTCTGTGGTCATTTTCCTGCCCTGGGAGTTTCTAGTTGACTGAGAATGTGATGATTGTCACAAACATTGTCGGTGAATCCTGAGCTGTTTTCCCAGCTCTGACCAATCCCAGATATGCTCTGATGCCACCCTTGAGGGCATCCAGATTGGCACCCAGGTGTCAATGAAAAGTGTCAAACTTTGTAAAATATTTTAAGAAATCTATTCTGAGCCAAGTATGAGTGGCCATGGCCCATGACATAGCCCTCAGGAGGTCCTGAGAACATGTGCCCAAGGTGGTCGGGGTACAGCTGGGTTTTATATATTTTGGGGAGGCATGAGACATCAATCAAATACATTTAAGGAATACATTGGTTTTGTTCAGAAGGGCAGGACAACTCAAAGCAGGGGCTTCCAGGCGATAGGTAAATTTAAACATTTTCTGGTTGACAATGGTTGAGTTTATCTGAAGATCTGGGATCAAAGGAAATGTTCAGGTTAAGATAAAGGATTGTGGAGACCAAGTTTTATTGTGCAGAGGAAGCTCTCAGATAGCAGACTTCAGAGACAGCAGGTTGTAAACTCTTTCTTATTGGACTTAAAAGGGTGCCTGGCTCTTAGTTGATTATCTCCTGGATTTGGAAAGGAAGGAAGGAAAACAAAGGGGAATGGGGATTCTCTATAGAATGTGGATTTTTCCCTCAAGAGACTTTGCAGGTCAATTTCAAGGTATGGCAAGGAAATATATTTTGGGGTTAAATAATTTTTCCTTGTCTCATAATGTTATATACCACAGTCAGATTGAAAAGTAAGTCACGATATATAGGGTCAAATAAAACCCATCTGATGAGAATTTATGGTTTTCAGGGCATGACTCCCTAGACCCCTTAGGTAGGAATTTGGGGAAAATAAAAAATCAGAGCTTCGTCCTCATGGGTTTCTCCCAGGTATGGAGACCGGCATGGCCTCCTTCCAGGACTGGCTGGGGAAGGGAGGCGCGGACTGCCACAGGCATGCTCCTGTTCCACCGTTTGACAAAGGCACCGAGCGGATGCCTTGCCTTTCTGAACAGAGACTCATTCCCTGGTTCAAACATCTTCAGTTTTCTTATGTGTGCACATGTACACAGCAACGTTCCGGGCAGTGCTGCTTATGCTGGCAAATTATTTCAAACAAAATAAATGCCCATCAATCAGAGACTAGCTGCATTAATTATGCTACAGCCATACTTTGCCACCTAAAAAGAATGAGGTAGGTTTATACAAACTGATAAGGAAACACCTTCAAAATACATTGGAAGGGATCCAACCTAGTTGGAGAACAGTTTTCAGCACATGACCATCTGTAAGGGAAATCACAAAGGAAAGGAACAGTGATTAGGACACAGAATAGAAAGACTTATTTTCAATACATGTGCCTTTTGAATGCTATTTAACACACACTACACAATACAAACACACATCGATTTACTATTTAAAACAACGAATTAAAATAACTCATCACCACAATCATGTAATTCTATATACATAAAATAACACCAATAAAAAGGCTTGTACTTAACAAAGTCCAAATTCATGCCTAACCACTAAAATACATAATATCATAGGATAAAATAATAAATCGATTCTGAAATTTCTAATAATTAAAACAGTCTTTTGCAAGTTCTGCATTGTTTGTTTTGAATGTCTAGAGCACAGATAAGCAAGTTCCTTTCCCAGCATCCTGAGTAATGTGCTCATAAGCTTATAGGAATTAACAATTTCCAAAGCTGCCTTGTTAACTAACAGTGAGTGCTTTAGGCACTGGGAGAACTGGTTTAATACACTCATTTTCTACTTCTTAGGCACGTTTTCAGATTTAATTAATGTTGAAAATGAACATTGAATTTTTGTGTTAAGAAGCTTTTCTAAAATGCAAAGAGTTATTGAGATTTGCTTTAAAATTAATAAATACCTAAGAAAATTAGCATTTATATGACATTTTGTGCCATTAGGGAGATTTGCAAATATAAACCTCAATCTTTTCAAAACAGTTTTCTAATTCCAATTGCAGAAAATATTTGTGAAACGAGTTTATAAAAGCAAGAAAGTAAACAGGAGTGGTACATGATTACAGACATAACACCACTTAAATTTATTGACACATGGATAATTCTTTATACATACAGAAGTGGTTAAATATTTAATTTTGTTTTTTTTGTTTCATATCCTATAGGATATATTAGTTTTAGACTTATGTGAATATTTTATTCAATTATATACTTCATAATATCAGGAAGTGTAATTGTTTAAAAAAGTGTAATACAAATTTTTGGTTTCAGTATCATATCTAAGAAATTTTTCTTAACCCAAGTTCACAGAGTTTGTCTTTTATGTTTTCTCATAAGTTTCACATCTAGACTGTGATTTAATTTTTAGGGTGCAATTTATGGATTAAAGTTCATCTTTTTTGCATAGGGATATCTGATGATTGTAATATGTTTGTCAAGAATTGTGCTAGAATTGCGGTTGTTGTTAGCCCTTTTTGAAAGTTGACCCCATATGTGTGATTTATTTCTGAAATCTTTATCCTGTTCCCATTGAGTTATTAATCTATATTTATTCTATACTACATTGTCTTGATATTGTAGATTTATAATAAGTCCTGAATCCTCCAATTAACGTAATTTCTCCAATTTTGTTCTTTTCTATTCAAAGTTGTTACAGTTATTCTAAGTCCTCATCATTTCCACATGAATTTTGAATTAGCTTCTCAACTTCCCAAACTATGCCCATTGGCATTTTGATTAGGGTGGTGATGAATATGTATATCAATTTGGAGAGAACTGGCATTTTAACAATACTGAGTCTTTCCATGATGTCAGAGGCCAACTTTCCATTTATTTAGCTCTCCTTACTTTCTCTTAGCAGGGTTTTCAATTTGTCAGTCTATGGATCTTTCACTTTTGTCAGATTCAGTCTACGTATTTAACATTTTTGACATTATTGCAAATAGTTTTATTTTAAAATTACTATTTCTGATGTTTTCTTGCTAATATTATAGAAATACAATTGAGGTTTGTGTATTTGTATACTGCAAACTTCCTAAATATACTTATTAGTTCTACCAGCTCTTTTGTAGATTCCAAAATGTGCCTTTCTATTATTCGCTAGTAATTTTGAGACGGCCAAGTAAAAAGGGCTCCCCGGCAGAGCCTCCGACTGGCCTGTGCACTGGGAGGAGTGAGCACTGGGGTGGAGCCTCGGGAAGTTCATGCCATTTGCAGCGGGGAGGAGCCTGGTTTCTCCTGTTCCGGGGTTCAAGTAGGGTACATATGTACCTGGATTCAATCTGCAAGGAGGGAAACCTGTTAGCAGAACTCTTACTTTTCTGAGAGTCCTTGTTTCCCTTTTTTTTTCTTTTTTGTCCAGTAAATTCCATTTTTCTCACCCCTTAAAGTGTATGTGAGCCTAATCTTTCACGGTTGTGTGACAATAATCCTGTTTTTAGCTGAACTAAGGAGACAGTCCTACAGTAATTTTATTCCATTGTTGTTAGAGAACATACTTTGTATGACTGGAATCTGTTTAAATTTTTTAAGGTTGGTTTTATGGCAAATAATATTGTCTTTCTTGGTAAAAGTTATTACGCACTTGAAAGGAATATGCACGCTGCTAGTGTTTAATGGACTGTGCCATAAGTGTCAATTAAAGCAAGTTGGAGAATAATGCCCTTCACCTGTTCGATATCTGACTTTCTATCAATCATTAAAAAAGACTTGAGATCTGTGACTATAGTTGAGAATTTGTCTATTTATTCTTGAGGTTCAGTTAGATTTTACTACATTAGTTTTAAAGCTCTGTTACTAAAACAGTTGCTAATTCCGTCTTCATTATGAAGTGACCACCAATATTCCTAGTAATATTTTTTGCCCTGAAATCAACTTTATTTAATATTAATATGGGTCATTCATCTTTATTTTGCTTCATGTTAGCAGTGTATATTTTCCAACCTTTGATTTAACCTATATTTTTCTTAATATTTAAAATGAGTTTAATGTAGAAAGCAATTTGTTGGGTTTTGCTTCTTTATCTGATCTGATAATTTCTGTTATTTAATTGGGATATTTACATAAGTTACATTTAATGTTATTATTAACCCTTAGAGTTTAAATTCCTTTCTTTTCTCCTTGTTTTCTATTTTTTTAATCTGTTCTGGGTTTTGTTGTTGTTGTTGTTATTGTTTGGTGTGTTTATTTTCTGCCTTTTGTTTTGAATTAAGTATGTTTTATATGTCCCTTTTATATCTTCCTTTTTTTGGCTTATTTACTACAACTTTTATTTAATAGATGTTTAGAGTTTACATTTTACAGATTTAACTTATTATTGCCCTCTTCGCTCAAGTAGTTTTATGTTGCTTTACATACAATCTAGCTTATCAAACCATAGTTCACCTTCTCCTATTTGACCTTTGCATATTACCATAGATTTCACTTCTACTTGTACCATAAACTCCACAATGATGTTATTGTATTTTGCTTTGAATGCTCAATTATCTCTAAAACAGATTTAAACATTTACTTTTACCCAAGTAATTACCATTTCTATTCCTCATTATTCCTTCGAGTAGAACCAGATTTCTGTAGGTTACCATTTATCTTCTGCCTGTAGGGCTTTATTTAATATTTATTGTAAGTCAGGTCTATGATGAATTCTTTCAGGTTCTACATGTCTGAATAAGTCTTCATTTCACATTCAGTTTTCAAAGATATTTTATTGGCAATTGAATTCCAAGTTGACTTTTTCTTTTTTTCCTGTCATTATTTTAAAGCTAGCTATTCCAGTGCATTCTGGCTTAAATCCTTTTTGATGATAGGTCTGCTGTCATTCTTATGTTTGTTTGTGCACATGATATCTTTCTCCAGGCTATTTAAAAACTTTGATTTATTGCTGTTCTTAAGAAGTGAGATTATAATTTGCTTTGTTGTAGCTCCCCGCCCCGCCCTGCCACTTTTCTTGTGCTTAGGTTGTGTTGAATTTCTTGGATTTGTGGGCTTATAGCCTTCATCAAACTTGCAAAATATTGACCATTATATTTTCAAACAGCTTTTCCACCCCTCCTTCTTTCTTATCTTCTTTGGAACATTAATTTGCACAAACAGTAGTCTGCTTGGTCTTGTCTCACAACATGCTGATGCTCTGTTTATTTTTTTTCAGAATTGTTCTCTCATTTTGAATACTTTCTAATACTATATTCTATTACTATATCCTCAAAGTTACTATGCGTTTCTATAACTAATCTACTGATTATTCTATCTACCTTGTGTATTTTCTTACTTCATAATTGTTTGTTTTTATCTCTTGAACTATATTCGAGTCTTTTATATATTTTCTCTCCTTAGATAACATGACGATCTTTCCTCCAATCCTGTGAATGTCTATAATAAAATTAAAATAGCTCTGTTAAAGACTTTGTCAACTATTTCAATCATACGTACCACTTTTTGATCATTTTCTATTGACTGATTTTTCTCCCAATTATTGGTTGTGTTTTTCACCTTTTTTTGCATGTCTGATCTGAAATTCACTGTTATCACCTAAGACAGACATTATGGTTAAAATAAATTTTTAAAAAAAGTTACCTGTGGATCAAGGATTCAGGGCCTGGCTGTTATGGCAAATTTTTAAAATCCTACAGCTACAAGAAAAAAACACAAAAACAAACAAAAAAACCCCACACTCTTGCTGAAATCCCTAAGAACAGGAAGTATCAGACTCCTCCTATCTGATTTACAACCCAGACCACCATAGCTCTTATTTGGTGGAGGACCGTCCTTACAAATATTCTTTTCTCATAAGCAACTCAAAGCTTACATCAGTTTCAGTAGCTTGTAGAGACCATGCACAAACTTTGTGTCCTATGGTTCATCTTTTGATATAAAGAGTCAAATTCCACCTCATTTTAATGCTGAAACCCTGCCCTAAAGTGAGCACGAAATATATATTACATATATGTTTACTCATTGCACATGCACTCAGTTCCTCTCATAAATATATAGTTTTTCTCCTTATCTGAAAAATATGTATGACTCGATTGTATAATATGAACTTTATGAGGCATAACAGTCAACCTGTCATTTCCCTCTGTGAAGAGATAGCACTTTCAATCCATGCAAGATACTGTCTCTACCTGGTTTGAAAACTAACATTTCCAATAAAGCTTTCCTTTCTACTATGTAGCCCTCCTGGTGGTCTTTTGGATGATATATGCTTAGTCATTTTTGCTTGCTTCCCAGATATTGTTGATTTAATTTTGGGGGGTGCTGGGTATTTCTGTATTTCTACAAATGTTCTTGATGATTTGGCTTATGTTTGTTTCTATAGCCTTTGATCTAAAATGATTTTTACATTTTTAAAGACTTGTATAAAATAAAATACTGCACGTCGTCCTCAAAGCCTAATATATTTAGTCTCTGGCTCTTTAGAGAAAAAGTTTGCTGAGGTCAGCTTTACCTGATGCATCATAAATGATAAGGTTTTCCACTCCGGCTGCTAGGAACAGGAGTTATGATAGTCCTGTGAGCCCCTGCTATTGCTCCTTCTAATCCTCTTGGGGTGTTCTTTCTCTGACTTCAGGTAGTTTCCTCATATGCATTCATTGATCATTCCTCAACTGAAGACTTAGCCAGAGGGAGTGGGGTGGGCGGGGGGGTGGGGATGACTCCGCAGATCTCCAGGGCTAGCTCTCTTTCTAGCTCTCTCCTTGATGGAGAGAGCTAGACTTACATGCCTGGGCCTATAAGTCTAGCAAGAGACTCTCACTTTCACCAGGGTTTCCCCTTCACGCATCTTAGAAGGAAGAGTAGCAGTGGCTCACACAGTACTATTATAACCCCTGCATCCCAGGCTAGAAACTTTCTCTAGGCAGTAGCTGCAGTCATAGTGCTCAACACAAACACGTAGATTCCCATATCTCAGGGGTAACTAACTTTCCTTGCTTTATGTTCAATATATTGAAAAACTAGTATTTTATATCTCTTATATGGCTTTTCATTTGTTTCAGGTGGCCAGGTACAGCTAATCCCTGTAACTGCACCTTGATCAGAAGCGAGAATGTTAAGATTGTGCTAAGTCATTCTGACTCTTTACTTGTTCCCATTTTAGAAGTAATTTTACAATGATGATAAATGCGGAATTTTTTTCTATGCAGTATGATATTTCTCTACACAGTAGGGGTTTACTGACTTCGGTCTTAGGGGCCAGTAAACTATTGCATTTATACTAAATCCAGCCCATGACCTTTATTTTTATATGACCCATGAGTCAAAAATAATTTTTACAGTTTAAAAAATTATTTAAAAAGCAGAAAACGAATTTTTTTCAACAGAAACTGACACTGTCCAAAAGGCATAAATTATTTATTATTTGGTCCTTTTGAGGAAAAATTTATATCTGTAGATTTGTGTATCTTTAAATCTATAAAAGGTATTCGAGATTATTATAAGAGACCATCTTGTAGTGTACGGCTTTAGATCATATAGTATATATATTTTTTCTCTATGTCTCAATGTATGCCATATCAGCCACTTCATCTGAATTAGCACACAAATAATACCAATTTCATAAGGTGTGTAAGTATTAAGTAAAATAATCCATATAAATACTGATTATTGTCTGACATACAGTAAATGCTCAATATTATTAAATATTTGAAATTATCAGCATTTGAACAGTTTTGTAGAGGTTACAAAGCCAAAAGTATAGTACAAAAGTACTATAAAAGAACATATGGGTCATTTGTATCAAAATTTTCTTATCAGCACATTGTGATATCCATGTGCTTTCCAGTAGCATGTACTAATATTTCACTTAATTATTTTAGGTATCTTTTAAATTGTTCTATCTCACATTTAGGAATATCCCTATAAATTAATATTGTTGGTTTAGTTTGTTAACATTTTTGGAATTACTGATGATATGTGACTGTGATTAATAGATTTGCATTAGTTGTAAAGGCTCTGTAAGATTGTTTGCTTACTCCATATGAAAGATGATATATTGCGACAGATACAATAATCAGAATTATAACAATAATAGCAAGAGGAAATAATCCTCCTTACAAGATTTTACACTTGAAATCCAAATGCAGCATAACGTGTACCATAGTTTGCCATTCAGTGACTTTGGTGCTAGTTTGCTATAACTGCAGTATACTTACTTGCAGATGTACTTATTGCCTCTCAGTGTAAACAAACATACATATAACAGTAAAACTTGATTTTAACTTATTATAACATTGTGAAATTTACTATTTTTCTTTTGTTGTTTTTTTAATTAAAAAATTGCAACTTTTTTGTTGCAATCCACTGTAAAACATTGTTTAAAAACATTGTGCTAAGCTATTTAGATTAACTCCCTTGGATTCTACAATAGCAATGCATTTCCGTTGTTCTTTTTTGCATTATTAACTCTTAGCTGACAAAAGACACACACGCGCACACACACACACACACACACAGAACTTCACATTTAGTGGACTTTCATGTCGAAATGATTAAAAAAAAATTAACTCCATGAGGGAAAGACTAGTAGATTTTTAATATTCAGCAGATTTTGGTTAAATAAATAAATTTCAGAATAGAACTGTAAATCTCTGCTATTGTACACTTGGTTATGTTGCTTCCCTGTCTCTTGTTTTTTTGTTTGCTTGTTTGTTTTAATATTATATGTGGCATGCCTCTCTGCTCATGCATGCCTCTTTTATATTACCGTAGAGTGTCCTTCACACATCCCTAAATTGACAAAATCTCCCAGGCCTGGTAGATATACAAAGAGAAATAAAGAGAGAAGCTAGTCCTGAAACCTAAGTATCTCATGTTCAGAAAACCTGAAAAGAGAAGTCAGTTAAGATAACAAAACAGAAAAAGGTATATTTAATGTAACCATGATAGTATACCTTTTTATAACAGTATTATAACAAAAATCACAAGAACAATTACATTTTCTATTTGAAATGTTTTCATGTCTGTTTATACTGTGCAGGGAGAAAAATTGCTCCTGGGGTTTTGGGCCATGATCCGGCCTTCAGACTGGTCAGGGTTGCCTCTTCCGTGGATGATTTAACAAACTAGCTAGAAACATAAGAAAGAAAAATGAACTTGGAAATATTATAAAGCATACATTTTCTATCTTCTAATTTATCTCCCACATCATATTCACAGAAAATTAGATTTGGCAGTTCTATTTTTTTCTGACTTATTTTGTGTGGTAAATAACTCAGATATGAAGGGTCATATAAAGTACGTGTGTACAGAATAAGAATTTCATTATTCTAATGATAAAATGTTATAGACACAGTCGAGCAAGACTAAGTGCTGATATTTACAGATAAGAAAGTCCTCTTGCATTTCAACAGTACAAAGTCTGAATCCTTGTAAGTGGTAAAAAAATTTTATCTTGTAATGTCCCCTGCTCTTTTTTGCCAACCTCATTGTCTTCCATACAGAAATGATAATATGAAGCTGCTGATTTTAATGCCACATACTGCCCTTGGATGTGTTCCTCCTCATTCTCTATGCCCCAAATCCATCAGGTAGATCACTAGGACTCAGGCTGTCACATCAGCTCAGGTGATAGTGCCCCCAAGAATCATGCCCCATCAGAGAGAAGTAATGAGTCATCTCATGAGTGTAGCTAGTATCAAGAGAAAGATAATATATGGAATAACCTCTTTTGTATGAAGCAGAATGGACAAAATGGAGGAATGTATAAAAAAAGCTGAGAAGTCAGGTAGAAACATTAATTAAAAGATATCAAGGAGGAACAAAATAAGAAAGGGAAAGAACTATGAAGGCAGAAACAGAATGTCAACATCTTTTTTAGTACTAGTCTCATAAAGACACAAAAATAGGAGGAAATATCTGACAAAATAATAACTGAGAATAAAGCTGTATTTTCAATTGAAGGAAAACAACTCCAAATCTATATTTTTATGCTGAGCTAACATAAACTTTAAATAGAAAGGCAAAACAAATATATCCTAAGGCATGGAAAACTGTAAAAGTTTTACATTCCAAAAATTCTTTTGCAAGCAGCAATCAAACAAGAAGAGAAGCAAATCTAGATGGAGTTTACAAGATATGGGAAATAGAGCAAGTAAAAACAAAAATGTTTGGAAAATTTACTATTCTATAAATTTTTGAAAAAAGCAAAATTAAAAAAGAATATTAACAATGAGAAACAAATCTAACTTTGTAGTTTAACATCCAGCATCCTAACAGGCACTTTTGGAAAACAAAAGTGTTTAACTTTTATTAAAGTCTAATTTATCATCTTTTTCCTTTATAGATTATTCCTTTGATGTCAAGTTTAAGAATTCTGAATAGACCTAGATTTCTGAAGAACTTCTGTGTTTTTCCTAAATGTTATGGATTTTTATATTTTACATCGAAACTGTGATTTGTTTTAATTTGGTTGAGGTGTGAATGTAAGCGTTGTGGTTTATATTTTTGCCTGTGGATGTCCAATTGCTCTAACATCATTTGATGAAAAGACTGTCATGTCTCCGTTGATGGTTTTTGTACCACTGTCAAAATTCTGTTGGTAGTCTTTGTGTGGGGCTGTTTCTAAGTTCTGGATTCTGTTTCATTGATCTGAATGTATATATGTATATATATTATATATACGTCTATATATACATATATGTCAATATATATATATGACTATCCCTTTGCAATACCATACTATTTTGATTATTTTAGCTAAATGTAGGACTTAGTATTGAGTACAGTGATTCTTTACACTGTATTCTTCTTTTCCAATATTGTTTTAGTTATTCCAGAGCTATCCCTTGGTATTTCCATATATATTTTTGGATAAATATGCTTATCTTTAAAAAAATCTTACTGGCATATTGATAGTGTACCAACATTGCTGATATTAAACCTGTCTATCAGCCTGGGGGAAATTGATAGCTTTACTAAGCTGAGTCTTCTAATCCATGAACATGGAATGTCTCTATTTACTGAAGACTTTAAACAAATTTCTTTCATCAGCATGTTGTGATTTTCAACATACAGTTGTATATATGTATAACATATAGTTCCTGTACATGCTGTATTGTTTACACCTATGTACTTACTTTTCTTTGGAGGAATTATAAATGACATTATATATTTAATTTTCATTTTCACAGGTTTATTATTAGTGTAAAATGTTTTGGATTCATTTTGTTCTTGTTTTTCTGGTTTCTTGAAGCAGATAGGAGCTTAAATTATACATCACACATGTTTTGATATCTTACATTTTCGTTTTCAACTGATTATTTGCATTTTAAAAATTTACTTTGAGACTTTCTTTTTGACCCATGGGCTGTTTAGAAGTCTGTTGCTTGATCGCCAATTGTATGGAGATTTTCCTGTTGTCTTTCTTCTTTGATTTTTAGTTTGATTTCATTGCATTCAGAGAATATACTCTGAATCCTTTTTTTTTTTTCTTTTGAGATGGAGTCTCGCTCTGTTGCCCAGGCTGGAGTGCGGTGATGCAATCTCTGCACACTGCAAGCTCCACCTCCTGGGTTCACACCATTCTCCTGCCTCAGCCTCCCAAGTAGCTGGGACTACAAGCGCCCACCACCGCACCCGGCTAATTTTTTGTATTTTTAGTAGAGACGGGATTTCACCGTGTTAGCCAGGATTGTCTCGATCTCCTGACCTCGTGATCTGCCCACCTCGGCCTCCCAAAGTGCTGGGATTACAGGCGTGAGCCACTGTTCCTGGCTCTTCATTTTTTTTTTTTTTTAAAGTAGCATTCTCTTTCTCCTCTCCTTCTGTGATGCCAAAAATACTAAAGTTAGCTGTAGTGCTATTATCTGAAAGGTCTCTGAGACTCTGTTATCATTTAAAAAATAACCTATTTTGTCTCTCTTAATCAGATTAAATACATTTATTTGTCCACCCATTTACTAATTCTATTTCTGTAATCTCCACTCTGCTCTTGAGATCATGCAGTGAAATTTTTTTGTAGCTATAAAACAACTAGTTTTAGTTTTTATTTCATTATTTTGAGTTCTATAATTTTCATTTGTGTGTTCTACAGCTTTATTGAAGTATACTTTTAATATCATAAAGCTTACCTATTTTAAAATAGAACTAAATCATTTCAATATGGTAACAGAGCTATTCAACTACCACTGCAACCTAATCTTAGAACATTTTTATCACCCTAAAATTTATGTGTAATTCTCCTTATCCTCCCCACCCCACTCACCCACCAGCTCCAGCCCCAGTCCACTACTCATTTAGTTTTTTTTCCTATTCTGGACATTCCATAAAAATGGAATCAAACAATACTTTTTATTAAAATCTGGACGTTTTAAATAATATAATGTGTCAGCACTGGTAATCAGATCTCCTCTCTTTTCTGGGCTGTGTTGCTGTTTCTTTTTTCTGTTGCCATAGTTGTTGTTTATTTGGCTATTAATTTTACTGGACCGGTTCTTTAAAGTCTGTTCCCTGCCTTGTTGGTAGCTTGTAGCCTAAAAAAAGTTACACTGCAAAGTATGAGCATTCCAATTTCTCATCATACTCAACAACACCTGTTATTGTCTTTCTACTATAGGTTTTAGCCACTCTACTTAGTATAAAGCTGTATATCATGATGGTTTTGATTTACATGTTCCTAATAGTGATATTGAGCATTTTTTCATGTACTTAGTGACAATTTGTATATCTTCTTTTGAGAAATGGACAGTCAAGTCATTTACCCACTTTTATTTGTGTTATTTATCTTACGGTCTAGTTGTAAGAATTCCTTATTTATTCAGGATATTCTGAATACAAGTTCCTTATCTATGAACACTGTACAAGTTTTTGTCCCATTTTTGTGAGCTGTCTTTTCACTTTTTGATGGTGTCTTTTGAAACACACGTTTTTCATTTAATAAAGTCTAATTTATCTGTTTTTTCACTTTTTTCACTGTACTTTGGGTATCATGTTTAATAAAGTTGTAAAAATTTATTCATGATCTTTTTTCTGTGTGTTTTATAGGTTTAGCTCTGACATTGATGACCTATGATTCATTTTGAGTTCTTCTCTGTATAAGAGGTGAAGTTTATTCTTTTTTTGTAGCTATCCAGTTGTTCCAGAACCACTCGCTAGAAAGTCTGTTCTTTCCTCATTGAATTGTATTTGTACTTTTAGCTGTTTTAACATCTTTGTCAACTAATTTCGGTATCCAGCTTATCTCTGTGTTGTTATCTGGTGATTGACTTTTGTCACTCTTATTGTTATTGTCCATGTTCTGGGTATCATAAGTGATTTTTAAATTGTATTCTGGACATTTTAAATTCCATGTTAGAAGACTGTGAGTCCTATTTAATTTTCCTTTTTAGCACAAGGTCTAGATGGATCTGCATGTTTTTATCTTCAAACTGGATCACACTGATGCAGGATTTTTCTCCCCCTTCATTGGACTTGTGATGGAGGTGCCCCATTTACTCAGGCTGCCACACTCAACCCCTTGTGGGAGTGAGCAAATGAGCAAGCTCCATGGCAGTGCCCAGGTTGGGGTGCCTGCAAACCCTGAAGCACCAGAAGGAATATTACAATGCTTTCTTAGCTCCGCCATCCATGGACAGCTGTATGTTATCAGATCGGGGGACCCTCACCTTATCTTGTGGGGTGGCTGCCCCCTCCACCAGGAAGGGCAAAGGGCCAGCATGACAACTTTCTTTGGGTACTGACATTCAGTGGGTCCCGAACTCTTGTCTGGCATCCAAGAATGAGGTTGTTTGGAAACTTGAAGGATGGTGAAAGCGAAGAAATTTGTTAAGTGATGGAAATGGCTCTCAGTGGAGAAGAGAGCTGGAAAGGGAGTGGGACAGACAGGTAATCTTCTCCTGAAGTCTGGCCATCTCTGGATGGCTCTTCCCTGAAGTGAAGCCATCTTTCTGAATTTAAGCCACCTCTCTTCTGAAATCCAACTGTCCTCTGAAGTTAATTGGCCTTTCTCTAGTCAAGCGACTTTTTCCCCTCTATTGACTGAGTCTGGGGTCTTTATAGGCACAGGATTGGGAGGTGGTGGGGGGCCATAGGTAGTTTTGGAAAAGGCAATTTTTGATTGGTTAAAAGACATTATTTAGAAAGACCCAATCAGGAGACAGCAGGCAAACAGGGATGGAAGTTCTCACTTTGGGCCATGGGTTTCAGGCTTTTGGGCTTGAGGGTGGGGTTTCACCAGGACCCACCCCTGTCTGCCTAGAATTTCTGTGTCTCACTATCAACACTGACATCATCACAGAAAATGTGGGTACTGACTCACATGGCTTCATTGCAAACAGCTGGAGTGAGAGCAGCTTAAAGTGGGGCTCCTGCTCTCACTGTCTTGCGGTTTCTAAGTGAGGGTGTAAGATCTCTCTGTATTAAGCTCTCTCTGTGTTCTTTCTGTCTGCCTCTGGGGAGAAGAAAACAGAGGGCTGTCACACCCCTGTGGCTACATTGTGAAGGCATAACTTAAGCTCCCTCCAGGCCCCTTTGATACCAAGAGAGTAGGGAGGGGGAAGCAGGCCATGAAGAGCCCTACCTCTCACCCCACATTTTGCCCGACTCATGTCCTAGGGAGGTGGGGGCTCCACACACCACTGGGCCCTGCTGACAACAGAGAAAGGGGTAACCCAGTGTTAATTCTTCCATTCTGCATCATTGCTGAGTACTTCATACTATGTTGAGTACTCTGGGAATAAAATAATAAGAAACTTGATTTCTAGCCACAGACATTTTAATTTTATTGAACAGATGAAACGAAATGCAAAATATTGAAACATATCCTCAAAGCAGCATCACTGCTTACACGACTTTTTAGCACCAGTTTTATAGTTTTCATGAAATAAAAAAGAAAGTGCAAACAGGGAGGACACAGTGACTAGTGTGGCAAAGAAGGCAGTATTGAAAATGTAATTTGAGAAGGGGCTGGGGAAAGGTGAAATTTGTACTGAAATATTGGAACATTATCTGTATCCTGGAGGCCCCTTCACTTTTTCTGCCAGCCACTACTCCAAATGTAGCCACTATTCTGAATTTTATTAATTTAATAATTTTTATACTTCATAAATGGAAATAATACAGTATATACAAGTTAGTGTGTAAATTGTCTAGTCAACATGATGCTTGTGATAATCATCAATGCTACTGCAAGTAGCAGTAGTTCGGTCATACTCATTGTGCCATTGGTTGGATATATCACAATTTATTAATGCTTTCTACTGTTTTATGTATTTTTTATTTTTAAATTGACAAAAATTGTATATATTTTTAGTGTACAACATGATGATTTAGTATATGTATATACTGTGAAATGGCTAAATAAAATTACTTAACAAGCATTTTCTGCCATACTTTTAAAATTTATTTTTAATTGACAAATAATAGTTGCGTATATTTATGGGGTATAATGTGATGTTTTATTTACATATACTTTGTAGAAAGAATCAAGCTAATATATCTGTCACCTCATAAACTTATTTTTTTTGTGGTGAGAACATTAAAAAATCTATTCTTTTAGCAGTTTTGAAATATACAATGTGTTATTATTAGCTGTGGTCACCATGCAGTGCAGTAAATTACTTCTTCCTCTAGTCTAACTGAAACTTTGTTCTCTTTGATCAGTCTCTATCCTTTCCTCATCCCTACCCCCTTCCTAGCCTCTGATAACCCCTTTTCTATTCTCTGTTTCTATGAAATCAACTTTTATGTGAGCTGCATATAAGTGAGTTCATACAGTATTTGTCTTTCTGTGCCTAGCTTATCTTCACTTAGCATAAAATCCTCCAGTTCCATCCATGTTGTCAAAAAGAACAAAATTTCCTACTTATTAAAGGCTGTATGGTACTCCATTGCATATATAGGTATATCTCACATTTTGTTTATCAATGGATATTTAGGTGCTTCCATATCTTGGCTGTTGTGAATAGTGCTGCGATGAATATGGAAATGCAGCATGGGGGAAAAGTTAAATGACATTGGTCTGGGCAATGATTTCTTGGATAGGACTCCAAAAGCACAGGCAACAAAAGCAAATACAGAGAAGTGGGATTATGCCAAATTGAAAAGGTTCTGCACAGCACAGGAAACAATTAACAGAGTGAATAAACAACTCATGAATTGGGAAAAAACATCTGGAAACCATGCATCAGATAAGGAGCTAATAATGCAAAGATATAAGGAGCTCAAACAAGTCAGTCAAGAAAACAAAAAACTCAGCAAAAAATGTCAAGAATCTAAACAGACACTTCTCAAAAGAAACACGAAAATGGCCAACAGTTGTATGAAAAAATCACTAATCATCACTAATCAATATCACTAATCATCAGGAAAATGCAAATTAAAACCACAATGAGATATCACCTCACACCTGTAAGAATGGCTATTATCAAAAAGAAGAATGATAGCAAGTGTTGGTGAGGATGTAGTGAAAATGGAACTCTTGTGCACTATTGGTAGGAATGTAAATGAGTACAGCCATTTTTGAAAATAGTATGGGAGTTCCTTAAAAAACAAAAAATAGAACCACCATGTGATCTAGCAGTCCCACTTCTGGGTATGAATGTGTAAAAAATTGTTATAAAATTATACAAAATTGGGTATATCCAGAGGAATTGAAATCAGTATTTCAACAGTATGTCAAAGAGATTTCTGCATTCGCATGTTCATTTCAGCATTACATACTTGTGTATGTGTGTGTGTGTGTGTGTGTGTGTGTGCGTGTGTGGTCAGAACACTTAAAATCTACTCTTTTAGCAATTTTCAAGTATATAATACTCTTTTACTACTTATAGTCACCATGATATACAATAGATTGCATGCCACTGTTAATGCGCATTTGAGTAGTTTCCAGTTTGGAGGTATTCTGAATAAAAATAATAAGAATATTTTAGAATATGTAATTACCCATGAATAAATTGCTGGGAAATATTGTGTACATATGTTCAGTTATTTTTCAAATGCTCAACTTGACTGATGTTAAATTTTCATACAATTATAATTAAAGCACTTTGTGTACATTTTCATTGATTATGAAAAATATATTGATCCTATAAACACAACTTCCATTAAGATGACAAACATTTCTGTGATCCCAGAAGCTTTCCTCCTGACTCTTTCAGTAATCACACTTATGCCTAGCCCTGGAAACTACTGCTCTGTTCTCAACCATAATTTATTAGTTTGCCTGCCAGAGACACAACACAAATATACAATTTTGTACATCCTCTGTTGTGTCTGGCTTCTTTTCCACAACATAAAGTTTTAGAGCACCATTCATGTTGTTCGTATCAGTATTTTGTTACTTCTCATTGCTGAGCAGCATTTCATGGCAGGGCTATGCCACTGTGTGTTTATTCACCTGGGTATCCACATATGCCCATTGGAGTTACTCCAAATTTTCTTGCGTAAGTCTCTTTTTAGACATACGTTTCCATTTATCTTCATTAAACACCTCAGAGTGGATATAACAGGTCAGATGGCAACTGAATGTTTAATTTTATAAGAAATTGTTAACACATTTTCTAAGAAAAGAGTATTATACAGAATAATATCACTTCTCTGTATTGAATTATCTTGGCTCTTTTGAGAAAAATCAATAGTAAATGTTCAGATCTATTTCTGGACTGTATATTCTCCTCAGTTGAAAAATGCATCTATCTTTATATCACTATTTGAGTCTCTTCATTATTGTAGCTTTGGAAAGTTCTTGAAATCAGTGAGTTTAAGTCCTCCAACTTAATTCTTGTTTTTCAATATTATGTTCTAGGGATTAATTTCAGGTTCTTTCATGAAGAATAACACTGTGAACTTCTACCAAAAAATTAAAAATATAAAAAGCATGTAAGGATATTGATTAAATAAATCCTGATGGTAAGTTAGCTACATTGAGCTGGGGTCACATTCCTCCTCAAAAGGGCATATAGACGCCAGCTCCACCACCTTCCTCCCATTTTTTTCTTACATGTATTTTCCATAATATATTTCTCTCCTGTTGAGAACTGTCTTGATGCCTTTACTTCTCAGAGGCCCTGAACTAACAAAACAGGGGAGAAAAGAACCCATTCCAGCATATTGATTTTGATAGATTTTTAAATAAATAATATTTAAATACATAATAAATAAACTTTAAATCAATAATATTTTCAAATAAACTTTGGTACATTAGACAGTTCAGCAATATTGAGTCTTCTAATCTGTGAACAAGATATAGGTCCTTTTTAAATTTAAATATTTTTATTCATGTTTCCAGTGTAGAGATATACAAAATTTTACAAAATTAATGTCTACTAGGCTAGGCTTTTTCATGCTATTGTAAATGTTATCTTTTTTTTTTTTTTTTTTTTTTTTGAGACAGAGTCTCGCTCTGTCTCCCAGGCTGGAGTGCAGTGGCATGATTTCAGCTCACTGCAAGCGCCGCTTTCTGGGTTCATGCCATTCTCCTGCCTCAACCCCCCGAGTAGCTGGGACTACAGGTGCCCACCACCATGTCTGGCTAATTTGTTTGTATTTTGTTTAGTAGAGACGGGGTTTCACCGTGTTAGCCAGGATGGTCTCTATCTCCTGACCTCGTGATCCGCCCGCCTCGGCCTCCCAAAGTGCTGGGATTACAGGCATGAGCCACCGTGTCCAGCCTGCAAATGGTATCTTTTAAAATTTAATTTTCTTATTTGTTGTTGCTGGCATATAAATATAATTGAATTTGTTATTTTCACAATGTAAGCTCTTAACTTGCTAAATTGCTTTATTATTCTGTGGTGTTTTTCTTTCTCTCAATTCCTTAAGATTTTCTATATTGACAATCATGTCATCTATTAATGAAATTTTTCTTCAAGTTTTCTAAGCTCTATCCTTTTCTTCTTTGTCCTCCTTGACAGTGCTGGACAGGGACAAGAGTGGGCATCCTCACCTTATTTTCACTCTTGGGGTAAAAGAGCTCAGTGTTTCAACATTAAATATTACGTGACTTGTAGATTTTAGTATCTGCCCTTCATCAACTTGAGGAAGTTCTCTTAATGTGCTGAGCACTTTTTGTCATGAATGACTATTGAATTTAGTCAAATGATTTTTTACATTGTTGGGTTGATCATATGTTTCTTCTTTTTTACTCTGCTACTGTGGAATATTCTTTTTATTGATTTCCAATGTTAAACAAACCTTGTGTTGTTGGAATAAACCTCACTAAATTTCGATGGATTTCTCTATTTTTATATTGCCTGATTTAATTTGGTAGGATTTTGTTCATGATATTTGATTGTATGTTTGTAAAAATATTGTCCTGTGCTTCTCATTTCTTGTAATGTATCTGCCAGGGTTTGGAGTCAGGGCTTTGCTGACTTCATTAAAACATTCTGGGATGGGTTCTTTTCTCCCCTGTTGTGTTAGTTCAGGGCCCCTGAGAAGAAAAGACATCAAGACAGTTCTCAACAGGAGAGAAACGTATTGTGGAAAATATATGTAAGAGAAAACGGGAAGAAGCTGGTGGAGCTGGCGTCTATATGTCCTTTAGAGGAGGAATGTGACCCCAGCTCAGTGTAGCTAACTTACCATCAGGAGGCTAGCTGGTGTCCTCAAGAGCTGTGTCACACTAGAGAGTCAATGTTGGTCTCTGTTGCAGGAAGGTTAACATTCAGGGAAGCACTGGGCTGGGTCCACATGCAGCTCCATCCTTGTGCTCAGCTCTTGTGTCCATAGTGCCAGCTCTGGCAAGAGGGACGACAAAGGCTGGTTAACATCAGCTGGCGGGGTTATAGTGTCGATTTGGTCGTTCAGTGCCTGTTCCATGGCCGATGCTTTCTAGCAGACATAATGGAAAGGATATGAGCACTTTTCCCCTTTGTGCCTTACCTCCCATCTTATATCCTCCACATTCCTTTATCCCAGACTCCTTTGTTCTCTAGTAATTTTTTTTTTTTGCAAACACCTCATCACATGGCCAAGTAATTGGCTATTGTCCAGAAATCTCCATGGAGTCTTATCTTCCGCCACTTCACTTTCCACAATAGTGTATGACTAGGTGCATTGCTCACAGTTCTGACCATGGGAAGATGTCCTCCTTTCATTTTTCAAGGTCACTTCTGCATGTGTCGACAATGCATCCCTATCTATTTTCAGTTTACACCTACACACAAGTCAACACATCTTCAAACCAAGTGCAGGGTTCTTTCCTTCTCTTCTGGCCTACTGTGTAAGAACTCTACCCTATATGTCCACAGATATTAGCCGGGCTAGGGACAGTGTGGTAGAAGGTCTGTGGTTCATGCGGTGTGTCCGTGCACTCTGCCTGCATACATTTGGGATATTTCATCTTTCACTTAAAATGGACTGCTTCTGGGCCTGGCAACTTACCAGGTTTGACAGGACCCAGCTCAAAATGGACAGTTCTAGATGCATGCATACATTGTAATACATGGTCATGTGACCCATTTCCACCAGGGTCCAGGAACCCACCCAAAGATATTTTCTGAAGCATGTAACGCTGGACGGATGTAATGCCTAGACCCCGGTCCTGCACTGTGACTCCCCTACTGGGGCGTAAGTAAAGTCCACTCTGCTGTCTTCCCACAGTGTTGGCTAGGTCATATGGCCCAAGGAGCAGATGGCATCAATGGTGCCCTTCCCTCCTCCAGGTCCCACACAAGGCTGGCAGCCCTCTACGGCCAGAGCAATATTTCTAGAGATACAATGTGCTGCCCCTAGAGTCCACAAAGCCCTGCCATAGTGCTCTTTCTTTATGTTAAGGGTACAAGATACAACATATTGTCTTTACTGTGAAGGGGCTATCCTGGCATACCCCTCACCCCTAGGGCCCTTAAATCTTCATTGATGAAGTCAGTTCTCAAATCCTTGAAGAGTTTATCTCTACCCACTGGGCACATGTTTTCTACCAGGGCCTCCAGGGTGCTATTCAGATCTTGCTCCTTCTATACAATCAGCAGGATGCTGTCAATACAATGGATCTGAGAGCTGCCTTTGGGAAGACCAGAGGGCCCAAACACTTCACACTACATTATGATGCCAGTAGAAGACTAAATCTAGCCCTGAGTTAAATGAACAATGTTTTTCGTCTCTCATGGATAAAAATCACTTTGAATCGTCTTTTCTAATTGAAACAGAAAGGAGAACATTTGCTAAATTAATGGCCACAGACCCTGTACCTGACCTTATTAAAGTACTCTAGTAAGGAGACTCCATCTGGTCCCAAAGCCTCTTTGCCAAAGTCTGCCAGGATCTACAACAGGACCAAATCTGGTCCACCACCTGCTTTTGTATGACCTGTGAGCTAAGATGGCTTTTCCATGCTTTTTAAAAATTATTTTAAAAGCAGTTTTAGGTTTACATAAAAAATGAGTAGAAAATACAGACAATTTCAATTCAACTTGTATTTTCCCCGTTTCCTTTTTTATTAAAATTATGAAATAGTATACATTAGTTATAATTTATGAGGCAATGTTGATAGATTATCAACTAAAGCTCTGTAGTTTATGCTAGGGTTTACTCTTGGTGTTGCTTATTCTGACTTTTGACAATGTATAATGACATATCTCAACCATCAGAGTATTGTACAGAATAATATCACTGCCCTAAAAATCCTCTGTGTTCCACCTATTCATCCCTTCCTCACCCCCAATCCCTGGCAATCACTGATTCTTTTACTATCTCCATAGTTTTGGCTTTTCCAGAATGTCATATAACTGGATTCCTATAGTATGCAGCTTTTTAGATTGTTTTTTTCACTAGTAACATGGACTTAATGTTTCTCTGTGACTTTTCATGGCTTGATAGATTATTTTCACTTAGTGCCAAATAATATCCACTTGTCTGGATGTAGCAGTTTATTTATCTTTTCACCTACTGAAGGACATCTTGATTGCTTCCAGGTTTTGGCGATTATGAACAAAGCAGCTATAAACATCCAAGTGCAGGTTTTTGCATGGATGATGCAAGATTTTTGCTCCTTAGTTCAGCTAAATCCAGGTTCTTGTCTCATGACCAGGAAAAATTAGGCACAAAGACACATTGAAGGGTGAGGAGGATGGAATTTATTAGGCTAAAGGAAAGCGCTCAGCAAAGAGAGGAGTTTTCCAAGCAGGTTTCCCCCTCAGAATGAAGTACCAGGATTTCCACACACGAGCCGAAGAGGCCAGGCTCCTCCTTTGTATAAGGAGCAAATTCCTGTTGACTCCACCCCACCCTTCCAGTGCACATGAGGGCCCTTAGTCTGAGCCACTCCACATTGATTTATTTCCCTTACTATGCATGTAGTAAGAGATGGGATTTTTCACTGTGGGCATGTTTCGGCAAGACCCCTGTGCATAATGGCCTGGGTGGGTCAGAGGTTCCCCAGGGACCCTCCCCTAAATATATAGGAGAGTTCTGTGCCTCCTGCCTTTATCATAGAAATAACTTTTCAGTTCTTTTGGTCAAATATCAAGGAGCATGATTGCTAGATCCTATTGTAAGGTTGTGTTTAGTTGTGTAAGAAACTGCTGAACTGTCTTCCAAAGAGACTGAACAGTTTTCATTCCCACTAGCAATGAATGAGCATTCCTGTGGCTCCACATTCTTGCCAGCATTTGGTGTCATCAGTGTTCTGGATTTGGGCTATTCTAATTGGTGTGTAGTGGTATGTCATTCCTTTAATTTTTTTATTTTTATAGATTTAGGGGGCACAAGTGTCATTTTGTTATATGGTTATGTGGCATAGTGGTGAAGTCTGGGCTTTTGGTGTAACCATCACCCTAATAGTGTACATTGTAACCATTAGGTAATTCCTCACCCCTCACCTGCCCCCACACTTCCTAGTCTCGTGTCCATTATTCCACTCCATATGTGCATGTGTAGATATTATTTAGCTCCCTGCTATAGGTAAGAACATATGCTATTTGACTCTCTGTTTCTGAATTCTACTTAAGACAATGGCTTCCAGTTTCATTCTGATTTTAATTTGAATTTTCTTGGTGGCATATGATGTTAACTGCCTCTTCATATGCTTATCTGCCATCTGTATATGTTCTCTGATGGGGTGCCTGTCATTGTCTTTGGCTTATGTTTTTGTTCACTTGTTTGTATTCTTATTGTTGAGTTGTAAGGGTTCTTTGCACATTTTTGAATGGAAGGCATTCTTCATTTATGTTGCAGTGCTTTTGATCTCTCACACTGCCTTTTGATTCTTTCTTAGAGTTTCTGTGTCTCTGCTTCACTGCCCATCTGCTCTTGCATGCTGTCTATGTTATTCATTAAAGCCTTTAACATATTAATCATAGTTGTTCTCAATATCTGGTCTTATAACATGAACATCTCTTTCATATCTGAGCCTCGTTCTGATGCTTACCATCTCTTCAAACTGTGTTTTTTCTTTTATAGCACTGTGGAATTTTTGTTGATACCTGGAAGTGATGTACTACATAAAAGAAACTGGGGTAAATAGGCTGTTTGTGGGTTTTTTTTATTTATTTAGTTTTTTATTATTTTACTGTGATATTAGCATAAGTAGCTATGAAACAGAATACAGAGTCCAGGAAAAGAAACACATATATGGTCACTGGATTTTCAACAGAGGTCAAAGGTAAGTAGTTGGAGAAAGTTTTTCTGGCTAGAGTTGAGGCTGTGTTTGCAGTAGCTGTGAGTGTCAATGGCTAAAAATTGCCTCCATTGCTGTTTTTGTCTGCATGCCCCTGCCATCACAGTAGTAGTGCAGCTCCTACTAGGTGAGTGGGATTGCCTCTGCACTTCTTGGGGATCCAGAGGGGAACTGCAGAGTCAACACCCAGGGTACATCCATCCAAGTGTCCCAAGTTTTAGGGTATCAGGTTTTCCCCCCAGGCCCTGCTATGTTCATAACACTCCTGTCATGGCTGGGCATTCAAATATCCTGAGCCCTGAGACCCTAACCGTGAGGTGGCCGCATGCTGCCCAGCTGTCTCTGCCTGTCATATGCAGGGAACAGAGGCTCTTTGTGAGTTGCTACTGATGCCCTGTGGCTTCCACACTTACTCATTGTTTTTTTTTTTTTTTTTTTGAGACAGAGTCTCACTCTGTCGCCCAGGCTGGAGTGCAGTGGTGCGATCTCGGCTCACTGCAAGCTCTGCCTCCTGGGTTCACACCATTCTCCTGCCTCAGCCTCCAGAGTAGCTGGGACTTCAGGTGCCCGCCACCATGCCTGGCTAATTTTTTGTATTTTTAGTAGAGATGGGGTTTCAACAAGTTAGCCAGGATGGTCTCTATCTCCTGACCTCGTGATCCTCCCGCCTTGGCCTCCCAAAGTGCTGGGATTACAGGTGTCAGCCACCACGCCAGCCCTCAGCCATTGTTCTTAGCAGCCTTCAGTGTCTCCCAGTTTTCCTTCAGGGCATACATACAACCTGGCAAAGCCCACCCAATTCTGCTCTTTCTGCCTATGTTCCTTGAATAATTTTTCAAGTAAAAATTATCTTACTTGCCACAATATTCTCCACTAGGATGTTTTCCCAGTTGATTTTAAGTGAAACCACCAAATTGTTCCAGGGACCATCTCTTTCCCACTTAGTAGACACGGCACCGTCCTCTTTGTCTGCTAGGCTATAGATGAGCCCAGGTTGTCAGCACACAACTACCCCTGCTTCCTCAGACCACTCCTAGTGTCACTCATTTTAGTCCTAGTGTTTTAGCCTCTTTAAGGCAAGAAGAAGAAGGGATTAAACACACAAGCAGTTTATTAGGTGAAATCCCTGTGAGAGAAAATGCTGAAAAACCTGGAAGAGGTTGGGAGAGCCATCAGACTGCAATGAACGTCTGAGTTCGAGTGGGGAAGAGTGAAAAAGGAAGGACAATGAGGGAAAGCTTCTTAGACTACGGTGACATTCTAAAGAGTTTCAGTGAGGACATTGGGGACTTGCCCTCCATCAGAGAATCCTGGAGTCTCCTGGCAATGCGTCTCCCTCAGCAACCCTTCCACGTTCAGGTGCTGGTTTGGAAGTGCCCATGGGAAAGAACCTTTCCACAAGTGCAGTGATTGATTTCACAGTGCAGTAGCCCGGTCAATTACACACCTGCATCCAGAGCACTGAAATGCGCGGTCTCATAACCTTTTCTATATTCTGACAGATTTTGCATAAAATTGTTGTTATTTTTCCTTAAAATGTTTAATGGCATTCAAAGTGCAAGTGTCTAGATCTAGACTTCTTTGTAAGAAGATGGTGGATTACACATTCATAGTCTTTACTACATAAGACTTCCTATTTTAAAAATCATTTGTAAATTTTATCTACACTGTCAAATTTATTGCTATATAATTGTTCTTCTATTTCCTTATTATCTTTCTAGTATCTGTGGGATCTTTCGTACTATGTCTTATTTGGGTCTTGATTTGGAAATCTTTGTGTTTTCATTATTCTTGCTAGGTGTTTATTAATTTAATCCATATTTCCACAAGCCAACTTGCTTCTTTTTAAATTTGCTCAATTCTTTTCCTTATTTTTATTTTATTGATTTTTGCTTAGTTTTTTATTATGTTACGTGATATTAGCATAAGTAGATATGAAACAGAATACAGAGTCCAGGAAAAGACACACATATATGGTCACTGGATTTTCAACAGAGGTCAAAGGTAAGTAGTTGGAGAAAGTGTAGCCTTTTCAACAAATAGTACTAGAGTAATTGGATATTCATAAACATAAAAAGTGATTTATTCTTCCCATCAATTACAAAAACTAAATGACTCATAGACCTAAAGGCAAAACCTAAAGACAAAACCACTTGGAGAAAACCTAGGAGAATATATTTGTGCCTTTATGTTAGGCAAAAATTTTCCTTATATTCCACCAAAATAATAATCCATAGTAGACAACAATTGGTGAATTGGACTTTATTAGAATTAAGAACTTATTGTTTGAAAGGTACTGCTAAAAGAATAAAAGAGAAGACACGTGGGGAGAACATATTTGCAATTCAAGTATATGATAAAGGACATATTCTGTATATATACAAAAAACAAAATGAAACTAGAAGAAACCCTAAAACTCAAAGTTTAATAATAAAGCAAACAACACACTTGAACAGACATTTCACAAAAGAAAATATATAGGTGGTTAGCAAGTACATGAAAAGATGCTTAACATAGTTATGTATTAGAAAAATGCAAATTAAAATATAATAGCCCACAATGTAGTGTAAAATTACACTATTTACATGTGTAATTTTTAAATACTGACAATAGCAAGTCCTGGAAAGGATGTGAAGCAACTGAAATTCTCACCCATGAAAAGTATAACCGCTTTGTAAAACAGATGGGCAATTTCCAAAATGATCTTATGCTTACCCTATGAGCAATCATCCCACTTCTAATTATTTACCCAAGAGAAATAAAACCATATGTTCTTACAATGTTTTGTAGACAAATGTTCTAGTCAAAAACTGGACACAACCCAAATATTCATCACTAGATAAATGAATAAACAAACAAAAATGAATAAATTATTGATTCATGCAGGAGAATGTTATTCCACTTTCTGCCATGCCTCTGTAACTTCTGTTAAGAAATCTCTTGGAATATGCATACTTGTTCTTCTGTGTATAATGTATCTTTCATCCGTGAGTGATGTTAACATTTTCTATCTTTGTTTCTAGCAGTTCTACTATTATGTTCCTTGATTAGATTTTTCTCCTTCCTTCCTTACTTCCTTCTTTCCTTCCTGTCTTTATTTCTTCCTTCCTTTCCTCTTTCATTCTTTCCTTCCTTTATTCCTTTTCTTTTTTCTTCCTTTCTCTTTCTCTTTCTGTCTTTCTACTTCTCTGCCTCCTTCCCGCTCTGATCTCTCTTATATATATATAATATATAATATTTTGCTTGAGATTTGTTGAGATTCTTGAACTTTTAAATTCATACTTATCATCAAAATTAAAAAGTTTTATCCCATGATTTTTTCCATTTATTTTCTCCTTTTTTTGTTGAGGAGCTCTATTCTATGTGACATTGCTCCACACATTCCTGACGCTCTGCTCATTTTTCATAAATCTTTTTCCCTGCTCTTCAGATTATATTATTTATATTAATCTATCTTTAGACATTTTCTTCTCTTGTCAAGTATCTTCTGTTAACTACACCCTGTGAAATATTTTTAGTACCACTCTGTTCTGAATTTTCGTTTAGTTCTTTCTTATGTTTTCTATGCTGAGATTTTTGACCTATTAATTCTTTAAGATTATGCTTATCTTTATATCCTCAAACATCTTTATAGTATCTGCTTTGACATCTCTTTTGTACTTAGTGCAAGGTTTCGGTGTCTAATTCTGGGGTTTTATTGTACTTTTATTTCTTGATTATCAATTCTTTTTTGTTTCTTTTGTATTATATATATAGAAAATCTTAATCATCAGTTTGAGAATTCTAGACACTATATATGCTGGTTAACAGTGGGACATGTATAATATGGAGGTTTTAATCTTTATTTCCCTTATAACTAATGAAATTGACCATATTTTCATATTTATATCTTCTCACAATTTTATATATTTCATTTTTTCTATTGCTTCTTCATAATGTTCTTATTGTTTTGCAGGTGCTCACTATACAGTGTGTGTGTGACCTTTTCATTTTCTCATCTACTCTATTGGCTGATTTCTAAATGAACTAATGATTTTTTTCAATAAGCACAAGTTACTAATTTTAATATGGCCCAATTTAGACACTTTTCCTTTACATTTGGCATACCTTGGAACTCTTCTTAAGAAATCTTTTTATATTCCGTGATCACAGAGATAATTATCTGTTTCCTTCCAGAAACATTATCTCTTTACCTTTCACATTTGAGCCTCCAAAATGTGTGTAATTGATTATTTTTAGTATGAAATGATATAATAATCAAGATCCATATATATTTATTTCTGTACAGATATCCCATCAACTTAGCAATTTGTTAAAAGGACAATTTGCCCCTCATAGCACTCCCATATTACATTTTATAAATCAGGTTTCTGTAAATGTATGACTCTGTTGCTGGGCCAATATCATATTATCTTCATTACTGTTGCTTTAGGATTGAGTTTTATATCTGCTACTTCAAGTCGTCTTTTTATTAAAAAATTATTTTCATGCTATGAATTCTAATAGTTGATTGCAAACTTTTCTGAATTTTCTTCAGAGAAAATTATGTCATATATAAATAAAAAGGTTTTTGTTTTTGTTTCTGTTTTTGTTTTTTTCAGTGCTTGAGATTTTATTATTGTGGTGTGGTTGTTTTCCTATACCCTAAGAGATATCCAGTAAAATGATATACATGATATTAGACATCTGTTATCACAAATAAAGCTTTTAGAATGTCCCTGCTTAGCATTATTTGTTGTAATTTTTTGTTCCTCTTGATATATTTTTTGTGATTAAGAAAATGTGTTTTAATTCTGCTTGTTAGAATTCTTAGCTTGAATGTTTGCTGAACTCTGTTGATTTCTTTCACTGTATCTTTCAATAATTTCATTTTATTTTTTCTCAATTTTTCTATTAATATGCTATATTGCTAATTTCTAAAAGTTTCTTTTTCTTTACTGTGGTAAAAATAAAATATATAACATAAAACCTACCATTTCATACATTTTAAGTGTTAGTTCCAGCGATATTAATGACATTTGTAATGTTCTGCAACCATCACTGCTATCTATTACCAAAACGTTTCATTACCCCTAATGGAAACCCTGCACCCATTAAGGAATACCTCTTCTTTTGCCCCCTCCATTTTCCCCTGGTAACTTATAGTATATTTAGTTAATAATTTGCCTACTCTAGATATTTCATATGAGCAGACTCATACAATATTTGTTCATTTGTGTCAGGCTTATTTCATGTAGCATCGTGTTTTTAAGACTCACTCATGTTGTAGTATATTTCAGAACTTCATTCCTTTTTTATAGTCAAATAGTAGTCTATTGTATTTATCTATTACATTTTGTTTATCCATTGATCTGTTCAGGGACATGAGTTTTTTTCACCATTTGGCTCTTGTGAATAATGCTACAGACAAGTATCTGTTTTGGTCCCTGTTTTCATTTCTTTTGAGGGTACCCTTGCTGGGAATTGCTGGGTCACATGGTAATTTTATATTTATGGAGAATTACTAAACTGTTTTTCAGAGCAGCTCTATTTGACATTCTCACCAGCAATGTATGAGTTCCAATTTCTCCATATTCTTATGAACACTTATTTTTTTCTCCCTTTCCTTTTAGTTCCTTTCTGTTTTTTTTTTAATTATAATGTAACTGTCTGCATAGAGTGCAGTGATATTTCATGGTTTTAATGTGACTTTCTCTAACAATTAGGGATATTGAGCATATTTTATGTCCTATTAAATCATTTGTATATCTTATGAGAAGTGTCTATTCAAGCCTTTTGCCCATTTTTAAATTAGGTTGTTTATCTTTTTGTTATTGACTTGTGGGAGTCATTTACACATTCTGGTATTCAACTCAGCTATATGATTAGCTATAGAATCAGCTATGTGATTAGCAAATGTTTTCTCCCATCCTGTAGGTTGTTGCTGTTTTTTTTCACTTTTTAAAATAAGGTTATTTGCTACATAAAAGGTTTTTAAAAGTTTTTATGAAGTTCTATTTATCTAATATTTATTTATTTTGTTTTTGGTATCATATCTAAAAATCCACTTCTAAATCGAAGGTCACGAAGATTCATTTACCCCTATATTTTCTCCTAAGCATCATATGTTATTATCTTATATATAGGTCATCTATTTATTTTTAGTTAATTATTATATATGATATGAGGTAGATGTCCAACTTCATTCATTTGCATGTGGAATCCAGTTGTGCCAACACCATTTGTTGAAAATACTATGCTTTACCCATTGAGTGTTCATGATATCCTTGTCGAAAATCAGCTGGTCACAGATGTACGGGATTATTTCTGGGTTTACAATTCTGTTCCATGGGTCTCATGTCTCTGTTTTTACCAGTATCACACTGTTACGATTACTTTCACTTTGCAGTAAATTTTGAAATCAGGGAAGTAAGTATTCAACTTTGTTCTTTTACAAAGTTTCATATTAATTTAAGCAATGGCTTTTCTATTTTTGCAAAAAAAGCCATAGGAAATTTAATAGGTATTCTGTGTCTTAATAGTAAGTCTTCCTATTCATCAACACAGGATGTCTTTCCATTTACTTAGGCTTCTTAAATCTATTTCAGTAATGTTTTGTAATTTTCAGTGTGCACGTACTTCACTTCCTTGGTGAAATTTATTCCCAGGTATAATCTTTTAGATGCTACTATGAATGTAATTACTCTCAATATCCTTTGCAGACTCTTCATGGCCGTTGAACAAAATCACAGCTGATATTTCCATGTTGATTTTGTACTCTGAAACTTACTGAATTTTTTTATTAGCTCTAGCAATCTTCCTGAGGAATCTTTGGAATTTTCTGTGTGTAGGATCACTTATCTGTAAATAAAGATAGTTTTACTTCTTCCTTTCCAATTTTGATTATATTTGTTTATTTTTTTTGCCCGGTTGTTCTCACTAAATCTTCCAGTAAAAATATTGAATAACATTAGTAAAAGTGGGCATCTTCATCTTGTTCCTGATCATGGGGGAAAGCTTGTAGACTTTCACCACTGAGTGTGATGCTAGCTGTGGGCTTCTATAAATGTAGTTTATCATGTTGAGATTATTCTCTTTGGGGTCTCAGTTCTGTATTCTCCTGCAGGGGCCGGAGGGAGGGTGACTGTTTTTAATATGAAGGATTTTGTCAAATGACTATTCTTAGTTAATTGAGATGATGTGTGCTTTTTTTCCCCTCTGTTCTATAATTATGGTGCATTACAATGATTGATTTTCATATGTTGAACCCTTGCACTCCTAGGACAGATTCTACCTGGTCATTGGTTATAATCATTTGAATATGCTATTGGAGTCAGTTTACTGGTATTTTGTTCAGGAACTATGCATCTATATTCATATAAAATATTGATCTCTGATTTTTTTTTAATATATTCTTTTCTGGGTTAGTATCAGGGTCTTAAAGATTGTGTGAGGAAGTGTTATAGACTGTGTGAGGAAGTGTTCCCTCCTTTTGTAGTTTTTGAAAGAGTTTGAGAAAGATTGTTGTTAATTCTTTAAGTATTTGGTAAAATTCACAAGTAAAGCCACCTGGTCTTTTCTTTGTTTGATATTTTTCATTACTGATTCAATCTGTTTACTTGTTATAGATCAATTCGGACCTTCTCTTTCTTCTTGAGTCTGTTTCGGTAATTTACATATTTTAAAAAATTTGACCATGCCATTTTGGCTGTTAAATTTGATGCATATAATTTCTGTTTATTTATTTAGTTAGTTAGTTAGTTATTTTGGAGATGGAGTCTCGCTCTGTCGCCCGGGCTGGAGTGCAGTGGCACAATCTCGGCTCACTGCAAGCCCCGCCTCCCGGGTTCACGCCATTCTCCTGCCTCAGCCTCCCAGTAGCTGGGACTACAGGTACCCGCCACCATGCCCGGCTAATTTTTTGTATTTTTAGTAGAGACGGGTTTCACCTTGTTAGCCATGATAGTCTTGATCTCCTGACCTTGTGATCCACCATCCTCGGCCTCCCAAAGTGCTGGGATTGCAGGTGTGAGCCAAAGCGCATGGCCTGATGATGCATATAATTTCTTATAGTGTTCTCTTATAATCTTTTTAAAAAAATCTGACTGTCACTGTCCCACTTCTATTTCTGATTTTAGTTATTTGTGTATTTTGTATTTATTTATTTTTTGGACAGTCAAACTAAAGCTTGTAATTTTGCTAATCTTCTCAAGAAACCAATTTTTAGGTTCATTAATCCTCTTACTGCTTTCCTTTTTCCTATTTTGTTTACCTTTGTTCTAATCTTTATTATTTCCTTCCTTCTGTTAGCTTTGGGTTTAGTTTGTATTTTTTAAAATGTTATTTCCTTTAGGTGTATGTAAAGTTGGTTATTGATTTGATGTTTTTCTTTCTTTTTAAAATATGCCTGTTTACTGCTATAAATTTCTCTCTGAACTCTACTGTTTTTGCTGCAGCTCAGAAATTTGGCATGCTGTGTCACCACTTCACTCATCTCTATTTTCTAATTTTCCTGGTGATTTTTTTTCTTTGACCCATTGGTTGTTTAAGAACATCTTGTGTAATTTTCAAATATTTGTGAGTTCTCCATTATTCCTTATGTTATTGATTTCAAGCTTCATTACACTGGTCAGATAAGATGTTTTGTATTGTTTCAGTCCTTTTAAATTTATTGAGACTTGTTTTGTAGCCCTACAATACGGTTACCTTGGACAATGTCAATTTTACTACTCTTTTTAAGGAAACTACTTTAACTTTGCTCTTTTTCTCTATCATACCTATTTTTAGATATCTATCTACATCTGTATACTACATTATGTTTAATACATTAGTAGATATGTATTTACATATTTTACTGCATTTTCTTCTCAATTGTTTATTTCTTTGACTCTACATTTCTTAGTTTTTATTTCATCTGTCGATTTTACATTTGAATTATGACTTATTTAAGAATACTTTGTTAAGTTATGGTCTTTTTAAATTATTAATTTCTGCATTAATTTAATTGTGATAAAAATGATACATTAAATGTTTCTGATTCTTTGAACTTTGCAGTTATTTTCTTTATGTGGTAAATTTCTCATTTGTACTTTAAAAATGTGAATTCATTTCCATTATGTATTAAATATATTAATTAAATTATTTTGTAATTGTGGTACTCAATTCCTATGTCCTTACTCATATATTTTCTGTTGATCTGGTGAGCTATTAGTTACGTGAAAGCTCTCACAATGATTTCAGATTTATTTTTCTCATTTTGGGAGTTTTTAAACAATTTTGAAGTCAAGTTTTTCAGTGAAAATTATTCTAGGTTGTATTACTTTCTGTTGAATTGTTCTCTTTATTATGTACATTAAATGCCTATTTCTGAACTTAGTTTTATTATTAGCTTTATACTTGACAAATCTATTTATGTTCCACTTTTGTTCCTTCACTTCTTTCATACTGATGAAACATTATTTTTAGCATTCCATTCCTATTATTTAGTAACCTTTTAGCTATACATTCTTTACTCTTCTTTTAGTGACTATCTTAATAACTTTGATCCTTAACCCATAAAAATTATTAATTTTAGCATTTTCTCCATTCTTCTAGGATCTTATTTAACTCTTTTTTTTTTTTTTTTTTTTTTTTTTGAGACAGAGTCCCGCTCTGTCACCCAGGCTGGAGTGCAGTGGCGCTCTGTCACCCAGGCTGGAGTGCAGTGGCGCGATCTCGGCTCACTGCAAGCTCTGCCTCCCGGGTTCATGCCATTCTCCTGCCTCAGCCTACCTAGTAGCTGGGACTGCAGGCGCCTGCCACCACGCCCGGCTAATTTCTTTTTGCATTTTTAGTAGAGACGGGGTTTTCCACTGTGTTAGCCAGGATGGTGTCAGTCTCCTGACCTCGTGATCCGCACTTTAACTCTTTTCCTCCTCATTATTAACTTTTAAAATTCTTTGTTTTCTATTTTGCCAAACTTTTGGATGATTCTCTTTTGCTCCTTTTTCCTACTTTGTATAAATATAATGTTAGTTTTATTTATTTTTATTTATTATTTTATTTTATTTTATTTTTGAGACGGAGTCTCACTCCATCACCCAGGCTGGAGTGCAGTGGTGCGATCTCGGCTCACTGCAAGCTCCGCCTCCCAGGTTCACGCCATTCTCGTGCCTCAGCCTCCCCAGTAGCTGGGACAACAGGCGCCTGCCACCACGCCTGGCTAATTTCTTTGTATTTATAGTAGAGATGGGGTTTCACCATGTTGGCCAGGATGGTCTCGATTTCCTGACCTCGTGATCCGCCGGCCTCAGCCTCCCCAAGTGCTGGGATTACAGGTGTGAGCCACCGCGCCCGGCCCATGTTACTTTTAGTATTTTGTTCTCATTCTCTATGATTTTGTTAGCTATATTTTCTTCTTCCTTAATTGGTTATCTAGAGATGACAGCATTGATTCTTGGCTTGAATTGTTTAAAACAAGTTACTATTTTTACCATATACTCACTTCTACTTGAATTTACATTTATATCATTTGCTTTCTCTCTCTCTTTCCATGTTGTTGCCATGCACTTTAGTTATCAATGAATTTCAACCTACACGGAGCATTACTTTTTTTGTTTAGTACAATCAGTGTTCATTTATATATATTAACCTTCTCATTCTTTCTTTGCGTACTTTATTTCTTCCTGCATTTTCTTGTTTCCATCTGGCCCTTTTTTCTCTTGTCTGATATACTCTTTTAATTTGCTTTTTAGTGCAGAACTGATTATATAAATTTGCTTCAGTTTTGGTTCCTGAAATCAATCAACTTTATTTTGGAAGATACTTTTGCTTGGTGTAGAATTTTAAAGTGGCTTTTTTTTTTTTTTTGGTCCAGTTCTCCCTATTTTTCATTCCATTTTCCTCTTGTTACAGTCTCTTTGAGGTGTCACTTTGCTGCCTGAAAACCTGTGGCCAGTGGTGCCTTTGCCCAGGTTTTTCTTGGGCCCACTGGGCCTGTTCTGCCCACTCTATCTGGCAGGCTGTGTTCAGCTCATGCTACCAGCCTGGATCCCATACCACCAAGGGAGACTGGAGTCAGGCATGGAGTGTCGAGGGCTGTGTGTAAGAGAGCATGGGGTCTGGCTATTGCACAGTCAGACACACTGGCTGCTGCCAGGGGGCAAGCAGTTCCAGGTGTTCGCATGGGTGCCAGCTCTCTGTGAGGCTGTGGCGGTACCAGGCACACTGCAGGCATCTTCCCTGGCTAGCACCAGGGAATGCGGTGGCACCCGGAAGGTTGGCGATACCAGAAACTACCGGGTCCCAAAGAGGTAATCACAGCCCTGGCTTGGGGAACTCCCAGGTCTGGGCTCCCCAAAGGGCTACAGCTCTTCACTCCTCTTCACTCACAACACGGCAAGCAAGGGGCATATTTCTGTCCTGTCTGTGTTACAGCAGCTCTTTTAGCCTCGCCATTCCGCGGGTCCTGAGTTCTTGTGCTGCTCCCAGGAAAAATGAGGAGACAAATGGAGGGTGAGCAAGATGAAGAGGAGCTTTATTGAGCAATAGAACAGCTCAGAGAAGACCTTCAGTGGGCAACTCCTGTCTGTAGCCAGGGTGTCCTGACAAGTGTTTAGCTCCTAGCAGACAGGGTAGTTGCACTCTGCAGGCCTATCATTTCTACAAGTGTTCAGTTCTCAGCAGAGAGAGTACCACCTCTCTGTAGCTGGTCCTCCCATCTGCTTGGCAGGGAGGAGGCCCTAGATAAGGTGGCTCTTCTCTGCAGGCAGGTTGTCCTGTCTGCAGCTCTCTGCTGAGAGGGTAAGTGCTCTCTGCAGCTGATTGTCCCTTGTTTGTCCATCCTCTGCTCTGGCTGAGCCCCAGGCTTTTATAGACTTCAGAGGGTAGGAAGTGTGCAATGATTGGTCCATGTGCGGCCATGGGCGGCCAAGAGAAGACCCCACAAGTCCCCACTCCAGTCTGCGGGACTGGCAGCCTGGTCCACAGCTTCCAGGCCCTCCCTGGCCTGAAGGAGGGGCCTCTCTTGGGCCCCACCCCCTTTTGCCCAGGAGCCCATCTGCCTCTTGCCACCATCCATGGTGCCCAGGCTCCTTACACCTGCACCTCTCTCCCCTGCTTCCACCCCGGTCCACCCCCGTCATGCTTGTCAGTGCTCAAAGTCTGGAGGGGGCCGAGGCAGCAGAGCCCAAGTGTGCACACACCCAGCTGGGCTGTGACAGCACCCAGGCTCAACCCCAACATTACCCTGAAATTGGAGTGGGCTCCAGGAGTAGAGAGAGGCCTGGCAGTGGGAGCAGACACCTCTGAGCCTGCAAGGGCAAGGGGTGGGGGTGGTTTCCAGGTGCCCAAGAGTGCAGAGAGGCTCAAGGCCACAGTCCTGACTTGCACAGGAGGGCAGAGCTGCGGCCTGCCTCCGGCTTCCAGCTGGTTCCATTGAGTGTGCAGCCCCGGTCATACCCCTTTGCAGCTTGGGGCAGGGGCTCCAGGTCCTCGCTTGGCCCCAGGTTGGTGTCCTGGGAAGGGACAACGTCTATGTGAGCTCCCCTGTCTCCCTGGTATCGAGCTCCCCCTTACCCCGCCTTACTCATCTTTCAGCCCTGCCCGGGGAGTCTCTGGGAGCAGATTGTGGGCCCAGGCCCTGCCATGTAGAGTATCAGGCCTGGTGGTCACCCTGATGAGGGGCGGACCTGGGGACGCAGCCCTGGGTGGCCCTGAGCAGAGCCTCCCCTGAGGCGCAGGAACCTGGCACCAACGCACGGGCCAGGTCCCCGAAGTGGTGCCGCTCCCACTTCCTGCACCGCCTGGAAGCATGGCCCCAGCTCTGCCTCCTCCCTGCACCCTCCCTTCAGCAAAGGCCAATGAGAGAGGTGACGTGGGGCCAGGGTCCAGACTGCAGAAGCTCTGGGCTTTGGGCGGGGAAGGTTGGTGGGGGTGGGGGGGCGGTGGGGTGGTGGGGGGAGGCGGATCCCATGAGGTCAGCCCAGCTGCCGGACAGTGGGGGCAGCTCAGTCGGCTGCTTCCGGGACGCGGGGCACGGGAGACCCACCGAGCCATTGCTGCTCCCCCAGCCGCTCCTGCCACCACCACCCGCGCCTCCGCACTGTGAAGGGCCCGTGTTGCCATCACTATGGCTTGTCATTCTGTCACCTCTAAGTCTTACTTGTGTGTCTTTGAAGGTCGTGGGCTCAAATATGTTTGACCCTTTGAGCATGATTTTAATATCTCTGACAATCTATTCTATTATGTATTTTGTTATTTCTTCTATTTCAGATTCAGTGACCGCGTTTTCTATAGTCTTATATTCCAGTTAAATTATTTGTTCAAAGCATGTTCAATCTGCTTTCAAATTCACTCAGCAAACTATTTCAAATATTGTATTTATTTATTTCTAGATTTAAATGTATTTTTCATTGATTTAAATTCTATGATTTCATTTCTTATTGTTTTAATCAAACTGTCTATTTTTGTTTGTTTGATTTTTTGAGACAGAGTCTTGCTCTTGTCACCCAGCCTGGAGTGCAATGGTGCGATCTTGGCTCACTGCAACCTCCGCCTCCTGGGTTCAAGTGATTCTCTTGCCTCAGCCTCTGGTGTAGCTGGGATTACAGGCATGCACCACCATGCCTGGCTAATTTTTGTATTTTTAATTGAGTCAGGGTTTCACTGTGTTGGCCAGACTGGTCTCGAACTTCTGGCTTCAGGTGATCTGCCCACCTCGAGTTCCCAAAGGGCTGGGATTACAGGCATGAGCCACTGTGCTGGGCCCACATTGTCTATCTTTTATATTTTCTTGAAGATATTAATTATAGTGAAATTTCTTCTTTGTTAATTTAAATACCTGAATTATCTGTGGCTCTGCTCCTGTTTTCTGTTTTGTTTCTCTTACTGTTGATCACATGATCTTCCTTTTTAATGCTATACTTCTTTTTTCACTACATTCTAGACAGTGTATAAAAATCATAGTATTTTAGTTTGATGCAGTCCCATTTGTTTATTTTTGCTTTTGTTGCCTGTGCGTTTGGAGTCAAATCTAAAAAATTTTTGCCTGGTGTACTGTTTTTCTTCTATGTTTTCTTCTAGTAGTTTTCCAGTTTCAGCTCTTATGTTTGTCTTTAATCCATTTTGAGTTGATTTTTGTATAGAGTATGAGATAAAGGCACAATTTCATTTTTGAGCATGTGGCCATCTAGTTTTCCCAATCCTTTTTAAAGAGACTTTTCTTTTCCCAATGTGTATACTTGGCACCTTTATGAAAAATCAATTGACTGTATAAGTGTGGGTTCATTTCTTGGCTACTCATACCATTCCATTGTTCAATGTGTTTTTTATGCCAGTACCATGCTGTTTTAATTACTAAAACTTTGTTGTACGTCTATACCTAATTGGTTGAGTGTTTTTATTTTGAAAAGATGTTGAATTTTGTCTAATGCTTTTTCTTCATCTGAGATGATTGTATAGTTTTTGGCCTTCATTCTCTTAGTGTAGTATATCACACTTATTGATTTGTGTATGTCGAACCATCTTTACATTCAAGGAATGAATCCCACTTGATTATAGTGAATTATTATTATTTTTTTTTTTTTGAGATGGAGTCTCACTCTATCACCCAGTCAGTGGTGCAATCTTGGCTCACTGCAGCCTCCGCCTCTCAGGTTCAAGTGATTCTCCTGCCTCAGCCTCCCAAGTAGCTAGGATTACAGGCGCACGCCACCATGCCTGGCTAAATTTTGTATTTTTAATAGAGACAAGGTTTCACCATGTTGACCAGGCTGGTCTTGAACAACTGACCTCAGGTGATCTGCCTGCATCAGCCTCCCAAAGTGCTGGGATTACAGGCGTGAGCCCCTGTGTCCAGCCTGTGAATAATTTTTTTTAATGTGTTGTTAAATTTGGTTTGTTAGTATTTTGTTGAGGATTTTTTCCATCTGTATTCATTATGGATATTGGCCTGTAGTATTCTTTTTTTATGATGTCTTTGTCTAGCTATGGTATCCAATTTATAATGGGGCTGGATCAAGACACAGTAGTAGTTTTCCTAAAACTCAGTCTGCCTTTAATTAGTTCTCTTTTAGGTGGTAGTCTTCTAGGTCCTTCAAGTGAAAGTTTGGCAGGTTTTTGTCTCTTGAGCCTTAAAGGACTATGGAAAAATCAGCTCTTCCTTTCAAGAATTTAAAGTTAACTCTTTATGATTCCACTTTACAAAGCTTCTAATTTTGTCATTACGTTGAGTTAAAAACTGACTACTTTTGAGCTTAAGTCTCATCTCACTTTAGCCCAGGTGAGTACCACTACACCTGGTCTTTTTCTGTCCTGCAGCAGTGCCATTGTCTAGGATTTGAGGGCCCAGTCTTGCATCTTCTAGCTATACCCAGAATTCAAAGTTCCTTTTGGTAAAAGTGACTGCAGGTCCTCCATGCCAATTCACCACTCCCACTATGATTCACCTATTTTCTTTCAGGACAGTGCTTATCTTTTCTTTGTTTTCTGAACATCATGGGAACACAGGACTTTCTGATTTCTGAGAGTTTTCAGGATAGTTTTGAAGCCTCTTGCACAATCTAAGGGTTCAGTAGTGTCTTGTAAGAACTGTTCACGTGATGGTGGCTCCTCAAATCTCCATACTCAACCCTCCTGACCTCAAGCAGTTTAGTATTTTTTTCTAGTAATTATATTTTTCCTTTGCCAGTTTTCAACCCATGTCATTTAGCCCAGGCCCTGGCATTGGTACAAATGCTTTTTCCTCTGCTCATCTTGAAATATTTCTCCTATTTCTAGAATTTTAGTCTATCTAGTTTTCACAATTTTGACAGCTCATTGCAGCCTTCAGTATATGATTTCTAAATTTATCTGGCTTTTCCATTGCTGTTTGTGGGTACATTAATCTTTTACATATTATCCTGAGGCAAAAATCCCTGATCTGGGATGTATTTCAATTTGAAATTAGTATTGATATTAAAATTGTCATGATCAGCTGAATTTAGAGGAAAAATGCAATTTACAAAAATGTCTTTGTTTTCCCTGATGGTGGTACTCTCCCATTAAGCCCTCTGCAGAGGAACTATGAGAAGGCACAACTAATTCCCATTAATTTTCAAAATTGAGGCCCATTCCACCAATTTTGCTTGGGGGACAGAAAGCCAAAGGTGAGTCATGGTTATTTATTTTTAAGACATTAGAAGAGTTCCCTCACTTTTGGAAAGACAATACGAAAGATCTGGTTATACATTTGTAGGCAATGAAATAACATCTTTTTGTTTGGTGATCTGTTCACACAAGACAATGGCTTTGTGATCACCAAACAGAAAGATCACCAAACAAAAAAGATGTTTGAATGGTTGGCAGTGGTTTGAAAATGTTCTATCTAGCTAGCTATCTATTTATCTATCTATCTATCTATCTATCATCTATCTATCTACTCTATCATCCGTGAAACAAAGTGTTCAAAACAAAGCACTTTTTGAGCAGATGACGAAAAGTGGTGGTGGAGCCTGAGCTTGTACATCTGGTTTCTTTCTTACTTTCTTCCCCATGTTATCTGTGACAGGGTTCTCCCCAGTCCATTTGAAAATGCTGCCTAAAACTATTTTGATTTTATGCTTTAATTTCTCTTTTTCTTTTACTTGGAATTAAGCAGATAATGGTTGCACCCTGTTTGGCACTAGGTTCAATCCATGTTCAGAGGAAACTGATGTGAACTTCTGATTTCAGAGATAACTTTTCTTTCTCCTCCTCCACAGTCCTTTTGATGTAAAGCAATTTAGAACAGATTTTAATTTACATGTTAATAAGATTAGATTATGGGTTAATAAAGCCACAGGCAATCATGGTTACCTACTGGTTTCAAAAGAATCACACATTTAGTCAAACTGTCTTATACTTCAGGTCGTACATTTTAAGGTGACAAGAGATGGCTTTTACAATTTCTTTACTATCATCTTAAAAATAATTCAAGACAAATACTAGAGACAGTTAATTAGATTAATTTCTTTTATTAATCTTAAATTATGTTTGAACAGAACTTTTTAGTTTTTGTTTTTGTTTTGTTTTGTTTCTGTTTTCCTAACAAGTCACTTTAGCTAATGCTGAAGGCAGTCTTGAAATGTTATTTGCCCTGTTTGTCAGGATCCTGAATATCCAGTGGCTTCTCTGCCACTGGAGAAGTCCCAGGAAGAGCGTATTATGGGCACAGGCATTCATGGAAACTTTTTCCTAGATTATCAGGTATTCTCCTGGTAAATCAGAATGAATCAGAAATAGGTAACTTAGGGAGTGCTACAGATATTCATCAAATATTTTCACTAATGTTTCCTCTTACACCTGAATTTTTTCCAACCATCCAATAACACGAAAGTTAATCTATCAAAATCAAAACCATTCCATGTAAGAGCAACTTAAAGGACCCAAGTGATTCTCCTTGAGGCTCAGGAACAACAAGGCTGTGTTTCCCTCTTCATGCCACTTAGGGTCAGAGAAGTATTCAAGCAGGACTGACTCAAACTTCATATGTAGTAAAAAACAATCTCTGGAGATGAATGCTGAGGAATGGGAGGGAAGAAGGGAGAGAAAGAGAGAGAGAGGGGGAGAGACAGAGACAGAGAAAGAGAATGAGCCAGCATCACCTTCTGTAGTAATCACCTTCTGTAGTATGTAGTAATCCTGATAAGGTTTGGATCTAGAATTTCTATGGCTTGCAGAGCTGATTTGTGATTTCTGCAATCAACATTAGCCAGTGGCATTGGGAACTAAACCCTAAATTCTACACCTCATTGTGCCTTTTTTCTTCAACACCTTCTTAAATCTAAACCAGCTGGAATTGGAGGCTCAAGCAGTTCTTTTTCAGCCATTCTGTGGGGGTAGATTCTGAAACCTCCATCTTTTGTCACTGTTGCTATCTGAGGACTTACTATCCCTGGGGACTCAGAGCCATGCTATTGGACCCACTGCTCAAGCTGGATGAAACGTGCTTTGTGCACTGTCCTACCACTGAACCAAATCCCCTCTGTTTGCCCTGTTGGACACTGCATTTTTCTGGTAGGGGTTCTGAGTGAAGAGCTTCAGTGTTTCAAATGTTTAAATGAAGTAAGTCTTGAAAACTAAAACAATAAGCAGATATCCATATGAACAAAATAAGTGCTATAATTAGCGATTTTAACCTCCAAATATGAAAACTATTTTAGTGACTAATATACAATTAACTTTAACACTTAAATGTAACATAATTTTTGCTAGTTCACTATAGCAGAAGTCCACCCAGGTGTCCCTTCTACCATCTTCTGCTGTTTTTTTCATTAATAATCTAATGTAAAATACGACACTTTGTTTTGCAAACAGAGTCTCCAAACAGCTGGCTTTGTATGATAATTAAAATGAAAAACTTATAAATCTTTTATCAATTTTATAAGTTACACAAATGTAATAACCATATGACTTTCACAAGCAATCTTTGAAGTATGTAAGAAAATAAAGAGAATAAATCCAAGACATAATTATGCAAATGATATTTAATTCTAATCCAGACAGTTGCATATATCATAGAATCCATCTATTCTATCATCCAAAACATGTAGATCAGAGGTCATGCTTCGATTTATGTTTCTACTCTGCACACTGCATTCAATGTGCATGTCATTACTTATCTAAACAAACATTATGATATACATAATGATAGCATTTTTCGCAAAGCAGTGGTCTAAAACACATTGATTAATTGCAATAAGAATTTATTTAAAAATGTTCTGTCAAAGGGTCTGAGATTTAGGGGTCTTTTTCTTGTAGCATACTTGGTTGTATTTCTATAAAGACTCCTTTCCATTTAGGTTGCTATATTTAGACAGAGTACCAATAAGACACCTTTTTGGTGGCATATCTTATTCCAAAAATAAAATTGCAAGAGTGAGATCAACACTTGAAAACTTCTGAAGGTTTCTGCCTGAAGGTATTAGAACACAAAAGAAGTTTTATCTTGCTGACCTTGCATGACATGGAAAGTTATGTTATTTCAAGAGGAAAATAGCAGTGGTTTTCCTGTAGCCTAAACATAGTTTGAGGCCAAGGGAGTGTTGATAAAATCTGTTGCTAATTAGCCGGGCACGGGGGCTCACGCCTGTAATCCCAGCACTTTGGGAGGCCAAGGCCGGTGGAGCACGAGGTCAGGAGATCGAGACAATCCTGGCTAACACGGTGAAACCCCGTCTCTACTAAAAATACAAAAAAATTAGCCAGGCGTGGTGTCTGGCCCCTGTAGTCCCAGCTACTTGGGAGGCTGAGGCAGGAGAATGGCGTGAACTCAGGAGGCGGAGCTTGCAGTGAGCCGAGATCGCGCCACTGCACTCAGGCTGGGCGACAGAGCGAGACTCCGTCTCAAAAATAAATAAATAAAATTTTTAAAAGTTGCTAATTAGGCTCTATGTCCTTCCTAATTTTCTCATAAAATTTTTTCCAATAAATAATCATAAACTGCCTATTAAATGTTTAAGGACTCTAAAAAATATTTCCTCACATATCTAGAAATTAGTAGATTGTAATATAAAGCATAACATTAAAAAATATTTAATAACATTAAATGATGAGACTCTCATGGGTCAACTGTACCATATACACTCCCAAACACAGACGTTCTAGAGACGTTCTAGAGACAAAGGACAATACATAGCTTATGTCCTGAAGCAGGTGCCAATATGAATATGCCACTGCATGAGCTTTTCCTTTCGCCCTCCACAAAAAGCACTCGGCTGTGTCATTTCTTGTGTTGGTGAGCATTTCATTAAGACCATGACAGTGTTTCAGGTTTTACTCACTCTTGCTGAGCTTGACAATTTTGAGGAATGCTGGTCATATCTTCTATAGAATGTCCTTCAACTGAGAATTGTCCAATGTTTTTCTCATGATGAGGCTAGAGATATGGCTTTTTTTTTTTTTGGAATGAAGATCTCAGAGGCAAAGTGCTATTTTCATCACATAATATCAATGGTACCTGCTATCAACATGACTTGTCTCTGTGGATGTTAACCTTTATTTCCTGGTTAAGATAGTATTTGTCAGTTTTCTCCACTGCAAAGTTACTCTTACTGTTTTTCCCCTTCCATCCTGTACTCTTTGGAAGGAGTGGATTACGTGCAGTCCACACATAGGGAGAGGGGAGCTGTAACACTTCACTGTGACAGTGAAGTAAATTATTTGGAATTATTCTGCATAAAAATGTGTCTCTTCTCTTCATTTATTTATTCAATTATTTATACCAATTTGGAACTAAAAATATTTATATCATACTTGGTATTATAATTTAACACTACAATATTTCGAAGTATTTCAGTTAGGGCCATTTGGAGATCTTTCAGCTGCATTTGAATTCCTTTGACATAAGACATCATTTTTTTTTAACATTTCCTTACTTGGGGTGCTTCAAGATGCTCCAGGTTCATCTTATATATTCCTTGTTCCAACTCTGGAATCAACCATTTCTCCGAAGAGAATGATATTAGAAACTGAGAAAGTATAGTAATTGTGCTAATTTACTGATGTGCTTTTGCTTCTAGGTCCTCTAAGCAGAGCAAGGATATACATGTATTTCCTAACTTGTGCGTATAGACATGTCTATATACATTCTAATGTATATCTACCATATCTATAGGTAGATCAACACATGAGTTCCTGCTGATATAGCTGCTCCAATTTTATACTTCATAGGCATTTTCAGTCTCCCCTTGCTTGTCCATAACTTCCCGCACCAACAGTGAGAACCCTGCCTCGCACCATCTGTCATCTATTCATTTAATTGTTCCATTCCAGTGTAAAGAATAACATCTCAGTCAAGGACAGACCACATGTACAAAATGGTCCCATAAGATTACAATACCATATTTTTACTGTACCTTTTCTACGTTTTGATATGCTTAAATACACAAATATTTATCATGTGTTACAATTGCCTACAGGATTCAGGACAGTAACATGCTGTACAGCTGTATAGCCTAGGAGCAATAGGCTCTACCATGTACCCAAAATGTGAAATAGGCAATACCATCTAGAACTTTGTAAGTGCACTCTACGATTTCAAACAATGATAAGATAACCTAACAATGTATTTCTCAGAATGCATTCTTGGCATTAAACAGTGCATGACTGTATAGTGGCATTTGAATAGTTCCCATCTATACCCGCATGGGAAGTAACTTTGTCAACTATAGTGCAGGGATTATGGGCAGTTTTTTTAGACTACATTTATGTCCAAAAGTTACTTAGGTCAGCATCTTTCCCTCATCACCTTTGGTGATTGTTTCACAAATGTGTAATAAAGTTTGATTCTTTTGTGACTGTCCATTCCAAACTGGTATTCCTCAACATTCTAAATGATGTTTTAAAAATTTTACATATGTTAAGTTTCAATCTTTGTGCTGTAAATTTCTACAGGTTTTGAAAGATGCATAGTTGCATATATCCACTATGACCTCTGCTGGATTTTTATCCTTGTTTATGCAGAAGTAGAGTGTGTCCATGTGCTTTGAAATCCTGTTATTCAACTCAGCAATGAAAGCACATGTTGAACACTCATCAGTCATGATAATGAACATGCCACTGATTTTACTGATGGAGGTTCATGTATTAGTCAGGGTCCCCCATAGGGACAGAACAAATAGGATAAATGTATACATAAAAGGAATCTTATTAAGTAGAACTGGCCCATAGGACTAAAAGGCCAATTCCACGCTAGCACGTCTGCAAGCTGGGGAAAGAAAGAAGCCAGTAGCATGGTGGCTCAGTCCAATTTGGAAAGCCTTAAAACCAGGGAAGCAGCCAGGGCAGCCCTCAGTCTCAGGCTGAAGGCCCAAGAGCCCCTGGGAGACCACTGGTGCAAGTCCTAGAGTCCAAAGGCCGAATAACCTGGAATCTGATGTCCAAGGGCAGGAGGACTGGAAGCAAGACCCCAGTATGGGAAAGAGAGAGGAGCCCCAAGACACAGTGGGCTGCTCCTTCCCCTTCTTCCACTTGCTTTGTTCTAGTGGTGCTGGCAGCAGATTCGATGGTGCCCACCCACATTGAAGGGAAAGCTACCTTTCCCAGTCCACTGACCCAAATGTCAGTCTCCTCTGGCAGCCCCCTCACATACACAGCAGAAGCAATGCTTCACCAGCCATCTAGGCATCCCTCTATCCAGTCAAGATGGCACCTCATATAAACCACCACAGTCCATTTCTGACATTCAGTTTTACTTTAGCCAAGTGTCAAGTGTTGACTGGTAGATTCTTTACCAGTTTCATCTAGATTCTAGATGATCTGCACATTCTCATGCAATATATTGACCCTCTCTGTACTGTGAATTTTTGAATGGGATACTTGACTTACCTTAGGTTGAAGCCAATTAATTGACAAATTCATAACATTACATAATCTAGTGCAGAAGTGTTATAAATATGAACTTGAGAATACATATCTTTCACTATTTATAGAGACTTTCTTCCAAGCTAGACATTTTCATGAATTTTGCAAAGGTTTAGTGTAATCAATGTCCTTAAAATATTTTCTAGCAAATGGATTTATTGAAAATTGGTGGCCTTAACTAAATTCAACCTTGCAATTGCTCATCAGTGGCTGGTGCTACCTCAGTAGGGGATTCTACTCAGTAACCATAGCATATTTGCTGTCATAGAAACCTGGAATGCTCTTTGAGAAAAAGAATAAATATATGCAACAATTCACTCTACATTTAAAACTGTACCCTCTAAATATAGTGTTGATCCCTTATTTAGTTTCATGAGAGGCAGGTTGATGGACATTTTATGTGTTCTCTGACATTCCAGTGAAGGAAATATTTTTGTGATTTTTTTTTTCCTTTAGTTATTGCCGAATGATATTAGAGAAGTTTAGGTGGAATGTTGCATCCTGGACTTACTTAAGGTGATTTCAATTTTTTAGATGAAAAATGTGGAAATTTTGAAGAATATAAAAATACTTATCAGTTAGGTTTGGAACCTATGCTGCATGTAGAAATTACTTCAAGTATTTTAAGGTTCTCCCAAATAAGGCTGTGGTTCTTTAAGCCAATCTTATCTGATATTTAAAGGTTGCCATCTTTTATACATACTAATAGCCTAGAGGAGGTGAGAAAGTTAAGAATATTTAAATGTGCCGTATTTTTCAGTTTCTTTTTTTTTTTTTTTTTTTACCCACAGCTCCCCCCAACCCCCAACCAAAGGAGTCCATAGTAGGAGAAACAATCAGGAGATTTTTTGTTTGGTAAGGAAACTATTATCAGGTAGATATCAGAGAGTGTTTGGAATGTGGACCAGAGAACTGGAGATAAGAAAGGTGAGAAACGTATTTTTTCTCATTACTGAAGATTGTCAGATACATATCAATACACATCTTTTCAAGAAACATTGATTAAATCACAGCTTTAAAAAAATTGACAAGTCAGCCAGGAAGGGTGGCTCACGCCTGTAATCCCAGCACTTTGAGAGGCCGAGGCGGGCGGATCACAAGATCAGATTGAGACCATCCTGGCTAACACAGTGAGTGAAACCCCGTCTCTACTAAAAATACAAAAAAAATTAGCCCGTTGTGGTGGCAGGCGCCTGTAGTCCCAGCTAATCAGGAGGCTGAGGCAGGAGAATGGTGTGAACCCAGGAGGCGGAGCTTGCAGTGAGCCAAGATTGCCCCACTGCACTCCAGCCTGGGCGACAGAGCAAGACTCCACCAAAAAAATAAAAAATTGACAAGTCATAGTTGTATATATTTATAAGATATAATATGATGTTTATATATATAGAGAGAGAGAGAGAAAATATGCCATGACTAAATCAAGCTGATTCACATGTGTACTACCTTGCTTGCCTACAATTTTTTATGGGGATACATTTAAATTTTACCCTCTTAGATATTTTGAGGTATATGATATATTGTTATTGGCTATAGCCACCCTGGTGTGTACAGCTAATCTCACAACCTAATCTTCTTGTCTATCTGAGCTTTGTACCTCTTGAGGATGACAGGTGGATGGGGAGGAGTGAAATCACTGCTTTTTTGTTGCCTTGGGGAGTCAGCAAATGGGTGAAAATACATACTATACTCTACAGAGTATGCATACTATATAGAGTATGCACTATGCTCTGCATTGTCTAAAGTATAGAAATATATCATCACACAGCCCCTTTAACAGGAAGAGAAAAATCCACGTGTCCTGAAATTGCCACACATGACTTTTCAATTATGTCAACCTAGACTTAGAATTAAGAAATTGAGCAAATTTAAATAACCAGAAATAAACCAGGCAAGGAACAGTTTTTGAATTATTTTATTGTTAACAATACATTCTGCATGTACATTGTAGTTGCAAAACTGCAAGTTCCCATTAATAAAATGAGACTATTAATGTGAATTTTTTTAAATGAGGCATTTTAACCCTTGGCTTCAGAAATTTATACAATACTTAATTATAAAAAAAGGCCAGATTATAAATTCTAAAGACTGAAAATTGAAAAGCACAGTATGAATACTTTAAGAGATATCACCTTTATAAGGTACCTGAGAATTGAAAGTGTAAATTATAACAGCATTCCTTCCTACGCTTTAATCAAAACACTGCTGTGAGGGAAGAATTTGTAGCACAGAAAAAGCTTAAAAAGGAACATGATGTTACTGAATTATCTCACTACTTCAAAATTGATATGAAATAAGGTGGGAATCAGTATGAAAAATGTGGGTGGCATTATTTCAAGAGGATGAGGTAGATTCACAAAACTGTAACAATCCAAGAAGGATGGAAAGAATCCCAAGAAAAGGCATAGACTCTGTTCAAATTGAAAGAAAATTGTGAGAAGATGGTTCCCTAGTCAACTGGTAGATTCTATGCATCAGTTTTTGTTGTGTGACCTTGTTCTTCTCTTGAACTAAGTGCCAGCCAGTAATTTTAAATGTAGGACGTTTCACAACCCAGGCCCTTTAATGGTCAGTGGTCTCCCAGTCAGGCAATGATCATCCTAGAGCACCAGAACAGGAATAGGTATTTGGCCTTGGGTAAGAAGACAGCCCTCAATGCAGATCTAATGAGGCTGTAAGAACCAAGTGTCTAGAAAGCTGCATCTGACAGTGGTCCCGAGATGAGGAGTGTAATCAAATCTTGCCTTCCCTCAGGATTCACAGCAATGCAAAGTCATATTTTATAATCGCCAGTGCACAAAAATGTTTAATATTGATAGTCTACAATAACTGTGGAAAACAAATGCCAACAAGAAACACAAATTGCAGCCAGAAGAAACTAGGATGGTAGAAAAGCTGAACAACATGGCCGGGCACGGTGTCTCACGCCTGTAATCCCAGCACTTTGGGAGGCCGAGGCAGGCGGATCACAAGGTCAGGAGAGCGAGACCATCCTGGCTAACACGGTGAAACCCGGTCTCTACTAAAAATACAAAAAATCAGCCAGGTGCGGTGTCAGGCGCCTGTAGTCCCAGCTACTCGGGAGGCTGAGGCAGGAGAATGGCGTGAACCCCTGAGGCGGAGCTTGCAGTGAGCCGAGATGGCGCCACTGCCCTCCAGCCTGGGCGACAGAGCAAGACTCGTCTCAAAAAAAAAAAAAAAAAAAAAAAAGCTTGAACAACATAAAGGGAAATGGATTTAAAGAAAACCAAGGCATTGGACAAAAAACCAATATATTTGCCTTTACATTGTTTATTTTTAAATTTTAGGATGATAGACAGAGGTCTCATACACCCTCCATCCAGGTTCTCAGTATGGTTATACCATCCATAATTATATTAGAACCATGAATCTGGAGTTGGTACAATATATGTGTCCAGTTTTACATGATTTTATCACTTGTGTAGATGTGTATAACCACCAGTGCAATTAAGACACAGAACTATTCCACCAGCACAAAGGTCTCCTTCATGTTACCCATTTATAGCCACACCCAATTCTTCCCTCCAGCCTAAATCCCTGACCACTAGCAGCTACTGATGTGTTCCCTTTCTCCATAATTTTGTCATTTCAAGAGTGTTTTATCAGTAGAATCATATATAACACAAGTCTATGTTTTCTTATACAATTAAAATCAAACGTTATGTTGACTTTTTTTTTCTCAGCATAAATGCCCTTGACATCCATTCAAGTTTGCATAGTGCATATTGATAGCTTGATACTTTTCATTGCTGAATAGTATTCCACGCTATAAATGTATCATAGCTTGTTTATTCCCCTACTGGAGAAATTTCAGGGGTTTCTGCTTTTGGCTATTACAAACAATGCCGATATGAACAATAGTGTGAATGTTTTTGTATGTATATATGTTTTCATATCTCTGGGATAATACCCAAGATTATGATAGCTGGTAAGAATATGGTAAGAATAGATTTTTTAAAGAAACTGCCTAAATTATCTTCTAGACTGTCTTTACTATTTTACATTTCCACCAGCAATGTATGAGGGATTGTTTCTCTGCATCTTAGCCATCTTTTGATGTTTGCACTATTTTAAAATAGTGTTCTCATAGATATATATCAGCTGTTCTCATAGATATATATTAATACCTTGTTGTAGTGTTAAATTGTATTTCCCTCATGACTAATAATTTTGTATATTTTTGATGTGCTTATTTGCTATCCGTATATATTCTTTGGTTCATGACTCTTGCCCATTTTGTAATTAGATTGTTTGTTTTCTTAATGTTGAGTTTTGAGAGTTCTTTATGCATTCTACATAGGCTTTCTTTGCCATATATGTAGATTGCAAATATTTTCTCCCCAAACTTATCCTGAATTTTTATCTTTTTAACAGACTATTTTTAAAGCAAAAGTTTTCATTTTTATGCAGTCCAATTTATCTAGTCTTTTTCTCTTATGCCCTGTGATTTTTGTCTCATATTGAAGAACTCTTTATCAAATACTAGGTTCACAACGCTGCCCTCTGTGTTTTCTCTGAAAAGTTGTAGAGTTTTACATTTCATAATCAAATAGAAGATTTATGCTAATTTTTGTACAGGCATAAAATTTAGTTTGAGGCTTTTTGTGATATTTCTTTTGTTTTGTCAATGGATATCTAATTGCATATTTGAATTTAAAACTACTTGAGAAATAAAAAGATAAGGCACTTAAAAAACAGGACATACTATATTTGTTATACATGTTGTTTAAATATTTTTCAAGCTTTGATAAGCCAATTGTTTATTATCATATGAAAAAAGTCTCACATCTAAATACCTGTTTAAAACATTTAAAAATTTTATTATTTACAATTTGTAAGATTTATCACATAATATTATCCTTCCCCACCTTAAATATATACACCACATTTTGGAAAATTGTTACTGTAGAGATTTCACTAGAAGGTTTTTTATTGAATTGTAAAGCTAATGTTAGCCTGTGATCACAAGATACATGCTATTACTGTGAAATAACTAACTGCAAATGATGATTCTAAGGACTTATTGTTGTTAGCATCTGTACTTGGAGCGTTATCTGATGAATTTTTAGGATCATTTTCCTTAATAGAGAACGTCATTTAGTCACAATTGTAACATCTCTTAAGAAAACTTGTTTTTAAAACTTTGGTCTTTTGTGTTATTTTTTAGCCTCTATTTAATTTATTTTTGCTCTGATTTTTATTATTTCATACCTTCCGCGAACTTTAGTCTTAATAGGCACTTCTTAAATATCATTTGAACTTACCTGTGTATTATATCATTTTATATTTAAGAAAAGACTAGTTCTTCTAAAATTACAAGCTTAAAGTTTAAAAAATGTGATAATGAAAGTTGCTGCAAAATTGCTATCTTTGAAAGGTAGCAAGAAGTTGGCCAAATATTTTATTATACAATTTAATAAATGTGTACATGGTTTTCTTCTTTGTAATTGTGGGGCAGGTTTACTTGCCACAACAAAAGATTTTACTGAATTGACTTTTATTATCAAATAACATAAGCAGTCATAAAGTTCTATGGAAATTTTCAATACTTTCTTTACTACAGAACATATTAAACACTATAAATGTATACAAACATTTATTTTAACTTATAATTATAATGCTATAATGTTATATATAACCTGGAAATAATGAAACCAAGTTCACTATCTTGGAAGGAAATTTAAAATGATAAAATGTATTCACTTTTTGAGAAATTTAAAATAATATATTTATGGCTTAGTTATTAAATTGCAACAGATAGTGATGGTAACATTCCAACTACAATGATCAATATTGAAAGATTTGGATAATGGTTGCAATTATGTATGTTTTTTTCTCAGTTTTAAAGATTGTCTTAGGAAATGACAATTTAATTTGGAAGAACTGAAAAGATATTGCAGAGTTTACAAATAAACAACCTTCAAACAACAGTAAACCACGAGTCCATGTTATACGTTAAGTTTAGATGGCTTATTTATTTCCCAGACAGTGAAATATAAATATTAATGGGTTATATATTTGTATATAGCTACATACGTAGGTACATATGTAAAAGCTTAAAGTAATACAAATATTCCAGAATGTAATATGCAAATCAGTGTTTGGTCCTTCAACATGGTTGCATCAGAAAACATGTAATATGATTCACTTCCTGGAACAAAACTGCATATACCCAAACATGTTTGAACCTTACTTTTGGAAATTATACTTAGAGCCTATGGAAAATTATGTGATTATTCTAATTAAGGATAGCTTTTCATATTTTGTGGATGAATTCCATTTTTAGAAACATATACATGTAAGAAAAAAGTTTGGTGTCTTCCTTAGCTAAATGATCAAGATGAACAGATATGAACATCAAATACTTGACGCTCAATTACATCTTTGTGTTCTATAACAGCCTGAAGGCAACTTCAAGCATGAAGTTAACAAAATTATTCCATTAATTGTTTCCCCCACAAATACACATTTATTGTTTTCTGTATGGCAGATTCGATTTGATGCTGAATATGAGGCATATCCATACCCTAATTGAGTCTATAATCCAGTGGGTACAGCAGCTACTTAACAAATTATTCACACAACAAAAACATATATTAAAAAAATAAGATCATTACTATGAAATTAAATTTAGATTGGAAAATCAGTAAGCTACTCTTTGAAAATTGAACATATTATTTGAAAGACAAAATAATTGGTAGAGCTTAGTTTTGTGTAAAGATAGGAAAGGTTTTCCTATGAAAAAATAATAGCATGTGTGAAATATTAAAGGTAAGAAATAGCTTGTTATATTTCCTGAAGTGTACTGCTGATGATGAGAAGGAACTAAGGAACTGACGAGAGGCATCAGATCAGTCGCAGCTCCAACACCATGATAAGGATTTTGAACATAGGCTCAATTCATTCGGAAGTCAATACTACTGTAATAAATCTCCATTGACCAACAGCCACAAATCTAAAGAAGTATTTTAACTTTACTTTTACTTATTTCTTTAGACACGTACATTTTCTTTATACAATATTGTGCAAGTGTAATTCTAGAGCTTGTGCATGCACACACACTTTATAAAACAAATGGGAGGGCAGATAAAAAAACTTTAAAAATTATAAATAATCCCTTGCTCAACAAAACCCATCTTTCTCTTGCACTATCTTGATAAATACATAAACACATACATATATATACACATATATGCATAATTATATAAATAGAAATACACACATTTCTGTATATATGTATGTCTGTGTATATGTATGTGTGGTGTTAGACTATATAGTATGAGAGTATTAAGTGTTTTGTTTTTAGCCTGTCTTAATTTTAATTTAATAATATATAATAAACAACTTAAGATGTTTTATAAATGTATAGCTATTTTAATTTCAATGAGTGCAAGACAATCTATTACATAGAGGTACTTATTGTATATAGTTGTCTAGTTAGCCTATCCTCTACTTTGGAAACTGAATTGTTTTAAATTTGCACTCTAAAAACAATATTGTGGCCTGGCACTGTGGCTCACACCTGTAATCCCAGCACTTGGGGAGGCTGAGGCCGGAGGATCACTTGAGGTCAGGAGTTCGAGACCAGCCTGGTCAACATGGTGAAACCCCATCTCTACACACACACACACATACACACACACACACACACACACACACACTATTTGGGTGTGGTGGTGCACACCTGTAATACCAGCTACTTGGTAGACTGAGGCAGGAGAATCGCTTGAACCCAGGAGGCAGAAGTTGCAGTGATGCAAGATCGCATCACTGCACTCCAGCCTGGGCGACAGAGTGAGACCCTGTCTCAAAAAGCAAAAACAAAATCAAACAAGCAAACAAACAAACAAAAATGGACTGTGGCAAAATCTCTCTCTTCCTGTCTATGTATCTATCTATGTATCTATCTATCTATCATCTATTTGTCTACACACTTGCATAAGACTTCTGGAGGATGATTCTTCTGCTGGAATTTCTTGATCTAAGCATATGCTTATTTTAAAGCTTTCGATAATTGCCTACAGAGGGCACAGAGAAGGTGACATTGTACACTTTTTTTTCCATAGTAGAGAACAACAGCCTTTCCTCACTCTGTCACAGGGGACACTGATCATTCTTTTCAATTTATGACAAATTAACTTTAATAGAACAAGAAGTCCTTTAATATTTATGGTGCAATTAAATACAGAATTTAGACTCTACCAATAGTACAAAGATAATGTGCCTAAAATAAAAGCCATAACTATTTGTGGAGATAATCTCACTAGGAATCTGACTAGCTTTGTAGGCATACAACTGGTTTAAAGGAGAAAGCACCAGAGTAGTTGTCAAGATTCTTGTTTCTCTGATATTATAAAGCACATATCAATTTGAAAAAGATGCTATTAACACTGCAAAGTTTAAGGCTCAGTCATCAAGTTCCATTTGTCTTCAGAGAAACATAGATCCAATCCTTAATGATAAATTCAAAATTACTGAGAGTGTGTTATGTCTATAGTTGTTTAATATTTTATCAGAATTTTTAAAACATAAGGAGAATAAGACCAACTAAAATAGAATAATCATCTAGCCATCTATAATACCATTTGCACAGTAGGTTGAAAATTTTATATTCTGCCTTCTAGCTAAGTTTACATTGTTTGGCAACATTTTCATTCTAGCAGTTGCTCTTTACCTAATGGATTTCAGTTCAGGGTTTGTGTAGATGCATATAATATACACATATTCGCACATGATCTTATGTTATATATGTGCTTGTAGAATTCAGGCATTTAAGCTTTAGTTTAAAATATGCATATATCATTGTTAACGGCTGAATCACTTCCCCCAAAATTCACACATTGAAATCTAATACCCAGTACTTTGGAATGTTACTGTATTTGGAGATATGGTACTTAAAGAGGTTATTAAAATGAGGTCATTAGCAGGTGTTCTCATTCAACATAAACGGTATCCTTATTAGAAGAGGAAATTAGGACACTAACATTTACAGAAGAAAGACCTTATGAAGACACAGGGCAAAATGGCCGTCTACAAGTCAAGGAGAGACCTCAGAAGAAGCCAACCTGGCCCACTCGTTGATTTCAGACTTCTAGCCTACAGAAATGTGAGAAAATACATTTCTATTTTTATAGCCACTAATTCTGAGGTACTTTGTTATGGCAGCCCTACTAAACTTATACAGATTTGATTTCTTTAGAAAATAATTTAAAGAAAAGTTTAAAAATGAAGAATCTTTAATGAAAGTGAGGTAATTGGATTGAAAGCTATTTGAGAGCCATTGTTGGTACAACAGTAGTGTTTGTACAACAGTTCTATTTAAATCACCAAACTTTGCATATGGCTTTTAGGTATTTATATGCTGTATTACAATTATCTAACTGTATTGGAATTTTACTTGCCAATTTCAATTTTCTTTATGGGTAGATAAGCAAGAAACAATACTAAAACATAGATGCTCTGGCAATTACCTGTCTCACTATTTCCAAATTCATTTTCTTTTTCACACATCCCCAGAAAAAACTGGATTTGTCTAATCTGTTATACATATATTGGTGTGCTCAGATAGTGTTGCAATGCAAATATACCAAACCAATTATTTTGGATCATTATACTATTCAAAATTTTTCCAAGGCTGGGCTCTTCTATAAGATAAAGATTTGACAATTATAAAATTGATAATATTAGTCCAAAGACACAAATTTTCCAAAGAGTACAAATTAGCAATACAAATTAGAAAAATAAAAGAAAACATGGTAATACCATTGCTGGTGTCCACATGGATACAGATGAGTCTCTGGTCATATCAGTCCTTCCAAATCAACTACATGCGTGTGCACTAGCTTCCAAGGTATTTGCTTCAAGTTTATCTTATAAGGTTCATGACAGACAAGGATTTGATGGTTTCAAAGTAACCTTTTTACATGTATTAAGAACTCAGTTGACCATGGGTCTCTGCTTTGAAACATATGAGTTAAATTGAAAAAATCATGAACAAAGGCACAAGGAATCAAGGCACGGCTCACTTTACTGTTGCCATTGAAAGAATAAGAAACTGCAGCTGTGGAGAAGATGGCAGAAGAATGTGGCAGAGTGTGAACAAAATGAACCAAGGCAAAAACTTAATAAAAACCCACTATACTGTAGCAGAAAGACCAAGTGAAATGGAGAAGTGGGGTCAGATGCGGAGTACACATGGTAGAGAAGAGAGAGTCCTTTTGCCAGTCTTTGTTACACATTTGCACAAAAAATATCTTGCTGCAGCTGTAAAAGGAAGTGTACAGCAGGGTGTTCATTCATACAAACCCAACTTTCCTCATATTTTGAGGACTTAATATCAACTTATATGGCAAGATAAAAGTAGGACTTATGAAATTATTGAATTGGTACCTCCTCCGCAACAACCTAGAGAAGCTCTTGTATGTTGCTGTCTGCTTCTAAGAATGAGCTGTTCTCAATCATTTGGTTTCCAAACACTGCAACTCCACCACCCAGGTCTCCACCATGTGTTCCTGGGGTCTAGCATCATCAGCCAGTGGTAAAAACAGCTGCTCCCAGATTTCTTATCTCTGCATCCACTATTTTCTGAAACCAACTCTGCCTTCATTAGCAGGATGTTCGGTTGGACATTTCCTTTTGTGCCATAACTGTGACTGAATTCCAATGCAGTAAATTATTGGCACACATGATAAGACTGACACCCATAGGCACACTATGTGGAGATCCCTCCACTTCAGTTTATCAAGACATTTCAGAAATAGCAACGTTGCCACCAACAGTCAGTCCACCACCCACCATGCCTCCCCCATATATGGCATTCATATATGAGATATTATTTGCCTCCCTAGCACAAAGCATCCCAGAGAATAGCATCTACCTTCTCCCAGGCACACCTCTGCACACATGTGGGATGAGATTGAAGGAGACATTGTACTTCAAAAGAAATTTCTGGTGTCAATTTGGTGGTCAAATTGACCTTGGCTGGCTGGATCTTGTCTGCTTTGTTCAAATTTAAACCATGATATTTACACAGTAATTTTGCATAGCTAGCTCTTTATAAATATCTGTGGATTCATGAAGAAAAATGAATAGATAATATCCATCAATATAGTTTTATACATGAAAGTATATTGAAAATCATTTTCATCACCAGAGACAGTTCTAACTTCACGTAGTTACCTTGAATAGCTGTAACAGCAGAACGTTGCAAATTCAGTCATATCAAAAGGTTTTCACTGATGTTCAGTCATGAAATTTGCATTACAGTTTATGAGGGGAAAGTGCACAATTTCCTGTTTTGCCATTTCTAAAATACTCTTAGTCATAATGAATCTATTGAAAGAGGGCTTGTTTTCTCTACACAAGCTTTATTGCTAGAAGATAAGTTGTATAACATATTTGGTGTGTATTTGTCTTTTGAATTCTATATATTGGTTATATAAGTTCAGAACAATATATGACCAGCATTTATGCTAAAACAATTTCTGACTATTGGTTCCAATTAATATTCTCAATGAGAAGTAAGATTCCTTTTGAAAATTAAAATGATGCAGCATTTACTATTTGTTGAGTCAATTAAAAATCAATAAATGAACATCTGAATTAATTCTCTGTCACTTATAATTTTTTCAGCTGATGAAAATGTCCTTATTTCTCAAGTGTAAAATACTCCTTTAATCTCTTATATCAATATACAATTCAAATATTAATTTTGTTAACACTAAATGTGAATTAATTTGATCTATTAATATAAAATAATTTCAGAGAAAAATTGCAATAAAAAAGCAGATACACACTAATTATAAGCAGGACTTATACGATAAATAAGCTTCTATTCTTTTATCCACATTTTGAATAATCTAAAATCTAAATATTTTGCTGATAAATTTTATATAGTATTATTCAAACAGATTTAAAAAGTAAATCTGGAAGTAAGCTTCCTTAGAAACCTTCAAGAGAGGACATTTGTCACATGAATAATGTGATCCCACTGTTGGCACATCCAGCTCTGCTAACCCAGTGCAGGCATGTTGTCAGTGTCCTTCAGATGTTTTTAGCTCATTAATTTAAAAGCATAATTCACTTCAGTAAACATAAAGACATAACTTAAAAATACAATTTCAAGATACATTGTATTGCATGGAAGAACTAGGTTACTAAAGAAGAATCACAATATATATGCAGTAGCAGTGGTGACATAGTATAAAGGCTCAGTTTTTGTCTCTTCCAAAAGGAAATTCCTTTTGGACAAGCCAAACATATCAGACAATAAATGCCTCTTGAAACAGAAGTTTCAGAAAAAAACAGATTTTCTAAGATTTCCTGTGTAAACGAAATCTTATTTTGCATATACATGGCATGGATAAGCATGCATTTAATAACGCACTCTGACAGATAAAGCATCGTTAATATCTAAGCCCTGTTAACGAGGAATCGTATTTGTCAAAAACAGTAGCAGTTAAATTATAAAGTTTTAATATATTTTCCTAATTTAAATGTAAGATTCTACATTATAGGAGGTAATACAGATTCATCAAATAAAATTTTGAAAATTCAGAAAAGGAGCTAAAAAAGTTTCCAATATTTTCAAAATATTATTAAAACTTTACATTTATTATAAACTATTTTCCAGTGTTTTTTTTTTGGTTTTAGTTTTTGTTTTTGTTTCAATGAATGGCTCTTTACTTGCTCCGGTTTTAACACAAATATGTTTTTGGAAAGGGATTCCTCAATGTTTTCTAAAATTGCCATGTAATTTTATTTCCTTATATACTTGTTACATAGTGAAATCAATTTTTAAAATTTAATTGCTTACTGTCTCTCTCTCCCACTAATGCGATATGTCAAGACAAGTATTTTGTTTTACAATTGCTGTGATATCACAGATGTATCCAAACAAAGCTGAGAAAAGAAACAAAAAGAGAGCTTAATGTCATTCCTTATTAAAAATCTTCAAACTTCAAGAGCATGGATGATATTTTGTGAATGATGAAAGTCCTTTTGGTGAACATTAATTACCTTGAGAAAAGTTTTTTTGTTGTTTTTGTTAGTTTTCCTAAAACTTTCTATTTACAATTTTGGTAACTAAACGCTTTTTGCAGCACCTAAAGCCAGTAGTTACATAAATAATTTGTTCAACGTGCATTAGTTCAAATGTAAAGGATTGCAAAAGAGAGTGTGAAATAGTAAGGATACAATTCAGAAGAAGTAGGAGCTTTGAAACTTTGGGTGATTAAGATTGTCAAACAAGTAAGAGGAATTCTAAGTATAGTGTTACAGGTTTGACAGTGTATTCGTAATAGATTTAGAGAATTGCCTGGTTTAACAGCATAACTTCCAAACCTAGAACAGTGCTTGATACCTGGTAGGTAACAATCAAATTCTTCTGGATGAAGTGATAGCTTTGATGGTGATCCAACCAATACAAACCTCAGAGAGAAGCCACCTGGGCAGACCACAGGTATTGTGGGACCCAAGGATATATTCTATCATGCTGAAACATAAATTGTTGCTGTTGTTTTCTTAACTGTGGTGAGTAATGCTCAGTAAAGCTTGGTAATGCTCACTATATTCACATTGTTGTGCAAAGATCTCTAGAACTTTTTCACCTTGCAAAAGTGATTCTCTATACTCATTGAACACCAGCTTCCCATTTTCCCCTTTCCCAGCACCCAGCAACCATCATTCTACTGTCTGTTTCTATAATTTTGATTACTTTAGCTGCCTCATATAAGTGCAATCACTCAGTATTTATTTTTTTGTGTACGACTTATCTCACTTAGCACGTTGTCTTTTTCTTAACTATTGTGAATAATACTGCAATGAAAATTGTTGCACAAATAATCTCCTTGAGATTCTGTTTTCAATTCTTCTGGATATATACCCAGAAATAGGATTACCAGATCATATGATAATACTATCTTTACTTTTTAAAAGAGCCTCCAAACTGTTTGCTGCAGCAACTGCTGCACCATTTTACATTCCCCCAAAGAGTGTTCAAGTGTTCCAATTTCTGCACATCCTTACCACCATTTGTTATGTCCTGTTTATTTGATGGTGGCCATCCTAATGGGTGAGAGGTAGGGTCTCATGGTTTGATTTGCATTTATCTAATGATTCATAATTTTTAATACCTTTTCATGTGATTGCTGGTCTTTTGAATATCTTCTGTGGACAAATGCCCAGTTTTTAATCTAGTTATCTGCTTTTTTTGGTGTTAAGTTGCTAATATATATTTTGGATTGCTTTATGTATTCTGGATATTAAGCTTTTGTCAGACATATGATTTGCAGATGTTTCTTCCATCCTGTGAGTTCTCTATTCATTCTGTTGATTTTTCCTTTGATGCACAGACATTTTTAAGTTTGATGCAGTATCATTTGTCTGTTTGCTTTTGTTGTTTGTGCTTTCTATGTCATTATCCAAAAAATCATTGCCAAGTCCAATGTTAAAAAGTTTTTCTTCTATGTTTTCTTCTAGGAGTTTTATGATTTAACTTTTACCAGTAGGTCTTCAGTACATTTTGAATTAATTTTCGTATAAGGTGTAAGATAAGAGTCCAGTTTCTTTCTTTTGCACATGGAATTCCAGTTTTCCCAGCATCATTTTTTGAAGACCATCCTTTCAAAAAAGGAGACTATGAAGTCGTGAGACTCCCATGGAGGTTCATTTGAAGGAAAGGTACCGTGGTTCTGTTTTTCTTATGGCTGGGGTCTGGCCTGAGGCAAGGGCTCACAAGCACAATTTGTGTTGTTTGAAGTTCTTCTCTGGCATTCAAAGAAGGAGCTTCTGAACTTTCTAATTACTGTGATGACATATGGGGCAAAAGGGAAAGTAGGAGAAGTGGAGCTTGGAATCTATCAGTAGTCAAGCGTCAAAAATAGAATCACATTCTTTATTACATCTGATTTTCTGTGAATTTTTCTCTGTTGTGATAAATGCTTTTGCTCTATTTACCATTCTAGTGATTTTTCTCCTCAGCAGAATCATATTCAATGTGTAATTGCTTGCAAATTCAGTCCAGCAATTAATTACCTTTTTTTGAAAAATGTTTCCTAAAATGGTTAATGTTTTATGTCCAAAGTGTCAAAAGGCCATGTGATAGTTTTTAAAGGGACTTCCCCCTCACAAAAAGGCATGCGGTTGTCCCTCTTTGCTTGTTACTAGAGTACTAGGCTTTCCTAATTCTGGGACATTTATTAGCAAGTTCAGTTGACTAGTAGATTTAAATCCACATTCCCCAGTGTAGACTCCGTTAATTAAAAAGTGACACATTGCTCTCTTTAATCTTCTTGTATTTCTTTCTATTTTTTTTTTTTTTTTGAGATGGAGTCTCGCTCTGTCGCCAAGGCTGGAGTGCAGTGGCACCATCTCATGTCACTGCAACCTTCACCTCCTGGGTTCAAGCAATTCTCACGCCTCAGCCTCCTGAGTAGCTGGGATTAGAGGCACATGCGACCACACCCAGCTAAGTTTTTAATTTTTAGTAGAGATGGGGTCTCACCACGTTGGCCAGGCTGGTCTCAAACTCCTGACCTCAAGTGATCGGCCTGCCATGGATTCCCAAAGCGCTGGGATTACAGGCAAGCACCACAATGCCCAGCTAATTTTTGTATTTTTTGTGGAGACAGGGTTTCACCATGTTGGCCAGGCTGGTCTCAAACTCCTGACCTCAAGTGATCTGCCTGCCATGGATTCCCAAAGCGCTGGGATTACAGGCAAGCACCACAATGCCCAGCTAATTTTTGTATTTTTTGTGGAGACAGGGTTTCACCATGTTGGCCAGGCTGGTCTCGAACTTCTGACCTCAAGTAATCCGCTTGTCTCTGCCTCCTTAAGTTCTGGGATTACAGGCATGAGCCGCCATTCCCAGCCTCCTTGTATTTCTTTATGTATTCAGAATCCAGGTAGGAAAAAAAAAAAAAGGCTATTCACTGAAACTTCCTAACCCCCTAAATCTGTGTGTGACCTGGTTATTCTAAATGACAGAAAAATCCTGTGAGTTGGAAACAAGGTGCATGAAGAACGATGGAAGTTTTAATGCAGCCAAAATTGGTAACATGAATCTTGCCTGGTATGTACTATGAGGATGTCATGCAGAACTGTATTATTCTGATCAATTTTCCAGTTACCAAAATAACTAGACAGAAAAAAATTTAAAATTCCTGAAAATAAAAGAGAATATTTAAAATAGAAGTTAAATGTTCTCTTTTATGGAAAAAGTGAGTTTGCCTTTAAATGCATTTGTTAATCAATGACAAAATTTTTTATAAAGCCTACATATTGTTTGATAGTATTATATCAGTGTTAGTTTCCTGATTTTTATAATTTTATTGTTTTATGAAAAAACACTTATGTTCCTAGGTAACATATACTAAAGTATTTAAGGTAAACAGAAAGTGGACCTGCAACTTATTCTCACATGGTTTAGAAAAAAATAAAAAAGATAAATTATTAATGAGAGAGGGAGAGAGATGTCAGACAAATGGATGGATGGATGGATGGATGGGTGGATGGACAGAATAATAAAGTTCATGCATAAAATATTCACATTTGGAGCAGCTGGGTAAATGGTATGTGGAAAATCATGGGGTTATTCTTGTCACTTTTCTGTGACTACGAACCATGTTAACATAGAAGTTTCAAATAAGAGTAGTATGACAAGAGCCACTGACTTATATTTTTAATATTAATTCTAAAGATTACTCTGAGAAATTTTTAAATGAAGCAATATTTTCTTTTTATTAGAGCATTTTTCATCACAATATTATGCTCCAAGAATCTTTCGACTTACTGTACAAGTATAAAAATAGTAAATAAATCAAATAAAAATAAAATAAACCAAATCTAAAGTTGTACTGAATTTTATATTCTCCCTCAAGTTGATAATATTGCAGTCACTTGTAGACTCCTCAACCTGTAACGGCACCCTTGGTACTCCACCCCGTGGATATTTTACTGTATATTTAGCTAGTGAAATATCATTCCACATAAGTTCTCCACATTTGTATCAATTTTCAAGATAATCACATTTATTATGTGTAATATTTGTTGTTGAAAAGTATTTGTGCCCTGATTTTTGAAAAGGTTGTTTTTAATCCAATTGGATTCCACCATTATTAACTTATAGAATGAGAAAAAAAGTATCAAATATTTAAATTAAACAGAAATAATAAAATGCTGCCTCTCCCATGGGATATTTCAGTTGAATGTTATTCACTTCATTGTATTTTTCTTCTCAGCCATTGGGGCTTATGTAGAGAAAAAAAAAATCTTATATAATTTGTGGAGGCTTAACATTTACAGATCACTGCTTCAATTAATTTTACATTTCCTGGGTTTTAAACTCAGTTAAATAAATAATTCATGCATGAATTTGAAATAAAATAGTTGATATTTTTATAAATATTTAAATCGCCATATAACTGTCACTCAGGTTTTCCTTCCCCTGTATAATTCTTAACCCATTTATACCAAAGGTTGCAAATTTTATTTGTGGAAAATCAGACCTTGGTGATGACCTTGAGCAGTAGCATATAAATAACTCCCACAAGCTTAGTGTTCCAATAATGAAACACTAGGCGTAAATGGGTTTAAAGGCAAAATAAACAACATTGTAAAAGAAAGCCCTAGTAATCATTCTCCTACTTCATTTAAAAGTGAGGCTAGAGTTGATGTATATACCTTCATTTTGTATTGTGTAATTTAGAAGTAAAGGAAGTCATATAGTTAAGAACCTGACATAGCTGTTCATTAATAACTCACATTGCTTTAAATATATCACTTGATTATTAATATTTGATCTTAATATAGAGAGACCATGGACTATAGCTGGATATATGCCTACTCACATACCCATGATTTTATTCTAAAAGAAAATTATAAGCCCCTTATTGAGATGGATTAAATATTTATGTCTCCCAAAAATCCATATGCTGAAATTGTAACTCCCAAGGTGATGATCTGAGGAAGTGGGGCCTTTGAGATGTGATTAAGTCATGGGAGTGTAGCTCTCATAAAGGAGATCAATGCCTTTACAAGACAGACCCAGTGCCAGTTGTGCCATGTGCGGTCACTGTGGGAAGACAGGTGTCTGTGAGGAAGTGGGCATCACTAGAACACAGGCGGGATCTCTATCTTGAAATTCCCCTCAGAACTGTGAGACATAAATTTCTATTGTTTATAAGCCTTCCAGTTTATGTTGTTTTTGTTAAAGCTGTCTGAATGGCCTAAGACAGTGACTCACCATCTGACAGAAATAAACCAATTATAAGGTTCTGATGTAAAGTGTAGATACTATATCTCTATAAGACTAAAGGTATCCTGTCATTGGCACGAAGCAATCTTTCACTTTTCCTGATCTTCTATATCCCATTTGCAGTTGACAGTTGCTGTGGAAGAAGGCCAGAAACAGCTGCTTCCTAATTATGAGGAGCATGAACAGGTAGATGCAAGAGAGTGTAAGCTGAGTAATCTTGGGGCTGGTAAGAGTCTGATTGTGGTGGTAGAATCCAACACCCAACTAATGTTTTCATAAAATACTTCTTAAACAGGTTCATTTTTACATGAAGAATCTGCTACTCATGCCTATTTTAGAAGTATATTTGAATATTCTTCAAAATGTTAAGTAGACATAGTCAGTTTATAAAATGTTTTATTTACGTATTAAGGTTTAACTAGAAATACATGACCTCTAACCCAAGAATTTAGAAAAGATTTCCTTTCTGGATTGTTCACTTATTCAATTTAAAAACAATGGATTGAACATACTGTATTTCAACAAGGCACTGGCTACTAATATATTTTGGTGTATCTAACAAATAAAAAAAAATTTTCAAGGCCTTACCCTCTAATTTTTTCTACATTTTACCATTTATCCACTATCGTTTTTTAAATATAAATTGGCTTTTCAAAAAGTACATTTAACTCTTGCATATTACTAGTGGAAATGGAAAATTGTACATGAATGACCAATGATGGTATGCATTGGGGAACAAGGAACAGAAGAACAGGAGTCTACCTCTGTGTATGGCAAAACATACAGAAAGTGAACCTTTTTGAAGTGCAATCTCATAGAGAAAACTTAAAGCAGAAAGTAAGACAGGATTACTCAATAAAGCAAAACTTTCACAAGCAAAACAGTGCTCCAAATACAAGGTAACACTAGAGGAATCAGAAGCCTTGTACACACTTCCTGCAGAAAAAAAAAAAAAAAAACTCTTACTTCATTATATGAGACTAGTCTAACTCTTACACAAAAACCTGACATTACAGTTGAACAGAATTACAGACTCACAAAGTTAACAATTTATACATATACACAAAATTACTAATAAAGTATTAGTATATCGGTTCACATTGTTTTATAACATATAATACATCATGATGAAGTTTAATCAAGTTGTGCAAGTTTAGTTGAAAGTTTGAAACTATTCAATATTAGTATAGTGAGAGATTACAGGAGAAAATCATAAGACTATCTTATGAATGAAGAAAAACAATTTTTTAAATATTTAACATCCATGATTGTTTAAAATCTTGATTAACCAAAACTAGAAGGGAAGTTCCTTAATATAGTAGAAGATATCCACAAAGAAATCTGCAGCTGACATGTTACTAAATAGTAAAACATAAAATGCAGTTTTCACAAGATTGAAGTAGGGCCATGTAGTCCTCTGTCACCACTACTTTTCATCATTTTATTGGATTTCCTGGATAGTGCAATTATGTAGGAAAAGGAAAACCTGTTCTTGAAACACCAGGCAATTTGTCTAGGTCCTGCTGCTCTCCGCACAGAAAGCCAATCACTGAGATAGCAAGTATTGCCAAGGAAGAAACCTTTAATTGGGTGCTGCAGCTGAGGAGATGGGAGATCAATCTAAAATCCATCTCGCTGATTAAAACCAGGGGTTTATATAGCAGGGAAGAAATGTAACAATATGTAAGAAAACAGAAACTTGGGAGGGGCAAGGAAGTAATCATGGTGAATGAGGGAACCAGCATTTGGTGCAGTGATCTGGTTTCAGTTCTTTGATACTTTTCTGAAAGAACTGAAGGTTGTTTCCTGAGAAAGGAACTCAGATAAACATCTATGAGTTTCAAGCCTTAAGACCAGAAAGGTCACTTTCTATGTTTATCCAAAAGACCAGTCTATTGGACTATGGGGTTGGTTTCAAATCAACCACCACAAGAGTCACACAAAGCCAGACAGTGAGCCGGGAGACATAATCAACAGATGATGTTAGCCCCTAGTGCCTGGTTTATTATTTTGAGAGCATTTGCAGGCACAGGATGGAGGAATCCACACACAGTCTGGCAAATTTCCTGATTTGAGGAGATAGAGCTGGAAGTCTGGGGAAACCAGGCTGGCAAAAGATTCTGAGACAAAATCCTAGACCAAAGAGCACCTAGACCAAACAGACCAAACAGTGAGATAACCTGAAGATTTGCAGCGGATTTCCCTCAAGTATTTAGCAGAAAATCGATCAGTAAATGCATTTGAGAAAAATACCTTAGGTCTGGAAAAGAGCCAAGCAAAAAAATAAAAGTAGCATCTGCTACTCACACAGGGCCAGAGATAGTGCCTATTCCCAACAGCTAAAAGGAGAAAACTTATAATTCACAAAAGTGTGGTTGGGTGAAGTTTACAAATAAGCCTTGTTTCAATGAAAGGGAATAATTTGTCCTAGACTGAGAAATGCTCCAGACCTGTGTAACAGATCATAAAAATAATACCACATAGAATCATACTATCTCCAATAAGTTAATAATTAAGAATATATATGCACCTAAAATATATGAAGCACACTAAATATGTTAAACAAAAATGACAGAATTAAAAGTAGAAACAGACAAATCAACAATTAGATTTTGTGCTTTTAATACTTGTTTCTCAAAAAGTGATACAACAAGTTGACACAAAATAAGTGAGTATTGAAGACTTAGACAACATATTCAAACAACTTGACCCAATTGTTTTTATAGAACACTGCAAAAACAGTAGCAAAATAAAGAATCTTGCACAGAGAAAAATAAAAAAGACCATATTATTGGATAAAACATATTTCAATAAATTTGAGATGATTTTTCATGCAGATTTTGTTCTCTTTCCACAATAGAATTAAATTAGAAATAAAAAAGAAAAATCACTGGAAGATTTGCTAATATTTGGAAACTACTGACTCACTTCTAATAACCCACAGATTAAAGAAAAAAATGAAAAAGAAAATACAATATTTTGAACTGAGGAAAAATGAAAACAAAACATTTCAGAAATCAATGGAAGCCATTAAAGCAGGACTTAGAGAAAATTTGTAACACTTAACACTTATGTTAGGAAGAAAGAAATATCAAAATGTAATAACCTCAGCTTCCTCCTTAGAAAGCTGTATTAAAAACAGATAATTAAACCCGAAGAAAGCAAGAGAAAGAAAATTATATAAACCAAAGCAGAAAAATAAATGAAGTACAAAACCAAAACAGAGAAAATCAAGACAACTGAGAACTTATTATTTGAGAAGATCAATAGAATCAATAAACTTGTAGACAGACTAGATAAGGCATAAAAATAGAATACAAAAATAAGCAATATCAGGGATAGAGGTAACACTACAACAGATTCTACAGGTATTAAAAATGCAATAAGAATGTATTATGGAAACCAATTGCCTACAGATTGAATAATTTAGATGAAATGCACCAATGCATTGAAAGACACAAACTAAAAAAGATAACTGACAAAGAAATAGATAATCTGAAACCCCAAATCTATTAAAGAAACTGCAGTAAAACCTGACAAAGACAATTTCCGGCCTATGTGGTTTTACTGGTGAATTCTACCCAAAACTTAAGGAAGAAATAATACAAATTCTGTGGTAACCTTTGCAGAAAATGGAAGAGGATGGAATACATCCTAAACTCATTCTTTGAGGCCTCATTACCCTCATATCACTACTGCAAAGACATTACTGAAAACTACAGAACAATATTTCTCATGAACAGAGATGCAAAAGTACGAATCCAATTTTTAACAATGTGGATTTAATAATTATATATGAAGGATAAAGTATTGCAACTAATTTTGGGTTATGATAGAAAAGCTAGGATGGTTTAATGGTAAAATATCAATCAATATAATGTACCATATTTAAAAACCAAAAATGAGACTCTAACTATGGTAATCTTGATATATGTAGAATAATCATTTTAAAAAAATTATCATCCTTTCATGATAAAAACTCACAACAAAATAAGAATACAATACGTCTTTCTCAACTTTATAAAGTGCATCTTCAAAAAACTTGCAACTAAGAATCCTTAGCATGAAAGAACGAATGTTTAATTCCTAAGATTAGGAACAAATAGAGATGTTTTCTCTCATCTCTTCTATTCCACACGGTAACTGGAGGTTCCAATCAATTCAATAAGCCAAGGAAAGAAATGTTAACATGTTTAGAATGGAGTAAAATTGTGTTTTTTGCAGATGACTTGCTCACCTATCTAGAAAACCCAATGCAATATACCAAAAGAAAAGATACTAGAATAAATAAGTGATTTTCACAAGGTTGCAAGACTTTTGAGTTCAAAGCTTTCTTATAAAGCTGCAGTCTTCAAGACAGAATGATAAATAGCAAAAAAATAGAAAAAATAGATGAAGAAAAATAATAGAAATTCAGAAGTAGATCCATATGTATATACATATATGTGAAACTAAATAATTGCAATCCAAATCTTAATCCACATGTACAAATTAACTAAAAATATTCATAGATCTAAATGTGGCACCTAAAACTGAAACTGACCCACTAGTCCCATAGTTAGTTTTTTGTTTCTTTTGATAAACATAGAAAATGACCCTTTTCTTCTTAAAGGTCAAAACTTATTATTTGTTTTATCTGAGTTCCTTCCTCAGGAAAGGACCTTCAGGCCTCTAAAAAAAGTATCAAAGCACTAAAACTCACCACATCACCACATCCAGACAATGAGACACTGGACCTCTCATTCATCATGATTGCTTCCTTGCCACTCCCTACTTTCTGTTTTCTTACACGTTGTTACATTTCTTCCCTGCTATATAAACCCCTAGTTTTAGTCCATCAGGGAAATGGATTTGAAACTGTGCTCCCATCTCCTTGGCTGCAGCACCCGATTAAAGCCTTCTTCCTTGACAATAATCATTGTCTCCGTCATTGGCTTTCTGTGCAGGGAGCAGCAGGACCTGGACCAAATCCCTGGTGTTTTGGTAACAATACTATAAAACTTCTACAACAAAATAAAACTATAAAACTTCTAGAACAAAAATATTTGTGACATTGGTTTCAGCAACTATTTCTTAGATACAGCACCAAGCATGAGCTATAAAGGAACAAACAGATAAATTGGGCTTCATCAAAACAAGAAACTTGTCTTCAAAAAGGACTACTAAGAGAAAGAAAACTGAACAGATGGGAGAAAATGCTTTTCAAACTGGACCTTAGACAAAAATGCTGAAGTTGCAACCAAAGGGAAAAAAAATAATATTTTGATTACTTTGGGGTAGATAGAACACAAAACCCATGAGCAGTAAAAAAAAAAATAAATAAAAAAAATAGATAGCTAGATAGATAGCTAGATAGATAGATAGATGTAGATAGATTCGTAGATAGAGGTGTATTAGGCTTTTATAGGTAGGGGATCAGCAAGCCTTGTTTTTCCAGCACTGGTCCCCACCCTGTTGGCAACCTTGCTGATCCCAGCAGGATTTGATCAAAACAGGGTGCAGTGAAGAAGCCTGTGGAAATCAGAAGATGGGACAAAAATGACCTTTAGTGACCCTCACTGCTTATTAACATAAAGACACCAAATTGGCCAGGCATGGTGGCTCATGCCTGTAATTCCAGCACTTTAGGAGGTTGAGGCTAGTGGAATACTTAAGGTCAGAAGTTTGATACCAGCCTGGGCAACATGGTGAAACCCCCATCTCTAAGCCAGGTGTGGTGGTGCACACCTGTGGTCCCAGTTACTCAGCTGACTGAGGCACGAGAATCACTTGAGCCTGGGAGGTGGAGGAGGTTGCAGTGAGCTGAGATTGCACCACTACACTCCAGCCTGGGTGACAGCAAGACCCTGTCTCAAAAAAAAAAAAGACACTCCAATGAGCAATGTGACAGTTTACAAATTTCGTGGATATGGCTCCTGCTATCTCCTGCCTCAAAGCCTAAATGTCCATCAGTATGTGTTATGGACTGAATTGTGTCCCTTCAAAGTTCTTATGTTCATGCCCTACCCCACACTGTTACTGTATTTGGAGATAGGGCCTAAAGGAGGTAATTAAGGTTGAATGAGGTCATAAGAGTGGGGCCCTGATTCTGTATGATTAGTGTCCTTATTGAAGAGACACCAAAGTGCTTCCTTTCTTTCCATTATTCAGAGTCATAAAAAGAGTATTTTCTTTGGTGAAAACAAAACAGTTAAAATTCTGATCATGCCACAGGGCATATGGCTATTTTCACTTTAACAAATCAATTTCTCTTAACCTACTTTCTCATATGTAACTTCAAGCTATTGATGCCAATATTCTAGGACAATTCAATTATTAAATAAGAAAATATCTTGAGGTGCATAAAATACTAGTCAACCAATATACAGAAGGTTTCTTCTCAATCCTTTGGTTTTTCATAACATGGAAAAATAAAAAATACTACTGAAATAGTAACATGAATGCAGCAGTGACAGTATAAGTGAAAAAGAAATGTTGCTGGAAAAATACAAAATGAAGTGACCTCTAAAAGAAATCTACATTGCATCATACAGCACCCAAAAAGTAAAGAGACCCTCTCTCCCTCAGCCTGCCCTTACTCATCCAGTGTTACATGGCTCTTAAGGTGAATAATGTAGACCTGTAGTAGCATAATCAAGGATGAAAATCTTGAAAATAAGAAGAAAAATCAAGGAGTAAAAAAATAGATACCAAATATAAAAAAATACGATTTTAAAATAATATGAAACAATTGCAAAAGGACTTCAGTGTTTGCTTAGTTGTAAACATAACATGTTTATTGAGTTACAACAACTGGAACACTGGAAGAACATAAACAATTACACATGCTAAAGTCCGGGAACGCTTAACAAATCACTCCAAATCACGTACCTGGTATTTAAAAAGCTAGAGCCAGAATTACAATTTCCTGACATCAAGAACAGTGACAGATAACAATATAGCCAGTAAAATGCAGACGTATAAACAATCATTTTGACATCATCATTAAACAGGAAGAGATGTGGAATCACTGAAATTCACACACATGCTAGAGGGAGTCAGTTTCGCTATAATACTCTAATAGAAGCTTAAAATCTTAATGGTCTAGTCAGCATTCATGACCTCTTGTTATTTTCCTTGATAACAGTTTTTCTTTTGTTTAATAATTTCTGAGAAGTATAGTTAATTGAGTTTGCTTTGTTTTGTTTTCGTTTGTTTGTTTTATAATATTAGCACTACAATCAATATAGACATTCCTGAATGGCTTTATAATTTGGTAGTGGTTAAACTCTTCTGAAGAAAGAAAATTTCTTTCATCACATATGAAGTTAGCAAACAAATCAAATAACTTAAAGACTTGGATGATCTGTAACCTTGATCAGTTTTGAAAAACAGTACTCATCAAGTAGAATATTTTTGACACATTTTCATTTGAATGGGAAATCTGTCATAAATAGAGAAGATAAGGCCATTTTTATTTATTGCATGTAGTGGCGATAGAACAGCAGGCAAATCTATAGTTTATATCTCGAGTCCACTTCTACACAGTCCTAATTTCCAAATCTTGATCCTGCCAGCTATACCTAAGATCTGGGAGGGAGAGGATCTTTGGAGAATGGACCAGACAGCATCCTTGTGGAAGCATGTTAGGAAGTTATATGACAAACCATGTAATAGATGACCTGTCACTAGAAGGGGTTGAATGGGGAGGTGTCAGTATATTAGAGCAGGAGCCGTGTGGATTCGCATACAACCATATGAGAGTAGCAATACAATGAAAGAAGAGAGTGCTGCTTAGTTGTTTTTGTTATTGTTGTTGTAATTGTAGAACTAGGTGGACTGTGTTGTCATTGACCAAGATGAGAAAGACTAACTGTGGGAAAACATAAACTTTTAGATTTATTCAGTTAGATTTGCCTATTACTTAATTTTCTAGGTGTTACCTTCTCAACGCCCAAATCCCTTGCCTTCATAAGCACCCTAACTGTTGGTCAGCTCCATGCCTCCCTGACATAGCTCTTGTTGTTCTGAGAGGCTATTTTTATGTCTGCCTCTACCCAGAAGTTAAACATAGACTAAGCCTACTCTAATCAGAAAATCTATTTCTTGCTACAATTTATTGTTTTGCTATTGGACATATGACTCATTTTTGGCCAATGAATTTAGAGATAACTTTTAATGAAGGTTTATGCAGACTGAAATTTCTTTATTTTCTGAAAAAGCTACTAAAAGCAACTCTTCCTCTCTCTGGGTGGGAAAAAGTATCACTCACATGAATCAGTTAAATTCTGTCTGAAGAGAAGTTGGTCCACACTCAATCTTTGCCATCACATGATTTGCTGGCACAGACTAGAAAGCAGTCTCAATGCATTTCATCAAAGTACTTGAAAATCATCATTAACAGCAAGTAAGACTGAGAAGATACTCTCTTTTAGGAATGCAATGCTTTCATTTTTCCAAGAAGAACAACCATCAGAAGACAGGAAGCCTGTCTCAGGGTCATTGAAATAGGAACAAAGTCAAGCTGCAACAACCTTGGCACTCTCCTGATCCTCTACAAGAGAATAAACTCAAATTTTTCTCCCCAAACACAAAGCAGAGCACCATGGTTACTTCCTGGTATTTATCTGGGGACCATGAAAGAAAACCAGCTTAGGATGGAAAGCTGAGCAAGAAACAGAAAGAAACTAGGTGTCTAATGTCACTATTGAACTGCTGAATCAAGCCAACCCTGAAGCTGTTCCTACCTCTTGATTTGCAGTCTTTTATTTTAAACTGTTTATGGTCCCGTTTTTTTGTAATTCTTAGAGAAAATACAGTCTAACTGAAGCAATTAAAAAAAAGAATATATCGTGTAGTATCATGTAGACAGTTGGATACATAGACCTAAAACAGTCAGAGGAGAGGTGTAAGGTGTGACAGTTATCCACTGTGAACATACGACAGTATTAAAGACATGAACTTGAAGGAGACACAAAGTGATAGTGCATAGACATGGAGTTGCAGAGTGCTTTTTCACAACCAGGACGTTAGAGTCACTCTGCTGCTTCCAAAGGCTGCACAGCCCAACCTCACTAGCAGGTTAAGAGATGACAGATCAATTAGCTTGGGATCAGAAGTCTTGCTAGAAATGTGGCTAAGAATAAGTAAGTCATGAAGACTTATTTATTACACAGTCCCCCCCTTTTTATTGGAAAGTTTGTTATGCTGACATACTTTCTTGCCTATGATGCTCAGAGACCTAAATTTTTTGTTGTTGTTTGTACACCATAGTTCCATCAAGCATTATACAAGCACATCATATTTTATATAACTAAAAAAAACTCACTATTTCTTACTCCCTACACCTCCTCCCCTACCATGGTCTCCAGCTTAGTTTGCTTATAATAAAAACTCAAACTGTGTTTATTCTCTGCTTTCATACTACCACAGCAACAATCTTCAACACAAGGAAGCTTCTGGGACGAAATGCATGGGGGTTTTCCCCTACACCAAGAACTGGACACCAGCTGGGCATCCTCCAACTTAATTCCGATATTATCTAGTTAGAGATAGCATCAGATCCCACAGGGTGAGGACGCAGTCCCCAAGACTGTCCCCACTTCAGGCACAAGTCACAAGTCCAGGCCTCCAGAACTGAATGGCTTCAAGTTGGGGTTCCCTTCACTCCAACTTTGGGTTCAAATAATTTGCTGGAACAGCTCACAGAACTCAGGGAAACAAGTTTACTGGTTTATTGTAAAGGATGTTACAGAGGATACAGATAAAGTAGGGTGAGGTATGGGGAAGGGGATGCAGGGCCTCCATGCTGTCTGATATGGTTGGCTCTGTGGCCACTCAGATCTCATCTGGAATTCCCATGTGTTGTGGGAGGGACCCAGTGGGAGGTAATTGAATCATGGAAGCAAGTCTTTCCCATGCTGCTCTCATGATAGTGAATAAGTCTCATGAGATCTGATGGTTTTATAAACAGGGCTTCCCCTGCACAGGCGCTCTCTCTTTGCCTGCTGCCATCCATGTAAGAGGTGACTTGCTCCTCCTTGCCTTCCACCATGATTGTGACGCCTCCCCAGCCATGTGGAACTGTAAGTCCATTAAGCCTCTTCTTCCCAGTCTCAGGTATGTCTTTATCAGCAGCGTGAAAAGGGACTAATACACCCTCCTTGTGCACCAAACCCTGCCCTCTTTTGCATTTTATGGAGACTTACTGGATAGGCATGATTAGCAACTGTGTAGAAGTGTGATTTAGACAGAAAGGGTATGGAGACTTACTTGATAGGAATGATTAGCAACTGTGTAGAAGTGTGATTTGGACAGAAAGGGTATGTTCTTTTATTTTTATTTTTATTTTTTTTTGAGATGGAGTCTCACTCTTCACCCAGGCTGGAGTGCCACTCTGCACCCAGGCTGGAGTGCAGTGGCACAATCCCAGCTCACTGAAACCTCCACCCCCCGGGTTCAAGCAATTGTCCTGCCTCAGCCTCCTGAGTAACTGGGATTACAGGCATGCACTACCACGCCTGGCTAATTTTTGTATTTTTAGTAGAGATGGGGTTTCACCATGTTGGCCAGGCTAGTCTTGAACTCCTGATCTCAGGTGATCTGCCTGCCTCGGCCTCCCAAAGTGGTGAGATTATGGGCATGAGCCACCCCACTTGGCCTGAAAGGGTATGTTCTAAACCTAGCTAGTCCTGTCCAGGTTCTTCTTGGCCTCTCTGTGAATTATTCCTCCCTTCAGAGTATGGGGCAGGATCTCCTCTGAAATGAGGGTCTTAGGACCCACAGTCAGAAGGCAATTGCCTTGGGTAGGTGAAAGGAGGGCAAGAGAAGGTCAGAGAGAGGGGTTCTGTTTTCTGAGGCCTAGAGTGCCCCAACATTATAACCAGGGCTAGAGGAGTCAGGAACGGGGAACCAATATACATATATGATACATAGATAATGTATACATATATAATATGTACATAATATATTACATATACATATAATTATAGTATATAATGACACATTATGTATGTGTGTGCATGCATATGTGTGTATATATATTTGTGTGTGTGCGTGTGTTTGTGCATCACAGGGTTAAAAGTGGGAGTTGCTCAAACTGGAACCAGTAATCCTCACATTACTGCAGTCACCAGGCCTGCCCACTTCACTCCCTTGATTTCCTGTGGACTCTGTCTCCTCCTCCCTGTCGCATCATCACTGTCTATCCCAGTGCCACTGTTTCCTGATAGGTACTGTGGCTGTCGCTCCCTCTTCCTGTTGAACTTTTTAAATAATTACTAGCATTATTTTTCTAATTCCTGTAATTCTCCTGCCTTCAAACATTGTTTTTTCTATCGCTTGTAATATAATAATCTAAATTTCTTAGAATTGAAAGAAAAAATGATGAACTTACCCCAACTTAATATGGAATGGGCCAGGTCATGAAACTACATCCCAGCCATAAGAACACCTTCTGATTGACATATGCAAGATACTATTACCTGAAATGCATTCACTACCCATGACCAGGCCTTCTTGCTATGTTTTCCTTGTTAAACAATCTTAGGCAATTTCTGTGCAAGCCCTCCTTCAAGTGCACTTTCCTCTCTTCAGGCTTCCCTCCCCCTACTCCACACAAGCAAAGTTGCAACAATGAGATGGCCCTGCTGTTCAGAGCACACAACCCACCTTCATCTCTTATCCATTGTATTCTAGTTATCTGACCGCATCTCCTACAGTAAAGGGCAGGTGACTGCAAGTCACTGTGGCTCCAAGGAATGAATGACAGGTGGTTGGTGAACTTAGTTAGTACCTTTAAATTATTATTAACAACAACCTCATTTAAAAATAGCTCATTTTAAGATTTCATTTTTTTTGAAAGCTGAAAATCTCTTATAGAAATAAAGATATATTATCGAAGTTACTCAGAGTAATTTTTTCTCTGATAGGAAAATACACCTAAGATTGTTCAGCTAAAAAAAAATACAGCAAGAAAGTCTGGTCATGGGTGCTGAATGCATTTTAGGTAACAGTATCTTGCATATGTCAACCAGAAGGAGTTCCTTGTGGCTGGGATATAGTGTCATGACCTGGCCCATTCCATTTTTAGAGACTGGCAACTTCATAACATCTATTATTTTGAAAGTTCACTTTGAGCATATGTCATTAATATTGTGACCAGCCCATGTATAGGCTCCTCATAAATTCAGACTAGTGATGGAACAGTCTACTTAGAGTTTATAACAGTTCTGATTTAAAGAACATTATAAAAACAGATTTTTAGCAAATTAGTAAATGCAAATCAGAATGAACAAAAGCGTTCCCTGTGGTGTTTTGTTAGAAGCAGGTTTTCACAGGCCTAAGGGAACAAGGAGTGAGCTGTACAAAGTCGTTTGTCAGGAATTCTTGTTGGTTTACAGAAATGGCGTTGATTAGTGGTTGGTTGTATATCACTCACTATACGGTGTGAGTTACGATGTTCAGCATATGGCACTGTTGGGTTAATTTTATGACTGCTTGGTGTCAGTCACTCTAGAGCCCTCAAAGCAAGCGGCCTCAAAAGCAAGCGGCCTCAATGCCTGTCTGGGCCTGATAATTTAAAGGGGCTCACACTCCTCAGATAAAAAGTTTCTCTCCTTTCTCAACATTCTATGTCAAGGGGGAAGATTATGTAAATAATGTGATGAAAATGTTGCTTTATGGTCTTCCTTCCCCAAACCCATAAATGCAATCTAACCATGAGAAAAACATCAGGCAAATAAAAATTGAGGAACATTCTGTAAAATGCCTGCCCAGTCCCCTCAAGACCATTAGGGTCATCAGAAGCAAAGAAAGCCTGAAAAATTGTAGCAGCCAAGAGGAGCCTAAGAGACAAGAAGAAATGTAACTTGCTCTCCTGGATGGGATCCTGGGGAAGAAAATAAATGCTAGATTAGAAACTAGGTAAACCAGAATAAAAATAAGCATTAATTAATAATAATGCATCAACAATGATTCATTAATTATAACAGATGTACATACTAATGTAAGATGTTACTAATGAGGGAAATGACATGGGGTACATGAACATTCTGTACTGTCTGAATTTTTTTCTGTCAATCTAAAACTGTCCTACAATAAACATTTATTTTAAAAGTCTTCTGTTAGGATTATAGGTTAGTAATGAAAGAACTTATATATATATATATGTGTGTTTGTTTGTGTGTGTATTTAAAACCTTAACTCAGACCACACACACCATACAGTGTGTATGTATTTAAAACCTTACCTCAGACCTATTATTTTAATTTTTATAGGGCTAAATATAAAACCAAACAATCACAATTAACTCCTCCACTTCAAATTATGAAAAGGTTGGAATAGATAAATATTTTATCTAAGCATTGGAAGGAGGATTTTCTATCCTTAAAAGTAAAAATTACAAAAGAAAAAATCAATTCCTATTAGTTTACAAAAATCAAAAAGTCAATTATCAATTTAAAAATGACTATTTTACTAGAATTAGAGAAATCCAAATTAAAACAATGAATTATTTTTTTCATAGACATCAATTATTAAAAGAGCTATGAAGGAAAAGTAAAAACAGTTAGCAAAGACATGGAATCAACCTAAATGCCCATCAATTATAGACTGGATAGAGAAAATACAGCACATATACACCATGGAATACTGTGCAGCCATAAAAAGAATGAGATCATGTCCTTTGCAGGAACATGGATGAAGCTGGAGGTCATTATCCTTAGCAAATTAACGCAGGAACAGTAAACCAAATACCACATGTTCTCATTTAAAAGTGGGAGCTAAATGATGAGAACATGTGGACGCATACATAGAGGGGAATGACAGACTCTGAGGCCTTCAAGAGGGTAAAGGATGGAGGAGGGAGAGGATCTGGAAAAATAATTAATGGGTACTAGGCTTAATATTTGGGTGATGAAATAATCTGCATAACAAACCCCCATGACATAATTTACCTATGTAACAAACTTGCACATGTACCCCAGAACTTAAAATACAAATTAAAAAAAGAAAAGTAAAAATTATTATAAATTTTTCATGTGGTTATTTGTTCAATGTGTTTCCCAATAAAATGTAACATCTGTAAAATGTCATAGCTATTTTATTTCTTGCTATATTCAGAAAGTTTTGCACATAATAAGACAACAAATAGTAATTAGTACAAATCAAATGAACAATAAAATGGTATATAATGTTTGTACCAAATTAATATATACAGGATAATACCCTCCAAGCTTCACAGAAATCATTAGTTCAACAACCCTTTACAAGCAACAACCCTTGTTTTTTCTGTTAAAGGACAGGTGAGCTTATGATAGGCATAGCATAGGGTGGAGAACACCAAATTTTAAAAATAAAGTCTTCAAAGAACAATGAAGATAATGGATTGGTTGAAATGGCCAAGTGTTTTTTGGTGGAGTAATTTGAGATAAATAACTTGTGTACAGATAATAACTGGCCTAAACTTCAGTTTCAGTAATTTTGAGCAAATCATGAAAACAATAGGAAATCATAGAAAAATGTTGACAAGGTTCTTTTACCCCAGCCACCCAATTTAGCAAATGAAAATAATTGTTTTTACCCTGTGAAAATGTATAGTTTAAGTGCTGTAGTAAGTACAAAGATGTGCAAGGTGCAGTTCCTAAATTAGATTGCTAAGACAACTTTCATCTGCAAAAGTCTACAATTAAAATACTCTTAATGGAAAATTCTTCTGCTCTAAAATGTTGGATGGATTAGACGTGAGAAGAGTGAGAGTGGAAATGACAACTATAAATGTACACAAATTAGGTGCTAAAGAACAGTGGGCAGTAAAACTGAAGGTACATGAAAAATAAAGGATGTTTTCAGAGAACACATTTCAACTTTCCACACAGTTAATTTATCTTTTATAGTTTATGGATTGAATATTAGTTTTTTCTTATGTGCATATCTTTTATTTCTCCCACTAGATTACAAGACTACATGAAGGATACACATCGTATTTTAAACAACACATCCCTTACAATGCCTATCTAAGTAATTTGTAAATAGGAGATGTTGAAAAGCATTGTTTAGTTTATTTATAAAAATATCTCAAGGTTTTCAACTGAGATAAATGTAGACTCTGACAAACATAGTGATTGTTATGAGAAAAAAATATTTAGGGAATTATTTATTTGGTTAGTTTTGAGATATTTTATTTTTTAAAAAGGAAAAATATAAAGAGAAAAAAGATGACTGTGAACTTTTACATTTAATATATAATTTTGATACGTTAAAATCTGATTATATAACATAGGAACTTTTTCTTGATTATTAGTAATTTTGTTTAATGAGCTGTTTTGAAATAAAGACCAAATTTCTTTCATAAAATCTCTTAAAAACTTTGAGAGTTTAAGTGTTAAATAACAATAATCATTTAATAACCTTCAAATACACCAAAAAATAATATTAACAGTTAAGGCGGTTTTTCATTAGGCCGGCTAAGCAAGACAAATACACAAAATTTTAGTAGAACTCTTCTGTGGCTTCAGAGCTTCAGACACATTTCTTTCCTGGATATTGAGTTGCCCCTTAGGGCTTTCAGCAGCAGTGCTAATGCCTGAACTGGCATTATCTTTATCACACACACTGCAAATTTGTAGATAGAAGAAGCTGCAACATAAATGGCTTTAAGGAGAAGAACTGACAAGGATGGAGTCCAAGATTTATTTACAATAAGACCCAAAGGAGATGAGTGCTAAAAGACGTAGACCATTGATCTTTATTGATCAAATGACTATGTACCTAATCACCCACACCATTCTGTTCATAGGTAAAACTTCCAATGAATCATACACAGACACATACACACACAGGGTGCTTAGAGACAGCTATTTCACCTTCGAATAAATGGCATTGTTGACAGCAACAATGTATGATATATATATATATATCATACGTCTTTTTTACAGTCTGAGAAATCAAGGTCAGTTGCATTTACAATGTGATTTGAATGATCCTTGGAAGGTTACAGGCTGCCAAAATTACATCAGAACATTTGTTACAAATAAAAAAAAAATATTGGGAATGTGTGACTTCTTTTTTTTTTTTTTTTTTGAGACAGAGTCTCGACTTGCTGCCCAGGCTGGAGTTCAGTGGCGCCATCTCAGCTCACTGCAAGCTCCGCCTCCCGGGTTCAAGCCATTCTCCTGCCTCAGCCTCCCGAGTAGTTGGGACTACAGGCGCCCGCCACCACGCCCGGCTAATTTTTTGTATTTTTAGTAGAGAAGGGGTTTCACCGTGTTAGCCAGGATGGTCTCGATTTCCTGACCTCGTGATCCGCCCTCCTAGGCCTCCCAAAGTGCTGGGATTACAGGCGTGAGCTACTGCGCCCGGCCGGACATTTTGTTTTTTATTTCTCTATATAATGCTTTAATACAAATAAGTTATCTCTAGAACTTTCACTATTCTTTGATGTCTGTGTTTTCCTGGACAGCTGCCCTCACACTTTGTTTTCTACTTATTCATAGTAATTTTCAAACTCTAAAGTGTCCTTTTTATTTATTATTTTCAGAAGCTCCAAAACACATTTTCTTTAGTCCACTCCTAAACAAATTCTTTTTTATATCTTATTTTTTTGTTTCCAGTCTACACAATTCCTAAAAGATAGAAATTCCTAATTTTCTCTAATTTATACACAACAGTGTATAAAATACACCCTCTTTCTTTCTTATTCAGATAATACTTTCATTATTATATCCAGTTCACCTTTTATTCTGATAAAAGAAGCAGCAGATGAGAAAATTAATAGAAAATAAACCTGTTAGAACAATTTTCCCCATCTTTAAATAGAGCTACATTTCTCTTCAAACAGCTTGTCTTTAGAAGGAGTAAAATTGACTCTAGAATGGATGTGCAAAAATAAAAACAAATAAATTTGACTTTTTCAGAGTGGCTGCTACTCTAGCAGCTAAAATAAGCATTTAGCTGCCAGATGTTCAGCTGATTGATTTCCAAATCTGACCAAGGGAATCAGGGCAAACTCGTTGTCTTACATTGAAGTTATAGGATCTCACGTGTATTAGAGCAGACAAAATTGTGGATTTCAAATCTCCAAAAGTGTGTAATGATCAGTTACATTTATATTTATCTCTCCAAACAGGATAAGAAAATTAATAACTCTCGACAGGATTTAAATATTCAATGTTAGACTGGTTAATCTAATCCTCCACTCCTATATACACACCTTCTGTTGAGATTAAAAAGATTACTTCATTAGTATGAAGATCAAAGTTTAATTATTTGCACCATAACAGTTCTCAAACTATCATTAAATTCTCGTCTATTATTCTAGATAACTACAGTTATTTCTTCCTGGTTAAAAGCAAGCCTCCAGAATCAGACACAACAGTGTCCAAATATTTACTCTGCAACACAAAACTCAAGACTGGTGAGTTCCCAGAAGTAGCTTAACTTCTCTGTTCTTCAGTGTCCTTATATTTAACATTGAATAATGAATGATAAGTACATTAATAATTTTATGTAGTATTAAAAAATGCAACTGATGCTCCAAAAAAAGTTATATGGCTATTATGATCCAATAGAAATTCATACATCTTTTATTATCATGGAGTCATTACAGAAATGCATCTTTCTTACACTCACATTATATATATATTAATATATAAATATATATAAATATATAAATATATAAATATGTATAAATATGTATAAATATATGTAAATACATGTAAATATATGTAAATATATAAATATTTGTAAATATATAAATATAAATATATAAATATAAATATATAAATATATAAATATAAATGAATATATAAATATATAAATAAATATATAAATATATAAATATATAAATATATATAAATATATAAATATATATAAATATATAAATATATATAAATATATATAAATATATAAATATATATAAATATATAAATATATATAAATATATATAAATATATAAATATATATAAATATATAAATATATATAAATATATATAAATATATAAATATATATAAATATATATAAATATATAAATATATATAAATATATATAATATATATATCTTTTTTACACTCAGAAATCAAGATCAGTTACATTTATGATGTGATTTGAATGATCCTTGGAAGGTACAAGCTGCAAAAATTACATCAGAATATTTGTTTACAAATAAAAATATATATTGGGAATGTGTGACATTTTGTTTTTTTATTACTCTGTATTATGCTTTATACAAATGTTATCTCTAGAACTTGACTATGAATTCATTTTATCATGTCTTTTTTTATTATGTCCTGAGAAACATGGTAGTGTGCTAAAAGCTGGGTTTGGCAAATTGTGATAAGAGGATCCTCATAAAGGAGTGTGAAGGAAAAACAGAATCTCAGGACCCCAAACTCACTACCCCAAAGGGAACGTTAAGCTTGAGAACTGAGTCACATACAACGGCCTTTCTTTTGTTCCCAAACATAAAGCTGTAATTTCACATGCCTCTTTTATCTAATGTAAACTGTAGATTTACTGAGTGCTAATGAGAGCCTCAAACAAGAAAGTAACCACTTGCCTCAGTGCCTACCCTCCCTCTTTTTTTTTTTTTTTTTTTTTTTTTTCCCTTCCTGCTTGCTCTTTCTCCTTTAAATATTGGATTTCCCAAAAACCCTCTATGGGGAAAGGCACAGGTCACAGATACCTCTGGACTCGATTTTCTTTTTCCTAAGTGTGTCCTCAACCTTAGTAAAATAAATCTCTAATTCATTGATATCTGCCTCAGTCACTTTCAGTTACAGGAAGTTTAAGGGAGATGAAAGAATGCGGAAATCAACTCAACAGAGATTCTCAGACTCTTCCACTGGAGTCCTCTTAAAGGAATCCTGAAATCCAAAAGGACCCCTGGGGTTTGTGGGAGCATGGCCAGGTGCATCTCTCCACAAGTGCCTATGTCTGTAAAGAGCTCCTGTACTGTGTCCTCTAAAAGATACAACCCTTACATTGGCTTTTTTGATTCATGATTTTGATTCATGATATATTTTTTGATCCATGATTTTGATTCATGATTATATTAATAAAAATAACTTTATTACATGGTAATTAATATTCTTCAACATATTTTCAAAAGTCAGAAATCACTATTCATGTTGTAGAAGCTACTCAAAATATACGCCTGGGGGAAACAGTGATCCCGTGCAAGATCCTTTTCCAGCTTGAGCTTGCAAAGCGACAGCAACATTGCCACCATGTAAATGCAGCCATTCTGTTGCAATGATAAATTCCAAGATGTCCAGCCTGCAAATTCAAGGAAAAGATGATTTGGATGAGGGGCAAATTATTTCTGTCTATCAAGTCCTATGACGCTATCCTAAAATACAGTACAGAATGTGATGATGTGGTTTGTAATTGCACTACAGGTTCCTCCAGCCTGCTGCACAGACAAAATCAATTCACTGAGACCACAGCATTTCAGTAGACAAAGAGTTGAACTGGTGTGAGGCCAGCCATATTGGAGAACTAGAGATATCACTCAAATCATTCTCCCCAGATGCTCAGAAGTTAGGGTTCTTGTAAACAGTTTTGGGGGGAAGGGTAAGCAGGGGTTTAGGGAGTGGGTGCTCCTGATTGGTTGGGGGGTGAAATCATAGGGGTGTGGAAAATGGTTCTCATTCACTGAATCCACCTCTGGTTGGAGTCACAGTACCAGTTGAGTCGTGAGTCATAAATCTGGGTGGTCATAAATCTCAGTCTGAAAAATATTTCTAAAAACCAGCCTTAGGTTCTACAATTGTGATGTTATCTATAGGCACAATTGGAGAAGTCACAAATCTTGTGGCCTCTTGCCATTTGATTCCTGAGCAGCAAGGGCTTATAGAAACCATGCCTACATTTTAGCAGAGTTAGGTCCTTCCCACAATCCTAACCTTGTGGTGCCTCATGAGTCTTACAGTTTTTGGTCCCTAAGCAAGGAGGGGGTTGGTTTCAGGGAGGGGCTGATATCCTTCATTTCGAGTTAAACTATAAACTAAATTCCTCCCAAAGTTAGGCTTGGCTTATACCAGAAATGATCAAGGACAGCTTGGAGTTCAGAAGAGAGATGGAGTCAACTGTGCCCAGTTTTTCTTACTGTCAAAATTTCGCAAAGATGGTTTCAGTGTTTCTGCTGTAACCTCTGTGAAACCCAGCTATGAAGAGACCTGGCCCCAGTGAGAGGTGAGGTTCACACATTATAGAGGAGACCTGCACATTTTTTGATGATCATCTCAGCTTGATAGTGGTTGTACTGTTGGCCAGTCTGTGTAAGGAAACATGTATAAAATATTATACTTATGAAATCGTCTTTATTTGGACAAAAAAGAACAAATATATACTTTTCATGACTTTGTTATGTATTTAAATTTGTTATTTTAAAATATGCAATCAATGAGAGCTCATTTTGTATACATAAACAGATAGAATCCAAGTAATTATTTGATTTAGTAAATATATTATTTGATAAAAATAGGTGAGCTAATAGTAAATACAGTCCTGCTCTTCTGTCTGTCACTTAGGGATAAATGAGTTCATTGAATTTATCTATACTCTTCCAATATAACTTTTTTAATGGATGAGAAACAATCAGAAAATGGTGAGGAATAGAAAACAAAAGCACACCTCTTTCTGTCGTTTATGATGCTTCATGATCAATTTACCTGAACAGTGTTAAGTGGATTAAAAAGACCAAAGGGACTTAAGAGGATAAAGATGAACAGAAGCTCTCATCTCCTAGGATAAAATTGCATCCACTTTGTCACAAAGAGCACCTCATTTAACTATTTCATGATTAGAGTAACTGTGAACTTTTAATGAGTTTATGAAAAGAAAAGAAAATTTTAGGACTTTTCAAATTTATTATGCCAAGGGGAAAAGTTAAGCCCTGGAAATTGTTAAGCCCTGGAGTTATATGACACAGCTGTTTTTTTTTTTTTTCTGCTGCATGACTTTTGCTTCTTGACCTTTGTGTTGAGATGTTATACCTTAACCATGCACCTTATTCTTTACTCAAACATAGACCAAGTGACATTGGAGATAGAGACCCTTGTGACTGTTACCTCTTCACAATGTTACACCCTTTGGAGTGTAATCCATAGTAACTAATCAAATCTTTTATCTATAGTTTACCATAGTTTTAAAAATGTAATTTTATTACAGAGTAAAAACATTTTGCTTGTGGGACAATAACTTAGGAAAAAAACAACACACTGTTCGATGAATACACTCAACAAAAATGCAGTAAGTATGTATACCAAAAATATGTAAAAATATAATCATTGCTGCATTATTTATAAAAGTCAATGTAGTAAACAATTCAAATATTGACTAAGAGCAGAATTCCTACCTACATGTGATGCTTTACCTATGGGGCTACTCTGCCCCTATCAAAAAAAAAAAAAAAAACCGCTACCCTTTTATGCATCTATATGGAAGATACTCACAGAAGACATGCTACTGAGTGAGAGAAGGCAGACATAAAACAATACACATTGCATGATTGTACTCATATAATTTTCAAAACAAGTAAGTTAATCTCTACCACTAGAAGTCAGGGAGATATTCATCTTTGAGATGGGAGGGGTTAATGATTAACAGGGGCATGAGTTGAGATTCTGGGCAACTGGTAATGTTCTGCCTAGTTCCACAGGTATATTCACTTTGCGTTAATGCATCCAGCAGGACATTTATGTTTTGTACACTTTTCTGTGTGATTTATAATGTAATTTAAAAATATTTAATAAAGCAAAACATAACATTTATTTTTGCCACACTGCTGTTCATTTTCTTGAATCTTAATTTAAATACACCCAACCATTCTTATTGGATGTTTGCGAAGATAGTTTATCTTTCCTAATACATTTCAATTTTTGAAGGAAGCACTAAACATGGAAAGGAACAACCAGTACGAGCCACTGCAAAAACATGCCAAATTGTAAAGACCATTGAGGCTAGGAAGAAACTGCATCAACTAATGAGCAAAATAACCAGCTAACATCATAATGACAGGCTCAAATTCACAGGTAACAATATTAACCTTAAATGTAAATGGGCTAAATGCTCTAATTAAAAGACACAGACTGGCAAATTGGATAAAGAGTCAAGACCCATCAGTGAGCTGTATTCAGGAGACCCATCTCATTGGCAGAGACACAAATAGGCTCAAAATAAAGGAATGGAGGAAGAACCACCAAGCAAATGAAAATCAAAAAAAGGCAGGGGTTGCAATCCTAGTTTCTGATAAAACAGACTTTAAACCAACAAAGATCAAAAGAGACAAAGAAGGCTATTACATAATGGTAAAGGGATCAATTCAGAAAGAAGAGCTAACTATCCTAAATATATATGCACCCAATACAGGAGCACCCAGATTCATAAAGCAAGTCCTTAGAGACCTACAAAGAGACTTAGACTTCCACACAATAATAATGGGAGACTTTAACACCCGACTGTCAACATTACACAGATAATGTCACAGATTCTGTCAACAAGACAGAATGTTAACAAGGATATCCAGGAATTGAACTCAGCTCTGCACCAAGTGGACCTAATAGACATCTACAGAACTCTCCATCCCAAATCAACAGACTATACATTCTTCTCAGCACCACATCACACTTATTCCAAAACTGACCACATAGTTGGAAGTAAAGCACTCCTCAGCAAATATACAAGAACAGAAATTATAACAAACTCTCTCTCAGACCACAGAGCAATCAAACTAGAACTCAGGATTAAGAAACTCACTCAAAACCACTCAACTACATGGAAACTGAACAACCTGCTCCTGAATGACTACTGGGTACATAACGAAATGAAGGCAGAAATAAAAATGTTCTTTGAAACCAATGAGAACAAAGACACAACATACCAGAATCTCTGGGACACATTTAAAGCAGTGTGTTTAGGGAAATTTATAGCACTGAATGCTCACAAGAGAAAGCAGGAAAGATCTAAAATCAACACCCTAACATCACAATTAAAAGAACTAGAGAAGCAAGAGCAAACACATTCAAAAGCTAGCAGAAGGCAAGAAATAACTAAGATCAGAGCAGAACTGAAGGAGATAGAGACACAAAAAGCCCTTTTAAAAAATCAATGAATCCAGGAGCTAGTTTTTTGAAAAGATCAACAAAATTGATAGACTCATAGCAAGACTAATAAAGAAGAAAAGAGAGAAGAATCAAATAGATGCAATAACAAATGATAAAGGGGTTATCACCACCGATCCCACAGACATACAAACTACCATCAGAGAATACTATAAACACCTCTACACAAATAAACTAGAAAATCTAGAAGAAATGGATAAATTAGTGGACACATACATCCTCCCAAGACTAAACCAGGAAGAAGTTGAATCCCTGAATAGACCAATAACAGGCTCTGAAATTGAGGCAATAATTAATAGCTTACCAACCAAAAAAAGTCCAGGACCAAATGGATTCACAGCCAAATTCTACCAGAGGTACAAGGAGGAACTGGTACCATTCCTTCTGAAATTATTCCAATCAATAGAAAAAAAGGGAATCCTCCCTAACTCATTTTATGAGGCCAGCATCATCCTGATACCAAAGCCTGGCAGAGATACAACAAAAAAAGAGAATTGTAGACCAATATCCCTGATGAACATCCATGCAAAAATCCTCAGTAAAATACTGGTAAACTGAATCCAGCAGCACATCAAAAAGCTTATCCAGCATGATCAAGTGGGCTTCATCCCTGGGATGCAAGGCTGGTTGCACATATGCAAATCAATAAACATAATCCATCATATAAACAGAACCAAAGACAAAAACCACATGATTATCTCAATACATGCAGAAAAGGCCTTCGACAAAATTCAACAACCTTTCATGCTAAAAACTCTCAATAAATTAGATATTGATGGGATGTATCTCAAAATAATAAGAGCTATTTATGACAAACCCACAGCCAATATCATACTGAATGGGCAAAAACTGGAAGCATTCCTTTTGAAAACTGGCACAAGACAGAGAGGACATTTCTCACCACTCCTATTCAATATTGGAAGTTCTGGCCAGGGCAATCAGGCAGGAAAAAGAAATAAAAGGTATTCAATTAGGAAAAGAGGAAGTCAAATTGTCCCTGTTTGCAGATGACATGATTGTATATTTAGAAAACCCCATCGTCTCAGCCCAAAATCTCCTTAAGCTGATAGGCAACTTCAGCAAAGTCTCAGGATACAAAATCAATGTGCAAAAACTACAAATATTCTTATACACCAATAACAGACAGAGAGCCAAATCATGAGTGAACTCCCATTCACAATTGCTTCAAAGAGAATAAAATACCTAGGAATCCAACTTACAAGGGATGTGAAGGACCTCTTCAAGGAGAACTACAAACCACTGCTGAACAAAATTAAAGAGGACACAAACAAATGGAAGAACATTCCATGCTCATGGATAGGAAGAATCAATATTGTGAAAATGGCCATACTGCCCAAGGTAATTTATAGATTTAATGCCATCCCATCAAGCTACCAATGACTTTCCTCACAGAATTGGAAAAAACTACTTTAAAGTTCATATGGAACCAAAAAAGAGCCCACATTGCCAAGTCAATCCTAAGCCAAAAGAACAAAGCTGGAGGCATCATGCCACCTCACTTCAAACTATACTACAAGGCTTCAGTAACCAAAACAGTATGGTACTGGTACCAAAACAGAGATATAGATCAATGGAATGGAACAGAGCCCTCAGAAATAATACCACACATCTATATCCAACTGATCTTTGACAAACCTGAAAAAAAACAAGAAATGGGAAAAGGATTCCCTGATTAATAAATGGTGCTGGGAAAACTGACTAGCCATACATAGAAAGCTGAAACTGGATCCCTTTGTTACACCTTATACAAAAATTAATTCAAGATGGATCAAAGACTTAAATGTTAGACCTAAAACCATAAAAACCCTAGAAGAAAACCTAGGCAATACAAGACACAGGCATGGGCAAGGACTTCATGTCTAAAACACCAAAAGCAATGGCAACAAAAGCCAAAATTGACAAATGGGATCTAATTAAACTAAAGAGCTTCTGCACAGCAAAAGAAACTACCATCATAGTGAACAGGAAATCTACAGAATGGGAGAAAATTTTTCTATCTACTCATCTGACAAAGGGCTAATATCCAGAATCTACAAAGAACTCAAACAAATTTACAAGAAAAAAGCAAACAACCCCATCACAAAGGGGCCGAAGGATATGAACAGACACTTCTCAAAAGAAGACATCTATGCAGCCAACAGACACATGAAAAAATGCTCATCATCACTGGTCATCAGAGAAATGCAAATCAAAACCACAATGAGATATCATCTCACACCAGTTAGAATGGCGATCATTAAAATGTCAGGAAACAACAGGTGCTGGAGAGGATGTGGAGAAATAGAAACACTTTTACACTGTTGGTGGGACTATAAACTAGTTCCACCATTGTGGAAGACAGTGTGGCGATTCCTCAAGGATCTAGAACTAGAAATACCATTTGACCCAGCCATCCCATTACTGGGTATATATCCAAAGGATTATAAATCATGCTGCTATAAAAACACATGCACACATATGTTGATTGTGGCACTATTCACAATAGCAAAGACTTGGAACCAACTCAAATGTCCATCAATGACAGACTGGATTAAGAAAATGTGACACATATACACCATGGAATATTATGCAGCCATAAAGAAGGATGAGTTCGTGTCCTTTGTAGCGACGTGGATGAAGCTGGAAACCATCATTCTCAGCAAACTATCACAAGGACAAAAAAACAAACACCGCCTGTTCTCACTCATAGGTGGGACTTGAACGATGAGAACACTTGGACACAGGAAGGGGAACATCACACACCGGGGCCTGTCATGAGGTGGGGAAAGGGGGAGGGATAACATTAGGAGATATACCTAATGTAAATGATGAGTTAATGGGTGCAGCACACCAACATGGCACGTGTATACATATGTAACAAACCTGCACATTGTGCACATGTACCCTAGAACTTAAAGTATAATTAAAAAAAGGAAAAAAATCATGAAAGACTAGTCCATGAACTCTTTTAGCAGCTACTTAATAAATTAAAAAGAAGTTATAATAGAGGGACTGCTTGTGAAACATGATTATCACTACTTCTGAAGCCTCACTCAAAGAGCAGCAAAAAAAAAATGTGCAAATCTTTTTTAACAAAGAAAATGGGAGAGTACATGGTAGAAAATAAAAGTCAGTAATATTTAAAAATTAAAAAAAAAATCTCAAACAAAATTATAATGAAGACCAAAATGCAATTGAAGTAATACTCCAGAATTTCCAGACATCAAAGAGGGAAGAAACAAACATCAATATACAAAATGATGTTTCTTAGTTTCCCTCTGGCCTTGTTATCTTACTGTTTCATTGGGACAGTTTCATTTTCCTCACTTGCTCTACATGCCAGAGACATTTTCTCCCAAAATGTGAACTTATTTATAAGTGTCTTGTAAAATCTAGGAGGGAATATAGTTCAATTTGAGGGGGGAATCTCATTAACCTCTCTGCCTAATTACCACTTCTTAATAAAATAATTAACTTCGACTGACAGAGAAGCCATGAAGAGGACTGGCATTTAAGGTAGAGCATGTGTGTATTCACTTACACCCACTCGGGACTTTTAAAGTGTACATCCAGCCACTTATCTTATAATGAGGATATCTTAGTCCGTTTCGCTGCTATAATAAATTACCTGAGACTGGGCAATTTATAAACAATAGAAATTTATTTCTCACAGTCTGAAGGCTGGAAGTACAAAATCAAGGGACTGGCGGGTTTGGTGTCTGGTGAAGGAGGCCCCTTCCTTGTGAATGGCGATGGCTGGGTGTCCTCATGAGGGGGAAGGAATGAAAAGAGCAAAAGGGTATGGCCACTCTGTCCTTGAACGGCAGACAGCAAACCCGGTCCCTGCAGTCCTTTACTAAGGACCCTCATCCCATCCATGAGGGCTCTGTTTTCATGATTTAATCACTTTCTAAAAGCCCTATCTCTCAATGATATCACATTGGCCATTAAGTCTCAACATATAAATTTGGGGGTAAACATTCAGACCACAGCAAAGCCAATAACATGAATGATGATTTTGTTTAACATACTTATAGAATTTTATATTATTAGGCTAAATAAACTTCACAGGAAGTTGGTAAAAAATGAATGACTTAATATGTAAGCTTTTAGGGAGCAGATACTGTGCTTTTTGCATATAGTACAGAAGGGATACTGAATAGATATTTAAAGATAACAAGGCCTTTATCTCCTTCTTCAACAAACCTCATTTATTGATTTTGTATTCTTATGGCCTTTTGTTCTTTTTATAAGAATATTCATATTGGAGGTGCTTTATGAAAGGTGATTGTTTAAGATAAATCAGCTGGAGAACTAATGTTACAGCATCTAAAAACATGGCAATAATTGAGGATTTCATAGATGATCCACTTTTTTGTTCTACTCTAATTCTAGTGAATCTTACACATAATACCTTTACAATATTGTTCAAAGTGGAGCTTGGGGAAAAGAAAGTAGAAAATTAATAAATCTCCATCCATTTTCCAATGTAGATCTTAGATGAATGGTCCAAGGGTAGGTGGTGGCTTTCTCTTTTACTTGAATAATAAAAGACTTGGCTCTAGCTATACAAATCCGTTGCTGAAAGCCAATTCCTGACAGCTTCCTCTTCCTTTTCTGATACTTTTTGTGCCATGGTTGATTGCAGGCAACATTACAACTATGTTTAATCAGGACTTGGCTTGGCAGGCTGGCCTTGGGCCTGCAGGATGAATGGGTGGCTAATATGGTCAGGACAACGCACACTTAGAAGGTGCTGGGCTTCTCTGGCCTCAGAATGAGGCATAGCCAGTTTCTCCAGGACATTCGTAGGAGTCAGAGCATAAAAATACTCTTAAAAAAAGCAAACATAATTTATCTGAAAAGGCTGTACAGGATCATCACAGATAGCAGACAGTGACAGTCTCTTGCCATTTTAAATAGGCTATGAAGACCTTAGAAACTCAGTCGCTGAGAATCTTTTTGGGTCCTGCTCTGAGTTTTATTTTATTGTTTGCCTGCCATAAAGTAACACACACATCTTCCTGTGTCTCTCAGTCATATCATATCGTGTTTAAGAAAATCCTGAATTCAGCAAAGAGCTAATTCTTAATACATTATATAAGATTTTAAATATAGATTACATTTATTTATAGATACAGATGAGATAACACATCTAATGTATCAGAGGCACATATCTAATACTAAATCATTTTCTGTGTATAATATATATATGCTTTTATCCTGGTTTTGATCAAGGTTATATTTCTAAATATGTATTTTAGGCTACAGAGTTTTAGATTTTATCTTAAAGAGAGGCCTGGGATTTTTTTTTTATATACACTTTTTTGTATTATTATACTTTAAATTCTGGGATACATGTGCAGGACGTGCAGGTTTGTGACATAGGTATAAGCGTGCCATGGTGGTTTGCTGCAGTCATCAAGCCGTCATCTACAACAGGTATTTCTCCTAATGCTATCCCTCCCCTAGCCCCCTACCCCACGACAGGCCCTGGTGTGTGATGTTCCCCTCGAGATGCCTGGAATATTAAACATATTAAGTTTTACATCATATCTGTTATTCAAATTGAGTAAAATTTTATATTATCCCTAGAGCATTTTTCTTCAGCAGTCAAAACAATAAAGGTCTGAGAATATCACTATTTATTGAACAATGTGCTAATTGCCTACTAAGAAACTCAAAAGACTCAAAAGACATGAATGATCCAAATATGACAACCATGGTCCAAGCAACTAACTAATTAGCAGAAGAAAACAAAATAAAGTGCTTCCCAAACTTCTTTTTAGTCACATTCCCTCAGGAAAATCCAGCAGAGAACAGTGCGCACTCACAGTGCACTTCAGCTGTGGCCTGGCTCTCCTGCATGAGGCTGTGTCCTTAATGTACTGGAAGAGCCCTTTTCTCTGCTAGGCCAGGTCAGATAGCTGGGCCACATGGGGCTGCATGAATGGGTTTGACGGTTTTGAATATCAGAAGAAAAATATGAGTTCATAGTGTCATACGAAAGGATATCACCAAGTCTTATTGTCAGGTTGCCTCACATATCTGGTTCTCACAATTTTAGAAAAATACCTTTTCCCTTGTTGGAGATATCAACTACACATCTGAATGTAAGCTGTCATACAACCTGGACGTCATGCATTCTCTGGAAATGAAAAATCTTTAAACTTGTAAAAGATTATCTCTTTATTGGCTGGGCGAGGTGGCTCACGCCTGTAATCCCAGCACTTTAGGAGGCCGAGGCGGGCAAATCACGAGGTCAGGAGATCGAGACCATCCTGGCTAACACGGTGAAACCCCGTCTCTACTAAAAAATACAAAAAATTAGCCTGGCGTGGTGGCAGCCGCCTGTAGTCCCAGCTACTTGGGAGGATGAGGCAGGAGAATGGCATGAACCCAGGAGGCAGAGCTTGCAGTGAGCCGAGATCGTGCCACTGCACTCCAGCCTGGGTGACAGAGCAAGACTCTGTCTCAAAAAAAAAAAAAAAAGATTATTTCTTTATTATATCCTGCCCCATTGACTACCACCCAAAGAATGCATATAACATGAATAGTATGGTAATTATGGTAAAGTATGAGGGCATGTTTGATAAACGACAATTCTATTGGAAATTAACAATGTTTCAGTATATGCTTTCTACAAATAATTGGATTATATTCACTGTCTACACTTTTATATAGTTTACTTTTCAGAGACATGTCCACCAATTAACAGCAGCTGAGATAGATCAAGCTCAATTAGTCTTATTTAAATACATTTAAACATTCCAAAGTTTTCCCTTATAAAACTAGATGAAGGTGTATATTGCAAGTGAAATGCTCTCCAGCAAATATCATTCTGTGGTGGCAAAAAGGTATGTTTTGTACCACTGGTAAGTTATAGTAAAACAATTTCTGCAAAATAGAAAATATTGTCACATTTCCTTCTCACAAAACTTTTTCAGAATCACCTTATTTCCTTAAATTAAATTAAATTTTAAATTTTAAAGTAAAAAATCAAGTTATCAATTTGTCTATTTGCTCAATAAATTGGTTTATTTAGGGATTTTGTTGTCTATTAATAAAGAGCTTTCTTTATTTAATTCTTATAGAAAGCAATAGAAATGTTTTAAAAGCCTGATATTCTTGAGATAGTAATATATTTCTTGTTTTGGATTTTTTATTTTTTTCTTTAATAAATCCTGATCCTCTTTGTGTTCAATCTACTGTAGTCTTACAATGTTTTCCAAAGCTATATTTCAAAGTAAGGTGTATATAGTAAGCCCTATAACTGCATATGTACTCAAATGTTCCCATAGTTAGTCAGTAATTTCCAATAGGATTATTGTTAAAATATTCCATGATGTCTTTAGAATTAGAAAAAAATGCCTATTCAAGAGCTATTTACTGAGCTTGCAATAATAGGTGTTTCTCCCATTCTCACAGACTTTTCAATGCTACTCTCAATCATGCTTAAATATACATAAAGCTTGCATTTCCACTCTTCATAACATTTTTAAAAATATTTACCTTAAAATTAATGCTCATATTATTGTATTATTCTGGAAAATGATGTTGAAGAGGTCGTAAATTATTTTTAATAAAATTTAAAATATTAATTCATTCTGGATGAAGAATAAGCTGAGTTACAGAGCTTGGAAACTTGAGAAAAAAATTGATATGAAATATCTATAGGCTAAATTCTCTTTAGCTTAGTTATAGATGTTCTTTCAAAGAAGAGAACTAGAAAGAAATAAATGGCTGAACATCTATAAAAACAACTGCTTCAAGACAAAACAAAAAGCCAGAAAATGCAGAAAGGCATACAAAAGGCGTAGAGGATAAAGGAACAGAATCATAAGCATGATATATACATACACATATGTACATTATAAATAAATATACACATATATGTGTGTGAGTGTGTGTGTGTGTGTGTGTGTGTGTGTGTGTGTGTGTATGCATTTGGAGTTCTAGAAAAGTAGGGAGAAATAATAAGGCAAAAAACATATTGAGGAAATAAAGGAGGAGAACTTTCCAAAACTACTGAAAACTATCAAGCAACAAATTTAGGAAGGCATCTGAATCACAGTAGATTGTATTCAAAGAGAATCACACCTAGGCACCTCATAGTTAAATTGCTAAAAAAACAGAAAAAAGAAATTAGAGGAATTGTCAAGAAAGGCAGGAGGAAATAAAAGTCAGGATCAAGAGGAAAAATTAGACTAATTGCTGGATTTTCAAAAATAATAATGTAAGCCAGAAGAGAATAAAAGTATATTTCAAAGTACTAAAGGAAAAGTAGGACAAACTAGAATTTAGAACAGGGAAATATTATGTAACAATGAAGGTTAAATAATCACAATGTCAGACAAATTAAAACTTGCAGAATTGGTCACCAGTAATAAAAAAACTAATAAACTACACTCAATTTGGGAGAACTTTAAAAAAATACAAAATAAATTGTTTGTGATACCATGTTTATAGATTAGAAATTTCAATACCTAGTTTTTTTCAAACTGGGTCCACAGAGTTAATGCAATCCTCACCAAAATTCTAACAGTTCCCTATAAAAGTTTTTTGGAATTTGACAATACAATTTCAAATTTATAAATATATAAAAATGTTATAATAAAAGCAAAGATGTGTATTAGTTTTCTATGCCACAGTAACAAATTAACACACATAACAGAATAAAATGATATGAGTTTATTCACTTACCCTTCTGGAAGTAAGAAGCCCTAAAATTGTGATGTCACCATAGTTGCCTTCCATCCAGAGGCACGAAGGGAAAATGCATTCTTTGCCTTTTCCAAAATCTAGAGGTTGCCCACACTCCTTGGCTCATGGCCCCACATCACTCCTGTCCTTTTCTGAACTGACTCTCTTGCCTCTCTCTTGTAAGGATTGCTATGATTACATTGTGCCAACCCAGATAATTCTTTCTCAGAAACTTAATTCAGTCACACCCAGAAAGTTTCATTTTGTTATGTAAAATAACATAGTTACAAGTTATGGAATTGAGGACTTGGACATGTTTGGTGGAGACCCTTATTCTGTCCATCTCAATGCCATTAAGAGTAAAGACAAATTTAGAGGGTTGCTTTCTAGCTTTCTACATACCAAGACTTTATTATAAAACTGTGGAATTCTATATGATACAGATACAGTATTGGTGGGAAGATTTAGAAATACAGAACAATGAGACAGAGTCCAAAAACAGAAATACACATAGGTGAACACTTAACCTTCCAAAAGAGGAAGCTGAACAGAGAAGTGTGGAAAGGGCTGGCCTTCATGAAAGTGTGGTGTCAATAGTATACCTTTCTGAAAAGAAATGAAATCACCCCCACCCACAGCATGCAAATAATTAAATAACAGTGGATTGAAGATCTAATTTTGAAATGAAAAATGATAAAGTTTTCAGAAGATAATACAGGGAAAGAATTTCATGATCTTAGGTTAGCATTGCTTTTTCTTAAATTAGACATAAACAGTACTAAAAATAAAGGAATATACAAATTAATTAATAGTAAGAACTTTAAAATTTCTCAAACTCTTTAGTAATCAGGAAAATATCAATTAAACCTACAATTAGGTATAATGCTATATTCCTTAAAATGGATAAATCAATTAACAAGAATAGGAAAGGCTATTCATTTATTTGAAATACTTATATGCTACCAGCAGAAATATAAATCAGTACAACCAGGACACGGTGGCTCACGCCTTTAATCCCAGCACCTTGGGATGGTGGATCACTTGAGGCCAGGAGTTTGAGACCAGCCTGGCCAACATGGCAAAAACCCATTTCCACAAAAAAAAAAAAAAAAAATTAGCTGGGTGTGGTGGTGCATGCCTGCAATCCCAGCTACTTGGGAGGCTGAGGCATGAGAATCACTTGAGCTGGGAGATTACAGTGAGCCGAGATTGTGCCACTGCACTCCAGCTTGGGCAACAGACCAAGAATTTGTCAAGAAGAGAAGGAAGGAAGGAAGGAAGGAAGGAAGGAAAGAAGGAGGGAAGGAAGGAAGGAAGGAAGGAAAGAAGGAAGGAAGGAAGGAAGGAACGAACAACCTAGCCTAAGGTAGAATTTATACATAGCAACTGATCCAATAACCTCTCTTCTAGTTATATACCCAAGAAAAAAGCAAATATAAATTCACCAACCAACATAGCTTACAATATTGCTATTGACAGTTTTTGTAAAATCTGAACGTTAAAATAATCCAAATGTTTATCAACTGTACATAGTTTAAGTAAACTGTGGTAAAATTATACAACTGAATGCTATACAGCAATGAAAATGAAACTCAGCTATACATACAATGTGTATAAATTTCAAGAAACACAATATTGAATAAAAGAAGACAGAAACAAAAGCCTGTATGGTGTATGTTCCCATTTCTATGAAGCCTAAAACTAGTAGACTAGAGTTTTATAAATTATACTGGTAGGTACTCTCTCTAAGGGAGGAAAAAAGGTACAGTGACTGGGACCATAATTTACTGAGCGCTACCCAATTTCTTGGACTAGATGCTGGTTTCCTGGCGTGATGATTCATTAAGACGAACAGTTACATTTTCTGCTCCTTTGTTTATTTATTTTATTACTATTATTATTATTTTTGAGATGGAGTCTCCCTCTGTCGCCCAGGCTGGAGTGCAGTGGTGCAATGTCGGCTCACTGCAACCTCTACCTCCCAGGGTCAAGTGATTCTCCTGCCTCAGCCTCCTGAGTAGCTGGGACTACATGCATGCACCATCATGCCCAGCTAACTTTTTGTATATTTTTTTTTTTTAGCAGATAGGGGGTTTCACCGTGTTAGCCAGGATGATCTCGATCTCCTGACCTTGTGATCTGCCCACCTCGGGCTCCCAAAGTGCAGGGATTACAGGCGTGAGCCACCGTGCCCGGCTTCTGCTCTTTTAAAAAAAATGTGTTAGATATTTTTGTTCAAAAGATTTTTAAGATGATTTTTAGAATGGGAGATTGTAATTTCTTTTCATTTATATTTTGAAATAGAGAACTATGCTTTTGTGTGATTAATTAAATTTAGAGAAAAATGCACGGCCTTGATTTTTATACACAGCCACCCCTGCTCACATTATACTCAATAAACATGATAATATTCCAGATGAAACATAAGTGTACCAGGCAGAATTCTAGACATTTATCTCTCACTTGGGAAATGTTATGCATAGGCAAACACAATATTTTCCATAATTATAGTTTCACAGGTAATGAAAAAAGGAATGACACTGTGTGTATGGTGATTATGCCAGCACTTTCTAGTACTAAAGCAAGAATTCATACATCATGCTGAGATTCATGTCTGTTGTGAACTATAATGGAAAGGAAGTATTTTTGATAGAGACTTTTCCAAAAATAATCAAATTCATTGACTTTTATCAAAATAAATATTCATAATAACAATATATCATTTATTATTTTAAGTTAATGTGGCTCCAGTAAGGAAAACCTCTATTTTACTCTATAATTTGTTGACAAACAAGGTGAGAAATAGATTAAATAGCAAAGATAAAAGGTATTTTTCTACTAAAAATGTCAGCAGAAAGGCAGAATGACATCCAGCTACAGAGCAGGATAATGTTAAATAGGAAAATGGGAATACTGACTGGGCTTGGTGGCTCACGCCTGTAATCCCCTCACTGTGGGAGGCCAGGGTGGGAGGGTGGTTTGAGCCCAGGAGTTCAAGTCTGCAATGAGCATCAACTGCACTCCAGCCTGAGCAACGGAGCAAGACCCTGTCTCAAGAATAAAACAAAACAAAAGAAATAAAGAAAATGTGAATATTAAGAAAGATAAAATAAGAACCAAAAAGCTCTTACAGATTGAAAATTATTGGTAACGCGGAATTTAGATCACTGGATTCTTTTTAAGAAAGTCATATTAATTTAAACGAAAGTCGTCCAAGGCTTACTTTTCAATTCAGCTTGGGGAGGAATAGGTTAGCTCCACTAGTAACTTTCCAGAGTCTGTCCCTAAAGCACAGAGTTGAACAAGGAAGGGGCCTTAACCTCACCGCATAATCAGAACCCAAACCTCTTCCAGTCTGCATGAGCTCACGGCGTCATTATAGTTCCTAGGCCTTTCGTCGCCTTGCCACCTGATGTTCACTCTACTCATGTGGGACTTTGTGTAACAGGGCACATTTTAGGGATCCTTCATGCACATTTGTGGGCTTCTTTCCTTGCAGAGTTCCCTCCCTTTGTTACTCTGCCATTCACATTCTTTCCACTTCCTTTTTCCTGACTACACCTCCGCCACTCTTTCAGGACCAGGCACTTAGCCTCTCTGGGTGGGATCCTCACCCTGCGCAGAGGCCCAGAGGAACATGCCTCCTGAGAGCAGCAGACAGTCTGGGTAGCCTCATTTCTTTTCACAGTTCCACGCATGAGGACCCTGTGCCACTCGCTGTTTGGTTCCTTTAAACAGTGCTGTCATCCGTTTTATCCAGGGCTCCAGTGTTTAGAGTGAGAGTTAATGCCAACATAGCTAGAACCAGAAAGTGTAAAGTTTTTAAACAGGAGAAAATTGAAACTATAAGTTTATATATGCATATTTTTAAAAATTAAATTGCTTATTTTTATGGATTTAGGAATACAAGTGCAGTTGTGTTACATGGATATGTTGTGTAGCGGTGAACTCTGAACTCTTAGTGTACCCATCACCTGGATAGCGCACTCTGCGCCCAATAGGTGGTATTTCATCCCTCAGACCTGCAATCCTCCCACCATTTGGAGGAGCAGTGTCCATTATTCTACTCTGTATGTCCATGTGTACCCCTTGTTTAGCTCCCACTTATAACTGAGAATATGTGGTTTTTAATTTTCTGAGTCATTTTAATAAGCATAATGCCCTCCAGATTCATTCATATTGATGCAAGAGACATGATTTCATTCTTTTTCATGGCTATGTGATATTCCATAGCATATATACACCACACTTTATTTTCCAGTCATTGTCAAGGGACACTTAGATTGACTGCATGACTTTGCTATTGTGAATAATGCTGTGATACACACACAGGTGCAGGTGTCTTTTTTATGTAATAATTTATATTTCCTTTGGTAGATACCCAGTGGTGGGATTGCTGGGTCAAAGGAGAGTTCTATTTCTCTGAGAAATCTCCATTGTGTTTTCCACAGAGGTTGTACGAATATACGTTCCCACCATCAGTGAATAATTGCTCCCTTTTCTCCACATCCTTGCCAGTATCTGGTGTTTTTTAACTTTTTAAGAATAGCCATTTTCTCTGCTATAAGATGGTATCTCACGGTGATTTTCATTTGCATTTCTCTGATGATTAGTGATGTTAAACATTTTTTCATATTTGCTTGACATTTGCATATCTTTGAAAAATGTTTTTTTCATATTCTTTGCCTACTATTTAATGGAGTTATTTGGTTTTTTTCTTGTTGAGTTGTTTGAGATCCTTGTAGGTTCTGGATATTAGCCTTTTGTAGGACACTTATTCAATGAATGGTGCTGGGATAATTGGATATCCATATATGGAAGAGTGGAACTGGACCCCTATCACTCACTATATACAAAGCTTAACTTAAGGTGGATTAAAGACTTAAATGTAAGGCCCGAAACTATTAAAATCCTATGAAAAACTCTTCTGGACATTGGTTTAGGCTAAGAATTCATAAATAAGTCCTCAAAAGGAAATGCAAAAAAAAAAGATGAATTAAATTAATTAAACTAAGGTGTTCTACACAGTGAAAGAAATAATCAACAGAGCAAATAGACAACCCACAGAATAGGAGAAAATATTTATAGTGCATATTTTTTAATTTAACATAACTTATTTTATGGCAACATGCATTAAAATTCTCATACTATTTATATTTGTTGTTTATTTTGTTTTGTATATTTTTGCTTATTTTATTTTGCTCTAGTCAATGTAAAATAACTAAATTGTTTAATTACATTTATGCACAATTATACAAAAATTAATAACATGGAGTGTATTAGTGTTTGCTGGTAGCATTAGTTATGTGTATCTGTTGTTAGTATTTGAACACTATAGCAGGCCCCAACCAAAAACTTGGAATCAATTTTTCCCTTTGAATGTTAAGTTGTAAAATTAAAAGAAATTCAGTGATATGTTAAAACTATGGGATAAATTTCTCACCTGATAAACTTGACTGCATTCTGATTTAAATTATTGACAGTCCCAAAGGCAGAACAAGTTAATCTGGAGAAGATTGACTTATGCAAAAAGAAAGAAAGAAAAAGAGAAAGAGAGAAGAAAGAGAGAGAGAGAAAGGAAAGAGAAAAGAGAAACAGAAAAAAGTGAAATAACAATTATATATAATCACAAAGGCAAATATTTTCCTGATTTATCCAGATCTTTTCAGAAGTTGGGAAACATTGGCAACTAGCTCTTTAAATATTCTTCCCTTATGGGAAAGAGCATCCTTCCTATACGTGCTGATGTCTTGAGCTCTTAACCCCAAAATATGAAATGATCTAGACTTTCATGAACAATTTTGTTGCAGTGTTTTGTTTGTTTTGTTTTGTTTTGTTTTATAAACAAAACATGATTTAGCTTCCCACACATGTCTGTGGAGCTGACTATGTTGGTAGTCTGTCCAGATACTGTTGGGTTCTTTTAAAACATTGTGTATATCCTCAAAACTTTGATGTGGTTTTGCTTCCAGCAGCCTGTACCTGTAACTTGTTATTTTTGAAAGACTACCCAAGGCCCCCTGACCCTTACTTAACTGCATGCATGGAGAACAAAATTGCCTGAGATTTTTTGTCCCTAGAGGAATGAGTCTGAGCTAGTGATTGACAGGTGCAGAAGCATGGAAGCCCTGCCTACATCGCTTGGGATGAGACAATTTTGACGCTTAACTTACGCTCCAAACATCATGGGATGCCCCTGGAGACCCAGTAGTCCCCTACTTTCCTGTCCCATATCATCTTTCCCTTACTCATTTCTTTGAGAACAGCTTCTTAATCAACCACATGCATCCAAATCTTTATTTCAGGGTCTATTTCTGAGGAACTTGAGCTAACTCACTCTCCTCTATAGAGAAATAATGGACTGTTTATATCATCAGGAGAATTTTATTCCATGCTTCAGTAATACACCTTATGTCAAATCAATAAATAGACACATTGATTTACTGTACCAGATTCACAAATTAGGTAAGTATTCATTCTAGCTCCAATTTTTTTTTTTTTTTTTTTTAGTAAAATCCAGTTTGGGAGGCTTAAGACTACATAAAGGCAAGACCATGGGCAATGGCATATTCACAAAAAAGAATTATACTCAATTTTAAAAGGCTAAGGGGAAACTTAAATCCTCTGGGAAATATCCCTGTCCCCCAAACCAGAATTTAATTCTTTTTGTGCTTTGATTTTTCTAGACTAAATTATTATCCTAGTTTACATCCTTTCTTTTTTTCTTTTGAGACAGAATGTTGCTTCCTTGCCCAGGCTGGAGTACAGTGGTGCAGTGGTGCAATCTCAGCTCACTGCAACCTCCGCCTCATGGGTTCAAACAATTATTCTGCCTTAGCCTCCCAAGTAGCTGGGCTTACAGACTTCCACCACCACCCCCGGCTAACTTTTTTTGAACTTTTAGTAAAGACAGGGATTCACCATGTTGGCCAGGCTGGTGTCGAACTCCTGACCTCAAGTGCTCTCCCAAGGTGCTGGGATTAGGGGTGTAAGCCACTGCACTCAGCCTTACATCCTATTTTTAAGCTTTAGATTACTAAACTGCTACATGTGTAGACATGGAAAATTAATACATACTATTTTCTCAACAAGATTAGAGGAAATTATTGCTGCATTACCTGTTAAATTATCACAGCAGTTTGTATGTTATCAAAGTAAATCGTATTTCTGTGAATCACCACACACTCATCATCATCATCATCATTTTCATTGTCATTACCAACATTGTTGTCATCATAATTGGCCAAATCAAACAATACAGGAAACAACAAATAGAAAAACCTGGATATAGCTCAGTCAGTCTTTACATATATAATTCAGATTTAATCTGGGTATATTAATACTTATATTTCTTCCCAATTCTTTCTGGGACATGTTCAATTCTGATATTCTCACTTTTAGTCTAATATCCAAGATGCAATTTCATCAGTTACATGGAGTGGTCCCTAAATCTTAGGGTGCATCTAAGTAATTTTTGTCACACAATTTTGTAACATCTGCCCAAGTCAGTAACTTAGAGTACTCAAAAGAATACTTTGAACTCTGCCAATTCTCCCTGATTGTGTATTTATAAATCACTTCTTTCCAATTGACCAATGCTTATTATTTCAGTAGAAGATGTGTGTAGCAGAACATTAACTTATTTATTCAAAATACTAATTCAGTATTCATTATGTGTTGGACATTGTATAATAAGCCATAAGAAAAAGAAAGAAAAATGAAAAACAACATGCAGACCTTGTCCTCAAATAGCTCAAAATTTTGTGAGGAATACAGAAATGTGAAACAACAATGCCAGAAGATGAATGCTATGGATGAGCCAGGGAAAGAAACAGTTTTCATTCTGTTTGGTATTTTAACTTTATGTCATTCAGTAAGTCTGTTTTAGGGAGTCATTAGCAATCTTTCTTCATTGTTCGCATTTTGATAGAGCATTCTGATCACCTTGTCACATTCTTCATGTTCCCAGATGTCCTGCTTAACTTTATTGTCCTCATTTTTAAGGACCTCATATTGTTCCTGAAGGAGACTTAAATATTCTACATTTTGTATCTGCCAGACTGCAACTAACAAAAAGAACAGCAACATAAAGGCAATAAGATACATTAATATGCAGATGCTACAAAGAAGTTTCACCTTTGTAATAAAAGTCTTTAATTCCCAAAACATTTTGTCTAGTTCGCAAAGGAATATTTGCATTATGTCTGCACTTCTTTTGTATTAAGGGAACTTGAAGGGTCAAATTTATATATTACTCCTACTTTATTTCTCTATTATTAATTTGGAAATTATTAATCTTAATTCATTATCAAGTAATGAATATTATCTAGAGACATGTATATATAATTAGGCCATTTGTAAATGTAAATAATAAAATCCTAATTAAAATATCTACCAAATTTAAATACGATTTTAATATTAGTGGTGCCTAAAGCATTAGTAGAGAATGAGAAATAATAACTCTCTTGCTCTTATTCCACAAGTCAATTTTATTGACAATCACAGTGATTTCTATACATATGCATATTAATTAATGTAACAAAAATTGTTAGATGTGTTTTTAGGGCCTTGTAAACTGTATCAAATTCTATACATAGTTACTCAATAATGTTTTAATGGAAGATTCTATTTACTTGATCTTAACCATAGTTTGGCTACACATGTTGTAAACTCAGAAAAAATAATCAAAATAAGAGTAAAGAATTTCCACAAATTAGCATTATTGTGCTTATTTAAAAAGCAGTTTAAGTTCTTTAGTGTCAAAGCTGATTAATTAGCAGGTAATTAATATATTTTAACCCAATTGAAACCATTTTAACTTATTTTAGCCAACTCCAGTTACTACACTGTGTTAATACTTGAAGGAAGAACAAAAACCTAAGAAAATTATTTAAACAGGCCATGGAGGTTAAGTCAGATAGACTCTGTATAATGATGAGTAAAACAGGCCAGGCATGGTGGTTCACATCTGTTATCTGAGCACTTTGGGAGGCTGAGGCAGGAAGATTGCTTGAGGCCAGGCTGGGCAACATCTTTAAAAAATTAGACAGACATGGTGGTGCACATCTGTGGTCCCAGCTACTTAGGAGGCCGAGATAGGAGGATCACTTGAACCCAGGAGGTCAAGGCTGCAGTGAGCCATGATTGTGCCACTGCACTCTAGACTGGGTGACAGAGCAAGACTCTGTCTCTTAAAAACAAAGAGTAAAATAAAATCCTAACTTCCACAGATAAAATCAGAAAGGACTCTGATCCTGTCTTGATCTTGCCCCTGTGGTGACTCCAATATGAGTATAAATCACCAGAAGTAGCAGAGGTAAATTTTATTAATTCATTATAGAGCCAGAAAAAAGTCATTTTCTATTTTTTCAACATATGATAATTATAATCAGAGTACATTTTGCATTATAACAGGTTATGTACAATAGTAAACTGTGCCAATCATTGTTCATTATAATCTCAAGGTCAGAACATTTTTATGTTCATATTACTAAAAGCATTACATCAATCTATTATAATTTAGTCATCAAAGTGATCATACCAAAATAACTGGAGTACATGAATTTTTAATAGATGTATGCTTTGTCAACACATGTTATATAAAATAAATGGGAAGAAACATCAGAATTCAAAGAGTTTGCCTACTACTGAGATTGTAACATGTTTGTTAACACTGCAGCAGAGAACGGTGTGCAAAAGGGAGGGAATCATGGTGAAAAATAGGCAGAGTAGGAAAGAGGAAGGAAATAATATTTGTTGATTCCTTCATATTTTACAGTATTTTAACCAAAGGAATGTAATAATGAGTAAAGTAATATATTAAGTATATGTCTGTACAATATTCTGTGAGGAGATATTAGTACATTTTTTTCAGTTTATAAAATTTAAGATATTATTTTCTTAAACTTACATTTGTGTCAGTATGATTTTCTCTCAAGAGGGAAGTGTCTATGTACCTGTGCTTCTTGAAAGTGAGTTATGTTATTGTCAGTTGTGCCTAGTAAATTATCCTTAAGTATATTCAACAAAAGATAGGGAATTGCAAGTTTTAGTACTACCAAGAAGTAGACTAGGGCAAAAAAGTCGATTGTTCTGGAGTGATACTAGAAAGATGGCAGGTTAAGAAGCTCTAGACCTTCACTCACCCATGGTAAGACAGAATGAAAAGTGACATATGGACCAAAATGACTTTAGAGCTTCAAAAACCACTTTAGAAGTTGCATCAACCGAGTGAATGCCAAAAGAAACAGCCACAATAACAATAGTAGAATATTTTGTAGTATTTTTGCTTCTCCTTGCTCCATTCACTCCTTGGAGCAGCGTGACACAGTCAAGAGAAAGTTGTCCAATACCTACTTAATCTGGAAGGAAATAAGTGGAACTTGCAGCATTTGGGCTTGTCTAGGGACTGCCAGGAGACTCGTCTCTGTGTCACCTGACTTGGAGAGTTGATTGGAATGGTGGCATTGTTAGGACATCAGGTTGGAGGCCACTGAAAGCAGTGGTGATTGCCATGGTGAAGAGAGCTGAAAGGCAACTGGAGACCTGCAGGCACCTAAAGGCAAGAGATCAAGGAAGAGGAACACGATAAAATGCTTATGGCTCCAAGAAGAAATAGGGTGAGATTCTTAAGGAAATTAAAACATTTCAAAGCAATTGTGTAAATGGATGAACTGGAACAAAAGTGACTTGTCACCCGGTGATGAGTCATTTCTAGAAAAGGCTTGAAACAACAATGCGTGTGTACATGGGGCTGATTAGTGAGTATTTGCCCTTGCATGGAGCCAGTCTGCAAAGGATGGGAGAAGTGGTTAGCTTTGCCGTTGTTGCTTTGTTCTGTTTTTCTCTTGGTGTTTTACATGCGCAGTTTTCAAAAAAGGATTAAAAGTCATGTAAAGAAACAGCGAATATGGCCATTCAAAGGAACAACATTAGTGTCTAGAAATTAACCCTAAAGAAACATAGGTCCTGACAATGACTTTAAAATAACTGTCTTAAGTATGCACAACAAGCTAAAGAGAAGGGAAAGAGAATTACATGAAAGCAGGAAGACAATATATGAACAAAATAATATCAACAAAGATATTGAAATTATAAGAATGAATCAAACAGAAATTCTGGAACTGAGAAAATATAATAACAGAATTACAAAATTAACTAGAGGGATTCAATAGCAGAATTAAACAGATGAAATAATCTGCAAATTTAAAGACAGTTCATTTGAAATTACAGAGTCAAAGGAGCAGAAATGAACAGAATGAACTGAGAAATGCCACGGGGACTTATGGGACACCATCAAGCCAACCAACATGTATATTATGGAAGTCCAAGTAAAATAAACACCAAAAGACCCTCACTGAGATACATTATAGTCAAAATGCCAAAAGTTAAGACAGAGAAACTTCAAAGTAGCAAGAGAAAAATGGCTTACCTTGTGCATGGTAGCCCTATAAGATTATCATGATTTTTTACAAGAAACCTTATAGGCCAAAAGACAATGGGAACTAATATAAAATATATTTAAAGTTAAAGGAAAAAAATTCTGAGAACACTATGTCTGGCAACACTGGTCTTCAAAAATGAGAGAAAACTAAGACATTTCCAGGGAAACAAAAGCTGAGGGAATTGATTACTACCAAATGTAGTGTACAAGAAATGCTAAAGGGAGTCCTTCAAATTTAAATGAAAGAATGCCAGAGGGTAACTTAAAGCAATACAAAAAAAAAATGAAGTTCTCAGGTAAAGGTAATTATCATGACAAAAATATTTTATTATTTTAGTTTTGGTTTGTAATACCACTTTTAATTCTTTCATAAGGTTTAGAGGACAAAAGCATAAATTGATGCAATGGGTACAAAACATATAAAAATGTAATTTTTGACATCAACAACAATAAGAGGAAATTAAATTGTTAAGAAGTAAAGTTTTATATGCAATTGAAGTTAAGTTGTTATCAGATTAAAACAGCATGCTGTAACTTTAGAATGTTTTATGTAATCCCCATGGTAACAAAAAGCAATAACTATAGAATATACAAGAAAGGAAATGAGAAGGAAATCAAATCATAATGTATCACTACATAAAGTTAACTAAAAAAAGTTAACAAAAAGAAAGTTAATAAGGAAAGAAATGAAGGACAAAAAGCTCAAAGAAATACTGAAGACAATTAACAGAATTACAAGAGTGAATTCTTTCCCTTAAGGAATTACATAAAATACAGAAGAATTAAATTCCCCATCAAAAGATGCACATTTGCAGAATAGATATATACACAGGATCTAACTACATGCTGTCTACAACTGACTCACTTTAGATCTGGGAACACTCATATGTTAAAAGTAAAAGGATGAAAAAAGGTATTCTATGCCAATAGCCATCAAAAGAGAGCAGGGGTGGCTATACTAATGTCATGCAAAATAAATTTTGAGCCAGAAACTGTTAGAGGAGACAAAGAACATTATTTAGTGATAAAATAATTAAGCCACTAAGAAAATATAACAATTATATATACACCCAACATCAGAGCTCCTAAATATATGAAAGAAACATTGACAGAAAGAAAAAAATAGACAGCTCTATAAAATAGTAGAAAATTTTAATATCTCACATGTAGTAATGAAAAGGACAGATCAATAAATAAACAGAAGACTTGAAAACAGTATAAATAAATTAGACCTAACAAACATACACAAAACATTTCAAACAACAGTATCAGAATACTCATTTTTCTCAAGTACATATAGAACATTCTCTATGATAGAGCAAATGTTGGGCCAAAAAGCAAGTCTTAATAAATTTTTAAAAAATGAAATCATACAAGGTTTCTTTGCTACTTGCAATGGGATGAAACTAGAACTAAGTATCCGATGGAACTGGAAAATTTACTAAATTATGGAAATCAAACAAGACACTCTTAATCAACCAATGGGCAGAAAAGATATCACATGGGAAACTAGAAAATACCTTGAGGCAGATGAGAGCAAAATATAACATTCTAAAACACATGGAACACTGTGAAAGCAGCACCAGGGAAAATATACAGCTGCAAAAGCTAACACTAAAAATAAATTTTGAAATCTCAAATTAAAAACCTTATTCAGGGAACAAGAAAAAGAAGACAAATTAAATCTACAGTTAGCAAAAGAAGGGGGATAATAAATATTAGGAGAGAAGCAAGTGAAATAGAGAATATAAAACTATAGAAATATTTTGATTCTGGTAGATTTGAAATAAATATTAAAATCAGAGAGTATAAGTCTTCTAAATTTGCTTTGAATTTTCATGATTGTTCTGGCTATTCGGAATCTCTTGAGATTCCATGTGAATTTTAGGATGTTTTTCTATATCTGCAAAAAAAAAATACCTTCCGAATTTTGACATGGATCGTTTTGGGATTTTGATATGGATTGTATTGAATCTGTTGATGAATTAGAATAGTATTGAAAAAACTGATTTTTGCTTGTTGATTTTGTACCCTGAAACTTTGCTTAATTTCTTTCAGTTAAAACAATGTTTTATTAGATTATTTAGGATTTTCCACATATACAATCATGTCATATGCAAACAGAAAAAAGATTTTCACCCTCCTTTTTGCTTTGAATGCCTTTTGTTTCCTTTTCTTGACTAACTTCTCTGGGTTCCTGTACTGTGTTAGATAGAAGTGGCAAAAGTGGGCATCCTTGTCTTGTTCTTTCTGATCTTACGGGAAAAGGTTTCAGTGTCCTATCATCGAGTATGGTGATAGCTGTGTGTTGGTCATAAATGGCTAAACCTATTAGAAGACAACAAAAGTGAAAAGTTTCATACATTAGATTTGGTAACGGTTTATTGGATGCAACACCAAAAGCACAAGCAACAGAGAAAAATAGGTAAATTGGTTTACATAAAATTAAAAAATGTCTGTGAATCAAAGAATACAATCAACAGAATGATAAGGCAGCCAACAGAATGAGAGTAAATATTTGTACATCACACGGTGGATAAAAGGTAAACATCTAAAACGTAAAAAGAACTCCTACAACTCAATGATACAAAAAAAAAAAAACAAAAACCCAAACAACCCAATTCAAAAACTGGCAAAGAAGTTGAATAAATATTTCACCAAAGAAGACATACAGATGATCAACAAGCATGTGAAAAGATGCTCAACACCCCTAATTAGAAAAATGCAAATTAAAACCTCAATGAGATACCATCTCTAGGATGGCTACTATTTAAAAAATAGAAAGTAACCCATTTTGACAAAGATGTGGAGAAATTAGAACATGTGTGCACTGTTGATGGGTATGTAAAATGGTGCATACGCTAGGGAAAACAATATGGTTGTTTCTCACAAAATGGAAAACAGAATTATGATGTGATCCAGCTTTTTCATTTGTGGATATATACCCAAAATAATTGAAAGCAGGGCTCAAAGTAATGTTAGTACACCCATGATCACAAGCTTCCATCTATGGATGAAATGAAATGAATGAAAAAGCAAAATGTCAGAATCCATAAAGTGGGGCACTTTTTGAGTCTGAAAAAGATGGAAAATCTGATAGATGCTACAATGTGAATGAACCTTGAGGACATTATGCTAAATGAAATAAGTCAATCACAAAAAGACAAATACTTTATGATTCCACTTCCATGAGGTGCCTAGAGAAGTCAAATTTATGGAGACAGAAAGTAGAATGGTGGTTGCCAGGGGCTACAGAGAGGGAGGAAGGAATGGGGAGTTGTCGTTTCATGAGTAGAGTTTTAACTTTAAGATGAAAAGTTTAGGAGAGTGGGTGTGAAGCAATATTAATGTACTTAACACTACAAACTGTAGACTTAAAAATGATTAAGATGGTAAATTTGGTTATATATATTTTACTACAACTAAAAGTATACAATATATTTGTTATAATTCACAAATATACATTTAACTTTCAGAATGAAAGAAGTTAATAAAATTCATACATTTTACTAGCTTTTAAAGCACAATCCTTAGAATAATGACAAAGCTGATTTCTAGTGTATGGTAAGACATAATTCTAGGTTTAAAATAATATATTAAAATATTTATTAATACTTTTCTATAGTTTCTTACAAATAAAAAACTACTTATAGTAAAAAATCTAAATTTATTAGTAAATCAGTAAATATTTGCTCTTAAATAACTTCTTTAGGTAGTTCGTATTAATATAATTTATTTGCTTGTGTTTTCAATATTAGCTAGATTTTTAACGTATTGCTTCCATCATAATAAAATATCACATAAATAATACTAATAAGTTAAAATAACATATGTAACACTTGATTCATATACCAAGTCATAGTTTTGAAATGTCCATATACATATTCACTTTGCAGTTTATAAAATAATGATTTCCTTGAAGTATACATAATTTCATACAAACTTCCTTGATGTAAGGTTAAATGGATTTTAGAAACTAATTTTTATTACAGTTCATATGTATTACCAGGAGATGTAACAGAACTCCTATTAGTTCAATTACTGTGCATAATAGTATTTTCTTTGCATGATTTTAATTGATTTGTAGGTTTGATGTGTGCCTACTTCCTTTAAGTTTTTTTTTTTGTTTTTTTTTTTTTTCAAATAAAGGCTCCCTCTATCGCCCAGGCTAGAGTGCAGTGGCGTGATCTCGGCTCACTGCAACCTCCGCCTCCCAGGTTCAAGCTATTCTCCTGGCTCACCTTCCCCAGTAGCTTGGATTACAGGCACCCACCACCATGCTCAGCTAATTTTTGTATTTTTAGTAGAGATGGGGTTTCACCATGTTGGCCAGGCTGGTCTTGAACTCTTGTCCTCAAATGATCTGCCCACCTCGGCCTCCCAAAGTGCTGGGATTACCGGCATGAGGCACTGTGCCCGGTCTTCTTCCTTTAAGTTTTCTACTAAATATCCCTTTCAAACAAAATTATCCTCATGGGAAATAGCCTTGGGTGAGCTATTTCCAGCACTTTGGGAGGCTGAGGCTGGAGGGTAGCTGGAACACAGGGGTTCATGACCAGCCTTTGCAGAATGACAAAACCAGTCTGATATGGTTTGGCTCAGTGTCCCCATCCAAATCTTATCTCCAATTGTAATCCTCATGTGTTGAGGGAGGGACCTGGTAGGAGGTGATTGGATTATCGGGGCAGTTTTCCCCATGCTGTTCTCAAGATAGTGAGTTCTCATGAGATCTGATAGTTTAAAAGTGTAACACTTCCCCTCCTCCCCTCCTGCTGCCATGTAAGATGTGCCTTGCTTCTCTTTTGCCTTCTGCCATGATTATACGTTTTCTGAGGCCTCCCCCAGCATGAGACTGTAGAACTGTGAATCAATTTAACCTCTTTTATTTTTTCTTTTTTTCTTTTTTTTTAAATTTTGCTTTAAGTTCTAGGGCACATGTGCACAACGTGCGGGTTTGTTACATATGTATACATGTGCCATGTTGGTGTGCTGCACCCATTAACTCGTCATTTACATTAGGCATATCTCCTAATGCTATCCTTCCCCCCTCCCCCAACCCAATGACAGGCCCTGGTGTGTGATGTTCCCCTTCCTGTGTCCAAGTGTTCTCATTGTTCAATACCCCCTGTGAGTGAGAACAAGCAGTGTTTGGTCTTTTGTCCATGCAATAGTTTGCTGAGAATGATGGTTTCCAGCTTCATCCATGTCCCTACAAAGGACATGAACTCATCCTTTTTTGTGGCTGCACAGTATTCCATGGTTTTATGTGCCACATTTTCTTCATCCAGTCTATCATTGATGGACGTTTGGGTTGGTTCCAAGTCTTTGCTATTGTGAATAGTGCCACAATAAACATACATGTGCATGTGTCTTTACAGCAGCATGATTTATAATCTTTTGGGGATATACCCAGTAATGGGATGGCTGGGTCAAATGGTATTTCTAGTTCTAGATCCTTGAGGAATCACCACACCCTCTTCCACAATGGATGAACTAGTTTACAGTTCCACCAACAGTGTAAAAGTGTTCCTATTTCTCCACATCCTCTCCAGCACCTGTTGTTTCCTGACTTTTCAATGATCGCCATTCTAACTGGTGTGAGATGGTATCTCCTTGTGGTTTTGATTTGCATTTCTCTGATGGCCAGTGATGATGAGCATTTTTTCATGTGTCTTTTGGCTGCATAAATGTCTTCTTTTGATAAGTGTCTGTTCATATCCTTTTCCCACTTTTTGATGGGGTTGTTTGTTTTTTCTTGTAAATTTGTTTGAGTTCCTTGTAGATTCTGGATATTAGCCCTTTGTCAGATGAGTAGATTGCAAAATTATTCTCCCATTCTGTAGGTTGCCTGTTCACTCTGATGGTAGTTTCTTTAGATCCCATTTGTCAATTTTGGCTTTTGTTGCCATTGCTTTTGGTGTTTTAGACATGAAGTCCTTGCCCATGCCTATGTCCTGAATGGTATTGCCTAGGTTTTCTTCTAGGGTTTTTATGGTTTTAGGTCTAACATTTAAGTCTTTAATCCATCTTGAATTAATTTTTGTATAAGGTGTAAGGAAGGGATCCAGTTTCAGCTTTCTACTTATGGCTAGCCAGTTTTCCCAGCACCATTTATTAAATAGGGAATCTTTTCTCCATTTGTTGTTTTTGTCAGGTTTGTCAAAGATCAGATGGTTGTAGATGTGTGGTATTATTTCTGAGGGCTCTGTTCTGTTCCATTGGTCTATATCTCTGTTTTTGTACCAGTACCATGCTGTTTTGGTTACTATAGCCTTGTAGTATAGTTTGAAGTCAGGGAGCGTGATGCCTCCAGCTTTGTTCTTTTGGCTTAGGATTGTCTTGGCAATGCAGGCCCTTTTATGGGTCCATATGAACTTTAAAGTAGTTTTTTCCAATTCTGTGAGGAAAGTCATTGGTAGCTTGATGGGGATGGCATTGAATCTATAAATTACCTTGGGAAGTATGGCCATTTTACCTCTTTTCTTTATAAATTACCCAGTCTCAGGTAGTTCTTTATAGCAGTCTAAAAACAGACTAATACACCATCTAGACAAAAAACTCAAAAATTAGCTGGGCATCATGTCATATGACTATAGTCCCAGCTACTTGGGAGTCTGGGTTAGGGGGATCACCTGAGCCAGGGAGGTCGAGATTTCCAGTGAGCTGTGATCATGCCACTGCACTCCAGCCTAAGCAAGAGAGCAAGACAACATATCAAAAAAAAAAAAAAAAAAGAAAGAAAGAAAGAAAGAAAAAAGAAAAGAAAGAAATAACCCTTACATATTATCAGAGTGAAAAACAAAGTTACCTAAGCAATAGAAAATAATCACTGAAAAAGGGGGTATTTGAATGCAAAAAAAAAAAAGTGTCAATGTATTTGCAAAGCGGCACTCCTATTTCTTTGTAAATTATGATAAGTTACTTCTTCATGGGCACAGTATCTGCTCAGGGCAATTATGTCAACATGGAAAGTTCTTGTTACACTGTATTTTTATAACTTCTTAACACTTTGGCAAAATTATAAGTTATCTGAGAAAGATGAAATACCAAATCGATTGAAAACAAAGATAAAACATTATTCTAATTATAGCAGTAACTTTTTATTATATTTCATATTGAGTTCAAGCCAATTTTTTGCATATGCATAATTTAAGTTTACTTTTGGTTTTCTAAACTGCAGTAAAATTAGTTCTGAGGGAAATTAGCTTTGCAAATGTCATTTTCCCAATTATAATTTTTTATACATATAATTGCCTTTTCTTGCTTTCCCATGACTTCTCCAAATTTTAGTCTATAAAATTATTTGAATTTTTAAAATATTGGAGTCAGACTTAAGAGAAACCTAATGATGTGAATTAAAAATCACCATTCTATCACTTAAAATATATTGAATGCTTTATATGTGCCAGGCCCAGTAAAAGATCTATTATATAACAGAAAAGAAACTAAGACACAGAGAGGTTAATTACCTATAATTTTTGCCTGAATGACTCAGCTCATAATTAGCATTGTTAATTTCAAACCCAGGTCTGTTTGACTTTAAAGGTTAAGCATTTAATCAGTTTGGTATATTGAGATGTTAGCTCTGAATCACTTGAAAGGGATGGGAAAACTTGAGCAATCTGAGGTAACACCACTAGCATATTTTGGAGGTTGATTTTAGGCCCGGGTCTTTTCAGTTCTTACATCCACTCAAGATTCTTTGCCTCATCTTGTCTTCCAAAATGTAGAGTACATCAATAAAATCTGGTTCCTGACTGCATCCCCGCCTCTACAAACCTCCCCTCCCTAAACATTACAAATCATAAGAACATGTGTTGCCCTATAGTAGACCTAGGAGAGTTTATCAGCAAGTACATTTAAGGAAGAATAAGAAACAGCATTGAGAAGGACAAAAGAAGGCATTATAGAGAAGGAAAAAATACAAGAAAAATTTTAAAATATAATTATTTGTTTTCCCCTGTAAAATTGATGATCACTATGCATAGTTTCTTATGTCTGTGTGAATTCTTAAAATCTATTTATATCCTCTTGCGATTTCAGTGAGCCAATAAATAATATTCTCCTGTCCTCTTCAATAGCAAATTCAGAAGTCAGTGGAAAATTAGATACTGGTATCATGTCTTAGCTTGTTTGGGCTGCTATAACAAAAATATCCTAGACTGCATGTCTTGTAAACAACAAAAATGTATTTCTCACATTTCCAGAGGCTGGGAAGTCCAAGGCTGAAGTGCCAGCCAATTCAGTGTCTGGTGAGGGCAGCTTCCTGGGACACTGACAGCCATCTTCTAGTTGTGTCCTCACATGGTAGGAAGGGCAAGGGGTCTCTCTGGAGTTTATTTTATAAGGGCACTAATCCCATCCATGATGGCTCTGCCTTCATGACCTAATTTCCTCCCACCAGCTCCATGCCCTAACACCATCACCATTAGGGTGAAATTTCAACATATGAATTTGTAAAGGACATAACATCTAGTCTGCAGCAGACCTTCTAGATTGAGAGAAAAGAGTCAGTTTTATTGTTAAGGATGATTTTGGAACCTTGCTGAGAATTGTGTCCTCAGTGGGCTTCCTCAAACTCTGAGTTTGACTCAGGCCCACAACCTCCCCGAGTCCCTGACATGAATATAAAGTTGTGGACTTTCACTGCAGGGACATGCTGCTTATAGCATTGATGCTAACAAAGCAGAGATAACACTCGAGGCAAGAAAAGGAGGGAGGGAGAGACAGAGAATGGATCACACCAAGCACGCTTAGTCTCTTCTCTGAGTAAACGAGCCAGTGAACACACAGAGATGCACCAGTGGCAAATGAGTCAGTACATTACTAACCATCTATTGACACCCTCCTGTTGGTTCCCTATAGGGTTGTAGTAATGCAACTTCAATTTTCAAAATTTTCTGTTTTAACATGAACCTGTTAGAATCATATCATCTTAATTTTAGTATATTTAAGGAACTGGAAATGTCATATGATTTATAATGATTTAGAGAAATTCCTTAGTTCCTTTTTATGAACCAAGCAAATTAGGTCCAAATAATTATCGAGTTATTTTTCACCAAGGAGTTTCAGGAGCATAACTTGTAACTTTTGCTAAGTGTTTCTCTTTTTTTAATTTATGAGAAACTTCCTCATAAGTAGGTCTTCAACAATCAAATATATAGGCTCAAGATTATAAGTCCTTTAGAACTATTTTTAAATGCTTATTTATTAAGCATAGTCCTGTTCCCTTTCCATGAGACAGAACTAGACAGAAAATCAATTTTAATGTGCAAAGAGACCTTATAACTGTAGACAAATCAAATGTTCTGGTAATAACATATAAATATGTGCTAACCTGTCTTCATATAACAAGATGTAATGGACATCTCAGCGATTAGGTTGTTAAAGCACCTGCATCAACAATTGCTATTTTCCAGACACTGAATTAATAACATTTAATACAAACTGCTGTCTGAGGCTGCAAAACTGTGACTTTAGTTGTTCTTTACTTGCCAGGTCTGAATAAAGGAATATGGGTGTCTTAGTTTGAGTTCTTTTAAAGTGGACATGGAGACAGGGATCTGCAGATCCTAATACATCACAGGAGAATGGGAAGGAGGGCTGGGAAGTGGGGTGAATGTCAATGGCTCAGTTCATGGAAGGAGCAGGTAGAAAGACAAATTGGACTTACTCCTATTTATTCTGCTCCCAGGTCAATAGGCTTGAACTTTTAATGCATTGTTTGTGCCCACTTGCCTTTGACTATTAGAATCAACAAATAAGAGAACTTAGAGTCTTGCATTGTGGCCTTTATTTACTTTTCTCACACACTATAGAGCTATAATTAAGACTAGAAATGAAGCATCATGATATTTTCATGATATTTGCATGTAGGTATGTTTTGATGTTTTGTTCTTGTTTATTTGCATATTTGTTTTCTTCTCCTCCAAGGCAACAGGGCAAACATTTCCTTGTGAATGATAAGAGAATAAACAGTAAATATTGTAGGCTTTGCAGGCAACAAAGGCCTCTGTTGCATATTCTTAAAAAATACCTTCAAACATGTAAAGGTCATTTTTATTCTGTGAAGCTGTGCAAACACAGGCCATGGTTGATTGCTGTAAGGGAAGAGATGTTTAGTATTTATTTTCTATGCATTTCAATATAATCTAATTTAGAAATAGTAGCAATTAAGTTAACTTTTTTAAAAGTATAAGTGTCCCAACTCCCCTGCTAAGGTGGTCTCAAGGAGGGCCTAGGAAGGAGTCGGAACTTTCATCCCTGCTGGGTACAACAGGCCCCAGCCCCATGGTGTTAGTGGAGATCACGTGGCTAGTGTATTAGTCCATTCTCACACTGCTATAAATAACTACCGAGACTGGGTAGTTTATAAAGAAGATAGGTTTAACTGACTGACAGTTCCACAGGCTGTACAGGAAGCATGGCTGGGAGGCCTCAGAGAACTTACAATCATGGCAGGAGGTAAAGGGGAAGCAACCACATCTTACCACGGCAGAGCAGGAAAGAGGGGAGAGATGCTATACACTTTTAACCCATTTACTCCTGAGGTTGCAATTTTTTGAGTTTGAAAAAAATCAGACCTTGGCAATGGCCTTGAGCAGTAGGATATAAATAACTCCAACATGCTCAGTGTTCCAATAATGGAACATTAAACATAAATGTGTTTAAACAAGCAGATCTCATGAGAAGTCCATCACAAGAGAGCCCTAGGGGGATGGTGCTAAACCACTGGAAACAGCCCCCATGATCCAATAACTTCCCACCAGGTCCTACCTCCAACACTCGGGATCACAGTTCAACATGAGATTTGGGTGGGGACACAGAGCCAAACCATATCAAGTAGTGTGAACTTTCACCTCCACCTTTTGCCATAAGAAGCCTCTCCCCTCCCCAAGGGGTGGTGTCAGAGGAAGCCAAGTGGAGTCAGGATTTTCACCATTGCAGAGAGGTATTGAGACCACCTCCCCCTTCGGCTGTTGGTGGATGCCACATGGAGAGAAGTAACAAGGAGCACTCCTACCAAAGGGTAGCATTAGTGAAAGCCTGTAGGAAACCCAGAGCTTACACCCCCAACCAGCAGTAAAAAGGTTGACACATGGATGTCAACAGAATCTAGTGGGAACTTGAACTACTACCCCACCTGGCAGTCATGAGGCAGTGCCCACCTTCCATCCAGGGCAGTGTCTGACAAAGCCAATGAAGCAGGTTTAACTGACCCAGAATGCCATAACATAATATTCCAATATCCAGGTCCCCATTAAAAACCACTTGTCATACCACAAACCAGAAATATCTCAGTTTGAATAACAGAAGATACTCAACAGATGCCAATACCAAGATGATACAGATGAGGATCAGACAATGATTTTAACTCAGCCATCATATAAATGCTTCAACAAGGAATTACTAAAAAGCTTGAAACAAATTAGAAAATAAAAAATCAGAATGAAGAAACAGAAATTTGCAGTAAAGAAATGGAGTAAAAAAATAAGAAAATGGAATTTTTATAACTGAAATTTGCTATAATCAAAAATATTTGAATATGCCTCAATAGATGGACTCAACAGCAGAATGAAAAGGATAGAAAAAAGTATCACAAAATCTAAAGAGAGAACTATAGAAATAACCATATTTGAACAAGAGAAATAAAATAGGCAGGAAAAAGAAATGAGCAGAACTTTCTGGACCTGTTGAACCATAACAAAATGTCTAATATTTGTTTCATCAGAGTCCCCAAAGTGAATCGGTTAGGGCAAGTGTTCAAAGAAATAACGGATAAAAGTTTTTCAAGTTGGTGAAAACCACTTACCTGCAAATTCAAGAGGCTAAGCAAACTCCATATAAGATAAACACAAAGAAACATATACCAAGATATATCATAGACAAACTTCTGAATACCAGATACAAGAAACCCTTGAAAGTAGTAAGAAAGGGCCAGGCGCGGTGGCACAAGCCTGTAATCCCAGCACTTTGGGAGGCCAAGGCAGGTGGATTTCCTGAGCTCAGGAGTTTGAGACCACCCTGGGTAACATGGTGAAACCCCATCTCTACTAAAATACAAAAAATTAGCCAGGCATGGTGGTGCGTGCCTGTACTCTCAGCGACTTGGGAGGCTGAGGCAGGAGAATCGCTTGAGCCCAGGAGGTGGAGGTTGCAGTGAGCCGAGATCACACCACTGCACTCCAGCTTGTGCTACAGAGTGAGACTCCGTTTCAAAAAAGGAAAAACAACAAAAAAAGAAAAAGTAGTAAGAAAGAAATAACACTTTACCTCTAAAGGGAGCAATTCGAGTGACAGCATGTTTCTCATCTGAAAACAGAGAGGCCAGAAAAAACTACTACAGTGAGATTCCAATACTGAAAGAAAAGAACTCTAAACCCATAATTCATACCCAGTGAAAATATCCTTCAGGAATGATGGGGAAATCAATCATTCTGAGATGAAGTAAAATTAACAGAATTCGTCATCAGAATACCTATCCTATAAGAACTGCTAACGTTCTTCAAAGAGAAAGTGAATGATTAAAAGAAATTTTGAAACATTGGGAGTGGGGAAAGAATAACGGAAAGAATAAAGATAACGGTAAATACAATAAACTTTTCTTCTCATATTGAGTTTCCTTAAATAAAAAAATTAGATATTGCTTCAAATTGTAACTAAAATTTAAATGGTGACAACACAAAACACTTGTGAAGATGTGTATTACCCCATTTTTATACGTAATAAAGAAATACCCGAGACTGGGTAATTTATAAAGAAAAAGAAGTTTAATGGATTCACAGTTCCACATGGCTGGAGAGGCCTCACAATCATGGTGGAAGGCAAAGGAGGAGCAATATCTCATCTTACATGGCGGCAGGCACGGGAGCATGTGCAGGGGAACTGCCCTTTACAAAACCATCAGATCTCGTGAGACTTATTCACTATCATGAGAACAGAGTGGGAAAAATCCACCCCCATGAGTCAGTTACCTCCCACTGGGTCCTTCCCATGACATGTAGGGATTATGGGAGCCTCAATTCAACATGAGATTTGGGTAGGGACAGAGCCAAACCATATCAGGATGCAAAGAAAATTGATTACTTGCGTATTGTTGGTGGTAGTGTAAAATCATGCAGAACTTCAGAAAATGAAAAATAATGCCATAAAGGTCAAAAGGAAAGAAATGGAAGTATATATTATTATAAGATTGTTATATAATATGTGAAATAGTATGCTATCACTTAAAGGCAGATGGTGATAAATTAAAGATATATATTATAAACTCTAAACTTACAATCAAAACAAAACAATAAGTTATGTAGTTAATATAGTTAATATATAGTTAATAAGTCAATGAAATCAAATCAAAAAAAGAAATCAGAAACATTGAATTAACTCAAAAAAGGTAGATCGAGAGGAAGATATAAACAAAGAACAAAATGGAGAAAGAGAAAACAAATAGCAAGATCTTATCAATAATCACATTACATTTAAATGTTCCAAATACCAATTATAAGGCAGAAATTGTAGTTTGAATCAAAAGCTAAGACGTAGCTGTGTGCTTTCTACAGGAGAGCCATTTTAGATGATAAATAAGTTAAAAGTAAAAGGAAAAAACCCCACATATCACCCTAATCCAAAGAAACCTAGACTGACTATGTTAATATCAGCAAAGTAAATTTCAGAGCAATAAATGTTACCAGCTCCAAAAGGGGTCATAGTATAATAATAAAATGATAGATTTATAAATAAGACATAATGACCCTAAATTGTTACATAGCTAATATGAGAGCTTCAAAACATGAAACAAAAACTGAGAGACTATGGAAAAATAGACAAATTCACAAATATAGTCAGATATTTTTAACATCTCTCTCTAAACAATTGGTTGGATAAATAAACAAAAATAATCAGTATGTAGCAAGTTTATTTTTGAGCCCCAAACCATATGTAATTCAAGTGCCCATCAACTGGTAGTATATTCATACAATGGAATACTACTTAACAATAGAAATGACTATTAATATATGAAGCATATATCAACACAATTATGCTGCACTATTTATATTGACAGAAAGTAGGTCCGTGAGTCCCCAGCAGTGGGAGTGTGGGGAAGAAAAGGAAGGATAAGAAGGGGGATGAGGAAGCTTGTGATGTGGTTTTGATGGTGGCTTCACAAGGGTATACACATGCCAACACTTAGCACATCATACACTTTAAATATGTGCAATTTATTGTCTATTATATTTCAATAAAGCTACTAAGTATTTTTTGGAGAAAGGTGAATTCTGTGATCCATTATTAGAAAACGGAATGATTATTTTCCCTCCTCTCTTTTGTAGGTGAGAGATAGGACCACAAATTGTTTACTCATTTCAACCAGTAAACATGTCCTGCAATGTCAATCTGTCTTTCTGCCACAGCAGTTCTGCGCCTCCTGAGTTGTTTCCATCTCCCTCCAGTCATTCAGGACCACCAATGAGATTTGTGATATTTGGAAAACTGCCACCCAGTGCCTCCTTTTCCTAATCTGCTGAATAAAGTTAATAAGACTATCCTATGTTGCCATCATTTGTTTTGGGGATTCATGGGTTAGGTGATACTTAATATATATGGAAAGTGTTTGAATAATGTTTTATGGAGACTTGTCAAAAACATATATTTTGAGGTTTTTTTAAATATTGCCATTCAAACAGAAAAAAAACTTCTCTGTATATAAAACCTTATCAAGAGATTCAACTGTATTTTATCAGCACAGAAACAACAAGGGTTGTCTATAAATTCTTACTTCAATGCCTCATTATCTGTTTTTTTTTTCACCACCAACTTGATGCCAGATAGGTTTATCTCATCACTCCTCTGAATTTGCTTTAGAAATCACAGTGACTTCCATCTTGCCTTCATCCTCATCTTATCAGATGTGTCAGAACCCTTTGAGGCTGTTGATCACTTCCTCCTTCTCAAAACATTCTTGGTTGTCCTCTTTACTCACCGACATTATTCTCCACTTTAGTTACAAGTGTCTCCCATTTCTAATCTCTAAATGTTGAAATCTCCCCCACACAGTCCTCAGCTCCAGTCTGCCTTCCATGTTCACACACTCAGTGTCCTCACATGGTTATCCACAGCTAATGACTTCTGCATTTACATCTTTAGGCTTGACATTCCTAAGAGGTTGCCACTCATATCCTAAACTGCTTATTCAAATTTCACCTCAGGCATTTATTAAACATCTAAAAGCACACATGTCAAAAAGACACTCCCAACACTCATCTCACCCTCATCATTTCCTTTATCAAGACAAAATTCAGGAGTGATTGCAGAGGCACCACCGGTGTTGCTGCAGTCTCGCCTCTGATTATTAATGCAAGTAATAAAGGTCGTTAAAGGTATAAATGATTTTGTTTTAAATTTTACTCTAGGAGGAAGGGTGAGCAAACAATTCCAATGAGGTAATCATGGATAGTTTAAAGCAGGAGATGATTTCTCAACTTAACTTAGAAGAATGAGACGCAATCAATAGCAGTAATATTCATAAAGGATTTTTAGAAAAGTGTTCTAAAATAGGAAAATTGGAAAGCAATGATATATCAGTAGAACACTGGGTTCAGAGACAGGAGAAGGGTATAAAAGTGGTGAAAGGCATTACATGAAGGTGGGTCAGATTCTAAATAACTTTGAGTACTCCACAAAGGAGATTAAACTAATTGAAGGTTTTTCCAGCACAGCAGTGAAAGTTAGGGGGATAAAATCTAGAACCATGTGGAAAAGAGATTGGTTGAGAAGTAACCTGAGGTCAAATAAGACTAGTTATTCCACCAGTTTAGTAGTCCAAATGCAAGGTGGAAACAAAAACGAGGACAGTGGCATTGGGCAGCAGACATAGAATGATTTAGAAATTATTGAGAAGGATCTAGTGTTAACTTTGCCTCATTCAGGACATTAGTTTCTTACAGTTGATCTGGATGAAGTCACTAAATAGAGTTTTCACATGTAAAAAGGGAGTAATAAATGTGAGCTAGAGCAATGAGTTAATTTAAGACATTAATGTGTCATTAGTGGCATAATGTTCAAATAGCTTGGTATTAAAAATACTTTTTAAATACCCATTCTCACCACATGCTGTATTTAGGATTGGGGATTATAAATAAAATGATAATTTTCATTAAGAAATGGGTGGATTCCAGAAAACTCAAGAAATCATTATTCTTCGGTTAGTTTATCCATTCATCTATTGGTGGATGTATTTGTTGCTGAAAATTTGGGGAAATTATGAATAAATTGAATAAATGATTATCAGTAAAACTGTTACAAACATTCATGCATGGAAGTTTATATTGGCATAGTTTTTTTAAATCAATTGGGTAAATAACTGGAAATTCAAATACTGGACTATGCTCAGTTTTATAAGAAACTGTAGAAATGTCTTCCAATGGTTGGACAAATTTACAGTCTCACTGGCAATAAATGAGGGTTTCCAATGCTTTGCAGAGTTGTCAGTAGTGGTTATCATCAGACTTTTGCATTTGAGCCATTCCAATAAATACGTAGTGATATCTCATTGTTGTTTTAATTTGCATTTCTCTAATGATGAGTGAATGCTGAGTGTCTTCTCATAATGCCTATTTGCTATCATCTTTATAGTTTTTTGGTGAGATGTCTTCTCAAATCGTTTTGCCTATTTATTAATTAGGGTATTTGTTGCTGTTGAATTTTAAGAATTTTTTGCATATTCTGGAGATAATATTTTTAAATCAGATATATGATTTACAACGATTATTTCAAGCTGACTTCTTATCACTTATATAACTACTCTAACCTGAGAAATAATCTAATGTTTACAAAATGTGCTATTGATAATTTTTTTATCTTTTGACCAAATAAACTGGTAATTTCATGTTAATTTTCAATAGCTTTGGTTTGAACATAAGGGTTTAAGTGGTTTTAAAATGATCTTATATTACTTCTCTTTATCTCGAGATAAAATTTAAAACTTTAATCTTAGTTCTTTCATGATGTGTCTAGATTGTTTCTAAGATAAACACATAAACAAATATTATTTTAGTTATAGTTCCAAGCACACTTAATATTTTGTATTGAGACTGGTTGTGCATTTTTTTCTTAAAAGTCTCTGCCAAAAATATGAATATCATGAGATAAAGGTATATTATTATGCATGTACAAAGATTATAAAGGTATCCATCAAAATTTTTAAAATCATTATTTTCAGAGGTGTTGAAATAATTCATTTTATTTAATTTACAGGTCTGTTCTAATATTTCTTTAATAATCAAAAGTAAATGCCTTATGGAGTCTATTTTTTAATAAAATATTACTTTAATTTGTGTAAATAATTGTATTTGACTAATATAATTTTTAAATTTTTTCATTTGGGAAGTAACTATGAAATAATATAAACATGTGCTATCTTCCAAAGCATATGAAACAAATAACAAGTATCCCTTTATGCGAAGCTACAAAAAGAATTACATGTGAGGTAAAATCATTTCTGTCATTCATAACACGGGAATGCAACTTATAAATGTGACAGGGTAGGTGGCTCACATCTGTAATCTCAGCCCTTTGGGTAGCTGAGGCAGGATGATCACTTGAGACCAGAAGTTCAAGCCTAGCCTGGGCAACATAGTGAGACCATTTCTGCAAAAATAGAGAATATGTATATAAAAACTTAAAAAATTAGCCAGGCATGGTGATGCATGCCTTTGGTCCCAGCTACTTAGGAGGCTGAAGTGGGAGGATTGCTTGAGCCCAGGAGGTGGAGGCTGCAGTGAGCTTTTATCGCACCACTGCACTCCAGCCTGGGTGACTGAGTGAGACTCTGTCTCAAGAAAAAATAAAATAAAATAAAAGATCAGATAAAACAAAAAGAAAGAAAAAAGAAACTTACAAATGATACTATAATGAGAGTGTTAGAGAGAAATGTGTTATCTTTGGTCATTTCATACAATAAATCAGGATTTGAAAGAGAGTCCAGAGTCACAGACTCTAAAATTAGTCTCTTTGATTCTCAGAAGGGAACAGACCAGCTGAGAGGCTATGATCTGTGCACGCTGTGTTGAGGCAACATCCCTACTTCTCATGGCGTCACAGACAAACATTAATTTTCTCCTGCTAGTTTGGAAAAGAAGAGCTCTAGCGCAGATTTGCTGTCGTTCCTCCTAGGAGCATCCCCAGCATTCCAGTCATAATACAGCATCAAGAGATATTCAACATCCAGTGCTGTCTCCCTCTCCAAATACTTTCCTGAGCCAAGTGCACTGCCATCTGGCAGATGTAGAACACATTGTCCAGGGTTCTTGGAAGGTTAGGTTAGATGCAGTTCAGATAGCACATTATAAAGAAAATCAAATAATTGCTTAAAAACGCCTCAATCTTTAATTTAGAGCTGTTACTTGGCAATTAACTGAAATGCAAATAACCATGTATACGTTGCTTTTCTCCCTAAAATAGCCATGTCAATATCATCTACCTACGTGACTACATAATTTCCTATGTTCTACACACCTTTTTAGATGATTAGTGAAGATTGTGACTATGAATGCCTCAGGTCAACACCTGAACTCTCCAGACCATATTTTTTCTCCTGATGTCCGAATGTATTATCAATTTCTTTGTTACCAAGCCGCATTTAACTGCTTACAATATTCTCAATACAGTGCTCCAGTGATATGATAACTAAATATAGCTTTCATTTAGTTTGCCAAATCCAATTTGCGATCTTAAATTTTTCTAACTACGGGAAATCATAGATACAACTTTTGGAGTGCAGTGGTGCAATCTAGGCTCACTGTAGCCCCCACCTCCCAGGGTCAAGCGATTCTCATGCCTCAGCCTCCTGAGTAGCTAGGATGACATGTGCATGCCATCACACCCAGCTAATTTTTATATTTTTAGTAGAGACAGGGTTTCACCATATTGCCCAGGCTGATCTTGAACTCCTGGCCTCAAGCGATCCGCCTGCCTTGGCCTCCCAAAGTGCTGGGATTACAGGCATGAGCCACTGCACCCACCACTAAATCATAGATATAACTCTTGACTTCAAGGAGTTAGCTAATAATTTGTATAAATGAAAAGAACATTGGTGGCAATACCAGAAAATTAATCAATAATCCATCAGTGTGTCAAAATGTAATTTTAAAACAATGAAACAATTCTGCTTACACTCATGTTGTTTATCTTTTACAGAGATGTGTAACCAATAAAAGTATGATGAATTCTGCTGCCTCTGCAGAATACAATCAGAACGTTAAGAGAGGACAGTGAATCAGGAAATGAAATACAAAGGAGGTCAGTGTTGTGGTGCTTCATTGATAAGCTGTATGACTGTTAGGAAGTTCTTAGTAACTTTTTTGAACATTTAGATATTAAAATTAGAAATGGTAATACAAGGATAGAGGGATTCTGTGAAAATAAATGAGAATGCACCATGAGTACCTCTGTAATGGCATTACATGCATAAAGGTTCCTATTGCCTAGGGAATAAGAGTCAGTTAACCTTTCTATTCTTGTTTCACCTATGTCTTAATAAGTGGCATAAAATATATCATTGTTCTCTCCCTATGATACAGTTTCTCAGAACAGAAGAACAAAATTAATGGACTTGACCTTCCTCACAATGATAATGTAAAGACTTAGGAGTTAAGTTTTATAAAACACTAGCAAGAATAGTGACATTCTCATTAATTATAAACATACATATTATAGAAGGCCATGTTCAATGAAATCATTCTTTTATGTTTCACATTGACTCCTATGAGAGCAGTAGTCTGAGCATATACTTATTAGCCCACTATATAAAATTGTACCACATATACAAGAGAAATTGTTGGGCCATTGTAGTTTTGTAATTATATTAATGAAGTAATTTTGGACAAAGGTGACTGGTATTAATGTGTTAGTTCCTGTAGTTACCTGTGTGGCTTTGGACACCTTTTCCCACATGCCTGGTGGATGTTTTCTTGTACTGTCTGAATTCTTTCTTCAAGACCAGGTACTCACTTTCCCAGCTGCTTGGGGCTAGCAGGTAAATATTTCCAAAAATCTGTAACACACCGTTGCAAATATTTTCTCTCAGCATATCAATAGCCTATATTTTATTAATGGTGTATTTCACTGTACAGATTATTCTTAGCTTTCTTGTGGTAAAATTGATTAAACTTGTATTATAGAACTTGTTTTTAGGTATGTTATTTGATTTAAAAAAGTTCATTCTCTATTTTTCTGATGCTTTGACCACTGTTTTATTAGTATTTAAATATAATGAAAATATTACCTTGAGTGATGACAATTTATATTATTAAATGACAGCTGGTTTTCCCCAAATCATTTTTTAAATAATTTTTCCCACATAATTGAAATGTCTCATAATAATGCTAGCATAACGTGTTAATTTGTTTGCTTTTATTTGTTTCACTGATTTGTTTCATCCTGTTATAATATCAAGGTATTTGTTTTAAGTACTTTAATCTATATAATATTACTTGATTTATGGTGATGGAAGTCAATCTATTTAACCATACTTAGGTTAAAATATAAACTATTTCCAGCAACCCAGAACTCACCCCCTGCCCCATTTTAGTGAACACCCCCAGGTCAGAGTTTACATCTATTCTTACTTCTATGACTCAACTTCTTCTGCTGGTTCTTAAAAGTAGAATAAATGGAATTATCAATGTACTCAATTGTCTAACTCCTTTGGTTTAACATAGTATCATTAAAATCAACCTTATTGACGCATTTATCCATAGAATGTGTAGCATTATAGTAACCGAATATATCACAATTTATTTTATACTTGTTTTTAGGCATTTGGAACTTTTCCAATTTCTTCATATTATGAAGCAATGGAACATTATTGTAAAGACCTTTTGGGAGGTACTTATCCCATTTTCATATATATATAGGAATGGGATTGGTGAAACATACAATAGACATATATTTTTCTTTAATAGATACTGTCAGACAGGCTTCCAATATGTCGTACCAGTCAATCGTCCCACTAACAATATAGAAGAGTTCCAGTTCCTCCTTGCCACCAAAAGATATTCTCAATTTGCTCTGGGCATGTTTGTTTTACTCATAATGTATTTATAGTGGCATTTCATCAAGGTTTTAACTTCCATTTTCCTGGTTATTAATGATGCTGGACACTTATTCAAATGCCTATTGAGAATTTTTATATTTCTTTTAGATGCTTATTTAAGTCTTGCAATGATTGCATGGGTCAGATAATTAAAAAAAAGAAGCTCAGAAATTCCACAGAACATACTCACGGTAAGCTTTCATTATTATAAAGAAAACAGATACAAAACAGCAGGGAAAAAAAAAAACAGCTAACAAACGAACAAATGAAAAAACATGCCGGCAAATATTGGAAGCCTAATAGCTCCCCAGAATTTTCTCTTAAGTTATTCAGTATCTGTTTTATCTCTGCACATGGGCCATTATTTATATTATTTATGTATTATGTTATACATAAGTTGTGAAGTATACTGTGAGTCCTTCAACTTTGTTATTGTTTCTATTTTTTTCAATATTTTCTGGGTTATTCTAGACCATTTGCATTTCCATACAAATTTTAGAAACAGTTTGTAAATTTCCAAATTATGATGGAGCTTTAGTTTGGATCTCATTGAATATATAAGTACATTTTGGGGAGACTTGACATCCTAACAAGACTGAATATTGCAATCCATCAAGATGATAGCTTCTTTAAATTCTCCCAGTGATGTTTTGTAGTTTTCAATATATAAATTTTGCATATCATTGCCAGGCTGAATTATAGGTCTTTAAAATTTTAATGCTATCATAAATAGTGTTTTTTAAAATTCCCATTATTTTTGCTAGTTAGAATTACCTTTTGTATATTGACTGTGAATCCAGTACCTCTGCTGAATTGACTCATTTAGTGAATTTATAGATGCTTATTAAGTATAACCAGTTTTTTTAAGATTCATTTGTATTTTCCATGTGAACAACCATATCAACTACAAATAAAGATTTATTTAGTGCTTTCTTGCCTATCTTTATACTGCTTAATTATTTTGCATGTCCTATTGCCTTGGTTAGGACCTTCAGCACAAAGTTTAATATAAGCCACGGTAGTCATCTTTGTCCTTTTACCACAATTTCACAATTATGATAGCTGTAGCTTTTGTAGATACTTCTATCAAATAAGAAAGTCTCTTTCCATCTCCATTTTCCTATGGGGGTTTATTAAAAATATGTTTTGAATTTAGAAAATGTGTTTCAGAACCTGTTGAGTGTTTTTCTCTATACTCTGTTAATGTGGTGCATTGCACTGATAGATATTTTTCGTTTTTTTCTTTCTTTTCTTTTCTTTTCTTTTTTTTTTTTTTTTTTTTTTTTAACAGAGTCTTGCTCTGTCACAGAGGCTGGAGTGCAGTGGCAAGGTCTCCGTTCACTATAGCCTCTGCCTCTCAGGTTCAAGCAATTCTCCTGCCTCAGCCTCCCGAGAAACTGTGATTACAGGCATGCACCACCATGCTCAGCTAATTTTTGTATTTTTAGTAGAGACGGGATTTCACCATGTTAGCCAGGCTGTTATCAAACTCCTGACTTCAGGCAATCTGCCCTCCTTGGCCTCCCAAAGTGCTGGGATTACAGGCATGAGCCACCACGCCAGGCCTGATTGATTGTTTTTCAATGTTAAACTCAGTTGCATTGCCAAGAAAAGCAACAGTTGGTGTACTACTTTTCTGATATTTCTGTGAATCCATTTTCCTAATATTTTGTGTTTTTGAGTTAATGCTGGTGAGAGATATTGGTCAGTAATTTTTTTCCTTTCTCTCCCTTCCTTCCTTTTTTCCTTCCTTCCTTCTTTCTTCTCTCCCTCCCTTCCTTCCATCTTTTCTTTTCCTTCCTTCCCTCCTTCTTTCCTTCCTTTTGTAACTACTTTTCATATATCAGTATCTGAATTATGCTGGCTTCATAAAACAAGTAGAGAAGTGTTCCTTCCTCCATGAATTTCTTGAAGAATTTGTGTGACTTTGGAATTTGCTTCTTAAATGTTTGATAGAAATCAGGCCATCTTGGAGATTTTGTTGTGGAAAGAGTTTTAATTAGGAATTAAAATTTTTTAACAGACATACTTTTTTTCAGATCCTTCTGTTTTTATTTTTATTAGACTTTTTAAGTTGTGTTTTTCACTCAAAAGCTTCTTTACAATTGTCCCAGATTATTAATAGGCATGTAATATTAATATGTACATATTTTTGTCCAATTTTCTATTTCTTATATTAGTAATGTGTATTCATCCTCTTTTGTTCTTTATACTTCTTGCTGCAAATTTATTATATTAGCCACTGTTTTGGCCACATCACATTTGTTTTCCTACTTTTTATTTATTTTTAAAATTAGTACACCATATTTCTTACTTCGTCTTCTCATTTTTCATTGATTATTTGGAAGGTGTCGCATAATTTCTAAATATGAAGTACTTTTAGGATTTGTTTTTTGATTCATTTTTTTGTTTATTTCACTTGTAATCAGAAAACAGGCTTTGTATGTTTCTATTCTTTTCAATTGGTTGATATTTGTTTTGCGGTACAGTATGTAGTCTCTTTCAGTAAATGTTCCATTTGCAATTGAAAGTAATGCATCTTGGAGATTTTATTTCAATGTCAAATAGGTTAACACAATAATCATGTTTCAATTTTCTGTATGTTTACTACTATTTCTGCTTCATTTATCAGTTATTAAGAGAAATGTGTTAAAATTTACAACAATGTCTGTGTGTGTGTCTATTTCTTATGTTCGTTCTGACAATTTTAGCTACAAAATTTGAAGATATGATTTTAAGATCTTAAGATTTTAGGATTATAATATTTTTCTTTTGAATTATCTCATTCATCATTGTAACTTATCTGTCTTTATAACTAATACTGTTTGTTTTAAAGTCTTCTGTGCCCAATTCCTAATAAAGTCACAAAAACATATTTTTAATATTGTGTGCTGTGTCTTTTCCATGTATTTACTTCAGTTATTTGTGTCCTCTATATTGTGTTTCTTATAAACAACCAACAGTTGTGTCTTTTTTTGACAGTGAACCTGACAATCTTTGTCTTTTTTTTGACAAATTAATTTAGATACATTTAATTTAATTATTGATATATATTGGTTTTAACTGTATCATATTTTCATTGATTTTTAAAAATTACCTTCTCTCTCTTTTTGATTCCCCTCTTTTCTGATTTCCTTTGGGATAATGCAAGTTTTTATTAAATTATTTTATTTTATCTCCTCATTTGGGTTAGTGTTTATATTATGGCTTCATGAGAATTTCGTATACACATTTGATTCATTGCAGTTTTCTTTAAATTGATACTTTTACCATTTCCTAAATGAATCAAGAAACTTTCCTCCATTTATTGTTATCCCTCCTTTCCATTCTTATCATAGATATTCTGTTACTATTTATGTAATAAAACCCGTAAAACATAGTTATTAGTGTTGCTTTATTTAGTCAAACGTACTTGATCCCTACCCACACATTTGTCCTTGCAAGTGATCTGCATTCTTTCATGCATACAATAGACAAGGTTCAGTCAAGAAAGTAGAACATATATGGGATATTCAATAATGGATTTCATAAAGGATTTAGACCTTGCTTGCTGAAATTGTTGGAAAACCTGGTAAAGAGGAAATCTAAATGGAGACTTTAGGGTGTAAGAGGAGTTACCAATAAAGCAAACTAAGAAGCCCAGGCTGTCTAACTGCTGAAGTGGGACTTCAAATAAATTGCTGGTGGAGTGGTCTTTGGGAAGCTGCCGCCTCTGTGATTCAGAGGAGGGTTTCTGGTAATAAGTCTGGGCCACTGTTGATCACCTGGGAGTATTGCAGAAAAGGGAGAGGCAAGCTGGAACTTTGGCTTCAGTCAAGTTTCCCATGGAATCAGGGCAACCTTCCAAGAGTAATTGCTCTTGCATAACTTCTGCCCCTCCACATCAGACGTAGCTTCCTCTTTGGTACAACTGTGACTTGGAATCAAACAGTAAAAGCAATTCTGGAAAATATAATTTCTAGTTAAATTAAGTCAATAATAGAATGAGCCAGTATAGCCCAACTTCTGTTAAGATGGCATCCAGGTACCTGTTTCCACAATTTTTAACTTTCAAACAATGACAATAGTAAAATTATGCTCAATTACTTATGACATATTTATCCCTCATACAATCAAAAACATGGCAATAAAAGAAAGGGTATGTAAAGTTCTGTGACATGATCATCGGGTGATTTTCATTTTTCTAGCTGAGTCATTTGATATTATACAACATATATACTGAGATATAGGATGATCCACTTTAACAAATATAAGGTTAAAAATAGATTCATGAAGGAGAGAAAATGAAAGAAAATTGGTATACACACAAACATATTCATATTAAAACAGCGAACAAATATTCATAAGTACTATAGTTCTCATTTCTATAACTATTCACTTGGTTGTAGTTATTATTTATAAATTATTTCTTTATCCATATTCCCTTCACTTTTAGAAAGTCCATCAGCTGGTCATGGTTCTTTACCTGGAGAAGTAACCAAAGCTTTCATCAACGATGGGTCTGTTCATTAAAAGTTCTGCCTGTATTGGGCTAATATAATTTAACATTTACATTTATCAAAGGACCTGAGAGAACTAAGAAGGATTTCCTGAGTTCCAGGCTTCTTCCTACTCCTACTGTGTAATAGAGATTCAACTTCCTTCTGATACCAAGGAACAATCACTCTAACCTATGCAGCAATTATATGTGCCAGTTGATTTCACTGGCCTGAGGAGCCTACTGACTAGAATCCTTCCAGAGCTTTTAATGAAACCATTGTATTTTCTGGTCAAAGCATTTAATCTTTGGGAGAAATCAGCAGAGTCCAAAATCGCAAAGATGGGATACAAAAATATTGCTGGTAGGTCTTTAGGGTAATGAGAAAAGGAGCCACTCTGAGTTCCACATCTCGAACCCACACAAGTACATCCCAGTGATGGGAGGACGAGCACCACATTCTCAGTGCTGATTCAGTCTCACAAAGTGTCACCAGCCACTAGTGTCATTCAGAAAGACAAAACACTTGAGGAAGCTAATAAATAAGGAAATCTGAATAAAGCATGAATTTAGTTACCAGTAATTTATTAATATTAGTTCATTCATTGTAACAAATGTATTATATGGAAGATGTTAATAATGGGAGAAATGAGATGTGGGAACTCTCTGTACTATCTCTCAAATTTTCTGTAAATCTAAAACTTACCTAAACTAAATCACATTTTGAAACTCATTGAATATTAAAAGAAAAAATAAACAAGAGGCCTCCCACCATTCTATTATTGGTTTAGCTATGTCAAAATGATAAAGAATATGGTAGGACCAGTAAATCCATGAACATGTGCTTGTGCTGCACTTCATTTGGTACAAAATCACTCACATGTTCAGAATCAATGTAGTGTGGAATACGATGACATTGAATAACGTGTTCGATAATCTCACAGAAGGAGATTTTGGCAGAAGTACTTTGGTCAAAGAAGGAAGGCATAGCCATATCTAGAGTAAGTGCCTATTTCACTGCAGAAAGTTACCCAATGTAATCAACCTGGAAGGCATAGCCATATCTAGAATAAGTATCTATTTCACTGCAGAAAGTTACCCAATGTAATAAACCTGCTAAGTGGCTGGATTGTCTACTGAGAAAATGGTGCCATTCATGGGCTGTGGGCTTGCTCTTGGTAAGCTAAGCAATCCACAGTGGTAACCAGATTGATTTTGAGAAAGGAAATCCATGTAGCTGAGTCCATGTGTAATGCCCATTCCTGTTGTCAGGCACAGTTTGCTCATGAGGCCATTGGCTGAGTTTAGGGGCATCTGATGCAAGAAGCTCCCTAGCATCTACTTAACAGCTCATCTTGTCCATCTGACTATTAAAACTCTTTGCTACTAAGACTGCTATTTAGTGAGTATTTACATAAAATGCAAGTATTTTCACTCTCTGTGCCGCTTTGGAAAGGTCATTCTATACCTTTTCTTAAAACCTTTTCCCCAACTTTCCAAATATATTCCCTCCAACTTCCTGAGGATTGAGCCAGACAATGGTCTGTTGTTTCTGAATCAGTGAGGATCCCTATGGCTATCTCTCTTTCTAGGTAAAAAGAATCACTCAGTGCCCTGCTCAAAAGTGCTGCCCACATGATAGAGGATGCAGAGCATTTCCCCCATCACTGTTCTTCAGGATGACACCAGAGTGGGACTGCAGTCCTTCAGATGTCTGCTGCTGGATAGTAACAGAATACTGTGGAGACCAGTCTGAAAGCCAGGAGCAATTTTTTCGTCTTCAGTAAACTGTTCATAGAGAATACTTGATGCAGGTTGTGAGAAGGAAAACAATGCACCAGGAGTATATGCTCTGGGAATCTGAGTCATTTAGTGGTGAAAATTATTTACTTGTGCCCAATCTCAGGCATAACTTCGCCTGTTTGATGAAATGCTCCATGAGTTGGACAAATGCCATTCATGACAGGCAGGCAGTTCAGGCCTCACAGCAACACAGCAGCCCATGGCCAACCATTTGGTCTCTAACTAGCCTAGGAGTAAATCAGAAGTGGTTTCTCCAACCGAGAATACTTACTGGAAGAGAATAGCACAGTTTTCCTCTAGCAAAGAAGTCAAATAATTTATCCTAGCAAAACCATAAAAAATACAGACAATTTTACAAAAATTCAACTATAATTCTTAGGAAGACTAGGATTCACCACTGATATAAGTTGAAAAATGAGGAAACGCATAATTTGGTGGGGAGTCAACTCTTCAAAAATTAAGTTTACAACCTTAGATGAAAAAAGAAACTATAGAAAGAAAAGAAAATATAGAAATTATACAAAAGGATATTTCTTGTTCTGCTTAAAAAATATGTACTGAATTTGTACTATTTTTCAAGCACTCTGAAAATACAATGTTGATCAAAATAATGGATATCATCGCTACGTTCAGGAGCTTATACTGCAGTCAGAGTGATGAGAATAATAAAAGCCATACATCTAGACACATATACATGCAACACTAGGATGGCTAAAACACTGAAGCTTAAACAAAGAGCTTGAGCAGTCAACTGTAAAAATTTTATAAAACTTTTATGTCAAAATATTTATAATAGCACTGTGAAAGTTAATATCTTTAGTTAATGACAAACAGAATTTAGATTTTCCATTTTTTCTGTGTCTAGTGTTCATGAGTCTTTGTAAATTATATTAATCATTTTTCCAGTTACTATGGCTATAGAACAAACTGTCAAAAAATGCTTGGTGAGTATAAAACAACCACTTATACTTACAGAGTCTATGGGTCAGGAATTTGGACAGGGCACAGTATGCCTCTTCTTCATTGTATCTGAATCCTCAGCCAGAAGAGTCAAAGCCTAGGGACTGGAAATAAAGATTCATCCATTCCTATGCTGGGTGGTTATGCTTGTTGGCAGTTGAGACATTGGCTGAGCTGTCTCAAAACACTTATATTGAGCTCCTGCATGTAGCTCCCTCTTCCTCACAGCATGTTGGCTACTTTCCAATGGTGAACACTCATGGGAGAGAGAGAAATGAGAGAGAGGAGTGCTGGTTGGAAGCTCTACCATTTTTATGATTCAGCCTTGGTTGTCATGTTGCATCTTTTCCACCATCCTCTATGCCCAACCCTGTCGTAAACTCATCCAGTTTGAAGTGGAGTAGAAATAGACACTGCTTCTTGATGAAGAATGGCAAGGTTTTGGAAGGACAAACAGTATTAGAAATATTGCTATAGCATTTTTGGAAAGCACAATCTTTCACAATTATTAAGGTTAATGATTTTATTTAATTATTTTTTGGAAAAGATCCAGTTTGTCGGCCGGGCGCAGTGGCTCAGGCCTATAATCCCAGCACTTTGAGAGGCTGAGGCGGGCAGATCCCTTGAGGTCAGGAGTTTGAGACCAGCTTGGCCAACATGGTGAAACCCCGTCTCTACTAAAAGTACAAAAAATAGCTGGATGTGGCGGTGTGCGCCTGTAATCCCAGCTACTTGGGAGGATGAAGCAGGAGAATCTCTTATACCTGGGAAGGGGAGGCTGCAGTGAGCCAAGATTGTGCCACTGCACTCCAGCCTGGGTGACGAAGTGAGACCCTGTCTCAAAAAAAAAAAACAACAAATCCAGTTTGGAAATTGTCAATCCGCAAATATTTATTGGTAACTATGTGTTAGGCATCTTTCTAATTTCTGAGAATATGGGAGTAATCAGAAAAACCTCCTCAGAGTTACATTTTTGTGGTTTTAATTGAAACAGTATTATTCATCTATTTAGCAATGTTCTTCATACCCTTTAAAGGCAGCTCTCAACCAACACTGATGGTCATTACAGGCTTGCTGAAGACAAATGACACAGTTTAAAATAAAATGTGAAATGATGCAACAGTGAGTCAAAAGAAATGCCTTATATGTTTGCAGGTATACTTTGTATGCTAGTATGGTGTTTCACCTAGTCGGGTATTTAGTAGGCAAACTGCTTAAAAATACCCTATTATCTTCTGACATGTTGTATTACAATCTAATTTGGCTGCTTAATTTGAAAGCACATATATGAGAACTATGGGAGATATCAGGTAACTTTGTCATAGACCTGTATGATTTGTATCATGTATCTTTTGTGAGGTCTTTCTTAGTGGATCAGTCATGTACTGAAATGAGAACAACCTTGGGCCTGTGCCAAGTCAACATTCTCACCAGAATTCAGTAGCCCAGCCTTTGTGCCCTGGCTCAGCTCATCCAACGAACTCAATGCTGTGACTTCTTATTGATGGCCCTTCTCCCTAAATAACTTTATTTCTTCATCAAAGACAGAAATACTGGCAGGACTTGGGCATTTTTCCAAAACTATGTCTTAATTCACTTTAACTTTTAAAAAATTATACAAACTAAAGCATTTCTAGAAAGAAAATTGGACAAATCTGGTATCTTGGTCTAGAAATCTTCCAAAATCTTCCTCTGATTTTCAAGATTATGTAATTCTAATTATCATGTAAAGAATACATTGAAATACAGAAGCGTACTCTTTTAGCTTTACTTTCCCTTTTTAAAACTGTCATTTCTCCACAAAGAAGGGAAATGCAAAGTTTTTTCTTTATCAAGGATGCATTAAACTAGTATCACTTCTTCTCCTAAAAAACCACTTTATTTTCTGCCCTCCAATCCCCAAATACCATTTTTGCAAGTATTATTTATCAAAATGAAGAAATAATTGTCAAAAAAAAAATCAAGTACATGCTACAATGGCAGAGTTGTTAGAAGGTTAGCAATTATTTCCTAAATAAGAGAAATAAACTTTATCCACTTTTGAAGACATCCTACATCTAAGTTATATGCTTGAACCTCTATGTTAAGTGAAATTAGAAGGCTCCTAAATTCCACTTTGGAACAGGAAGCTAAGGTGTGAGGAGGTTAAATAAAGTTCCTAAACTGACATTAGTAGCTGTCAGCCTGACTGCAAATGAGACCTAAACATTTACATTTCTGTCACTCTTTTTATTGTTCAATCCCTTACCTCAAAAAGTGGTGACTGTAGAAACTGATGAATATTTTCTTCTGTGACTATTCTGGGAAATAATCAGCTTGCTACACTTTCATTCACAGATGTTTAAAGGGACAATGATAAGCTCCACAATTAAGCATAATTTTGGGGAACACAGAATAAAAATGAAACATCAGGATTCAAGATGTTATTCTATTATTTATTGTCTGTGTGTCAGATAATTTATCCTTTATAGGTCACAGACCCTCCCACGCATATAGAAAATTTGAATTAAAAATATCTGCCTTGTAGAATTTATGTGACTATTAAAGGAAATAATATAGGAAAGCATTCACCCAGGGCCTAAAATCAGGCAGGCACACAATGATTGTTATCTGTTTTTATTCTTATCTAGAATAGAGTTGGGAAGTAATTTGACAGATTGTATTTATTTTGAGGGAGTGTTGAAAAGCAGGTCAGAAACTATATGCATGGTCAGGACAATTTTTGTGTTAATGAATAACCAATTTCTTTATTATTGTGGAAATAGACAAGCCTAGTCTTTATCATCTGTTCCCTGAAAAGGGCCTAATTTATTTTTCCTGTTGCAAGCGAATTTAGATGGAATTCAAAAATGAATGCCATGATAATTTTTCCTTAACCCCAAGCCAGATGCTCTCAATTCACTGAAAACTGATTTAAAATATTACAAAGAAAACGAATGTGTGTCCACATTTGAAAAATATCAGTAAATGGACTGGAATAACTCAGGTTGAAGCCAGATGATATAATGATAGTCATTTTCTTTCTGCTTTGAGAATTCGTCCCAATACTATATTGCTGTCCTTCCTATTTGAGCAATAACACTACTGACTGCAATTATTCTCTGTGTGGGGTATTTACTGAAAAGACCCTTGTGCGATGATTATTTGCTACACAGTGTGCACACTTGAAAAGAGAGCTTTGATTTCCAAAAACAGCCATTTGTTGCACTGTTAGTTTTTTTATTCCTTCATCTTAAACTCATAATCTGATTGAAACATTTATACAAAGATTCTTATTTCCAGCCAGTTCTGGTGGCAGCATCCCAGTCCCAGGACTCTGGGACCTGCGGCACCACAGAGAAGCCACATCTCCTGACGTGGTCCTCTGTGTACACCACTGTCGTCCTGCACAAACATCAATACAAGCTGTAGGTGGATATACTGCCTTCTTGCATTCTGTGTCTACATGTAGTCTGAAATATTTGTGAGGGGTATATATGCAACATTGCCAAGATAGGTGTGTATGACTAGCAATGACTGCTGACCCAGACATTTCTTCATGCATTTAGAATGTTTACAAGTAAAATACAAAGTGACTGGCCCAGCGCTGTGGCTCATGCCTGTAATCCCAGCACTTTGGGAGGCCGAGGCAGGAGGATTGCCTAAGGTCGGAGTTTGAGATCAGCCTGGCTAACATGGTGAAACCCCGTCTCTGGTAAAAATATAAAAGTTACCCCAGTGTGGTGGTGTGGGCCTGTAGTCCCAGCTACTCAGGAGGCTGAGGCAGGAGAATCCCTTGAACCTGGGAGGCAGAGGTTGCAGTGAACCACGATCGAGCCACTGCACTCCAGCCTGGGTGACAGAGGGAGACTCCATCCCCAAAAAAAAAAAAAAAAAATGACCACAGCAGAAATTGCAAAAGAAGGCCTCTGATGTTATCCTCCATAAATAACTCCATTTATGTACAGTTTCCAGAACACAGAGACTGAAAGTAGATGACTGTTTACCAAGGGTTGGGTAGAAGATAGAAAATAACTGCAAATTAGCCCATTTTGGGATAATGAAAATATTGTAAAATTAGATAGCATTATTGGCTGCACGACTTTGCTAATCCTAGATAACCTCAATTTGTACTCTTTGGTGAATTATATGGTATAAAAATAATATATAAGGCATTTAAACCAAATGCACTAATTTAAATTTATTTCTAGTGTATAGCTTCAATTTACTATGAGTGAGAGTTTGAGTTCAAATCTGTTTAAATGACTTACCAAACCTTTGGAGATTATTTAATTTAAAATGTTGTTTCATATTTTAGGATCTTAAGCCACTTTGTTTCAAAAATCCACATTTTATATCTCTCATTAGAAAGTAAATATTATCTGTTTTCCCATCAGGTAAGGATGGATCCACTGACTTAATTATAAAAAGTTCTCATAAAATAAGCTCACCTTTTTTCTAATTGCTGCTCATTTAAGGATGCTTTCACTATGCTAGTTTAACAGCATGTCTCACTCTGTCACCCAGGCTGTAGTGCAGTAGTGTGATCATGGCTCTCTGCTGCCTTGAGCTCCTGGGCTCAATCAATCCTCTCACCTCAGCCTCCAGAGAAGCAGGGAGTACAGGCAGGCACCACCACACCTGGATAATTTATTTTTATATTTTTCATAAAGATGGGGGGTCTCACTATGTCGCCCAGGCTGGTCTCAAACTCCTGGGCTCAAGGAATCCTCCCGCTTCGACTGCCCAAATTGCTGAAGTTACAGGTGCAAGCCACCACTCCTGGCCTTTTTTCCTTTGTTTTCTACCCCAAAAGTATCTATAGTTTTATGATCCCATAGATAACTGTGAAAGTCATTACATACCGTGAAAATACTTCTGATGTAAGAAAAAGAAAAAACTAAGTGACCAAATATTTGTCAGGCTGTGTCCTCATCTAGGACCAGCTCACATTAATCAAATGCTTAAGTGTAAAAATCTCTTCAAAGTGAATGTATAGAATTCCCTATTAGTTACCAGTCACTTCTTTTAGGATCTAGTTGTTAACAAAAAAAATTATATTTTACTTTCAGGGGCACAAATGCAGGTTTGTTATGTGGGTAAACTCATGTCACTGGGGTTTGTTGTACAAATTATTTTGCTGCCCAGGTACTAAGCCTAGTACCCAATAGTCATTTTTTTCTGATCGCCTCCCTCACCCAACATAGGGCGTGAAGTGTCTCAGTGTCTATTGTTCCCTCAGGGTCTATTGTTCCCCTCCTTGAGTCCAGGTGTTCTCATTGTTTAGCTACCACATATAAGTGAGAATACATGGTATTTGATTTTCTGTTCCTCCATTAGTGTGCTAACAATAATGACCTCCAGGTACATTCATGTTCCTGCAAAGGATATAAGCTCATTTTTTATGGCTGCATAATATTCCATGGTGTATATGTACCATATTGTTTTTATCCAATATGCCAGTGAAGGGCATGTAGATTAATTCTATTTGTTTTAGTGAATAGTGCTGCAATGAACGTATATGAGCATGTGTCTTTATGGCAGAATGATTTACATTCCTATGCATATATACCCAGTAATGGGATTGCTGGGCTGAATGGTAGTTCTGTTTTAGCTCTTTGAAGAATCTCTACACTTTTTCACAATGACTGAATTAATTTACACTCCTACCAACAGTGTATAAGTGTTCCCTTTTCTCTGCTACCTCACCAGCAACAGTTATTTTTTGACTCTTTAGTAATAGCCTTTCTGAGTGGTGTGAAATGGTATCTCATTGTGGTTTTGATTTGCATTTCTCTAATTACCAGTGATATTGAGCTTTTTTTCACATGCTTGTTCACCGCATGTATGTCTTCTACTGAGAAGTGTCTGTTCATGTCCTTTGTCCACTTATGAATGGGGTTGTTAGATTTTTTTCTTGTAAATCTGTTTAAGTTTCTTATAGATGCTGGATATTAGATTTTTGTCAGATGCATAGTTTGCAAACATTTTCTCCCATCCTGTAGGTTGTCTGTTTACTCTGTTGGTAGTATCTTTTGCTGTGCAGAAGCTCTTTAGTTTAATTAGGTCCTATTAGTCAAGTTTTGCTTTTGTTGCAACTGTTTTTGGCATCTTCGTCATAAAATCTTTGCTCATTTCTATGACCGGGATGGTATTGCCTAGGTTGTCTTCCAGAGATTTTACAGTTTTGGAATTTACATTTAAGTCTTTAATCTATTGTGAGTTTATTTTTGTATGTGGTGTAAGGAAGAGGTACAGTTTCAATCTTCTGCATATGGCTAGCCAGTTATCCCAACACCATTTATTGGATAGGGAATCCTTTTCCCTATTGGTTGTTTTTTGTCAGCTTTGTTGAAGATCAGATGGTTGTAGGTGTGTGGCCTTAGTTGTGGGTTCTCTATTCTGTTTCATTGGTATGGTCTACGTGTCTGGTTTTGTACCAGTACCATCCTGCTTTGGTTACTGTGGCCCTGTATTATAGTTTGAAGTCAGGTAACATGATGCTTACAGCTTTGCTTTTTCCTTAGGATTCCTTGTCTATTAGGGCTCTTTTTTGCTTCCATAGAAATTTCAAAATAGTTTTTTCCAGTTCTGTGAAGAATGTCATTGGTAATTTAATAGGAATAGGATTGAATATGTACATTATTTTGAACAGTATGGTCATTTTAATTATATTGATTCTTCCTATCCATGGGCATGGAATGTTTTTCCATTTGTTTGTGTCTTCTCTGATTTCTTTGAGTACTGTTTTGTAATTCTCATTGTAGAGATTTTTCACCTCCCTCCTTTGCTGAATTCCTAGGTGTTTTCTTCTTTTCATGGCAGTTGTGAATGGGACTGCACTCCTGATTTGGCTCTTGACTTGGCTGTTGTTTGCGTATAGGAATTCTAGTGATTTCTGGACATTAATTTTGTATCCTGAAACTTTGCTGAAGTTGTTTATCATCTGAAGAAGCATTTGGGCTGAACCTATGGGATTTTCTAGATATAGAATCATGTCTGCAAACAGAAATAGTTTGGCTTCCTCTCTTCCTATTTGGATGCCCTTTATTTCTTTCTCTTTCCTGATTGCTTTGGCCAGGACTTCCAACACTATTTTGAATAGGAGTGGTGAGAGAGGGCATCCTTGTCTTGTGATGGTTTTCAACAGGAATGCTTCCAGCTTTTGCTCATTCAGCATTATATTAGCTGTAGGTTTGTCATACATGGCTCTTACTAGTTTGAGGCATACTCCTTCAATACCTAGTTTATTGAGAGTTTTTAACATGAAACGTTGTTGAATTTTATCAAAAGCCTTTTCTGCCTCTATTGAGATAATCATGTGATTTTTGTCTTTATTTCTGTTTATGAAACGAATCACATTTTTTGATTTGTGTATGTTGAATCAACCCTACAACCCAGGAATAGAGCCTACTTGATGATGGTGGATTACCTTTTTGATGTGCTGCTGGAATCAGTTTGCAAGTATTTTGTTGGGGTATTTTTGCATTAGTGTTCATCAAGAATATTGGCTTGAAGTTTCTTGTTATTGTTGTTGTGGCTTTGCCAGATTTTGGTATCAGGAAGATGCTGGTCTCATATAATGACTTAGAGAGGAGTCCCTCCTTCTCAATTTTTTGGAATAATTTCAGTAGGAATGGTACCATCTCTTCTTTTTACATGTGGTAAATGTAAAAATTTAGAATTTTTACATTTCTAAAATTCTACTGTGCACCTGTCTGGTCCTGGCCTTTTTTGTTGTTGTTATTAGGCTATTAATTAATTATTCCATTTTGAAGCTCATTATTTTTGGTTTGTAAAGGGAATCAATTTCTTCCTGGTTCAGTCTTGAGAGGGTGTATGTGTACAGTAATTTATTCATTTCTTCTAGAGTTTCTAGTTTGTATGCATACAGGTGTTCGTAGTAGTCTCTGATGGTTATTTGTGTTTCTGTGGGTTCAGTGGTAATATCCCCGTTTTCATTTCTTATTGTGTCTATTTGAATATCCTTTCTTTCCTTCTTTATTTATCTAGCTAGTGGCCTATCTTATTAATTTTTTCAAAAAAAAAATTCCTCAATTCATTGATCTTTTGGATGGTTTTCCATGTCTCGATCTCCTTCAGTTCAGTTTTTATTTTGGTTACTTCTTGTCTTCTAATACTTTTGGGGTTCATTTGCTCTTGCTTCTCTAATTCTTTTAGTTGTGATATTGTTAATTTAAGATTTTTATAGCTTTGTGATTTGGGCATTTAGTACTATTAATTTTTCTCTTAATACCGCCTTAGCTGTGTTCCAGAGATTCTGGTATGGTGTATATTTGTTCTCAATTGTTTCAAAGAACTTCTTGATTTCTGCCTTAATTTCATTATTTACCCAAAAGTCATTCAGGGGAAGTTTGTTTAATTTCCATGTAATTGCATGTATTTGAGAAATATTTTTTTAATTTTGATTTCTATTTGTATTATGCTGTGAGGACCTAATTCTTTTTTATTCTTCTCTGCTTCCATTGCTCAAGGCTCAAGATTAGTTCTCATTTTGTTCTTTGGTAAATTATTTATTTTCTGTTACTCTGTCACCTTTTTAAGAGATGTTTGGACACAGACATTCATTATTTCATATGTATTAATCTACTAGTAATTAGTACAATCTTTGGAACTTATTATATTAGTTTAGTTGTATGTGTCAGCTTGGCTAGGCACACTACCCAGTTATTTAACCAAACACCAATCTAAGTGTTGCTGTGGGGGTACTTTCTAGATGTGGTTAACATCTGCAACTAGATCTGGCCTTGGACCAGAGGCACTGTGATCTTTAGTTATGGCTTTACGTCTCCTGCTCATGCTCCAAGGTGTATAGCAGTGCCACCAAATTGAGTCTCCTTCTATTCTGCTTAAAGATTAAGAAAGGATGTTGCCACATAGGAATAGAATTTTAAAACTCATGATGTTCCCAGGTCATTTGGCTTCTGGATACCGTCCTCATCATGAAACACCCTGTGAATTCTCTCTGCATTCTGCTAGAGCTGGGGCTGGATCTCATGAACACAGCAAGTAAACAAATGACTCAGACAGCAGGAGTCCAATATCCTCAATAGTGTGGATGGGCCTCATTTAATCCATTGAAAGGCCTTAAAAGTCAAACACTGAGATTTCCCAGAGAAGAAATTTTGCATTAAGATGGCATCATTAATCCTGCCTGAGTTTCCAGCCTCTACCACTTTCAAACTTGCCATCCCCCACAATCATGTGAGACAATTCCTTTGCATAAATTTCTCCTATGTATGTACATCTAGATATCTCTACTATTAGCCTGTTTCCCTAGTGAGCCTGGCTGATGTGCTTCACTTTTTGCTTCACTTCATGTCTTCCTATTTATTTCTTCTTTATTTTTCCCTATGTTATTGGGTTACAGGTGGTATTTGGTTAAATGAATAAGTTCTTTAGTGCTGATTTGTGAGATTTTGGTGCACCCATTATCCAAGAAGTATACACCGCATCATATTTCTAGTCTTTTATCCCTCGCCCATCTCCCAATCTTCCCCCCAAGTCCCCAGTGTCCATTTTATCATTCTTATGCCTTTGCATTTTTAGCTTAGTTGCCACATATCAGTGTGAACATATGATATTTGACTTTCCATTCCTGAGTTACTTCACTTAGAATAATAGTCTACAATCTCATCCAGGTTGCTGTGAATGACATTAATTCATTCCTTTTTATGGAATATAAATATACCATGGAATATATGGAATATGTTTATATGGAATATAAATATACCATACAAATATACCATGGTTTCTTTACCCACTCATTAGTTGATGGGAATTTGGGTTGGTTCCATGATTTTGCAATTGCAAGTTGTGCTGCTATAACCATGCATGTGCAAATATCTTTTTCATATAATGACTCCTTTCCACACCCAGTAGTGGAATTGCTGGATCAAATGGTAGTTCTACATTTAGTTCTTTAAGTTAAGTTCACTGTTTTCCATAGTGGATGTACTAGTTTACATTCCTACCAGCAGTGTAAAAGTGTTCCCTGTTCACCACATCCATGCCAACATCTGCTGTTTTTTGATTTTTTGATTGTGGCCATTCTTGCAGGAGTAAGATGGTATCACATTATGGTTTTAATTGGCATTCGCCTGATAATTAGTGATGTTGATCTTTTTTTTATTTTTTTTTGGCCATTTGTATATCCTCTTTTGAGAATTGTCTATTCATGTCCTTAGCTCACTTTTTGATGGGATTGTTTTTTTCTTGCTGATTTGTTTGACTTTGTTGTAGATTCTGATTATTAGTCCTTTGTCAGATGTGTGGATTGTGACTATTTTCTCCCACTCTATGGGTTGCCTGTTTACTGACTGTACCTTTTACCATGCAAAAGCTCTTTAGTTTACTTAAGTCTCAACTGTTTATCTTTGTTTTTATTGCATTTGCTTTTGGATTTTTAGTCATGAAATCCTTTCCTAAGCCAATGTCTAGAAGGATTTTTCTAATGTTATCTTCCAGAATTTTTACCATTTCAGGTCATAGATTTAAGTCCTTAATCTTACAGTTGATTTTTGTATCAAAAAAAAAATCTGGAGGCATCACACTACCTGATTCCAAACTATACTACAAGGCCATAGTCACCAAAACAGCATGGTATTGGTATAAAATTAGGCACACAGACCAATGGAATAGAATAGAGAACCCAGAAATAAACCCAAATACTTACAGCCAATTTATCTTCGACAAAGCAAGCAAAAACATAAAGTGGAGAAAGTACACCCTATTCAAGAGATGGTGCTGGGATAATTGGCAAGCCACATGTAGGAAAATGAAATTGGATCCTCATCTCTCACCTTATTTATTTCTTTTTATTTTTTATTTTTATTTTCTTGCCTGTCAGGTCATGCAAGGCCTATTCCCATTTATTTCTGATCTCAGGAAAATGTTTACATTACTCCAATTCCACAGTCTATGTAATAGTTCTATTTTTTAAATTTCCATTTAAAATAACCTTGCCCTAGAAGGCAGGGTAAAATATTCTAGGTGACACATTAGTCACATTAGTCAAAGTGTCTTAGAGTGAATAACACTTCAACTTTTAAAATATTTGGGTTCCATCTTTAGAGCACAAAAACCCACTATCAAGACTCAGATCCCGTTAATGTGTCGGTATTCTTTTGTTGTCTGGGCTCTAAACAAGACATCAGCATAAACTTGAAGTTACAAATCCTCAGTTTGGACTACACTTTCCTATATAATGGTAAACAATGTTTATTTACATATATTTGTTTCTAATACTGCTTCTTTTTCACTTCAAATGATCACAGCCATCCTTTATCTTGAGAAACATTTAAGAACAGTATGGATGTTGAGAGCATTAACCAAAATTCAGATGAACTGGTTTCAACATTAGCTTTTCCACTTCCTCCACTTTCTGATGAAGCTTCTGAAACTCTCCCAACTTTGATTTTCTTATGTGCAAAATACGAATTAAAAAAACCTATCCCATAAAGTTGCTGTGAAAATTAAATAGTCAATGTATGGAAATCATACAGAAGAATGCCTGGTCAAGGTAAGCATTTCAGTAAATATTAGTAAACAGTATTTTCATTGGTTACTTCTTGAAATATGTCCTTTTTCTGTCTCAGATTCTAACCTCCAATTGGCTTGACAATGCCGTTATAATTAGGAAACAATAAACTAAAATTGTGTTGTCAACTTTTAAGTCTATTCCAGACTTGGTCAATATCTTAAAACACACATTAGAATATGTTGCTGTTGTAAATCACCTTCTTATGACCCCATAGGTAGTATTCTCCTTTTTCCAGCACAGCATGTTGATACTATCCAACATCCAACATGTTGTATTAATGCACACTGCCCTGGTGATACAATGAAGAAAATAGCATATGCCTGGAAGAAGCAGAATTAGTGAACAAAAGTATGAATACAAGGTAGAGATTAGCAATTTTATTATTGTAATTATGTCTGATTTATGAAAATGTTCATGTGAAGTACTTATACTGGACTTTGAGAGAAATATGTAATTTCAAGCAGTTTATCAAAGTATAAAATGATGTAGGTTTTATAATGCATTAAATTATTAAGACAAGATATAACTGGGCTTTAGGCAGCACACGAAAAAGTAGTAAGTTTAAATTACAATTAAACACAAAGTCAGCAATGTTTGTTGTTTTCCGTAGAGAAATAGAAATTGTCAATATTTTAGAGCTTATTAGTCAGTTGAAGTTGTCCTTTATCTTCACTTCTCGTATCATGTTTTGCTGTCTTTCTGTTTTAGCATGAATCTGTTAGATGTAGCAAATCTCACCCAAATAATTCTCATTAAGACCACACTTTGGAAGGGGGTCAGGGCATGGAACAGATAATACTACTTACAACCTAGATTATAAATTGGTTTTTTTTTTCCCACTTAACCCCATCACACATAAATTACAAAAAAAAATTCATATGACTGTAGTCATTTATTTTTACTAAAGGTATGACGAAATAGTTAACAAATATTGGACACCTGCTAAGTGAGAGGTACAATTCTATACAAACTACTGTGCTGGGTAGTTTGAGTCTTTTGCCTCCCCTTATAAACATCAGAATCAGTTTATCAATATCAACAGAGTAACTTGTTGGAATTTTGATTGGGATGGCATTGGATCTATAGATCAAAGTGGGAAGAACTGACATCCTGAAAATATGCTTTTCTTATGTATGAACACGGAATTTCTCTTTGTTTATTTAGAATATTGTTGATTTCTTTTATTAAAGTTTGTATTTTGCTTGTGAACAGAAATAGTTTGATATCTTCTTTCTCATTATGAGTCACCTTTCTTTTCTTTGCTTGTTTTACTGCATTATCTAGGTGTTCTAGTATAGTGTGAATAGAAGTGATGAGAGGGAATGTGCTTGCATTGTTCCCAACCTTAGGGAGAAAGTATCTTGTTTTTCACCATTAAGTATGAGGTCAGCTGCAGGGTTTTTGTAAATGTTCTTTTTAAGAAATTTCTTCTTCACTCCTAGTTTAATGAGGGGAATAATAAATTTTAAGAAAAAATATAAAGAAAAGGAAGAGAAAACAATAAACAAGAGGGTTTTTGTTTTTAATGTGTTCAGGAAATTGTCTCTGAGAAGTAATATTTCAAACCCACATTAAATGAGACAGCTTTCCATGTCAAGATTAGGTAAAAGAGAACTCTAGGAGAAAGGAAGTAGAACTATAAACATTATCAAGTGCAATTTAGTTGGGTATTAAGAAAACTTTATTTTTTTCATTTTCTCCTGTACTAATTCTGTTTTTGAAAAATATGTAATGTTCATTGGATTTAGTGTCTCCCTTATATTTTGTTTGTGTTCTGCAGATATTGTTTGGTATGATTATTTATATTTACATGTAAAAGTCTAGAATATAGACTCTGTTCAATCTATACTTTTAAGAAAATAAACTTTTTTTATATGGGCATATTTTCTACACCCAGATGAGACATTTTTGTTTTCTTGTGATATATGCAGGGCCCTGGTGTCCATGTTGCACTCTAGTGATTATGTGGGAGGACTGGACTTCAGCCAAGTCAGGATGTCCACAGTAGGATGATATGTTTGGTAGGGGCATGCCCCCATATGGCCGTAAAATAAGTAGAACACTATTCTGCTTCTCTGATCTAAACAATAAAAACACAACCATATGGAACTTTCCAGAATTAGAACTCCAACTTAAGCCTGTTTTTTGTTGCTCAAGTACAAATACTGATAACTCTTTTTTGTTGTCGAGATTCGTATTAGCTTACTATTGCTGATCTAAGAAATCATTACAAATTTAGTAGCTTAAAACAACACAGAATTTATTATCTTTTCCAGTCTTACAGTTCTGGAGGTCAGATGTCTGAAACGGATTTTGTGGAGCTAAAGTCAAGGTGTTTGCAGAGCGGTGTTGCTTCTGTGAGCTCGGGAGGCAATTCTGTTCCTGCCCTTTCCAGTTTCTGGAGGCTGCCTGAATTCATGGCCACATCATTCCAACTTAGGCTTTTATAATTTGATCTGCGCGACTCCCTGGACTTCATCCTTTCATTGTAAGAGCACATAATCATATTGGGCCCATATGAATAACGCAGGATAATGATCCCATCTTTATGCCTTCCACAAAACGTGACATACTTTCAATTTGCCCCTTCTTATTAGCTGCTGGCCAGCCGTGCATAGCTGACTTCTCCCTGAGCTCTCCTCCTCTCTGTTGCTTCCTGCCTCAGTTCTATTTCCAGGCTCTACTTGAATGTGAACATATTTTTATGTCCTTTCTCTCTTGCCTGCTTTATTGGGTCCATTAATTCCTCACTGCTCAGGTCTTCTGGTGGCACTCCTCCTAGTTTTAAAATGGTGAAATAAATTAAATTTTATTTTTTTGTGTAGTCATTTATTTCAATAGAACTTTGAGAGAGAACGGTGCTAAAAATGTGTATCTCAAAAACCATTTTGAATGGAAGGTAGTATATTTGATATGGAAAAAAAATCTTTCTTTAAAAACCTCTTGATTTTCTTAAATACAACATTGAAAGCTATTAGACAGACTAGATAAGAGTGTTATTTCAGAACTAGGAATGTGTTAACTTGTTCTTGATTGTATTTCTGGAAATTGATCTTCCCCTGGATAATAGGTACAACTTTAGTTGTTATAATTTAACAGATGACTTTAAATGAATGTATTGATTCCCTTACAACACTCGCCATTTATATGTGGAACCAAATATTTAATGAAAAGTTATTCTTTAGGGATACCTTTCTATAGTCTCTGACACTTGAACACTTCATATAGACATGCAGACACACGCACTCACAGACCCTTCAGAAAAATCTGTCATTTATATATAGTTTCCAGGATGATCTTTCATTTTTATTGGCTATAGAGTTCAATAGTGCTAAATGAAGTCTATAACTCTATGTGGCATGGACTGGCTTATCTTTATAAAACATCTTGTAGGTCTATTAATTTAAACAGCTGCCACAGACTGACAGTTAAAAACTGTTTTTCAAGAGCATTCTTTATTGTTTTGTGTTTTTGCCACTGAGTCTCAATAAGATCACAGATAAAGGAAGACACAACACAGTATCAATAACTTTACAACATTTATATATATTTTTACTCCGAGAATCTGTATACATTTCACCTTATCTTAACACTTTTTGAAGTTTGGTGAATATAGCTGCTGTTGTTTTTATCGATTCATCTCGCTTTTCCTTTTCCATGTATTTTGATAGGAGAATACATATTTCCTATTGAAGACACTTTCCTTTGTGGTTTATTAGAAAATCCCTATATCCATGCTATATATGGAGAGGCACATAACCCAGTGCTGGCCACAAAGATGAGACCATAATGTTGGACTAGGTCATTGGTTTGATGTTCATCATACAACCTAGAGAGGAAAATTGGAAGACATGTCTACGGCTTCTGTGGGATAATAAGAAAAAGGTGATTGGAAAGACAATAGGAGCCAATAGACACTATTGTCCTTTTTTGTTTCAAAGGATAGTTAATTTGAGAATAATCCAATACAGAATGCAGAATGAATAAAGAAATTCAGATTCCTGGTTATATTATTTGAAACTGTAAATTCCTGAAAATTCACAGCTTGAACTTCCTTATTTAATGAGTCAATAAAATTCTTTTTTGTGTGTGAGTGCTCTGAAGGTGCATTTCACTCATTTGTATCTGAAATAGAGTTGTCTAACAGAATTGATAGTGGTAGTTGTTATTACATAGTTGATGCTCAAATGGGGACTTGAGTAAGTGGAAATGTCCTGGAGGTCCTCATCCTGGCTATGCATTGGCCATCGTTTTTAGGTGGTGGCAAGTGGCTGGTAAAACTGATGTCAAGTGGATGCTGGGATTGCAGCTATGTGTATATCTCACCTACAATTTTAGAGGGTAGAGGCAAAGGGCTGATTGTCCTAGCAATTTATGAAGCCAAATGGATAACATTAAACTGCAAAGAGAACTCACGAATGTGTACCCAGATGCAAGACAGCAAGGCATATTGCTAAGAAATGAAAACCCTCAGGAACTGGATCCATATCTATGCTTGGACTCAGCCTTTACCTATTAGATGTTTCAATATTGGGGCAGTTGTTTCAAATAAGAACCCTCAAGGCAGGGATAAAACAAAAATCAAAAATCATGTGATACTCAACAACTGTGTGCCTTTCTCATTCCTTAAAGTTCCTTAGTTTAAATAATTTTCAATAGTTTATACCTATGAATATAAAATTTTTGAGCATCTTAATTACAGTTCTATATTAAATGATAAAATAAATAAAAAACAAGGATTACTCTAGAAATGGCATGAGATATATTTGTAACTTTAAAAATTGTAACATGTATTTCTTTTCATATAATCATACCTTTCTTCTCCTCATTTTCTGTTACTCTTTTCCCCCTCTTCCCTCATTTTGTCCTGCTAATCCCATTTCTTCATTGGACTAAAATCTTAGAAAGGCTACCCAACTTCTATTACATAGCCTTGCTTTTTGTTTTAATCTGCCTTCCATCATAACAAATAAACATGATAAACTTTGAGTTTCTAAATCATTTTTTGCAGCTAGCGACAACTAGCTACCCAGTTTGGGTCAATGGAAGTAAACACGTCAAGAGCATTCTTTGTAACTTCTATGTCTCCTACTTTTCACATCAGCGTTATAAAGAAGTGATGCCTGGATCTGTGACAGCCATCATGAGATAATGAAGCAACAAACTGAAGGCTAAAAGAAAGCCAGCCTGCCAGAACAGTGGGATTGAAGGACTGAGAGCCTGGGTATCTCTGAGGCTCCTATTCAAGCTCTATGGAACCACAAATGAGCTTCTTTAAATATTTTGCTAATAAGTAATGTGTTTCTACGGACATGTTTCCCTGTCACCCCAACAAAATAAATTATAATTGACTTGTTCATTCTCATTATTAGAATTTCACTGGAACTAAATTTATTATTATTTACATGCACATGCATAGAGTCAGTTGAAGAAAATATGCACTTGTGTATGATGTGTCACTGTATCAAGTTTTTAGGTAACATATTGCTAATTGAAGAATTGAAATTAATCCCCTAGAAATAATTCTGGTTTTTTTGTTTGTTTGTTTTTTCCCAAGTCCCTAATGAAATGGCTTGAAAGGTTCCCTTGTGCCCCTCGCAGGGTGTGCGACCAGGAGGAGTGGCTCACTTCTTCAGTGCCCTGCTGCTCAAACCTTTAGGGGAGCATACAGACCGGCAGGAGCTGTGGGGCTCTGACCCCACGGCAGCAGCTCACCGTGGATGTTTATAGCTCCTGAAGTCCCAGTGGGTGTGGGCTACTGTGTGCTCTTTTAGTTTTGCCGTCTACAGGCGGTTTGTGTTAACCAGCTCAATTAGACTCTTTACCTTGTAACAAGGACAGAGGGCTTTCTGTATCCCGGGTTCTTGCCTTGGTGTACCGGAGGAATCAGATCACGCCTGGGCTTAGAAAATGAGTGCAAGGTTTTATTGAGTGGCGGTAGCTCTCAGCAGATGGGAGAAGCCAGAGGGAATGGAGTGGGAAGGTTCCCCCCTGGAGTCTGGCCGCTCAGCGGCCCTGGCTTTCCTCCTACTGCCCAGGCCAAACTCTGCCTTGTTCCGCCAGTCAATGGCCTGCCGGCATGCAGGTGTCTGTCATGTGCTCTTCTGCCAGCATCCTCCCCTCGACATCCTCTCCATGTCCAACCACTTGTGTCTTCTCCGTTGGTGTGCTCCCCTCGATGTTCAGCCGCCTGTGTGTCTGCCTGCTAGGGTCTCAGGGGTTGTTTTGTTCTGTTTTGTTTGTTTTATTTTGAGACGGAATTTCACTCTTGTTGCCTGGGCTGGAGTGCGGTGGCACAATCTCAGTTCATCGCAACCTCCGCCTCCCGGATTCAAGTGATTCCCCTGCCTCAGTCTCCCGAGTAGCTGGCATTACGGGCATGCGCCACCACGCTGGGCTAATTTTGTATATTTAGTAGAGACGGTGTTCCTCCATGTTGTTCAGGCTTGTCTGGAACTCGCAACCTCAGGTGATCCGCCCGCCTCGGCCTCCCAAAGTGCTGGGATTACAGGCGTGAGCCACCGCGCCCTGCAGCTCTCGGGGTTTTTATAGGCACAGGATGGGGGCGTGGCAGGCCAGGGTGGTCTTGGGAAATGCAACTTTTGGGCAGCAAAACAAAAATGCCTGTTTACCTAGGTCCATGGACACCGGCCCAGGGGTGGAGCCCTAGCCAGAGACCATGCCCTCTTCTACCCAGCACTTCCTTCCCCACTTCTGCATCATTTAAAGAGACCACACCCTTTCTTTCCCTTCTCCTGCATCACTAACATATTATCTAATCCTCCCTGGGAAAATAATATTATTCCACAGAATCTTGGGTAGCATTTCTTTCCCCATTGGCAAGTAAGGTCCTCCAATTCATCCTATCCTGACCAGCAGCTCCACTTAAGAGTATAAGGCTAAATTAGAAACTGCACAAGCATGGAGAGTACAGTATTTGTGAGGGTTAATTTCATGTGTTGATTTGGCTGGGCTAAGGTTGACCAGAGAGCTGGAAAGTCATTATTTCAGGGTAAGGATTTTTCCATAAGAGGTTAGCATTTAGATCAGTAGACTGAATAAAGACAGTCTGTGGGCAGACAGCATTTAATCCCTTGAGGACTCAAATAGGACCAAAAGATGGAGGCAGGAGGATTCTCCCTCTCTCTTCTGAGCTGGGACATCATCTCCTGCTTCGGACATTGGTGTTCCTCGTTCTGGGGCCTTTGGGACTCCAGGACTTACACCATCACCCTAGTGCCTGCCCGCTCTCAGGACTTTGTTTGAACTTGGAGTGCATTGTATCACTGGCTTTCCGGCTTTTCTGGTTCTCCAGCTTGCAAATGGCAGATTGTGGGACTTTTCAGCCTCCGTAGTCAACTAAGCCAATTCCTATAATTAATATCTCTCTTTCTTTCTCCCTCTCTCTCTGTCTGTCTCTTTCTCTCTGTGTGTGTGGGTGCATATGTGAGTGCGTGTTCCTATTGATTCTGTCTCCCTGGACAACTTCAATACAATACTTCAGAAAATTATATTATTTTCTCAAATCCAAGTTATCAGTGACACAGATGCACTTGACACCTCACATCTCCCTTTAGGAAGGATATTTTGATGCTTTTGTGGATTACAATATGTTGATTTTTTTCATAGTAAACAGGAGGAGCACTGGGAATTATAGATAACATATAAGGGGCTTATCTTCTGTCTCTTACTATCACATGATTCAAACATTACCTATCATATGCTCACTGTTTATTTTAATCACATCCTTTCTGAAACCAGGAGTTTTACTTTTCTAAATACTAAATTATCTAATTTTTATATAGCAAAGGATTTGAGATACTTATAAGAAGCTCATAAATTTCTATATATGAAAAATAGCAATGTTTTCTGGAAATCTAAGAAAATCCTAGGATATTTAAGACATTTAAAATAATGTTTTTGCAAATAACTACTGCAAACAATTGAATTTTCTCTCTCTCTGTATATGTGTATGTGTGTATTGTATATACATGTATACATGTGTATGTGTGTGTTTGTGTGTATATATATACACACAAACATTTTATATATGTATACATATACATATATACACACATATATATATATGACAACCTGAGTATTTTACTCTAATTCTTTTTGAATATCTAACTTCTGGAACATTAAAACTTTATATCTATAACTATACAGACTTCTTCATTTTGATACATCAATTTAAATAATTTACAGCCTTTCCTTGGAATCCACAGGGGATTGGTTCCAGGACACCATTTTGAATACTTGAATCTGGTGATGCACAAGTGCTTTCTATAAAATAATATAATCTTTGCATACAACCTATGCACATCATCCTCTATACACTAAATTATCTCTAGATTTTTTATAATATCTAATACAACGTAAATGCTATGTAAATAGTTATTTTTATTTGTATTTTTATTGTTGTATTCTTACTTTTTATTTCTTTTTCTGAATATTTTCAATTCATGGTTGGTTGAATTCATGGATTTCGTGGACAGAGAGGGCAGACTATACTTAAAATCACTTAGAAAGTTGCAGATCTAGACCAGGTGTGGTGGCTCACACCTGTAATCCCAGCACTTTGGGAGGCCGAGGCGGGCAGATCATGAGGTCAGTAGTTCGAGACCAGTCTGGCCAACATAGTGAAACCTTGTCTCTACTAAAAATATAAAAAATTAGCCGGGTTTGGTGGTGTGTGCCTGTAATCCTAGCTACTTGGGAGGCTGAGGCAGGATAATTGCGTCAATCCGGGAGACGGAGGTTGCTGGGAGCTGAGATCTCGCCATTGCACTCCAGCCCAGGCAACAGTGCAAGACTCTGTCTCAAAAAAAAAAAAAAAGTTGTAGATCTAATTTTTCTATGTATAAAATTTACAGAAGTTAAGAAAAATCTGTATTTCACAACTCTTACACAAGAAGTTATCGTGTTGTTTAACAAACATTTATTAAGCATAAACAATCATCAAAGTAGACATTACCCACTGTGGGATATAAAAAGAGAACACTTATGTTATGTGGAGATATCATGGCAGAGTGCAAGGAGAGGAGACTTTGGAAATACAGAGGCCTTGACTGAAGTTAAATTTCCTCCACAAGTTAGCGGTGTGGCTCTCCTAAGGTGAGGAAAGTAGGCCTTTCACAGCCATTTTTCATCTGTAAAATGAGAATGATAACCTTTATCTCACTGTGCTCCAATGGCCTTTGAATCAAAGAAGGCACAGAAAATGCCCAGCAGAGTAACTTTTATCATATATACCCCAATGAATGTGATTTCTGAAATGACTTCCTTTTTTCTCCGCTGAAGAAGGTAAAATCTTCCATTTTGGGTATGGTGCTTGTGGAAGATGGTGGTGGGAGGAGTGAGAAACGGAGCATTACTGGTGGGTAGCATGAGGTCTGATCTAATGCCAAAAATTTCCCTCCTGTGGGTGAATTTGTACAGATTCACCTGTAATTGTTTATAGTCAATAGAAGGTTTACTATAATACATAGCTGTTCATTTGATAAATGTTTATTGCACACCAACTAGATGCCTGGCATTCTTTAAAGAGGTTAGAGCATTCTAATCCAGATTGTTACATCCTTATTTCTGGAATTGTGTCACATAACACCAAAACGAATGTAAAATTGTTTCAAGATACTTTCCTGTATTTTTCTCTCTCTCCCTCCCTTCCTTTTAGTTCTCTCCCTTCCATTTTCTCTTTGCCATTTTCTCCTTCCATCCTCCTCTTATGTGTTTCTTCATCAAAACGTTTTGGTGGTAGTATTTTTGGTGCAGGTCTTCTGTTTAAAATCTAGTGAAGAATTAGATTGATGAAACTAATTATTCAACTTAAGCAAAAAACAAAGATATACTTAAGTATATTATTATAATAATCAATTTTTTAAATAAATAATCTAATTTTAAAGGTGTTTTCTCTATAGTCCTAAAAGTAGATAGAAGAAACAATTTTGCATAAATTTATTTGTAGAGTGAGAAGTTATCAGTGTATATTTGGTCTAATAGTGATACCCAGGTAAGCACTGTAATTGTTATTTGAGATGTCTTGCAAAGTGTAATGAATTTCCCAGGTGAATGGTCAAGTTGTCTGTAAAATATGAGGTCGAAAATTAGTGAGTTGAGCTGAATTTTTATAGTACTTTTAATGGAGCACTAAAATTGCAAAAAATTAGAAGCTTAATCATACTTATATAGAAAAATAGATAATAAAACCTCAGTAAGTGAGTTAAAGAAAACATGCTTTTTAAGAAGACACAAAGGACAAAATACTGTCATCGATTTGTCTGCTACTATATTTTTGAGGTGCTTGCCCTGGAGTTCAGGGCACTGAGCTATGAGTCATTGCACTCCTTAAATGACTAACCCATAGCGGGGAACCATGAAGATGGTGACGAACAGCAGGCTTGGCACTCTGGGGGTGGTGATGGCCACTGTGTCCTTACATCGGTTGTAGAAAACACCAGCAACAATCTTATGCCACTTATTTATCCAGAGCACATCTGCCTTACATTTTCAATGGAACTCTGACTGTTATTCCATTTAAGATGAAATAGCAGATGAGATAAAACCAACTCATGAACTATATTTAATCTTTTTCATTTGTAAGACTGCCTAAAAATCAAACAAAACCATACCAAAAACCCTTCCATAGATCAAGAGGAACTAAATGCCCAATATAAGAAGAAGAAAATAAAACCAATTAAAAGAACAACAACTACAAGAAATAAAACACCATAATTTTATCAATCCAATTCATTCAAGACCTTAGTTTGACTAAAAGTTAAGATTTGATGGTCATATTTAAAAAGAGGATACCTTTTTTTTTTTCTTTTTTGAGATGGAGTTTCACTCTTGTTGCCCAGGCTGGAGTGCAATGGTGCGATCTCTGCTCACCTCAATCTCTGCCTCCCAGGGTCAAGTGATTCTCCTGCTTCAACCTCCTGAATAGCTGGGATTACAGGCATGTGCCACCACACCCAGCTAATTTTGTGTTTGTAGTAGAGTCGGGGTTTCTCCATGTTGGTCAGGCTGGTCTCAAATGCCCGACCTCAGGTGATCTGCCCACCTAGGCCTCTCAAAGTGCTGGGATTACAGGCGTGAGCCACCACACCCGGCCTAAAAAGAGGGTGTCTTGCTAGTTCTGAGTTGCATGTAAACAATGCTTCTGTTGATTCTATAAATGAAAAGATATTTGCTATACATCTGTTATGTTTTCATCATTGTGCTGAGTCACAGGGTTGAGGACAGGAAAAAAATAGGAGAACAGTAGAATGATGGTATTATCGTTCATATGGTCTCTCTGTCTCTGTCTCTTTTTCTTTCTCTCTCTCTCTCTCTCACACACACACACACACACACACACGTACACACAGAGTATCCTTTATTAATTGATCCCTCTTCCAATTAGGGCTGTCAAAGATTTTCACTAGTTTCTTCTCTTTTAAGATATACAGGGAGAGGAATGGGTAGTTTAAAATTATTTTCTCAACCACTCTATCTTACTGTGAAAGATAGTGTGGAGGTAATAACCAAAATGAAATCATTTCTATGGCTAGGGTGAACTGATGCATACAAAATAATACATTTCAGGTTAGAGTTTAGGCCAAAACATAATCACTCTCTGATCCCTAAAATAAATTTCTTCTCCTATTTTCTCAAGTGGAAAGAGCCATAACAATGTTCTATAGGAATATTTCCAAATGAAACTCTGCTACGTGCTTTACATTGGCTCTTAAAATTTGGATAACCACACACAGTAGCTTCTTACAAGGCTGTATAAAATGGGTAGAGACAAAGCATATGGCTTGTAGAAACATGCAAACACTCAACAGGGCCCAAGCCAAAGATTTTATAGAATCCCCTATCCTAAAATACAGCCAAGAGAACTTTTGATGATTTACAATATAGAGTTGGTAGAAGCATGATAAAAAATTGCATGGTCTTGCAACAATACAGTATTTCACTGGAACAACTAGTTCCAATAGTCTGAATTAATAGGTTGGTATATGTAATAATAGCACATCTGAACATTCTTTTATTTTTTATTTTTTATTTTTTTTCAGACGGAGTCTCACTCTGTTGACCAGGCTGGAGTGCAGTGGCGAGATCTCAGTTCACTGCAAGCTCCACCTCCCAGGTTCACACCATTCTCCTGCCTCAGCCTCCCGAGTAGTTGGGACTACAGGCACCTGCCACCACACCCGGCTAAGTTTTTTTGGTATTTTTAGTAGAGACGGGGTTTCACCTTGTTAGCCAGGATGGTCATTCTTATTATCCCTGGTAGTTCAAATGTTAAGCATCTCAGGATTTAGTTATTAAATATTTACTGATGTTTCACCTACAGAAAACACTACTGATGCCTAGAGCTTGTTTTGTATTTCAATTATAGATGATCCACAGTGATTTACATTAGTCAAAATTGATACGTAAATATTATCATTTTCTTCCCCAAACATGTCCTATATTAAATTTATATTATAGAATCAAGTTGTTAAAATCCAGTCCAATATAATAAAATAATTCTGAATTGCACTCATAAATTCAAAGCACTTTATGAACATCATGGCCAATACATGTATATTTAAAATATGGTCTCTATCCTCAAAGGCCTAGTAAGCTAATAACAGAGATAAATTGAGTGCATAATTGACTGCAGAATGCACTTATAAATTAGTTCAATATAGAAGAAATGTTGTTGCAAGAAAACATTCTTCCAAAGGCTGAAAACATATTCAAATTGATTGCAATTAATTTGGAAATCATATTTCTCAAACATCAGGAAAAAGAAACACATCTCGGAGATGGTTTAAAAAATATTTTCCGGCCGGGCGCGGTGGCTCACGCCTGTAATCCCAGCACTTTGGGAGGCCCAGGCGGGCGGATCACGAGGTCAGGAGATCGAGACCATCCTGGCTAACACTGTGAAACCCTGTCTCTACTAAAAAATACAAAATAAATAAATAAATAAATAAATTAGCTGGGCGTGGTGGCTGGCGCCTGTAGTCCCAGCTACTTGGGAGGCTGAGGCAGGAGAATGGCGTGAACCCAGGAGGTGGAGCTTGCAGTGCGCCGAGATCGCACCACCGCACTCCAGCCTGGGTGACAGAGCGAGACTCCGTCTCAAAAAAAATAAAATAAAATAAAATATTTTCCTCTCTCATCTACTAACATGAAAAATCCAACTCTCACAATATTTTTCTTTTTTCCTTTCTGTATCCTATTTTACCAACTCTTTATTTTAATGTGGAGCTGATTAATCTCATTATGTTTCTTTATTTTTTTCTTTTCTTTCTTTTTTTTTTTTTTTTGAGATTGAGTTTCACTCTTGTTGCCCAGGCTGGGGTGAAATGGCGCGATCTCAGCTCACTGCAACTTCTGCCTCCTGGGTTTGAGTGATTCTCCTCCCTCAGCCTCCCGAGTAGCTGGGATTACAAGAGTGTGGCACCATGCCAGGCTAAATTTTGTATTTTTAGTAGAGACGGAGTTTCACCACGTTGGCCAGGCTGGTCTCAAAACTCCTGACCTCGGTGATCTGCCTGCCTTGGCCTCCCAAAGTGCTGGGATTACAGGTGTGAGCAACCGCGCCTGGCCATTATGTTTCTTTCTCCTGTTCTCCTCCACATCTTTTCTGTCCTGCTATGTGTAATTTTCCATAATCAATGATACCCAGTATTTATCTTCGTCATCTTGGAGGGCCTTTCATGACAATGCAATGTAACATCAGCCTAGGCTTCCCCTCCCTCGTATCTGTTTATTGTATTGGAACGGTGAGAGTAAACTACCTTTGACTCAGGAGCTGCTGCTGTGAGAGTCCATCTTGCCCTTTGCAAGAATTGTACCTATGTAATAGTGCAGATCTCTTCAAGCTCCAATGCAGTAATATTAGCATATATATTTCTACCTTGAATACTACCTGATGGCTAGTGGAAAGAGGATATCTTTGTCATTCTTGAGGCAAGCTTGGACAATTAATCATCCCCTAGATTAGGGGATTATACTACCACATTAAAGTCTTTCTGACTCCAGAGGATGTTGATAGTACCAGATGACACATGGGTCCTGTTTAAGGTGCACTTTTTAAACCCCTTTTTAAGTTGCTATAAAGAAATACCTGAAGCTGGGTAATTTATAGAGAAAAAAGTTTTATGTTTGCTCACAGTTCTGCAGCCTGTACAAAAAGCATGGCATCAACATCTTCTTCTTCTGAGGGCCTCAGGAAGCTTCCAATCATGGCAGAAGGTGAAGAGGGAGCAAGCCTGTCACATGGCAAGAAAGGATATGCCAGGCTCTTTTTAAACAACCAATTGTCATGTGGACGAATGGAGAACTGACTCATCTCCATGGGAAGGGGACCAAGCCATGCATGAGGTATCTGTCCCCATGACTCAAACACTTCCACTAAGCCTTACCCCCGACATTGGGATCACATTTCAACGTGAGATTTGGAGGGGATAAACATCAAAACTTATGATGTACTGCACTATATTGGCAAGGAACAAGCAAAGCGAGGCCCAAGATAGACCTCAAGCTGGTAGACAGTCCACAACATGAGATTCTTCAACCTTCCTGTCCTGTTTCAGGTGAGGTTACCCCTCTCTTGATTCTCACCCCTAAATCCACAGAGACATCCTAGATCTGAGCTCCCTGGCCCTGCTCTGCTCTGGCACATGAATTACTTTTTCTTTTCATCCAGATTCACATCAACAGCGTTAAAAATGTAGATTATTCTACTAAGCAGTATTTCCCAATTACTTATGTTCATGGCATTAGCCTCCTTTATGCATCAAAACTGCCATATAATTCATTAGAAATCTGGCTATCCACAGAGGATAATAAAAGCAAAATCTCTGTTAGCAATTTTAGTAGAGTTTTTTGTAAATGTCTTTAACTCGTTGGCGTCACTGCCAAGAGAGTTCTCCAGCAGTTATAATGTATTTTTCTCAAGCCAGAATTCCTGGTTTATCACAGGTTCCAAAAAGTCTGGCTCACTTTGGACAACATTTCATCCTATCTCAGTCTTCCTTGGGGCTACTTCACAAAAAGACCAACCCTTGGGTTCAAATGCATTCTAGAACCAGATGTAGGGTAATTATTTTGTCAGAAGATACATATGGATGCATAGGTTATATCTAAAAGTCCTAGATGATAACTTCCAAAATTACAATTAAAAAATATCCTATGCATAAGGCTCAGCCCATTTTAAGGGTTGAGGTTAAATTAAGATATAAGCCATCCAGTCAAAAATAATTTCAAAATTATTTAAGACTCTAATATTATTTCTACATCATAAAAACACTCTTCATTCTTATAATATCTCTTCAAATCAATGCCACTATTTTTTCCTACTTGTATAATACTGTTGACTTCATGTTTGCACCTTAGTCTCTTCCTTTTAAATTCTATCCAATCCTCTCCAATCACTACTGTTTATTTTAGCCTGAGCCTTTAGACCTTGATACTCATGTTAATGCATTGCTTTTGGATCACTGGTATACCATACCTTGCCAGACAGTCCCTTAGTCACTGTCTTAGTCTGTTTTATGCTGCTATAACAGATTACCTAAGACTGGGTAATTTATAAAGAACAGATTTATTTCTCATCATTCCAGAGACTGGGAGGTCCAAGGTTGAGGGGCCCACATCTGATGGAAGGCATCACATGGCAAGAGAACACACAAAGAGAGAGGAAGAAGGCCAAAGTCATCATTCTTGTCAGGAGCTCACTGCTGCAATAATAAGGACATTAATCCATTCATAAGGGCAGAGCCCTCATGACCTTATCAGCTCTTTAAGGTCCCATCTCCTAATACAGTTGCCTTGGAGATCAAGTTTCCATCATATATATTAACACATTAAAACTTTAGTCATCACGCCTAGGTCTCCACAAAGTGTGTAAGTAGAGGAAGTAGGGGATCAGAAGACGAAACAAAGAAATGCACCAGATAATGGGACTGGTTGAAAGAAAAACCTGGAACAAGAAACTGAAATCCAGGCAGACTGGGCAGAGGAAGGAGCTGGTGAGAAACAGGAGGAGGAAGTGGCCGATTTTGTAGGGAGGAGGGTCATGAACCTGAGATTTAAGACAGTTGTGGCCAAACAGGCAGCTGAAAATGGGAAGGATGATGACTGTAGGCAAGAAGAAACAGAAAGGTGATTAAAAGAAGATTAAATAAGCACAAGTGGAGAAAACTAGATGAAAAGAACAAGATAGGCTTTGTGAGCAAACAGCATATCACTGCCAGTCTTATAACTGAAAGTCTGTAGGCTTCCAGCAGGGGACTCCCTCAGTGAGCTCCATGCACAGCCCCCACTGCCTTGCAGCCCCCACCAGCCCAAGGAGAAGGCCCAGCAGAACGTTTGAATCCAAGAGCACCTAGTGAGAATCTCTCCTCTGCCTTCTAGCTTAGAATGCTGCTCTGGAAGTAATTGAAAGGGAGGCTCAATTTTATTTTTATGAATGACTTGATTGTTTTTGCCCAGATGAATATAATTTTTTCCCTGTTCTGAAAGTCCAGTGTTTTATCAGGATACGTCTCATTGTTTTAAAGTTTCAAGTTCACTGTAAGAAAGTCTTCTTGAATGATTCAACTCTATTTATTTTAAGCCATGTTTTTCAGGGCACAAATTCTCTATACTTTAAGCTTGCTTCTTTTAGTCTCATATATCTTTTATTTTACTTGAATATTTTTAAGCCTTTGTTACCTTCCATATGACTCTTCTTAACTCTCTCTCTCTATTATTTTCTTCTTTTTCTAAAAGAGATAGGTTATCCATAGTGCACAAAGGAAAAGAGAGTAGGAGTGCCAACTAAACCTATAGCTTCCAATCTTTGTCACCTGGAAATCACACACACACACTCCTCACATACACACAGTGGGTCATAACGTAGTAACGTAAGCTTTAGAGCAAGGCTGCCTAGTTGGAGTCACAGCTGTATCACGCACAAGGTGTGTGGCAGTGTTCAAATATTGCACTTCTCTGTACCTCTGTCAACTCCTCAGTCAATTGAGACTATTGGTGTTTTCTAACTCAGATAGTTGAATAAATTAATAAATAAAACTGCTTATGATGGTACTTGGCAAATACTACATACACAATAAATGTTGCCTCAGGTGATATTGTCAGTCAGGGCTTCACAGTAGCCTATGGGGCCAAGGACATGCCCTGCACATTTGGAGCGGAGACCCACCCACCTTTATTTTTAATAGCCTACATACTTCAACTCCTCTTACAGGAAAATTTCCAGCTGTTCAGGGAAAGAACCCATTTAAATAGGTTAGAAAGCAGTAGGAGCTCTTGGAGATCATTCTAAAAACAAAAAGAATTAATTCATTTTCCATAAAAACTAAAATATTAGAAACACAAGCAGTTTTTTGATAATATTTTTTATAGAGCATGTAATAAAAACCAGTGAACCAGCATATGAGGAAACCATAAGAATGAAAAATACGTATATTAGAAATGTTAATAGCAATATAAGATGAGAAATAGAATATGGGAAACATTTATCATGGTTTTATTATATAAAACTATGGTGTTAATTCTTACAGATAGAACCTAGTTTAGGAATATATAAAAATGTGACATTTTGAATTCCTTTTCAGAGACGCCTGTTGTAATAAGCAAACAGAAATCTTAAGTTTCTGAAAAAGGAATATATTGCTAAGGGTCAAAAAGATTTAATATTGGAAAGTAGGCTGAGAGAAAGTCACTGAAAATGTGATCCTTGGCTACAATCAACACATTCACTTTTAGCAGAGCCTTGATTTAATCAGCTTCAAGTAGGAGATGAAGTGTTTGAAGTGATAGAATTATAAATGCACAAGACCCAAGCAGAGCAAATATTAGTAACACCTCTGGATGCCCAATAGAATGTTTTTGTTCATGAAGTATAATCTTAAATTTTAGCTACTATATGGAATAAAATGCGAAAAAGTAACATTATAAAAAGTTTTTTTTAAACAGAATAAAATGTTGAAAACTAGTAAAATTTTAGCATGAAAAAATGAATACGGTTCATAAGGCCAGGACTAATGGTTTACTATTTTTTCTGGTCCAGTGGTTTGAGCTTTATGGAATCATACATAATTTTAATAGTGTAGATAATCAGTACAAAGTCTGCTGCTGTGAAACCACAATACGAATGACCACACACTAGCACACAGCAACAAAATTAAACACACATATACAACATATTCAGGAAACTGAGAAGCAGCTTATTTCTGAAGAGTTTAGAAGATGGTATTGAGCTGTGCTAAATAATTGTGATTAAGGTGTAAAGGTGCAGTATAACAAGAATATTTAAATTTTTTTAACTTTTTTATTATACTTTGTTTTAGGGTACATGTGCACAACGTGCAGGTTAGTTACATACATATACATGTGCCATGCTGGTGTGCTGCACCCATTAACTCATCATTTAGCATTAGGTATATCTCCTAAAGCTATCCCTCCCCGCTCCCCCCACCCCACAACAGTCCCCAGAGTGTGATGTTCCCCTTCCTGTGTCCATGTGTTCTCATTGTTCAATTCCCACCTACGAGTGAGAATATGCGGTGTTTGGTTTTTTATTCTTGCGATAGTTTACTGAGAATGATGATATCCAATTTCATCCATGTCCGTACAAAGGACATGAACTAATCATTTGTTATGGCTGCATAGTATTCCATGGTGTATATGTGCCACATTTTCTTAATCCAGTCTATCATTGTTGGACATTTGGGTTGGTTCCAAATCTTTGCTATTGTGAATAGTGCCACAATAAAGACACGTGTGCATGTGTCTTTATAGCAGCATGATTTATAGTCATTTGGGTATATACCCAGCAATGGGATGGCTGGGTCAACTGGTATTTCTAGTTGTAGATCTCTGAGGAATTGCCACACTGAATTTCACAATGGGTGAACTAGTTTACAGTCCCACCAACAGTGTAAAAGTGTTCCTATTTCTCCACATCCTCTCCAGCACCTGTTGTTTCCTGACTTTTTAATGATTGCCATTCTAACTGGTGTGAGATGGTATCTCATTGTGGTTTTGATTTGCATTTCTCTGATGGTCAGTAATGATGAGCATTTTTTCATGTGTTTTTTGGCTGCATAAATGTCTTCTTTTGAGAAGTGTCTGTTCATGTCCTTCGCCCACTTTTTGATGGGGTTGTTTGGTTTTTTCCTGTAAATTTGTTTGAGTTCATTGTAGATTCTGGATATGAGCCCTTTGTCAGATGAGTAGGTTGCAAAAATTTTCTCCCATTTTGTAGGTTGCCTGTTCACTCTGATGGTAGTTTCTTTTGCTGTGCAGAAGTTCTTTAGTTTAATTAGATCCCATTTGTCAATTTTGGCTTTTGTTGCCATTGCTTTGGGTGGTTTAGACATGAAGTCCTTGCCCATGCCTATGTCCTGAATGGTAATGCCTAGGTTTTCTTCTAGGGTTTTTATGGTTTTAGGTCTAACGTTTAAGTCTTTAATCCATCTTGAATTAATTTTTGTATAAGATGTAAGGAAGGGATCCAGTTTCAGCTTTCTACATATGGCTAGCCAGTTTTCCCAGCCCCATTTATTAAATAGGGAATCCTTTCCCCATTGCTTGTTTTTCTCAGGTTTGTCAAAGATCAGATAGTTGTAGATATGCGGCATTATTTCTGAGGGTGCTGTTCTGTTCCATTGATCTATATCTCTGTTTTGGTACCAGTACCATGTTGTTTTGGTTACTGTAGCCTTGTAGTATAGTTTGAAGTCAGGTAGTGTGATGCCTCCAGCTTTGTTCTTTTGGCTTAGGATTGACTTGGTGATGCGGGCTCTTTTTTGGTTCCATATGGACTTTAAAGTAGCTTTTTCCAATTCTGTGAGGAAAGTCATTGGTAGCTTAATGGGGATGGCATTGAATCTATAAATTACCTTGGGCAGTATGGCCATTTTCATGATATTGATTCTTCCTACCCATGAGCATGGAATGTTCTTCCATTTCTTTGTATCCTCTTTTATTTCATTGAGCAGTGGTTTGTAGTTCTCCTTGAAGAGGTCCCTCACGTCCCTTGTAAGTTGGATTCCTAGGTATTTTATTCTCTTTGAAGCAATTGTGAATGGGAGTTCACTCATGATTTGGCTCTCTGTTGGTCTGTTATTGGTGTTTGAGAATGCTTGTGATTTTTATACATTGATTTTGTATCCTGAGACTTTGCTGAAGTTGCTTATCAGCTTAAGGAGATTTTGGGCTGAGAGAATGGGGTTTTCTAGATATACAATAATGTCATCTGCAAACAGGGACAATTTGACTTCCTCTTTTCCTAACTGAATACCCTTTATTTCCCTCTCCTGCCTAATTGCACTGGCTGGAGCTTCCAACACTATGTTGAATAGGAGTGGTGAGAGAGGGCATCCTTGTCTTGTGCCAGTTTTCAAAGGGAATGCTTCCAGTGTTTGCCCATTCAGTATGATATTGGCGGTGGGTTTGTCATAGATAGCTCTTATTATTTTGAGATACATCCAATCAATACCAAATTTATTGAGAGTTTTTAGCATGAAGCATTGTTGAATTTTGTCAAAGGCCTTTTCTGTGTCTATTGAGATAATCATGTGGTTTTTGTCTTTGGTTCTGTTTATATGCTGGATTACATTTACTGATTTGTGTATATTGAACCAGCCTTGCATCCCAGGGATGAAGTCCACTTGATCATGGTGGATAAGCTTTTTGATGTGCTGCTGGATTCGGTTTGCCAGTATTTTATTGAGGATTTTTGCATCAATGTGCATCAAGGATATTGGTCTAAAATTCTCTTTTTTGGTTGTGTCTCTGCCCGGCTTTGTTATCAGGATGATGCTGGCCTCATAAAATGAGTCAGGGAGGATTCCCTCTTTTTCTATTGATTTGGGGTGGAGAATTCTCTAGATGTCTATTAGGTCCGCTTGGTGCAGAGCTGAGTTCAATTCCTGGATATCCTTGTTAACTTTCTGTCTCATTGATCTGTCTAATGTTGACAGTGGGGTGTTAAAGTCTCCCATTATTATTGTGTGGGAGTCTAAGTCTCTTTGTAGGTCACTCAGGACTTGCTTTATGAATCTGGGTGCTCCTGTATTGGTTGTATATATATTTAGGATAGTTAGCTCTTCTTGCTGAATTGATCCGTTTACAATTATGTAATGGCCTTCTTTATCTCTTTTGATCTTTGTTGGTTTAAAGTCTGTTTTATCAGAGACTAGGATTACAACCCCTTCCTTTTTTTGTTTTCCATTTGCTTGGTAGATCTCCCTCCATCCTTTTATTTTGAGCGTATGTGTGTCTCTGCACATGAGATGGGTTTCCTGAATAAAGCACACTGATGGGTCTTGACTCTTTATCCAATTTGCCAGTCTGTGTCTTTTAATTGGAGCATTTAGTCCATTTACATTTAAAGTTATTATTGTTATGTGTGAATTTGATCCTGTCATTATGATGTTAGCTGGCTATTTTGCTCGTTAGTTGATGCAGTTTCTTTCTAGCCTTGATGATCTTTACAATTTGGCATGATTTTGCAGTGGCTGGTACCAGTTGTTCCTTTCCATGTTTAGTGCTTCCTTCAGGAGCTCTTTTAGGGCATGCCTGGTGGTGACAAAATCTCTCAGCATTTGCTTGTCTGTAAAGTATTTTATTTCTCCTTCAGTTATGAAGCTTAGTTTGGCTGGATATGAAATTCTGTGTTGAAAATTCTTTTCTTTAAGAATGTTGAATATTGGCCCCCACTCTCTTCTGGCTTGCAGAGTTTCTGCCGAGAGATCTCTCGTTAGTCTGATGGGCTTCCCTTTGTGGGTAACCCGACGTTTCTCTCTGGCTGCCCTTAACACTTTTTCCTTCATTTCACCTTTGGTGAATCTGACAATTATGTGTCTTGGAGTTGCTCCTCTCCAGGAGTATCTTTGTGGTGTTCTCTGTATTTCCTGAATCTGAATGTTGGCCTGCCTTGCTAGATTGGGGAAGTTCTCCTGGATAATATCCTGCAGAGTGTTTTCCAACTTGGTTCCATTCTCCCTGTCACTTTCAGGTACACCAATCGGACGTAGATTTGGTCTTTTCACTTAGTCCCATATTTCTTGGAGGCTTTGTTCATTTCTTTTTATTCTTTTTTCTCTAAACTTCCCTTCTCACTTCATTTCATTCATTTCATCTTCCATCACTGATACCCTTTCTTCCAGTTGATTGCATCGGCTCCCGAGGCTTCTGCATTCTTCACGTAGTTCTCAAGCCTTGGCTCCATCAGCTCCTTTAAGCACTTCTCTGTATTGGTTATTCTAGTTATACATTCGTCTAAATTTTTTTCAAAGTTTTCAACTTCTTTGCCTTTGATTTGAATTTCCTCCTGTAGTTCAGAGTAGTTTGATCATCTGAAGCCTTCTTCTCTCAACTCATCAAAGTCATTCTCCGTCCAGCTTTGTTCCATTGCTGCTGAGGAGCTGCATTCCTTTGGAGGAGGAGAGGTGCTCAGCTTTTTAGAGTTTCCAGTTTTTCTGCTGTTTTTTCCCCATCTTTGTGGTTTTATCTCCTTTTGGTCTTTGATGATGGTGATGTACAGATGGGTTTTTGGTGTGGATGTCCTTTCTGTTTGTTAGTTTTCCTTCTAACAGACAGGGCCCTCAGCTGCAGGTCTGTTGGAGTTTGCTAGAGGTCCACTCCAGACCCTGTTTGCCTGGGTACCAGCAGCGGTGGCTGCAGAACAGCAGATTTTCATGAACCTCGAATGCTGTTGTCTGATTTTTCCTCTGGAATTTTGTCTCAGAGGAGTACCTGGCCGTGTGAGGTGTCAGTCTGCCCCTACTGGGGGGTGCCTCCCAGTTAGGCTGCTCGGGGGTCAGGGATCAGGGACCCACTTGAGGAGGCAGTCTGCCTGTTCTCAGATGTCCAGCTGTGTGCTGGGAGAAACACTGCTGTCTTCAAAGCTGTCAGACAGGGACATTTAAGTCTGCAGAGGTTACTGCTGTCTTTTTGTTTGTCTGTGCCCTGCCCCCGAGGTGGAGCCTACAGACGCAGGCAGGCCTCCTTGAGATGTGGTGGGCTCCACCCAGTTCAAGCTTCCAGGCTGCTTTGTTTACCTAAGCAAGCCTGGGCAATGGCGGGCGCCCCTCCCGCAGCCTTGCTGCTGCCTTGCAGTTTGATCTCAGACTGCTGTGCTAGCAATCAGTGAGACTCCGTGGGCATAGGACCCTCTGAGCCAGGTGCGGGATATAATCTCCTGGTGCGCCGGTTTTTAAGCCTGTCAGAAAAGCACAGTATTGGGGTGGGAGTGACCCAATTTTCCAGGTGCTGTCTGTCACCCCTTTCTTTGACTAGGAAAGGGAACTCCCTGACTCCTTGCACTTCCCAAGTGAGGCAATGCCTCACCCTGCTTTAGCTCACGCACGGTGTGCTGCACCTACTGTCCTGCACCCACTGTCTGGCACTCTGTAGTGAGATGAACCCGGTACCTCAGATGGAAATGCAGAAATCACCTGTCTTCTGCATTGCTCACACTGGGAGCTGTAGACCGGAGCTCTTCCTATTCGGCCATCTTGGCTCTCTCCAAGAATATTTAAATTTTAGAGGTACCATTTGTTGACTTGTGACGTAGTGTCCACTTAGTCAATTGACTACCTCCTTCATATCATCTATTGCAGGAAAAGTTTTAGTAAACTGGTATCATTATCCTTTTAGAAATAAATAAGGTTTATATTATTATGATTTACAACCTTTGAGGTGGATTTCATGAGCAATAGTTCATGCTATTGATAGCCCTAACACACTCTTTCAATTAAATTTACTCCTCTTTAGAAACTACCCCATAATTGTTTTTTTTCTTTGCATAGTAATTAACAGAAGTTTTCCTGTGATAAGTTAACTGGACTTACTTGTAAAAGGATAGGGAAAGGTTAACGTATTATGTCTTACCTCCTTTAATTGTGAAAACAGCCTATCCAACCCACAACATAGGACAGCTTTGAAGCGGCCCAACACAAGTTTGTAAACTTTCTTAAAACATTATGAGATTTTTTTGCAATTTTCTTTTAGCTTATCAGCTATCATTAGTCTTAGTGTATTTTATGTGTGGCCCAAAACAATTCTTCCTCTTCCAATGTGGCCCAGGGAAGCCAAAAGATTGGACACCTGCCTTAGACAAAAGGTATAGTAAAATAAAATTTAAAAATAAGATTTGTAAAAAGTAGGCTGGGTATGGTGGCTCAAGCCTGTAATCCCAGCACTTTGGGAGGCCAAGATGGGTGAATCACCTGAGGGGAGGAGTTCTAGACCAGCCTGGCCGACATGGTGAAACACCATCTATACTAAAAGTACAAAAATTAGCCAGGCGTGGTGGCAGGCGCCTGTAATCCCAGCTACTCGGGAGGCTGAGGCAGGAGAATTGCTTGAACCCAGGAGGTGGAAGTTGCAGTGAACCGGGATCGTGCCATGGCACTCCAGCCTGGGGGACAAGAGTGAGACTTGGTCTCAAAAAAAAAAAAAACAGGTAACTACAATATTCCAAAAAAGAAAGCATTTCTATGGAGCCAAGTGAATGACAGTAAGAAAACACAGAGGCGGGAGTTTACATATGGAAATGAGGATAGAATAGTAAGTTGCAAACAGCAGCAATCAACCCAAAGCTTTCCTCAGTAATGAGCCTACTAATTTAAGACAAGGGAGAATTTCAACTCTGTTGAAACCACTTAGTACAATTAAAAATATGAAAAAGGAATTTATTTTCATGGATGAATTCAGAACATTAACCATTACTGAACATTGATCAAATGTTGCCTTAATTTTCATGAGTATAGCTCCATATGAGGGTGCTGGTGGGAGTGAGACACACTGACCTCAGGGGTGAATTGCAGCCATGCAAATGTGGCTTGCAACAAAAGCAAATGGGATACAAGGCAAAGTAACTTTTCAAAGTTAAGAGAGGAGTCTGTTGACTAAAACTCAGCTTTATGAACCATGGAAGCCAAATCAGAGCCCATAAGCATCATCTCTACATTTTCTAACTCTATCTTGTTTTGAAGGAAAGATTTAAACAGGGTTTTACTAGTATTGAACACAGTCATACATTCCATACCCAGAACTAGGGTAATTGCAAATTTATCCAGAAGTCTCAGTGATGCCAGGTGGCACCATGGGCACCTGGTGACCCAGTACTGTCAGTCCCTGAGGAAGCTCAATGATCTGTAAGTTGTGCAATTTCCCATTAGGTGATGCAAAACAGGGACTAGACAGACTTGGAAACTGGAGGCCTGGTTTTAAATATAGTCAGATAAAGCACTCGAGCAAGGGAGCAAAAATGTTGAAAGCAAAGCAAAATAAATTAGATAGCTAAGAGGTTCAAAGGCTATGATAACGACTTTCCAGTGAATTCTAATTAAGAGAAAATTGCCAAAGAGAAGAAGAATAATTGCAAAGTAAAAGGCAAATGCAAAAGGGTGGTATGGATCAGTTGCTGAAAGTCAGTTTTTGATGGTGGCGTTCGATGTTAGATGTTAGATGAAGTGAAATGAAACCCTACACCAAATCGCAAAAAGAGAAAATTCTATTTTGTTTTAGTCTTCATTTAAAATACGTTTTGATTGCTTATGCTCGGGCAAAGATTAAGGGGTGTATTAGTCTGTTCTCATGCTGCTAATAAAGACTTGCCCGAGACTGGGTAATTTACAAAGGAAAGGGGTTTAATTGACTCACAGTTCAGCATGGTGGGGGAGGCCTCAGGAAACTTACAATCATGGTGGAAGGAAATCAAACATGTCCTTCTTCACATGTCCCAGGGAGAAAAAGAATGAGTGCCCAGCAAAGGGGAAAGCCACTTATAAAACCAACAGATCTTGTGAGAACGAGCTCATTATCACAAGAACAGGATGGGAAAACCACCCTCATGATTCAATTATCTCCACCTAGTCCCTCCCATGACACGTGGGGATTATGGGAACTACAATTCCAGATGAGATTTGGGTGGGGACACAGGCAAACCATATCAAAGGTATAAATAATTTTTCCTTGTCTTTGCTTGATTTTAGTTGTAGGGATTTAAATGTTATGCTTTATTTGACATGAATTGTAAATTTTATTTTATGAAAATATTTCAGATTAATATAATCAAATAACATTTAAAAGATTTTTAGTTTTGAAGCCTGGCATTCAAATAGGCTTATAGTGAAATCTTGCTTTCATAAGACCATACATGTTTCCATATAACAAATAATTTTCAAAGAATTGTCTTTAGGTGAATACATATAAACCTACTAACAAAGTAGAAGATAAAAGTGTAATACAATATGGGTGTTTGTTTATTTGTTTGTTTTTGTGAAACAAGGTCTCATCCTGCTGGCCAGGCAGGAGTGCAGTGGTGCAATCATAGCTCATTATAGCCTCGACCTCCCAGGCTCAAACAATCTTCCTGCCTCAGCCTCCCAAATAGCTGGGACTAGAGGCATGCACCACCAAACCTGCCTAATTTTTAAATTTCTTTGTAGAGAAGGGGTCTCCCTATGTTGCCCAGACTGGTCTCAAATTCCTGTGCTCAAGCAGTCCTCTCACTTCAGCCTTGTAAAGTGCTAGGATTACAGGTGTGAGCCACCATGCCTAGTACAATGTGGTTTTTGTCATGGAAATCCCAGTAAAAACTTTTATATCAGTAATGAGAGTATAATTTTCAACATGAATAACTCATTTTATGTATGTGTGTTACATAAATTATCTAATTTATATTAATATTTTATAGTTTATGTTAAAAATCCCTTTACTTAAAAATTTGTTGAAGTACATTTTTTCATTAATAATATTTTCCCATAAGAAAAGTCATTTAAGGTTTCATGTCTTTTTTATACAAAAAAGTAACATAATGAAATTTAAGTAATCTGCCAATGAAGCTGTAGTGAAACAAAAGTATAAGGTTGATATTTTGTTTTCCTGATTTTGTCTTTTCTTTCTCTTTTTTCAAAGAGTTCACACTTGAATTTCCTCACAGTTTCCATAATTAAATAGCCAGTTTTGGTAGGAATTATAATGCTTTGGTGCACTTGCCTTCAGTCACTACATGTGACTCATCTATTTATTTATTCATTCTCTTTTCCTTAGATGCATATTTTTTCTTTTGATATCATTTTAACAATTATAACTAAATAATTAATGTATAAATCCTTTAATAAATGCATAACTTTTAGCACTTAGGGTGACATCATGTAAGAGGCTCATTTTGTAATTTAGCAATATTAAAAGCAATTCAAATTCCATATTCTATTGGAGAGATTTATGCTGCTAGGTACAGATGGTAAAATCAAAGTTTCTAAACAACTATCTGAGTTTTTATGTTTTTCTGTACTGGAAAAATATCTATGTCTGTCACATTGAAACTCACTCAATAGTTCCATAGATAGTTTTTTTTTTTTTTAAATAATCATAGAAATTGACCCTTCTGGTCTTAAAGATTTAAACTTACATTTGTTTTATCTGAGTTCCTTCCTCAGGAAAAGACCTTTAGGTCTCTCAAAAAAATATCAAAGAACTGAAACTCACCAGGTCACCACATCCAGACAATGAGATGTCAGGGCTCCTCATTCATCATCATTGCTTCCCTGCCCCTCTCTAGTTCCTGTTTTCTTACACATTGTTACATTTCCTCCCTGCTATATAAAGCCCTGGTTTTAGAGATGAATTTGAGACTGAGCTCCCACGTCCTTGGCTGCAGCACCCAATTAAAGCCTTCTTCCTTAGCAAGAATCCTTATCTCAGTCATTGGCTTTCTGTGCCGAGAGCAGCAGGACCTAGCCTTGGTGTTTTTTTGTTTGTTTGTTTTGTTTTGTTTTGAAATGGAGCCAATGACTTATCTCAGTCATTGGCTTTCTGTGCCGAGAGCAGCAGGACCTAGCCTTGGTGTTTTATTGTTTGTTTGTTTGTTTTGTTTTATTTTGAGATGGAGTCTCACTCTATCACCCAGGCTGGAGTGTAGTGGTGCAATCTTGGCTCACTGCAACCTACACCTCCCAGGTTCAAGCAATTCTTGTGCCTCAGCCTCCCAAATGACTGGGATTACAGGCACGTGCTACCATGCCCAGCTAATTTTTTCTGTATTTTTAGTAGAGACAGCGTTTCACCATATTGGCCAGGCTAGTCTTGAACTCCTGACCTTGTGATCTGCCTGCTTCGACCTCCCAAAGTTCTGGGATTACAGGCATGAGCCACCACACCCCTACACCCCTGGTGTTGTGGTAACACATTTTGGTTCCCTGACAAGCAAATGTGTTGCTCTTGTGGCTCAGCTGCCACAGCCCTGGTGTCTCACAAGCCCTCCTAAGCAGCTGCCTGCACAATTTTGGCTGAAGGTGGGTTTCTTCTCTCTCTGGTCTGCCACAGCCAGCCTCAACCATGTTCCTAATTGCCTCAAAATAACTGCCTTTGGTATTTGATATCTGCATCAGATGGGTGAGTGTCCTTGTGGGCCAAGACAGCAGAATCTGCTCCTCTCAATTTGGGAAATTTTTCAAAGAATTTTTATTTGTAGGTTAAACAAGCCCAACTGATGGAAAGAGGAAAGCACCTTGACTATTTCAATTAGGACACTCTTGGGGGCTTGTTTGTTGCAGCAGCAGTTGGATTGTGCTTTGGTATAAGCATGCATGTGATATAGTCATAGGAAATTAGAGCTCAGTAAAGTGATACTCTTTTATAATACTGTTTGGCCCCAGTGTTCTTTGGAATCTGAAGTTTGCTGTTGAATGGAAAAGTGGGCTATGTATTCAGGCTTTTATATTGCTATTCTAAGCAGGGTTGGACCTGGTTAGTAGGTTCCAGGTGGTGTTCTTCTGTGGTGCTCTTCAGCCCCAGTGTTCTTTGGAGATTGGGGATGCTTGGCCTTTAAAAATCAAACTGCCATGGCAACTGCTTTACCCAAAGTTTTTGTTAACAGCCTTCACTGGATTACCTATTGGTGGTAATGAAGTTCGGTCACGTGAACCTGTTGGTAGGGGGGTGAGTCTATATTGCTATCTCATGGCTAGAGTTCCAGTGTAAAAGCTATTGGATCTTTGTTTATGTGTGTGTATACATGTCTAAATGTGTTTATGTGTATGTATATTTATTAAGTTATATGTTGTGTTTACCAAATTGGCTTAAAATTAAAGAGCACCTCATAGATAAAGATGTCCAAAGTATTTTTCAAGTTCACATGACCCAAATAAGTCTTTACTAAGCAAGCTGGCTTTAAAATTATTGGTAAAATAAAAATAGAGATGTCTTCAGAATTGTCAGCATATGTTTTTGTCTGGGTTTTATATTTGCCTTTGCTAGATATTTTGATATATCAGGGTTTGCACAGGAGGTTGTAAAACTATAAACTCATCCAAAACAAAATGGCCTTGCTTTGTGTGCCTTCTTTGACAACTGAGACCAATTTAATATTGTTAGTGGAATCTTCTGAGTTACTGGCAAATTTACCTATGAAATTAACTTTGAGGCTCTTACTTAAATGAGCACCTGATATTCAGTGAGTATTTAAAAAATGATAAACAAGGAAATGATTAACTTTAAGTGATGGTGTATAATATTTTAGTTTTCAAAAGTAATCTAGACCAACTGTTAAAAATGAAATAATTGAGTACCTGTAAATGAGATGCATGTTTAAAAACTGGTGCCATTTAAATCTTTGAATGATTTGTATCATTTCCAATTAGAAAGTGATATGATATGGAAAAATATGTTTCTAAAACTTGTAAAATTGTTCTCATCTATAAAGTACTAATATCCAATAGTTCAGGATTTCTTGCTTCCTAGGGTTTTACTAAAATTTAAGGTTAGTAAGAATAAAAATTAAAGTTAATATATAATTATGTATGTATGTGTTATTAGTGAGAAAAATAATAATTTTGTCTAATTCAAAAGTTATCTAAAAATTAATTCAAATTATGGACATGAAAAATTTATTCAGAAAACAAGGTAGTAAGGAACCAGTAAGTATGGAAGAAAGATGTGAAGAAAGTTATGTATATGAAGGTGTATTTTTGGCAAGGAGGCTTAAAAGAGAGAATAAATTTGTATGAGAAAGAATCTTGTAAGGTGAATTTTTGTCCTAGAATGAAAAGACTAATTGGGGGGGATATAAAGAAGAAAATTTAGAACAAAACAAAAAGTCCAAATATGTCGTAGCTCGTCTGTGTAAGTCATGGATTTTTTTCCCCCCTGTTTCTCTGTATGGTCTATCTTTGTGCACATACAGAGCAAATAGAAACTTGAAAAAGTTTAGGCATTATCTGTTAAAAACTAACATAAAATTGGGGAAATTTGGTTAATAAACATTGCTCATAGTTAAAGCTCTTAGTTTTGATGAAGGTAAAATTAATATTGTAAAGAAATACATTCACAGTTTGACAGTTCTTTTTTAATCTAGTTAGGCATGAAGCCAGATTTAACACGAAGCCAAATTCCACACAAATGTTGGTGTTGCTTTGTTTCACACTGTATGTGCTCTTCTTCATAGACAGTACTAAGCACTAAAGTACTTACTGGTCATTTGCCTAAAGTGAATTTCTTAATTGCATAAAATGAACAATGGTATTGGTGAACTTTGAGTCATTAATTTATGTACCAGGAATGAAATACCTATCATGAGTTTTCCTCTAGACTCTAGGTGACACTTTAGCCTTCAAGGTAAACTGAGTAGGAGAAAAAATTTACTGGTTTTCTGTTTATTTGTTTTTGCTTCTAATTATTGTTTATTTGTCCTTTGTTCTCCTTTGGTTTTTACTTATATATACATATATAAGACCATTTTTTCAGTTTCTAATAAGAGGCTTTTATTTAGTTCTATGAATAGTCATTTTGTTTCTTAGGCATTTCTAATAATTCATCCTTTCTTCTATTTATCTAGAATTCCTAAGCTAAATTTGTCAAGCCTACAAAAACTGACAGAGCATACTAGACATTTAAAATTTTGTTGATTTTACTTAGCTCAGATGATCTAGAGAGCTACAAGAGCTTTAAGATTTCTGGCAAAAAATAAAAGACTTATTTTTACAAGTTCAGAACAGAAATAGTACATTCCATATTTTGTTATTTGGAAAAGTAGATGAGAATAGAAATATTAAAATGGTGTTTATTTACCAAGGTAATTTAGTTCAATCCATATTTTAAGTTGGTTTCAGATCTTTTCTCTTAATGAGGAAAAACCTATGATATGGGTACAAAATTTTAATGTTCAGGAAAGATTGGCCTTGTCCTTAAGGAAATTATATTGATTGGGATTTCTCTCAAACTACTTTAGTTATGTTGACCATTATTAAAATTAAGTGACATTCATGTGGATTAAGTAGTAATTAATTTAAAAAAGTGAGACTTTCTAGCAATTTTTGATCTCCAGCCATTTATCACTGATGGGCTTTCATGCGTGTACTTGAAAACAAAATATGCACAAGTGTTGCACTGGTCTGAAGATTTTGGTGGTGAAATCTTCACCTAATCAGTTGTCAGTACTGTATCTAGAAATCAATCTTGGAAATGTGTGATAATGCTCTTTTAAATCACTGAAAAGAAATTACTGTATGCTTGTTCTTACTTTGTTACATTGTATGGTATTTATGTGAAAGGAGATTATTTATACTCATTTTGAACTTTCAAAACTGATATCTGCATTTACCATTTTCTTAATGATGGAGGGAAAAGTTAGTTGTCTTACTTTGATAAGTTTAGCGTAGGACCTATCACATTTTTTATGCTTTTGGTCACAGTTCTGTCACCAGAATACTATCAATCAGACAAATACAATGTGTAACCTAAGTATTTTAATACAGTGGTTTGAAGTGCTGCGGGTGGTAACTCCTAAACACCAAATCACATTGTTTTGCTATGTAGCATATTAGAATGATAGGACATTCTGTAACATAAATATCCTATTAACTAATCTTTGTGCCTTAAGTTACAGGCATTTGACTCTTGGGTCTGAAAAAGGCACCAACCCCTGCTAAATCTTGAGCATTGACATCAGTTAAAGCCTTGTCTTCGGACCCGGAGAAGGTGACAATCAAAATGAACTGTGTTTGTGAGACACAAAGCCAGAAATTAAAACGTTAAATCCCTCTAGGCCCAAGGACTGTTGCAAAAGAAGTGGGTGCATGAGATTGTAAACACTGATTTTGGGGGATAAGATTAGTTCAGACTTTTTCTATAAATTAAATATTTATATCAAAATCACACTGTTGTAAGGCCAGCATCTGGGCCCATGTGTTGGAATAACAGGGTTTTTATGGAGCATTGATCTGCTCTGTAATAGAAAATTTGAAAAGGTTATAAAAAAGTTTATGGAAACCTTACCTTATGGTCAAACTGATTAAAATTAGATAGATTTGTTTATAAGTTTTTATTAAAATTAGATTGTAAATTTTTATTAAAATACACATGAATCTACCTCTAAATAAAGGCATGGATATAACTATAAATATAGCTAGATCATGATATATATAGACAAGATGCTAATACACAAAAATATGATGCATATGCATAAATGTATACACATCACTTAAATGAACATATTGATATTTAAATGTGGGGTATACACTTGTAATCTATTATACATATAAGCCATTTTTAATTTGATTTTGTTAAAATTGAAGCACCCACTACAAATGACCTCTCTCAGCTCAGAGTAGGTCTCAACTTCCTCCAATTCTGGAGACCCTAGCACAGCATTTCCCTGCCTTGATATATTCCATAGCCCCTTTTCGTTTACTGTGCCTGGAATCATATAAGGTTTCAAAAATAGTGATTTCAAAAATAAAACTCTAAATTAACATCAGTAACCATGTGCAATCAATGGAAGATTTTAAACAATATGCATGCTTAGAATCAGAGGGACTGCAGCAGACACTAGGCATGTTTCAGGTCTTCCTAGGCAGCTTTCTTTCCTGAGACCTGCCAACCAGACACCCTGCTCAGGGAGATGCACAGCTTCCCACATCTCTGCACCTGACTGTTTCTCCAAGCTTGGATACAGTTGATTGATCAAAGACAAAATATATGATGTTTCTTCTTGTGAATATAAATTAAGAGATGAAGAGCTGTATTTAGTGTTTACTGGGTTCTGAACTCTTAAAATCGTGTAGGTTTGAAATGCATGTGTTGGTAGTCACCCTGAGTTTTGAGGCAAGAATCTTCATATGGTTAAAGCTCACCAGTGAATGCGACATTTAGACCCTGAGATTCTGATAGATAATATTAAAGGAAATTTAAAACTAAGAACAATAATTAACATCTGTTCATTTATTTACACACTCATTTATTAATTTGTGTATTAAACAATATTAATAACATATTTTGTGCCAGTCTCTCTTCTGGTTACTCAAGATGTATCAATAACCACACCAAACAAAAAAACTCCCTATCTGTGTATGATTTACATTTTAATGGAAGCAGAAGAACATAGATAGTAACAAGGTAAATGAGGGTGCAGGGTTGGGATTGGAGGCTGACACAGGTGACAATGTTTAGATGATCACAGCAGCCCTGTTTAGAAAGCTTCATGGATCTAAGACATGCAGAAAGTGGGGGTGACCTTTACTGAGTGCCCTTTCTATTTATAAAGCAGGGACTATTACTTCCCCATTCTACAAGTGAAGAAACAGAGGAACTTCCCACATTCACTTCATTTTGCTTTGTTTTAATTTCTAAAATCTTACCAGGGGTTCATTTTAGTGAGTTCTTAAGCCCAGGATTTTCTGTTGCTTTTGGTATTTGTTGTTTAGTGTTATGCTTTCCCTAAGGAGAGAGGCTGTAACTCACCTTTAACCTCATTATCTGTATGACCTCCTCTTTGGTCTATTTCATTCTTCTCTAACAAATATTTTAAACATTTACTTATCAGAGTAAATATGAAAATGCAGCTCTAGTTTTCCAAGAAACTTGTATTTATATCTACAATGTTAAGTGTTTCTGATTGCCACATGTTACCATGGCTACAAGAAATTATTTTAGTTTGTTAGTTTTGTAGGAACATGGAAATTATTACTTTTTAAGCTTTTGATTCTCAATAGCTTAAAATGTATTACCTCATTTGAAAAGAAAGTACACATTTTAAAAATGCAAACTATTTCCTTAACTTAGCTATAGTTGTCTCGTTTTAGGTTTTATGGAATACTTCTTCAGCCAGTAAAAAACAAACAAATTTAAATTGGATGTGCTTCCCCTCAAAAAAAAATAAATTAGGTATATATTTGAATAAAAGTATGCCAGAATGTTTAAGGCACATGTGAAAAACAACATAAATTTCCTGTTCCAATCTCATTCGCCAAATACATGAAAAGTAGACGCAATCTTGAATTTCTTTCACCTGAATGGGGCCTCAAGAACTTCAATCCACAGTCACCACATGGGCAAATTAATTGAATATTTCTGAATGTCCCACGTTGTGCCAGGCACTGTGCTCCTGTTGTAGCCCGTTCACATCAGCCAGGAAGCGTAAGACATTATTGCAATTTTGGAGAACATGTTTTTCTGCCCTTGCTTTGCAAGAGTCCAAATAATGGAGAGGGGTTTTCACAAAATAACTTCACTGTTCTTAACAACTGAAAAACTTTTCTTTCCAAAAGTTGAGCTCTTACAACAGCATAAAAGAGTGTTCACTGTGAAGCAGAGCTGCTCAGCACTTTCCTAGGTCATCCAAGGCAGTTCAGAGCATTGAGAAGGCTAGGATGCGACAATCGACTCACCCTTCAGTAGTGTTTCTTCCTGTGCTGGATAAAATTAAATGCAGCATTGTTAAGTATCAAGATGGTCCATTGACATTGCCAACATTCTTTGACTTTGTTTGGAAAGGAAATCATTCCAGTCCTATTGCCGGGATCACAGTCCTTCAGGCAATTCTGTCTGATACAATTGTGTGTGGGGGAAGAGTAACATTCATCTCTCTTGAACTAAAAATTCTGATGCATGAATGTGTTTCTCTAATTCTAGCTTGGTGTCTTAAATTCAATATCATACCAATGTCTACTTACTAGTCCACAATGACTCTTATGTCCCACTGCATCAATGCCTGGGAAGGAATGTTCCAATTTCTGTCACCTCCTTGGAAGACTCTTGGATATGTTCCTAGTTGTCTGGTCAACAATCCCCCCAAAATCCAAATTTACAGTGAACACTTTTTTGTAACAATATGTGTATGAGGTATAAGAGACTAACATTAACTGCAACAACTGTTGCATCCCAGGCATCATGCAGTATACAAACACACACACAGATGTATACACACATACACTCTACACTTCTGCAGGGGCATGGTAAATTATGTGTGTGTGTGTGTGTGTGTGTGTGTGTGTGATAAACCATCTCACTTAATACTTGTTATTAACACAATACTATGGTGTCAATGTTATATGTAATTTACAAATCAGGGAACATTCTCAGAGTGTTTGAATAGCTACCCTAATTTCACTCCTTTAATAATAAGCAGACTCAATATTTGAACCCATGCCTGATATCAAAGGTAGTAATATTATGACAATCATAATGGCTAACATTTGTTGTTTACTATCTATGCTGGGCAGAGTGTTTTACCAGCATTATTTTCACTTAAAAATAACAACAGCCACAGAGGTAGCTTTTACTATTATATTATTGCCATTGTGTCCGGAATTGGTGGGTTCTTGGTCTTGCTGACTTCAAGAATGAAGCCGTGGACCCTCATGGTGAGTGTTACAGTTCTTAAAAATGGTGTGTCCAGAGTTTGTTCCTTTTGATGTGCAGACGTGTCTGGAGTTTCTTCCTTCTGGTGGGTTCGTGGTCTCATTGACTTCAGGAGTGAAGCTGCAGACCTTCACGGTGAGTGTTACAGTTTATAATGGCAGCACATCTGGAGTTGTTCATTTCTCCCAGTGGGTTTGTAGTCTTGTTGACTTCAGGAGTGAAGCTGCAGACCTTCACAGTGTTACTGCTCTTAGAGGTGCTGTGGACCCAAAGAGTGAGCAGCAGCAAGATTTATTCCGAAGAGCTAAAGAACAAAGTTTCCATAGAGTGGAAGGGGACCTGAGCGGGTTGCCACTGCTGGCTCGGGTGGCCTGCTTTTATTCCCTTATTTGTCCCCACCCACATCCTGATGATTGGTCCATTTTACAGTGAGCTGATTGGTCCATTTTACAGAGAGTTGATTGGTCCGTTTACAAACCTTTAGCTAGACACAGTGCTAATTGGCGTGTTTACAATCCTTTACCTAGACAGAAAAGTTCTCCAAGTCCCCACCTGATAAGCTAGACACAGAGCACTGATTGGTGCATTTACAAACCTTTAGCTAGACACAGAGTGCTGATTGGTGCATTTACAATCCTTTCGCTAGACAGCAAAGTTCTCCAGGTCCCCACCCAATTAGCTAGACACAGAGCACTGATTGGTGCATTTAAAATCCTTTAGCTAGACAGAAAAGTTCTCCAAGTCCCCAACCAACCCAGAAGCCCAGCCGGCTTCACCTCTCAATCCCCCCTCCAAACAGGACACCCCAACTGCTGTTGGGAATTTGGCTGATGACCACTCTAGCTACTTCCTGCTGGATATAGGGGAAGAAGGGGCCATGAAGTTGTAGTGTCCTCCAGAGGAGAACTCTTTAGGCCAGTGGAAGGACCAGTGGGTCGGTCCAGGGGTCCTCGGTAAAAGTTGTTAGTTGAACTCATTTGGGGTTCCATTTGTAAGACCATCTGTAGCTTGATGGCCTCGATTCTAGAGGAAACGAATTTGACAAGCAGGTTAAAAATACAGGGCCCAAAGGTGAGTAACAGCAAGATGGCTGCCATGGGACATAGAAAGGGGAGAAGCCATGTTGCCCAACTCCAGAGGTTGGTATAAGAGTTTGAAAGGCATTGTCTGATTTCAGAAGCCTTTTCCTGTAAATGCCAGGCAGCATCTCATACTATCCCTGAATGGTTAGTGTAAAAATAACACTCTTCCCCTAAGAAGGTGCAGAATCCTCCTTTCTCAGCAGTGAGGAGGTCTAGGCCTCCATGGTTTTGGAGAGTCACTGCTCCCAAAGAGTCTATTTGGGATTGTAGAGTAAGATAGATTTCGTTATTTCTTGCAAACTATCTGAGAAATCCTTTGAGAGTGTGTGGTGGTAGTAAGATCATGAAGTAGATAGACTGGCTATTCCAGTTCCTGTAGCAGTAGCCATTCCTAACCCTATAAGTAGGGATATTAGTTGTACGGCTCTGCACTGATGGACTTGAGCTTTGAGGGGTACTGATAAGGTCTGATTTCCTGGGGCAGTGATAATGTTGGGACTTAGAAAGACTAAGGAGCAGGTGCCTGTCCAGTTAGTGGGGAGGCAGATATAGGTCGATGTTCCACATAAGAATATACCTTGGCTGGGTAGACAGAATTGGTTGTGTATGTTCAAAAGGTGTGTGAATTTGTTGCTTTCATTTTCCCATACTCCTAGAGTACTTGCCTAGGTAGCTCCAGTGAGTGGCTGGAAAGGGGTGTTGGGAGCAAACTGAGTGGCTCCCTATGTTCTATTTTCCCACTGGAGAAAAAACCTTTTTGTATCTACTAAGAAACAATCGAGAGAGTGATTGAAAGAGAGGATGAGAAGGCATTCACTAGTGGTAGGGGCACTGCTGCAGGGGGTCCAGGGGTGAATGGTCATGCAAGGAGTATGTTTGCCATTACAAAACTTGGACTGTTTGTTAAGCAGGGAGGAGGTGATGATTTTTTGGGGCCCTGAGAAGCAGACAAGCCATCTGAATGGAGCTGTTTGGGTGACTCGGAAGTTACTATGATCAGTTGGGGCTTGAAGTTGCGGGGTTTAATTACACTGATGGAGTAGTAGGTGCCCCGGGGGCAGGCCTGATAACAGGTTGCATTGGATGCATAAAGGGACTTGGAAAGTTAAGATGGTATTCATAATTACAGGTCTGTGTATGGGCTTTTCCTTGCTTGTGTAAATAGGTGAGGTTGGAAATCTAGGAACGTAAAAGTTGGATTGCACGTCCTGTTAGGGTATTCTTGGTCCTATCAGAGATGGGGAAGTTGGCTAATGATTGCATGTTTAGAAGCCCAGAAAGGGTCTTTTGCTTCATAATGAGGGTGGTAGGTTAAGTTGGTAAAGACCCATTTTTTTTGTGGGAATGGGAGTGGCAATGTAAGCCGAGGTTGATAGAGAGATACAAAGCCAACAGTCATTTACCAGGGAAGGATTGGACTGGTTTAACAGAGAGTGGGTTAAGTTGAGAGTCTTGTAGAGGAGCTACAAGACTAATTAGGAGCTAGTGGAAGGGGAGGGAAGATTGTATGAGGTATCCAAGGAAGCAGGAGGGATACATAGGCAAAGAGTAAATAGGACAGTAAAGAGGGTGCTCTGGAAGAAGAGATCATTTTATCCAGTCTGAGTTAAAGGTAGGAGTGAATTGCTGTCAAAAGGAAGGAAGATAGAAAGAAGGTTGATGTGATTAGAATTTTCATCCTGGCAGGAGCTACAGTATATATTCCTATTGCAAAGAGTATGGTTATTATACTGCTTAATAATATGATGAAATAGTAAAAGGATTCCATTAAAGGGGCAAGGAGAGGTGTTAAAGATAAAGATTATGTAGGTTTTCACTTATCTTTCTTAAGGAAGAAGGGTTTTTTTTCCTGAGGATCAGTAGTAGGAGCCTTTTTAGTCTGGGATGTTTCCTTCTGAAATAGATGCAAGTCCTCCAGTGGTTCACCATTGGAGGCTAGTCTGGCTGATCTTGGGACTCCTGAGCTGACGGCCCCACAGGTTCCTCAGGGTGTGTCCAAAGTTTAACTTGGGTGTGGTGAATCCAAGATTCCACTCCTGCCATCTTACCTGCAGTGGAGGTAGGGATGATTACTGAGTATGGTCCTTCCCACAAAGAGTCCATAGATGGGCAGGTAGAGGGGAGAGATTTGACCAACACTAGATCTCCTGGTTGAAACAACTCTATTCCCTTTTCTCTGAGAACCTTCAGGTGGGTTTTTAAGGTTTTGTTGATATTTTGTCAAAGAAGTTACATCTTTCACCAAGTTGGCCATTTCCTGATCAAGTAGGAGGTCATTTGTGAGAAAAGGTCGTCCATACAGCATTTCATATGGACTGAGCCCCATTTTGTGAGGAGAATTTCAGATTCTCAACAAGGCCATGGGCAAAAGAGTAGGCCATGGGAGATGAGTTTCTTGTGTTAGTTTCCTTAAGTGCCTCTTCAGTGTTTCATTTGCCTTCTCAACCTTCCCTGAGGATTGTGGCCTCCAGGCGCAGTGAAGGTGATATTGTATCCCTAGCACTCTGGAAATTCCCTGAGTTACTGTGGCTTTAAAAGCCAGACCATTGTCACTCTGCAAGTTTTGGGGAAGCCAAAATCTAGGAATTATTTCATGAATTAGGACTTTAATCACTTCCTGAGCCTTCTCTGTCTTGCAGGGGAAAGCCTCTATCCAATTTGTAAAAGTATCAACACAGACCAACAAGTATTGAAATCCCTTTGACTTAGGCATATGGGTGAAGTCTAACTGCCAGTCCTCTGGGCCTTACAATGAACCAAGAGATTATTCTTTTGGCACACCTCACAGGCTTTGACTACCTGTTGGATGGTTCAGAGGAGATTTGGCCCTGTAAATAGGGATTTGGCCATTTGATGAGTGTTTTCAATGCCCATATGAAAAGTTTTGTGGAAGGTTTTAAGTATTTTCCACTGGCTGTGTTTGGGTATAAGTACCTTTCCTTCTTCTATAATTAACTACCCCAAGGGGAGAAAACTATGCCCCCATGAAGGTCCCCATTGTGTTTCAGTTGGGGAATACTGGGGCTTAATCTCTTGGAGGGGGTTGTTCCATACCAAGTGTCCTTCCATAGGTATTTCTAATGGGAGGTTCTCCCTGGCAGCAATTTTGCCCTCAGCATCTTCCCTACGGTTTCATTCCACCTTTTCTCCTTCACCTTTCTGATGGCTTTGGCAGTGTAAGACTGCCACCTCCTTGGGTTTTTGCACTGCGTACAATAACTCCATAATTTCCTTGTGGTATTTAATGGGGGTTCCCCCAGAGGTTAGGAATTCCCTTTCTTTCCATATTGCAGCATGGGCATGTAGGATTAGATAAGCATACTTGCTATCTGTATACACATTTATTCTTTTTCCCTTTCCCAGTTCTAAGGCTCGGGTAAGTGCCACCAGTTCTGCTAACTGGGCACTGGTCCCTGGGGGAAGAGGTTTACTTTTAAGTATGGTTACATCACTAACTATAGCATAACCTGCTCTTCATATCCCATTCTCCACCAATGAACTTCCATTGGTATATAGATTACGGTTAGGATTAGCTAAGGGGACTTCTAAGAGATCATCTTGGGCGGCATAAATCTGGACTATAATTTGTTGGCAGTCATGCTCGATTGGTTCCCCATCCTCTGGGAGAAAAGTGGCAGGGTTGATGGCCACACACATACGTATTTGGAGCACTGGTCCCTCAAAGAGTAGCACCTGGTATCTAAGTAGGTGGTTGTCTAATAGCCATAAACTTCCTTTGGCAGCTAGTATGCCATTTACGTCATGAGTAGTCCAGACAGTGAGATCCTTTCCTTGTATTATTTTGATAGCCTCTGACACTAAGATGGCCACCGCCGCAACTACCCATAAACAGTGAGGCCAGCCTTTTGCTACTACCTCAATTTCCTTACTTAGGTATGCCACTGGTTGTGGGGTTGTCCCCTGAGTCTGAGTAAGGGCTCCAAGGGCTATCCCTGCTCTCTCTGTGATGTATAAAGAGAAGTTTTGTCCGGTCGGAAGGCTTAAAGCTGGAGCTTGTACTAGGGTCTGCTTTAAGGTTTTGAAGTCTGTTTGTGCCCTTGGTTCCCATTCTACTAGATGAGTATTTGCCCTCTGGGTCTCCTTGACTAGACAATAGAGGGGCCTGGCTATCTCGCTGTATCCCTTTGACCTAGACACCTTGTACCCTTGATTAGCTAGAAAGTTCAAGAGATCTAGAGTAGCCTGCTGGCACAAGGCTTCTGAACTGGTAGCCAAAAGTAAATCATCCACATACTGAAGGACCAGAGTGCCTGGACTTGAGAAGTGGCCTCGATCTTGGGCCAGTGCCTGACCAAACAGGTGAGGGCTATCCCTACACCCTTGGGGCAAGATTGTCCATGTAAGTTGGGACGTGTGGTCTGTGGGATCCTCAAAGGCATAGAGAAACTAGGAGTCAGAGTGCAGGGGAATACAGAAGAAGGCATCCTTGAGGTCCAGAACAGTGAACCATTCTGCTTCCTCTGGTATTTGAGGGAGCAGGGTATAGGGGTTGGGTACAACTAGATATAGGGAATTACTGCCTCACTGATGAGTCTGAGATGTTTCACTAGTCTCCACTGACTGTTCAGTTTTTATACTCCCAGAATTGGGGTGTTGCAGGGACTGCTGCATTTCCTTACTAAGCCTTGAGTTTTTAAATGTTTAACAATATCCTGTAATCCTTTATGAGCTTCAGGTCTTAAGGGATATTGCCTTTGATAAGGAAAAGTGGTGGGGTCTTTTAGCCTGATTTGGACTGGGTGGGCATTTTTTGCCCTTCCAGATTGCCCTTCCAATGCCCAGACTTCAGGGTTGATTCCCTCTTCAAGTAGAGGACAACAAATGGGTAACTTGTTCCCCACATTCATGTAGATAATAGCTCCAGGTTGGCTAATATATCCTTCCCTAATAAGGGTGTGGGACTTTCAGGCATAACAAGAAAGGCATGTGAAAAGAGCAAAGTCTCCCAAATACAACGGAGGAGGTGGGAGAAATACCTGATTACAGGCTGTCCCAGGATTCTTCAGATGGTAACGGACCTTGAGGACAGTCATCCGGGACAGGAGATTAGCACTGAGAAGGCCATGCCAGTGTCCAGGAGGAAGTCAATTTCCTGGCCTTCAATGGCTAAACATACCCAGGGCTCAGTAAGGGTGATAACATGAGCTGGCACTTGCCCTGGGCAACCTCAGTCCTGTTGTTGGATCATCTGGTTGGGGGCTTCTGACCCAGAGAACCTTTGTCCTCTGGGGCAGTGCACCTTCCAGTGATTGCCTCAGCATAGTGGACATGGATGAGGGGGTGGCTCATTTCTCATTGGACAAGCTTTTTTTAAGTGTCCTTGTAAACCACACTAATAACAAGCCCTACCGTGTGATTGGCCTGCTCCATTATCTGTCCTCTCTGAACAACCAAGGTTTGTTTGTCTGAGGGCCATGACTAAGGCTGGGGCCTTTCTCTGATCTCACTTTTCCTTTTGGGCCTGTTCCTCTTGATCCCTATTATGGAACACCAAGGTTACCAGGTTTAATAATGCCTCCAGATTTTGTTCAGGGCCCAGGGCTTACTTTTGGAGGTTTCTCCTGATATCTGCAGCTGATTGGGTAATAAACTTATCTTTTAGAATCAATTGACCATTGAGTGATTCGGGTGACAGGGGAGTATATTTTCTTAAGGCATCCCATAGCCACTCGAGGAAGGCAGAAGGATTTTCTTCCTTTCCCTGAGTTATGGTGGACATCACTGAATAATTCATGGGCTTTTACCTAATTCTCCTTAGTCCTTCTAGAACACAGGTCAACAGATGTTTACGACTCCAGTCCTTATGATCTGATTCAAGGTCCCAGTGGGGATCCATACTGGGGACGGCTTGCTGACCTGTAGGGAATTTGCCCCTTTCTTCAGCTGTCATTCTGTCATTTACTTGACTAAGATACCAGGTATCTCCAAACTCTCGGGCTGCAGCCAAAGCCACATTCTTTTCATTAAAGAAACAACACCTACCCAAGAACCCGCAATTGCCCCTGGACCCTGCTGATCAGAATAGTTGCACTCACTGACACAGCAATAGAAACACTAGTTTTCCTCCCAGACCACAAGGAGGACTGAGGAAGGTCAGATTTAGTGGTCCTTACTGACACATTCTCGAAAACTTGCACCCTTGCCTGTCCTCCTAGACCACAAAGAGGACCGAGAAAAACCAGATTTAGTGGCCCTTACCAACACATTCTCAAAAACCTGTTAGAGTCCTAAGCATTCTCCTGTTAGTATTGGGACCTTACCCATGTCCTATAAAGATGTTATGCTCCAAAAATGAAGTTTAGGGCCATACCCTGAGGGAGGGAAGTGATCTCCAGGGTTGGGAGAGTGACAGCTTTTGTCCTTACTTATATGAATAGGAAGGATACAATTTCTGAGGCTCCCCATATCGTAGCTTCAGGAATAGCTTTCGTTAGGCCTGCTAGATCTGAGGGGTCCTAAAATTCCAGATAGTCCCCCCTATGATGGGGCTTTGGGCAAAAATTATGTCTTTCTGATTGGTGAGCCTGGGTGCCTAAAGAAGGTAACAGAGTCCTGGAGTTTATACTAGAAATCATTCTTACAGGAAAAACTGGAAAAGCACAAGAGACAGGGAGTGGTTTTTAGAAACAGGACTAGCCTTGGAGAAGAGAGGTGAGAGGAAGTTTTTCTGACAGGCATTAAGACCCAGGAGACAAGGGTCAGGATAGATAAGATAGATTGGTGAGTTTTGCTTGGGCGGCATGACTTTGAGAGTTCCACTCATGGCCTCAGGGTCAACTAACTTGTTGTTGGGACTCCAGAGCTGAATGCCTTTCCTCTCTGATGACCCTCAGTTCAGCCCAGAAGTAGAGGAAAAGTGGAAGCTGGTTCCAGGCAAACCAATGCTCCCAACTCCAAAGAGTTGAGAGTTGTTAGAAAGCCCTTTCCCAGAAAGCCTGACACCCGTGTCTTTTGTCTGGCAGCCTAAAGACTTGCTTTTGACTGGCCAACAGGTGCCCAGTATTTAGCCCCTGAATTCTAAGGAAAAATAGGACAGACTAGCAAGTGAGAGGGGTCTGATGGCACTCACCGCTTGGCGATAGGTGATAGTCTCACCACTTGGCAATAGGCAATGGTCCCTTTGTGGTCACCAAAATATGTCTGGAATTGGTGGGCTTTTGGTCTCGCTGACTTCAAGAATGAAGCCGCGGACCCTCGCAGTGAGTGTTACAGTTCTTAAAGATGGTGTGTCTGGAGTTTGTTCCTTCTGATGTTCAGACATGTCCAGACTTTCTTCCTTCTGGTGGGTTTGTGGTCTCGCTGACTTTAGGAGTGAAGCTGCAGACCTTCACAGTGAGTGTTACAGTTTATAAAGGTGGTGCATCTGGAGTTGTTCATTCCTCGTGGTGTGTTCGTGGTCTCACTGACTTCAGGAGTGAAGCTGCAGACCTTCACACAGTTATAGCTTATAAAGGTGGCGTGGGCCCAAAGAGTGAGCAGCAGCAAGATTTATTCCAAAGAGTGAAAGAACAAAGCTTCCACAGAGTGGAAGGGGACCCAAGCAGGTTACCAGTGCTGGCTCAGCTGGCCTGCTTTTATTCTCTTATCTGGCCCCACCCATATCCTGCTGATTGGTCCATTTTACAGGGAGCTGATTGGTCCATTTTACAGAAAGCTGATTGGTCCATTTTACAGAGCGCTAATTGGTGTGTTTACAAACCTTTAGCTAGACACAGAGTGGTGATTAGTGCATTTACAATCCTTTAGCTAGACAGAAAAGTTCTCCAAGTCCCCACCTGATTAGTTAGACACAGAGCACTGATTGGTGCATTTACAAACATTTAGCTAGACACGCAGTGCTGATTGGTGTGTTTACAATCTTTAGCTAGACAGAAAAGTTCTCCAAGTCCCCACCTGATTAGCTAGAAACAGAGTGCTGATTGGTGCATTTACAAACCTTTAGCTAGAAACAGAGTGCTGATTGGTGCATTTACAATCATTTAGCTAGACAGAAAAGTTCTCCAAGTCCCCATCTGACCTAGAAGCCCAGCCAGCTTCACCTCTCACCATCATTTGATAGATGAAGAAAGAGCCCAAGAAACAAAGAGTTCTAAGAAAGTGAAGGCAGAGACCAGCCAGGAAACCTCATGTAAGTAGTTCATTCTTGTTGTATAGGACTCCCCACTACATAACACTCAGCTTCCGTGTTCCTAAACTCAATCTATACCAATTTATTTCTAATTGTGTGGGTTTGAGGAGAACCCTTGACAGCATTCCTTGAAACATTCACATTCTTTCCCCAAATCTTTGCAGAAAATAATGCATAAATAATAAGTGACTAAGATTTGTCATGGTATATTTAGAGGGAAATAAATAATTTCTGTCATGCATGTTCATGTGAAGAGAACACCAAACAGGCTTTGTGTGAACAATAAAGCTTTTTAATCACCTGGGTGCAGGTGGGCTGAGTCCAAAACGAGTCAGTGAAGGGAGATAGGGGTGGGGCCGTTTTATAGGATTTGGGTAGATAGTGGAAAATTACAGTCAAAGGAGGTTGTTTTCTGGCAGGCAGGGGCAGGGGTCACAAGGTGCTCAGTTGGGGAGCTTCCAAGCCAGGAGAAGGAATTTCACAAGGTAATGTCATCAGTCAAGGTAGGAACCGGCCATTTTCACTTCTTTTGTGAATCTTCACTTGCTTCAGGCCATCTGGATGTATATGTGCAGGCTTGGGCTCAGAGGTCTGACATTCCTGTCTTCTTATATTATAAGAAAAATAACAAAATAGTATTGAAGTGTTGGGGCATCGAAAATTTTTGGGGGGTGGTATGGAGAGATAATGGGTGATGTTTCTCAGGGCTGCTTAGAGTGGAATTAGGGGTGATGTGGGAACCTAGAGTGGGAGAGCTTAAGCTGAAGGAAGATTTTGTGGTAAGGGGTGATATTGTGGGGTTGTTAGAAGGAGGATTTGTGATATAGAATGATTGGTGATGGCCTGGATGCAGTTTTGTATGAATTGAGAAACTAAATGGAAGACACAAGGTCTGAATAAGAGAAGGAATAAAGCAGGCATTAAAGGACTAAGAATTGGAAGGACCCAGGACATCCAATTAGAGAGTGCCCCAAGGGGGTTCAGCATAATTACTTGCTTGGTTGGTGAGTTTTGGGGCTCCATCCTTGAGTTTTTTTATGTTGTCATACACCAGGCCAGATTGATTTAGGTAAAAACACTTTTCATTTAAAAACATAGAGTCTCATTTTTTTTAGCAGTGAGTAAGTCGAGTCCTCGGCGATTTTGGAAGAAAGAGAAATGCAAAGCCAGCAATTGTTTGTTAAAGAAGGATTAGAAATGGCTAGGACAGAGCGAGCGAGATTGATAGTGTGGTGGAGATAGCTGGGGAGAGGTAGAGGGTGGCATAAGAATGGGAGCGAGAATAAGAGTGAGTATAAAAGTAAAGAATAGGACTTCATCAGGGTGAAAGTATTGGAGTGTACTTCCTGTCAGCAAAGATTATCTATCCACTTTAAGAGATAATTAAGGGTGGTGGTTTGAGGTAAAACCAGGAGATATCAGTTATGATGGTTTGAAGGAAAGGTGTAAACCGGCAGTGTAAAGAAAGGTAAGGTATTTATGAGTAGTTGAGGATGGTGAATAGGAGTATGACTAGACAGAAGATAGTAAGGATGACAAGTTTTTGGGGTGCAGTTCAAGTTGGGCTGGTGTCTGGACTTAGACTGGGCCTAATAAAAAGGAGCCTCCATACAGGAGCTCAAAAGAGCTGTACCCTGTAGCATCCCAAGGACAGACTCTAATTCGGAGAAGGACAAGAGGTAAAAGTACTGTCCAGTCCTTTTTAAGTTGGAGGCTGAGCTTGGCGAGGTGTGTCTTTAAAAGACTATTAGTCCATTTTACCTTTCCTGAAGATTAAGGACAGTAAGGGTTATGAAGTTTCCACTGAATACCAAGAGCCTGAGAAACTGCTTGGGTGATTTGACTAGTAAAGGATGGTCTGTTATCAGATTGCATAGAGGTGGGAAGGCCAAACCAAGGAATTATGTCTGACAGAAGGAAGAAATGACCACGGTGGCCTTCTCAGACCCTGTGGGAAAGGCCTCTACCCATCCAGTGAAAGTGTCTACCCAGACCAAGAGGTATTTTAGTTTCCTGACTTGGGGCATGTGAATAAAGTCAATTTGCCAGTCCTGGGCAGGGGCAAATTCTCAAGCTTGATATGTAGGGAAGGGAGGGGGTCTGAACAATCCCTGAGGAGTAGTAGAATAGCAGATGGAACACTGAGAAGTGATTTCCTTGAGGATAGATTTTTACAATGGAAAGGAAAAGAGAGGTTTTAAGAGATGGGCTAGCAGATTGTAACCCTCATGGAAAAGGTTATGAAATGACGACAGAATAAAATGGGCCTGTGAGGCTGGAAGGAGATATATTCCTTGGTCCAAGAACCATTTGCCTTGTGTGGGAAGAGATTGATAGGTGGAAGTTTCAGTGGGAAAGTAGGTGGGAGTGACCCATGAGAAGGAGAAAAATTGACCATGAGGGAGAGAAGTTGGAACGCTAGCTGCTTCTTTAGCTACCTGATTAGCATAAGCATTGCCCTGAGCGATAGGATCTGATGCCTTTTGGTGGCCCTTGCAGTCAATGACTCCAGCTTCCTTTGGAAGTAAAGCAGCCTTGAGAAGAGTTTTTATTAAAGAGGCATTAATGATGGAGGACCCTTGCATAGTGATGAGACTTCTTTCAGCCTATATAACAGCATGGCGGTGCAGGATATGGAAGGCATATTTTGAGTCAGTATAAATAATGACACATAGTCCCTTTGCAAGAGTGAAGGCTCGAGTTAAGGCAATGAGTTTGGCTTGCTGAGAGGTAGTGGAGGGAGGCAGAGAGGTAGCCTCAATGATAGATGTGGAAGATACTATAGCATAGCCTGCCTTTGCTGGTGAGTGACGATTAGGCCTGGTGGAACTGCCATCAATAAACCAAGTGTGATCAGTGTGAGGAACAGGAGAGAAGGAAATATAGGGAAATGGAGTGAATGTCATCTGGATCAGAGAGAAACAGTCATGGGGGTCACGAGTGGTATCCAGAATAATGTGGGAGACCAGATTGAAGTCTGGGCCAGGAACAATGGTAATTGTGGGAGACTCAACAAAGAGTGAGTATAGCTGAAGGAGCTGGAGAGCAGAAAGTATATGCATCAGGTGTGAGGAAGAAAATAGATTTTGGAAGTTATAAGAACTGTAGAGAGTGAGTTGAGCATAGTTTGTGATTTTGAGGGCCTCTAAAAGTATTAGGATGGTGGCAGCCACCGCATGGAGACATGATGGCCAGCCTAAAACAGTAAGGTCAAGTTGTTTGGACAAAAAGGCTACAGGGCATGGTCCCGGTCCTTGTGTAAGAATTCTGACTGCATAAGCCCTGCACTGTGGCTGTGAGTAATGAAAAGGGTTGGGATGAGTCAGGGAGAGCTACTGTGGGAGCAGTCTTTAAAGCTGTCTTCAAGGAAAGGAAAGAGGAGTGGGGAAATGATTTAGGATATATGGGGTCAGCTAAGTTTCCTTTTGTGAGCTTATATAATCGTTTTGTTAGGATGGCAAAACCAGGTATCCAAAGGCGAAAGTATCCAACAATGCCCAGGAAGGAAAGCAGTTGCTGTTTTGTAGAAGGGATTGGGCTGGAGAGATCAGTCAGACGCAATTGGCAGGGAGAATCCATGTGTTTGCATGAAGAATTATGCTAAGATAGGTAATGGATGAAGAAGAAATTTGGGCTTGACTGAAGTAATGGAGGCTGTCTGCAAAGCCCTGTGGCAGTACAGCCCAGGTAAGTTGCTGAGGCTGATGGGTGTCAGGGTCAGTCCAAGTGAAAGTGAAGAGAGGCTGGGATGAAGGGTGCAAAGGAATAGTAAATAAAGCATGTTTGAGATCCAGAACAGAATAATAATAGGTTGTGTAGGGAGGTATTGAGGATAGGAGAGTATATGGGATTGGCACCATAGGGAGGATAAGCAAAATAATTTGGTTGGTAAGGTGCAGATCCTGAACTCACTTGTAAGACTTGTCCGTTTTTTGGACAGGCAAAATGGGGAGTTTATAGGCTTTAAAAATTGCAAGGAGAGTTTATAGGCTTTAAAATCGCCATGCTGTAACAGGTGAGTGATAACAGGCTTTAATCCTTTTAAAGCGTGCTGTGGGATGGGATATTGGCAATGAGCAGGGTAAGGGTGATTAGGTTTTAATGGGATTGTAAGGGGTGCATAATCGGTCACCAAGGAGGGAGTAGAGGTGTCCCATACCTGTGGATTAAGGTGGGGAGATACAAGGGGAAGGTGAGAAGGAGGCTTTGAACTGGGGAAAAGGGCAGCAATGAGGTATGGCTGTAGCCTAGGAATAGTCAGGGAAACAGTTAATTTAGTTAAAATGTCTTGACCCAACTCCCTTGACCCAAGAGAGTTGGGCAGGTGAGGATAACTAAAAAGAAGTGCATAAAAGAATGTTGTCCAAGTTGGCATCAGATTTGGAGAGTTTTAAGAGGTTTAGAATCCTAGCCGTCAATACTCACAATAGTTATGGAGGCAAGAGAAACAGGCCCTTGAAGAGAAGGTAATGTGGAGTGGGTAGCCTCCATATTTATTAAGAAGGGGACAGACTTACCCTCCACTGTAAGAGTTACTGAAAGCATCTACGATGGCCCAGGAGGCTTCCAAGGTGATCAGGTAGTGTCAGTCTTCAGCCACTAAGCAAGAAGATCTGGGAAGGAGTCAGTCAGAGAACCTTGGGCCAGAGTTCCAGGGGCTCTGGGAGTGGCTGCCAGGTGAGTTGGACAGTCTGATTTCCAGTGGGGTCCCACACAGATGGGACACAGCTTAGAAGGAATGCCAGGCTGTGGGCATTCCTTGGCCCAGTGGCCAGATTTTTGGCCTTGAAGTAAGATCCTGATGGAGGAGGTCCTGTAGGAATGCTTGATTGCTGCAGCTTAGGCATTTTGAAGTTCTTTTGTGCTGGAGATGTGGCTGGGGTTTCTCTCACAGTGGAGGCAAGGAATTGCAACTCAGAAATATGTTGCTACTTGGCTGCCTCTACTCTATTATTGTACACCTTGAAGGCAAGGTTAATTAAGACCTGTTGTGGGGTTTGAGGGCTGGAATCTAATTTCTGGAGCTTTATTTAATGTCAGGAGTGGATTGGGTAATAAAATGCATATTGAGAATAAGACAGCCTTCTGACCCTTCAGGGTCTAGGGCTGTAAAGCATCTCAGGGTTGCTGCCAAACAAGCCATGAACTGGGCTGGGTTTTATATTTGGTGAAAAAGAGCCTAAATGCTAACTGATTTGGGAGAGGTCAGATAAAGAAAAAGGAGCATTAACCTTGACTATGCCTTTAGCTCCAGCCACCTCTTCAAGAGGAAATTGTTGGGCATGTTGGGGAGGGCTAGTTGTGGAATAAAACTGTAACCCAGGACCAGGTGTGAGGAGGGGAGGTGATAGAAGGATTATAGGGTGGGGGAGCAGAGGCTGAGGAAGAATTGGAGCCTGATTCAGCAGGCTGGGGAGCAACCTGAGGAGGAGCAGTCTGGGGAGGAGGGGAGAGGTCAGATGGGTGGTAGAAAAAGAAGATTGAAAAGACTCAGCAATGCTTGGGGTTGGGACTGAGGGGACAGGTGGGAGGGAAAGAAGTAGGATTTGGGATGAGTCCCATTGGGAGCAGAGACTAGGGAGGGACTGATGTGTAAAAGAATGCCTGGACGTCAGGCACCTCAGACCATTTGCCCATTTTACGACAAGAATTGTTTAGATCTTGTAGGATGGAAAGATTGAAAGTGCCATTTTCTGGCTAATTGGAACCATTGTTGAGTTTGTATTGGGGTTAAGTGGTATGACAGAAGAAAATAAGACATTTAGATTTTAGGTCAGGTGTGAGTTGAAGAGGTTTTAAGTTCTTGAGAACACAGGCTAAGGGAGAAGAAGGAGGAATGGAGGGTGGAAGGTTGCCTATAGTGAAGGAGGCAAGCCCAGAGAAAAGAGAGGGTAGAGACATGGAGAGAAGGGGTGGGGGGTGCTTGCCCCCCAGGAAAGTGGTGCTTGCCACTAAGCATGAAGGATCAAGGCAGGCATCCCCACAGTGATTGGAGACCTCTGAAACGTGGGTGAATAATCAAGCAGGCATCCCCGCAGTAATTAAACACAAAGGGAAGACTTCCCAAGTCCGTGACCAGCACTGGAGTTTTGGGTTCACGGATAAAACGTGTCTCCTCTGTCTCTACCAGAAAAGGAAAGGAACTGAAATTAAGAGAAGGGAGAGATTGAAAGATGGCACCAAGATCGAAAGGAGAAAGAGGTTGAGGGATAGTGAGAGAGGTTGGAGAAGAGAGTAAAAAGAGGCCGCTTACCCAATTTAAAATTGGTGAGATGTTCCTTGGGCTGGTTGGTCTGAGGACCCGAGGTCATAGATGGATCTTTCTCATGGAGCAAAGAGCAGGAGGACAGGGGATTGATATCCCAAGGGAGATCCCCGGATCCAAGTCATGGCACCAAATGTCACACAAGTCCATGTGAAGAGAACACCAAACAGGCTTTTTGTGAGCAATAAAGCTTTTTAATCACCTGGGTGCAGGCAGGCTGAGTCCAAATAGAGACTCAGTGAAGGGAGATAGTGGTGGGGCCATTTTATAGGATTTGTGTAGGTAGTGGAAAATTACAGTCAAAGGGGGTTGCTTTCTGACGGGCAGGGGTGGCCATCATAAGGTGCTCAGTGGGGAAGCTTCTGACCCAGGAGAAGGAATTTCACAAGGTAATGTCATCAGTTAAGGCAGGAACTGGCCATTTTCACTTCTTTTGTAATTCTTCACTTGCTTCAGGCCATCTGGATATATACGTGCAGGCCTGTGCTCAGAGACCTGACATTTTCTTCTTCTGTGTACACTATATTGTAACAAAAAATAAAAATGACAAAGCAGACCATTAAAAATAATGATCTATACATTTTTAATGATTGCTATTGATACAAATTTGATAATTACATAGACTGTATAAATTCACAGCCTTTTGCTCCTAAACTTATATTTTGTAAATGCCCCTAAAACATTTGAGCTTCTGGCCACATTATTTCAAAGTGGAATAATAGATCTTCTATGTCATCAGATACTTGGCTTGACAAAAACAGCCTACCTTGTCTAGACACCTGGAATTCTGGTGCAGAGGTATCTCTTTTTTAATAGAGGTTCATCTGTCAGTGTGTGTGGGAGTTCCCCAGAAATAAATCATCACTTGCAACTCAACCTCACAATCAGCTGTAATTATAAGTTGGACAAAATGTCAAAGAATCTATATATACAGATCAATTTATAGGAGAGCAGTTAGTAGAAATGAGGAATCCAGTAAAGGGAATATTTACCTCCTGCTGGTCAAGCTTAAGTAATTGAAGTTTATACTCCCTTCTCATTCAGTGTTGCCCAACAAGATCAGGTGTTCATCTCAAATTTCAACGAAGCAGATTGGGAATGTTTGTTTTTCTTGTTTCTGTTGTTCTTGAGGATAAAGATTATCCTTAGCAGTTATGAAAAACGATATCTTTTTGCTGAATCATCAACTTTTGTTCATTCTGAAATCCTATGACAGTGACAACAGTTCTTTGGGGAAAAAAAAATCCAGCTTAGATATTCTAACCTTAAAAAGTTAACAGACATTCTCTATTGTGAATTTTTTTCCTATTATATTTTTGTTTGTGTTGTAAATCATAGTTACAGTGTCGCATAGATACCAGCCTTAACTTAGGCTTGAGAGGTAGAATTCTCTTAACTAACAATTGAGAGGGACATTTTCTAATTCAAATTTAGCTTTAGAGTTATGGCACATAAAGGAGACCCTTACAGAAAATTTGATTGTTTTATAGGCTGAGTAATAAAAACCTTCTTAGGCCCACAATTTAGCACAAACTTTCAAGTAGCTGTAACCGCTCAATGGGTTCACCTTGCCCACTGCCTAGACAGAGCCAATTTATCAAGACAGAGGAATTGCAATAGAGAAAGAGTAATTTGCACAGAGCCAGCTGTGTGAGAGACTGGAGTTTTATCAGTCTCCTGGAGCATTCAGGGAACAGAGTATTTAAGGATAATCTGGTGGGTGCAGGAAGGCCAGTGAGTAGAGAGTGCTGATTGGCTGGGTTGGAGATGAAATAATAGGGAATTCTTGGGTGGAGGCCACAAGATGAGATGAGCCAGTTTATCAATCTCGGTGGTGCCAGCTGATCCATCAAGTGCCAGGTCTGCAAAATATATCAAGCACTGATCTTCGGAGCAGTGTAAGGAAGATCAGAATCTTGTAGCATCCAGCTACATGACTCCTAAACTATAATTTCTAATCTTATGGCTAATTTGTTCATCTAGTCCTCAAGCAAGAAAGGGATTTGTCTTGGGACAGGCCTGTAATTAATATAATCTTTGTTTTAAACTATAAACTAAGTTCCTCTCAAAGTTAGTTCAACCTACCCCCAGGCTGAACAAGGAGTTTGGAGGTTAGAAGCAAGACGGAGTCAGTTAGGTAAGATCTCTTTCACTGTCTCAGTTACAATTTTGCAATGGTGGTTTCATAGCTGTACATTAAAAATTAAAAATAGGATCATTATTGCTTGGAGAATAACAAAACATGACTCATAAGATGAGGCACAGGAAAGCCTCAGGTACATGATGGGTTCAGGTACGTGACGACGTGGTGAGGGTTATTCTTTCCGAGGTTCCTTTGCATAACTCCCAAGTCACAAGTCTAGGGAAATAATGGATCTAATTTGCACCTGATATATTTTATGCCTTTGAAGCTGGACCTAGTCTTTATTTTTCTCCTTTATAACTTTTATTCTATAAAATACTCCTAATTACAAAATTATTTTTAAAATATTAACTTCATGAAGCATGAGAAAATTTTTCCAGACACAAAATTATCTTATAGACATATTTATATATACATATATATTTATATGCATATTTTATTTATAGTATATATAAATATATAGTATATATATTTATAGTATATATTTATAGTAAATATATATATTTATGTGTATATAGTATATATATTTATAGTATATATTTATAGTAAATATATATATTTATGTGTATATAGTATATATATTTATAGTATATATTTATAGTAAATATATATGTGTATATAGTATATATATTTATAGTATATATTTATAGTAAATATATATATTTATGTTTATATATAATATATAAATATATATAAATGTATATATGTGTGTGTATATGTGTGTGTGTGTGTGTGTATATATATATACACACACATTTTTATGGCATATGAGTGAGAATGTGTTCTCCCTCTTTTCCTTTCTCTTTCCCACCCCCTATTGGCAAAATAGAAACAAATCACAGGAATGATGATCTTGAGACATCAATTTAATTCGTACTTACTCAATTTGGGGTAGCTGTGAAGGATAAAGCTTTTTCAGTAAATTAAAAAATAAGTGGTTTGAAAAAGCTCACTTGATATGAAAATGTTTATTAAATTGTAATGACTGACAGCTGGATTCATTAAGTGAGGACATTTTCCATGCAAACATGAGGATCATTATATCAAAGAAGGTTGGTTTCAGCTGTAGTTGGGGAATAGTCACATTTTTAGGATTCAGTCATTGTTTCTGATGTCAGAGCTATATATTTAAAAAGTAGAAAATTCAAGAAGAGTAAGAGGCCATGACAAATGTGTATTTTAAAGTCTGCATTCAAAATATTCATATTGAATATTCCAAGCCACTACAATATTTAAAATTGTAGTAATGAGCGATGTTTCCATTTTGTACTCTGAAGCAACTCCATCCTTTGTGACATGAAGGGTTCCCATTAACTGCACAAGAACATGACCAAGGAAGTTTGACAAATGTTTATTGGCCGAGCTGACTGGTAAGGTGTGATAGATTGAAGACGGGAATGATGAGTAATAGAAAATCTCAGTGAAGAACTCTCTCTTGCTTAACATTATCTTAGGCATTTTAAAACTTTTCCAAACTTGTAACATTTGAATCACAAATAAAAATAGATGTTATTACAAGAAAAAAAAAAATCCCCATCAAAAAGTGGGCAAAGGATATGAACCAATACTTCTCTAAAGAAGACATTTACGTGGCCAAGAAACATATGAAAAAAGCTCAACATCACTGATCATCAGATAAATGCAAATCAAAATCACAATGAGATACCATCTCATGCCAATCAGAATGACACTCATTAAGATGTCAAGAAGCAATAGATGCTGGCAAGGCTGTGGAGAAATACAATGCTTTTACACTGTTGGTAGGATTGTAAATTAGTTCAACCACTGTGGAAAATAGTGTGGTGATTCCTCAGGGGTCCAGAACCAGAAATACCATTTGATCCAGCAATCCCATTACTGGGTATATACCCAAAGGAATATAAGTAATTCTACTATAAAGACAATGCATACATATATTTACTGCAGCACTATTTGCAATAGCAAAGACATGGAATGAACCCAAATGTCCATCAATGATAGACTGGATAAAGAAAATGTGGTAAATATACACCATGGAATACTACACAACCATAAAAAGGAATGAGATCATGTCCTTTGCAGGGACATGAATGAAGCTGGAAGCCATCATCCTTAGCAAACTAACACTGGAACAGAAAACCAAACACCACAGGTTCTCACTCATAAGTGGAAGTTGAACAATGAGAACACATGGACACAGGGAAGGGAACAACACACACCACGGCCTGTTGGGGGATGAGGAGTGAGGGGAGGGAACTTAGAGGACGGGTAATAGGTTCAGCAAACCACCATAGCACACATATACCTATGTAACAAACCTGCACGTTCTGCACATGTATCCTGTTTTTCTTTTTAGAAGAAATAAAGAAAAACAAAAATAAAAAAATAAGTAGATGTTATTTTTCTCACTTGAGGATCTATTCCTAGACTGGGTCTGAAATGATACTCCTTCATTTAAGATGTAGGAGGATTATTTCATTTATTTTCAACATTACTAGAAGTAATAACTCAGAGCTAAAATATGCATATTTATAAAATTAAGTATAAATTCATACCTAAAAAAGATATTGTTGTGCCTGAATAAAAGTTTCTGGTTGTATAACAGATTTATAGGGCAATACTGGAAATCAAGAAGTAGGTGACAGCTTTAATACATGATCTAAGAAAGGTTTATGCATGCTAGGACATGATACGAGATTGGACTGCCAGTTCCCTCAATCTAAAATAGTTGCTGATAAATAAGAGCTGTGCAACGCATTTGAAGTAGTGGTTTCCAAAAACATGGGCACCCTCATGAGGATGGAACAGTGAATCCTTCCAAGGTCATACTTCCTTCTGTATTGCTGATGCTTCTAGAGTTGCAAAAAAACAGAAAACTAGTCTGGCTAATGAACATAGGAGATGACTTTTTACATATCAGGAAGCTCATGGATCAATGGGAAGGCAAAGAACCAAGCTTTAAAAAATAATAAAGAGCAGGGAAGCTCCTGGGGCTTCACAGCAAACACTATTTAAATTTGAGGATGTCCCCAGTGGAGTACATGGTATGGAACAATTTTCCTCTTCTTGGATCACTTATCTCATGACTAGAAATCCTGAGAGAAGCATAAAATGATGTGTCACCACTCAGCTAAAGGAGGGTTGTGCCCCTTGATTGATGATCCCACCAAGTCAGCCCCTGATGTGGAAATAAATTGAGCATAGTCATCAAAGATGGGATGGACTGGGGGCAACAGGACACTGAACTCTCCTCTGCCCCCACCCTCAGCGAGCCTGACTTATTTCTTGCAGTCCTCATGCTTGTGCTGCCTCTTGCCCTCAGCCTCTTAAAAGCGTAACTGCACACTTACATCATGACTCCAACTGTATTTCAATTGTGGAATAAATGTTTTCTTCTCCATTTGGAGCTTTTCTCTTCCTCTTCTTCCTCCTTCTCATAATGAGCCTATAAAATCAAAGACTTTTATTGATTTCAGACTTTTAAACAAACATCAATAATCAATTTTAATAACCACCTGGGTTTATTTTATTTTTAGAACAAAAAAAGCAAACGAAACAAAAAACCCTTAAAACATCGTATTCTTTATATCATTATTTTTTTCACTGCAATATTCTTGGCCTTGTGATAGAGCCTAGAATAGAAATATGTATTTGTTGAACAAATAAGTCAATGCTTTTCTTTATATATGGTTTCTGTTTTTCCTAACTTGCTCATCCAAATAATTCCTACTCATCCTTTAAGTTTTGAGGACTGGGTTATCATAATTCAGCCAAACAACATTAAGGTTTGGCTCAGGCATCATTTGATTCTGAACTCCCAAACTAGCTTAGCGCCCTTCCTGTTTTTGTAGTACCTAGATTTTTTTCTACCACAATAATTACAACATTATATTGAAAATTTGTTTGCAGATGTTTCTGGTCTACAAACCATAAGCTTTTAAAAGACAAAATGTATGTATCTTTGTCTGCCATTAGTATTCCTAGGAACTAGTCATATAAAGTAATTACATTTCCACGAACCAGATTGCCAAGGTTCAAATCCAAATTTGGACATTTGACACTTTCAAACTCATCATCTGAGGCAGAGATTGTCCGCAATTGTGAGGCTAGCAGGGTAGCATTAAGTACTGAGGTGCTCCATATTTCTATTAGGAAGGTCAATATTTAAAAAAAAAACACTTCTGGGGTGTGGGTGGTCTGAGGTTGGTACTGGGAGGAGGGTCACACACAGAGAATAGGGAACTGGTTTGCTGGAGAGGAGATATAAGCCCCAGAAAGTGTGGGTCTGTATTTGGAGAGATGCAGTGAGGTGTTCCACAGGCCAGGGCCAGGACTGTGAGTTCACCAATGGAATGTGAGCTCTGGGTGCAAAATTGGAACACAGCACTCAGCTCTGTGAGATCCCCAAACACCAGTTTGGAAGCCATGCATCAACAGCCACAAGCAACAAAACAGAAGCACGCAAGAACTGAAATACTAACATCCTTTCTCTTGCAGTGTTCTTATAGTGCTCTCAATGAACAAAGCTTAACAGAATGTTTTCCATGAAGGAGAAATGCAAGGCATACAACTTTATTATTGCACAGCAGGTGATGAAAGGCGGATTTGGAGATCAGTCACCATAAACTGATGATTACAACAGTCCAATCAATTTCTATACACACCTTTCTCCACAAATTGAAACTCCTGTACACCTCAATATTATCAGCTAGGAGATACAGCTATCCTTTTTATAAGTGAAGTTTTAATTTTTTCCTAAGATGAAGAGAAGCACAGTCCCAAAATTTCTTGTATCTATCTGGCTATATTAAATACTCTTAAAATTTTGTTGCAGTCCCAATGAATATTCTATTACTTAAAGACAAGATTGTAAAGTTATACTTGAAATAGAATAAAAATGAGAGAGGAAGAGGAAAACTAAATAGCTTGCATAAATAAGCATATACATATACAATAAAGGAAAATATCCAAAGCTACAAGAGCCCTCATATCTGAAATTGCTCAAGCAGCTGTAGTTAATATCTATTGCTTCCTTCTTCCATTACACATTCCATATTTTTCTCACATTCAGTCAGAACCTCTGCTGGTCTTATTTCTTTTTTCCTTTTCATTTATTTATTTATTTATTTATTTATTTATTTATTTATTTATTGTATTTTTGAGATGGAGTCTTGCTCTTGTAGCCCAGGCTAGAGTGCAATGGCAGGGCTCACCACAACCTCTGCCTCCTGGGTTCAAGAGATTCCTGCTGCCTCAGCCTCCCAAGTAGCTGGAATTACAGGTGCCCACCATCACGCTTGGCTAATTTTTTTTATTTTTAGTAGGGACAGGGATTCACCATGTTGGCCAAGCAGGTCTCGAACTCCTGGACCTCAAGTGATCCTACTATCTCGGCCTCCCAAAGTGCTGGGATTTCAGGCATGAGCCACCATGCCTGGCCATTCTTGTTTCTTTATATGATGGAATGACCCAAACTTTTATTCCGAAATGGTCTACATCTCCAGTCACTCTGCCATTTTGTATTAGAACTTATTACATATGGAAACACTAAGACAATGTTCCAGAGAATCTTCTGGGTTTCAGTCACGTTGCTCCTAAACAATCACATGATGATGTGCTAAGAACAGAGTTACATTGTAGGGTCTCAGGTAAGCAGTTAAATGTTCCAAAACAGAAGGAACCTGTGCCATTTTTTAATCATAACTGATTGGCCGAAACTAGTTACATGGCACTGCCAACAGAAAAAGAAGGTAGGAAATTATAATTATCTTATGTGCATAAAAGACAGGAGACGTGGGTAGGGGTGAGCCCTAGAAGTATATACAAAAATAATCAAAGGAATTTTCAGCAACAACTATTACGATGTGATCACCAGTATTCATTGTATCATCTCCTTTCAAGTACTGCTATTTTCTTTGCCCCCATGAGTATATGCTCTGGGGGCACAGAGTGATACTGCTTATTAGAGTTCAGTCTCTTTTTTATTCTGACTTCTTTCACTTATAATTGGAATTTATGGAATTTTATGATTTTTTCTAAAAGTAGCATGCTTTCAAGTAAATAACAAATCTATCTAGATAAGTATATATGAAATTAAAGGTGACAAATTATGAATAAATGCCCAGAAGTTTTATATCCATAAACTTACAAATGTGAGAGAGTTTCGATACTCTCTCATTTGTACAAATAAGCAGTACAGAAGGTGCTCAGGAAACCTCAGTTCTTTCATCTTTTGTCTTTGCCACCAACTGTGTAAAATTAGGCAAGTTATTTTTAACCATTCTTTGTTTCAGTATGCTTTGGAACAATACTGTTTCGAAGGGTTTGCAGAACTCTTTAAACCCAAATAGGGGCTATCTATAGGACCATGGGCCTTAGTTTAACAATGCTTGGAAAAAATACTATTTCAATCATGACTGTGTTCTGCTGAATTTTGAGAAACCTGAATACAGTGACACAATAAAACAGGAAGGTTTTCTTGTTTCTTCTCACATAACAAGAATTCTGAAGGTTGGCAATTCAGGGCTGCTGTGATAATTTGATAGCACCATCAGTGTCATATGGATTCCACTCCCACTTCACCACGTCTGCTATTTTGTGTTTCTTATTGTTTTAATTTCATCTGCATAAGAAGGAAGATGAATGTGGAGAAGGCAAAGGGCAAGAGCCAGTTTCAAAAAAAAAAAAAATGTGTGTTACTTAGGCCTATTCTTTTTTAGTAATCACAGAATTGCTTTCCTGGAAGTCCTGTAGCCTCTACTAACAGATTATGGCCTGGAATATGGAACATGACTGTCTCTAGCTGCAAGGGGCTGACACAAATAAAATCTATATTCAGTAAGCAAGAAAAGAAAAATGAGTACTGATTAAGCAACCAGCAGTGTTTGTCACAGATAATTATTTAAGCTCAGTTTTTGCACTTTTATTCCAGAAATTTAATTTAATTTTTTTCTCTCTCTCTGTCTTAACAGGGCATTGAACTTTAGTTATAAAAACAATTTTTGTCCATTTGCAATTAATATAAGCATCAGGTATGAACCAGACACTATTTTCGCCACTAAAGACGGATAGTCCAGTCATACATGGTACTACTTTCATGGAATGTATATTTATACTTCAATATACAGTTAACTGGCCCATCTCAATGGAGTCTCACAAGAAAATTAAGCCCCAATATCCAATGATATAAATTGTTTGTAATGAATTATTTTGAAATATATACACCTACATGGCATTAGTTATGTACTATTTTTGGGAAATTTGGGAAATTAGTCACTCATAATTTTTCATGTTTAGATAAGTAACTGCAGCTGAGAGGCGCATATAGGTAGATTAATTAATTTTTTAAAGGAATGCCAAAGAGTGGCAACCATCATGAAGAAAAGCATAGGATGTTGTATTTAATAAATGATTAGTGGAAGAAATAGGACACATGAAATCCTATACCCAGCAAAACTATTCTTCAAATTATTCTTCAAAAGTGAAGAAGAAATTAAGAAATTAAGTGAAGAAGAAATTAAGACATTCTTATATAAACAAAAATAGTAATTCATAACTCATAGAATTGTCTTGCAAAAAATACTAAAATGAGTCCTTCAGGCTGAAATAATTCATTAAACAGTAACTCTGATCCACATGAAGAAACAAAAAGCAGTGGCAATGGTAACAATGGGCAAATATAAGGCAGTATAAATGCATTTTTGTTTGTAATACTTTTCTTCTCCTAAATAATTTAAAAGGCAATTGCAGCCAGACACAGTGGCTCATGCCTGTAATCCCAACAAGTTGGGAGGACAAGGCAGGTGGATCACCTAAGGTCAGGAGTTCAAGACCAGCCTGGGCAACATGGTGAAACCCCGTCTCTACTAAAAATACAAAAATTAGATAGGTGCTGTGGTGCATGCTTGTAATCCCAGCTACTCGGGAGGCTGAGAGAGGAGAATCGCTTGAGCCTGAGAGGCGGAGGTTGCAGTGAGCTGAGATTGCGCCATTGCACTCCAGCCTGGGTAACAGAGCAAGACTCCATTTCAAAAAAAGGCAGATGCATAAAGTAATAATTATAAATCTGTATTGATTGTTTTACATTGCAAAGGATATGATTTTTATAGCAATAATAGCAATAATTAGGAGGTAAGAAACAAAGTTATATTGGAGCAAAATTTGTGTATATTATTAAAATTAGGCACTATTAATTTGTACCAGATTGATTTGATCTAAAATGTTCATTTGCATCCTTAAGGCAACCATTAAGATAATTAAAAAAATATAGAGACTAAAAAGGGGGGATTAAAATGGTACACTATAAACTCTGTGTTTTACACAAAATGTTATATTTTTGTAAAATAAAGGCAGTAATAAAATAACTCAGGAACAATTGCATGACAATAACCCACATTCAGTACAAGATAGAACAGTTACGCAGAAAATAACAAGGACAAAAACATAAGCTAATGAGACCCACCAGATATCTATAGATACTCAACTGATAACAGCAGAAAACATTATTTTCAAGTACACATGGAACATTCTCAGGTATAGTCATATACAAGAATAAATTAAAAACTATAAAAACCATACAAAGTATATTTTATGACCAAAATAGTATTAAATTAGAAAACATTAACAGAAAGAAATTTAGAAAATTCTAAAATTTGTGGAAGTTAAACAACACACTCAGATAATTGATGAGTCAAAAATAATCACAAGGAAATTTAAAATATAGGTTGAGATGAAGAAAAATGAAAACATAATATGACAAACCTAAGAGTAAGGAACTAAAAGAGTGCTCAGAGAGAAATTTATGTATGGAAAACATATTAAAAAGAAAAGTCTCAAATCAAGAATATAAACACCCACCTACAAAATTGGAAGAAGAAGAGCTAAACACAGAGACACAGCAAGTAGAAAGAAGGAATAAAAATTAAGATTAGAGTGGAAATGAATGAAGTACAGAATACAAAAGCAATAGAGAAAATTAATGAAACTCAAACTTGCTTCTTTGAAAAGATAAACAAAATTGGAAAATAACTAGGCTAAATGACCAAGGAAAATTGACAGAAAACTCAAATTTTAAAGTCAGCAATGAAAGTGGGAACATAAGCTTATAGAAATTTACAGAAAGAATGATAAGGGGATATTATAAATAACTCTATGCCAATTCATTAGAAAACTTAGATGAAATGGACAAATTCACAGAAAGACACAAACTAACAAAACTGATTCAGAAATATTTTTTTTTAAAAATCTAAATATATCTATAATATGGAAAGAGGTTAAATTAATAGTTAATTTCCCACAAAGTAAAAACAAAAGCCAGATGGCTTATTTGTAAATCCTACTAAATGTATGAAGAAGAATTAACACAAATTGTTATAAACCTTTCCAAAACAAAATAGTAAAGATTGGAACCTGCTTACTCTATGAGGTCAGCATCACTTGGATACCAAACTTTTAAAAATCTGCATCCCATGAAAACTGCAGATATCTTATAAATATAGATATAAAAATTCTTAACAAATAATAGTAAACTGAATCCAGCAACATCTAAAAAGGATTGTACACCACAACCAAAGGAAGTATATATAGGAATGCAAGTGTAGCAGAATATCTGGAAATGAATCAATGTAATACATTATATTATTAGTAGAAATAACAAAAAACACATGATCACATTGATAGAAACAAACAAACAACAAAGCATTTGACAAACTCCAAAACCTCTTCATGATAGAAGTACTCAGGCTACTGAGAATGGAAGTAAACTTCCTCAGCCTTATGAAGTCTATTTTTGAAAAACGCATAGCTAACATAGTACTTAGTGGTGAAAGATGGAGTACCTTTTCCTCTATATCAGGAGCAGAACCAGAATTTCCACTTTTTTTACTTACTTATTACAAAGCTACAATAATCAGACGTGTGGTACAGGCATAAGGATAGACATATATGATCAATGGCAAATAACTGACAGTCCAAAAATAAGCCTTCTATGCATGGTCATTTGATTTTCAGACAGGATGTCAAGCCAATCCAAAAGAGAAAGAATAGGTTTCTCAACAAATGGTGCTGAAACAACTGGAAATACATATGCAAAAAGAAAAAAGAAAAGAAGTTTGTCCCATTCTGTGACAGTTAACTTTGTAGCCAACTTGGGTAGGCCATGACACCCAGATATTTGGTCAAACATCAGTCTTAATGCCATTGTGGAAGTATTTTTTAGATGAGATTAACATTTAAATAATTAAACTTTATGTAAAGCAAATTACCTTCCATAATGTGGGTGGGTTAAATTCAATCAGTTGAAGGTCTTAAGAGAATGAAATTGAGGTCCCTAGAGAAAGAAGGAATTCTGCCTGCAGACCGCCTTTAGCCATCTGCAGCACCAATTCTTCCCTGGGTCCTGAGCTAGCTGCCTTGCCCTTCCGTATTCAGACTTGTTAGCCCTCAGGGATCGCATGAGCCAATTTCTTAAAATAAACCTCTCTCTCTCTCTCTCTCTCTATATATATATATATATTTACATCCTATAGCATCCTATAGGTTCTGTTTCTCCAGAGAATCCTAATACACCTTCCTCATACCATTGGCAAATGTTAACCCAAAATGTATCATAGAACTAAATGTATGAACTAAAACTATAAAACTCTTAGAAAAAATCATAAGTATAAATTTTTGTGATCTTGGGTGAGGCAAAGATTTCTTAGCCACAATTCTAAAATATAATTTACTTAAAAAATGATCATTAGATTTGATAAAAATCTTAAAAAGTTTGAGCTAAGAACAATACCACTAAGGAAATGTTTTAGGTTTTTTTTAAAAGCACAAAATGGAAGAGAATATTTGCAAAAGAAATGTAATGAGGGTCTAGTATCCAGAATATATAAATAACTTTTAAACCTCAATATTAAAAAGATAACTTGATATTTTTAATGAGAAAAGAATCTAAATAGACAGTTGTCTGGCAAAAGATATGAGGGACAATAAGCACACACAAAGATGCTCAATATTAATTATTAGGAAAATGTGCATGAAAACTACCATGAGTTTCCACTTCATACCCACTAGCATGACTACAATTTTGAGGATAGGCAATAATGAATTTTGGCTAGGATGTGGATAAATTAGAAGCACCAGATATTACTGGTGGGAATGTATAATAATGAACCAACTTTGGAAAGTGATTTGATAGTTTCCCAAAATGATAAACATATAGTTACTGTATGACCCAGTAACCACTTCTAGGTATATACCCTTGAAAAAAGGTCAAAATGTGGAAACGACTCAAATGTCCATCAATTGAGAAATGCATAGACAAAATGGAATATGTCCTTACAGAGAGTTAATTATAATCCTGAAAGACACAATCCACAATCCCAAACGCTACAATCTCTAAAGATCAAAATCATAAAAGTATAAATCTAAAAGGAGGCAATTTAAAAATTCTTTAAAATATATTTATTTATATCTTTAAAAGGTAATTTATTTGAGAAACATCCAAAAGCAGAACTGAACACTTCATATGCCACTTTACACAATAAAACAGGCAATTAATAACTCATGTATTTTTGTAAGCATAAACACCAAGTCACATGGTTATATCAGTTATGAGGAGATGAACCATATACACAAAAAAATAGGTCAAAAAGGGAAATGTAGAAATGCATATCACTGTGATTGGTAATTGGGTGCACCCAGTTTTATAACTGGTTATCTACAAAACAACCTAAGTCATTTGATGAGATCAATCAAAAACCAGGATGCATCACCATGGCATATGCAGCCCTCCAAATAGCAGAGATCTTGAGAAATTTTATCTTTCACAAATTCAGATGTCCACAAAGGACATCTCTTTATTTATCAAGGAAGTTTTAACATTGTTCTGTACATGCACAATACTTATAAAGTTGACTTTGTGATAATGCACTTTCGTGGAGTCAGATTTGCAAAAAAAAAAAAAAATGCCTAAAAGTCCCTACACAATTTGTATCTCCAGTATGGGCAATGATGTGAAGATGAAATACATAGCGAAATGCTTTACTAGGTTTCTAGGTATTCCTTAATCCAGTCAAGCTGACACCTAGAATTATGTCTATGAGTCCACCCCTTGTCAACTGGGCACCTACACATATCTCCTTAAACCGTACTTAATTTCCAAATAAAGAAAATAATAATTATGATTCAAACCCATCCTCAGAATGGAGTATTACTTATCAATAAAAACAAAAGATCTACCAGTACATGCTGCAACATGGATTAGCCTTGATACCATTATATATGCTCATGAAAGAAACAAGACAAAACATCCATGTACTAATTATTCCACCTGTATAAAATGTCTAGAATAGGCAAATCCATATAGACTGAAAGTAGATTTGTGTTTGCCAGTGGCTGGGGGCATGACAAAATGGGAGCAAATACTAATGGGTACTGGGTTTCATTTTGAGGTGATAATGTTCTTAAATAGTTGTTATGGTTGCACAATTCTGTAAATATACTACTTAATTTTACCATTTAAAAGAGTGAATTTTATGCTATATGAATTATATTTTGATAAAGTTATTACAGTATGTTTGAAAGGGAAGGGATCAATGGCTTTGATTTGGACACTTTATGTTTTAACATACCCATTAAACACCCAATACAATATGTTAAGATGCATATCTAAAAGACTGCATCTCAAAAGAGAGGTCACAGCTAAAAATGGAAATTTAGGCACCATCATGATATAGCTTTAAATTCTAATTTAAAACATGGGAGTAGTCAGTCTTCTAAACGTGGAGTTGACAAAATTTTCTTTCAAAAAACAGCAAAATATATATATATATATATATATATATATATATAAATAAAAAATATAAATATATATAATTATAAAATATATATAATATATAAAATAATATATAATATATATATAAATATATCTACACTTATACACAGAAAGAGACCAAGATGTAAAATAAGAATATTATGTAGGTACTTATATATGTATTGATATAATTAATAATAGAATAATAAGTATATATATTTGTAATATAGATCAACTGATAAGAAAAATGGAATCTTTCGTGGCATATTCTGTTACTTAATTAAGATTAAAAGTTAGTGTTCTTTATCTCCAAAATCAACTGCAGATATGTGTCTTTTAATGCTGACCTGGAATGAGATTTTACATGTTTCATCTTTGAAATGTCTTTTCCCACAGGTAAAGACTGTCAAATACTGATGTCAGTTCATGAGCATTTGGTTTTAGCTGAGTACATTCATTGTTTGGAAAGCAATTATAGAATTCTATTATTCTTCTCTTGATATTTGACTTTCAGCATACCCTTACATTGTAGGTTAACTTCTAAACAAAGGCTAAATGACACCTCTTCAATTGCTTGCTTCAAAAGATTTGAAATATGAATATTTCTTCTGCACTTGCATTGATGTATGAAACCTGGAATGCTGGAACTGGAGTCTGAACTTGAAAATATATCCATTGAAATGATATGTGAGGGTACGGAGACCGCTCCTCCTGTTTTAACTTTAGACAGCCCATGACATGTTCAAAGCAGGTTGACATTCCTTCAATTCAAGCAGCATTAGACATGATGGCAAAGATGTCTCCACAGGTGTGTGTTGTACACATTTACACAGAGCTTCACACTTAGAAGGGTCCAGCAGTTGGTTTAATGTGCTGCTGTCATAGTCCTGAGATTTTAAATATTTTTTTCTTTCAACTTGAGATGCATAAAATATTCATATTTGCTGTTCCTTGCCACTCCTTTTGCATATAGTCTTCATGATGCCTCAAGAACACAGGGGACGCATAATGTATGAGAGCTGAGTGAGACTCAAAGCAAGTACAAGATAAGCATGCTACATCTGCAACTAAGTGGAATGCTGACTGCCCACAAGACCACACATTCTGTTCAAATTAGAACTTGCTCTGAGGCAATGACATTCAGAGAAACACAAACAATCAAAGGACATTATCATACCCTTCCTTACTCAAGCCAAGTTCCTATATTCACCAACTGACTATGCTGAGAAATGGTGACACTGAAGGAAAGGGAAAGATGAGGCAAACAACAGTTCCTTTCTTTTTGTGCTTCCCTACTCATCAGCAAGTCAATGGTTGCATTTTGGTGGAATGTAAGTATACCCAGAATTAGAATAAAAAGTTGAGTTAGTTTTATGAGATGTGTTTTAGTCAGGGTCCTCCAGAGAAACAGAACTGATTGGAGATAGATATAGAGAGATATGTACAAGGAGGACTTACTGGAGGAATTAGCTCACTTGTTTATGAAGGCTAGAAATCCCATGACAGGCCATCTGCAAGCTGGAGAACCAGGGAAGCTGGCAGCTGGCTCAGTGCAAGTCCAAACACCTCAGAAACAAGGAAGGCTGATGATGTAACTCTCAGTACAAGGCCTAAGGCCCAAGAACCCAGAGGACTGCTCGTGTGAGTCCCAGAGTCCAAAATGGTAGAACCTGGAGTTTGGATATTCAAGGGCAGAAGAAAGGAGTCCTGGCTCCAGGAAAGCAGTTCATTCCTCCCCCATCTTTTGGTTCCATCAGTGCCCACAGATGGTGAGATACTGCCCCATTACACTGAGGGTGGATCTTTCCTACTCAGTCCACTGACTCACACACCAGTCTCCTCCAGAAATACCCTCACAAACACACCTGGGGCAGACCAACATTTAATAAAGAGTAAAACCACCTGTGTTTTTCTTTCAGCAGACTAGGGACAGGCTCATTACCTACTGAAGAACTGAGAATAAATAAGGGATTGCCATCTATCTGAGTCTCCCTTAATTGAGTCAAGTTGACACCCCACATCAGCCATGACAAGGTATTTCCACTGTTCTGGTACAAATATACCATGCAGGCATGTAGGAGCCACAAAATATAAATTATATAATTTTGGTAATTCTGCATAAGTTTAGTGCTCTTCTGTGTATCTTAAATTGTCATTGTACCACATATGGATGAACGGAAAAATTCATTTTTAGGGTGTCAAGCAGCAGCGTACAGTTATTAGAGCACCTCATATCATCTCTGTTGCAACTTCCCAACTCTGCCGTAATAGTGGTAAAACAGCCCTAAAAGCAATAACTAGTTAATGAGTACAGCTGCTTTCCTATCAATCTTTATTTGTGGACTTTGAAATTTTACTTTGAGGTACAACGAAATATAATTGACTATTAACTTTTCTCAACCATTTAAAGTATTAAAAACTGTTCTTAGCTTGCAGAGCATTCAAAAACAGATGGCAGGCTGGATTTGGCTCAAGGGCTGTATTTTGATAATCCCTGATCTAGAGAAAAGAAATGTAAAAGAAAGGTACGTGGCTCAAGACCAAACCTTAGAACACTAATATTGAGCATTTTAGTGGAAGAGGAGACAGTTTAGGAGAAGGAATGAGTCGCCAGAAACGTGGAAAGAAATCCAGGATCATGCAGTTTCATGCACTGAGGAATTTCAAAACTGAAGGCATGCTGAAGCTGTGTCCTGTTCAGCTGACGCCAGCCATGGTAGTCAGCACTGGCAGGAAGAGATGAGTTCACCAGTGATCTCCTGGAGCACAATCTCAGTGGAATGATTTGGAAGATCAGCAAAGAACGTGGATAGAAGAATCAAGTGGTTCTGGGAGGTGAATTCATGAGGTGCAGGCAATTCTTTTCAGAAATTTTAGCATTTATTTAATTATTATTATTTTTGCAAAGTGTAGCATGCTAAGTAGAAGTTGTGTCCAATCGAAAACCAATCAAATAATTTATATGCATACATCTAAAAGTTATTTTGGGGTTTTGTTTGTTTTAAGATGGAGTTTCTCGCTCTGTCGCCCAGGTTGGAGTGCAGTGGCGTGATCTTGGCTCACTGCAACCTCTGCCTCCCGGGTTCAAGCGATTCTGCTGCCTCAGCCTTCCAAGTAGTACACGCCACAACGCCCGGCTAATTTTATTTTATTTATTTATTTATGTTTTTTTAGTAGAGACGGTGGGGTTGGTGGTGGGCGGGGGGGGTCTCACCATGTTGACCAGGCTGGTCTTGAACTCCTGACCTCAAGTGATCCGCCCACCCCGGCCTCCCAAAGCGCTGGGATTACAGGTGTGAGCCACCGCACCTGGCCAAAAGTTTTTGATTATAGGGGTAATTACCTCTAAACTCAGAATTTAAATGTAAACTAACAAACATCAGGTTTTTCTATCTCCGTCAGTATTTATATAACGCAATTTATTTTGTTTGCTTTCATTTTAGTAACTTTTAAAAATGAATGCTGTCGTTTTATTAGTTACCTTTCTTTAAAGCTGACTCCACTTTTTAAATGTTGAACTCTTCAGCCTTGCCCCTCCTTTCTCCTATGACCCACGTTTACGAAAGCCTAGCTGCTCCCTCCTTTGCTGTCAGCAGGGCATTCAAACATGAGCCTACAATGCTGGCCCCGCCCTTAATCACAACAAAACCAACCAGCTGCTCTCTCTGATACCTGCTTGAGGGGCGTGTCCCGCTCTCCCCAGGGTCCTCATTATGTAAGCAGCAAAGCTTTCCATACCTCTTCGTGTGTGAGCGACTGTGGTGGTCTCACTATGCAGACAAGCTTTGCCGGGGAGTGGGGGGCGGTGCGTTACTTCCTGTTCCTCCATAGTGCTCTGGTGAGCTGGATTCCGAGGCTCTGTCCTCCAGCACCGGAGTCCGCTCTCGCTTTGGTTTGCTCACTCCTGCTGCCTGCCTGCGGTTACCATAACTGTCTTGGCGTCTGCTCCTGTGATGTCCCATTCTGTTGGTTTTTTTTTTTTTTTTTTTTTTTTGAGACAGTGTCGCTCTTTCGCCCAGGCTGGAGTGCAGTGGCGCGATCTCGGCTCACTGCAGGCTCCGCCTCCCGGGTTCACGCCATTCTCCTGCCTCAGCCTCCTGAGTAGCTGGGACTACAGGCGCCCGCCACCGCGCCCTGCTGATTTTTGTATTTTTTTAGTAGAGACGGGGTTTCACCGTGTTAGCCAGGATAGTCTCGATCTCCTGACCTCGTGATCCACCCGCCTCGGCCTCCCAAAGTGCTGGGATTACAGGCCTGAGCCACTGCGCCCGGCCTCATTCTGTTCCTTACAAGACGGACTTGTCTGTTATTGGTATTTGCATTTTTTACATGAATGTTAGAATCAAATTGCAAATGGTTAACTAAAAAAAAAAAAAAAAGAAAAACTTCCTAAGGTTGTATTGAACCTATAATTTGTGGAGAAATACAATATCGTTTGTAGATCTTTTTGGATTTTCTGTGTTCAGACAACACAATATGTTATCTTTAAAAAGTGACACTTCCTTTCTTTCATTACTTATGCTGTGAATTTATTGCTCTTGCCTTATGATAATTGCCCAGAATCTCTGTACATTTTGAATGGGCAGGAGATCCTTGTTTAGTCCCAGTATCAGGAAGAGATTACATGGGTCACAATTAAGTATTAAAACTTTTAAATATATTTTGATTTAATAAACATGTAGATTTTGATTGCCTGAAATAAATGAAAATAATGTTAATTTGGAATATTAACATCATTCTATGTAGATTATAGAAGTATATAGAAGCATATAATAATCAAATTTTAATTAAAATGTGTATTCAAATTGATGCTATAATACTTAAAGGTATGTGACTGTGTATTTTTATATAACTGTATACTTTGCACATACTTTCCCTAAGAACTCAGAATTATAGAAAACTATATTTTTACTTCCAAGCTGAACTTGAAGATGACTTGTCATTTAGAACTCAGCTAAAACATCTCATCTGTACAATTAAGACTTCCCACTGATTGCCACTCAATTATAGACATCTTAAATTGTGCTTTTCTTTTGCATGTTGACTTGATTATTGACTACACCCTTCAACCAAGAAGCAAGAATTCCCTGATAGAAGGAACCATGGCTGTTTTGTTCATAGCTGAAGGCCAAGGAGAGTTATAACCCTGTTCCTGAGACTTAGAACAGTATCTGGCCTATGGTAAGTACTCAGTTTTTATTTGTGAGCTGATGAAAATTGATGTAAATAATCCATCTGATTGGAAATACACAAAGTTAACTTCATGAGTGAAGGTGACTCTCAGGCTTTAAAAATTTACCTGTAACCTGATCAAATCACTAGCATATCTAGTCAAATTTTGTCAAAAGTCACTGGCCAATATATATAGCTCAGAAAATCTAAGTCGTAGAGGCAAATGTAGTTACATACTGTTCTATGATATTGTTGTATAAAAACTTAGCAATTCCCTGCAAAGGGCTGACACTGTTTTAGCCACAGGAATGGAGATAACAAGGAAGCAAATCAGACCCACTTCCTGTAAAGCACATCCTGCATCTAGCAGCTTTTCAGGTTCCTTACTCCTTTGCAAGGCTATTCATATTGTTATCTCTTTATGCTATGATTGAACATGCAAAATCTTTTATGAAATTTTTTTGGTAATTCTATGCAGACAAGTCCATTATCAGAGTGTGAATTGCCTATTAAAATAAATGTATTTACAATGTAAAAATAATCTGGTCTTATAGACCAGTGAAATCATGCTCCTATGACTATTTTGCATCTCATTTAAAATAAATAACTTGGGGCCCGGCAGGCTGGCTCATGCCTGTAGTCACAGCACTTTGGGAGGCCAAGGTAGGCGGGTCAGGGTCACTTGAGCCCAGGAGCTCAAGACCAGCTTGGGCAACATGGCAAAACCACATCTCTACAAAAAAAATACTAAAATTAGCCTGTCATCGTGGTCTATACCTGTAGTCCCAGCTGCTCAGGAGGCTGAGGTGGGAGGACCACCTGAGTCCCGGAAGGTTGAGGCTGCAGTGAGCTGTGATCACACCACTGCATCCTGTCCTAGGTATCAGAGTGAGATGCTGTCTCAAAAATAAATAAATAAATTTAATCAAATAACTCGGCATTCTGATATATGAGTGTTTATACAAAACTAATTCTGGTAGACTTTCAATAGTTTCCTTACCTTTCATTATAGTCACTGTCTAGGAAAAAAGAACCCTGTGTGAAACAAGGACAAAGTGGCTTCCAGTCATGTACCTGGGCCAGTGTCCCAGCCTTGGAGTTTCTAGCCACAAAGCAGAGATCACACCTAAAAATAGACTTAATCATTTTTCTTTGTCTAATTTATTTCTTTGGACGGCATTTTGGTTTGGGAGGTTTTTATGTAGAGTCTTCCACTTTGAATGTCTTAGCATTAGAAAAGCCACATGACTCAGGCATAGGTGGTTCTCCAGCTTGTTCCTGTGTGGGAGGCACCTTCCTCCAGCTGCCACTTAGAAGTGTAAACAGGAGCCAGTAACAGGAGAAACTGGTGTCTGGAATCTGAGCGAAAGTGGTCCGAAAGTCAAGGACTAGCCCGGCCAAGGAGAGACCACAGAGGCTTGGGACCATGTACCTGCATACTAAGGTAAAGGAATTCTCCATGACATTTCTTCAATATGATTAATATTTCTTACCAGGGTCATTTAGGATTTAATACTCAGTCTCGTGGCATTCTTTTTGGCAGTAGGTAATCCAAGTGGTGATAAAAAGCTCATACAAAGTCATAAGAGATACTGAATTCAGCAGCGTATCACTTCATTATTCATACATGTCATGCAGTGTTACAAATGATTCTGTATTTGGATTCTGTCAGGTTCCAATGGCTTTAGTATTAGAAATATATTTAAATAACTTAAGAAAATATATTATGTAACTTAAGAAACAAAGAATTACAAAATCTGATCAAATGTGACAGTGGTATAATATGTTGTGTGTTTGCAGGTAGCCATGAGAGACAAGAGTTCAGGGGCAAGTCAGGTCCACCCACATCCTAAGAAGCTTATGAAGGGCAACTTTAGTGAAGGCTTTAGTGTCACAGCCTGAGTGGTAAGAGTGTTTGTCCTGGAGCTCCAGCTCCAGATCCCAACTCAGCCAGAATCGCTGATTCATGAGCCCAATGAACCATGAAGCTAGCGGTCCACTGTGTCTCAGGAAGATTTAGAATATTAAATAGAATGTTCAAGAGACTGTAAGTCATGAGACTGTAATATCAAGTCTCATGTAATTACAGTCAAGAGATGGTAATATCCAGGCATTTAGAAATCTGTGAACATTTTGTATTTTATGTTCTTGAACATTTTAAGAAAAATTAGCCTACTAGAAAAAGAAATCAGACTTTAATAAATTTAGAATATAGACTTTTACTAAATATAAGGATATTAAATCATTAAATTGTAAGACTTGTGAAAAAACTAAGAAAATGTTATCAGGCAGAAAATTGGTATACTTAAAGATAAAATCAAGTACATTTTATAAATGTAGTTAAAATGATAACTGAACTTATAAATAAAGACCTCGATTAATGCAATGTTAAAAGTTGCTAGATTCATATTTGGAATAAGAGGATTTATAAGCTGAGCCTAAAAGCTTAAAGACGTGTGTTTTTAAAATTAAGACTTCAATAACTATAATATCCATTTTTACAAACCAAAGCAAACATCTAATTTGTCTTTGCTGTGTTGGAAACTGCACTGAGGACATGAAAAAGCTTAATTTTGATACATTTTTCTTACAGAGACACAATTAACAATGGTTGTCTTCTCATAGTGCTTGACTATGGGAAAATAATATTCTCATCAAGCTTAGCAGGTGCTTCGTTTCATATATCAAGGAAAGTGCTTATTGCTAATGTTAAATAATACATTAGCATTCTGGATATACATATTAGTTTAATTGCCTCCATTAATATTATTCGATAGATAGGGAAGTATCTACTCTTCTTTTCCTGAAACATCTTGACATTGGAGCCTGGAGTATTGAAGTCCACATTTAATTCTCTCAGCACTGTGAATGACATTGGCATAAGCTCAAGGGAAATAATATATCGGCCTTCATAGGACAGAAATATACGCCTTTATTATCCTCTGCTTACACATTTGGAAATTTTACAGTGTGAAGATGATGTTTATGGCACTTCCTATATGTATTTTAATTTAAACTTATGACTTTATTAAACAAAAACTTCTACTCTACTGGAGCAATACTGAAAAGCTGACTTACAACTCTGCCACAATGATCTTTGGGAATTCAAGGCGTCTAATTAACGTCCAAATATATGCTCAGTGTGTGTTTAGAGTTTAACAGTTCACTGTAGCAGTCACCACTTAAAAAAAAAAGAAAATCATTTTTCTCCTTGGGAAAATTAAAGAGGAGTAAGCAAAATTAGGGAACATAAAGAAAAAAAGCCATAAAACTGAGCTATAATAGAAAGTTGCCCTTCTTCACACAGAAAAGGAATAAAATATAAGGGCAGGAATCTTTTCAGGCAAGAATGGTGTTTTTCACCCCCTCTTTGTCAGCCTGTCATCCAGAGGTCAGCAGAATCTGAGGCCTTCAGATCCTGAGCCCCGAGAAGGCTCTCCCGCCAGCCTGTCTCCGCTCTCTGGCCTTTATTTGCTTTCCCCTCAAGCTGCTCTACCATGCAGGCCAGCCTCTGAAGTGAAGCCTTCTTTGTCATTTATACTTTGTGGTCATGTACCAGTCTATTTTTGTTCATGTAATAAATTTGGCAATGCACTGATAATGTCAGACAACAAATACATTTTAAGTGGTGCTCTATAATTGATAAATAATGCATACATAATAATTTTGTATGTAACGGTAATAGTCTGTCTTTTTCACTAAGCTAATGGAAGGATGCAGGGGATGGTGCTATATACATGTATCCTATTTATAGTAAGAGCAGCAATGTACACTTCCATAGAAAATAAAAAGGGTTTTTGTAACATGCTTTGAATTGCTCAATAAATATATCAAAGTTAGTAGGTGTTATTATAAATACTATCAATATGAAATGATTAATGTCCTGATTAACTTTACGAGTAATTGTATATTATATACTTTGTAAATGCCAATAAATTATGTTGATTGCATAGGGAATCATTTATTTGATATTTCAATGAACACTGTCTATCAGAACAAAGTGGTTTCCCCTGAATGTCACTGGTGTGTGTCTCCAGTAGCTATCAGAAGTATATCATTGCTGATGTCCAGCTGTCGTGCCAGCATAATTAAAACACTTTTGCAGCATCTGACTGTGGTCCGGGCTGCCCTTTCACAGATCTTACCAGAGGGTGGGGAGAGGGAAGCACAGGGAATCAGGAGAGTGGCAAAAACTGAAGCAGTGCGGCCTGCTTCTGATTATTACTGCATTTTTTAAAATATACTACATATGAGAAAAATAAATAGCTGCTACACCAGGAACACATTCTCTGTTTTTATAAAGGTCTTCCAACGGGGGTGATTTTTCCCCCACTGTGCATAATATTGCAGCCATGGCCCTTCCTGGCCTTTGTGCCTGATCAAATTGTATTTTTCTTTAATGAATAGAAAATATCTATCCTGTGAAAATGCTTATTATCAGGAATTGCAGAAATTGTTGCAGGGAATCAATGTACTTTTTTTCTCACAGGTTTCTGAGGCCCTACTATGTGTACAGCACAGTGGTGGACTCTTGAGGGACACGAAGATGACTAAGACACAGTCGCAGCCTTTCAGCAGCTTCTAATCCATTAGGGGATATGAGGCAAGTGTACCGCGACCACCACACCAGGACTCAGGTGCAGATTGCACACCTGAAGGGAAGTGAGGTTGGAGCTGCAAGAGGTGTCACTGTCGGTGAGCAAAGCTAGAAGAGTTTGCCACTTGACAGAAAGAGAATTTTAGGTGGGTCTTCCAGGACATGGTGGATTTTGAACCATGGGTATTAGGAAGGGGGCTCGTCTGGTGACGGAGTTTTTACAGTAAAGCCAGGAAGTCACACCCCTGGAGCTCTCCTTCGGTAACAGCTAGTTTCCAATTTGCCTATCATGCATGCTCTGTAATGGAGGGCATGGGAAGATCATGCAGTTTGAAAGCCCCAAATACAAGAATGTGAAAATATAATATATTTGATAGAAAACTTTTGTGCAGGGTGTGGCCCCTGAAGATGTTTCAGTAGGAAAGCTCCATAATTTAAGGCTTGTTCAGGAAAATTGAAGCTGAGGACTCAGCACAGTGTTGGAGGACTCTGGAGTTTTGAAAGCCAGGTAGAGGGCCACTTAATCAAAGCTATGAGCACGATTAAGTACAATTAGCATTCTGTTTTCTGGGCAGTTGTCTGGTTATTCACCTGCCTAGCTCATGTTTTAAAATTCTATCATTTGAATTTGTGATTCTTCAGCAAATGGAACAAGATGGTATTTGAACCTTTGGACTTGAGAATATGGCTCAGTGGCTGCAATCCTTGTAAATAGGCTTATGCTCTTATATATGATGCGTCACTTGTCCTTGCACTTGATATTCATTGGGATTAATTTTAACAAGAGCTGAGGTATTATCACCATATCAATAGTAAGACATTTTAAGTCAAATTGAGCAGACATGATAATGAAGCCTGCAGAGCCAGTAAACTTGTTCTTTTGTTCTTTTGTTCTGTTTTGTGTCACTTTCCTGATAATATTTCAGTTATATTCGATTCTAATTCTCACTTAATCAGTAATTTAGCTGGTTACTCAGACAAAAATGAAATTCTCCTAAAGCTTCTGAGCAATTTCTGATACTCCAATTATAAATTTTTGCTTCAAGAGGAAATCAAAACTTCATATTTGGTATGATAATAATTTTCTAAAATTGAGGATACTAGTTGTTTGTTAAGTAGACTTTACAAATCTGATTAGAATAACAATATCTGTACTGAGAAAATATAGAGGAAAACATGTTTTCACTTTATATTCTTTTACTCCATTTTCTCACAGATAAATTACAATGAAAGCTAAAAGAACACAGATTCAAGTCTGAGATACTAGCTTCTGTGATCTAGTAAGAATATACCTATTAGTCTGATTATTTTTAATAATCCAGTGTGTTTTGGATGACAACAAAGGCAGGCACTGTTACAACCCAAGCAAGTGCTTGTGAAGAACAACGTGTGTGTTGCTGCCAGGTTAGGCCAGTGCTCACAACCAAAAGGGTGACGTGACATAACATGAAGTATATAATGAAGCATACATTTGCTGTACATTTCTAGCAAATTACCATGTATTTCCACGTGACATTCACAAGCCTGGATCTAATAATTTCTTCCGCTAAGGGTAGCAATGATGTAGTGAAGAGACTTTGAATTAGAAGCAGATGATCAATGTTCAAGTTAACCTTAATGAATGGTGGTACACATAGCATTGGTGTCACCAGATCCACACATCTTAACCTAACATAAGTGACCCACTCTTTGATACAGTCAGATAAGTGAGGGGGAAAAAGAAAATCCTTACCTAAGTGTCAAACATCAGTTAATCAAATCCTAGAACTACTGTGTACAAAGCACAGAATATGAGCAATTGCCTAGTTTGGCAACAAAATATAAAATAATGCTGATAAAATACCCAACTCATAATCCTACTGTGAATGCTAAATTAAATTACATTGATGACACATAGAAAGATACTTACATAGGCCTAGGACACGATAAGTACTCAAAAACACTTTTTCCCCCAAACAAAATATTCTGATGAAGTAGCCAATATTAGAGTCGTTAGATTTCAGAAGATTTTGTTGTCAATATTTGTGTAATACCATGAGAGCATTAAAGGTTGAGAGGCCATTCCAGTTGAAGACTCAAATGTTTAATTTTTTTTTTTTTCTGAGATGGAGACTCACACCTTTGCCCAGGCTGGAGTGCAGTGGCGGGATCTCAGCTCACTTCAAGCTTCACCTCCCGGGTTCACACCATTCTCCTGCCTCAGCCTCCCGAATAGCTGGGACTACAGGTGCCCGCCACCACGCCCAGCTAATTTTTTGTATTTTTAGTAGAGACAGGGTTTCACCTGTTAGCCAGGATTGTCTCAATCTCCTGACCTCGTGATCTGCCCGCCTCAGCCTCCCAAAGTGCTGGGATTACAGGCATGAGCCACCATGACCGGCCATATTTATTTTTAAAATAAAAAAAATTAACAATAGTATACTGATATGGTTTGGCTCTGTCTCCCCACCCAAATCTCATCTTGAATTGTACTCGCATAATTGCCACATGTTGTCAGAGGGACCTGGTGGGAGATAATTTGAATCACAGGGGTGGTTTCCCCCATACTGTGATCGTGGTAGTAAGTCTCATCACATCTGATGTGTTTATCAAGGGTTTCTGCTTTTTCATCTTCCTCATTTTTTTCTTTTTTTCTTTTTTTTTTTTTTTTTGAGATGGAGTCTCACTCTGTCACCCAGGCTGGAGTGCAGTGGCACGATCTCAGCTCACTGCAAGCTCCACCTCCTGGGTTCACGCCATTCTCCTCCCTTACCTCCTGAGTAGCTGGGACTACAGGTGCCTGCCACCACGCCCGGCTAATTTTTTGTATTTTTAGTAGAGACAGGGTTTCACTGTGTTTGCCAGGATGATCTCAATCTCCTGACCTTGTGATCTGCCTGCCTCAGCCTCCCAAAGTGCTGGGATTACAGGCATGAGCCACCGCACCCGGCCATCTTCCTCATTTTTTCTTGCCACCACCATGTAAGAAGTGGCTTTTGCCTCCTGCTATGATTCTGGGGCCTCCCTAGCCATGTGGAACTGTAAGTCCAATTAAACCTCTTTTTCTTCCCAGTCTTGGGTATGTCTTTATCAGTAGCATGAAAACAGACTAATACATATACTTACTGTTAAAATTGCCTTTGAGATGGAAGGGACAGGGATCTCATAGTTTTACACTATTATAATTCCAAGTATGTGTAATACTGATTACCATAGATTACACAAAAGCACAGTGTGGAATTATTTCACTGTAATTATGATCATTGTAGTCGTTATTGTACTTGTCATCTAGTTCAAAGAATCTTTAGGAATGCACCTAAAAATGGGAAATGTTGGATGTGACCTGGTCGGGAACACACTGACTTAGGACTTGAAAACAAGAACTCCACCCTATCTGTTTGCAGGCAGCCACTGAGAGGACAATAAGGACACTGACACACCTAAGTATTAGGTCTTATGTATTTCAAGCTAAGGGGACAGAATGTAAATTAAACAATGGGAAAACATATCATTGGTTATCACAATACCTAGTCCTGTGTCTATTTTGTTGGAAACCATTTTTTTTTTTTTTTTTGAGACGGAGTCTCGCTCTGTCGCCCAGGCTGGACTGCGGACTGCAGTGGCGCAATCTCGGCTCACTGCAAGCTCCGCTTCCCGGGTTCACGCCATTCTCCTGCCTCAGCCTCCCGAGTAGCTGGGACTACAGGTGCCCGCCACCGCGCCTGGCTAATTTTTTTGTATTTTTAGTGGAGACGGGGTTTCACCTTGTTAGCCAGGATGGTCTCGATCTCCTGACCTCATGATCCACCCGCCTCGGCCTCCCAAAGTGCTGGGATTACAGGCGTGAGCCACCGTGCCCGGCCAGAAACCATTTTTTTTAATAAGGGAAGATAGGTCACAGATGAATACATCTGAGGAAATCAAAACTCTGCCTGAAAATATTATGAACTTATTATATTATTACAAAAACCATAATAATCTTTGGAACAACCACAAGGATAAAAACTAAAGTGTAAACTTTGAAAACAGAGAAAAACATCTCTGTATTGGATGTTTGGAACATCAATTGTATTCAGTGACAATTTTTAATATCTACCAAATACTTGGAGGAGTACATGGAATAAAGTAGGTGTGAACTAGATATTAGTTGAATGCAAGAATGCAAGGACAAGTATGCTAAAGGGCATTTTGGGAAGCCTTTATATAGATAGCACTTTTGTGAGTCCACAGCCTTTTTTTTCAGTCAGATCTTGCCAAGACCAGCTCAGTCGAGGAGACCCTAACCCAGCGGTGCTAGAGGAATTAAAGACACACACACAGAAATATAGAGGTGTGAAGTGGGAAATCAGGGGTCTCACAGCCTTCAGAGCTGAAAGCCCAAAACAGAGATTTACCCACATATTTATGAATAGCAAACCAGTCATTAGCATTGTTTCTATAGATATTAAATTAACTAAAAGTATTCCTTATGGGAAACGAAGGGATGGGCCAAATTAAAGGAATAGGTTGGGCTAGTTAACTGCAGCAGGAAAGCATCCTTAACACACAGATCACTCATGCTATTGTTTGTGGCTTAAGAATGCCTTTAAGCGGTTTTCCGCCCTGGGTGGGCCAGGTGTTCCTTGCCCTATTCCCGTAAACCCACAACCTTCCAGCTTGGGCATTATGGCCATTATGAACATGTTACAGTGCTGCAGAGATTTTGTTTATGGCCAGTTTTGGGGCCAGTTTATGGCCAGATTTTGGGGGCTTGCTCCCAACAGATCTTTCATGGTGATGTATTTTAGGAGCGTGAGAAAAAAAAAAAACTTGTGTATATAAAACAGCTTTTAGTCCCCATATGTAATGGAGTTAACAACTACATTCATTGTCCAAAGTCTAAATAGTTATTTTAAATATTTTGTGGTTTGAGACTTTTAAAAAAATGTAAGGCTCAATCTAAAAAAAAAAAATAACTTTTAGATTCCTGCAAATATGAAAGGCTCTTTTCCTTCTTAGATGGTAAATTATACAATTCTCATTCCATTTTTACCTTTACCTATGCTGCCAATTTAGAAAATTGAAAAGACACAAGTATTGGAATCAGCCAGATCTGGAAACCAGTGAACACTCTGCCTTTCTCTATTTGAGTATTGTTGAACAAGTAGCTTTCTCTCTCTTGCTTACAGTTTCATCTTGTATAAAGTGTATACTTGTATAAAGTGTATACAGTTTCATCTTGTATAAAGAGTGTGAGAACACTCACACTTACTTCAAAGGGTTCCCATGAAGAATAAAACTTGCACTCCAGAAACTAGCAGCTCCTAATTTTGATTCACAGAGAAGCTTTCTGTTCTTTTTCTTTTTTCTTTTGTTTTTTTCTTTTTTTTTCTTTCTTTCTTTTTTTTTTTTTTTAGAGACAGGGTCTCACTCTGTCACCCAGGCTACTGGAATGCAGTGGCAGTGAGATTATAGCTTACTGCAGCAGTGCCCTCCTGGGCCCAAGTGATCCTCCTGCCTCAGCCTCATGAATAGCTGTGACTAGAGGTGTGCCACCACACCTGGGTAATTTTTAAAATTTTTCTGTAGAGATGGGGGTCTTTCTTTGTTGCCCAGGCTGGTCTTCAACTCCTGGCTTCAAGTTAACCTCCCACCTCAGTCTCCCAGAGTGCTAGAATTACAGGTATGACCCACTGCACCTGGCCCAGAGGTAAGCATTTTTGCACAAACCTCTGTAGGATTGTGGTAAAGTATAGAAATGCTAGCCACAAACATTGTGAAAACCTTGGATCTATGCATACAGGCATGTGAACTCAAGTCTAGGTTGGGCTATTGAAAATAATAGAATTGGTTCAAATAGAGAGCTGTAAAACAGTACAGCAGCCAAAGAGAATTTCTCCTGAGGAATATGAATCAGCTGTAGAGACAGGCTAAAGGAAGCTAGTCTCTTACCAAGAGGTAATAGAAAGACAAAGTGGCCAGTGTTTATCCTAGAAATGACAACAAACTGGATGACTTATAGAGTGCTCATGAATGTCTACATTTTTCCTAAGAAGGAAAACATAGTTATCAGCATGAGATTATCAGGAGTATCATAAAGTCAGGAAGGCAGGACTTGGATGGAATCACATTCATTTTCTATTGCTGGATAACAAATGGCCACAAACTTAGCCCCTTAAAAGAACATGCATTTACCCTCTCACAGCTCCTGTGGGTGAGGGGTCTGGGGTGGGAGCTCTGCTCAGGGCCTCACAAGGTTGAAATCAACATGTCAGGTGGCTGTGTTCTCATCTGAAGCCTCAACTAGGGAACAGTTCACTTCCAAGATCCCTCGGGTTGCTGGCAGAATTGATGTCCTTGTGTGTGTAGGTTGGAGGTCCCAGGGTCTTGTTAGCTATTGGGCAGGGACTTCCATCAGGACCAGATGCCGCTCTGTCATTCCCTCACACACCATGTCTCTGGCTCTAGGGAGGGCTCAATATCTCAGAAGAACTCACCTGATTGGGTCAGCCTCACCTGGATAATGTCCCTTTTGACTACCTCAAAGTCACTAATTAGTGATTGTATTAGTCTGTTCTCATGCCCCTATGAAGAAATACCTGAAGCTGGGTAATTTATAAAGGAAAGAGGTTTAATTGACTCCCCATGGCTGGGGAGGCCTCAGGAAACGTACAGTCATGGTGGAAGGGGAAGCAAACATGTCCTTCTTCACATGGTAGCAGGAGAGAGAAGTGCTGAGCAAAGGGATAATGCCCCCTATAAAACCAGATCTCATCAGAACTCACTATCACAAGAACAGCATGGGGGTAACTGCCCTTATGATTCAATCACCTCCCACCTGGTCCCTCCCACAACAAGTGGAGATTATGGGAACCACATTTCAAGAAGAGACTTGGATGGGAACACAGCCAAACTATATTATTCTGCCCCTGGCCCTTCCCAAATTCTATGTCCTCACATTTCAAAACATGCCTCCTTAACAGTCCCTCAAGGTCTTAACTCACTCCAGCATTAACTCAGAAGTCCAAGTCCAAAGTCTCATCTGAGACAAGGCAAGTCCCTTCCTCCTATGAGCTGGTAAAATCAAGCACAAGTTAGTTCCTTCCAACATACAATGGGGGTACAGACCTTGGGTAAATACACCCATTTCAAGTGGGAGAAATTGGCCAAAGCAAAGGTGCTGCCCCATGAAGTTTTAAATCCAATAGGGTAGTCATTAAACCTTAAAGTTCCAAAATGATCTCCGTAACTCCTTGTCTTACAGCCAGGTGACACTGATGCAAGTGGTGGGTTCTCACAGCCTTGGGCAGCTCCACCCCTGTGGCTTTGCAGGATACAGACCTCTGCTGGCTGCTTTCAGAGGCTGGCATTGAGTGCCTGTGGCATTTCCAGGTGCACAGTGCAAGCTGTCATTGTATCTACCATTCTGGGGTCCAGAGGACAGTGGCTGTCTTCTCACAGCTCCACTAGGCAGTGCCCCAGTGGGGACTCTGTGGGCGGGGGTGGTGGGGCTGCCACCCACGTTTTCCTTCTGCACTGCCCTAGCAGAGGTTCTACATGAGAGCTCTGCCCCTGCAGCACACCTCTGCCTGGAAATCCAGGCGTTTCCATACATCGTCTAAAATGGAGGCGGAGGTTCCCAAACCTCACTTCTTGTCTTCTGCACAGCTGCAGGACCAGCACCACATGGAAGCTGCCAAGGCTGGGGTCTTGTACCCTCTGAAGCAATGGCCCAAGCTGTACCTTGGCCCCTTTTAGCCACAGCTGGAGCTGAAGCACCTGGGACTCAGGGAACCATGTCCCAAGGCTGCATAGAGCAGGGTGGCCCTGGGCCAGGCCCAGGAAACCATATTTCCCTCCTAGACCTCCAGGGCTGTGATAGGAGATGCTGCTGTGCAGGTCTCTTGACATGCCCTGGAAGCATTTTCTTCATTGTTTTGATGATTAACATTTGGCTCCTTGTTACTTATGCAAATTTCTGCAGTGGGCTTGAATTTCTCCTCAGAAAATGGGTTTTTCTTTTCTATTGCATTGTCAGGCTGCAAATTTTCCAAACTTTTATGCCCTGCTTCCTCTTCAAGGCTTTGATGCTTAGAAATTTCTTCCACCAGATACCATATATCACCTCTCTTAAGTTCAAAGTTCCACAGATCTCTAGGGCAGGGGCAAAATGTCACCAGTCTCTTTGCTAAAGCATAGCAAGAGTGACATTTACTCCAGTTCCCAACAAGTTTCTCATCTCCATCTGAGACCACCTCAGCCTGGACTTCATTGTCCATATCACTATCAGCATTTTGGTCAAAGCCATTCAACAAGTCTCTAGGAAGTTCCAAACTTTCCCACATCTTCCTGTCTTCTGAGCCCTCCAAGTCTCTAGAAAGTTCCAAACTTTCCTACCTTTTCCTGTCTTCTTCTGAGCCCTCCAAACTGTTTCAATCTCTGCCTGTTACCCAGTTCCAAAGTTACTTCCACATGTTCGGGTATCTTTATAGCAGTACCCCACTCTCTGAAGTACCAATTCACTGTATTAGTCTATTCTCATGCTGCTATGAAGAAATATCCTAGACTGGATAATTTATAACATAAAGAAGTTTAATTGACTCACAGTTCTGCATGGCTGGGGAAGTCTCAGGAAACATACAATCATGGTGGAAGGAGAATCAAACTAGTCTTTCTTCACATAGCAGCAGGAGAGAGAAGTGTCAAGCAAAAGGGGAAAAGCCCCTTATAAAACTATCAGATCTCATGAGAACTCATTCACTATCCCAAAAACAGCATAGAGGTAACAACCCCTATGATTCAATTACCTCCCAAAAGGTCCCCCCAGGACACAGTGTGAATTATGGGAACTACAATTCAAGGTGAGCTTTGGGAGGTGACACAGCCAAACCATATCAGTGATATAACCATGACAGTGACTTCCTATCATCTTCACAGTCCTGCTCACACTGGAGGGGAAGGAATGATACAGGGAGTGCACACAACAGGCAGGAATCTCAGGGACAATCCTGGAATTCTGCCTACCACAGGAAGAGAAGAAATAAATGTCTTCCCCAAAATAGGAAGTTCCAAGCATGGACAATTCTTCCTTCATATCTTCATGCATGAATTGTATACTCAAGCACATAAGGACAAATAAGGATGCCTGGAAGAATATAACAACTAAAAGAAAAAATACATATGCTACATTGTTTAGTTAAATCTGTATTTAAACCATGGCATCATGTCAGATGAAATACATCTTCTCTCCCACCTCAAATGGGGACTATTTCTGATGCTTAATAACCCTCATTCAGAGCAATGTAGGTTGATGTAATACTTCCTATTGAGTCCTTCTTAAAAACATTATGTGCATATTTTACCTTCAGTTCTATCCATAATTTTCACATGGGCATTTAATCAAGAGTAGTTTTATGTGAGTGAATTTCATCAGATGCTATTTTTGTATTTTCATTTAAAATTATGATAACAGCATAATAGAAATTGAAATTAAATCAAGGGTTGTAGGACTTGCTTCCCAAGAGCTGTTTCTGCAAGGGCAGCTGTAATCATTTGATAGTGCTGGTTACTAGATGACACAGCAACCTCAGAATTGTGCCATGGTATATAAAATTGAATTTGATTTGTAAACCTTAATTAAAATGATAAAATGGTTCATTTTTGTTCTTATTTAAAAGTACTCCATGCCTCAGAGAGAATGAGCCATCCAAGCTTTCAGAGGCAGTGTAGGAGGCGGGGAGGAGGGGGCTCCAGAATCTGACTCACCCGTGTGCTACCTGCCATTCTATCCTTTGTTAGGTGTGAGACTCTCAGCCTCCTTTTCCTCATGAATTAACCAGGCATCCTAGAGTATTCATCCATGGCTTTTTTATGCAAAAAAAAGTTTATAAAACAGCAAAAATCCACTAAATGTCAACTGTTACTATTGCTATTACTGTTAAAAAAATTAAATAAAGTCAATTTTAGATACTTTAAATAAATTGACTTTTAATACTGCTTTAATTAAAAATATTTGTCCATTTTGTACTATGCATTACTATACCTAATCTGATTACTTTATTCCTTGTTACATTTCTGTCTGACCTTCACCCATTACCCTAACCTGTTATTTAAAAACAAATAAATGACACATAAACAAACAAAATACTTTTTTTAGCATTTGCTGCTTTAGTCAGTTACTCCTGGGATGAATAAATTATATTTGATGTTTTTAAAAAACATCTTCAGGTCTTGCCAACTTGAAATCACAATTTACTCTTTGGTTATATCTCTTTGTTAGAAATTTCCTTTCAAAATGGGGAAAATTTTTTTCTTTAATAACTCATATGTTACATTCCATTGAATGAAACCAGCTGTCAAATTCAAAAGAGTAGATTCTCTATTTCATTTTGAATAGTAATAAATAAAACAGATTAGGACAAGTAAATGTGTGCATATGTAACTTCACAGAGACTTATAGTCGTTCACAAGTTGATGTTACTATTGTATATAATGTTTAGAACTATATCGTATGGTTTTGTTTTATTTGTGTTTTGAGTGTTGCAAAGCTAGAGATAAATTTTTAGCAAATGATTCAAGTTTTTTGTATATTCACATTTCTCTGCACTAACTTTACACCAGATTTCATATCAATACCCAACATCGAATTTTTCTATAATAATTTATTTATGTCCTTTTATTTTTATCTTATGTTTTATTATGCATTTCTGAATGGTCTGTCAAATCACTTTGATGAATAAGTTACTTGAACATCATCATCCATTCATAAATGTAAGCAAGCAGCAACACTAGCAAATAAAAACATGGCCAAAACAAAGCTCCTGTTTATTTTTATTTGTGTCACAATACAGATAATAATTTAGATTTTCAAATGACTGGAAACAAATTTGGAGTGAAAAGATGCTGCTTTGTACTACTTAGAACTCTCTTGGATGCAAATGTAAATATCAAAACCTAAATTTATGATTAAAAAAATGGACCACATTTCTAATGCCCCATAACGTGGAACATTTCAGGGGTGGCCTGGATTCAATCAAACTTATCCCGGTGTCTCAGAAATGTTGGACAGGTATGAGGCAGGGGTGTGAGGAAGAGAGATATATGCTGATTGCCTCTTGGCTGTATTCAGTAAATGACGCAGAACTCTCATTTGGTAGAGAAAGTGAGTATTGAGGGTCCACATTCACACGCTAGAAGTCCACTTTATTGAAAAGAGGTTATTTCTCTTTAAACACTCAGATCCAGTCAGAAAAAGACTCCCATCACACTGTATTACTGCCCATCCCTGGAATACCAGCCACTTTAGTGAGGCAGGAGTAATTTGGATCACATGTGGAGGGTAAGAGGTTATGCGGGGGTGGGAACGTGGACAATGTGTTGGGCCACCTTCTGCAGGGACTGGGCACAAGCAGTGACCCAAAGGAAACAGGAGCAGATTAAAAAGGGTGGAGGGAGCGACCCCATCCAGGAAAGCATTTTACAGTTAAAGTACAAAGTTTAAGCTATCCTAGAAGATGAGTAAAGGACACATGGAAGAACTACCTGAGTAAATTACGAGGTTTTAATGAGACAACTATAAGGGTACATAGGCCTATCCACATAAATACACACATGGGCCTTCAAGCATATTATTTCTTATTTGTTTATCCTTAATTTATCTTTGTCCAATTACAAAATCTAGTGTTAATGTTTTCCCAAAACCTGCTGTCTGTGCATTCCTGTCTTCCAACTGTTTATCTTCATAGTGAATTGCTGGAGGAAAAGGATGGATGAACACAGAACTTACTGCTGACCTCCGATGTTTCTGGTCTAATTTATTCTTTCCAATGTAAGTTTTGTTTCATAAGGTGATATTCATTCTTCTAAAATGTGACCCTTTCCACCTTCCCATTTTATCTCCTCTTTAATCTCTCTGTTAATCTTATATTCTAGCCACATTGGGCTACTCAACATTTGCGGAACTCACCATGCGTTTTCAAACTCTTCTCCCTTTCTGGAATGCCTTTCCTCTTCCTCCTTCCACAGTTCTACCCATGGATCAATGCTTATCTTACATGCCACGTCTCTGAAGCCTTCTGTTATCTCTCTTTTTATCACTGCTATATGCCTCTGTTGTGACAAATATGACCCTTTCCCCCTACTTACAATACTCATGCCAAGAAGTATCTGATTTAATCATGATTTAGTATAAGTATTATTTTATCTCCCTCATTATATTCTCAAGTCCTTGAGACTGTACTTATGATTATCACATTTTAATCAACCACATTGCCTGGCACAAGGCTTTTCACATAGTAGGCAGACAAAAACGAGTTACCCAAACTTTGGTGAACACTCCTTTGGTTTTTGTTTGCTTAAGAATTCAGATTTAATATTGTTAAATAAGGGCACCTTGAATAAAACGTGTGAGATGTACTGACTTTGAAATATTTAAATATCCCCTTCCTTTGCTAATGTTTCATTTAAATGATAGAATTGACAAATTATTCACTGATCTGACTATTGTAAATTCCATTCATCTAAAATTCAGAAGTATGAAATTAGGATAATTTTTAGAGGACTTAGTCCTTATACTTAAAAAAAGGTTTATTACAGTATTTCAAGTATAATTCAGATTTCAAATATGCTTAGCAAAACCCAAAACTCACTGATACATGAGCATAGATTACTCAGAGTAATCACAAATCTTGGTATTACTTGCTTTCATGTTCTTTACTAGCAGTTAGGCTGGGTTTGAACCGGATTCCTTTCTGCATTTCCCTAGGTTCTCCTAGTGTGGGTGTTTTCTTTCTTTTTCCTTTTTTTTTTTTTTTTTTTTTTTTTGAGACAAAGTTTCATTCATTGTCCAGGCTGGTGTGATCTCGGCTCACTGCAACCTCCACCTCCCGAGTTCAAGTGGTTCTCCTGCCTCAGCCTCTCGAGTAGCTGGGATTACAAGTGTCCGCCACCATGTCCGGCTAATTTTTGTATTTTTATTAGAGACTGGGTTTCACCATGTTGGCCAGGCTGGTCTCAAACTCCTGACTTCAGGTGATCCAGCCGCCTCGGCCTTGCAAAGTGTTGGGACCTTTGCAGTATGACTCGGCCACCCAGTTTATCACTTTGTGTAGATGCAAAACACCCCAAAGCAATAGATAATGAATTCCTCTTAAACTCCAGAAACATTTTAGTTGGAGGCAATTGTCAGCCTGTTACAACTGTCACATTGCCAAGCATCTTTTTGCTGCCTGCCTCCCAATCTAGGACGTCTGCCTCACCTTAGCCAATAGGTGTCTACTTTCACTTTCTTAGGCCTAGCTTATTTGTTTGGGAATTCCACTGCTCCTCTGTCTTCCCAGGATGCATCATATGGGTGTAGGATGAGTCGATATCTGTGAATCCACTGACCTTTCCTTGCATCTGACACATGAAATAGATGCATTGATCTATACTGTCCCTCATATAACTTGATTTCTATACCTTGTTTATGGTTGTATCAAATGTAGGGAAGTCAAAGTCCAAGATTCCAGGGACCGGATGACTCCAGGGGTGCACCTGGCCACGGGGAGGGCTGTTTTCATACATTCTTTTCTAAGCCTGGGCTCCTGCTGTTGCCATGGCAAGCAAGATTCTTTGCAAGCAAGAGTGAGGCTGCGGCCCAGCTCTCCCTATTCAGGCATGCTTGCGACATGCTTCTTTCCCTTTCTGTGTGGATGGCCCGTGTTCATCCTTTGATGCAATCCAGATTCCTCTTCTTTCTGGATACATCCCTGATGGCATCTGTCCCCACTGTGCTGCCATAGTGCCTTAATTAAATCCTTATCACAACATTTTTTGCTTTGTAATGTAATCATCTGCTCACATGTAGGTCTCCTCCCTGGGCTATAAAGCATTGAAAGAAAGCGACTATATTATCATTGCCTTCAGATCCTTGGTGCTCAACAGGTCTGTGCTGGTTAAAATCTGTACCTGGATGCAGTCCTGCCTGTGTGCCCGGGACCCTCACATTCCTCTAGCCTAGTCTCTGTGCTCTGTTGTCATCTGGCCTCAGCCATGGGCTGGCAAGGATCAGCAGGATACTACTCCTTAAATAAGCAGATCAACACTTGAATTAGAATTCACAACATGGAAGGTATAGCCATCAAAATCCTAAAAACAACTACACAACGTAGCTATTTTACTAATTTAGATGTTTTGTCTTCAAGTAATCAGTAAATTTATACTGTGATACTCTTTGATCTTTTTAAAAGTTGGGTTAACTATTGGTCATTGAATAAATGATGTTAAATAAATATTTACTGATTAATGTAAGCAAATCGTAGCAGATCGTCTGGAATAAAAAAATCATATCAAAAGCCTTACAAATAAGAGGTCCCAATCTGTGTTTAACTGTTTAAAATTATCTAATATTTACCTTTATTTGTCATAAAAAACTATACAAACATATAATAGATCTATTACTCTTATCTATAACTCCCTTTAAAGAGGTGCAGATGTTTTAAATCTGTTACTCGAATGACTCCATCTGACATGTGAATAAAAACCATCTGTGTAGAAGCCTGCATTATTAGCAAGACTGGGCTTACCGGGAGGAGGGAACTAGGAGCAGCCTTCAAACGAACACACCTTTTTGCCAAAGGGTGTTTATGCAAACAATATTATTTCACTAAAAGGAGAAACTGTATGAGAGTCTCCGCACTATTCATCTTAAAGTGCTTTATGTAATAAGTTAGTTCAATGAATATACAGTCTAAGAATGAAAATATAAGGAGTTCAGAAGTGGGAAGGGTCTCAGGGGTCATGGATGTCTTCAGGAAACTTAAGACTTGGAATAATAGACTTTTTTAACATTTTACTTTTAAACAATTTTAGACATAGAAATGTTGAAACCAGTGAAGAGAACGCTTGTGAATGCTTCACAGCTTTCTTTATTGTTAACGTTTTTTATAACCATGATGTATTTGTCAAAACTAAGAACTCACTGTTGGTATAACGCTATCAGCTAAACTACAGACTTTGTCTGGATTCTGCCCTTCTTCCCACTGATGCTCTTTTCTGGTCTAGGACCCTACCCTGCATGTGATCATCAAGTCTCCTCAGTCTCTCCCATTCCATGACAGTTCTTCAGTCTTCCCTGGTCTGCATTTATATTCTGTTGCTGCTATTAGAACTTTTAATAAACTTAACACCTTAAAAACACAAATTTATTTTCCTACAGTTCTGTAGGTAAGTTGTCTCCACTGATTCTTCTGCTTGGATTTTACCAGTGAAAATCAAGCTCAGCTCTTACTGAAAGGTTCTGGGAAAAGTCAGCCTCAAGCTCATTTAGGTGGTTGCTGGAACCACCTCTTTGTGGTTGTAAGACTGAGGCCAGTTTCCCTGCTGGCTGTGAGCAGGGGGCTCTCCTGAACTCTTGGTGATCTCTCGCTGGTCCTGGCACATAGCCTGTCATCTCAGCGTCATCAACAGTGCATCAAATCCTCCTCACACTTGGAGTCTCTCCAACCTTAGGTCCTGCACTTGTAGCAGCTTTCTAACAGGTGCACAAAGCTCTGACCTTTTAAACATCCATGTGACTAGACTGGCTATAGCTCGTGAATCCAGAAAAACCTCTCCACTTTAAGGCTGGTAATCTCACAGCTTCACATCTGCCAAGTCCCTGTTGCCAAGTAAGTTCACATCTGCTGGATCCAGGGCTTAGGGCATGCATGTGGGGGAGGGGCGGTCCGCTCACCATGTTGTTTTCCATGACTAACACTTCTAAATAGTCCTGTTCAATTAGTTCGTACAGTGTCCCTCAATATAGATTTGTCTGCTGTTTTCTCATGACTAAATTCAGGTTCGACATTTACTAGAAAGAATATCACCAACAGATGATGTACATGCTCACTACATCAGAGGCATAATTCACAGTACCAACAATGTACCCTTGCTGACATAGACAAGGAAGTATCTGCTGGGCTCTTCAACTGTACAGTAAATATTTTCACTCTGTAATTAATAATATTTTGGGGGCAGATATTCTGAGACTGCAAATATCTTGTTTCTGCCCGAGATGGTGATTTTAATTTCTCTCATTCTTCATGTTTCTTAATAGAATGCTCATAAACAGGAGAAATATCCCTTTTCCCTTACTTATTTATTTATTTATTCAATCACTTATTTAAATCAGTTTGGATTCCTGGATTTCAGTTTTATGTACTCTATAGGTTTTAATCCAGTATTGCCATTGTTTATTTTATGGTCCAAATTGTTCCAGGTTTGGCCACTGGGAGTACTATCAGGCTGGTTCTTGTAGCTCTCTAACATCCCATCCTTTTATGAGTGCTTCCTTATTTTTCTGTTGCCACAGGGTGCCCTGGACTCTTGCATTTTTCCCAACCAGCCTGAGTTGAGCCAGTTAGAACTCTGGTTCCTTTCACTGGAGCATGATTTGAGAAACCACATGAGGGTGTGGATGCCAGGTATGCTCAGGATAATAAAATTTTCGAGGAGTTTGAAGTGTCATGTATTGTTTTCCTCCTCTTTTATTATATTTTTAGCTCCTTCTTCTCTACTTGCTCCTTCCCGTGGGTATTCAAGTATAATTAAGTCTGTCCTACCTTTAAAGACAAAAATAAATATTATTTTGAAGAAGTTTATATCCCTACTGAAAGAAGTTAGCCAGCTTGCTTTAAGCATACAGTAAGGGAAGGGTCTCCGGAGAACCTCCGACCTGCCCCAAAAGTGCTTACGTCAGATGTTTTATGCAGATAAGGGCACTTGCACAGGGGGCTTGCCTAAACATGCCTGCAGAGGACTAAGGGCCTGCATGCACACTGGGGGAAGTGGGTGGAGCCACCAAGAATTCATTCCTTATACAAATAGGGAACCCAGCCTCATCAGCTTATATTTATATACGCCCTTGTATTCAACTGTGAGGGGCAACCAACAATCTGCTTTCAGGACTCCTCTCTTTGCTGAGAGCTTTCCTTTTGCTTAAAAAATTCTACACCACTCACTCTCTGGTGTCCACACACCTAATGTTTCCTGGCAAGAGACAAGAACCTGAACCTAGCTGAGCTAAGGAGTAAAAAATCTTGTATCACTACCAGTTATCCCTACCTGTTATCACTCCGATTTTCTCTTCCATTTTCATTATTAAACTCTTGAAAGTGTGGGTGGTCTAAATCAGTGGTTCTTACACTTTGTGTTCTTGGGACCCCTTTACACATATTAGAATTACTCAGTACCCCCAAAAGATTTTATGTACATGAATTACAGGGGTTGATATTCACTATATTCTGAATTAAAACTAAAGTTTTTCAAAAAATTAAAAAGGTTTAATGACAATAATAAGGAATTTACATGTTAACATGCATAAGGTATTTTTGAAATAAACCATAATGATTCCTCCAAAGATTAGTGGAGAGTGGCACTGTTTAACACTCTCGCAAATTTCTATCATGTCAGGCTTACTAGTACACAACTAGATTCTGATGTGTGCTTCTGCATCCAACCTTTTGCAGGATGTGGTTCTGGCTGGAGCAGTGAAAATAAGGCCTACACTGATACGCAGTTGAGAGAAGAAGAGTATTTTAATAACCAATTTGGATAATTGTCGATTTTTTTCATTGATAACTACACTAAGCTTGAAAAGTTGTAGTTTCTCAAAGTTTAGCTAAGTGTGGACTTAATTCATAATTGAAAAACATTTCCTACCCTGTTTCATTTCAATTCTTTGGGATATCTTGGGTTATAAATGGCTCTTTTACAAATGCATGATTTTGAAATATACTGGTCATTGAGAAAATACTGGTTTCCTAAGTTATGCAGATCTTCCAAATATTGATGTATTTCTTTAAAAAACTATCTTACAAAATTCTAAGAAATACAAGAGTACCCAAGCACACATTCCATTAGCCATCACTACAATAACATAACATGCTTCATGGAGACTCTAGAAAACTCTCTTGTGCACTTGTTGGAGAATGAATGTAAAAAAGGCAAATAATAGCATTCAATTTTTGTTAAAGTAGCTTGGACCTCTTGAACCCACTGCCAAAGTTGCAAGATACCCCCACCCACAGTGTTCTCCAGACCCCAAATTAAAAAGCAGTGGTGCATACACTTGCTGCCCTAGATGTCTCACTGCAAACCTCTACCCACAGTCTCATTTACTGTAACCAGAGGAAAATAATTCCATTTGTTTTCAAATCAATATTCAGTTCTTAGGTTATGCACTCTCTTGTATGTGTGGCCCTTTGACTCTTTTTTTTTTCTTTTTTTTCTTTTTGAGACAGGTTCTGACTCTGTTATCCAAGCTGGAGTGCAGTTGTGATCATAGCTCCCTGTAACCTCTGCCTCATGGGTCAAGTGATCCTCCCACCTCAGCCTTTCCAGTAGCTGGGACTACAAATATGTGTCACCATGCTTGGCTAACTTTTGTATTTTTTGTAGAGATGAGGTTGTGCCATGTTGCCCAGGCTGGTCTCAAACTCTGGGGCTCAAGTGAACCTCCCACCTTGGCCTCCCAAAATCCTGGGATTACAGGCGTGAGCCCCCATGCCTGGCCCATTTTGACTCTGGACCACTTCTTCCTGGAATGCTCTTTTCTCCTGGACATCTCTAGAACTCTGTGACATTGCTTGTTACTCCACCTGCCTCTATGACTACCATGCCCAAACTCCTTTGTATCTTCTTTTTTGCTTATAGCCTTAAAGTAGACTTTTTTTCAGGTTTCTCTCTTCAGCCCTCATGTGTCCTTTGCTTGATTTCTCTGGGGCCTCCCCTACTACTACAGCATCAGATCCCATCCATGTGAGGATGATTTCATACTTCATCAGACATCATCCACATGAGGACAATTTCCAATCAAATGCCTAAGCAAATGCCTTTGCCTGCACCCCAGAATCACATATTCAGCAGCATAATGTGCATCTATACCTAGATGCTCCTTAAACACATGCTCAGCATTTCTTTACCTGAATTCATCATTTCCCCCCAGCACCACTGACAACATTTAAGAGTTTTGATCACAATCAACAGACAATAACAATGTTTTTTATCAATCCTTTTCCTCTCTCAAAATCAGAGTGATATTTTCTTAGTCTCCAATGTGTTTTTTCTGTTTTCCTAAACTCCTCAAAGGCCACTTGTTTGTTTAAATAAATTCATTTTTATGTTCCTTTAGCATTTTGAAATGTTATCCTTCCAGTCCTTCCTTAAAATATCTAGGCATTATGTAAAATATCTAGTATTATTTCACTTAGCATAATGATTTCCTGATTCATCCTTGTAGCATGTTTCAGTGTTATATTTCTTTGTATTGCCATATAATATTCTAGTAAGTATATATAATCTTTTCTTCAGCCATTCATTTGTTCATGGACATTTGGGTTGTTTCCAACTTTTGGGTATTGGGTATTCCAACTTTTGGGTATCGCTATAAACATTTGTGTAAATTGTGCACGTGTGTGTGTGTGTATTAGTATTTTTAAAGTATTTTTGCATAGATATCAAAAAGTGGAATTGCTGAATCATACAGTATCTAATGTTCAATATTTTGTGGAACCCCAAAAGTATAGTACAAAGTGGCTTCATGATTTTATTAGTCTGGCCAGCAATGTATGAAGATTCTAATTTCTCTCTCTCTCTCTCCCTCTCTATCTATTATCTATCATGTTTAATACACCTGTCCTAATGGCTGTGAAGTGGTATTATATTGTGAGTTTTATTTCTGTTTATCCAAAGTTTAGTAATGTTGAGTATCTTATTGTCCATTTGTATATATTCTATGGAGAGATACCTACTCAAATCCACTGCCCATTGTAAACTGGGTTATCTTTTTCTCATTGAGTTATACAAGTGATTTGTATATTCTGTGTTGTAAACTTACCAGATACAAATTTGTAAATATTTCTCCTATTCTGTGCTTTTTTTTCACTTCTTTTGATGGTGTCGTGTATAGTATGACATTTAAAATTTTGATTTAGTACAGTTTACTGGCTTTTATTTTGTTTTGAGTGCTTTTTGTGTTAAATCTAAGAAACGATTGACTAAGCAATGGTCACAAAGATTTACTACTATGTTTACTTTTAAGGGCTCTTACATTTAGATTTATCAATCTTTTAAAAATACTTTTGTATATAAGCATCCAACTTCATTTATTTTCATATTAATATTATCTCAGAACCATTTATTGAAATAATTTTTCTTTCCCCATTGAATTATCTTGGCATCCTTGCTGAAAATGAATTGAAAATAAACAGAAGAGTTTATTTCTGGATTCTCTATTATCTTCCATCGTTTCTTTATGCCAGTACCACACTGTCTTGTTTTAAAAGTGCATTAAATTTTGAAAACAAGAAGTGAGAGTGTTAATTTTTCAAGATTGTTTTTGGTATTCAACATCCTTTGCATTTCTAAATTGATTTTAGGACCAGATTGTCAATTTCTAGAAGAAAGGCAGCTGAGCTATTCACAGCAATTGTGTTTAATCTGTAGATTAATATGAGGAGGGCATCTTAATACTCTTAATTTATCTAACCTATAAACTTCAGACATGTTTTTACTTGCTTAAATAATCTTTAACATAATTCAATAACTTTTTAGTTTTTCGTGTAAAAATCTTGCCCTTTAGTTACACTTATATTAAGTATTTTATTCAATTTGTTGCTATTGTAAAAGAAAGTATTTCCTTAATTTTATTTTCATATAGTGCATTGCTAGTGTATACAAATACAATTAATTTTTGTATATTGATCTTGTATCCTGCAACCTTGTTAAACTTATTAATTAATTCAAATCATTTGTATATGTTTGTGTGTATTCCTTATAATTTTCTATATGTAAGATCACACTATCTGAAAACAGATATTTTTCTTTCTTCTGAATCTGGAGGCCTTTTATTTCATTTTCTTGTCTAATTGCTTTTGCTAAACTGTCCATTACAATACTAAATAGAAGTGATAAGAGTGGACTTCCTTATCTTCTTCCTGATCTTTGAGGGGAAGAATTAAGTCTCTCACCATTAAGTATAAAGTTAGCTATGGGATTATCACATATGACTTTAATGACATTTAGCTTTCATTTCTAATTTGTTGATTTTTAATTATTGAAGAGTATTGGATTTTGTCAAATGATGTTCTGTGTCTATCAAGATACTGTGTTTTTCTTCTCTTTTTTCTATTACATAGTATATTTTTATAATTCAGGCATTAAATAGTATAATTAATTAGTACATTAAATAATACTTTATTTCTTATGTGCTATGCAGGGTGTGTTTGAAACATAGAATATTTGACTACTTCATCAGTTAGCAGATGACTAAAATAATTTAGTGGTGATAATGAAGTTAGGATTTGAACCCCCATTGTGAGGTGTTTGAATTATTAAAATTAATCAATGTTGACAATCAATTATAGTGATAACATGTTATAGACCTTTTGGGAGACTCATAAGAACACATGTGAGTTTTTTCTTAATTGTATATTCAGAAACAGAAACAAGACCACAGAGGACATAAACTTTTAAAACTGGAGAACATATTGCTCCCAAGCTTATACCAGATGAAAAGTAGGACCTAGGAGAATAAAAGGTATCTCTTTTAGGCTCACATCAGCAATGCACACACTCAGTATTTGCCAGATTTGACTTTTCTTCTCAAAATACAGCATTCTTAAATTTCTTTTCTCTGAGAACGGACTTGAGTTATTCAACTTATAATATATTCACTCATTTGACTCTGAAAGATCTTAGCATTACCTTAAAAGCAACTTCTTACCTATAATGAAAGTGTCAAACCTGATTAAATGTATGACAATTTTCTTAATATTGGTACAATTATTTTAGACTTCTTTATTAACTGGCATGATTTCCAGAGCAGCCCACTGAAAAACTATACAAGATATATTTACATTTCATGAAAATGTTATTTGGTTTGAAAAATCACATAGGATTTTCACATAAAAACAAAATAGAAAAAATACTTATATTCATTTTCACATTTATATAGTATACATAATATATTAGCTCTTTATATATTTTATACATATAAAGTATTATTTTGAATTTTTTCTTTATTAATACTTAATATAAATTTTAATCAAATAAATACTGCTCTCTCGATAAGCTTTATATTGTGTGCATCTAGTTGTAAAATAACGGCATTTGTAAGAATTTTTATTGTGTTCATTCCTGAGATTGAGTCACATCTTTGATATCCCACTGTTCAGATGTATGTGCTGACAGTGGTATATCAAAGATGTGATTCAATCTCATGCCTACACCCACTTTGCCATGATTGCTATGTTAAACTAAGTGCAACCTACAAAAATGCCTACTTAAAAAAAGATATGTTTTATCTGTAAGAAAAAAATGAATCATAGATCAAAATGTCAAAACTTTCCAATATTGTGATAGGGAACTAGAATGAACAAATAACTAATACAGCCATTTAACAAAAACCTGAAAACAAAAGCATGACTCCTACTTATTCAGAGTTTAAACTGTTACATTTTCCGTTAAGAGTAACTGGATACATTTACTTTAAGCTCTTACCTCTCAGAACTGGCTTTTTGGGAAACTTAGTAACAAATAGTTAAAATCACACTGGCTTCATTAGCCCTACCTTTCTTATACAAATGATCTATTCAGTTGAATCATTTCCAATTAATGTTGGCCTGCTGCTGGTTCACATATTTAAAGAAGAGTTTTATATGAAAAATGATAATTATGTCTTACATTTTTCAATCATTGTATTGTCCTTTTCCTTTTCAGTCAACAGCTTTTCTTCTAGAAATTTTTCAAATATGGTTTCTTTCCTCTTTCAGAAATAATTAGCAATGTATACTTATTTTAGAAAATGTGATACTCGTTTATCTTCTTTTTAGTTCTTGCTTCTCTGTTCAGTTCTCCCAATGTCCCTCTGCTTTCTCTCTTTTGTTTATGATGTGGGCTTATGCTTACGCAGGGTGCTTCATAGGCATGTAGAACCCACTCTGACCAAAAATTGGCATCTCCACACTCTTTCACATTCATTTTCTCAACAAAACTGATTATCTACATTAACACCACTGATCTCTGGATGACTGCATGGAAGGCTGCTCTGTAATTAAGAACAGTGATTTGAACTTCACATGAATGAAGTGAATCCACAATGGGTAGCTGAGGTTGGTGGTCAAAAGGTTTTAGAAGCACTGCTTAGTCAAAACATGATTTTTTTTTTCTAGCAGCATGAGAAGCCCCATCCCATGAGAAAAGAAAATTAATGGCTTTATAGATTAAAGATTGAAGACTTGCAAGTTAGGTATGGAAGAGAAACAAGGCTCATAAGTTACTGCACCATAGTGTAGAAAGGCTGGCTGGATATCCAGCAAGACTGACTTCTTGCTGGTCACAGAATTGGATGGCATTTTCTAGCCTCCCTTTCAGTTAGGTGTGCACATGTAATTGAGTACTAAGTAGTAATGATATGCACCAATTCTTCCAAAAAAGAAGAAAAAGACAAAGGAAGATAAAAGACAAAGAAAAATCTTGAAATCAGTGAGAAATTTTTCCTTATGCAAGAAACAATTCAAAGGACAACACATATCCCATCAGAAAACATGAAGGCATAAAGAAAACACAAAATTTTTTAACAGCTGAAAAAAAAAAGTTACAGTCTGATATGTTTTGCCTCTGTGTCTCCCCCAAAATCTCATCTTGAATTGTACTCCCATAATCTCCATGTGCTGTGGGAGGGACCGGTGGGAGATAGTTTGAATCGGGGGGCAGTTTTCCCCAGACTCTTCTCGGGGTAGTGAATAAATCTCACAAGAGGTGATGATTTTTATCAGGGTTTTCTGCTTTTGCACCTTCCTTATTTTCTCTTGCCACCGCCATGTTAAGAAGTGCCTTTCACCTCCCGTCATGATTCTGAGGCCTCCCCAGCCATGTGGAACTTAGGTCCAATTACACCTCTTTTTCTTGCCAGTCACGAATATGTCTTTATCAGCAGCATAAAAATGGACTAATATACAGTCCTTAATCATTTACCTAATAAAAATATCCTTCAGGAATGAAGGAAAAATCGAGACATTTTCATATGAAGGAAAACTAATAGAATTTGTCACACACAGACCTATCCTACAAACTAAAGAACGTTCTCTCAAAAGAAAGGAAATGATAAAAGAAGAAATCTTAGAACATCAGGAATAAAGAAAACACAATAAAAAATAAAAATAGGCCGGGTGCAGTGGCTCACGCCTGTAATCCCAGCACTTTGGGGGGCTGAGGTGGGCAGATCATGAGGTCAGGAGTTCGAGACCAACCTGACCAACATGGTGAAACCTACGTCTCTACTAAAAATACAAAGCTGGGCATGGTGGCGCATGGCTGTAATCCCAGCTACTCAGGAGACTGAGGCAGGAGAATCACTTGAACCCAGGAGGCGGAGGTGACAGTGAGCCAAGATCATGCCACTGCACTGCAGCCTGGGTGACAAGTGAAACGCTGTCTCAAAATAAATAAATAAATAAGTAAATAACATACATATGTACATACAGTATTTTTTCTCTGATGTTTTCTAAAAATTTGAGCCAAAAAATTACTATTTATGTATTTCAGTGTATAATGTTATACATCAATAAAACTTCTAAAATAAGTGTCTGCAAAAACAAAAAGAAAAAAGAAAAAAAAATGAGTAAAATATATGAATTGGCCAGTTGCAAAAATTACACAAGTAGACTTAAATATATGAAAAGATGCCCAAATTTACTTTTGATAAAATAAAGGGAGTAATAAAATTATAGCACTACCATTTCTCACGTCTCCACAGGCTGCTGTGGGAATGCAAAATTTTCACCTGTACAGAGGGGAATTTGGTGACATCTAGCAAAATTACATATGCCTTTACCTTTTAACACAGCAGTCTTAGCTCCAATAATTTATCCTAAAATATACCTTCTCAAATACAAAACAACATATGTGCAAGGTTATTAATTGTGACATTGGTTATAATAGGAAAATATTGGAAAATCAATATTCAGGAGAATGATTAAAGAAACTGTGTTTATCCACATAGTAGACTATCGGAGCTATAAAATAGAATGGAAATTTTAATAGACTGAGAGTGATGACTTCCAAGGATATATTGCAAAGGGTAAATAAACATGGGGAAAAAAGTTATCACTCAGTTCTAATGAATTACGAGTATCTTATGGGTTAAATCAAGCATATAGGTTTATTGCATTGATTTCACAAACTGAACTGCCAGTTTGTGATCCTGCTCCAAGCACTCTTCTTGGCCCAGAGCTTCAACTCTTGTAGCTTAATTACAATTCAGCCAGTGGTTTTTAACCTTTTATTGGAAACTAATACAAAGCACAAGGAAGAAACTCTAAGAATGCCACATAAGCTGTTCAGTGATGGAGCCTCACTGTATTATCATAGTCTATTAAATTCCACCTTATAATCCAAGTTAAAAGATCCCTTGAAAGAAGAGCTATATGATACACATAGTCCCCCCTTATCCATGGTTTCCACGTTACATGGTTTCAGTTACTGGCAGTCAGCCACAGTCTGAAAATATTAGGATACTTTGAAAGAGAGAAAGAGACCACATTTACATAGCTTTTATTACAACATACTTTTATAATTATTTTATTTTATTATTAGTTTTAGTTGTTAATCTTTCTGTATCTGATTTGTAAATTAAACTTTCTTATAGATATGATACCGAACTCTCTATATATACTATGTATTTTTCTTCACATGCATACCTATGATAGAGGTTAAGTGGGGACTATTTGTATCATCTAGCTCTTCTTTCAAGGAATTTTTGAACTTGAATTACAAGACAATTTAATGGACTATGACAATACAATATTATAAGTGCTGGGATGCAACTATAATAGGCAGAATAAAGATAGGGAGAGAAGTGCTGAGGATGGATTTCTTAAGTGAGGTAGATGGTGTCTGAATTAATGATTAACAGCTCAATTGGCAAGGTGAAAAGTTGATGAGGTTGGCATTCCTGGTAGATATAGTTGTCCCCCCTTATCCATAAATGAAACATTCCAAGGTAGTTTTGGGCATCCTCTGGGGGTCTTAAAAGGTTGCCTGTATGTATAAGAAGAGACTACTGTGTTTAATTACTTTAAAGAATTTATCCTCAGCATATACAATAATTTCTTGACCATGGTACATAATTAATAAATATATTTTAAGTAATAGATAAATTAATAAAAGGCATGATAAATGGATACTAAGCAATAAGGCTTAACAAGGTTTTCAGGGTAGAATTAATTTTTTTAAATGGCCCCATGTTAACAAAATGCCATTGATTTATTCTTAGTAAACTTACAAATTCTAGATTCTATACTACTTTTAGCCAGCACTGTCCAGTTAATGAATACTGGGTTTTAAAAAAATTTATAGTAATATTTCAGGCTATATTTTGCACATTCTAATGTGTTCTGTTTTTAAGAAGCAGATGATGTCACTCACTTAGCAGAAAGTCAGTTTGTTTGGCTGCAAACTTAACTTACTGCTTGAGTGATTGTATGTTAGATATTTATTTTCCATATGAAATGAAAAAGGAATGTGTGACCTTCATAAACATTTACTTGTTAATATTTGTAAGTTTCTAATTATGTGCCAGACTGCACTCAGCCTGAGCAGAAAGGACACAGAGATGAATGTTATGGGGCCCTGCCATGAGAGAAGGGTAACTGCTGCAGCAAAGATGCAGCCTACTTGTGCTGAGGCAGAGAGGACATAGCAGCAGTTACCTCGGGGGTCAGGGCAGCTTTGCTAGAGGAGGTGCTATTTTTCATGAAGAAAGAAGATTTCATCAGATTCAGAAAGAAGGTAGGGGGATCCCAGAAACAAAATCAGCTAAATCATTTCAGCAGCTGTCAATACTGAAACATTTTTGTGTCAATCTCTTCAATTCAGGTATTTCACAACATATTAATGCCAATCTGTTTAAATATAGGCAAAGAAACTCAAGCATTTTTTTCATAGTCCTTCCATAATGACTATTGGGATGCTTTCTTTTTGGAAGACAGTATCTTTACAAATCTCCGTGTCCTTATTTACTGGTACCCTAACAAATGCTTGTTCTGCCGTGTTAGTTATGCAGCTTTGCCCAAGAAGAGCATGCTGTTTAGGAGTAGTGAGTAAACGACTTCGGCTGAAGGACTGTAGGAAGCAGCCCCATTTGAGATGGGAACGTTTTATTGCAGCCATATTGTGAGGAGGGGTTAGTATTAAATGAGGTAGAGATTACAGAAGATGAAGAGGCAGGTTTGGGGTGGAAGATACTAAATTTGGAATTGAACATGTTAAGTTTGAGGTCACTGTCAGAAATCCAGAAGGAGAAATAAAGAGAAGCCATGAATTGGGCATATGTGTTTGCCATATTTATGGATGAAGTCCAGATTTATCTCCATCAAACACTAAAAACAAAAATAGAGAATAAAAATTAAAACAAGAGAAGTCTTGCTATGACTCTTTATTTTAATGGTACTCCAAAGAAGAGCGACGCAGAGAGACAAGATAGCACGCAGGGGTAGGTGGCTGACGTCCACACTTTGAAGGCAACACAGTACCGTGATTTTTTTCCATAACTTAGTGAGGAAAATGAAACAACAGCTCTGGTTCCTCACACAATTCTCTTAGCAAAAGCAGCGATGCATTGCGATAGATGCAGGAACAGGACCAGATGCACTGGGCGCCAGGCTCGTAATTAAGCACAGGAGTTTGTAATTACCTTCTCCTCTTGTGGGAGGAAAAGGATAATTAAACAGCCAAGTCCCAGCAGATGCTCACAAAGGGTTTCTGATTGTCAAGGCGAGCCCTAAATTCATTTGTACTTTAACTCTTGACAGTATCAGGGAATTATTTTTTTTCCCTAAAGTAATGTTTCCTGAAATAATTGCTTCAAGTCTGAAGTAATTGTGTAGGTTGGCTTTAAAAATTCAGGCAGTAAACATGTATTAAATAACTACCAGGTAGGGGTGTATGTGTGAAGCTTTGGTGTTGATGTGCTCAGTCCTTGTCCTCAAATAGTTGACAGTCTGATGGAATTGATGATCCTAGAGCCAGTGTATTATGTATAGTGGTTGATGTTTTAATAATGATTTTTAGATTTCTCTTTTTACCCTTCAGACTGGAGGAGTTTGTATCATAGGTTTTAGCTATCAGAAAAAAACTGAAAGTCTTTGTCAAGTGGTGAGTTAAAGGGATATCGGATCTTGACCCTGAATGAGATGAGCCAGTTGTGTGACAGTCTCGAGAAATGGTGCTCTAGGCAGAGGGTAAAACTTGGTCAAAGACAATCCAGCTAGAAATGGGATTGCCTTTTGGAAGAATAGAAATAAGGCCAGTGTGGCCAGAAGCAAGTTTGCAAGAGGTGACTGATAGTCAAGCGTGAGGGACAAACAGGTAAGAGATTTGGATAATGCAGCAAATTGTTTGCAAAAATGTGTAAGATCATTCCTCTCTCTGTGCCCAGGCTGCTTTGCAATGTGACTTTCCAGCACCTCTCATAAATAAGTGAAGTCTATTTCTAAACCCTTTAATCTGGCCTGACTTTTTACTTTCTTTGGGCATAGAATACAGAGGAAGTGTTGTAACATTTCCAAACATAGCTTTGCACAATTCTACTCCCTCTGACTGAAAACCGTGTGAAAAGGACTGGCTGCCACGCTGAAAGATGAAGTCCATGTGGAGGAAAACTAGCTGCTCCAGCTCACAGTCAGTTAGCCCCCAGCTGGCCACAGACGCAGGAGGGAGCCCTAGCCAAGAGGAAATGAACCTGCGTCAGATCAGCAGAGCCTCCTCTGTGAACCCAGCCCAACTTAGCAAAAACAGTGTTGTGAACTCAAAAAATGTTGTTCTCAGCCAATGTGCTCTAGGGTAATTTTTAATGGATTTTCTATGGATCAAAAACTAGCTGATGCAGGTAAAAATCAGATTATATTGAACATAGTAGCCACATTGAATAGTTTAGGTATTTGTGCACTTGCAGTGCAAAGACACTGGAGTGCTTGAGATCAATTTTATGTTTTAATAGCATTCTGATGATTAGAAAAAGAGTTGAGAAAGGCCAAGAATGAGACCACTAAGATCATTTGGGAAACAGTTGCAATGGACAAGTGAAAATAATGTCGATTAGGATGGTAATACTGGAAATGAAAGAAAAAGAACAGATTCATATATATTTTGAATAAATAACAGGCAAGATTTAATGAATAATTATATGTAGTTGGTGGGAGAAAGAAAAGAATCAAAGATTCCTTCAACAAATATTAATTGAGTGCTTATAAGTTTTGAAAATGATAAAGTATCCCCCTAAATAAAGGCACAGCCTTTATCATCATAGAACTACAGTATCCTAGATGTTAAATAAATGTTCACAGTAATAAAGGCAAAATTACTATTGTTGTAACGTTTTTAGAGAAGAGGTTCACATGTTGCTGTGGAGGCCTCCTGATATTGGAGTCCGTATAGTTTGGCACTGTGCTATTGAGGGTATCATCTTTCAGATTACACTCTGGACATCTACATTAATTTATTTTGTCATTACAGTGCTGACTTGTGGCCAAAATTCTTTTAGAAAATAAACTAGGTACGGATATCAGGATACATTACATAGGTTAATGATACTTACAATTTGATAAATTCTTGTTTTATTTTAAATTTATGCCATGCATTGAGAAATATTGTATGTGTGTGAGTGTATTTGCATTCATCTGCAAAACAAAAATGTAGGAAAACCATACATATAGCACAGGATTTGAAATTATATTTTATATAAAAATGGCTTAGGCCAGATGCCTATCAACTTCCTATTAAAAAGCCTCTAATAATTTGGAGTAGAGATACTTATCTTCTAAGGTAAGAGAAAATATAAAACATCTCATATTGTCTGCTGAAACACTTAGGTCTGCATTCAGTTTTTAACCCAGAGCAAAGAGATGTTGGTCAATTGCTACCAATACAACTATCAGTTTTGTAGGGAAAGTGGCTAATTTCCACAGAAAAATTAAAATATATATTCTATTTCCTTCTTTATTTTTTCTCCTTCTCTATAGTGTTAGTATCATGAATATTAAAAATAAAAGCTGTTTTAAACATTGTTTAAATGGAATACTATATAAACTTAACATATGTTATGAAGTGTTATATGATATAACATTAAAAAATTAAGGAATAGTGTAAGTTGCTTTGGTTCAGTAAATAATTATCAATAAAGTAAGTATGTGTGTCTATATATATAGACACACATGTATATATGTGTGTATATATATGTGTGTATACATACATACATATACATAGACACATATATATACACACAAATATACATGTGTGTATATATAATATTACTATGGTAACATGCAATTAAAATAATTACTGCTCAATTAATAGACTGTATATAAATTGGCTCAAATATCAAAATCTATCTTTGAAATTTCTTAAATTTTTAAGCTTGAATTATCACAAATAGCATCCCAAACTATTACCTGGATAATATGGAATTATCGATTTGCATTGGAGCTGTATTAATATATATGATGGGAGAAAATATTTGAAGAAATGCGGACCAAAACACTTAAGTATTATCCTTTATTCTAGAGTCATCCTATATCAACTATTTTTTGAAATAATGGGTCAGTAATATTGACAGAAAAATAAAACAATTTGATTTTATTTTAGATAGCAATGTTCTTAGCTAAAATAACTAATAACAAACCAGAACTTGTACATACAGAAAAATTACTACTAAAAGGAAAGTTTATAGCAATAAACACTTACATAAAAAATAGAAAGACTTCAAATAAACAATCTAATGATGCACCTCTAGGCACTAGAAAAGCAAGAGCAAACCAAATGCAAAATTAGTAAAAGAAAAAATAATAAACATTGGAACAGAAGTAAGGTGGGGCACTGTGGCTCATGCCTGTAATTCTAGCACTTTGGGAGGCTGAGGCAGGTTAATTGCTTGAGGCTAGGAGTTCGAGACCAGCCCAAGCAACATGGCAAAAGCTCATCTTTACAAAAAAAAAAAATACAAAAATTAGCTGGGCATAGTTGTGCTAGCCTGTAGTCTCAGCTACTTGGGAGGCTGATACAGGAGGATTACTTCAGCCTGGGAGGTCAAGGCTGCAGTGAGCCACGATTGTGCCAATGCACACTGCACTCCAACCTGGGCAATAGAGCAAGACCTTGTCTCAAATAAATAAATAAATAAATAAATAAACAAACAAACAGATTGGAGAATAAAAAATTAAATCGAAACAAAAAATATTAAAAAATCAATAAAACAAATTTTTTTTGAAAAAATAAACAAAATTGCCAAACCTATAGCTAGACTATGAAAAAAGAGAGAAAACTCAAATAAATAAAATCAGACACAAAAGAAAACATTACAACTGATACCAGAGAAAACAAAGTATCATTAGATACTAGCATAATTAATTATAAGCCACATTATAAGCCAACAGATTGTAAAACCTAGAAGAAATGAATCATTCCTGGACATATAAAATTTCTTAAGATTGAACCATGAAGAAATAGAAAACCTGAACAGACCAATAACAAGTAATGAGATTAAAGAAATAATAAAGTCTCCCATCAAAGAAAAGCCCAGGACCTGATGGATTCCCTATTGAATTTTATCAAACGTCTAAATAATGATTAATACCAATTTTACTCAAACTATTTCAAAAAATTGAAGAAAAGTAACACTTCTAAACTCATTCTACAAAGCCATTTACCTGATATGAAAAGCAGACAAGGACACACATACACAAACTACAAGACAGTATCTCTGATGAACATATATGAAAAATCCTAAATAAAATAGTAGCAGATCAAATCAAACAACACATTAAAAAATGCACCATGATCAAGTGGACTCATTTCAGAAATGTAAGGATTGTTCAACATATACAAATTAATAAACATGATACATCACATCACCAGAATCAAGAACAAAAACCATATGGTCATTCCAGTAGATGTGGAGAAAACATTTGATAAAATTCAACATCTCTTCATGATGAAAACTTCCAACAAATTGGCTATAGAAGGAACATAGTTCAACATGATAAGGGATATATATATATATATATATAAAACCCACATGTAATATCATACTGTGGTATGTTAATGGGGAAAAACTAAAAGCTCTCCCACTAAGATCTGGAAAAGTAAAAGGATGCTTATTTTCAGCACTTATATTCAACATTTATATTGCAAACAGAGAAACTACACAAGCAAAAAAATAAAGAGCATTTAAATTGGAGAGGAAGAAGTCCAACTACCCCTGTTTGCAGATGACATAATCTTATATTTAGAATCAACTAAAGACTCCACCAAAAGAAAACTCTTAGAAATGATAAGCGAATTCAGTAAATTGCAGGATTTAAAATCAAAACACAAAAATGAGTAGTTAATCTCTAGAGAAATGCAAATCAAAACCACAATGAGATACCATCTCAGCTCAGAATGGCTATTATCAAAACAAAATATAACAAGCTGATAAGGACACAGAGAAAGGGGAACACTTACATACTGTTGACAGGAATGAAAATTAGTACAGCCATTATGGAAAACAGTATGGAGGTTCCTCAGAAAACTAAAAATAGAACTCCCATAAAATTCAGCAGTCCCACCACTGTGTATATACACTAACTACAATCAGTCTGAAAAAGAAATCAAGAAAACTATCCCATTGTTAATAGCTACGAAAAATAAAATAAAATACCTAGGAACAACTTTAACCAAAGAAGTGGAAGGATCTCCACAAAGGAAATTATTGGAAAGAAATTAAATAGAACACAAACATATGAAAAGATATCCCATATTCATGGATTGGAAGAATTAATATTGTTTAAATGTTCATACTACCCAAAGCAATCTACAGATTCAATGCAATCCCTCTCAAAATACCAATGACTTTTTTTTATAAAAATAGAAAAAAAAATTCTAAAATCCATATGGAACTACAAAAGACCCCACATAGCTAATAAAATCCTGAGAACTACCTGGGTGCAGTGGCTCATTCCTATAATCCTAGTCCTTTTGGAGATCAAGAATCGCTGGAACGCAGGAGTTTAACTCCACCTTGGGCAATATAGTAAGACCCCATCTCTACAAAAAATTTTAAAAGATTACCCAGGCATGATGGCATATTCCTGTTATTCTAGCTACTTATGAGGCTGAGGCAGAAGGATCAGCCCAGCTTGAGCCCAGGAGTTTGAGGCTGTAGTAAGCCATGATCACATCACTACACTCCAGCCTGGATGACAGACTGAAACCCCATCTCAGAAATGAAACAAAACTGTAAGCAAAAACAAAGTTGGAGGCATCACATCACCTAGTTTTGAATTATACTACAAAGCTATAGTAACCAAAACAGCATGATACTGGCATAGAAACAGATTTATAGACCAATGGAACAGAATAAACAACTGAGAGATGAATCCATGCACTTATAGCGAATTCATTTCTGACAGAGGCACTAAGCATATACAGTGGAAGAAGGTTGTCTCTTTAAAAAGAAGTGCTGAAAAAACTGAATATCCACTTGCTCAAGAACGAAACTAGATCCCCATCTTTCACCATATACAAGAGCAACTCCAAATGGATTAAAGACTTACATTAAAGATCTGAAACTATAAAACTACCAAAAGAAAATATTGCAGGCATGCTACAGGGTATTGATGTGGGCAAAGATTTTTCAGGTAAAGAATTCAACAGCATAGGCAACAAAAGCAAAAGTTGGCAAGTGGGTTTACACCAAGCTAAAAAGCTTCTGCACGGCAAAGGAAAAAATCAACAAAGTGAAGACACAACCAACAGAATGAGAGAAAATATATGCAAACATTCATCTAACAAACAATTAAGAATCAGAATATATAAGGACCTCAAATAAACCTGCAGCAAAAAAAAAAAAATCTGATTTTTAAAATAGTCAAAACGATTCGAATAGACAATTTTCAAAAGAAGACACAAATGTCCAACAGATATATGAAAATATGTTCAACATTGCTAATCTCTAGGGAAATGCAAATCAAAACCACAATGAGATACCATCTCAGCTCAGAATGGCTATTATCAAAACAAAATATAACAAGCTGATAAGGACACAGAGAAAGGGGAACACTTATATACTGTTGACGGGAATGTAAATTAGTACAGCCATTATGGAAAACAGTATGGAGGTTCCTCAGAAAACTAAAAGTAGAACTCCCATAAAATTCAGCAGTCCCACCACTGTGTATATATCCAAAAGAAAGGAATCATTATATTGAAAAGATGTCTATATTGTCATGTTTATTGCAGCAATATTCACAATGGCCAAGATATGGGATCAACTTATATATTCATCAGCAGAGAAATGAATAAAGAAAGTGTGGATTCTTTACAATATATACAAATATGGAATATTATTCACTATAAAGAATGAAATTCTGTCATTTATAGCAACACGAATAAAACTGGAAGTCATTACATTAAGCAAAATAAGCCAGGCACAGATAGACAAATATTGCATATTCTCACTTATATGTGGGAACTAAAAAACTGGATCTCATGACAGTAGAGAGTAGATTGGTGGTTACCAGAGGATGGGAAGGGAAGGAGTAGAATGTAGAGAAGTTGGTTAAGGGGTTCAAAAACAGTTACATAGAAGAAATAAGTTCTAGCATTTGATAGTACAGTAGGGAAGTTATAGTTAACAAAAATTTATTGTATACCTCAAAATAGTTAGAAGATTTGCAATGTTCCCAACACAAAGAAAAGATAAGTGTTTGAGATGATGGATATCCCAATTACCATGATTTGATCATTACACATTGTATACAGGTATCAAAATATCACATGTATCCTAAAATATGTACAACATATATACATAAACATTTTAAATATATGTTTTTATTATATATAAAATGTATAATTTTATTATAAACATGTTTTAAATATGTATTTTTATTGTATATACAAATATATATTTATTTTCTCTATATATTTTATTATACATAAAAATATATATTTAAAATATTTTAATATATTTAAACAAAACTAAAAAGATCAGGGTATTAAATACACACACACACACACACACACACACAGAGAGAAAATTAGAAAGTGATCATTCATGTTCAGAGAAAGACCTGAGAAGACCTTAAATTTATGTCTCAGGCTAATTCTCAGCACAAAACAGCATACAATTAAAACAAAAACAAAAGCAAAAAGCAGCAAACCCTGGGAAGGGAAGGGAATCTGCATAACCTAGAAAAGGGGGGAAATGAGTTACCACATTATTAGAATTCAAGCATTCACTTTTCAACAAAAAATAACAAGGCATAGAAAAGACAAGTAAGTATAGTCCATTCCAAGAAATAAACAAAAACTTTCACTGAGGAAAACCAGATGGTAGATCTGCTAAAGACTTTAAAACTATCTTAAGGATGCTCAACTAACTAAAGGAAGGTGTGGAGAAAGTCAAGCTTATGATATATGAACAAAATAGTGTTGTCAGTAAAAAGAAAAAGGAAACCAAAAATAAATTCTGGAAATGAAAAGTACAATAACTAAAATTAAACTGAGTCAATGTTGAATTCCTGCTTTTCTGGGATTCAAAAGCAAATGTGAGCAGACAGAAGCAAGAATCAGTGAACTTGAGAATAGGACAATGAACATGATGAAATATTAAAAGGTTAAAGAAAAGTGAACAGAGTCATCAAGTGGGACACCATCAAGCAGAGCAATGTATGCAGTATGGTAGTGTCAGAATAAGAAGAGAGAGAGAAAGGGGCAGAATGGATGTTTTAGGACATCATGACCGAAAACACACATATGATGAAAGACATGAATATAAGCAAACTCAAAATAAGATTCAAAAGGAGATAAAAACCAAGACACATTATAATCAAAGTTTTGAAAACCAAAGACAAAAAAATGAAAGCAGAAAGGGAGAAATAATTTATCACATTACAGGGATCTTCAATAAGATTATCAGCAGATGTCTCATCAGAAACCTTGGAGGCCAGAAGGCAGGTAGGGGATATATTCAAAGTGCTGAAAGAAAAATAAACCTGTAATATCAGCACTTTCATAGGCCAAGGAGAGAGGATCACTTGAGCCCCAGAGTTTGAGACCAGCCTGGGCAACATAGTGAGACCCCATCTCTGCAATAAATTTTAAAAATTTTGCAAGGTTTGATCCAGAAATTCCACCTCTCAGTATACACCCCAAATAATTGAAAGCAGGGGTTTGAACAGATATGTGTACATGAGTGTTTGTAGCATCATTATTCACAATGCTCCAAAGGTAGAAACAATCCAGATGTCCATGTGTATACCCAAATGTGGCACATACATACAGTGCAATACTATTAAGCCTTAACAAGGAGTGACATTTGATACATGATATAATATGGATGAATTTATAAAACATTATCTAAGTGAAATAAGCCAGTCTTAAAAGGCCGAGTACTGTATTATTGCTCTTATATGTTTTAATTGGCAAAAAATTTTTAAGGCCAGAACATAGAATAGTGGCAATTAGGGGCTGGGGGAAGAGGTAATTGCGATTTATTTTTAATGGGCACATAGTTTATGTTAAGATGATGAAATTGTTTTGGAAGTGGATAGTGGTGATTTTTGCATAGTAACGTAAAGGTATTTATTGCCTGGAGTTGTATGCTTGAAAATGGTTAAAATAGTAAATATTATGGTATGTATGTTTTACCAAAATGGTAAATATACCAATATGGTAAAATACACACAATGCTTTTAAAAGCTATTAAAACTTCTCTTGTAAACTAGGAATAGTAGGGGGACTTCCTTAACTTGATAAAGAATATCTACAAAAATCTATGTCTAACATCATACTTATGATGAAAACAAGACAAAAAAAGTCCCCTTTCACCACTTCTTTTCACAATCCTACTATTAGGCATAGCTAATGCAATAAGACAAGAAAAGAAAACAAAATGTGTACAAATTGAGAAGGAAGAAATAAAACTATTTTTGTTCTCTGACAGCATGATTGCATAAAAATTCTGAAAGAATCAACAAACCACTCCTTGAATTAATCAGTAAATATAGCAAGTTTGAAGGGTACAAGGTCAATATACAAAGCCAATCAATTTTTAGTATATTATTAAATAGCAATGAACAAGTGGAATTTGAAATTAAAAGACAACAGCATTTAGATAAGCATTCTCCAAAATAAAACACTCAGATATAAATCTGTAGCCACTTTGGAAGATAGTTTGGCAGTTTCTTATAAAACTAAACATATTCTTACCATACAATACAACAATTGTACTCTTTAGTATTTGCCCAAAGGAGTTGAGAAATTATCTACAAAAAAAAAAACAAAAAACTTGTTCACAAAACTACCTGCACACAAATGTTTACAGAAGCTGTAGTCATAATTGCAAAACTTGGAAATAACCAAAATGTCTTTTCATTAGGGGAACAGATAAACTTTGGTACATCCAGACATTGAAATATTATTCATCACTAAAAATATATGAGGAATCAAGCCACAAAAACACAAAGAGGAATCTTAAATGCATAATGCTAAGTGAAAGATGCCAATCTGAAAAGGCAATGCACTATATGATATCAACTATATGACATTCTAGAAACATCAAAACTATGGAGAGAGTAAAAAGATCTGTGGGGCCAGGCGCAGTGGCTCAAGCCTGTAATCCCAGCACTTTGGGAGGCCCAAGCAGGCAGATCACCTGAGGTCAGGAGTTCAAGACCAGCCTGACCAACACGGAGAAACCCCGTCTCTGCTAAAAATACAAAATTAGCCGGTCATGGTGGCGCATGCCTGTAATCCCAGGTACTTGGGAGGCTGAGGCAGGAGAATCGCTTGAACCTGGGAGGCGGAGGTTGCGGTGAGCCAAGATGGCGCCATTGCAGTCCAGTCTGGGCAACAAGAGTGAGACTCCATCTTAAAAAAAAAAAAATTAAAAAAAAAATCAATGGTTTCCAAGAGTTGGAGATGGGGATGTGGGAAAAACACAGAGGAATCTTAGGTCAATGAAAATACTTTGTACTATACTATAACAATGGATACATATCATTATGCGTTTGTCCATATGCATAGAATGCACAAAACCAAGAGTGAATCCTAATGTAAACTAAGGGCTCTGGGTTAGTATGATGTGCCAATGCAGTTTCATTAATTGTAAAAAAAAATGCATCTCTCTAATGGGAGATATTGATAATGGGTGAAACTGTGTGTATGTGGGGATAAAAGGTATATGGGAAATCTCTATACCTTCCTCTTGAGTTGATGTGAAGTTAAAACTGCTCTTTTTTTTTTAAATTTGTATGGATTACATAAATGAAGATTTTGTTTTTAGTTATTAATTCCACTAGTATGTCTATTGATTTTTTGAATGTTCTGTATACACAACTAGGTCTTCTGCATGTAATGATAATTCTATTTATTCTTTTCCAAGTCCTTATGCCTTTAAAAATAATTTGTCTAATTGTAATGACTATAACTTTGAATATTAAATGAGACTTCCAGTACAATAGAAATTTTATTATGAAGAAAATATGTTGTTCTATTTAACAGATACTCTATCAGATTAAAGAATTTCACTTTTATTCCAGTTTGCTAAATGTTTTATCATGAATAGTTACTGAATTTTATAAAATGATTTTTCTACATCTGTTAAAATGATCATTAATTGTTCTTTGTTTCCCTACTTTACTATATAAATTGAGATAACTTAAATCTGTGGGTTATTGCCTTTCATCAGCCTCCAAAAATCATCAACCATCACCTCTTTGAATGTGGCTAGTGTCCCATTTCTCTTACTCCTTTTTTCTACAAGTCCACTTGTAAATGTGGTATATCTTTTGACTGTTCCCACATCTCTAATGCATTGTTCATTTTTTTCATATTTTGTCTCTCTATGCTTCAAATTAGTTGCATTCCATTGAACTGCTTTATTGTTCACTATTCCATTTAGTTTTTGATTTTAGGTACTTTAATTTTCTACTTATAATTTTATTTTTTATATAGATTCAAATTTTCTGGTGAAAATCTGCATTCTTTCTTTTGCATATTTATTTTCTGTTTTTTAAACAATAAAATCACAGACTTTCAAGGTATTTGTTAACAGCAATATCAGAATAATTTGTGAGTTCATTCTCTTAACTGTATTTCCCAATAATTCCTGACTATAATTATATTTATTGCATGTTTGCAGGCCCAAACATACCCTTTGTTGTAGTCTGAACATTGCAATTAAAGTAACTGCAGAGGCTTCCTCTGGAAAGGACATTTATTTCCCTTTGTTAGACAAATAGAATGAGGAATTAAGCACCTTGACCCCTTTTAGAAATGAGCTGCTGCACCAGGTATTACGTGCAATTTTTCTGAAACCAAGTATCCATTGAGTTTACCTCCAATCCTCAGATGTACTTGTCCCAGGCTTTTCTCAGTACAAACTGTCTAAAAGGGGCAAGACTGATCCAAACTCATACCTGAAATTGTCAAATTTACCTTAAGTAATTTGCAAATATCTTCTTACAGTGTTTCACTAGTAATTTACCTTTTGTTATAGTAATTGAGATATAAATTTTATAATTATTAGGAATTCCAAACTATTTTTCTTTCTTTAATACTGTTTTTGTTTTAAGATCTTGCTTAATCAATGTTAACTTTATAAATATAATCACTCATATTTTAATAACTTAGATAAAAAGTTAACATGTTTGCTATGTATCAGATATATTTTATATGTAATATGAGACATGAATTTCAGAAAAAGCAACCTTTTTATTTTTATGCTTATAATTAGACAAGCCATTTATTAAAACATTGCAGATACAAGAAAAACTAAGTTGCAACTGACTGAGTGTCAGAATTTAGTCTCTGGAAGAATGGAAAAATAAATTTTTAAAGCTAGTCAAATTTCTTACAAAAGTAAATGTATTCTATCATACATTTCAGCAATTGTGCTTCTTGATGTTTATTTATCCAAATGAGTTGAAAACGTATTCCTCACAAATACCTGCACGTGGATGTTTATAGCAGATAATTCATAATTGCCAAACCTTGGAAGCAACCAAAATGTCCCTCAGTAAGTGAATAAACTGTGGTACATGTAGACATGTGAAAAACAAACAAACAAACAAAAACAAAAAAAGAATCAGTGGGTGCCAGGGGTTCTAACCCTGAGGGAGAGAAGGAATGGATAGTTAGAGCAGAGGGGATTTTTAAGCCATCAAAACTTTTCTGTATGATATACAACAATGATGGATATATGTCATTATGCAGTTATCAAATCTCATAGAATATAGCAGAACTGGAGTGAACCCTAATGTAAACCAGGGACTTTGAGTAATAATCATGTATCAGTGTCAGTTCATTGATTATAACAAATGTACTACCCTGGAGAGGAATGTCGGTGGCAAGGGAGGTTGTGTGTTTGTGAGGGCAGTGCATGTATCGGAATCCTCTGTATTTCTTGGTCAATTTTGCTGTGAACCTAAAACTGCTCCAAAAAAATTAGTCTATTTTTATGAAGTCAGATATTGTGAAATATGTGATGTCTTAAATAATTATCAACATCAACAGTTCATAAATATTCTGCCTACTCTAATCATACTTTCAGAATTTCAATAATTTAAAAGCCTGCACAAAAATAGGAGCTATCATTTACATCTTAAAGAGATACAGCCAAGATCCTTTTGTAAGTAAAAAGCCTACAAAAGTCCAGTTTTATCTTATTGAATCTCCCTAAAAAAGGAAAATGTAAACTGAATTAATTCCAACAGACTATTGATCTTAGCCTACCTAATCCTACTAACGTGCTGTAAATATAACAATGTGAAAACAATCTATTACAGTTTTAAGCTTTTGTCTTCTGTAAGGAGATAACAGACACATACTTACTGAATTTTCTTAATTTTTGGCTGGTTTGATAAGCTGTGGCAACAACTGCCAAGATCCATAAGTATTTTTTGAAATTCTGTTTGAGTTTAAAGAGTAATTGGCAGAAACATAATATTTAAAATATTGAGTATTTACCTCTGACACTACAAGGTATATCTACTCAGCTAAATGCTTCATTATATGACTTTCATTATAGTTTCATAATTATCTTTGTAAATATCTTGAAGTTTTTCTAGTATTATGTAATTTTATATTGTTATTCTCATCAGAAATGTTTCAACCCATTATGATTAATTTTTCTTTCACATTATGAGATAGTCTGACCAAAAATACAAGTAAATTATAAAAATATGTGAATCACAAATTTTTATAAATTTTAATATTTTACATGAGTTTTATACTTTGATTGAATAAAGTATCACATTGCAATTGTTTGCTTTGTATCTATTCTTAAATTCTATTAGCCTTCTTCATGAGAAATATTCACTCATTTTAGATGAACAAAAAGTTATACATAATCTAGGTTTCTCTAGGTAGAAACCATCTGCACAAAATGAGAGTTTTGTTTCTTTCTTTCAAATTGTTGTAACTCGTATCTCATTTCTTAGCCTTTTGCATTGCTTTGTGTATTTAAGATAAGTAATGTTTAAAAGGTTTGCTCTGGTGTCCATTTTGTTCTTTTTCTTTACATATAATAATTCATATTTACAATCTGTGATTGTATTGTCATTTGTTTGCAATTTATTCTTTTTGCAATTTATTATTATTACAATAGGATGCATTTAAAATTTTGTAAATAAGCAATCTCAGAGTTATCTCTGAGTCATGAATCTATCTAACAGTTTATAACAAAAGAGTAACTCTTCTTAAATTTTTTTACCTTTCTGTACCGTAGAATATTTAAATATTACTATTATTTTAAATAGACTCATATGTAGTGTCTTAATCTTTATTTTTTAATTAATTGCATGTATTTATTTCGGATGATAAATATTTTGGTGTTAAATTGTGCACCGTATACATTCTGTATTACTTTTTCTTGTATTTTAATATGGTGCATAATATTTCAATTTTTGTTTTTTTTTTTTTTTTGAGAGACATTCCTTCCTCTTTTGCTGCAGCTTTTTTCCTTTTAGTCTGCCCTCCTCTCCATTCTTGTCATGTTTTCCTCGTGGTCTTTCTTAAAATGAATTGAACAGAATATATGATCATATATTAAAACCGTATAAATGGAAATGAAATAATTAAACTTATCTATTTTTAATAATAGAAACTAGAAACTATGCATTGTTGCAGTAATACTGGGCAATTCACCTTCAGATAATCTGTTATTTCAGACACATGCAAGCATCATTATATAGTAGAAGACAGTTCTGTTCAATGAATACAGAAAGGTAAAAAAGTTTAAGAAAATCTCCTAAATTTGATGAGATTTACTGTATTGGCATAAAGTAGTATATTATGCATTTAAATTGCTATTCCATTTATCTATTTTGTGACAAAATTACTGGACAAAATTATGCTACTATAAAGTTAGACTACTTTGTACTTCAAGCAAATATTGCCTATAGTTTTATAAGGTAAACACCAAAGCAGCTGTCCAGACTGGTCATGCTGATCACAACACATGAAATAAGTCAATGGTGCAGCTCTGCCTGTCAATGACACTGCAATGCCTATCCAGACATCTTTTCAAAAAATAAGCAGAAGAAAAAAAATGTTCAGATTTTGGACTTTATTTATTTTTTAAAAAAGGAGTTAGATATGACAGTTTTAATGGACTTTAAAGTCTCCCTATTCCTATAAGTTTTAATAACATGAATAGAAACTCAATTAATAGTATTTTTAATGCACAAAGATTTATGAATTTTATGCCAGTTTTAACTGTACCTTCCCTATTATTACTAGATATTTGTAATTCAGTCATTGTCAATAGGCTTCCCTCGGTTCACCTTTGGATACCATTACTGGGAGGTGGACGTGGGGACAAGCAAATCGTGGGATCTGGGTGTTTGCAAAGAATCTATTAATCGACAAGAGGAAGTTCTGCTGTCTTCAGAACTTGGCTGTGGACTGTGGTTTTGAGAAATAAAAAGCTCCTCTGAGCCAGTAATGTGCCTTTAACTACCTTCTGGTTACTCCAAATAGACATTTGTTTGGATTTGGATATTGGAATCATTTTCTCTTATAACATTAGCAATGGAGCCACTGCACCCATTTCTTGCTTCTTCAGATTCAATTAATGATGATTATCCTTCTTATCTGTCCTGAAATGAATCTTAGCACTACCAAATCTCCAGTTTATCCTGAGCAAGACAAATAAACCACTAGCCACAAAAACATTTAGAGAAAATCACTTTATGTTCAAAGCTGAAAACCTCTCCTTGGTGCAAAGTTACAGCACAAAAATATGGAACATTTCATAAATTATTAATACAAAATAAGTAGACTTAAAAATTACATTTCAAAGATTAAGTATTGTCACAGTAGTCTTTTGGGTCTTATGTTTAAATTTCTGTTCCAATAAATACATTCTAAGCTCTCAGAAAGAATAAAAAAACTAAATAATGTAAATAGCATACTGTAACAGTGATATCATCAAATTTGTAACTCAGAAATGTTGCTGCTTTTTTTCTCCCCACAAATAAATAAATAAATATAACAAGTTTTTATTAAAAACCATGGGACAAGAGGTGTAATAGGAGTGCTGAGGTCTACAAAGCATGGTCATTTTCGGAATCTTTATTCAGTTGCAAATAAATAGCTAATATATCAAATAAATGAGAAGTGATGATCTAATATTGATCATAAGGATAGGATGAATTCAAACGAGAAATATCAGTGGATCTTCATGAATAAGTTAGGAATTTAGCAAAAGTTTAGAATATGGAAGAAAACAAAATTCTTACTGATATAACAGCATCATTAAAATTGAGAAAAGCAGAAAAATATATATGTATGAGGGATCTTTCTTCACTGGAACATTAAGTTCTGGGGATTAATGGAAACTGACGTTGTTTTTTAAAAAATGTAGAATCAGATTTTAGAAAAATGTAAAGACCTGAAGAACTCTTTAAACTTCAACTTATAGGCCAGAAGGAGCCTTCTCCGCAAGGAGGACACAGCAGAACTGTGTGCAGTGTAGCCATGGTAACCAAGTAGTTGATGATGGGAAGTTCTTTATAGAAGAATTCCAGCTAGTGCATGCAGAAGGAGTGATTGCATTTGGATACCTTGTTTTTTCAGCCCCCAGTGGAAAATAAAAATGGATGGAGGCAATGAATAAGGATCACCTATAAAATAATTTCTTTTAACTATCAGAACTACATATGATTAAGCCTCTAGATTTATCAACAAATTTACAAAAAAATGTAGAGTATAAGGAACATGAACAATGACATCATGGAGATGAAATGGGGCAGATCAAGAATATGTAAAATTTTATAGAAAAAATAACTTAGTTTCAGTAAAAACAATGTATTTATAGATGAATACTTATTTATCAATAAAATGACATCATCTGTGAGTTAAAAAAAAATTCCAGAGCCAAAATATTTTTAAAATGTAGTTGGTATGTAAATGAAACAAAATTGGTCAAATGTACACAATTGTTAAAGTTATATGTCGAGCACATGAGAATTCATTATATATTCTTTGTAATTCTGTGTTAGCTTTAACATTTCCATAGATAAAAAGTTAAAACAAAATGAGAAAAGACCTCTGTGGTGGCTTTCAAGAATCTGTCCTATCCTATGACTCACTAGGAGACCTAATATCTGGGTTGAATATCTCAAACATTCAAAGATTCCTCATTAGAAAAAAAGTAATTTTTATTTAGAAAACCATGTAGTTTTTTTAGGAGAACTGCAAATGTTAAATGTAACATAATTAGTACAATATTGAGACATATGTGTGAAACCCTTTAGAATGAATGGAATATGAGACCAGTTAAAATGAAAATTAGTCTAATTTCTGCAGGGCAAATACTTCTCTTCATGGATATGAAATGTTCTTCTGAAAACTTTATCTTCCCAAATGTAAAGAAAAAAAACTTCAGAATTTTTTTTTTAGAAACTATTATATCAATGTCAGTTTAGAATTAACTTGTTGAAGATTGATAGATTCTCTTTGCATTTCCTATATTTTGAACACTGCAAAATTTCAAGTTCACAATGCTACATTGGCACAAGAAACTAAGGTAATATCCTCTGATGTTTTAACACCTGATATTATATTTTTGGAGTAATTTTATGGACATGCCTTTAAGAAAGTGGCATTTCAAGAGTAATACTGTATGTTATACTCACTGTAACTAGATACAAATATGCCTTATAAACAATATTTTTAAGATTTCTGCTCTACTGCTTTTGCCACACATGAATTCTGTCTAGACTTTGAGGGCAACATTCAGTTACAAAGCCCCAGTAAACATATTTAACAATACTTACATTATCACAAAATTATGAAGGTGCCCAATGTGCTGAGGCTTTGCCCTTTAACATGAGCAATCCGTGTATTTGTGCTGTGCTTCTCTGGAAAAAGTGACTTCAACACTCTTTCTGGGCTGTAATAATAGAGTGCTTTCCACTCTTCCTCTCCAGAAATGCAAGTCTCATGACAATTACCACAATGGAAATAGGGATTGAATGAAAAAATGTGAATGTGTTGTCAAAATAATCCCAGTGAAACTTTTATAAAACAAAATTATATTTAGAGTGATAACATAACATATTGAGAGAAAAACGTGCTTGATGGGGCAAAAGAAAATTGAAAATAAGAGTGGTTACATAATGAAAGCGAAGCAAAATCTTTTGGAGAGTGTTATGGAGTATTACAATATTTGCATTTTTATATAAATTAGTGACATTAATCAAACTAATCATTACCTTTACTTCAGTCTCAAAGGACCTCTGAAAACTCTTGATATTTACTCAAAAGAACAAAATGTGATGAAATTTAATACAGTAAGATTCTTGCAATTTGGGGATCTTTTAAAGAAACTACCAGAAAGCAAATTATTTTCATATTTATTCAGTCTTTCATTTCATTCTTTATTATTTTTTGGTTTGCTATTAACTTTCTTTTCACCAACTGCCAGTTTGAAAAATGTCTACATTATTTACAACATCATTCCTGAATTATCAGATTTCATGTTGTACAAATGAAAACCTCTCATTCAATCTTCTTTATATTATCATACCCTAAGGTTTAGGAGTAAAACAACATCTAGAATTAATCAGATTGAAATTGTTATTCTATGCCCTTGTGCTGGCTAAGGATATATACCAAGTTCAAGAAGAGTCCATAGATTCCTCTGTAGAAGCCCTTCTGATGCTGGGACCTGTGGCTGCTCTGCTTCCCTGCTTCCAGAGCAGTGGCACAGATGACAATGTCCAACCTCCGGCAAAGCTTGAGACAGCAGGGCTGGCACGTGGGGCCTGGCATGTGATGAGAGCTAAGCATTCCAAAGAAAGAGAGATGTAAAGAGAAAAAATTCCTTTCAGCTGCACTTCGTCCCTACATTTAAAATTATTTATTACCAAATTCCACTCACTAACTCAAACCCCAAAAACCACTCAAATCCTAACTATATGTGCTCAGAATTCTGTACCTAGAATAGTGCCTACCACGTGGTAGACACTGAAGAGAAATGATGGTAGAAATGAGATGGAGTAGACAAACTGCAACACATCATGCTTAGATATCAGATGACACCAGCAAAAGGGGCTGTGTAATGTTATTGGTGAAGCACAGCACACAATATGTTTGCTGCAGTTTTTGAAACTGGCTTTGATTGTATTCAAAAAAAATCCTGGGGAGAAAGCTATATAAAAGATTTGAGCTTAAAGGAATTATATATTGATTAATGTTCTTTCTTTCCTGTCATTACCATTGCAATAAATTTATCAATCATGTAGCTGTCCAATCGCTAAATACTCTCAAAAGGTTTGATGTGTTGTTTATCTTTTATTCATATTTTCAATATATCTTTTTATGAAGTTCTGCAGGTGGAGATGGTCATATGTGGGTTGCCGAAGCTCTCGAACTCTTCTTCATTAGATCGTCTGTGTTCTCCCAGATACCACCAGTGAAGTATCATTTTGCCTTCAGTTTATACTTTCTAGCAATAACAAAAATATATTTTTAAATAGGAACAGAATATTTCATCCCCTTTATGTTGCCTTATTTTTAAAATAATCTATGGCTATGCAAACAGTTCCCTGTAAAGACAGAACAGAAATAATTATGCAAAGCTCATTTTGATTTATGAAAATATTTATGGTACTATTTTTTAAATATTTTTCTTCCATTCAGTCCTTGTGAGAATACACTGTGATGGTTTTGACCCTCCTAAATGTCCTTAGGCTTAAGTGACCTAATTTAGAATCCCATATTTGTATTATTAAATTATAATTTTTATTATAATTTGTTATATCAAACAAAGAATGCATTTATGTAGATGTGATTGAATAGGAAACATAAACTGCTGCCTGTTATCTCGCATGTGCTTCTCTAGTACCTTGGCACTCCAATATGTCTATTTACAGTAGGAGAAAGTTTGGGAAATTTACAGATATAGTGAAATTAAGCAATGAATTAAAGTACTTCCACTTCCAAGTAACTAACACATCAATGAAAAAAAATCATAATGGAAATTAGAAAATGCTTTTATATGAATGAAAATTGAACACACAACAAACATATTTATGGAATACTGCTAAATAAGGGCTTACGTATGCATGTATAATGAAAACCTGCCATATTTAACTGAAATCAATAGCCTCATATTCTCGAATCAACAGCCTAAACTTTCACCTTAAGAAATAGTCAAAGAATAGCAAACTAAGCCCAAAGCAAGCAGAAGGAAGGAAATAAAGCTTAGCATTAAAACAACAAAACAGAGACTAGAAAACAGTGGGAAAAAATCAATGAAAAAATGTTTTTCATATGTGATGATTTGTCTAGTTTTGGCATCTTATTCTGTGGCCTCATAGAATGTGTTTGGCAGTGTTAAATCCCTTTATCTTCTTGCAAAAGTTTGTGAAGGATTTATGTTAATTCTTCTTTAAACATTTAGATAAAGACACCACAGGAAAAGAAAAGGTACACAGACCAGAATCCCTTAAAAATATAGACAACTGTATCCTCAATAAAATGCTAACAAAACAAAGCAACATGTAAAAAAGGATACACCATGAAAAACTGGATTTATCACAAGAATGTAAGATTGCTTTATTATAAAAATACATACATGAAGCATTCTCTATTAATAGAATAAAGGACAAAACCACATGATAATCTCAATATTTAGAAAGAATATTTGTAAAATCCAACCTTCTTTCATGATAGAAACAAAGAATAGAAGGAAATTTCTTCACCTGATAACATCTGTGAAAAACCCATAACTAACATTTTACCTAATTGTAATCCACAGAATATTTACTCCCTAAGATCAGCAATAAGCCAAGAATTATTGCTTTGGCCACTTCTATTCACCACTGTACTGGTGAATCTAACCAGGGCAATTAGGCAAGAAAAGGATACAAAAGATGTATTAATTGAAAAGGAAAAAGCCATATTTTATTTGCAGATGATAGGATCTTATGTACAGAAAATTCTAAGGAATCCACAAATAAAAAATACCATAAAATTAGTATGTAAAAGTAAAGTAAACTATATTTCCATATACTGGTCATAAAAATATAAAAATGAAACAAAATAATTTCACTTAAGTAATATCAAAAATATACTTAGGAATAAATTTTAAGAAATAAACATAAGATTTTTAAACTGAAAACAACAAAATGTTGAAAAAAATTAAAGAAGACAAATAAATAGAAAGATATCACATGTTCATGGATTGGATCACAATATTTTTAAGATGTCATTGCATCCCACATTGATGTACAGATTCAACATAATCCCTATCAAAATTCCAGCGACCTTTTTGGCAGAAAAATGACATTTATTTTAAAATTTATTTGGAAATCTACGGGATTCAAAATAACTAGAACAATCTTGAACAAAAAGAACAAAAGTTGGAGGGCATATGCCTTTGTGTTTAAAAACTTACTATAAAACAAAAGTAATCAAGAAATATGGTACTCTTAGGATGACCATATAGATCAATGGAATAGAATTGAGAGTCCTGAAATAAACTTTTTCATGTAATGTCAACTGATTTTTAACAAGGGTCAATGGAAGAAAGAGCAGCCTTTTTGAACATAGTGCTGGGAGAACTGGCTATCTACATCAAAAAAAAAATTAAATGCTACGTCACTTCATAATTAAAAATTAAATCAAAATGGATTGTAGACAAAATCATAATGCTATCTCTATAAAACTCTTTTCTGCCCCAGCCACCTGCTAAAAATACTTGAAGCTCTGAGATTTCTACCCTGCTTACAAGATTACAATTTACCCTGTCATCATTTTATAGATGCTGGTAGAAGTCACAAGTCTCCTGTGAATGAAAAAGTACTTTAGGACTCAGCAGGCAACATGAGTATCATCACTGTTGCCTTCGACTCCCATGCAGGTGGACCCAGAGGGAGGCCTGCACATGCACAGGGTTATGTTACAGGCGCTGAGCTCTGAGCTGTGCTCCGTGATTAGGCCTTGTCCTTTACTCTGGAGAGAGACACTATATCTTCCAAGGCCATTTGCTAACAAAGGCCTTTGAAAAGATATTCTGGAACAGATGGTAGTCGGAGCCTTGCTTGCAAGACAGGCAGAAATGCCCGACCCAGGGGAATTGTCTCCCAAACCATCACATCCATATTCCTGGAAGGAAAAGGGCAAAGGACCAGTGACATCTTTACCTTATTTAAGCCTACTCCTTTTTAAATAGCATTAGCATTCAAGAAGCCTTTCCCAACAACTTATTTCTTTTCTTTTCTTTCTTCTTTTTCTTTTTTTTTCTGTTGTTTGTTTATTTGTTTGTTTGTTTTGAGATAGAGTTTCGCTCTTGTTGCCCAGACTGGAGTGCAATGCCCCGATCTTGGCTCACTGCAGCCTCCTTCCCTCTGGTTCAAGCAATTCTCCTGCCTCAGACTCCCAGGTAGGTGGGATTACAGGTGCCCGCCACCATGCCCGGCTAATTTTTGTATTTTTAGTAGAGACAGGGTTTTGCCATGTTAGGCAGGCTGCTCTCCAACTCCTGGCCTCAGGTGATCTGCCCACTTAGGCCTCCCAAAGTGCTAGGATTGCAGACATGAGCCATCGTGCCCGACTCCAACAACTCATTTCCAGTTGGCCTGAATTGTTTCACAGGACAACTCCTATCTATAAAGAAAGCCAGTAAAGGTCATTTTATGGTAAGGCACAGCACTGCCTAAAAAGTTGGAGGGGAGAATGGATATTGGAAGAGCAGCTATTAGTGTCTACTTCTGAGTTTATATTTATTTTATCTCCCGAGGGGCATTCTAAAAATATAAAATTTATGTTTGTCTTTCAGGCTAAAAAGTGGAGTCTCTCATTTGTGTTATATTGCTCACTAGCACTCAGTAAACATTTATTGACTATGGATATTTTTAGAGTTGCAGGTTTTCTATGGTCATTTTCACCAAAACAATGCTGTAAAAATTATGAAAAAATTATCTGTGCTAGATTTTCTTTTAATGTAAAGGCTTTTAATCAACAAAATGCATTTGTATAACAACAGTCACTCTCTGCTATATTTTGTTTTTGTAGAAAAACTTTTCAGTTCCTACCCCATATTACCACTTACTTCCTAGATTCAGTAAGGTCTCAACCGAAGTAAGAAACTTAACATGTAAATGAGCAACACTATCTTATATATATTGACATGTTACCACAATTATACGAATTGTGTATATTCTGATTTGTATAATTATTACAAATCATAATTTCTTATATTAACAAACAGAAGCATAAAAAAGCACTCTTAAAAAACCTGTTGATTAGAAATCACTATAAAAAAGAGAAAGGGGGTGGAACACAGAAAAGCTATGGCATTAACACGTCAAAATCCCTCAGAGGAGGGCCTGTGACATCTGTAGGAAGGATATGATATGCCTTTAAAAGAGGGCGGGGCTGCCTATCCCAGAAATGAAGGGAAAAGGACTTGAGACAAATCAATAAACCTGGCCTATTTTACTATTTTTCCTAGGTACAGCGATCCATTTAAAAAGTACACAGCACATTAAAATTAAGTTCCAAACTGATGTCCTTTATAAGGCTCTATATCAAAACATTAGGAGTTGTTTCTATTTCTACTCCTGGGATCTTAATATTATCCTAAATGTTTTACATGACCGTGTATTAATTTTTTAACTTGAAAACAACAAAGCTAATTTCAGTCATGAAAAAACTGATACAGTATAGTTATAAATTCTTAGAACAGTCACACATTTAAATTGAGTTTTTTAATTAAATATATGGTATTAGCAAACAATCAAAAAAGAAAAATAAATAAGTCACAACAACAAAAAATAAATAAAAGGCTTTCTGTTAGTTCCAAGTTTGTCTTTAAATGTATGTACAAATGCAAAACATTTACTGACATTTTCAGAACAACTTCAGCTGTTTCATTTTTAAATGCATATACACCCTATTGCACAAGTGTGGGTAAAAGTTATCATACAAGGAAAAACGTAAACTAAATATCCTGTGCAATTATGAAAGAACAGGCAAAGAAACAAAGTGAAGTTTTAGAAGAACATTAGCTTATGAGGTTGCACCAGTGGCTACTAATGGTTAATTAATTATTATTTATTAATAATGACCTCATTTTCATTTTAGAATTTCCTTTTTCTTTTTTGCACGTAGCAACAACTATGAATATAAACCTTTACCTAATACTTTGGCCGCGGGGTTCTCATTTCTTGTCTTTTTGAGGCATGAAATAACAGAATGTTATTAACTTCTTTAGGGTCAAAGATCCCATATGCTTTGTCTTTAGCAAACTAGATTTATTTGATCTGACTGGATTTGCTATATTTGTTTATCTGAGTTGTGTGATTAATACATGGGAAATAAAATACAAATAATGAAGCACTTTGGAAGAGAAATATTTGACTTACAAAATCATAACAGACAGAACTAGTAAAACGTGTAGGTGTGTTCACAACACCTGCAAGAGTATAATCTACAACATCACAAAACAAAATGAAAACTCTTTCCAGCCCTTAAACTAGGCTTTCTTCCTTCAATATCTACAGCTGAGAGTTTTCTACTCCTGCAGTCCTCACAGTAGGTGGTTCAATGTGCCTTTTCCTGCTTTCTTTGCTTGAATGTTGTCCAGAGTACTTGCTAGTAACTACATAGTGTGACAAGACTGTAAAATACAGCATTTTGCTTTCAATATAATGGGGAACTTGTCAGAAAATCTAGATTGTGTCTGTGTTTTTCTTCCTATGCTGTTCCCAGAATTGTTTTTGCGTTTTCACCTAAGGGAAAAACAGAATGGCATACAGAAAGGAAAATGAACATTTGAGGTTTCAGTTACTGCCAATAAGTCTTTCTATTGGCTTTAATACAGCCACAGTGGAAATACTTGGAGGAAATCATCCTTATCAACATTTTTTAACTATATTAAAGTTAACTGGATATGTATTGAATATTCGGGGATCCTTCTGTGCATGTGTTTAATTACTTCGGAAGGCATTGTGTCCCTTGTTATCATAACAATACCGTGTAACGGGTCACCCCAAAGCTCATTGCCCCAGTCAACAATCATTTATTCTTGCTCACACAGCTGTGCTGGCTGGGGGTTGTCTGACCTAGGATTGGATTGCCTGGGCTTGGCTCCAAGCTGCAGCTTGGGTATAGAGTGCCTCCACCTTTCTCTCTCATACCTTAGACCTTGGGTTACCTGATGTATGTTCCCAAGTTGATGGCAAGTGTAAACTGGTCCTTTCCTCCCATCACATCTGCTGATATCCCATTGGACAAAGATCAATCAAACATCTATGGAACTGAGAAGTACACATCATCTTCTATGGGGGAACTGCAGTGTCATGTGGACAAGGGTGTGGATACATAAAGTGATGAACATAAAGCATGGTAACACCAATAGAATGTATTCTATGCTTGTTGTATATGACACATCATTTTATATCATACATAATTACATGGGTATATATACATATTCATAAGAAAGGTGTTTTAGCATTTCTCCATGCAACTATGATGCATACAATTTTAGCAGCATTTGAGTAAGCAGTTGTCCACATGATTCACACATGGCAAGTTCTCCCGTGCAGGCACCGATAGCCATGGTATTTCTTACCGGGGGGGTGGCAGGAGGACACTCTGACTTTCACATCTGCTTATTGCTATGCTCTGTGACATCACCCAATTATGTCTCTTAGATCCTTTTTTCCGACATCTGTCCAAATTAGTTACCAGAACTGAGATCTTAAACTCCATCAGATTTTATGAGTGCACAAGAGGAAAATATTCATCTTCTGAGAATTTGAAGACATTAATTTTACTCTAGCAGCTGTTAAGCCTGTTTTCCATGTCAACTACACGTGCTTTATGTTTGTATGCAAAATGTACGTTGCAATGACATATGTATTACAATTTCACAATTAGAGAAAAGCCATCATGACTTGACATATCTATAAACTCTTGGCAATTATTTTAATATTCTGAAAACAAGTTAGAATTTTAGTGCTAATTGCATATATCTAATTCTTTTTATTAGAACTACATCTGCTAAACAGCATAAATTAGGAACATTTACTAGTTATTTTAATTATCTCTCTTGTCATTATAGAATTATTTTCTTTGACAAAAATTTATATCATTTCATTTCATTTACTATTTTCTAAAGATCTGTCATCTATTAAATGTGCAAATCTTATAAGATAAAACTTTATAAAGCCACACGTTGTATCAAAAGTGAATACTTTTCTAATGTTTTTTATTATAATAACCTAGATTTATTATTCCTGACATTGAAACTTTAAAATTTCCTATTTGAAATAGAAATAACTTGAAACAGCTGGTCTAGAGAAAACATGGTTTCTCAAAATTAGGAACTGAAAAAGAAAAAAGTAAATGCATTTATATAGAGAGATAGTAAATAAAAAAGCACACTTTATAGCTTATAAAACTAAGATGCAATTATTCATTAAATAAACCATTCATTAAATAAGCATTGAACACATGACAGTCGCCCATGCAAAGTGCTGGGTATCAATGTAAGTAAAATACACATCTCTTAACTTTCAAGAGTATGATCAGGAGGTTAAGGGATCTGTAGGAACAAATATATAAACAGGAAATGATGTTAAGTATTTAAACACACACTTAATATGATGGGGGATTATGACACATTAGGTGAGCCAGGTATGGGCAGAGGAAAACAGGAAATAAGCCTAAGATCGTTGCTGTATTACATGATACAACTACGTCAAGTGAAAAAAAAATATTTAGTGGATAATTTTCTCAATGGAACAGGCCAATCAATGCAGAATTGATTATAAAGTGATTATGATTCTTGTGCATGCACAGGTGCAAACCACTGCCCAGGGTCAAAGGAGTATCTATCTCGATCTCACATTTTCACCCATAGAAAGAGCCAGGGTCTATACCCCTCAATCTATGCACACTCTCTGTTATAAATATATTTAGCCATCCAAGTAAAACAAACAAACACATGGTATAGGTTTTCCTATTGGTCCCCTAACAAAATCTCACTTACTTACTATCTTAAAACAATACCCATTCATTAGCTTACATTACTCTAGGTCTAACGTCCTGTATGGCATGGCTGGATTCTCTTCCCAGGGCTACGTGGGGCTGAAACCAAGGTGTCAGTGTGGACTGCTGTTCTTATCTGAGGTGTGGGGTCCTCTTCTAAAATCCTTAGTTGTGGCAAAGTTCAGTTTCTTTCCACACTTTCCATGTGGCCTCTTCATCATCATCAAGCCAGGCTTTGTATGTGGGGCCTTTCTGGTTCTTAAAATGCCCTTTTTCTCCTGCCTTTAGGAGCTCTGTGATCATATCGAGCTCATCTGGGTTAATTTATTTATATTCACAATATCCATGGAGTACATATGGCATCTTGTGGGCCTTTAGTCTGCCTTCTATGAATATAAGACATTATTTCCCCAGAATGAAAATGTATATGAAGAAAGAGAAATATGCCACTGGAAAGTAGTTCAAATAATGAAAGTCTTTTGCTTGTTATAGCCTTCCTTTTTTTCTGTTCTTTTTCCTTTCCTTCCATAAAAGATTTATTATATGCTTTTAGGAAAATAACAAAAGCAGAATGTTTGCTAACCATCTATGGGTGAAAGAGTAGCAAATTTGGTTTAAGGAGATGTTGTAAATAATGGTATGACAATTCCTGGGATTCTGGGAGTCACTTAATAAGGAGACAGAAATAGATTCAATGCCAGTGTGCCCCTAATGAGAAAAGGGAATTCTTTTACTGAGGCCTATAATCTTGGGAATATGCTTTTAATTAAAATTATAAGTCTAAAACTTTTACTATTACTATGACTGTTTATAGCTCCCAATTTAACTCACGTAACAGAGGAGTGAGTGGATGGGTGGGCTAGACTTAAGATAATAAGGGAGTAAGGAGTGAAAGAAAACCCCACCTATCTCCTCACCTGAAGGCCCTGGACACGTCCAGCCTGCTTTGGGAGTAAGGCAACAGGAGATTGAAATCAAGTTGGCAGTTGAGTTTTGAACTGTATTAGACTCCACAGTTCAATTTCCAAGAGTTGTATGAAAATAAAACTAGTAGGATAAAAGACAGACATCCAGTACACTCATTCCTTCTTCAATGTTCTATTTTATCATTATAGCCAGTGCCTGTGGCAGGCACACTCTGAGATGGGCCACAGTGTTCTGTCTCCCGGAATCCATACCCTTGTGTAATCGTTACCACTTCAGTGTAGGCTGGATCTAGTGACTCTTTACTGAAAAATACAAAATGGCAGAAATGCTGGGATGCCACTGATTTTGTTAGGTTATCAAAACGCTGTGGCTTTTGCCTTGAATTTCTCTCCATGCTCATTTTCTTACTTTCTGTAATACCTTACAAAAGGAGAAGCAAGCTGGCATAATGAGAGCAACTTTATGGAGAAGTCCGTGTGAGAAGGAATTGGTATCTCTAGCCAACAGCTAGGGAGGGTCTGAGCCTGTCAGAAACCAATGAATGAGTTTGGAAGCAGATCTGTCAGCCCCTTTCAAGACTTCAGATGGCTGAAACTCCAACTGACACCTTGTCTGGAATCTCATTAAGCCATGAAGCACGTAGCTAAACACATTCTTTACCAATATGAACTATTAAGTAATAATAATCTATTGTTTTAATCCATGTTTTCAGGTTATTATAGCAATAGATAACAAATATGCATAGTGCTCAAGTTTAAAAGGGATTATATGCCATTAAATGCACATTGCAAATATGATTATATGGATTCATTTTTCCTTATAGGCAATATTATAAGCAAAAGTCAGATTCCTGGACAGCCTAGCAGAATGGGATTACTTTTATAAAAAGATGACCAAAGTGTTTGCATAAAATATTCTTCACATTTCATAACACCAAAGCAAAAGAGTACTTCACAGCTCAGGGGAGATTGTAAAATACTCAGATCGCTTACAGAACCATGGGGTCGTTACATCTCTTTGACTTGTGGTATTTATTTCCACCAAGTTCTTTTTAATAAAGTCTGCGGAAGTTTCCCGGGTAAGTTCAAGGTGTTGTTCTTTCTGTAGTGCGTATTTCAAAAAAAAAAAAAAAAAAAAAAAAGCTGACATTCTAAGCCTTTCCAAAGAATTCTTCTTCTCTTTTTTTGTTTTATAGAGATAAGAAAAATCAAATATTGTATTTCAATTAAAGATACAAATCATTTAAAAGATCAGCCATTTATTAATGAACAAATACGTTGTCAAAGAGGTGACAAGCAATGGTTTCAGTGATTTTATTTTATTTTCACTTCAAATTGCTTATTCCAGCTCTAACCACCTACATTATTATTATGAGCTGCTGTTAACTGAACCTCTATTTTATTCCTCTTTGTCCAAGAGCTCTACAAACACTCTCTATAATCCTTAAAATAACTCCACAAATGGAAGACATTATTTCCATTTCACAGATGAGGAAACAAACTCGGAGTTATCAGGTAGTTGTCTGCCTATGAAATGGAAGAAAAGGCATTTGAATTCAAGTTTACCTAGTCCTAAAACTAGAAACCTCTCCTCCGCATGGTTCTAAAACACAGTATTACCATAATCAATTAATTAATTATTTATTGAAAATTAATAAATAAATATCATTCATAATGGCATTTGTCCCCAGTTTTTATTCCTTATTAATATAAAAAGCTTTATTTTCTGATGGATTATGCAATGATTATTTCAGGATCTAAGCATAAATAAAACAAAAGTCCCTACACATTTGTCAGATATAATCTGCCTACCAACAGGTTTTTTTTCGTTGACTGACAAGAAATATAATAATGGCCAATTTCTTCATGCTTTGTATTTAATAGTGTTAAATTGCAGCCTTCAATAACCTTTTTAATGTATTTCAATTTACATTTTCTCACAACTGGTAATTTTATTCTCAAATTCCCAGAAAATAAGAATAAAAAAGATTTACAATATGAATCTGCATTTTATTCTGGATTTATATGTTAATTCCCAGGATCATAATGTTTCTCATTAGTGGCTAATAAAAGCTTCTAGAAGGGCTTCTCCTTTAAGGTTGTTTTTAATTACTTTCATCTCGAAAATTAATTTAACATAGATTATTTAATGATACAGTCACCAAATTAGCATTTACCCTGTCTTACTATCCAGATATAAGGTATTGATTTAGGAAAGGTTAACATTTATCCAAGATGCCTGTATTTCTGTATATATTTTTTCAATTGCAACTTAGAAGTTCTGCCATCCCTGGTTCTATGGTAACTAAATTTCGATGAGTGATGTGCTGGAACCAGCTTGAAGAGGCTTAAGAAAGGTGATTGTTAGCATCTCTTCTCAACCTCTCAGCTTCAGTGATGTTACATATACAGTTTGAAATCTGCCTAGTGGGAGTATTTACATCATGAAGAATGGAAAATGGTACAAACCAGGGCTTTAATCTTAGGCAAACCATTTTACTAGCTCACTAAAGATTACAGCTGGGTGTGGTGGCTCACGCCTGTAATCCCAGCACTTGGGGAGGCCGATGGGGGCAGATCACAAGGTCAGGAGATCAAGACCAGCCTGGCCAATATGGTCTCTACTAAAAATACAAAAATTAGCCGGGCATGGTGGTGGGCACCTGTAGTCCCAGCTACTCAGGAGGCTGAGGCAGGAGAACAGCTTGAACCTGAGATCGTGCCACTGCACTCCAGCTTGGGTGACAGAGTGAGACTCTGTCTCAAAAAAAAAAAAAAAAAAAAAAAAAAGATTACGATCCATGAGGAAAAATGAAATAACAAGGTGTTTTTTACTTAATACAGAAGAAATTTTAAAAAGTATTAACTATAAGAAATACTAAATTTTATGAACATACTGAAATACAATTTAGCATATTTTAGACGAACAAATTAAGGTTTTGGGAGCTATTACAATGAGAAAGTCACAGAAAAATTTGGTAAGCAGAATCATTTGCAATGTTTATTTGGTAGACAACAGAGTCTGTGAAGTCAAATGACAATGCCACACCTAAGTAAATTTTGTTGTAAACAAAGTTCTCATAATTTATTTTTTAATGTTAATTGTTAGCCTGTCCGATTGTCCCTGTCCCGCCCACCATCATAAGTACAGGAGGAGAAAAGAGGCCAACAAAGGGGAAAGTATGCCAAATCTCAGAAATTCACTAAGTGACTATTTCAAACAGTTAACTTTTCAGCTCTTGAAAAAGTGTGTTGATCTAGCATAAAGAAAGCACCATTAGCAGATGAACTGAGATGCAATAGAAAGGTATTTTTGCATAAAATGTAAAATATTTTAGGTGAAACTGTTTTGAATTATAATTGAGTACAAACCTGATTTATGCCAAGAATAGTTTAGTGTGATTCCTCTATTTAGCTCAAAAATAAATAAATAATCATGGTGAAATGGCACGTATTATCCAAACACGGCTGTTCTTGCTGTATATTCAGATTGCACACTGTGGTCCTGCAAAGAATATATTAACAAACTAATCCATAGAGCTGAGCCCAATGTGGGGCTCATATATCTGCTTGGTTTTGTTCTTTAATAGCAATGGAGCTCTTCCACCTTGACAGTGACTCGATGGCAGGTTTCACTATTTCAACAGCCCCATCTTGGTTGGAATGATACAGGTGCACATACCTTCTGAAGAGTATTCCTCTTAGGCAGTGCTGGGGCCCAGAATACCTCAAAATGAAGGCCTCAAAAGCAACCTCAGCAGCTGAGGTTTCTTTCCTGCCATCCTGTGTCCGGCCCCTCATTCTCCCCTGAGGCCAGTCCTAGAAAGGAGAAATTCTCTTCTTCAAGGTGGGTCATGGAAACCTAAGCCTCTTTTCCCCAAAGCCAGCCATGAAACCTAAAAATTACTCTAGCTTTCCCTACCAATTCTGTGTAAAAACTGGCCTTAAAAAATTGTCTGACCTACCTTGTTTGATTGTGGGTCATAGGACTCCCATTCCAAATAGAGACCTGCCTCACACCCAGACGGAAGGAAAGCTACTCAGAGAGGCCAAGAAGAATCGAGACAGACAGACCCTGCCAGGGGTCCCCACTCAGTCTATCTGCATTAGATCCTACCTTTTCATCTCATCAGGTTTCCATACAGCTATCTATACTCTGTTGAACCTAAGCATAAAAATGCGCAGTTTCCCCTGTATGTGGGGGTCTTCATTCTGAAGGCTCTCATGTCACATAATACTATGATCAAATAAATTTAGATGCCTTTTCTCCTATGAAACTGCCTTTTGTCAGTTAATTTTCTGTGACCCTTCAGAGGGTGAAGTGGGACTTTTCCCTTCATCCCTACAGCAGCTTCAAAGTTTTACCTTTTCTATAAATTTCATTGCATTTAAAACATCATGTTAAGGCAATAAACAAATCATTTCATTTTAACAGAATGAGACCACAAAAGACATCAAAAATTAGTTAACATTTCGTTTAAAAATTAAGCATCTTCTCCTGGCTAACATGGTGAAACCCCATCTCTACTAAAAATACAAAAAATTAGCCGGTGGTGGTGGCAGGCGCCTGTAGTCCCAGCTACTTGGGAGGCTGAGACAGGAGAATGGCTTGAACTCGGGAGGTGGAGCTTGCAGTGAGCCCAGATAGCACCACTGCACTCCAGGCTGGGAGACAGAGCGAGACTCCATCTCAAAAAAAAAACTACACATCTTCTAAGCTATCTGTTATCAGATGTAAAATTAATTGAATTTATCATACTGGAGTTTTCTTTAAGAATTAAACTTTAAAATAAAATTTTATCAAAACATTGCATATTTGCAATTCACTATTTATTAATTCAATTCATTAACCTTATAATAAGCTAGCAACTATTTCAAGCCAAGACAAAAGAATATTAATAAATATTATACTGTAGAACCCTGACAAACCACAAAGGCAAATTATTCCAAAGTAAAGGTAGTATTTGAGAAAAGCTAAACCACATCTAATTGTGGCTGTTGGTTCCAAAAATTCATTAAAATGCTTGGGCAAGGTAGATTTATTTATGGCCTGAAGTTACATGAAATAGAGAAAGGGGATAAATAGTCTACTCAAAAGAGGAAAAAACATTTAGCAGAGGATACAAGAGTTGCATTCATCATTGTGTGATCACTTCACAGTTTCACCCAACATCCTGTCATTGTTGCACCAATTCTCTCTGTTTTTCACTACTTTAAAAGGCCTGTGAAGTATCCAGAGCTAGCCCAACTCAAGGTTAAGGGACAGTCCTCCAGGCTGCCAGGCGTGGGCAATTCTTCTGATATTAGCTGTAGGTACAGGGTTCCCTGGGGCCACCCTCACTTCTGACTAACTGGCTGCAGCTATGGGGGCCCCACAGAGTCCATGATGATTGATACTTCTCTAGAATGACCCAGAGCCCAGGAAAGTGCTGTATTTATGTAGGGGCAGAAAGGTATGACACCTTTCCTCACCCACCATAAAGGTCACAGCCAACAGCCCTGTAACAAAAGACAGGTTAACAAAAGAAAAAGCATAACAAATTTCTTTAATCAAAGTTATACATGATGAGGGAACTGTGAGAAATGGAGACCTAAAGATCCAGGGGAAAGTATCTATTTATATGCTTAGATTCAACAAAGAATGGAAAGTCATGTGGAAATGTGATTGGACAAAAGGGTATGACCTCACAGTAATAGACGGAAGGGGAAACCCAACAAGGCTTGTATGGTCAGAGTCTTCTTGGTCTCTGTGTATAGCTTTTCTTCCTCCCCACCCAGATATGGGGCAGAACTTCTCTGCATGATGGTCTTCAAGAGAGAAAGAAGAAAGTGATTTTTCTGGGCTTTTTTATGACTTTTTTTTATGACTCACCTTGGGGAAGAGGAGTTCTAGTTTCTATGACCTGCCTTGGATAATTTCTATCTTTTGCTTTGGGGGAGAAAGACCAACGAAATACAGGGCAATGGGAGGTCAGACAGACTTGCTTCTGAGGCCCTTCTGGTCTCCTTCAGTTCAAAGTGTTCAGCACGCCAAGGTGCCGTACTTTGGGGTATCGTCTTCTGAGCCTCAACACCTACAGTTAAGATTTGATCGTCCCATAAGAATATAAATCAGAACCAGGCAAAAGAACGGATGCATAGGGTGGAATCTGGGGCCGGGGGTTTCCCTTGCCATGCTCCTGTGTCTTCAGGGTGCCCTCCCCTCCCAGTGTGGATGCGCAGCAGCACTCAGAGGACTGCACACAGGAGCCCCCAGGCTGCCCAGGCTCCAGAGCTTCCACTAGGGCTTCGTTGCATAGGCATAGATGACTCAGGACCTGTCCACAAGGATAAACTCCATTTCCAGTCCCCCAGCCCCCAAAGGCCAGTCAATTTCATCTGTTCCAAAGCCTCAACTTTTTTTTTTTTTAATCTTTTTTTTTTATTGTACTTTAAGTTTTAGGGTACATGTGCACATTGTGCAGGTTAGTTACATACGTATACATGTGCCATGCTGGTGCGCTGCACCCACTAACTCGTCATCTAGCATTAGGTATATCTCCCAATGCTATCCCTCCCCCCTCCCCCCACCCCACAACAGTCCCCAGAGTGTGATATTCCCCTTCCTGTGTCCATGTGATCTCATTGTTCAGTTCCCACCTATGAGTGAGAATATGCGGTGTTTGGTTTTTTGATCTTGCGATAGTTTACTGAGAATGATGATTTCCAATTTCATCCATGTCCCTACAAAGGACATGAACTCATCATTTTTTATGGCTGCATAGTATTCCATGGTTTTTAATCACATGATTGGTCTTTCTGGTTGGTGTCACCCAGAGTCATCTTGTTAGCATGAATGATTAAGTATGATCTGAGGGATCCACTGTGAATAGGGTGAAACTTCTATCTCAGGAAATTTCAAGGGCTACAAGTTACCGCCCAGGAGCCTGGACATAAGCCAGATATCTCTTTGGGTAAAGTTAATCATTCACTATACAGATGCCAAAGACCAAATCTGACTTTTTAACATCTTATTCCAAGCACCTAGAATTATATGCAGCATGTTAACAGCATCTTGACAAAAAATTGCCAATAATTGAATTGAAAAAAGGAAGGAAGGGAGGGAAGGAGTGAGGGAGAGAGGGAGGGGAGGGGAGGGAGAATTGTTTTAGTTCCCATTAAAATAATATTTATCTGCACTGTTCTCTAAAAATATCTTACCATTTGGTAGTTTTTTCTTTTTAGGTAATAAAAGAATGTATAAAGTCTGTTGCTTTGTGTTAAAGTTCATCTGTTAAATATTTCTTGTTTTGGCCTCTCAGTCTTTATTTCTCATTATTCTCCAATTCAGTTAATTTTCTCCATTCAAACTAATCTTTTAGTAAACACATATTGACAAGTTACAACTTTCTCACCTCAGCACCACAAAGCAAACTGTGTTTATAATCAATGATATTATATCAATTCTTATTGTCATTATAAACCTCATTATCCCTATGCAATATGGCTGTATGTCCACCTTCTTCAGGAGAATCAACCTTCTTTCCTTCAAGCTTGTGGCCTAGCATGAAGTCAGGCTTTGGCTTGATAGGATAGGTTATGACACCTAACAGACTACATTCTATAATCTTACCTAATAGGTATTGACTATAATTTAAATGATGCAAGTTTCAATCCTGTAGTCCTGATGCATGATATAAATCCGAAGAGCCCAAAATCTGTTGGTTCAGAAGACAGAAGAGGAAAAGACAGTACTTATTAAAAACTGTATTAAAAAATAGAGGCACTGATATTGTCTAGCAGCTCTACCTCTTTTTTTTTTTCAGCTCCTGTTAGGTTGTTAGGTAATGTGACATATTCGAGAAATTAAAATCAGTTTATAGGAATAACAACAACAGCATCAAAGAGTGAGATATTCAAGCCGTATTCTCTAGGTTTATATAATCACTTTAAAACACATGTAAGTATTATTAGCATCAGAAATTTTTGTACTAGATGTTGTGAGAAAGTGATTATTGCATAGCAATGCATGAGTTTTTTCTCTTTAGAACCTGATAATCTAGTAATGAAAAATGATGACATATTCAAGGACACAGAGGAGGACAATAGGTTAGATATAGGAGGGTCACATTAAGCAATGAGAGAATCTTCTGGATCCCTAGTCCCTATTTACAACTCTCTAAAGTATTATCTCTGGGCACCCACCTGCTGATTTACCTCCTGTACTCAACTATGACCTGGGGACTTGCTACATGGAATCAATAGCTCAGTTAGGATCCAAGACACGGAACCCAGACCTGAGACCAGTCATGTGATTCCCTGTGGCATGGACTGAAGTCCCTATTTGGAGAAGGGGAAGAGGAATTTTCACAAGGAAGTGGGTTGGATGACAGACAAGGCAGAGATTCAAGAGTCAGAGCTGAATCTCTTAAAACAAAAGTGTGAATTATATTTATTCCAATAAGTTTACTGGGTGGAACTATATAAACTTTTCTCTTCCTCCTCATCATTCTTTTCCCTTTTCTTATTGATATTAAACATATAATGCCTCCTGAGGAACCTATGTTTTCTCTACACAACTGACTTATAGTAACTGAGTTGTAGCACGAGTTAATTTTTTGTAAGTTTATCACATAAATTACTATAGAGCAATACTCTTCAAATAATTTTTTTAGACATCTAAAGTAAGTTAATTAATTGATGGTGTAAAATTCTTAAGCTTGACCATCAAAGTGAGGTGAATATTGAACAGGAAATAGTAGCCTTGAAGTAAGAGTTCCATACAAGTCCCAGTTCCATCAAAATTCACGGTTAGGAAAGATACTTGAGCTCTCTGACTTTTTATATTACTATGTACGCAAAGCTCCTAGGCTCATTCCTGACATATGAAGAACCCAGTAAATGGAAGTTATTACTATTATAAACATTTAGAGAAGTCTAATACAGGACAAAAACAAATATCAAAAATATTAATATTAGGCTGCAAATACTCAGGAAATTGGTGCATTGTAATCTATATTTTTCAAAAATATTTGCTCTCTAAAATGTTTTTTCTATTTTTAATATGACAGCAATGGTAGCGAAGTCTTAGTCCCAGCAACACTTTGCTAGAATAACTTTGAAGACATAAAATAAAAACAAATAACAGTAATAAGTGTCCTTACCCATGAGGTGTGCTATGAAGACTTGATGGTTGCAGGGAGAAGATGAAAGTGCTGTGAAGAAATAAAACACCTGACATTACATTTCATAACATTTTCACTTTTTTGAAAAATTGCCAGCTTTATTAGAGTCTTCTACAGTTTCAGTTGAAAAGCTTGTGGAATAAGGTGATATTTATCATTACCACCACTTCAAAGGAAAAACACTACCTCAGATTTTAATGGCATCAATGTTCTAATTATTTTCCAATATGACTGGGCTACCACAATCCTATAGACAACATAAGTAAATGAAATCCAAAAGATTTCAAAGAAAAATACACTCAATTTTAATAAATTAGCATTTGTTTTAGAGGCTTTACTAAAATGGAAAATATGCTTTTTTATATTGAACAACTGAATACTTTTCTTCAAATGTTGTGAATTCTTTGTCTTCTAGATATAATGATATTTGCAAAGCAACAACAGAAATTACTGCTAATTGCTATAGTGAGCAACCAAACCCATGCAGTGAAATCATTAAGCAACTTTATTTTTGTCCCTAACTGTTCACTTAAATATATTCTCTTGGGAGCTTGTTTGGCGTTTCTATCAGGGGAGCTCAGTAACTTGTATGCCCTGGACAGAAGACCAGTCCTCCTCTATTGGGGATGGTCATCCTCTTCGACCAAGCGCACAGCTTCATGAGGGACACACGTGGAGCAGTGAGGGAGGAAGGGGACACCTGCCTAGCCAGCCAGATCAGCTGAAACAACCCTGGCGATCAATGGGGTGACAGATGTTGCAGCCAGATCACCCTCACATCCAATATATTCTCTTTAAAGAGCTCTTCTCTTGACCCTGGATAAAATTCAGGGCATGTACATTTTAGGGTAAGTAATGTCTCTGCATGACTGGATTGAGCTATCAATTCTATGTAGCTAGCCCCCATGTTGTAGGTTTGGTGTATAAGAGCTAAGTCAGTGTGTGGGTGCCCTGAGATAATACTTTACAGAGTTGCAAATGGGGACTAGGGTTACAGAAGACTCTCTCAGTGCCTAATGTGACCCTCCTATATCTCACCTGTTGTCTTTCTCTCAGTCCTTAAATATGTCATCAATTTTTATGACTAGAGCATCAGATTCTAAGGGGAAAACACTGTGGACTGATATGCAATAATCGCAATAAATAATGAACCCTATTATTTCTTGTTCCTTAGAAATACTGAAAGGCCCTCCATGCAGTAACAAATATATCTAACTAAACGTGGTCATAACTTTAAACTACATTCAGAGCCACCCTCTGCCTCACACCCTGCTAAAGGTGTGAGGTATGATGGAAGTGTTTTTGTCCCTCCTGCTATATTCGTAAGGGGCTGCGACCAGGCTCTTTGGGACTCACAAACATGAAAAAAAGATTCACTCTGGTCAAATCATGCCCCCAGTTGTAGAAAATATGAACTCCCTATGGCTCGAAAGTCAAAAGCAGACCCAAGAGGCCATGGAAGGGTGAGGGAGTGGCCACACTCTCTGTGTTCTTATAAAGTGTTGAAGAACCTGTTTTTCAGCAACCAATCAGAAAAGAGTTTCTGGAAACAACTGCATCTGGAAATTTCTGAGCTGACCACCAACAGACACCTAGAAGTAGCCAATTACGAAACACTGGTGATTGAGGTTTAAAGACCATCTAATCCAGGCCCTGTCCTTACACCGCTGACTCCTCTTTCCTGCCCTGCAAGGTTTTTGCCTTTATAACCTCTAACTCTCTGACCACCACCCCAACTCAGAGCACACTTTTATTTTGCACCAGAAGTTGTATCTCCACAATCTGCAGGTTGCTTTTAGAGAATAAAATTCTCCATTTGCATCTGCAGATCTCATTAGTCTCGTGTTAACATTCCCTCCTAGCATTATTTCATGGAATTTTCAACACTCATTCTCTCTGCCACCAAAATTACTAGGGTTCTCTCACTTGGAACTCCCTAGTTAGAAGAATTCTCTCTCTTCCAGCTGATCACCGATGTCATGTTCTGTAAAAACACCAAATCACAGTGGCTTAACACACACACTCACACACACGCACACACAAGTTTTATGAGATTGTGTAAAAATCAGATGTGAACATTAACAGCCTCTGCTCCACACATTCAACTCAGGTGCCCAGGCACCTATGTGAGAACATCACCTAAAGCATCTGCCCTTCAAGGCCCTGACTGGAGAATAATTTATGGGATATTTTAAAAGCTAAATCTTAAAGTAGTCTTTATCATTTCTGTCCATCTTTCATTGAGCAGAACGTATTCTATCTGCATTCCCAAGTTCATTGCAGCATATTCACAGTAGCCAAGATATAGAAACAACCTAAGTGTCCATCGATGGGTGAATGTATAGGAAAAAAAATACATATATGTGTGTGTGTGTGTGTGTGTGTGTGTGTGTGTGTGTACACATATAAATAGGCCAGGTAAGGTGGCTTACTCCTGTAATCCCAGCACTTTGGGAGGCTGAATCAGATGAATCACCTGACGTCAGGAGTTTGAGACCAGCCTGGCCAACACGGTGAAACCTTGACTCTACTAAAAATACAAAAATTAAGCTGGGCGTGGTGGCACGCACCTGTAATCCCAGCTACTCAGGAGCCTGAGGCAGGAGAATCACTTGAACCCAGGAAGCAGAGGTTTTAGTAAGCTGAGATTGTGACAACAGCTCTCCAGCCTGAGTGACAGAGTGAGACTCTCTCTCAAAAAATAAAATAAAATATAAAAACAAGTGTGCATATTTATGTGTATATATGTATAGATACACATATCTACACATATGTATGTATATATACACATAAAACTAGTACACATACATGCATATGTGTATATACACATATGTATATAATGTGTCTACATATATAAAATGTGTATACATATATGTACATATATATGCATATGTGTGTATACATATATACACATCTGTATACATATATAACATGCATACATATGTGGAAATCCTGCCATTTGCAACAAAAGGGATGAAATTAGAGGACATTATGCTAAGTGAATTTAGCCAGAGGCGGAAAAAAAAATACTGCATGATCTCACTTGTATGTGGACTCTAAAATATAATAAAATACATAAAAACTGAGGGAAGAATGTGTTTACTAGGGGTTGGGGATGGAGAAAATGGAGAGATATAGGTCAAAGGGTAGAAAGATGCAGTTTTATTGGATACATAAGTCTAGATATCTAATCTAAAATGTAAGGATTATAGATCATAATATTGTAGGAGGGTAGATTTTTACATACTCTTACCACAAGCAAAAAGGGAAGGGAAAACTATGTGAGCTGATAACATGTTAATTTAGTTGGCTATAGTAATCACTTCACTATGTATATCAAAACATCATGTTGTATATCTTAAATATGTACAATAAAACATAAATAAATTTATTTTTCAAAAGTCAGACATATTTGCAAAGCATTCAAGGAAATGTAGTCTTCCTCTGTGTCCAGGGAGAAAATAACAAGGGTTGTCAACCTCCTCTTATTGGGCTCTTGCTTTATTCCCTGTGAACTGTCCTTTTCCACAAGTCTGGTGGACCACCTGGATGGAATCTGAGTAACTGCATCCAGTTCTCATGCAAGCAGCCTACACGAGTCACACTGATCTACAGAACCTTCCTATTTATTCTTTGCCCCAGCCATCTTCCTGACAACAGGATAACAGATCCTCACACAGTCACCTCTCCTAGGCCTGCCATCAGCAGAGCCTGTTGGTCTTTTCTCAGGTATAGGTTAGAAATCTATCATGGCATCCACCTTGCAAAAGCTGTCAGAAGTGGACCAACTACTGCCCCTTTCACTAAGCAGCTAAAGTAACAGGGTTCTCCATCCCTTTTCCTTGGATATATGGAATCACAGAAGACCCACAGCTGTCTCTTCTTACCTCAGACTTTCTCCTCCTGCTGTAGGCTAAAAGTACAAATCAGTTTTATCTCCCTACCCTTGGAAGTGCTGATGGTGGTGTCAGATATCTCTTTGGAATGAGGTGTCTATCATCTTTGTCTATTAGCCAAACTTATGGCTAAAAAGTGGCATGATAATACTTTCCTATATATTTAAAGAGTGCAGTAAGTTTTCTAAGTAATCTCCTATATGGGACAAAGATCATATGATTAGAATAATGTATGTTTATCATGGTTTTGTGGTTTGATAGAAAAGATTCCTATACATGAAAACAGTTCTCTTCAGTGTGACTCATAGTAACAACAGGTTTGCAATTATTTCAGCAATTTCCATTGAGCTCCTATTTGGTGCCAAGCATTAAACTAGTTGCCGTGAAGTTTCTGCCCTCAAAAACTTCATATGCTATCAGGGGAAATTGACTGTAAAACAAATAATAAAGATGTTTGATGATGCTATGGTACAAGTGGAGAATGTGAATGGAAGGCAATATCAGACTTTGATTAGAGAAGCATCCATATTTACTGGATTACAACATCAGCTAATGATGCCCCTCATTAACAGCTGGCATTCTTCCCCTCACCATCACTTCAACAAAAATTGCACAACTCTCATTTCTACCTGAAAATGATTGTGGAGCTCTTAGTAGAGTATGTGTCCAATGGCCGCGCTCTCCATAATAGGAAGTCTGTCTTTCTAATTCGATGTTAAATGAACTTAAGTGGAGCTAAAATGTATTAGTAATTAACCTTTCCTGAGATACCATGTGTAGCTATTCGCATCTGAGAAACATTCAGTTCAAAATGGATATACTCTCCCAGAATGGAAATAAATTATATCTTTATAAATATCAGGCAAATAATAAATCACTTTCTACAACTAACACCTACCCACTACTGTTTGGTAAGAAAGAAAGTTCACAGGCTCCACTGCAACCATTAAACACTTTTGCTGCAGGTTCATTGCGAATGTGCTTAATGATATTCTTAGTCGGATTTTTAAAATTCCTTTCATTTCTTAGATTATTAAAGTCTTTGTTATTAATGGGCATTTCATTTTATCTAGTTTTTCTTCATTTATTGAGATGATTATGTTTTTAATGAGGCAAATTTCATTAATCAGTATTCTGTTAAGCAAAATTTGTATTGTAACTGTTCAACCAACTTTGTATTTCTTGAATAAACAACTCTTGATTAGTGTGTACTATCATTTTTATGTATTGCTGTTGTTTGATTTTTTAAACATTATGTTCCTAATAACATATTTGCCTTTCTGTCTTTCTTCCTTCTTCCCTCTCTCCCTCACTCTCAATTTTCCTTTCTCATTTACTTACAATAATTTTTGGATTTGAAATAAAAATTATGTTGACATGAAGAAAATTAATAAGTAATTATTTCTAGATTTTGGACAGATTTTTGTACATAAGAGCTATTTCTTTCTTAAATTTTTAAAGAATTCACCAGTGAAAACATCTGGGTCTAATATTTCCATTCTGGGTCTAATAGTTCCATTAAAGAAAACTTTATTTTTCAAATTAAATTTCTTTATTTGTCATAGGAAAATTTAAATTGTTCATTTTTTTCTTGTTTCAGGTATATGTTTTAATTCATAGATTTAAAATTTTTATCTACATCATCAAATTTATGTAAAATTATTCATAGTATCTCTGTAAATCTTCTTCATGTCTGTAGGATATGTTATGATGATCATATATGATTCTGATATTGGTCATTTCTGCTTTTGCTTTTTATCTTTGATTAGTCTCAATAGTTGTTCATCAATGTTACTGATAATTTACAAACAAACCTTCAGCTTTGTTGATTTTCTCTATTTAAATGTTTTATCTTTCTTCTATTTACATACTTATCTCTACAACTTCCTTTTTTCTGTTTTGGGGATTTTTTTTTTTTTTTTGCTCTTTTTTTCTTACTTTTTGACATAGAGAATAATATGACTTGAAGTTTTGATCACTAATTTGCAACTTTTTCTTTTTAATATACGCATTAAAAGCAGTATATTCCCTTTAATCCCTACTTTGGCAATGCCCTATGTGTTTTCATGCATCCTTTTTTAATCCTGTTCAAAATTTAGAAGATTTTTGTCGTGAGTACTTTTTGTTGTTCACAACCTATTTAGAATTGGTGTGCTTAATTTCCAAATTTGGAGCTATTTTAGTTTACTTTCTGTTGATTTCCAGTTTAATGCAACTCTGGCCAAAAAACATTCTCATTGTGAATTAAATCATCTGAAATTTGTTGCCTGTTTTATGGCTCAGGTAAATCTCCCAACTGCACTTGGAATAAATGTGCATTTTACAGTGTTTTACAATAACTAACATATGTCAATTAGGTCCAGGCAGTTAATCACATTGCTCAATTTATGTCTTTATGATAATTTTCTCTGTATGTTACATCAGTTATGGTGAAAGGTATGTTAAAATCTCCAAATACACTTGTCTATTTCTGCTTTTCTTGACAATTTTTGTTTTATATATGTTTGAAGATATATTATTAGATGCTGTATTGGTTTGTTTTCACACTGCTGTAGAGATACTACCTGAGACTGGGTAATTATAAACAAAAGAGGTTTACTTGACTCACAATTCTTTATGGCTGGAGAGACCTCAGGAAGTGTACAATCATGGTAGAAGGTGAAGAGGAAGAAAGGCACATCTTACATGGCAGCAGGAGAGAGTGAGAGTGAAGAGGGAACAGCCGAACACTTTTAAAATCATCAGCTCTCATGAGAACTCATGCATTATCACAAGAACAGCAAACGGGAAACCATCCCCATGATCCAAACACCTCCTACCAGGCCCCTCCCCCAATACATGGGGATTACAATTCCAGATGAGATTTGGGTAGGGTCACAGAGCCAAACCATATCAGATGCATACAAATCTAGAGGCATTATGTATTTATGTTAGATTCTTTTTCATCATGAATTATAATTCTTTATTTCTAGCAATACTTTCACTTCTATTAAACATACATTATATTTTAACTGCTATTAATTTCTCCACATCATATTTCTTCTGCTTCGTTTTGCATAATATATATTTTTCTACCATTTTATACTCAATCAAGTTGTGTGCCCTTTGTTCAAAATGTAATTATATTTAACTTGTAATTAACATATTGGTGGGTCCCTCCTTTTTAAAACCCTCTCTGACAAGGTTTTGATTTTGAATTAGATTTTTTTGTCCAGTTAAGTTATATTTAATGTAATTACTGCTCTACATATTGTATACTTACTTGCTTTTCCTTTGTTCCATATGTTGTTTGCTTCTTTAGTCCTCCTTTTTTGCCCTTTTATATTTGTATTAATCTTTATTATGTTTTCATTTATCAATTATTTTATTGTAACATTATTGGAATAGAAATAAAAGAAGACCACCTAAATGAGAAAAGAGAAACTTGTTAATGCAGAGATTGCTACAGGAAGGAAGGCAGCCAGACTCACTCTGTTTTGACAGAGACTCACAGGTAGGCAAAGAAAGTGGAAAGTTTTATAGTAGAAAATATGTGTTGTGATGAGGCTATTGGCCTGGGGAAGCTGGAGGTGGCTAACTTGAAGGAGCATTCTATGTGATTGGCTAGAGATCCATATTTGGCTTTCCCTGGATGGTCCTAAGATAGAAGCAGGGATAAAAATTAGGGAAGTTGGCAGTCATTGACCAAGTCCTGACCATTTGGAGCTGATAGCTATAGTTTTTGGTGGTTGATTTCCTAAACTGGCTGCTGCAGGGTTTCTGAGTTGGCACCCTGGGCTGGCTGCTGCAGAGGTGTTGGTCAGAGTTCTAGTGTCTTGGGTGGTCTGTCTGTTTGTTGTCTGTAAATTCAGTTTCTCCACAGCTTTTTTGTTTTGCTTTTGTTTTTTGCCTAATTGTTCTGCCTCTACATATTTCTAGAACCTTTGATTGTATACCATACCTAATACATAGAAGAACTCTGGAGATCCCAGATAATATAACTCACACCCCTTTCCTGTGCTAAATAGATAGGATGAGGGATTGATCATCTCATTCCAATGAGAAATTGATATGGGGCAGGTTTGGTTCACTTGGACATGTAGAAGTTTTCGGTTTCTAGCTCCCTGGACTCCTGTGCAGCCCCTATTCTCAGCAAGTGTTCCAGGGAAAACTAGCCATAGTGTTGAATCCCTGCAGGTTTTGAATTTTTTAGTTCCGATCCCTTATGAATGAAAACTCTCTACTGATTTCTCTTTCTCCCAGTAGAATCTTTCTGTCTTATACAAGCAAAGCTGTCCTTACCCAAAATATAGGAAAGTGCCTACAAAGGAAAAACAGCCAGATATTACCAAATTACCAAATTTTAATTTACCAAATCTTTGTTTTCAGATATGCAATGTCATTACAATGTGATTTATGCATTTTAGTCAGTTTTTCTAACTATTGTACCAAGAGCATTTGTCTGCCATGATGTACAAAGTCTGACAAAAAGGAGTTAATATTCAAAGAATGTGTTTATACCAATAACTCTAATTTCAGTTTAACACCAAGGTTTTTCCCACTTTCATTAAAACCATATTTCTATTTTCCTATGCACAGTAAGATAGTTGATTCCCAAATGATATATCTACTCATTGCTCTATAATATAAAAATGTATGATTTTAGTATGACTAAAATCAATTATTCTATCAATGAAAATTTTAAGCCTAACTTTTAGTTTTATTTATATTTTTCTATGCATATATAGCAAAAATTATATGGAGAATTATATGGTTCAAATTTCTCCCCTAATGCATAAGATACCTGAAGAACAACAAAAAGAGAAGAAATTGTGTGTCCTAGTCATCTCCACTTTTTTCCAGCACCAGCATAAACAAACTCTATCTCTAGTTGCCATAGTCAAAAAGAGAAAATGAAACAGGAGTAGAAGATTTAGTCAGATACTCTCAATGTCATCAAAGAGTACCGCATGAAGAGAAAGAAATGTATTTAAAATTTGCTATGAACTTAAATAGTACCTGATAGATATTAGAGGAAATTACCATCCACTTTTGGAGTAGCTCTCATTATAACAATATGTTCCCCTCCGCACTTTGTGGTTTCCTCAGAAATACAAGCAATAGTCCTCTTTATGAATAACACTCTCAAGACATGAGCAGTGCAGGTTTGTCCCAGGATGGAGATGGCTTCTCCTAGGACACACAGGAAGAGTCCCTCTGCACTCAAATTTCTGGCTTCCACTTAGTCACTTCAGGCTCTTCATGTTAAGAGCAGGCAAGGACACAGGTCCCCACCCTGGCAGGCATAGTAGACCTTGTCATAGGAGAACACAGAGCTGGTATTACATATGAAGCCTGAGAAGAACATGAGAACAGCTTTTGTACCCTTGGGTCCATGTTTGCCAATAAGTGAAAAGGCGAAGCCGCCACACTCTGAGAAGACATCATGACCGGTGCTGCGGATCCCTTGATGATAAGGATTTGGATCACTCAGCCAGGTAATCCATTGTACCCAGCAGAAATGCTCATTGAAGATGACGTCAATAGAACATGGTGAGAGTAGTGGCAGAAAATGACTTCAAGAAGATGAATGGGAGTAGAGTAATGAGCATACTTCATCTCAATAGAATTCATCTGGTAATGGAAATCCATTTTCCAAGAGGGAGAATATGGAACCAAAGAACACATGAATGGACTGTAGTGTGTTGCCTTCCACAATTTCTGCCAGGAATATTTTCAGCTGATGCTCCCGGTGTGGCCCCTGCTTATGCTTCTTGGTCAAACAGCACAGCCTCAACACAAACCATGCTTCTCCCCCGGGGCAGCCAACATCCAATTATTGATGTGTAGACCCTGTCTCTGCCTCTATTCCAGACAACTCTGAAAAGCCATCCCAACTCCAGACCCCTGCTAGGATCAACTAAGCACTCTACTGCAACTCCATCACAGCTCAACTTCATCACCTGCCCAGCTGAGCTTTATCTTTTCCTTATAAGCATCCGGAAAACACTATCCATGAAACCTCTTGCATCTAAATCTCTGCCTCAAAAGCTGTTTCCCAGGGACATCTAATGAATAAAAATGCATTTATTTGGTGACAAGGATATTCTGCCTAGCTGGTTTTCCCTAAAGAGAATCTAGGAAGGATTTTTGCATAAAAATGATGTGTGGGAGGTCATTGAATGAAGATTGGGACAGAAGGCAGCCTAGGCAGAAAGACCAGAAACAGTGTAAACAAAGACCCTGATATGACTAGGGAATGGTGGAAAAAGTTGCGGGAGAGAAATATTGGGTATGTGGATAGAGTGGAAATGGCTGAGGTAGAAAGGTTAGAGCCAGACTGTGAAGGGTCCTGTGTTCCCCCTCACACTGGGGAAGAGCAGTGTCACACGGAGTTCTCAGTGCATCCAGAGTTGATTAAAACGTATGCTCTTCTTAAGCTACTGTCCACTTGGAGAAAAATAACCAGTGTTTCTCTAGTATCACAGATCAAAGTGGTGACTTACAGGATTTCGTTTAAAGCCCAGGAGATGCCATGGCCCAAGAGATATAATCCGTCTTGCATTGCCTCACATTTGTTTTCCTGAAAACTCAGCAAGATAATGTAATTGAAGAATGAGACCTTCATAAAGGGCAAATGTGAATATCAACCAGGGAAGTGAAGGAAGGACGACTGGATTTGGAATTCCAGGAGCTTTGGAAGAAGCTGGAGTAAAGTAATCATTTGATTGTGATCTTTATTATTGAGAGCTGTGAGGCCCAAGAAACAAGAAATTGTTTAAACAATTATATATACTGTTGACCCTTGAACAACAAGGTATTGAACTGTGTGGGTCCGCTTATACATGGAATTTTAAAAATAAAATATACACCAAGTATGCCTGCTTCTCCCACCTCCCTTGCCACCTCCTCCACCTCTTCCGTCTCTGCCACCCCTGAGACAGTGAGGCCAACCCCTCCTCTCCCTGCTCCTTCTCAATCTACTCACTGTGAAGACGATGAGGGAGAAAAATTTTATGATGATTCACTTGCAGTTAATGAATAGTAAGTATATTTTCTCTTACGATTCTCTTAATAATATTCTACTTTCTCTAGCTTACTTTATTATAATAATACAGTATGTATATATATATATATAAACACATACAAAGTATGTGTTAAGTGGTTATGTTATCAGTAAGGATTCTGATAAACAGTAGGCAATTGGTAGTTAAAATTTTGGGGAGTCAAAAGTTATACACCAAGTTTTGACTATGTGGGAGGGGGCATCAATGCTGCTAACCCCTGCATTGTTCAAGGGTCAACTGTATTGTGTGTGTGTGTGTGTGTGTGTGTGTGTGCGTCTGTGTGTGTTTGGGTGTATATACAAACTGAACACAAAATTATAGAAAAGATTCAAAAGAAAATTTCCCACCATACTTGAGTTACTGAGATTTTCATAAGCCCCTCGAGTTCTCTAATAACTTCTATTTCTTTTTGTTTACTTCTTGCAGTAAGAAAAAATGGTGGTCATGAGACTAGCAAAAAGAAATCCCAGGGAAGTAAAAAGCAAAAGCATGCAAATTGTTTTTTACTTTGCACAAGATTCCTTCTGACTTGTGATGCCAGAGAACAGCTGGCTCACCTTGTTCTTGGCAGACCCAAGAAACTACCGCTGCCATTCATCACCTAAACAGTGGTTACCATTTGTTGGAAGTGCAGACTTGCTGTCAAGGATTGCTTGTCAGAGACACTCTGAGAACACAAGGGCTCCCAGGCTGCTAAGTTTCCTCATCCCGGGTGATCTTTAGCTATGAAATCACAGCTCACACTTACCCTCCAGTAATACGGTCCTCTGAGCTGAGAGCCTCTGGCCCTTTTCCTCCCGTGTTGTTCCTTTATTTCTAACATGTTATCCTTGGATACAGCAGAAATGCATGGGAGGTGGCCCAAGGTTCAAATTCCAAATATTGGTTTATGTAAAAACAAATACATATCTATTTTTGGCCGGGCGCAGTGGCTCATGCCTGTAATCCCAGCACTTTGGGAGGCCGACGCTGGTGGATCACAAGGTTAGGAGATCGAGACCATCCTGGCTAACATGGTGAAACCCTGTCTCTACTAAAAAATACAAAAAATTAGCCGGGCGTGGTGGCAGGCATCTATAGTCCCAGCTACTCGGGAGGCTGAGGCAGGAGAATGGCATGAACCTGGGAGGTGGAGCTTGCAGTGAGCTGAGATCGTGCCACTTCACTCCAGCCTGGCGACAGAACAAGATACCGTCTCAAAAAAAAAAATACATATCTATTTTTTGTGTGGATGAGGCAAATGGGGGCTCATATTCATATCTAAAAGAGTTTCTTTCAACAACACTACAACAGCATTTGTCATTCAAGTTTATAATGTTGAAAACTGTTCTTTTAAAATCTACTCACTTCCACTTCTGCAAGTTTCTTTTTCACAAAACTACAGACATTTTGCCTGTTAGGAAAATATTAACATAATACATTTCCAGATCCATGAGAAATCACAGCGTCTTGTCCTGGCTCTGCTCCTGTGTTCTCTCAGAGGGGTTATCAGAAGTCAGGAAAATAAGTTTTGTAGGTGATCTACAATCCTTGCTCCAGAAACACTGAAATTTAAATTTTCAACAGAGAAAAAGTACATTTATTTCAATGTATTTAAAACAAGTAAAGTCAGGCATTATAATCTCATGCTTCAAAACAATTCAATTTTTTCTACCAGATAATAGACCTAGCAAACTCTTCATGATAGTGTCAACAACAAAACTATCAGGAATGCTTCACTCATTGACAAGAAAGAAACCTTCACATCCTTTCAGAAAGAAGCCTACATGTTTCTATGCATGTGTCAGGTATTTAAAATGTATTACTTGTGTGTCCTTTGCTTCTTTTGTCTGCACTTAATATTAATGAAGATACAGAAAATTACTTTATGAATGTTTCTCAGGGTGATGCCAATAGGAAAACTCAACATTCTCTGCTCTCGCCATCTCAGATACGAGCAGAATATATCAGAATAATTAATTTCAATTGATGCTAATAAGAGGAATCATTTAACTATAATTTAACATAATTATGGTGAGGATAACAGGGGGCGAGGAGGATGACCTCTCTCCTCTGCCTCAGGATGTTACTCCTCACTCTGCCCCAGGAGCAGAGGAAGGAGAGCCTGCTGCAAAGCAAACCACCAGTTATCAAATAGTCAGCTGGGCCAGAATTAGTTATATATGCAGTAAATGAACACTCATTTGAGTATGACCTTTTCCTCAATATATTTTGGATAATTTCACATCTTAAGAGTACATTTCAAAAGCTTTTGTCAACTACCAATAACCTACCTGAATTTAAATTGACTGAACATTTTTCAAACCTCATCTTCTTTTACCAGAGTTTCGCTTTGCTGTTGATATTTTCTGAATGATTGCATTATGCCTTACCTTCTGTATACTTCAGGTGCAAATCTCAGTGGCCACCCGTCATCATCCACATGCTTATCTTCTATAGTGCTGCTTCATCCTACAGCCCACACACAACCCTTTGGATATTCTCCACTGCATCCTCTTTCATCAGAAATATCTTGATATATTTATCAGAAATCATGCTTTACAATCTGCAAACTCTCTTACATCTATTCGCCTTCTCATAGCATTGTCTTGACTGTTTTGTGAGAAACCTGGTCTTATCCCAAGGCTCATTTAATCTTTCTCTCTTCATTTGCCCTTTCATCTCAGGATCTTAAGGTGACATAGTGTTCTTTTTAAAATTTACCTGCCATATCTTTGAAGCATTGCCCACTCCACAATCCTCCAAAATGACCTGCTATTTCAGCCTCTCTCAGAACTTATTGCCATGCTTTCCTCCCCATGCTGCCATCTGTACAACTCATCACAGTCACTTCTTTATTTTTAAAAACTGTTAGCACCTGTCTACTGCATTTCAACTCCTGCCAACATTGTCATCAGCAGCAGCCATAGGACAACCCATTCCAAATCCCAGTGTCTTGGTTCATTGGCTTTCTCATCCCCTGTGGCCTTCTCTTCACTTTATATCAGAAACCCACTATCATGCTCGTATCTAGGATACAGCCCAGCCAGAAATGGCATCAGCACTAAAATACCAGGCTGACCAACATGGTGAAGCCCCATCTCAACCAAAAATACAAACATTAGCTGGGTGAGGTGGCATATGCCTGTAATTCCAGCTACTCGGCAGGCTAAGGAAGGAGAATTGCTTGAACCTGAGAGACGGAGGTTGCAGTGAGCCAAGATCGCGTGACTGCACTCCAGCCTGGTGACAGAGTGAGACTCTGTCTCAAAATAATAAATAAAATAAAATAAAATAAAATAAATAAAATAAAATAAAATAAAATACTAATTCCAACCCTTCTGCTAACCACTCATCACCTCCTTTTATATTTCCAGTTCATTGATGCAAACTTTTTCTATTATTCATGCAATCTTTCCTGTTTTCTTTTCTCTCCCAGCATTACTTAGATGTCATGGTTTTTATTGCACTAAATTGATTGCAAATAACCTCGGAAGACTTTTCCTATATTTTGCTATCATTCCAAAAAATGAAAATGTAAGAACATTGTGGCTGAGCCCAGCAGTTGGCCTTCTCCAAAGAAGCACAAATATATTTGAACACATATTTTGAAAAAGTACAAAGCCAGGATGACTCCCTTTGTATTAAATTTCCGATAGAGTACATCAAACATTTAACACTGTCTGGAACTGTTTATCTCACTAATAGCTTTCTTTGTATCTTTCGTTCTTCCTTTCTATAACAGTTTAATGACAAAATTCACATACCTTAAAATCCATTCTTTTAAAGTGTACAATTTAGTAATTTAATATATTCACACAATTGTGTAACCATCATGCCTAACTTTAGAACATTTTTTATTTCCCTTAAGAAACCAGAAATATTGTTAAAAATATTATTATTTCTTGGTAAATTGTCATGACATGCTTGTTGGAAATCAATTGACCCTGAATGTGAGGATTTATTTCTGAACTCTCAATTTTGTTCCACTGACCTACCTGTATTGTGTATGTATATGTCTATTATGCCAATATTACACTTATGCTGTCTTGATCATTCAAGCCTTTAGTGTTTTAAAATAAAAAAAAACTGTGAGTCCTCTATGACTTATTCTTTATTCAAGATTTTTTTGGCTACTCTGTGTCCCTTTAATTTCCAAAACCCAGTTTTGAGTCAATTTCCCAATTTCTGCAAGATAAAATAAAATAAATAAACAAGTTTAAAAAGGCAACTGGAAATTTGAGGTGAACTGCACTGAATTTGTAGATTCATTAGGAAGTATTGCCATCTGCTATGGACAGAATTGTACCTCTCCCCATTCACATGTTGAAGTCCTAATCCCCAATGTGACCCCTATTTGGAGATAGGGTCTATAAGGAGGTAATTAAGGTTAAATGAAGTCATAAGGATGGGAGCCCTAATTTGGTCTGATTAATAGTCCTATAAGTAAAGGAAGAGAGAAATCACTAATTTTCCTCTTGCGTGGACAATTGAAAGATCATGAGAGTACACAGTGAAATGGCAGTCACCTACAAGCCAACAGATGAGATCTCAAATGAAACCTGTTATGCCAGCCCCTTGAATTTGGACTTCCAAGACTCCAGATCTGTGAGAAATAAATTTCTGTTGTTTTAGACATCAAGTGTATGGTATTTTCTTATGGCTGACCTAGCTGACTAAAACATCACATAAACAATGTTAAGTCTTTTGATATAATAACGTAATGTGTCTTTACATTTATTTAGGTTTTAATTTTCTTCAATGATGTTTTATAGTATTCAGTATACAAGTCTTGTACTTCATTGTTAAATTTATTCATCCTATTGTTTTTCTTAACTTCATTTTCACATTGTACATTGTTAGTGTATGGAAATGCATTGTCCTTTTGTGTGTTGATTATGTATCCCACAACTTTGCTGAACTTATTTACTAACTCAATAGTTTTGATGCAGATTTCTTAAGTTTTCTCTGTACAAGATCATGTTATCTGAGAATGGAGATAATTTTACTTCTTTCTGTCCATTTGGGTAACTTTTTTTCCTCTTGCCTAATTACTCTGGCAAAAACTACAGTAAAATGTTGAATAGAAATGGCAAGAGTGGACTTCCTTGTCTTCTACCTCATCTGAAGGGGAAACATTCAGTCTCTCACTGTTAAGCATGTTTTTAGCTGCAGGATTTAAGTGGAACATTTAGGCTATTTATGTTTAAGGTTAGTATTGATATGTGAGGTGTTGTTCCTGACATAATGTTGTTAGCTAGTTGCCTTGGAGTTTCAATTGTGTAATTGCTTTGTAAAATCTGTGATCTTTATACTTACAGGTCTTTTTATGATGATGAGTAGCATCCTCTTGTTTACATGTTTGGAACTTCCTTGAGCATGTCTTATAGGACCAATCTAGTGGTGATAAATTCGCTTAGTATTTGCTTGTCTGGGAAAGACTATCTCTCCTTCAATTAAGAAGCTTAGTTAGGTAGGATATAAAATTCTTGGCTGACAATTTTTTTGAAGGGGGCAAAAAACAGGCTCCCAATCTCTCCTGGCTTGTAGTGTTTCTGTTAAGTCTGCTATTAGTATAATGGGATTCCACTTATAGGAGATTCATCATTTTTCTCTAGATGATTTTAAGATATGTTCTTTCTCAGTGGCATATCTAAGAAAGATAGTCTGATGTCTATATGCTTTTTGACATTTGTTTTGTGTCACATCTCCCAGGCGTTGACTAATTTATTGTATCTTGATGTCTACATCTCTAGCAAAATAAAAAAAAATCCTGCATTATTTCCTCAAATATGCTTTCCAAATTTCTTTATTTTTCTTCCTCTTCCTCAGGAATTTCTGTAAATTATATGTTTGATCACTTAAATAATTTTACATTTCTCAAAGGCATTGGGTTTATTTTTTTTTTATTTTTGTCTGACTGGGTTACTTTGAAAGACAGATTTGACTGATCTTCAAGCTACGAAATTATTTCTTCTGCTTGGTTTATTCTATGGCTAAAGTTTTCAGCTACACGTTTAAATTCCTTAAGTGAATTTTTTATTTCCAGTAGTTCTTTTTTTTTTTTTTTTTTAAATATATCTATCTCTTTCTTCATTTCCTGGATTGCTTTTGTGGTTTCATTGTGTTGGCTTTCTACCTTCTCTTGGATCTCAATGATCTTCTTTGCAATCTATACTTTGAATTATCTATCTGCCATTTCAGAGTTTTCATTGTGGTTAGAGTTCTTTGCTAGAGAGCTAGTGTGATCCATTGGTGGTGTCACAACATTCAGGTTTTTCATGGTACCAGAATTCTTACACTGGTTACTTGTCATCTGGAGAAGCTGACACTTGTTGGTTTTGAATTTACTTTTATTTAGATTGGGTTTTTTATCTAATTTTATTCACGGATTTATTTGTGCCCTCAACCCCTGACAAGGGTGTTACTGTAGAGGATTTGTGGTAGGGTATTTTAGCTTTGCTTCTGTAGCCCTCTGTTCTTCCATCAGCCAGATTTATATTGGGTTGTGCAGTTTAACCTACAGGCCAGTAGGTGATGCTTATGGGTAAGAGGCAGCTGAGACAAGAGCAGATGGGTATGTACTTGGTCTTTGTTTATTGTGAGGTGTTCTCTGTTGTTTCAGATGATGTGCTGGACTGTACAACATCCAGTGCCCTGAGCTTCATTTTTGCAGAGGAGAAGGTGAGATGCAACTAGGCACAGCTGGACCACCTGGCTTGCCCATGGATGTTTCAATGACAAGCACAGGTACCAGCATGGACTAGAGTGCCTGGGGGAGCTTCTGGTGAAATGACCTATGTCTCTGGGTGAGGTAAGGGGTCTGCACTAGCTCCACCTCCCAGAAAGACCAGAACACTGTTTCACTATCACACCCCTATCCCAGGGCTCATGAGTTTCTTTTCAGACACACACTGTTGTCTATCTCCAGGACACAGAATATGCCTCTCCTGCTGCTCTCCAGGGGAGTGGTTTCCAGCAAATCCTCTTTACTCACCCTAATATAGACATCTTTATGGCTTGCATGTTATTGGATTTGGTAACACTGCTGCTTCATGTAGAGGGGGAGAATTTTCACCTTTTGGCACATGTGCAGCTTTAAAAAAATAGATAGGAGAGGAAAAAATTACAAACAAAAATGTATTTAAAAAAATAATTGCCTACATCATTATCTTTCTGGTGCTCTTTATTTTTTCAAGTGGATTTTAATTATTGTCTAGTGTCTTTTCATTTCAGCATGAAGGACTCCTTTTATAATTTTTTTATGACACATCTGCTAGGTCTTCTTAGAGAGAATTCTCTGTTTTTGTTTATCTGGGAATGTCAATACATCATTCATTTTGAAGCATTGATTTACTAGACGTAAAGTTATTGGTTGACATTATTATTTAGCACTTTGAACATGTCACCTTTCTGCCTTATGATTTCCATGGTTTCTGATGAGAACTCAGCTGATAATCTTACTGATAATCCTTTTTACACAGTAAGTCACTTCTATTATTGTCTTTGGTTTTCAACAGTTTGACTATGATACATGTGCATGTGGACCTCTTTGAATGTATGCTAGAGTTAATTAAGCTTCTTGGATGTGTAGATTAACATCTTTCATAAATTTTGGAAACTTTTAGCCATCTTTTTGCCCCTTTCTCTCTCTACTTCTTCTTCCTGGACTTCTATTATGGTACACAGGTCGCTGAGGCTCTGTTCACTTTTCTTCATTACTTTTTCTTTCTGTTCTTCAGACTAGATGATTTCAATTGATCTATATTCAAATTACCTGATTGTTTTACTCTCTTAAATGTTATTAAGCTTTTCTAGTGAATTTTTAATATCAGTTATTGTATTTTTCAACTCCAGAGTATCTATTAGTTTCATTTAAAACTCATTTCTATTTCTCTTTAGTGATATTATTTAATGAATACATCATTCTCATACATTCTTACAATTTTGTAAACATATTCTCCCTTTCTTCATTAAACATATTTGTAATAATTGATTTAAAGTTTTCATCTAGTAAGTCTAGTGTCTGAGTTTCCTCAGAAACAGTTTCTATTGACTTGTTTTTATTTTTCTGTATGCAGGACAAACTTTCCTGTTTCTTTGTATGCACCATAATTCTTTTCATTAAAACCAAAAATTTTAAATAATGTAATGTGGTATCATTTGAAATGAACCCTCCTGCTAGTGTTTGTTAGTATTGTTATTTCTTGTTGCTCTCATTATTGCTGTTGTTTTTTGTTAGATTCCTGAAATAATTTTTAGGGTGTCTATTCTTTTTTCCAGTATGGTTGTTAAATTCTCTTAGTTAAGGAATTAAGTAATCACAATGCAAAAATTTTCTTAAAGACCTTGAATCAATATGTCTCCCAGCTTTTGTCAAATAGCTTTGTGTGTGTGTTATATGCGTTTTTCAATACTTTAGTAAACAGTTTATAATTCTGTCATATTATATGTTTGTACAGGACCTTAAAGTCAGCCAGAGGTGAGAGCTTAGGGCCTTTTTGAGTCTTTTCCAGCCCTGAACATGTACATGTCTTTCTTGAGTCCTATGAATATGTCAGACCTATTTGCTGCATCCTATTGATATCTCATTCCTAGTTTTCCTCTGAAGGATTCTGGCCAGCCTTTTGGTATCTCCAACTGGAATTGCCACCTCAGGCATCTGTAATATTAATCATTTGGCACTCCTTATTTTTGACAAATGCTCTCAGCACAGACTTGTTTACATAAACTAAATTCTGAGTTGCATCAAATAAAGACAACCCCTGAGATTCTGTGGGGTGTAGCCTTTGGACAGCTCCAAGCTCATTGTGCATCTTCCAGTGTTTCCTTGGCTGCTGGTTTTCACAGCTACTGTCAATGTAAGGTTGGTCTTCAAGTTGATTGTGGTTATGTGGAAAGACTGAATGGGAATAGGGCAAGTTAAGAGGCTACAAAATTTGCTGTTTTTATCTGGATTCAATGTTTGTTTGTTTTTAAAGGCTTCTTGCATTGTTTCAAGCTTTTAATTTAATGAACATGTTGAATTTGACACTTTTGACAATGTTCTCAGTGGTTTTTCCATAATGGTGAATTTTGAAAGTCTTTGATCTGCCATTCTGGGAATGTTTCTCTAAATACCTCTCTTTCTCTCTCTGAAACAAATCTTTCTAACCTTCCCTGTCTCTTCATATCTATATACCCTCTCTCTCTCTCTCTCTCTCTCTCTCTCTTCACCATCCCAACCCCCTCCTCTCTCTTTTTCTCTTTGTGTACAGGTAACTGCATACCGCTTGGTAAAATGAAAAAGGGATTCCTCTTTCATTTTCTCAATGTCACTCTACAAATCCGTCTGAACCACTGTCAGCTTTCTTCATCTTCCCTTGAATAAGAGTGAAGGGTTTGTTTTTCTCCTGTCAGGCACTTACCTTCCTCTCCTGCTTGAATCTTTTTCTGGCATTTGCAGAGCTTTGTTTTTGTGGATCTTCTTTGTCTCCTGATCAGCTGCATGCACTCTCTGGCTTTCACTCTCCTTGTCATCTTCTAACCCTCCCTCTCTCCCTCTGGGCTACCTCATTCCAATCAGCACCAAACTTAGATGAATCACTAGAAAGATGAAAAGACATTGTCATTGGCCTAGAAAAGTCATTCATCTCTGAAATTAGAAATTTTTCCCTCAAAACAAAATTTTATGTAGGCTGATCATAGCCTGCATGAGCCTCTCATTATACAGCTGCCTTTAAAATACCTCCAGCACATCAGCCATTATGCTCTGAGCACACTGGCTTTATCCTAATTTCTCAAGCACAATGAAAGCTGTTTCCATCTTAGGGCCTTTGTAAGGTTCTCTTTCCTTGCCATGTCTAAACTGTAGGCTTCAGTCACATTTCAGAATAATTGTGTCATATTAATGCATCCAATTATTTGTGTCTACATGCATTTTACCCAACAGTCATTTACCCTTAAAAATGAATTACCACACATACCTACTCATGTAGTAGTCCCTGGATTTTTATTTAAACTTATGACTTTATTGAAAAAGATGGTGGAAAGTAATATGATTCTAGACAGCTCTATCACTTACTAATTGAGTGGATATAACATAAATTACTTTGTCTCCGTAAATCTTAGTTAATTGTTCTATAAAATTAGAATAATGACACTTACTTGCTTGGGTTGTTGTGAGGATTAAATAGGATAATAAATGTATTATGTTAATACCTGTAACTACATTAGCTATTACTTTTATCACTGTTTTAAAATTAAAATGATCATAAGAAAAGTAAAACTGAAGTAATCATCTTCAGAAAATGTCATGGGCATTCATCAGTATAAAAACAGTCAGAGTATAAATTCTAAAATATAATTATAGAATGTAACAGTACATAATTGTTTCTAAAATAAATTAAGACTGAATTTTTATGTTAACAAATGAAGTTAAAGTCAGTAGAGAGATACAGTCTTACATAGGCTGTGATACTAAAAAAAACTTTACCTTATTTAAAGGGGAACTAAAATTTATCTAATAACTATTTTTCTGTTGTACACTGCAATTGATTAGATACATGCTATGTCATTCCATTCTCATTGGAATCAAATTTAAAAGTCTTATTACTCTTATCATATAGAAAACTGGGAGTTGGTAACTTAAGTAACTTACAAAAAACTTAAGTAACTTACAAAAAATTGCATAGTAATTGAGATAGAAACGAAAACCTATTGATATTGACTACTACTTCTGGTGTTTCTCTTGTACTATACTTCCAAGTTATCTAGTATTATTAATTACCATTGGATTTTGCTAATAAATTGTTTTAATTGTTCTTACAATGTTTAAAAATATGTTCATTTCCTCATTGTTTTACACTTAATTCTGAAATTATTAATATTTTACTTAGCCTTCATTTTAGTTCAAAACAATTCAAAATACACAAACTCCAAATTTTATGATATGTTAATATCTGTTCTTACTTATTTATAAGAAAAGCTCATTTCCAACTCCTTCCGAAATGGATGTGCCTGATTAACAAAAGCTCTGTTCAAGACCTGAGTCAGTGACCACATTTGTTCTATCTGGAGGGATGACCGTCTTCAACAAATAGTTTCCAAGATACTGTATTTGTCTCTGTCTAGTCAAAAGAGGAGGAAGGTATTTATATGCAGGGCGTGACAGTGGTGTACATAATCAACTCACACTCTCTTGGATAGAACACAGCCATGTGGTGGATACTATAAAGTGAGTCTGAAAAGTTAATTTGTTGTGTAAATACTTAACCAGTGTCTGACATATAATGGAATATCATCATTAAAGTTTATATTATTTGCAAAAAGTAAAAAAAAAATCTATATTCAATTTAAGTTAAATACAAATATTTTTCAATTCTCTAATTTTTCAGGAATACAGTCATAGCAAAATTCTACTTGAGTTTTACTTCTATTTCTCTTTTAATCATATTAATCTCTGGCAGTTTGGTGACAAATTGAAAGTGTTAAGTGGTATCTTATTTTCTTATTGTTTCTACTTTAAAATCTTTGGATTTAGGGGATAGCCCACAAATAATACACTTTTGGAAAGCTAGATAAATTTTAATTCTGAAAATTTTTGTTCAAATTATTAAAAGATTCCATCATCTCTTTAGTAATTCCTTTTCTCTTTTCCTTTCCCTAATTGGCAATAGGCAAGAGTATATAGAAAATTGCAAGTTCTATCACCATTTTGAGAAAAGGCCAAAATAAGTTTACCAAGTTACTGTTTAAATCCTTTCAAATTGTAAAAGATAGAGTATACTAAGTTTACTTAGAGCCCATAACAAGCATTTAAAATTAAAGTTTATTCTTATAATAAATAAAAATGTAATTCTTGTACTAAAACCTTCCCCAGAGAAATTTTGAAAATTCCCATGAAATTTTGTTAAGTTCTTTGAATTATTACGGCAATTTGACAAAATTTAAATAAAACACTTAACATTTAGTTTGCATTTGTGTCTTTGTGACAGGACATAAACTTCACTGTCTAAAAGATTAAGACATTTCCGACTTCCTTGAGATAAACACAAAAGCGTATAAACGAACTCACCATAACAGAAATGTTTGCATTTCTGCAACATGTTAGCATAAAAAGGCAATACAATAAATCCGGATGTATGTTAAGTTAAAAGAAAATAAACACCATATATTGGATTTAAAAAGATAATTTAAAAATCTTAATTGACCAATAGTCAAAATAGATAGGTTATGTCTATGTATAAAAAGGTTTCAATTTTTTCTAAATTTGTTTGAATTAAGGATATAGTCTAACTCAAATCATTAGTCTAATTTCTTTTTGTATATAGTGTGATCTCAAGAGCTCTTTAAAAGTTCACACCAAATGCCACATTCTTTACATAAAGATATTTAACCAAATACTATACACACACACACACACACACACACACACACTCATTCACTTTCAAACCGTACTATGTCCGCAATTAGTGGGTTCTTGGTCTCACTGACTTCAAGAATGAAGCCACGGACCTTCGTGGTGAGTGTTACAGTTCTTAAAGATAGTGTGCCCAGAGTTTGTTCCTTCTGATGTTAGGACGTGTCCGGAGTTTCTTCCTTCTGGTGGGTTTGTGGTCTCGCTCACTTCAGGAGTGAAGCCGCAGACCTCCGCAGTCAGTGTAACAGCTCTTAAAGGCGGCGCATCCGGAGGTGTTTTTTCCTCCTGGTGGGTTCGTGGTCTCGCTGGCTTCAGGACTGCAGCTGCAGACCTTTGTGGTGAGTGTTGAACAGTTCATAAAGGTGGCGCCTCACGAGTTGTTCATTCCTGCCAGTGGATTCCTAGTCTCGCTGGCTTCAGGAGTGAAACTGCAGACCTTCACAGTGAGTGTTACAGCTCATAAAAGCAGCGTGGACCCAAAGAGAGGAGCAGCAAGATGTATTGCAAAGAGGGAAAGAACAAAGCTTCCACACTGTACAAGTGGAACCGAGAGAATTGCCACTGCTTGCTCGAGTGGCCTGCTTTTATTCCCTTATCTGGCCCCACCCACATCCTACTGACTGGTCCATTTTACAGAGAGCTGATTGGTCCATTTTACAGAGAGCTGATTGGTCTGTTTTGACAGAGTAATGGGTGTGTTTACAAACCTTTAGCTAGACATAGAGCACTGATTGGTGCATTTACAATCCTTTAGGTAGACACAAAAGTTCTCCAAGTACCCTACCTGATTAGCTAGACACAGAGTGCTGATTGGTGCATTTACAAACCTTTTCCTAGACACAGAGCACTGATTGGTGCATTCACAATCCTTTAGCTAGACACAAAAGTTCTCCAAGTCCCTTACCCAATTTGCTAGACACAGAGTGCTGATTGGTGAGGTTACAAACCTTTAGCTAGACACAGAGTGCTGATTGGTGCATTACAATCCTTTAGCTAGACAGAAAATTTATCCAAGTCCCCACCCATCCCAGAAGCCCAGTCGGCTTCACCTCTCACTGGTACTTGCTGGGGGACTTTGAGGCACCCAGCGCGGGCACTCCGGCAGCCCAGATGGAGGTCTTCCTCGATCACCCGCGAGCGCCGTGCCCGCGCCTCTCCCTCCACACCTTCCTGGGAGCAGAGGGAGCCACTCCGGCCTCAGCTAGCCCCAGAGAGGGGCCCCCACAGCACAGTGGTGGGCTGAAGAGCTCCTCAAGTGTGGTCAGGGTGGACGCAGAGGCCGAGGAGGCGCCGAGAGTGAGCTAGGGCTGCTAGCGCATTGTCACCTCTCAATATTGGTTATTCAATTCAGAATACATACATATTTGACCACAATACAGTATGGCTGGTTGGGAGATGGGGCAAGTGGAATTTTCTAACAAGAACTTTCAGATATTTCCATTCCGGTCACTTACCGTTATTTCTAATTTCTTCAGCAAAAGATTATACTTGTCCACTCTTTTCATTTTGCAAAATGTTCTCTGTTTCTTCCTGAGTGTTTTGATGTTATAAATATTTATGAACACAGAAAGCAACTCATATTTCTGGATGGGTACCGATTTTGCTGATGTTTTTAATAATGAGTAATACTAACAAGGAAATCACCAAAATCTCCCCAATTAAAAAAATACAAGAAACTCAGTTGTGTTTCTCAATTTTATTAGCTTGGATAACACAACCCCCCTTCTTTTAAGGTGACTCTACCAACATTTGAATACACGGACGTGCATGCACACGCACACACACATACATGTATATACATATATATAATATTAAAATTGTATGCATTTACAATTCTAACAGCAAAAATGACAATAACCAACCAACCAGCAAAAAAATGAACACTTGTCAAATAAACAAAAGGAGAGACAAAGAAGAAATGAAACACATGATAGATTGATTTCCAGGGATAAAGTATAAATAACAAAAATAACTATCCTTTATTTTGTCCCTCATAAATGTTTACTTCCTGTTCCAAGGACACAACCTTCTTAGCTGCCAATTTTTTTCAAGATCCTGACATTGTGTTTTCTCTTTCAAGGGTCGAATGCAAGCAAATAATAATAATACTAGGTCAAAAGCATTTCCTTTTAGTTTCTACATTCATTTTACGGATTTTTTTTCCTAAGAAAAAGTCAACATATGATTTTATACACTGTCATTATGCATTGTACATTTCTCCAAACCCATAGGATGTACAACACCAAGAGTGAATTCAAATGTAAACTACAGCCTCTGGGTAATAATGATGTGTTACATTGACTGGGACAAATGTGACCCCTTTGTGGGAGAAGTTGATGATGGGAAAGGCTGTGCACATGTGGGGCTGGAGACGTGAGAACTCTGCATCTTCCTCCTAATTTTGCTGTGCGTCTACAACTGCTTTAAAAAGTAAAATCAATTACAAAATTAAAATAATAAGTGGTCAAGGTTGGTGTGATAATTGTTTTTCTTCCCTTCGTGGATGCATCATGTAGATATGTACAGCAGAATAAATTAATTAACATTAACTTCATAATAAATAACTGTGAAATTGTTATAGCAATTATACAGATGCTTACATATACTTTGGAATATATCTGTGTGTCAAAAGAGAAATAATAGGCTAGGCATGGTGGCTCACACCTGAAATCCCAGCACTTTGGGAGGCCGAGGTACCTGGATCACCTGAGGTCAAGAGTTTGAGGCCAGCCTGGCCAACATGGTGAAACCCAGTTTCTACTAAAAATACAAAAATTAGCCAGGTGTGGTGGCATGTGCCTGTAATTCCATTTGCTCAGGAGACTGAGGCAGGAAAATTGCTTGAACCCGGGAGATGGAGGTTGCTGTGAGCCAAGATTGCCCCACTGCACTCCAGCCTGGGCTACAGAGCAAGACTCCGTCTAAAAAAAAAAGAGAGAGAGAGAGGAATAATGTTGGATTTTGTTGAGGGGTACTTGTTTCTGTTTTATCTGCCAGTTATTTATTTTAGATTACTGCTATAATTAAGAATACCCTCCTGAAAACTAACTCTAAGTTAATGTGGTTCTGAGGGATGTTCATTTGGGCCATGGGACAAAATATTTAAAAGTTCTTACTTATGGTTTTCTATTTTCAGGACCACCTATTTTGAACATATTTCCTTTTTAGCTATACAGTTGTGCCATAAATAGTGTATGTAGATCTTACCCACGGGATCTATTACAGACAGACTCTAAGTCAACCCCTGAATGATCCACAGCTCCCAGTGTTCACACCTTTGTAGGATCTACTCTCTTTGAGTGCATGCTTCCTACCGAGAGAATATAGCAAAGGTGAGGAGATGTCACTCTTACAATTATCTTCCTATATAAGACTCTGTCTTGTAGAACTCTCATTCTGGAGATTTTTCTTGCTGGCTCAATGAGGTTGGTAATGGCTAAGAAAGTTATGGGGCAAGGAAATAAGGGCAGCCTTTGGTAGCTGAGAAAAGCCACAAAGTGTGAAGGGCAACCTCTTGGAGTGGAGGGCAGACTCTAAGAATGGAGAGTGGCCTCCAGGAGTGAACAGTGGCCTCTAAGAGTGAAGAGCAGCCTCTAAGAGTGGAGGGTAGCCTCCAGAAGTGAAGCGTCGCCTCTAAGAGTGGAGGGTGGCCTCCAGAAATGAATGCTGGCCTCTAAGAGTGGAGGGTGGCCTTCAGAAGTGGAGAGTGACCTCTGGTAGTGGAGGGTAATCCCTGGGAATGAAAAGTTGCCTCTAGGAGTGGAAGTTGGCCTGTAGGAGTGGAGAGTGACCTCTAGGAGTGAAGGGCAACCTCTAGGAGTGGAAGGTGTCCTCTAGTGTGGAGAGCGACCTCTAGGAGTGAAGGGTGACCTCTAGGAGTGGAAAGAGGCTTCTAGGAGTGGAGAGCCACTACTGAGAGTGAAATAATCCAGGAACAGAAAGACAAACACTGCATGATCCCACTCATATGTGGAATCTAAAAGTTGGTCTCATAGAAGTAGAGAGTAGAATAGTGGTTACCAGAGGATGGGAAAGGGAGGGGAGAGTGGAGTGGGGAAGAGATTAGTCAATGGGTCCAAAGGTACTGTTGACAAGGAGGAATAAGTTCTGTCATTCTATTGCATCGTAGGATGACTAGAGTTAAAACTAATGCATTATGTATTTCAAAATAGCTAGAAGAGAGGTTTTGAATGTTCTCATCACAAAGAAATGATTATTTTAAGCTGATGGATATGTTAATTACCTAAAGTTGATAATTACACAATGCATGCATGTATCAACATGTCACATTTTACCCCATAGATATATACAATTATTATGTGTCAACAATATATTTTTAAGTTAAAATTTTGTCTTTTTTTCTGTGATGAGAATTTATAAAAAATTAATTGGTCTAGTGAAATCTTGCCTTATGAAACAAAGTTCACCAATATCAACAATTATGTTAAGATTTTGGAAGTCAAACTTGCAAAGTTAAAGTTACCATAGAGTTAAATCACTTTTGAATAATCCACCATTTAGAGTTCTGTTCTCCAATCATCTTACAGGCACGTGAAAGCAAGTGTCCAGGTGTGCGCGTTACAGCCTGCCTTCAAGCATTCACTCTATTTTTTGCATTCACTTTGTATTGCTGGTCCTAGGCTTCTTTCCTTAGACTTTGCTTGTCCTTCTGCCGCCCTGCTATGCACCTCTGAGGGCTTATTTTGAGTCCCGTGCTTGCTTGTCTCCTAGGTCAGTAAGATTCTAGGTGAGTTTGAATGGAGGATAAGGGCTGAGAGAATCCAGGCCATGTCTCCTTTCTCTGTTGCTGTCACAGATGGCAAAACCTGCCATGTGAGAGTGCCCTCTGTGCCTGCAAATCCTTCTGACAGGCCTGCTGTGTTCCTGATTTTTGCTAGGTAACCCCAATCCTGGGTGCTGGTGACAGGGACTCTTTCCTATGTCACTTCAGCGTGAGGTTGCTGAGCTCTGCATCCCCTGCTTGGCTTCTCACTTCTTACGTTACCAGTGAAACTAATTCTCTATAAATTTCCCTGTGTCTTAACTGTGTTCAAATACATGGAGTAGCTTCTGTTTCATGGTTGGACAGTCATTCACACCCATGCTATTAAAAACTCTTAAATAGTACAAATTAATAAGTTTATGACTTAATTGAATAAAATTGTTGAATAATTTACTTAATGTTGAAGAGTTTATATGCCACTACCATTATCATAAATAATATAGGCATTAATAATGTACACATTATTTGATCATATCCTTGGGATAGTGCCACAGAGTCAAAAAGTCTGGAGGTTTTAAGACCCTTAATGCATTATGAAGTTATTTTTCATCAAGGCTGAACGGATGCAATGTGCACTCCAATGAAGGCTAAATATCATTATTTTAAAACCTTTTGCTAATTTCATGAGCAAACATTTTCAGTTCTTGCTGCTGTGTAACAAATTACCTCAAACTTAGTGGTGTCAGACAGCAAGCATTTTACTATGCTCATGGATCCAGAAGCTCAGGAGTCTGGCAGAATCAGCTGGCTGCTCCATTGCTCCTCTTGGATGCTGATACCACGCCTGGAACTCGGTTGGCAGAAGGCTGGTCCTGAGGGCAAGCGGTGACTCCCTCACAGAGCTGATGGCTTCTGGGAAACAACAGTGATGTCCATCAGCACCTCCCTGTGGACCCTCCGGCATGACAAAGGACATCTCACTCTGCTGTCAAGGCCTCAGGAAAATCAATTGGGAGCTGCATGGCCTTTTCTGACAGCCTTGAAAATCACCCAGATAACTTTCACCATACTGTGTTGGCTGAAACAGGAGCAGGTCTGCCTGGTCCAAGCGCATGGGGAAGTGGCAAGGTCACATTCTAGAAGAGCAGGTGGTACCAGAAGATTGTTCCTGAGAATATAGCCTTCTCAAAAAAACAAATGAGAACACTCTATATTACATCTCAGAACTTCTTTTTAAAATTTATTTTCTGATTTGAAAAAATAATAAACAGTGTTAAAAGTTGCAGAAAGATCCCTGGAAAAAGATTGTTAACAGAAGTATTGGAAAATGAAAAAATATATGTCTCTTTTATGCTCCTACCCTTATTTATAAAATGAATAATAATCAAACATTAACATTCATAATCCATGAAGATAGTTAAATTCTTGTGAGAAAGAAAAATACCAATATGGAAAAGTACACACTGATCATTCAAATGTGCTTACCAAAGATACCAATCTTCAGGTCTAATGTATCTTACCCATGTACACAAGCTTGAGAGAAGTCTTTGAGCAAATGTCAACTAATGTAAGAAAAAAAATCCCTTATGCTAAAACATCCAAAAATCCTAGCTCACTCTTCATCTGAGGAAAATCTCTAGCTCCCTCTGTTGGGAACATTGAAATTTACACACTAAACAACCTTCAGAACATACGGGGAACTCTCCCATCCTTTTAAAATGGGAACTCAGCCAGGAATCTGCCCTGTGCCCCTTGATAAGACATGTTGTTGAATGGCTTCCTTCTTAAATATCTTATGCTCACTGAGGCTTTCTATAAATTTGATTTTAGCTGAAACCTGACATGTGTTGCTGATAGTGCTTCAAGAATGCTTCAAGAATAATGAAGAGACTGTACAACTTATAAAGCAAGAAGAAAATATGGGTAACACATTAAGAGCAATGTTTCTTTGTGACACTTTTATAATAACCTTTAAAACCAATATGGTCTTCCATCCAGTCATCTGTGATTTACATATAAATTTGGGAAGTTATTTTGTATATTTGTTGCAGCAACTTCTCTAAACACAAAAATACCAAAATGATCACCAAATAGCCTTATTAATTATGTTACTGAGTGATAGTCCAGGAAACTCAAGTTCACCTATTTTCAGCATTTGGCTATCAGTTGAATTCTGCTTTGGATTTAGACTCCATGCTGGTGTCAGTGAGTAGTGTGATTTCTCACAACAAATTTTCCTTTTCCTGTTCTTTCAAGCCTTAGGTGTGGTGCATAATTTTTTAAATGACAATAGGTAGAAGTAACTAGGTCATTGAGTTGAACCCAAACATAAACAGAGAGGGAAATTTAAATGAGTAAATGTGAGTTTTGAAGATCCAAAGAATGGGATTTTCAGTCATACCTTTCTGCCTAGTGAACTTACTCCCTAGTAATCCAGCACTTTGGGAAGCCGAGGCGGGTGGATCACCTGAGGTCAGGAGTGTGAGACCAGCCTGACCAACATGGTGAAACCCTGTCTCTTCTAAAAATACAAAAATTAGCTGGGCGTGGTGGCAGGCCCCGGTAATCCCAGCTACTCGGGAGGCTGAGGCAGGAGAATGGCTTGAACCTGGGAGATTGCAGTGAGCCAAGATGGCCATTGCACTCCAGCCTGGGCGAGACTCCATCTCAAAACAACAACAACAACAACAAAAACACAATATTATCCTCACAGAGCTGTTGAATAGGATGAAATTAGTTAATATGTTTTCCTCTATAAAATGTAAAATACCTACTTCATAGGAGTGTGGTGGGAGTAAATGTGTTATGATATACAAAGCACTGAAAACAATTTCCTATGATGTTATGACTTACATGTTAAATGTAACAATTCTTAAGCACTTTTTCAAACTCATTACATTTTATAGGCTCTCAATAAATGGTAGTAGCTCCTCATGGCATTTGTAGAAGTAACAGACTGTAGGGACAATGCCTAACCTCTTTTTAGAATGTTACTATTGCCAGTGCTGGCCAGCCAAGGTCTTAAGGACACTTCTGTAGTTGAACAGACTTCTGTTTATCAGTAGCTGATGCAACAACAGAGATTTCACATGATCAGAAACCATGGGGTGTCAAGCCCATTAGGAAGGGCTTGTTATAGAATTGGGTTTGAAATTAGAGGATTAGAGTGAAGAATCAAGGAATCATTGTTTTGCTCTAGATAGGGTGCTCTCTGTAGAGGGTTTCTATAATAAGTTATCCATACAATTTTTATCTAAAAGGTGGAAGGCATGGAGTGGGATTAAACATGGACTTGGTAAAGAAGTACCTATTGTTTATAATAGCTCAGAATAGGGTTGCTATCGTCTGAATGTTTGTGTCTCTTCAAAATTCATACGCTGAACTCTAATTGCTAAAGTGATGGCACAGGAGGTAGGGGCTTTGGGAGGTAACTAAGTCATTAGGGCAGAGCCCTCCTGAATGGCACTAGTGCCCTCATAAAAGAGGCCCCAGAGACCCCTCTCACCCCTTCTGCCATGTGGACACAACTAGGAGACAAAATCTAAGAGGAAGTAGGCCCTTACCAGGCACCAAATCTGCTGGCACCCTGATCTTGGACTTTAGAGCCTCCAGAACTATAAGAAATAAATATCTGCCATATATAAATCACCCTGTTTGAGGTATTAGTCAAACTGACTAAGCCAGTAGTGTTTAGTCATTTCTCTAGTTTGCACTCTCCTTGTTTACATGTTTTTAGGCAGCACTGTGAGGCGGGTATTGTTTGCTCTGCTGCATGACAGTTTGGAGTGCTGTTGTCTAATGTGTCATGTGAAATTTCTTCTGTTCAACACCACAGGCCAGCTGCAAGAGTGAGGCCAGCTCCCAGCTCACCACCATATATATACACACACACACTAATATTACTACTGTCAATAGATATCAACTTTTTGTAACATAAATCTAAGAAAAGTACCATATATATATATACACACATACCAATATTACTACTGTCAATAGACATCACCTTTTTGTAACATAAATCTAAGAAAAGTACAGTATTATTATTTATGTTTCCTTTCTCCTCACTGCAGTTTTACATATCACTAGCTAGATGATTTATCCTAAAGATTTTTATCTTTAGGATATGGGGGTTTTATAACTTTTATCATGACACCTCCAAATCCAAGATTCTTTTATGAGCACTTAAATTTAGCCTGTACACACACCCAGCTGTATTACATAAGCTCTTCCAGAATCAGGCTTCAGTTCCCCTTACCGCCCCCACACCCACCACCTGTACCACCTGCTGTGGCTGATGCACTTCTGCCTCCACGCCTTTACTGGCTCTCTTCTCTCAGCTTGCAAGACACTTTCAGAAATTGTCTTTTATTTGAATAAATTTAAATTAATTGCATCTTAGGCTAATAATTCTAAGGAACCTAATTTTGATAAGTAGAATCCATAAACATTGGTTGGTATGCCTATCAAATTTGAGGCATCTCACCAGATTGAGATACAAAAATAAGGCTGCATTTCATTTAATATTTGAAATAAAGTGCTTCTGAGCCCCACAGGTGAGGTTAGTGTGCAGTTCATTCCTCCATTTTCAGATCCTTTCTGCAACATTATAAAAACATTAGAACACTCAACCTCAGGGCTTAGTCCAGCTGCCTTGTACATTGTCCTCATTAGCAGAACTCAGCTGCCACAACTACCACTGGTGCTGAGGCTCCAGGTATACTGCCACACTATTTTCACCACCAACACTGGAGGTCTGGAATAAATGGAAACTGGGAGATTCTAAATATCTGCAAACTTCTGATTTGCTGCTTTTCCATTGAAGATGCCAAAACACCATGCGTTTCCTCACTGGTTCTGAGGAAGGCCACAATTCCAAAGTATTCAATGTTGTTTATGGCAAAATTCATCTGGACTTATAATAACATTGTTCTTTATAATTTGGCTTTTCTTTTTTAACCCCTTCTTGTACCCCCACCAGCTCACACACACAAACATACTTGGATTCATGCTGTTCCCAACGTGCCATGGCCCATGATTGTCATCAGGAGCTCCAGAAGCAGCCACACACCACACCTTGACACCCCTTTACCAACTCTCCCATAAGAGAATGCTCAGATATTGAGCCCAAGGCACTTGTTTAAGAAGGAAACAACAAAAACTAAAAATAGAATAAAAAATAAAAAGACATACTTTGAAATGAGTTTCTCTTTTAAAATAAATGTGCATTCTTGGTGTCAGATGACTTCCGTCAGGGCTATTAGAATTCATGAAAGCCTTGCTACCTACATTGATCTTCACGACAAAACGAATAAAAACCTTCATCCCATTTTTCACTAGAGAAGTTAGCTCCTGTGAAAATATTCTCACCACTTTCTGAAAGCATTTAGAGCAGAGTTTCAGAAAACAGCAACCTTCATCAAGATTTGCAAATGCCTGTTTCCCTAGAAGCAACACTTGCTGACTCTTAAAAGAAAACACTTTATTCTAAAAACATATTTAAAATTCGACTTATCAGCCTCCATATTACATAAAGTCTGTTGATTCGTCTCTCACTGACTTTGGTATGATTTGATTTTTGTTGTTGTTGAATTGGTGGTTTGGGTGTTTGCACTGGGGTGTGTTAAGACTGTAGCCCCTTATAAAATACCTCACAGGGAGTGTAGGATCACGCATTTCACACTTTATGTAACTCAACTCAGCATCCAGTCCAGTGTTTGCAAATGATGTTTAGTCATTTTGTTACTTACCCAGTTATAATTCACTGTTGGTTTTAGAGCTTTGGGTGAAGAGTGCTAAAATAACTCAAATAATAATTTTAGATCATAAGGAAACTCGTTACGTAAGTTCAATGAGTTCCTTCTTAATTGACATATATTTCAATACTTGGACTTTGATAAAGTTATTTTATAGGTCTTTTCATTAAATTAACTTAGAGAATTGATTAGCCATAAAACAGGAAACAGCATATGTGTAGTCAAAGGAAACCTTTTCTTTGATAAAAATACTTCCATAAATATTCTGAGAAAATGAAAACTTCCAGATTATAATGCTATTACTGACATAATAAATTTATTCATAATAAGTAGAGAAATGTTAAAAGTTATAAAATTTGAAAAGAAATGTATATAGTAACTGGCTAATTTAAGTTATTTTTTTCTTTTTCTTTTTTTTTTAGACAGAGTCTTGCTCTGTCACCCAGGCTGGAGTGCAATGGCTCAATCTCGGCTCACCGCAAACTCCACCTCCAGGTTCAAGCGACTCTCCTGCCTCAGCCTCCTGAGTAGCTGGGATTACAGGTGCACATCACCATGCCTGGCTAATTTTGTATTTTTAGTAGAGATGGGGTTTCTCCATGTTGGTCAGCCTGGTCTCGAACTCCCAACCTCAGGTGATCTGCCCACCTCGGCCTCCCAAAGTGCTGGGATTACAGGCATAAGCCACCGTGCCCAGCCCAGTAATGTTTTAATAAATACCCATTTAATAATTTTGTCTGACACCTAAACTCATAACAAAGATATTTTAAAATGTTAGATTTTCACTCACATTAGTATACATTTACAATTTAATGAAATGCAAAAACATAATGCACTACTGATCCTGTAAAATTAATTTAAGTGTTTTATTTTTTGCTCTCCCCCATAAGGATGGGTGTACTATATCCCCTTTTATGGGTGGATTTGCAAGAATCTGTAGAATGCTAAGGCATGTTTTGGCTCAGGAATTATTAAACTATACTCCAAGAATATCATTTTTAGGTTTCTTGTTTCTTTCTTCCAGGCTGTTCCTGGTTCTTTGCATTCATCATTTAATTTATGCACTTTGGCTGTCTCCAGGTGGGAACTTGTGAACAAGCTTTGGTGAGATCCCCACAGGATATTACACACTGCAATCTGGCAACAGCGTACATCTCTAACATGAAACAAAAGGAAATGCTCTGAAAACTTTTGATTTTCTAATTTCTATATCCAGAAGACAATTTCATCATTTATATTGTCGACTTTTCCAATGAATCTGGCAATGTTCAAGATGTTCATTCTGTACACCTGGAAACCTTGCCAAACAGACAAACATCCCAGAGGTTCAAAAAAGTTGAGGACTAACAATAATCACTGGTGCTGAGCCGATTCCAGCATCTCCTGAATGGGTCCGCTGAAGTCTGGATTTGGTGGGCAGATTCTGGAGCGAGGTTCTGGGTGCTGCTGGTGCTGCTGGCTGCAAGGGACAAATGAGCTGACCCCTCGAACAGACGACCCGAAAGATTGCACAGGACTCTGACCCCTACAAGACGGCCTGGAACATGCAGGCCTTGCTCAGCAACAGTAGTCAGCACTGGAGCATGCTTCAGAACCTAAATAGCTGATGGAGAAATACTCAGCTCTTCCTTATGAATAATAGTCGTGCTTCACAACCAGGCCTTGCCATCTGCTGTGATCTTTTATAACCTGTGTTCTACTCTATTCTCAGTTACCAGATGGTGGGTTCCAGTTTTGTAGAAAATCCACATTTACATTCTTTTTACCTTTTCCATTCTCTTTTCCCTCACAGATACCTACACTTAGCCTTTGCCTCTCTCAGTTGTCTTGTAACCAGGAGAGCATTTGTGGGCAAAAAGAAGAGAAATTATAGACAGTGACCTAAATTCTAATAATAACCTCATCACTAGCAAACTGCAATTTTAGTTAGTTCATTGAAATTCTCTGGGTTTGACTGACAACATGGTAATAAAAACGCTTCTACATGCCTGTGTGTTGGGTCCTATCCTTAGAGCTTTTCATGTCTGTTTTAATTTTCATACTAATCCCACTTCACAATGGAGGACAATAAAACTTGGAGAGTTTGTGAATTAGCAAGTATGGTGTCATTCATTATTAGCAAGACCAGAATAATTTCTGCTCTGTGGAAATAATATTTGTTTGAAAGACACAATGCAATATTATGATGCAACAGCAATACATAATGTTTAAAAAGGATCTGAATACCAGTAACTTTTAATATTCCCTGTCATTCCTAATTCTCAGTGCCACAGATTATAGACATTTTACTATATTTCCATCAGGGGCTGATATGTTGTATGAAAACGACTTTGATACCATAATAAATATGTTTCTAGGGGGAAAAGAGGAAAAGGATTAGGAAGTCTTAATGTTGTATCTTGCTTCTGGTTAAATTTTAGGTTATATATGTCATATGATAATTTGTAAGACCTTAAAATCTGGTTTTCTCTTTTCTTCTGACTAGCAATATCCATGTGGGATTCTAAAATTAAACTTTTAAAGTTGAGGCTGACAAGCAGTTGATTGTTATTCATGATTGAATTGACTGCATTTGTCAGCTGTAACACACTTCTGCTTCCTCATGTGGTTGGTTCAGAGGCTCTCCAAAGAAAGAGAAAATATATAAGACAAAGTAACCTAAGAAAAATTCTGAGCACATTTATAAAATGTATCATCTATCTATCTATCTATCTATCTATCTATCTATCTATCTATCTCTCTATCTAATCTGTCTATCTCTCTATCATTTTTCTCTCCTGTCTTTAGTATTTGTTTCTCTCTTCACTTCCTTCAACCTCATATTGAATTTTCCTCTAAGTGTTTAGTCCTAAGCAATGTCACATTTAGTGATTAAATGTGGAATATTAGAATCTCATACATTTAGTCAAAACCCTTCATTTCATAGGTGATAGAATGTAACCAAAAGAACCAAAATGACTTGTTCAAGCCATCTGGGAATTACCTGACAAATTTAGAAAGATAATCAAGGATACTATTGCTTCAGTATGTGGGAGTCTTTTGCCAAACTGTACAAAAGGGATAAACTAATAATTAATTGCAACTTAGCTTTCATTATTTTACTACCAAAATAATCATTTCTTAAACGTGTCACTTACATTTATTCTGTAAATTTGGCAGCAGTCCATTAATACATGTTAAAAATAAATTTTAAAATAGGAACTTTCAGTCAAGGCAGAGTAGCTTACACCTGTAATCCCAACACTTTGGGATGCTGAGGCAGGAAGATTGCTTGAGGCCAGGAGTTGGAGACTAGCCTGGGCAACATAATGAGATCCCATCTTTACAAAAAATAAAAAAAAAAATTAGTCAAGTGTAATGGCTCATGCCAGTGGGCCCAACTCCTCTGGACAGTGAAGCAGGCTGATTATTTTAGTTCAAGGAGTTCAAAGCTGCAGTGAGCTATGATCACACCACTGTACTCCAGCCTGGGAAACAGATTGAGATTCTGTCTAAAAATAAAAAAAAAATAGTAAAATAAATAAAATCAAAACGATATAGGAATGTTCAAAATGGAAATAAGATTTTGACACAGAGATGTGCATTTTTCAATAAAGGACAACATAAATAATGTATGCTGAATCAATATTTGCATCTATGATAGAAACAATTCAAAAGAATAATGGCAATGATTATATTTAGCACTGAACTCAGAGAAGTTTGGAAAACATCAGCTTGTGAGCAGGCTAGTCACCAAGTTAAGGGTAGAAGTGCTGTATTCACTAGGACTTTCAAGTTTCTCCTTCTCAAGAAAGCATGAAACAAAAATTAATTTTTTTAAGGCTCAGATCCACAATGTATTCGTCGGTTTTCACACTGCTATAAAGAACTACCTGAGACTGGGTAATTTATAAAGAAAAGAGGTTTAATTGACCCACAATAGTTCTTCGTGGCTAGGGAGGCCTCAGCAAACTCACAATCATGCCAGAAGGTGAACGAGAAGCAACACCTTCTTCACAAGGTGACAGGCGAGAGAAGGAGTGAGGGGGAGACTGCCACACACTTTTAAACCATCAGCTCTCAGTTCTTGTGAGAACTCACTCACTATCATGAGAACAGCATGGGGAAAACTGCCCCCATGATCCAATCACCCCCCACCGGGTCCCTCTGTCACATGTGGGGATTATAATTCAAGATGAGATCTAGGTGGGGACAGAGAACAGAACCGTATCCCATAAGACAGAAGGACTATAGGAAGCACATGCCTGGGAGGTTCTGGAAGCCAGGGCTAGTGGTTGTTATTCCTGTTTATATCAATTTTTCCAGTCATTGAAACTAGAATAATTCATCAAAGAAAAGTTTTATATCAAACTTTCATAAACTCATAGCAGAAATGTTTAAGAAAATGTTTCAATTTCCTTACCTATATTTTTCCATTTTAATTTTACACTGGAACAAAAGCAAAATTAAGCAACACAATATGTCTCCTCAATGACTATTAATTTTTTCCTTTAGAAAAACATTTTTACTTTTAAAAAAACTACTGCTTAGTGAATAAAATAATGATTAAGTCAGTCTCGATGGCACTAGACATGAATTTAAGACTATTTTATCTTTAAAATGACTAGAAACAGTGAAACTATATAATGATTACATGTTTATTTTTCTATTTAGTTATTTCCAAAACTCTTTAGATTTCAAAATGAAGAGATGGAAACCAAAGTTAACCCCACACAATATCAAATCACTTGGTAGAATTGTAGAAGAAAGGGATGTCAGAGCAAACCAAAGCAATCCCCTCATTTTCCACTGGAGAAAAACGAGGGTGAAGAAAATGAATGGCAAGGTGATACGGCTACAGCTCTCAAGAGACAAAAATGGGAGTCAATATTTGCTCTCTTGATCCACACTCCTTCAAAAAGGTATCTCTTTCTTTACAAAGCATGTTTTATTCAATTAATATTTATTGAACAAGTTCTATGTTGAGGAACTATGCTAGATTCCCAGAGGAAAGAGCTTTGATGAGATGAATAAAAAACCAGTTACATTTCTATTATGCAAATACTGTCCTAAGTGAAGGAATTATAAGCACAGCCCCATGAGGAATCAAGAAAAAATAAACAAAACAGAAGCTATGTGACAATTAACCAACATAGTAATAAGTGTAGCATGACAAGAAGACATCTTGGAAGCATAAATGATTAAATGTATCTGGAACAAGCAGGAATATAAGACCCGTGTGAGTATCCCCATCATCGGAGAATATGTGTGGGAGAGCAGATGTTTAAGAAGATTGTATGTGAGAAAAAAAAAAGAAGGAAGGTGAGATGAAAAAAGGAAGGAAAAAAGACAGTGAGGGAAGGAGAGTTTGGAAAATAGAAAAATATTTCAGGAACAGACTGAAGATGTATATAGTGTATTGTGAAGATGTATATGGTGTATTGTGAAATGGCAAGTAATTGTTCGTGACTCAGAGTATATTTCAAGGTATAGCACAGGAAGTGTTGCTAAAAATACTCGCAAGGATGAGATTATGAGTGGTTTGCTACACCGTGTGAGGAAGTTAGGCATTCTCCTTTGGGCATAAGAGAGAAATTCTAAGATTTTAAGCAGAGGTCTGGATTGTGCACAGGTGCCTTACAAAACTGGGGCTGCAGAACACTTCAGAGGGGCAAAGGAAGGATTGCATAGGGATTAATCAGAACTTATTCCTCCAGGATCCAGCAATTGAGGGAGAGAGACATTTAAAAAACTAAGACAGTAGACCATAATCACGACCTCTCAGGGGCATAAGTGAGTGTTGAGAAAGACCAAGTGTTTATTTTTATTAAGAAAACAGTTTATTTTGAGGGGTCAAAAGGATTTTGACAGATCAGAGAATAAAAGAAATGGATTTGATCTAGAAAAAGGAGATTGACTAAAACCCACAGACATGAACGTGTTTGCCTCACATACATCTCTCAGAATCTGTTTCACAGGGCTTTGGTCCTCAGAGGGCTCAGCCTCCGCAGACCTCCAACCAATCCTAGCATTCAGCTCCCAGGGCTTGCGGTGTCATAGGCAACTGAGAAGAATAAAGTTTGAAATAGCATCAAAAGAAGATTTCATATCCAAACACGAAATGTATTCCATGTTAAGGAAAATATGGTGAGATAAACCAAATACGTCAAGCAGGAAACCAGGGAAACCCAGAAGTGGAGGAATGTTGCCAAATAGTTCAGAAGTGGTCCTTCCAACGATGGAGAGATAATGATGACCAATCCATCATTGCATTACTTCTTAAATTTTTGTTTTCTTTTATTTATGCCTTGAAGCAAGGAAGGTAAAATGGTAAAACAAGAATGGCAAATAGATCCCTTCTTCCACAAAACTGGTCACTTGCTTTGAGCAGTAACTTTGAAGGACTGGGAAAATATGGAGCCAAAAAAAAAAAAAGTGCCAGGATTCCAACATGGCTTGGGAAAGTTGATGTGGCCTGACCGGTGTGGGACATGACACATGAGGATGCATGTACTCCAGGTGAGGCGATCAATGCAGTTAACATCCAAATCCTTCAGAAAAGCCAGTCACCCGGGGTGGGGGCTTTCTTTTAGGATCCCAAACCAGCAAGGGGCTTATGACCTCACTAGGAGCCTGACACTTCCCACTCCCGCAGCTTCCCAGACCACTCGGGTTAGAGCAGGCATAGTGGTGAGATGGCTGAAGAAGACTTAACAAGGACCATTACTAGGAAGAGAAGAGAGACACAGTAAAAAAAAAAAAAAAAAAAAAAAAACGGCCAGAAAGGGGAAATGTGGGTAGAGAAACCCAAACCCAGTATTGTTATTTAGTTTGTGGGAAATTATTATGTTTTCCTCTCACATCTTTATTGACTGAAATCCGGGCAGGTAGAAAAGTTGGTTGTCACCGTACAAAGAGTTAATCTGTGTGTGTAAACATGAAAGAGTAGGAGAGTTTAAAAAGACCACTGTGAATGGGAGCCCTCCCCTCGACAGTGATGGGAAGCCCCAGCCAGCTCCCTGGGTTCTCTCTGAGGCCTTTGGGCATGGACGGGAACCATGCTGCTGGCTTTCATCGGCCTCCAGCTCAGAGACAGCAAACTGTAAGACCTCAGCTGCCATAATTGTGTGAGCCAGCCAATCTTTACAATACATCTCTTTCTGTATGTGTATATCTGTATCTATATCCACTGATTCTACTTCTCTGGAAAACTCTGACTAGTACAATAATATCTGCCAAATCAATTTAAATTCTCATCCATTCATGCATTGTTCTTTTTTTCTTTTTTAGTGATGACATTATTAACCTTCCTGCTTCTCACAAAGGGCTATTTTTGGCTATCAGGGGCTAAAGAAATGAATGAACACATCCACAGCCTGCTGGAAGGCAGGAGCATGACGGAGCAAAGATGAGACACTTCCTCTAGAGCCCTTGGAATCTCTTTCTCATCCCTGCCTCTACTCTACCTCAACTTCTGCCTGTAAGACAAATGTAAATGGCACTTGGACTTCTCTAGGTGAGGAAGGACATAAGCTGTGTTTTGTATTTCAGATATACCGACTTTGAAACAATTAAATAGATGTAGAAAAATCTCCACCTTTTTTTCCTCCAAAATAGCAATTCTCCCATTTATATATTATAAAAGAGTAAGTGGACACAGTAGATATAATATAGTGTGTTATGCATTTATGATACAATTTTTCATGGCCTTTCACAAAATATTAATCACCACTCATAAAGAGCAATGCCAAGTAAGCATCAATTTTCTTTCAGTCTTTCTGCATTTTAACTATGCTTTCTGGGAACTTCTTCATGCCCTCAGGGATCACAGGTGATAAATAGATATATTAATTTTAAAAATTAATCTTCTGGAACAGGATTGTGCTCTGAGCTTGCCTTCAAAAATAGCCTTCTCTATAAATTATAGAGTTTTAATCTACTTTTCAACCCTTATAACTCATCTGCTTTTTTTCTTAGATAACTCTATTCTGCATGGCAACCAATGAGTTTTCATCTGAAAGCAAAATTTTTTCCCTGTAACATGACTTTCAAAAAGCAACTAAAATTCACATTTTGTTAGCTTTGGCTATAAATATAATTATGTTTCCATTATCAAAATGAAAATGGTGAAAAATATTTTTCAAAAGGTCAGTGTTTCCGCACGGACTCACAATTACAATTTACTGATTTAGTACACATATTGTATCTCTAACTTACTACAGACGTGTAGTGTGTGGAATCTGGAGTATGGTAAAGTAGGAAGCCCCAGGAATCTGTCTGCCCACCTAGACAGCAACTGCACTGGCATAATCTGTCGGACGTAACTATTTTGGAACTCCTGAGTCTCTGGACGGCTTGCAAATTCCAGGGGAAGGCTTGGACAGTAAAGTGCAGTTAATTGCAGTCAATTTCAGCTCTCAGCCCAGAAGCAGCTACACAGCCTCTATCCCAGCCCCATGGCTGGAAGCCGGCCACATGTTCCTGGAGCACCCTAAACACAGTGTGCAGTAATCAAGGTGGGATAAATGACCACGTTCTCCAAATATCAAGAATTTTTTTTAATCTAATCTAATCACTGATTGGGGCTTCTGATTACAGCGGTGCAGACAAAGAAGATGAGCTATTTTTGCACTTCCTCTCATTGTTGGAAGCCCCTTCCTTTCCAGTGGAAGTGACTGTCTGGGTATTTAAAGGTTGAGCACTCCTTTCACTTCTTTGTCATTCTTATTTTCCCCCTTTTGGGAGTCAGACATGAAACACAAAAATATTCGAAAGCAACTATATTTATAGGAGAAATTAGAAAGTCACTGTGCAGGCTGGGCAAGGTGGCTCACTCCTGTAATCCCAGCACTTTGGATGGCAGAGGTGTGTGGATCACTTAAGGCCAGAAGTTCAAGACCAGCTGGCTTATCATGGTGAGACCTTATCTCTACAAAAAAAAAAAAAAAAATGCAAAAATTAGCCAGGCATGGTGACACACACCTGTGGTCTTAGCTACTCAAGAGGTTGAGGTGAGAGGATTGTTTGAGCCTGGAAAGTGGAGGTTGCAGTGAGCAGAGATCCCACCACTGTACTACAGCCTGGGTGACAGGACAAGATACAATAAAAAAAAAAAAAAAAAAAAAAGACACTGTGCAAAGCACTACCTCAGAAATAACCTAAGAAGACCTGAAGTTTACTCTTCAGGCTGATCCTTGGCACAGAGAGAGCCCATAGCAATTCAAAACAATTTTTTAAAATAGCAAGATACACACACACACAAAACAAAGGGGAAAGGGGATAATTTGATTTCCAGAGTTACCTCATTATTATATTCAAATGTCCAGTTTTTAGCCAAAAAAATCACAAGACATATTGAAAAACGTGAAATTATAACCTATTAACAAAAACAACAGAAACTGACACTAAGTAGGACCAGATGGTAAACATGCTAACAAGACTTTGAAACAACTGACAAAGATACTCAGGCATGGAGAATGTCAAGAAAATGATACATGAATAAAATAGAAATAACAAAAATTGATAGAAAAAAACTAAAAATAAACCAAAAGAAATTCTAAAGCTAAAAAGTATTAAAATAAAAATTCACAAGGATTCAAAGATAGATTTGAGCAGGCAGAAGAAAGGATTGGCAAACTTTAAAGATAGGGCAATGGAAACTGTTGAGGCCAAGGAACAGAAAGAAAATGGATTAAAGAAAAAGTGAACAGAGCCTAAGGAGCCTGTGGGATGCCTCAAGCAGGCAACATACTCATTGTAGAAGTTCCAGAAGGAGAAGAGAGAAAGAAAGGGGCAGAGAGATAATTATGGTCTTCCTGCTTTGTACATAAAATACAGTGGTTCCCTTTTTTCATTGTTGAAACTGCTAAAAAAAATGGCATTTTGATTTTTTCCTGATTTCCCTTTAGTTGCCAACAACTTTAACATGTTGCAAATGTTTGACTCAGTTGTATATTTCACAGAGAGTAATCAAGGCTTCTATAACCCCAATCCCTGTCCCTGCCCCCAATGTTATTGCTTTGGGCATAAGGAAGAATAAACTACTTCAAAGTGACAATGTTTTAAATTGCCCAATTATTGCCCATCATCTAGAGCAGATATTTTGATACATATGGCCATCACTAAGTTATACAAGATACAGCTGAGGTTTCCTTTCAAGGCTACTGAGAGGTTCTGCCCATATGTTTTGCAAGTTGAGTGACTCAGTGTTCAATTCTCAGTATTATAATATGGTCCCACAGCCTTTAATATATTATTTGTAGTAAAATCTCATTTTTTACATTTGATCATTTTAAGTAGCTGTGTGTGAATTTAAATTCTCATTACTTATGTTTAAGAAATGATTTATTAAGGTCACCAAACATTTGTAATGATATACATGAGGTAATTTTACACTTACTATGCTGTGAAGATTTATGATCATAGTTTATTTTACAGGAACATTGGTAGCTCTAACAATTAATTTGTTTGATACTTACTTTGTTATACATCCCTTTCATTCATACATAAGATTTACTGATTTATTAGTCATGCCACATAATTCAGTCATTTTTAAATGTAGGGGAGTTGGACAAACTAATACTTGGGCAGTGTTAGTGGCCTTTGTAGTTTCTCAGATCTTCAGGTCTTTAAGAATAGGTGGTTATTTATTTTTGGAAAATGCCCTACATGAGTTTGCTAAAGGTTATGCAATAGTTTCCTGAAACATTTTTTGAATTGACCTCTCTTGCATTTTCCTTTTCTTGACATGTTATCTATGGCCATTATAACAAGAAGTGTGTAGATTCCCAAGGTATCCTGAAGATATAGAACTAAATCTGAATATGAAAGGAAGAAGATGGTTTTCTGAACTCACTTTCTGTTCTTGGCATCTCTGACTTACAAATTGACAGAGGGAAATTTGAGACTGTACTATTATTCTAGATAGTTAAATTCAAAGTACCTTCTTTAGTTGAGAAAGAATATCACAAGCTCTTTTCAATACCTTACCATAGAGAAATTAATAATGAAATTTGTATTTTGTTACTCATAATCAATACTTGCCATTACAAGTATTTGTTAAAGTAAGTATAGCTGCTGTAAACCTGCAGCCATTTCCCAGTAACAACCGCATATTATGGAGGATACAATACAAATTTCTGTCCACTCCTCTGGCCACCACCTATTTAAATGCATTTTTTCGTACATGTAAAACACATGCATTTTCTCCCCAAGAGACAGTCCAACAATAAAGTGGGTGTGACAGCTCAAAGTGGGTATGACAAAGTTCTCTCCATCAGCATGTCATCTTTTTGGTCCACTTGCTTACAAAATTAAAAACAAGCTATCTGCCTCCTGCATGTATATACCAAGTATACAATGGTGGGGCATGATTACGATAATCACAAGAAAAACTGCAACTGACGAAAGGGAAGCTTGGGGTCCATGCTGCAGTCACTGATCTACGGCAATGATGAAAACCTGATGGCCAAGTTGTAGAAGGCACCCTTTTCCCAGAAGGATGTGGAAAGACCCTCAATTAGACTCCAGTCCTTCTATTTGGGGAGATTCCCTTGTGTGACATCATTTGACTCTGGCTTGACCCTCTGTGGGGGCCCTCCCTTTGACATCATCTCCCAGGGCCACATCTGATGGGGTTTGGGGGGATCTTGTCCTTGGTGGAGGGTAAGCAGCTTTTACCACCTTTTTTTCTGCTGGGAAAATGGACCTACAAGCAGTCTTGATACCCACAGAATTTTTTAGTAAGCAATAAAAAGAAGGAATAGACTTCTGATTCGTTTGTTTCCTGTCAATTTGATGTGCCTGCACTCACCTAAAGTTATTTCCTAGGAATTGTCCTTAAGCCCACATTTGCTCATTATTTCTCCATCCCCATGCATTTTTTTCTTTCAATTGAATTTTGGCTACCATCATGCCATCTGAAGCAACAAGACTTAGTTGAGAATGAATCGGCTTAAATCTGGTCTCTGTTCTAGAATTGTGTCCCCATTTTAACCAATTAATTCCTACAGAGCCTTTTTGTTCAAGTCTTTTTCAATATTACCTTTTATGTTTGCAGCCCCAAAACAGTAAACTTTTCCAACTCTGCATGGCCCAAATCTCTGTGTTCTCGTTTATCCTTTGCCTCCAATCTTAAAGGAGTCAGCTCTTGCCTGAGTAATTAGCTGTCTCTCCTAGACTAAAAAAGGACTTAAAAGCATCAACCTAGATTGAAAAATATACTTTTAAAAGGAGTTTTCCTTTCCCCAATGATCAACAGAGTCATTACTTGACATGAAATTTTTCATTTTATATTTTATGAATCTGTGAATGTTTTATACATCAGCCTAATTAAAGAAGGCTTCCCCTTAGATTTAATCCGAAGGCAAGGAATAATTAAAGCATTTTCATTTATATTATAGTATATGTATACGGGGAAAAGTAATAGATATTCATATTTAATATTCATCTTTATTAAAATTATCCTAATTATGCACATGAAGTTGTCTGGGTCAGAGACAGATTTCTTACTAAAATCTCACAGTAAACAATAAGTATGTGGGTCCTCTTGCCCTAGTCATGTCTCCTGGGGTGCCATAAGAGCCAGGTCAAGTGTTCTGCACAAGTAGCAGGGCCCCCCTTAGAAGTATAATGTGCTGGAGTCAAACTCCAACCTTTTGAAGGGAAATAAAACCTCTGGAGGAGCCAGATTGTCCCATGTAGTGGGCCCTTTACCACCTAGACATGTTTCCAAGTTTCCAAGCCTCTTTCCTCCTTGAATTGTAAATACAGTCATCCCTCAGTATCCATGGGAGTGTCCAGGGACCCCTTAGATATCAAACTGCATGGACACTCAAGTTCCTTATATAAAATTGTGGAGTATTGGCATGTAACTTATTCACATCCTCCAGTATACTTTAAATCATCTCCAAATTATTTATAATACCTAAAACAATATAAATGTTGTATAGATACTATTTATACTATATTGTTTAGAGAATAATTACAAGATAAAGAATCTCTACATGTTCAGTACAGATGTAATTATCTTCTGTTTTCTTTCAAATATTTTCAAGCCCCAGTTGGTTGACTTCCATGGATGTGGAACCCACAGACATGGAGGGATGACTGTACCTAAAAGGAGAAGGTTCTTCTGTCCCAGGGACCTTAGGGCTTAACCTGAAGACCTAGTCTGGGCTGGAATATTTGCCCTTCTTAGGAAGATCTGAGAAGTTTTATTATGCTCTAGGAAAAAAGCTATTGACAGGACAAATGTCTCTAGACCTAATCCTTTTAATATGTCTAGAGTCCAGGAGGTTGGGGCTTCTAACAGGAGCACTGAGAAACCCACAAAAGTTTTACTCCATTCTTGTTATAAGACCCAATGTCTGGAGACCAAAGGATAGCTTTTGAGGGAGCCTCATTCTGTAGGGGCCTTTTCAGGTATAGCATGTTTGCCTGAAGACCTTCAATATGAACCTAGACCAATTTTAATTAAAAAATAAAAACTGCTTCCAAACCCTGCTCTCTGTCAACAACCACTGTTCCTTATTTCTCTCTGGATTGTAAGCGTCCCTAAAGGCAAATGTTCCTACAACTTTTTCAGTATTTCCGATTGCTTCTGTGGGGGAATACCCAGATATAGCCCACATGTGAAAAAGCAAGGTGTGGAATAGTGGGCCTGGTACACTACCATAGGGGAAGAGTGATAAAAACAGCATAAGTAATTGCTTATTAAGATGGAATTTCACATATATATGTATGTGCACTCCATGGATGGAAGCTACATTTCTCTGAATTTTTAATAGTTTTGATTTTAAAACTTCTAAACAATTTACATAATTAAAAAATAATAAAAATAAAAGAATCCCCACAAATATACAACAAAATAAAATAGTTAAACCTGATCATATATCATGTTGATGGCTAAAACACACAAAGAAGAGACATTTAAAGTCCAAAGAAATTGTGAAGTGTATTCAGTAATCATATTCAGTAAGAATATGGCATAGTTTTCTGAAACCGTAGTAAAACAATCATAATTTCTTTTAAAGACATTAGAAACCAGAATTTTTTGCTAAAGAAAAATAGAGGCAAACTATGAAAATAAAGTATTAACTGAAAACACTGCTGTCTTAAATTTGAATTGGAAATATCAGTCTAAACTTACAATTAATGTTTCTCTTTGCCTAACCCAAGGTTATGACAATTTTCTTTTATTATTTTTATCTAAAAGTTTGTAGTTATGCTTGTCATAAGTAGGTTTGCAATCAAACTGCAGTTGATTTTGGTGTAGGTTATAAAGAAGAAAATTCAGTTTTTTCATTTTCTCCCCTGTGTTCTGTAGTTAAATTGTTTTCCTAATGCAGTATATGTTTATATTTTGTTGGATTTTCATTGTTATACTTTTAAGAAATTTTGGATTTCTATTTCCTAACAATGTTAAAATATTAAAACACTTTTATTTGACTTAACCCCCTTAATTTAAATAATTATTTTATGTGTTCTTCTTTTACATATATTTGCATTACATGTAATGAAGTTACCCTTTCTGTTCCTCTTTCTTTATGCATTTCTGTATTCAAATCTGCAATCATTTATCTCTCACTTGAAGCACTCACTGTAATAACTTTTGTAACTATCTTAGTGTACCATCCTTTCAATTTATTTTTTGAAAACATCTTTATGTCTTATTAATATTTTAATTTTCCCATGATTTAAATGTAGATTCTGTTCTTCCAGCTTATGAATGATGTCATTTCATCGTCTGGCTTTCCATCATTTTCACTGAGAAGTTAGCTTTAGATTTAGTTTTGCTCTTCTGAAGGTAATATGTCTTCTTTTGTTAATCTATTTGTAGGGTTTTCTCTTTGCCTTTCAGCATTTTGTTATAACTATTTCCTTTATATTTATTCTGCTTGGCAGTAGCAGAGCTTCTTAACTCTGTGGGTGAATCATTTTCATCAGTTTAGCAAAATTTTTAGCCATTATCTCTGCTCTTTTGCATATTTTTTTCTGGAGTCTCTTTCTGAAACCCTAATTACACAATATAACATTTTCCCCACATATTCCTTATTCTATTTCCTGTATATTTTTTCTTTCTCTACATGTCTCTGTTGAATATTTTCTACATGTCTTCTACTTTGCAAGTGACATATTCTTGTGTCTAATCTCCTAAATCCACTTATTGAGCTCATAATTAAAGTAAATATATTTTTAAATTCTGGAATTTTCATTTAAAATTTTTACAAATTCTAATTCTCTTTTCACACATTTTCTCCATCTTCCTATTTTTTGTAGATATTAATGATAGTTATTTAAAGTCCTTGTTGCTAGCCCCATATCTGAATTAGGTGCAGATATATTTCTATCTTCTGTGTTTTCTTTTTTTTTGGCTTTTTAATACAATTCATATTATTTATGTGTCTAGGAATTGATAGGCTGCCAGATATATGTATAAGCAAGGTTCAATGTAATACCTTCTTCCACAAATGCTCAGCCTTTACTTTATTAGCCAGACACAATGGTGAGGAATCACCTGATCCAATCCTGGGCTGAGATGAATCTGGCACTTACTAATTTGGGAAGTTTCCATCTACTGTGGTGCTTTCCTATAAATATTGTGAACCAATCCTGACTTCCAAATGAGATAATGGTGTTAGCAGCACTGTCCTTCTCCTAAATAGGTCTCCTAATAGGTGACAAAATATATTTGTGATCCAGTTGAGAAAATTTGAACACGGATGGAATATTAGATAACATTAAGAAATTATTGTTTAACTTTTAGTTGTAACTATAGTAATGTTATATTTTTAAAAAGTATTTTCTCTTAGAGGTATACACTGAGGTATTTACAGATTAAATTGAAGTCATGTTAAAAAAATTGAAAGAAAAAAATTAGGAAGTCAGAGCTGTAAGAGAGAAAAAGTACAGTTGACCCTTAAACAACACGAGTTTGAGTTATGTGCGTCCACTTATACCCAGATTTTCTTCTGCCTCTGCCTCCCTTGAGACAGCAAAACCAACCCCTCCACATCCTTCTCTGCCTACTAAACGTGAATATGATGAGTATGAAGAGCTTTATGATGATCCACTTTCATTTAGTGAATAGTAAAGATATTTTCTCTTCATTATGATTCTCTTAAAAACATTTCCTTTTCTCTAGTTTACTGTATTGTAAGAATACTCTGTTGTATATATAACATACAAAATGTGTATTAATTGACTGCTTATGTTATTGGTAGGGCATCCAGTAAACAGTAGGTTATTTAGAGTTAAGTTTTGGGGGTGAGTCAAAAGTTATGCTTGGATTTTCTACTGCTCAGAGTCAACACATTGTTGCTGACCTAACTCCTACATTGTTCAAGGGTCAACAGTAATATCTTTTACTCACCCATCACAAGGTTTATGGATGAGGCATCTATAACAAAAGACAGATTAGTAATGGAAAAGCATACACGTTTGTTTAATGTTAAGTCTTAGGTGACTTCAAAAATGAAGAACAGGGAAACCTGTGTATCTTCACGCCGAGTTTTTTGAGTGGACAGTCATGAAGAAGCATGATTGGACAAAGAGGGTATGACTTAATGGTAATAAACTGCAGGGAACCTAACAAGGGTTTGTTCAGATTCTTCTGTATGTCTCTGAGTCTTCGAGAATAAGAACGTTTCTTTTCTCCAGGCATAATAGAGAGGGCACCTCTGGAATGAAAGTTTTATGACCTACTTCAGAGGAAGGTCAGAGAATTCTTTTATGACCTGCTTCAGGGAAGAAGGGTGAAGAGAAGATGAGAGTGACCCTCCAGGTCTGCTGCTTCCTAAATGCCACGGTGCCATATTTTGGGGTAGCATGTCCTGAGCTCCATCAGTTTATAGAGGAAACACAATTATCCATATGTATTTGAACACATATGTTCATCATTATAGAGGATGAGTTTTAAGGACGTGGTTTAATTATACTGTTCTCAAATCATTTGTGTACAACTTGAAATTTTCACAATAAAATGTTAAAAGGCATTTTCATTTGATTTACATTCAGTCCTATTCATTTCAACACAATTATTCCATATGGAGTCTAAGTCTTTCTCCTTTCCACCAAACCCCAGTGCCATCCTCAGTTTTATCCCAGTGGCTCTAAATTCAGAGTATGTATTGGGGTGAGTTGAAAGTGAAAAAGGTAGTGATGCATTCTCCCACTATGAGGAGGAAATTCCATTTCCTTTCACCGCTCTTTTTGGTGGAGCAGAGAGGCAGATTAAGCAATAGATACCTTCCCTCTTAGATGGCCAGTAGTTGTCAGGCTATTTCATTTTCTGTTGGTTCTATTGGAAGCACACCTTGATTGTAGGTGGAAAGATCATGATCTCCCTATCCTATCTACAGGAAAGGAGGAATGGAAGAACACAAAATACTGGTAGAAAATACATGATGAAAACACAACCATAAATGCTAACATATTAATAATTACATTAAATATTAATGGACTATATATTCTAATTAGAAAACAATTGAAAATCTGTACATTTAAAAAATACATATTTCTGAGTCATTCCCTCAGTTCTCCACCAGATCAGGAATTTTGCCCTTATATGTTTATGATGTACCTGTAGCACAAAACACTCACTTTCAGCATTCTAACAGAAAGCTTTCTCTATCTCTGGCTTATAGAAGACCATTATGAATTGCTTGTAGAGATTTAAGTGTAAATGAAGGTAATTTTATTTTGTAGAAAATTTTTACAGTATCTCTATATTGAAATTTTTTAAAAAATCACATGAATAATATATACAATGAAGATATGATTATATGTTTTCATTCTTCATTAATGGAGAAAGTATAAATGCCTTTGAGCTTTTTTTAACCTTTCATGTTGCAGGTTGCTAATAAAGCTTGATGTTTTCAGAGGGTGAATAGTAGGCATTTAATACTGTTTATTAAGATTTAAAAGCTGCCAAATGATGTTTAACCAGCACTTATTTCTTCATTCAACTCAATATCAACCTAATAAAATAACACACAGGCAGATAAATCATAAGCTACAAGAATGTAGGTACAGGCATACTTTGAAGATATTGAGAGTTTGGTTCCAGGCTACTGCAGTAAAGCAAATATCACAATAAAGGAAGTCACATTATATTTTTGGCTTCCCAGTACATATAAAAGTTATGCTTATGCTATGCTGTAGTCTATTAAGGGTGCAATATCATTATGTCTAAAAGGGCAATGTACCTTACTTAAAGAATACCTTATTTCCAAAAAAAATGCTAATAATCATCTGAAACTTCACCAAGTCATAATCTTTTTTCTGGTGGAGGGTCTTGTCTTGATGTTGAAAGTTGCTGACTGATCAGGGTTTGGTTGCTGAAGGTTGTGGTGGCTTTGGCAATTTCTTAAAGTAAGAAAACAATAAAATTTGTTGCATTGATTGACTTTTCTCATGAAAAACTCCCCTATAGGATGCAGTGCTATTCGATAGCATTTTACCCACAGAATTTCTTTCAAAATTGAAGTCAGTTCTCTCAAACTCTGCTGCTGCTTTATCAACTAAGTTTATGGAATAGTCTAAATCATTTGTTGTCATTTCAACAACGTTCACAGCATCTTCATCAGAAGTAGATTTCATCTCAAGAAACCACATTCTATGCTCATGCATAAAAAGCAACTCCTCATCTTTTAAAGTGTTATCCTGAAATTACAGCAATTCACTCGTGTTTTCAGGCTCCACTTCTAATTCACTTCACTTGCTATTTCCATCACATTTGCACTTACTTTTTCCATTGAAGTCTTGAACCTCTCATAGACATCCATGAAGGATGAATCAACTTCTCTAAACCCCTGTTAATATTGATATTTTGACCTTCTTTCATCATTATCTATGGCAGCCATTGCCTTGCAAAATGAATTTCTTAAATAATAAGACTTGAAAGTAAAAAATACTCTTTGATCAATGGGCTGCAGGATAGAAGTTGTGTTACCAGGCATGAAAACAACATTAATCTCCTTGTATGTCTCCATTAGACCTCTTGAGTGACTAGGTGCACTGTCAATGAGCAGTAATATTTTGAAAGAAATATTTTTCTAAGAAGTTGGTCTCAACAGTGGGCTTAAAATATTCAGTAAACCATGCTGTAACAGATCTGCTGTCATCCTGGCTTTGTTTTTCCATTTAGGGAGCACAGGAAGAGTAGATTTAGCATAATTCTCAAGGGTCCCAGTATTTTTAGTATGGTAAATGAACATTAGTTTCAGTGTAAAGTCACCATCTGCATTAGCCCTTATCAGGAGAGTCAGCCTGTCCTTTGGAATTTTGAAGCCAAGCATTGACTTCTTTCTAGTTATAAAAGTCCTAGAGAGCATATTCTTCCAATAGAAGGCTGTTTAACTACACTGAAACTTTGTTGTTTAGTGTAGCCACCTTCATCAATTATCTTAGCTAGATCTTCTGGGTAACTTGCTGCAGCTTCCACACCAGCACTTGCTGCTTCCCCTAGCACTTTTAGGTTATGGAGATGGCTTCTTTCCTTAAACCTCTGCTCCTTTCAATCTTTTCTTCTGAAGCTTCCTCACCTCTCAGTTTTCATAGATTTGAAAACAATGCCTTGTTCTGGCTTTGGCTTAAGGGAATGTTGTGGCTGGTTTGATATTCTACCTAGACCATGAAAATGTTTTCCACATCAGCAATGAGGATGTTTTGCTTTTTTATAATACACTTGCTTACTGGAGTAACACTTTTAATCTTTTTAAAGATATTTTCCTTTGCACTGAAAACTTGGCTGTTGACTGTAAGAGGGAGGCCTAGCTTCTGGCTTATCTCTGCTTTCAACATGCCTTCCTCATTAAGCTTAATTACTTCTTCCTTTTGATTCAAAGTGATAGTCTTGCGATTCTCTTCTCACTTGAACACGTAGAGGCCATTGTAGGGTTACTAATCAACCTAAATTCAATGCTGTGTGTCTCAGAGAATAGGCAGGACAGAGGAGAGGGAGAGAGACAGGAGAACAGCCAGTCGATGGAGCAATCAGAACATGTACTACATTTATCTATTAAGTCTGCTGTCTTACATGGGTGCAGTTTGTGGCGCCTCAAAACAATCACAACACTAACAACAAAGATCACTGGTTACACATCATCATAACAGTTATCATAATAATGAAAATTTCAAAATACTGTGAGAATTACCAAAATGTGACACAGAGACATGAAGTGCCTCCCTGCTGTTGATAAAATGTTGCTGATAGACTTGCTCCATGCAGGGTTATCACAGACCTTCCATTTGTAAAGAAAAAAAAAGTATTTGCAAAGTGAATAAAGCCAAGTGACTGTATCTAAATGCTTTAAAGAGAAACCCATTGATATGTAATTAAGTTATTCTGATTATTCTTGGCATTAATAGTCAATTCAAGGTTCATACAATTACCTGTTCATAGATTTCCTTTAAGTGGTGCTAAAATTAACTCATTTATCATGCTTCATTTTATATTTAGTTCCTATGGGACATACAAAAATGATTTTTTTTCAATAAGATTTCATTCCAAGTAACTATTTCCCATTAGAAAACTCTATGAGGAGTTTGTACAGGAATATATCTCATATTCACCAAAAAGGACATTTTTTAACTTTGTTGAGACCAAGTAAATGATGTTTTCCATTTATCAGTAATATCACTTCTTACCCTGCCTTCAAGCTTTTTCTTGTGTTACAAAAATTCTATTTCTAATAACATGTATTAACATGTCTGCTAGCTCAGAGGCCTTTTCTATTTCTTCCAATTATTGGTTTTGATGGTTACAAATAATCAACATCAATGTTTTGAAAGAAGACGAAATAATAAAACAACACCAAAAATCCCACATACGTCTGAATATATATTATGCAAAAAAATCACATTTACTTTTCAAAGGAGTTAGAATAATATCAATACTTCTTTTTCATCTAAATGTATGTCTGAATGCCCACACATAAACTCAAAATATTCATTGAAAAGATCAGTGAATGCTTCAGAATTGTGGCCATAGCATTAAAAGCTTTGGGAAAATAAATATGCTTTTACAGGTTTTTAAAAAAATCAATGTCATCTAAATTATCGATTATCTTTGGTATATACCATCCTGCCGAAATAGTTAGAAAAGCTACAGTAATTAATATATGTGATTTCTTTTTTTTTCACAGGAGCATATCAAAAAAGTTCCAGTAAAGGGAAGAGTACATGTGTTTTATAGGGGGAATATTGCAAATTCCCTATTTTTGCATTCAGTGATATTTTTATTGAGTCCTCGATAATGTAGATTTTTTGGAATGACAGTAGAAATTTCATTCTGAGTTGCAAGGAATGGACTGATTGAATAATCTTACATGTGTGAGGGGCCATAATAATGGCTTATCACATATAGTTTGCCTTGCCTTGGGAAGTGATCCTGAAGTTTAAATCAAAAAGAAAAGTAACTCTAAGGATTATGAAAACAAAGAGATATTTAGTGAATTTGAGACTCTATAATGTTTCACAGAAGCCCAATAGGAGTATGATAGCAGATACTCAAAACGGAATCGATCGGGTAATAATCATGCTGTTCTGTTGGCTTTGCTCCAAGAATATTTATGCATGTAAGGAAAAATGCAGAGAGGAGTTACTTTATTCTGTGCAGAATCTTTGCCTTCATAGGTAGAATAAGCACAAATTGACAAGCTCCTGCTGACTAGTAATATAATAATGCCATGGACCATGAGAGCGAAATGAAGAGAATAAACTAGGCAGCCCTGATTTCCACACGAAAAGCGTAGAGAGTAACTCAGCATCTGGGAGGAACGATTAGTAACAGCTCGCATAATAAGAGTCCCACGAAAATGTTAAGCTTAAACATAACTGAAAATTCAGTTGTTATTTTCATTTCCGTTCTACAAACTAAAATGAAAATCAAAGAACAAAATGATTAAGACATCAATCCAATGTCTAAGGACAAGTAGGAGAGCCATTTAAAAACTTATTTCTACCTGTTTTCAAATACCTTGTGTGGTTTGTTTGTTTTATTTTTTAAACTTTTCAGCTTTATAAAGGCTAAAAACGAAAGAGGTGTTCATTATGCAGGACAGACTAAGGCAGGCTGCAGTCCCAAACGCCTCAGTGCCCGCAGTCTGCAACCGGAAACTCCGCCGCGTGGCCCCTGCCTAGCTCTGCCTCTCTCAGGGCTAGTACCACATTCAGGCGAAGCGGCAGCCTCTGTCTAGGGCATTGCCAGCTGCCAGCACACAGTGTCTTAATTTGTATTGTTGCTGTAACAAATTACCACAAACTTAGTGAACGAAACCAACACAAACCTATGATCTCACAGTTCTGTGGGCCAGAAGACTCACCTGGGTCTCAGCCGGCTAAGATGGAGGCAGGCGGGGCTGTGCTCCTTCTGCAGGCCCAGGGGAGACTCTGTTTCCTCACCTTTCCCAGGTACTTGCTGTCACGCACGCCAGTGGGCTGAGTGGTGGCCCCCCAAAAGGTGTACACACATCCTGATCTCCAGAACCTGTGAATATTACCAGATACTGTAAAAAATAAAAAGAAAAAGTTTATTTTATATGGAAAAATATGTGATTAAGGATTTGAGAAAAGAGACTTATGCTGAATTATCTGAGTGTGCCCTAAATCCAATAAGTGCCCCTTATAAGCATGACACAGAAATATATTTAGCAATCTCACAGAGGAGAAGGTGAGGTAAAGATGGGGGCAGAGATGGAAGTGATGGGGCGTAAGACAAGGACAGCAGCAACCACCAGGAACTAGAAGAAGCAAGGAATGGAAATCCCTCTAGAGTCTTCAGAAGGATCTATCTTGCTGATACTCATGGACTTCTGTTGCTTGGAACTGTAAGATAATACATTTCTGTTGTTTTAAGACACTACCTTTGTGGCGATTTGTTCTGGCAGCCCTGAGAAACTAACACTGTTACATGCCTTACCTCCCTGCCTTCATCCCTCATATTCAAAGCCAAAAATGGCAATCGAGTCCTTCTCGCAGTGCTCTCTCTCTCCCTTTTTCTTTTTTTATAATTTAATTTTATTTTATTTTAAGTTCCGGGATACATGTGTAGGACGTGCAGGTTTGTTACATAGATAAACGTGTGGCATAGTGGTTTGCTGCACCTATCAACCCATCACCTGGGTTTTAAGCCCTACAGGGCTATTTATCCTGATGTTCTCTTTTCTCCCTCCACCACCCCTGAAAAGGTCCCAGTGTGTGTAGTTCCCCTCCTTGTGTCTATGTGTTCTCATTGTTCATCTCATACTTATAAGTAAGAAAATACGGTGTTTGGTTTTCTGTTCCTGAGTTAGTTTGCTGAGGCTAATGGCTTCCAGCTCCATCCATGTCCCTCCAAAAGACATGATCTCATTTCTTTATAAGCTCCATAGTATTTCATGGTGTATATGTACTACATTTTCTTTATCCAGTCTATCACTGATGGGCATTTAGGTTGATTCCATGTCTTTGCTATTGTGGATAGTGCTGCAGTGAACATATGTGTGTATGTATCTTTGTAATAGAATGATTTATATTCCTTTGAGTATAAACCCAGTAATGGGATTGCTGGGCCAAATGGTATTGGTTCTAGGTGTTTGAGGAATTTCCATACTTTCTCCCACAGTGGTTTAACTAATGTATACTCCCACAGTGTAAAAGCGTTCATATTTCTCCACAGCCTTGCCAGCATCTGCTCTTTCTTGAATCGTTAATAATTGCCATTCTGACTGGTGTGAGATGGTATCTCATTGTGATTTTGATTTGTATTTCTCTAATGACCAGTGATGTTGAGCTTTTTTACATATGTTTGTTGGCCACATAAATGTCTTCTTTTGAGAAGTGTCTATTTATGTCCTTTGTCCACTTTTTAATGGGGTAGCTTGTTTTTTTTCTTGTACATTTGTTGAAGTTCCCTGTAGATTCTGGATATTAGGCCTTTGATGGATGGATAGATTGCAAAAATTTTCTCCCATTCTGTAGGTTGTCTGTTCACTCTGATGATAGTTTCTTTTGCTGTTCAGAAGCTCTTTAGTTTGATTAGATCCCATTTGTCAATTTTTGCTTTTATTGGAATTGCTTTTGGTGTTTTTAATCATGAAATGTTTGCCTGTGCCTATGTCCTGAATAGTAATGCTTAGATTTTCTTCTGGAGTTTCCATAGTTTTGGGTTTTATAGTTAAGTCTTTAATTCATCTTGAGTTAATTTTTTATAAGGTGTAAGGAAGGGGTCCAGTTTCAATTTTCTGCATATGGCTAGCCAGTTTTCCCAGCACTATTTATTAAGTAGGCAATGCTTTTCCAGTTGCTTGTTTTCATCAGGTTTGTCAAAAATCGGATGGTCATAGATGTGCGGGCTTATTTCTGATATCTCTATTCTGTTCCATTGGTTTATGTGTCTGTTTTTGTACAATTACCATACTGTTTTGTTTGCTGCAGCATTGTAGTATAGTTTGAAGTTGGGTAGTGTGATGCCTTCAACTTGGTTCTTTTTGCTTAGGATTGTCTTAACTATATATGAGCTCTTTTTTGGTTTCACATGAATTTTAAAGTAGTTTTCTTTCTAATTCTGTGAAGAATGTCAATGGTAGTTTAGTGGGAATAACCTTGAGTCTATAAATTACTTTGGACAGTCTTTTCACAATGTTGATTCTTCCAATCCGTGAACATGGAATGTTTTTTCCACTTGTTTGTGTCCTCTCTCATTTCCTTGAGCAGTAGTTTGTAGTTCTTTTTGAAGAGGTTCTTCACTTCCTTTGTTAGTTTTATTTCTTGGTATTTTATTCTTTTTTGTAGCAATTGGGACTAAGAGTTCATTCATGATTTGGCTCTCTGTTTGTTGTTCGTGTATAGGAATGCTTGTGATTTTTGCACATTGGTTTTGTATCACTTATTCTAAAATCAATCATGTAATTGGAAATAAAACACTCCTCAGCAAATGCATATGGACTGAAATAATAACAAACAGTCTCTCAGACCACAGTGCAATCAAATTAGATCTCAAGATTAAGAAACTCACTCAAAACCACACAACTACATGGAAATTGAACCACCTGATCCTGAATGGCTTCTGGGTAAATAATGAGACAAAAATCACGAAGTTCTTTGAAACCAATGAGAACAAAGAGACAACATACCAGAATCTCTGGGATGCAGCCAAAGCAGAGTTAAGAGGGAAATTTATAGCACTAAATGCTCACATCAAAAAGCTAGAAAGATCTCAAATTGACACCCTAACATCAGAGCTAAAAGAACTAGACAAGCAAGAATAAACAATCCCCAAAGCTAGTAGATGACAAGAAATAACCAAGATCAGAGCCGAAGTGAAGGAGATAGATAAATAAAAATACTTCAAAAAATCAACTCATCCAGGAGCTGTTTTTTTGAAAAAAAAATACACCATTAGCTAGACTAATAAAGAAGAAAAATAGAGAAAAACCAAATAGATACAATAAAAATGATACAGGTGCTACCACCACTGACCCCACAGAAATACAAACAACCATCAGAGAATACTGTAAACACCTCTATGCAAATAAACTGGAAAATGTAGAAGAAATAGATAAATTCTTAGACATGTATACCCTCCCAAGACTGAACTAGGAAGAAGTTGAATCCCTGAATAGACCAATAACAGCTTCTGAAATCAAGGCAGTAATAAATTGCCTACCAACCAAAAAAAGTCCAGCACCAGACAAATTTGCAGCTGAATTCTACCAGAGGTACAAAGAGGAGCTGTTACCATTTTTTCTGAAACTATTCTCAACAACTGAAAAGGAAGGATTTCTCACTAACTCATTTTGTGAGGCCAACATCATCCATATAACAAAACCTGACAGAGATGCAAAGAAAGAAAACTTCAGGCCAATATCCCTAATGAACATTGATGCAAAAATTTTCATTAAGAAACCAGGAGTCATCCTGGCAGATGGGAAGCAGGACTAGATTGCAGCTCTGACTCAGATGGACAGAACAGCATGCAGAGGCTTGAATTGTGAATATTAGCTCCTGATAGACTGCAAGAACAAACCAGCAATCTGGAGAGGATCCACAGACCCTCTGAAAGTAGTGGACTTCTCCTTGCGAGACCCAGGAGACACCCCAAATACTGTGAGTGTCCCAACTGCAGAAGTGGGAAAAGGAGACCATCCATTCCCTAGCACACACTGCCACTGGAGAAACTGAAGGTCTGTTTGCGGGAGAAGTTTCTGACCTTACCTGGAGCTGAGTTAATTTAGACAGCTGAGCAAAATACAGGGGTAAGGAAGTAGCAGAAGGCCCTGGGAGCTCACTGGGTCCCCAAACAGGCTATTCCTGTGTGGCACCACAGGGATACATTGGGAAGGTGGCCAGAGGAGTAGGGGAGAACACCATGGAAAGAAGGAAATCTCCAGCTGAACTTTGTGACAATTTGAACAGGGTGAGATACCTCTTGACCAGAAGTCGGGGGAGGGTGTGAAACTGGTGGGCAAACTCCACAGGCAGAGGACAAACCAAGCCCTTTTCTTTGGCAGCTGGGAGGCAGGTAGCCTGGGGCAAGTTTTCAAGCCCATCTCACCCACCTCCTGAAAACAGGCTCAGGGCTGTTAAGGGCAGCACAAGAGGAGTGAAACTGGCCCTTCAGTTTGCATGGGAGCTGGGTGAGACCTGTGACTGCCAGCTTTCCCCCACTTCCCTGACCACCTGCATGACTCAGCAGAGGTAGCCATAATCTTCCTAGGTACACAATTCTATTGACCTGGGAACCACCCCCCCATACCCAGAGCAGCCACAGCAAGACTCGCCCAAGGAGAGTCTGAGCTAAGACATCCCTAGCCCTGCCCCCACCTGATAGTCCTTCCCTACCCACCCTGGCAGCTGAAGACAAAGGGCATATACTCTTGGGAGTTCTAGGGCCCTTCCCACCACCAGTTCCTCTCCATACTACCACAGCTGATGCTCTCTAAAAGGCACCACCTCCTGGCAGAAGGCCAACCAGCACAAAAATAGAGCATTAAACCACCAAAGCTAAGACCCCTCATGAGTCCATTGCACCCCCACAACCACCTCCACCAGAACATGGTATCCATGGCTGAGAGACCCATCAATGGTACACATCACAGGACTCTGAGCAGACAACCCCCAGTACCAGCCCAGAGCTGGGTAGACTTGCTGGGTGGCTAGACCCAGAAGAGAAACAACAATCACTGCAGTTTGGCTCACAGGAAGTCACATCCATAGGAAAAGAGAGAAAGTACTACATCAAGAGAACACCCTGTGGGACAGAAGAACCTGAACAACAGCCTTCAGCCCTAGACCTTCCCCCTGACACAGCCTACCCAAATGAAAAGGAAGCAGAAAACCAACTCTGGTAATATCACAAAACAAGACTCTTTAAACCACCCGCCCCCCACAAATCACACTAGTTCACCAGCAATGGATCCAAACCAAGATGAAATATCTGTTTACCTGAAAAAGAATTCAGGAGGTTAATTATTAAGCTAATCAGGGAGGCACCAGAGAAAAGCAAAGCCCAATGCAAAGAAATCCAAAAAACAATACAAGAAGTGAAGAACGAAATATTCAAGGAAATAGATAGCTTAAAGAAAAAACAACTCAAAATTCAGGAAACATTGGACACACTTATAAAAATGCAAAATGCTCTGGAAAGTCTCAGCAATAGAATTGAACAATTAGAAGAAAGAAATTGAGAACTTGAAGACAAGGTCTTTGAATTAACCCAATCCCACAAAGACAAAGAAAAAAGAACAAGAAAATATGAACAAAGCCTCCAAGAAGTCTGGGATTATGTTACACAAACAAGCCTATGAATAATCAGTGTTCCTGAAGAAGAGAGAAATCTAAAAGTTCGGAAAACATATTTGGGGGAGTAATTGAGGAAAACTTCCCTGGCCTTGCTAGAGACCCAGACATCCAAATACAAGAAGCACAAAGAACACCCAGGAAATTCATTGCAAAAAGATCATCTCCTAGGCACATTGTCATGAGGTTATCCAAAGTTAAGATGAAGGAAAGAATCTTAGGAGCTGTGAGACAGATGCACCAGGTAACCTATAAAGGAAAACCTATCAGATTAACAGCAGATTTCTCAACAAAAATCCCTACAAGCTAGAAGGGACTGGGGACCTATCTTCAGCCTCCTCAAACAAAACAATTATCAGCCAAGAATGTTGTATCCACTGAAGCTAAGCATCATATATGAAGGAAAGATACAGTCTTTTTCAGACAAACAAATGCTGAGAGAATTTGCCACTACCAATCCAGCACTACAGAACAGCTAAAAGGAGCTCTAAATCTTGAAACAAATCTTGGAAACATATCAAAACAGAACCTCTTTAAAGTGTAAATCAAATAAGACCTATAAACAAAAATACAAGTTAAAAAGCAAAAAAAAAAAAAAGTACACAGGCAACAAATAGCATAATGAATGCAACAGTACCTCGCATCTCAATACTAACATTGAATGTAAATGGCCTAAATGCTCCACTTAAAAGATACAGAACCACAGAATGGATGAAAACTCACCAACCAATAATCTGCTGTCTTCAAAAGACTCACCTAACACATAAGGACTCACATAAACTTAAAGTAAAGGGTGGAAAAAGGCATTTCATGCAAATGGACACCAAAAGCAAGCAGGGGTAGCTATTCTTATATCAGACAAAACAAGCTTTAAAGCAACAGCAGTTAAAAGAGACAAAGAGGGAAATTATATAATGGTAAAAGGCATTGTCCAACAAAAAAATCACAATCCTAAACATATATGCACCTAACATTGGAGCTCCCAAATTTATAATATAATTACTAATAGACCTAGGAAATGAGATAGACAGCAACACAATAACAGTGGGGGACTTCAATACTCCACTGACAGCACTAGACAGGTCATCAAGATAGAAAGTCAACAAAGAAACAATGGATTTAAATTATACCTTTAAACAAATGGACTTAACAGATACATGCAGAACATTTCATTCAACAAATGCAGGACACACATTATATTCAACAGTGCATACAGCTTTCTCCAAGGTAGACCATAAAATGAGCCTCAATAAATTTAAGAAAATTGAAATTATATCAAGCACTCTCTCAGACCACAGTAGAAGAAAACTGGAAATCAACTCTAAAAGGAATGTTCAAAACCATGCAAATACATGGAATAAATAACTTGTTCGTGAATGAGCATTGGGTCAAAACCGAAATCAAGATTGAAATTTAAAAATTCTTCAAACTAAACAACAATAACGACACAACCTATTCAAACCTCTTGGTGGTGCTAAAGAGGAAAGTTCATAGCCCTAAACACCTACATCAAAAAGACTGAAAGAGCACAAACTGACATGCTAAGGTCACACCTCAAGACACTAGAGAAACAAGAACAAGCCAAACCCAAACCTAGCAGAAGAAAGGAAATAACCAAGATCAGAGCAGAAATAAATGAAATTGTACAAAAAAAGTACAAAAGATAAATGAAACAAAAAGCTGGTTCTTTGAAAAGATAAATAAAATTGATAGATTATTAGCAGGATTAACCAAGAAAAGAAGAGAGAAACTCCAAATAACCTCATTAAGAAACAAAACAGGAGATATTACAACTGGCACCACTGAAATACAAAAGATTATTCAAGGCTACTATGAACACCTTTACCCACATAAACTAGAAAACCTGGAAGAGATGGATAAATTTCTGGAAAAATACAATCTTCTAGCACAAATCAGGAAGAATTAGATACCCTGAACAGACCAAAAAAAGCAGTGAGATTGAAATGTTAATTTAAAAATTACTGGTTAAAAAAAAGTCCAGAACCAGATGGATTCATAGCAGAATTCTACCAGACATTCAAAGAAGAATCGGTACCAATTTTTTTGACACTATTCCACAAGATAGATAAAGAAGGAAACCTCCCTAATTCATTTTATGAAGCCAGCATCACCTTAATACCAAAACCAGAAAGGACATAACCACAAAAGAAAACTACAGCCTGATATCCTTGATGAACATAGATGCTAAAATCCTTAACAAAATACCATCTAACCAAATAGAACAACATATCAAAAAGATGATCCACCATGACTGAGTGGGTTTCATACCAGGGATGCAGGGACAGTTTAACATATGCAAGTCAACAAATGTGATACACCATATAAACAGAATTAAAAACAAAAATCACATGATCATCTCAATAGATGCAGTGAAAGTATTTGACAAAATTTGGCATCCCTGTATGGTTAAAACTCTCAGCAAAATCAGCATAAAAGGGACATACCCCAGTGTAATAAAAGCCATCTATGACAGACCAATGGCCAACATAATACTGAATGGGGAAGAGTTGAAAGCATTCCCTCTGAAAACTGGAACAAGATAAGGATGCCCATTCTCACCACTCCTCTTCAACATAGTACTGGAAATCCTAGCCAGAGCAATCAAACAAGAGAAAGAAATAAAGGGCATCCAAATCGATAAAAAGGAAGTCAAACTGTCACTGTTTGAGGATGATATGACTGTTTACCTTGAAAATCCTAAAGACTCCTCCAGAAAGCGCCTAGAACTGATATAAGAATTCAGCAGTTTCTGGATACAAGATTAAGGTACACAAATTAGCAGCCACCAAGGAGAAATTCAAATCAAGAACTCAAACCCTTTTACAATAGCTGCAAACAAACAAACAAACAAAAACACTTAGGCATACACCTAACCTAGGAGTCAGAAGACCTCTACAAGAAAAACTACAAAAAACTACTGAAAGAAATCATATTTCTTTCATGACACAAACAAATGGAAACACATCCCATACTCATGAATAGGTAGAATCAATACTGTGAAAATGACCCAAAGCAATCTACCAATTCAATGCAATCCCTATCAAAATACCACCATCATTCTTCACAGAATTAGAAAAAAACAAGTCTAAAATTCATATGGAACCAAAACAGAGCCTGCAGAGCCAAAGCAAGACTCAGCAAAAAGAACAAATCTGGAGGCATAACACCACCTGATTTCAAACTATACTATAAGGCCATAGTCACCAAAACAGTGTGGTACTGGTATAAAAATAGGCACATAGACCAATGGAACAGAATAGAGAACCCAAAAATAACCCAAATACTTAGTGCCAACTGATCTTTGACAAAGTAAACAATAACATAAAGTGGGGAAAGGAAACCCTTTTCAACAAATGGTGCTGGGATAATTGGCTAGCCACATGTAGGAGAATGAAACTGGATCCTCATCTCTCACCTTATACAAAAATCAACTCAAGATGGATTAAGAACTTAAATCTAAGACGTGAAACTATAAAAGTTCTAGAAGATAACATTGGAAAAACCCTTCTAGACATTGGCTTAGGCAAGGATTTCATGACCAAAACCTGAAAGCAAATGAAATAAAAACAAAGGAAAACAGTTGGGACTTAATTAAACTAAAGGGCTTTTGCAAGGCAAAAGGAACAGTCAGCAGAGAAAATAGACAACCAGCAGAGTGAGAGAAAATTTTCACAATCTATACATCTGACAAAGTACTAATATCCAGAATCTAAAACGAACTCAAACAAATCAGTAAGAAAAAAAAAAAAATCCCATCAAAAAAGTGGGCAAAGGACATGAATAGACAATTCTCAAAAGAAGATATACAAATGGCCAACAAACACATGAAAAAATTCTCAGCATCACTAATTATCAGGAAAATGCAAATCAAAACAATAATGTGATACCATCTTACTCCTGCAAGAATGGCCATAATAAAAAAATCAAAAAACAGTAGATATTGGCATGGATGTGGTCATCAGGGAACACTTCTACACTGCTGACGGGAGTGTAAACTAGTACAGCCACTATGGAAAACAATGTGGAGATTCCTTAAAGAATTAAAAGTAGAACTACCATTTGATCCAGCAATCCCACTACTGGGTATCTACCCAAAGGAAAAGAAGTCATTATACAAAAAAAGATACTTGCACATGCATGTTTATAGCAGCACAATTTACAACTGTAAAATCATGGAACAAACCCAAATGCCCATCAATCAACAAGTGGATAAAGAAACTGTGGGGGGTGTGTGTGTGTGTGTGTGTGTGTGTGTGTGTGTATACACATATATACACATCTATATATGAATATATATATGATGAAATACAATTCGACAATGAAAAGGAATGAATTAACAGCATTTGTAGCAACCTGGATGAGACTGTAGACTATTATTCTAAGTGAAGTAACTCAGGAATGGAAAACCAAACATCATATGTTCTCATTGATATGTGGGAGCTAAGCTACGAGGACGCAAAGGCATAGGAATGATAAAATGGACTTTGGAGACTTGGGGGGAAGACTGGGAGGGAGGCAAGGGCTGAAAGACTACTAACATGGTGCACTGTATACAGCTTGGATGATGGGTGCACCAAAATCTCACAAATCACCACTACAGAACTTAATCGTAATCAAATACCACCTGTACCCCAATAATTTATGGAAAAATTAATTTTAAAATAATGTAAAATTTGAAAACCTTCAATAAAATACTGGCAAACCAAATCCAGCAGCATATTAAAAAAACTTATCCACCACAATCAAGCTGGTTTCATCACCAAGATGCAAGGCTGGTTCAACACATGCAAATTAATAAATGTAATTCATCACATAAACAAAACTAAAGACAAAACCACATGATTATCTCAATACATGCAGAAAAGGCCTTTGATAAAATTCAACATCCCTTCATGTTAAAAACTCTCAATAAACTAGGCATTGGTGGAACATACCTCAAAATAATAAGAGCCATGTATGACAAACCCACAGCCAATATCATGCTGAATGGGCAAAAGCTGCAAGCATTCCCCTTGAAAACCATCACAAGACAAGGATGCCCTCTCTCACCACTCGTATTCAACATAGTATTGGAAGTTCTGGCCAGGGCAACCAGGCAAGAGAAAGAAATAAAGGGCATTCAAATAGGAAAAGAGGAAGTCAAACTGTCTCTGTTTTTGGATTACATGATCCTATATTTAAAAAACTGTCGTCTCAGCCCAAACGCCTCTTAGGCTGATAAGCAACTCTCTCTCCTTTTTTTCTATAGTTGGTTCCCTTGGGCCATCATCAGCAAATGTCCCCTGTGTTTAAGAAATAAAGTGTATTCAAATAGGAAGAGAGGAAGTCAAACTATCTCTGTTTGTGGATTACATGATCCTATATTTAGAAAACCCCATCGTCTCAGGCCAAAAGTTTCTTACGCTGATAAGCAACTCTCTTTCCATTTTTCTATAGTCAGTTCCCTTGGGCCATCATTAGCAAATGTCCCCTGTGTTTAAGAACTCATGTGATTATGTTCCTGGGGATAATCTCCTCATCTCAAGGTCCTTATGTTAGTCACCGCTGCAAAGTCCCTTTTGCCATGTAAAATAACATAATCACAAATTCTGGGATCAAGGTACGGATATCTTTGGAGGCATTATTCTGCCCTTTGCAGAGAGTAAAAGACAACATAGTGTACCACATTAGGTTTCTTATAGTGCTTCTTCCTGGAATGACAAATATCATTTCCATTTATGTTTTATTGGCCAAAGCAAGTCATATAGGCATGTCTGATTCCACAGCGCAGGGGTATATAATCAACATGCAAGAAAGAATATGGAATATGACAATAATCATACACTCTATCCAAGAGAGGCCAACTGCTTTACTGTGACACAAGGACACATGGAACTACTCAGGATGTACCATGAAAAAGACTTCAGGATGCAGAAAATATTAAGATGGGCATCTGTTTGGAAGGGAAATTTTTATACACTGTAGTAATATAAATAAACTACAAGTGCCACAGGAAAGAGTCAGACAAGTATCATAAAGGAATCTCATTGTAAATCATCTGAAAAGATTCATTCATTAATTTGAGGAAAGCCACGGAAGGTGTTTATGAGAGGTCGCCACAGAAGATGGAGATTTATAGCCAGATATTTTTCTCTTCATCTTTTAAAATCAGGCCTGTGTATCAGTTCCATGTGGAGGAATTCCTGACCTCTCAGTCATACCAGGGTAGGTTCAATACCTCTCCTCAGTTTCCATAATAATGTGATCCACATTTTTAAAAACCCCAAAACCTTGTTATGCCATTGTGTACTTTTAGGCAGAAAATTGTCTTCTTTATGCAGGTATCATATTGTAACGTATTTCATTGAAGTTGCTCAATAAACTTTGAATCAATAAAAGGATTTAAAGTCAGTGAAGAGCTGATGAATGGAAGTGTTCTAAAAATATGTGAGACAATAAGTATGTTTGCTAAAATATTGAGAAGTTAAAAGAAATTAGACCTGAAAAACATGTAATGAAGTTGAATTAATCCATTTCCTCAGCTGAACATATACCTATCATCTACTAAGCTCAGGCATGAGGCATGACATGAGAAAGGGTCTGTCCCATTAAGTAACAATGTAGTTATGTTAAGGGTTTCCACGTTTTTGGCATCTTGAACAAAGAACTGGACAAAACACACGAATAAAGCAAGGAATGAACGAAGTAACAAAAGCAGAGATTTATTGAAAAATGAAAGTACACTCTGCACAGTAGAAGTGGGTCCCATTAAGGTGGTTAAGAGCCTGGTTACAGAATTTTCAGGGCCTTAAATATCCTCAACACATTTCCCATTGGTTACTTGGTGTACACCCTATGTAAATGAAGTAGTGGCCCATGATCAGTCTGATTGGTTGCTGGAGGGGACCAATCAGAGGCTGAAGTGAAGATACGAAGACGTACTTTCAATTTTTCAACTGCCACGCAGAAAGAAAGGGGAAGGTTGCAAAGAGTCCTTTTGTTACTTAGGAGTGGAAAGTTGGAATTTTCCTTTTGATTGAGTTCTAGGAAGTCAGCATGAATCTACCTTAGGTTTCCTTTCTCCAGACCCTATTCTGCCCTCAGTAAGCCATGTCAGGACATCAACCCAATGTACCCTATCCAGGAAAACCATAGATGTCAAATAAATGTCAGACAGATGCAAAAAGATAACATGAACTGTGAAGTTAATGTTTAAACAAGCATGTTGATCCACTATAATTAGGGTTAATGTACTATTCAACAACTGTCCCTATATATGTATATATGTTAACCTTTCTCTTCTCTTTGAGTGGACCTCATTTCGTTGACACTTAAATGAGAAAATATCTGCCATTTAAATAAACACTTTGTTTTAAACATGGCTTTTCAAGATCATAAGAAATATACTTTAATCTTGTGCAAAAAAGACATTATCCACCATTTGAATCTCTGTGCCCATATGTTTCTATGTTTAGATTATGTGTTTTTACATCTCACATTAAAAGTGTAACTACTGGCCATTTACTTATTGCTGAGAACTCACAGACACTGATATTTTAAATATTTAAACAAGTAAAAATGCTTATTCAGAAAGAAAATTTTTAATTCAAACTAGAAGACTTCACCTTCAAGTAGGTCCTGGCCTCTAACCAGCGGAAATCACGCTATCGTGTTAATCACTTCCCCGCTATCCGGGTTGCCTTATTTTTCAACATATGCCTGTCTTTAATTTTCCCGCCACAACAATTAGGAACATTATGTGTGGTTTAGCAAAAAGCCTAGAAGTGATTTCTTTGTGGCTAGAGAGGCACAGGAGCAGAGTGTGCTGGCTCTTCCAGCATAAACGCGTTTCCTTGGCGCTCCTTCCATTCACGCATACTTTTAGCTGCCACAGACGGAGTCTAATTCCCTGAAGAAATTCACATCATTGTGATTCTCTGAGCTTCCATGAATGAAACTGGCATTTGCTATTATAAACCTCTGTTTTTAGGATTTTATAATAATTTTGCTGAGAAATATAATTTGATACAGAATTATACTGAATGGCAGCTAGAGCAGTACATCTTTTGACTGGATTTAAATTAAAACAGAAATGAAGGCCATTTTAGCAGCTTTAATTTACACAACTGCAAAGATGTAATAAAAAATGTGCTAGACCCTGAGTTTATTCCAAAATGCTGTCTGTTACGTTGCAGCAGTTTGTACACCATCAAAGCCCCAGGGAAGCATTGAGCGGGAGCACTAATATCCTTCCTCAGACCCACGTGATGCCTCTCTCTCCTGTGTTTATGCAAAACAAACATTACCCAACAAAATCTCCTTTGCTACTACATTCAGTTAGCACTCCTTCAAATAAAACGCCTATTCGGCAAAGCAAGGTAATACCTATGCCCTGAGCATTCTCTGATACAAATAACTAAGTATGTTTTTTCCATGAAGTAAGCAGCAGCCTTGGTCTTCCTTTTCAACCCTAGATACTTCCATTTATTTTGGATGAAAGAAAATTGAGCTTAGGAATCCAGTCATTATTATCACTGCTATGAGCACCATCATTATCATCTCAGGGTATTAAAAATGAAACAAACTACATTAGCAAGGATTCTGCTGCAAATAACCTAGAACATTTGACCTATTTGAAGCTTAAAGGAATTAAAAAGAGAATGAGGTTGCCCACAACATTTTGGAAGGGCTGAAGAAGTTACTCTATGCTTTACTTCCGGAAATTATACTAGAATGATGCTGCCTGCCAGAGGAGACGTGAAATCTGTGACACTCATGAACTGAGGAACCAGGAATATATGCCTCTGGAATGAAGCTCACTGTGAACTGCCAGCCAGGATCAAGACCTGCACCCTGCCTGTGTTGAAATTCCATCGTGAAATGAACAGCACAAGTCTTTTCAACGCTCAAGATAGTTAGGACCCAACATTTCCATAGGAAAACCCAATGCCTGTTCTCTCACACCTACCAGAACAAAAGCATGTGATCTCCAACAGCATCAAAGCCTTTACTTCATTCCTTCATCTGTATCTCACATCAGCGTCTGATTCCTTGAATCCAAATCCCATATGGAATCCTAACTACCAGGTAATCTGGTAAATCTTAATGTTTAACTATCCAGCTTCTACAGTAAAGGAAAGCATATTGGAAGTCTGTTTTTAAAACATATTTGGTTGTAAAAAAAAAAGAGAGAGAGAGAGAACATACTTTACATGACAATGCAGTACACATAAATCCACATACGCAGATAGACAAAATCCTTTTTGCTGTTGTACTTACCACTCATTCAACTAAAATTGCCCTTTCAATAAAGGAGGCTAATCCCTATGCCCTGAGCGTTCTCTGATGAATTTAAGTGTTTTATGTCCGTGAAATAAGCAGCAGCCTTGCTTTTCCTTTTCAACCCTGGACACCTCCATTTATTTTCAATAAAAGAAAGTGTAGCTTAGAAACCTAGTCATTATTATCACCATACAAGTATATTTACATACATGTGTTCTAAAATAACACTAACTCTCCCTAGGTGTGAAGCACCCAGATATTTTCTATTCTATCTACTATTCTGTTCAATTCTAATTTATATTTTCACATTTGTTACAGGCATTTTATTTGAAGGAGTGCTAACTGAGTGTAGTAGCAAAGGGGATTTTGTTGGGTAACGTTTCTTTTGCTCTGGAAAGAGATAAGCCTGTATTATAAGGATGGTGAAATAAATATTAACTATCAACCTACCATATCTACCACAGAATGTTAGGGATAATTTCTTTTCTTTTTTTTTTCTTTTTTTTTTTTCCTTTCCTCCTTCTTTTTTTTAAATTTTCACCAATCAGACAGAAAATAACAGATGTTAGCAGGGATGCATAGAAAAGGGAATGTAATGTACTATTGGTGGGAATGTAAATTAGTAACAATCTCTATGGAAAACAGTGTAGACATTCCTCAAAGAACTAAAAATAGAACTCCCTTTTGATCTGGCAATCTCACTGCTGTGCATCTACCCAAAGGAAAATAAATCATTATATCAAAAAGACTTGTATTCTTATTGCAGCAGTATTCGTAATCACAAAGTTATGGAATCAACCTAAGTGTGCCTCGATGGATGACTGGATTTTTTAAAAAGTATGTAATGGAATACTACTCAGTCATAAAAAAAATGAAATCATGTCTTGTCCAGGAAAATGGATTGAACTGGAGGCCATTATCTTAAGTGAAACAACTCAGACACAGACAAATATCGCACGTTCTCACTTATAAGTGCAGTCCAAATAACATGTGCACGTGGACATCAAGTGTGGAGTGATAGACATGGAAGACGTGGAAAATGAGGAGGTTGGAGGTGAGTGGATGGTGAGAAATTACTTAATGGGTACAATGTACCTTACTCTGTGATGGCTACATAGACAGCCTAGGCTTCACCACGATGCAATATATTCATGTAACAAAATGACACTTGTACCACATACATTTATAAAAACAAAAAAAAACTTAAAAATGTTAAAAAAATAATTTAGTTGAATTCATTCATATTTTAGACAAGGAAATGAAATAATGTTTCTAAAATCACACAATCACTTTAATAGTAGCAAATTTGAAAACAGAAATTAGATCATTTGGCATTTCATTCTAGAGACCTGACATTCATTCTACAGAAGCTTATTGAGTTCCTATCACACACTGACGGATTTACAAACACTATCCTGTTTCACCCTCAGAAAACTCTGAGACATAAGTATTATTATTTACCTGTCAAAGAAGAGAAAATTGATACTCAGATTAAGAAAAAAATCTCCCCAAAGCTTAACTGTTAAGCCTAGGGTTCAAACCCTAAATTGTGAGACTGTGGGGGTGTCTGTCTTATAATCCCCCCCACACGATATCTTTTAGAGTGTGTGCTATTGAACAGCAATGATTACTACCAATACTAGTAATGCAACTAAAACAAAAGGGAACTGATAATGATAAGGTTATTTATTACCCATCCATTGTTTATGAGTCATAATGTTACATGTACTATAAAATTAACTTAATTTCCTGAAAGGAAAGTTGTATTGCTCCTATTTTATAGGTAAGGATGCTGTGAATCAGTGAGGTTTACTGCAACCCTCAAGGTCACACAGCCAGCTATTAGCAGAGCTTGGATATAAACCTGGATTTCCTTGACTCCATGCACAGACCAGGCTTCCTAAACCAGCTAGCCTGAGTCAGTACACACAAACTCTCAAACCTTAATTTCTCATTTCATGGAAGTCACTATCTAAGGACTATAAGAAAAAACAAAACAGAACAAAAATACTGTGAGAGCAAAAATTCATAGCACTTCCTGAGTACTTCACATACTTCTTAGGTATTCGCCCATTATCTGTTAGCATATTCAATTTTCAAAATAAAAGAAATAACATGTACCACAAAAATTTCATTGATACAGAGACTTTTATTAACCCTGTTACATATCTTGCTTATCTGAGGCCAGTGAAGTTATCTAGCCAAGGTTGCATAGCCAGGAAATGGTAGAGGTGGATGTTGAGACAGGGAGTCCAGCCAGAGGCCAAAGTTTATGGAAACACAAATAATAGTGAATGTGAACAGTCAAGATAGGGAGATCTAGCTGTTTGGGGTGCACAAAAGTTTATGGAGGTGAAAGCATTGGATATGTTAGGTTAAGGATTAGTAGAAATGAGCTGTGTTATAAAGAAGACAGAACAATTTTTCCTCATTCACTTATTAGTAAAAAATAAATACATAAATAATTCTAAAAAAACTCACAAAGGCCAGGAAAAAACAAGGCTTTTACATGGAAGTCATCTTAATTATACATACCATATATTTCTGGAGAATAGTGAGATAAACTTAGAAAACTGAGCTGCAGCCCAAAGCTGGAAGGCTTCAGACGCTGAGCTAAGGAATCAGACTTAACTTCATTATGTCAAAGGTGAGCCCTTTAAAGAATCAATCAGGAAATATTGATTAATAATCAAAGCTGATTCAGGACTCCATGCCTTTTTCATGCTGTGACTCCAACTGGAATCCCTTTCTCTCTCCCTTCTTTTATGCCTGTCAATGTCCTGAACCAGGATAAAGCTTATTCATCTTTAAGGATCTGGTATGAACTTCACATCCTCCTGAATATCTTTTTAGAACTCAGAAGTTCGGATTAAACGTAGCACTTCCCTTTTATTTTAATACTCATATTAGTAATCTATATTAAAATATTTAGTTTATGTATCCTTCTGTCAATCTAGACCATGAGTTCTTTGAATACAATTGTGAATGCACAGTGCCTGGCATGTAATCACTTATTAATGGATGGGTAGAATAAATTTCTGAATTTGAATGAATTATCTCAACCACTAATTTAACACATCCTCTACTTTAAGAATTAGTGTTCATATGAGTACTTTTATTTTTTCCATTACATTGTTTCTCAATGTCCAGATGCAAGCAATGAACCTGTAAACAAAATATCTACATGCTTACAGTTCATATATTTATATATAGATGCAAAATATATATAATCACATAATAAATGAATAACATTGAATTATATACTTTCAATCATGTTATGAATAATTCAATGAATAATATTTATTATGCAATTATATATATATTGCATCTATATATAAACATATGAATCAATTGTGGCCCCTCAAATTTAAATGTTGAAGTGTTAACTCCCCAGCTCCTCAGAATCTGATTGCATATTTGGAGACAGGGTCTTCAAAAAGATAATTAAGTTAAAATGATGTCCTTAGAACAGGCCCTAATCCAATATGACCGGTGCCTTACAAGAGGAGGAGATGAGATGACATACAGACAAAGGGAAGTCCATGAAGACATAGGGAACAGAAAACCATCTGCTAGCCAAGGAGAGCAGTCTGGGAGAAGCCAACCCTGGAAACTCCTCCATTTCAGACCTTCAGCCCCCAAAACTGAGTGAAAACAATTTGTGTTCTCTAAATCACCCAGTCGGTGGTTCTTTGCTATGACGGCTGTAGCAAACTTGTACCATAAGCATTAGAAGGCAAAGAAATGAGCTTTCTAAGTCAGTAGCCATTAATTCTGACACTGAATTATGTGTAGGTACACGGCTTCCCATTACCTAGCTGCTATCCTTGGGGGAACATGCTTTTGCTGCTCCTTACTGTTGGAGCTAAGTGGGGTGGCTCTTGTGTCCACACAGCATACGGCACCTCATTACTGAATGTGTAAGTATAATGCAATGATCCAGTTCCAATAGTAAGAAGATAAACATGAAGAAGTGGGTACATGGATGTGAGTGTGGGGGATAGAGGAGAAAAAAATCAGCAACGGCAGTTTCCTCACTAAAGAGTTATCCACAGGCCATGACTGAGTTGAAAAGCTCTACTTACTTCATCCATGTGAAGGCATTTCTAGTGTCTTCCATATCTCTACCTCCTCTGAGGCAATTTATCCACTCTATCACATAAGAATTTCAATTCTACACAGATTTTTAGTGCTGGAGTGTGGCACAGATGAGAGAAATAATCATTTCCCCCTCTCATATTAACTTAAAGCACCATTTTTTTCTAAATTATTTCAAGCAACTCACTTGAAATATGTGTTGCCCCCTATAACTATAATAACCACTGATACACTGGCAAAATCACACTTCTGGGACACATGGCTTTGAATGGCATATTTCAAGAGTTTGAGACTTGCATTCAGGATATAAGCTTTGAAAAACAGGTTATTTAAGGCTTACAGTAGCTGAATCTCAGATCCCACTAGTATTTAAACTGGAGAGAGTTGGTCCATGCATCAACCTCAGACTCACCTTTGATTCAGTTACAGCAGGGCCCTTTATGCACAAACTTACATAAATTATTTATTCAAGTTTTATCATGCTTGTACTGATAGCCTCTCAGCAAAATTAGAGGAAGAGTGTTGAATTGATGAATTAATTGAACTATTAATGCTTTGTATCTTTCCCAGACACTAACCTACCCTGCTAAATCCTCCCAGTGCCACTAGATTGGCTGGCCTCCCCTCAATCCAGTAAAGTCTCTAATCTTTGCCAACCTTTCTTTTTAATTTGTAACACTGAACACAGAGCCTGAGTTTGCCCCCAGGTAGTTTGTGCTGTTTTCTGCTCCCCTATGAAGAGATTCATTTCCTGGAATTAATTTCAACCATGATTCACTGTGTCACTCACAGATATTTGATCTAGATTTTTCTTATTTTTATGAAAAGGTAGGATGTCTTCTCTGTCTTTGTATATCCTAACTGCTGCATTAAAGCCCATTATTTCTTGAACCCATTTCAATCAGGCTACTGTCACCTTTTCTCCATTGAAAGGGGTCATGTCCAAGTTAAGAATGACCGCACAATGTCGAAACCAATGGCCAATTATCAGGCATAATTCACCCCCAATATTTCACATAGGTTCTTTTCTATTTTCCCTAAGTGTTGGCTGGTCTGAGAGATAAAGGGACAGAGTACAAAAGAGAGAAATTTTAAAGCTGGGTGTCAGGGGAAGACATCACATGTTGGCAGGTTCCCTGATGCCCCCTAAGCCGTAAAACCAGCAAGTTTTTATTAACAATTTTCAAAAGGGGAGGGAGTGTAAGAATAGGGTTTGGGTCACAGAGATCATGTGCTTCACAAGGTAATAGAATATCACAAGGCAAATGGAGGCAGGGCGAGATCACAGGACCACAGGACCGGGGTGAAATTAAAATTGCTAATGAAGTTTCCGGGCACGCATTGTCATTGATAACATCTTATTGGGAGACAGGGTTTGAGAGCAGACAACCGGTCTGACCAAAATTTATTAGGCGGGAATTTCCTTGTCCTAATAAGCCTGGGAGCACTACGGGATACTGGGGCTTATTTCATCCCTACAGCTTTGACCATAAAAGATGGCCACCCCCTGAAGCGGCCATTTTAGAGGCCTACCCTCAGGGATGTATTCTCTTTCTCAGGGATTTCCTTGCTGAGAAAAAGAATTCAGCAATATTTCTCCCATTTGCTTTTGAAAGAAGAGAAATATGGCTCTGTTCCACCCGGCTCACCAGTGGTCAGAGTTTAAGGTTATCTCTCTTGTTCCCTGAACATTGCTGTTATCCTGTTCTTTTTTGAAGGTGCCCAGAATTCATATTGTTCAAACACATATGCTCTAGAAACAATTTGTGCAGTTAACACAACCATCACAGGGTCCTGAGGTGACATACATCCTCCTCAGCTTACGAAGATGACGGGATTAAGAGATTAAAGACAGGCATAGGAAATCATAAGGGTATTGATTAGGGAAGTGATAAGTGTCCATGAAATCTTCACAATTTATGTTCAGAGGTTGCAGTAAAGACAGGCGTAAGAAATTATAAAAGTATTAATTTGGGCAACTCATAAATGTCCACGAAATCATCACAATCCACATTCTTCTGCCATGGCTTCAGCCTGTCCCTCCGTTCAGGGTCCCTGACTTCCCACAACAGCCAATCATAAGGGTTCTATTAATGGCCTCTCAGAAACAGTGAGCAGTTTACTGTCTCCTTGTCTTCATATACATTTTTACTATCCTCACAGACACTGCTTTCTTGATGCTTTCCTTCTTACCTCATTGGCTATTTCTTCTCAGTCTTTGCTGGATGTCCCTTGGTCTGACCTCTAAATGTTGGAATACACAATGTTTCACAGTTGGATATTCAGAACTCTGTTTCTCAATCTACACTCACTCTTTACAAAGAACTCATTCAGCTCTACAGCTTCAAAGGCCTTCGGTACATCAATATAGGTGTGATGTGAGGCTCCCACTGAGATTCCAGAACAGTGTATCTACTTACTTAGTCACCATCCCCACTCTGAAACCTAATAAATAACCCAAACCTGATGTGATTAAACAAGCACCCTTGCTCTGTCACTCCCTTTTCTTTCTCTTCCCTTACCAAATCACTCTTCTCTTTCTCTTCTTTATCTTGGTAAATGTCATTACTATTTACCAAGTTCCTCAGACAGAAATGTATGAGGTATTTTGATTGTTTTAGTATATCATTACCAAAAAACTTTACAATCAGTCAGTTCTACCTTCAGAATATATTCCCCCAATTTGGCTATTTTACTACCTCTCTGCCCTCCACCACAGTCCATGCCCTAATTATTTGTGGCTGTTACTAAAACGGCCTCCACTGTGGTCCTCCACCTCCACAATTGCCTATTCCACATGTTCTACTCCCCACCTTGCAGAGTGTTTTTCTTTTAATATTTAGAAAAATTTTATTCCTATAAGTAAGTGTATTGTCAAAATAATCTTATAAAATAAATTAGGAAATCAATTTTCTTTTTCCAAAATTATTTAACAGTGTCTCACACATTTAATAAAATGTAAACATCTTGTTTTGGCCAACAGGGACCTTCAGGAACCAGCTCTTCCCCTCGTCTCCTTGCCCAGCTTCACTGCAGCCATGTGGGTCTCCTTCCTGCACAAATCATCAAACTCATTTCTGCCTTAAGTCCTTTGCTTCTATGGTTCCCATGAAATATTTACCCCCAGATAGCCACATGGGTTGTGCCCTCACATATTCATGTCTTTACTGGCCTAATCCCTCTTCACAGAGGCCTCCCCTGAACTTTATTACAATACAGCCACCACCAGCCTCACTGTTGGCAACTTCTTCAAACTTTTATAAAATTCATTATTTTCAGCAACTCTTCTTTACATGAAATTATACTGCATATGATTGTCCTTTTCTGTCTCCTCATCTACCCTCAAAAATACTTTGCTTGTTAATTAGCTACCATGTTTCAGTATTCAAAAGGCAAAGTTTCTACAATTAGTATCTGATTTGCACTGTATGTGCATGGGGAGGAGTTGGACTAGAAGATCTTTGATATAAATCTATTTCATATTGCTTCAACATATTTTAAAACCTGCTTCACAGGAAAGTAGTTTTATAACCAAAATTACAGTCTCTGACTAACTACTTTTGTAGACTTGCATTGCAGTACCTGAACTGCACCTCCATATTTATATACTACACAATATTCCCAGAACCCAGCTGGTATTGATAGACAAAAGAAGACAGTCAGTTGTCAAGTGCTCACTTCAGAAAAACATCCTACAACAATTCTACTAATCAGTGTTCTGTCAGTAATGCACTTTCAATCAGCAATGCATTTTCAAAATGTATTTATAATTTCCTAACCCATAGAATAAAGCATAAGTTACTCATGAAAACAATCATTAGAACTTTCAAAACCAGTTTTTAAAAATAGTCTGTAAGTGCATATGCAAGAGCTGCACTTGCTTGTCAATACCAAGTGGGCAGTCTGGTTGAGGAGATAAAGGAGGATTGGAAACACAGTTGTGGCTTCCTTCCAGTATTGTGTGAGAGGGACTTCATCTCCACCTGTCTTTGTGTCATTAACTGTTTAGCCAAAATTAATAAAAGTATAGAATCAGGGATATTTGGAGGAACAATTTCATAGGTCAAATATAAATTTACTAGGAGGCTAAATTATGTCTAACAATTTAGGATTCATAAACATGATTTTAAACTCAGGGAGGTGAGATTTAAAGATGACTGTAGCTAAGAAAGCAAAGGCTTACAGAAACCTGTACACAAGCAAGTCAATGTGTGTTTGGCACTGTCTGAAGAAGGTGCGTGACAAGCAGCAGGTGTGTGCAGCAGCAGCAGATGTGTGCAGCCCCAGGGACGACGGACTATGGCTCAGAGACACGCACACATCCTGTGATTCCGGTTATTCTATCACAAAGCCCACCCCATTCTAATTATGACCACATGTGCTTTCCTGTGCAGATTTTCCTACACTGAGAAGAAGCAGTGCTGACCATGAGGATTTTCTGGTTCTCCTATCTTTCCTTTTCAAAATGAAGTCTTTTATGCCCTGAATCATTGGCCAAAGTCTGCTCTAATCTATGACTCACCAAAATTTGTTACTGGCTCTGCAGAGTTAAGGAGAGGGCCACAGGTCAGGGTAACATCTTCATATGAGTTCCGTTTGTTGAATTATTTCCTGAGGGACTAGCTTTTCTTCCAAACCAATATTTCAACCCAAAAACCTCTACTTCTAGTGTGGAACTGAGTTATAACCTAAGAATATGAAGGCACCTGATTAATTTGATTGAATAAATTGAATGCACTTATGATGATGAAGAAAGTGATAGATTTGAGATTGCTGAATGAAATAGAAAATGACTGAAACAAGACAAGAATGAAGTATATATACGCAATGTGAAATACCATTCAGCCTTAAGAAAGGGAAAAAGTCTGTCATTTGTGACAACATGGATGAAACTGGATGACTTTATGTTAAGTGAAATAAGCCAAACACCGAAAAATATGCTGTGTGTTTTCACTTATATGTAGAATCTAAAACCTGGGGAGTGGAAGAAATGAGGAGATGATAATCAAAGGGTACAAAGCCTCAGTTAGATAGAAGGAATAAGGTTGATTTTTTTTTAGATCTACTGCACAATGTGGTGAATATAGCTAACAATTTAGTACTCTACACTGCAATATCACTGAGTAAATCTCAAATGGTCTCATCATGAAAAAATCTAATATTTGAGGTTATCGATAGATCAATTAGCTTGATTTTTCAATTCACATTGTATTCCAAAATCATAACATCACTTTGTGCCCCATAAATACATACAACTATAATTTGACAATGAATAATAAAAACAAATAAATAAAAAGCCTATATTGAGACCACATAAATAGCACTGTAAAACATAAACAAAACAACTTTTCTATAGAAATTTTAAACTAAAAAATTTTATAAAATGACAAAAAGAAACATTCATTTATATATATATTATATGTATCTCATATATATGCAGACACGCATATAGTGAAGGATATATGAAATTATATATGTATATTTCATTATCTATATTACAAACAATTAGTCTATAATGTGTATCAGCCCTTTGTAAGTTATGATAAACTTTCAATAGGCATTGATTAAACTGAATTAATTGAACCAAATATTGTAATACTGAGGGTACAAATCACTCAAAGAGGAGGTAGGGAGGAATTTTGAAAGTCCAGATTACATTAGAGCTGTGCTGAGAAAAGACTCTAACTGATGGATTCTTGATCTATCAGTGCCTTCATTTTGAATAAATATGGGGTATTGGGGAAAAAGCCACTTCACAATGATTTTCAAGATAGTCTTTAGCCCAAAATACCCCAAACCTTGTAGGTGTTACACATCATATAACATATAACATATATTATATGTGTGTGTGTGTGTGTGTGTGAATGTACATATATATGTGTGTACATATATGTGTACATACATTTAAATATATATTTATTTGTAAAATATGTATATATAACCATCTTTCTTTGTCACATAAAGAATGCTCAGTTTTAGGTGAAGAAAATGACTCTCTTCAACTTATACCACATTTGTTCTATTATTTTCTGCTTTTGTGTTTTCTTCTTTCTCCCCACACCCTACCCCAGAACTTGGCACACTGGCACATAGCAGCTCATTGCCTTTCAGTGCCAGCAGGAAAGGCATTGATCAGTGGCATGGTGGATTCAAACCTACACATCCTACCAGTCTCTTTGGGCATCCAGTCTCTTTTGGACTCTTTGGGAGTCCAGGAGAGTTAGCAAGCCAGGGACTCCCAGGGAGCCATGTGGTTATATCAGAAAGTACTAGACCAAGACTCAGGAGGTGTGGGCCATGGTCTGGCTCTTTCATATTCAATTGTGTGACATTCTACAAATTGTTTCATCGGTATACACTTTATCATCTTCATTGCTAAAATAGAGATAACAATAAATAACTGATCTATATTACAGAATTTCTGTGAGGATCAAGTGCAGAAAAAAAAGGAAATATAAAAGAATCTATCCCCCCAAAATATTATTTGGTTCAAATGCTACTATAAACACACAGTCTCTGTATAATGGAAATGATCAATGAATCCTAGGATCAAAGTCATTTTTAATTCAACACAGAAAAATTTGGAGAGGACATTGGGGATAGAATGGAACACAACCTGGATCAAATAACAGCAGATGGTAAATTCATGAAACTATAATCAACCATTCAACTTGATTAGGTTACCAGAGTAACACACAGCAACTTAAAATACATAATTTCTACACCATGCCCATTGGGCAGAAATCATGGGCTTTGTAATATCAAATTAGGTGAACTATGTATAGTGATAGTAATAACATTAATTAACATTATTGGTCAATGACATTAGAATACCAGGTACTATTCTAAGGATGTAATAGATGAAATTGTCAGAGACATATAGTGCTATGCTTCCTGGAATGGCATAGATAAATTATCAATAAAATGGAATAATTACTTAACACTTAGGGAAGAGCAATATGAGTTCAAGTAACTCATTTTTTCTATTCCTATGAAGTTAGAATATATTCTTCTAAAAACAGGTCATGGGATCAATTTTCCTGCATACAATGTGCAGTTCTCCTCTTAGAGTTTCTAATCAAGCTGGGTAAAAAGGGAAATACATGAGCTCAAATCACCATATGGAGATAAAATATCTGGAAGTGGAGCTCAATATTAGTATTTTATCTGATCCACGTAAAATTTGATTAATACTTTACTTAGGATGAAGAAGTTTCATTGGACTCCATCACTTCTTCCTCTGTGCTCTTCCTACAGGTTGTAATGCAACCTAATTGTTTCATCTATCACACAAGTGACAATCAGAATCATTGCAGGAAACAGATCCCATGGGAGCATGTTATCGGGAGGGTATTTAATCAGAGAATAAGGTGCTTTTTAAGATCTCCAGAAGGACTGAAAGAGGGAACTTTACTCAGGACCTCTTGGGAGACTGTCAGAATCTCAGACAACTGACACTTCTGCAGCCTGGAGTAGGGGTTCTCAAGACCTACACAATGCAAATCCACTGCACAACCTGTGATCCAAGAAGCTGTCATAGCTACCAACACTAACATAGCTGCAGGTGGCAGGAACCTGAGACTCCAAATTTACTACCCAGGAAACTAGATACAACACCACAGGAAAACAATATGACATAACCTTGTTGATAACCAAAGATGTTAAGAACAGATACAACACAGGCATTCCTTGAAGATATTGTGGGGTTGGTTTCAGACCACCACAATAAAGTGAATCATTTGAATGTTTTGTTTTCACAGTGCATATTAAGTTATGCTTGTGCTATACTGTATTGTGTGCAATAACATTATTCCTAAAAAGACAATATATAGAACTTAATTTAAAAAATGCTTTATTGCTAAGAAATGCTAACAAATTGGGCACATGCTGTTGAAAAAAACGGTGCTAATAGACATGCATGATACTGAGTTGACATAAACCTTTGATGTGTAAAAACCACAATATCTGTGAATCACAATAAAGTGGAACACAGTAAAACAACATATGCCTGTATAGCACTTGCCTCAATTTCCCCTTCTAAGTCTCAAATGAAATGCAGCTAATTGGTGGATCCAGAATATGAGCTGCCAAGGAGTTGTAAAAAAATTTAGCTTTCAGATTCTGCAGCAGAGGGTGCACTACAAGGACATAAGTGCCAATCAACCATATTCCCAAGTCCAGTTTGGCGATTTGGCATTCTAATGAATAAAGATTCATTAGATCTGCACAAAGATCATTCTAGCTGCACTTAAAACCCAAGTAAGGAGTAATGTCAGGGAAGATGGCAGAGGAGGAGACACTATGAATCCGTCTTTCTACCTTGAATACAATTATACTGAACAGAAACTGTCTGAAGTAGCGATTGAACCTCTGGAGTATATTTTAATGCTTTCAGCTTCCAGAGGAAGGCTTGGCTGGGAAATTGTGGTTAGTTTTGGTCAACTGCAGTGACTACACATTCTCTACCTCACAGCCCTCTGGCAGGCAAGTGGGCCTATCTTTCTGGTGCAGCTTGCTAGAGCCAGGGTGAGAATTCAGGACCTTGTCCTCTAAATGTTGGAGTTTTGTGTTCTGACTGCTGATGGCTGCTGTTGCTTGCTGAGGTTAGGACAGAGAACCTGGCTGTCATTGCTTCATCTCCAGATTCTGGAAGTTTCCATGGGATTTACATGAACGGCACCTGTTTTATTTCTTTATCTTTTTTGGCACCCAGGCCAAACATTAGGACATTTAAAAGCAGCAGTGCATATGGCAGAATTTGTAAAGCCACCTCACATGCCAGCAGTAATGTATTATGCAAAAAAGTCCAAACAATTACTTTAGTTTTCTATTAGTTCGATCCCATGCAATTAACTACTGCTCTGTCCAATACTGGATCCGCAATCCTCATGAACACATCAACTCTCCAATGAGAGTCCTGGAAGTTTCTTGTGTAGTCAAATGGCACAAACTCTAAAGTTATCAGAATCCTGCATTCAGGAGAATCTGTCAGGGTCCTTTCCATGAACTCCACCAAAGAAGCAAGAATTGGACTGTAGCTAACCACAAACTGCTTTTTGAGAAGAAAGAAAGAAAACAATAACTGTCTGTGGTTGAAAAAGTCCAAGACAAAATTTAAAAAGGCCAAAGACAAAATTAACAAGGAAATTTGGCTATTTCTGTGGCACACAACAGTTGAACATAATAATTATTATTGCTGATAGCATATGCTAAGACATATCAGAATTATAGGAGTCTCATACAACTTTGGAACACATATTATTAACACATTTATATAAATATAACCCAAAGAATGTTAAAAACAATTTCATGTTTGACAATGCTTCCTGTATGATTTTCACATATCAAATAAGTCAAATATGTCTGCCTTGGACTTCAGGGGCCCTAATATACAAAACTTAGTTTGAGGTCAAAAGACTAAACTTAGAATTTGGAAAGTTTGTGAAATATCAAAGGTTTAAAACACTTGATATTATAAAGTATTACAGAATCACAAGTCACTGTAAAATAAGTCACTTGTTTAGCCAAAGTGGAAATCCAAAGATTTTATAAAGCATAGAACCTTTACCCTTTGATATCAAGGAGACAGTTTCCCAATAATAAGACCCAATAAAGATAGCATAGGCCAAACTGGATCTGTCTGTCTCATTCCTCTTTTCTTTCTTTTTTTTTTTTTTGCAGTTTACTCAAAAGGTAAACAAAAATTCTTTACTATCTCTTAATACTACACAAAAATCTTGTTTGAAAGAGAAAATCAAATTTTACCTTTGCATAGTATATTAACACTAAAGCTAATTTTAATGAAATTTTATAAACAAATCCATCTGGTGAGATTTCTATAAATCTTCCATAAACTTTTATAATTGTCCCATTCTTTTCCCCAACTTTTTATATCTATTTAGTTTATATCCATCCTTCTTTGTAGTCCTTCAATTTCAAACAATCCTAAAAAACCTCTAAACTAGGCAAACTTATTTTCTCTTTCAATAAAAACTACATTTCTATGTCTTCTTCTAAACTTTTTACCAAAGATAAATCTTACTTTTAAAAATAGCCTTTGCATATAGAATTGCTTCTTTCATATCTAATAGTTTTAATTACATAAATAATGACTATTCTAACTCTTAGTAACCCTGGTTCCAGTGATAAACTTAGGATTACTTAATTTAATATAACATTTAGATTTTAAGTTACTGAAGATAATTTTGAAACTAATTTTATTTATTAAAGATTACTAACATCACATGAACTAAAAGCAATTCCTCATGAAAATGTTCTTGCAAAAGCAACATAAAAGAGTCTATGTGGCCAATAATTATTCTTTCTGCACTTTATGCAAATAATCAGGCCAAATATAATAAGACTAAAATTGATTTTCCAAATCAATTAGTCCTACTATGATTTGTTGTTGGTAAAAATGGGGGACTGGAGAGAGAAAAATTATGTTTCAAAAGAAACTATAGTATACCTGCTATTAGATTCTAGCATTGTTCATTATTTTTGAGTTTTTACTATTTGTCTACAATTTAGATTGGATCCTGAATTCTTTCCTGTCTACAGGTCTCCAAACTAATGATTTCAAATGTTTCTTCCATTTTTCTGGTTTGGAATCACTAGAAATTAAAACTGGTTTTCTTAAAGCCCTGCAAACTGCAGGTAGACAAAAACTTCAGGAGAAATAACAGAAACATATATACAGAAATATACAACCTTCATGCCTGCCTGTTGATGTACTGACTCCCCAGAAAGTTCATTTGAATGCCTGATTTGAACTATAATCTAGAAAACTGTCATATTGCCACTGCAAACTGAAGATGCTTCAGAGACTAGAAAAAACAGTCTATAGACTGACTGCTCTGCACATTAACCTTTGTTTTTCTTGTTTCTCTAGAAATAACCTCTTACTAAAGATTTGTTCGCCTGCATCATATATAGGGGCCTAGCCCATGCAATGGCACCTCCTGGAATGGGAGACAGTGGTTTAACTGAACTGGTCTATTCTCAGGACTGACTAGAAGAAGATATAGAACAACATATTTAAATTTGTTCTTTTCTGTTTATTTCAATTTGTCTTTTCACTCCTTTGTCTACCTCTATCTAACAACCTCTAATCCAAATCTTTCCAAAGCTATCACGTGGGCTTTTAATATATGAAATTTTTTTTTAAGTTTCAAAGTAGGGACTGAAGGAAATCAAAATATTTTACCTCAACATATATTTCTTTGACATATTTTAAAATGGCTACAATGGAGCCAGCAGACAGAAGTGGCCTTGCAAATTTGTCTTTAGTGGGGGAAATATGCATCTGTAGAGAATCACCACTAATGCACCCAGGTCTTTCCTTTCTAGGCTTTTCCTGGATCTAAGAGAGACTGAGAGTTTGACACCTTTAAAAGCCTGGAAAGAAACACTTACCATCAATTTTCTCTGAGGGCTGCTGCTTATGAGACTTCATCTACATAACAAAGCCACCTTTGCTAGCCAGGCCTCTTCCTTTCTCCCTGTCATAATCTGTCTTGCACTAAACCTGATTTAGCCACATAATCTGTTTTTGCCCATGCTTTAAACCTGCATTCTTTCTGCATCTCTGAGATGGTACATAAGCTTCTGTACCTTGTTGAGGGCGTGGGCCTTCATTCTGAAGCCTCCCATACACACAGGTTAAATAATTTATGTCTTTTCTCCCACTAAAATAGTCCTTGATTATATTGAAGAAATGTCCTTCTATATCTAAACTGTTACGTGTTTTTATCAAGAAAGAATGCTGGACTTTATCAAGTGCTTTTTCCACACCAATTAAGACGATCTTGTAGTTTTTATCTGTCATTTAAGTAATGTGATGTATCACATTGATTAATTTGTGTATGTTAAACCAGTCTTTCATGTCAGAGATAAATTCCACTTAGTCTTGATTTATAATCTTTTTGATGTGTTATTGGATTTGGTTTGCTAATATTTTATTAAGAGCTTTTGCATCAGTGGTCATCAGAGAAATTGGCCTGTAGTTGTCTTTTCTTGTGAGGTCTTCTCTGGCTTAGAGATCAAGGTGATTCTGGTTTCATATGATGTATTTGAAAGGATTTCTTCTAGCCGTACTTTTTGAAAGCATTTTAAAATATTAGTATTAATTTTTATTTGAATGTTTAGTAGAATTTAGGCATGAAGCCATCTGGTCCTGGGCTTTTTTGTTGTTGTTGGAAGGTTTCTGATAACTTCTTTAATTCCTGTGTCTGTTATTGATCTCATCAGTCTTTATAATTCTCCTGACTCAATCCTGGCAGGTTATGTTTTTATAGGAATTATCCATATTCTCTGGGTTATCCAATTTGTGGGCATATAATTACTTATAATTTTCCTTTATGACTATTTTTATTTTGGGGTAACTGTTATAATTTATTTGATTTGGTTTACTTGAATCTTCTTTCTTTTTTCTTAGACTAGCTGTGAATTTCTCAATTTTATTTTTTCAAAAAAGTCAACTATTAATTTTATTGTTTTTTTCTCCCTATAGTCTTTGTCACCTCTGTTTGATTTATTACTGTTTTAATTTTTAACATTTTCTCCCTTAAGCTAATTTGGGGTTTTATTTGTTCTTCCCTATTTACTTTCTTTAGGAATAATGTTAAACTAATTCTTTGAGATTTTCTTTTTTAATGTAGACATTTATTGCTGTAAACTTTCCTCTTATAATTACTTTTGCTGCATCCCATAACTTTTGGCATGTTGTGTTTTCATCTTTGTTTGCATTACAATAACTTTTTTATTTCCCTTTTGATTTCTTGTTTGACCCATTGATTATTCAGGAATGTATTTTTAAATTTTCATGTATTTGTGGATATTCAAATTTTCCTCCTCTTACGATTTCTAGTTTCATATTGTTATGACCAGAGAAGATACTTGATATGATTCCAATCTTCTAAAATATGTCAAAACTTGTTTTGTGGTCTACCATGTGATCTCTCCTGGAGAACATTCCATGAGAACTTAAGAGAATATGTATTCTGCTGCCCTTTGGTAAAATCTTTCGAATATGCCCATTAGATTCATTTGGTTTTTGGTGTCATTAGCAAAAGCAAAACTAGACAAGTGAGACAACATCAAATTAAAAAGCTACTGCACAACCAAGCAAACACTCAGCAAAGTAAAAAGACAACCTATGACATAAGAAAAAATATTTTCAAACCATTTATCTGGAGGGGTTAATATCCAAATATGTAAGAAACTCTTGTGACTCAATAGCCATCAAAAAAAAAAAACAAAACAAATAGCCCTATTTAAAAATGGACAATTGCCTTTAGTAGACATTTCTTCAAATAAGACATACAAATGGCCATTAGGTATATAAAAAGATGCTCAACATCACTAATTATCATAGAAATGCAAAGCAAAACCACAATAAGATGTCATCTCACACTCATTAAGCTGGCTATAAGACAAACAGACAAAAAAAATATCAAGTGCACATGAGATTGTGAAAAAATCAGAGCCCTTGTGTACTGTTGAAGGAGATGTAAAATTGTGCAGCTGCTATTAAAAACAATATAAAAATAAATAAAAACAGAATATCATATCATCTAGAAATCCCATTTATGTGCATATATCAAAAAAACTGACATCAGGATGTCAAAGTGATATCTGCGATCTCATGTTTATTGCAGCATTATTCACGATATCCAAGATATGGAATTAATCTAAGTGTCCATCAGTGGATGAGTAGGTAAAGAAAATGTAAGATTTACATACAATGAAATTGGTGACAACATGGATGAATCTGGGGGATTAGCTAAGTGAACTAAGCTAGTCACGGAAGTTCAACTGTTGTGTGATTCTGGTAATAAGAGGTATCTAAAATAATCAAACTAACAGAAGCAGGAAATAGAATGGTGGATTCTAGGGACTGGGAGGAGGGGGAAATAGAAAGTTATTGCTCACTGGGAATACATTTTCTGGTATGCAAGATAAATTGTGTAGAACATAGTGCGTGTGGTTAACAGTACAGTATTATGCACTTAAAAATTTGTTAGGTGTATGGATGTTAATTATTCTTACCACAAATAAAAGAAAAGCAAGCAAATTTTTGGAGATGATAAATATATTTATTGCCTTGATTCTGTTGATGATATCATGGGTGTTTTTCTGTTTTATCTCCAGATGTATCAAATTACATACACTAAACATGTGCAGGGGTTTTTAATATAATTTTACCTTAATAAAGCTGATTTTACAAGACCTGTCAATAGCAAAATGACACTTTTTTTCCAAGAAATGGTGCTTTGAAAATTGAATATTCACAGGCAAAAGGATGAAACTAGACCATTACCATGCAACATATGCAAATAATAACTCAAAGTGAATCAAAGTCCTAAACATAAAAGCTTTTCATATGAAACTCTTAGATGAAAATGCAGAGGAATATCATGATTTTGGAGTTGGCAATGATATCATGGATATGACACCAAAAGCACTATTAACAACAACAGAAAAATAGATAAATTGGACGTTGTCAAAATTAAGTACTTTGTGTATTGGAGGACACTATTAAGAAAGTGAAAAGCCAATACATGGAATGAGAGAAAATATTTGCAAATCAGTATTTGTGAATGGGTTAATATCCAAAATACAAAGAATTTAAAAAGTTAACCATAGAACAAATAGCCCAATTAAAAAATGGGCAAAGGATTTGAATAGACATTTCTCCATAGAAGATAAGCAAATGATTCATTAACACATGGAATATACAAATGACAAATAAGCACGGGGGTCAGGCTCAACATCACTAGTCAATATGGAGTTACAAATCAAAACCACAATAAAATGCCACTTCACACCTACTGGGATAATAATAATGATAAGAATAACTAAATGGAAAATAGCAGGCATTGCTAAGGATGGGGAGAAATTGGAAGTTTCACGGATTTCTGCACTATGTAGAATAGCGCAGCATCTGTGTTGCATACTTTAATTATTCCTTAAAAAGTCAAATATAGAACCCAGCATTTCCACTCCTATGTAAATATCCATAATAATTGAAAGCAAGAACTCACAAAAATATTTACAATGTTCATAGCAGCATTATTTACAATAGCTGAAAATCAGTGGGACAACCCAAGTGTCCATCAGCAGATGAACACAGTGTGGTGTACACATATAATGCACTCATATTCAGCCATAAAATGGAAAGCAATTTTATGTGCTACAACATGTATGGAACTTAAAAATATTATGCTAAGTGGTGTAAGGCAGAAACAGAAGGGCAAACTGCTGTATTATTTCACTTACGTGAAGTACCCATAATAGGCAAAGCCATAGAGACAGAAAGTAGAATAGAGGGAACCAGAGGCCAGGCGGGAGGAGGAATGCAAAGTTATTGTTTAGTGGGTACACGGTTTATGTTGAGGATGATGAAGTTGTTTTGAGTACAGATACCAATGATGATTATACAACATTGTGAATGTGTTCAGTGCCACCAAATTGCACATTTATAAATGGTTAAAAAATGTTATGCCTGGCAGGTCATGGTGGCTCACCTAATCCCAACACTTTAGGAGGCCGAGGCAGGTGGATCATGAGGTCAAGATATCCAGACCATCCTGGTCAATATGGTGAAAAGCCATCTCTACTAAAAATACAAAATTAGCTGGGTGTGGCGGCATGCGCCTGTGGTTCTAGCTGCTCGAGAGGCTGAGGCGGGATAATCGCTTGAACCCAGGAGGCGGAGGTTGCAGTGAGCCAAGATCACACCACTGCACCCAGCCTGGCGACAGAGCGAGACTCGGTCTCAAAAAAAAAAAAAAAAAAAAAAAAAAGGTATGCCTATTTTACCACAATGAAAAATAAAGCTACTAATAGCATCAACTTTATCACTCCACCTAACACAATCCAAATTTTGTTTTTATAAGGAAAACATGACCTCCTCCCCAAAGTACTAGGAGTCTTTGTGTTTTTTTTTTAAGGGATGTTTGTTACTTTTTTGTTAATTCTAATTTGCAAATTAACATCATGTCACTTAAAAAATAATTTTAAAAGGAGTAACCATCAATATACTCTATGTAAAATAGTAGCAAAAGAGAGAGAAGAGGAGCATCTTGTTTGACAGTAATAAATACATACAGAACAAGAAGACCAAGGGACTGTTAGTGCTATCTTTGCTTCATGTGGCCACAGTTAACACTTCCTTCCTCCACTCTCCATTCCACGTATCCTTTACCCTCAACTAGAAAGTTAACAGGTCAGCATTTTTTACCTGGTGGGCTACTAAGCCCTCATTTTTTCAAGCGATTCTCCTGCCTTAGCAACTCCTGAGTAGCTGGGATTACAGGCATGTGCTACCATGCCCGGCTAATTTCGCATTTTTTAGTAGAGACGGGGTTTCTCCATGTTGGTCAGGCTGGTCTTGAACTCCCAATCTCAGGTGATCCGCCCGCCTAGGCCTCCTAAAGTGCTGGGAGTACAGGCATGAGCCACCGGGCCCGGCCTACTAAGCTCTCATTTTTAAGGGGTCCTAAGCCTTCACTGATGGGGTTACCCTTGTTTTTCATTAACTTTTACTACCAAAAATGGCAGTACTAGTTTGAATCCCAGAGGACTCGCTGGGATCTCTATATATCCCTCTCTAAGCACATTGCATAGTTGCAGTCATATGCACCTGTATTTTATAAACCCAGCATCAGACAACAGAGGAGTCCCCCACCCTTTTTTTTTTTTTTTTTTTTTTTGATATGGAAGTCTCGTTCTGTCGCCCAGGCTGGAGTGCAGTGGCGCGATCTCGGCTCACTGCAAGCTCCACCTCCCAGATTCAAGCCATTCTCCTGCCTCAGCCTCCCGAGTAGTTGGGACTACAGGCGCCCGCCACCACACCCAGCTTTTGTGTGTGTGTATTTTTGGTAGAGACAGGGTTTCACCGTGTTAGCCAGGATGGTCTTAATCTCCTGACCTCGTGATCCACCCATCTTTGCCTCCCAAAGTGCTGGGATTACAGGCGTGAGCCACCACGCCCAGCCCACTTTTTTATTAGTTGGTTCAGGGTATCAGAATTCCAAATGGTAAATTTTTATTTCTGTGGAAGCATTGCAGTTCCCCCGGTGGAGACACTCTGCTCTTAGATACTAAAATCACTAAACCAGTGTAAACCAAGTTCATGGATACAGAAAGAAAAATTTTGTGTGGTGATCATTAAATATAATAGTAGCAGATGCCACTTCGCCTCTACCCTTCTCATCCAGAACTCTAATACTCTTGAGTATGAGAGAAACTACAGAATGTATTAATCACTGTTTCAGAGAAAGTTGCAGGGTGGAACCCTAATCTTAGAAGGCACCACCTCCCACCTGGTGACATAAGTGGTCTTGAATCTTCCATTTTATTGTTCTGTAAGGTCTGAATACATAAAAGAGCATGGTATTTGGTGGCCACAGCGTCATCTCTTTTACTGTTAAGTCTGTAGGACAGAAGTGGTGATGTGTGGAACACTGTGGTGATGAACAAGCATTCAGGACGTCCACGATGTGCTGCTAGAAGCTTGGTGGACACTGAGTGTAAACCCATATCCAGAAAAAGTTTCCACTTCAGGGGAGGAAACTGCTCTTCCCTCTAGAATATATTGGGCCCAATTTAATTCAATTTAAAATTGATGTTGGTTTCAGTGCCACGCGACCGAAACTTTTCATGGAAGAGTTTCAGTTTATATTTGTTCTCCTGGTATAACTATTAAGAGTTATCCCGGTCCTCTCAAAAGTATCCAGATGAAGAGAAAAATTATATTTTCAGCTTCCATGCTGGAGACTCATATTGGTGTCATCTTTTGGCAATTTGGGCTCTAGCAGTTGTATTAGCCAGGTCATCTTTGGGCCCAGGAAGCTAATGTTGAGCTTTTACAGAACCTACATCTATATAACCATGCTTGATTAATGAGGATATATATACATATATATCCTTTTGAAAAAACATTCCAGAGTTAAGTGTAGGCCAATTTCAGTTTCCATTTCTATTCTAGTAGCCAATGGATCTCCTAAATCCTTATCTTCAATAGGAGACTCATTTTGGATGAACAACTGCAATAATTTGAGTTACTTTTTCCATTGTGTATGACAGACCATCAGACTCTTGCTATTCAACAGTATATATATATATCTTCACTTCCTTTATCCCTTTTTTCTTTCTTTTTTATTTATTTATTTATTTTTTTTTTGAGATGGAGCGTCATTCTGTAGCCCAAGCTGGAGTGCAGTGGTGTGATCTTGTCTCACTGCAACCTCCGCTCCCGGGGCTTAAGCGATTCTCATGCCTCAGCTGAGACTACAGGTATGCACCACCACACCAGACTAATTTTTTTTTTTTTTGTATTTTAATAGAGATGCAGTTTCACCATGTTGCCCAGGGTGACCTCAAACTCCTGAGCTCAGGCAATCCACCTGCCTCAGCCTCCCAAAGTGCTGGGATTACAGGCGTGAGCCACCATGCCCAGTCCCTTTATCCCATTTCTATTTTGACTACCCTAGAATCTTATCATTTAAAATGTTGGCTATTAACTGCTCTGGTAGTAAATACTTTATTAACTAAGTTTTCATGCCAGAAACAGAATTTACTATACTTATTTAAAGCACTAAATAACGTTTGTGCTTACAAAGCCCTTGGAAGAGAAGTGTGACCAGCCTTTATGCTGGGAAAGAAAGGCTCCCAGAAACGAACACATCAGAACTGCAATCTATGACACTGTTATGAGGTTGGAGCATCTGGAGGCTGCTTTTGAAGCAGATGAGTTGAAGAAGGCAGCACAATAACCAAAATTCAAGGATCGAAAGTCAGAATCAGAGAGCCTAGCCATATTGGAAACACGTGTTTCTCTCCACCACTAGTGAAGCTGGTGGCCTCTATTGGAAATCTGAGTATGGCTACTTCCTTCTTGACCCCTGGGCATGAGAAACTGGATGTTGGAATACTCTTGCAGGAAAAAGGGGGCAAAGCAAAACCACACACAAGCAGAAAATGTGGTTCCAGAACCCTGTTCTGTAGCTACAAACAGCAAAGGAAGGCAGAATATGGCTTCCTTTTCATCTTTACCTTCCAAATCTCAAAGGATGATTCTAATTGTTGAAATGTAATTTTCATCTAGAACTCTTGCTGCCAAGAAATATAGGAGCATGAGTTTTTGTTTTTCACGTTCTTCAGTGGAGGAACACACTAAGAGAGATAAGAATGGATGCTAAATGCCAAGAGATCATCTTCACACACACAACAGATCATCAGCACGTGATCTCATATGTCACCCTGTGCTTGTGTATGTGAACCTCTTAATGGTGGTACCCATGACTAAAACAGAACACTTGTTATCTAGAAAGCACCCAAAATTTCTTCAGTTGAATTGACAGATTAAGTGAAAATATTTACAAGTGGGACATATTTATATCTATAAAAATGATGTTTTTATACAAGGAATTGTAATGGATGTGGTGGGGTGAGTTTTCTACTATATCATATGTAGGACAGATGAAGAAATCAGTAATGTTTTGTCAAGGAGATAGTTAATTCAGTGAAATGATGACATAATAGCTTTTACATGCCTCAGTAATTTCCATGTGGAAGAGAGATTTTATATATCTGGCAGAAGTAGAAAAAGTTGAAGCAAGGTATTAATGAAAATTTTAGAAAGCAGGCTTTTGGCTCAATTTGAGAAAGAGATTTCAAACTTCTAGAAAATTCAGGAAATACTGCCTTGTGCTGCCACATGTTTTGATTACTGGATGGTGTAGTGTGGGCCAGGAGGAATGCATTCTTGCTGTGTTTTTCTCGAGTAGACTGAACTACAGCAAAAGTTTCCCAAAATGTTTTAGGAAAATTGTCTCCTTGAAATGTTTCTAACTGTTGTTTAAAAAGATTCTGAGATCAAATACATTTATTCAATCCTGAATGCCTTCTATCTTTAGTGCAGACTCCTCCCCAGAGATTTGTGCATTCTAATGAAAATTATGAATATCTAGAAGCATTAGTATTTATTTTTACTGCAGAAAACTTGTACAATAAAAACAAAACCAAATCAAACTAGACACCTTAAGAAAATGAGAAAACACTGAGGAAAATTTCCAGGACATTGGTCTGGGCAAAATTTTCCTGAGTGATATCCCACAAGCAAAGACAACCAAAGCAAAAATGGACAAACGGGATAAGATCAAGTTAAAAAAGTTTTTGCACAGCAAAGGAAACAACAAAGTGAAGAGACAACCCCAGAATAGAAGAAAATATTTTCAAACTACCCATATGACAAGTGACTAATACCCAAAATATATGAGAAGCTCAAAAAACTCCATAGGAAAAAATCAAATAATCTGATCAAACAATGGGTAAAATATCTGAATAGACATTTCTCAAAAGAAGACATACAAATAGCAAATAGGCATATGAAAAGGTGCTCAACATCATTGACCATCAAAAAACTGCAAATAAAACTACAATGAGAAATCATCTTACCCCAGTTAAAATGACTCATACCCAAAAGACAGACAATAACAAATGCTGGTGAGGATGTAGAGAAAGGAGAACCCTTCTACGATGATGATGGGAATGTAAATTAGTACCAGCACTATGGAGAACAGTTTGGAGGTTCCTCAAAAAAAGTAAAGATTGAGCTACCATATGATCCAGCCAACCCACTGCTGGGTATATACCCAAAGAAAGGAAATCAGTATTTCAAAGAGATATCTGCACTCTCATGTTTGTGGCAGCAGTATTTACAAGAGCTAAGATTTGGAAGCAACCTAAGTGTCTATCAATAGATGAATGGATAAAGAAAATGTGGCACATATATACAAAGGAGTACTATTCAGCCATAAAAAATGAGATTCTATTATTGGCAACAAATACGGATGGAACTGGAGATCATTATGTTAAGTAAAATAAGCCAGGCACAAAAAGAAGACAAATATCGCATGTTCTCACTTATTTGTGGAATCTGAAAATCAAAACAATTGAACTCATGGGCATAGAGTAGAAGGATGGTTACCAGAGGCTTTGAAGGGTAGTAGGGGGTTAGGGGGGAAGTGAGGTTGCTCAATGGGTACAAAAATTAGAAAGAGTAAGACCTACTACTTGATAGCACAACAGGGTGATTACAGTCAATAATAACTTAATTGTACATTTTAAAACAACTAAAAGAGTGTAAATGGATTGTTTGAAACACAAAGAATAAATGTTGAGGTGATAGATAGCCCATTGTCCATGATGGGATTATTTCACATTTAATGCCTGTATCAAAGTGTCTCATGTATCCCATAAATATATACACCTACTATGTACTCACAAAAATTAAAATCTAAATACTTTTTTTAAAAGTATGAGAAATGCTTTAGGGGACCCTGAAAAACATAGTTAGGCATCATAACATATTTAATTTTGTTTTTTTACCTCATACTATGATGTCTCCACTGTGGGGTGCACAGCATGTCAAAGAGGTAGTAAATGAGAGAGGGGAAGAAAAATGTGAGGCAAGGATAAGAAAGAAAGGGTGAGGAAAAGAAGAAGGAAAAGTAAAACAAGCAGGAAGAAAATGAAATATAAAAGGGAAGAAGAAGAGAGGAATGATGGTTGGGATTTATGCACATAATTGGCTCTAGGTTATATCAATTCTTTTGTACTTCAAACCTTTTACTTTTCATTGTGGAATATAAAATACATCCCAGAAAAACGCCAAAAAAAAAGCATTCTGCAAATTTGCAGATTAAAAAGCTTCAAGTCCCTCACAGCCTTTTTAAACGTATCTGCATTTGTTACAACGTCTTTGAGATGAAAGATATTCCTACCCAACAATACTGTTTAGGTTCAACATGGAGGGTGAGTCTGGCCATGACCTTCCTAATCCCTAACAGCTGCAGTGCTGCCTGTTCTTAAGAAGCTGTCAAGGTTAGGAGATAGCTATCCTACAGGAATGATTTTTTTTTTTTTTTTTTTTGTACGATAGTCACAACCTAGAAGTTTTGAAAACAAGGCATTCAGGGTGATTCAGGAGAGTGGCACTCTAACAATGCACTTAAGAATAGGCTATACTGCAATATGATACACTTCATGGTTACTTAGCGAAGAAAATCAATCTGGAAGAAAAGCATGGTTGGTTAGGCAGTAATTTTTCCAGAAACCAATATAAGGAACACCACGAAGAATTAGAAACACTGACACTAAAAATCATTAGATTTCTGCACAGATGAGGGATTTGCATAAATCCCATTTGATGCCAAATAGGCAACAGTATTGATGCTGCTCTCTGAGGATAGAAGGATTCAGATAAATTATTTTGTGCATGTAAAACCAGGGGATCTTCTTGCAGTTGCTAAACACAGCTTTGAAAAACCATCACATACAACCTTCATGAGCTAACAAAACTTAACCTGTATACCTAACCCTTGATGGTGCTTCTTGCCTTTCTTTAGTAAATGAGTAAAATCAGAAGTTGTTTAGATGGAAAACAAGCCTTGGGTTTATGCACACGCTGCCTTTGGGAATTGTGCAAATACATTATTTCAAAGGTAAAGGTTCAATTATAAGCTTATTTTCTAATTGATGTCACTTTACTCTGCAGGGAAAGATGCTCATTAAGTGAAGTGTTTCACAGCCTGGCAGGAAATGTAGATATAAAGAATGTTCTTGCCTGTGCCTTCCTCTTTCTAACAGATACATCAAGTCATCTAATGTCACCAGCTCCTCATACATTATCGCTTTAATATCCTCAGCTTCCTTATTGTACCACAGGTAAACATCTGCAATGCTTGCATACTAACAGTCTATTTGAGATGCAATTACTATACTGGCAGTACTCCAGGTCACAAGATGGAAGTGTCTTAAGGAGCAAGAAGGAAGAAAGGTGGAAAGATTTTCCACATGATTATTTCACATTGAAGCTCCATCAATGTGTCTCGTGTTTTGGGATGCCAGTGAACTCAGGAGAAGCCACTCTTAAATGTTACAGAGGAAATAAGCCAAAACAGATCACCTCCGTATTTGATATTGGTCAGGTGTTGCCAATTATTTCTTTTTTAAAAGAATGCACTAAAAACTGTATTTTTAATTTCAACGGTTTTGAAAATGATGAATCAAAATGTCAAGTATCTAGAAAATTATTGTGTAAATTTGCATCCTTTAACTTTGCAGCATTTTCTGATTTCTCTGTCTTTCCCTCAATTTAAAGATAAGGAAACGGAAACTTTGAGAGCTAAATGTGTTTCTCAAAGTCACTTGGACAGATAAAGTATCTGTCTTGCATTCCACATTTTGTTATTGAAAGGAGTGTGGGTGAAAGAGAGACTTTTCTAAGGTTCAGGAAAAGTAAATAATGTAATGTGAAGATTAGATCAGAGTGGAGAGAATTGGACACTAGCTAGAGTACAACAGAAAGGTACAGACTGGAAAAAAGAATTTCCAGAAAACCTTAGGAAAATAATGCATAGGACGTGGTCACGGATGGAAAATAATGCACAGGACGTGGGCACGGATGAGATGTGCAGCCAGTGAGGCTCATACATTTCAAAGTCATCTCATTTTTCAGGCTGGAAATAATTGCCTGGGTTCTCATAGACTTATCATTGGCCAAGAAAGGCTCATCTGGCTATTTCAGGATGGAATATGTTATAGGCCTAATTTGCCTCCACTTGAAACTCTATCTGTCAGCTGGAAAACTGGCTGCCCTTGCTTTTGCATTATATCAGTCCATCATGATCTGTATTTTGGTATAAATTGTAATTCTTGACTTTCACAATGCAATACTAAAGCTCTCCCTCCCACTCTTGAGACGAAACTTCATAAGGAGTTTTCAATACAAACTTTAAAGCATTATTTATCTTCAAAATCCTGATTATTGGTTAAAGAGAAAGCTCTCTTTTACCCACTTGCCTGATTCCTCAATCTGTAAAACATGCTATTCTCGACTCAGTATCTATAAAACTACTGTGGAGCTTAATCTCCATGGGAAATTATTTCTCATTATAAGAGCTCAGTTTTCTGCCTACATAGTGAAAGTGGACAGAGAAAAGTAAGTAATACCAACAATAGACCTAATTACAGCATTCCTAAGAAAACAAAACATAGCTACATGATGGTGAGCTAAAGGATGTTAAATTGCCTTTCATAGGGCAACAATAAAGAAGTTTCTGAGGCTATAGATTTAAGCGACTCTTAGATTACTTTAAAGACAAACACAACCCTGTATTTATGATATTGTTATTTATTTTAAAAGAATAAACATTTGGCTAATAAAAATACATAGGATGGGTAGGGACAGGAAAATATCACCTAAATAGTGTGACCACATGGAGTTTCTGGCTAGAAGTCATGAACTTCAAATCTGACTTCACCACTCAGTAGCTGAAGTCTCTTCATATCTCTGAATCTCAATTTCCTATTCTGGAACATGATAGTAATAATAATATTATTATTATTTGAGTATGCTCAAATCAAAGGTTTTCTTTGAATTACTAATTGAAATATGTATGCAAAATCAATGTATAAGCTGCTATTCAAAATAAATACGTATGTTAATTTTTAAAGTATTGCGAGCTGCCTTAAAAAAGGTTTGAAAAACTAACTTAAAGGAATGTACTTTTCTGATTACAGTTTTCTAAAAACATTTTCCAATAAAGCTGTATAACTAGAATCACTGATTCTTTTCTTTGCCAGAAAGTTACTTAAGGCTGCCAGTATGCAGTGTTGTTTCTTACTGACTTGTAAGCAGTTACTCAATATAATGCCTGTCGCCAATTTCCATCCACTTTCTTACCTAAATGTTACTGCAACTCCTTCTTCAATTCCCTTCACAGATGAGCTACAAACTGAAGAATAAATTCTCCCAAGTAGTGTCAGCAATTAAGGCATGGAAGAGAATGCACCTGGACCCTAAGGGAGCAAACAAGTACACTGAAGAAGTGAAGAACTTACCATCCCAAAATGTGCGTAATTGGCATATTGATTATTTCAAGCTGAAAAAATTAGAGAAATTGTAGTTTCAGATAGGGTGAGCTCACTGTTCTTCCTACATGCAGCAAGCCATAAAGATTCCTCTGGGAGGGGTGCCCTCACCATATTAGGGCAAGGAAACAGCCCTTATCACCAGAGACTGAGAACTGGGTGGCTGCAATGGATCCGAATAATTATACTTATCCAAATAACTCTTATCTTCCGCTAGTTTTACACCCCACTTCCATATATCTCCTAGTCAACTCCCCTAGAAATTCACTGCCCCAGCCAGATTCTCTTTGTTCTTTCATTTCTTCTCAAATGTATTGTTCTTTGTCTAAAATGTATAAAAACATCTTGCTTTGGTCACTTCTTCAGACCTTACTCTCTTATGAAGAGCATAATGTACATGTAAAACTAATGAAATCTAGGTATACTTTTGTCTTCTTAATATGTCTGGTGTCAATTTGCTTTCTAGATCCAGCCAAAGAGCCAAGTGGGGGTTGCAGATGACCTCCAGCTCCCCTGCCACACCCTTGGGGAAGGGAGTCGCCACTCAGCTTGTCACCTGCAGGAGTCCTCAGAGCCCCAGGTTTTCAAGTCTTCCTTATTCCTGACCTCATCAACAGGGCCTGATCATTTCATACCTTAAATCTCCTATAACTACACCATTCTTCTCCGTCTCCTTGCTGATATTTAGCCCTCATCACTTTTCTCCTGGATTACTTCTTCAGTGTTCCTGCCTCCAACCTGGCCACTTATCAAACCATCCTTCTCCATGTTGAGTCTGTCATAACACATCAAGCTGATTAAGTCACTCCCTTTTTAAAAATGTTTGCATTTTACCCCTTCCTTCTCAGAATAAACTCTAAACTCCTTACCACAGACACAAGGCCTCTGGGGACCTGCTGCCACCTGTTCACCTCCCCACACTCACACTCCCTACTCTGCACCTCAGTTGCTCCAACCACATCAAGGCTCTCCCATTCTTGTTCTTCTTCTTTTGTTTTTTGTTTGTTTGTTTGTTTTTCTTTTTCTTTTTTTTTCTGAGACAGAGTTTTGTTTTGTTGCCCAGGCTGGGGTGCAGTGGCATGTTCTCCGCTCACTGCAACCTCTGCCTCCCAGGTTCAAGCAATTCTCGTGCCTCAGCCTCCTGAGTAGCTGGGATTACAGGTACTGGCCACCATGCCTGGCTCATTTTTTGTATTTAAATACAGACAGGGTTTTACCATGTTGCACAGGCTGTTCTCAAACTCCTGAGCTCAGGCAATCTGCTCCTCTCAGCCTCCCAAAGTGCTGAGATTACAGGCGTGAGCCACCGCGCCTGGCAGCCTCTCATCTTCTTAACATGAAGGTCTCTCCTACTCATTATGTTTTTAAATTTTCTTAACAGTTCATTAAAATATGACTCACATACTAGAAAGTTAACAAGTCAATTGATTTTGGTATATTCATGAACTATGCAACCATCACTGCAGTTGGGGACATTTAGGACATTTTGTTTATCAGCATCAACCGCAGGCAGGAATTAGGTCGTTTCTATCTTTTGGCTATATAAATAATGCTGCTATAAACATTCATGTTTCAGCTTTTGTGTGAATATACGTTTCCATTCTTCTTGTGTATGTATCAAAGAGTAGGGTTTTTGGATCATATGGTAACTCTATGTTTAATCCTTTGAGGAATGTCCAAACTGTTTTACAAGGTGGATGTATCATTTCAAATTCTGCCAACAGTGTATAAGGGTTCCACTTTCTCCATATCTTTTCTGATACCTACTATCTGTCATTTGGGTTCTGGCCATCCTAGTGGGTGTGACGTAGTACCTAGCTGTGGTTTTTTGATTTGCATTTTCCTGATGACTAATGATGCCAGGCACCTCTTCATGTGATTATCAGCTATTTGTAGATCTTGCTGGGAGAAAGATCTATTCAGATCCTTTGCCAGTTTTTAGTTTGTGTTATTTGTCTTCTTCTTATTGAGTTGTAAGAGTTTTTTAATATATTACTCTAGAAACAATTTGCTTACCAGACGTATGATATGCAAGCATTTTCTCACAATCTGTAGTAAGTCTATTCATTTTATTAATGATGCCCTTTGATGCCCAAAATGTTTAATTTTGATGAAATTTAACTTATCTAGGTTTTTTGGTGGGTTTTTTTTTGGAGTTATACTTAAGAGTATTTTGCCAAACCTAGGATCATGAAAATGCAGCTCATTTTTTTTTTCTGAGTTAATAGTTATAGCCTTGAATTCATTTTCAGTTATTTTTGCATATGGTGCAAGATAAGCATCCAAGTTCATTCTTTTGGATGTTTATATCCAATTATCCCTGCAACGTATATTAAAAAAATTTTTCCCCATTTGATGGTCTTGGCAAGCTTTCAAAAAGTCAGCTGACCACTTGGTTTTATTTCTGGGGTCTCAGTTCTGTTCCATTGATCTGTATGTCTATTCTTGTGCCAATGCCTTGTTTAGTTTGGTTTTGTAATGAGATATGAGACTGGGAATTGCACACTCTCCTACTTGGTTCTTCTGTGTCAGTATTCTTTGGTGATTCCATATCTCCTGCAATTCCAAAATAATACAATCAGTTTTCAATTTTCACAAAAGTCAGCTAGTTTTCTGACAGGTATTGCATTAAATCTGTGTGTCAATTTGGGAAGTATTGCCATCTTCAAATTGTTAAGTCTTCTGATCCATAAACACAAGACAATTTTCCATTTATTTAGACCTTTAATATTGTTCAGGAATGTTTTGTAGTTTTCAGGGTACCAATTTGTATCTCACGATTAAACTTATTTTTAAGTATTTTTTTGTTATTCTACTGTAAATGAATTTTTTTTCTTAATTTTAAGATTGTTTATTGTATCACATAGAAATATAATTAATTATTTTTATTGACCTTGTATTCTTCAACCTTGCAGAATTTGTTTATTAGTTCAGATTACTTTTGAGTGGACTCCATATCCAAGGTCATGGTCATCTGAAAATAGAGATAATTTTAATTATTTCCAATATAGAAAAATTTCTTTCTTTTTCTTGCCTAATTCTCTGGAGAAACAAACATAATAAAATGTTGAATAAAAGTGGCTAGAATGAACATCTTTGTCATTTTAAACTTAGAAGAAAAATATTCCATCTTTCATCATTAGGTATAATGTTAGCAGCAGGATTTTCACAGATACCCTTTATCAGGTTGAAGATGTTTCCTTCTATTCCTAATTTGTTCAATATTTTTGTCATAAAATTATATTAGGTTTTGTCAAATCTTTTTTCTGCAATTAAAGAAGTCAAGTGATTTTTGTTTGTTATTCTATTGTGCATTGCATTAATTTTCAGATGTTAGAAATTAGAATAAGATTTTTCTAAGATTTTTTATACACAGATTTGTTTCAATAAATACATTGGACATTTTTGGAATTTTGTGACAATTTACAAAAACCTGCTCTTGAACCATGTAGCCTAGAAATTTCAAAAAAAAAAAAAAGAAAAATTTAGATATGTCATGAATGCATAAAATATATGTAGATATTAGCCTATTTTATGATTTACTACTATAAAATATACACAAATCTATTATAAAATGTTAACATTTATTAAGACTTTTGCACACAAATGCTTACAGATAAGACATAATGCCATTCGCAGTCAAGAGAGATGTAAACAAATGTAAATATGCAGTATTAAATCATTACTGCATACAATGAACATACTGTACCACTGTAATCATTTCTTAGCCACTTCCTGTTGATATCGTGGTAAGCTTGAGTGTTGTATCTGCTTAAAACACCTTGCGACTCTAATCATCTCTGTGTGAGCAGTTCATTTTGTCTAGGAAATTGCACATCAAAGTAAAAAGTGATCTTTCCTGGTTGTCCAGTATTTTTCATCATGTTTAGTGCAATAGTATAAACGTTAACACCATGGGACCCATACAAAGTGTCACTAGTGATACTGGAAGTGCTTCCAAGAAGGAGAGAAAAGTCATGGCATTCAAATAAAAAGTTCAACTGTTTGATGTGTACTGTAGATCCAGGTCTGTAGCTGTAACTACCTGCCATTTCAGACAGACAACTTGTCTAGTAAACAGACTACATAAACTTACACTATTGATAAATACAGTAGAATACTGTAAGTGTATTCTCTCTTCCTTATGAGTTCTTAATGACATTTTCCTTTATCTCACTTACTTCATTGTAAGAAATACGGTATATAATACATATAACATAAAAAATATGTGTTAACTGACTGTTATTTGTAAGCTTCTGATTAGCAATAGGCTACTAGTGGTTAGGTTTTGGGGGTGTCAAATGTTATATGTGAATTTTCAACTGCACAGTGAATCAGCACCCCTAGTCCTTACATTATTCAAGAGTCAATTGTATTCTGTTGTGGACTTTTGCATCCATATTCATAAAAAATATATACTCTATAGTGTTTGTATCTTGTCAGAGTTTTTGTCTCATGGTACTACTGGCCTCAGAATGAGTTAGGAAGTGTTCTCTTCCTCTTTTTTCCAGGAGAAGGAGTTGGTAGATTGGTGCTACTTCTTGCTTAATCATTTGGCATGGAATTCACTGATGAAGCTGTCCAGAAATGGGCTTTCCCTATGAAAAGCCTATATGGGTAGTTTCTTTTTTTCTAATTACTAATTCAATCTCTATTTGTTATACATCTTTTCATATTGTCTATCTCTTCTTGACTCATACAATTAATCATAGTATTCCTTTATAATTCTTTTTATTTATGTAAGGTTAGGAGTAATGCATTCTGTTTTATTTCTGATCCTAGTAATTTTAAACTTCCCTCCTTTGTTTTTGGTTCATGCAGCTAAAAATTTGTAAATTTCATTGCTCTTTTCAAAAAGTCCACTTTGTTTTCATTGATTTTTCTCAGCTAGTTATTCTGTTCTCCATTTCATTAATTTCCACTTTAATACTTATACTTCTTTTTATTCTGTTTTAGATTTAGTTTTCTCTTATTTGTTCAGGGTCTTAGCTAAAAAGTTAGGTTGTTGATTTAAGTTTTTCTCCTTTCTTAATTAGGCATTTAAGTATAATTTCTTTTTCTTTAAGCACTGCCTTAGCAGGACCACATAAGTTTTGGTATGGCTTGATATGTGTGTCTTCATTTTTACTTACCTCAAAGTATTTTCTAATTTCCCTTTTGATTTCCTCTCTGGACCATTGGTTGCTTAGAGTATACTTTTAATTTCCACATATTTGTGAGTTTCCCATATTTTGCTGTCGTTGATTTCCTATTATATTTATTTGTAAGCATTGGTTTCTTAGAGTATACTTTTAATTTCTGCATATTTGTGAGTTTCCCATTTTTTGCAGTTATTGATTTCCTATTATATTTATTTTTAGTTGGAGAAGATAGTTAACGTTATTTTTATCATTTTAAGCTTACTGAGATTTATTTTATAACATAAATATAATATGGCCTTCCCTGAAGAATGTTGCATGTGCACTTGATAAGAATGCATATTCTGGGATTATTTGGTGGAGGGTTCTCTAGATGTCTATTAGGTTTAGTTGGTTTTAAACAGTAAGTTAGTAAGTTTAGTTGGTTTTAAATGGTATTGTTTAAATCTTTAATTTCTCCATTATCTTCCTATAATTTGATTCATTATTTAAAGTGGGATACTGAACTCTCCAACTATTAATTTTTTAATTGTTTATTTCTCCCTTCATTTTTGTCAAATTTTCCTTCATGCATTTTGGAGTTCTTTTGTTAGGTGCATATGTAATGACAGTTGTTATCATTTTCTGCGGATTGTTACTTCCTTAGCTGACACACTACAGGATAAGATAAAAGTATAACCATGTAGTACAGAGTTGACTCAATCAAAGTAAAGTGCACGCATTGTGTTCACAGTGTTCTGTGTACACCTCCAACACAAAACCCTTTATTTATAGCTGTTTGTATACTTTTCATGCCTACTAGAATATGCACCCTTTGAAACAAGGCTATGTGATTCATTGTAAGTCTAGTGGCTGCCATAGTTCATGGCATTTTAGATGAAAATAGTATTCAATGAATGAATGAATGGGTTTTGAAAATACTTACTGTGATGTAAAGAGAGAATGCATAATCCCAGCACTTTGGGAGGCCAAGGCGGGCGGATCGCGAGGTCAGGAGATCGAGACCATCTTGGCTAACATGGTGAAACCCCGTTTCTGCTAAAAAAAAAAATACAAAAAAATTAGCCGGGCCTGGTGGCGGGCACCTGTAGTCCCAGGTACTCGTGAGGCTGAGGCAGGAGAATGGTGTGAAGCCGGGAGGCGGAGCTTGCAGTGAGCCGAGATCGCGCCACTGCACTCCAGCCTGGGCGACAGACGGTGCTGGGAAAACTGGCTAGGCATACCTAGAAAGCTGAAACTGGATCCCTTCCTTACACCTTATACAAAAATTAATTCAAGATGTATTAAAGACTTAAATGTTAGACCTAAAACCATAAAAACCCTAGAAGAAAACCTAGGCAATACCATTCAGGACATAGGCATGGGCAAGGACTTCATGTCTAAAATACCAAAAGCAATGGCAACAAAAGCCAAAATTGACAAATGGGATCTAATTAAACTAAAGAGCTTCTGCACAGCAAAAGAAACTACCATCAGAGTGAACAGGCAACCTACAGAATGGGACAAAATTTTTGCAACCTATTCATCTGACAAAGGGCTAATATCCAGAATCTACAATCAACTCAAACAAATTTACAAGAAGAAAACAAACAACCCCATCAACAAGTGGGCAAAGGATATGAACAGACACTTCTCAAAAGAAGACATTTATGCAGCCAAAAAACACATGAAAAAATGCTCGCCATCACTGGCCATCAGAGAAATGCGAATCAAAACCACAATGAGATGCCATCTCACACCAGTTAGAATGGCGATCATTAAAAAGTCAGGAAACAACAGGTGCTGGAGAGGATGTGGAGAAATAGGAACACTTTTACACTGTTCGTGGGACTGTAAACTAGTTCAACCATTGTGGAAGTCAGTGTGGCTATTCCTCAGGGATCTAGAACTAGAAATACCATTTGACCCAGCCATCCCATTACTGGGTATATACCCAAAGGATTATAAATCATGCTGCTATAAAGACACATGCACATGTATGTTTATAGTGGCACTATTCACAATAGCAAAGACTTGGAACCAACCTAAATGTCCAACAATGATAGACTGGATTAAGAAAATGTGGCACATACACACCATGGAATACTATGCAGCCATAAAAAATGATGAGTTTATGTCCTTTGTACGGACGTGGATGAAGCTGGAAACCGCCATTCTCAGCAAACTATCACAAGGACAAAAAACCAAACACCGCATGTTCTCACTCATAGGTAGGAACTGAACAATGAGAACACATGGACACAGGAAGGGGAACATCACACACCAGGGACTGTTGTGGGGTAGGGGGAGGGGGGAGGGATAGCATTAGGAGATATACCTAATGCTAAATGACGAGTTAATGGGTGCAGCCCACCAACATGGCACATGCATACATATGTAACGAATCTGAGTGTTGTGCACATGTACCCTAAAACTTAAAGTATAACAATAATAAAAAAAAAAGAGAGAATGCAAGGCATGGCACGTAAGGACAATTGTAATTCAAACTTCTCACTTCTGTCTTTAAGGAGAAAGGTCAATGGTTACTAGCACACAGGTTTTTAACTACCTCTCTAGCATTTTTCACTTGAGAAAATCACTGAACTTCACAGAACCTCAGTTTCTTTATTAGTCAATGCACTTCCTATCTCTCAAAACACTTTATGGAAAAGAAAAAAGACAAAGAATGTAAAAATATTGCCAAATGTTAAGGTGTGAAATGGGGATGTCTATTGAAGGGGAGGCTGAGATAAACCTTTGGCTTTGCAATTTACAATCTTCAAAACCTTGCATAAGTTACTTATGAGGTTTGTTTCTCTGTCTGTAAAATAGGATAACAAGAGTGACCTTTAAAGATTGTTTTATATAGCATACGCAGGGTGCTCTCTGCAGTACGTGACTTACTGAAGATACCACTTACATGTAGGTATCATTATTACTGCAACTGCTATAAATACATGATATTTCTTAGATGTCATGGAATTCTAAGGCAGTGGAGCACATTATTGTTATGAAGAGAAAACTTCACTCACGAATTCGGCCAAAAAAAAGACATAAAGATGTTATTTTTATAAAAAGCAAAAGGACAAAAGTGGCATTCATGCCTGTTTCCTAAATAAAAAATGTTACGTGCGTGAATAGAGAAAGTATTACAATAAGAAGTTTAAAATAATTTTTAAAAATAGAATAGAGAAAATTGTTTAAAAAGCATGCATTTGCAAAGACATGTCAGCGATTATGATATCACTTACTAAAAGTAAAGGAGTTCTCCCACCAAGTAAGCATAGAAAAAACTTCACCAAATACTCCTGATTTCTTTTGGATAATCCTGGTAAAGTGCTATGAAGATAAAGTAACTTTCTGTGAGATAACTTAGTATCTTAAAAATATTAAGAATATTTATATCTTGTCTCATTTGAAGATGACTATGAAAACTATGGTTGTTGCTTGCTACCAAAGCAACCTTTTTTGAACACATGAGTTGACAGCATGCACTGTTAGTTTAATCAGAAAATCATTTCGGGCACCTTAGTGTCCATAAAAATGAGCATTATTTTTTTCTCTCCTACCTTATCCATCCCCTTGAAGCTTCTATACAAATGTTTTCTAGCAGTTTCCACTCCCTCCACCACCCAAAACTCTGTAGGAGAGACAGGACTCATTTATGCACCAAAAATGAAATGAAATGTGATGACTTGTCCTCTGAAACTGTACTGTACATAGACATATTTGGCATGACCCAAATAGAGGCAGAAAAAAATGTTAAATCTCTCTCATCCTCAAATACCTCCCAAGAAGGAATTATGTGACTGGCTTACAAGAACCAATGCATAAGAAATTTCCTTAAATTAGACTGTACTTTTTAAGGAGTACTTTTTAAGGATTTTGAAATATCAAAATCCAGTGTCTTCAGGGTGGTCTTTCTTAGCTGGCATCCACAAGAGGCAGCTGAGTTGTTAGAAGGGCACTGAGTCTGGAGTGGGGCTGCCTGGGTATGAGTTCCAGCTTGCTGCTTACAGTCATGAGAATTTAGACAAAGAATTTACAGCCTCTGTCTCTCAGTTTCTTCTTCTGTTAAATAAGTTAATAAAAGCACCAACTTTTTACTTTCTGGTTATCATAAGAATTAAACCAGTTAATACATGTGAGAGACTTAGAATATTACCCGACATATCATAAGTGATATATAATTGATTGTTCAGTAAAATCAGTGAAGGACATACAGATAGTTTTTGAACAAATATTATTTTAAAAATATACCAGACACAACTATTAAATAACCACTTTTGAACAATTCATTAACTCAACTATTTATTGAATATCATTAATCATGTCAGCAATTAATTATATTAATCATAAACATATTTATTATCACCCCTTAAAAGGAGACACAGATTCTACCCTTGAGAGATTTACAGACAAAAGTTGAAGGAACCTCTATGAGAACTTCAAATTTAGAAGTGCAAAATTGTATGTAACTGATCTACTCATGCCAATTTGTAAAGATCATTTTACAGTGATCCTTCAATCAAAGAAGTGAAAGAATTTATGTCCTTTTGAATTTCATTACAAGATCACATATTTTCATTTAAATAGAAATGTGCTTTTCATAATACATCTCAGTACTTCATCTGCTGTCACCTACTAATATATTTCTTTATTCTATATGACTATTTTTTCTGCCAATATAAAAAAAGGTATTATATCATATATCATATAATATATGGGATAACATATAATTTATATATGACATATTAACATGTCATGGTTTCATATGCCAACATGAAAAATCTGAGCTCTATAAATTATTTTCTGCCTAAGGAATATCTATGACACATGGCATAAACTTCAGGTACAGCCCACTGAGCATGGACATTTCCGGCTACTTTCTTGTGTAGTTGAAGAAACATAATGTGTCTTTGCTCCCTGAGAGAAGCCCAACTGCCATCCGGAAAGTGCACTCTTAAGGGGGCTTCCATGCACGTAAATGAGTGTGGTAGACTATGCAAATCCAGGGAGTGCCACACAAGTAAATAGCAGCCCTCTTTTCCACAGCAGCAAAAACCATCCGTGGTAGAATCGAGACAAAGGCCAAAATGGGTATGGGGGCCTGAATGGGACTCTAGACTCAGTAGTCAGCACAGGCAATTATTTCTCCTGTACACATAGGTGGCATGAACACACAAGCAGAATTTAAACCACACACACACACACACACACACACAAATTATTACTGATTCCAGTAGTTTTGAAGTAACAGGGATTCAAACTACTAACAATTGATATTAGTTATTGAGCAGCTACAAGAATGAGATACCAAACTAAGTGCTTCATTTATGTCATTCACTAATGTAACTGTATTAACATCTACTCTATTACACGTAAGGACACTAAGAGTCAGAAAGTTAACAGACTCTCCAGAGCTCATGCATAAGCAACAGGCTTAGGTGATAAGCTCTGGGCCTGCTGAAGCCAGTGCCTACAATCCGAAATGCTATGCTGCTCCTCAGCAAAAGGGGATTATCAATCTCCACTTGACGGTCACTCCCCTCCTTGTTCTTCAGTTTTGCATGTGCTTCATGAAGCTTGACCTGCATTTTGGGTGTCTTAAGTGGCAATCATGAGCCATATTTTTTTCATGCTATTTCAAAATATAGCACAATCTTCAATATATATTAATACTCAGACATATACATCCAATTACCAAGTGTAGGGATGTTAGAGATAAAACCTAGAAGACTCAGACATAAAAGAAAGTGAGAAACAGGAATGAAAGGGAAGGTATAATGGTGCTAAATGAGAGAGAAGATGTATTTATGACAACAGACAACATACCAAAGGGCTTTTTTTTTTTTTTACTATACTTACACATAGCATTTTTGCAAGGAATAAATCACTAGGAAATGCTCTAAGATAAATATTTTGAGCTGACATTTAACTGCCCAATACCTAACCAAGCTTGACAGGATACATTATTTTCCATTTGCAGTTTTATGAGACTTCATATTCCTCTGGTAAAGTGATGGGAAATGGGAAGACATGAAAGCATTGTTTTTTCACTTTTTTCCCATTTGAAATGCTCTTTGAGTGATACTGCAAGTTCAAATTTCTGTGGTTTGTATCTAACTCTTTTTTACCCCCTTTGACAGTGTCTTTTAATGAATTATATCTGAACATCAACCTTTCCTGAAATGTCTGTTGTATATTGTAAAAACCCTCACAGTTTATCACATAAGAGAGGCCTATGAAAACAACCATGAAGACTTAGCAAACATGCTGTCTGCTGCCAATTTACAAGGATGTAATTAGGAAGATTAGGTAACCTGCCCAAGCTCACACACTCGGTAAAGCACAGTGCTGGCAGGGCTGTCTGACACCGGCATTTATGTTCCTGGTTGTGAGACTCTAGGCAGTGTCTCTAGTGATCCATTTCTGTATTTCAAATATGCTGGAAAAATATTGCTCATTCAAAAATATATCTTGTTCCAACTTCCCACTTACTAATCTCAATATGGAAGTGTGTCTTGCCTTCTCTTGATTCCAGTGAAAAGATAATTCTAGTGTAACCATATTGACCATTGCACCTACTGTGCTGATTAGACAATGAAGTATTCATATTTTGGCACACAATCCAGAGAGGAATAATCCTTCTTGATCCCCCTGTCTACCTATTCTGAGTTCCATTTGGTGTCCTTTGCCTTTCTTGCCAATTGTGGCTACTAGGAAAGATTATCATAGCAGCAAGACACTACAATTGCTGTACCCAAGCCAACTGACCAATTTGACATTAATTCTTTCATTCAACAAATATTTGTTGAGTGCCTATTAAGTACCTATTGTGGATACAGAAGGAAACAAGAAATGAAATGTCTCACATTTTATGGCAATAAATAAAGCAGGTATATAATATTAACAAAGAAAATAATTACATAAACAAATAAAAACAAATTTTTGTTACTGGAAATGTGTAGAGATTGGAAATACAATGATGGATAGTGGCAGATGAGGCAGCTATTTCAGACAGGGTTCACAGAAGACCTCCTGAGCATTAAGGTTTAAGCTGAGACCAGAACATACATCTTGGGAAAGATATTGCCCAACAGAGAAGACATCTAGTGCTTCCTCTGGACATCTAGTGCTTGCATTAACTTGGTGTCCCTGGGCTAGTTTTAACCTTTCTATGATTCCATCTCCTCATCTGTAACACAGATGCCTAGTGTTGTTATGAGGAGACAATTATTTAATGTATATAATAGAGTAGCATCTATCACAGAAAGGGAGCATTAAAATTAACTACTGCTGTCTCTAGCAATTATAATTATGACTTTTCTCTTCCAGTTCAAGTTTCCCTCCAAGAGATAAGGACACCATGTTGAACTGGTAAGAAATGTTGATTTACGAACACATAGTTTATTTGCATAAACTATAAATACAAGAGTGAGGAAGACAACGTATCTCCATTATTCAGAAAGTTCCAGCACTCAAGGCTTCAAAACTAAACTGTTTAATTAATATACATATGTCTGTTCTCTTTCAGTATCATCATTTACCACAGGTAAACCTTTCTCCAACTTCTCCTCAGGTCACTTTTTCCCTAATTATAGCCTACTGCATTGCTATGTGCATTTCCTCATTCTAACACCGCATAATGAGGTAGAAGCCCCATATTGTGGCAAGTTGGGGCTCTCTTAAATTTACTGACTTAGTAGACTATACCTTAATCATATGGGATATTTCTAACCTTGCAAAATTTATATAATTACACTTTCTTTTTTTTGAGACGGAGTCTTGCTCTGTTGCCCAGGGTGCAGTGTAGTAGTGTGGTCTTGGCTTACTGCAACCTCTGCCTCCTGGTTCAAGCGATTCTCCTGCCTCAGCCTCCCAAGTATCTGGGATTACAGGCATGTGACACCAGGCCCGGCTAATTTTTGTACTTTTAGTGGAGACGAGGTTTCACTATGTTGGCCAGGCTGGTCTCGAACTCCTGACCTCAGGTGATCTGCCCACCTTGGCCTCCCAAAGTGCTGGGATTACACGCATGAACCACCATGCCCGGCCATAATTACACTTTAAAACCCTCTAACAAAACACTTAATATGTTTACTTCTGATCTTAAAATATCTTCTCCAATGCAATACATTTCTGTTCTCTTCAGTGTTATAAAGTACTCTCCATTCTGTTGTTTCTTATTCCAATTTTCTTAACTTCTTATAAAAAAAAGAAGCCTTCCCCTTCAATTTCCCACTTCTTTTCTCCGCATCAATACATTTCTATCAGGCATCATTTAGACAGTATTTCTTTACTGATGTTATTTACCTGGTTATAGACAGTCTTAAGTTCAAGAGTTCTAGAGTACCACTGTCATTTAGGATTTTCCTAGTTCATATACCTAAATAAGACAATTTGAGATGATTTTTTAAATTTAAAAATAATGAAATAAATTATCAATAATTTAATCCACATATAATTATAATATTATATTAAACTAATTAAACAGTAACCTAATTGTAGATTATGTAAAATGAAATTCTCTTGCTAGTAAACTGGTAATGGCTTCTGGCCAACTATCTGCCAAACTCAAGTAGAATTTGCCTGATTGAACATTATTAAATGAATACCTATAAGGGCATGGTGCAAACATAATGATCATAAAATAAATCTGTGCTTGCACATCCATGCTAGGACAGAGTAGTTAGTAGGAAACCACCACTCTTATGAAGCACACACAGGACAGCCAGTAAAGTATGACATCATCTGTTCAAAATCAATAGAGAGCTGCTGAGACAGAGGAAGCTGGAGAGAGGAAACAAACTTCAAGAGGAGATCTGACTTGTGCAGCCACTTTTATCCTGAGTTTGTGCAACATAATTTCTAGAAGCCTTGAGAGAAAAAACTATGTAGTTAGAAAGAACAAAGAATGGAGACCTTGAGGAAATATAAGACTACTAGTTAAAACTATAGAGGGACAATGGAAATAAGAGGCAGACTTGGTCTCATCAAACATACAGACCAGCCTTGACTGCACACAGTCCCCGAGTGGACTAAAGTGACCGCATCCTCCTTTATCAGACTCACCTAGAGAAAAGCAAACTCTCTCTAAAGAAAGATAACATTTGAACGTTTTTGTATGTAATGCCCAGCATGCAATTAAAACTTACTCATTATGCAGAAGAATGAAAACAGACCCCTATCTCTCACCATACCAACTCAAAATGGATTAAAAGCTAACATGTAAGGCCTGAAACTATACAACTGCTAGAAGAAAACATGGGAAAATAGCTTAGACATTGGTCTGGCCTTTTCAAAAGGCAACCAAATAGGCAACCTAAAAAAATAGGCAAATGGGACTATATTACATTTTAAAAGCTTCTGCACAGCAAAGGAAACCATCAACAGAGTGAAGAAACAATCTATGAAATGGGAGAAAATATTTGTAAACTATTCATCCAACAAGGAAGTAATATACAAAATATACAAGGAACTCAAACAACTCAACTGCAAGAAAACAAATAATCCCATTACGAAGTGGGCAAAGGACATGCTTAGACATTTCTCAAAAGAAGGCATACAAATGGTCAACAGATATATGAGAAAATACTCAACATCAACAACTATCAGGGGACTGGAAATCAAAACCTCAAGAAGATATCTTCTTACCCAATTAGCATGGTTTTTATCAAAAAGACAAAAAAATGCTGGAAAGAATACAGAGAAAAAGGAACTATTTACACACCGCTGGTGAGAATGTAAATTATCACAGTCATTTTTTAATGGATATTTCTAAAAGAAAAAAAGCCTAAAAATAGAACGACTATACAATCCAGCAATCCCACTAATGGGTATCTAAACATCTATGTTTATTGCAGCACTGTTCACAATAGCCAAGATACGGAATCAAGCTAAGTGTCCATCAATGAATGAATGAAAAAAGGCAATGTGGTAGATATACACAATAGAATACTATTCACTTTTAAAAAAGAATGAAATCCTGTCATTTGCAGCAACATAGACTGAACTGGAAATCATTATGTTAAGTGAAATAATCCAGTCACAGAACGACAGACAGACACATGTTCTTGTCATGTCATCACAGAAAGACACATGTACTTATTCAAATGTGTAGCTAAAAAAGTTGATCTCATGGAAATGTGTGGCTAAAAAAGTTGATCTCATGATGGATATTGGAGGCTGGAAATGGAGGATGAGGAATGAAGTGAGGCTGGTTAATGTAAAAACATTCAGTTAGATAGAAGGGAGAAGTTTTAGTGTTAGCTCAATAGGGTGACTACCATTAATAATAATTTATTGTATAATTCAAAATAGCTAAAAGAGAAGATTTGAAATGTTTTCAACACAAAGAAATAAGTGTTTAAGGTGATGTATATCCTAATTACACTGGTTTGATCACTACACATTGTATGCATGTATTAAAATACCACACATACCTATAAATATATACAATTATTACATATCAATTAAAAAGAAAAAATACAGCACCATTACAAGCAAGGATTTTCCCCTAAGGGGGAAAACAGCACACTAATTATACAAAAAGGCAGAAGGACAGAATGAAAACAAAAGAAAAAAGAGATAATAAAAATAAGCCTCTGTTTGATCCAACTATCAATGTGAACTACCAATGGCCTTTAAATAGTATCAGAAGCAAACTTTACAAATAGAGGAAAATCTTTAAACAATAAATTAAAAGATGCACATTTTCATCAGTTAAGTAGAATTTATTTTTAAGTTGAAATTCTAAAATCTAAAAAATATAATAATATTTGAAGATAAGAAATAACTAAAGTGTTTTTACAGCAGATTAGACACGCAGAAAACAGGATTTGAGAATCAGAAGATGGTTCATTAGAAATGATGAATTGAGACACAGAGAAAAACACAATAAATGATGCAAAAAGAATATTAGAGATATATAGGACACAGCTAAAAGTGTAATATAGGTTTATTGTGAGTCCCAGAAGGAAAGGAGAGGATGACTATTAGGTTTTGAATGTTCAACTTTATTAATTTCGTTCTGAATGCTCAAACAAGATATCTGCATGAGAGAAGTAGTTAGTATTATGTTATGTAATACGTGCATGCCTTTCTTCACATAGGTCCTTACCTTGGGTAAGTGCCGTAGCCAGATGTGAAAAACACATTCCTTTACAGAGACAACAATAAGACTGGCAGCTGATTTCTCAGTTGATGAGCCAGCAGACAACATAATGATATCCTAAAACTTGTCAGGGAATATCTCATCTGGGAAATAGATGTCTTATAAAAATATCCTGCAACAATGAATGTGAAAAAAATGTATTTTTAGACAAACAAAATTGAGAAAACTAAATTTGACCTTAAAGAACTATCAAGGAGAATATTTTATGCATATGGAATATAACTCCAGGTTAAAAGAAGAAATTTCAGAAGTTAAGGATGAGGAATATAATGGGTAAATGTGTGAGTAAATTTAAATAAAAATTAACTAAATATTTACTTATAAGGCAATAATAGCAATCTTTATGAGACTTAAAATTATGCCAAATTAGTGTTTTTTTCTTCTCTTCAGTTGACAAATAATAATTGTATGTATTTATGTTATACTACATGATGTTTTGCAACATATATGTACCTTATGGAATGACTGAATAGAAGTAATTAACATATGCATTACCTCAAATATTTACTGGGCTGGATCATAGCTCACAGCAGCCTTGACCTCCTGGGCTCAAAAGATCCTCCCACCTCAACCTCCTGAGGAGCTTGAATTACAGGTGCAAGCCACTGCATCTGGCTCCCTAACAATGTGTGCGTGTGTGTGTGTGTGTGTGTGTGTGGTGACAACACTTAAAATCTATTCTCTTAGCAATTTTCAAGTTTAAAATATATTGTTACTATGGCCACTTTGTTGTACAATAGATCTCTTGTATTTATTGCTCCTGTGTAACTGAAATTTTGTATCTTTAACCAACATCTTCCCAATCCCCACCTCACCTTGTAGCTCTTGGTAACCACCACTCTACTCTCTGCCTCTGTGAGTTTGACTTCTTACATTCCACACATAAGTGAGATTATAGTGTGTGTATTTCTGTAACTGGCTCATTTCACTTAGCAGAAAGTCATACAGGTTTATTTATCTTGTTGCAAATGATGGGATATCCTTTTTTTGTAAGGGTTCCATTGTGTACATGTAGCACATTTTCTTAATCCATACATTTGCTGATGGACCCATAGGTTGATTCCATATTTTGTCTATTGTGAATAATGCTGCAATAAACATGTGAGTGCAAATATCTTTCTGATGGTCTGTTTTTGTTTTTTTGGGGGGTATACACCCAAAAGTGCGATTGCTGGGTCATATAGTAGTTCTATTTTTAATTTTCTGAGAAACTTCTTTACTGTTTTCCATAATAGCCCTACTAATATACATGCCTACCAATAGTGTGAAAGAGTTCACTTTCCTTCATATCCTCACCAACCTTTATCTTTTTTTTATAGTAACCATTTAAAAGCTGCTAGGTGAAACCTCATTGTGGTTTTAATTTGCACTTCCCTGATGATTAGTAATGTTGATCAATTTTTCATATACCTGTTGGCTATTCGTATGTCTTCTTTTGAGAATTCTCTTTTCAGGTTCCTTGCTCAATTTTTAATTGTGTTATTTGTTTTCTTGCTACTGAGTTCTGTGAGATCCTTATAGATTTTGAATATGACCCCCTCATTATATGTATGGTTTGCACATATTTTCTCTTGTGGTGGAGGTTGTCTCTTCATTCTGTTCACTGTTACCTTTGCTGTGAAGAAGCTTTTTAGTTTGGTGTAATCCCATTTGTCTATTTTTGCTTTTGAGGTTAGAACACAAAAAATTATTGCCCAGACCAGTGTCGTAGAACTTTTCTACTAGACTTCTTCCTAACAGTTTTAGAGTGTCCGATCTTACATAAGTCTATATTAAGTTAATTTTTGTATACAGTGTAAGAAAAATATGTGGCATTTACATGCATAATATCAATTAAGTAAAAGTTAGGAGGAAATTAATGCCATTAACATGTTCTAAAGTTGTGACATTATTTGAGAAGTAATAACATAATTTTATGTTACATGATATAATCCTACTCCCTGTGGTAATTATGAATAGATGAGTAAAAGAAAATACGACAAGTTAATACAAGGAGAAAATGCAAAAAAAATCTGATTAATCCATAAAAGACAATAACAGAGTGGAAAAGAAACATAAACAATGAGTAAAATAAAAACCAATTCATTATATGGCAAATTTTAACTAATTCCTATGCATATATACTTACACTAAGTATATAAATGTTCTAAGTAATTTAATTAAAGACAAACATTGTAGGACTGGATATAGCTGCTAGTGTTAATTATCTGCCCATATCAACCAGCTTTTATTGTTTCTTTCATAATGGTCCAGTCTCTATTCTCCTACCCCTGTGCACGTTTGGCTGGAGGCCTTCTTTGGCTATAGCATCCTACTCTACACCTGTGTGCCTCCCAGGAATAACCTTCAACCAACGACTCCTCAGAGTTAGAAAATGAACAGCCTAAACACTTCATTTTTTGGAGTGTGGAAATTATCTCTGAGGTGTGCCTTCTGTGCTGTCTGTCATTGACCCTGGTCAGATTAAGCTCAAATTACCAACAGAGGCTTCCTCTCCTTCCCTATCTAATTTGCCAACTAAAATGTAGTGAAGCGTGTCAGTGAAGCATAAGATCATCACTGAATAAACTCTGTATATCAAAATCCTCATCTCATGGTCTTCTCAGGAAGCCCAAACTATGTAATGCCATAAAAATATTAAATATTTAACTCAATGATACATGTGTGAGACAGGTTTTAAATAAAAAATAAAGTTTAAAACTAAAATGATGGAAAACAATAAAAATACTTTTCGAAAGCTTATGTCACGATTCTAATAAAACATGTGCTTAAAGGTAAAAAGACTTTCTAGAGATGAAGACTATTCTAAATTATAAAGGAAAATAAAGCTATACTTTTCTAAATAGCTATACTATTCTAAATCTCTATAACATAGCTTCAGATAAGTAGATATAATACTTCTAAATCTACATAATATAGTTTCAAAATAAATAAAGCAAAAATTAGGGAATTCAAGGGAGCGGGGACAAGTATGTGATCATTTTGGGAGATTTTAATATGTCTTAAAATAATCGAGAAAATAAGTGAACAGGAAGACTGATCTTCATTGATACAGAAAATCTGAGTAACACAGTGAAGAAACTGATGCATCAAGAAATTATGTAACATAACTATGAATATACAATTAAGAGACTTCACCTCATTTATCTATATAGAACAATTTAACGATTACAGAATTTGTCTTTAGATCTACATACTGAATATTAACGAAATGACCATATGCTGGACTATAAAGAAAGCCTCAATAACTATCAAACGATAGACTTCATCAGAGTATATTCGCTGAGTAGGAAGAAGCCAGGCATTAATAACAAAAATAAAACTATAAAAATAGGAAACTTGTTAAATAGTAAACAACACATTTCTAATTAATTTATAAATCACAACAATAATCTATGACAGATAACAGAAGCTAGAAATATTTTCAACTGAATTATAATTATAGCAAAACATCAAAATTTGTTGCACACAACTAAAGCAACACTTTAGTGAAAAATTTGTGGTATTAAATGCATATATTGTGAAAAAAGAAAGGCTGAAAATAAATAATATAAACGCTCATATCAAAAAGTAAGCTAAAAAACCATCAAACCTAACACAAAGTAGAAAAGAATACTAGTAAAGATAAAAACACAGTTTTGAGAATATAAAACAAGCATATTTTAGAGAATATAAAACAAGCATCACAAAAGCCAAATGTTGATTATTTGGAATAATTAGTAACATTTGTAAATTTCTAGCAAAATTGATTTTTAAAAATGAGACAGGAAACTATCAATACAAGGATTGAAAAAGCAAATATCACTGCAGACCTACAGATATTTGGAAAGATAATAAAAGAACATTATGATAGACTGCAATTTTATGCTATGATAAAAACATAATTGATCAAAACTAACAGAAGGAGAAATAAAAATTTGAATGCTCCTATTGTCAACTATTCTTACAATCCTTTCCTCAAAAGAACTTTAGCCCTACATGGCCTGACCAGTGAATTCTTTTAAATATTAAAGGAAGAAATAGTATTGACCACACACAAATTCCACAGATAAGAATGAAAATAGGAACACATTTGTAAACTTTGTACGAGGTCAGCATATCCCTGAAAAGGACAAGAAAGGAAAATTTACAAATCAAAGCCCTTCCATGAGCATTGATATAAATATCCTCAACTGATCAGCAAATTAATCTCTACAATATATTAAATGATACGATCTATTGACTAAACAGGTTCTTTCCTCTAAAGCAAGGGTGATTTAAAATAAGAAAATCAATAACAGCTCATCTCATAAACAGATAAAAGAAAGAGGAGAAATCATGTAATAATCTCAGAATCATGCGATGAAATTCAATACCCAATCATAAGAAAAATCTATTGGAATCTATTAGAATTCCCAAAGGGAGTTCATCACAGCACCTACAGTGGAAGATTATGGGGCAACATGAAAAACACAAGAAATGAAATAGAAAACAAAATAGATGCTTTCATTAAAGCTTTATCAAAACTTGTGTTCTTATGCATCAACTGTGAGGCAACACAGAAAGCAAACTCCTTAAATCAATAAAGACTATAGATAAAACCTTCAGACTAGCCTATGTTACACTAAAGTATAATTATGAAAATAGTACAAAGAAATATGTTTCAGCTTCACCAATTCCTTTGTGTTGCCTCGCAGTTGATGCATAAGAATACAAGTTTCAATATAGCTTTAATGAAAGCTTCTATTTTGTTTTCTATTTCAATTCTTATGTTTATCATGTTGCCCCATAATCTTCCACAGCAGGTGCTGTGATGACCTCCCTTTGGGAATGGAAGACTTTCTCCCCCAGGTGCCTGGAGTTCTTCTAGCAGAACACCCTCAGTCATTCACTCCACAGGGACGGCCCAGCTAAGGAGAGTTGTGGCAGCCATGGCCAGGCCCAGGCCCCTTCTGGTGTGGTCACATCCAACCACTAACCAACCTGGGTATGTAAATTCCCACCCTTTCACCCCAACTAGGGATGATCTTGAGAGTCTTCCTACTCTCAGAACTCCCAGGGTACTGGCTGAGGCCTCCACTGAGCTTACCTTCACAGCACACCTTCTTCCTCTGCCCAGCTGTCCTTCCCACTTTCCTTTCCTTGGCCTTTTTTCAAGAGCACACCCTGAGAGCCTCCCATAAGTCAGCCCCCTTGCAGTCAGCTTCCTAAGGTCCCAGACAATTGCATCTTCATGGATTTATTTTTTTAATGGTTGTTTAATAATCCATAGAATTTAAACATCATAAATCTCTAATCTTCATTTTATATATGTATAATTATTTTCTTCTGTAACACCGAAACACCATTTTGTTGGGTGTTAATTTAATATTCTTTGAATTATTTTCTTAAAGTGCATAGCCAAGAGTAAAATAACTAGGTCACAATTTGTGTGTGCGTGTATATATATATATATATATAATACAAATTATACTACCATATTCTATATGTGAGTTATATATATTCATAAGAATACAGTGTTGTCATTCTGTAGCATGTGATTTTGCCAGCTGGTAACACACATCAATCACTCTACTCGTACAACAGCTTTCCCAGTACATCACATAATTAGGCATGATTTTATTTGACAATTAAGAGATATAAAATAGAACCTCACCCTTCCTTTAGTTTGAAATTCTATTCACTAGCAATTTTAAAAATTACTTCTTTTTTCTATAATTAACATAATTTTTAGCAAAGTAATGGAATTAAAAGAAATGTTATATGAGTGTTATACCTAATTGTTTTCACTACTTTTTTCTAAACAGCTCATAAATCCCTGGTTTTTATACAGCTGTTCTCCTAGGAATCAAGGATATAGAACCCAATAATTAAAGTAGACATGTTTGATAGAGTTAATTCATTTTTCATCCAAATTGCTATTATTATTCTGACACAATAAATATGCCATTAATTAAAAATAACTGCTATAGAAATACATAGAATTTAAAGCATATGAATCTCAGTTCTAACACTTTTTAGTAATTTAAACTTTCATAATCTTATTTACTTATCGGTATAAATGTGGACACAAATGCCCACCTTGTAGCGTAGATATGACGACTACGTGTGTAAAGCCGCTGGAGTAGTATCTGCTCTGTAAAAGAGCTCCCATGTTCTGCACTGTAGAAAAAAAGAGAAGATTCTGGCCCATATTTCAGGGCATAAATGAAAGAAAACTAGCCTATAGTAGGAGAAAGCAAATATAGGATGGTCCTGGACAGAGCCTTCCAGAGCAGCAGTCTGAATGAGAGATAATAAACACTATCTAGGAAAAACATGTATACTCATGTTTTGTAAGAAGATCTCAACTTCTGACAAGGACTTCCTGAAAATGGTCCTCTGCAGGCATGGACTTCAGGTAACTGGTTATATATGTTTGCCTGTATCTCCTACAGGGCTGCTATAAATAAGACTCAGCAAAGTCCAGGCACTGATGACATGAAGGAAAGAATGGAGTTGCTATGGATCCTCTAGCCAGGTCTGAAACCCTGACATTCCAAGCAGACTCAAGGGCATAAAGGCAAATGACGGTAGAAGACTCTGCTACAGTACGACTTTCCTGTATGATCACCTACGTGGTGATGTGGTAGCCTCTTGGGTGCAGATAGCAGCTCACTCTTAAAGACATTTGCTTATGATTTATCGGAAGAAAGGTGTAGCAACTAGATTTACATAGAAGTTCTAGTCACAGAATACCTGGGCGAACTTGAAGGCTTTTTCATCATTTGGGCTTATAATGTCATATCAAAGAGAATATTTAAAAGTGAATAATCCAAATACAATTTACTTGAGTAATATTTGTTGAATGCCTACTCCATGGTAAGAAACCACTTAGAAAATAAGGATATAAAACCAAATTAGACAAGAGACTGCCCTCAAAGAGGTCAAGTGATCACTCTACCTTAAACAAAATTTATGAAAATGCATTTTTAGGTAATAATATTTTAAATTATCGAATAAATGGCTACTTGTTAGAGACTAGACCAAAATGTTGCCCATAAATTTATAAAATATTTTCCTCTGTTCAGGTCCTTTGCCTACTTTTTAATAGGGTCGTTTGTTTTTTTTCTTGTAAATTTGTTTTCATTCCTGGTGGATTCTGGATATTACACCTTCGTCAGATGAATAGATTGCAAAAATTTTCTCCCTATCTGTAGGTTGCCTATCACCCTGATGATACTCAAAAGAAGACATTTGTGCAGCCAACAAACATATGAAAGAAAGCTCAACATCACTGATCACTAAAGAAATGCAAATGAAATCCACAATGAGATACCATCTCATGCCAGTCAGAATGGCCAACATTGAAAGTCAAGAAACAGCAGATGCTGGCCAGGTTGTGGAACAATAAGAATGCCTTTACACTGTTGGTGGGAATGTATGTTAGTTCAACCATTACGGAAGATGGTATGGTGATTCCTCAAAGATCTAGAGCCAGAAATACCATTTGACCCAGCAATCAATACATCCACATGTGTTCATTATAGCACTATTCACAATAGCAAGGACATGGAATCAACCCAAAGGCCCATCAATGATAGACTGGATAAAGAAAATGTGGTACATATATACCATGGAATACTATGCAGTCATAAAAAGGAATGAGATCATGTCCTTTGCAGGGACACAGATGGAGCTGGATGCCATTATCCTCAGCAAACTAATGCAGGAAGAGAAAGCCAAACACCACATATTCTCACTTATAAGTGGGAGCTTAACAATGACATCATATGGACACAAGGAGGGGAACAATATACACTGGGGCCGGTTGGGGGCTGGTATGGGGGGAGGGAGAGTATTAGGAAAAACAACTAATACGTGCAGGGCTTAATACCTAGGTGATGGGTGGATAGGTGCAGCAAACCACCACGGCCCACAGATATCTATGTAATAAACTTGCACACCCTACACATCTACCCCAGACCTAAAAATAGAATTAAAAATTAAAAAAATTTCCTCTGAATCAGATATTTACCTACCTTTATATTGCCTTATGTTATCCATTCATTAAACTCAGTAAATATTTATTGAGAAGCTATGAGCATATAGCAATGAACTACAGAGAAACAATTCCGGCGTGTGGGTATGTGGGCTTGAGAATGAGAAAGACTGGGGACATTTTGTAGCTTGGACATTGGGAATTGCAGTAGTAATAAGGGGTTGAACAGATGGGAGAAAGGAAAGAGTAGAACTTGCAGGGAATAGAACAAACTGGGGAGAAAAAGACTGTTAAAATCAATAGGACCTACTCATGGAAGGATTAGCCTTAAAGTGAAAGGAGATATCTTCCACAGAGACCAGTGGAAAAGAGACAAAGGTGAGCATAGATATTTGGAGCTGTCATAAGTGGATTCTGAGAGTGTCTGTTCCCCTCAGTCTCAACTATGGTCCTGGCACAAATTAGATGTTCAGCAGACACCTGCAGAATAAATAAGAGATAAATTTCAAAACAAAATCTCCACATAGAATGCTCTTACAACAGTGACATTATAAAAGTATGTAAAAGATTAGCAAAATTCTCAATAACGTAAGATGAATGTATATGTCAGTCAGTTTGTGATAATGATTCATAAAGGACAAAGTGTGTGAAAAATACAAAGGGAAGTAAACAATGAAGTTTCAATTTGCTTCTTACTCATAAAACTCCCAGAAATTTTATGTCACTATAATTAATCCCTAACAATTCTGAAAATGCATGAATGCTAAATACTTCAGTTATTCTTAAACTGTGACAGGCCGTTTATTTGGAACGCTGTGTTTCAGTCTCAGTTCTGTTCAAACCTCAATAAGAAAAAACCCATGCAGTCATTGCCTAGGTGGAAGACAGGATCATATTCAGGTGATTTGTACATAGCAGGGACACATGTTTGAAAATGCTAGCTTTTCCTAGCACCTGTGGGTAGTCATTGCATGTCAAACTGAGCAAGCTGATGTCCAATTCAATTCTGCTAGAGGAGGTGGAACCCAAGTTAATGTGGGCTGTAGGCCCAGCCAACTCATTTACCTGTGGTCACTGGGTGGAGGGCTGCATGCAAAAATGATACATGATGTTGTGTCACTTTGCCCTTGGGAACACACAGGTGAGGACATACAGAGGTGTGGTTCGACTCCCAGCTCCTACTCCACACTTAACTAATGACATTGGGCAAATCATTAAATCATTAAGACTTTCCAAGCCTCCATTTTCCTTTTTGTAAAATAAAGATTAATGGAGCCTCTTGCAAGACTAATAAAAGTATTAGAAATAATATATTTAAAGCATTCATATGCAGCATGGAATGTGGTGTAATTTTATAAATCATAGGCACCATTAGTAGAAGTAGCAGCATTAACAGCCTAATTCTTCTCAACCCATGATGAAGCTGATATCAAGATTGATTCTTAGCAATTTTAGCTGCCCCTTTTTAAGGAAGATTCTTGCTCTGTCACCAATATAAATTCTGTGGTCAACTCTTATTTTGAATTAGAAATTTTTATATTTATAATTTAAAGTTACGAACACACTGTGAAATATGTCACAATGTCTTCCCTAAGTGTCACATTGCTTTCTGTGGAACCTAGATACACCACGTACTCTAGGACAACAATGTAATTGCTTGCATAATTTTTTGAAGAGTGCTTTCAGCCTTGCTTCTATGTGACTTAAAGAAATTACTGCTGGTTAATAATTCAGTCCCTGCTTAAGCACCTGATTCATAATTTAGGAACAGTTTGATAAAATAAATATTCACTTGAGACAGGAATTAGGTATTCCCATGTGCAACAAGCATTGGTGTGAAAAGCATTGATGTGAACACGGTTGCCCTCCCAAATTATCTCACTTTGTAATAATGGCCCAGACCAGGAGAAGAGGCTCACGCCTGTAATCCCAGCACTCTGGGAGGCTGAGGCAGGTGGATGACCTGAGGTCAGGAGTTCGAGACCAGTCTTGCCAACATGGGGAAATCCCGTCTCTACTAAAAATACAAAAATTAGCTGGGAGTGGTGTCAGGTGCCTGTAATCCCAGCTACTCCGGAGGCTGAGGCAGGAGAATCGCTTGAACGCAGGAGGAAGAGGTTGTAGTGAGCCAAAGTCGTACCATTGCACTCCAGCCTGGGTGACAGAAGCAAAGCTCCATCTCAAGAGAAAGAAAGAAAGAGAGAAAGAAATAAAGAAAGTAAGGAAGAAAGGAAGAAAGAAAGAAAAAGAAAGAAAGGCTCAGAATTCAGAAGAGAGAATATCAATCATGCTTTATTTCAGAGAAAACTTAATAATACAAAAAAAAGTTTGCATCAACAATTTCTCTCAAGGAATCTTCAAAGTTAAAAAAGATTAGCTATTTTCCTCAGCATCACATTTATGCCTTTAAAAACATCTACATGTTCTAATATTCTAAAAGTTACTTGTATTAGGCCATTGTTGCATTGCTATAAAGAAATACCTGAGATTGAGTAATTTATACAGAAAAGAGGATTGCTTGGCTCAGGGTTCTGCAGGCTGTACAGGAAGCATAGCTATTCTGCCTCCGGGGAGGCTTCTGGGTCGGGACACAGATCAAAAATATATCTTTACTCATTCTTATTTAGTTACTGAAGCTAACAGAAACTTATTTATTAAACTAAATTTATTAAATGCACTCTTCCTATTTGTATGGCACAAATGGCTGTGTGTCTGAAACCAGATCAAGGCAAAGTATCCATGACTATTAGGGATGGTGATAATGACAATGATAAAGATAACAATTATAATGGCAGCAATGAAAAGCACTAAAAGATCTAGTTTTTAAAGTTATTTTATAGTTAATCTCTCTCAGCATTCTGCTTTTCAGCACTGGCATTCCAGAAACTAGAAGAATCTTACTATAAATATAAGAATATCACTGTTGCAAAGAATATAGCATGTGATGCTCTCTTGAATGAAGAAAAGTCAATGATATTTCCTTTGGAGATTTCCACCGGAAAATTTTTGGATAGCTTGTCAGTCCTTACCAACAATAACTGTCCCTCTCTCAGTCCATAGGAAATTTACATAATATCTGACTAGATTTGACCCCATTGGCAAAGGAAAGGTCTCTCCCTGGGAATTTGAAGTTATAACTAAGAGAGTCCAGACTCAAGTTTGAGTGGATCACTAGAATGTGACAACAGGAGTGCCAGCATGGCCAGCTGCTGCATGCCCACGGTATGGTGGACACTGCAAACAGACACAGAAAGTAGGCAGGAGAGACAGGGGAAGCACACCGGGAGGCCTTAACTCCTGTGGCTTCCTGCTTCTAGCCCTTACCTACCATCTGGCTGCATTGACTAAGACACCAGTACTTTTACAATGAAGTCTCCATTTTTGATTTTGCTGGTTTAAACACGCTCTCATTATTTAAATTGAGAGGAGATCTAATCAAGATGGAAGACAGGCACTATTAGAGCACAGAAGGACTGAAGTTAATTTTGCTAAAAGAATGGTCTAGGGTTAAAAATTGGGCAAAACTTTGAAATATATGATTAGATGTCAATGGGCTTATACACAAATATTCCAAGGGTGATAATAGAGTATTAAAAGGCAGAAATGGGAGAAAGTGTGGGTGTTTGATAGAAGTGATTACTGTCGTGTGAAAGATTTATTATGTGTATTGGAGACAGAATGAGAGAAAATGAGAAAAATAGCTTTTGGGTTCAAATAACAAAAGATCTTAAACGCATTCATAAAATATTAACAGTTTATTTTGTTATCAGTGGAGGTCCACCAAAGTCTGTGACCATGGGCAGAAAACAAAAAAGGATAAATCTCATTTTCAAAACTTTGTACAAATTACTTACAGTCATCCTTCAGTATCTGCAGGGGATTGGTTCTTGGATCCCCGCAGTTACCGAACTCTGTACATATTCAAGTTCCGCCGTCGGCGCTGCCGAACCAGCAGGTGAGATAGTTCTTCCCTCCACATCCAAGATTTCACATCCCACTAATACTGTGTGTTCATTTCAGCCGCATTTAAGTGGACCCAGCCATTCACACCTGTGTAGTTCAAGGGTCAACTGTGCTACCAACTTTCACATTATTTCCAGCTTCTTTTTTTTCTAACACTTAAAAAAATAGGCCATAGGCCAGGCGTGGTGGCTCATGCCTGTAATCCCAGCACTTTGGGAGGCCGAGGTGGGTGGATCACGAGGCCCGGAGATCGACACCATCCTTACTAACACGGTGAAACACCGTCTCTACTAAAAATATAAAAAATTAGCCGGGCGTGGTGGCGGGCGCCTGTAGTCCCAGACTCGGGAGGCTGAGGCAGGAGAATGGCGTGAACCCGGGAGGCAGAGCTTTCAGTGAGCCGAGATCGTGCCACTGCACTCCAGCCTGGGTGACAAAGCGAGACTCCGTCTCACAAAAAAAAAAAAAAAAAAAAAGAAATAAAATAAAAAGTAAATAAAACAAAATCCATCTCTGTGACTTGGATCTTGGAAACTTGAATATGACTATTTTGGAAATGCATGTTTGGACATGGATGTTATGACCATCATTTTATGATTATCTGCCTATGATAACAAGGTGTCTATTCAATACTAAGATTGTGTTGATTCAGCTTATTTACACTATATAGCAGATGACAAACTGCATCTCAGATCAAAAAAGTGACCTGTCCAAGACCTCTTAGCAGGAAAGGCTTAGAGCACAGATACAAATTGGAGTTTATAACCACAGCCAGAAGCCATAGAAAAGTCTTCATAGAGGAGCTGGGATTTGATTTATGTCTTTTTTATTTTTTTAATTATACTTTAAGTTCTAGGGTACATGTGCACAACGTGCAGGTTTGTTACATATGTATACATGTGCCATGTTGGTGTGCTGCACCCATTAACTAGTCATTTACATTAGGTATATCTCCTAATGCTATCCTTCGCCCCTCCCCCCACCCCACGACAGGCCCCAGTGTGTGGTGCTCCCCACCCTGTGTCCAAGTGTTCTCATTGTTCAATTCCCACCTATGAGTGAGAACATGCAGTGTTTGGTTTTCTGTCCTTGCGATAGTTTGCTCAGAATGATGGTTTCCAGCTTCATCCATGTCTCTGCAAAGGACATGAAATCATCATTTTTTATGGCTGCATAGTATTCCATGGTGTATATATGCCACATTTTCTCAATCCAGTCTATCACTGATGGACATTTGGGTTGGTTCCAAGTCTTTACTATTGTGAATAGTGCCACAATAAACATACGTGTGCATGTGTCTTTATAGCAGTATGACTTATAATCCTTTGGGTATATACCCAGTAATGGGATGGCTGGGTCAAATGGTATTTCTAGTTCTAGATCCCTGAGGAATCGCCACATTGTCTTCCACAATGGTTGAACTAGTTTACAGTCCCACCAACAGTGTAAACGTGTACCTATTTCTCCACATCCTTTCCAATGCCTGTTGTTTCCTGACTTTGTAATGATCGCCATTCTGATTGGTGTGAGATGGTATATCATTGTTGTTTTGATTTGCATTTCTCTGATGGCCAGTGATGATGAGCATTTTTTCATGTGTCTGTTGGCTACATAAACGTCTTCTTTTGAGAAATGTCTATTCATATCCTTTGCCCACTTTGTGATGGGGTTGTTTGATTTTTTTCTTGTAAATTTATTTAAGTTCTTTGTAGATTCTGGATATTAGCCCTTTGTCAGATGGGTAGATTGCAAAAATTAACTCCCATTCTATAGGTTACCTGTTCACTCTGATGTTAGTTTCTTTTGCTGTGCAGAAGCTCTTTCGTTTAATTCGATCCCATTTCTCAATTTTGGCTTTTGTTGTCATTGCTTCTGGTGTTTTAGACATGAAGTCCTCGCCCATGTCTATGTCCTGAATGGTATTGCCTAGGTTTTCTTCTAGAGTTTTTATGGTTTTAGGTCTGACATTTAAGCCTTTAATCCATCTTGAATTAATTTTTGTATAAGGTGTAAGGAAGGAATCCAATTTCAGCTTTCTACATATGGGTAGCCAGTTTTCCCAGCACCATTTATTAAATAGGGCATCATTTCCCCAATTCTTGTTTTTGTCAGGTTTGTCAAAGATCAGAAGGTTGTAGATGTGTGGTATTATTTCTGAAGGCTCTGTTCTATTCCATTGGTCTATATCTCTGTTTTGGTACCAATACCATGGTGTTTTTGTTACTGTAGCCGTGTAGTATAATTTGAAGTCAGGTAGCATGATGCCTCCAGCTTTGTTCTTTTGGCTTAGGATTGTCTTGGCAATGTGGGCTGTTTTTTGGTTCCATATGAACTTTAAAGTAGTTTTTTTCCAATTCTGTGAAGAAAGTCATTGGTAGCTTGATGGGGATGGTATTGAATCTATAAATTACCTTGGGCAGTATGACCATTTTCACGATATTGCTTCTTCCTATCCATGAGCATGGAATGTTCTTCCATTTGTTTGTGTCCTCTTTTATTTCATTGAGCAGTGGTTTGTAATTCTCCTTGAAAAGGTCCTTCACATCCCTTGTGTGTTGGATTCCTAGGTATTTTATTCTCTTTGAAGCAATTGTGAATGGGAGTTCACTCATGATTTGGCTCTCTGTTTGTCTATTATTGGTGTATAGGAATGCTTGTGATTTTTGCACATTGATCTTGTATCCTGAGACTTTGCTGAAGTTGACTATCAGCTTAAGGAGATTTTGGGCTGAGACTACGGGGCTTTCTAAATATACAATCATGTCATCTGCAAACAGGGAAATTTGACTTCCTCTTTTCCTAATTGAATACCCTTTATTTCTTTCTCCTGCCTGACTGCCCTGGCCAGAACTTCCAACACTATGTTGAATAGGAGTGGTGAGAGAGGGCATCCTATGGATAAATTCCTGGACACATACACCCTCCCAAGACTAAACCAGGAAGAAGTTGAATCTCTGAATAGACAAATAACAGGCTCTGAAATTGAGGCAATCATTAACAGCCTACCAACCAAAAAAAGTCCAGGACCAGACGGATTCACAGCCAAATTCTGCCAGAGGTTCAAAGAGGAGCTGGTACCATTCCTTCTGAAACTATTCCAATCAATAGAAAAAGAGGGAATCCTCCCTAACTCATTTTATGAGGCCAGGATCATCCTGATACCAAAGCCTGGCAGAGACACAACAAAAAAAGAGAATTTTAGACCAATATCCCTGATGAATATCAATGCAAAAATCCTCAGTAAAATACTGGCAAACCAAATCCAGCAGCACATCAAAAAGCTTATCCACTATGATCAAGTGGGCTTTATCCCTGGGATGCAAGACTGGTTCTACATATGCAAATCAATAAACGTAATCCATCATATAGAACCAAAGACAAAAACCACATGATTATCTCAACAGATGCAGAAAAGGCCTTCAACAAAATTCAACAGCCCTTCATGCTAAAAACTCTCAATAAATTAGGTATTGATGAGATGTATCTCAAAATAATAAGAGCTATTTATGACAAACCCTCAGCCAATATCATACTCAATGGGCAAAATCTGGAAGCATTCCCTTTGAAAACTGATTTATGTCTTAAAGAAAATAGATAATTACTCAAGTTGAGGGTAGGAGGCAGGTCCATGTGGATGGCTGGAACGGACATGAGAAGCTCTGGGTCCTCACCCATCTTGGTTACTTACAAGCTGTGTGGACTGGGCAGAACCCAGAGGAACCATCTGAGCCTGATTTCTTTTATAAAAAATTGAATGTATTCTTTCTGTTTATGTCATAGGGCACTTGAAGGCATGAAATGTCACACATAAAACACAACAAACATGCAATGGCAAAAGTTTCACAATAGGATCACACAGGAAAACATATTGAACAATAAATCGTCTCCGTTTTTCATGGAATAAATGTAGGGAGTAAAGAGAATAAAGAATGAAAAATAGGGTGGTGCCAGCACACACTGGTGTGAAACCCAGGGGAGGATGATCCACATCTTGCTCATGGTTAGTGCCTGGACAGAGCCCTGAGAGGGAAGCTTATAAGCCGGAGCCCCTCCTTATGTTCAGCTGCTCTTTGCATCTTTGACTGTGACATAGTTCCTACCCAGCATTGGGCTCCAGTTGTTTCTTTGGTGCAGTATAAATCTTCTCCTGAGTTATATTATTAGCACTTAGATCCTACTTCAGTGTATTTAATTCCCTCCAGATCAGCGAATTTGTAAATACACCTTAGCACAATGCTGGGGCATGCACAGTGTTAACAAGTATAAATTTGAGATTAGTAGGTTTTACATGTGGCTTGTGGAATCAGAATCATGGTATCATCATATTCTCTATTTGTTTAATAAGCAAAATAGGCTAAGTATCTAGGAAGATGAAAAGAGCAAGCAGGCTTATTTGGATGAGGAAGTGGTCAGCTCCTAGGTGGTTTCTTAGCAGCTTACAGAAGCTCACAGGGCACTCTGAGGTCTGATTGGCTGCCGTGGGAAGATGGAAGTCGGAAGGCCAGAGAGTGTTTAGCTTACCTCAAAAATTTTCAGATATCCTCAACTTAAAAACAAAAATCTGCAACTCAGCAGTTCTATTTTGCTTGTTCCTAGTGTTCTAGAAGTGGCTTTTAATTTCCAATGACTCTATGTTCTCTCCAATGTAAAGATTTTGCTGCATGCCAAAGGCTTCTCACTCTCCTTAGAAGCTCTTTCACAGACATTGAAGGGAGACAATCTTCTACAGCCCAACTGGCCCCCACCCTGACTGTCTCAAATAGTCAGGAAAAATATGATTTCCCACCAGATAGGTGCTGACCTTTCCAAGCCCATTTGTAGGGAGCAGCTCATCCAACTGCACCACCCAACCTGCACTTCATTGCTCAAATTGCAGAAAATTTTAAAATAAGATTCTTCTAAAATGATTAAGCCCATAGTATGAACTATATATAGTTACTTAGTTAAATGTATCACTATCTGCATGCTGTAACCTACTAAAAGTATGCAGTGAGGTACTCATTGTTGCCTTATCCTATTTGGGACTTACTAAAACTCTTAGAAGAGTCTATCACACCTCGTCTATTTTCCAAAGTTATGTGCATTAACATGGTCAGGTCTTTGGCCCTGGGCTTTATATTAATTGCAGAGAATTCTCAGTTTTTCTTTCTGCAAATCTGGTGAATATAAATTTATACATAGAGCCCCTGTCATGTGTTTTTGTTTGTTGGGTTGTGTGTTATTATGTCTCTGGCTACACCTCAGAAGCTGTTAATAGATCCATGGATGCATGGGCATGCAGTAAGACAAAGCCACTTGTGTCTTCCAGACAGGCAGAAATGATTTCTCTCTATCAGTGCTTTACATTTTGGCCATGGAAAATGCCTCAGAGATTACTCAAAGAAGCATCCTCCGAAGTGGGGCATCACTCAGGTTATTTTCTCTGACTCCCCCAGATAAATATAATGTTTGTCAAACATTGTCCATTTTGTTTCCGGTACATATCACACATCACTGTCATATGGCATTGTAAATTGACTTAGAATTACACTGTAAGTTTTCACAGAGAAGGAACCATCCTTTTAATTTCTTTCTTTGCCAATTGATGTGTAGCAGTATCCAATAAACTTTTTAAATCCATTTACAAGCATGTATTTATCCTCTGCAGCAGCAGTCCCCAGTCTTTTTGGCTCCAGGGACTAGTTGCATGGAAGACAGTTTTTTGACCGATGTGGTGGGGGTTGGTTCCTGGATGAAACTGTTCCACCTCAGATCATCAGGCATTAGTTCGATTCTCATAAGGAGTGCTCAGCCTACATCCCTCACATGCACAGTTCACTGCAGCGTTTGCACTCCTAGGAGAATCTAATGCCCCCGCTGATCTGACAGGAGGTGGAGCTCAGGCAGTACCTCCTGCTGTGTAGCTCCTTTCTTAACAAGGCTGCAGACTGGCACCCATCCACTGCATGGGGGCTGGGGACCCCTGCTGTACAGTGTACCAGACTGTGAGTCAGGTGCTGGGCATACAATGGAAACAAGACAGAGTGGACCCTAGCCTCCTGGAACTTCCATTCTTATGGGGAGAGAGATGAAAAGAAGCAAACAGAAGCCTAAAAAAAAAAATCAACTCAATAAAGAAACAAACAAGAAAAAGTGTGAGAGAATGATAGAGAGGGAAGGCCTCTCACTCTAGGTGCCGCTTAAGAAGAAAACTAAAGAAAAGGAGAAATGTTGAAGAAGAGCCTTCCAAGAAAAAGGGGGTCACATATGCAAATGTCCTTATTTGGAAAGCAAAAGAAATAATGGGTGCATGAACAAATGGATGTGAAACACACACACACAGAGACACTTTAGGCTAAGTGCTTTATATAAAAAAATTATTTCCCACTATATGGAAGGCAGCCTTGCTAGAGGGTTTTCTAGGTCTCATTACCAGTCATCACCCATGAGCATAACAGCTGTAGGCTTTATTTTTATATGGTTTAATGTAGCCCCTCCTGATTACAAACCCAAAGCAGAGCCAGAAGGAGGCTGCCAGAAAGCAAGGCAGCACTGTGATCACATGGAACTGCCCAGGGCATGCTGATCCTAACCCCAGTGCACCTCCTGGGCTATGCATAAAGGAGGCCACGTCCTGTGAACTGTAAGCTGCAGGAGAAAAAACTTGTTTATTTTTGAAAATTGGGCCAGTTTTGGTAAATATTTCCCATACCTGGGTTTACAACGTGAGAGTTTGTTTTAGAATATTCAGTATAAACTCGTAGTTGGGTGGCATCATAGCTTATAGGTTGAGATTGTGGGCTTTGGATTCAGCCTTCCTAGGTTCAAACCCTGACCCTATGACTTTCCACCCATGTGATTGCTTTAACCTTTCTGTGACTCAGTTTCACCATTCCTGAAGGTATTTCTCCTGTTCCTCTGCCCATTCTCTCCCTACCTTATTTCCCCTTCTTCTTCCTCTAGCTATCGCTTTGATATAGACATGTACTGAGGTCTTGCCCATGGGGATTGAGATCAAATTAATGCTGCAAGACCATTAGAACAGTGCCCAGCTCCCGAGGGGTCTATTACAATGAAAACTTTCATCATTAGAATTTTCTTCTTTTGTTGAACAAAAATCTCCATCTTTTAAAACTTCTATTGATTATCTTAGAGTTGCCCCTTGATATAGCATATGATCTCCAAGTTCATTCAAATACGTTTAAGAGTCAATTGCACCTAAAGCTCTGTGTTATTTGTTGAGAACAATTTAATTTCAAGTTATCTTCCATATTGATACGCCTGCAAATAGCTGCCGGGTTTTCATTCCAAATTTAAGGTATTCCCCAGGCTGTTTTACATTTGCTTTTATTCTGAAATGTTTTTATACTTATTCAATGCTCACATAGTCAAAAAGCAGATGACAACTATTTGGTATAGTTGTGTCTCCCTATATAGTAACAATTCTAAGATATCAATTTTATTTAAAAGGGAGAAAAAAGTGTTTTTGAGGACAATCCTCCACACACAATAACGGGTGACCTAGGACCCCTCCTTGGACTCTGAAGCAGTTCTGATGCCCAGGCCATGGGAAGGGCCGTCATAGGCATCCGCTCTACTTACGCTGCACATCGCAAAGGCATGACACTCTCATTGTCCAGAAATTATGCCAGGTTTTTGCAATGCCTGCTAGCTATACAGTGCATACACTCGCCCCTCACCCCTACAGCCAGCTTACCTCTTAGAAATAGACTGAGAAATAAGAAAGTATGAAAAAATAAGAAAAATCGAAATCATATGCTTTATTAAAAAGGGCTACAAGAGCTTGGTCTGGTCCTATGTGGACTTTTTGTCACTTAATTCTAATAATATTTGAAATTTTTCAATGTTTAAAATCAAAACATAATAATGTTTATAATGACAAAATATTTTAAACTTTTCTTTGGTTTAAGAAGTCTGAATGATATGAAATACATTTTTGAAAAATTTACCACAAAATAAAGCATGGTGATTTGTTTGCTAATTTTATTTTTAGGTTTTTGAGCTTGAAGTGGTAAATTCTTGTGCCTTTTGAGAAATTTGGCTCTTCAGAAAGTATTAATCCTAGGGAAAATCAGAAAGCTTTTTACTATGTATGTGTGCGTGTGTGTGTATGTGTGTGTGTGTGTATATATATATATACACATGTTTGTGTATTTATGTATTTATTACTGTAAGTGATCTGGGCTTGGGGAAAATCATTTATAAAACATATAAAGTGTTATATCTTTTTAATAGCTTATAAAGTGAATTATATGTACCATGGAGCTTGATATTATAAAATATTAACATCTCTAGACTAAGATAACCCCTGTATTTGAACACTTTATTTGGAATCCTTTCATAAGCAGTAATGCTCTAATGTGCTGTATGTATCTATTTTTAATTACCTTTATCAGATAGCAATCAGAAAGCTGATTGGGAACCTTGATTTTGAAATGACAACAACCAAATCAAACCTAAAAAAATTCAATTTTTTTCTGTTTTTTTAAGTGATTTTTATCAAGACTGGGCAAACTGGAATGTTTAAGCTATATAATACCCACCATGATTTTTTTTTCTTTTTCGAGTACTTTGGGAACTTGATAAAATCTTAAAATTCTCTCATAAACATAAGCATAGCAATAATGGGAACCTTAGAATTTTCACTTTAATTCATTTGTATGTTTATGTTATGCAGAAACATTGGTTCCATATTTCAAATTAAGAAATCACTGAAGAATGAATAACTCCCTTTCAGTCATAAGCATCCTCAACATTATCAACCCAAAATAAGATGCCCTTAATTCTTAAGTTATCCTCTAGCCTCCTTTCTTCCCTCCCCTTCACACATAACGATGTTTTTTAGTTTTCAGTGTAGAAGTCTTGCACTTCTTTTGCTAAATGTGTTCTTAAGCATTTCATTTTGGATGCTATTGTTGTAAATGGAATTGTTTTCATTTAAATTTTGGATTGTTTCATTGCTAGTGCATAAAGGCAGATTGATTTTTGTATATTGACTGAGTATACCAAACCCTTGCTAAACTTACCAGCTCTTCATTCTAATGGCTTCTTTCTGGTTGCTTTAGGATCTTATATGTGAAAGATAATTTCAAGTGCAAATAGAGCTAGTTTTACTTCTTTCCTTCTAATTGAGATGACTTTTATTTCTTTTTATAAAGTAATCTGCCTGCCCACACTTTGCTTCAGAAGCATTAATATATACAGCACATACTTCTGTCATCATATCTGTAACACTAAATGACACTACTTAAACATCTTATTTATCTTAGCAATCCAAGTTGCCTGACGTATCATGGACATTCAATAAATACCCGTTATATGATTGAATGAATCTCCAGTGTTTCACTGTTGCACGATGGAAAACATAAAGTGCATTTTGTATTTTACAGTATACATCAAATACAGACAAGTAACAAATTGGCAATTTTGAAATTTTTAAGCTATCCAATATTGTGCAATCTAATTATGAAATTTGCCACTACTTTAGGCTTAATAGAAAGTTTTAAAACTAGTTCTTTCCCCCAAATTTTAATATATTACCAATAAAATGAAGGTCTTATAATTTGAACTCATTTTAAATCCAGGGAGAGAGTGAACAGTTCTGCAAACCCAAGATGTCATGCACAGCATCAGGACACACCTCATAGTTCAGTGAAGGTGACAGGGCACAGTTGTCTCTCTTCACAGAGCAGAAGTACGAACCGTGTGTGGGGGAGCAGCTCCTCCTTGGTCCTCAGTCCCCACGGGGTGCCAGCAATGCCTCCTGCACAGATAGGCTGTCCTGGCCAGAGCTGGGAAAACCAGAAGCGCTCCTTCAGAGGATTATATAATTTGCTTTAACCTTAACAAAATGTCACCTTAACGATCCAAGCTTTACCTTTAGCAAGTCCTCTCTTTATAGACTCATTAATTACTAAAAGAATAACAACTGAAGATTGGAAAAACTTGTTACAACATGGACATCTCTCAATTAATCACCATGCCATCATATGATTAACACATCCTAGAAACACATTTTAAACATGTTAAAATTTGACTTTTCAATCAGAAAGCAGCAAGGCTACAAAAGTAGATCGAAAGATTCATCAAGGATGGAAAAATATGTTTGTTTGCAATATAAAAGAACATATTATGTATCTATATGCTGTAATTGAATAAAAGTCATAGAAGTGTCTTGATTCTGGCAAATGTGGCTGTCATCTGAATGTAAAATAAACACTAAGAAATGAATGCTGCAAATTTAGAGCAAGAATTCAGGAAATAACCCTTGGACTTTACAACTCGAGGATCTAGAATGTATCCAATAAAAAGTCAGCCTGCAGAAAGACCCTTTTCACACTCCCAGTTTCTAAGTGGTTAAAGCTTACTTAGACAGAAACTACCTGGAACTCCCTGCTGTGGTCTTTGTAAACAGCCGTCATAATCTTTTACTCCGAAAGTCTTAGCTGGTTTTAATATGATGTATTATTTTTAAATATTCTGCCTTATACAATGTTGGTTTCTATACTGTCTTACATCCCACTCCCCTCTAGAGTATGAAACCATTGAGCACAATTACCATTGTCTTCTTTTTTCATTTTTAATTGACAAATACTAATTGTATCTATTTATGGGATACAACGTGATGTTTTGATACATGTATACACTGTGGAATGATCAAATAAGGCTAATTAACATATCCACCACCTCACATACTTATTTATTTGTGGCAAGAACATTTAAAATCCACTGTTTTAGCATTTAGAAATTATACGCCATTACCTATAATTACTCTGCTGTGCAAGAGATGATTCCTCCTGTCTAACTGAAACTTTGAAACTTTTAACCAACATTTCCTCTTTCCCCGCCCACCACCTTCACCCCAGCTTCTGGTAGTCACCATGCTACTTACTACTTCTGAGTTTGACTTTTTTAGGCTCCCATAAACACTGAGACATGACAGCCACTTCAAAGTATATATTCTGTTTTATTACAACAGACCCAAACTTCCATTTCAAGCTTCTTCTTCTTTTGAAATCTAATGAGACATCATGTACTTACAAAATTAATTTCAATAATTTTAGGGGTACAATGACATTTTGTTACATGGATGAATGATATAGTAGTGGAGTGTGGGCTTTTAGTGCACTCACCACCCAAATAGTGTACATTTACTATCCAATAGGTAGTTTTTCACTCTTCACCCCCTTCCAGCCTCTCCACTTCCGAGTCTCAAGTGTCCATTATACCACTCTATATGCTTTTGTGTATGCATAGCTTAGCTCTCACTTACGAGTGAGAACATGTATACATCTCATAATTTGTTGAGAAAATGACATGTCAAGAAATGAATTCCCTCAGTTTTCTTATATAATTTGCATAAATATATCTACATACTCTCAGAACCTTCCTTGTGCCATCACCTTATTTCATCTGTCATTGTACATCTTGAATTCTGAATCTTACATAATACTGATTTCTTCCACATACATCACATTCATGCATCATTTCCCACACCAGAAAGTTCAAAATAGGCCAGTTGCAGTGGCTCACGCCTGTAATCCCAGCACTTTGGAAGGTTGAGGTGGTTGGATCACCTGAGGTCAGGAGTTCGAGACTAAAAATACAAAAATTAGCTGGGTGTGGTGGCGGGTACCTGTAATACCATCTTCTTGGGAGGCTGAGGCAGGAGAATCACCTAAGCCTGGGAGGCAGAGGTTGCAGTGAGATGAGATTGCACCATTGCACTCCAGCTCAGGCAACAGAGTGAGACTCCATTTCAAAAAAGAAAGAAAGAACAAAGGAAGGAAGGAAGGAAGGAAAGAAGGAAGGAAGGAAGGAAGGAAGGAAGGAAGGAAGGAAAGAAAAACAGAAAGAAAGAAAGAAAGAAAGAAAGAAAGAAAGAAAGAAAGAAAGAAAGAAAGAAGACATAAAGAAGGAAAGAAAGAAAGAAGGAAATAAAGAAAGAAAGAAAAAGACAGACAGAAAGAAGGAAAGAAAGAAGGAAAGAAGGAAAGAAAGAAAGAAAGAAAGAAAGAAAAAGACAGAAAGAAGGAAAGAAAGAAAGAAGGAAAACAAATAAAGAAAGAAAGAAAGGGAGAGTGGGGAGGGAGGGAGGGAGGGAGGAAGGAAAGAAGGAAGAAAGGAAGGAAGGAAGGAAGGAAGGAAGGAAAGAGTCAAAATAAATGGAAGAAACTTTTTCACCAGGACTCCTCTTCAAACTGCTGTCTGATCTTTCATTTTTCCCTCAAAAAATTCCGAAGAAGAATGTATTCACTGACTCCACTTAGTAGTCTTATACTCCTCAATCCCCTCAATCCAGTACAACTCAACTTCTCCTCTTAAGAGTCTACAAACATGATTAATACAGAGATCACACGTGAATTCTTAATAGCTAAATCCAAGGTATTTTTTTTCAGCCATTTTCTTCTTTGCCACCTTGGATTTTGTCTTTTGGGTGTTTTCCTTTTTTGAGACATTCTCTACTTCCTTACTTCTTTATTTTAATAGACAACATAGAGTTGGGTCCTATTTATCCTCTCTGACATTCTCTGTCTTTTAATTGGTCAATTTAGACCATTCACATTTAAAGTGATATTAGCATTTTGTATTAATATCTAATATCTTTATAACTGTTTCCTATTCATTGCATTTATACTTTGTTTCCCTTCCCCACCCCTAACCCCACCCCACCTCCATCTTTATTTTGCCTTCTCTAATTTTAATTAAATATTATTAATGATTCCATTTAATCTAATGTCTTATAATATCATTTATATTTCTTTTTTATCATTGGTTTTAGTGATGCCTTTGAATTCATTGCTGTGTTTTTATTTGCGTATTTGCATTAACTTATTTCAAGACAATAAATACAGAACTGAAATTAGAGCAGAGTCTTACACTGGTGGGCACTTCTCTCTTATGTATTCCTTTCCTGCAAAACAAAAGGAAGAATGCCATATTGCCCATTGACAACATATGAAAGACAATTCTTTAGCATTTTATTTTACTTTGGAAATGTTAAAAAAAGAACCTCTTGATTTTATTGGTATAGTGTACATACAAAAAATTAATAGAAGAAAAAGAAAACTCCAGAGTATATCATAAATTCAGTTATCTAAACACACAACACATATCAGTCATTCCCATAATATAAATACTTTAACATGTAAAATTATTTTCACTAAGAAACATACGGCTCATTCCTCATCTCAACATGAAGCCACTATTACATTATCTACTCTATTTTAAGGTGCTTATTTCTATTGACTGAAATTTATTTTGTTTTCATAAACATTATTTTAGAATAGTTTGATTTATCAAAAAGTTTCTAATATAGTATAGAAAGTACCATACAGCCCACACACAGTTTACCCTATTATTAGCATAATATATTGTTATGATTAATTTGTCACAAATTAATGAATATTAATACATTACTACTAACTATAGCTCATGTTTTATTCAGATTTTCTAAGTTTTCCCCTAATATTATTTTCCTTTTTTTTTTTTTTTGTCTTGCTCTGTCACCCAGGCTGGAGTGCAGTGGTGAAATCTCATCTCACTGCAACCTCTACCTGCCGGGTTCAAGCCTCCGAATGCCGGGTTCAGCATTGCTCCGCCTGCTGAAGCAATTCTTCAGCCTCAGCCTCCCGGGTAGCTGGTATTACAGGCGCTCACCACCACGCACGGCTAATTTTTGTATTTTTAGTAGAGACGAGGTTTCACCGTGTTAGCCAGGATGGTCTTGATCTCCTAACCTCGTGATCCACCCACCTCGGCCTCCCAAAGTGCTGAGATTACAGGCGTGAGCCACTGCACCCAGCCCCCCAATATTATTTTCTAATACATGATTCCATGTAAAATATTGTCTTAAACTTAGTCAACATGTTTCTTTAGGGTACTCCTCAGGCTCCTTAGTTTTTCAGGTTTTCCTTGTTTTTAATGACTTTGAACAGTCTTGAGTATAGGTGACATATTTTCTAGACTATCCCTTCATTGGCATTTGTCTGTTTCACACAGTCAGACAGCGGCTGTGGGTCTTAGGGAGAATGATCACAGAGGTAAGGGGTCATTCTAATTACATCATGTCAGGGAACAAACAAAATGAATTGTCACTGTTCATATTGACTTTGATTACCAAGGGAGGGTTTTTTAGGTTTCTGACTGTAAAATCACTATAAAGTTCCCCTTTCCATGCTGTATACATTCTAATCAAATAACTATGTGCAGCCCATACTTAATGAAGAGGGACCTAGGGTCCACCACTTTGAGGGCAGAGTATCTAAATACATTGAATTCTACTTGACAGATACATCTGGTCTTCTTCATTCATTAACTAATTAATTATATAAATGCATATATATATATATATACACACACACACACACACACACAGGCATTTATTTTATATATTGGGTTTCAACCCAACACATATATTTTATACTATGGGTAATAATCTGAAATTGTGTTACTTATTTTTGTTCAAATAGTTTCAGCTTTGGCCATGTGGAAGCTCAGTTGGCCCCTATGCTCATTGGCGTAGCACAGTAAGTGTGTGTGTGTGTGTGTGTGTGTGTGTGTGTGTTCTGTACTTTCTTACTTTCTGGAACCTCAAAATACTACAGATTCATTTTACGTATTTCCTGATGCAGTATTAGAATCAGTCATTTCAACAAGTAGCCGTATGCTGCCTGTGTGTGTAAACTTATCTGTGAATATTAGTTATGTGTAAATCTGTGTTTATATCAAAGTAGAGATGAGTTCACACTGACTTTTTCTCCCTTGCCAGTCAGTAGCCTCTCACTCCAGAAGTGAGAGACCTGGCTCCCACCACACCCAACCATTACATAATCATTCAAATCCGCTGTACATGTGTAGTGGTTTTAGAATTGTTAACCCCACGGAAAACAAGTTTATCAGCTACAGTACAATACAATGCCTCAGTACATTTCCTTGTACCTTTAATCTTACAGGCTTCATTTATTTGCAGAGTCACTTAGGTCAGCACACTCTCCCACATTTCTTTTATTGAGGTTGTTTCATATATTTGTAATACAGTTAGATCCTTTTATCACATTCTGCATTTCATTCTAGGATCCCATTACCTCTTATTTTTTTTAATTTTACATATATTAAGATTTGCTCTAGTGCTGTAAATTATATGGGAATTGAAAAATGCACAATGACATGCATTCACCATTATAGTATCATACAGAATAGATCACCACGTTAAAAAAAATTCTCCGTGCCTCGCCTATTCAAACACCCTCTTCCATAAACCCTAGGAGTCACTGATCTGTTCACCTTTTCCAGAATTTCAAATAAATGAAATAATACAGTACCTAGTCTTTTCAGAGTGGTTTGTTTCATGTAGCATATATAACTCATGTTTTTGCATGGCTTAATAGCTTATTTCTTTTCAATGCTGAATGATATTCTATTATGGAACACCACAATTTGTTTATTTATTCATCTCTTGAAGAGCATCTCAGTTGCTTCCAGCTTTATTATGAATAAAGCTTCTATAAATACTCACATGCCAGTATTTTTGTGGGCATTAGTTTTAAAATAACTTGAGTAGATACCTGGAATGCAATGGCCTGATTGCATAAGATTATATTTAGCTTTGTAAGAAACTGCCAAAATGTCTTCCAAAGTTAGTGCATCACTTTGAATTCCTATTAATAATAAATGAGAGCTCCTGTTGCTCTGCATATTTCTCAACAACATCAGATTTGAAGGATTTTAAACATTCTCATAAGTGTGAGTGGTATCTTGTTTTTAATTTGCATTTTCAGAATGACAAACAATGTTGCACATCTTTTGTCCTGCTTAGTCGTCATCTGTATTCTTGGGTGAGGGGCCTTTACAAAATTTTTGCCCATTTTTAATTGGATTGTTTTTGTATTGCTCAGTTTTTAGAGTTTTTTTAATATTTTGTGTGCAAACCTTTAATAAGATTTGTCTTTTTGCTTGAGTTGGGCTTGATATGTTCTTTTTTCCTCTAATTTTCTAAGGTGGAAGCTAAGGTTTTATATTTTAGATCATCTTTAAATAGAAATGTTCAAATTTCTCTCTGAGCACTGCTTTTGCTGCCTCCCATGTACTCTAATGTTTTATTTTAATTTTTATTATGCTCATAGTAGTGTTTTAAATATATCTTTAGATTTCCTTAGATTATGTGTTATTTAGAAGTCTTTAGCTTAATTTCCAAATATTTGGTGGATTTTCCAATTATCTTAATGTTATTGTATTTAATTTTCATATTTTGTTGTCTTAGAACATACTTTGTATGATTTCTGCTCTTTTAAATTTGTTAGAGTGACTCATTAAAACAAAAATAACAATATAACATGTAAGCTCTGGGTTGAACACTAAGAGTTTAAAAGCAATGCATACCTAAAAAGCCAACAGATGGGAAAATATAATAATAATAACAGAAGAAAGTATATACTTTCTCAACCCAATAATAGGCAAGTAAGGAGAAAAAAGAAAAAGGAGAAAAACGGTACAAATGGAAAACTATTAAGACTTTAAATTTAAGCCAAATATGTTAGTAATTGTATTGAGTCTTATTGGACTAAATGCTCAACTAAAATACAATAATGTCAAGATAGATAAAAATACAATTAAAATAGGACACATACACCTCAAAGAAAGCCTTGTATTCTGCTTCCCAGAGACATATCATAAATAAAGGACATGGTAAGTTTGAAATAATAGAATAAAATAAGATGTACCTTAAAAATTAATTAATCGAAACTATGCTAATATCATACAAAATGCAATTTGATTACAAATATTACTGAAGACAGAGGGACATTACATAATGACAAAAGTCAGTATAACAAGAAGACCTGTATTTTCCTCATTTCTAATGCATATAATAACACCACCTCAAAACTCTATTAAGTAACATCTAACAGTACAAAAGAAGAAACAGATAAGTCTGTAGCACACTTGGGGATTTTAGTAAACCTCAAATGATGCAATGGACAAAACAATCAGTGTGAGTATAGAGGATTTTAACATGGTTGACAAACCTATAGAATGTGTTTATTTGGTAAAAATTTGTTGCACTGTGTACTTAAGATTTGTAATTTTGCACATACGATTAGATATTAATTATTCAGTTGCATTGTAGAGAATCAGTGATCACCTGGCCAGGGATAGGATGCAATGGCATACAAATGAGGACATGTTCAGATGCCATGGCCTTAAATTTGACTAGAGATGATGGTAGTAGCTCAAGTTAAGGAATGGTTGCAAAAGTGAATGGATTAAGAGAAATATCAAGTACTTAGTGATGATTAATGATATGATTGTGATGAGAAGATCAAAGAAATATCAGTGTATTTTTTAGTAGATGAGTTTTTTTTAATGAAATCGAAAAATCATTTTAGTTTGCATCAGTGAATTGGATATGAGTTTGGGTGAAGAATATGAGAGGTTAAAAAGGACTCATCCATGACTTTCACTTCTGGAATTGCACTGGGTGGATATGTGCAAAACACAGGGGGAAAATGCACTTATTTGCATATCTGTGTCCACTTGCCTTACATAAAACTCCTTGAATAGAGGACTATTACAGATTATTAGTATCTGTCTTCCCTGTTTGAAGTTCAGCTGCTGAATCACTGTGATGGTAAATGTATGATGGTTGAATGATTCTTGATTTGCTACCTATGTTAGTCCGTTTTGCTTGTTATAAAGGAATACCTGAGACTGGGTAATTTATAAAGAAAAGAGGTTTATTTGGCTCATGGCTTTGTGGGCTGTACAAGCAGGGCACAGCATCTGCTCAGCTTCTAGTGAGGACTTGGGAAGCTTCCAATTATAGTGGAAGGCTAAGGGGGAACAGGTGTGTCACATGGCTAGAGAGGAAGCTCAAGAGAGGAAGTGATGCTGGGCTATTTTACACAACCACCCCTCACATGAACTGCGAGTGAGAACTCACTCATCACTGTGAGGAGGGCACCAAGCCAGTCATGAGGGATTTCCCCCCATGACCCAGACACCTCCCACCAGTCCCACTTCCAACACTGGGGATCACATTTCAACATGAGATTAGGAAGGGACAAATATCCAAACCATATCACTACCCCATTTCCTGGATGTTGGCACTCTGTGGAGCAGAGAAACAACTAAGTCTCAGCAGCTTGTCTTACACTCTTTCCTCAGAAATTTTAGAATGAACATCCCAGTTGGGTCTATTTCTGAAAGTAATCTTCAATTAACTCACATGTTTTAGCTGTTTAAAGATCAGAGGAACTCTCCTTACATAACCCTATTAATAAAGTGTTGTATCACAGGAGGAGAAAAAAACCCTAAATGTATGATTTTGGAGGTCATATAATACATCCGTTGTGTAATCAGTGTCACATTTAAGGGATCAAATAAGAAAGGAAAATGCTTGTCTGGATCACATCATCCAGAAGCCTATAGATCCTGGCATTTGCAAATAAAAAAACCAAAATAACCATCATGTCTTTTATTACCCTTGTAGTTATTTAAATAACCATTATTTCTATCATTAGATTCCATATTTGAAGGTTGCTCATTTTTCATTGCTTATATACATCTTCTTCACTTAACTTTAGCCATTAGTTATCTAATCACCGCCAGGCACTTACGCCGGTAATTCTAGAACTTTGGGAGGCCGAGGCAGGTAGATCACTTGACGTCAGGAGTTCAAAGCCAGCCTGGCCAACATCGTGAAACCCCATCTCTACTAAAAATACAAAAAAAAAAAGATTAGCCGTGTGTGGTGGCAGGTGCCTGTAATCCCAGCTACTTGGGAGGCTGAGGCAGGAGAATCGCTTAAACCCAAGAGGCAGAGGATGCAGCGAGCCAAAATCCAAGATTGTATCACTGCACTCCAGCCTGGGTGACAGAGCAAGACTTCATCTCAAAAAAAAAAAAAAGAAAGAAAGAAAAAAACACAAATTATCTAACCACTGTCCTATATTTTATTTGTATAAATTTAAGGGGTACAAGTGCAGTCTTAACTGTTGTATTTTAATATCATTTTAAAGATGATCAGATTAAAAAATTAATAAACTTACTGCTTTAAATTATAATACACTATGTGGAAAATGAGCCTTATGTCCAGGTAACATTTATAAATGCTATAATAATATTGCTTCAAAATATACCCTATACTAAGAAAACAAACTTATTATATAGACATTGAGCCGTGATAAATTGAATTTACAATAAAATTATTTTGTTATTATGTGGAAATTTTTCTCTTACACCAATTTACTAATGGAAGAACACTTAAAACACTGCTGGAGGGGAAGTAAATAATTGTTACTATAATATTTTATTTTACTGAGAAACCAACCAAAAACTGCATTGAGTGCCCAGCTCAAAATTGCATATGAAAGTATAAAAATATCACCATAAGAGTATGATATATCTTAATTTTAAGAACCTTGTTTATAACTATAAAAAGAAAAAATAAGTAAATGTAATGAAAGTTAACGTTAATTAAATGTCTTTAACAAAAGCAACAAAAGGAGATTCAGAATAATCACATTTTGGATAATTTACATGAGGAAGTATAAGATCTGATGGTATCTTATGAAATATGTAGATTAATAGTATTAATACCCTAAAATACTCATTTGTGTTGTGCTTCTATTTATTTTTTCTCAGATGGGGCTCAACAGATAGCCTCAGAATAAACTTTGAGATAGGTACAATTATCAAGAAGCAAAGTCTCATTTTCCACAGAAGATGTAAGTTGGTATTTAATGTGTTAATTATTTCCTTTAAATTAGATATACAGAAAAAATCAAAGCACATTTACATGAAATTGGAAAAATGGATTTTATGCCTAAGGAATATATAAAATACATAAAAACTTCCATATGAGCTGATTGGCAGTTTCTTCATGAAGTATTATAATTGTAATAAATTATGTTTTAAGGATCAACATTTAATTTTGCTTAAAATTGAATATTTACACTAACTAATAAGATATGTTTTCTACTGATTACTCTATAGCATAAAAGTCTCACATATAATTCATATTTGAGCCGTGATTATGTTTTTATATCTACCAATTTATCCAACAATGATTTAATGAATCTTTAGTGTGCCAGGCACTAAACCATTCAGATTAATAAGTATGACAAAAATGAAAACAAATTTTGACTAGAAATACATGCAAGATCTTAAGAACATCAAATACTCTTAACTATAATAACAGTATTTTTCCACAGTACTTAAATAGTTGTTCATAAACTATCCTCCGTGTGTCCCAACATTTAGCTTTTATCAGATTTTATATTCCCATTAAATTTAAATTTAAGGATGTTTCATTCATGATAAACCACTTCATGTGCAATTAGAAACTAGGGGGACAGAATTGGGCACGTGTCAAGTATAACACTGTGGTCATTAAAGAGATCCTACCATAGATGCTCATGCCAGGCTTACCTTAGATGAAGACTATACTTCTGCATTTGAGACAACATTGATTCCTGGACACATCGCTTAATGTGATTGGTAATAAAATAAGAATTCCTAGAGCCAATAAAATGCTTAAGATAATAATGATGAACTTATGGTTTAAAACCTAAACAAAAGTGGCATAACAAAAATATATTTTTCTTGAAGCATATTGCAAAATACTGTATTGTAAATACATTATTATTAAAATTTAGAGCAAATAATTGGCATTTTCTAAGGACCTAAGAATTTTTAAAACATGTTTACTGCTTTATATAATAATGAAATTAATACATCTCATTGTAAGGCAAATTTGAAAACTATAAAAAATGTAAACTACAGGAAAGATATACAGAAGAGATTTAAAAATTGAAATCCCAGCATCCAGAGTTCACCAGGGTGATATACATAACTATATTTTTATCTCAAACTGAAACCATAGAACAGATTAAATTTTTAATACACAGAATTTTAGAACTGTTTTGGAGTTACAGAAAAAAACTGGGACGTCCTGCTGTGGGGTGGGGTGAGGGGGGAGGGATAGCATTAGGAGATATACCTAACGTTAAATGACGAGTTAATGGGTGCAGCACACCAACATGGCACATGTATACATATGTAACAGAACTGCATGTTGTTCACATGTACCCTAAAACTTAAAGTATAATAAATAAAAGAAAAAAATTATAGATAGTACAGAGTTCCCCTACATCCTACACTCAGTTTTCTCTATTATTAACATCTTATGTTACTATGACACGTTTGTTTTAATTAATGAACAAATGATGGTACATTATTGTTAACTAATTAACTAAAGCCTACACCTTATAGAAGTGTCCTTAGTTTTTAAAGGATGTCCTTTTTCTGTGCCAGGATCCCATCTAGGTTACCTCATTGTAATTTGTTGCCATATCTTCCCAGGCTCCTCTTGGCTTTGTCAGTTTCTCAATTTTTGTTTTGTTTTGTTTTTAAGAACCTTGATATTTTTGAGGAGCCTTGGTGAGATATTTTACAAGGTGTTCTGTTAAAACTTCTCTAATATTTTTGTTTTAAGAAGACTGGTATTATAGGGTACTGGGAGGAAGGCCCAGAGATAAGTGCCCATTCCATCTTATCCTCTCAAGAGTGCATGCTATCAACATGATGTGTAGCCAGTGGTATTGACCAAGGTCACTTAACTGAGGTAGTGTTTGTCATGTTTCTCCACAGGAAAGGTACTCTTTATTCCCCTTTCCATATTGTAGGCTTTATAAGAAGTGCCTATGCACACAGTCCACACCTGCGGAGAATGCAGAGTTACAGTTTTCCATTGTGAGGGCAGAATTCAGAATGTCTATGTAAATCACTTGGAATATTTCTACATTGGGAGATTTGTTCTATCTATCTATCATCTATCTATCTATCTATCTATCTATCTATCTATCTACCTACCTATATGTCTATCTGTATCTGTATGTGCTCATGGATATTTATTTTATACTTTGGGCTATAATTTAATACTATTGAATTGTTTTTTTTTGGTTTTGCTCAAATATTTCTTGGTTTGGCCATTATGAGCTCATTTCAGGGGGCCGGTGTGCTCCTTTGAAGTACCCGCATCAAAGTGTGTGTGCGTGTGGATGTGCATGTGTGTGTGTTGGGCACTTTCTTCCTTTCTGAGACAAGATGTCCGGGCCTGTCTTTTATAATCCCTTCCCCAGTCCTAAAATCAGTTGGTACTGTTATTGGAGAATGATGTTAATATTGGCTGTTTCTTGTCAGTAGGGTGCTAGATTTATTTTTGCATTCAGCTTTTTTTAAAAAATATATATATAATAAGAATTTTCTTGTTAAGTTTTAAGTTTGCTTTTGGAATTGTTTTAAAATGCAGTAGTCCATTGTACATTTTGTTGAAAAATGATTATTTAAACAAGAGGCAATACTAACAATATAAATATGTTTGCAATTTTCCCTGTTCCTAATAACATAGCACACCTCTTTTTCTGCAAAATGAAGCTAGCTTTTATTTTAATAAAACAAATACATTTTGTTTAATACCTACTTCTCATAGTTTATATATTTGTTAGTAAATAAGTAAAATATGTATAAAATAATAATAGTCCAGATGAGATTATTAAATTGGATAGAAAATGTACTTGCAGGATTTAACAACAATAACATAATAGAACTAGAACAAATTTTCATTTTTAATTTTTGTGGGTACATGGTAGGTGTACCTGAGATGTTTTGATACCGGGATGTGATGTGAAATAATCACATCATGGACAGTTGAGTATTCATCCCATCAAGCATTTATCCTTTGCATTGCAATCCATTCAATTATTCTCTTTTAGTTGTTTATAAATGTACAATTAAATTATGTTAACTATAATCACTCTGTTGTGCTATCAAATAGTAGGTCTCATTAATTCCTTCTAATTATTTTTTGTGCCCATTAACCATTCCCACCTCCCTTCTCTACCTCCTCCACTCCCACTGCCCTTCCCAGCCTCTGGAAACTATCCTTCTACTCTCTATGCCCATGAGTTTAATTGTTTTGATTTTTAGCTCCCACAAATATGTGAGAACATGTGATGTTTCTCTGTTTATACCTCATTTAACTTAACATAATCATCTCCAATTCCATCCATATTGTTGCAAATGACAGGATTTCATTCTTCTTTATGGCTGAATAGTACTCCATTTTGTATAAGCACCCCATTTATTTTCATCCATTAATCTGCTGATAGACACTTAGGTTGCTTCTAAATCTTGGTTATCGTGAACAGTGCTGAAACAAACACGGGAGTGCAAATCTCTCTTCAATATACCGATTTCCTTTGTTTGGGTATATACCCAGCAATGGGATTACTGGATCATATAGTAGCTCCATTTTTAGTTTTTTGAGGAACCTCCAAACTGTTCTCCATAATGATTGTACTAATTTACATTCCCATCAACAGTGTACAGGGGTTCCCTTTTCTCCACATCCTTGCCAGCATTTGTTATTACCTGTCTTTTGGATATAATCCATTTTAACTGGGGTGAAGTGGTATTTCATGGAAGGTTTATTTAGGGTTTTGTTTTTGTTTTTTATTTTTGTTTTTGTTGTTGGAGACAGGGTCTTGCTGTGCCATCCAGGCTAGAGTGCAGGGGTGTGATAACAGCTGTTTGCAGCCTCGACCTCCTATGCTCAATTGATCCTCCTACCTCAGCCTCCAGAGTAGCTGGGAATATAGGTGCATGCCACCACACCCAACTAATTTTTTTGTGTGCTTTTTGCAGAGATGAGGTTTCACCATGTTGTACCAAGCTCAAGTGGTCCACCAGCCTCAGCCTCCAAAAGTGCTAGGAATACAGGCATGAGCCACCACACTTGTCATCGTTGAAGTTTTGATTTGCGTTTCTATGATGATCAATGATGTTGAGCACATTGTCACATGTCTGTTAGCCATCTTTATGTCTTTTTTTTTTTTTTGACGGAGTCTCGATCTGTTGCTGGAGTGCAGTGGCATGATCTCAGTTCACTGCAACCTCTGCCTCCTGGGTTCAAGCGATTCTCCTGCCTCAGCCTCCCGAGTAGCTGAGACTACAGGCATGCGCCACCACACCCAGCTCATTTTTGTATTTTTAGTAGAGATGGGGTTTCACTTGTCTTTGAAAAATGTCTATTCAGACCTTTTGCCATTTTTAAATGGGATTAATAGTCTTTTTCCTATTGAACTGTTTGAATTTTTTACATATTCTAGTTATTAATCGCTTGTCAGATGGCTAGTTTGCAAATATTTTCTTGCATTCTGTGGCTTATCTTTTCACTTTGTTGTTTCCTTTGCTGTACAGAAGCTTTAACTTGACATTATCCTATTTGTCCATTTTTGCTTTGGTTGCCTGTGCTTGTGGGGTATTACTCAAAACATTTTTGCCCAGACCAGTGCCCTGGAGAGTTTCACCAATGTTTTCTTGTAGTAGTTTCATAGTTTGAAGTATTAGATTTAAGTCTTTAATCTACTTTGATTTGATCTTGTATATGACAAGAGAAAGAGCTCCAGTTTCATACCTCTGCATATAGATATCCAGTTTTCCCAGCACCATTTATTGAAGAGACTGTCTTTTCCTCAGTGTATGTTCTTGGCGCTTTTGTCAAAAATGAGTTTGCTGTAGGTGTGTGGATTTGTTTGGGGGTTCTCTATTCTGTTCCATTGATCTATGTGTCTGTTTTTATGCCAGTACCATGCTGTTTTGGTTACTATATCTCAGTAGTATATTTTGAAGTCAGGTAATGTGATTCCTCCTAGTTTTGTTCTTTTTGTTTTGGATACTTTTGGCTATTCTGTGTCTTTTGTGGTTCCACATAAATTTGAGGATTGTTTTTTCTGTTTCTGTGAAGTATGTCATTGGTATTTTCATAGGAATTACATTTAATCTGTAGATTGCTTCAGGTGTTATAGATTTTCTAACAATATCGCTTCTTCCAATCCATGAACATGCCTCCATTTTTGTGTGTCCTCTTCAATTTCTTTCATCAATGTCTTATAATTTTCGTTGTAGAGAACTTTCACTTCTTTGGTTAAGTTAATTCTTAGGTATTTACCTTTATATATGGCTACTGTAAATGGGATTACTTTTCTGAGTTCTTTATCAGATTGCTCACTGTTGGCTTATAGAAATGCTACAATTTTTGTATGTTAATATTGTATTCTGCAACTTTACTTAATTTATTTATCAGTTCTAATAGTTTTCTTGTGGATTCTTTAGGTTTTTCCAAATATAAGATCATATCATCAGCAAACAAGGATAATTTGACATCTTCCTTTCCAATTTGGATGCTTTTTATATATTTATCTTGTCTGATGGCTCTAGCTCAGACTTCCAGTACTAGGTTTAATAACAGTGGTGACAGTGGGCATCCTTGTCATGTTCCAGATCTTAGAGGAAAGGCTTTCAATTTCTCCTCATGATGTATGATACTAGCTGTGGGTCTGTCCTATATAGCTTTCATTATGTTTATTTATGTTTTTTATATACCCAGTTGTTTAGGGTTTTTATCATTAAGAGATGTTGATTTGTATCACATGCTTTTTCAACATCAATTAAAATGATCATATGGTTGATGTCCTTCATTGTGTTCATATGATGTATTATATTGATTGATTTGCATATGTTGAACCATCCTTGCATCCCAGGGATAAATCTCACTTGTTCATGAAGAATGCTCATTTTAACGTATTGTTGAATTTGGGTTACTAGCATTTTGTTGAGAATTTTTGCATCAATATTCATCAGAGAAATTGGCCTTTAGTTTTATTTTCTCAATGTATTTTTCTGGTTTTGGTATCAGGTAATACTTGCCTCATAAAATGATTGTGGAAGTATTTCTTCCCCCTCTGCTTTTCAGAATAGAGTATGATTGTTATTAGTTCTTTAAATCTTTTGTAGAATTCAGAAGTAAAGCCATTGTGTCCTGGGTTTTTCTTTACTGGGAGACTTTTTATTACAGCTTTGATCTTGTTGCTTGTAATTGGTCTGTTCAGGTTTTAGATTTCTTCATGGTCAATCTTGATAAGCTGTATGTGTCTAGAAATTTGTCCATATCTTATAGATTTTCCAATTTATTGTCCTGTAGTTGTTCATAGTAGCTACTAATGATTCTGTGAATTTCTGCAGTATCGCTTGTGTCCATTTTCATCTCTGATTTTATTTATTTGAATCTTCTCTCTTTTTTCTTAGTCTGGCTAAAGGTTTGTCAATTTTGTTTAACTTTTCAAAAAGCCGACTTTTTGTTTCATCGATCTTTTTAATTTTTTTATTTCAATTTCATTTATTTCTTCTCTGATATTTATTGTTTCTTTTCTTCTACTAATTTGGGGTTTGGTTTGCTCTTGCTTTTCTAGTTCTTTAAAATGCATCAGTAGGATGTTTACTTGAAGTTTTTCTTCTTTTTTGATGTAGGCACTTATAGCTATAAACTTGCCTCTTAATACTACTTTTGCTGTATCTCACGAGTTTTGGTATATTGTGTTTCCATTAATATTTGTTTCAAGAAATTTTTCAACTTCCTTCTTAATTTCTTTATTGACCCACTGTTCATTCAGGAGCAAATTGTTTAATTTCCATGTGTTTGTATAATTTCTAAAATTCCTCTTGTTACTGATGTCTAGTTTTATTCCATTGTAGTCAGAGAAGATGTTTGATATTATTTCAATTTTTTAATGTTTTGAGACTTGTTTTGTGACCTAATATATGGTATATCCTTTAGAATAATCCAAGCACCGAGGAAAATAACATGTATTCTGCAGGTGTTGAATGAAATGTTCTGTAAATATCTATTAGATCCATTTGGTATATAGTGCAGATTAAGTCTAATGTCTACCTGGTGTTCTATTTTACTGTGGCGGAGCTGACACTCAAACCACAAGACAGTTCTTCCCACTCTTCCCTTGCCATTCCATTGACAGAGAACCCTCACCCCATGGCCACCACCACCACAGGCCCATGGGGAGTGCAGCCAGAGTACTGCTGATGTTCCCTTAAAGCTCAGGGGCTCTTAAGTCAGCTTGCAATGAATGCTGCCTGGCCTAGGACTCACCCTTCATGGAAGTGCCCCCACCCTCACCCCCAGCCCAGGGCAGATCCAGAGAGATACCATCCAATAGCCAAGTCCTGGAATCTGGGACCCCAAGAGCTCACTTGTGCCCTACTCTTTGTGGCCAAGCTGCTACCTAAGGTAAAGGACAAAGTCTCTTTTACATTTCTCTCCACTTTTCTGAAGGAAAAGGAGCCTCCCCCATAGCCTCCAGAGCTGGAAATATGTTGAGTCTCACCTGAAGCCAGCAAGTCTCAGGGTCTCACCCAAAGCCCTCGACGTAGTACCTGGCTATTGCTGCTGGTTATTTAGAGCACACGGCTATTCAGTTAGCAGGTTATAAATCCTGCTGGGAGTAGGTCCTTTCCTTCAAGGCAGTGAGTTCCCTTCTGTCCCACGGTGTGTCTAGAAATGTCATTCAGGAGGTAGGACCTAGAAAGGGGGCCTCACAGTTCTGACAAGTTCCCTATCCTGCTGTAGCTGAGCTGGTCTCTAAGATATAAGACAGGGTCCTCCTCACTCTTCCCTCTCCTCTTCTCAAGCAGAAGTAAAGGGTCTCTTTTGGAGCTGTGAGCTGTGCAGCCTGGGGTTGGGGAGAGGTGATGCCATTACATCTTAGACTACTTGGGCTGGTGTCTCAGTAGGTTGCTTGCCCACCCCCAACACGAGTCCTCTGACTCTGGGCACAGTTATGCACTAGGACTCACCTGGGAGTTGCCATCCTTGTGGCTAGACTTCCTTTCAAGATTATTTAAGTTCCCAGAGCACTTTATCCTACACTGGCAAGGCTTGCAGGAACTGAATATCTAACCGCTGGAATTGGTGATTCACCTCTGTCTAGGGCTGATCTAAATGCTTCCTCCATAGGTGGGCTTCTGCTGAGTTTGGTCAGGTTTTGTTCTCTGGTATAGCAGGGCAGCACTGAGTTCAGTCCCTCACAATTGTTGTGCTCTCCCTCTTCCCGGCACACAGAATCACTCTCCACACCATGCCCCCACTGCCAGGGGTTGGGGAGAAGTGGCATTAGCGATTCAAAACAGTTTCTCTTACCTCTTCCATGCCTCTTTCATTGATATGAAGTTAAAACCAGGTACTGTGAGTGCTCACCTGATTTTTGGTTCTTATGAAGGTGATATTTTGTGTAGATAGTTAATTTAATGTCCCTACAAGGAGGGACAATCATTCTGCCATCTTGCTCTACCCCTGTGCAAACTAGAAATACTTTTAAAACAACATTAAGTAAAATTTCTTCAGAATAATTTCTAACTTTTTTTCTATATACTATTGTAGATAATTTACAGGGAGTGTACAGAGAAAAATATGTATTTTAAAGAGCATATTTGAAAAAAATTCTAGAAGAAATGGGGGTATCAAAAGATGAAATAAATTATAATTGATAAGAATAAATGCTGAAGATTTAGTCATGGTTGTAGTAAGCAAAATAAGAACAAAAACTACCACAACTACTTAATCGAAATAAGCCTTCTATAGTGATATGGCACTGGCTACAATTTGATTCAAGAGCTTTGGCATTGCCTGAACCATGCTGTCATTGAGTTCTTTATATATTTCACTGAACTAGTCTACTAAGTTCAGATTCTGTGGCTAATTTAGTCACTTTGTCAGACTTCAAAATATTACCCAAGGTTTACTCTCTTTGACTTCCCTAACAATACAAACCTGATTTTTAGCCACACTGGAGGATAGTCATTGGTGAAAACATTGATGTTAAAAGAGGGAAAGTATCCCTTGATAAAGGATAACAGTAGTTTCAGAGCAGGTGGCAGAATAAAATCAGAATTTTGGATTGACCACTTTTGCTTTCTCTTTTAATTCAAAAGAGTTAAACAAATAAAATATATAGGTATGTGATATATAAACAGAATTGAAAAGAAATATATTTTTGCCAACATACATATACATTGCATATATTCTGAAATATAATTGACTAAAATGTCAGGCCTTGAAGGTACAGAGTATGAAAAACTGTTCCCAGACACTAAATAGGGCATGAATAATAGTAGTTGAAAATGCAGTTTTAGGAGGAGATAAAACCTCTGAGCATAACTATTAGTTACTTTCTATTAAAGATCCTCTCTCAAGTAATTGAAGAATTCTGCCTCAGACAAAAATTATTGTTAATGGCTTCAAGATGATGGGCTATATTTTAAGCAAGAAAGGGTTTAACTGAGCACTGGACAAGCATATTCAAATTTTAAAACCTTACCTAGGACTACTTTTTTCTAGTCAAGAATGAATAAGAGAAGTTAGAGTCACCCTGTAATCTAAAACTACCAAGATAAGAGAAAATATACACCTTAATGGCACTAAAATATTGAATTGTAACAGTCAAAGAAGGACAGTGATATCTACAAAAAGAGGAACTAAAGAATGGAGTACTACAATTTTCCCAGCTTACAAACTGATAAAGTTTAAAGATCTTATAAAGAGAGGGAGAAACCCAGTAAGAGCCTACAAGTCTCCATGAAATAAGGAATTGGGAGCCCGGAGATCTCAAAATATCAGGAATCCACAGGACTGAGTACCAAAGAGGAAAGAGCAGCACAGAAAACTGAAGACGTCAAAGAATCCCCCTAACTCTTCACCTGAATACTGGTAAATAAATACATGTGAGGAAAATATCCAAGAGGAAGAAAGAAATAGCAAAATTGATAAAGAGAACTGTACATGAGGTTTACACAGATCTGAGCATAGCCCTGTTGACAACACAGGCATTTTCAAATTTTAAAATGCCTTATGGTTCATTGGGTATTTGGTAGAGTACTAAGAGTTTGTCTTAGTATTGAGGAGAAAGTAACACTAGAATAAACACTGCTCTGACCTCGTTTAACCAGTGCTTAAAATAAAGACTGAAAAAGATCAAAATTGTTTCAAGAAGTTGTCCTGCATCAAAACAAAGCTAAAGAATATCACAGAGAGGCAAAAATATCCAGCACTCAGCAAGTAAAATTCTGTGTCTGACATCCAATAAAAAATTACAATGAATAGGATATCAAAAAAATGGTGAAATTGGGACTTTTGAACATTTTGTTCTTCATACATCAAAAGAAAACTAGGAGAAAGATCAGAATAAACTTTTTTAGCATTCTAGAAATTAACCAAAGTTTTACAGCAGAGGAGGATTTATACAAGAAAACTTGCTGAATCTCAGTAAGAGTGAGCTTTTTGGCATTTTAGCTTACTCTAGTCATATTACCCCTTCTCCATCACCCCAGTATCCTTGAAAAATAATAGAACACATTCCTGGTACAGCATGATCAACCTGGAAAGAAGCAAAAGGAAGCAGAAGGAAGCTGGAGCTCTTTCAAAGCCCCATTCCCAAAGAATTGTCATCATTTGAACTGTCTGGTGGTTCTGAGGAAGACCCACTTTCAAGGTTTTCTGTATTTGACTTGACATGGCACTTGCCAGGTGTGAAAATCTCTTTAAAGGGAGCATTTGTCAAAATCATTTACGGGCAAGTGTTTTAACTTCATCACTGCCTCAGATGCCAGATAGCAGTCTGGGCAAATGATAGAGTAACCAAAAGCTTAGGAGAAAATGTTGGGAATGAGATGCCCATAAGGGCTTTTAAAAGCTCTGATATACCCTTAGAAATCTAGAAGTCCACATGCATGCATAGGACTGTGTGCATTCACAGGCTGGTATACATGGTGTTCTCAAAAAAGGCCTGAAAACGTCCTAAGCTGTCACTTCTGGCTGACCTTGTGACACTGCACAAGCCAGAAGTGAAAGCTCAGGCAGAGCTGTAAGGTGTCTAGCTGAATGTTGAAAGCATGCCCCAACATGCACAGAAAGCCTCTCAGCAAAAACTGAGAGACTTAATGGTTCCAGAAATGGAGGCATATTTCTGCCTAGTCAATAGCTAAACACTAAGCTAAATGAATTGAGACATCAATGACTACACATGCCAAAGAATGCAGACATTAAATAATTAGATAACAAAATTCACTAAACAAACAAAGCTACAGCAAGCAGCAACAACAACAAACCAGAGAGAAATGAAAGATTATTATTTCTGGAATTGAAACATTATATCATTTTAAATGTCCAGATTTTTTAATGACATATAAAAAATTATTTTAAACCATGGCCTGTAGGAGGGAAAAAAAGCAATTAATAATAATTGTCACTTTACTAAAGAATATCAGATATTGACCTTATTAGACAAAGATTTAAATTAGCTATTTTAAGTATGTTCAAAGAGTGAAAGTTTACATTCTAAAGAACTAGGAGAAAGTATCAGAATAATGTCTTACCAAAACAGAGAATATCAGTAAAGAGATAGAAACGAAACCAGCTATATTTAATAGTATTTTAAATGTGTCACCCCACTGCTTTCTGACTTCCATGGTCCCATAAAGAGAACCAAATAAAAATACTAATAAATAAATCTTTCAACAAACAATGCTGTATCTAGAAAACTGCTCTTCAAAATTGAAGGAGAAATTAAGACATTCCCAAATAAACTAAAACTGAGAGAATCTGTCCCTGGAAAAATTTCCCTACAAGAAATTCAAAGGAGAGTATTTCAGGTTGAAAGGAAAGGACAGTAAACAGTAAGTGGGAAACACATGAAGAAATAAAGTGCACCTTACTGGTAACCACATAGGTAAACGTTAGACAGTATAAATATAACTTTTGTTTGACTTGTATTTTTGCCCTATGTAATTTAAAAGACAGCTGGGTGAATGCATGTTCTGATATAAACACACGTGTAAAGATGTAATTTGTATAACAATAACGTAAAGGAGGGGAGAAAATGGAGCTATATAGGAGAAAACTTTCTGTATACTATGAAAATTTAGCAGGTATTTATCTAAACGAAATTGTAAGGAGTTAAAATATTATTTGTAATCTCCAAGGCAATCACTGAAGAAAATCTCAAAAAATACATATTAAAAAATACATATTAAACAATAAATTAAAATGGTACCATAGAAGGTATCTACTGAAAACTAGAAACCAATAATAGAAGAATGGGGAGAAAAAAGGCATAAGACATATAGAAAACAAATAGGAAAATGATAGACATAGATTCTACTTATTGGTAACTACATAAAATGTAAATTATTTAAGCTCTCTAATTAAAAGGCAAATATTGCTGAAATGCCTAAAAAAATAGCTCAACAAAATATTTATCACAATAGACACACTTTATAATCAAATATACAAATAGTTTGAAGGTAAACAAATAGAAAAAAGTTATGTCACACAAACTTATCACAAAGGAACTGGAGTGACTAAACTAATATTAGACAAAATATATTCTAAGACAAAATTTGTCACTAGACACAAAGAAATATTTTATTTATTTTATTTTATTTATTTTATTTTATTTTATTTTATTTTATTTTATTTTATTTTATTTTATTTTATTTTATTTTAACAAGATCTTGTTCTGGCACCCAGGCTGGAGTGCAGTGGTGCAATCTTGGCTCACTGCAACTTTGAACTCCTGGACTCAAGAGATCCTCTTACCTCAGCCTCTAAAGTAGCTGGGGCTACAGGTGCAAGCCATCATGCTCAGCTAATTTTTCTATTTTTTAGTAGATGGGGTTTCTACCATCTACCCCAGGCTGGTTTCAAACTCCTGGGCTCAAGCAATCCACCCGACTGGGCTACTGGGCCTCCCAAAGTTCTGGGATTACTGGCATGAACCACTGCACCCAGCCGAAAGACATTTTTAATGATAAAATGATTAAGCCAACAAGAAGCACAAATAATATTAAGATATATAGTACTTAAAAAGAAAGCTACAAGTACATGAAGCCAAAATTGAGAGGAAAAGTAGGCATTTCACAATAATAAGACTGCAATACCTCATTTTCAATGGTGTATAGAAAAAGGAGACAGAAGATCAGTAACGAAATTGAAGACTTACACAATGCTGTAAGTCAACTAGACCTAACAGACATCTACAGATCACTCCACCTAGCAACAGCAGAATACACATTCTTCTCAAGTACACATGAAACACTCACCATGATATACCATATGTTAGGCCATAAAAAAGTCAAAATAAATTTAAAATGATGGTAAAATTGTACAAGAGTATGACTACAATGTAAAGAAATTAGAAATCAATGACAGAATAATTTTCACAGTCACAAATATGTGAAAATTAAACACCACACCTAATAAACAATAGGTCAGAAAGAAATCACACAGAAAATTAAAAAGAACCTTGAGATTAATGAAAACAAAGGCACAAGATACTAAAACTTATGGGGAACATCAAAAGCAGTACTTAGAAGGAAATCTATAGCTTTAAATATTTACACAACAGCACAATAAAGATCTAAAATAAACCTTTCACCATCCACAGAAAGAAGAGCAAACTCAACACAAAACAAGCAGAAAGAAAGAAAAAATAAATATTAAAGTGGAAAGAAATGAAATAAATCTTAGACAAACAATAGAGAAAATTAAACCAAATATGTAACATTTTGGAGAGAACAACAAAATAGCAAATCTTGAGTAAGATTGACAAAAAACAGAGAGCAGACTCAAATTACTGAAATCAAAAATGAAAAGAGGAGCATTACTCTTGGCCTTACAGATATAAAATTTTTATGAAGATACTATGCACAATTGTATGGTAACAAATTAGATAATCAAATGACATAGATACATTTATAGAAAGACATGAACCATCTAAACTAACCCAAGAAGAAATAGACAATATAATAGGCTTGTGACAGAGTAATTTTAAAACTATTTCACAGCAAAAAACCCAAGATGAAATGACTTTTTGGTGAATTCTGCCAGCAAATACTAGCAAACTAAATTAATTTAGCAACGTGTTTAAAAGATTAGAAACAATGATCAAATTAGATTTATTTCAGAAATTCAAGTTTGGTTCAACATAGAAAAAATTAGTAAACATAACACGTAATATTAATTGAATAAATGGGAAAAAGACATAATTTTCTCAATAGAGAAAATACTTGGATAAATCCAACATTATTTCATGATAAGACTCTCAACAATATAGGAATAGAATGAAACTTACTCAATCTGATTAAAGCAATCTAAGAAAAACCAGGGCCAATATCATACTTACTGGTGAAAAACGGGATGCTTTCTCCCAATATCAGGAACAAGACATGAACATGTGCCCTTGCCTCTTCTATTCAACAGTGTATCAGACGTTTTAACCAGATAAATTGGGCAGGAAAGGAAACATCATCTAAATTGAAAAGCAAGAAGTATTTGTAGATGATCTATCCTTTATAAAGAAAACCCCAAAATATTAAAAAAAAAACTCTCGGAGCTAATAACCACATTCAGCAACAGTGCAAAGTCCAAGTGTTGGACAGTTTCTGTATAGCCTTGACAGACCTAGTCTTCTTCTGTCTTGTTGATTGTAGTTCTCAGAATAGTTGAAGCATGTGTGAGCATGCAATATCCTGAGACAGGGAGGAACTGCTAGAAATAGACCAGGCTTTGTTATTTGCCCTCCTAGGGAAGAGAACTTCTTGAGTTAGAGAAGAATTGCTCAGGATAGCCTGAGCTTTAGTCTTTATCTTAGAAGCAAGACGCCCTTCAATGCTTTAGCCCAGCAACTCACATGTCCCCTGAGTTAACTCAAGGTGGGTTGCCTTTTGGGATCCCTAAGCTGCAGTCCAAGTGTGGCATGTTCAGTCAGGACTCCATCCACCCCCGACAGCTCTCCAGAGCCTCGGCTGACCAGCTCACTGTGGATCCTGGGCTTCTGTTGTCCCTTGCCACCTATCTGTAAGTAATAATCCTGTTCCATATAACTTGTACAATGTGAGTGTTGTATCTAACTGAACTTGGGTGAATAGTAAAGGTGCAGCCCAGGATGGAGTGAACAAAAGTGTTTGGATCCTGCTCCTGGTGGTTGGCATAGCAATGATCTTTGTTATCCTCCATGCAATGGGAGTCCTTCCTTAGTATTGGTAATTAGTCACCATGGTCATACCAGTCTGAACATGTGTGATCTTGTCTGATCTCAGAAAATATTGGTAATTAGTTAACCTGTTTCACACCAAGATCAATATTTAAAACTCAGTTGCATTTCTATATAGTATCAATGAACAATACAAAAACTAAACTAAGAAAACTATTATACTTACAATAGAAAATAAAATAAAATATTAAGAATAAATTCAACCAAAAATGTGCAATGTAATGCACATTTGTAAATAGAAAACTAGAAACATTGTTGAAAGAAATTAAAGAAGATCTACATAAATGGAAAAACATGTTATGTTCATGTGTTAAAAGTCTTAATGCTGTTAAGATAGCAATACTACTATGGTCAATAATACTATATTTTATACTTGGAGTTTTATAAGACAGTAGATCTTAAATGTTTTCACCACACACACAAAAATCATAATCGTGTGAGGTGAGAGATTGTGGCAATTATTTCACAATCTGTTCATGTATCAAAACATCACATTAAATACCCAACATATATACAATTTTTATTTATCAAAAGCTGGAAAAAGCAATCTCTATCAAAATTCCACCTTTATTTTTCACATAAATTACAAGCTGATCCTAAAGTTAATGTGAAATTCAAATATTATTAGGCATGCTAAGAAGCAGGAAAATGAAACACAGAGTGGATATAAAAATCAGTCAATAGAAGCTGAGCCAGAAATAACACGTTTCTAAATGAGAATGTGAAACAGTTATTATAACTGCAATTCATATGTTTAAGAAGTTAGAGAAATAGAAATTAAAATAAATAAGCTACTTTATCCTCTCTCCCTCCTGTAAGGGTTGATGCAGAGTACATTACCCCCAGCAATACAAATACATGTGTGCAATATGTCCACTCAGGGAATCTCATTAGCTACTCAGTACCCACATTTTCATTAGGAGCTGGTCATACAGGTACCTTCTGCCTAGGATGTACCGAAATTCCAAACTCCCAGGAAAAAATTACGTGTTCAGGATAAGCCATATTATTTTCACAAACAGTCTATGCACAATGAGCCACTCTTATCATTCAAAGAAAGTTTTATATCAGTCAAGGGAAATGTTTACCGATCAAGTTCCCAGATGCCAGTCAAGGGTAAACCTTTCAAGAATAAGTTTCTAAGGATAGGCAGTCTCAGCTCTGCTACATTAACCATTTTTGCACAATATGGAATACTCAAGCAACACCATTAACCAATGTGCACTAACTGACATTTATGGATTACTCCACTCCATCCAATAAGGGCAGAAAATTTATTATTTTTAAAAGTACATGGAACATTTAGCAAGAGAGACCTAATATGGACCATCAACAAGTCTCAATATGTTTAAAAGAATTCAGGACCATAAATAAGTCTCACTACCGTTTAAAGGATTCAAACCACCAGAAGTAAGTTCTCTGACTGCCACAGAATTAAATTAGAAATTATCAACAAAAAATATTTTTGAATACCCCCAAATATTCAAAATCTGAATAGCACAATTCTAAATAACCCATGAAGCAAAGAAGAAATTGAAAGGGAAATTAGAAATTATGTTTAAATAAATAGAAATAAAAGGCTAATATATTAAATTTTGTGGGATATAGCTAAAACAGACCTTAGGGAAAATTTTACAGCCTTACCACCAAGATTAGAAAAGAAAAAAGTTTCAAGTCAATAATATCAGCTTTTACCTTAAAACAAAATAAAACCAAAACAAACAAGCAAAAAAAGAGCAAATCGATTCCAGAAGCTAATAACAATAATGACAGTAGTAGTAGTAATCAAAATCAATAAGAAACAGAAAAAGAAGTAGAGAAAAAACAATGAATCTCAAAGCTGTGGTTTTTAGAAAGTTAATAAAGACACAAATTACCAATACTATGAATGATGAAATTGATATCACTACAGATTCTAGACATATTAAGATGATAACAAAAAAAAATTGTGAACAGCTTTATGCCAGTAAGTTATACAACTTAGATGACAAATTATTTTAAAAACACAATCATCAAGGCTCATTAAAAATAAATAAACAATCTGAATAGCCCTACATCAATCACAGAAATCGAAACTTCAGTTCCCACAAATAAACCCATAGACCCATATCATTTTGCTGAGGAATTCTACCAATTACTTGAGAAATAATATAATTTTTACATGAAATCTTGTAGAATTGTAAAGAGGAGGAAAATATCTACTCATTCAATGAGGCCACCAAGATTTTTATATAAAATCTAGGCAAGGGCATGACAAGAAAATTGTAGACGAGTGTCCATCATGAACATAGGTACAAAAATCCTTAACAAAATTTTGATAAGTCTAATCAAACAATATAAAAAAGGATAATACAAAAAAATGCAAGGCTGACAATAAATAGGCCGATAATAATATAATTCACCATATAATCAGACTAAAAACAATGGTCATCTCAAAAGATGAAGAAACAACATTTGACTTCAAGACTTATGCAGTTACAATAATCAAGGTGTGATATCAGCATCAAAATAGAAAACCAGATCAAGAAAACAGAATAGTGTAAAAGTACACCCATACAAACATGGTACACCCACACAAATATGGTCAATTTGTTTTTGACAAAAGTTTAAAGACAAATCTGTAGAAAACGAATAATCTTTTTAACAAATGATCAGTTGTAAGTATATATAGAAAAAAACTTTGATCTATACATTGCAACATAAACAAAAAATAATAAAAATAGATAATACCCAAATATTAAATGTAGAAATATGAAATTTCTGGAAAAAAATTACAGGAAAAAATCTTTGTGATCTTGAGTCAGGCAAAAAAAAAATTAGAATAGCAAAAGCATGAATAAAAGAAAATTTAAATATCACAAATTTGGTGTTATTTAAATTGTGAATTTCTTGGCTTCAAAATACAGTGTTAAACTAATTAATGAAAGACAAGCCACAGACTGGAAGAAAGGATTATGAAGTCACATAAATGATGTATTCAAAATATGAAAATAAACTCTCCAAACTCAACAATAAGAAAACAAGAAACATAACTTTAAAAGTGGACAAACATTTGAATAGATCCTACACAAAAAAAGATATATGCATTGCAAAAAAAAAACATGAAAATATGCTCAAAATCATTAGTTACTGGGAAAGTTAAAACCACAATGGGATTTCACATCCACGACCATGTCTAAACTCATAGTTACTTACTTAACAAAGTGTTAGCAAGCATGCGCTGAAACCCAAGCAATGCTGGTGGGAATGTAAAACAGTACAAGCACTTTGAAAAACAATACAAGTTTCTACTAGAATGTTAAGCATACATTTACTATATGACTCAGGAATTATACTCTTAGGTATTTACACAAGAGAAATTAAAGTCCATAGCCATACAAAGACTTCTAGACAAATATTTGTAGCCAGCTAATTTGTCATTACCTACAACTGGAATCAATCCAAATGCCCAAAAGATGAAATTATAGATAAATTGCTGTATATCCATTCAGTGGAATTCTACCCAGCAATAGCAAGAAATAATTTATTAAACAGACAAACACATATATTAATCTCAAAATAACTATTTAGTTAAAGAGGAAATACAAAGATCATAGTATATACAGTACTCTTCACATAAAGTTCTGGAAAATGCAAACTTATTTAAAGTAACATCATTGCCTGGGAATGAGGAGAGGTCAGGAAGACTCAAGAGGGAGGCATTACCAAAGGATAGGAGATTCTTTTGGGAATGATAAATAGGATGTTCATTGTCTTTAACAATGAACAATATTGATGTTCATTATTGATGTTCGTTATACTTTGATAGTTTCACAGGTGTACACCTATCAAAAGCTATCCACTTGTGCATTTGAAGAGTGCAATTTATCATATGCCAATTAAATCTAATAAATTGTTTTAAAATTATATCTAAAAGAGATATTGCTTGTTTACCCAAATTGCTTGTTTAAGGTGGTAACCAAAAGCTAACTCAGTGGAAGACTACTAAGGTAACTGGCAAAGAGACGTCCATGCACGGCCTGCCTTGGCTGTGACTGCTGCCCTTCTTTTAGACAGCCTTCTTGTAAGAAAACAGATAGGGCAGCACAGCACCAGGAAGCCAGATGGCCATGCTGTTTTCCTACTGACAAGGCCTGCTATTTTGCTACAAGACCCAATCCATGGTCATCTGTTTCTTCATCAAGAAAATAAAGACACTGATACTAAAATTCTATCATTTATCTCCTGTCAGATACCAATCAGTTAACTTAACTAAAATTCCATTTCTAATACAAGTAATACTCAGGTTTCTTTGTTGTCCTCACAGGTTTTCATCAGTATCAAGTGTCTTCATTATTTCTTCTACTACGTAATCTCTGGAATTGAAATTACAGCCACTGTCTTTGCTCTCTTTTATACACTGTGGTCTGATTGCAGTACATTTTTCGTTTTTGTTTTTGTTTGCCATTGTTAAACTGTATCTTTAGGACAGCGATGATTTCAATGGTCTGTTGCTCCAATGGCTTTTTTAACTGCTGGAATGCACACAGTACAGCCTGAGATCCCAGATTAAAATGCCTCTTAAAGAACATAAAGAAGATAAACATTTTCCAGTAGGATAAAATTGTTTTCAAGATATCCCAACAAAATGATTTAGTACTTTACCACAAAAGTTTACACAATTTAAACAAAAAGTTTACACAATTACATTTTGCTCTCAATAATCTTTGAAATACACAATGCTTGACATATTATTAATCTCTAAAACACATAAAATCAGGAAATTAGCATCAGTGATATTATCTTTTGATTTTACTTTACTCCTTTTCTCTCATTTCCTTGCTCAGTTAATATATTAGTGTGGTATTTTTTAATGCCTCACAACAAATGCTAATGAATTATTTACCATTTTCTCGCAAAATGGCAAAATATGAGATGGTTTATACTACCATGTGGAATTAGGGCAGGTAACCATAAATTACCACAGTGAGTTACAGCTCTTATGCAGGATATGGTAGCTTTGCTGGAGTAGACGAACCTAATCTCATGTCCCTGCTATACAGTTACTGGTCTGGGAAATTATTATTTTTCTTACTCATAGGCAGAAGAATCAGAAGCAATGTATCCTAACATGAAATGGGCATAGAATGGAAAGTCTGTGGTATCTCCCTTGCTCTCTCCTGGATCATCTAAAATTCCTAAAAATATCTCATTGGTTCATTGCATTAACGGAATCATGGTCATTGGAATGTGACAAGTATTGATATATCTTGGTAAGACTCATGTTATTCAGACTATGGGAAGGAAACTCTACAAAGACTCAGAGGCCGCATTGATAAAGATTTTTGGATCCTGGTATCTGGGGCCTGCCAAAACATTTCTTTCCTATATTAGTCACTTGTTGCTGTGTAACCAATAACTGGGGCTTCTGACACCTCAGGGCCTGCCTGGGCTAGGATTGACCTCCAAGCACATTCACATGGCTATCGCTGCAGACCTCAGTTCCTCAGGCCTTTCCACAGGCTTCCTGGATATCCTCATGACAACAGGGCTGGCTTGCTGGGATTAAGCTTCATCTTTTGAGAAGAGTATCAAAAATTTTGTGGATATATTTTTACAACCACCATATCCTCTATTGTATTGCAACTTGTACCTCAACTATTAGGAAAGAATCACAACCACTGGTAGGCCTCTGAGTTTTAGAGGCAGCATATTCCATACTTAGGAATACTTCTCGGACCCACTTTTTAGATGATATGATAACTGCTAGTTTTGAGTGGAGTCTAAAGCAAATTTCAGCAGCAGGTCTTGGCTGCTCTACAGCCGTCTCTGCAAATTGGGCCATATGGCCTGGCAGAACCCCTGGTACTAAATGTTTCTGTGTTGGGAAAAGACACCATGTGGCACCTCCAGCAAGAGTCAATAAGAGAGGCACAGTGCAGGCCCTAGATTCTCAGAGTAAGACCAGGCTGCCTGCAGCAAAGTCCAAATACCATTTGAAAAGCAGCTTCTGGCATGCTACCAGGCCCTGAGAAAGAGAGCATCTGGATACAGCACACCAAACTGCCCATAAGGCTGTCACTGCCCACCATTAGATCCGTACTGTTGCATACAATGGCTTCTATTGTCAGGCCATGCAGCATCCATCAGTTATAAGGTAGGAGTGAAACATTGACAGTGGGCTTACATAGTGCAAAGGGAAGACCTAGGCTTCAGAAACAGGTGGCTAAGGCCTCCATGTCATTGGCCAGTGTTGCCTTGATAGGTCTCTTTCAATTCACACCAGTAGCCTCATGAGGGGTTCCCCACAACCAGCTAAAAAAGGAAGCAAATGCCCAAGCCTGATTTACAGATGGGTCAGCTCAGCAAGTTTGTGCAAGCCAGAACTGCTGCTATGCCCTGACCCTACTCAAAAATTCCCTAAGAGACTATGATGAGGGAAATGCTCTAAGGGCTAGGGGCTTGAGCCTTGCACCACATCATCTGCTTTGTGTGGAAGCAGAAATAATCCAAGGTAGAGACATATATGTCCCAATGGGCAGTAGTGAATGATGCTTGATTAGGCAAGATTATATGGATAGACTTACAAATTGACAAAAAGTGTGAAAATATTTTTATTGTATGTTAATTCCTACCAGAAAGCATCCACTGCAGAGTAGTCACTAAACAACCACGTAGACAGGATGGATTGCTTGACTGATGTCAACTTGCCTTTGTTCTTTGATACTCCCATGCTTACAGATGGGCTCATGAATACCACTGCTATGGTGGCAGAGGTGCAGGCTGTGCTGGGCCCAATAACTGGAGTTCCCTCTCATCAGGGATTGTGTAGCCACTGCCCTCACTGAATTTTGACATGTCAGCAAAAAAGAACAGGTGTCAGTCCCCCAAATGGTACCATTCTTCTTGGAGACCAGCTGGCCATTTGGTGATAAGCACATTTCATGTACTTCCTTCCACAGGGAGAGTGGTGAGAACTCGTAATAAAGGCAGGAAAGGTAATATGTTTCCCACTATAGTGTTCCATGATGGCATCTCTTGGTGCTCCCAGACCCAACTGTCACTGGGCAAGTACAGCAGCCACAGGCTGATAAGTGCATGCAAATCAGAGGCTCCCACCCCTTACAGAAGAAAACTAACCTGGACCAGAGAAGTGTTAGCTGAGATGGAGCCAAATCTACAAAGGGTGGTAGAGAAAGGAGAGTGGTGTTGAATACTAGCTGTAGTCTCGTGACACACTGTAGCTTTGGAGACTATAGTCTGTCCCACCAACCTTCCTCTGGTAAGTTCCCAGAGAATCCTGGGAATGCTACACTTGGATAGAGAGAACTCATATGATAATCAAGTGGATGTGAGAGATTTAAAGAGAAGAATACAACAGATGTTGTTAGTGTCCTACCCAGATTTTTCTTTGCTCCTGGGGACACCCTCACCTAGCTGCTGCAAATGCTGCAGATCATGGCTTTCACCTACACAACTTTCATTGGAGAATTGCCCACTGCAGAGAGGAGTCCCCTGACCCCACGTGCCTGGGAGTTTACACCCCATGAAAGCCCTCCACTCACGCATACCCTGGAGCATCCACAACTAATTAATTGATACCATGGTACAAAGTCAGACCAGCTTTCTGCAAGGTGGAATTTGTGCACTATAGTGTGTGCCCTCAACCACTCTTCTAACCCCCGACACCTGGATTAGACACAGCTGAACTTTTCTAATAACATTTCCCTGCTTGGGCCATTGTTTTTTTCCATTCTGCCTCCCTCAGTTCAGCCAAGTCCCTCCAGTGGATACTGCTTTTAGAGAATGTGCCTTGGAAATTGGCTTTTAAGGAAATTGAGTTTGATTCTTTTTACTTCCATTAGAGTATCCCACCAATTATATTTATATTTCACAGATAATGTTTTCAGGAGCATGGAACTAGTTTGGAAGGGAGGGGGAAGAGTATACATCCACTTTAAGCAGAATCTGTGGTTACTATAAAAGTATTCCATGTGAACTGGATAATGTGAGGCATTTCACTATGGAGATTAATTGCTGATAACTATTTGGTCTTTAAAGTTGATTTTCATAGAGATGATTTTGGTTTAACAATAACAAATACTTTTTTTCTTTGTAGGTTTTTTTTAGTTTTCTTTTTCTGACCTCCCCTAATCAAACTTGCCCTTCAAGACCTGAAGGCCCTCTTTCCCTCTTTCCCACAAAAGCATTAGTGAACCCTCAACTGGGACTTTCTTCTCTCCCTGCCATGAAATGTTCCAGCCCCTTATATGCAACTCATATTAGCTCCTTCCTTTCCTCTCATATACTTTAGATATTGAAGTAAATGACCTTTCTTTGGCTATCAGGCTGCAAGTCATTGGGAACCAGCATCTCTGACTATTGAGTTTTTTAGTGTTTCTCCCAGAATCTGACCAAACTGCCTTCCATCATCAATGACTGGGAGTCAGATGAGGGCAGATAGAATTCACACAGTGATGGTGTGTTACCAGAAGATGCAGCCCACCCTTAAAAAATACATGAAGGCCCATATTATTCCGTGAATCTACGTGATTATGAGTGGCCAGGCATGATTGCCTGTGCCAGTGGGAGGATAAAAGAGGAAAGAAACTCCCTGGATGCTTGCTGTGTATTAAAGACTCACATAGACTGAGAGTTTAATCCTCATAACACCCTTCATAGACAACAGTCATTAATTCCATTCTACAGAGCTGGAAATCTAATTCAGAGCTGCAAAGTAACCGGGACTTGATTACCTAGTGGCTGAGCCAGAATCCAAGAGAAGTGATTTAAAACTTATGCTCTTTCCACTAAACCCCTTTCCCTGTTGAGATCCAAATAACTTGAAATTCTATGATTTAACCACCATTAGAGATAAATTTCTTCAATAAAAACATTTTATGCATTTATATAAACATGGAACATTTGCAATGCCCAAGGTTCTGGGAAAGACGCTAAGAACATACAAACAGTAAATCTTAAATAAAAATTCCCCTTCTGAAAATCCATTATCTTTCACACTGAAAAAGGAAAGGCCTTTGCCTAGGATTATACATAGAGCAGTACTGGTTTGTTTTGTTTGTTTGTTTGTTTGTTTTGGTTTTTTTGTTTTTGTTTTTGTTTTTGAGACGGAGTCTCGCTCTGTCGCCAGGCTGGAGTGCAGTGGCACGATCTCGGCTCACTGCGAGCTCCCGCCTCCCGGGTTCACGCCATTCTCCTGCCTCAGCCTCCCGAGTAGCTGGGACTATAGGCGCCCGCCACTACACCCGGCTAATTTTTTTGTATTTTTTTCAGTAGAGACGGGGTTTCACCGTGTTAGCCGGGATGGTCTCGATTTCCTGACCTCGTTGATCCGCCCGTCTCGGCCTCCCAAAGTGCTGGGATTACAGGCGTGAGCCACTGCGCTCGGCCACATAGAGCAGTACTGTTATTCCATCATTGAAGATCCAATTTCTGTGCAAAAACATGTTATTTTCAGGTTCGCCAGACTTCTAGCTAGCAGAGTATTTCAGTTTATGAGATTCCAAATTTAAAGTCACAATTTGTTTCTTAGATTGACCAATAACAACTGTGATATCTTGCACAATTTTACCTCTCGAAATTTTGGTTTATTCACCAATACAGTATCCTTGTAAATTTGTTATGGGTCTTACATGAGGTGAGCTATGGCTTGGATATGGTTGTTTGTCCCCACTAAATCTCATGTTGAAATTAAATCTTCAGTGTGGCAGTGTTGGGAGGCGGGGCTGAGCTGGAGGTATTTGATTCATAGAGGTGGATCTCTGATGAGAAGCTCCGTGCTGCTATCATGGTAGTGAGTGAGTTCTTACTTTTGTGAGACTGGGTTGGTTCTCAAGGGAATTGATTAGTTCTGTGGAAGTGAGATCTTATAAAACTAGGATGCCCTGGGTTTGGCCCCTCTTCCTACGAGCCCACTTCCCCTTGACCTTCTCTGCCATGTTTTGTCTCTGCACAAATGCCCGCACCAGAAGCTGAGCAGATGCCAGTGACATGCTTCTCGTACAGCCTGCAGAGGTGTGAGCTAAATAAACCTCATTTTTCAATAAACTACCCAGCCTCAGGTATTCCTTCATAGCAACACAGAATGCACCAAGATAAGGAACATGTAAAGTACTTAAGGAAACTTCTGAAACATGGTAGGTATACAATAAATTGTCATGTGGCAGGATAATCGGTGTCTCAGTAAAATATTAATACTAATTCCTACTAATGTAGAAATATCAGAAAGAATGAATATTTTTCCCTCCTTACTCTGCTCCCCTATACTTCTGGAGTGTAAGGAGGGATTTGAGGATAGCAGGCTTTTGAGCTGTAGACCTCTGGAACTTCCTGTCTATAACCTTCATCATAGTGAAATGCTTTTATTTTCAGAAAGAGCCGAATTATCCTAGAGGTAAAACATTAGAACTAGAGTCTCAAAGAGGGAGAAGGGACATGTAGCTTTTTGAGGAAATTCCTCCCAATACTGGAAAGGTGACAGATGTCCAAAATGTTTCAACATGGAGTTGATCTGTCCCACACTTTTGAATGCATGAGGAGATGCAAAGCCCTCAGAAGGGAATTGTTGTATAATTAATTTAGGAATGCACAGCTCTGGGCTCTGGGCTCTGGGCTCTGGTCTAAAAAACATCCTTCTGCCCAAAGTAGGCCCAGGAGCAGTGATACTACCAACTTCAAGAGTCTAAGGTCAGTGATAACCATCCTGAGACCAACACTCCTGGATATGGACAGTGAGGTCCCCCTGGGCTTCAGATAACCACAGAGGAGTGAGCAGGGAGAAGATGGAAATCCAAATTAGCTTAGGAGACAGAGTTTGCTACTGGATTAGAAGGATGAGAACATTCAGAGCATATTGTGTTAGAGAAAAAATGAAAGGTGAGTGACTTTGTTCACTCTTGCTATGTAAAATAAAACTCACAAGCAAAAGTTGTTCTAGCTACTTGCTTCCCACCCCTCCCCTTAAGGCATCCTGTGATGTGATTTCATGCAATCTCAGTAAAAAGCAAAATTCATTCCTATTAACTTTTTGAAAAAAAAAACTATTCTACGTTTCTTTCACAAATTGTGTTTTAATGTGTTTTGAAATGATAAAAAAAGAAACAATTCATCCCTTTTTAGATGACTCTTGCAAACATGACAGTCTAAAATTGGCAGACTCCTGCAGTGTTTAGAAAAGAAACCAAGACTTTGAAAATACATTAGACATTTTGCAATAGAAAAGGAAAGTTAGAAGAAAGCAAAAATAAGAGTTTCCAGGGAAGCCTCTGGTCAGAGGAAGACGAAGCGGGGCTCATGTAACCATGGGGGACTCTAATTGCTTTCTTTGCACCAAAGACAAACTGCGGAGAGCTCAATTCAACAAATATGTCTGGAGTACTTTCCATGTACTCAACATTTTGCTTGGCAATGGGGATTCAACGGTAAACAAGGTGCAATTGCTCTCTTTGAGGAGATGACATCAACTGTACAAATACAAAGGAAACACAGTAATTTCAATAAAAAGATGTGCACTCAGGGGAAGCACAAAAAGAGTATGCCTGGCATCCTAGAGAGGAAGATTACTGGTTTAAGAATGACTAATATTAGCTAGAGAATGGAGGGAAGGGATGGAGATGGAGGAGGATATGGGGCAACTGCGAGACAAAGAAGACCATTAGGAAAAGACAAAGAATGAAGGTAACAGTTTGACATGCAGAAGATACTTGGAGACAGAAGATACTTAGTTGGTGGATTTTTATCCATTCTGCCATTCTATATCTTTTAAGTGGAGCATTTAGGTCATTTACATTCAATGTTAGTATTGATATGTGAGGTACTATTCTATGCATCCTGCTAGTTCTTGCTTAAATAACTTTTTTTTCATTGTGGTATTGTTTTATAGGCCCTCTGAGATTTATGCTTTAAGGAGGTTCTGTTTTGGTGTATTTTGAGGTTTTGTTTCAAGATTTCAAACTCATTTTAGCATTTCCTGTAGTGCTAGCTTGGTAGTGGCAAATTCGGCATTTGTTCTTCTGAAAAAGACTAACTCTCCTTCATTTCTGAAGCTTAGTTTCGCTGGATACTGATTTCTTAACTATCAATAATTTTGTTTGGGGAAGCTAAAGATAGAACCCCAATCCCTTCTGGCTTGTAAAGGTTTCTGCCAAGAAATCAACTAATCTGATTGCTTTTCCATTATAGGTTACCTAATGCTTTTGCCTCACAGCTGTTAATATTCTTTCCTTTATCTTGACTTTAGAAAACCTGATGACTATATGACTGGGTGATGATGTTTTTGTGATAAATTTCCAAAGTGTCCTTTGAGCTTCTTTTATTTGGATGTCTAGATCTCTAGCAAGGCCAGGGAAGAGTTCCTCAAGAACTCTCTCAAATAAGTTTTCCAAACTTTTAAATTTATCTTATCCTCAGGAACACCAATTATCAAACCAATAATAAGTAGCGAAATTGAAATGGTAATTTTAAAAACTGCCAAAAAAATCATCCAGGGACAGATGATTTCACAGCTGAATTCTATCAGACATTCAAAGCAGAATTGGTACCAATACTGCTAAAAATATTCCAAAAGATATTGAAAGAGAGAATCCTCCCTAAGTTATTCTGTGAAGCCAGTATTGCCCTAGTACCAAAACCAGGAAAGGACATAACAAAAAAAAGGAAAACTACTGACCAATATCCCTGAAGAACATAGATGCAAAAATCCTCAATGAAATATTAGCTAACCAAATCCAACAGCATATCAAAAAGATAATACATCATGATCAAGTGGGATACAGGGATGGTTCAACATACACAAGTCAATAAATGTAATACAGCACATAAACAGAATTAAAAACAAAAATAGTATGATCATCTCAATAGATGCAGAAAAAGCATTTTACAAAATCCAGCATCACTTTATGATAAAAACCCCCACCAAAATTGGCATAGAAAGGACATACCTCAAGTTAATAAAAGCCATCTATGAGAAACCCATAGCCAAATTATACTGAGCAGGGCAAACTTGAAAGCATTCCCCATGAGAACTGGAACAAAACAAGGATGCCTACTTTTATCCCTTGAACATAATACTGGAAGTCCTAGTCAGAGCAATCAACAAGAGAAATAACTAAAGGGCATCCAAATCAGTAAAGAGAAAGTCAAACGGTTCCTGTTCCCCAATGATATGACTGTATACCTAGAAAACCCTAAAGACTCATCCAAAAAGCTCCTAGATCTGAAAAATGAATTCAGTAAATTATCAGGATACAAAATCAATGTACACAAATCAGTAGCACTGCTATATACCAACAACAACCAAGCAAAGAATCAAATCAAGAACACAATCTCTTTTACAACTGTTGCAAAAAAATAAAATACTTAGAAATATACCTAACCAAGGAGGTGAAAGATTTCTACAAGGAAAACTACAAAACACTGCTGAAAGAACTCAGGGGATGACACAAACAAATGGAAACGCATCCCATGCTTCTAAATTGGTAGAATCAATATTGTGAAAATGACCATACTGCTAAAATCAAGCTATACATTAAATGCAATTCCCATAAAAATGCCATCATCATTCTTCACAGAACTAGAAAAAACAATCCTAAAATTCACAGGGAACCAAAGAAGAGCCTGCATAGTCAAAGCAAGACAAAGTAAAAAGAACAAAACTGAAGGCATCACATTACCTTACTTCAAACTATACTACAAGGTTATAGTTACCAAAACAGCATGATACTGGTATAAAAATGTCATGTTGACCAGTGGAACAGAATAGAGAACCCAGAAATAAAGCCAAATACTTACAGCCAACTGATCTTCAACAAGCAAACAAAAACACAAAGTGGGGAAAGAATGCCCTAATCAACAAATGTTTCTGGGATAATTGGCTAGCCCCAAGTAGAAGAATGAAACGATCCTCATCTCTCACCTTATGCAAAAATCAACTCAAGGGGGATAAAAGACTTAAATCTAAGATCTGAAACTATAAAAATTCTAGAAGATAACATCAAAAAAAAAAAAACTCCTCTAGACGTTGGCTTAGGAAAAGCGTGCATGACCAGGAACTCAAAAGCAAATGCAACAAAAACAAAGATAAATAGATGGGATTTAACTAAATTAACAAGCTTTTGCACAGCAAAAGAAATAATCAGCAGAGTAAACAGACAACTCACAGAATGGGAGAAAATCTTCACAATCTATGCATCTGACAAAGGACTAATATCCAGAATCTATAAAGAACTCAAACAAATCAGCAAGAAAAAAATATATCCCATCAAAAAGTGGGCAAAAGACATGAATAGAAAATTCTCAGAGAAGATATACAAATGGCCAACAAACATATGAAAAATGCTGAACATCACTAATTATCAGGGAAATGCAAATAAAAACCAAAATGAGATACCACCTTACTCCTGTAAGAATGTCCATAATTAAAAAATAAATAACAGATGTTAGTGTGGATGTAGTGAAAAGGGAACAGTTTTGCACTGCCAGTGGGAATGTAAACTAGTACAAAACACTATAGAAAACAACGTGGAAATTATTTAAAGAACTAACAGTAGAACCACCATTCTATCCAGCAATCCCACTACTGGGTGCCTACCCAAGGGAAAAGAAGCTATTATATTAAAAAGAGTCTTGCATATGGATGTTTATAGCAGCACAATTCACAATTGCAAAACTATGGAACCAGCCTAAATGCCCATAAACCAATGAGTGGATAAAGAAAATGTGATATGTGTACAGCATGAAATAGTATTCAGCCTTGAAAAGGAATGAAATAATGGCATTCCCAGCAACACGGATGGAGTTGCAGATGATCATTCTAAGTGAAGTAACTCAGGAATAAAAAACCAAATATCATTTGTTCTCATTTATAAGTGGAAGCTAAGTTATGAGGATGCAAAGGCATAAGAATGATGTAATGGACTTTGGGGACGCTCCGGCAAAGGCGGGAGGTGGGTGAGGGATAAAAGGCTACACATTAGGTAAATGTACACTGCTTGGGAGATGAGTGCCATCAAATCTCAGAAATCACCACTAAATAACATATCTATGTAACTAAACGCCACCTGTTCTCCAAAAACTATTGAAATAAAATAAAATAAATAAAATGATAATTTTCCCTTTCCTACGATAATTTGAATGAGAGTAAAAAACATCTTCTAATTTTCCTAAGTCAATATTCATATTTTTTTCTAAACAATAATGAAATTCCATTCCCATAGTCCCTTGGCAGTTAGCTTTTGAGTCCAACAAGAACAAAATAGCACTTTTCATCTCCTAAGTGAGATCAGATGGCTTTTAGAGGTTTGGCCTCAGCGTTTTCAGTGGCCTGAGTGTGAGAAGATTAAGATGGCTTTGTGCTTCTGAAAGTCCTCAGGATTCTTGTAGCCTGCTGGGGAGAGGAGAGGAGCAGGCAGCCGATCGTGCCCCCAGCTCAGGGCTGTCTCTATGACCACAGGTCCTTCCATCAAGAGGGAAGCAGAGGCCACACCACAAAAGGACCTCAGATTTTCCTCTAATTTGATATTTTATCTGAGAGGAACATAAAGCCATAAAAACTTTTAAGATGAATAGCTAGAGCACAGAGAATTTCTAGGGAAGTGAAACTACTCTGTGTGATACCATAATGATAGATATGTGTCATTATACATTTTTCCAAACCCATAGAATGTACAACATCAAGAGTAACCCTCATATAAACTACAGACGTTGGGTGACAATAAGGTGTCAATAGGTTCGTCAGTTGTAACAAACATGCCACACTGCTGGATGATGTTGATAGTGGCAGGGCTATCTACGTGTGGGGACAGGGTAGATGGGAACCCTTTATCTTCTCCTCAATTTGCCGTGAACCATTCTAAAAAATAAAGTATATTTCTAAAACATTTCAACAGTTTGCTAGTCAGAAAACTAAATCACAAATTGCAGAAACATATTCTGGTTAATTTAAACCCCCCCCCCAAAAAAAAAAAAGGGAAAAGGTGAGAAGAGGAAAGGGGAGGGGAGTACGGGAGTGGAGAGGGAAGGAATTGTGAAGACTTCATAATAGAACTCCAGGCAGATCAGGCCAGAACACAGGAGGGTGTGCATGGTGAACCCACAGCTCTTGCAGTCAGTCTACCGTCCCCTCCTCCAGCCTCCTGCTCTTGGATGCAGGTGCTCCCCTCACCCAACTTGGAACCCCTCCCTTTCCTCAGTCTGTCAGCCCCACTCCTGCCACACCAAAGCTGGAGCACCAGAGACCTCAGAATTGGCCCATTCCACTGCTCGCCTGTCCCAGTCTCCAGCTTTGGCCTGCTGCAGCTGTGGGCCCATAGGAGCACCATGGGAGCACCACAGGAGCACCAGGGGAGCACCACAGGACGCTCCAGGAGCACCACCACTTGAATTTGTTTTCTTGCTCCTTTCTGTAGTGGCCCAGCTCATGGCTGTGTCTACGACCACAGGGCCTTCCATCAAACAGGATATCTACCCAACTCCACATTCCCTCACAGGGCCTCTGACAAGCTCCAAGTCTTGCTTTCTTCTGCTTTTCTCTTTTATTTGAAAGTTTCATTAGTTCTCAAGCATTTTAAGATATTCTAGTCTCTAATGTGAGAAGATAATTTTGCTTAGGACTTCAAGGAGATATGGATGGTATCGTATGAACTTTTTCAGTCACTCTCCGGTTTTACTTGCAGCCCTGTTGTTTTTTGCTCAGTTCCACTTCTTCAGAGGCAGAGGTGCGAGCTTTGGTCTAATGCTAATGCCTCCACCCAGACTGGGTATCCCCTTCCATATATTCGCAGACTGCATGTCACCAACCACCAGAGTACTACTTACTACCCCCCAAGCCACCCCAGCTTCCTGTACTTGAACGTATCAATGACTGCAACAAAATTCCCCAGCATTAACACTCTCATATCTTTCTAATGTTAGTAAATGGCAACTTCTTCCTCTCTGACCTGAACAATCAGGAAAAAATTTTGATGTTTTTCTTTGATTCCTTGCTAATATTCTACATCCAATCCTTCAGAAAATTCTGTTGGTCCTACTTTAAAACATTCATGATATGAACCTTCAGGGCCACCTTGCCCTCCTGGGTCAAAACCATCATAACCTGTCGCCTGGAAAACAGCAACATCTGCTCCACTCAGTGCTTCCCTCTCCTCTTGCACACCCATCATCTCTTCTCTACACAGCAGCCACAGGAGTCCCTTTGAAATGCCAGATCATGTCACTGCTCCGTTCAGAATCCCCCAAGTCTGACTCAGGCACTCAGGAAGACCCAGTCTTCCCAATAGTGGATACAGGCCCTGCTACTCTCTGAACGCCTCTCCTCCACCGGCCTCTTTTCTCACTCCTGCCAGGCCCATGGTATCCTTTCTGGCTTCCACTCTCATCTTGAGTCCTTATCACTCAGTTTTCCACCTTCCTCTGCTCCCCGTGTAGTGATTCTCATTTTTTTTCCAAGTACATAATCAGATGCTGTCTTACTAAATGGCCTTTCCTCGCCAGTCACCTGGTATACAATAGCTGTTCCTCCAGCCCTTGGCACTTGCTGTGGCATTCACCTCTCTTTGTTTTCTGTAACGGCACTTACCCACTGACACTGTCTTCACTTGTTTTTATTCCTCCTGTAAGGTAAGTAGGCCATTTTTATTTTCATTGCTGTGTCTCCAGAGCTTAGAGCATTTTTCTTTCTTTCTTTCTTTCTCTTTCTTTCTTGCTTTGCTTTGCTTTGCTTTGCTTTGCTTTGCTTTGCTTTGCTTTGCTTGCTTTCTTTTTTTTTTTGGAATCTCACTCTGTTGCCCAGGCTGGAGTGCAGTGGTGTGATCTCAGCTCCGTGTAACCTCCACCTCCCAGGTTCTAGCGATTCTCCTGCCTCAGCTTCCTGAAGTTCTTGACACATATTTAATGCTCCATAAATATTTGTTGAGTTAAATAATTAATTAATATATTTGTTGCCCAAATGCACTCCCTACCCAAATCATCCCAAACTGATTGCTAGAGAGATCGGTGTTATACACATGTACATAGATATGAATTATGGATGGTTCCACTTCAACCAAGTCTTGTCAATCCAAACTCTTAGGCCTCTTAGTCCCCTCTTCCCTTGAGCATTGCTGCCATTACTTCTTTATTTCCCAACAAGAACTTGGAAGTACCTTCTGAAAATGGTCTTCTGGTTCTAGATATGTTTCTCCCATTTCCTTTCCCATACTGCTAGAGTAGGCCCCCTCTGTATTATTAAAATATAATCCTGATTAAATCATACAAAGGTTAAAAATTCTTCAATAGTTCCCATGGCCGACATGATAAATTCCTAATATTTGTATCGTGTATGAGGAGATTTGACATCACCACTAGAGGGTGGGCACTGTGTTGTTCTGACAAGGGACCCAAATGCTTAGCATGGTGCTTGACATATAGTGCATAAGCAATCACCATTTGCCAGTAAAGAGAAAATTTTTAAAGTTGATTTGTCTATCTCATGTTCATCTTTCCACCCAATAACCTCTCCAGTAAGGAGTGACTCGTGTCTCCAAGTTGTGCTGAACGGCTTCCAACTCTTCAAAGGTAACATACGTTCATGCCTCTCCCCCTGCCCTCCAGCCCAGGCTACCCTATGTGTCTGCCTGAGTTCTCCTCAAGCTTTGCTTCTTCCATGAAGTCCTCTCTATGCACTTTCTAGGTTTCTCCAAAACATAGGTCTGTGCCCACCTCAGAATGCTGCCCCAGCACCATTTTCCTATAATTCTGTAAAAGATCACACTCAACTGCAATGTGCTGTGTATGTCTGAGCACTGTACTCTTACCCATACAAACACAGAATCACCAACACACACACACCTACACACATCACACCTGCACACACTGCGTTTCACAGTACACACAAAGAATATAACCTCCTTAAGGGAAGGGACTAGAGCACACTATAGGTGCACAGTGGACACCAAGCAAATGTTTATTGAATAAGTAAACAAAGGAATAGAAGAATGAGCAGAGAATCTATGAACAAAAACAAATTCAGTGAGCAAAATTCTCAACTGTCTCTAAGATTCAGAGATAGAGTGGCATCAGGGTCTCACCTTTGCCAAAAATCATTTAAGGTCAAATTTACACTGAAAGTGTCTCATGGAGTCAGCAGAAAAGTCAGAGCCTATTAGGCACAGCCATACCTAGCATGGTGATAAAAAAATAAAAACAAGGGATGCAGGAAGCTAGTAGTGCAGTCATTGGATTGGGAACAGGGGAATCCCTATTTGTGAAAGCAGCTCTCAGAAATTTGGAAAGGAAGATTGAGATGAAACAAGACATATCCTACAGCATATATAATTCAACCTGTCAGGACTTAACAATCAGATACCTGATCTAAGCTAACAATAATTGTTCACAAAGCTGCATGAAGTATGTTGCATATAGATTGTATGAGTTTGTATTCTTTCATACTTACATTTTCAGCAGCTATTTATAAATTTGTATTCCCAACTAACGTATTTGCCTAAACTTTCTATAATTAAAGCATACAATATTATTTCCAATATAGCCAATTATATGGTTAATTAACTAATTACCCATAATTTCTTCAATTCCACCCCAGTGACAATGGTAAAATAAATTAACATTCCTTCTAAAAATCAGCAGTAATTAGGGTATTTTTGTTGCACCAGCATCTATAGTCACAATAAGACTAACACACACACCCCAGTAAAGAAGGAATAGGAAGAAAATTTCATATCATAAATCCAGATGCAAATGAAAAGTTTTCTTCTTCATAATTTCCAAACACTGTTATCCATCTCTACAGATTTATGGAATCCTTGAAGGGATATTAACAATGATCTACTGGCATGTTTTAAAATCCCCCTTTATTTGTGTTTATCGAAATGAAGCCCTAAGTACTGCTCCAATTTAACTGAAATCCTATTCATCAAAATATTTCCCTTTTCTCTTCCTTCCGTCCCTCCTCTGCCAACCCAGTGATCCTGAAGCCCCTAGGTTCAGGAAACACGGTCTTAATTAAACCCACTAGGCTCAGGAGCTTACTTTTCACTGTTACATTTCTCTGAGCTAGTAATTGTTTTATGTGTACATTTTTAAAGCTCTGTATTTATTTTATGTAAACATCCATCTGGTTCTATAGCTATGTTTGCTTCCTTTAGTAACTTGCTAATAATGTTTAGAGAATGAAGATGTCTTTATATTCAGCCTCAGGAACAAAGTGAGGAATACATCTCTTTCCTGCACATTGCAGGTCCCCAGCTGCCTTACTGAGAGCCTTATATACCATTTCACGGAAGAATCGGCACGTGATAATCAAATCAAAACACATATCTCTATGATATGCTCTTACCTCGGCATGAAAGAACATCTCCACCTACAGATTAAATATACTAACACACAGTGGAAACAAGCTTCTATTCAGTTTAGCCTAAATTCTTAGAGCATGAGTTATAGGTTTTGGTCACTTGAGTGTGAAATACCCTTTTTTAGCTGCTAGTCAATCAAATTAGAACAAGTATAATTTTCAAAAACTATCCTTGACACACCCACTGTTTTTTCTCCTTTCATCTACTTTTTCTACATTTCAATACATATGATATTTACATTGTGAGATTCCTCTAAGAGATGTTTCAACTAATCTTCTATTTCTCAATGGAAATATTGAGAAATAGAGGGAATTGAGGCAATTTCTCAATTGCCTGAGAAATACTGACTGTACAATGACAATCATGAAAGGAACTCGAGGTGGTCTACCTTTCCTACAAATACATATTGATTTCTTTCCATAAACATTTGGTCAGCATCAGTGAGGTAGGGGCTAAGGGACAACAAGATAGGGACTAAGAATAAAATTGGTGAAGAAAAATAGACATGATCCCTATTTCTATGGAAATTAAAATTTAATAATTTAGTAATCACAATGACTATAAAATAAGTAACTGAAATAATTGCTCTAAAGAAAAATAAAACATGGCTTTATGGAAGTATTTAAACTATGGAATTAGAAAAGCCTTCTTGAGGAGGTAATAAGCTGAGATATAAAATATTTAACGGTAATCTAGTCACAGGGGGAGGAACGCATGTTTCAGGGAGAAGAAACATATCTGCATGTGAAAGTTCCATGAAAGATGGAGCATTAGTGTGGTCAAGGAAGGGAAATTGTTCAGTGTGTTGCCTCACAGATGGCATCAGTGGACACCCATCCTGGGCCAGAGATCTTTATCCTAATGACAATTGGCAACAGTGGAAGAATTTTTAAGCAGGTAGGATTTTATTGGTGATATTATCAGTTTTAACCTTTGAAACTATCAGTGCTACAGTGTAGGGAGAAGACTAGCACAGAGTTGGGGAAATGACCAAGGGAAGACACAAATGGCTATTTAAATGCATGCAAGAAATGTCAGCAACTTGGACAAGACAACAGTTCTCAATCAGAAGAAAGGTGCTCACTCCTCCAGGGACGTTTACAAATGAGTGTGGGAATTTTGGATGTCACAGTGGATACAAAATCTAACAGCATTTATTAAGCGACAGCCGAGACACTAAATGTGCTGCATTGCAGAAGATAGTCGCCTACAACAAATGAATCTTCTCCCAAGATGCTAATAGTGCTCCAGTGGAGAAAAACTGGAGTAGGGTGATGTAGACAGAAACAGAAAAAAGTTACTGAAACTTGGTGCTGGTACAATGTGAAAGAGGAGGCCAAATAAATGTTTAAAATGACTTCTAAATTTCTGGCTAGCAAAACCAAATAGATGCAATTATGAAATTGGGGATCACAAGAAAAAGTAATTATTGAGGAAATAGAGCATGACTTTATTCCTGAGCATGTTGACTATGACATGTATTTGAGACAGATAGTATAGATATTGGAAAAGCAGCTGCTAAATAGATCTGGACCTCAGTGGAGTGGCCTGAAGTCACTTATACATGGTAATTGAAAGCATGGCTGTGGATGGATAGAGTATAGTGCAAGAAGAGAAGAGGGCTTGAGGCCGAAAGTTAAAAAACTGATATCTAAATGTCTTGTAGGAAGGAAGAGATAGCGGGGTCATATGAAAAGGAGCAGCTACAGCAAATTTAAAAACTGTGACAGATTATGACATAGAGGCCAAGGGAAGGGTGTCTCAAGAAAGAATAAAACGTCGATATTGCCTAATGTTATGGAAAGCTAAAATACTAACGAAATTAAAAATATGTCTTATTTGATAAAAAGTGATTGTTGATCTCAGTTAAGAGGGTTTCAGTGCAATGATGGGACAGGAATGCATTTGAGAAGAGTTGAGAGTAAACAAATAGGAGAAAATGGAAACAGAAAATACAGAAATGGCTCTTTGATTAAACTGTCATGGTAAAGGAGAGGAGAGACGTAGAGCAGTCTGTACAGAAGAGTGTCTTCCAGTTATCTACTGGTGCATGTCAATACACTCAGAAATGCTGAGGGGCTTGGAATAGTGCAAATCCTTTATGCTTTCCCCTGGTTCTGAGGAGTGATGGGGTAGCTAGTGCTTTGCATCTCTCCACTGCCTGCAGCAACAGCAGGCTGAGGCTGAGGCCAAGACCAAGGATCTTCTCATCAAAATTAGGTTGAGATGCAGATGAGCTTATCAAATTTATTCTTCCTCAAGCAATCTGCTATTTACTTCCCAGCACATTAGTTCGAGTTCTGCTTTTTCCCTTTGTCACCATTGTCTAGATCTTTCCGTGTCCTTCAATTGTTCAAATCCTATACACCTTCAAGTCCTAGGCTTAATGCACTCTGCTCCAAAAAGGATGACTTCCATGGGCCAGGGCCACTCCATGTTTCATCGTGATGTTCTTTCACTAATTGATTGCTTATTAATATTTGTTCATTGTTTTTTATTAGAAACACTTATTATACCAGGAGAAGAACAAAACAACTGCAGATGAAGCTCTTTGGATTTGTTCCTGAGGTGAAACTCCTCAAACGCCATTTCTCTGAATCGGAGATGTAGGAGTAACACAGTAGAAACCTCCCAGCAACAGAGGGAAACAGCAAAGCATGCAGCAAACAAGGTTCATAGCAACTTTGACATTGAATGAGGCACAGATTACCAGTTTCTTTTACTGTTTTAATTAACTCTATTAGGATATCATTTTTGCACAAGAAACAGCATCCTTTTAAAGTATACAATTTCATAAGTTTTGACAGTTATAGTCAGTCACTAAATGGCAGCAACAATTAAAAGACACATTTCCTTCATCCCCAAAGTTCCTGTGCCCCTTAGTCCATGCATCCCTCCAACATCCTCCTCAAGTGAAGGATGATCTGTTGTTGCCATGATGAATAGTTCAAATTTCTAGAATTCATATAAGTGGTATAATACATTGTATAGACTTCTGGGCCTGGATACTTTCTATTAATTATTTTAAGTTTTATCTATGTTGTAGTGTGAGTCAGTAATTTGTTTTATTTTATTGCTGATTAGTATTCAACTGTATGGATATACTACATTTTGTTTATCCATTTCAAAGTCATTGGCATCTGACTTATTTCTAATTTGGTGATTTTATGAAAAATAGCTACAAAAATGTGAACACAGGTTTATGTATGAACATTTATTTTTATTTCCTTTGGTGACAAACCTATGACTTGAATGACTTGGTTATGTAATAAGTGTGTATTTAAATTTTTTAGAAACTGCCCAAAACTTTCCTATTCACCAAAAGGTATGAGAGCACCAGTTGCTCCACGTTTTCTTCACCACCACTTAGTATGTCAGTATTTTATTTTAGCTACTACACATAGTGGCATTCCAATGTGGAATGATGTGCATCCTTTTTAGGTGCTTATTGGTCATTCATACATCTCTTCTAGTGAAGTGTTTGTCAGAAAAGATTTTGTCCATTTTTATTAGGCTTTTTGCCTTACTATTGAGTTATAGAAGCTTGTCTTTTTATTTTTTTCATTCAGGACACAAATTTATGTATACATATATTTGTAGCTTTATTTTTTATTGTGTCCTGTAAGGAACAAAAGTCATAATTTGGATAAAGTTTGACTTATCTTTTTGTCTTTTGTAGATTTTGCTTTTTGTGTCTTATCAAAGTCTTCGTTTAACCCAAGTTCACAGGTATTTATTCCACTAGTTATATAAGCTTAGCATTTACATTTAAGCCTATGAAGGTTTGAGATGAAGTGATATAAGGTAAATTTTTAGTTTCTTTATGTGACTATCCAGTTATTCCAGCACAATTGGTTGAAAAGACACTCCTTTTCTCATTGAAATGCTTTCACAGCTTAATAGAAAATAAACTGACCTTATATGTATAGGTCTATTTTTGGGAACTTTATTCCATTTTACTTATGTATATGTGAATCCTTCACCACACTGTTTTAATGTAAAAATGCTTTATACTTAGAACTAAAACTAGATCATATAAATTCTTTAAGTTTGCTTTTTCACTTTAATATTTTACTGGTGGTTATGGGCCATTCACACTTCCACATATATTTGAGAATCAGCTTGTCAGTTTAAAACATGATGTAATTTTGATTGGATTTGTTTTATCTGTTGATGAATTTAGAATAAATCAACATCTTTAAAATTTTGCATGTTTCAACTTATGAATATTTTTCTCAAGTCACATAGGCTTTTTAATTTTTTTACAAGAAGTTTTGTAGTTTTCAGTGTACAGGTCTTGCACATATTTTTATACATTATTTCTAGATATTTTATTCCCAGAGATGCTATTATAAATGAAATTGCATTTTTATTTCAATTTGTATGTTTTTGTTTGAGATTTTTTTTCTATTTGATTTGTCTAAGGTAGTTGATATAGTTGATTTTGTATATGGACCTTGTAACCTGGGACCTTGCTAAACTCACTTTTTAGTTCTACTAACTTTTTAACAGATTTATTAAAATGTCCTTTTGAGAAGTGTCTGTTTATATCCTTCACCCAATTTTTGATGCGGTTGTTTTTTTCTTTTAAATTTGTTCAAGTTCCTTGTGAATTCTAGATATTAGACCTTTGTCACATTGATAGATTACAAGAATTTTTTCCCATTCTGTAGGTTGCCTGTTCACTCTGATGATAGTTTCTTTTGCTGTGCAGAAGCTCTTTAGTTTAATTAGATCCCATTTGTCAATTTTGGCTTTTGTTGCAATTGCTTTTGGCGTTTTTGTCATGAAGTCTTTGCCCATGCCTATGTCCTGAATGATATTACCTAAGTTTTCTTCTAGGGTTTTGATGGTTTTGGGTTTTACATTTAAGTCTTTAATCCACCTTGAGTTAATTTTTGTATAAAGTGTAAGGAAGAGATCCAGTTTCAGTTTTCTGCATATGGCTAGCCAGTTTTCCCAGCACCATTTATTGAATAGGAGATCCTTTCCCCATTACTTGTTTTTGTCAAGTTTGTCGAAGATCAGATGGCTGTAGATGTGTAATTTCTGAGGTCTCCGTTCTGTTCCATTGGTCTATATGTATGCTTTGGTACCAAGCAGTACCATGTTATTTTGGTTGCCGTTGCCTTTTTGTTTTCTGGAAGTGTTTGTGAAGAATTGGAGTTAATTGTTCTTTATTTGTTTGGTAGGATTCACAATAGAACCTCCTGGACCTGCACTTTGTGTGCCTGAGAAATTTTTGTAGCTACTAATTTAACATCACTACATGGTATAAATCTAGTCAGATTTTATACTTTTTTAGCTGAGTCAGTTTTGGTAGTTTTTATGTTCCTAGAAATTAGTCAATTTCATCTACGTTATCAAATTAGTTTAATTCAAATTTTTTTAGTGTTGATTACAATCCTTTTTTAAAAAAAATTCCATACAGTCAGTGGAATGTCACCATTTTCATCTCTATTTTAGTAATATGAAAGTTTCATCTCTTTTTTGCCAATATAAATGAAAGTTTATCATTTTTGTTTATTTTTTAAATAACAAAACTTGATTTCATTTTTCTATTTTTATTCATTTATTTTGTTTTTGTTCTAATTTAATTACATTGTTGCTTCAGCTTAATTTTCATTAAGTTTTCTCTACTTTTGCTAGTTTCTTAAGATGGAAAGTTGAGCTATCAATTTGAGATTTTTCTCCTTTTAGAATATAAGCATTTACAGCTATAATTTTTCTCTAAGCACTGCTTTAGTTGCATTCTATATGTTTCAATATTGTGTTTTCTTTTTATATGGTCTCAAAGTATTTGCTGATATCCCTGAAGACTTTGCATTTAACCCACTCATTTAGAAGTATAATGTTCAATTTCCACACATTTGTAAGTTTTGCAAATTGCCTTTTTTATTAATTTTTATTTTGATTGTATTTTGGCCTGACAACATACTTTGTATCATTTTAATCTGTTTACATGCATTAAAATTTACTCTATGGCCTAATACATGATTTATCCTGAATAATGTTTCTTGTGAAAGTTAAAGAACATGCATCCTGTATTTGCAAGGTGAAGTTACTTTTATTAGATTTGCATGATTTAGCCTTTTTTACTATTCTATTTCTTTGTACCTCTTCTGTCTAGTTGTTGCATCTTTATTCGAGTGGGGTAATGACATCTCTAACTACTGTTGAATTATATATTTCTCCTTTCAATTCTGTCAGACTTTATTTGATTTATTTTATTGTTGTGGTTAGTTTCATACACTATTATAATTGATGTGCTTCCTAATAGATTAATCAGTTTCTCATTGGAAAGTGTCCTTTTTATCTCCAGTAAATTTTTTTGTCTTAATGTGTATTTTGTCACATATTATTAGAGCCCTTCCAACTTTTCTTGTTGTTATCGTTATTATTTTCATGGTGTATCGTTTTTCATCCTTTCACTTTGAACCTGTTAATGTATTCGAATCTATCAGGTGTTTCTCTAGAAAGCATACAGTGAAATCATATATTTTGTTTTTAGTCAATTTTGTTATTTTCAGTCCTTTTGTTGAAGTGTTTAACACATTCACATACAATGTAATTACTGATAGACTGGACTTCTGTCAGCCATTTTGCTCTTTGTTTTCTAAATGTCTTAAGCCTTTTTTTCCCTCTCTTATACAATTACGAAATCTTTTGCATTAAATAGATATTTGCTGGTCTAAACTTTAATTCCCTTGTTATGTCTTTTACTTTTTGTTTTTGTGTTGTTTTCTTAGTTATAGTCCTGATGATTACACGTAACATCTTAACAGAAAACATTCTGGCTTGGATTACTAAATTTTACTTTTTTTTTTTTTTTTTTTTTTTTTTGAGACTGAGTCTCGCTCCGTCGCCCAGGCTGGAGTGTAGTGGTGCGATCTCCGCTCACTGCAAGCTCCGCCTCCTGGGTTCACGTGATTCTCCTGCCTCAGCTTCCCTGGTAGCTGGGACTATAGGCGCCCGCTACCACGCCCAGCTAATATTTTGTATTTTTAGTGGAGACGGGATTTCACCGTGTTGGCCAGGATGGTCCCGATCTCCTAACCTCATGATCCTCCCACCTCGGCCTCCCAAAGTGCTAGGATTACAGGTGTGAGCCACCGCGACTGGCCCAAATTTTGTTTTTAAATACTAAATTTCAAAAATATACAAAAACTTTGGTCTAATATAGCTGTGTTTCCTATTCTCTGCTTTATGCTATTATTGTCATAAAAATTAGATTGTTTTATATCATAAGTCCATCAACACAGCTTCTTAATGATTGCTTTATGCAATTATCTTTTAGACTGGACATGTAGAAAAAAAAAATCTATGTAGTTACCTTTACTGGTGTTCTTTATTCTTCCTGTGATTTGGAGTCTACAGCACTGTCTACTATTATTTTATTCAGCCTGAAAGACTTCCTATATTACACCCTGTGGGGAAGGTCTATTGACTCCAGGTTATTTGTTTTTGCTTCCTGGAAATGTTTTAATGTATTCTTCATTTGTGAGGGATGGTTGAACTATTCTTGGTTTACAAATCTTTTTCAGCATTTTGAGTATATCATCCCACTGCTTTCTGAGCTCCATGGTTTATGATAAGTAGTCAGCTATTAGTTTTATTGAGAATCTCTTGTCTGATGAGTCACTTTTCTCTTGATGCCTTCATGATTCTGTCCGTGTGTTTGGCTTTCTAAAAGTTTGGGCCGAGTGCAGTGGCACATGCCTGTAATCCCAGCACTTTGGGAGGCTGAGGTCAGAGGATTGCTTGAGTCCAAGGGCTCAAGATCAGCCTGGACAAGATAATGAGACCCCTATCTCTACAAAAAAATGAAAAAATTAGCCGTGTGTGGTGGTGCACACCTGTGCTAGCTACTTGGGAGGCTGAGGCAGGAGGATCCCTTGATCCCAGGAATTTGAGGCAGCAGTGAGCTATGATCACACTACTGTACTCCAGCCTGGGTGACAAAATGCAACCCCATCTCAAAAAAAAAAAAAGTGATTCTAAAGGGTTTATGCTAAATTTGGGGAGATTATTACAGTTGGAATTCATTGTGTCTTGGAGGTGCAATGTTTTGGCCAAATATGGCTATCACTTCTTGAAATATTCTTTCTTCCCCTCTTTGTCACTTTTCTCCTTTTGATACCCACATTACGTGTTTGTTGGTACATGTGATAATGCCTGACATTTCTTTGAGTCTTTGTTTTTTAATTCTTTCTTCTTTCTCCACTTTAGAATGAATAATCCCAGTTGTCCTATCTTCAGGTTCACTGATTCTTTTTTCTGTCTACTTATATCTGCTATTGAACACATCTAGAGAACTTCTTTCTAATTTCAGTTATTGTACTTTGTAACCCCAGAATTTCTATTTTGTTCTTTTTTATAATTTCTATTTCTTTATTTATAACATCTATTTGTTGAGACATTGCACTAATGTTTTCATTTAATATTTTGTACAAGGTTTCTTTTTGTTATTTAATAGATTTAGAATAGCTGATTTAGGGTCTTTGTCTAGTGAGTACAACTGTCCTCAAAAACAGTTTGTATTGACAGCTTTTATTCTGTGTATGGACAATACTTTCTTGTTTATTTGCATGTGTTATATTTTTTCCTGAAGATTGTAAAAAATATAATGTGGCAATTGTGGAAATCAGATCTCCCTCTTTCCTAAGAATTGGTTTTGTTCCTGTTTGGGTTTTAATGACTTTTGAAGACTCATTCTATAAAGTATTTCTCTTTCTTCAGCTGCTGCCTCTGATGTCTCTTCTCAGTTAGCTTACTAGTCAGCTAACGATTGAACAGAGATTTTGTTAAATGCCTTTCAGCAAGCACATCATCTTTTGCCAATGGGCTCTGTGTATCTGTTGGTTCACATCTTCAATATTTCAGCAGTTTACAGTTCTTCCCAGACATTTGCTTTCTGCCTTCATGGAGCCTCAAGGTCACTCATTGCTGAGACATTAAGGTATTTCTTGTGCATGCTAATATGCACATATGTATGGTCTTATAGATCTCCAGAGTTGTATCAGATCAGAACTTTTCAAAAACCCTAAGTATATCTCATTTAACTTATTTTTGAAGTAAATTTTTTTTTCAGGTCTTTTGTTTTACCCAACTGGTAGCACCACCACTACATAGTTGATCTGCCTGCCTCTGCCTCCCAAAGTCCTAGGATTACAGGCATGAGCCACTGTGCCTGGTTCACCAATCATTTTCAACAAGTACTCAGAGGATAAGACTTTCTCAGCCGGGTGTGGTGGCTCACACCTATAATCCCAGAACTTTGGGAGGTCAAGGCGGGTAGATCACTTGAGGTCAGGAGTTGGAGACCAGCCTGGACAACATGGTGAAACCATGTCTCTACTAAAAATACAAAAATTAGCCAGGTGTGGTGGCATGCGCTTGTAATCCTAGCTACTCAGGAGGCTGAGACATGAGAATCGCTTGAACTTGGGAGGCAGAGGTTGGAGTGGGCTGAGATCATGCAATTGTACTCCAGCCTGGGTAACAAGAGTGACATTTTGTCTCAAAAAAAAAAAAAAAAAAAAAAGACTTTCTCATTGAGTGAATTTTGTGTCAGGTGAACTATAGACAGTTTGTGAATGGGACTTTTCTGGAGAGCTCTCAGATCAAATAGATACATCTTTCTGGGGATGGGATTTTATCAGAAACTATGGACCTATTCCACTCTTTCCAGTGGCTGCTAGGCTGCTGGTTTTCACATCACCATGCTTCTGAGGCAACTGGTTTTCAAGGCTGCCATAGAGTTCAGAGGAGGGATCAAAATAGAGCAAGTTTTAAATGCTTCAGTGATTGCTCTTCCTACCAATATTCAGCTGTTTTTCTTGCCTTTTTGGTCCTCAGAATGTTGCAAGCCTTTGGTGAATTTCCAGAGTTCAAAGAAAGTAGATTTTGACAATTTTGGTCACTATGTCCCCCTTGCTTTTATTGGGAAAAAGGCGCCCACATAGAAAAGAAGAAGTCAAATGCTCTCTCTTCACTGATGATATGATTCTATACTTAGAAAACTCTAAAGATTCTGCTAAAAGGCTCTCAAAACTGATAAAGGACTTCAATAAAGTTTCAGGATACAAAAGCAATGTACAAAAATTAGTGGCATTTCTATACACCAGTAACATTCAGGCTGTGAGTCAAATCAAGAACACAATCCCACTTACAAACGCCACAAAATAAAATAAAATATAATATTTAGGGATGTATCTAACAAAAGAGGTAAAAGATCTCTACAAGGAGAAATAAAAAACTGCTGAAAGAAATTATAGATGGCACAAACAAATGGAAAAACATTCTAATGCTCATGGACTGGGAGAATCAATATCATTAAAATGGCCATACTGCCTAAAGCAATTTAAAGATTAAATGCTATTCCTACCAAACTATCAACATCATTTTTCACAGAATTAGAAAAAAAATTCTAAACTGCACGTGGAACCAAAAAAGAGCCCAAAGAAGGAAAGCAATCCTAAGCCAAAAGAACAAAGCTGGAGACATCACATTACCTGATTTCAAACTATACTAAAAGGCTACAGTAACCCAAACAGCATGGTAGTGGTACAAAAACAAACACATAGACCAATGGAACAGAATAGAGAACCCAGAAATAATTTCACACACTTACAGCTATCTGATCTTTGACAAAGTCAACAAAAATAGGCAATGGGGAAAGGATTCCCAGTCAATAAATGGTGCTGAGATAGCTGGCTAGCCATATGCGGAAGAAAGAACCTGGATCCTTACCTTTAACCAATACAAAAGTCAACTCAAGGTGGAATAAAGACTTAAATGTAAGACCTCAAACTATAAGAATCATAGAAGAAAGCATATGAAACACCATTCTAGTTATTGACCTTGATAAAGAATTTATGACTAAGTCTTAAAAACCAATTGCAACAAAAAAAAATTGACAAGTGAGACTTAATTAAACTAAACACAGCAGAACAACAACAAAAAAAAAACTATAAGCAGAATAAACAAACAACCTCTAGAATAGAAGAAAGTATCATAGCCACAAACTATGCATCCAACAAAGATCTGAATAAGGAACTTACACAATTCAACAAGCAAAAACCAACCCCACTAAAAAGTGAGCAAAAGACCAGGTGCAGTGGCTCATGCCTGTAATACCAGCACTTTGGTAGGCTGAGGCAGGCAGATCACTTGAGGTCAGGAGTTCGAGATCAGCCTGGCCAACGTGGTGAAACTCCATCTCTACTAAAAATACAAAAATTAGCCAAGTGTGGTGGCAGGCTCCTGTAATCCCAGCTACTCGGGAGGCTGAAACAGGAGAATCGCTTGAACCAGGAGGGCAGAGGTTGCAGTGAGCTGAGATCGTGGACTGCACTCCAGCCTGGGTGATAGAGCAAGACTCTGTCCCCCCTGCCAAAAATAAGTGAGCAAAAGACATGAACACTTCTCAAAAGAAGACATACTAATGGCCAACAAACATGAAAAAATGTTCCACATCACTAATCGTCAGAGAAATGCAAATCAAAACCACAATGAGATACCATCTCACACCAGTCAGTATGGCTATTACTAAAAAGTCAAAGAAACAGCAGATGCTAGTGAGACTGTGGAGCAAAGGGAATGCTTATACACTGTTGGTAAGAATGTAAATTAGTTCAACCACTGTGGAAAACAATTTGGAGATTCTCAAAGAACATAAAACAGACCTATCATTTGACCCAGACATCCCATTACTAAGTATATATCCAAAAGATAATAAACCATTCTACCAAAAAGACACATGCACTCATATGTTCATCACAGTATTATTCACAATAGCAAAGGCATCAGATCAACCTAACTGCCCATCAAAGGTCTACTAGATAAGGAAAATATGGCACATATACACCATGAAATACTATGCAGCCATAAAAAAGAATAAAATGATGTTTCTTTGCAGCAACATGGATACAGCTAGAGGCCATCATTCTAGATGAATTAACATAGGAACAGAAAATCAAATGACACATGTTCTCACTTATAAGTCAGAGCTAAATATTGGTTACATATGGACATAAAGATGGCAACAGTAGACACTCGGGACTATTAGAGAGAACAGGGAGGAAAGAGGTTAAGGGTTTAAAAACTAACTATTGGGGACTATGCTAAGTACCTGGGTGGCAGGATTAGTAGAATCCCAAACCTCAGTATCACACAATATACCCATGTAACAATCCTGCACATGTACCCCCAAATCTAAAATAAAACTTGGAAAAAGTTTAATAGGAAAAAAGAAATTAATTTTTTAAAAAGACAACATGTTAATGAATGAATATGGCTGTGTTCCAAGAGAATTTTATTTACCAAACTAAGACTGCTGCCATTGGGCTTTAATTTGCCATCTCCTGCCTCAGTTTATTCTAAATGTCCCAGACCTTTGGCCTTCTAAAATCTTCACTAATATCAAGGAGCCTGAATCTTAATGGGATTTATGGCTCACCATTGCCATGCAAGCTTTCTAAGGTATTCATAGAACTTGTCACTTCCTGGTCAACATATCAACAGCAGGATGTCATCCTTATAGTGTACCACCAAGATTTCCTCTGGGATATCAACATGATTAATTCATATTGATTCACATTTGAATGATATTTTGAATCGCATCATATTGATTTAAATTTATATTAATTCATATTAAATTCAGTCTATTGTAGTGGAATGTTTTGCCTTTTTCATGTAAAAACCATGTTTGATTAATATTACTCTCAGCGATGAGTACTGAGAAGAAAGCCATATCAGTAGCATAAAGCAAGCAGCAAAGGCTCTGTGGATCTGTTGCAGTAAAGATGGCACATTCCCAGTTGCTGCAGTAGAGGCCTGGCCAACATGGTGAAACCCCATCTCTACTAAAAATGCAAAAGTTATCTGGAAATTGCTTGAATCTGGGAGGCAGAGGTTGCAGTGAGCTGAGATTGTGGCACTCCAACCTTGGGGAACAGAGCAAGATTTCATCTCAAAAAAAAAAAAAAAAGAAAGAAAATTAATTCATGTTGGCTAAAGTGTACCAATTGAATTCCAAAGCCATTTGGAATTATTTCTTATTTAATTTCACATAATTTTAATTTGACAGATAACTACCTCACTAGAACAAATAAAGGCATTGCAAAGATATACATAAATATGGTGGTAAATTAGTGGGTGCCTTAATAGAAATGCATTCTAAGAGCAGGATAAAGAATGTTATTAAAAGAGTGAGGTTCATTTATAGGTGTCTCAGCAAAAGTGATCCATTATAATTTAGTTAGCAAGTTTGACAGAGCAATGTTATTTTGATATATGAAACAAATCTTCAAAGAATGTTAAAATTATTATTTGATCTTTGCCTTTACAAAATGTCTTCTTATTTTAACTTACTTAGAATAATGTTAACATCTTTTCAAGAAGTACAGCGTCATTAAATACTAGAAAGGAAGATGATGATAATGATGAGTAACAGTTCAGCATCTTAGACCAAGTGTCACTGTATAATCTCACAATGGTCGGTGTTGTTGGTTGCTACTATTTCCTCTCTCTACTGTCAACATACAACATTATGCAGTGTCATAAAAGAAGATTCCCGAGCTTAACCCTAAGTATACTTGTGGGAATCTCTGGTACCGAGATCCTGGAATACCCTCTGTTAGCAAGCAGTCCTCTGTGGAATCTTGTGTACTTTAAGGTGTGTGTGCTCCAGCTCTGACTTTTGCACTAGAAATCATGTAAAATACTGAGTTAGGGGCCGGGCACAGTGGTGCACACCTGTAATCCCAGCATTTTGGGAGGCCGAGGTGAGCAGATCACCTGAGGTGAGGACTTGGAGACCAGCCTGGCAAATGTGGTGAAACCCCGTCTCTACTAAAAATACAAAAATTAGTCGGATGTGGTGGCGGGCACCTGTAATCCCAGCTACTCAGGAGGCTGAGGCAGGAGAACTGCTTGAGCTTGGGAGGCGGAGCTTGCAGTGAGCCGAGATTGCGCCACTGCACTCTAGCCTGGGCGACAGAGCAAGACTCCGTCTCAAAAAAAAAAAAAAAAAAAAAAAGTTAGGAGTTCAACTCCAAATTCAAATTGCTCTAGAATTTATTAATTTCAACCTTGTATGCTGGTTCCTTCATGTTTCTTATTTAACTCCTCCCTTAGAAACCTATTTTATTCTTCATTTACTGGATCTGTTCTCTTCCCTTAACGTTATGCCCTCGTATCTAGTCGATCCTGACTTTTTATAATGTACCCCATTTATTTGGGTCTACAATCCTTCCTCCTTATCCCCCTCCTTCATTCTACTCCTTCCGAAAACAAGGGCTGCAAGCACACCCTGGGTTCCTCTATACTGCTGGCTTCTGCTTCAAGTCCCTCCTGCTGTGTGGCTGCCTTAGTGCAGCGATCTACCCTAGAGCTGCCATGTGCCACTGGATATAGTGAAGAATAGAAGAGACACTGCAGATTACAAAGTGACCTCTGCCTTTTACCACATGAAAAAAGTAGACCAGAAAAGTTAATTGATTGCAAGATCCCAATAAATATTAATAGAACACAGCTCCTGCCAAATACTCCAGGCCCGAACACATGCAGTCACAGTCTCTGGCCACAGCTTTGATCTTTTCCAGCAATGCCACCACCCAGAAGATCATGTCTGCTGCATATTTGGCAGGACACAAACTCCAGATGCCAACACAACTTTTTAGCTTGAGCATATTCTGTCAGTCATTTTTAAAAGATTGAACACAGCTAAAATAGAAGCCATTATCAATGTTTGATAAAATATCTAGAGTTTCAGAAGGCAAACAAATCAGAGAATACAACAGAAACTGAAGTAAAACTCTGTAGACTATTAAACGTTAATGCCAAACCAGTATCTTGAAGAATTTTGACAGTAGCACATATTTACATTTCAACATTCATTTTAACTACATGCTTGCTTTTAAATAAATGATTCCATGTGTGCCATGCATAGCAGAACTACTGATCAAATTAATAATTATTCCAAGATCCGTTACCAAAGAAAGCTATTTGTGTGTAAACTGTTGGAAAAGTTCTTACAAGCCAGTTAACGTAGCATTTGTTCAATTATAGTAAAGTCAAAAAGTCAGATTTCACCCCACCATGTTCCTCTGTCTAGATGTTGAGGCTGGACAGTGGTATTATAAACCATTTGGGCCTCTAGATTCGAGGAAGAGGGATGAGAGGCAGTGACTAAAGAAGAAGAGGACATAGAATAACCCAAAAAAGAAGTTAGGCTGCTTCATAATTAAAGGAAAAAAAACTTAACTTTCTTAGCTTCCACCGGATCTTTGTAAAATTAAATATTCCAACCAGGCAAAGATGGTTTAAATAGTTGGCAAAGCAAAGTTACAAGTCATGTTTCTTATACACGCAAATGGTTTAGGCCCTTGGCCGGGAACAAAAGAGCGTAGCAAAAGCTATACTGACTTACATTTATTTTTCATATTTTGAGGTGGAATATCAGCAGATTATCCATTCAAGAAAAATGTTTTCCTTTAATATGTGTGTAAACTGGCCTGTGCCTGAGAATTAGCAATGAGACTTAGAATGGTATGTGAATAGATGCATTTCCTCCAAGAGTTACCTGCTAGAAACCAGGTAACTTGTCACTCTCCCTGAGTGTAGAGAGACCCCGAGGTGACCTTGCTTGGGATGTCAACTGCCTTGTTCCAAAGAATTTTGAAAATCTGCCTGTGCAGAGGATCTAATCTTGTGAAGTTCTCTGTGCAAGCAGAGGGATGGAACCTATGATAAGAGCTGTGAGGAATGAGGACAAGGGGGTAATTTAAAGAATGGTTTCTCTCAGAGAAAGAAGAAGGACTAGCCTTTAAATGGGCAAGGAAGATTGAAATTGAGAGACAACATGGGCTCTAAAATGAAAGGCTTAACTTTTTTCCCTTTTACTTTGGAATATGGGAATATTTATTATTGAAATCCAGTTTTTAGCTTTGTTTTTATTTTATTTTTATTTTGTTTATTTATCTATTTTCTCCAAGATCCCAGTGAAAATTAACCTTACACAGCTTTTATGTTAATGGCAGTGGGAAAGCTAAAGAAAGAGGTAATAAAGAGTTATGATTTTCTCTGTCACTCCTAAACAGAGGCAGAATGCAAGTAGGTGACCAAAAAGCTGGAGTAGAGAAACAGAAAATGACATTAAATAGATGAGGAAGGTACTGATGCATGAGTCACATTAGAAGGTGGGTATGCTTTTAAAAATCATATATAAAGTATAGAATCCAAAGGGATACAAATCCTAGACTTGACAAAACTCTGTTCACTCTAGAAATCTATATTTTAAACATAGTATGAGATCTACAACTCAGCAGAGAGTTGGTAACTCTCATTTTCAAAGCTAGCCTTTTCAGAGACTCTATGGAGTGTGGCAGTCTAACTTTCTATCATGACATTTGTTTAGGCTCCGTGGCATTCTCTCCCAGGCCCACATTGTTGCTAGACTTTTTCTCCTGTTCTATCTGGCTTCCCTTTTCTTGAGAACACTTGCCCAATAAATAACTTGAAAATATTTTTCCAATCTAACTCTACTTCTAGGGTAACTGACCTAAGACATAAACCAAGTTTTGGGTTGTTTCTTTTTTACTCTTCCCAAAAGACTTCCTGAATTTCTCACTTATCTATTAGCCAAATATATGTCCTTTGATTATTTTTACATAGACCATTTTCACAATAGGAAGAGTTTCCAGTGAAGAATAACATCAGGCTCATATTAGAGTCCTAAAGTAAAAGCTTTGTTAATGAATGATTAGTGTTACACTTTTCTAAGACACTTGCTCTCAGTTTTATTAGGAGTAGAATCTCATTACACCAAGATCAGAGGGACTAGATAGTTAGATAGCAAATACACCCACACATTCCCATCCCTGGCGTCTATGACACAGCATTTTCTCTGGTAGCATCTTTTGCACATTGTCACAAAATTGCTTCACTCCTAATTCTACATTGTCTTCTTTTAAGTAAAATCACATGTAGAAGAATTTACAAGATAAGCTAGAATTTGTCTTTGGAACACTCACATGTATTAGTTTATTAACCTTGGTAGTTGGTACTTGGAATAAGAGCTCCTGGAAGGCAAAGACTGTCTCATCATTTTCTCTATCTCAGAATCTAATACAATGTATGTCATTTAATAGATCATTACCAAAAATCTCAAGTCACGAAGGAAAAAGGTAATGGAAGTAGAAAAAAGAAAGAGGAAAGATAATTTATGAGAATTCTGATGAAAGAGCATGCCACTTTCAAGGGTATTTTCAAGGAAAAACAGGCCTGGCTGGGCTACAATGAGCAGAGTGCCTAAAAGAGATGAAAACTTTCCAAGAAAACTTCAAACTGTGATAGAGTCTTTTGCAAGGGCAAGGGGATTCTGAGCACATCCTCTCAGTAACTATATCCCCACTACTGACCATGGAATCTAGAACGCCAGTAGAGGAAATAAACAATTTATTGAGTATATAAACACATAATATTTTACCAGTTTAACAACCCAGTGCAATTTCATATAATAGCTATCAGTTTTATTTAGTAGCTACTGATCATGTTCAATTTCTCAAGGGTTTTGAAATCCAGAAGTTCCCAATGACGTAATTATGTCATACGACTAGACTTGGAGGCTCGCCAATAATCTGATGACACCATCATTTCTATTTTTACCTGTGTTGCTTCCAAAAATGTCTGATTCGTGCGCACTGAGTGACGCCAGCCTGGCTTTGTTTCTCTTCTCTTCTCCTCTCTCACTCTCTCTCTCACACGCACAGACACATGCACACACACACACACACACACGCACAAAACCAGAGCTTGAAAAATTTTAGATGATGTTTCCAAAAGTGTTTCATGGCATGACTTTTATCTCTGTGTATTCATTCAAGTCCAGGGTCTGGTTCTTAAACTTCCCCTTTGAAAAACTGAATTTGTCAGCAAGAGGATGAATGTATTATATACCTCTTGAAAAAACTCAACCAGTTTATAGCGACTTTGCAGAAAATGAAGCTACCCACTTTCATTTAGAATAAGAAATATAATTGTAATATAACTGCAATTTGGATTATTCTGGTTTACTAAACTTCTCAAATCATAAGCAAATATCCATAAAATCCACCAATTCATGATATAGGCTTCCAAAAGAGCCACTCTAAAACAATGTTAAATAGGCATGGAATGCTATTAAAAACACTAGATATCATGATTCTCAAAAGAAATACATTGCATATATTAATATATGCAATATCATTTTCCAATATTTTGTCAATGTAAATGCAGCCAAGTTTTAGGGGAAAAAAATGTTCCTTCTTTTTTCTTTCCAAAATAGGATATTTGGCTGGAATGTGCCTTCTCAGGTAATAATCTCCCCTCTTTAAATCTGTAATGTCTCTGGTTTATTCCTATAGCTTTAATTCATACTTGTTGAGCAAAAATTTATCAGGTGATCTCATTTTTGTACTTTATACAGAAAAATTAACAAGGGAGAGAGGTTTGGGGGACAACTAGGCAAGAAAGGACCAGTAACAAAGGGCTTGGCCAATAAAGCACAGCAGGTCAGCTTTTCCTCTATGAGCAATGGGGAGCCACAGAAGATTTTAATAAGCAGTGAGAGGACTAGGCCCTTCATGCATTTTAAAAGATGACCCTATCTTTTAAGATTTATCTAGAAAAGAGTCATGATCAGAGAGCAGAAGCCTGTTGGGAAGTTCTTGCAATCCCAGGTAAGGAGGCTTGCACAGGCAGGCGGTAGCCCATGCGGAAGGAAACTGGGATGTGTTCCATTTTTAAAATCCAAAATAAGTTATATGTTCCACCCAAGGTTATAACTTTCGGGACTTTTCTGTATTCTCTCTTTAACAAGGAAGTCATCTTGATTAAACTGGATTTTTTTAAAATGCATTTGTGTGCTTATGATGTCAACCAGTAAAATGTGATATATTTTAGCTAATTTTACTACCATTCTCAGTACTGAGTGTAAATTACTTTAACTTGATGTGTTTGATTTCTCAAGTATATCATCTTTCTCATTTTTCCTTTTTATATAATTAATTTTTTACTAATAAGTTGTTACTACTGAAAGCAATTCAAAGGACACTTTCTTTATGTTTTTGTCTCTATAATGTTTCAATCTAGAATCAACCCAGAGCATCACATTATTTTAGGTTTAATCCTGAAAAGTATTTTTAACCCCCATTAGTCTTTCAATCCTTAAAACCACATTTATCTCTGCCATTGTTCAATATTTGGCCCAAAATAGAACCATATAGAAATATTTGAGATATAAAAATAATAGAGGCAAATAATAGAACCAAGAATATGAGGATTGCTCTGTTCTGAACAGTACATTTTAACTTGATTATCATAAAAAAATTAATTCTGTAATTCAGACTGTGCCAAATATCTTTTCAGATTTACCTCCCTATGACATGCCATATTTGCCTAGAATTCAGCAACTATTTCCATGGGTCTATATTTCAGGTCTTAGGTTTTTACTGGTTTATTTTTACCATAGAAAAGCTCATACTGTGTTTATATGTGAGAATAAAAAATACATAAAATGGGCCCTGATCTTACTATATGGATAACTGATTACCTCTAAATATAAGCAAAAGTTGGTTCTGTGAAAAGACCAACAAAATTGATAAATATCTAGCCAGGCTAACTAAGAAAAACAGAGAGAAGACTCAAAGTATTAATATCAGAAATGAAAGAAGAACCATCACTACAGATCGTGTGAACTTTAAACAGATTAAACAGATAATAAGTGAATATTATGAACATATTATTATCTTCACAAATTGAATACTTTAGATGAAATGATCCAGTTTCTGAACAATATCAGAAGTAGATATTCTACATAAGCCAATCGATATTAAATAAATACTAATAACCTTCCAAAACAGAAAGCATCAGGTCCAGATGGGTTCACTGGTAAATTCTACTGGTAAATTCTACTGGTAAATTCTTATCTGAAGAAATTATACCAATTATTTACAATCTTTCTCAGGAAATAACAGCAGAGAAAACACATCTTAATTCATGTTATGAGGCTGGCAGTACTCTAATGCCAAAACCAGACAAAAACATTACAAAAAAGGAAAACTGTGGACCAAGAACTCTCATGAATGTAAATACAAAATTACTCAACTAAACATTAGCAAGTTGAATCCAACAATGTATAAAAAGAATTATATGTCATGACCAAGTGAAACTTATTCCAGGTATGCAAGGCTGATCTGACACTTGAAAATTAATAATATAATTCAATGCATTAATAGGATAAACAAGAAAATTCATATGATCATATCAATAGATGCAGAAAAAGCATTTGACAAAGTTTAACATGGACTCATGATAAAAACTTTCAGCAAACTAGGAATAAGGGAAATTTCTTCAACTTAATTAAGAACATCAACCAAAAATGTACAGCTAACATTGCACTTAATGGTGAGAAGCTAGATGCTTCCCCTCTCAGCTCAGGAGCGAGACAAGGATGTCCCCTCACAACACTTGTATTCAATAGTTTACTGGAAGTTCTACATAATACAATAAGACCAAAAAAGATAATAAAACATAAAGAAATTGGGAAGGAAGACATGCACTGCCTTAGTTTATAGATGATTTGAATTCTATGTAGAAAATCCCAAAAAATCAAGAAAAATTTCTGGAACTAATAAATGATTACACAAAGGTTGAAGGATAAAAGGTTAATTAACAAAAGTCAATTGATTTCCAATATGCCAATAATGAGAAAATGGAATTTTAATTTAAAGACACATCATTGAACTGGCACTTCTACATAAACAAAACTACAAAACTCTGATGATCAAAGTCAAAGATTTGATAAATGGAGAAATACTCAATGTTTTTCTATCCAGGAGTATAAGAAGACTCACTGCTGCCAAGATGTCAGTTCTTCCCAACTCCATCTATAGATTCACATGGAGAATGTAATGTGAAGATTAGAGTTATTCTGTTACAAGCCAAGGAACATCAAAGATTACGGGCAAACTATCTGAAGCTAGAAGGGAGGTTCTCACAGCCATTAGAAGGAACTATCCCCACCGACACCTTGATCTTGGACTTTAGCTGCCAGAGTTGTGAGATAATAAGTTTCCACTGTTTAAGCCACACAGGCTGTGGGGGCAGCTCTAGCAAAGTAATATAAAAACTCTTCACTTTCTGCTCAATATTTTGGTGCATCTAAAAGTTCTCTAAGTTAATGTAAATTAATTCATTACTTTCAAAATTATTATGGTATATAGGATAAGGACTGCATCACTGAAGTTGAAGAGAATCAAAGTATCTTTTTTATAGTGCTCAATGCATGACTCAACAAATATAACATTTAGATCTTTACTGCATAATTGTTTTAATAATTGCTTTACTTAAACTGAAGTTAAGATTTTTGTATAGGCAACATCATATCTGAAAGGGCTCCTGGGCTCTCATGTGGTTCAATTTTGTCTCTAATTTGTTATTTGCCCTTGAGCAAATCACTTTTAAGCTTCCGAATTTCGTCATCTGTAACACAGGGAGATTTAAAATAAATGGTCCTTAGACACCCTACACTATTAAAGTTCTGTGAATCAGCAATGATTGAAATGTTACTGTTCAAATTAACAAGAAATGGCCTGAGATATGATAGCCCACTTCTGAATAAACTCAGTTTGAAAATTATAAAGTACCACAAAAGTAAGTTATTGTTGTAATGCCACAGCTTCCCATGCATTATATTTCCAGATACATTATCAATTCAGCAACTGAGAGAAACAGGCGCCAAGTTGGGATTCGGTGCCCAAAGGATGTATGGGGGGGCAGGAACAGGAAGAGAGGCCATTTGGACCCCTGAGAAGAGGAGAAGCAGGAAGGGATCGGGTAGCACAGTGCAGCTCTGAGACAGCCTAAGCCAGTCCAGTGGGAGCCCCAGAGCCTTGCTTGTCTGTTATAGGACTCCTGCGTCAGGTGGAAATGGGACAGCTCCCTGCGCCACTGTGCTCAGTCATTAACAGGACACATCCCAGAAGAACATGGCCTCCTCGAACTCCGTGGCAGGTTCCACAGTGACAGCAGCTGGAGGCAGTCAGCTGTAAGACCCATCTAGCAACAGAATGTCTCCTAAGGGAGATTGAAGCAGGCAACACCAAAGCTGCAAACACAGATAAAGAGTCACACCACCAATGTAGAGAAGTTTTCAGGACTGCAGTAATTAAGTTAACATATTCTCATGCATGAGAAACTGTCACTATTTGGTTGAGTAAACATTTTTACTATCATATTGATTCATTTCTTGTCATTCAGTCATTCAGGAAATATTAAGCACCTGTGCGCTAACATTAGAAACACAATGATGATGTTAAAGGCTGTTCTCTGAACAAATTCACAGTTTTGAATAAAAAAATGCAATGCAGGCTGGGTGCGGTGGCTCATGCATGTAATCCCAGAACTTTGGGAGGCCGAGGCAGGTGGATCACGAGGTCAGGAGATCGAGATCAGCCTGGCCAAGATGGTGAAACCCTGTCTCTACTAAAAATACAAAAATTGACCGGGTGTGGTGGCTTACGCCTGTAGTCCCAGCTACTCAGGAGGCTTAGGCAGGAGAATTGCTTGAACCCAGGAGGCGGAGGTTGCAGTGAGCTGCGATCGCACCACTACACTACAGCCTGGATGACAGAGTGAGACTCTGTCTCAAAAAAAAAAAAAAAAAAAATACACAACTACTGTGATAAATTCCAAGTTTATTACAAAGGATTTCCATATAATGTAAAATTATGGTACAGAGATTTGAAACAAAAAAATAGTAAAAAAATTATTAGTTCTTATTATTTCTAAAGCTGTTAAATCTCCCAGACATGTGCTTGCATTTGAAGTTGATTTATTGTTTTTTTAAATGAGTGATATGCAGCACTGGTAATTTATTTTGAAAAGTTCACATAAAATCACAAACTCAGAAAACAAAGAAAAGAATATTGATTCTGGTGCTTCAGAGAACTGAATAGAATTTATAGATGAAGCTGGCAGATTTTCTAGAAGCATAATAGAATGTGGATGGCATATATGTGGAAGCACACTAATACATACTGTATACAAATTGAGTATTCTTGTCTCTGTGCCATTTGGACATGAAGCATAAAAATAAAGTACAAAAGCAAAATCAGTATATTTAGAAGACAGGTGTTGTTTATAGAAGATGCAAATGAAACATGTTATAGGTAGAAAATGCCAAAGAAAACCCAGGGTACGTTGGTTGTAAGTACCATAGAGATGCACAAAGTAAAGATGGTAGACAAATATTTTCATGATTACAGACCTTCTTCTGATTACATATAAGTTATAACCCAATTCATATTCATGTTAAAGGAAACAATAAGATGAAATTTCATGAAGAAAAGTAACTTTGATTAATTTGGAAATAGTGATATCCTCCAATGACCATTCACAGAATTTATTTATGTGTTGCTATATTAGTATATCATTTATTTATTTATGCATTTATCTCTCATTCAACTTTAAACTCTTCTATATAACATAAGTGGAACAGACTAGGCAACACAGAAATAAATCCACATATCTACAGCCAATTGATCTTCGACAAAGTCTACAAAAACATACATAAGGGAAACATACATACACCATCCAACAAATGGTGCTGGAGAAATTGGATATCCATATGCAGAAGAATGAAACTGGACCCCTATCTCTCGCCATATACAAAAATCAACTCAAGATGGATTGAAGACATAAATGTAAGACCTGAAACTATAACAACACTACAAGGAAACCTAGAGAAAGTTATTTCAGACATCGGTCTAGGCAAAGAATTCATGACTAAGACTTCAAAGGCACAAGCAACAAAAACAGACAAATGGGACTTAATTTAACTAAAAAGCTTCTACACAGTAAAATAAATAATCAAGAGTCAACAGAAAACCTGTAGAATGGGAGAAAATATTTGCAAACTATGCATCCAACAGAGGACTAATATTCAGAATTTAAAAGGAACTCAATTCAGCAACAACAACAAAAATAGCCCCATTTTCTCACTTATACCATATGTTCTCACTTAAAAGTGGGAGCTAAAAAATATGTAAACATGGACATAGAGTGTAGAATAATAGATATGGGAGACTTGACAGGGTGGGATGAAAGGGATGAGAAATTACTTAATAGATGCAAAATCCACTTTTCAGGTGATGGTTACACTAAAAGCCCAAACTTCACCAATATGCAATATATCCACTATAAAACCTGCACTTATACCCCTTACATGTATGCCAACATACAAAACACTTCCATGTAGATATAGTGCTTTATCCATCTCTGTATTCCCTGAATTCAGCATGAAGATGGACATGTAACAATGACTCAACAGAATATTTAATAAACAGCACAAGAGATCTAGGCAGTGGCTCAGAAATTACTGTTAATTTTTATGATGCTTTCCTATCGATATTGAATCGATGTTTTCAAAAAGTCTTCTAAACTAAGCAATACATTCAATTTCATTTAGAGTAATAAGAACATGTGTTAGAATTCTGTGTCTAGCTGACTACTAGGCAACTATGTCCTTCTTTAAAAATCATTATTATTTCTGGTGCCACACTCACGTAGAGAAACCACCCTAAACTAAACTGAAACACTTTAGTTTATTTATCATTTATTAATAATAGCTGAGGAAAATAAAATATTTGATTCCTTGTTATGCTGTATGATTAAAACGATTGGCACCTTTTCTGTTGTTTTCCTATTTGAATTTTTCAGATGTGCCACATACTCTTTTGGTTAACTATTTCAAATTTACTTTTCTCCTGTGCAGTCGCTAAGTAATCATTAACTATATAATGTGTACTTTCTTCCATCACTCAGGTTTCAGTGAATAATTTCATATCAATGCCTTATACAATGTAGAAAATTGTGCAAATGGAGTCTACATTGCCCTATAAGAAACCCTCATTTTATGTTAGAATTTGAAAGCAAGCTTGGTTCCAAGACCGTCACTATGGAGAGATTTTATTTCTACTTTATATACTACTCCAAACGATTGCTTTTCTCATTCCCCTTCTGACATTTCCATGATATATTTTATATCTACACCAGTTAAGTAGACTTGGATGTCTGTTTCAATCTACTTTTCAAATAGTTTTTACATTGTTCCCCTAGGTTAACTTATATTTACTAGAAAAACTGTATGGAAAATATCATACAATATGTGTATTCCATTCTACAAAGCCTCAGAAAAGAACTGTGTTGTACCTGATCCAGCCTCAATTTAGAGAAAACATATATTTTATTTTACTGTTTATTGTAGGTAATTTTTATTTCAAATGGGATTTAAGTAAGAAAAGTTCAAGCTGCACAACTGGAAATATCTTAAAGGCTTTTAAAATGTTTCTTTGAATTAGAAACCTCTTTCTTCACAATTTTCACATATTCCCATCTTGTCCTTTTTAAAGCAATTACACAAACAAATCTCATTTGGCCAGATATCTCCCTCTGGATACTAATCAAATTATTCCTTTCCTTTTAATCTCAACATCTTAAATAAATCTCTGTATTTCAAGGAGGTAATATAATTATGTTACTTAGAAATGTGACAATAATTAGCAAATTCAAGAGAATTAACTTAAAATATTAAAAATATTGAGCATGTTAAAATAATAAATGAGAATAGACTACAAAACCAGGGCTTTTATGTTAATTTTCCCAAACATTTCCAGCCTATAAGGTCACATTATCCTGTGACCTTATGTCTGACATGTAATATTTTTAACACCCAACCTGCTTAACTGCAGGGAATCTAGTCATCTTATCTCTAAGTATGGTCCACAAACCGCAATGAATTCACAAGTAAGCTGTTGGAGTCCAAAAAGTAAATAAATAAAAGTACCCAATTTATATTTAGTTCTACATAAAATTTAAGTCAGTTTTTCTAATATTTAATTTGTATATTGACACTTGTTCCTTTATTTGACCCCAATGGTCCTGTGCCAAGTATAGTAAGTCAGAAGGAGAGTGGGGAGCTCACATTCCTGAAGTGTTGACTGGGTCACTTCCATTGACTCATTCTCTTCCAGCACGTCATGTGAAATTAGAGTTTACACATGCCTGATTATATAAGTTTATAAATTGATTATTTTTCTAATTTAGGTTTAATTAACGTCAAAAAATAGACAAGTAGCTAAAAATGCCCTACCAAAAAAAAAAAAAAACAACTGTGGATCAAAGATAATTTTAATAATGCAAGTGTACAAACTAGAAAATAGCAGATCTGACATTCTTCTGTCTTTGAATGAACTGTATATTAGATACATTCCAAATTAAGAACTTTTATGATATAATAAGATTCAGACCAAAAATATTTATAATAACCAAGATAATTTATAATGGAAATGTAAATAATTATAATTGATTATGGATGTACAAATTATGTTTTGAAATGTTACTTAATGATAGTATATTTATATAGCTGAAAAAGTATAAAATATAAGTGTTTACTGATAGAGATATGTATACATAAAGTTCCAAATCTGTGCAAACTGAAGAAATTAAAAGATTCTATTCTCTTAAAAAGCTGAATGATCAAAGGATTATATACTAATTTTAAGGATATATGAAAAACAAGTCACTCAGAAATATGAGGGTAAAAAAAAATTAACTGTCTTGATGTTGATAATTGAAGTAGACAGGAGGAAAATAAAAACAAGAAAATCTAAGGCAGTATCCACACAATTTTGCCTTTCCAAAATCACACTATATAGTTCAAAAAATATCAAACAAATAATTTAAATAGGTACCCAGGAGGCAGTGCCTCTAGAAAATGGGCAGAAAAAATTGAAATCTTTTGTAGAAAAATCCAGTTTCAACAAAGGCTTCAGTGGATTTCATTTAAAGACATTCTAAATAAAAAGAGTACTTTAAAGACAAAAATCACAAAATGCACAAAAGAAAAATGCATGTAAGTATAAACAGCAATAATGGAGAGAAGAAGAAAGGTTCAAAATCTTTGGATAACGGAATTATTTAACTCCAAAAACAAAATATATGTGTTTAAAAAAGTAGAAAGCAAAGACCAAAAATGTTTAAAAGAGGATAACAAATAATACCTATAACTGAAAGATATAATAATTTACATTTAAAACTCATTTGATGGGTTAGCGAACACACAGAGCTTAAGAAATAACTAGAGATTTGGAAGGTAAGGACAAAAAGTACCTAAAATGCAGGAAAAAATTGTGAGATATGGATAATGGGGTAAACGTATCCCAAAAGTTGGTTATTGTATAAAAGGTGTAAATTTGATTTTTCAAAAAGGTAGGCAAACTAATAAATAAAAAAGAAATCTCAAATAATAATATCTATGTCTACATCTACAACAATTGATTTATAGGTTTAATGAAATTTCTAGAAAAAAATCCCAGAAAGTATTTTTGCATACTTAAAGAAGCTTCCTCTAAAAGATATATGGAAAGCCACAATCCTGCTAGTAGCTAAAACAATCTTAAAAGAATGAGGTGGAAGGAATTAGTACAACCATTATTATAATTAAGACGGTATGGCATTGGTGGAGGGATAAATGCATAAGTCAATCGAACAGAATATAGAACCCAGAAGTAGAAGTAGACCCACACAATACTTTCAACTATTTTGTTTTGTTTTGTTTTGTTTTGTTTCGTTTTTTGAGATGGAGTCTCATTCTGTTGTTAGGCTGGAGTGCAGTGGCGCAATCTAGGCTCACTGCAACCTCTGCCTCCCAGGTTCAAGTGATTCTGCTGCCTCAATCTCCTGAGTAGCTGGCACCACAGGCACCTGCCACCGTGCTTGGCTAATTTTTGTATTTTTAGTAGAGACGGGGTTTCACCATATTGGCCAGGATGGTCTCGATCTCTTGACCTCATGATCCACCCACCTCTGCCTCCCAAAGTGCTGGGATTACAAGCATGAGCCATCGCACCCGGCCCACATTCAACTGATTTTTAACAAAGAGGCAAAAGCAATTCAATGGAAGAAAGATGGCCTTTTCAACAAATGGTGCCAAAATAATCAAACATCCATATTTAAGAAGTGAATCTTGACTTAAATCTCACATCTTATTCTAAACATTAACTCAAAATTGATAATAAAGTTAAATATAAAACATTAAACTATAAAACTTTAAAAATAGGAGAAATCTTTAAGATATGAGACTTAATACTAAAAGTATGATTCAAAAAAAAAAACTGATAAATTCAACTTTATCAAAATTTTAAAATTTGCTTTGTGAATCATTAAGTTAAGAGGGTGAAAAGAGAAGCTACAGACCAGGAGAAAATATTTGCAAACCACGTATCTACCAAGGGAATTATATCTAAAATATATTTTTTAAAACTGAAAACCCATCAGTCAAAAAACAAATGATCCAATTAGAAAATTGGCAAAAGACATGAACAACATATGAAAGATGTTCAACTTCATTAGCCACTAGGGAAATGCAAAATAACACAAGACATTTTATCAAAATGACTAAAGTGAAAAAAATAGAGACAGCAATAAATGCTTATGAGAAGGTGGAGAAACTGAACCATTCGTATATTGCTGGTAGAAATGTAAAATATTACAGTGACTCTCAAAACAGTTTAACAGTTTCTTTGTAAACTAAACATGTAATTATCATACTGTCCAGAAATTTTATTCTTGATCCTTTATCCCAGAGAAGTGAAACTTCTACCCACTCAAAATTCTACACACAAAGGTTTATTTCAGCTTTATTCACGATGGTCAAAAACCAGCAACAATTTGGATGTCCTTCTGTGGGTGAACGGTTTCACAAACTGTGGTACATTTGTATCATAAAATACTATCAGCAAGTAAAAATATCAAACATTCATATAGTCAAAAACTTAAATTACTTTTTGGAAAATCATGATTGGTAAAAAAAAAGTCCAAAAATTTAGTAATGTATCATTTTATTTATATAACATTCTTGGAATGACAAAATTACAGAAATGAAAAGATTCTTGATTGTCAAAGGTTAAGTAAGAGACGGCTAGGAGGAAGGAGATGTGGTTTTAAAAGGATAACATGAGGGATCTATGTGGCTTTTGGGAATGCTTAGTACCTTGACTGTAGTTGCGGATACATTAACTGCACATGTAATAAAATGTCATAGAATTAAATACACACACACACAAATGAGTACAAGCAAATTTGAAGAAATCTTAAAAAATTATATCAGTGCCAATATTGTACCTTGATATTGCATGTGTATACACAGCCAGCTATATACACACACCATAATTTATTTGCAAACTATATTCATTTTTATGTAAATATAGTACACAATAAAGATAATACCATTGAGGAAATTGAGTAAACCATACAAGAGATATCTGTATTTTTTCCTACAATTGCATGTAAAGGTAAAATTACCTCAAAATAAAAATGCTAAAACAGAAAATTTAAAACAAGGTTACAAATAACACTCTCAGGAATTACAAGAGTATGCTACTATAGGTGGTGTTAGGAACTAAATTGTGATCCCCCAAAATTCATACGTGGAAGCCTAAACACCAAACTGACTGCATTTGGAGATAGAGCCTGTAAAGAGGAATTAAGGTTAAATGAAGTCCTAAGGGTGGTATTTCTAGAAGAGGAAGAGGGAACCCCGGGAGAAGACAAACACAGAGAAACGGCCATGTGAGGATGGAGTGAGAAGGCCCGTCTAAAAACCAAAGGGAGGTCACAGGAGAAACCAAACTTGCAGGCACCTTGTTCTTGAACTTCCAGCCCCTGGAACTGTGAGAAATAAATTTCTATTGTTCAAGCCACCCAGTCTGTGGTATTTTCTTATGGCAGCCTGATATAGTTTGGCTGTGTCCACACCCACATCTCATCTTGAATTGTAGCTCCCATAATTCCCACATGTTATGGGAGGGACCCCATGGGAGGTGATTGAATTGAAAAGTATAGGTTTCCCCCATACTGTTCCCATGGTAGTGAATAAGTCTCACAAAATTTGATGGTTTTATAAGGGGAAACTCCTTAGTCTTGGTTCTCTGATTCTCTCTTGCCACCACTTCTTACAAGAATTGCCTTTTGCCATCCACCATGATTGTGAGGCCTCCCCAGCCATGTGGAACTGTGAGTCCCTTAAACCTCTTTCTTTTGTAAATTGCCCAGTCTCAGGTATTGTCTTTATCAGCAGCATGAGAACAGACTAATACACAGCCCTAGAAGGCTAATATAAATACAAATGACATTAAAAAGAAAATAGGAGAATATTATGAACAAATTAGTTAAATCTATGTAAAAAAGCTATAATACATTCTGAGATAAATATATTTTAAAATTAGATCAAGAAAAAAATTAAGAAATAATCACAGCTACTTTAAAAAGTGAACTAATAGGTAAGAAATCTTCCCCAAAATAAGACAACAAGTTAGGCTGCATTATGAAAAGTTCCCATTTAATGTATAATTAATACATGATTCAAATCATAGCAGACTTTTTCAAATAAAAAAAAGAAAAAGATCCCCAATTCTAAGAAACTAGCAAAAACTTCATATCAAAACCAGGTTCATAAAGTATAAGAAATTATTTCAAGAAAATGTTATATATGAATATAAATGCAAATGTACTAAACAAAATATAGGCAAACTGAATCCAACAGGTATTCACTATTCATTAATAATTATTAGTTGGATCTATCTATCTCAAAAATGCAGATTGATGTAGAATGTAAATTGGTGGCTCCCTACTGCCGGGGAGGGTGGCCAGCTGGAAATAAGCATTGACTGCTGATGGGGTTGGGGTTCTTTGGGGGAGGTGATAAAAATGTTCTAAAATTAACTAGGGTGATCATTTAATAATTTTATGAACATACTAAATACCACTAAATTATATACTTTCTGTAAATTCTATGTTATATAAATTACAGCTCAGTAAGGTTGTTATACATGAAAACATAAAAGAACAAATGGGACTAATCTATGTGATTGAAATTTAAAAATACATTGCCAGACTTGGGGAGGGGATTGGGAAGAGGTACAGGTAAGTTTCCATGGCATGGTGGGTTGCTTTCTACTTTGGGAGGTTGTTACATGGTTGTGTACAATCATCGAAACTTCAGTGAAAAGGGGTGTATTTAACTGAGTGGTAATTTCCCTTAATTTTTTTAAAAAACAAAACCTGTAATCCCAGCACTTTGTGGGGACTGAGGTGGGTGGATCACTTCAGGTCGAGAGTTTGAGAGCAGCCTGGCCAACATGGAGAAACCTTGTCTCAACTAAAAGTACAAAAATTAGCCAGGTGTGGTGGCACACAGCTGTAACCCCAGCTACTTGGGAGGTTGAGGCAGGAGAATTGCTTGAACCCAGAAGGCAAAGGCTGCAGTGAACTGAGATTGCACCACTGCACTACACCATGGGCAACACAGTGAGACTCCATCTCAAAAAAAAAAAAAGTTTCCTACTCTGGGATACTAAAAACACAAGCCAAGTACTATGCTAATAAATTTTCATGTGATGACTTGTCCTAACAACAATCCTATGAAGTTAATACATTTTTATTGATAAAGAGACTGAGGACAAAGAGGTTATGTAACATTCTCAAGATCTCAGAGCTATTGATAGGAAGAGCTAGAATTTAAAGACAAGCAGTGTGGCTCCAGCGTTAACCTACACTTTTCGAACAATGATACTACACTGCTATCTGTGTGTATCCAGGCATAAGTTGACAGTGTGCAGTGGATAATGATTCTTGGTGGATTTTTTATTTTCCTCATCACATTTCAGACAGTGCTTGTTCCATAATAGACATACCGAGAAATCCTGCCAAATCTCACTGTTACATTTACTAGGGAGAAAGATCTTCTTCAGAGTTTGTTAGTATTTTAGAACAGATTCGAGCGTGATGCATGTGCTGTACATGGGTTGATTCAGATCCATTTTAATAAAATTGCTCTCACTGATGGTAGAATATGGTACAATGTGCACAACACAGGGACATCTGGGTTCTGGGCCTACTTTGACTATCACCTGAAAGTACAGTCTTGAGAAATCAGTCAATCTTTGATTCACAGTTTTTCTCTCAGCTTTAAAAATCCAATTTAAGAGCAAAAAAAGGCAAAAATATCTTGTAAGTTAAGAAAATAACAAAACCAGAATTATACTCAGTATCATTGAACTCACTGAAGTAATCAATGTCCCATCTTAGTGAATATTAATATCTCTTCACTTCACTGTGAGCTTCCGTGGAGGACCCACCTAACCAATCCCCTAGAAATCATGGCTTTTTTTTTTTTAGTTATTTTAATATGTCATTGTAAATTGTGAACCACATTCACTGATTACCGACTTGTCTTTGAGTCCAGTGACAAAAACAAAACCCACACGCACAATTACATGCAGTAGGTTTATTACTTACAGATAGTCAGTGAGGGAGAACGGAATCCTAGAATCCATGAGGAGCTGGTCCTCTACCTCAGGAAAGCTGCTCAAGGTGGATGAAGACTTGACTGCACACACCAGCCACCCTTGCTCCACAGCTGAGGAACCCCAAAAGGCAACTTGCCCTGGATTTGATACCCCAGGGTAAAATGACCTGCTGGGCTAAAGCATTGAAAGATATACTTTTTCTAGGGAGAGACTGTAATAGAGCCCAGGTGTTCTGGCCAGCTCCCCCTTATCTCAAGACATTGCATTTCCAGAGCATTATAAAATTATTCATGAGAACTACAAATGAGACAGAAGAGAGAACTGGATAAGTCTAGAGCCATCTGGAAAACTGTCCTGCACAAATCATTAATGAAGATAGCACCTGATTTGTTATTTCCACAAGGGCTTATTATGTGCTAGATTCCTTAGAGTGAGTAATAAAAACACTACATTCTGTTCTTAAGAAGTATTTTATCTAAGCTTTACATGCCACAAAAAAAGAGAATACAAAATATTATATTTTACATTCTGGAAATCAGCCTTCCTAAAAAATAAACATTTAGTGCTCTGCTGCTCAGTCTTTCTTCCATAATGAGATTGCACATAAATAGAACAGGGAAGATAATATTAAATATATTAAAAATCTATTTTATCTTATTGCTACTGAATAAATTAATGATTGGTTGCACAGACATTTGCAAGAGTAAATTATTGAATTTATATTATTCCTAATGAGGTCACTAGTGAAGAGCTATATGGGTCTTTCTTTGGCCCTCACTGACTTACAGATTAATATTTGCCTGAAATATGAACATAAACAGAATGCTCAATACATCTGCAGGGGAAGCAAAGCTGGGCTTGCTAATTCATTTGATGATAGCATCAAAACATTTGCTGCAACATTTCAGAAGCTCCAAGAATTGGCAATAGAACACATCTTTTACATACACATTGAAAGTTAGATTAAGTTTCCAATTCATTTAGAAATGAGCACAGAATCCTAGAAGAATGGAGGTGGTCACAGGACTAGGAGCACATAACCCAGCAAAACATTTCAGAGCTCTGAAAGTTGCTATTAGGAGCTTCCAACATACTAGCGACTTTGCCCATCAAGTATGGTCATGCTGAATCTAAGAAGTTTAAAGTTAAATCACCGTGTCTTTTTTTTCCCTCTTTTCCTTGTGCAGTAGAAATTAATTTACATTTCATTGATTTATAGCATAAACACAATAAAGTGCAAAAATTATAAGTGCACAGCTTAATTAATTTCCAAATTCATTGCATCTATCACCCAGTTTTAGAAACAGAATAAAAACAGTATCCCATAAGCCCGAGTTATGTAGCTTCCTAGTACTGAACACTTGATCCTGCAAGGGTAACCACTATTGACCTCTCTCTTCATAAATTAGTGTTGCTCATTTTATTTTGTAACTGTATGTAAATGGAATCATATATTAATAGTATGTGTTCTCGTTTTTTGTAATTTTTTATTTAACATCATGTTTAGAAGATTCACCAACATACCACATACCTATAGTATGTTCATTCTTATTGCTGTTTTGTATTACAGTATATAGATATGCCTTAATTTATCTGTTTTGAGTTGCATGTGAAGCTTCAGACTATTACAACAGTACAGAGCCGCAGTGTATGACTACGTCCAGCGTATGCAAACACTGTCAAATAGTCATTCAAAGTGGCTGGATCAACTAACAGTCCTAACAGCAATGTTTGAATGCTCCATTTACTTTATGTACTCCTCAAGCTTAGTATTTCCTGTCCTTTTAAAGTTTAACTTTCTGGTGGGTATGTAGTAGTATTCAATGTGGTCTTATTTGCATAATCTGCTGACTAAGGAAGCTGAGTGAGTTTTAAAAATATTCATTAGCTATTGAGATGTGTCTATTGTGAAGTGTTCCTCCCTGTTTTTCCCACATTGTTTTCTCTTTTTCCATTTGTAAGACCTCTTTATACAGCATGGATATTAGTATTTGTCTGACATATTTATTACAAATATATTCTTTCACTTTTTTGGTTTGTCATATGTATTAGAGTTCTCCAGCGAAACAGAATCAATAGGATATCTATATATATGGAAAAAGAATTATTATAGGAATTGGCTCTCATGATTTTAGAAGCTGAAAAGTCCCACTATCTGCCATCTGCAAGCTGGAGACCCAGGAAATGTGGTGCCATAGTTCACAAAGGCTAAACCAGGAAAGTCCAAGAGGCAAGTCCTGGTCAAAGTCCAAAGGCCCTAGAGATGGGAGCACTAATGTCGCAGGGCAGGAGAAGATGAAGGTCCTCACTGGAGCACTGAGAGCAAACTTGCCCTTCCTCTGTTTTTGTTGTATTCAGGCCATTAATACATTAGCCCTTGTTTCTGTAGCTCTCTGATGCCTTTGCTATATGATTTTGAAATTAATCCAGCTTTCCTACTTGTTCTAGAGGACATGTTGGCTCACTGCTAAAAATAGTGTTACTCGAAATAGTATAACCTCACTCAAAATAGTATTCTCTCTCTAGTCCTTCCTATAATTAAAGCATACATTACTATTAATATTAAGGAAATAGCCACCCCACCCACATGTCTAAGCTTTTAACAGAAAATATTTACAGCAAACCAGCCTCAGCAAATCCACACATATGTGTGGAGGAAAGAAGCTATGCCCAGGTTTCTCTTAGCACTGTCTCTGCCACACTGGGTTCACAGGATCTGTTTACTTACTGATGTCAGTGGCTTCATAAATGTATTGAATGTAACTAAATAATATTTAATACTTATAGCTAAATTCCTGCACGTAATCAAAGTACAATCACCACAGAGTTGAAGAAGCACAACTTTACTGACACAAAAAAGTGAAAAGAGAAAAAGATTTGATTTTAATCCCCATACTATTCAACTCTTACGTGTTGCTATTGATTAATTATTAATCTGTTTAAGGAATGCTGTAGATGATGCTGGCTGTCTTGAAAAGTAAAAGAGGAAGGTGATTGTCCAGTATATTCTCTCCTTGTTAAGCCACAGAGAACATGAGTTTATTTCTTACTGTGATTTTAAAAGGCAAATTGGAGTGTTCCTTGGGGAGGTGACAAGCTACACAGATGGGTTCAATATCTTTATATGGGAAATGGAAAAAGAAATTAGGGATATTTAGTATGGGTACACAATTTAAGCAAAATTAAAATTGTAAATAGTTTAAGAGCTGCAAAGGAAAGTATGATTAAACATGTTTTATATTTCTTATGAGTATAAAACTAGGAAAAATAATAAAAAAGACATACAGGGGACATTTATATTACCATAGATTTGATTAAATAATTAGAGCTATCCAAACATGGAATAGCTAAGTACAGATGGAGAATATATCAATAATATTCTAGACCGTGGGGGGAATACTCATATTGTATGAGGAAATAGATATTTAAAACACAATTCTATTCATAATTGGCCTTGGAAAAGAATAAAGAAAAGTAAATATCCCTGTGGGGGAAAAGTTATCTTAAACTGAAGAAATAAAATAGAAAATAGACAAATATATAAACTTTAAAATTAAAGAAAACAAATTTATTAAACAACTCTTAAGGTCATATTGAAGGGACAGTACTGAGGACAGGCATCATTAACAGATTGAGATCTCTATAAATTATGTGAAGCAAATTATATTTTGATAAATTTAGGGAGATGTTTATAGTTAAATAATTTGTCTGCCAAAAGAGTTGAGAATGAGTCCTAGCTAATGGAAATTTAAGTTCGTTGAATAGTGCTATACATAATAATATAGATGTTTTGCAAAATTTAAGACTTTTTTAATGAAATGCACCACTCCTGATGCAAGTACAATTTGATGTAGATTTTCTCAAAGGCAGCGTGGTAACATAAATCAAAAGGCTTTAAAATATTCATAACTTTTGCCCTGGTAGTTTCACTCCTAGAAATATATTCATTGTTGAAAAAGTATCTAAAATTACATTTGTTTCAGCTTTGCTTAGAGGGTGAAATATTGGATAAATCCTAATTTTCAACAGCAAAGAATTGGTTCAATAATTTGATATTCAATAGCATGTTGTGAAGTAAAAATGAGATGTGAATAATTATTTGTTGATGTTGCATATGTGTGTATAGACTATGAATACAGGAGATAAGTACATGAAGGTGCTCTGCATTACTACTGAGTAAGGAAATGTTACAGTCTCACCAAGGCACCACAATGCAGCAGTATCATGTTGTGAAGTATCTATCACCTGGAGTTCTTTGTCTCACAACCAAGAGAATTAAGGAGCATGGACAGAAAGGATGAGTTTGGAGCAAAAGTTTAACAGGCAAAGGAAGAAAGCTTCCCGCAGCAGAGAGGGGGCCTGAATGGGTTGCCATTTAAACAAATGAATGCAAAGGGCTTTTTGAGAAACCAGTGAGGGCTGGGTGTCTCATTTGCACAAGGTGTGAATTTCTGGTAGCTCTTCCCTATCCTCCTAGTGCTCATGAGGGCCCTTAGCTTGAGTTACTCCATATTGTTTTGGTCCCTTTACGGCACATGTGTTAGGGGATGGAATTTTCCATTGCGGGCATGTCTGGACAAGTCACCTATGTAGCCTTTCTTATCTGTGCAGCTGTGGGCATGTCTTAGGCAAGCCCTCCTGTGTAAATTCCCTTATCTGTGCCTGCAGCTTGATTTTTCAGGCTGTTCATTTGTTTGAAAGAATTCAATCAAGGACCCACCCTAACCACCTGACAAGTTTCTTCCTTTCTTCTCTCTCAGAAACACAAGTAAAAACCACAAGGATATGCAATTTCATCCCCAGAAAAAAAAAAAAAAACTTGAATAGGATGAACATTATTAGCTAGAAATGAGCATTCTCACACAATTTTTTTTCTGCTTTTGTGAGTCAAGCCAGGGTCATTCTTTTTGTTTGTTTGTTTGTTTGTTTTTGTTTTTGTTTTTGTTTTGAGACAGAGTCTCCCTGTTGTTGCCCGGGCTGGAGTGCAATGATGCAATCTTGGCTCACTGCAACCTCCGCCTCCTGGGTTCCAGCAATTCTCTTGCCTCAGCCTCCCCAGTAGCTGAGATTCCATGGCCGGCTAATTTTTGTATTTTTAGTACAGACAACGTTTCACCATGTTGGCCAGGCTGGTCCTGAACTCCTGACCTCAGGTGATCCACCTGCCTTAGCCTCCCAAAGTGCAGGGATTACAGGCATGAGCCACCGCACCACATTTGCAAGCAATAGTGACAATGTCTTCATGGTCCTCCTCAACACCAGGTAGGAACTCACTTTTGGTGCCCTGCACTTCAGGTGCTCCTCTGATTAACTTGTTATTTTGTTATTCTGGGATGGCTATCCTTATCATCCTCTACATAAGAAATAAGAATTGTTCAAAAATGTCTCAAATCAATAGCTTTTCTGCTGTTGGGTAAGAGAAGAGGTGCAAACTATTGAAGGATGTTTTTATATTAAGATAGAAAAAAAAGTTTTAAAATGAATCACAGAATAACCCCCCACAGAATAAAGTCGCTTTCCATTTTTCCAGAAATAAATATTATCTTTAGTCACATCAGAATATGTGTGTTTTTATTAGCACCTGAGATTACTAAAATTGCCATTAAATTAGGTCATCCAATTTAACTTGCATATGGATTATGATTTATCTTTCTACCCTGTTGTTTTACTAATAAAATACCTCTTCAAACATGAACACAACTTTATTATTATTATTTTCACCACATCCAGTGTATAGACTTCATGTTCTCTCTAATGGCAGTTGATTCAAAGCAACTGAAGAACAAATGCCTTACAAATGCTTGGGAATCTTACTCACAAATGTAATAACACTGGCATGTAAATAACAATTTTCTTCTGAAAAAGGGGCAGAGAGCCAAAGTTGTAATGTTTAAAGTGAATATTTCATCCAGAATATGGGTTGTATTAATGGAAAAACCAAACTCTGTAAAATATTTAAAGAGGCTTATTCTAAACCAATATGAATGACCATGGCCCATGGTACAGTCTCAAGAGGTCCTGAAAAAGTGTGTCCCAGGTGATCAAGTTACAGTTATTTTTATACATTTTAGGGAAACAGGAATTATGGGTAAAATCATAAATCAACACATGGGAGGTGTACATTGGTTCAGCCTAAAGAGGTGAGACATCTTCAAGTGGGGTCTTACAGGTCACAGGCGAATTCAAAGTTTTTCTGATTGGCAATTGGTTGAAAAAGTTAAGCTTTGACTAAAGACTTGAAGTCATTAGAAATAAATGCTTGACTTAAGGTAAGGAGGCTGTGGAGGTCAACTTTTTCGTTGTGTAGCTGAAGCCTCATAGGTATCAACCCTCAGAAAGAAAAGATGGTAAACATCTCTTTTAAGGTCTTAAAAAGGTGTCGGGCACTCAGTTAATCTTTCCTAGATCTCAGAAAGGCCTAGAAAGGGAAAGTATGGCTGCAATAATGGAGATTCTCTACAGATGCAAATTTCTCCCACAACAGACAGCTTGGCAGGGCCATTTCAGTCTGCTGGCCCTGTGGCAGCCATTTCTAAAAATGCCAAAAATATATATTTGGGGACAAAATGCCTTGATTCCCTTCAGGGTCTGCTATCTGTCGTGTGATGGTATACCAGAGTCTGGTTGGAATTTTGTATCTTATTGCCACAAAGAATATTTGGTCACTTTCATGATCTCTATGTTAATGTTAATGCTGGTCAATCATGCCTAAGCCCCAAAAGGGAGGGAGATCAGGAGGTGTGTCCAACCTCCCTTCCTGTCATGCTCAGGAATTCAGTTTTCTCTGGGTTCTCTTTAGCCCAGAGGGAGTCTGTTCAGTCAGTGGTGGTGGCTTAGAATTTTATTTTTGGTTTACAGTTGTCTGAAAGGGGGAGTCTATATGAAAGCAATTCTCACCAGAAATAAAAGAAGCCACAAATATAAGGAGGAATGTAATTCTGAGGTTATCACAGAAAGGGAAATAAATTATACTGGAGGAGGGAAGGATTGCAAAAATGACTTGACACTATCCTTTTAAATATTTTAAGAGTGGTTCATATTAAAACAGATTATAACAAATTACTATTTGATCCTATCCAAAACTATCTGGTCATAATGACTACTCCCAACTGTATGTTGACTTCATTTACAAAACACTTTAAACTCACTTCAGATGACTGGGCCTTGGATTGTTAACTTGCTTTGACAAAAGGGAGCAGTGCATCAGAGTAAGCCAGGTTGTCCCTCTTAATGAACCAAAAAGGCTTTGATGAAACAGTATTGATTAATGCTTGTAGAGATAGTCTGGTTTTCTCTTGGCTCCTTTATCCTCTGTTGCTAAATAAACAAACAAAAATTGAATTTACTATTTGAAACCTAGTCTAACTAAAACTCCAATGTTCTTAAATTCTTGGCGTTTATCCTACAACTAAGGGGAAAAAAAATGCTACATTCAATAAGGATTTGCCCCTGGTTTTGTTTTTTACAATGTAAAGCAAAAGGAATGAATACTTTGTAAGCATTGCCTTTTAAAAGTGAAGGAGAATGTGTGTGTGAGTGGATCTGTGCTGACCCAGGGTTAGGCCAGGGAGTGAAATGCATTTATGTGTACGTGCATGCAAAAATGAAACAAGAGTAGAAGGGAGGTTAAAAAAGCCTATGGCAGATGCAGAGAAAAAAACAAAACTCCTTACTTTAAATCTGTGCTTCTGGTTAGCTTCTTTTGCAGAGAGGCTAATGCTAGGTCTCAGGCTCCTCAAAGGAATCCTGAAAGTGCTTACTTCCTGCCTGTTTGAACACTCAGAGGTATGAGTTCCTTGTCTCTCTAACCCTAATGGGAAATGGGAGCCTGAGAAGGGGGTCATAGAAGCACAGCTCACAGACATGGGCTTCAACGTGCAGTTTTCAATGGGGAGAGAGCACTTATGCAGTGCACAAGCCACCCTGAGCTTAGCAGGAGACATCTATTTACAGGAAGGCAGACTGTGACCAGAGGAATCTGCCCTAAAATGAAGTTCTTTTCTCAAGCACCTCTGTGCCCAACCCTTTCTTTTCAACGTATATATTCCTGACAAGTACGGCAAGGTAAAAATCACTTTCAATTGTTTTAAATAAATTTGCTTTAAGCATTAGCCATTTGCTAAATCTGGAGCAAAAGGAAGAAACACATTGGAATGTGACAGGTGCACAAGCAAGGATCCTTAAGCCTATGAGGATAGTCAGAGCTTTCAGTGCTGCACTGGTGGAAAGGAGAATTAATAATTGAGGCCTGCCACAAGCGTAGGGATGGCAGCTAGCCTTGCCTGTTGCGGAGCAGGAAAATGACCTGCCTTGTACCCAGGCTGTATTCTTACATAATTCATCTTTGGTGGAAGTCCTTTGTGGTGAGCAGAATAATATCACCCCATCAATGTCCACATCCTAATCTCTGTAACCTCAGAATATGTTATCTTAAATTTCGAAAAAGGGACTTTGCAGATGTGGTTAAGTTAAAAACCTAGAGATGGGAAATTTATCCTATAGTATTCAGGTGGTTCAAATGTAATTGCAAGCAATGGTCCTTCAAAGAGGAAAAGGAATAGAAGAAGGATCAGAATGACTCATCATGAGACTCAACATTTGTGGCTGAGTTTGAAGATGGAGAAGACATGGAAGGTGGGCGGGCAGTCCCTAAAACTCTGAAAGGCAAGGAAACTAATTCTTCACTATAACCTCCAGAAGGAACCCAGTCCTGCAGTCACCTTGACCTTAGCCTCGTGTTGGACTTCTCATCTCTAGAGCCAGAAGAGAATAAATTTTTGTCATTTTAAGCCATCAAGTTTGTGTTGATTTGCTAAGACTGCCCCAGAAAATGAAGATAGGAGATTCCTCTTTTTTTCTTACCCCTCTCAATACAGTAGTACCCAACACCTCTACCCCCCACAAACACTTTTGGTAAGAGTTACACCCAACACCTGCTCCTCGAATCAGCATCTTCATAGAAGAACCCATGGAGTTCAGTTTTATCTGCCCCAGGGGTATCCAATCTCTTGGCTTCCCTGTGCCACATTGGAAGAAGAATTGTCATGGGCCACACATAAAATATACTAACACTAACAATAGCTGATGAGCAAAAAAAAAAAAAAAAAAAGTTCATAATATTTTAAGAAAGTTTACGAATTTGTGTTGGCCCATTCAAAGCCTGGGCTGCATGTGGCCCACACACTGTGGGTTGGACAAACTTGATCTACCTAGTCACAGTCTTGAGCTAACCTTGGCCTGACAAGCAAATCTATCAATTCAACAGACATTTAGAGAGCACCACCAAGCTCTCTATGAGATGGAGCAGGGATGAGGGATGCCTCTTAGGAGCCTGCTGGGCCCTCCAAACATGGAAATAAGGGAAAGGAAAATCTTAAATTCCTTCAAAGGAAGTTCCAGACACTTACCTAGTCTTGAGGAGTAAATAAGCAAGAAGGTAATAGTATCTTAAAATAATAACCAAGGAAATCAGAGGCTCAAAATATTTGATTTCTCATGGAAACTAAAGATAACATCTTAACATATGTCCCTGAGTTGTTTCTCAGAAACCCAACCTCCATGAAGTGGAAAATCCTGCCTGCTGGCAGGTAGACCCCAGATGCAGGGGAACTGAGGACTGAACTCAGACCACTGCCCTTTGTTCTAAATTTCTTCCTGAGGGACTTGGAGAAAGTCATGCCCACAGGCCAGAGCTCAGCATTCCTTTCTGCTGACCCCAGGTTTTTAGACAAAGCTTAATCAATCACAAATCAGAACTCTTTCAATCTATTTATGACCTCTGGACCCCACCTTGAGATCTCCCACCTTTTTATGGCAAACCAATGGATACTCTGCATGCATGCCTTTGCCTGAAACTTCTGCCTCTCTGCCTTTGAAACCCTTGCCTTTAGGCCATCAGGGAGTTTGGGTCTTAAGCATCAGCTCCCTGATTCTCCTTGCTTGGTGCCCTACAATAAATTCTTCATTTTCTCTGCCTGCAATTCCAATATCAGTGTTTGCTCTGGCTGTGCCAGGCAGGGAGGACCAAGATCAGTTTGGTAACATCTGCTAGATGTTTATATAAAAAAATGAACTAGACCTGGTCCTCAGGAAGTGTAGTCTAGATTACTAATATTTAAAGAAATACTGAACCTTCTAACTTTTCCTGGCATGACCTATGTAACTATGAATTATTTTAGCTATGGCTTTCCTAGTCATAAAGGTCAGAAAAAAACCTACATAAAAATGCTTGCTTTGAAAGCATTAGTAGTGCAAAACTCAAAAGAGTAAGGAAAAATAACAAATAATTATCTGAATTAACCTCTAGAACACCCTTATAGGATGAGACAGTCTTGTTACTATTATAATGTAATATGTGGAATTCATAGATGTTAGGTAATGCTAAAGATCACACAGCTAGCAATTGACAAATCTAGATCTTGCTCTCTCTGCCTCCAGAAAGAATGTCCTCCACTTTGCTAACTGGCTCCAATTTCATTTTGATGTTAGTAAAAGTCATCACTCCATTATATTTGCATAGAAAAAAATTGAGAGATTTATTGTTATTCAATCTGATCTGTATATCTCATTGGATTACGAAGATCAAAGAATATATTGGAAATCCCTCTGTAAATAAATCACTCTTGTTTCCTTCAAACATTAAGATTATTTTATTTCTCTAAAAATAGAAATTTTTTACTGTCATTATATTCCTTTTTTAAAAATTTTTAATTGACTAATAATAATTGTTTGGGTACAACATGAGATTTTAATATGTATACATTATAAAATAATGAAATTGTTAGAAACAGATGATTGGTGCCATGAAGAAAAGTCAGCATGGAGACAAAGGATCTCTCAGCAAGGCAACCTTTACTTTCCGCAGAAAGGTTGCCCCTCACAGATGGAACAATGGTGAGAGCACACCTGAACAAAGGAAAAGCAGACATATTTATCCCTTACACACTTGGGTCATCATTACTGCTGTGTCCTGGATCCTTCAGCTGGAGCTGGACTTCACAGTCTTAAAGTGATACCCAATTTGCTAATAACCTAAAACTTTCCTAAATAGGTAAGTGCAAGGAAGAGTAAAGAAGAAAAGGAAGTTGCTTATGAAAGGTTTAAGGAAGCAATAACATTTCCAAATAAAGAAGGGGCATAAGCTATGAGCTAAGACTTTCCTGGGCCTGTCCAGACATGCCTGAGTAAGCCACAGCAACTAACTGGGCTAAAGTGTAAGAACTAAGCATTGATAGGAGGCTTTAGAGTAAGGAGCTATTATTCCTAGTGTCTATTATTTTATTTTTAAACCAAGACTAACTTTGAAGAGGAACTTTTCTACGCTCTACAGTTCCCTCCTCTTTTGCTTTACAGTTCCTCTTCAAACTTGCTTAACATGTCTTGGCTTAGTTGTTTTCGTTAACTCCTGGATTTATGGTACTACATAACACCTAAGAAGAAGTAGTATACTTATTACAATTGTTAAAGAGGTAAGAATTGAGGCTAGATTTTTTTTCTTTTTCTGGTTGATGAAATGCCAGGTTAAAAGGGATAGTCAATTGAACTACAGCACAAGTACTGCTCTAATTATTTGGCAGAATGTCCAGTAAAGGTCCTCCATAATACTGAGAGGTGACAGCCTGCTGGCAGCCCTCACTCCCCTCACTCGCTCTTGGCACCTCCTCAGCCTTGGTGCCCACTCTGGCCATGCTTGAGGAGCCCTTCAGCCTGCTGCTGCACGGTGGGAGCCCCTTCCTGGGATGGCCGAGGCCAGAGCCGGCTCCCTCAGCCTGCAGGGAGGTGTGGAGGGAGAGGCATGGGCGGGAACTGGGGCTGCACATGGCCCTTGCAGGCCAGCTAGAGTTCCAGGTGGGCATGGGCTTGGCTGGCCTCGCACTCGGAGCCGCCCGCTGGCCTCTCCGGCCCTGCCGCCTGGGGCAGTGAGGGGCTTAGCACCCGGGCCAGCAGCAACGGAGGGTGTGCCGGGTCCCCCAGCAGTGCCAGCCCACCAGTGCTGCACTCGATTTCTCGCAGGGCCTTAGCTGCCTCCCCGTGGGGCAGGGCTCGGGACCTGCAGTGCCCCATGCCTGAGCCTTCCCGCGCCCCACCCAGGCCATGGGCTCTTGCACAGCCTGAGCCTCCCCGAGGAGCAAAGCCCCCTGCTCCAAGACGCCCGGTCCCATAGACCACCCAAGGGCTGAGGAGTGCAGGTGCCGGGCGTGGGACTGGCAGGCAGCTCCACCTGTGGCCCCGGTGCGAGATCCACTGGGTGAAGCCAGCTGGGCTCCTGAGTCTAGTGGGGACTTGGAGAACCTTTATGTCTAGCTAAGGGATTGTAAACACACCAGTCAGCACCCTGTGTCTAGCTCAGGGTTTGTGGATGCATCAATCGACACTCTGTATCTAGCTAATCTGGTGGGGACTTGGAGAATCTTTATGTCTAGCTAAGGGATTGTGAATGCACCAATCAGCACTCTGTGTCTAGCTCAAGGTTTGTAAATACACCAATCTACACTCTGTATCTAGCTAATCTAGTGGGGAGGTGGAGAACTTTTGTGTCTAGCTCAGGGATTGTAAATGCATCAATCAGCACCCTGTCAAAACGGACCAATCAGCTCTCTGTAAAACAGACCAATCAGCTCTCTGTAAAATGGACCAATCAGCAGGATGTCGGTGAGGCCAGATAAGAGAATAAAAGCAGGCTGCCTGAGCCAGCAGTGGCAACCCACTCGGGTCCTCTTCCACACTGTGGAGGATTTGTTCTTTCGCTCTTTGCAATAACTCTTGCTGCTGCTCACTCTTTGGGTCCACGCTGCCTTTATGAGCTGTAACACTCACCGCGAAGGTCTGCAGCTTCATTTCTCAGCCAGCGGGACCACAAACCCACCAGAAGGAAGAAACTCCGAACACATCCTAACATCAGAAGGAACAAACTCCGGACACACCGCCTTTATGATCTGTAACACTCACTGCAAGGGTCCGCGGCTTCATTCTTGAAGTCAGTGAGACCGAGAACCCACCAATTCGGGACACAATACCACCACACATACACTTGGGGATGAATAAGTGCAGACTGATGGGTCGGCTCTTGGAAGTGCCTGATTCACTGCATCCTGTTAAGTCTCCAAGGAATGCCAACTTATTCACCTTGTCGTTGGAGACATGAGGTAAAATTGGTCTTGGAAGATGGAGGCTGGATGGCCCTCAGGGGCTGACCCGCAGGGTGTTGAACCTCAGGAAATAGCAGTGAAAGAGCTTGGCACTATTTGTTATTCCAGGCAGTGGAATCTTGAAAAAGAGCTATCATGCACTCCATGTCTGCTTGATTTGAGGATCATCCTAGTGGAAAGGGAACAACCTGGGCCTCTGACTTACCATGTGCACAAGCATAACAGTCATTTTGTTTAAAGTGCAAATGGAATATTTAATCCATTCTAACCAGGCATTTACATCTTTATACCCTGTTTCAATGGCTATGGTTTGCCTTCAGTTCCCTATTTCTTCTACTGAGACCTTGGTTTTGTCATTTGGCATGAGGTGACTCAGAGTTTGATTTTGTAGGTTTGGGAAAGGGGCACTTGTAGGAGGTGGAAGAGGGAGAACAAAGTGCATCTTAAGTAAGCCTATAGGATCATTTCCAGTGGCCTCTGCTCCTAAACCACAGAAATGCTCTTAAGTGGGTTTAGAGTTGCTAGTGGTAGGAATGGTAATGGCTATAAGCACGGGGTTACACTGGTGGGATTGACAATTGCGGGGTAGGGGGGCAATCCCTTCAGTAAGGTTGAGATGGCTTTAAGTCGGCACATCCCTCCTCAGAGGTCCAGCCTCAATCTTTAGTAGTCCAGATGACATCTGCGCACTGACCATATAAATTCCAATTTGGGGTATCTTGGTACCCCCATCAGAAGCAAGCTGCAGGGGTGGCAGTGGCCTCCCTGGAGGGGCAGAGGTATTTTCCCGAAGTAGAGAGTTGTCTCTGTCTTTGCAAACCTCCACAAGGTATAAAAAGGCAAGCATCAAATGTTATAACCTGTGGTGAATCTGATTTGGTTATATTGATGACAAGATGAGGGGTAGTTAGAGGGAAGGAAAGAAAAGAAAAAGATAGATAGACTAATCTTTTTTTAGCTTTAATTTGATAGGACTTGATCCAGGAATAATGGCCCATGATTCTGATGATAATTGTGCTTGCTTGACTTGGTGTGATGTGTCCATCCCCTTTCCACTGTGCCAACAGCAGTCTCAGTGGTTAGCAGCACAAGGTAGGGTTCTTCCCAGGGTGGCTTGAGTTTCCCTTCTTTCTACCCTTTGATGAGAACGTGATCTCCAGGCTGTTGCTGATACACTGGGAACTCCAAGGGCAGCGCCTGTGCTAAAAGACCTTTTGTTTTAAGGGAAGAGAAGGTGAAAGAGAGACCAAATATATAATTTCTAAGAAATTGATCCTTGGTTTCAAATGTGTGAACATTAGCTGAGGAATGTAGGTAAGGTAATCCATATAACATTTCATATGGGGATAAGCCAATACCCTTCCGGGGAGCAGTCCTAATCCTTAATTACTCAATGGAAAGACATTTGGTCCATGGCAACCATGTTTCCAAAATAATTTAGTTAAAAGGTTTTTAAGAGTTTGGTTCATCCTTTCTACTCTTCCAGAGGAGGAGGGTTGCCAGGGAATATGAAAGTCCCATTTTATGTCTAACACTTAGGCTAATTTCTTAATAATATGTGCAGTGAAATGGGTCCCATTGTCTGAAACAATATTTTCTATTATTACAAATCTAGGTATAATATGCTCAATTAATGCCTTCACCACATTACTAGCAGTTGCCTTTGAGAGAGGAATAGCTTCTACCCAGTGTGTGAAATGATCTACTATTACTAATAAATATTTTAGACAGCCAATTGAGGGCATTTCAGTGTAATCTATTTGGACACTTTGGAATGGTCTTAGCCCTGGAGTCCTTCCTCCAACAGGTAATTTTCTTAGGGCCTGTTTATTTGTTTTCTTACTTATCAAACAACCATCTGTGACTTGTTTAGCTAAGGTATAAATTCCAATGCACCTATAAACTCTGAGAACCGCATCACACAGAGCTTGGGGGCCCCAATGAGTCCCTTAATGCAGATGAGATAAGACCTCCCTCATAAGGGGCTTGGATAACATTTCCCTTTGATTTGGGAGTATCCATCTTCCTTCTGAATTCTCCTGAGCTCCAATTTCCACTAATTTTTCTTTCTCAGCCTGAGAGAAAATAGGAACTATAGTGGAAGGAGGAAGATAAGGAGTCAAATGGAAAATGGGTGTCTTAGAGACTGCAGCCTTCTTGGCTACTTGATCTGCAAGATTATTCCCTCGGCTTTCAAATGAGGAATCATGTTGATGTCCAGGAGCATGGACAATAGCTATTTCCTCCGGCAACTGGAGATTATTTAGAATGCGGGTTATCAATGTTTCATGAACAAGATCCTGACCTGTATTGTTAATGAGGCTTCGTTCAGCTGAAGTTTCCCAAATGTATGGGATACTCCAAAGGCATATGTAGAGTCAGTATAGATGGTTCCTATTTGGTTCCTAAATATTTCAAAGCCTGACTGAGAGCACGTAATTCACAAGCCTGAGCAGACCAACTATTAGGTAATCTTCCTGATTCTATTTCTTTGAGAGTTTCCCCAGAAATTACTGCATACGTATTATGTCGTGTTCCATCAAATACCCAGGAGGATCCACCTGTAAATAAGTGTCTCCCCGTTTTAAAGGGAGTTTCTACTAAGTCTGGTTGTACCTTTGTGTGATAGTCAATTAAATCCAGACATAGGTGTTCTGTTTTTAGCAATGGGTTTCCTGTCAAGAAATCTGCTGGGTTAAGTGAATTATCTGTGGTTATGGTTAAATCATCTTTTCCTAATAGTATAGCTTCATATTTTAAAATTCTAGAGTCAGTGAGCAATCCTCCTGCTTTCTGGTTCAGGATGGCTCTGACTTCATGAGGTGTACTGACTGTCAGTTATCCTCCAAAGGTTAGCTTCCTACTTTCTTCTACTAATATTGCTGCGGCTGCAATGGATTGAATGCACTGAGGCCATCCGCAGGCGACAGGATCTAAAAATTTAGACAGGAAGGCCATTGGCTGCCAGCAACCACCACGTTCCTGAGTAAGCACTCTTAAAGCTACTCCATTGTTTACATTAACAAAAAGATGGAATGGTTTTTCTAAGGAAGGTAAAGCCAAGATGGAGCAGACATTAGTCTCTCTTTTAACTCATTAACTTGATCAACCTCTTCAGAGGACCATATAAGCAGATCAGGCACTCTTTTAGTTAATTTTTCATATAACAATTTACTCCCCAATGCATATGAATCAATCCATAGATGACAGTATCCAATTAACCCTAGAAATTTTCTAAGTTCTTGTTTGTCCAGGACAATGGCAAAGACACAATTCCTTCAACCCATTCGAGTTCTATTCTTCTTTTCCCTGCACTGATTAAGTGACTTAAGTATCTAACTTCAGGTTCTACAAATTGAAGTTTTCCTTTTGAAACTCGCAACCTCTCAGAATGTAAGTGATTTAGAATGTATCCAGAAAATTCAGTTACTTTTTTCTGTGTCTTCCCCAGATATAAGAATATCATCCATGTATTGAAGTAGACTCAGTTGCTTTGGAACAGCAGCCTTCTCTATTTTCTCTAAAGCATGACTAAAAAGATTTAGTGAGTCTGTAAATCCCTAGGGCAAAACTGTCCATCTATATTGTTGTTTCTGTCCTATATGAGGACCCTTCCATTCAAAAGCAAATATGTCACGGCTGTCTTTGCCAAAGGTCATGCCCAGAAAGCATCTTTTAAAACTATGATGGTGAACCACTGATGACTGTAGCAAATCTTACTAAGAATAGTGTATGGGTTAGGCATAATAGGATAAGTGGTTTGGATTATTTCATTAATAGCTCTAAGGTCTTGCACTAATCAATATGACCCATCTGATTTCTTGACCGGTAAAATGAGAGTGCTATATGGAGACATACAGGGTTTGAGAAGCCCATCCTTGATAAGTCCTTCAATCACAGGTTTCAACCCCACCCGTCCTTCTAAAGAGATACGGTACTGCTTCCTCCTTACTATCTCCCCTGGAATCTTTAATTTGATTTGGATTGGGGGAATTCATAACTTCCCTCGATTTCCCTCCTTGGACCAAATATCAGGATGAATGTACTTTTCATCTGCCATAGTCAGCAAATTTAGAGAAGTTGGAAACTTCTTGGGCCAAATTGTAGACTCTATGCCTAATTTTAGCATTAAATCTCTCTCCCTAATAAATTTGTTCCTGCTTCACGAATTAATAAAAATTGAATACAAGTTGACCAATCTTTATAATTCACCTCTGTGTTTTCTAAAATCTTTATTTTAAATCCTCCTCTTTTCACCCCAGAGACTAGCAATTACTCTGGAGAACAAGTTAAATCAGCTGGGGTAAAACAGACAAACACACAGCTCTGGAGTCAATTAAAAAGGTGATTAACTCATGGTTGGGTCCCACCTCTAAATATATCAAGGGCTCCTGGTGGGACTCGAAATAGAAAAGAGAGCCCCTGATCCCCCCTATTCTTCTTCAAAAGTAGGCATGAGTGGAAAAGCTTCCTCTGCACTCCTCAATTCAGGACATTCTTTCTTGAAATGGCCTGTTTTTCCACATTTGTAACATCTATCCTGCTCTCCTCTCCTTAGCCCAGGACCTGTTTGTCTCTGTCTTTCTTCCTTCCTCTCACATTCACAACTTTTACACTTACTTTGACTTTCTCCTTTGAAATACTGACCCTGCCTCCTCTCCTTTTGCATTCCAGAATTCCAGGGACTTCCTCTCTCACTGCCTTTGGAAAACTGTGCTGGCACGGGTCTAAATTTGCCCCCTGGCATCATTTGCCCCAGTGAATTTTGCCAAAAGATCTTGCTTTCTGCCTTTGCCTTTCTTCATCCCTCCCTACATATACTTTCTGGGCTTCTCCTAAAAGCTCTTCTATTGACAGATTCTTCCAGTTTTCTAGCTTTTGCAACTTTCTTGCAATATCTGGCAAGCTATCAGTAACAACGTGCAGCTTTAACATCCCTTGCCCAACGGGGTTTTCTGGATCTAAATCAGCATATTTTCTCATTTGATCTCTTAATCTATTTAGAAACTTCATGGGCTCCTCATCTTTTCCTGTTGTTTATCAAAAGCTTTAGAGAGATTTTGAGGTTGGGGTGCTGACTCTCAAATTCCTTGAACAATCATTTCCTTTACATCTCTCATGTTATTTGGGTGGGCTGCAATATTATTGTCCCACTGCGGGTCTTGAGCTGGAAATTTAGTATCAGCTGCTGGGGCATCCTGGCCTGGAGGATGGTCATGCTCCCAGGCCGCCATAGTAGCTCTGCAGATCATGTTCCGTTCTTCCCTTGAAAAAAGAATACCTACAATGGACATTAACTAGGTCCAAGTGTATAACTGAGGGCTTAAAAACTGATCCATCTGTTCTGCTACCCCATCAGGTTCGTCTAATAATGGCTTAAGTTCTGTCTTTAGGCTACGGACCTCAGAAGCAGTTAAAGGAGTGTTTAGGAAGCCAATCGCGCTTCCTCCCTGTGGCACCTCCTTTAAAAGAAAAAGCTTTGAAGCTGAACCTGATTCCTTAGAGGAGGGGAATGGAAAATTTTGAATATCCTTTTTACATTGTTCTACCTCCTGCCGGAGCCCTTTATTTAAAGAGGAACATTCAGGCTGGCAATGATCAGGCTTTTGAGGTGCTAACTCCCAAGAGCCTGGATTATACAGGAGGCTAGGAAAATCTGGGTCAGGTTCCAGGGCCACCACTTGGGAAGCGGGAGGGAGGGATGGGGGCTGTGCTGCAGGAACAGTAGGGGCAAGGGCAGCAGGAGCAGACCCGGTGCCGGCAGGAGCTGGAGGCTCCCCAGGTGGCGACAGAAATAAGGGAAGATGGTCCAAGGGGTCCCACTTGCATGGGGGTTGCTTGTGGATAAAAACTTCACTCTCGTCAGGTGAGACTACTCCCGACTTTATTCTGATCTCTGATTGTTTTCGTCCTCCTCTTAATGGGTGAAGGAGAACTGGCCCCCTGTCGCCAACAGAGAGCATAATTTATTTCTTCTTGGGACACAGGGCTTTTGTTGTTGACATACATTGTTAAGAGTTGACAGACCCCATCCTTATCTGACCCAAATTTTGGCCAGATAACTGCAGGCTTGAGGATCAGTTCTTTGGTCCAAGTGAAACAACAATATTTTATCATTTGGTGCTTTTTCTTATGCTTAGTCCTTTCATTATCCTTCCAATATGTTAACATATACCCTAAAGGACTATCAGAAGGAATCTGATCACCTTCACCTCTCCCTGAGTCAACTTTACTCCCTGTCCTTGTTTTACTACAAATGTTTCCCATATTGTGTACTGGTCAGGTTCAATCTCCTGAAATTTGCAGAAGGTTCAATCTCCTGAAATTTGTGGAAAGTTGAACCTCACAAACCAAGGATGTCTTGCTTGCCTGCCCTGGAAGTCTCGACCCCTTAAACCAGGAATGTCTTGCCTTGCCTGTCCCAGGAGGTTGACCTGTTTCCTCCCTTTCGCCTTCGGAAGGTCCCTTGCACACTTCCCACTCATGTTGTCCTCTTTGGCTGTTCCCCCAAGGGAGAATTAGGCCCCTGTTAGCATTGGCATGCCAGTATAAATCCCACAGCAGGATCCGCCCTAAGCCATATGAGGTAGCTACGGAACCACAGAGAGGACCCACTCACTCCATCCAGCAGTAGGACTTGCCACCATCCACAAAACAATACCGCAAGCAGGGTTGTCTGTGATCATTCATGCACACACACATTCAGCCCTCCAGAATTTGACCACCAAGGAAGTACTTTAATGGCTGCCGTGGCTTCTCCTTCCTTGGTCTGTGCACAGAGTTGTTGCCACAGTATGTGAAGATCCTTTACACCAGGTTGCAGGCTAGTTTCTTTCCACGTTGCTGAGAGTCAGGGTTTATTTGTCACACTGGGTAGGACTCAATTCCTTACTTCTGAGGCCACCGCAAGAGGCAGCAGGGCACCTCCTCATGAGAGAGGACTAGAGACCACCCCCAGAGGAGAATGTATCCCTGTTTGGAATGCCACCAAAAGTTGTTAGAAACAGATCATCAGTGCTGCGAAGAAAAGTCAGCACAGAGACAAAGGATCTCTCAGCAAAGCAATCTTTACTTTCTGCAGAAAGGGTGACCCTCACAGATGGAACAATGGCAAGAGCACACCTGAACAAAGGAAAAGCAGACATATTTATCCCTTATGCATTTGGGTCATCCTTACTGCTGTATCCTGCATCCATTGGCTGGAGCTGGACCTCACAGTCTTAAACTGATACTCGATTTGATAATAACCTAAAACTTTCCTAAATAGGTAAGTGCAAGGGAGAACAAAGAAGAAAATAAAGTTGCTTACAAAAGGTTTAAGGAAGCAATAACATTTCCAAATAAGGAAGGGGCATAAGCTATGAGCTAAGACTTTCCTGGGCCTGTCCAGATATGCCTGAGTAAGCCAAAGCAACTAACTGGGCTAAAGTGTAAGAACTAAGAGTTGACAGGAGGCTTTAGAGTAAGGAGCTATTATTCCTAGTGTCTATCAATTTAATTTTAAACCAAGATGCACTTTGAAGAGGAACTTTTCTACTTTCTACAGAAATCAAGCTAATTAACATCCCCCACCTGACATACTTATCAATATCTATGGTGAGAACTTTTGAAACTTACTCTCAGAAATTTTTAGTTGAACAATACATTATTATGAACTATAGTCATTGTACTATTCAACAGATCTCAATAATGTATTCCTCCTGTCTAACTGAAACTTTACCCTTTGACCAGCATTTAAGTGGAAACCTCCATAGCTAAAAGTCTCTTTGGCTAGTTAAATTCACTTCTTAAGCATGCACTCTTATGTATGTTCTGCATATATTAAAGTGCTAATTAACAACAGCTAATAGGCATTAAGCATCTATTATATTGCATGCCATATTCTATGTGTTAAAGCTTTATGGACATACTCTATTACATCATTGAAATAAACCCAAAGCATACTTTTTTTAAAAAAACTATTCTTATCTTAAAGATTAGAAAAGTGATATTTAAAGTTTAGTAAATTGCTAAAAGTCACTGAAATAGTGTTAAAGGTAAGATTTCAATCCATGCAATCTAACTTTATAGCTCCAAAGCCAAACTGCAGCCTAAGCTTACATGTATGTTTCATCTTCATGTAAGCGATCTGATGTTCAGTTACAGGCTTAAGCTCTAGCCCAGAAAAGATGATATTTAAATAATTATTATTGGTCCCCAGGGACCTAGAAATATATTTTAAGCAAATAATTTAAATTAATCCTGTGATGAATAAAATAAAAGCACGCATTCTAGTATGATAATATTGTGTATGTTTATTGCAAAAACTGAAATTAATTATTCCTTCTTTAGTTGCATATGAAGTTAATACATGCAAAAACTCAATGCACCAGTTTTTATATAGCAATATAAAGTCACAACTTAACATTACTTTTCCTAGAATTCATCTAAGATAACTCATAGAATAAAAAACAGAACTGAATAATCAATCTCCATTGAAATTAAAATAATTTTTAAAACAAGGGCCACAAAAAATGAGGGAAGACAGACAAGGGAAAAAAAACAGTGAAGACGAAATAAAAGTGTATGAAAACCTTCAGAGAAGATATGTATAGTTGTGGGTTTCAGATAAAGCGAGTAGGTCACCCCAAAGCACAGGAAATGAGGCTTAAAGTTATCATTCTTTCCTTTAATATGTGAACTGAAAATATCTGAGACAAGACTCAGTCAATTTTGAAAGTTTATTTTGCCAAGGTTAAGGACCCACCCAAGACACAGCCTCAGGAGGTCCTGATGACATGTGCCCAAGGTGGTCAGGGTACAGCTGGCTTTCACACATTTTAGGGAGACATAAGACATCAATCAATACATGTAAGGTTTACACTGGTTCCATCTGGAATGGTGGGACAACTCGAAGCTGGGGAGCTTCCAGGTCATAGGTAGATTTAAATATATTCTGATTGGCAATTGGTTGAAAGAGTTATTATCAGCAGAAAGGAATGTCTGCATTAAGATAAGTGGTTGTGACCAAGGTTTTGTCATGCAGATGAAACCTCCAGGTAGCAGGCTTCCAAGAAAATAGATGGTAAATGTTTCCTATCAGACTTAAGGTCTGTGTTAATGTTAATGCTGGAGGGGAATAATGAGGTTTCCTGTCATGGCCTGAACCAGTCTTTCAGGTTAAATTTTAGAGTGCCCTGGCCAAGGAGGAAGTCCATTCAGATGGTTGTGGGGCACAGGGAGCAGCGGGGGATGGGGGGGGCACAGGGGATGTTGAAATTTGTTTTTGGGTTACAGATAGTAGCAACAGATGTGAGGCTGGTTAGGAGCACTTCCCTGGTTCCCATTTAACATAGAGCTGCAAAAAGTAGAGAAGATAGAAAAGTTTTAAAAACACACAGAAAAGCCATATTTTTAAGGAACAACATGTTTGTAAAACATAGGTAGAGAATGGATACTTCATCCTGCAAACAACTCTGCAGTGACAATTTTGAGTTGCACTGGGAGAATATGGCTTAAAGAACACGCATGCATACACTACACCTGGCTAATGAAGAACCCTGGTCACCCAGAACACACAACTCCAGCTCACTCATGCAAAACTCTTTGGAAAAAGAAACTTATTTAGAAATAACTTTATTTAAAATTGATTACGAATATTAAAAAGAGCAAGCATAGACTATTTGAAATATTCTCTAAGAAGGAGCTTTGATGAACAAATTGCAGGCCAAGAGTACGCAAACAACAAAATTACAAAATTACCAAAGAGCAGATGGAAATTTTACCAAATACATTGACAATGATTTTTTTAAAAAGAAAGTATGACCTCCATAAAACAGAATCAAAAAGCACAAATAAAAGAACTGAATGTGCTATAAATATTTAACAAAAGAGATGAAACGTCAGCACAAGAGAAAGAAAAATTAAAATAATTATGATAATCAAGACCAGTAGTTACAGCTTAAAGGAGAATAAAATCATGAAAACAGCAAGAAACATGGAATTGAGGAATGAGAAAAACAAGAAAAATGAAATGAAAATGAATACGTTTCTTTCCATTCTGGGGAAGTGATTGTAGGGAAGGCAAAACAAATTTTTCTTTTCACATTCTGAATTATTAGTTGGAACAGGCCCCTATAACAAAAGATAAGTTAGCAAGAGAAAAACAAATAGAAGTTTATTAACATGGATATTGCATGTTCTTTCTTCATGGGAAATACCCAGGAAGTTAGTGGTTCTGAAAGAGGTGGCTGTGAGATGGCTTATATGCCATCATCCACAGAAACAAAGAGAGAAGCCTGTGGGGAGCACTACCCATGCGGAGATACCAGGAAAAGCTTAGTGCTTGCAGATATAAGTCAGTGCCTTCTCTCCTGGTAAGTCCTGGTGATTTACAGCCATTCTTCTCTCCCTCTTGCAGAGAGAGAGCACACTTACGAACAAAAATTTCCTTCATGGATTTACATTTCCTTGACAAAAGGGTAACTTCTACTCTATTTTCAGAGTTTCTCCTGTGTCAGCAGTTTCTCAAAATAATCAGCTCAAAATAGTCCTTATGCCAAAGAGGTATATTTTGGGGTGGCATATTTTGATCTCCTCCATGGTGTTAGTGTAAATGACAGATTAAAGACCTCCAAAAATACTCTCCTTCATAGAAGCAATGAGAATACTGCAAAAATTGTCAGAATAAATTCTTCAGAACTTCAGAAATTAATCAAAGTTTTACAACAATCCAGAATATTTATTTAAAAAAAATGACTGAATACTGGTAAGAACATTGAGTTGTGTGGCATATTAACTTCCATTCTCATAGTCCTCTCTTTAGTTCCACAGTGGCCATGAAAACAGTCAGTTTGCCATCACGGTGAAAACTAGTAGCCTGGCTGTCACTGGAGATGACAGAACAGGGTTTGAACTCCTACAAAGCTCAATTTCTTTTCTTTTTTTTTTTTTTGAGTTGGAGTCTTGCTCTGTTGCCCAGGCTGGAGTGCAGTGGCACCATCTCAGCTCACTGCAAGCTCCGCCTCCTGGGTTCACGCCATTCTCCTGCCTCAGCCTCTCGAGTAGCTGGGACTACAGGTGCCCACCACCATGCCCAGCTACTTTTTTGCATTTTTAGTAGACGGGTTTTCACTGTGTTAGCCAGGATGGCCTCGATCTCCTGACCTCGTGATCTGCCTGCCTCAGCCTCCTAAAGTACTGGGATTAACAGGCATGAGCGACCATGGCCGCAAAGCTCAATTTCTAAAAAAATTGCCATTATTCAAATTGTTGGGTGGTTCTCTGGAGCACCTGGCTCTCAAGGCTATTTTTATTTGATCTGACACAGAGCTTGCCCAGAGAAAGCTCACCCAGTATAAACAGTCATTTCTTTGTAGGTATTTCATTAAAAAAAGAAAAAAAATTAGATGGAATTGTCTAATATCGTGGCCACCCAAAAAACAATGGGGAAACCCTGAAAAGGAAAGCTGGGGGAAAAAAAAGAGGTCAATAGAAGCTCTGGAAAGTTTTGATAAGTTTGATATATAAAACTGGGAATGCCACATGCATACACATGGTTTAGACTTTAGAAGACAATGCTGGGGCTGCAGAAACCGATTCCCGAAAATATGATACTTTGGCATGTTGCATGCTTTGAATATGAAAAGGCCTCAGAAATAAGTCTCAGAAGCGAGGTCTGTCTCTAACCTTTTGCCTGCTTCCCTGTGTCTCTGCTCCTCTTTTCCAAAGCACCAGGAGGGACTCTCTGGAATTTCCTTATATAAGAAAGCTTAATTCCAAAAGAAATGCAATTGTCTTAAGACTCCTTCTCTAGGAATCTCATCAAATAACCAAGAAAGACTAACCCCAGAAGAGAAGACACTGGGAGTCCTCATCATACCCGACAGACTTCATTTATTCTTTTGAGGGGGGTTCTGGGAGATTACCTGGGGAACTTTAACCACATAATAAGCAGAGAGAATTATTTACTGACCATTGTCTGACCTATTCATTCTCCCATTTTCCTCTCCCCTATGGAGAGGTCATTTAAGCCTCAATCATCTTGGCTCCTCTTTGACTTCTTGTTTTGCATGACTGCCATGAACACATATGCACATAATACATTTGTTTTTCTCTTGTTAGTCTGTTTTTTGTTATGGTGTGTTGGCAATGACCTTATACGGTGGTCATCACCACCCTTCTGCCCCAGAAGCACTAAACTTTTAAAAGAACCACAGGTATATATGTTCATTAGGCAATGGTTTCTTAGGTATGACACCATAAGCACAAGCAACCAAAAAAAAGGGTAAGTTGGGCTTGATTGAAATAAAACATTTTATGCTTCAAAGGAGGTTATTAACAAAGTAAAAAGACAACACACCAAATGAGAAAATATATTTGCAAATCATATCTCTGATAAGGGTTTAGTAACCAGAATACATATAAGATACTTAAAGCTAGAAAATAAAAAAACAAATAACCCAATTATAAAAGAAACAAAGAATCTAAATAGACATTTCTGCAAAAATAATATACAAATGTCTAATAAACATCTTTAAAAATGCTCTACATTAATCACTAGGGAAACGTAAATCCAAACTACAATTTGATGCCACCTTACATTCATTAGAATGGCTATAAAAAAAATGATGGACAATAACAAGTGTTGGCAAGGAGGTGGAAAAACTTTGAAAGACTCACACATTTCCTGTGGGATTGTAAATGAAGCAGTTATTTGGAAAACATTTTGTCAGTTTTTAAAAAGTTAAATAGGAGAGTTACTATATGACCCAGTAATTTCACTCTGAGCTCACACAAATACTTGTACATGTGTTTGAAGCAGTTTTATTCTCAATAGCCAAAAAGTAGAAAAAAACTCATGTTCATTAACTGATGAATGAAACAATTGTAGTAAATCAATAGATAGAATAATATTCAGCCATAAAGAGGACTAAATTATTGATACACCTGACAACATGGATGAACCTTTATAAAAATGCAAGTAAAAGAAGAAAGGCACAAAAGACCCTATAATGTAGAATTCAACGCATATGAAATATGCAGAACGAACAAATACATAGAGACAGAAAGTAAATTTGTGTTTGCCAGGGTCTGGGAAGAAAGTGTAATGAAAGGCAAGTTCTTTTTTTTTTTTTTTTTTTTTGAGACAGAGTCTCACTCCGTCTCCAGGCTGTAGTGCAGTGGCACGATCTCGGCTCACTGCAACCTCTGCCACCCGGGTTCAAGCAATTCTCCTGCCTCAAACTCCCCAGTACCTAGGACTGCAGGCAATCACCACCACCCCTGGCTAATTTTTATATTTTCAGTAGAAATGGGGTTTCACCATGTTGGTCAGGATGGTCTCAGTCTCTTGACATCGTGATCAGCCCACCTCAGCCTCCCAAAGTGCTGGGATTACAGGTGTGAGCCACTGTGCCCCGCCTGAAGGGCAAGTTCTAATGGGAATGGGATTTCTTTTGGGGGTAATAAATTGGAATTAATTAGAATTGAATTAGCAGTGATGGTTACACTACTTGTGAATATATAAAAAATAACTGATTTCTTGTATAGTTTAAAAAAGTCTCCTTTATGGTATACAAATCATATTTCAATTTTTAATAGGATTATGAAAAAATTTAAAAATATGCAGAAAAATGGAACTCAACCATATGCATAATCAGTGTGTGCAAGGAAACAATCAGAACAATGAAACAGAAAAATATCATTTGCATAAACCAGTAAAGAAAAACTTTCAGACATAAAGAGTTTTTCAAATCTTTACATTTCAAAGAAACACTGTATATGAGAGAGGGGAAAATGACACAAAGCAAATAATTCTAAGATATTCTAATAAATGTATGGAAAAATAATAACTTGAACAGTTGTATAAAATATAAAACTCCCTATTAAAAAGCAGGATTCAGCAATTTATATATCATGCAATTCCAGACTACCTTGGGCCCACTAAGTCATCAGGGAGAGTCAGAATGGCCCAAGAATTTCTAGCCAAACGATAATGCTAGCACAAACTCAACATTAAAGAACAAATAGGCATGTGGGTGTCCAGGGAGCACTGTTTTTGTAAGTGATTCTTTAGGAAACTATTAGAGGATGAATCTCAGTAAACCAATTAGTAAACAAAATTATTGAGCAAAATTTCAGCACTGGGCATTGACTACATGAAATGACTAAAGTTTAAAATAAATATGATGATTTTGTTTACAGAAAAAAATGTAAAAAACTGTAAACCCTGATGATGTAGAAATAATATAAAATTTCTAAAGTTGGAAGGGGATGGGGAAAAGTGTGGGAGTTTATGGACATCTCCATCTCTGATTTTCTCAATTTTTTAAAAAAAATCTGGTTGACAGATATAATTAGAAGTTGTTAGCTATATGGAGGAAATATAAGTATATTTCAAGGTGTAAAAATTTAAAAAGTAAAGTAATACAATCAGTTAATATGTTGGTAGAGATTAAAGAAGAAAGCATTGTACACAGGAGAAGTAAATCTTTTTGCACTGTGTGAATAACCATGCCTTTTGCTATAGTAATATCAGTGTGGTTAATTCCAATGTTGATGTGTAATACATAGTGTAAGCACTGTCGTTTTGGAAAAACCTAAATAATTTGATTTCAGAACAGGGTTTGGGCTAAGGAATGTTTGTAAATCCATAATTGTATAGCATAGACAATATATAGATATTATCTAAAGAGGCTTAAAGATATTTTTTAAAGTTAATATTATCTTAGGTAACCATTACAGCAAGTAGTAGTATATAACCATTTTTTTGAGAAGGAAATCCAGAAAGCCAGATGTATGTAAAATATATTTGAAAGGTCTAAAAATAAAATTCACAGCGGAACATATGAGAGATGAAATAGTACCAGACATATCTACTGTTCATTACATAAAGATAAATGAACTAACTTTGTATATTAAAAGAAAAAATGAAAAATTGGAATTGAAAATAAAATTGAATATAAGGTTGCAGACAAGCAATATTCATGTAAATAAAGTAATTCAAAAAGTTTGCACAGAAAACATTCCAGGCAAATGAAAACACAAACAAAAATATGGATATCATAACCTTAATAAGGCAAATTATTGAATTCAGGATTATAAATAAATAAATAAATATCTGTTACAGAGAAGGGCACTTTACAATAATAAACATTATAATCCACAATGCAGATTTAACAGTTATGATTACTTATGTGAGAAGAGCATAGCATCCATATTCTAACAGCAATAACTACATGGAAAATAAGGAAAAACAAAATATTAGTTGTAGGAGACTGTAATTCACCTCCCAATTTGTGGCAGATAAAACTAATTAAAAATAAAAGCTTAGAGAAAACCAAAAATAATTAATAATTGAGTAAATCCAATTCATAGATGTATAGAAAGTAAAATATAAAGAAGACTCCAATGACCCACACCACTGTATAATACCACCCCCTAAAGCATGGAAGACATATGTAATTTGCTTCTAAACAATAAAATAAGACAAACGTTATGGGTTATCACTCCTGTGGTTATCTTACCTTATATGGCAAAAGTGGAGGTATTCTGTCAATGTAATAAAGGTCCCTAATCAGTTGACTTCAAGTTAATCAGGAGAGATTATCTCAGGTGGGCCTGACCTAATTAGGATAACTCATTAAAACCATGTCTATAGGACAGAGAAGGCAGAAATCAGAGAGAGGCCTCTCTCTGTCTGCCTCTGCAATAGGAAAGCAGACAGGCATGGGAGGAGGTTGCTAAGTCCCCTACTGTGAAGGAGTTCCAGAGGTAAGGGGCATGAATGGAAGGGCCTGTTGGATTCCAATTTGGACAGATTCTAGAATCTTTTGTTAGAGGAGGCTCCATTTAATGTGGGCTGATTTGCAAGTGACAGCATACACGGCCTTATGTAAAATTTGTAAATGAGGAATATGTTCCCTCTAGAACCCAAATGCCTAAAAGAGATTGGGGGTGCTGAGAGTTTATTGACCCAGCTGTTTCTTGACAGTGTAAGGGATTGAGCAGCCCTTGGCTTACCAAATAATTTTCGAGAATGTATCCAAGATGGGGGAGTCTTGCACTATGTGTAGGGCAATGACCCACCCTTTTTATGAGCTCCTTTGTATTTGTGTGCTCTGAATGAGTGTGTCATATGAATCTCATTAGAGGGGGATGTTACAATATAGTGTCATACCTGTGCTTCTGGAGAAAGGTAGATGCAAATAGGATTGACCTGCAAAGGCTGTGTGTGGTGGCAAGGCTGCCGGAATACCCCATGCATTATGTAGCAAAGGTTATCACGTCCCTTTAGAGGTGAAGGCAAACTGCAGCTGAGAGGCTGACAAAAGAGGCACTGAGCAGAAGATAATGACCAAATCCAGCATAGCGAAATATTTACCAATTTCTATATTTCAATAATATTGTGTGTATGGGGGTGGTGCTTAGTGGGTGGAACCGCAGAATTAAGAGTGCAGGAATCAGGCACCATTTATTCTTTCCAGGATTAAGAGCAGACCAAATTGAGCTATTAAATGGAGAAGCCATAAGAATAATCACCCTCTCATTTGATACATCTTGTGTCATGGGTTTTAATCCTTGAAGTCCCTAGGAGTAAGGGTGTTACTGGGAGTAAGGTCCATGGAGTCTCATTTTTTTATGATAATTTGTAAGTGGCAAAGACTTCATTTAATTTTAATTTATTACTCATTGCATGAGAGCACCCATGCCCACTATGGTATATTTTAAGGAAATGGGTGTTTTGAGCATGGGGAAATTTCAATACTTAAGGTGAGGCATACCTGTTTGTAATCTCTTTATGTTCAAGAGCTCCCCTAAAATTATGGGGGGTACTTTGTTTAATTTTAGTAGGATCACCAGGAATTCAGAACCTATCCTAGAGAGAGGTGCAGGAGTCAATACTAGACCTTTTATCAGAATTTTTGCTTAAAACATTACGCTAAAACATAGATAAATTTTAGTTTTCCAATTGGATCAAACTGTGGATCTCTGTTTCAATTTTTGTTTCCCTTCCTGTACTCAGGATCTTTTTTTTCTTCCTACCTTCCCTCCTTTTTTGGAGGGTACTTCAGGGTAGTCCCTCTCTACCCTACCCTATTTCTGAGTTGTTTTCTCCAGAGAGCCTCAAATGAGTGTTTTCAGGGTTAGGGCATTCCCTGTGGCACTGGTTGCTTTATAGGGTTGAAGCCTGGCCTTAAGTTGGGTTTGAAATAACCTCTTTGTTGTGTGCAGATGCCATGGCTGTTTCTTTCTGTAGCCCTAAATTGCTGAAAGGGGAAGTCTCTAAAGGTGGAATGGCCATGAAATGACATGTTGGCGACTTTTCCTTTGAAATAGATATGGCTTCAACACAAATTTATAAAGATCATGTGGAGGAGCTCTACACATCCTTCACTCAGTTTCCCTTAATGGTTACATCTTAAATAATTGTACATCAATATCAAAGAAAGGGATCTGATATTGGTGGAATGCGTGTTTATAGCTGTCATTTACAGCATGTGTAGATTCACTAACCAGCATTCACCATCAGGAGCACAAGACTATTCCATATCCACACAGACCTGCTTCCAACCACCCCATAGTCACACCACAACCCTCACCTAGCACCCCAGCCACCGGTGACCACTAATCTGATTCCATCTCTATAATTTGTCATTTTGAGAATTACATACAAATGGAGTCATACGTTATGTAACCTTTTGTGATTGGGTTTTTCACTTGTGATTTCCTGGGCATTCATCCATGTTGTCATATGTATCAATAGTTCATTCCTTCCTATTGCTGAGTAGCATTCCATCAGACTATATGTATCCCAGTTTGTCTAGTCATTCACTCATTGAACGATATATTTCCAACTAGGCTAAGTTGGTTTATGAATAAACCTGCTAAGAGCATCGGTGTATGTGTTTTTGTGTGAACCTGACTTTTCATTTTTCTAGAATAGATGCTCCATTGCAGTTGCTGAGTCTTAAGCTAATTGCGTGTTTAGTTTTATAGGAAACTGACAAACCATTTTCCAAAGTGTCTGTAAAATTTTACACTCTGACCAGCAATAAACCAGTGACCCAGTTTCTCCATATCCTCCCAGTGACTACCTTTTGTATTATGTTGGTGCACAAGTCATTACTTTTAATGGCAAAAACTGCAATGACTTTTGCACCAACTGAATAATTTTGTAAAGTGTCTAAAATATTCTTTCAAGTACACATGAAAATCTTAAAACAATTGTTGCTTCAGAGACTAGGAACTGGATTTGGGGAGTTAAAACAGAAGGAGAGATATGCTTTTTAAACTATTCTTTTTTGTTTCAGTTGAAATGTATACTATGTATACTATATGCACATAGTATTTATTCTACATAAATTATTATTCTACAAAAAGCTGTGACTGCTTTATAAAGTGTGCCACACTTTCGAATTCTTAGAAACTCCTGATAGGCAAGAATCCTGTTTCATCCCCTGATGTATCCTAGGTGCCTAGAACAGTGTTATACACTTAGTATTGTACTGTACTTGTACACATTTAAGAATAACCAGTCAGTCCTTGATCATGAGTTCCAGTTAGGAGGAAACTTCATTCTAATATCACGTGTTGTCATTGCTCACCTAGAGACACACACACTCTTATCCTTCTCATCCCTGACCCAGTGAAGGGACCTTCTAATTCCTCACAAGCAGTCAGGAGATTCCAGGCCAACACAGAATCTTTTTTTTTTTTTTTTTTTTTTGAGACACCTAGGCTGCAGTGCAGTGGTGTGCAATCTCAGCTTACTGCAACCTCTGCCTCCTGGGTTCAAGCGATTCTCCTGCATCAGCCTCCTGAGTAACTGGTATTACAAGCGCATGCCACTACACCTGGCTAATTTTTGTATTTTTAGTAGAGATGGGGTTTCACCATATTGGCCAGGCTGGTCTTGAACTCCTGACCTCAAGTGATCCAACTGCTTCAGCCTCCCAAAGTGCTAGGATTACAGACGTGAGCCACTACGCCTGGCCCAGCACATAATCTTAACTTGACTAATAAAAACAGGACCTCTCATGTGTAGAATGCTTAGTATGAATGAGTCACTTTGAAATTCTACAAACATTTTAGTTTTCGATAATTTAAAAACTTTTATTAAAAGTAAGACTGAATGGAGCTTGTGATTATAATATAGTGTGGACTAGAGTACACTGCAACAATTACTCATTGAAGTAACAAAGTAAATAATGGTGATTGTTATTAATTTGAAAGCTTTGTGTGAACACTTTCCAAAATAAAAAGCAAATGCTTTACAGATCACTTCTCAAAACTGTTGCTAAAGCTGATTCCATTTTTGGAAGCCCTTAGATGAGCGTGGTGTGTGTGACTTAGACATTTTACCATCTGGAGGAATGCAAAACAATCCAAATTCTTTATAAAAAAGATTGTTTGTTCTTAAAATATAAAATATATTAGGACGATATGTGCAGTAATAAAGATCACAAATATATAAGCTTTTCCTTATTCATTCTTTAAGGCTGCTTTAAATATTTCTGCTGTTGAATTTTCTTAAAGTTTAAAGCCACAGCAGCAATTGTTAACGTCAGCATACTAGTTGTTCTTCCCTTCTACCTTTCTATAACACGCAAACTTCTTTAGCAGGCATTTAGTAGACTTTCACCACCAACCCCCTGCCCCCGTACACCCCGCCTCCTCTGCTGGCTCTTTCTTTACAGGAGAGCAAGTGAGATTACCTGCCTTCCCTGGAGTCCCAGGTGGAATGTTCTCTGTCCTGACACTCCTGTGAAATGAGAGTATGATGAGACTGGAATCCAGCTGAGAATCTGGCACATGGGAGATAGGCAAGAAATCATCATTGCATAAATAAAACAGACAGCCCCCTGGGACATCAGCACACATCTCCTTTCTCCAATCATGTAATGCTTCCCTTTCCTCCCTTCCTTCTCTCTCTTTCTTTTTCTTTTCTCCTTCCTTCCTTTTTCTTTCTTTCTTTCTTTCTTTTTCTTTCTTTCTTTCTTCTTCTTCTTTCTTTCTTCTCCCCTCCCCTCCCCTCCCCTTCCCTTCCCTTCCTTCTTTTGAGATAGGGTCTTGCTTTGTCACCCAGGCTGAACTAAAGTGCAGTGGTATTATCTAGCTCACTGCAGCCTCTACACCTGGCCTCACCCTCTCAAGTAGTTGGGACCACAGGTGCCACCAAACCTGGCTGATTTCTTTTTTGTATTTTTTACAGAGATGACATTTCTCTACGTTGCCCAGGCTGGTCTCATCTCAAACTCCTCAAGCTACAGTGATCCTCCCACCTCCACCTCCCAGCATACTGGGATTATAAGTGTGAGACACGTGATGGCCCATATTATTCTATTTCAGAATGTGTTTCTTAGGCCTTCTGTGTTCATTTTCAAAGCCATGATGACACTGCAGAATGACAGAAGAAAATATACATTATTATCAGGTAAGCATAAACACAATATACATTTTATATGAATGGAGATAAATTGAAAAAAATATCATTTTTAAGATTGCATTCATCTTTAATGGAAGTTATGAATGAATTATTACCTAAAAAAATAAAAAGGACGTTTTAATTTAAAATTAACAGCTGTCTGTAATTATTAACATTTAAGGATGTGAAAGAAAACTACCTACAAAACTTGATAGTCTTTCTGAACTCCAACTTTTCCTACAATGTGTGAACTTGATTGCTTATGTATATTTAACTTCTAACCCTTCCTGATTTGAAATAACCTCACTATTTTACATGATTTTTGTTTCCAGAATCACTCACTTGCTCTCCCAGGTCATTGTGCATTTTTCCACACCAAAATTACCACCATAGCTTAACAGAAGCAGCTTGTTCCCAGACTTTGGGCAGAGGGACAGTGGCAGTTTTGCCCATAGGCAGTGTAAAGAAATGTTATTCTCTGTACCGGAAACAAATCTCCAGAAGCTCTCATTGAAGAATGAGATTCCTAGCCCTCAACTCAGGACTATGGGTGCGGGATTTCTGGAGAGGGAGCCCTCCTATCTGCACTTTCTCAAACTCCCCACACGAGTCTTAGACACATCAAATTGTGAGAATTTAAAGGCTGCAGATTTGCCAAAATAAATTGCTGCTTGTTTGGACAGCAAATAAGGTGCTTATGGAGTTTTACACTGCTGTAATACACTTCTAGCCTTTCTCGCTGCCTTACCATGTTTTAACTATTTAACATTAGAGAAGTCATTATTGCTATCTGAAGAAATATGAGGTATGCTTCACCCAAATGCTATGAATAACTAATTAGAATGATTAGCTGGAGAGCGATTTGACTCTCTGAAATTTAACATGTTCTAGAATTTTGAAAAAGGAAAGCATATGGAATAGTGTTTAAAAAATGTTTCCAGAAAGAAAATACTTGTTTATTGATTTGGAATTAATAGGCCAGTTACAGATTTGTTAAACTTTTAAATATGTGTAAGAGTAATTAATTCACCTCCACAGATCCCATTTCTTATTCCAGTCCTACACTGCTCCTTTAAATGAGGCCTACCTCGCTTTCAATTCAAAACCCTTACTCCTGTAGAGTCCAGAATTCAGGACCAATTGAGATCTTACATTCACCATCAAACAGACTCAAATATGCTCCTAACTCAGGGACTGCCATGAACACCAGTCAAACATATCAAGGTAAAAGGATGTCTTTTGCACAATAGAGAGAAAACGATACAGTCTTCTTCCAGAATATTAAGCTGTATCAGCAGCGGTTAACAGAAGATAAGTGGATATGTGAAATCCATCTAGGATAAAAAAGAACAAAGTAAAATGATGAGTTTACGAGTTTTATCTGTCTTCCTTTTTCATGGTGAAATTTAGCTTGAAATCTGAAGATAAGCAGCTCTCTAAATATGCTTCTTAAGATTGAACAGATATTTTCAAAGGTAGTTTATTTGAAAATAAAATGTTAGTCATTCTTCCCTGAAAAAGAATTTTAAAACACTAACCTTTGTAGTGTATTGACATACAAATCATCCTTCCAATAACTTCTTTCATTAATTCAAAAACCTCTGCTAAGCATGAGAAAAGGATAAAATATTCATTAAGCTTAAATTTCAGTTGGCTGTTAATCAAATAATTACTAGAATGCAAAGGATTTAATATATTTGGGGTTTATAATTTGGAGGCAAACAAACTCCAATACACCTAACTAAAAATAATGAAGCAAAACTTGTATGGTCTAACCCTCTTAGTCAGATAAAACCATAACAGAAATATGTTTTTTTCTGAATAAATGAAATAAATATTTGGTTATAATGAATTTAATTTAAAGGTATTTAAAAGTTGAGTAAAAGTTGTTTGAAGATGTATTAGAAACACATCATAAGCTTTTTTCTTAGCCTTTTGAGAACCAAGTGATTTGACTATAATGGAGAAAACTTTTCAGACCCCAGAACTGAAATACATTCTTTCTACATTATTGTGTAAGGAAGGTGATAGTGTAGCTCTCCCTTTTTTCTAGTCCTTTGATATAAAATTTTTCTAGAAATATAGTTTGTCAAAAAGAAACTAGAGACAAATCTTTAATAGCAGTGCACTTACTCACTTGGTATGAGGGGTAGAAAGGAAATGATAGGGTAGAACTTACCTTGTTAGTTTAGAGAATTATTTCAAGGACTAGAGACACCTGAGCGCATGCCCCACTGGACTTGGATTACTTTGTATGCATGCTACTGTGCAGTGTTATTGGGGACAATTTATAGATTACCCTGAGGGACTTGAAGAAGAAAGGGCATAGTCCCCATACCCTGCCATTTCTCAGTGTGGGTGTAGTTGGAAACAAAAGCTGTTGACAATTTGACCTCCACATGGAAAATGCAAAATTCTTCCAAAGCCATTGCCTCTTGACAGCAGTGTAACGAGAGACGATATACACAATGCAGAGCATAGCAAGCCCCACTGGCTATTTTCTCTGCCCAGAGTACTTCTCACAAAACTGGTCACTTCTCCTCCTTCAGGACTCCACCCCAAAGCCAGCTTCTCACTGAGTCCTTTCCTAACTTCACCAATCAAAGTTGCCCTCCCTCTACCTCCACCCTATCTCATCACTCTCCCACAAAACACTTCATTTCCTTTACAGCACGTATCACTATTAGAAAACATTTTCTTCATTTCTTTATTGATTTAGTGTTTCCTTCTTCCCGCTGAAAAGTAATGCTTCTTGAGGTTGTGACCAGTCCTGGCTAAAGAACTATTGCCCTTCCTTTGCAAATATTTATTGCATGTCAGAGGCTGGGTACACAATGTTCAGGAAAGCAGACATGACCCTTGATCTTACCTTCTTGTAGTTTACAGTGTAATGGATGAAACCTATATTAATCAAATAACTACACAAACAATTGTAAAATTACATCTGTGATCAGTGCTGGGAAGGAGAGAGACATGCACTAGCTGAGTGGATAATGGAAAATCTAATTGAGTCAAGGAGGTCAGAAAGTTTCTCAGTGGAAATGATTTTAGAGCTACGGTTTCAAAGATAAGTAGACATTAAGTGAGGAGATTCTAAGCTTAGGGAAATGGAAAGACCCTGGGGCAACAGGGAAAAATGATGTACATAAGGGACTGCGGGAAGGCAGATGCAGCTGAAACACAGGAAGCTGTGGGGAGCAGGCTGCAGGGATGGATCATAGGGGTCACCAGGGGCTGGACCAGAGCTGGGACTGGTGAGCTGTGACTTTACCCCTAATTTATTAGGAGCGATTGAGTCTTCTGTGTGTGCAAATGTGGGAGGGTGTGTGTGTGTGTGAATGTTCACAGGGGAGTATAATCAGGTTGTAAATTCTAAAGATGGTTATGGTTATTCTGTAGAGGACAGTTGACTGGAGAGAGATAAAAATAGTGTAAGTGGACCACTTAGGAGGTCATGGCAGTACCCCAGGGACAAATGATGGACATTTGAATTCAGGTAGTGCACTTGGGAAAGAAAGTAAGTAAGTAGACCCCAGAAACATTAAAGATATACAATTGAAAGGACTTGATGTTAGATTGCATAGGAAAGAAAACAGGACAACTTGCTACTTATTTGAGTTGATTAATGCTGCCATCATTATCTGAAGCAAAGATACTACAAGGAGATATGGTGGGGTATAGAGATCATGAACTTGGCTTTGATGTGTTAGGTTAGAAGATTTTATAGGGAGGTTGAATAAATTATGACTTGCTACACTTCTTGAATTTCTATGAGTTAGAGTTTTAGCCCTATTCAATTCAACCTGGCCAATTACTTTCACTCTTTAAAATAATTTTGTTTATCATCTTTCTTTAATAGCCAAATGGAAGCCTGCAGTTTTGTTTTCTACAACTTTAAATTCTACATATTGTGTGAAGCACCAAGAAGGCCTAAACACCAACTCAAGAACTTTTACGGTAGTGAGAATTGAGGGATGGGCTGTTGGTGGTTTTATCTGTAAAGAATATAAAATCAGTAACTTGATACCTGAGATCAAAACCATATATCAAAAAAACATAGCGGAATACCAACACACAGTTTTATAGAACCTGAGCCTAAATTATCAAAATCTTACTGCATTTAATACAGACATCCAAGTCCAGTCAAATAACATTTCGTAATATCAGGTTAGAATGTTCACAGCTCATTGCAACTCATCTGGATTGATGTCACCTCCCCAACACACTTGGCCTTCACTATTGATTGTCTACCCAACAAGCAACAGAGCCAGACAGGAGATATTTTATCTAAAATAAAGCAAAATTATGCTGAGATCTATTTGTGATGTACTTTTTAAAGGCAGTGCAAAAATGTCTTCTGATACATCGAGAAAGATTATCTGGAATTAACCAGAAGATATTTTGTTCCTTTTATTTATTTCTATTATTTTAATTTTGTAGAAACTCTGGGATAGTATGCAGAAATTCTTTCCATTTTTAAATCATTTTGTGAGTTCAACTTAATGTTACTTTCTGGAAAGATTTCTTCTTTTTTTTTAACATATCTATCTATCTATTTCATCTATCTATCTTCACATATGTGTGTGTAACCACTCTAAAATATTTAATTACTCTATATGTTCAGAGTTTTGACTTAAAATTTTATGTAAAATTCCATTACTTTAAATAGTAATAACTTTCAGAAAGAGCAACACTAGTCTAAACTAATATAAAAGCTGTAATTTTTACAAATACATAAGCCCTCCCAAATAAGGTAATTTAACAAATGGTATTTTTCTCAGTAAACAAAATAAATGCCAACTTGCTAACCTATTTTGCAAAATTCATCAAGTAACCTAAACAAGCAATCTGTTCATACATATATCAAGTAGTTAAGAAAAAAAAGAATTTGCTGATGATATTAAAGTAGAAACAGGACCTTTCCACAGTTTATCATTTTTTTCATAATATTTTTCTCTCACTTAAAAAACTCCATTTTTAATTACTATGATTTAATTTGAACCAAAATCAAGTAAATATATATATACTCCTAAAATTTAATCCTCTTCTAGAAATAGAGAAAATGTGTTCATGCTGGCAGCCACCAGGAAAACCATCACATGTAGACGGTGATGTGGATCAAAGGGATGTTTGAGTCCTTTCATTAATAGCTACGTGATAAAGGGACACAAGCTTGAAGAAATGCCTTTCCCATTCGGAACAGGTAAATGATCTGTCTGCAATATCTGTCACTGCCAGTGGCCAGCCTGGATGCTCTGTCATGGTTATGTGGTTGGGCAGGAAGACCATCCTACTAAGGGTTATGTGTGCTTCACTGGATTTTTAAGTCAGCATTGGCCCCATGACTGTAGTGATGTCTACCTCTAAGTGAGTGAGTATCCCTGATATCTAAGTCTTACATCTTATACTGAAAACTACTTGCAAGCAATACACAGAAACTTATCAATTGAAACTTATTAAGTATTATCTACCCAATATTCAAAGAAGAGAGAGCTATTCTACTCAATGTAGGGAATATACTTATGCAGAAAATTTCAGTGCTTTTTTATATTAACATTTATTATTTTCTAATTACGCACAATACTTGTCATATTAGAAAAATTGGGAGATATGGAAAAATATATTAAAAAGAGAATGAAAAACGCCCATAATCCCATCTCCAGAAATAGCCCTGTCAGCATTTTGGTACAGTTCCTTCCAGTCTATCTTTATGCATATGTAACTTTTTAATACAACTACGATTGTACCATATATGGTGTATTATGCTAATTTTTAATGCCATAATATAATTTTCCATGTTATTAAATATTATTTAAAGTCATAAATTTTAAAGTCTATACAATGACCAATTGATTAGCTCTAATATACTTAATGATACATATGCTATTTCCAACCTTCATTCTTTTAAAAAAATTGAATTTTTACAATTATTTTCTAAAATTTCGAATTCAATGCCCTTTAAACCATTATGTGAAACATTGACAAGTCAGTTTTAAGGCATAATAAATAAATCACTCAACAGACAGAAAAAGAGTCTAACTTAAGTTTTTTTAATAAAAATGATATAAAAAATGAAAGAGCTACTTTATGTAAGTCACAACATTTGAAGACATATTACTTTAAAAGGGTGTCTTGTTTCTAAAGGCACACTTTTCAAAGATGCACCAGGTAGCAAGTGCCACTTCCAGCGATAGTCTTTGTGTTGAGAAAAATGCCTAAACTTTTTTTATATCAGTGGCTGCTGTGATCTTGTCTCATAAATGAGATCTCAGACACATTTCTGTCTTCTTACAATGGAGAAGAGTCCTGGAATAGCTGGGGCGCTGAAGGGGAGCTGTTCATGTATGGACCACTGCAGCAGGCAGAGGATCTTGATTGTCAGAATCAACTGTTCATGCTACATAAGGCAGGCAACCGTTACCAACATGTTCATCAAATGGCAGTGCAAAGATGATCAGCTACAAAGTGCTCATCTGTAATCTGGGTTGATTTTATAGTAGTCAGAGAGGAGGGGATAAATAAATGAAACACTGTCCAGATAATTCAAATGAATAAACTTGATAAAGAGTGTCAAGAAAACATCTTTCCAACAATCAATCTTGCATTGGCTTTTAAAAATACTTTAAATAATGATTCTAATTTTAAATAATGATTCTAAATTTGTCTTAGATAGGAAATTCATCAGAATCACTATATTTCAACATTGGCATCTATGAATCCCTTTATTATAGATTCTTTCTATTCCATTTAGTTACTAGGCATTCAAATGTCTAAAATCCAAAATAAGTAGTTTAAATATATTAAATTACAACTGTGCTAGTCAGTGTGTTTGAGTTCAAAATGTCTGAAAACAACTGCACACAAACTCCCAATTCAACCTGTCTAGTAATTTGCACCACACAGAAGCTAATCAAAATCAGCAGTGTTATCCTAAGGTTATTTAAGACAACAACTAGACAATGGTTATTCTTTTCCTGAAGGTATGAGCAAAACAAATTTAGACCCTTTCCTCTGATTCTCAGTCCATCCCCCGCCAAACAATGACACAGTTTGGCATATGACTTCTCCACCACTCTTGAGTGATTGAACTGGAAAGGGTGCTATGATCTTCCTGACAGCGACCTGCAAGGAGGGAGCTCTGTTAGTGCCACCCTCATCCCTCAGGTGCGCTTCATAGGCAAGGCTCACTGCTCTCAAGAGACAACTATGTACCCTAAGTGAGTAGCATAACACATACCATATGCATTATTTCATTCACTAAGTAAGAACTGCCCTTACCAGAGAAGGCTAAAACTCACCCAGTAGCAGACAGATCTTTTATTCTCACATTTGAAAGCACAGGTTCAGAATGGAAAAACGATTTAAACCACCAGGTGGATTCTGCCACTTCAGGCAACCCTATTAAATAAAATTCATGTTACTCCTTATCAAACAAATTTGAGATTGAAAATAAAAAGAAATAATAAGGATGACACTGAAAGAAATAACTAAGTACCTTGCTGTGGTTTGTCGTCATCTATGAAGTTAACAGAATCAGAGCTAGTTAAAGAACTAACTGAAGAAACACTGGACTCTGTAGGAAACAAATGATATTAAACAAATAAATAACTGGCAACCAGACAAGCAAATCCGCATCATTTATATACAAACTGTCAAGTAGCATGGTTTGAAATCATTTATTCCTGGCTTGTGAATTCATGAATTGAAAAACTGATCAAATTACCAATCAATAGAAAGCTGCTATATTAAGAAATACTATGTTCTACTGATAAGATATACTCATTTCCAAGGCAGGAAACTCACTCTCTCCTTGGATATCAATGTTGAATTTAAAATGTATTATAAATGTTTTCAGATTCAAAAACTAAGAAAGAACAAGACCAAGAATAAATATTGTTGTACTACATTAGAAATATTACATATATGTATATTTAAAGTTCTACAGAAGTCATCAAATCTAGAAATTAAGGAATTATTTGGAAAGAACAAACATTTTGTCTTATTAGGCTTGTATTTAAAACCTATGTCTCTTATAAGATCAGAATATAAAAGTAACTCCTGTGGATAAATAACACCAAGTAAATGAGCGTAAACTTTTGTAAAATGAATAAATCAGTAGTTGTCTCTAACACTTATACTACAAACAACCCTTGAAAGAAGAGTTTTCTATGTGTTGTTGCCATAGATACTTGTAATAACTACTAATTTGGTTCTGAAATGCTTATTTTATTTTATGAAATTTCTCAATCTTCTCTAAGAAGCTACAATTTTCTATTTGGCCATGAATATGAACAGATGGATAGATTAATAAAAATAAAACTGGCCAGATAGAAGTTGGCCTATTATCCATAGCAGAAGATGGAAATTAGAAAATTTTTGAAGCAAAGTCATGCTATCTTTTCTTTTCTAAGGAGTTGAATAATACTTTATTTATGTAAAATTATCAGTTTTTAGTGAATCTTACAGAATGCAAGGTACATAAAATTAAAATGTACTAATGAAACATAAGCCGATGTTCACTGATTTTTAAGTGTCAATGGCTTCAACGATACAGCGTAGCTAGAACAAAGAAGTGCCTGTCAGCACTGGATCAGAGAAGTCCCTGAGGCCTCCTGCTTTCTTCATTGTCACCAATAGTTCTCTCCCTTAAGTTCTGAAGGTAACATGATACCTGTGTTAACAATATCCCACAAACATCACCTCAAATCATATTATCTAGGGACGTCTCTATGATGATGCAACTTACTTCGATAATACTGATTTCTGGCTAGAAGGCAACCAATGGAAGGTACGGATGCCATGGCTTTACCCGTGAGAAAGCACCCAAGAAGCTGTGAGCATTAATCTGAAACAGCGACAGAGAAAAGAGACATTGATATGAATAACAGGGAGTTTCCTTTTCTTTTTTCCACGTGACTGTTACAAAGTATTATCATTTACCATGTAATAAATATATGATAAAAGGAATTTAAATGTTTACACAAAAGTTCAACCAAATATACTGCAATAAAAAGATGCAATTAAGTAGTACATTTAGGTGAAAAAGAAAAACTATACATCCAACTATACACAATGCACAGAACTTACTCCATCTAAAACAGACCTAAAGGTCAGAGAAGTGTTAACTCAGCCATGAGGTAGTCACTCACCGATTTGTTTTCTCCAATTCGTTCTTTTAAAATAAACGTGGTTCTAAAGTTTCTTCAGAAAATACATGCTTTGAAAGAACCAGTTCTTAGGGATTGAAGAGAGGCTGCACCACATACGCAGGGCCAGTGGTAGGTCCGTGATGGGAGACCCCTGAGCACACCTTATATTTAGAAGCCCCAGGCTGGCTGGAACCTGAGCTGTGGGTGACTCGGAGTGAGGTGGGCACACAGCCAGCCAGAGGCAGCAAGCAAGCACTCTCTGCACGTCTGCCCTCCAGCCTGCCAAAGGCCCTCCGAACGCAGCAGCCTGCCAAGTTTGGCTGCAGTCAGCAGGGAAGGACTTGGCCCAATGCTCTTTTGGACTCAGCCTCTTTAATATCACAACCGCTGGTGACTACAGAGAGGGAGGCGATACACAAGTGTCTCCTCAGCCTTAGATACAATCACACACTCCACCTGCAGCACCACGCTGGGCACGTGTGGGATGTACAAGCAGCCTGCTATCTGGCTGGGGAGACTGAACATACCTGCCCACAGTTTCAGTGAGGCAAGGCAGAGTCCCACGGTCAAAGCGGAGCAAGAAAGCACTCTAGGAAACATTGAAGTCTTCCTGAAAGTGGGACAGAGTCAGTGGAACTTGATGGACAGATGGACAGTGAGTTAGAAATTCTAGCAGGAATGACAAGAGAAATGGAAATCATGGGTAATAAGAGGATATTTATGACATTGTATCAATATCATTTACTGATACAAAAGCTAAATTTTATTCTGATTTTAGTAACAAATTTCTCGGATAGATTGCTTTGCCCTTTTTTTTTTCTTTTCCTGAGGCGGAGTCTCACTCTGTCGCCCAGGCTGGAGTGCAGTGGCGCGATTTGGGCTCACTGCAAGCTCCGCCTCCCAGGTTCACGCCATTCTCCTGCCTCAGCCTCCCCAGTAGCTGGGACTACAGGCACGCGCTACCATGCCTGGCTAATTTTTGTATTTTTAGTAGAGATGGGGTTTCACCGTGTTAGCCAGGATGGTCTCGATCTCCTGACCTCGTGATCCACCCGCCTCAGCCTCCCAAAGTGCTGGGATTACAGGCGTAAGCCACTGCGCCCGGCCTGCTTTGCCCTTTCACAGACTCAGTTGACTTACGCATCAAATTGTGGCTCCCTTTACATTGAGGGGTGATTGTGGCCATTGCTGATTCGATTTGTTCAGTGGCTATTGGTTGTGTATTCCTAACACAATTTTTGTAGCGTATACATTGCTAAAAAATTATTCATGTCAGCTAGGTTTTCAAATGTATTCAAAACATTTACTGTAGTATGCCATCATGGTTCCTTTCAAATATTACTCCAGACACAGGACAAAAAGACAGCTACATGATCCCACTTACATGTGGAATCTAAAAAACTGAAACAGACAACAGAAGAGTGATTACCCGAGGCAGGGAGATCGGGGAGTCAGGAGATGTTGGCCAAGGGTACAAAAGCTGCAGTTATGTGGGATGAATACTTCTAGAGATCTAATGTACAGCAGGATTGTAGCTAATACTGTTCCACTGCGTACTGGAAATTTTCCAAGAGAGCAGATTTCAGGTGCTCTTAACACACACACACACTCATGCACACATACAAAATAAAAGAACCATATGATATGGCTGTGTTAATTTGCTTGAGTGTAGTAATCATTTTAGCATGTATAGATATTTCTAAATGTCATATCATGTTGTACATCTTAAATATACACAATTAAATAAAAACAAAATAAACAAATAATAAATATCTACTTCACCTGACCGTCCTTCCTTTTTGTTGTTAATATCATTTATTTAGGCCTCTTCTCCCTCTCTGCTTTAATAATTAGTTTTGCTACACCTTTGTCTACTAAAGCCAATTTTTTCAAAGAAATATTTAATCCTCTCTTGTCTCTTGGTTTTGTATTTCTTTATTTTCTGTTATGCTTTAATTCTTCTTCCTTTTAGTTACTCCAAAATTACACTTCTTGTCATTTATTTCAAAATATTTTATAACTACAATTATCACATTTCTTGAGTGTTTAGGAATGCTTCCTCTTTTCCAAAAGTGTAAGACTTTCTTTAACTTTGAAGTTCAAGGGTACATGTGCAGGTTTGTTACACAGGTAACACGTGTTGTGGCATTTGCTGTACAGATTCTTTCATTACCCAGGTATTAAGCCAAGTACCCGTTAGTTATTATCCTGATCCTCCCCCTCCTCCCGCCCTTCACCCTCCAATAGACCCCAGTGTCTGTTGTGCCCCTCGATGTGTCTATGTGTTCTCATTATTTAACTCCCACTTTTACGTGAGAACATGTGGTATTTAGTTTTCTGTTTCTGTGTCAGTTTGCTAAGGATCATGGCCTCCAGCCCCATTCGTCTTCCTGCAAAGGACATGATCTCATTCTTTCTTAGGGCTGCATAATATTCCATGGTGTCTATGTATCACATTTTCTTTATCCAGTCTACCACTGATGGGCATCTAGGTTAATTCCATGTCATTGCTATTGTGAATAGTGCTGCAATGAACATACATGTGCATTGAGATGGAGTCTCCCTCCGTTGCCCAGGCTGGAGTGCAGTGGGCGATCTCGGCTCACTGCAAGTTCCACCTCCCGGGTTCACACCATTCTCCTGCCTCAGCCTCCTGAGTAGCTGGGACTATAGGCAGACACTACCATGCCCGACTAATTTTTGTATTTTTAGCAGAGATGGGGTTTCACCGTGTTAGCCAGGATGGTCTCCAGCTCCTGACCTTGTGATCTGCCCGCCTTGGCCTCCCAAAGTGCTGAGATTACAGGCGTCTTTATGATACAATTTATATTCCTTTGGGCATATGTCCAGTAATGGGGTTGCTGAGTCAAATGATTGTTCTGTTTTTAGGTCTTTAAGGAATTGCCACACTGTTTTCCACAATGGTTGAACTAATTTCCACTCCCACCAACAGCGTATAAGCGTTCCTTTTTCTCTGCAACCTTGCCAGCAGCTATTATTTTCTAAGTGCTATCTTTTAATTGATGATTTCTAAACCTTCTGCCTTGTCATGAGATAATTTCTGATTTTTACTCATTTTTGAAGTAGTCTATGGAAGTGGCTTTCTATGCACTTGAGAATAACAAACATTATTTATTTACTGTATACTGCCATTATGTTACATGTGTCTGCTAGATTGCATTACTTAACATTTTAAGCAAATAATTCTTATACTTACCAATGTGTTACTGCTTGATCTACCAGTTTCCTGTATATCATCTAATTATATTGATTTTTGTTTTATGAATTTTGAAGTTTTGGGATGGGGCACGCAATAATCACGATTATAATATTGTCTGAGTGGATATTTGCTTTGTCTTCTTTTATCATTACTAACGTTTTACCTTTGTGCTGTTTGTTTAATTAGCCTAATATAATATTGTAGTACCAGCTTTTTATCTGAGTAATCATAAAGTATATCTTTTTGTATCCCTTAATTTTCAACTTGCTGTTCTCTCTGTATCAACAATCACTTACAAGTATCCTTTAACTGTATTTTTTCCTAATGATATCTGTTTTTTGAAATATTTGAGTTTAGCCCACTAATATGTATTGGAATGACTCACAATTTGAACTTTAGAGGTTGAGATCTTTCTACATAATTTTTATGTCTCAGCCACATGTATGCATGTGTGTACTTTAAAACCTTAATATAAATGTAAATTTAGTTAATTTATCCTTTATTGTCTGTACTGCATTTTGAGTGAGTACCACAGTGTTTCTTCCAATTTACTACTTCTCCTTTTAACTATGTCTTACCTAAAATTTAGCTTGTGTGTATGTATACACACACACAAATACATACATATGTATGTATATGTATTTACCTATTTAAATTTTGTTGCTTTATTTCTGTCCTGTTTTTCATAATTCTTTCATTTGTTTCTCTGACCTTCTTTAACATGATTACTGTGAAGTCTTGGTTGAAACCCTCTATGAAATTAGCATCATTCCATGTGCATTCTGTCACAGTTGTGACTCTGTTGGCTGGCTTTCTTAGCAGGAGATTTCTTCATAAGTTTTGGCTGTCAGTTTGCAGGTTCATTTCGAGTGTTCTCTCTGTCCTCTGTACTCTTCCACCCACTAGGCCATCCCACCTCTCCTGGCTAGTGGCATCATGGTGTTCAGGTACCACTCTCACCTGACCCTAGTTTTTGTGTCTTTGAATCATAACACTACTCACATTTTATTAAGTTATTTACTTCTCTCACATATTAAATTGTGAGCAGGTCAAAGATGGAGGTACCTCTATTCATTTCAGCTTCAGCAATGCCCAGCACAAAACCTGACAGATATGGTAGTTTAGGTTCTAAAAATGTAATAAAACTAATGCATCCCTTCTTTGCCTGGTAATAAGGATTACATCCTCGGGTAATAATTAAAATGTCACAACAGGGCTTAGATTTAAATGCTATAACTGACATAATTAGAGTAATTTTTACCTGATTGCTGATTCAAGTTTTTTTTTAAATATCCAAGTACTAAAATTAATCACAATCACATGCTCAGCAAGTCTTTTGTCCTAGAGTCGAGGGTGCTAACATTTTTATTTGATAATGACAAGAAGAGAGTGACTGTCTAATTCCAATGACATGCTGAAAACCAGCAGGGAAAATGGAGCTGTCCTCTGCACACTCCTGTTCAGACAAGTTGTAGGATGTGCCCTACTGAGATATCAGCCTCTTAAATGGTTGAGAAAGGATTCAGAAAGACTAAGTTCTAATTAGTCAACTGCAACCCTTCTGAGAGATGATCTGTTTATCACATGTAAGATACTATTACCCTTTCTAAATTTATTGACATTGGATGCAGTAGTAAATAGATATCAGATTGCTGCTTTCTGGAGCATGGAAATCCATGGCAAGAACAATGACTAAACTTGCTAATAATTCACCATGGCCCTGTGTTGTCACAGACCACTGGCCATGTGTGCAGTATGAGAGGATCAATATCTGACTGTCTTGGAAGACTTAAAGTGTCTAGATCTTATTCTAATCTGCGGTTATAAAATATCTGATTGTCCATGTAAGATGTCAAGAATTTTAAGTGTGTCATGATATTCAGGCCAATAAATGTGCTATATTAAGCATAGCATAGTCACTCCTAATAACTAATGCTGCAAATGAATATGTGTAGCATGTACTCTATAAACACATGGGAATCTGCATTAAAACACTGTTTCATTTCATAATTGTTGCAGAAAAGGTTGCCAAAAACTAGTTATTGACTATCTCTGGGCCTCCACAAGTGATATATGAAAAAGGAAATAATAATATCAAACTTTATTTGAAATTCATTTCAGTTTCAATACATATAATTCAATTGTTTGTTTAAATTTTATATTTCTCTGAATTGTCTGTAGTCTATCCATTAATTGTCATGATTTTACACAACAGAAACCAATCTCATCTAGAATCAGGAAACAATGTAATGGGAGGATGGTGGTCAGTTCATACAATCATTAGGAAGCATAGAGCAGTGTGCTCTCATGAGCAGGATTCTCCAGAAAAGATCCTGGGAGCTTACAGGGGGTCATCAGGTACATGAATTGCCAGAGCCAGGACACGGGAGGAGGTGCACCCAAACCACTTCCCATGGCACTGGAGCTAAAATTGCCACAGCCACACATCTCAAGGGCCAGGCTGCTGGATCTTCTAGACAGCCTCTAAAAAGTAGCATCCTAAATCCAGTGGGCACCCCAAATCTGCCTCCTTACACCCTGGCTGTTTAGTGATCCGCTGAGAAAGTTGTTCTTATCTAGAAGAAGGCAGCCCAAAACAACATAATATTACAGTATGTTCTCCAGAAAATTATTGCCCTCCTTCTTCTTGGGGGATGAGAGACTGGGGCTCAGAGTGCCCTCTCTTACTGACCCCTGGCTCATATGCTTTCCCGATAAATCCTGTTTTTCAACCCATATTACGTGATATTGTAAACTCTGTCCTGAGAGCTATTGCACTTCTGGGAGTCACTCAGGAAAAATCCAGGCTTAGAAAATGACAAGAACCAAGTACATTTAAGCAGAGAAGCACTTGCCCAAGTCACACCACAGGCAGAAAATGGCAAGGGTCCTGCTGTCAACTATGATGAAGCCACCAACACAGAGCCCCCAGCGGGCTGAACTTAGTGGCTAACCCTAGGCCAGGCGATTGGCTCTAGCTTCATGGATATGGAGAAAATATGTATCCTTGTAGCAAAAGCTGCTGTCTTTCAGTATCTACTCTCTTCTTTCATTTTTAACATTTATTGGGCATCATCCACCCGACTAGGCAACCCATTTCTCAGCCTCCCTTGCAACAGGGAATATGTCGGGGCCAGTGAACTGTGAGAAATGCGTTGTTTATCTTCAAGATCATCTCCTTAGAGACCAAGCCACTTGGCGTGGACTTCTTTTTGGCTTACTGGCTGGAGAATGTTACTAACTGAAACCATCTTGGAAGAAGCTACACTGTGAGAATAGCTTTCCCACCTCAGGGCTAGTACCAGAGAATGAAATAAAATTCCCTTTCTAGGCCGTATCATGTTCTTATTGTTATAAGAGATTAGCTTGCACTCTGACCATTAAAATCAACTCGGACGTCAATAGGGAGTGGCACAGAGTGTTAGGTTCCCCCAAAATAGGTCTTCAGATGCCGGGCTGCCAAGGAGCAAAGGCTGATGTCACCAGAATGTTTTATTGTTCTTGATCCTAACACAAATCTTTTGCTCTGCTAAGCAGGCCCAGTCATTTCCTTCCACTTGAATGTGGCAGCCTCATTCCCACCACATGCCCTAACTTACATTGTTTACACAACTTACAAGTATTTCTCTTTTGCCCTTTTTCCTGAGCCCCTTAAAGCATAAGAAAATTAAGTTAAATAATTTCCTGATTCATATCTGTATTACTATTGGATGGAATAATGAGTCAGTTGCCCATCATGCAAATATGAAAACACTAAAAACCAAATTAATATCAGTTTTCGTCTTCTCTCCTCTGCCCTGCATCTCTCCTGCCTGGCTGCCAAATAGTAATCATGCTATAAAAACACTTTTTGATCAATTATTACCAAGCACTGGTCTGGATTCTTGAGGTTTCCTCCATAGGCATCCTTGACACCATCTAGAAAGCCACAGAGCAGCTGAGTGATATCTCTGGTAGTTAAATTTACTAGTAGCAACAAGATATTTCCACCTCAGCCTCAATGTTAACTCATACACTGGGGGGAGGTGAGTTCCCCTTTCTGATGCAAAGACCTTTCCTCAGTATGTTCTCCGTTTAGGATTCTCTGAGCTGCACTTGTTTTTTGTTTTTTTGTTTTTTTGTTTTTCAATACTGTCACACTTCCTCCTTCCTGTGGTAAAGTAACTAAATGAACATAACTGGCTCAAGCCACATCTGTGTTTCTGGCTTGCAAATCCTACACCCAGTGAGTTGGATAATTACTCTGAGTAACGGTCAATATACTGATAATTTGGAAGCCTATGAAACAGATTGGGAACATGAACACCCTTTATTGTCTAGCAGACATTCCATAGTATCAGTAAGACCAAAGAATTATCAAATTCTTTTTGTTTAAATTTTGATTGCTTTTCATGTCAGATCGAAATTTAAACACCATTTTCCCCCGATCTATATTACTCCCATTTCCCCACAAATCCCCATTCTCAATATGAGGAAGCTGCTTATTTTGATATGCCTCAGATCCTCGTCTATGAAATGCAGAGTGCATCTGATTATCTGACTGTAGGAACTCAGGCTCTGTTCCCTGGAAGACAGACAAATTTGCCCACAGTTTTATTAAAGACTTTTCTTGGGAAAATGCTGAAAGAGAGTAAGGAAAGCAGGGCTGAGCAGTGAGAGATGCTGGACTGAAGTGAGTGGGCCTCGGTGGGCTTGTCCTGGGGGGGAACCTGGGCGGCACTGCCAGGCCCCACATCCTGCCTTTGCATTGCTTGAATCCACTGGCTTTGGATAGTAAGTTCATCCCTGAGGAGCATCTCCTCAGGGGCTCAGATTGGTTCTTTTTCTGGGAAAACTTATACAAGGAAGGTAAGTGGGATGAAGTTTAATTCCTGCCACTGCAGAGGACTTGAGGTCACAGTGACTCCCACCCTCTCTGGCCTGTGTTTCCTGACCAGCACCTCTTCTGAGACAAATGGTTTACCCAGAGGACCGACCCATATCTTCATCTTTGAACTTTCTGTACCACTGGTCACACATCTTTTGTAAGCTGTGGGTGCATGTGTGGGAAAGGTGCAGTTCCAAGAAAGTCCTGTTCATATGGCTCGCCCTTGGCTGTACCTGGGAATGAGCCTCTGGAATGTTTTTTTGCATTCCTGAGGTCTTAAGCCACATGGTACCAGTTGTCTGGCTAGTTTAGAGCAACATGTGTTCTATGGAGATCTGGCGCTTCAGTAACAGAAGAAAGTCAGGCAAGTGCTCTATGCCTGCATGACCAACCCTCCATAAAAACCTCAGGCTCTGAGGCTCAGGTGCACTTTCTTAATGGGTAGCATTTTGTACATGTCACACATCTTCACTGGAAGAATTCAGTGTGTCCTATGTGACACTACTGGGAAGGAAAACCTAGAAGCTTGTGACACCTGATTTTCTCCGGACTTCCCCCCAATCCAGGGAATCTTTGGAAGTCTACCATTATCTACTGGATCCAGCTGGTTTTTGTAGGGGCCTGGTAGTTAAATTAAATGGCAGCCACCACTCATGCATTTTTTATATATACTTTTTTTTTTCAGGGTCTCACTCTGACACCCAGGCTGGAGTGCACTGGTGCCATTTCTGCTCACTGCAACCTCCACCTCCTGGGCTCAAGTGATCTTCTTGCCTGAGCCTCACAAGTAGGGGACTACAGGTGCACACCACCATGCCTAGCTAATTTTTGTATTTTTTGTAGAGACAGGGTTTTATCATGTTGCCCAGGCTGGTCTCGAAATCCTGGGCTCAGGAGATCCACCTGCCACAGCCTCCCAAAGTGCTGGGACTACAGGCATGAGACACCACGCCCAGCTCATTCTTTATATCTTTAAAAGTAGCATTAGTATCAGCCATTTCTCCCAGGATGCAATTTTTAAAACATTTACTATCTTGGCTATGACATGGGGCAGGTGGAAGGACAGGGAGAAGTTCTGGAAGCTGGCACCAAGCCTTGCCTACTACATCACTCCTGCATCACAGGGCAGTGACCAAAATGATTGTTCTGCCAGCCATGGATTGTGCCCATGTGAATTTTACATTTGCAGACCAGGGAACTGGCCATTACGACCAGTGGATAGAGTAAGAGTAAACCAGACCTGGGTCAGGGCTCCTATACATACCGCCCTAACAAGCATGTCATGATGACATTTCTGACCCCTGAGAATCTATTTCAACATAGTTCTTTTGTTTGAGAAGTCCTCAAAATGTCATGTACTTCAATTCCACAGTGCATGAACAACCCTTAGGTCCCTTTGTGGAAGAACTAGGGTAATGATTTTCAGATGCACTTCCCGTGGTGTTACAGGATCCCTACTCGTGGGAACCCAGCCCTCCTTCACTCCGTAAATTCTGGGTCTGAGAAGTGTCTAATAAGATCCAGAAACCAGGCCAGAGATCATGAATATTTTTTGATCTAGCTTCCCTCAAAATCCTTGGCTGTATTTTTATTGTACAAATGAAGCAATGCTCTTGAGACCACTGGTCCGTCTTGGCCCTGGGAACACCATGTCTCTAAGCCATCTCCCTGTGTGCAGGGCATCCTGTGCTGCTATTCTGACCTTACCACTCATGACAATTGCACTCACCAGCTTCTGATGATTAAGTGCCACTGCCTGACCCTTCTTGGGGGATCTTGTCATTCCCATTGTAAGTAGGGTTTCCTACTCTATAACAGCACCTCAGTCCTGAAAAACAGAAAATAAGCCTCACTGATTTTCTCAGTGAAACTGGTGCTCTTGTCTCCAATGTGCTCTTTTTCATTTTAGGAAAACAGTGTTCCCTGTGAAACACAACCAGCTTAAGTAGGACACCCACTCCAGCATGCACATTACTCTGAGGTTTTGGTTTTTTACCCTTTCTTCAACCACCTTCTGTAGTAATTCAGGAATTTCTATTTCACTTTGTATGGGCTATTGTTACTTCCAAGAATTATCCTCACAACATATCGGTTTCACATGGTGCCCTTGCCAGGGTGTTAGATGCTATATGGTGGAAAAATCACCCTTATCAAAAAATTCTCCCTTAACCAACTTTATGTCTGGCACTCCTTGAGCCAGCTCCATCAGGAACCCGTTCTGTTTGCATTTGCCCATGTGCATTTAGCTAAGCCCTGCTGCTCCTTTAGGGTAGAGGCCCTTTCCTACCTTAGCAGGCCAGCAATCCTTAGTTAGCTAATGTTGTAACTCATGCAGGTTATTTGTCCAATGGGCAGGTTAGAACATAGGTGTAGATCCAGCAAGGACATATGGTGCATCCTTTTAAGCAAGGAAAGAGCCCTGATTTTAAAACGAAGGAGTTGGCCATTTCTGTAGTTGTAGAAGGTTTGGGACAATCTTGTGATTCAAAAAAATTTAATGCATTGACTGAAATGTCCCCATCACAAATCTCAGTGTCTGGTTTTTGCCCGGAGAGGCCTTCCCCTTGGAGAAGCAGACTCTGAGCTTCTCATAATTAAGCAGACTCTGAGCTTCTCATAATTAAGCTCACTCCTCAGCTTTTTTATCATTTAGCCACAAGTCCCTTTACCTGCTGCCAAGGAGCCATCTGACTTTCTCCTTACATCAATATTCCCCACTCTCCTCTGGCAGATTTTCTCCAATGAATTGGCAACACCCAGCACCAGTCAGCTCATCCCACAGCCCTCTAATTGCTGTTTCCCCAGACCCTCTTTCCCCAGACCCTCTCAAACACCGGAGATGGTGCAACCACTAAAGCAGCCCCTTCCACCATCGCACCATTCCAATTTCCATCTGTGGGCATTTGGACAATTGCCCCGTGTGTTCATTTGCTAAGGCCACTGTAATAAAATACGGCCAACTGTGGGGGACTTAAACAAGAGACATTTATGTCCCACAGTTCTGGAAGGAGAAGTCCTAGATGAATGTGTCCACAGGGTTGGTTTCTTCTACAGCCTCTCTCCATGGCTCATAGTCTTCTCTCTGTGGGTCTCTGTGTCCAAATTCCCTCTTCTTATGAGGACCCCAGTTGTATTGCATTGGAGCCCACCCTAATAAGCTCATTTTAATGTAATTACCTCTTTAAAACCCTATCTTCAAATCCAGTCCTATTATAAGGTTAAGACATCAACATCTGAGTTTTGAGGGACACGGTATAGCCCATGCCATCCTGCTTGAGCTTGCCAAAGACTATGGGTCCCCACCTGTCACCCATGACAGGGTCCACACTGCCAGCCAACTGAAGGGGATCAGCTCCAACAGCCCAGCCCTACTGCTAGGAGAGTTTCTGCCTCTCGCTGGGCTCCATGAGGACTATGTAGGGGGAGTTTACTGAGGCATGAGGGAGACAGTCCTTGAGCATCACCTGTTCAAATCACCTTTCTTCATCAATTACATCATGATATCACTTAGACAATTTACCAATTATAAGTAAGATTTCAAACACGAAATGTATGCTAAGGGAAAAAAGTTTATTTTTGAACATGAATTACCCATTTTATAAAATATCTTCCATTACGCCAATTTTGATTCATTTTTATTTACCCATGAATGGATGCATTGCAACTTTTGAAGGTAATATCCATATTTTCTGGTATAAAATTTCACACAGTCATTTTTTTCCGCTGATCCTTTAACTAAACTTATACAAAATAATTTCCTAGTCAGAATTAAAAACAGAGATGGGCTGGGCACGGTGGCTCACAGCTGTAATCCCAGCACTTTGGGAGGCCGAGGTGGGCAGATCACCTGAGGTCAGGAGTTCGAGACCAGCCTGACCAACATGGAGAAACCCTGTCTCTACTAAAAATACAAAATTAGCCAGGTGTGGTGCCGCATGCCTGTAATCCCAGCTACTCGGGAGGCTGAGGCAGGAGAATCACTTAAACCCAGGAGGCGGAGGTTGAGGTGAGCCGAGATCCTGCCATTACACTCCAGCCTGGTCAACAAGACCGAAACTCTGTCTCAAAAATAAACAAACAAACAAACAAAAAACAGAGATGCAATAAGCTTCAGAGGCAGAGACAGGAGATGCATTTTTAATAACATAGGGATAATTATCAAAGAGCCCAAGTCCACCTAACATGTTGAAAGCATTAAATTATATGTTATTTATTTAAAATAAAATTTTGAAATCTGAGACCTACACATACAAAAAAGAATAGCTTTAGCAGTAATATTTATTTTACTGTACTCTTCACTCTATGCCTAATTGAAGATATAATGTTCAACTACAGTGTTCTTTCATTTCCCTTCTATTTCTTCCCTCTTATGGAAATAAACCCTGCTAAACTTTCAGTTGAAGTGCAGTATTAACTTTTATCAGATGGTCCAAAGCCCGGAATGGTTTTTGAACTTCACTCCAGGGAGGGCAATATATCTTTATAAGTTTCATCACATGAAAGAAAAAAAAGACAACAAAATAAAACATTACCTTGGCTAAATTTTCTCAAGCTGTTGCCAGAAACTACAGAAAACTCTCTGGTATTGCAAATACATTATAACATAGTAAGATAGTTTTATGTAACAAGATCAGTAGTTGAAGGTAATTTCTGTATAGTTAAGTACAGGAAGACACAAGCAATTAATATTATGTTAATCATAGACAATTTTCTAAAGTATTATTACTATATATATTCACGCATATACACTCAATCACAAAAACATGCAAAGAGGTATGGAATTTTAGGTAATTACAGAGTAAGTGTTTGCATAACAATAGTTTTGCTTGCCATCTAGAGAAAATATTGCTAAAATATTTGCCAAAGACAGAATTGCCTCAAAATAAGTCAGTCTTCTACCTTTGCATCTATAACACTGAACTGAAAGGTATGATTTAGTGTTCTTCCATGAATCCACACTCATTTCTAATTATTGGTGAATGTGTATAAGTATTTTGAGGTTTTAGTATTTCTAGACTAAGCCTTACTCCCCTGGCTACCTCATTCCCTACCATGAACCAAGATCACTATAGCGTTATCCCTCTTTAATTTAAGGCCTTAAGTATTGTGCTTTACCTCTGTTACATGCTACCCTCCACACCCAACCCCACACCACACCACACCACAACACACCACATCACACGGAATATATATAGACCTGGGTCTGGAAATAGGATAGCATTTAACATTACAGAGCAGGTGTTAAAATCAAAGAGCTGAGACAGAATATAAAGCCCCTGTTGTCTGCACTGTTTCCATTCAAACTAAAGTGGGGTGCCACAGACACTGTTCTCAGGGAATGTGTCCATATCTAAGAAAGCCAGCCAGAATAGAGGCTGTTCAGTCAACAGTTACAGACCACTCCGACTGTGCAATATACTGTTCCAAGCACTAGTGGGGATGCATATATCCCTGCCATTAGGATATTTATAGTCCAATTGGTGGAGATAATTTTATTAACAGGCAGCCAGAAAGAAGAACCTTTGCATGGCATCAAAGTGGGTGGAGGTGGCGCTCAGCCCTCTGAGGAGATGCACAATGACAGCCAAGCATCAAGCAAATTAAGCAAATTTCTAGAAAATGGAGACTTTGGAGGTTAAGACTTCTTTAAGGCTCTTTATTAAATAAAGAAACCAGTTGTCTTTCTTATCTGGCTCCTTCTTTCTTGATGAAATTATAAAACTTTTCGCTGAAGTAACTTTTTAAATACTCCATTGCAAGCAATGTGCTAACTGTAAAATATTGGTCTAAACAAAATAAAGTGCTTCAATCCTTGTCATATTAGCATTCAGAATGCATTTAAACTGTAATTAAAACACATTTTTCTTTGAATGCACATTTAATATGCACAGCAAGATTGATTAAATATCTCCAGCAAGCTGATCTTTTAATTTTTGGTTTCCAAGATGGCACATGCATTGATTCAGTTTCCCGCTTGGTATTCTTTCACTGTCTTCATCCCTCACATATTCCAGCAGAGTGCCCTCCAGTAGAAGCAGAATGCCTAAACACAGAAATGGAACAACAAATCCCAGAACTGCATATTGTAATATATGGTGCATATTGTACCATTTAATTATAAACTGTTAATCTTTTAAGTAAGACTTTTATTTCATAGAATGGGGAAGAAATGTAACCTCAAGATTAGGACTGAAAGTTGGGAATCAGAGGTTACAGGTCTAACTTTGCTTTGAGCTACTCACATAAACCAAGACAAATTTCCTTATGCTTAATTCCACAATGGATAATTTTTACTTACATTTGTTGATGAGGGCTAATAAAATGTAGGAGGTGTTCCTTCAAGTCTGGATTTTGTCTAAATGTGCTGAGGTAAGGAAAACAGCATTTGTCTCCCCTATGCCTTTATTTTTTCTTATAATAATAGTGTTATTAAAATTTAAGTGTTCTTCAAAATGTTATATATAGGAAGCTTTAAATTATTTTATGCATTATACCACTTGTTACCAATTTAACCCAATTACTGTTCTCCTTTACTTTTCAGTTAATCTCTGATTGTACATTAGACATCTGTGAAAGGTAAGGAACTATGTTCAGCCATTTTTAGCAAAACTCTATGAAGACATGTCTATTGGAGTTCAGTCATCAGAGTATATAATCATATTAGGGGACTTGAAGGGCTTCCTTCAGTGAACTTCATTAAAACTAACTTCCCTTGATCATTAAAATACAGTTTGACTTTGTAGCAGCATTTTTTGGTGAGTGTAGGCCTTTTGGTGAGTGTAGTGAAGTATCATTGAAGTTATCACTAAAATATCTTTGATCTGAGATTTTATGTAGAATTGCTCATGGAAATAGCACACCCTTTTTGCAGTGCTTTATGCTATCAATGCATACAGAGGCTGCAAACTCACTCATATTATTTTGTAAAATATAATCTTTAATTCATTTAAAAAGTAAATATAAAAAATTTTGCTCCTTCATATCTAATGGGAATATACTGAAATAGTTTGTTTTAACTTTTAATTAATTGAATTTTTCATACAAGAGATAAAGTGCTTATGGCTTATTAGGAGGAAAAGAAAGGGTTAGCTCATTGTCCAAAATTCACGACCCTTCATTCAGACTAATAAAAATGTTGATAAATATTTCATCAAAAACTGAAATCATAAAGTGAAACACTTTGTAACTGTTTCAAGAGCCACAGTAATGTGCATTCGCTAAAACAATGCATATATTGGCAAGGCTTTTTTAGCCTGTCATTTTAGGGTACAGTACTAAGGGCTTCATAACTTGCACATATGTCACAAGCTTTCAAAAAATTAAGGGAAGAACACAAAGTTTGAATACCAAGTTTGCAATAATAATCACCAAGTGATTTCAAGTCCAGCAACAAAACTGGGGAGTTTATTTTCTAATCTAGAAACGGGGTATCTGTGCATCATCAAATGACACACTAGGGTGAAAAATTTTGCAAGGTATGGTTCAAAGTAACAGCTATTTATATGAGTGGCTACTGTATGTCACACCCTACTGCAATTTTTATTTCCAAGAATTTTGTGGACTTAAAAAATACCAAAGGATAACTGATTGTCGTATTTCTATCTATCACAAAATGGAAAGTTAGGGATTGAAATGATTAGTGCATTTTTGAATATATATCTGGTGTTTATCATTTACAGATATTAGTTTTTATGGATATTGCTCTATCAGCAGGGTGAAAGCCAATATACTTTGTAAATTCTCAATGCCCGTTGGATATCTGGCAGGCTCACTGCACAGATAGTAGTAACTCATCAATCCATTGATTCATTCAAAGACTTTTTGTGTATGTATACTACACACCAGGGCTTATTATGATGTGAATACAGAAGGTTAACAAGACAAAGTTTTTTATCTAATTGAACTCAAGTAATCTAATAAATTATAATATAACTTCCAGTAAAGAAATATGCTACAAATAAAATAAACCAAGGAGAAAGAGTGTTGGAGGACTGCTAATTTAGATAGAGTCTAAGAAACAGCATCTCTGAGGAGGGTCCATTTGGGCAGAGCCTGCAAGAAGGACCAAATTCAAACATAATATCAATGTGAGGAAAGTTCCAAACAACAAGAACAGCAAGGAAGGGTGCTCTAAATGCTTGGAAACAGAAGAGAATGCCATGAATTCAGCTGAGCAAGTGAGACAGGGAGAGGGAGGAGGCTGATAGAAAATGTACTCAGAGAAGTCAGTAGAGAACAACTCCTACTTGTAGAGGCAGTAGGGATATGGATTGGGTTTTATTTTGAGCATGAGGGGAAGCTTTATATGAGTTTTCAACAGAATCATGACAATCTGGTTTTCATGGTTAAAAGATGTTTCTAGCTGTTCTGTGGAATAAGGACTCTGAAGTTATCAAAAGTGCAAGCAAGTAGAATTAGGAAGTTATTGCAGTTCTCCATGAGAGCGATAACAAAAGATTGAACACATGTAGTGGTAGGGATCAAATTTTGTAAGTTGGCTATACAACTGACAAAATACCATTTTTAGCATTGGGAGGAAAGTATGTTTAAAAAACAAGAGTGGCTACTAGATTTTCCACCTAGGCAACTGGTAAAGGAGAGACTGACAACAAATTGAATCTAGTGTCTTTCTTGTATGCCATGGTGTCTAGACCAAGGGTTTTACTTTGGACAGTCAAATCTGAAATGCCTTATTAAACAATCAAATGGAGATGAAACAGTCACCTGAGGCTCAGTACAGAGGCCAGAGCTGTAGATGGAGATGCAAGACCTGGCATTTATTATTCACAGATATTACTTCATTATTCATAGATATAAGTCCTGGAAATTACCAATGTAATATCATATTTAAAACCAAAAGTCTAAATGGGATTACCTGATGGTATAGTACATAGAGACCAGCAAAGAACACAAAAGGCTGAGACCAGGACATATCAACCTAACATTAGAAGTCAGGCAGAAGAATGAGAGCCAGCACAGGAAATGGGGCCTGAGCAGGTAGTGCAGTAGCAGAAATTATTATAAGTGTGGTGTCCAAGGTGCAAAATGAGACAAAGGGGGCAAGAAGGAGGACCTTGCAACTGCCTCAGTGCAGAAACCTTTGATGTACAGTAGGGAAGCCACTGTTGTTGACTCTGATGGGGAGTCTAGGAAAGGCATGGTGACGGCTTTCAATAAGACTGTAGCAATTAGGAGCAGGAGGAAAATATAAAATGAACACTACTTAACAAAGTAAAATCATAGAGCCCAGAAACCAACTGATCCACAGCCAAGGAAGAAACCATAGTGCCATTCTCTAAGTAGAAAGTATAAAGAAATGTGCACATTTTAGGAAAACTCTATGAGTTCAGTTTCAAACATATTGAGCTTGAGGTTTCTGAAGCATCATGGAGCTCAACAGCGACTGGAGACTGGCCTCAGCCAGAATTAAAAGCACACACGGAAAATAGAGCTTTGAGGAGCACCAACAAAAAATTTAAAGAATATATTGGGCAAAGTGAGCCTGCCCTACAAGATTATAAGGGAGACAACTAAGAGAACATATTGACACATATGTGAAGTATGCCTTTGAGTGATAATGCTGTTTCAAATTTCCTTGTCTTAATCTTTCCCAAACTTTTTAAACCTGGCTTCAAATTTGTGCATTAAGAACAGATGGATATATCTTTAATTTCCTCCCACTGTGATCAAGAAGAAAGAAAAGAAAGCCCTGTAAGAGTATACACACACACACGGACAAACACACCCACACTCAGACACATATAGTTCACCCTTGAACAATGTGAAGGTTAACAATGTGAAATATCAGCCCCTGAGCAACCGAAAATCCACATACAACTTTGACTCCCCCAAAATTTAACTACTAATATCTTAACTGTTGACCAGAAGGTCTACCAATAACATAAACAATCAATTAACAAATATTTTTGTACGTTATATGTATTGTATCTTGTATTCTTACAATAAAGTAAGCTAGAGAAAAGAAAATATTATTAAAAAATCATAAGGAAGAGAAAATATATTTACTATGCCTTAAGTAGAAGTGAATCATCAGAAAGGTCTTCATCTTCCTCTTCTTCACACTGAGTAGATTGAGGAGGAAAAGGAAGAGGAGGATTAGTCATGCTGTTTCAGGGGTGGCAGAGGCAGAAGTAAATCCACGTATGTATGTGTGTGTGTATATACACACACATACACACACATGCATATATGTATACATATATTTTTTTTTCTACATAAACCAGTTTCTTCTGGGACACAGACTTTCTGCAAATATTGATGAGTTGGGGCATGATAGTAGAAAGAAGAGAGATTCTGAAGCAAGCCAATCTGAGGTTGAATTCTACTTCTCCCTCTTTTTCACTGTGTAGCCTTTGGCAATTTACTTCATCTCCATAACTCAGATTTCTTATCTACAGATGGAGGATAACTAAACAAACTCCACTTGGTTGTTGTAGATACTACATACAACAATGTTTGTAAAATTTCTACCACAGTGCTTGGTGCATAGATGCTTAACGGGTGTTAGTCTTTGATATGGTTTTGTTGTGTCCCCACCAGATCTCAACTTGAATTATATCTCCCAGAATTCCCACATGTTGTGGAAGGGACCCAGGTAGAGGTAACTGAATCATGGGGGCTGATCTTTCCCATGCTATTCTCATGATAGTGAATAAGTCTCATGAGATCTGATGGTTTTATCAGGGGGTTCCGCTTTTGCTTCTTCCTCATTTTTCTCTTGCTGCCACCATGTAAGAAGTGCCTTCGCCTCCCACCGTGATTCTGAGACCTCCCCAGACATGTGAAACTGTAAGTCCAATTAAACCTCTTTTTGGTCCCAGTTTCAGATATGCCTTTATCAGCAGCATGAAAACGAACTAATGCAGTCTTCTTCCAGTCCCTCCTGAGGGTATTTTAGAGACCTCCTATTTCAATAAAACCTGAGCTCAAGAATATACCAATTGTGTTTTCAACCTTTTTCATAGTTTAATAGATATACTTGGGAAAAGTTGAAATAACGCATATCAATAGTTTTTGCTGTTTAGAAATGTCATTACTTTTTATTGAGTTAAAATTTATATACAGTGAAATGCACAGAACTTACATGTATAGTTGGATGAGTTTTGATAAATATATATATACCTGTGTAACCACCATTCCAATCAAGATATAGAGTATTTTCATCACACCAAGAAGTTCCCTCATACATCCTGATAGTGGTGAGCATCTTTTCATGTGCTTATTGCCCATTCCCATATTTTATGAATTGTCTATTCACGCTTTTTGCCCATTTTTTACTAGGTTGTTTGTCTTTATTGATTTGTAGGAGGCTTTATTTTTGAATACATGTCCTCTCTACCATATGAATAAATTTCTTCCATCTGTGCATAGTCTTTTCATTTTCTTAATGATGTTTCTGATGAGCTGAGATTTTTAATTTTGATAGAGGCCAATTAATAATCTTATTTAAATTTTAAATCTAGCGCTTTTGTATTCTTGCTAAGAAATCATTGCATACTTCACAGTTGCAAAGACATTTTCTTCCCTTTTCACCTAGAGATTTTAAAGCTTTAAATTCATGTTTAGATGTATAATCCATCAAAAATTATTTTTATCATAAACATTAATTTTTAACAATGTACTTTTATGTATTATGATGTATTCTAGAATTTTTTCAGTGGCTACACTTTCAAATGTTTTATCACGTGATGAGATGAGGTTTATGATGAAGCTTTCAAATGTTAGGTTTGTAATATAATCTCCCTTTTGAGCAAACACATTTCTAATCCTACCTCATTGATTAGTTGCCTTGTAAGCTAGCCGAAGTGTGATTCAACTAAAAAATATTGCACTTTCTGCAATAAAAACAGAAATCAATACCAAGAGGAACTATCAAAGCCACACAACTACATGAAAATTAAACTATTTGCTCCAGAAAGATGTTTGGATGAATAATAAAATTTAGGAAGAAATAAAAACTCTTAGAAGCATACAAACTGAGACACAACATACCAAAATCTATGGAATGCAGCAAAAGCAATGTTAAAACAAAAGTTCAGCACTAAATTCCTACATCAAGAAGATAGAAAGATCTCGAATAAACAATCTAACATCCACCTAAAAGAACTAGAAAAACAAAAACAAACTAATCCCAAAGCTATCAGAACAAAAGAAATAACTAAAATCAGAGCCAAGCTAAATGAATCGAGACCCCCCAAAACAAACAAAGGATCAGTGAAACAAAAAGTTGCTTCCTTGAAAGAATAAACAAGATTGCTGAACCACTAGATAGATTAACAAAGAAAAAAGAGAGATGATCCAAATAAGCACAATGAAGAAGATAAAGGTGACATTACAGTAGATCCCACAGAAATACAGAAGATCTTCAGAGGCTTTTATGAACATCTCTGTGTGCACAAACTAGAAAATCTAGAGGAAATGGATAAATTCCTAGAAACATACAACCTCCCAGGATTGAACCATAAAGAAACAGAAACTCTAAATGGACCAATAACAAATAAGGAAATTGAATCAGTAATTTAAAAACCTACCAATAACCAAAAAGATGCCCAAGGCCAGATGGATTCATAACCAAATTCTACTAGACATACAAAGGAAGAGCTGGTACCAATCCTGCTGAAACTATTCTAAAAAATCGACAAGGAGAGATTCCTCCCTACCTCATTCTATGAAAGCAGTATCATCCTGATACAAAAATGTGGCAAAGACACATGATAACAACAGGGCAATATCCCTGAGAAACATAGACAAAAATATCCTTAACAAAATACTAGCAAACCAAATTCAGGAGCATGTAAAAGTTAATTCACCACACTCAAGTAGTCTTTATTCTCGGGATGCAAAGTTTGTTCAGCCTACACAAATCAATAAATGTGATTCACTACATTAACAGAATTAAAAACAAAAAACAAATGATCATCTCAATACATGCCAAAAAAGGCTTTTGATAAAATCCAAACAAATCTTCATGATAAAAACCCTCAACAAACTAGATATTGAAGGAACATACTTCAAAATAATAAGAGCCATCTATGACGAACCCACAGCCAGCGTCATACTGAATGGGCAAATTCTTGAAGCATTCCTTTCAGAAACAGGAGCAAGACAAAGGTGTCCACTCTCACCACTCCTATTCAATATAGTATTAGAAGTCCTAGCCAGAGGAATCAGAAAAAGGAAAGAAGTAAAAAAGATCCAAATTAGAAAAGAGGAAGTCAAATTATCCCTCTTTATTGATGTGTGATTTTATACCTAGAAAACCCTAAAGATTCTGCCAAAAGGCTCCCAGAACTGATGAACAACTTCAGTGAAGTTTTGGGTTATAAAATCAATGTACAATAATCAGTGTCATTTCTATTCACCAAAAACTTTCAAACAGAGAGGCAAATCAAGAAAGTAACCCCATTTATAATGACAATAAAAAATAAAATACATAGGAATACATCTAACCAAAGAGGTGAAGGATCTCTACAAGGAGAACTGCAAAACACTGCTGAAAGAAATCATAGTGACACAAAGAAGTGGAAAAGCAGTCCATGCTCATGGATTAGAAAAATCAATATCATTAAAATGTCCATACTGCCCGAAGCTATCTGCAGGTTCAATGTTATTTCTGTTAAACCACCACCATCATTTTCACAGAATCAAAAAAACTAAACTTTATATGGAACCAAAAAAGGGCCTGAATAGCCAAAGAATCCTAAGCAAAAAGAATAAAGCTGAAGGTATCGTATTATCCGATTTCAAACTATACTAAAAGGCTATACTAACAAAAACAACATGGTACTGTTAACAAAAGCAGAAACATAGAACCATTGAACAGAATAGAGAACTCAGAAATAAATCCATACACCTGCAACCAACTGATCTTTAACACAGTTGACAAAAATAAACAATGGGAAAACAACTCCCAATTCAATAAATGGTGCTGAGAAAACTGGCTAACCATACACAGAAAAATGAAACTGGACCCTTATCTCTCACCCAGATAAAAAATTTACTCAAGATGTATTAACAGTGTAAATGCAAGACCTCAAACTATAAAAATCCTGGAAGAAAATCCAAGAAATATCATTCTGGACATTGGCCTTGAGGAAGAATTTATGACGAAGTCCTAAAAAGCAATTGCATCAAAAACAAAAATTGACAACTGGGGTCTAATTAAACTAAAGAGCTTCTGCACAGCAAAAGAAACTATCAACAGACTAAACAGAAAATCTACAGAATAGGACAAAATATTTGCAAACTATGCATCCAAAAAAGGACTAATATCTGGAGTCTATAGTAAACCTAAACAAATCAACAAGAGAAAAATAACCCCATTAAAAAGTGGGCAAAGGGCACGAACATACACTTCTCAAAAGAAGTCAAACAACTATCCAACAAACATATGAAAAAGTGCTCAACATCACTCATCATCAGAGAAATGCAAATCAAAACCACAATGAGATACCATCTCATAATAGTCAGAATAGCTATTATTAACAAGACAATAATAATAGCTGTTGGCAAGGCTATGTTGAAGGGAATACTTACACACTGTTAGTGAGAATATAAATTAGTTCAACCACTGTGGAAAGCAATTTGGAGATTCCTCAAGAACTAAAAATAGAACTCCAGTCGACCCAGCAATCTCATTACTGAGTATACACCCAAAGGAAAAGAAATCATTCTACCAACAAGAAACCTGCATTCATATATTATCACAGAACTATTCACAGTAGCAAAGACATGGAATCAATCTAAATACCAATCAATGGTAGATTGGGTAGAGAAAATGTGGTATACATACACCATGGAATACCCTGCAGCCATAAAAAAGAATGAAATCAGGTCCTTTGGAACAACATGGATGCAGCTGTAGCCCATTATCCTAAGTGAATTAACAAAGGAACAGAAAATGAAATACCACATGTTCTCATTTACAAGTGGGAGCTAAATATAGGGTACACATAGACACAAAGATGGGAACAATAGGCACTGGGGGCTACCAGAAGTGGGAGGGAAAAAGGGGGCAAGGGCTGGAAATTTATCTATTGGGTTCTATGTTCACTATCTGGGTGATGGAAAGAAGCCCAAACCTCAGCATCACGCAATATGCCCTTGTAACAAACCTGCACATGTACCTCCTGAATCTAAAATTAAGATTAAAATTAAAATAGATATGCTGCACTTTGTATTCCTAAAGTTAAAAAAGAAAGAGACGTGTGTTTCACATTAATACTCCTTAAAAACCTTTAGCAACATCAAAAATTATAACAACAATATTAAAAAGTGTGAATTTTTTAGATCTACGTAAATATTGTCAGTGATTAGTAATTAGTAAATGTATTGTGTTTTTAAGAGTTACCCCTTTAGAATCCACTTACAATGTCTGAGGAAATACAGATTCAACCACAGATTTCAGGGGAAACATAACTTTACAATCTGAATTACATAAAGTAATTCACAAACCATTTCTCGTTATTTTGTGCCATGGTGAAAACACATCCAGGACCTCAGATTATTTCTATATTATCCTTTCAGAAGATAATGATTTCTAAAGTTGAAAAGTGAGAGAAAGTCCATTACATCATTCCATAATAAAAAAAATACTATTTCTGTAAATTAAAGTAAGAAAATGACCAATTTAAGTGGTCTGACAATTGTCATTTTGCATTATGCTTCCTGAAGTTATAGTTTATAAAATGTGTCAATTTTATAATTAAGCAAACAAGTACCAATTTTATATCAGTCTTCACATACACTACTAAACCAATGGCTCTTCCCTGCTGTCTACCTGATCTTATATATTCTAACTTGGTGCTGATGATCTGTAAATATCCCCTCTGCACCTTCTTGCCATTCACATGCCGACCTGGGTCCAGAGTTAAACCCCCTACTTGCTGTTGCTTGCCATCAATGCTGCACCCATACTGGGGAACTGAGGAGAGCTGTGAGGATACGGGGGTGCTGGGCCCCCAAACCAGCCCCATGGCCTGTGGGTAAAATAAGACCCAATTCAGCTGGCATTGGCTGATGCTGCTGGAAATCCACATCCTTTCAAATTCTTCCTAAATATTCTGGAGTCCCCAGGAGTGCTGCACCTGTTTCTCTGGACTATATCATCCCTGCCAAATGTCTGTTTTTCCTAATTTGGTGGGCTGAGGTGGCAGTTCCTGTTGCTACTGATACAAAAGAAAATCTGTCGTGTCCAGGCCTCCTCTCGCTCCCTGCCAAACGGTGTGCAGGAGCGGTGCACACGGCGGATCCTAGCGTCGGACACCCAAGACACTGCCTCTGTCTACCGCTGCCAAGCCACGATCACCTGTGCTGCTGATGGCCAGACACCTCGAACAATTGCAGCAAAACCACAGTTTGAGCTTTTAGGTACTTTCTAAAATATGGCTTTCCCATCCTGAAGCGCAGCCTGGTTCTGTAGGCACTTGGCTTGGGGAGACTCAAGCAGAAATGCATGCTGTGCTCAGAGCCAGCACTTAGCTCTGCTCTTATCACTGCCCTAACCCATATCGGCAGGTTCTTTCTTTTGTTTTCCTTAGACTCAGATGTCCTAGAAATCTCTTTGTTAACACATGTGGAAGGGTCACCAGAGGAGCAATGTCACCAGCACCCCAGGTTCTTGAGGCGTGATGGTCGCATTAGTATCTCCTGGGGGCTTGGAGAAAAACAGGCTGGCACCATACACTCCTCTGGGAACATGGAAACATCAAAGTCCCTCATCCGTACACCTGCCACTCAACCATCTTTCCTCTGGCTTTCTTCCCCAATTCTAATCCCCAGCTGCTAACAGCAGTTTCTCTGAAGCCCTCTGCTTTTCCAGTTCCAGAGGACATGCTGTTTTGGCTCTGGCTGTGGGCGGTTCTCTCAGCCACCGGTTCCACATTCTCCACACTCTGCAGCCCTCCGAAAGAGTCTGAAAAGCTTCGACTCTAGCATACACCACCCTTGGGGAACCACATTTACCCAGGAGGCAGGCAGTTCTGTGCACCTGAAACTCCTGTCAGGAGGAGCCCCGCCCAGGGGCTTCCTTGCAGAGGAGACCTCTCCAGGCCTCAGCGACTGTTCCAGACAGTCCCTCCCTCAATGCTTCAATTCTGGGAGGAAGCACAGTCCTAGAAATACTGCCCCATCTCCACCCACAGAAGCCTCATTTGTGGTGGAAAAGAAGGGTAAAGACATGAGAACTTCGCAGGGAAAAAAGATCTGCAGGAGGAACTCCTCTAACCTTAGCTTTTTAATGAGGAAGACTAGACCCAACAGAGAAGGTGCTATTGTGAAATCACTTCATGTGCAACTAAAAGGATTTGTTGTTCTAATTTGAATAGAAAATGGCCAGTAAAATTATGGTTCGAGAAACACTGTGAGTTTGAAATAATTATGCTTCACCTTTTAAAAGATCTCAACTGCTCTTTTCAAGTAATTCCTTAAAACTGGGAGAAGAGCTCATCGGTTGGCACAGTCAAATAACGTGGAACTCACCCGAGCTGAAATGAGCCGCTCACCTCCATTGGGACTCTGCTGGCAGCTCCTATGGGGCTCCGACCTTAGGACTCCATGAGCGGCAACACAAAATAGAGGGAGCTCGCCTTTGAATAAAGGATTGTCCGCTTCTCAGTTTAGATAATGCCAGCATAAATCATATAACAAGAGCCGTGAATACAGTACAGCGACTCCTGGTAGAACTTCCCGTTCCTCCTCCATAATCAGCCCTACCCAGTGTATCTGATGAAAGGTTCCTGCCTGGCCGGAGAGTCGCTGGCGTCTGGGGAGGGGCTGCTGCGGCCCCTCCCAGCTCGTACACTCTTACTGGGACACCATTCTTCCTTCCAGCCCTTCGATCCTCGCTGGGCTTCCCAGTCTCTCATACCTAAATGTTACCTATCATTTCGGTATACCTATAATACCAACGAGGGATGCAGCCTTCTTCACACCCTCTTCTGAAAAGGGGCTGTTTTCTGCCAGGATCCACGCTCTCGGCCATGCGTCCACAGTGTGGCGTGTGTGTGGACTTTCTAATGGATGCCTCCTTGTGCTGACACCTGGTCTCCCTACCCACTCTTGCCTCCAGTGTGGTTCTGGTGACCCACTCTAACAAATGCATTCCCAGGGGTCTCCACCTGAGCACTGCAGCTGTGACGTGGGGAGGCCCTGCCCATTGTAGGATGTTCAGTAGCAGCCTTGGCCTCCATGCCCTAGAGGCCACTAGCACCCCTCCCTCAGGCCAGGAGCTGACTGACAGCACTCCACCTCAGCTCCAGCATGTATCTCTCACTGTGAGGAGTGGTAGTGGAGCCCACTCCGGCCCATGTACAGGGTGAGAGAACCAAGGGCTGCCAGGGTAGTGTATGTCTGTATGGGTAGGGGGCTGTCCATGACCAACAACACAGGAGCCTGTGGGCCAACACCTCCATCCCTTTCTCCATATTGACCACCTCTTGCATAGGGTCCAGTTTGAAAATGTTTGCCTTGGTGCTTATCATCTCGTGTAACTGCAGTTCTCCCAAAGGCAGTAGCTTGGGGCAACATGGTTACACATTTTACAACCACTGTCGGGTGGACCACATTCTATTAAAGGAAGTCATTTAAAAATCCCAATTCATGGAATGATGCACCCACTGGTTGACAGGCTTCATTTCAAATACATGACTAGAAGACATGAAGCTGATCGTTTCTGAATATTATGTTACACGAAGATGTAGATTCTAGGATATTAATGTTTTTCTCTGTTTCTTACATGTGCCTGTGCCTTGCTGATCATTCTAAATGTTTGCATGATGTTGCTTGGTCGCTAAGCATTGAATGGTTTAGTTAGGCAGTTTTACCTTCAGTAAAATGAATTAAATGCAACTTAAATTGACAACTTTCCAGAAAACGAAGTGTAGTTAGTGATCAAGCTGCAACTTCATTTAACACCAACTGTTTTTCTGCTTTTCTGTTTTCTGGTTTTCTGCTGCATGGTCATTTTATTATCTGAAAGATATTAGAAAGATGTATATAACAAAAATATTGTAGAGAGAAAGGTGTTGTTTTCTTAATATTTCTGTTACTTAAATTAAGACACATGCATGCACACACACGCGTAGACACGGAGAACCCCAGAGAGCTCTCCGCATTCAGTCACGTTGCATTTCCAGGTGGCTTTATCTCAGCCAAGGGAGGATGATGGCTGTAATCATGCTTTTCCCTTGACTGTGATCCAAATGTAGCCAGACACTGAGACAGATGAATGGCTCATCCATCATGATCAAATTGGAAAACATAGTGGAAAGGTGGCCTTTTTATCCCCAAATGTCTAGTTCTCTTTCCAAGTAGCCTCACTTATTCATACCCATGCAAATGAGAAGGACATGGAGATGTATTTGGAAATTCATAATATAGTTCCAAATTCAGAGATGTTGGGAGACCAAGGAAAGATTCCAACCAGAAATGGTTCTGAAAATATCAAGAAATTTTAGTTAAAAATATTTTTATTCCCCAGGGCAATAAAATCTACCTAATAGTGAAACTATGTTTCAGCATACTAAAGAAGATAAACCTGAAAATAAAAAGATATAATTATTAACACAGATGTGGAAACATAGAAAAGAAATGTTCCAAGTAAGTTTAACCTTAAAATACTGTGTAGGCACAGATCTCTGGTGTCAGCTATGTGCCTGTGGGCCCAAGAAAGACTCTCTGCCCATGGCTGGAAGCTGCTCTCATCTCTGTACCCACTGCACTGCATCCCTCTCCCATGTCCTGCAGAGAGAGCTGCATGGCAGGAGGGCACCCATTCTCATTGTCCTGGCTGCCTTAGATTCCCCTTCAGGACTTCCTTTTGAGTGCGGAAGGACAGAGTTGGTTTTATTTGCCTTTGAATCTAGGAAATACAGTGGTCAGTAGAGGTAACTGTCAAATGCAGAGGTCTTTGTGCAGAGTGACAGTGATGGTTTTGAAGGCTGGCTTTCAATGGGCAGCCAGCTCTTCCCACTGGTCAGCCTTTAGCCTTTCACCTGGGTTTTCCTAGGCCTGCCCCTTCAGGGAGTGTGAGGGAGTCACTCCCCTCTGAGTGCAAGTGGGGATCTCACATAAGAGGGTGACATCTGTTCCATCAGTCTCAGAAGGAAGACAGGCTTAACCTGTCAAAAGGAGATAGTTGGCTGGTGATTCTGGATGAAACCCACCTCCTCCCCACAAACATCCCCCAGAAGAGGTCCCCATCATAGCACAGCTACTGGAAGAGCTGTTGACAAATCATACTTCCCATCAGTAACATCAGTGGCCTTTGTTGTATCCAGATGCACTAAGAATAGTTCATCAGATTTGAAAAATTAATAAGCTAAGAAAAGCTTTTGACAATGCAGTTTTCAGAGCTCAAATATCCCCTTTTCTTTCCATCTGGGCCAGCACAGTGTTCATTAACTTGACTATGCATCTTATCCTAATGTTTACCATGCACTAATTGTAAAAAGATGGCACATTTTGCAATATATTTACACTCAAGATATTGTGTGCACATGACAAGTATCAAATATCATTGTGCAGGTGCAACTGGAAGCAGTTCCAAGGAAAGTTTGAGTCACATGACCAACAAACATTTTGTAAGCATCTTCTGCACAGCAGTGGTTGCACTGGAGGCAGCATGGGATAGAGAGCCAGCAGCTGCTCTGGAGCCAGGCAGACCTGGATTTGAATCCGGACTCTATCACCTGTGATGTTAGGCACAGTTCCCCCATCTCTGAATCCCAGTTATCTAAGATCATAACATTACCCACTCCCAAGGATCTACATAAGGACTTAAACAGAGAGCAATGTTTATAGACTGTATAGCTGGTGCTAGCACTAGATTGCCATTTATTTCCCTCATTTCCCTTCTCCTTCTGTAGGTGCTGGGGGTGCAAGGAAATATAACAGTCCCCAAGCTCTCGGGAAGTTGCAGCTCTTTGGGAGAGATAACACATGAATCGAGTTCACAAAATACAAAGCAATCAGTCGTGGGGGCAGTTACTATGTAAAAGCTGGAAATTAAAATTATTCAAATATCAATGGCAACCTAAAGCCATAATCATACCGCCAACAAGGTCTGAGATCTGTTGGCCTCCTGTGAGAAGCCCTCCTCCACAGGCTTACAGTTCCTGTGTGTAGACACATTATGCAATGACTACCGCATGAGTTCACCAGCATCTGCTCTTGACATTGGATGAGTACCCAACCATCGTTTAATGGGGTTTTCCCTTTCCTCTTCCTACTATTGCCACACGTGGCCCACACCTGTGACAAGGGAAGAAAGACTCACTGCTATTGTAGCTCAACAAGGAACAAAAGCCTGTCCCTTGCAGAGGAGGAGTCACCCCACATCTTTAGTCACAGGCTGTGGGGGAAAGAGGAGTGAGCTTCTATGGAGGCCAAGGACCCTGAGGCACATCCTGAGCTCAGACCATGGGAAAGGGACAATAAGACATTTGCCTGCTCCTATTCTGTCCTCTGTCCAGATACTACTATGTTGATGATTAGGTTGAACTATGCAAAACTGATGATTTTTGACCTACAAAAAGTGGCCCATCACATGATCCTGCCTGATCACTCCTGCCTAACTACTGAAGCTCATCTCCCCCAGGTAGGCACCTCCCTGACTGGCCCGCTGGGTTAAAAGCCCCCTGGGAATCCCCAGCACAGCCTGAAAGCTGAGCACTGCACTGACTTCACTGTGTTTAAGTGATGGGTGCTTCTGATGCCTCGTTCTTAAATCCTTTAACAGAACACAGGGGCTCCTAAAAGGGCTAATACTCCCTGTTTCCAAATCAGTGATGAGTGATTTTAAAACTACCTAAGATTGGTTCAACATTAGTTCTCAACAAGACTGAGTATTTAAAATGACACAAATAATCTATCCACTTAGGTTATTTCATACACACACACACACACACATTTTTAAAGTAATTTTGTGATTAAAATTTTAATATGCTGATGCTTTGAGTAAAGACCAGCTCTAACCATCAGCTTCATTTAAAAAATTTATTTATTAAATTTACCACTCCCTCTCCCTCTCCGTCTCCCTCGTCGTCTCTGTCTCCCGCTTTCCACGGTCTCCCACTCTCCCTCGTCTCTGTCTCCCGCTTTCCATGGTATCCCTCTGTTGCCAAGGCTGGACTGTACTGCCGCAATCTCGGCTCACTGCAACCTCCCTGCCTGATTCTCCTGCCTCAGCCTGCCAAGTGCCTGGGATTGCAGGTGCATGCCGCCACGCCTGACTGGTTTTTGTATTTTTTGGTGGAGACAGGGTTTCGCCGTGTTGGCTGGGCTGGTCTCCAGCTCCTGACCTCTAGTGATTTGCCTGCCTTGGCCTCCCGAGGTGCCAGGATTGCAGACGGAGTCTCGCTCACTCAGTGCTCAATGTTGCCCAGGCTGGAGTGCAGTGGCATGATCTCGGCTCGCTACAACCTCCACCTCCCAGCCGCCTGCCTTGGCCTCCCAAAGTGCTGAGATTGCAGCCTCTGCCTGGCCGCCACCCCGTCTAGGAAGTGAGGAGCATCTCTGCCTGGCCGCCCATCATCTGGGATGTGATGAGCCCCTCTGCCAGGCCGCCCAGTCTGGGAAGTGAGGAGCGCCTCTTCCCGGCCGTCATCCCATCTAGGAAGTGAGGAACGTCTCTGCCTGGCCACCCATCATCTGGGATGTGGAGAGCGCCTCTGCCCGGCCACCCCATCTGGAATGTGAGGAGCACCTCTGCCCGGCCGCGACCCCATCTGGGAACTGAGGAGCGCCTCTGCCCAGCCACCCCATCTGGAAGTGAGGAGCGTCTCCACCCGGCCGCCCTGTCTGGGAGGTGGGGGGCGCCCCCGCCTGGCAGCCACCCTGTCTGGGAGGTGGGGGGGTGCCCCCGCCCGGCAGCTGCCCCGTCTGGGAGGTGGGGGGCGCCTCTGCCCGGCCGCCAGGTCTGGGAAGTGAGGAGCCCCTCTGCCTGGCCGCCACCCCGTCTGGAAGGTTTACCCAACAGCTCATTGAGAACAGGCCATGATGACGATGGCGGTTTTGTCAAATAGAAAAGGGGGAAATGTGGGGAAAAGAAAGAGAGATCAGATTGTTACTGTGTCTGTGTAGAAAGAAGTAGACATAGGAGGCTCCATTTTGTTCTGTAATAAGAAAAAATTCTTCTGCCTTGGGATGCTGTTAATCTATACCTTACCCCCAACCCCGTGCTCTCTGAAACATGTGCTGTGTCAACTCAGGGTTAAATGGATTAAGGGTGGTGCAAGATGTGCTTTGTTAAACAGATGCTTGAAGGCAGCATGCTCGTTAAGAGTCATCACCACTCCCTCATCTCAAGTACCCAGGGACACAAACACTACGGAAGGCCACAGGGTCCTCTGCCTAGGAAAACCAGAGACCTTTGTTCACATGTTTACCTGCTGACCTTCTCTCCACTATTGCCCTATGACCCTGCCAAATCCCCCACTCCGAGAAACACCCAAGAATGATCAATAAATACTAAAAAAAGAAAAAAAAAAAGAATGATGGATACCTGTAAAGATGTTATTAAACGAATAATCTGAGGTTGGTAAAAAAAATAATAATAATAAAAGAGACCTGAATGGTGCATGTTTGCCCCTTCTACTATGTAAGGACACAACAAGAAGTCACCATGTCTGATCTAGGAAGCAGGCCCTCAACCAGATATTACTGGTGCCTTAAATTTGAACCTCCAAGCCTCCACAACTGTGAGAAATACATTTCTATTTTTTATGTTACCCAATCTGAGGTACTTTGTTATAGCAGTCTGAACAGTCTAAGACAGACATAACAAGGGAAAAAAATGACTTTGTGTTTCCAGTTAATAAACTTTCCATATCAGGGTGAAGTAGGACTATACCTTCATAGTCATGACTGGTACAGTTATTTAAAAAATCTCTTGACTCCATCTGCAATGCTGAAAAATGCTTTTTGGACAGAGAATAACTTTGATACAGAATGAGTATGTTACAGGAAAAAAAATTATGCTCTTTTAAATGTATTTACCTTTAAGTTGATAACTTTTAAGCAAAATACGAACATGTTTTCATTTTTCCTCTTTAAAATTATACACAAAAACATAGAAACTTATGCTATCAAAACTATAGTTATAAAATATTTTAGTCAATTAACAGAATAAATTTTTATGCTCTTATTAAAAAATAATAAAAATAAATTTACCAAAATTCTATATATTTATGGTGTACACCATGATGTTTTGAAATATGTCTACATTGTGGAATGGCTAAATCAGGCTAATTAACATACTTACCCTTTTTTGTAACGAGAACACAAAATCTACTTGCTCAGCAATTTTCAAGTATACAATACGTCATGATTATGGTCACCATGTTGTACAATAGATCCGAAATTATTCCTCCTGTCCAGCTGAAATTTTGTATCCTTTGACCAACATCTCCCCATTCCCCCAACCCCTGGCTTCTGGCAACCACCATTCTACTCTCTGCTACTATGAGCTTGATATTTTTAGATTTTAGATTTTTTTTGGAGATCATGAGGTGCTTGTCTTTTGTGCTCATCAGCTTCCTTAGTTGCGAAGAGTGGAGAGGGACTTAAGTGTGACCTTGGACTTAATTACAGTGTTTCTGGAACCTAACAACTTATTCCACAAGATTTAGGCTAGAATAACTTCCCTTTACTAATCTACTTAAAACAAACAAATGCTCTTCCCTTGATTGAACATATAACCAAGCTCACCCATCTGAAGTCCTTGCATTAATACAGTATTGGGTTTCTGCAAACAACCTCTGTTTTTAGCCACTTAGCTGATGATCCAAGGTAGAAGGCACTATGCCCATTTTCCACAGCAACCAACTTCCAGGAAGAATGTGCTTAGAAGAAGTAAACAGCAGACAAAGGGGCAGCCCAATGACACATCTATTTTGAGAGCAGTTGACCTAGATATTCTAACATTGCAATTAGGAAAGACACTGGCCTGCACTAGGCTCTTTCAGACTCTGTGTAGATGGGCTGGGGTACATGCTATTGGCCAACAGCAGTTTAGGGCCAGGGTCCTCTGGGGTGGTCTTGGGCTCTGAGATGAGACTCTGGCTTCAAGAGTGAGGGCAGCTCTTGAAAACTAAGTCTCTGCAGTCAGACTCTGGGTTTGAATCCTGGGTCTGCCACTTAGCTGTTTAATATTAGGCAAGTTATTAACCTTCTGCACTTCAGTTCTCAGATCACCAAGCTAGAGAGATCAATGATAAGGACAATAATGTGCTTCACGTAAAGAGTCTGACCTGCTTCCTGGATCACAGTGAGAGCACAATTACAGTGTCCCCCTTATCCAAGCAGGATATGTCCCAAGATCCCTGGTGATGCCTGAAATCATGAATAGCACTGAGCCCTCTCTATACAGTACTATGCATGAATTTCTTTTTCTTTCTTCACAATTTTATAGATTGAAAATTCATTCTTACCTGGATCTTAGCATCCTCAGTATACTTTAAAAAAAAAAAAATTCTTATGTCAAGAACTTTCACCTTTTCACTAAATGGAAGCACTTTATGGCTTCTCTTTGGCATATCCAAATTGCTATGCTTGAGCTACTCAAATTGCTACTGAAATCACTACTCTTGAGCATTAGGGCCATTGAGTAAAAAAGGGTGACTTGAACACAAGCACTGTGATTCCACAATAGTTGATCTGATAACCAAGACCGCTATGAAGTGAGTCACAGTGGGTGTCATAGACAGTGTGGAGACACTGAACAAGGGGAGGATTCACATCCAGGTGGGATGGAGTAAGATGGCTCGAGTTTTCTTTGCACTAGTCAGAATGGCTCACAATTTAAAACTTATAAATTGTTTATTTCTGGAAGTTCCTATTTTATATTTTTGGAACACAGTTGGCCACAGATAACTAAAACCTTGGAAAGTGAAACCTCAGATAAGGAGAACTACTGTGGTGATAGCCATATGGAATGAAGAAAAATCACTTATGAAGGTGGGATAGAATTGGAAAACTGGTCCACTCCCTTGATGCTACTGTTGCCATAGAAATGTGAACACCCTTAAAAGCTTTCTCTTCTACAAAGAAACATAATACCTTCACAAAGAAAAGAACATTCTTCATATAATAATAAAAACATGCACTTTCCTCATTAGTTTAGAAGTAACCTTAGCTGAAGTTTTATATGCCCCCTGGACTTGTGTTTTCTTCTCTGATGTCTTTACCCACATAAGTAAGTGATTCTCCAGGGATAACAGGACTAATATGAACATTCACTGACTGCAACTGTATAAGCACAGCTCACATATTTTTAATGCTCACAAGTTATGAGCTTTAAAGCTAGGAGGTAGGTGCCTTCTAGCTGTCATCATTTTATGGGACACAGAGGCAGGAAGTGGTGAGTCCCTCGGCCACACAACCTGTAGATGACCTGAACTCCAATGTGCCTGCTTTGTGTGCTCACACGCCACACCCACAGTGGGCTCCCGCCATAGCGAACACACACATTCTTCATTGTCTGCCTTGTGTTGTGTGACTTCTTCATCTGCCTGTATAAGGTGCAGAATAAGAGTGAGACCTCACAAAGAACCATCCTGCAAACCAGGAGGTTCAATTGTGTGACCACATGGTGAAACATGGTTTGGCCAGGAAACTCCAATGCTGGGATTTCACTCCACTATGCCTAACTGGATTTCAAATTGTCATCCCTAACTTACACTGTGAGCCTTGGTGACACCCAGCTGTGCTCCAAGGAGAAAACAAACAAACAAGTTTTTGGACAGGACACTTTAAGTTCTAGACTCTTCAATCCCTTTCTACTTGTCCTGAGATAACACGTGTTGGCTATTTCACATTTTTTTCTTTCATCCAGAATCTTAAGCTTTTTAATATTTTTAGCAACTTCCCCACCTTATGGTCTCCTTGGGATGTAGCAACTTTTCCTCATCCGGAAGCCCAAAGGGCCAGAGAATCATTTTCCCCACTCCCCTTGCAACTGGGGCATAGGCAAACGGCCTATTTAGCAAAAGTGCATCACCAGGACAAAACTAGTGAAGCATCCATTCCAAGGGGTTGTGGCATCAGGGTGGCAGTAATACCCTGTTTCATGGGTGGAACTTGACATTGACCCACAGCATCAGTAGAGGTAGGTGGCTGCAGCATCCAGGGGTCAGCAGCAGTGATGATGGCATTGGACTAATTCTGTGGTGTGCTTTTAGTTGTAATTTTGGCTACTCAACTCACCTTATATCCTGGCAAATCTCTAATTCATTCTCTAAACTACTGAGTCATGTTGTGACCTACCTTTCTTTTGCTTAGCCCATGTGATCAATTATTCAACTCAGTGTATCTATGTCCTTGCTATGTGAATATGTAGCTTTTCCCAGCATGAAGTGGAATCTATTTCCCTATCCCTTAAATCTTATCCTTCTGATTTGCTTAGACCAAAAGAATGTGTCAGGAATTTAGTAATTTCTACTCCGAAGACAGAGTCACAAGAAGACTTACAAGCTCTCCATTAAGTATCTCGGAAATCTTTTCAGCCACAATATGAATGCACCTTGACAACTCTGTTGGACAGTGAACAACTTTGTCATCCAGAGGTAAGAAACCCCAGCTGAGGCATTCTACATATGATAGCTGACTTCTGTCTCACAGATTAAAAACAACAATAAAATGAGTCCAGCACAAATTGCCAGCCCACTGAGTCATGAACTACATCACTGGTTCTTATTTTGTGGCATTATATTTTGGAGTGGTTTGTTACACAGTAAAAGCTAATTGTTAAAGTCAACCTTAGTTGGTTTCTGTTATTTGCATCTAAGAACCTTGACTACCCTCTTAAAGTGCTGGGATTACAGGTGTGAGCCACCACGCCCGGCCTCATCCAGGATTTTTATAGTTTAAGATCTTACGTTCAAATCTTTAATCCATCTTGAGTGAATTTTTGTATATGGAGATACATAAGGGTCCAGTTTCATTTTTCTGCATATGGCTAGCCAGTTTTTCCAGCACCATTTATTAAACAGAGAATACTTTTCCTATAGTTTTTTTTTTTTCAGTTTTGTTGAAAATCAGTTGGGTGTAGGTGTGTGGCATTATTTCAAGGATCTCTATCCTGTTCCATTCGTCTATGTGTCTATTTTTGTATCAGTACCATGCTGTTTTGGTTACTGTAGCCTTGTAATATAGTTTGAAGTAGGGTAATGTGATGCCTCTGATTTTTTTCTTTTTGCTTAGGATTGTCTTGGCTGTTGTGGCTATTCTTTGGTTCCATATACATTTTAGAATACATTTTTCTAATTCTGTGCAAAATGACGTTAATAATTTTATAGGAATATCATTGAATCTAGAGATTTATTTGCACAGTGTATACATTTTAATGATATTGATTCTTCCAAACCATGAGCATGGAATGTTTTGTGTCATCTATAATTTCTTTCAGCAATTTTGTAGTTCTCCTCGTAGAGATCTTTCACCCCTTGGTAAGATGTATTCCTAGGTACTTAATTTTTGTTTTTTTTTTTGTTTTTGTTGTGTGTGTGTGTGTGTGTGTGTGTGTGTGTGTGTGTGTGTGTGTATTATACATGGGATTGCATTCTTGATTTGGTTCTCAGCTTAGTTATTGGTGTATGGAAATGCTATTAACTTTTGTAAGCTAATCCTTGTATCCTGAGATTTGGCAGAATCTTTAGGATTTCTAGGTATAGAATCATATCGTCAGTGAAGAGAGATAATTTGACTTCCTTTTTTCCAATTTGGATGTCTATTTCTTTCTTTGACTAATTGTTCTGGCTAAGACTTCCAGTGCTATGTTGAATAGGCATGGTGTGAGTGAACATTCTTGTCTTCTTTCAGTCCTTAGGAGGAATGCTTCCAGCTTTAACCCATTCAGTATGATGTTTGCTGTGGGATTGTCATAGCTGCCTCTTATTTTGAGTTATCTTCCTCCAGTGCCTAGTTTGTTGAGGTTTTTTCTCATAAAAGAATGTTGTTGGTTTTTATGCTTTTCCTGCGTCTATTGAGATGATCATATCATTTCTGTTTGTTTTTGATTCTGTTTATGTAGTCACTTTTATTGATTTGCATATGTTGAACCATCCTTCATCCCAGGAATAAAGCCCAAATGATTGTGGTGAATTCACTTTTTGATGTGCTGCTGGATTCAGTTTACTAGTTTTTGTTGAGAATTATGTTGAGGATTTTTGCATCTATGTACATCAGGGATATTGGTGTGTAGTTTTTTTCTTGTTGTGTCTTTGCCAGATTTTAGTATCAGGATGATACCGTACTCTTAGAATGAGTTAGGAAGGAGCCCCTCATCAATTTTTTGGAATTGTTTCAGTAGGATTGGTACCAGCTCTTCTTTACATGTTTGGTACAATTCAGCTGTGAAACCATCTGATTCAGGGCTTTTCAGGGTGGTTGGCAGGTTTTTTATTACTGATTCAATTTCCTTATTTGTTATTGATTTGTTCAAGATTTCTGTTCCTTTCTGATTCAATCTCAAGAGGCTGTGTGTTTCTAGGAATTTATCAGTTTTCTCTAGATATTCTAGTTTGTATGCATAGAGATGTTTATAGCCTCTGAGGATCTTCGTTTCTGGGGAGTTGGTTGTAATGTCACCTTTGCCATGTTTTATTGTGCTTACTCGGATCTACTCTTGTTTATCCTTTCAAACAACCAGCTTGATGTTTCATTGATCCTTTGTGTGGTTGTTTTGGTCTCAATTTCATTTAATTGTGCTCCCATTTTAGTTATTTCTTTTCTTCTGCTAGCTTTGGCTTTGATTTGTTCTTGTTTTTCTAGTTCATTCAGGTACTGCGTTAGGTTGTTAATTTTACATCTTTCTGTTGTCTTGATGTAGGTGTTTAACACTAGAATCTTTCCTCTTAACACTGCTTTTACCACATCCCAGAGATTTTGGTATGTTATGTCTTTATTTTCACTTGTTCCAAATAATTTTTTATTTCTGCCTTAATTTTGTTATTTACTCAAAATTCATTCAGATGCAAGTTGTTTAGTTTCCATGTACTCGTGTGGTTTTGAGAGTTCCTCTTGTTAATGCTTTCTATTTTCATTCCACTGTGATCTGAGAAGATGCTTAGTATAATTTTCATTTTTTTTTTGTATTTTAAGACCTGTTTTAAGACCAAGCAGGTGGTCAATCTTAGAGCATGTTTCACAGGCAGATGAGAAGAAAGTATATTTTGTGGTTGTTGAGTAGAGTATTCTGTAGATGACTCTTAGCTCCAATTAATCAAGTGTCAAATTCAAGTCCAGAATTGCTTTGTTCATTCTCTGTCTTGATGATCTGTCTATTGCTGTCAGTGGAATATTGAAGTTTGTTATTCATGCATTTCATATTCATGAATGAACTTGTTCACTAAAATTTATTTGTAACCCCCCAGTCAATAGTTGCAGTGGTTAGTGAAAATGTCCTGTCTATAATTTACTAAGTGCCATGCTTTAGATTGTTTTTTGTTGTTGCTTTTGCATTTTTGTTTTTTATTTTGGTAATTTTCCTGTTTAAAATGACACCAACCATAGTGCTGAAGTGCTGGCTAGTGTTGTTAAATGCAAGAAGGTGGTGATGTGACTTATGGGAAAAATATGTATGCTAGATAGGCTTCATTCAGACACGAGTTATAGTGCTGCTGGCTGTTAGTTCAATGTCAATGAATTAACAATATATATTAAATACAGCATCTTTCAACCAAAACACAAATAAAACAATTTTATGTATTGATCAGTTGAAATTATGGCCAGAGGCTGAGAGGAGCCTGACCCTCTGAAACAATGGTTTAGAGGGTATTTCCACTAGAAATGATGATTCACTATTCAGTAATTCAGTATTTTTGGAGACTTAACAGATCATAGCTAACATACATAATAAGAACAAACTGTGTATTATATGCTATTCAGTAAATTTCATTTATTGATGTCTAAATAACTGACAAGTGACTTCAGGTCCATTTTAAGGCAGGCTGAAAAGTTGTATATTGAATTAGATTCTGGAACCCAGAAATATAATTATAGATTAAAAGATCAAAATGAATTCTCCTATTGTCTTAATTTCTTATTTACAGATGAGAATACCAAGGCCCAGAGAAGTAGCATGCCCAGGGTGACACAAGCAGAGGTCCAGTTACTGTCTATCTGCTACTTTCTTAACTATACTACACCTCATGTAAAATCTTCTAAATGATCCTGGAGCATTTTGACTGGTGAATTTTAGAAGTATGCTCTCTTAAGAATGTACATTAGGGTTCCATATTGTAACAGACTGTATTAATCCATTTTCATGCTGCTGGTAAAGACATACCATACCTAAGACTGGGGGAAAAAAAGAGGTTTAATGGACTTACAGTTCCATATGGCTGGGGACGCCTCACAGTCATGGTGGAAGGCAAGGAGGAGCAAGTCACATCTTACATAGATGGCAGCAGGCAAAAAGAGAGAGAGAGCTTGTGCAGGGAAACACCTGTTTTTAAAACTATCAGATCTTGTGAGACTCATTTACTAGCACAAGAACAGTGCAGGAAAGGCCCATCCCCATAATTCAATCACCTCCTACTGGGTTCCTCCCACAACATGTGGGAATTGTAGGAGTTAAAATTCAAGATGAGATTTGGGTGGGGACACAGCCAAACCATATCAGAGACCAATGGCCAGATTTATTAAAATTCTGAGAAGCATTATTCTCCAGTGCCTTCTTCTGACTTAAGGTCAGTTCCTCTTTGATTAAGATACTTTACTAATAGAGCAAAATGGCAAAGTATGCAACTTCAAATTCACATCCATCATAGAAACTTTTTTTTAAAAGCAGAAATTGCCAAAACAACTTTGTCAGAGCCCTGGATAATAGTCAAACTTTAATGGCCACTAAAAAAAAGTGTAATAAAAAAGGAACTCAAGAATAAAAATTTCTGTCAAAACACTAGCTAAAAGCAAGCTAAGAAACAGAGACTTTATGTAACCACACATGACAAGGAATACAGTTTTTGAAAAAATAGTTTGGAGAAAGTGATTAAACAAATAGACAACTGCAGAAATCTACAATAAAAAAACAGAAACTCTGGATAAAAGGAAAAATATAATTATCAGTTACCACATTATAATATTCAACTCTCTGGATATCAACAAAAGATCAGAAGGCATTCAAAAAACAGGAAATTTTGACCAATTTCCAATAAATAAATAAATTGATGGAAAATATCATTGAGGAAGCACAGATATCAGACTTACTAGGCAAAGACTACAAATTGATTTCCTTAAATATTCTCAAAGAGCTAAAGGGAATCAAGAAAATAATTTATGGTCAAAAGAAGTCTATCAGTAAAGAGGCAGAAATTAGTAAAGGGAACCTGGAGCTGAAGTATGCAATAACTAAAATTTTAAAATTACTAGAAGGCTTCAACCACAGAATTGAGCAAACAGAAGAAAGAATAAGCAATTGAATATAGAACAATTGAAATTATCCAGTGTAAAGAGCATAAAGAATAAAGAAAAGTGAACACAGCCTAAGTGATCTGAGGGACATTATCAAGCAAATTGACATATGCATTATTGGAGTCTTAGAAGAATAAGAAAGAGAGAAAAGAACAGAAAAAATATTTGAGGAAATAATAACCAGTTCCTCACAAATTTCGTGAAAAACATAAGCTCATCAAACTCCAACTATCATAAAACCAAGAGAGTCACACTATAATATATTCACAATATATAATTCACAAAATAAAGTTAAGACACATTGTAATCAAGCTGCAAAGAGCCAAAGACAAAAAGAATTTTGAAAGCAGCAAGAGAAAAGCAGTCCTTCATGTACAAAGTATTCCCAGTAACAGCAACAACAAATTTCTCAACACAAACCATGGCAGCTAGAAGGTAGTAAGATGACATGTTAAGAGTGCCAAAAGAAGAAACTGTCAATCATGAGTTCTTTATCTGATGAAACTATCCTTCAAAAATAGAGGTAAAATTAAGACAACCCCAGATAAACAAAAGCTGAGTGATTTATTTGCCAATAGACCTTCCCTACAAGAAATGCTAAAGTGAGTCCTTCAGAAATATAAAAACAATTGACAGTGACCCAAAGAACAAAGATATAAAGATTTCTGGTAAAAGGAACTGCATAGGTAAACACAAAAGGCAGCATTATTGCATTTTTTGGTTTGTAAATATACTTTTTATTTCTCACATGATTAAAAAGTATAAGCACATAAACAATAATCATAAATCAATGTTATTTGGCAGACAACGTATTCTCAATCCAAAAGAGTCACATGTGCATACAATGTTTAGATAAAAAGGGTAAAGGCCTTTTATAGTTAACTGCTTAAAAAAAAACTACCATTGAGTACTTTGCCTTTAGTGTTCATAAAAATCCATGGAACTTTAGGAAAAGCTATTCAGGGCTGTTTCCTCTGATAGTTTTTATTCCAAATCAACTTTGTCAATGTTTTAATAATTTATTTTCCAGGGATAAAATGTTCCTTTGCAGTCTGTTACAGAGTTAGATTTTATTGAACTCACTAAACAGTACAGAAAAAATCCAGTGTTATTTCAGTGTATTTCAACCAACTTCAACTGAGTTGAGACCTTTATAATATTATTTTAAAAGTAAGGGTTTAACTGCAAAGAAGGGGGAATTAAAGTGATGTTGAGAACGAGGTTTTTAAATGTATTAATTGTACCTAGGTTTTCATAGGCTGCCTTCATCTTGAACCTTCCTTATACTTCCTTTCTGTTTACCACCCTGCTCTATGTCATACTTAAAGAGATATAGTTATCACTAAAATGGACAGAGTTGGTTAATTTTCAGCAGACCTTAGGGCATTAAACTAAAATTGTGTATTAGTATAATCAATGACTGCATCTGATCCCATGGTTTTGCTTCTTTCTTTAACATATGCTGTCACTTAGGGTCTATTGTTTTCTTTGATATTTCTCCCCAATTTTCATAATTAAGAAATAACTCTCTATCAAAGATTTTAAACACAAAATATACTTTTATTTACAATTGAGAATGTTGGACATGAATTTACACATATCCATCATCATATATGGAAATTTGGCATTGTAATGCTCTTTAGAATGAACAAAAACATGTAACTGAATTCTTGTTCCTTATCATTAATATTTATTCCTGATTGGTTCAGTTACATACATAGCAGGATGGAAACACATACAGATGTTTCTCAACTTATAATGGCAGTACATCCTGACAAGACCATTATAAATGGAAAATATCATAAGTCAAAACTGATTTAATACATCTAACCTACTGAACATCATAGCTTAGCCTCACCTATTTTAAACGTGCTCAAAACACTTACATTAGCCTACAGGTGGGCAAAATTATCTAATACAAACCTATTTTATAATAAAGTGCTGAATATCTCATGTAACTTATTGAATACTGTACTTAAAGTGAAAAATAGAATGGTTCTTATGCATTCAAATAATGCATACTTGTAGTACAGTTTCTATTGAATGTCCATCAATCTTGCACTATTGTAGCTAACGTAGATGGTCTCAACTGAGACACAGAAATTTTTGGCTCCCCATTGTAAGTTGAGGACCATCTGTGGTTTTCAAGTATTTAACAATGTTGAATATCTTGTCTATATACCCTATCACTCTTAAAGAAACTGTTTTGATAGGGATTGAGCTTTGGATACCTTATAAAGGTGAACAATAGCACTCCATACAGATCAGCCTCATAGTCAGAGGGGAGCACCCCTATTCCTAACTTAATTCTTTACAAGACCTTGGCTCATCTTAATAATTGATATAATTAGCTCTTGGCTTGTGGGGCCTTTGTGGTTGTGATTGCAAGTAAGCAACTTGCACTTGGCACTTTTATGTGCAAATAGGCTCGCTCTCGCTCTCTATTTTTGATCTTTACTTAACTTTTTAGAATTCTCAATTGGAATTGATATTTTATCCAGTGTTGTTGAATTGTCTCTGGGAATAAAATATATTCATAGGATACCATTTAGGAGAGAAGGAAGGAAGGAAGGAAGGAAGGAAGGAAGGAAGGAAGGAAGGAAGGAAGGAAGGAAGGAAGGGAGGGAAGTAGGGAGGGGAGAAAGAAAAATTTAGAACTCTCATTCCATGTTCCCATAGCTAGTTGACATAAACCTAAAACACTTTCTCCTATCTCCAGTATCAGTGTCCTATCTCCAGTATCAGTATCCTATCTCCAAAATGCAGAAGCTGTTCTACACATTGTCCAGAGATCAAGTGTCTCGCCAAACTTCCACAATCTCCCAATTTTCTCTTTCTCTCTACAATGGGTAGCATCTTGCACCTTCACCCCACTCCCTACAACCAGCCCTGCCTGCTGCACATTCTGCCTCTCCTGGGAATCCCCAGACCTCACAGGACCAGTCAGATAGGGAAGAAGCTTCACTGTTCCATGGGACTGTGGGAGCCCAGCCAGGAGTAATGCTGCTGAAGCCAGGCAGACCTGGATCTTGCTCAAGGTCAACACTTAACAGCGATGTGATCTTAGACTTAGCCTGTCTAATCCTCATTGTTCTCATTTGTAAAGAGTAATAACAATGAGGCTACTTGAGAATTTAATTAGATGAACCATGTAAAGTGTTCAGGGCATTATCTGGCATAGAATAAGAACAATCACACACATAATTTTTTGACTTTTAGGCTTGGGTTATTACTAACATTACCATTATCTACTGCCACATACATTCATTCTACTTACCGTATTTGTAATTTGGACTTATGATTTGCAGCCTCCTCTTCTCCCAGGCTTTCACAAATAACAATGCCATACAATAGATCTAAATGTCCAGCCAGTCTCACAGACCTGGAGAGAAATATATAGTCCTGGGACAATAATCATTCTGTAAAGAAAGAGAATTATTTATAACCTCAGAGTGGGAAAGATCTTTCTAACGCTGCCTCAAAATGCAAAGCCATAAAAGGAAAAACATTGATAAACTGTACTAAATCAAATCATAACTTTGCACAGCATAAAACACCAAAGACAAACAAAAGATGTCAGGCACAGTGGCTCACATCTGTAGTCCCAGCTCCTCAGGAGGCTGAAGTGGGAAGATCACTTGAGCCCAGGCAGGTCAAAGCTGTAGTTACCTGAGATCATGCCACTGCACTCCAGCCCCGGTGATAGAACAAAACCCTGTCTCAAAAAAAAAAAAAAAAAAAAAAAAAACAAACTTTGCGACACTGCACTCCAGCTTGGGCTTTAGAGTGAGACTCCATCAAAAAAAAAAAAAAAAAAAAAGGCACACGACAAGCTAGGAAAAATATATTTGCAATTCAATCACAAAATACTAACATCCTCAATATATAGCAGTTTAGTTAGAAAACGATCAAGAATTCAGCAGAAAGAATTTAAAAAAAAAAGGAGATGAAAACAGAGTTCAGAGAGCAGGAAACGCAAATGTGTCTTAAACAAAAGAAGTTTCAATCTCAACTAGTGTATTTCTAGCTAATGCCACACTGAGATACTGTCTCTGATTCACCAAATTTGCAGTCTAAAGTCTGATGATGTACTCTGTTGGTAAGACGCATGTTTGATCATCATTGGTGGGCCAGATATTTTTGCAACCCTTGTGGAAGGAAGTCTGGCAATATATATCCTAATTGCAAATGAATATTCCTTTTGCCCCAGTAATCCTACTTCTGGGTATTTAACCCACATACGTCTTTTGATTATTCATCACAAATATGAATCAATATATGTCCAAATGTCTTCACTTCAGCACTTCAAATACGTAGCAAATTGAAATCTACTTGTGTTCATCAATACCGCATTGTTTAAATAAATTATGATCAAGCCAGAGAATACTGAAAATACTGTGTAACTATAAATAAATAAAGGTAAGACAATAAATAAAGAAAGGAACATATGTTGGCACTCATGTGGAACAACAGAATGGCAGGCAAAATATATTAAGTAGATAAAAACCAGGATCTTGTAGAGGGTGTGTAATATGCCATCATCTGTTGAAACAATCAAAGGAAAATAATATGTTAGTATTTTAGTATTAGTATATGCCCCAAACTATTCCAGGAAAGATACCTGAGACACCAACCACAGTGCAGTGGGCCCTCCATAGGGGCTGGTGGGGCTGACCTTCAGCAGGGCCCTCCACAAGGAGCCCAGGAATTTATAACCAGGGACCATTCTGATTGGCCAATACCTGTGCCACAAGAGTTGCCAAATATTTTGAATATTATTCCCAAACTTGGGGAGACGTGCTGATGGTGAAAAGAAACTGGGGAATCACCTTACCCTAACGTTGCCTTTTCCAGAAAGGGGAGCTGAGCTCAAAGACCCAGAGTGAGACGTGTCCTCTGAACCATCTCCTCCCAGCTATGCCATTAATGTTGTCCTGTGGGAAGCCTGAAGCCATCCCTGGTGGGCGTATGTACACCACAGAACCAGCAAACATTACTCCTTAGATAAAACGAATATGTATTTGCAATTGTGATATATATTGCCAGATTACCTCCCACTAGGGTTGCACAAATATACAGCTCAACAATGTTGCTCAAAGGTGCCTTTTAGCAAGAGTGCATCATTTTCTGAAAGCTGGTCACACTGCGAGGACTTATCACAACAAATAACAGACATCAGCATAGTATAGATAAGACTTAAATGAATACCTCGTAACTCCAATCTCTCCAGGCTCTCTGCTGAGCCAGGCTGCCTATTGCTGCAGAAATCCGATTTAAACTATGAAAAGGATTCTACATACACTCTTAACAAGGTAAGGATGCTTTGCCAGAGCATGATCGAGAGAGATCTTCATCCATGTACAAATCACAAAACAGGAAGGACAGAAGCTAGAGAAAGTCTCCCCGTGTATGCAAAACGGGAAGCTCTGGAGCTGACAGAACACCCCTAAGGATAGAATGAAAGGGAATTTGTGTCATTCTGGTTTAAAAGTCATTGTTCAACAAATAGCTGGTTAATGACTTCTGATCAAGCAGCAGTTAAGTTTGTCTACCCCTAAATTTTATAGCATTGTGAGAGTTTCCTAGTTGCACAAGGTTTCCAAGTATATTGTCATTTCTGTGGCTGTTTTATATTTTTAGATTCCTTCATGAAAGGAGAGCAGGTTGATAACACTGCCATTGATAATTTCTAAATCAGAAACCCAAGTTATCACCAATAACCCCTGGAGATGACTGTATCCAAGTTACAAAGCTCCCATGCAGAGATATTCAGGTTCCATTGAAAAGGAGGTACAGTATCTTTAAAAATTTTGCTCTTTGGATCCAGTAGTTACAACATTGCACTAAAACTTCAAAGAAAATTGAAGTTACCCAGAGGTAATCTAGTGAGTGATCTTACTACTTTAACCCCAGGATGAAACAGAATTCAATGTTTACTGCTTTTATTTAGACTGTGTATGCAAAATGAGCTATTACTGTAAGGTAATTATCCAGTTACTTCCAATCTAAATCTCCAATAATTTAAGCTGGGATCACACTAAAATTAATCTTCAGTGATCTCTAAAGTGAACTCTGAAAATGTGTTGAGTGCACACTTCAAATATATATCAAATTCTTCATAAATGTACTTGCTCAAGTCTATTGTATGCATTATTAAATGTATGCAAAACCAAAACCTTAAAATAGTAATGCAAAAATGGACATAAATGTAGAAACCCATCCTTCCTTTCTGCATGCAGTGGGCCACTTTGCAGTTGCCCTCCATGTGAATGTGACGTTCCAGCGATCATGAATCTGAAACGCTGGCTCTCAAACCCCAATGTGCTTCACAGCAAGTGTATGCTTATGCAAAATGCACCCTCTCCACCTCTACGGTAAGATTCTGGGTGTGTACTGAAAGGAAGCTGTGAAAATGTATTTCAACACCCAGTGGGGCGGGGAATGTGGGGGGATACTGACTTATGCTGTGAGAAGTAGTTTAGAGCCTAGGTGATTTATTACACACAATGTTTGGCTGAGTCTCCACTCACTTTTCGTTGATAGTCATAATCATTTCTCTGAGGAATTAAATAACTCAAATTTCTTGCTGTGTCTGGAATTGGTTCCTTCCGGTGGATTCTTGGTCTCACTGACTTCAAGAATGAAGCCACGGACACTCGCAGTGAGTGTTACGTTCATAAAGATGGTGTGTGCGGAGTTTGTTCCTTCAGATGTTCAGATGTGTCCGGAGTTTCTTCCTTCCAGTGGATTCATGGTCTCACTGACTTCAGGAGTGAAGCAGCAGACCTTCGCAGTGAGTGTTCAGCTCTTAAAGGTGGCGCGTCCAGAGTTGTTTGTTCCTCCCTGTGGGTTCGTAGTCTTGCTGATTTCACGAATGAAGCCACAGACCCTCGCAGTGAGTGTTACAGCTCTTAAAGGCAGCATGCGTCCAGTTGCCTGTTCCTCCCAGTAGGTTTGTGATCTCCCTGACTTCAGGAGTGAAGCCGCAAATCCTCGCAGTGAGTGTTACAGCTCATAAAGGTAGTGCAGACCCAAAGAGTAAGCAGCAGCAAGATTCATCATGAAGAGCGAAAAAACAAATCTCCCAGAGCATGGAAGCCGACCCAACTGGGTTCCCACTGCGAACTCAGGGGGCAAGCTTTTATTCCCTTACTTGGCCCCACCCACATCCTGCTGATTGGTCCATTTTACAGAGCGCTGATTGGTCCAATTTACAGAGTACTGACTGGTGCATTTTTACAGCATGCTGATTGGTGCGTTTACAAACCTTTAGCTAGACACAGGGCGCTGATTGTTGTGTTTACAATCCTTTAGCTAGACAGAAAAGTTCTCCAAGTCCCCACCCGACCCAGAAGCCCAGCAGCTTCACCACTCATTGCTACAAGAAGAAAAAAATGTAAAAGAATTTCCTCCCCCAAAATACTTCAAACATTAGGTACCTATAATCTTTTTGTTAGAATAAGTAAATAAATACACAAAACCTCAGTGGAACATTTAAACAAAAAATAGTTCTATGATAGCCTTTGTAACTAACAATAAAAACATTTATTTTTCTTGGTTTTATTTCCTGAAAACTGAAAGTGATTTATTAAACAAAGCTTATATCTAAATTTAAAAAAAAACTTTCAACAGAAAAGCATTTATCTGACACAGAAGAGACAAAAAGCTATTCAAATCTTAAGTCAAAAGATTTAATGCTCCCTGGGAGATATTATATATCCTTAAATCATCCTAAATGGACTCTGTATGTGTTTAAACCAGTTTATATTAAATTATGGCATTCCCAGTTAATTGTGAAATGAATAATTACTTGATTTTAGCAATTTGTGGCATATTATAATGTGTTGAATTTCACGTGTTGAATTTCACTATAAGCTACTTAATTTGAATAGCACACATTTTATAAAATATGTTTAAGTCTTTATGTTCCATTGTCAACATTTAAACTTTCCAGATATAGTCTTTGAAATGCTCAATTAAAAACAAGTCACTGCTTGAAGATTTTATTAAATTGAGGAGAAATGAGTGTGAGAAAATAGATGAAAATGAATAGCCTTTTCCTTTTCATTATCCTTATCCTTTTCTTATCCTTATTGATAAGAATATTATCAATAAAAATACGTTTTTTATGTCTATGCCTAGCAAAGATAAATATGAAGAAAGGAAGGAGGGAGAATAGGAGAGAGGAGATGGGAGGGGTGAGTATTAGATCACACAGTCTTAAAAAAATATTTAAAGAGACTAAGACCTTTGAAATAATTAAATATTTCGTCAAACTTTTGAGAAGGTGAACAATTTGGGAGATTTTTTTGTACTTAATTAACTAGTTTCCTATAGCTAGGCTGCTAATGTTAATTCAAATTTATATTTTAAAAGAATTAAATGTTTTATTGGGTGGAAACTTTTAGTAACTTGGGTAATTTAAATATTAGTGCATATAGGCTATAACACTTTAAACATTTATAATATTAAATAATCTCAATATAAGCATTGATTATATTGTAGTCTTTTCTAAGAAAAACATAAAATCCAGAGCTCATAAAATAAAATTTTGATAAATTGAACACAACTGTAAAAATAAATTTCTGTATCACATAAAGAATATCAATTACAAATAATTTTAGCTAACTTACTATGTGTTTATATTTATAATATTTATGACATTATATTCTGTATGCTAAGGAAATAGTTCATTCAATCATTACTAACAAAAGGATAGCAGTGTTTAAAAACGAAATAAGCTCATTTCTCATTAAAAACATTTAGCTCTTTTAAATCAGTTTTTAAAATCTATATTAGCAAAGCTCTAAAAGTTTGATATTACAGAATATTAACAAGGTAGACAGAATACATTATCTCATGCACATACCCTTAGGAGGGTAGCATGATAACCACAGAATACTTAAATGCATATCCTCTTTTCTACAGCAGTTCTAAGTCCAGAAAATTACAGGACTAATGTAATCACATGCATGCAGCAAAATAAATCAATAAATAGTGAAAACAACAGAAAACTGAATTCTCTGCAGCTATGAAAAAGGAAAGTTCTGTGGGTACTATATCTACTGCTATGAACATATTTCCAAAAACTGTAGACAGATCAGTCTCAAAGTGCAGAACAAGGTGTCCCTCTGTACGCAGTGCAAGGTGTGAGCACAGGAACCAGGGCCTGGGCTCTGTCTCCCTAAGTGGACGGACGGCCAGGCATGGAAGAGACTCACAGCAAATGCAGTGTTTGAATTTTACTATCAAGCATGTGTGGCTGTGATGCACACACACCAATATGGGTTCCTAGGGTGTGGTGGTGCATGCACTCTGGGAGAAGGACCTGCCTCCCCCATCGTGATGCACTGCTTGAACCCACTCTTGCTGCTAAAGCTGATGGCCAAGATGAACACCTGATTACCCATGGCCCAACTCAATTCTCTCTCCAACAAATGTATAATTGAGAGTAAAAGGGAGCAACTGGGGTGTGTTAAATTGTTACTTAACCCAAGATGCAGAGTGCAATTGGTTGAAAACAGCTCAAGGAGAGAGAGAAATGTGGTAGGGAGTGCATGGGGTGGAACTGACATGAATTGAGAGAAGCAGGAGGCAGGAGCCAGGCAGTACAGGTAGCTGGACAGGGGCATTCTGGTTTCTAAATCCACAGTCTTTAGTGCCACTCCACTGATTTCCTTTCCAAAAGCTTTGATGGCCTTTCTTTTCTATTGGGCATCCTTCTGTCCTTTAACAAATTTCTTTTCCACCCAGACTAGCTCAGGTGCATTTCCATTCTTTGCAACCCACACATCCCTGACTAAGCTTGTAGTATCACTTTTTCATTTTTGACACTTTGTTGTAAATTGCCAACTACAGTCTGATTTTCCCCGTGTGTATTTTTATTACAAAGCTTACACTCCATCCTTTGAGTGTTACTATCTTAAATACAGTATTTAGCTAGGAAATTAAATCAATTTTAACTAAAATCAACATATTTGTCTTTCTTCTCAAAAAATATTCTCCTTCTACAATCCCCCAGCTCCTGAAGGAAAGTCGTTATCTTCCCCCAGCTTAAATCTCAGCCATCTTTGGGATCTTGCATTGCCTCATTTCCTTGGCACCTGGAGGAGCAAGGTACAGTTGATTCTACTTTTTCAAATATGTGTTCCCTCCCTTTTATCATTTCTTCCACATAAGTTGGACATGAGCCTTAATAAGTTTTCATCTAGAACACTGAAAGGCCTTCTGGTTGTCACTGTAATTCAGTTCTCTTTCCCCTTGATAAAGCTTCCTAAGATGAGAGGACCATTGCTCAAAAACCTGTCTTCTATGATTAGTACTGATTCATTGATTATCAAGCTTTACATTGACTGTTAGGAATAAAACAGAAGACAAAATGACAATAATCCTCTCTCAAAGAGAAAGACTGATACCAAGATAAATCCTCTGTTTCATTAAAGCTAAGATGTTATCTTTTAAGGTGCAACAAAGAAAGAAAAACAATAAATAATAACACATTAGCTAAAATGCTATGGATTATTAGAGCATTCTGATTCCAGAGCTGTCGAAATGTGAAGAAATGCATAAAGTTGATGGGTTATTATATGGTATGCACGATAGGAATGTGTAGACAAAGCTGAGGGGAAATTAAGGAGCGGAAGTCATGTCCTTGAAGGGCCAAGGAAGTTCTTAGGGAAAGGCACACAACCAAAGAGATCAGAAGGCAAAGACTCGTCTGTGTGGACCAGCTGTGTGCACATGGGAGGGGAAGAGAATTCCTAGACATTCCCAGAAGGAATAGCTTGTGCAAGAGCCCTGAGGCTAGAGGAACAGCAGGTCAGTGAGTGGAGCAGAGCGTGCAGAGAGGAAGGACAGGGAAGTGTGGGGAGCCTTGGAAAACAGGTTCGGGCACATGGCAGGGGGTCCTGCTGCTCACAGAAGGGCATGGGTGTTTGTGATGGTTAATACTGAGTGTCAACTTGATTGGATTGAAGGATGCAAAGTACTGTTCCTGGGTATGTCTGTAAGGGTGTTGCCAAAGGAGATTCACATATGAGTCAGTGTACTGGGAAAAAGACAGACTGCCCCTCTTAATCTGGGTGGGCACAATCTAATCAGCTGCCAGTGCAGCCAGAATAAAAAGCAGGAAGAAGAAAGTGAAAAGACTAGACTGGCTTAGCCTCCCAGCCTCCATCTTTCTCCTGTATGCTGTATGCTTCCTGCCCTTAAACATCGGACTCCAAGTTTTTCAGGTTTGGAACTCGGACCGGCTTCCTTGCTCCTCAGCTTGTAGACGGCCTATTATGGGACCTTGTGATCATGTGAGTTAATACCCTAAATATATATATATATATATATATATATATATATATATATATATACACACACACATATATACATATATATATCATTTTACTAGGACTACTCTGGCTGGAGGAAGCAAGGGCAGTTAGAGGACAGTTGCAATAATCCCAATCAAAACAGATAGTTGCTTGAATTGGGATGGAGAAGGGCGTGGGACAGGGAGGCTTGAGGAGCAGTGTCAGGTAATCAGGGGACAGGGAGGCTTGAGGAGCAATGTCAGGTAAACAGGTGTGGACAGGCCAGTTAAGTTCTCAATGTCTGAAGGATATTCAATGCAAATATCAATAATACAACTGTATAAAGCAATCCAGAAACCAGGGGAGAGCTTCAGGGTGGAGATAAAAATGTAAGGTAGGGGGCATTTCAAGCAATGAGACTGGATGTGTCTCTGTTGGAGTAGGTATAGACGCAATACAGGGGAGAACCAAGCAAGGACAAAGCGCAAAGGCAATGCAAAGCTTGGGGATTAAGAAGGTGGGGAGGAGTCACGGAAGGAGATCAGCCAGTGGGGCGGAGGGACAATTTGTGTAGAGGCAGCAGGGGCAGCTGTCCTCAAACCAATGAGTGAGGCCCCTGAGGAAAGGTGTCCTGCCAGCACCTTGGTCTTGGACTTCCTGCCTCCAGAACAGTGAGAAAATATTTTGTTGTTGTTTAAGTCATCTAATCTGTGGTATTCTGTTATGGCATCCTGATATGGCTTAGATATTTGTTCCCTCCAAATGTCATGTTGAATTGTGATCCCCAGTGTTGGAGGTGGAGCCTGGCGGGAGGTGATTGGAGCGTGGGGGCAGATCCCTCATGGCTTGGTGCTGTCTTTGCCATAGTGAGTTCTCCAAGATCTGGTTGTTTTAAAGTGTGTGGCACCTCCCTGCCCCTTGCCCCCTCTCTCGCCACATGAGATGCCAGCTCCCCTTGCACTTTCCTCCATTACTGTGAGCTCCCTGAGGCCTCACCAGAAGCACATGCTGATACCACACTTTCTGTGTAGCCTGCAGAACCATGAGCCAATTAAAACTATTTTCTTTATAAGTTATCCAGCTTCAGGTATTTCTTTACAGCAACACATGAACAGCCTAACACACAGCCTGAGCAGACTAATGGCACAAATGAATTAGATAATACCTATAATTCTTTCTAGAGATAAGTTTCTAATGAATGCTCTACACATATGAACATAATCTTTAAGGAATGGGAGCTGATCATAATCCCAAAAGACAAAATCTCCAATGCCATAATCCTGAGTATTGAAATCCCAAAAATATAATTCTGGAAAAAATAATTTTAAAAATCCTATAAAAATATTTAATCACATTTGTAAAAGGGGATTTGCTTGAGAAACATAAAAATATGACAGAACACTTCATAGGCCACTTTACACAAAAAAATAGGCAATAATATACATATTTTTGCAAACATAAACACTCAAGAATACTAATGACAGTCACATGGGTGTAACAGTTATAATCAGATGAACTGTGGTCATAAAGAAATCAGTCAAAAGTGAAATGTATAAACACATATCACTATGGTGGGTAATTGTGTGCACTCAGCTGTATAAGTGAAGTCATTAGAAATACCTTAATGGACAACCTAAGTCTTTTGACAAGATCAATCAAAAACAGAGATGGGGCTGGGGCAGAGATGGCCAACTAAAATAAGTGGTAATTGGAGGCTCCCATCGAAAAGAACCATAACAGCGTGTGAATCTTGCACCAGCAACTGAGGAATACAGGTTCTGTCATCAGAACTGACTAGGCAGCTGGTATGACCCACAGAGAGAAAGGAAGAGCAATGTGATGCTGGGGACCACCTGAGAACCACACGGGGCAGGTGAGTGCCCACCCCCAGCCAAGAGAGGTGGTGAGTAAGCGTGCTACCCAGCCTTGGTAAACGTGATTTTTCCATGAAATTGCAACCCACGGATCAGAAGATCCAACTGGTGAGCCCATGCCACCAGGGCCTAGGGTCCTAACCCCAGAGCTGCACAGATTCTCAACAGCCACTAAGCTAGAATCTGCTTAAGCCTGCCCAGCTCCCAGAAGGAGGGGTGACCAGCACCACAGCTGCAGCTGCCTGTAGTCTAAGTTGTTTGAGCTCCTTGGGGGAGGGGCAACAGCCAACAAAGGGACTGATAGTTCAGTAACACACTAAGCTCCCAGGGCAGGGGAAGAGTGGCAGCCAACTCTATAGCTCCAGGCTGTGCTTTTCCCTTGCTGGAGCCGGGCAGGCTGGACGGCTTGGTCCCAAGAGGTATCCCCCACAGCTCAACACACCGGCTGTGTCAGACTGCAGACAGAGTGCCTCTTCAGGCCTAACCTTGACCCCATCCCTCCTCACTAGGCAGGGCCTCCCTGCAGGAACTCCAAGAACTCCAGCCAGGGGCTCAGGGACAGAACTCTGATCTCCCTGGACCTGAGCCCTTAGGGAGAGGGATGGCCACAGTCTCTATGAATCAGCACACTTAGTCTTTACTCCTACTAGGTCTGAGGTATCTGGGCAGTGCAAACAAGTGTGTTTCCCCCCAGCAAAGCACACCCACCTCCACCAAGGGACAAAGTGCTTTGTTAAACAGGTCCTGCTCCCTGTGCCACCCAACTGGGTGAAACCCTCCAACAGGGGTTGTCAGACACCCTATACAGGACCATTCCTACTGGCATCAGGTCAGTGCCCCTCGAGGTCAGAGATCCCAGAGGAAGGAGCAGGCACCCATATTTGCTATTTTCCAGCGTCCTCAAGTGACATCTCCAGGCACAGGACCTAACCAGATAAATAGGGCCTGAAATGAACCCCCAGCAAACTGCAGCAGCCCTACAGAAGAGGGACCTGACAATTGCAACAAAAACAAACAAACAGAAAGCAACAACAACAGCATCAACAAAAAAAGTCCCTACAAAAGCCCATCCAAGGGTCAGCATCCTCAAAGATCGATACTAGACCAACTCATGAAGATGAGAAAGAATCAACAACAACAACAACAAAAAACGCTGAAAACCTAAAAGGCCAGAGTGCCTCTTCTCCACCAAGTGATTTCTACACCTCTCCAGCAAGGGCACAAAAGTGGACGGAGGATGAAATGGATGAATTGACAGAGGTAGGCTTTAGGAGGTCGGTAATGACAAACTCTGCTGAGTTAAAGCAGCATGTTCTAACCCAATACAAAGAAGCTAAGAACCTTGATAAAAGGTTATAGGAGGTGCTAACTAGAATAACCAGTTTAGAGAGGAAGATAAATAACCTGATGGATCTGGGAAACACAGCACAAGAACATCGTGAAGCACACAGAAGTATCAATAGCCACATAGATCAAGCAGAAGAAAGTATATCAGAGTTTGAAGGCCATCTGGCTGAAATAAGGCATTCAGGCAAAATTAGAGAAAAAAAGAATAAAAAGGAATGAACAAAACCTCTGAGAAATATGGGAATATGTAAAAAGACTAAACATATGATTTATTGGAGTACCAGGCAAATAGAACTAAGTTGGAAAACATACTTTAGGATATCATCCAGGACAATGTCTCCAATCTAGCAAGATAGGCCAACATTCAAATTTAGGAAATACAGAGAACACCACTAACATATTCCACAAGAAGACAACTCCAAGACACATAATCATCAGATTCTCCAAGGTCAAAATGAAGGAAAAAATATTAAGGGCAGCCAGAAAAAAGGTCAGGTTACCTACAGAGGGAAGCCCATCACACTAACAGTCGATCTCTCAGCAGAAACCCTACAAGCAAGAAGAGAATGGGGACCAATATTCAATATTCTTACAGAAAAGAATTTTCAACCTAGAATTTCATATCGAGGCAAACTAAGAATCAGAAGCAAAGGGAAATATAATAGTTTCCAGACAAGCAAATGCTGAGAGATTTGATCACCACCAGGCGTCCCTTGCAAGAGCTCCTGAAGGAAGCACTAAATATGGAAAGGAAAAACCAGTACCAGCCACTGCAAAAACACACAAAAATATAAAGACCAAAAACATTGTGAAGAAACTGTTCAACAATTGTGCAAAATAACCAGCTAGTATCATGATGATGGATCAAATTCACATACATTAAATGTAAATGGGCTAAATGTCACAATCAAAAGATATAGACTGCCTCCAGCCTAAGCAACAAGAGCAAGACTCTGTCTCAAAAAAAAAAAAAAAAAAAGACACAGACTGGCAAACTGGATAGAGTCAAGACCCATCAGTGTGCTGTATTCAGAAGACACATCTCACATGCAAAGACACACATAGGCTCAAAATAAAGGGATGGAGGAAATTTAACAAGCAATTGGAAAGCAGAAAAAAAAAAAACAGAGGTTGTAATACTAGTCTCTGACAAAACAGACTTTAAACCAACAAAGATCAAAGAAGGGCATTACGTAATGGTAAAGGGATCAATGCAACAAGAAGAGTTAACTATCCTAAATATATATGCACCCAATACAGGAGCACCCAGATTCATAAAGCTAGTTCTCAGAGACCTACAAAGAGACTTAGACTTCCACACAATAATACTGGGAGACTTTAGCACCCCATTGCCTATATTAGAAAGATTAATGAGACAGAAAATTAACAAGGATACTCAGAACTTGAACTCAGCTCTGGATCAGGTAGACCTAATTGACATCTACAGAACTCTCCTCCCCAAATCAACAGAATATACATTCTTCTCAGTGCTGCATGGCACTTATTCTAAAGTACACCACATAATTGGAAGTAAAACACTCCTCAGCAAGCGCAAAAGAACTGAAGTCATAACAAACAGTCTCTCAAACCACAGTGCAATCAAATTACAACTCAGCATTAAGAAACTCACTGAAAAACTGCACAACTACATGGAAATTGAACAACCTACTCCTGAATGATTCCTGGGTAAATAATGAAATTAAGGCAGAAATCAAGAACTTATTTGAAACCAGTGAGAACAAAGAGACAATGTACCAGAATCTCTGGGACACAGCTAAAGCAGTGTCAAGAGGGAAATGTATAGCACTAAATGCCCACATCAGAAAGCTAGAAAGATCTCAAATTGATGCCCTAACATCGCAATTAAAAGCGTGAGAGAAGCAAAAGTGAACTAATCCAAAACTTAGCAGAAGACAAGAAATAACTAAGATTAGAGCAGAACTGATGGAGATAGAGACATGGAAAACCCTCCAAAATAATTAATGAATCCAGGAGCTGGTTTTTTTAAGAAAATTAACAAAATAGATATACCACTAGCTAGACTAATAAGGAAGAAAAGAGAGAAGAATCAAATAGAACAATAAAAAATGATAAAAGGGATATCACCACTGACTCCACAGAAATACAAACTACCATCAGAAAATACTATAAAGACTTCTACACAAATAAACTAGAAAATTTAGAAGAAATGGATAAATTCCTGGACACATACACCCTCCCAAGACTAAACCAGGTAGAAGTCAAATCCCTGAATAGACCAACAAGTTCTGAAATTGAGGCAGTAATTAATGGCCTACCAACCAAAAAAAGCCCAGGACCAGATGGATTCATAGCTGAATTATACCAGAGACACAAAGAGGAGCTTGTACAATTCCTTCTGAAACTATTCCAAGTAATTGAAAAGGAGAGACTCCTCCCTAACTCGTTTTATGAAGCCGGCATCATCCTGATACCAAAACCTGGCAGAGACACAACAAAAAAAGAAAATTTCAGACCATTAACCCTGATGAACATCCATGCAAAAATCCTCAATAAAATACTGGCAAACCAAATCCAGCAGCACATCAAAAACTTACCCACGATGATGAAGTAGGCTTCATCCCTGGGATGCAAGGCTGGTTCAACATACGCAAATCAATAAACATCATCCATCACATAAAAGGGACAAATGACAAAAACCACATGATTAGCTCAATTGATGCAGAAAGGCCTTCGATAAAATTCAACACATCATCATGTTAAAAACCTCTCAATAAACTAGATATTGATGGAACATATCTCAAAAGAATAGGAGCCATTTATGGCAAACCTGCAGCCAATATCATACTGAATGGGCAAAAGCTAGAAACATTCCCCTTGAAAACCAGCACAAGACAAGGATGCCATCTCTCACCTCTCCTATTAGACATAGTATTGGAAATTCTGGCCAGGGAGATCAGGCAAGAGAAAGAAATAAAGGATATTCAAACAGGAAGAGAGGAAGTCAAATTGTCTCTGTTTGCAGATGACATTATTCTGTATTTAGAAAACCCCATCGTCTCAGCCCAAAGATTCCTTAAGCTGATAAGCAACTTTAGCAAAGTATCAATATAAAAAATCATTGTGCAAAAATTACAAGCATTCCTATACACCAACAATAGACAAGCAGAGAGCCAAATCATGAGTGAACTCCCATTCACGATTGCTACAAAGACAATGAATACCGAGAAATACAGCTAACAAGGGATGTGAAGGACCTCTTCAAGGGGGAACTATAAACCACTGCCCAAGGAAATAAGAGAGGACACAAACAAAGGGAAAAACATTCCATGCTCATGGATAGGAAGAATCAATATCATGAAAATGGCCATACTGCCCAATGTAATTTAAAGATTCAATGCTATTCCCATCAAAGTGCCATTGACATTCTTCACAGAATTAGAAAAAAAAAACTGCTTTAAATTTCATATGGAACCAAAAAAGAATCCATATAGCCAAGACAATCCTAAGCAAAAAGAACATGGCTGGAGGCATCACACTGCCTGACTTCAAGCTATACTACAAGTCTGCAGTGACCAAAACAGCATGGTACTGGTATCAAAATAGACATATAGACCAATGGAACAGAACAGAGGCCTCAGAAATAATGCCGCACACCTACATCCATCTGATCTTCGACAACCTGACACAAACAAGCAACGGGGAAAGGATTCCCTATTTAATAATTAGTGCTGGGAAAACTGACTAACCATATTCAAAAAACGGAAACTGGACCCCTTCCTTACACCTTATACAAAAATTAACTCAAGATAAAGACTTAAATGTAAAACCCAAAACCATAAAAACCCTAGAAGAAAACCTAAGCAATACCATTCAGTACACAGGCATGGGCAAAGACTTCATGATGAAAATGCCAAAAGCAATGGCAACAAAAGCCAAAATTGACTGAAGGGATCTGATTAAACCAAAGAGCTTCTGCACAGCAAAAGAAGCTATCATCAGAGTGAACAGGCAACCTACAGAATGGGAGAAAATTTTTGCGATCTACCCATCTGACAAAAGTCTAATCTCCAGAATCTACAAGGAACTTAAACAAATTTACAAGAAAAAACAAACAACCCTATCAAAAAGTGGGCAAAGGATATGAACAGACATTTCTCAAAAGAAGACATTTATGCAGCCAACAATCATATGAAAAAAGGCTCAACATCATTGATTATTACAGAATTGCAAATCAAAGCCACAATGAGATACCAACTCATACCAATCAGACTGTTTCAAGTCTGAAACAACCACTGTTCTCCTCCAAAAGGCAAGCTTCCTCTCAACCCCACTTTTCTTTCTCAATTACCATTATGCCTTTCTCCTTCCCTCCAAGTTCACAAACTAAAAGAAAAAAATTACTTATAAATCCCTGATTCATTGTCAATAGAGGTAATTTAATATGCACTTGTTCCAATGGCTCTGGTGCTAGGATAAAATAACGTCTCCAGGAATGTGATCCCACAGATAACAAAGATGATATAATCCTACCGATAATGAAGATGTGACCCTAAAGATAACAACGACGTGATCCCAAAGATAAAGATCTGATGCTACAGATACAAAGACGTAATCCTACAGATAACAAGGATGTGATCTTCAGATAACAGTAGCATCATCCTGCAGATAGACTACGAGGTTGTGATCTCACAGATAGTGAAGATAGGATCCCACAGATAGCGAGGGTATGATCCCACAGATAGTAAGGATGGGATCCCACAGATAGTAAGGATGGGATCCCACAGATAACAAAGATGGTGTCCTACTGATAACAATGATGTGATTCTAATGGTAACACAGAGGTCTCCTGCAGATAATAAGGATGCAACTCACATCCTTTAGTGACCTAGGCAACCCCTTCCTTCTTCCTACCTAATGATAGAAAGGTGTTTGTCTTCGTTATGTCAAAGCTTGATAAGTGATTATGCTATTTTTTTATTTATAAGGTCTCCAGGTCACATATCAATTTCTCAGTGCCTACAAATTCCCTGTGGGCCTATGCTGCCATACTGGAACATAAATATGTCACGCACATTAATTTTACTTTAAATTTCATATGTGAATGGCAGGGCAGTCAATTAAATGTGGCATAGCAATATAGTTGAGAAATGAGTGTCATGAAATTAGGCATCATTTGGATAAACAAATTACCTAGAGATATCTGCCTGAGTGTGTATCAAATTACTGGTGTCTGTATTTGTAGAAAATACTAGATATGAGATTTTCATTGAAGACTAAAGTTAAAAAGTGCATAGCAAATATTATATGCTGAGGACATTGAAAATCAGAGTCTCTAACTGCTTTTCTTTGTCTCTGTTCCTCTGTCTCTGTTTCTTTCTCTATATCTGTCTCTCTCTCTCTCTCTCTGTCATTTTCTCTCTCTTTCTCTCTCTCTCTCTCATTTTCTCTCTCTCTCTCTCCCTCTCTCTCTCTCTCTCACACACACACACACACCCTGCTATAATGAGATGTGGGGTCCTACCTAGTTGAGGAAGCACAGCACCCTGAATGTCACCCTTGGATTTCCAACTCTGTTCTGTTGTGTACTAAAGGAGGCCATGTGGATTCTAGACCTAAGAGTGTGAGCTGCAGCTCAGACCCAATTCAGCTGTGCGATCCCCACCAGACATTTCAGCTCACTGATCCTCAGTGTCTGCAACCATCAAATGACAGCACCCACCTTGAAACATTGCTGCAAGAATCAAATGACATACAGTGTGTTTTAGGGCAGCCAATAATATATGAATGTGAAATCTAATCACAAATATGGCATTAGCTGAGTACCAACAGACACTATCGTACACTCATACTGTTGAATACTACTGAACGATATTAAAAGGACTGAATTCTGATACACTAAACAACTTGGACAAATCTCCAGGAAATTATCCAGAGTGAAAAAATCTAATCCCAAAACGTGTATACTCTACAATTCCACTTATATAATATTTTGAAATGATAAAATTATAGGGTATGGTTAGCTCTCATGGTTTGATGTTAATACCTTGGTATAACTGAATATTATTCAGTATTACTTGGCATTACCTTGACACAGAACAATAGTTTAGCATCTTGATTAGGGTGGCGAACACAGAAATTATGTATGTGATAAAATTGTATTGCTTCTACACACACATACAAACAAATACAAGTAAAGTGAGAAATTTTAATAAAGTTGTTCAATTGTATCAATGTCAATATTCTGTTTGTGACATTATGCCATAGTTTAGTAACATGTTACCATTTAGGGAAATTTGATAAATCTTCCTATTATTTCTTATAGCTGCATGTGAATCTACATTTATGTAAATAAAAATAGCAAGTTAAAATAAAATTTAATTCTCTTTTATGCTGATTTTCCCAGAATGTTCATGTTTCCAGAGGCCAGCAGCTCTGCTACATTACCAGAATGTATCTTTGTATATACCTTTGGCCCCTTGATCTCCAGTCTGTCTAAAATGCTGAAAGAAATTGCAGACATTTACTGAATCAGAGTTTTCAAATTTTGCCATTTCTTTTACTGCCTACTGTGAAATTGGATGGGATGACGTTAAGCCTAGGGATTTTTTTTGTACTCCTATCTGTTAGTTTTAATGTGTGCTTTGATTTCTAAGGTGAAAAGGGGGAGGAATGGAGACTCAAGGCACAAATGAGACCAAGTACATGTAATGGTGTCAGTGCCATATTTCATCAAATGAGCGCTAAGAAAAACAAATTCTTCAGGCCAGTCGTGGTGGCTCATGCCTGTAATCCCAGCACTTTGGGAAGCCTAGGCGGGTGTATCACTTGAAGTCAGGAGTTCAAGACCAACCTAGCCAACATGATGAAACCCCATCTCTACTAAAAACACAAAAATTAGCCAGGCATGGTGGAACATGCCTGTAATCCCAGTTGCTCGGGGTGCTGAGGCAGGAGAATCACTTGAACTGGAGAGGTGGAGGTTACAGTGAAGCCGAGATCACACCACTGCACTCTAGCCTGGGTGACAGAGCGAGACTCCATCTCAAAACAAAAACAAAAACAAAAACAAAAAACTTCACCTGCTTGTTCTCAATACCTCCTGCAGGAAAGAAAAGGCAGCACTGTGTTCTAAAAGCTCTCTGAAACAATTACACCAGACTCAGAATGTGAACTTCCTGTGTCTTGTTTACTGGTGTTTTTCCGGTTGTTATATGCCTCCCATGTAGTAAATATTCTATTCAACTTTGTTGAATATAAAAATGAATGATTGAAGGGGAAAGAGATGCGGGAAATGCTTCTGGGTGTGTAACATGAGAATAGGAAAGTTTGGAAAGATTATGAGACATAGGGACAAGACAAGGGTTTCGAGGGTCTTTAGAGTACTTGGCACCAACCCCCGACCCTTGTGCATTGCTCATCCCATGCAAACGGGACTATTCGTAGGGTAGCTTACAGATTCTAGAAAAAAATATGTAGTGCTTTGATCACAAATCTGCTGGAAAAGACCACTGTGGCCAAATTGAGGAATTAGCTGAGTCTATCATCTGGAAAATAAACCTGAAGATTGAGCAATAAGCATATCAGTGGTTCCTATAATCTTCATTAAACCATACATTTCTTTTTCATGCCCTGGCCATTAAGGAAGCAACCCACCTTTTCATTAAGTCCCAATAAAGGGAAAGACATGATGGTGAGTTTTTAAGTTTTTCTTTTGCCTCGTATATTTCAGAATCGGAGTTGAAGAAACCAGAAAATCAGATTTTTTTCTAAACCCAAGGAAAACCTTCTCCTCATGTCAAACAACAAGAGCCAGACAGAAGAGTTTTAGACAGTAACCACTCTACTTCATCCAGATACCATAGAAAAAGTATGAACCTATCCACATCCAACAGCAAGGGTGTTCCTCTCCTATCTGGTTGAGTGCTATCAGAAGAGATCTATGTGAGAGTGAAAATTTTAATCACTGCCCAGGGGTAACACACACTCCCTGTGGTGTCTGTGGAAGACACATGGAGAGAAATAATAGATACTTCTGCTTCTCCCAGCCAGGTTAGTATCAGTAGAAGCTTCATGGGCTGCCAAAACTCCCTCCACTGAGCAGAAATAAGGAGACCCCTATATTGAATGTCAATGAAGGCGAAGCAGAAAACTTGGACATCTACACCCACCTGACAGTAATGGGACAGCAGCTTCCTCCCTTACCAGAGAAATCTCTCAGAGAAAGCTAGGTAAAAGACAAGATTTACATAAGATGCACAGTACCCAAATTTCCAAGTTTCAGTTGAAAATCACTCATCATATCAAGAACCAGGAAAATTTCAACCTGAATGGAAAAAGAAAATTAATACATGCCAGTGTCAGAGGCATTTGAACCAGAGCAACTCCGTCTTGAATAAGGGCTGAGTAAAATGAGGCTGAGACCTACTGGGTTGCATTCCCAGGATGTTAGGCATTCTTAGTCATAGGATAAGATAGGAGGTCAGCACAAGATACAGGTCAAGATACAGGCCACAAAGACCTTGCTGTTAAGAAAGGATGTGGTAAAGAAGCCAAAACCAAGATGGTGATGAAAGTGACCTCTGGTCATCCTCACTGCTCACTATATGCTAATTATAAAGCATTAGCATGCTAAAAGACTCTGCTACCAGCACCATGACAGTTAATGAATGCCATGGCAATGTCAGGAGGTTACCCTGTATGGTCTAAAAAGGGAAGGAACCCTCAGTTCCAGGAAGCGCCCACCCCTTTCCTGGAAAACTCATGAATAATCCACCCCTTGTTAACCATATAATCAAGAAATAACTATAAGTATATTCACTTATATCCACTTATATCCACTTATATTCACTGGATATCCACTTATATCCAGTATATTCACTTATATCCACTGCCTGTGGAGTAGCCAGCCATTCTTTACTCCTTTGCTTTCTTAATAAACTTGCTTTCACTTTACTCTATGGACTCATCCCAAATTCTTTTTGCATGAGGTCCAAGAACCCTCTCTTGGACTCTGAATCCAGACCCCTTTCTGGTAACACCAGCACTGAGATAACAGAGATGTTAGGATTATCTGACAAGGATTTTAAAGTATCCTGATAAAAATTATTTGATGAGCAATTGCAAACACACTTGAAAATAAAAAAAAAAATAGAAAGGCTTAGCAAAAAAAAAGGAGAAAGTTTCAGAAAAGATAGAAGATATTTTGAAGGGCTAAATTGAAATTCTAGAACTAAAATTTACAATGACCAAAATTCTTAAAAACAGCAAATGAAAGCAAAGGAGGAGAGAACCAGTGCATTTGGAGATAGAGCAGAAATTATCCAATATAAGCAAGAGTGAGAAAATAGACTGAAAAAAAAAAGAAACTCTCAGAGACCTGTAGAAAACAACAAAAATTCTAATATTTGACATCATTGAAGTTCAAAAGATGAAGAGAAAGAGAGCAGGACTGGAAAAGTACTCTAATAAATAATAGCTAAAACTTCCCAAATTTGTCAAAAGACACGAATAGATTCAAGAAGCTGAACAAATCCCAAACAAGATTTTCAAACAAATCTCAAATGAAGTATTCACATCAAGACACTTTTTTATTTTATTTTATTTTATTTTGTTTTATTTTATTTTTATTTTTGAGACAGAGTCTCACTCTGTTGCCCAGTCTGGAGTGCAGTGGTGCCATCTCAGCTCACTGCAACCTCTGCCTCTTGGATTCAAGCAATTATCCTGCCTCAGCCTCCCGAGTAGTTGGGATTACAAGGCACATGCCACCACACCTGGCTAACTTTTGTATTTTGAGTAGTGATGGGGTTTCACCATATTGGCCTGGCTAGTCTGAAACTCCTGACCTCAGGTGATCCACCCAGCTAGGCCTCCCAAAGTGCTGGGATTACAGGAATGAGCCACGGTGCCCGACCAAGACACATTAATTAACAGAAAATATCTTGAAAATAGCTACAGAAACATCTTACTGAAAAAATAAAGCAATTCTAATGACAACAGATTTCTTATTATAAATGATAGAGAGCAAAAGGAAGTGGTGCATTTTTAAGTGCTGAAAGAAATGAACTATCTATCCAGAATTCTTTGAGCAATATATTAATATCTTTTTTCAGGAGTGAAGGGGAAATGAAGACCTTCTCAGATAACAGAACATGTCACCAGGAGACATACCCTTAAAAATTGCTGAAGAAGTTCTTTAAACAAAAGGTAATAATAAAGAGGGAATATTGGAATATCAGGAAGGAAGAAAGAAAACTGAAAATTGTAATCATATGGATAAATACAATGCATTCCCCCCTTCTCTTACTGAGTTCCCAAAGTTATGGTAGAAGGTTGAAAAAAGTCTGTAACACTGTGAAATGTTTCTAAGTGTTCTTAGAAGAAATATTTAAAAGAATTATATTTTAAATGGGGGCATGTAAAGGTATAGGTAGGTGTTATTTCTATACTTAATTCAAACTTTGAAAATGATGACAAAAGTAGACTTCAATAAGTTATATAAATGTAATATAATTTCTATAGTAAACACTAAAAAGCTATAAAAAGACATACTCCCAAAAAAACTATGGATGAATTGAAATTGAATTAAAATAAATGTTCAAGTAACCCATAGCAAGGTAGAAAAAATAAAACAAAAACAAAAAATAGAACAAAGAGAAAACAAGAAATAAAGAGTAGTCTTAAGCTACCACGTAGCCATAATTACAATAAAAGTAAATGGTCTTAATACACCAACTAAATGACAGAGAGGCACAGCATCTTAAAACATATGAACAAACATAAACTGTCTACATAAAATTTACTTCAAATATATCAATATAGTTGTTAAAAGCAAAATTATGAAAATGTACACCTGTAAACTGTAGTCAAAAGAAAGCAGGCATGGTTATGTCAAATCACATAGACTGCAAAGCCAGAAAAATTATCAAAGACAGAGAGAGGGGCAATCCACAAAAAACACATTGCAATCCTAAATGTGTGTGAACCAAACAACAGAGCTGCAAAATATGTGAAACAAAAATTGATAAACTCAAAGGAGAAATAAACAAAAGCCAAATTGTTTCAAAAATCTCTCAGTAATTTATAGAAACTATGAAGAATAATCCTCTGCAAATTTAAAGCAACTTAATAACACAGAGTACACTCTCTTATTTAGTGAATAAAAATGACTAGAAGTTAATAAAAGAAACATAACAGGAAAGTCCCCAACAAGTTGGAAACTAACCAATACACTTCAAAATAATCTAAGCAAGGTCTCAAGCAAAACTAAAAATGAGTTAAAGTGAAGAAAATGAAAATACAGTATATAGAACCAAGTTGGAAAACACTCTTCAGGATATTATCCAAGGGGAATCTCCCCAACCTAGCAAGACAGGCCAACATTCAAATTCAGGAAATACAGGGAACACCACAAAGATACTCCTTGAGAAGAGCAACCACAAGACACATAATTGTCAGATTCACCAAGGTTGAAAGGCAGGAAAAAATGTAAAGTGCAGCCAGAGAGAAAGGTTGGGTTACCCACAAAAGGAAGCCCATCAGACAAAGAACAGATCTCTCTGCAGAAATGCTACAAGCAAGAAGAGATTGGGGGTTCATATTCAACAATATTAAAGAAAATAATTTTCAATCCAAAATTTCATATCCAGCCAAACTAAGCTTCATAAGCGAAGGAGAAATAAAATCCTTTACAGACAAGCCTAGCCGCATATGCTGAGAGATTTTGTCACCACCAGGCCTGCCTTATGAGAGAACCTAAAGGAAACACTAAACAAGAAAAGGAAAAATGGGTACCATCCACTGCAAAAACATACCAGATTATAAAGACCTATGAAGAACCTGCATCAACTAACGGGCAAAATAACCAGCTGACATCATAATGACAAGATAAAATTCACACATAACAATATTAACCTTAAATGTAAATGGGCTAAATGCCCCAATTAAAAGACACAGACTGGCAAATTGGATAAAGAGTCAATACCCATCAGTGTGCTGTATTCAGGAGATCCATCTCATGTGCAGAGACACATATAGGCTCAAAATAAAGGGATGGAGGAAGATCTACCAAGCAAATGGAAAGCAAAAAAAAAAAAAAAAGCAGGTGTTGCAATCCTAGCCTCTGATAAAACAGACTTTAAAGCAACAAAGATTAAAAGACACAAAGAAGGCCATTACATAATAGTGAAGGGATCAATTCAACAAGAAGAGCTAACTATCCTAAATATATATGCACCTAATACAGGAGCTCGCAGATTCATAAAGCAAGTTCTTAGAGACCTACAAAGAGACTTAGACTTCCACACAATAATACCAGGAGACTTTAGCACCCCCCTGTCAATATTAGACAGATCAACAAGATAGAAAATTAACAAGGATATCCAGGACTTGAACTCAGCTCTGGACCAAGAGGACCTAATAGACATATACAAAACTCTCCACCCCAAATCAACAGAATATACATTATTCTTAGCACCACATCACATTTATTCTAAAATTGACCACATAATTGGAAGTAAAACACTCCTCAGCAAATGCAAAGGAATGGACATCATAACAGTCTGTCAGACCACAGTGGAATCAAATTAGAACTCAGAATTGAGAAATTCACTCAAAACTGCACAACTACATGGAAACTGAAGAACCTGCTCCTGAATGATTACTGGGTAAATAATGAAATTAAGGCAGAAATCAAGAAGTTATTTGAAACCAATGAGAACAAAGATACAACGTACCAGAATCTCTCAGACACAGCTAAAGCAGTGTTTAGAGGAAAACTTATAGCACTAAATGCCAACAGGACAAAGTGGAAAAGATCTAAAATCAACACCCTAACATTACAATTAAAAGAATTAGAGAAGCAAGAGCAAAGATATTCAAAAACTAGCAGAAGACAAGAAATAAACTAAGATCAGAGCAGAACTGAAGGAGATAGAGACACAAAAAACCCTTCAAAAAAATCAATGAATCCACAAGCTGGCTTTTTGAAAAGATTAACAAAATACATAGACCACTAGCCAGACAAATAAAGAAGAAAAGGAAGAACAATCAAACAGACACAATAAAAAATGATAAAGGGGATATCACCACCGATCCCACAGAAACACAAACTGTCACCACAGAATACTATAAACACCTCTACAGAAATAAACTACAAAATTTAGAAGAAATGGATAAATTCCTGGATACATACACCCTCCCAAGAGTAAACCAGGAAGAAATCGAATCCCTGAGTAGACCAATAATAAGTTCTGAAATTGGGGCAGTAATTAATAGTCTACCAACCAAAAAAAGCCCAGGACCAGGTGGATTCAGAGCCAAATTCTACCAGAGGTACAAAGAAGAGCTGGTACCATTCTTTCTGAAACTATTCCAAACAATAGAAAAAGAGGGAATCCTCCCTAATTCATTTTATGAGGCCAGCGTCATCCTGATACCAAAGCATGGCAGAGACACAACAAAAAAAGAAAATTTCAGTGCAATATTCCTGATGAACATCCATGCAAAAATCCTCAATAAAATACTGGAAAACTGAATCCAGCAGCACATTAAAAAGCTTATCCATCATGATCAAGTCAGTTTCATAGCTGGGATGCAAGGCTAGTTCAACATATGCAAATCAATAAAGATAATTGATTCCATAAACAGAACCAATGACAAAAAACACACGTTATATCAATAAATGTAGAAAAGGCCTTTGATAAAATTCAACACCCCTTCATGCTAAAACGTCTCAATAAACTAGGTATTGATGGAACATATATCAAAATAATAAGGGCTATTTATGACAAATCCACAGCCAATATCATACTGAATGGGCAAAAGCTGGAAGCATTCCCTTTGAAAACCAGCACAAGACAAGGATGCTCTCCTTTGCCACTCCTATTCAACATAGTATTGAAAGTTCTGGCCAGGTTAATCAGGCAAGAGAAAGAAATAAAGGGTATTCAAATAGGAAGAGAGAAAGTCAAATTGTCTCTGTTTGCAGATGACATGATTGTATATTTAGAAAACCCCATCATCTCAGCCCAAAATCTCCTTAAGCTGATAAGCAACTTCAGCAAAGTCTCAAGATACAAAATCAATGTGCAAAAATCACAAGCATTCCTATGCACCAATAATAGACAAACAGAGAGCCTAATCATGAGTGAACTCCCACTCACAATGGCTACAAAGAGAATAAAATATCTAGGAATACAATTTACAAGGGATGTGAAGGACCTCTTCAAGGAGAACTATAAACCACTGTTCAAGGAAATAAGAGAGGACACAAAAAAATAGAAAAACATCTTGAATTGATTTTTGTATAAGGTATAAGGAAGGGATCCAGTTTCAGCTTTCTACATATGGCTAGCCAGTATTCCCAGCACCATTTATTAAATAGGGAATCCTTTCCCCATTGCTTGTTTTTCTCAGGTTTGTCAAAGATCAGATAGTTGTACATATGCGGCGTTATTTCTGAGGGCTCTGTTCTGTTCCATTGATCTATATCTCTGTTTTGGTACCAGTACCATGCTGTTTTGGATACTGTAGCCTTGTAGTATAGTTTGAAGTCAGGTAGCATGATGCCTCCAGCTTTGTTCTTTTGGCTTAGGATTGACTTGGCAATGCGGGCTCTTTTTTGGTTCCATATGAACTTTAAAGTAGTTGTTTCCAATTCTGTGAAGAAAGTCATTGGTAGCTTGATGGGGATGGCATTGAATCTGTAAATAACCTTGGGCAGTATGGCCATTTTCATGATATTGATTCTTCCTACCCATGAGCATGGAATGCTCTTCCATTTGTTTGTATCCTCTTTTATTTCCTTGAGCAGTGGTTTGTAGTTCTCCTTGAAGAGGTCCTTCACATCCCTTGTAAGTTGGATTCCTAGGTATTTTATTCTCTTTGAAGCAATTGTGAATGGGAGTTCACTCATGATTTGGCTCTCTGTTTGTCTGTTGTTGGTGTATAAGAATGCTTCTGATTTTTGCACATTGATTTTTTATCCTGAGACTTTGCTGAAGTTGCTTATCAGCTTAAGGAGATTTTGGGCTGAGACAATGGGGTTTTCTAGATATACAATCATGTCATCTGCAAACAGGGACAATTTGACTTCCTCTTTTCCTAATTGAATACCCTTTATTTCCTTCTCCTGCCTCATTGCCCTGGCCAGAACTTCCAACACTATGTTGAATAGGAGTGGTGAGAGAGGGCATCCCTGTCTTGTGCCAGTTTTCAAAGGGAATGCTTCCAGTTTTGCCCATTCAGTATGATATTGGCTGTGGGTTTGTCATAGATAGCTCTTATTATTTTGAAATACGTCCCATCAATACCTAATTTATTGAGAGTTTGAACCTTCATATTGAGTATGAAGGTTGTTGAATTTTGTCAAAGGCTTTTTCTGCATCTATTGAGATAATCATGTGGTTTTTGTCTTTGGCTCTGTTTATATGCTAGATTACATTTATTGATTTGTGTATATTGAACCAGCCTTGCATCCCAGGGATGAAGCCCACTTGATCATGGTGGATAAGCTTTTTGATGTGGTGCTGGATTCGTTTTGCCAGTATTTTATTGAGGATTTTTACACCTTATACAAAAATCAACTCAAGATGGATTAAAGACTTAAACATTAGACCTAAAACCATAAAAACCCTAGAAGAAAACCTAGGCATTACCATTCAGGACATATGCATGGGCAAGGACTTCATGTCTAAAACACCAAAAGCAATGGCAACAAAAGACAAAATTGACAAATGGGATCTAACTAAACTAAAGAGCTTCTTCACAACAAAAGAAACTACCATCAGAGTGAACAGGCAGCCTACAAAATGGGAGAAAATTTTCACAACCTACTCATCTGACAAATGGCTAATATCCAGAAACTACAATGAACTCAAACAAATTTACAAGAAAAAAACAAACAACCCCATCAAAAAGTGGGCAAAGGACATGAACAGACACTTCTCAAAAGAAGACATTTATGCAGCCAAAAAACACATGAAAAAATGCTCATCATCACTGGCCATCAGAGAAATGCAAATCAAAACCACAATGAGATACCATCTCACACCAGTTAGAATGGTGATCATTAAAAAGTCAGGAAAAAACAGGTGCTGGAGAGGATGCGGAGAAATAGGAACACTTTTACACTGTTGGTGGCACTGTAAACTAGTTCAACCATTGTGGAAGTCAGTGTGGCGATTCCTCAGGGATCTAGAACTAGAAATACCATTTGACCCAGCCATCCCATTACTGGGTATATACCCAAAGGATTATAAATCATGCCGCTATAAAGACACATGCACATGTATGTTTATTGCGGCATTATTCACAATAGCAAAGACTTGGAACCAACCCAAATGTCCAACAATGATAGACTGGATTAAGAAAATGTGGCACATATACACCATGGAATACTATGCATCCATGAAAAATGATGAGTTCACGTCCTTTGTAGGGACATGGATGAAATTGGAAATCATCATTCTCAGTAAACTATCGCAAGAACAAAAAACCAAACACCACATACTCTCAATCATAGGTGGGAATTGAACAATGAGATCACATGGACACAGGAAGGGGAATATCACACTCTGGGGACTGTTGTGGGGTGGGGGAGGGGGGAGGGATAGCATTGGGAGATATACCTAATGCTAGATAACAAGTTGGTGGGTGCAGCGCACCAGCATGGCACATGTATACATATGTAACTAACCTGCACAATGTGCACATGTACCCTAAAACTTGAAGTATAATAATAAATAATAATAATAATAATAATAATAAACAAATAGAAAAACATTCCATGCTCATAGATAGGAAGAATCAATATCATGAAAACGGCCTTACTGCCCAAGGTAATTTAAAGATTCAATGCTATCTCCATCAAGCTACCATTGACTTTCTTCACATAGTTAGAAGAAAACTACTTTAAATTTCACATAGAAACAAAAAAGAGCCTGTATACCAAAGACAATCGTAAGCAAAAAGAACAAAGCTGGAGGCATCATGCTACCTGACTTCAAACTATACTGCAAGGCTACAGTAACCAAAACAGCACGCTACTGGTACCAAAACAGATATATAGATTAATGGAAGACAACAGAGGCCTCAGAAATAACACCACACACATCTACATCCATCTGATCTTTGACAAACCTGACAAAAACAAACAATGGGGAAAGGATTCCCTATTTAATAAATGGTGTTGGGAAAACTGGCTAGACATACTGAGAAAACTGAAACTGGACCCCTTCCTGACACCTTATACAAAAATTAACTCAAGATGGATTAAAGACTTAAACATAAAACCTAAAACCATAAAAAGCCTAGAAGAAAACCTAGGCAATATACTATTCAGGACATAGGCATGGGCAAAGACTTTATGACTAAAACACCAAAAGCAATTGCAACAAAACCCAAAATTGGCAAATAAGGATCTAATTAAAGAGCTCTGCACAGCAAAAGAAACTATCATTATGTAATGGCCTTCTTTGTCTCTTTTGATCTTTGTTGGTTTCAAGTCTGTTTTATCAGAGACTAGGATTGCAACCCCTGCCTTTTTTTGTTTTTCATTTGCTTGGTAGATCTTCCTCCATCCCTTTATTTTAAGCCTATGTGTGTTTCTGCACATGAGATGGGTTTCCTGAATACAGCACACTGATGGGTCTTGACTCTTTATCCAATTTTCCAGTCTATGCCTTTTAATTGGGGCATTTAGCCCATTTACATTTAAGGTTAGTATTCTTATGTGTGAATTTGATCCTGTCATTATGATGTTAGCTGGTTATTTTGCTCGTTAGTTGATGCAGTTTCTTCCTAGCCTTGATGGTCTTTACAATTTGGCATGTTTTTGCAGTGGCTGGTACTAGTTGTTCCTTTCTATGTTTAGTGCTTCCTCCAGGGGCTCTTTCAGGGCAGGCCTGGTGGTGACAAAATCTCTCAGCATTTGCTTGTCTGTAAAGGATTTTATTTCTCCTTCACTTATGAAGCTTAGTTTGGCTGGATATGAAATTCTGGGTTGAAAATTCTTTTCTTTAAGAATGTTGAATATTGGCCCCCACTCTTCTGGCTTGTAGAATTCCTGCCGAGATATCAGCTGTTAGTCTGATGGGCTTCCCTTTGTGGGTAACCCGACCTTTCTCTCTGGCTGCCCTTAATATTTTTTCCTTCATTTCAACTTTGGTGAATCTGACAATTTTGTGTATTGGAGTTGCTCTTCTCGATGAGTATCTTTGTGGCATTCTCTGTATTTCCTGAATTTGATTGTTAGCCTGCCTTGCTAGATTGGAGAAGTTCTCCTGGATGATATCCTGCAGAGTGTTTTCCAACTTGGTTCCATTCTCCCCGTCACTTTCAGGTACACCAATTAGACATAGATTTGGTCTTTTCACATACTCCCATATTTCTTGGAGGCTTTGCTCATTTTTTATTCTTTTTTCTCTAAACTTCTCACTTCATTTCATTCATTTGATCTTCAATCACTGATACCCTTTCTTCCAGCTGATCGAATCAGCTACTTAAGCTTGTGTCTTCCTCACATAGTTCTCATGCCATGGTTTTCAGGTCCATCAGGTCATTTAAGGCCTTCTCTACATTGGTTATTCTAGTTAGCCATTTGTCTAATCTTTTTTCAAGGTTTTTAACTTCTTTGCGATGGTTTTGAACTTCTTCCTTTAGCTCTGAGAAGTTTGATTGTCTGAAGGCTTCTTCTCTCAACTCGTCAAAGTCATTCTGCTTCCAGCTTTGTTCTGTTGTTAGTGAGGAGCTGTGTTCCTTTGGAGGAGGAGAGATGCTCTGATTTTTAGAATTTTCAGTTTTTCAGTTCTGTTTTTTCCCCATCTGTGTGGTTTTATCTACCTTTGGTCTTTGATGTTGGTGACGTACAGATGGGGTTTTGGTGTGGATGTCCTTTCTGTTTGCTAGTTTTCCTTCTAACAGTCAGGACCCTCAGCTGCAGGTCTGTTGGAGTTTACTGGAAGTCCACTCCAGACCCTGTTTGCCTGGGTATCAGCAGTGGTGGCTGCAGAACAGCGGATATTGGTGAACCGCAAATGCTGCTGCCTGATCTTTCCTCTGGAAGTTTTGTCTCAGAGGAGTATCTGGCCATGTGAGGTGTCAGTCCGCCCCTACTGGGGGGTGCCTCCCAGTTAGGCCACTCAGGGGTCAGGGACCCACTTGAGGAGGCAGTCTGCCCATTCTCAGATCTCCAGCTGTGTGCTGGGAGAACCACTACTCTCTTCAAAGCTGTCAGACAGGGATATTTAAGTCAGCAGAGGTTATTGCTGTCTTTTGTTTATCTGTGCCCTGCCCCCAGCGGTGGAGCCTAAAGAGGCAGGTAGGCCTCCTTGAGCTGCAGTGGGCTCCACCCGGTTCCAGCTTCCCAGCCACTTTGTTTACCTACTCAAGCCTCAGCAATGGCGGGCGCCCCTCCCCCAGACTTGCTGCCACCTTGCAGTTTGATCTCAGACTGCTGTGCTAGCAATGAGCGAGGCTCCGTGGGCATAGGACCCTCCAAGCCAGGTGCGGGATACAATCTCCTGGTGTGCTGTTTGTTAAGCCCGTTGGAAAAGTTCAGTATTAGGGTGGGAGTGACCCGATTTTCCAAGTGCCGTCTGTCACCCCTTTCTTTCACTAGGAAAGGGAATTCCCTGACCCCTTGTGCTTCCCAGGTGAGGTGATGCCTCGCCCTGCTACGGCTCATGCACAGTGCATTGTACCCACTGTCCTTCTCCCACTGTCCAGCACTCCCCAGTGAGATGAACCGGTACCTCACTTGGATATGCAGAAATCACCTGTCTTCTGCGTCACTCATGCTGGGAGCTATAAACTGGAGCTGTTCCTATTCGGCCATCTTCATAATGGTAAAAGGATCAATTCAACAACAAGAACTAACTATACTAAATATATATCCACCAAATACAGGAGCACCCAGATTCATAAAGCAAGTCCTTAGTGACCTACAAAGAGACTTAGACTTCCACACAATAATAATGGGAGACTTTAACACCCCACTGTCAACATTAGACAGATCAACGCAACAGAAAGTTAACAAGGATATCAAGGAATTGAACTCAGCTCTGCACCAAGTGGACCTAATAGACATCTACAGAAGTCTCCACCCCAAATCAACAGAATATATATTCTTTTCACACCACAAAACACCTATTCCAAAATCGACCACACAGTTGGAAGTAAAGCATTCCTCAGCCAATGTAAAAGAACAGATATTATAACAAACTGTCTCTCAGACCACAGTGCAATCAAACTAGAACTCAGGATTAAGAAACTCACTCAAAACCGCTCAACTACATGGAAACTGAACAACCTGCTCCTGAGTGACTACTGGATACATAACGAAATGAAGGCAGAAATAAAAATGTTCTTTGAAACCAGTGAGAACAAACACACAACATACCAAAATCTCTGAGACACATTCAAAGCAGTGTGTAGAGGGAAATTTATAGCACTAAATGCCCACAAGAGAAAGCAGGAAAGACCCTAACATCACAATTAAAAGAACTAGAGAAGCAAGAGCAAACACATTCAAAAGCTAGTGGAAGGCAAGCAATAACTAAGATCAGAGCAGAACTGAAGGAAATAGAGACACAAAAAACCCTTCAAAAAATCAATGAATCCAGGAAATTGTTTTTTGAAAAGATCAACAAAATTGATAGACCAGCAAGACTAATAAAGAAGAGAGAAGAATCAAATAGACGCAATAAAAAATGACAAAGGGGATATCACCACCAATCCCACAGAAATATAAACTACCATCAGAGAATACTATAAACACCTCTATGCAAATAAACTAGAAAATCTAGAAGAAATGGATAAATTCCTCGACACATACACCCACCCAAGACTAAACCAGGAAGAAGTTGAATCTCTGAATAGACCAATAACAGGCTCTGAAATTGAGGCAATAATTAATAGCTTACCAACCAAAAAAAGTCCAGGACCAGATGGATTCTCAGCCAAATTCTACCAGAGGTACAAGGAGGAGCTGGTACCATTCCTTCTGAAACTATTCCAATCAATAGAAAAAGAGGGAATCCTCCCTAACTCATTTTATTTATGAGGCCAGCATCATCCTGATACCAAAGCCTGGCAGAGAAACAACAAAAAAAGAGAATTTTAGACCAATATCCTTGATGAACATTGATGCAAAAATCCTCAATAAAATACTGGCAAACTGAATCCAGCAGCATATCAAAAAGCTTATCCACCATAATCAAGTGGGCTTCATCCCTGGGATGCAAGGCTGGTTCAACATATGCAAATCAATAAATGTAATCCAGCATATAAACAGAACCAAAGACAAAAACCACATGATTATCTCAATAGATGCAGAAAAGGCTTTGACAAAATTCAACAATGCTTCATGCTAAAAACTCTCAATAAATTAGGGATTGATGGAAGGTATCTCAAAATAATAAGAGCTATCTATGAAACACCCACAGCCAATATCATACTGAATGGACAAAAACTGGAAGCATTCCCTTTGAAAACTGGCACAAGACAGGGATGCCCTCTCTCACCACTCCTATTCAACATAATATTGGAAGTTCTGGCCCGGGCAATCAGGCAGGAGAAGGAAATAAAGGGCATTCAATTAGGAAAAGAGGAAGTCAAATTGTCCCTGTTTGCAGAAGATATGATTGTATATCTAGAAAACCCCTTCGTCTCAGCCCAAAATCTCCTTAAGCTGATGAACAACTTCAGCAAAGTCTCAGGATACAAAATCAATGTGCAAAAATCACAAGCATTCTTATACACCAACAACAGACAAACAGAGAGCCAAATCATGAGTGAACTCCCATTCACAATTGCTACAAACAGAATAAAATACCTAGGAATCCAACTTACAAGGGATGTGAAGGACCTCTTCAAGGAGAACTACAAACCACTGCTCAAGGAAATAAGAGAGGATACAAACAAATGGAAGAACATTCCATGCTCATGGGTAGGAAGACTCAATATCATGAAAATGGCCATACTGCCCAAGGTAATTTATAGATTCAATGCCATCCCCATCAAGCTACCGATTACTTTCTTCACAGAATTGGAAACAACTACTTTAAAGTTCATATGGAGCCAAAAAAGAGCCCGCATTGCCAAGTCAATCCTAAGCCAAAAGAACAAAGCTAGAGGCATCATGCTACCTGACTTCAAACTATACTACAAGGCTACAATAACCAAAACAGCATGGTACTGGTACAAAAACAGAGATATAGACCAATGGAACAGAACAGAGCCCTCAGAAATAATGCCTCATATCTACATCTGATCTTTGACAAACCTGACAAAAACAGGAAATGGGGAAAGGATTCCCTATTTAATAAATGGTGCTGGTAAAGCTGACTAACCATATGTAGAAAGCTGAAACTGGATACCTTCCTTACACCTTATACAAAAATTAATTCAAGATGGATTAAAGACTTCCATGTTAGACCTAAAACCATAAAAACCCTACAAGAAAACCTAGGCAATACCATTCAGGACATAGGCATGGGCAAGGAATTCACGTCTAAAACACCAAAAGCAATGGCAACAAAAGACAAAATTGACAAATGGGATCTAATTAAACTAAAGAACTTCTGCACAGCAAAAAAACCACCATCAGAGTGAACAGGCAACCTACAGAATGGGAGAAAATTTTTGCAATCTACTCATCTGACAAAGGGCTAATATCCAGAATCTAAAATGAACTCAAATTTACAAGAAAAAAGCAAACAACCCCATCAAAAATTGGGCAAAGGATATGAACAGACACTTCTCAAAAGAAGACATTTATGCAGCCAAAAAACACATGAAAAAATGCTCATCATCACTGGCCATCAGAGAAATGCAAATCGAAACCACAATGAGTTACCATCTCACACCAGTTAGAATGGCGATCATTAAAAAGTCAGGAGACAACAGGTGCTGGAGAGGATGTGGAGAAATAGGAACACTTTTACACTGTTGGTGGCACTGTAAACTAGTTCAACCATTGTGGAAGTCAGTGTGGCGATTCCTCAGGGACCTAGAACTAGAAATACCATTTGACCCAGCCATCCCATTACTGGGTATATACCCAAAGGATTATAAATCATGCTGCTATAAAGACACATGCACATGTATGTTTATTGCGCCACTATTCACAATAGCAAAGACTTGGAACTAACCCAAATGTCCAACAATGATAGACTGGATTAAGAAAATGTGGCACATATACACTATGGAATACTATGGAGACATGAAAAAGGAAGACTTCATGTCCTTTGTAGGGACATGGATGAAGCTGGAAACAATCATTTTCAGCAAACTATCGCAAGGACAAAATACCAAACACCACATGTTGTCACTCATAGGTGGGAATTGAACAATGAGAACACATGGACACAGGAAGGGGAACATCACACACCAGGGACTGTTGTGGGGTGGGGGGATGGGGGAGGGATAGCATTAGGAAATATGCCTAATGCTAAATGACGAGTTAATGGGTGCAGCACACCAACATGGCACATGTATACATACGTAACAAACCTGCACATTGTGCACATGTACCCTAACACTTAAAGTATAATAATAATAATAATAATAATAATAATAATAAAGAAACTATCATCAGAGTGAACAGGCAACCTACAGAATGGGGAAAATTTTTGCAATCTATCCATCTGGCAAAGGGCTAAAATCCAGAATCTACAAGGAACTTAAGCAAATTTACAAGAAAAGAAACAACCCCATCAAAAAGTGGGTGAAGGATATGAATAGACACTTCTCAAAAGAAGACATTATGCGGCCAACAAACATATGAAAAAAAGCTCATCATCACTGGTCATCCGAGAAATGCAAATCAAAATCACAATGAGATACCATTGTCACACCAGTTAGAATGGCAATATTAAAAAGTCAGGAAATAACATGCTGGAGAGGATGTGGAGAAATAGGAACGCTTTTACACTGTTGTAGGGAATGTAAATTAGTTCAACCATCATGGAAGACAGTGTGGCGATTCCTCAAGGATCTAGAACTAGAAATACCATTTGACCCAGCAATCCCATTACTGGGTATATACCCAAAGGATTATAAATCATTCTACTATAAAGACACATGCACATGTATGTTTACTGAAGCACTATTCACAATAGCAAAGACTTGGAACCAGCCCAAATGTCCATCAATAATAGACTGGATTAAAAAATGTGGCACATATACACCATGGAATACCATGCAGGCATAAAAAAGAAGAGTTCATGTCCTTTGTAGGGACATGGATGAAGCTGGAAACCGTCATTCTCAGCAAACTAACACAGGAACAGAAAACCAAACACCGCACGTTCTCACTCATAAGTGGGAGTTGAACAATGAGAACACATGGATACAGGGAAGGGAACATCACCCACTGGGGCCTGTCAGGGGTTGAGGGGGAAGGGGAGGGATAGCATTAGGAGAAATACCCAATGTAGATGACGGGTTGATGGGTGCAGCAAACCACCAAACCACAGTGGCACATGTATGCCTATGTAACAAACCTGCACGTTCTGCACATGTATTCCAGAACTTAATGTGTAATTAATAAAAAAAAGAAAGAAAATACAGTACATCAAATTCTGTAGAAAATAGCAAAAGATTGGAAGAGATAAAAATATATATCACTGGCTGGGCGCAGTGGCTTACGCCTGTAATCCCAGCACTTTGGGAGGCTTAGGCAGGTAGATCACCAGAGGTCAGGAGTTCAAGACCAGCCTGGTTAACATGGTGAAAAAATACAAAACTTAACCAGGCATGAAGGTGGGTGCCTGTAATCCCAGCTACTCAGGAGTCTGAGGTGGGAGAATTGCTTGAACATGGGAGGCGGCGGTTGCAGTGAGCCAAGATCGCACCATTGCATGCCAGCCTGGGCCACAGAGCAAGACTGTGTCTCAACAACAACAACAACAAAAAATTATAGCACAAAACGTTTACATAAGAAAAGTAGAAAAGTCTCAAATCAATAATTTAAGCTCTCACTTAAAGAACATAGAAAAGGAAAAGCAAAACAAACTCAAAGAGGAAAAGAAAGATAATAAAAATAAGAGCAACAATTAATTAAATTGAAATGGATAGATCTATTTAAAAACCAAATGAAACAAAAAGCTCTTTTTGAAAAAAAATCTGTAAAATAGATCAACCTTTAACAAGACTGACAAAAAAGAAAAGACAGAATATATGAATTACCAACATCAGCAATGAAGGAGGGAATATCATGACAGACATTGCAGATATCTAAAGTATAATAAGGAAATACAACACAGAACTCTACACAGATAAATTTAATAACTTAAATGGAATACATCAATTTCCAGAAAAATACAAACTGCCACAACTCACCCAATATGAAATAGGTAATTTGACTAGCTCTAAACCTATTAGAGAAATTTAATTCATAAATTAACAGCTTCTAAAAAGGAAACTGCCATTTCCAGATATTTTAACTGGAGATTTCAACCAAACATTAAAGAAGAATTGACACAAACTCTACACAATCTCTTGCAGAAAATAGAGGAGGGGAAAACATTTCCCAATTTGTTTCTTAAAGTTTGTGTTACCCAGATAACAAATCAGGCAAAACAGTGTGGAAAAAGAAAGCAAATGTTCCTCACGAACTGAAATACAAAATCTCAACAAAATATTGACAAGTTTGATTTATCAATATATAAAAAATAATTATATGCCAATGAACAAATGGGTTTATTCTAATTATACAAGGCTGGTTCTATAATTTAAAATTAATCAATGTAATCCAAGATACCAACGACTAAGAAGAAACATCATAATCAAATTAATTGATGATGAGAAAATATTTTATCAAATTTAACACCATTCATGTTTAAAAAAACTCCCATAAAATAGGAATACAGGTGATCATCCTAACTTTATAAGAGGAATCTTAAAAAAAAGAAAACCAAAAACCCTACAGCTAATGTTATATTTAATGGCAGAATACTAGATAAATGTATAAAAATCAAGTGTATATCTATATTTTAGCAATGAGCACATGAACTGCAGAGTTAAAAATGCAGACAGGCAAAAATGCAGATCTCTGGGAGGAAGGAGCTCCAGGCTACTTCATCCCAGCAGCGTTCCTGGCTCCATTCTAAAATGGTGACCTGTAGTGTCCTTTCATTACTCTTTCTTTCCAATCCTTCCTGGGACCTCTTGGGCCTCACACCTTTATTTCATGGAGCCATAAAAAGTGTGTACCCTGTAGTCACTTCCCTGGCTATGAAAAATAATAATAAAGATTGGGTCCTTTATAAAAAATAGCTCCAATATGGCTAAGAAGCTCCTGATGCCTCTGTAGCTTTGATTTATTATTTCAGAAAGAGTAGCTTGTGGAGAATGCAGTTAAGTAGACTTAAATATATTTTAATTGTAGAAGGACTCTGTGCCATCTTGCTATTCTGTTCTCCTGTTTATAACTTTGGAAAACTTCCAGATGTATTATTATGCTTTCTAGAAATATTTTAAATGATTAAATGTGCAAAAATCTGTTGGAAGTTAAGGAAGGGTTTTAAAAAAAGACAACACATTATTTTATTTTTCAATCACATAGCATTGACTTTTCCTGACTTTCTGCCCCAATATCTGTACCATACATTTCTTTTCTCCCAGTATTGTAAGGCTGAATTTATATTTGATCAATAAAATATTTTTACAAAACACATTAAGGGGGAGATACAGCCTGGCAGCATCAAGAGCTCCACTGACGTGCTCCTCAGTGAAAGTGGAGAAAAATAATTTAAAATAACCATTTAATGCCTCTGTCCAAAGGAAAAGAGCAAATGAAAAAAAAAACAAACATATATTCAAGAAAATCTGTGAAAGCTGGTTAAGAAAGCTAGAAATCTGTGGCACTTGAACCAAGATTGCTCTTTCCCTCCTTTTGGCTCAGCAAGGCAGAGACCACTCGAGACTGCTGCAGCCAAGAACACAGGGCTCCCTCTTTCCCCTGGTCCTGGGCAGAAGACTAACTCCCAGGTAAGAGCAGGATTTCAGCGTTTCCGCATTCTGCTCTGCCTCTAGCTGCCTGTTGAGTACTCCCAGGTGAGTGAAGTCAAAGGTAGAGGCTGTGTTCTTCTACTCAGCTCTCACATGGGGAACAGAGGTGTTACCTTGATTGGGGTACACTAAGGGTACTGGATCCCTGAATGACCTTGCCCTGGCTTGTGACATTCTGGTTTCATGTCAGGAGATGCAAACTGAGAGGACCTAAGGCTTCTGCAACATCCTTGACTGAGTGTTCATTTCCTGTAGTGATGGTGTTACTCTGAGAGAAGCTTGCCATTGTCCCTGCTCCCAGCTACAGATCTCTGATTCAATGTTTTGTCTGGAAGGAGAGGCAAGCCATAAAACAGATATCTCCTCATCTTTTCCCAGTGGAACTCACTTCATTTGCAACAGAATATGGAGAAGCTCAAGACTAACGGTGCCCACAAGAACAGTGGAGGTTACAATATAAGGTAACAGGGAGTAACTTTATGAATTTAATTAAGATGAGGTATAGACGTTAGGCCAGCTAGTTGGCAAGAGAGAATCTGGAAAGAGGAAAGACCTCTTGCCTTTGGAACAAGCATAATACATTGACCTCAGAATTGTTTATATAGTTTTGTAAAATTTTACCATTGGGGAAGGTGGGCACATTGTATAGGTAATCGCTCTGTATTATTTCATACAACTGCATGTGAATCTACAATTGCTCAATAAATTTTAAATTTTAAAAATACAACTTAAGGACTGCAATGTAGGAAGAAGTAAATTACTATAAGAGCAACAAAGGGAGTGTAAAATTTTATCATTTCAATTTGGTTCATTAAATAAGGAAATATAAAACATATAATAAAATTTTTAAATAAGTGGGAAAAAAACTTGAAAAACTCATAGCTCTAAAGTCACATTTATCTTGAACTAGAGTTTAGAAAATCCTAACACGTTTCTTATTACTATTTCCCCTAATACAGGCTTGGCTGAGTCAAGGAAGTATTTCACATTAAACTGCAAAGATGTTAATTATTTTTATCAATGTTTCTCAGCACAATTGTTAGATAAAGACCTTCATTTTAATATTAATGCCCTTTGGACCATGAAAGAACAACTTCAGCAAAGAATACAAGTTTAAGTAGCTATGAAAGAGTGGTATGCTATGTGATTTCTTTGTTTTTTAGGCCAGCCGTTAATGAGAATACACAAGATAACCTGGAATAAATTATACAGATTTGCAAGAGATTGTGCAGTCCAAGTATTTCAACATTTGTATATTCCAGTGAGGAATCAAATGCTGGAGCAATTAAGTGATTTGTCCAAATTGTTAAGAGAAAAAAAACAGGGGGAAAAATATTTTTTTGATACTTTCTCATTAAATTATACTCAGAAGATGTGTCATAAAAAATGATCACCAATCCATTAGATAGTGCTCATGTGGGAACCACAGATGTGAAAAGACATGTCATTTAGTGAATGAAAACAGACATAGAGCTTTGCCAATTCAATTACATATTACTGCTCAAAAAGAAAGTTTATTTTTCATTATACTTAAAGAAGATTTTACAAGTATATTTAAAAGTTAATATTCTAAGGTACACTTTTGGTAAAGGAACACTGATGTTTTTAAATCTAAAGGACAATGGCATTAGGATTCAGTTGCAAGCTTGTAAATCCACATAGATTACTAGTAAATAATTATATTAACTCTTAGTTCTTAAAAAATAGAAAAGGGAAAAGCAGGAAGAAGAGTAAGAAGAAAGAGGAGACAGAAAAAAGAATGAAGTGTTCTTCATTTAAAGCAGATTAAAATTTTAAGCTCTGTATGAGCCTGTACCAGATGTGGGTAAGGACAGCACATTAACACTTATCTTTCAGTCTCCTTATATGGAATGTTCCCTAATCAAAAACTTCAGTGTTGCTAAAAGTATTCTAACTGCTTCTCTTATTAAAAAGCTTGTAGAGCCCTTTTAATTATTTCTTGATTAGAAGACTATTAAAATCGATTCTACTCAATAAATATTATGAGCTGAAACTACGTCAGATGTTCTGTGGGTGTTAGACTAGTGGACTGCCCTAGGGCAGCAACAGCCCATTAATAATCACATGGTTTTATAGACATACATTATATGGAATTTAATACAATGTTTGAGCTAGTTACTGCTCTCTTTTATACACATGAATATACTGAGGTTTAGTGCAATTACTAGAAAGTATTACTAGTTGAAGCAAGTGTATGAACATTGTACAAAATACAGTATGATCATGACTGTAACATAAACACAGAGAAGGAAAAGAAGTTGGAAGGGCTCAAATGAGAGCTGGATCCCTCGTGTTTAGGGAAAGCAGATGAGAGCCACTTTAGATGGGCCATGAAACATGTTAGTAGAATAATAACTAACATTTATAGTGAATGTATTTCACACTAGGCACTGACTGTTGTTTAATATGGATTATCTCATGGAATATTTATAACTCATACAATAGGTACCATCATTATCCTAATTTTAAAAGTGAGAAACAGGTCTAAAGAGGTAAAGTAACCCAACATAATGCAGTAATAAGTGGTAATGTCAGGATTCAAACCCAAGCTAAATCCAGAGTCAATACTCAAAATCACTATAATATATTGGCTAAGAGTTCAACAGTTTCACCACAGGGGAAAGCATATAAGAGTTATTACTAGCCTTAACAAGTATAACAGAAGTGTGAAGGCACTTGTGAGTGAGGAACAATATTTTGAAGAATTGCATAGTACTTTTAAGAGAGAGTGAAAGTATAGGAATAAATTTTGTCAGGATCCTACAGTAAGAAATAAAAACGAAAGAAATAAATTTGTGCTTAGTAAGGTGATAGGAACAGAGAAATAATTCCGGTATTTAGGGGTTGTAGCATAAATGTAGAACACACTCTTTCAGTAAACTAGGAATAGAGGATTACGTCCTCTGCTTGATAAAGAATACCTACAAAAACCTACAGCTAACATAATATTTAATTACGAGAAATTCAAACTTTTCCCCCATTAAATACTGTTAGCTGCAATTGTTTGTAGATATTCTTTATCTTAAGGCAAGGATGTCCCACCTCACTATTGCTTTTCAACATCACATTGGAAATCCTAGCTAATGCGATGACAAGAAAATAAAAATAAAAGGTATATACATTGAGAAGAAAGACATAACCTTATTTTTCTTTGCAGATAATAAAAATGTCTGTGTAGAAAATCCAAAAGAATTGGCAAAAAAATGAAAACAAAGAAACAAAACTAGAACTAATCAGCAATTATAGCAAGGTTTGACAATATAAGGTTAATATTCAAAAGTCAATTACTTTCTTATCAGCAATGAACAAGTAGAATCTGAAGTTTAAAACACATTACTAGTTACTTTAGCACCTCCAAAATGAAATACTTAGATATAAATCTAACAAAATTTGTACAAGATCTATATAGAAAAGCTACAAAACTCTGTTAAAAGAAATCAAAGTACCACTAAATAAATGGAGAGATATTCCATGTTCATGAACAACAACAACAACGACAAATCCCAAACAACAAAGAGAACTCAACAGGAGACAGATTTTAATCAGTGGATGGTAGGCTTTAGCTAATTTAAGGACAATGGAAAACAGTGCAAAACACTGACATAAGAATTTGAGCATGCGGTGTCATAACCCAGAAGTGGGTGCCCTAGTGTGATAGCTCCAGAGAGCTCAGAAGACATATGTGAAAAGTAAATCTGAAAACATGAGGATTTATTTATTATTTGTGGAGCCACCTAAGTCCCTACTACCACCCACTACCACCATTACTGCTATGCAAATAGCTCTAGAAACTTCGAGTTATCCCAAAATAAACTGGAGGACTGTTTCTTAAACCCTTAGCTAGGAATGGCCATGTAACCTAGTGTGGGTCTGGCATTGGCAACCCTCTACATTGTAGCAGCTGGGAGTTCCCATCCACACAGACAGCTTCTAACCTATAAAACCTAAAATGAATTCTGCTCTGTCACCATGCTCAGGATGTCCATTTGAAAATGAGTTATTGTCATACCAGTCCCTCTCTGCAGTTCTAGCAGATGCTTCTGCTCTTAGAAACAGCCTCTGAGGTCGTCACTATCACTGTCTTTGTAAATGGGCTACATGTATGTGTCCTCAGAGTGTACAACTCTTGAAGGTAAGTAAAAGATCAAAGATCTCAGATATTTGCAATCAATAGCCTAAAGATAATTGATTTAAATAAATTTAAAAACAATCCATACAGAAACATAAATAATTCAGACCGCAAAGAAAGCATTGTAAAAAGTCTAATTCCATCATCAATAAGGCTCAGAGTGATTGCATTTATAAAACAAGAGAATAAGAAGAATTAGGATATAAACATAGGATTGCTGAAATAAAAGTGTCAATATCAAGGAGGACTATGAAATCAAAACAAAAATAAAAGGCAAAAAAGTCAAAGAAAAGGAAAATACAAGAGAAAAATTAAAGATCTATACAGACCATCTCTGGCAAATAGAGACTTATAAATCGAGAAGATGGAAGACATGAAATGAACAAAGAATTTTTTAGTATTAGAAAAAGGCACAAGCATTCAAGTTGAAAGGGCTGGCTAGCAAGTAGGAAAGATGCAAAAATGACAGAAATTTTAGAGAAACGAAGATCTTGAGGATATCCTGAGATCCACAGAGATAAAAAAAAAAAATACAAATATTCTACAAAGGAATCCAAAAGCCTCCAGACTTCTCATTTATCAAAGTGTATGCTAAAAAGCAGTGGAACAGTGCTTGCAAAGTTATAAAAACAACTGATAAACACACACATATGTGCACACCTGTACACAATGGGATATTATTCAGCCTTAAAAAAGAATGAAAGCTTACAATTTGTGACAACACAGATGAATCTAGAGAACATTATGTTAAGCGAAATAAGCCAGATGCAGAAAGACAAATCCAGCATGATCTCACTTACATGTAGAGTCCAAAAATATCAAACTCAGAAGCAGAGTGTAGAATGGTGGTTACCAGAGGCTCAGGGAATGGAGATGTGGGAAGATGCTGTCCAAGGAATACAGTTTCAGTTATGCAATACAAGTAAGTTCTGAAGGGATAATGCACAACAATGTGAATATAGTTAACAATATGATATTGTATGCTCAAAATTTGCTAAAAGGTTAGATCTTAAGTTTTCTCACCTCAAAAAAAATTGTAACTGTGAGGTGAACATGTTAATTAGCTTGATTGTGGTGAATATTTCACAATGTATGTATATAGCAAATCATCAAGTTGTACGACTTAAATATATACCATTTTAAACTGTCAACTACATCTCAATAAAGTTGGGAAAATAATTAATAAATAAATAATTAAGTTGTGAAATGTTTTAAGCATAGAAAAAATATCTAAAGAAATGTATGTCCCACCTTCAGGGTTTAACATGTTTTCACTTTGACACAAACAATTCCAACCCACATCCTTCCCCACTCTCCTTCCCAAGGAACTTCTGACCTGCTGTTTGTGTGCGCTTTTATCGTGGGGATTTTTATAACTGTATTAAATGTGCATGTATCCATAAACAATTTATACTATTACTGTTTTTATTTTTAAAAAAAGGTATTTAAATGGCACTAAATTGAACATACCTGCAAGTTATTCCTTTACTCATATTTAGATAATTTAATACATTTGTAAGTGTTCACTTATTAATAGCCTATTGTTTAGTTAAATGCCTATGTCTTTTTGTGCCTTTGAAGCACATCCTTTGGTCAAGATCTGGAAATGATGAAGATGCATCTTCTTCCAGAATCTGACTAGATGGTTTTTAAAATGCCAGGGTCAGTGACCAGGGCAGGCTATGAAGAATGCCTCAGGGCTGGTTCTCTGCAGTGATGATTAATGTGCTGCTGACCTCTAGACTCAATCACAGCCCAACACAGGAGGATTCGTGTCAACCGAGAAGAGAAGAATTGCCCTCTGTCCTTTGGCCCTGGGCCTGCCTACAAGTCAGCAAAGTACTTGGTCACTGATATGGTCTGGCTTAAGTGGATTAGGGAAATGTCTCCTGCCCAACAGATCTTTCACCACTAGCTTCCTGCTGATATAGTAAATCTCACCAATAGGGATCCATCTGTAGTTACCCAACTATTCTTTATGGAAATACCATAAGCATTAAGCTCAATCAACCAAAAACACCTTATTTCAAGTGAATTCACGTACTCTGATGTTAAAGTAGCTCCATGTTGAATGAACAGGGATAGGTGAGTTTGCATAGAGGAAATTATAGACAAATATGAAACACTCAACCTGAATGGTTAACCCAAGTGGAGATTCTGAACTTCCAAGGCCCAAACAAGTGATCCACGGGGTGCCCCTTTTTAAAGGAATGATCTTCATTTATTTAGTGTGGATGGGGACATCTGATTATACTGATACATTTTAATACTTTTGTCTTTCAGGATATAAATAAGGAATTTATTGCATGGGATTTGTTTTTTGAGCCAGTTCCATTCTTGGAAGCAAGAGTAAAAAGTTTGGAAATGATATAAAATATACATATAATAACATAAAGTTATATGATAAAATAAATCTATTTTTCAAGAAGGCAGCACTATATCATGAATTATTCAACTTCAGAATTTCAGCTCATGCCTGCCATCCAAATTTGTTGACAGTGGCATATGGAGTCTCTGGATCACATGGCCTGACATGCAGCACCTTGTGTTGCAAGAATACTCAGGGTCTAGGATGAAGTATGATAAGTGTGTTTGTTTGTGTTTTCTAATTTTTCTGAGATGGAGGGGCAGCCATAGCCAGTGAGTGGGAAGGGCTTGGGGACTGTTTTCATGGACATCAAGGTGCTTGAGTACACATGTGTGCATGTGCTTCCTTTGCAAGAAGCATATCAGAAATTCAGAGAAGGCCAGGCAGGGTGGCTCACACCTGTAATCCCTCCTTTGGGAGGCTGAGGTTGGGGGATTGCTTGAGACCGGGAGTTCAAGACCAACTTGGGCAACATAGTGAGACCCCCACCTCTAGAAAACAAAATAGCCCTGCATCATGGTATACACCTATGGTCCCAGCTACTTGGGAGGCCGAGATAGGGAAGGATGGCTTGAGCCCAGGAGGTTGAGGCTGCAGTGAGCCATGATGGCACCACTGCTCTCTAGCCTAGGTGACAGAGCAATATCCTGCCTCTAAAGAAGAAAAAAAGAAATACAAAGAATAACAGAATTACTTGAAGAAGAAGAAAGCCGGTTTTGCTCAATCAATATATAACTTGTGAGAGGTAAACTGAAAAAGAAAGGTGTTCAGATCCAGCTGCACCCAGGCATCCTTTGCCCCGGGATGAGCCAAGGTAGATTCTACAAAGAAGCGAAGGTGATCAGAAACACAACCAGCCTGACTGAAACGAGTCCAGAGACTTTCGAAACACAAATGTGATCACCAGAGCCTTGGCCTGGCTACCTGTCACTTTCAGAACAAGGTCTACACCCCAGGATGGGATTCAGTGCTGCTGCCTGCTCTTCTTACTACAGGGGTTTGTCTCTGCCCACAGCTTCTCACACTCTGTACTTCCTACTGAATAACCTGCAGTCAGTACCTCATCTCAGGCAGCCCCACTTGGCCTGATTAACTCCAACTCACTCTTTCAGACTCACTGGGGCAGTACCATTTTGTCCAGGAAGCCTTCCCTAACTTCCTGCCCCAAGAGCTGACCAGGCTCCTCTGTTGTGTGCTCGTTGCATTCTGACAGCCCTTTGAATCAGCTGCAGGTGCCAGGCTCTCAGGCACATGAACTTTCTTGCTGGTCAGAATGTCCTCAGGGCCATATCCATTCCCAGGCACAGCGACAGGATATGCATGTGTTCTGAATGAATGAATAACTGAATGAATATTTGGGAAACAAGGAAATGAGGGCCTAGGGAAAATAGAAGCAAACCTTAGGGAGTAAAGGCAGTGAAAGTAATGTTTGGGCTGTATCTGCAGAGATGGGATTGCACAGGAAATGTATGAGCTGAGACAAAAGAAGATTTTAGGGAAAAGAATCACAGGGCAAAGGACATATTCACCTTTACTGGATCCTAAAGGACAGGCTGACAAAGAGCCTAGAGCAAAGATTCCTTGCAGAAATATTTTGATATAATTCTCCCATTCAAGCAAATTGACAGATATAAGAGGAGAAGAGGTTCGGGAGCAGAGGCAGTAGCAGCAATTGGGTATCAAATGCAGAAGGTAGCACCATGATCCTAAAGCTCTGAGAAGGTTCCTGGTGGGTCTGGAAAAAAAACAAAAAAAAAAAAAAGCAGGGAGCCCATCAAGAGATGGAGGCTGCAGGAAATGCCAAGCCATGGACTTTGTTTCCACAACTGAATTTTATAAATATGGGTTATCCTATTCTTAAAGAAGGCAAACTGTCTCAACCAGACTCCACCTTCGATCCATCATTCAAATACTAGGACCACTGGTGATAGGATAAAATGAAAAGATGAGTTAAGAGATTTTAAATACAGTATCTACTCTACAGGAAGAAGGGGTATTCAGTGAAGACCATGACATTGTAAATTTGCAAATTTAGCCAGCAAATAGAAGTTTTCTTGATGTCACTGCCGAAGTATTAGGTTGGGGCAAAGGTAGTTCCGGTTTTCGCCATTACTTTCAATGGCAAAAACCGCAATTAGAAAAGACTATGCATTAGTCAAGGACTTGTTAGGATATGCTAATTTGGAGGATTTCTGTCTTCAAAATCATCTTTAATTTTGTAGAACCACCGGCATAGACTCACTGGTAACCTAGAAAAGTTGAAAGTGCTCTTTTGATCTCTTCTGTTTTCCCTCTTCCCAAGTATGTGATCTGTGGCCGACAGCAGTAATGATGTTATTAATTACAATAGTTTCATACATTGAGCACTCACTGCACAACAGCCAGTGTAGTACTACTGCTTTATGTAAATTGAATCTTCACAGTAACCATAAAAAGCAGATACTCTTATTAACCATGAACTGCACTTTGAAGAAAACACTACAATAAAATGGAACTCAGAACAGACTGGTGAAAGACGAAGTCACACAGCTGGTAAGAGACAAAGCCAGAAACCACACCCGTCTCACCAAATTCCAGAGCTCATATGCTAATTACTGTGCCATGCTGCCTACCAGATTCTAACTTATATATTAGCCTGTTAGAACACGGGATTTGGGGTTTTCATCGTTGTTTGGTTGACTGGTTGGTTGGTTGGTTAATTGGTTGGCTGGTTTTCCTGAGAATGAATATTATGAAAGGATGTTTAGATTGTAAGTTGCTGGAATGGTATATTTGGTTGAGTAGTTGGCTGTGTTTCTATGTTCACCAAATGCCCGCCTGGTGAAACAGTTCCATGAATCTTATTGGCTCTTGAGAAAATACTACTTAGAGAGACTTGAGTATGGAGTAGTACGGTGCTGGCATGTCTGGTTTTGTTTGTTGTTGAATCCTAGCTCCTAACCGAGATGCCTGTTCATCTAACTGGTGTTCAAGAAGTATTCATCGAGTGTCTGAATTGGGTGAATGGCCTGCAGGAATTCCATGAAGGCACAGGAAATGTGTCCCAGGTTACAGTTGCTAAAGTAGAGCCCCCAGCCCCGGTCAGACTCCAGGGTGGAGCTTCTCAGATCTCCAAGCCAGAGGAGGAACTACATAAACTGAGACACTCCCATGCAGGTTTCATAACTGGTGTTCTTAATGTATCTGTGGAGATGCAGATGCAGGAGCTTTCATTTTTCTTGAGATTTGATCTCTGCAAATAAAGATGTGCCTTTTCCACTTTTTCATGACATGTACAACTTTGAAGAATATACTATGACAATAAAATATTTGATTCTATTTTGCATATGGTCAGGCAATAAAACTGTCCTTGTCATCTTGGCTGAGAAACTTGGTTGGACAATACTGCAGGCTCTGGCCTGACAAGGGAAGTAAATGGGCAGAGACAACTTCTTGCAAGAAACTAATGTCACCATCCATTCTATTTTCGTGGATTGGGTGGATGGGGGAAGTGGCTACTCAACTCATCGTTCCCAGAAGGAGTCATAAAAGCAAAGATTGGGAAAGCACCTACCCGGGGTGAATCCTTATCCCTGCCTCTAACTCCTGAGATGCCTTCAAAGTTAGAGATTAAAGGCACTTTTCAATATGCCTGGTGATCGCCTCTTAGGAATAAATTCAGCAGCACATATTTGTGTCTGGATAAGGTTGAGATTTGAGGTTTCTTTCCCAAAACACAAATAACATTATGCTTAGTCTTGTTCGTCTGGAAAAAAAAAAAAGGACTAGGTATGAGGCTTGAGCCTGAAGCCCTGAGCTCATAATAAAACTTCTTTGCTGTGCTTACATTTTTCTTGTCCTAAATGCAACCACTCTAGTTAGCTGATTAGGGATTCAGAGATTTAGGATTTAGCCCTAGATAATAGCTGTTCCCTTGGGAACTAGCATCATGCACAAGCCATATGACCGCAAGTTTATTACTTAATCTAAGCTTGTTTATTCATCTGTAAAATGTGTTGTGCCAAGGCTTAATGAGAGAATGTTTGTAAAAGTATAAACTGCAATGTGCTCTGGTTATTAGTAACTTTTATAAAGTGGTTTCCACTTAGTTCCACATGAAGTGTTCCAAAATTGGATGATAGCAGTTTTAGCAACAGCTAAGTGTAATGAAGCTGCCTGGATATAATTCAGCCGTCTAGAACTTACTACAGGTAAAATGTCATCCTCACCAACTTTAAAAGTGCTTAATTATAATTAAGAGCCTGAAAATCAAGGCACTTCTTTTACTTGCCTCAGCAACGATGACAATTTGATGCTGGAATTATCTCCTGCCAAATATCTGTTTTCCTCTTTCTCTTCTTCATTATTCAAAAATAAAACGACTTTCTTGCAATTCCCTACATATTTACTTCTCTTGGAATTAAAACTGAAGAAATTACTGTCCCCGTTTTGTTCACACAAGCATATTTTGTTAGAAATACAGTAGTCATGAGTAAAGTATAGCAACACTTAAAACCCTGAAAACCAGATAAAAATGAATTTTTGGCTTGTGGAAACACTCAGACTGTTTCGAGCTCACTCATTTCCTGTTTTTTTCTCAAGACAAATCATTCATGTTTATAAAAATATATATATAACTGCTATATATCTGCAATAAAAGTTAAGTAAACAAATGCTGTATGTTCCCAATAGATACAACACAAATACTTAAAGTGACTTTATCTATCACAGCACAGACTTTTGGATGGAGGTAGTAGAAACAGAACCAGTTACAGAATCGGCTTGATTACAAGTGCATCCTGCCCTCTGGCGGCCAGTCCGCCTTCTATAGCCCTGCATGGGAAGCCTGTCGTTCTTCTGACAATGAATTGTTTCCCAAGTAAATGACAATCTTGAGCACATTTGTTTTCCAATAAATAAAAGCTTTCTAATTTTAACGTATCTTTTCATTACTTTAATTTTTAGGCAGGGTTACTTATTAATCTTTATTTTGTTTCTTTTCAAGAACGTCTTAAATTACAAATACTTTAAAATGCTTTTTCATTTCAAATATTTTAATTTTCTATTTCATACATTTTGTATATGAACACTTTCGTATATTTTATATATTTATAAAATAAGATAAGGTGTATTACCAGTATATACAATATCACCAGTCCTTTTGATGTATTGCATTCACCAAAATGGAGTTCTAATTTGCCTACTTTGAGTAGAGATTACAGAATAATTGAGATGGTGTTTTCTAAAACCATGACCTTGGGCAAGTATTTATTATGCCGTACTTTCACTTTCCTCAATTTCCTTCAAATTATGTACAACATTTACATAATCATTATAAAAATAGTATATATGTATATCACCTAGACCAGGCGGAGAGTGAGTCCGGCCAGGGTCCCGCGCCTCCAGACCCGCCACCCCAGACCTGCGCAGCGAGGTATCCCAGCACCTACTACATGCCAGGCTCTGGAATTCAAACCAAAACAACCCTGCCCTCCCAGAGCAGGCAAAGATGACCCAAATGCAGAAACAGAGGCTTGTCCGGGATCGCCCAGCCTGCCCTGCAGAGCTCACGTTGAAAGAACCAGGTGAGTCGAGCTGGGCAGAAGTTGGGAGGCCAGCTGAGGCCCCAGAGGCCCGGCCCTTCCAGTCCCGTCCTCGCCGCCACTCCCAGAGCCAGCGCAGCCTGGCCTTCCACGCCACCTGCGACGCCCGGGTGGTACGGCGGGCTTCCAGTTCAAGAAGGGTAGGCAGCAGCGGCCCACCCCGCCTCGGGTTCGAGCCCTGGGCGTCCCATCCGCGAGGGCTGCGCGATGCAGCTGACGCAGGCCGCCCAGGAGTTGCCGGGGGCTGGGTGCAAGGCTAGGTGCAGGGCCAGGTCGCAGTGCTGGCGAAGTGCTGGCGGCCTTGCCTGGGGGCTGCCCGCCCCAGCCCCGCTGGCCCAGTGCCTTCCCACCCAAGGAGAGCGCGGTGCCTTCTGGAGCACCGAGCCCCTCCCCGGCCGCGCGGCCACCTCCTGGCCCGGCCCTGCGCGGGCAGTGAGAACCGTCCCAAGTGCCCCTGGGGTCGCCAGGGAAACCGTGGTCAAGGCGAGCCCCATGTGCCCTGGGGGCCGGGTTTCGGGCGTAAGCTCTGAGAAGGTGCTGGATTCCGAGGAGGCCTTAGGACCATGTGGCTCAGAAGGCCCAGCCTCTGGGACCGTCGTGCCTGACGCTAAGGAGAGGTGGGGCCTGGAGGAGCCTTTGGAGCCTTAAGGACTGGTTTCCCAAGAATTGCAGCCCAGGCCTGGCCCGAGCGACCCCGTAGAGGCCTTGCGGGGCCCACAGCGCGCATAGTCACTGGGCCCAAAGATGATGATCTATGGCCTGAAAAGCAAATGCAGTCTGCACTGGTCCTTCTGGGTCCTGACAGGGCCCGCGGTGTGGGCGGAGAGGGAGGTTAGCGGTGGCCGCCATACCCGGACCTCACCCTGTCCCAGGAGGAACTGGGAGGAACCCAGGCCTAGGAGGAACTGGCCTGGCTCCAGACCACCCGCCTGCCTCCAGGAGCAGCAGGCTCGGTATTGCTCTGGGAGGCAGTGGCCCCCTGGCCTCCCCTGGACGCATCCTTCAGTCTCGTCCCGCAGGTCTGGGGCTCCTTGGGAGCTCTCCTGACCTCCAGTCCTGGGCTAGGCAGCCTGGCCCGAGCTGACCCTAAAACAGGCTCCTTCTGAGAGGGGAGGCCAAGAGTTGGCCCGTGGCCAAGAAGGCCCTGGCGCTGACCCAGTGGCAGAGAAAAAGCAGCCCAAAGCTGTGCATGGCTTCCGGAGGCCCCCTCCAACTGCAGGCAGCCCCTCGCATGCCCCCTTCTGGCTCACTCCACCCCCGGTATTCCTAGGGGAGACGGGGTCTCGTCTTGCTGCTGGCTGACCGCTGTTCCCATCTTCCTAGTCACCGCAGTGCCAGTTCTTCAGGCAGAGACAACCTCGGGGCTGGGACACCCGGTCTCACGTAGGTCCTGTTTACAGTCCTCAGTGCCCCACACCGGGGACCCCCTGAGGACACCTCTGCCTTAACCTTGATTTCCCAGAAGGCTGCCTCTTCGTGACGGACAGACTCAGCCCAAAGCCCCTTCCTTCTGTCTTTGGAGACCCTGGGCTTGGGAAATACGAAGGAAGTGTGGCTGGGGGCAGAGCATGTGTCTGCAAATCAAGGCCTTTGCTGCTTGCTGCTGGCCCAGCGGACTTAGGCTTCAATTTAAATTTTACTTCCGGTGAATTTTTTTTTTTCTGGCCACAAAGCTTGGTATTTTCACGGCTTTAGTTTCCTGTTGGCTGGTGGGAGGGGATAGGGTCTGTGGCTCTAGGCTTGGCCATGGAGACCTTCGGCGTTGCCGCCAAGGAGGAGGCAGCCTGGGCTGGAGAAGCACAGTTGCCGGTGCCGAGGCGTCTCAGGAGGGAGGCAGTCTGGTCTTTGCTTTATTCCCGGCAAGCTTTGCTGTCTCTGGGGCGTGCCTCTGCCGTCTTGGTAGGTTCCCCAGAGTCCCGAGTGGTGTTAACAGGGGTAGCGCCTCTTGTGTACAGGCTCTGGAGCTCTGGAGGGGATTAGGAGCTGCCCAGAGCCCAGTGTTCTGGAAGACTCAGCTGGTGGGGTGAGTCATTAACTGCGGTCCTGGTGCTGGTTCATAAACTCTAAAGGTGCAGTGGCCCTGGTCTCCCCTTACCAGAGCACAAAATGGCGTCAGGCTGCCCCTGGGGTTAGGAGGGGTAAGGAATGTCAGATAGCCTGGGAGGGGGATGCAAGGACTAAAATAAATAAGTCTGTCAAGTAAAAATATAACAAAATAATAAAAAAAAAAAAAGTTAAGTGAATGAATGAATTTAGCAAATGATGGTTGAAGATGGAAAACTTTTAGTATATTTCAGCATCTATATCTGGTTCAAAATGCTTTTTCATAGTCAAGATATTAGGTGTCTAATTGAAATAAAATAAAAATATGAATTTATGTCCATTGAAAGCAGTTGAATATATAATAGATATTTTCTTATTTTTTGTTTGGTTTCCATGGAAACTGGTTTGGAAGGTGAGATTAAACACATATAAACACATAAAAACTCTATGGTAAACAGTTTTTACCATACACAGTTACTTCTATTTGCAAGGCAGTTCTTCAGGTACCCCTGAAGTAACCTGCTTCTCTCCCATTTCTTGCTTGTAGTTCTCGAGAAAAACTGTAGAATGTGCTGGGAATACAGTGTCCTGAGGCAGGGAGGGTCCTGAGCCTTGCTCCTGTCCCTCCTGGGGCATGTACCATCTTGAATTAGGAAGGAACTGCCCAAGACTGTCCTTGCCTTGCTCCTCTATTCCCTGGAAGTAGGGTGTCCTTTAAAGCTTTGCCCAGCAAGTCACATTTCCCTTGAGGTAAAGAACCCAGGGCAAGCTGCCTTTCAGTGTTCCTCAGCTGTGGTGCAAGTGGGACATGCACAGTCAGGCTTCATCTACCCTAAGCAGCTTTCTTGAGCCTGGGGACCAGCTCAACATGGATCCTAGGCTTCTGTTGTCCCTCACTGCCTATCTGTAAGTAATAAACCCTCCTGATATAACTTACTGCATGCATGATCTGTCTTACCAGACTGAGATGTGGATGACCAGTGCACAGTGAGCCTGCTTCACTATTACTTCCATTTCCTTGACCAAACAATGTAGAAACTACCCAGAGAATAAAGGGCCTGGAGAATGAATATCTACAACTACATCTGCATCCACATCCACATCTGCATCCTCATGTATATCTACATATGCATCCACATCTACGTCTAAATCTAAATCTGAGGCCCAGCCATTGTGGCTCACGCCTGTAATCCCAGCACTTTGGGAGGTCAAGGTGAGTGGATCACCAGAGGTCAGAAGTTCAAGACCAGCCTGGCTAACATGGCGAAACCCCATCTCTATTAAAAATATAAAAATTAGCCGGGTGTGGTAATGGGCACCTGTAATCCTAGCTACTTGGGATGCTGATGCAGGAGAATCACTTGAACCTGGGAGGCAGAAGTTGCAGTGAGCCGAGATGGCACCACTGCACTCCAGCGACAGAGTGAGGCTGCGTCTCAAAAATAAATAAATTAATAAATCTAATCCTGCCTCTGCATCTGCACCTGTATCTACATCACTACATCTGCATCGGTCTCTACATCTACATTACAACTACATCTAAATGCATCTAAATCTGCATCAACATCTGCGTCTACATCTACATCCACATCTACATTGGCATCTGCATTCAGATCAACATCTAAATGTCAGTCTGAATCTGTATCTACATCTACATAATCTACATCTGCATTCACAGTGGCATCTGCATCCACAGCCACTTCCACATCCGCATCCCTGTCTACATCTGCATCCGTGTCCACATCCGCATCCACATCTAAATCTAAATCTGCCTCTAAATTTAGACCTGTGTCTACATCTACATCTGTATCTGCATCTACGTCTGCATCTGCATCCACATCCACATCTACAGCTGCATCTACATCTAAATTTGTATCTACATCTGCATCCATTTCAGCATCAACATCTAAATCTAAATCTGAATCTTCATCTGCATTGCATCTGAGTCTCTCTGCATCTGCATCCTCATCTACATCTACCTCTGCATCCGCATCTGCATCAGTGAATACCTCTTCTTCTGCATCTACATCTGCATCTGCATCCACATCTACCCCTACATCTGCATTTGCATCAGCCTCCACATCTGCATCTACATATCTACACTTATGAACTCAGTGATATTAGCAAATTGCCTTCAGGTAGAGTCCCTATCATTTGCATTTTTCCACTAAATGGAGACTGACTTGACAGAGCCCAGGGGACCAATCTTGGTTAACTTTGCATCCTCACAGAGTCTAACACAAGACAGATACATAGGTGAGATGTCAGATGCTCAGTGTGTATTAAAGTGCTCCTGTTGGACACTATACATGACTACTTATAACTTGAAACTACTAAATTAGCATCTACGATTTGTGATTTTTGTTAACATCAGCTTTCAATGGTACACTTGAAGTACAGGAAGAAGCAACTCACAAAAAAATCAGGGACACTCTTATTGTTAGGGTTCCTGGGACAGTACCCCCAGTGAGAACACTGCATTGCACTTCAGCCCCATTCATTGTTCAATCAATGGGCATTTATTCAGACCATACCATGTTGCAGACATTGGCTAGCCACTGGGCATGTAAGGACAGAACAACACTGTTTCTGTTGCCAAGGGTCTCTGATCTAGTGATGGGGGAAAATAAGTAAAGCAGTGACAAGTACAGCTATGGGCTAGGAAAAGACAGCCCACAGAAGGAATATCTAAGCTGAAATTCAGTACAGAGTATGCATTAGCCAGGTGAACATAGACTAGGGGAATGAACAGATGGGAGGGATAGTCCAGGTAGAAAAACATCACAGGAAATAATCCAAAGGCAAGAGAGAGCAGGACAAACTCAAGGAGTTAATTTATGGAACTGCTCAATCTGTCTGTATCACAGATGAAGACAGGGGTTTTGGTTGAAGCTATGTGAGAGGGAAGTATGGTGTGAACACGGGGCCTTTAGCAGCACCCTGGGATGTGGGGATTCATCCTAAAAGTAATGGAAATGTTTGATGCATTTTACGAAACAGCGACTTAACGATTCGTACATTTTTTTGAAGGATATTTTTCTCTATATTATCAGGAAAGGGGTTAAAAGAGGGGAATACTGAAAGTAGTGAGACCAACTGAGAGGTTCTCAATATCCCCAGTAAAGGTGGACAGTGGCCTGACCTAGAGCAGGGCGGAGGGCATAGGGAGACACAGGTGCAGGAAGAAAAACCACAGGTCTGGTGACTGGATGGGGAATGAGGGGGAGGGAGGTGTAAGTGAGGCTTCTCACTTGAAAAACCAGCGAAGTGCTATCAGCGCAGAAAGGGGACAGGTAGCACTAAAGGGGGCAGAAGACAACAGGATCGATTCAGCGTGGGTGTATGTGCGGGACTTCCAAGGCACAGAGTACACTGCATGCCTGGGTCTGACACTGGGGAAGAAATGAGAGCAGAGGTTCTGGTTTGTGGCCAACACCAGAGAGACAGCCCATGAAGGCTTGGGACTTAGGAATATGGCTTGGAAGGAATGTGCAGGGAGAGAAAAGTAGACAGCATCAAGAGAGTATTGGACGGGGAGAGTGAGGGGCCTCTAGGGACAGCCACAGAGTAGATAGTCAATACATCTTTGCTCAGTTTAACAGTTAATTCAAACGTTAAAAACAACCCTGTGACAAAGGGCTTTCAAACCTTCTTCAGAGCCAATAGTGAAAATTTAAAAAATATATTCATGAGAATGTACTGCACACAACAACAACAATAATAAATTAGACTAACATTTGAATCCAAGCTTAAAAAGGGCCAAACCATGTACGTACATTTAATCATGAAACCCATTGCAGATCTCAAAAAGATTATTATCTAAAAAGTATTAATTTTTTTTATAAAGGGCTCATATATGTCAATAAGCAATGATAGTCCCAATAAATCTATAGGCAAAGGACATACACAGACATTTCATTAATGATAAATAGTTCTAGTAATTTAAATATGAAAACAAAGACTTTAACCTTTCTGAGAATCAAATGCATTTTTTAAAAAATGTGCTGTAGTTTTTCACACACTAAGGAAACATCTACAGTGAAGACACTATCTGTCCATGATGACAGCAGTGTGGCTACGTGAACTCACTCATATACTCTATCTGAACACAGAACTTCGGTTTTAATATCTGAAATTTTGACAATTTGTATCATGAGCTATTGAAATGTTGATACCCTTCGGCATCACAATTTTGTTTCCAAGACTATTTTCTAATGGTATAATCCTAAATTCCATATCATCAAACATACTTATTATAGTACTATTTGTCACAGTGAACATTTGGGAACAACAAAATGTTGACAAACAGAAGACTATTAAAACACATTAGGATCTTTCCAGGTGATGGAATATTAAGTAATTATTTATAGTTTATGATCATGAGGATTGTTTAATTACATTGGAAAATCCTCAGGATGCAGAGCTAAATAGGGCAGAGCACAGTCTTGTCTGAACAATATTGTTGCAACAAAGTATTAAATGTGCACCCAAAATCTTTGAAAATTAAAACAAAATTTTAGTAAAGTCTCTCTTGTATTACTAAGAGTAATATATTTTTTTCTTTTTGTTTCCCAAATTTTTTGACAATATTTTGTCAATTCTAAAAGAACACTTTAAACAGCTTATCATTTACCAACATAATAAATATATTATATAGTAGCATATATTTTTAAGAATTCCCAATAATTATATTAGCTTTAGGGAAAAACATAATTGGAGTATTTAAAAGCTTGTCTTTTTCAGCTTTTAACAAAACATCTGATAAAAAACAATGGACCCAGAATACATGATATCACTGGGCTGCTTAATATGGGCATCGATTAATTTAGGATTTCTCAATACCTCAAAAGAGTAAACAGAACAAAATAACAAATAAAACAAAATTTAAAAGCAAAAATTGTTATTTTACAAAATTTTTCTGTTATCCAGCTCTTTGTGAAGGATGAATTACTTCATACAAACCACTCAGGGGAACCACTCAGGGAGAAGTCACAGAAGTGACTTCCAGCTGAAATCCACTGAGTAGTTTACTTGTTTGTGGAAAAGGAGAGAGAAAAGCCAAGTGCTAGTGGTTTTGTTAAACCCTACTTTGCATTCAACTGATAAGTTGAAAATAAATTAGAAAAGCGTTTGGGGAGCCCATTCTTTCCACACAAAACTCATATTCCTTCCAATGGGATATATGTACAAAGAATTAATTATTCATCCAATCTTCCTTGAACAACCATCAAAGCCAACCATGTACTGTACTAGCATTAGGGCTACAATAGGAAAGGCTAAATTTACTAAATCTAATGAAATGGTTTTTATTGTTTTCACACCACTTCTAAAACACCTCTCTGGGTAGGTGCATTTGTATTTGTAACATGGTTTTATTCCTGTAAAAATATTTTTTAAGTTCAAAATAAGCTCCCCCCCAAAGACTTAATTTAACTATGGAAAAAAATATGATCAGAATTAATTCTTTTTAGTAAAGTTCAGTAGTCAAAATACATGTCAGCCAGCCTTTCTGTGGAGAGAAGTTGAATATTTGACTAAAAGCTTTCCATTTTAGGTCACAAGGGAGTAATTTAATGTGCTGCAGAAACAAATGTATAAATGTCTTCACCTGAATGTGCCTGACTTTCTTTTGGGAAATAACTTAAATCTTGACAGAATTTAGTTGACTGGGAATAAATTACAATAAGAATTAATATATGACTCACTTTGGCAGTGACTCACCCCTGCTGTATATTGGGAAAGTGGGATGTAGAAAAGGTTGAGGGTTTGAAAGCAGAATGAAAACATGTCCCAATTCTGCTTTGTGACCTTGGAGAAGTTACTTAGCATCTTGTACACTAAATTCCCTCACCTGCACATTATTCATAATAATATTCCCTTTGAAGAGTTTCCTAAACTTTAAGTGAAATGATATATGAAAACTGATTTGCTCACAATGCCTCATCTTCCAATTTTAGTTATCTGCCTCAAACCAATTAACAAATTAAAACATACCTTTCCAGAGACCTGCTTCTGATAAGTGACAATTTATGGAGAGTGAATAACTAAATTTGGCAATGACTTAGTGGTACAAATTTGTTAATTTAGAAAAATATCAAGGCTAACAGGAAATTTCTCCCAAGGGGTTTTCCCAGATACAAATATGTGAAGTACAGCAGACATTATCTTCCATGAACAAAGCCAGAACATTCTCACGTTCTGTGTGTGTGTGTGTGTGTGTGTGTGTGTGTGTGTGTGTATGTGTGTCCCCTCTCAACCCACCTTTTGAAAATTCTTTTGAAAATATACTCTTTACATGAACTTAAAACCTTAATTATTTCAGTCTCCCCAAAGGTGTTTGTAAATCTATGCAAGATTAAGTTCATTATTTTTTTCCATTTGATAATTCTTAAAGTATGTGAAAACATATACAAAATATTTTTAATGTAAATTTTCCAGTTATTTAAACAAAATGTCCACACACACTGGAGGCATTCTAATTCATTAAGTTCCCTTCCAAAATCTTGCATACAGACTGGTTGTAAGACAGTAGATAATGTTCTAAAGAAGGAAGAACACCTTAAAAGTATTGCTAATGTGCCACATCATGGACACCATACCTCTGAATACATGCAGCAGGTTACCTTCAGTTTAGCCTTTTGTGGCAACAAAATCGCATATACTTATTGGGATAAATGACTATGTCCATATTTACTATTCCTGCAGTTGGTTTTTCCCTAAGTATATTTAACTTTTACATTTTTTACCTAGAATATTCAATAATGTAACTTATGGACCGTTGTTCCACTTTGCCAACATTTATTTAATAATCTTATTCTACATCCATAACATTATCTCCTACACCTGCCTTTCTATATCCACAAATGCAATAAACACGCATTCTTATCCACACTATGATGCAGTAACTTTGTGACTAGCTACTTATCCAGGAGGACTAAATTCATATGTCTACAAATAGATTTGTACACAAATGTTCACAGCAGATTTAGCTATAATAGTCCTAAACTGGAAACATTCCAAATGTCTACCAAGAGGTGTACATTTTGTAGTATATCCAGACAATAAAACACCACTCAACAATAGATAGGAACAAACATACAACAATATGGCTGAATCTCATTTTGACTCATGCATAGCCAAAAAGCCACACACTGTAAACAGTGGATACTGTAGGGTTCCAGTCAGGTGAGATCTGAGATAAAGGAAAACAAATGGATAATGATAGAACTCAAAACAGCAATTGCCCTTTGGTTGTAGGAGTAGGGGCCTGAGAGAGACTGGAGAAGGAAATGAAGGACTTCTCTGGGGTGCTAAAACTGTTCTGTATTTAGATTACACACCACACATATATACACACACACACCTCATACACATATGCACATGACACGCACCCTATACACACACACACACCACACACTGACTACCCATACACACATGATACACACCTCACACCTTCACACACATATGCATTCACTATACACACCCACACCATGCTTACACACACCATACACCATACACACACCACACACTGACTATACACATATGCACCACACACACATGCACACATACTCACCGCACACAAACACACCACATAGCCACCATGCACATGTACATACAAGACTACAAATAGACACACACCACACACATACACACATCACACATACCCATATACACACCACACACACTACACACACACCACATACACACAAAGCCAAAATGTATAGAATTGTGCAATTAAGGGACATTAATTGTATAGAAATTATATATCATTAAAGTTTATTGGTTTCTTTTAAATGAGAACAACTAAAAATTCATTACAGGTGGTTGAATAAGTTATGGTCTACTCATCCCACAGAATACTGCACAATAAGGGACAGGAGCAGCCCACAAGTCATATGGCCTTAGCACTGCATGGAGGGAGAAGAGCAAGCCCAGGGTGTTGTGTGCTTGTGCTCAGGAACAGGAAGACTCACCTGTGCACCAAGAGTACCTCCATGGCTGGAAGGATTACTGGGAAAGCACAAAGGAACTTCCAGGGAAATTGGAAATGTTCCTTATTTTGATCCAGATGTGGGCTTCCCAGGTAGATCTATTTCTCAAAATGTCTCCCACATGTCCTGAAGATTGGCACTTTTCACTGGTAAATTATAAATAGTAAATTAGATTCCAATAAAAATTACATTGAACAAAGAATAAGAGAAAATTTTAAGTTGTGATAGAGAAAGGGGAAATAAACATGACCTATATACTATGCTACCATTTGTAGGGGAAAAAAAAGAACGTTAAAGTTTATTTAAATGTGCCGAGACCAGCTTGGTCAGGGAGACCCTAACCCAGCGGCACTAGAAGAATTAAAGACACACACACAGGAATATAGAGGTGTGAAGTGGAAAATCAGGGGTCTCACAGCCTTCAGAGCTAAGAGCCCCAAACAGAGATTTCCCCATGTATTTATTAACAGCAAACCAGTCATTAGCATTGTTTCTATAGATACATGATTAACTAAAAGTATCCCTTATGAGAAACGAAGGGATGGGCAGAATTAAAGGAATAGGTTGGGCTAGTTAACTGCAGCAGGAGCGTGTCCTTAAGGCACAGATCGCTCGTGCTATTGTTTGTGGCTTAAGAATGCCTTTAAGAGGTTTTCTGCCCTGAGCGGGCCAGGTGTTCCTTGCCCTCATTACCATAAACACACAGCCTTCCAGCTTGGGTGTTAGGGCCATTATGAACATGTTACAGTGCTGCAGATATTTTGTTTATGGCCAGTTTTGGGGCCAGCTTATGGCCAGATTTTGGGGGACCTGCTCCCAACATGTCCCCTTCTCTGACTTGCAAATTGATAAACACAAAGGCAGCTTTGTCACGGTGAGCTACTTTTCACAGGAGTCAGGATCCACATCTGCAGACTACACAGAGACAAACAACATGGATTAAAAGCACAATCATCATTGAAATCACAGAGCTTCCAAGTGTTTTATCCATTTTCAGCTCCTTTAAGCACTCCAGTTCCTGGCATTAAGGTCAGGTGTGCCTGGGATGCTTTAAATATTTGTTCTTTTAATTTTAAATCCTTACATTAAGCTCCTGGAGCAGGCCATATCATTTGAGGTTGAGATGCCACTATACCGCCATGGTTCCAGATAATAGGAAATCTTGCCATACTTCTTATTATATCTGCAATCTGACCATTTTGTTCCGACCAGCTGAACATAGTGTGGTCATGGCACGCAGACTGAGAGGTGCAATTCAAGCTAAACATCCCCTTAGGGCTCCAATTAATAATGATTCTGTAGGAATCGTTGTGCAGCACCTCTGCCTGTTCTGCAATGCAATCTTCCTAAACAAGTATGTTCATTTTTTCTAACTGGGTCCAATCCTGTTTACAAATAGGTTTTTGAGGGCAGTATGCCTCAATTATAGGAGCAGATTTATTATGGTAAGTACTGAGATCAGAAAGCATGTGTAACTGTGTCATAAAGTGATTGCACCCAGGCATTATTGCCAGCCAAGATTGATAAATATACCCAATAAGTATGATTGTTCTCTGTGTCAGCCCTTATTGAAAGAATACTCACGGCAGTGGTGAAAATTGCTATCATAGCTACCATTAAATTACTCGTTGTGACTGGTTGTCCAGCTTTCCTCAGGTTTTCTTCCGCCATCTGTGACAGCTTCTTGATCTGTCCCCAGGTGGGTGGCTGTGATTGACAGGTGTTGCTTATGACAGTTGGGGTCCTCCTCAGCGTCAGTCTTGACATGGCTGAAACTGAGGGGTCCTTGGGATCCTCCCGGAATCTGGCTCATAATAAGATTTAAGGTGTCTTGATGGTATCCAAATCGGCTGTTGATTTTTGCCTGGAGAAACACAAGCATAACCTCTACCCCAAGTTATTATTTTACCTTGAGAATTGTATGGGATATCAGTAATGCGTTTAATATTCAACATAGAGAAAAATGTAGCCAGAGCTTGGCTAGTATAGCCTGGGACATTATCTGTTTTAATAGAAGCTGGAATGCCCATCACCACAAAACCCTGCAAAAGATGATGTTTAACACAGGCAGAAGACTCTCCTGTTTGGCGTGTAGCCCAGACAATGTGAGAAAAGGTGTCCACACATACATGTACATAAGCTAGTCTCCCAAATGAGGGAACATGTGTGACATCCATTTGCCAAAAAGAGTTAGGTTCCAATCCTCGAGGATTAACTCCTCCTGTAAAAGATGAGGAATGTACCATTTGGCAAGTTGGGCATCGCTGGATAATCACTTTAGCTTCTTTCCAGTTAATGCTGTATCTGCGTTTGAGACCAGAGGCATTAACATGGGTTAAATTGTGAAAATGTCTAGCATTAGATATTGCATTTGCAACTAGGCAATCAGCCATTTGATTCCCTTTAGTCAAAGGTCCTGGAAGAGGTCTATGAGCCCTAATGTGAGTGATGTAAAAAGGATGCATTCTACTCCTAACTGCTGTTTGCAATTGGGTAAATAAAGTCATCAGTTGTTCATCTGTATGAAATTGTAACTGAGCATTTTCAATTAACTGTGTGGAATGAACCACATATGAAGAATCAGAAATCACATTAATAGGCATATCAAAAGTAGTCAATACCTCAATTATAGCTACAAGCTCCACTTTTTGAGCTGAAGTATAGGGCATCTGAAAAACTTTACATTTTGATCCAAAATAAGAAGCTTTACCATTACTAGACCCATCTGTAAAACAATGAAAACACTTAGCAGGCTGCAGGTTGTTTGCTGCAGGAATTGTAAATGCAAACCATTCACAGTCTTGCTCAGCTAAAGAGATAATAAAGAAACAGTCTTTTAAATCAATGACTATCAAAGGCCAATTTTTTGGAATTATAGCAGGAGAAGGCACTCCTGGTTGTTATGCTCCCATAGGTTGTGTAACTGAATTAATGGCTCTTAAATCAGTTAACATTCTCCATTTACCTCATTTTTTCTTCATTACGAAAACTGGAGAATTCCAAAGAGAAAATTTGGAGCTATGTGCCCATTTTCTAATTGCTCAGTAACTAATTTCTCTAAAGCCTCCAGTGTCTCTTTACTTAGCAGCCATTGTTCTATCCAAATTGGCTTATCTGTTAACCATTTTAAAGATATAGGTTCTGGAGGCTTAACAATGGCCGCCATCAAAAGTTATTTCCTAATCTTTGGCGGAAACTTTGTTTTTCCACTTGAAGCAGTTCTTTCAAACCTTGCAAATTTTTTTCTAGTCCCATACCAGGGACATACCCCATTTCATGCATTGTATGTTGACTTTGAGGGCTATATAATTGTTCTGGAATTAGAACTTGTGCTCCCCATTGTTGTAATAAATCTCTTCCCCATAAATTTATAGGTACAGAAGTTATAATTGGTCAAATAGTCCCAGGTTGTCCATTGGGCCCTTCACAATGCAAAATATAACTACTTTGATATACTTCAGGGGCTTTACCAACTCCAACTATGTTAAATTGAGTGGATTGAATTGGCCACATGGATGGCCAGTGCTGCAGAGAAATGATTGAAACGTCTGCTCCTGTATCTACCAAACCTTTAAATTTCTTTCCCTGAATAGTTATTTCACAGGTAAGATGTTTATCAGTAATTTGATTTACCCAGTAAGCTGCTTTGCCTTGTTTATTTGTGCTTCCAAATCCTTCTGTTTGTTTAATTTCACTTTTTCCCGTTCCCACATAGGGCACAACCAGGAGCTGTGCTATGCGCTCTCCTGGCTCTGCTTTCCAGGGAACAGAAGTAGATACAACAATCTGAATTTCCACTTTATAATCTGAATCAATGACTCCTGTATGTATCTGTACCTCTTTTAAACTTAAACTAGACCTTCCTAAAAGTAATCCTACTGTCCCTGCTGGCAAGGGTCCACAGACTCTTGCTGGGACCTTTTGTGGGGGTTCCCCAGGCAGAAGGCTCACAGCTTTTGTGCAGCATAAATCTACTGCAGCACTCCTGGCTGTGGTGGGGGACAGACATTGTATGGGGGTGAGGGAATGGCCTGAGCTGGAAATGCCCCAGTTTAGAATGGGGCCCCGGATGGGCCCCTCATGGTGCTTCCCAAAATCAGGTTCCCTTCTTTATCAAACTTAGAGTGACACTGATTAGTCCAATGTTTTTCTTTTTCACATTTTGGATATATTTCAGGATCAGCAGTTTTCTTTTTTCCCCTATCGGTGGCCTGACTCACTGATTTTTTCTACATTCTTTTTTAGTATGACCATGCTTCCCACAGTTAAAACAAGCTCCAGGAAATGGAGTATTTCCTTTATCCACTCTCAGTCCTGCCATTGGCTATGCTAGCAGAGTAGCTTTATGCAGATTACCTCTGATACCATCACAGGCCTTGATATAATCAACTAAATGTGCATTCCCTCTGATAGGTCACAGAGCAGCCTGGCAATCAGGATTAGCATTGTCGAAAGCTAGTAATTGCAACACTATATCCTGAGCAGCCAAATCTGCAATCATCTTTTTAAGAGACTCCTGTAACCGAGATATAATATAAAAGTATGGTTCTCTTGGTCCCTGTTTTATAGCACTAAAGGAAGGGTATTGTTCCGCATTTGAAGTGATTTTTTCCCAAGCTCTAATGCACACTCTGCTAAGCTGTTCTGTGGCATCATCCTGCATGACCACTTGTGCATCTAAGCCAGCCCAGCCACCAACCCCTAAAAGTTGGTCTGCAGTTATATTAATTTGAGGTTGGGCCTGGGCATTGCAAGCAGCCTGAATGGAAGCTTCATCTGCCCATCAAGTTTTAAATCGTAAGAACAGAGCAGGAGTTAGACAAGCTCGAGTAAGAGTGTCCCAGTCAGTAGGAATCATCTGACTGGAAACAGCAACATTCTTTAACAGTCCCATTACAAAAGGAGAACCTGGTCCATACTGATTTATAGCTTGTTTAAATTCTTTGAGTAATTTAAAAGGAAAAGGCTCAAATGTAGCTACATTTCCCTGTTGATCTGGGGGATGTAGTCTAACAGGGAACTGCCAAGCCTCTAAATCACCCTCTCATCTAGGTTGCTGAATTCCTGCCAGAATAGAACTAAGAGCGGTCGTTCAAGGCACTGCTTGAACAGTCACTGGAGCAACTACTTTTTGCCCAGTGTCCTCTGGAAAAGAAAGATCTGGAGGGTCTTTTTCTTCAAAATAATAAGGAGGGGGTGCAGAAGGGTAGGGATGAACCTCCCCTTCCTTTGCCACTTTAGCTTTAGCTGGTAAATAAACGTGCTCTGTAACCTCTTCTGTTACTTCGCTATACTCTCATTCCTCCTCATCATCAGTGTGAAAAAGCTCCAAGGTGAAACGAACCAGGTCCCACACCTGTCCCATGGTTACCTTGACGCTTCTGAGCTCCCCTTCTTACTCACCATGGGGATTGTTTTAAGAGTACTTGGGTGTCCTCCAGCTAGTTTTCCATTCCAACCATCATTCTGATGACCCTTTGACCTGGATTCAAACCCCCATGATGGACACCACTTGCCGAGACCAGCTTGGTCGGGGAGACCCTAACCCAGTGGCACTAGAGGAATTAAAGAGACACATACAGAAATATAGAGGTGTGAAGTGGGAAATCAGGGGTCTCACAGCCTTCAGAGCTGACAGCCCTAAACAGAGATTTACCTACATATTTATTAACAGCAAACCAGTCATTAGCATTGTTTGTATAGATATATGATTAACTAAAAGTATCCCTTATGGGAAATGAAGGGATGGGCTGAATTAAAGGAATAGGTTGGGCTAGTTAACTGCAGCAGGAGCATGTCCTTAAGGCACAGATTGCTCATGCTATTGTTTGTGGCTTAAGAATGCCTTTAAGAGATTTTCCACCCTGGGTGGGCCAGGTGTTCCTTGCCCTCATTCCTGTAAACCCACAACCTTCCAGCTTCGGCATTAGGGCCATTATGAACATGTAACAGTGCTGCAGAGATTTTGTTTATGGCCAGTTTTGGGGCCAGTTTATGGCAGATTTGGGGGGGCCTGCTCCCAACATAAATGTGGAGCAAAAAGTTAAGGAAAACTTTCTGAAGGCACAGACCATCTCTAATAGGAATTTTGAGAAAATGGTAAGAGCCACTGATTCTGGGAAATAACCTAGGAGGCCCAGGGACAAGGAAGGAGAGATTTTGCTCCTCACTGATTACAGCGTTGTGCCTTTTGAATAATGTGCATTATGTATATTGCCTTGCCAAAAAAAGTACATGAATACTGGAATTTAATGTCTGTTAACTATTTTGAAAAGACTCAATGAAGGTAAATAACAAATACCAAATTGTGGTATGGACAAACATATGTACAAGACTGAAGGAAAATCATGAAAATCTAGACACATTCTGATTATGTGGTTTCTTTACAAAGGTGTTTTAAAATTTGATCCACTTTAAAATACGTAAAAGAGCAAATCATTATGGTTGTGTATAGTACAAGTGTGTAACTACAGATAATGCAGCCAGTTTAACAATACAAATAGCATCTACTGAGAGCTAAATTTGTGTCAGGTGTTTTTCCATAGCTTTATATGTAATGATTATTTATTCCTTAAAACAATTTTACAACTTAGTTACTAGGGTTATCTGAATATTAATATGAGAAAACTAAAGGAAAGAGAGGTTCAATAAGTTTTAAAGGTCCCCTAAAATACATTGCAGTTAAACCAACCTTTCTGGAACTTTTCCAGCATTCAAAGATTGAAGAATGAAGGAGTGTTGGCATGACATACAATAAAATGTTCTCTTATTGAATAGGATCAATATTGGTAGCAGATGCCATTAATGCTGCAATTCACATTTCTCTGCCCACTTCTGATCTCAGGCACAGCTGCAATGACTAGGCCCAAGAATGATCTGGTGGGTTCAAGTCTTTAATGCCCCTAGCAAGGCTGTGAGATGTTTGCTCTATATTGGAGTTATGTTCTCCCTATTACCTCCCTTCTGCTTTCTGGAATCACTTCCCAAGTCCCAAATAAATTACCTGCACCAAACTCCTTGTCACTTTTGTGGTAACCTACACTAATCCAAGTTTATTGAAAGGTTAAGATATGTGCATGTCATTTTTAATGATTATTCCCCCTTAATCTGTGCTCTTTAATAGGTTATTAATTCCCGGTTCTAATCAGATAAAAAAATTCTATTTTTCTCTTACAGAGATTACTGAGTATTGATCTGTGAATTCACCATATGGAATTACAGTAAATGCTTATGAAGAATACAGATTTTCAGGCTGTGTATTTTTTTTTTATCACGGGAAAAGCTTTTAGTGATTCACCATCAATTCATCATGATGAATTAATTTATCATTCACATGATATTAACTTTGAGTTTTTCATAGATGTCCTTTATCAAGTGGAGTTCTCTTGTATCTTGGTGTTGGATTTTATCCATGCTTTTATTGGCAGCAATTGAGATGATCATTTGAATTTTGTTCCTTTATTCTATCAATAGAGTATCTTACATTCATTGATTTTTGTATGTTAAATCGCCTTGCATTCCTGGGATAAGTCCTGCTTGGTCATAATGTATTACTTTCTAAATGTTGCTGGATGTGGTTTTCTATAATATTGTGGAGGATTTTTGTGTCTATAGCCTTAGGAGGTTTTGGTCAATAGTTTGTTGTTATTGTTTACTTGTGCTATCTTCATCTGGTTTAGGGCTTTTCATTGCTTTTCTTTGCCTGTTTATTTGGTTTATTACTTGGTTACTGCCTTAGCTGGACTGTTCAGTGATTGTTATTTCCACAACAGTGTGCAGCTCCTGCCATCACTCTGCAGAAAATGTAGCCATGGGCAGGTGCACAGCCACCTTGGAAAGACAGTGTTTACATTAGGGTTCTCTCTGCCTTTCTCTTTCTTTCATATCCCTGTTAATTCCACTGCCTTGGATGACATCACACCAGTTGTTAGCCTCCACTAACTGCTGGCTGGTTTCTCTGTTGTTTTCAGCAATGCCCTGGGCCATAAATTGCTGCACAGTCTGATCCAACTAAATTCCAACTTCTATGAAGTAGTAGTTTTTAGGCCAGTTTTTGGAGCTTATCCCAACCCCAAGAAGGCCTTTCTTACCTGTCTCTTTCTCTGGTTCTCTGGTAAACTACTAACTTACTGTGGTTTACCTTCTTGCTTTTGTGGACTATCAGCCATCTTTTAATCGCTTTCCTTCAAAATCTCTATTGTTTGCAGTATCACCCTTAGGCTTGACCATCTCCACATACTTTTCTAAATTAAGTTGGTTCTCTTGAATAAAGAAATTTATTGGGGCAATTCCAAGATGGCTAAATAGGAACAACTCCAGTCTACAGCTCCCAGCACGAGCAACATAGAAGATGGGTGACTTCTGCATTTCCAACTGAGGTACCGGGTTCATCTCACTGAGGCTTGTCAGACAGTGGGTGCAGGACAGTGGGTGCAGTGCACTGAGCATGAGCTGAAGCAGGGCGAGGCATCCTCTCACCCGGGAAATGCAAGGGGTCAGTGAATTCCCTTTCCTAGCCAAGCAAAGCTGTGACAGATGGCACCTGAAAAATTGGGTCACTCCCACCCTAATACTGCACTTTTCCAATGGTCTTAGCAAATGGCACACCAGGAGATTATATCCCGCACCTGGCTTAGAGGGTGCCACACCCACAGAGCCTCGCTCATTGCGAGCACAGCAGTCTGAGATCGAACTGCAATGTGGCAGCCAGGCTGGGGGAGGGGCGCCTGCCATTGCCGAGGCTTGAATAGGTAAACAAAGCAGCCTGGAAGCTCAAACTGGGTGGAGCCCAGCACAGCTCAAGGAGGCCTGCCTGCCTCTGTAAACTCCACCTCTGGGGGCAGGGCATAGCCAAACAAAAGGCAGCAGAAACCTCTGCAGACTTAAATGTCCCTGTCTGACAGCTTTGAAGAGAGTAGTGGTTCTCCCAGCGTGGACTTTGAGATTTGAGAACAGACAGACTGCCTCCTCAAGTGGGGTCCCTGACTCCCAAGTAGCCTAACTGGGAGGCACGCCCCAGTAGGGGCAGACTGACACCTCACACAGCTGGGTACCCTCTGAGACAAAACTTCCAGAGGAACGATCAGACAGCAAAATTTGCTGTTCAGCAATATTCACTGTTCTGCAGCCTCTGCTGCTGATACCCAGGCAAACAGGGCCTGGAGTGGACCTCCAGTAACTCCAACAGACCTGCATCTGAGGGTCCTGACTGTTAGAAGGAAAACTAGCAAACGGAAAGGACATCCACACCAAACCCAATCTGTACATCACCATCATCAAAGATCAAAGGTACATAAAACCACAAAGATGGGGAAAAAACAGAGCTGAAAAACTGAAAATTCTAAAAATCAGAGCAGCTGTCCTCCTCCAAAGGAACACAGCTCCTCACCAACAATGGAACAAAGCTGGATGGAGAATGACTTTGAAGAGTCGAAAGAAGGCTTCAGATGATCAAACTTCTCAGAGCTAAAGGAAGAAGTTCAAACCCATCGCAAAGAAGTTAAAAACCTTGAAAAAAAGATTAGACAAATGACTAAATAGAACAACCAATTTAGAGAAGGCCTCAAATGACCTGATGGAGCTGAAAACCATGGCACGAGAACTATGTGATGAATACACAAGCTTAAGTAGCCAATTCGATCAGCTGGAAGAAAGGGTATCAGAGATTGAAGATCAAATGAATGAAATGAAGTGAGAAGTTTAGAGAAAAAAGAATAAAAAGAAATGAACAAAGCCTCCAAGAAATATGGGAATATGTGAAAAGACCAAATCTACATCTGATTGGTGTACCTGAAAGTAATGGGTAGAATGGAACCAAGCTGGAAAACACTCTGCAGGATATTATCCATGAGAACTTCCCCAACCTAACAAGGCAGGCCAACATTCACATTCAGGAAATACAGAGAATGCCACAAAGATACTCCTCGAGAAGAGCAACTCCAAGACACAAAATTGTCAGATTCACCAAAGTTGAAATGAAGGAAAAAATGTTCAGGGCACCCAGAGAGAAAGGTTGGGTTACCCACAAAGGGAAGCCCATCAGACGAACAGCTGATCTCTCGGCAGAAACTCTACAAGCCAGAAGAGTGGGGGCCAATATTCAACATTCTTAAAGGAAAGAATTTTCAACCCAGAATTTCATATCCAGCCAAACTAAGCTTCATAAGTGAAGGAGAAATAAAATCCTTTACAGACAAACAAATGCTGAGAGATTTTGTCACCACCAGCCCTGTGCTAAAAGAGCTCCTGAAGGAAGCACTAAACATGGAAAGGAACAACCAGTACCAGCCACTGCAAAAACATGCTAAATTGTAACGACCATCAAGACTAGGAAGAAACTGCATCAACGAGCAAAATAACCAGCTAACATCATAATGATAGGATCAAATTCACACATAACAATATTAACTTTAAACGTAAATGGGCAAAATGCTCCAATTAAAAGACACAGACTGGCAAATTGGATAAAGAGTCAAGACCCATCAGTGTGCTGTATTCAGGAAACCCATCTCATGTGCAGAGACACACATAGGCTCAAAATAAAGGGATGGAGGAAGATCTACCAAGCAAATGGAAAACAAAAAAAGGCAGGGGTTGCAATCCTAGTCTCTGATAAAACAAACTTTCAACCAACAAAGATCAAAAGAGACAAAGAAGGCCACTACATAATGGTAAAGGGATCAATTCAACAAGAAGAGCTAACTATCCTAAACATATATGAACCCAATACAGGAGCACCCAGATTCATAAAGCAAGTCCTTAGAGACCTACAAAGAGACTTAGACTCCCACACAATAATAATGGGAGACTTTCACACCCCACTGTCAACATTAGACAGATCCACAAGACAGTAAGTTAACAAGTATATCCAGGAATTGAACTCAGCTCTGGACCAAGCAGACCTAATGGACATCTATAGAACTCTCCACCCGAAATCAACAGAATATACATTCTTCTCAGCAACACATCACACTTATTCCAAAATTGACCACAGACTTGGAAGTAAAGCACTCCTCAGCAAATGTAAAAGAACAGAAATTATAACAAAGTGTCTCTCAGACTACAGTGCAATCAAACTACAACTCAGGATTAAGAAACTCACTCAAAACTGCTCAACTATATGGAAACTGAACAACCTGCTCCTGAATGACTACTGGGTACATAACGAAATGAAGGCAGAAATAAAGATGTTCTTTGAAACCAATGAAAAAAAGACACAACTTACCAGAATCTCTGGGATACATTTAAAGCAGTGTGTAGAGGGAAATTTATAGCACTAAATGCCCACAAGAGAAAGCAGGAAAGATCTAAAATTAACACCCTAACATCACAATTAAAACAACTAGAGAAGCGAGAGCAAACACATTCAAAAGCTAGCACAAGGCAAGAAATAACTAAGATGAGAGCAGAACTGAAGGAGATAGAGACACAAAAAACCCTTCAAAAAATCAGTGATTCCAGGAGCTGGTTTTTTGAAAGATCAACAAAATTGAGAGACTGCTAGCAAGACTAATAAAGAAGAAAAGAGAGAAGAATCAAATAGACACAACAAAAAATGATAAAGGGGATATCACCACTGATCCCACAGAAATACAAACTACCATCAGAGAATACCATAAGCACCTCTATGCAAATAAACTAGAAAATCTAGAAGAAATGGATAAATTCCTCGACACATACACCCTCCCAAGACTAAACCAGGAAGAAGTTGAATCTCTGAATAGACCAATAACAGGCTCTGAAATTGAGGCAATAATTAATACCTTACCAACCAAAAAAAGTCCAGGACCAGATGGATTCACAGCCAAATTCTACCAGAGGTACAAGGAGGAGCTGATACCATTCCTTCGGAAACTATTCCAATCAATAGAAAAAGAGGGAATCCTCCCTAACTCATTTTATGAGGCCAGCATCTTCCTGATACCAAAGCCTGGAAGAGACACAACAAAAAAGAGAATTTTAGACCACTATCCCTGAAGAACATCAATGCAAAAATCCTCAATAAAATACTGGCAAACCAAATCCAGCAGCACATCAAAAAGCTTATCTACCATAATCAAGTGGGCTTCATCCCTGGGATGCAAGGCCGGTTCAACATATGCAAATCAATAAACGTAATCCAGCATATAAACAGACCCAAAGACAAAAACCACATGATTATCTCAATAGGTGCAGAAAAGGCCTTTGACAAAATTCAACAACTCTTCATGCTAAAAACTCTCAATAAGGTATTAATGGGATGTATCTCAAAATAATAGGAGTTATTTATGACAAATGCACAGCCAATATCATACTGAATGGGAAAAAACTGGAAGCATTCCCTTTGAAAACTGGCACAAGACAGGGATGCCCTCTCTCACCACTCCTATTCAACATAGTGTTGGAAGTTCTGGCCAGGGCAATCAGGCAGGAGAAAGAAATAAAGCGTATTGTATTCAATTAGGAAAAGAGGAAGTCAAATTGTCCCTGTTTGCAGATGACATGATTGTATATCTGGAAAACCCCATTGTCTCATCCCAAAATCTCCTTAAGCTGATAAGCAACTTCAGCAAAGTCTCAGGATACAAAATCAATGTGCAAAAATCACAAGCATTCCTATACACCAATAACAGACAAACAGAGAGCCAAATCATGAGTGAACTCCCATTCACAATTGCTTCAAAGAGAATAAAATACCTAGGAATCCAACTTACAAGGGATGTGAAACCTCTTCAAAGAGAACTACAAACCACTGCTCAACTAAATCAAAGAGGACACAAACAAATGGAAGAACATTCCATGCTCATGGGTAGGAAGAATCAATATCATGAAAATGGCCACACTGCCCAAGGTGATTTACAGATTCAATGCCGTCCCCCTCAAGCTACCAATGACTTTCTTCACAGAATTGGAGAAAACTACTTTAAAGTTCATATAGAACCAAAAAAGAGCCTGCATTGCCAAGACAATACTAAGCCAAAAGAACAAAGCTGGAGGCATCACGCTACCTGACTTCAAACTATATTACAAGGCTACAGTAACCAAAACAGCATGGTACTGGTACCAAAACAGAGATATAGACCAATGGAACAGAACAGAGCCCTCATAAATAACACCACACATCTACAACCATCTGATCTTTGACAAACCTGACAAAACAAGAAATGGGGAAAGGATTCCCTATTTAATAAATGGTGCTGGGAAAACTGGCTAGCCATATGTAGAAAGCTGAAACGATCCTTTCCTTACACCTTATACAAAAATCAATTGAAGATGGATTAAAGACTTAAATGTTAGATCTAAAACCATAAAAACCCTAGAAGAAAACCTAGGCATAAGTTTTCTGGGCATAGGCATGGGCAAGGACTTCATGTCTAAAACACCAAAAGCAATGGCAACAAAAGACAAAATTGACAAATGGGATCTAATTAAACTAAAGAGCTTCTGAACAGCAAAAGAAACTACCATCAGTGTGAACAGACAACCTACAGAATGGGAGAATATATTTGCAGTCTACTCGTCTGACAAAGGGCTAATATCCAGAATCTACAAAGAACTCAAACAAATTTACAAGATAAAAACCAACAAACCCATCACAAAGTGGGCAAAGGATATGAACAGACACTTCTCAAAAGAAGACATTTATTCAGCCAACAGAAACATTAAAAAATGCTCATCATCACTGGCCATAGGAGAAGTGCAAATCAAGACCACAATGAGATACCATCTCACACCAGTTAGAATGGCGATCATTAAAAAGTCAGGAAACAACAGGTGCTGGAGAGGATGTGGAGAAACAGGAACACTTTTACACTGTTGGTGGGACTGTAAACTAGTTCAACCATTGTGGAAGACAGTGTGGCAATTCCTCAGGGATCTAGAACTAGAAATACCATTTGACCCAGCCATCCCATTACTGGGTATATGCCCAAAGGATTATAAATCATGCTGCTATAAAGACACATGCACATGTATGTTTGTTGTGGCACTATTCACAATAGCAAGGACTTGGAACCAACCCAAATGTACAACAATGATAGACTGGATTAAGAAAATGTAGCACATATACACCATGGAATACTATTCAGCCATAAAAAATGATGAGTTTATGTCCTTTGTAGGGCCATGGATGAAGCTGGAAACCATCGTTGTCAGCAAACTATCATGAGGACAAAAAACCAAACACTGCATGTTCTCACTCACAGGTGGGAATTGATCAATGAGAACGCTTGGACACAGGAAGGGGAACATCACACACCGAGGCCTGTTGTGGGGTGGGGGAAGGGGGAGGGTAGCATTGGGAGATATACCTAAAGTAAATGGTGAGTTAATGGATGCAGCACACCAACATGGCACATGTATACATATCTAACAAACCTGCACGTTGTGCACATGTACCCTAGAACTTAAAGTATAATAAATAAATATATATAATACATATATTTTTAAAAAGTAGGAAGTGGATTTCAAAGGAAAAAAAGAAATTTATTGATGTTCTTTGTTATTATTAAAATAAATTGATGTTCATATTTTAAAAGAAAAGAAATTCAATTATTATTCTAGAAAGCAAGATAAATTGCAAATTGATCAGCCATTTAAATGTGAAAAATGAAACCATACAAGTATTAACAGAAAACACCAATGAATTTCTCTGAAACATGGCAGCAGAAAACAATTTCCTATCATTTGAAATCCTGAAGCAATAAGGGAAAATATTTATTAATAGAATTTTTTATTACATAAAAATTTCTGTGATGAACAGGCAAACAAAAAAACACCATAAGCAAAGTAAAACTATATTTGCAACATTTTACAAAGGGTTTCGTTTGTAATATATAAAGCTGCAATTACACAATTAATAATAGATTGAAGATATAAAAAGCCAGCTTACAGGAAAAAAAAATCTACAAATGGCAGTTCACCTTACTAAAAATGCTCTCTGTTTTGCATAAGTGAAATGCAATTTTTTAAGATGTGATATACAATTTTCCAAAATCAGACTGATGACATAACCCAAAATTTAACAACATATACTGTGGAGGAGATCCTGGAGAAATAGACAGTCCAATAAATTCTTAACAGATAAAATTTCATTCCTGATGGGAATGAAGACTACTATTCCCTGCAGAGGAGAATTGTCAGTCACCTGCAGTATTACATATGCATTTACATTCTGACTCATTAAGAGCCTCCATTTTATTTAGCCCTCCCTGTGACCATGCCCTTTGGACATACATTTCTACACTGACTCTGAGATTGGCAGTGGGATTTTTCTCTGGCCAATGAGTCATAGCAAACTAGACCCTAGCAAAGCCTTGGAAAAACAGTTAGGAAGTTTAGCATTCTACTGGAGATCCACACCCCACCATGAGAATGTGTCCCCCATAGGAAAGAGCCTGAGTGACAGACCCCAGGGGGAGAGCTGTCACTGCAGCCAGGACCATTCCAGACCAAGAAGCTTGCCACCAGCAAGCTGTGGCTAAAGCACACGAGACCACCCAGAGAGTATTTTTAGTGTCCTTTAATCCAGAATGGACTTCCTTGCCCAAAGTACCCCATGCAGATTATTTACAAAGTGAAAAAGCTCTTTTTAAAACAGCAAAATGATTAGTAAGGGATCAAGCGATCAAGCTTCATATCATAAGACAAACTGACATGATGTGCCACCAGATTTGACACAATTATTAGAATAATGTTAATCGCCTATGTGGTACTCCTGCCAAAAATGTTAACCTAAATCTTCACATAAATCCAGATTGTGGGACATTTTACAAACAACATTTTTTTTAATACCAAGGCATAGAAGTCACATGCATTGTTACAATATCAGGATGGATTGAGGTATTTTAAAGCAATGATCAGTTACAATTTTGGCACCAAATAAATCTCAAGTGGACAAAATGATTCAGGGAAATAAGATTTCAGCTTCCGAAGCCAGAATTAAAGTTGTGAGAGAGAAAGACATGGTACCCAGAAAGCAGAGAAATATAGCGAATTTAAGAAACATATCTAGAAAATAACAGTGGGTGTGTTTTTGCCACATATACTTGAGGAATCAATTCTCTTGAAAGCCACCAAAGTCTTTTGAGGGTTTTGCTGCCTAAAGAAACAATCAGCCAGGGAGAAAGGAGACTGAGACTGTATTAGAATTAAAAGAACCAAATGTGTATAACATTCCATGGGGAAGTAGTGGCTCAAGAAACTAGTCCCCAAGGAGCAACCATGCCCAGTGACCATTTCAAATGTGACCAAGGAGCATATGAAGAAGGAAGAATATTTCAGGATGTGTTGGAGACCATGGTGATCAAGGCACTCTGGGAAGAAGAATCAGAGCTGGGTCAAGGAATAATTCCACTTCCTGTGTGAGGGATGCTTAAAATATCTGCCCAGTGAATACTTAGAGTCCCAGTGACTTCTGTATGTCCCTCATTATTATTTTTTCAAGTGGAGAGAGTGTTTATTGTCGACTTTTTCTTCCCTTTTCACCATCATATATCAGGTGTATAAAGGGACAGCTCATTGGTCTGTAGACCAAGGCAGACATCCACCTGTGGAGGCCTCAGACACTCTGCAGACAGTCTTGACTTTAAGTATAGGGCCTGCCAGGATTGGAACCCTGGGCTGCTCCCCTTAAGAAGAAGTGAGAACATCTTGCCTTTGGGGAGGACCATGAGCTGAGTATGTGTGACAGAAGCGCACACTTAGAAGGAACTAGTGCTATTTGTTAAACATGCTGACTTTCCGCCCTCAGATGACAAGACTGAATTCCCTGCCCCTCTTCTGTTTAGGTGGGTCCATATGACTAGTTCTAAGGCCAAATGGCTATGGAGAGCCTGGCGTGTGCCACTCCTAGAAGAGAATATTTTATTACAAATGTCAGTCCCTTCCTCTCTGCCATGACAATTGGAATCCCAAGTTTCTATAAAAAGCAGAGAGTCCCCTCCCTACTCTAGACATAGTCTCAACATGTGCATTTAACATAAAGCAAGAAATAAACCTCTATGTTTTAAGCTAGTGATAGTTCATGTTGTTCAAATTTAATATTTGTTTCCTTACTGCAGCATGACTTAGCCTACCCTGAATGACACATAATTCGCCCATAATTCCCAGGCTTCCAGGACCCTGTAGCTGGGTAGCAAGATGGGCATGTGAAGGAATAAGGGTCCCTGCAAACAACAAACTTCACCCCAATGGTCAAATGAAGATCCTTAAAAGCAGGGCTTACTCATACAGACACAGACAGAGGAAAAGAACAAACAAGACAATGAGGTGCACGGAGTTAAGTAGGAGCAGGAGACTGGCACCACCCACAGGATGGAAGGGGCACAGGGAGGGAACAGAGACTCTGAAACCCAGTGGGAGCTGGCACTTTAGGCAAAGGGTGACCAAACTGCTTGCTCTTCAGGGCAGGAGGCATGACTGTGACACAAGGAAGGAGAGGAAACCCCCAAATCTCTCCCTTTGCTGCTCTGCTACCCAGGGACTCCTAACTAGCCAACCAGAAGCCTAGGGAATGCACTCCACATGTGCTAGCCCTTGAGGGCTTACAGAGGAGTGGAGAAAAGGTCTGGGATGGGAAATGGGGAGGAACTGGTCCAAACGACAATTGTAGGTGCTCTGATCAAAGTAAAAAGAGTAACACATAGGGTGCTTTTAGAAAAGCAGTGAATTCTCTTGAAACAACCCCTTAAAATTATGAATTTTCATGCTCAAGAAGCACCTGTGCAAAGTAGTAGAATTATAGCAGCATTATTTTTGTGTAGTAACTTTTAATAACAATTCAATTCAGAAATATAATAGTTTAATGAGTGATTATTGTGCTACATTTCTAAACTAATAATAAAAGACAACTTAAGCATATTCACAGGTCATTGATTTGATTCTTGAAAATATTAAATTCTTTTAAAAATAAAGAAATGTATTTTTTAAGGTAAAGAAGTTCAAAAGGCTATGCAAAATCAGATAAAAATATTAAAAATCTAAGTGTTTGCAGACAATGCACTTAGAAACATAAAAAAACCTCCCTTAAAAGATTGGACATCCCCACTTGCCAATTAGCTCCATATTACCCCAGGAGGTGCCTGTTGGGCAATTGTTTTATTTCTGCTGACACCAAAGAATCACCATCTTAATAGCTACCGTGGTCCTTTAAGTCTTTATACTGAAATTTTTGACTATATGTGAAAATGACCTACCAGGAATCAGAGTATCAAAATGTATTGTCACTGGCACTAATGGAAACAAGTGACCCCCACAAAATAATCAGAACTGAAGTGCCACAGTTATTAAAAATATTACCTCCTTCTTCTAGCTTTCAGACTAACAATAAAACATCATTTTTATTTGTAAACTGCTCCCATGCAAATATGTAATATATTAATCACCAGAAGAAGCAGTATTTGGAATTTAACACCATGCCATGTTCCTACAGAAGTTGCATAGTCATGAACATCACGTTATTTCCTTTCTCAAATGAGGAGGGGGAACATCCATCCTAGGGGCTCTTTCCTGCTGTGCTGATGAGGTATGAAGAGCACACACCTCAACCACAATACTGAGCTTTTCTGTGACCGCTTCCTGTGTGTGACAGGCCGTGGCCCCAGCTGCACATGCACTAAAGGTCCCTCCTGCTGCTGGGAGTGGCTGTGTTGTGGTTACTGCGGAAACTTCATTTTTCTCACTTCCCTAGGTTCAGGTAGAGCTGGCATTTAGTCCATCAGAAATAACATTTCAGCTTGGCAAAGCACAAAGGCCTTTTGTAAACTCTAACTTACTCAGGTTCCCAAAATATTTCAGTCCTTCCTTGTCAAATGCTTGTCAATGCTGAACAGAGACCCTGTAACAAGGGAGCAGGCCTGCTGTTCTACACTACAGCCATCACATGACAGACTGGAGGCCCAAGCCAGATATCCACTGAGGACAAAGTGAGGTCGTAGAGAGAAGGCCAAATGTGTGCAACCACAGCAAGCCTTGAACTCCAGCCCCTGGAGGTGAAAGACACCTTATCACTCATGAAGCTTATTCTGCCACCCCACAGTGACTTCTCTCCATGTTTTCAAGGACGTCTGGTGATAGAGGATATATGCTAGAATATTTTCAGATATATGATTTCACGGATATCCAAAACAATTGCATTCATGACACTTACCTTTTGAAATTTCAAATGTTTAGTGGCCAGTTGTCACTAGTCTTATATTATGAAGGGAAATAAGAATGATTAACGCCCAGAAAATTATTGAAGATGAAATCAGGGTGCCAGGTGAAAGTAAGTTAGTTTGACCCCTCGAATTAATTTTTTAGAGCTACGAAGAAGGATTTCCTCTCTCCATTTTCTATTCTATTTAAATTTAGATTTTTTTTTCTTCCCTAAAAAGTTATTTAAAATCCTCTTCATCTTTATGTTTTATTTCCTGGTTATTATTATTCATCTGAATTTGAAATAATTCCATTTCAATTTCCTATCTTCTTTTCAATTTTTGTTTTCCCTCCATAGTTGCATTGAATGCATTTTGGGAAACATCATTTTTTTTTTTTTTTGAGACGGGGTCTCGCTGTCACTCAGGCTGGAGTGCAGTGGTGCAATCGCGTCTGTCTTCTAGCTCCTTGGAAAAGCCACATTCCAAGGTATTGCCATTATTCAATCTGGCTCAGAGCTCCCTTCCTGAAAAACTCTATCCCAGGGCAATTGCTTAACATGGCAGCTGCCTAATGCAAACAGGAGCCTGACCAAAAATTTAAAAGAATGATCTGGAGAAGATGTCCAAAGGGGGATGTGAAAAGCTTGGCATATTCCTGGAGATCTAGAAGGCCAAGTGCATGTGCAGGAAAAACATGGAGGGTCCCAGCTATCTCTGGCTGACCTGGAGGCTCTGTGCAAGCTAAAAGTGGAAACTAACATGGAATTGTCTCAGCATTGAACGTGTGACCCAATGCACACACGCATGCACTCATACACATACACATGCACATGCACACATACATACACATGCACACACATACACATGTTCACATGCATATGCATGCACTCACACACATACTCTTGCACATGCACACACAGGTACACATGCACATGCACACACGCACATGCATACACATGCACACACACACACGCATGCACTCACACATGCACGTGAACACACTCATACACATGCACTCACACACAAATGCACATGCACACATGCACACATGCACATGCACACACATACAGCCTCTCAGAAAAGAGTAGAATTACTGGCGTGAGACACCTAAGGAAATCACTGATCAATCATTAACTAAAAACTAAGAGTTCAGTGCTCAACACACAACAGGGAATACAGACTTCAGGGAGTTAGTCTAGGAAAGTTAATAAAGAAAAATAATGATAGGAAAACAGCAATAACCACACAAATCCTGCAGGGTGGCAGGAGGAGATGGGGATCTGATTGCAATGTTGTTATCTTATGTTATCTAAAATATCTAGTTTTTACCAAAATATCTTAAGATGCCTAAGGAAATAGGAAACTATGGCTCATGTATAAGAAAAAATAGCAGTTGATAAAGACATAGAGGAACACGATCAACCAGCCTGAACTAACAGTCACCTCTGGAACATACCATCCAACAGCAGCAGAATACACACCCTTTTTAAGTACACATGGACTATCCCCCAGTGCAGACCATATCCTGGCATAAACCAAGTCTTAATAAATGGAAAGGGTTGAAATCATACAAACTATATGCTCTGACCACAAAGTTAAATGAGAAATCAATAACAACATAATTTGGGGAAACCACAAATATTAGGAAATCAAACAATAGATTTCTAAATAATATACATGAGCAAAAGAAGAAACTATAAGGTAAATCAGAAAGTATTTTGATCTGAATGAAAATAAAAATACAACACATTGACATTTATGGTATTCAACTGAAACAGTGCTTATTGTAATTTAACTTGAGTACCTATATTAGAAAAGACGAATGATCTCAAATCAATAATCTAAGCTTTCCCCTTTAGTATATTGGTGAATGACTAAATAAAACATGTTATGTCCTTAAAATAAAATACCACTGGACAATAGAAAGGAATGAAGTACTGAGACATGCTGCAAGACTGATGAACCTCAAAAACATTTATGTGGAGTGAAAGAAGCCAGATACAAGAGACAACATATGGAATGATTTCATTTATTTGAAAGACTCATGAAAGGAAAATTTACAGAGACAGAAACTTGAATAATGTTTGCCACACAGGCTTGGCACCTGTGTGCCACTTTGGCACCTTGACACCTGTGGCCAACCAGGCCACTTACTTCCTCAAAGCCAGTGAAGGAGAGAGTCTCTAGAATGGGTCCTCTAGTAAGATGGAGTCCCATGTACTATCATAATCATTGAAAGTGACAACCTATCACCTTGGCCATATTCTATTGGCTAGGGACCATCAGGCTGTACCCACACTCTAGGGAAGGAGACTGCAGAGGACATGAACTCCAAGGTGTGAGGTCATTGGGTCCACCATAAATTGTCCACCACATGTGTCAATTAAAATATAATTCATGAGTCCATTCCAAGATGGCTGAATAAGAACAGCTACGGTCTGCAACTCCCAACAGGATGGACACAGAAGACAGGTGATTTCTGCATTTCCAACTGAGGTACCTGGTTCATCTCATGGGGACTGCTTGGACAGTGGGTGCAGCCCACAGAGGGCAAGCCGAAGCAGGGCAGGGCGTCGCCTCACCCAGGAAGAGTAAGGGTTTGGGAGATTTCCCTTTCCTAGCCAAGGGAAGCCATGAGAGACTGTACCTGGAAAAATGGGACACTTCCACCCAAATACTGTGCTTTCCCAGGGTCTTAGTAACTGGCAGACCAGGAGATTCTCTCCCGTGCCTGGCTCAGTGGGTGCCATGCCCGCAGAGCCTTGCTCACTGCTAGCACAGCAGTCTGAGATTGACCTGTAAGGCTGCAGCCAGGCCGGGGAAGGGGCATCCACCATTGTTGAGGCTTGAGTAGGTAAACAAAGTGGCCAAGAAGCTCCAGCTGGGCAGAGCCCACTGTAGCTCAGCAAGGCCTACTGCCTCTATAGATCCACCTCTGTGGGCAGGGCATAGCTGAACAAAAGGCAGCAGAAACTTCTGCAAACTTAAACGTCCCTGTCTGACAACTCTGAAGAGAGCAGTGGTTCTCCCAGCACAGAGTTTGAGATCTGAGAATGGAAAGACTGCCTCCTCAAGTGGGTCCCTGAGCCCCATGTAGCCTAACTGGGAGACACCTCCAAATAGGGGCTGACAGACACCTCATACAGGCAGGTGGCCCTCTGGAATGAAGCTTCCAGATGAAGAATCAGGCAGCAATATTTGCTGTTCTGCAATATTTGCTGTTCTGCAATATTTGCTGTTCTGCAGCCTCCACTGGTGATACCCAGGAAAATAGGGTCTAGAGTGGACCTCCAGCAAACTCCAACAGACCTGCACCTGGGGGACCTGTCTGTTAGAAGAAAAACTAACAAAACAGAAAGGAATAGCATCAACATCAACAAAAAGGACATCCATACCAAAACCCCATCTGTAGGTCACCAATATCAAAGACCAAAGGTAGATAAAAACCATAAAGATGGGGAGAAACCAGAGCAGAAAAGCTGAAAATTCTAAAAACCAGAGCGCCTCTTCTCCTCCAAAGGATCTCAGCTCCTCAACAGCAATGGAACAAAGCTAGACAGAGAATGACTTTGACAAGTTGACAGAAGTAGTCTTCAGAAGGTTGGTAATAACAAACTTCTCTGAGCTAAAGAAGCATTTTCTAACCCATTCCAAGGAAGCTAAAAACCTTGAAAAAAGGTTACATGAATGGCTAACTAGAATAAACAGTGTAGACAAGGCCTTAAATGACCTGATGGACCTGAAAACCATGGCACAAGAACTTCGTGGCAAATACACAAGCTTCAATAGCCGATTCAATCAAGTGGAAGAAAGGGTTTCAGTGATTGAAGATCAAATTAATGAAATAAAGTGAGAAGAAAAGTTTAGAGAAAAAGGAATAAAAAGAAACAAACAAGACCTCCAAGAAATATGGGACTATGTGAAAAGACAAAATCTACATTTGATTGGTGTACCTGAAAGTGACAGGGAGAATGGAACCAAGTTGGAAAACACTCTTCAGGAAACTATCCAGGAGAACATGCCCAACCTAGCAAGGCAGGCCAACATTCAAATTCAGGAATACAGAGAACACCACAAAGGTACTCCTCAAGAAGAGCAACTCTAATGTTTAAATCTTTAATCCATCTTGAATTGATTTTTGTATAAGGTGTAAGGAAGGGATCCAGTTTCAGCTTTCTACATATGGCTAGCCAGTTTTCCCAGCACCATTTATTAAATAGGGAATCCTTTCCCCATTGCTTGTTTTTCTCAGGTTTGTCAAAGATCAGATAGTTGCAAGTATGCAGCGTTAATTCTGATGGCTCTGTTCTGTTCCATTGATCTATATCTCTGTTTTGGTACCAGTACCATGCTGTTTTCGTTACTGTAGCCTTGTAGTATAGTTTGAAGTCAGGTAGTGTGATGCCTCCAGCTTTGTTCTTTTGGCTTAGGATTGACTTGGCAATGCGGGCTCTTTTTTGGTTCCATATGAACTTTAAAGTAGTTTTTCCCAATTCTGTGAAGAAAGTCATTGAAGAAAACCTAGGCATTACCATTCAGGACATAGGCATGGGCAAGGACTTCATGTCCAAAACACCAAAAGCAATGGCAACAAAAGACAAAATTGACAAATGGGATCTAATTAAAATAAAGAGCTTCTGCACAGCAAAAGAAACTACCATCAGAGTGAACAGGCAACCTACAAAATGGGAGAAAATTTTTGCAACCTACTCATCTGACAAAGGGCTAACATCCAGAATCTACAATGAACTCAAACAAATTTACAAGAAAAAAACAAACAACCCCATCAAAAAGTGGGCGAAGGACATGAACAGACACTTCTCAAAAGAAGACATTTATGCAGCCAAAAAACACATGAAAAAATGCTCATCATCACTGGCCATCAGAGAAATGCAAATCAAAACCACTATGAGATACCATCTCACACCAGTTAGAATGGCAATCATTAAAAAGTCAGGAAACAACAGGTGCTGGAGAGGATGTGGAGAAATAGGAACACTTTTACACTGTTGGTGGGACTGTAAACTAGTTCAACCATTGTGGAAGTCAGTGTGGCGATTCCTCAGGGATCTAGAACTAGAAATACCATTTGACCCAGCCATCCCATTACTGGGTATATACCCAAATGACTATAAATCATGCTGCTATAAAGACACATGCACACGTATGTTTATTGCGGCATTATTCACAATAGCAAAGACTTGGAACCAACCCAAATGTCCAACAATGATAGACTGGATTAAGAAAATGTGGCACATATACACCATGGAATACTATGCATCCATAAAAAATGATGAGTTCACGTCCTTTTTAGGGACATGGATGAAATTGGAAATCATCATTCTCAGTAAACTATTGCAAAAACAAAAAACCAAACACCGCATATTCTCACTCATAGGTGGGAATTGAACAATGAGATCACATGGACACAGGAAGGGGAATATCACACTCTGGGGACTGTTGTGGGGTGGGGGGAGGGGGGAGGGATAGCATTGGGAGATATACCTAATGCTAGATGACGAGTTAGTGGGTGCAGCGCACCAGCGTGGCACATGTATACATACGTAACTAACCTGCACAATGTGCACATGTACCCTAAAACTTAAAGTATAATAAAAAAAAAAAAAAAAAGAAGAAGAGCAACTCCGAGACACATAACTGTCATATTCACCAAGGTTGAAATGAAGGAAAAAATGTTAAGGGCAGCCAGAGAGAAAGGTTGGGTTACCCACAAACAGTGGATTTCTCAGCAGAAACCCTACAAGCCAGAAAAGAGTGTAGGCCAATATTCAACATTCTTAAATGAAAGAATTTTCAACCCAGAATTTCATATCCAGCCAAACTAAGCTTCATAAGTGAAGGAGAAATAAAATCCCTTACAAGCAAATGCTGAGAGATTTTGTTACCACCAGGCCTGCCTTACAAGAGCCCCTGAAGGAAGCACTAAACATGGAAAGGAACAACCTGTACCAGCCACTGCAAAAACATGCCAAATTGTAAAGACCATCAATGCTATGAAGACAGTGCATCAATTAATGGGCAAAATAACCAGCTAACATCATAATGACAGGATCAAATTCACACATAGCAATATTAACTTTAAATGTAAATGGGTTAAATGCCCCAATTAAAAGGCACAGACTGGCAAATTGGATAAAGAGACAAGACTCATCAGTGTGCTGTACCCCGGAGACCCCTCTCACACGCAGAGACACATATTTGCTCAAAATAAAAGAATGGAGGAAGATCTACCAAGCAAATGGAAAGAAAAAAAAAGGAGGGGCTCCAATCCTAGTCTCTGATAAAACAGACTTTAAACCAACAAAGATTAAAAGAGACAATGAAGGGCATTACATAATGGTAAAAGGATCAATTTAACAAGAAGAGCTAACTATCCTAAATATATATGCACCAATACAGGAGCACCCAGATTCATAAAGCAAGTCCTCAGAGACCTACAAAGAGACGTAGACTCCCACATAGTAATAATGGGAGACTTTAATACCCCACTGTCACTATTAGACAGATCAATGAGACAGAAGGTTAACAAGGATATCGAGGACTTGAACTCATATCTGCACCAAGTGGACCTAATAGACATCTACAGAATTCTGCACCCCAAATCAACAGGATATACATTCTTCTCAGCACCACATCACACTTATTCTAAAATTGACTGCATAATTGGAAATAAAGCACTCCTCAGCAAATGTAAAAGAACAAAAATCACAACAAACTGTCTCTCAGACCTCAGTGCAATCAAATTAGAACTCAGGATTAAGAAACTCACTCAAAACCGAACAACTACATGGCAACTGAACAACCTGCTCCTGAATGACTACTGGATAAATAAGGAAATGAAGGCAGAAATAAAGATGTTCTTTGAAACCAATGAGAACAAAGAAACAACATACCAGAATCTCTGGGACACATTTAAAGCAGTGTGTAGAGGAAATTTTATAGCACAAAATGCCCACAAAAGACAGAGGGGAAGATCTAAAATCCACACCCTAACATCACAATTAAAACAACTAGAGAAGGAAGAGCAAACAAATTCAAAAGCTAATAGAAGACAAGAAATAACTAAGATCAGAGCACAACTGAAGGAGATAAAGACACAAAAAAAACCTTAAAAAACATCAACGAATCCAGGAGCTGATTTTTTGAAAAGATCAACAAAATTGATAGACTGTTAACAAGACTAATAAAGAAGAAAAGAAAGAAGAATCAAATAGATGCACTAAAAAATGATAAAGGGGATATCACCACTGATCCCACAGAAATACAAACTTCCATCAGGGAATAATATAAACACCTCTGTGCAAATAAACTAGGCAATCTAGAAGAAATGGATAAATTCTTGGACACATACACCTTTCCAAGACTAAACCAGGAAGAAGTTGAATCTCTGAATAGACCAATAACAAGTTCTGAAATTCAGGTAATAATTAATAGCCTATCAACCAGAAAAAGTCCAGGACCAGAGTGATTTACAGCCGGATTCTACCAGAGGTACAAAGGGGAGCTGGTACCATTCCTTCTGAAACTATTCCAATCAATAGAAAAAGAGGGAATCCTCCCTAACTCATTTTATGAGGCCAGCATCATCCTGATACCAAAGACTGGCAGAGACACAACAAAAAAAGAGAATTTTAGACAAATATCCCTGATGAACCTCTATGTGAAAATCCTCAATAAAATACTGGCAAACCGAATCCAGCAGCATATCAACATCTTATCCATGATGATCAAGTTGGCTTCATCCCTAGGATGCAAGGCTTGTTCAACATACATAAATCAATAAATGTAATCCATCACATAAACAGAACCAACGACAAAAAACACATGATTATCTCAACAGATGCAGAAAAGGCCTTTAATAAAATTCAACAGCCTTTCATGCTAAAAACTCTCAATAAACTAGGTATTGATGGAATGTATCTCAAAATAATAAGAACTATTTATGACAAACCCACAGCCAATATCACACTGAATGGGCAAAAAATGGTACCATTCCCTTTGAAAACTGGCACAAGACAAGGATGCCCTCTGTCACCACTCTTATTCAACATAGTGTTGGAAGTTCTGGCCAGGGCAATCAGGCAAGACAAAGAAATAAAGGATATTCAATTAAGAAAAGAGGAAGTCAAATTGTCCCTGTTGGCAGATGACATGATTGTATATTTAGAAAACCCCATAGTCTCAGCCCCAAGTCTCCTTAAGCTGATAAGCAACTTCAGCAAAGTCTCAGGATACAAAATCAATGTACAAAAATCACAAGCATTCTTATACACCAATAACAGACAAACAGAGAGCCAAATCATGAGTGAACTCCCATTCACAATTGCTTCAAAGAGAATAAAATACCTAGGAATCCAACTTACAAGGGATGTGAAGGACCTCTTCAAGGAGAACTACAAACCACTGCACATTGAAATAAAAGAGGATACAAACAAATGGAAGAACATTACATGCTCATGGATAGGAAGAATCAATATCATGAAAATAGCCATATTGCCCAAGGTAATTTATAGATTCAATGCCATCCCCATCAAGCTACCAATGACTTTCTTCACAGAATTGGAAAAAACTACTTGAAAGTTCATATGGAACCAAAAAAGAGCCCACATTGCCAAGACAATCCTAAGCAAAAAGAACAAAGCTGGACGCATCACGCTACCTGACTTCAAACTACATTACAAGGCTACAGTAACCAAAACAGCATGGTACTGGTACCAAAACAGATATATAGACCAATGGAACAGAACAGAGCCCTCAGAAATAACACCACACGTCTACAACCATCTGATCTTTGACAAACCTGACAAAAACAAGAAATGGAGAAAGGATTCCCTATTTAATAAATGATGCTGGGAAAACTGGCTAGCCATATGTAGAAAGCTGAAACTGGATCCCTTTCTTACACCTTATACAGAAATTAATTCAAGATGGATTAAATACTTAAATATTAGACCTAAAACCATAAAAAACCTAGAAGAAAACCTAGGCAATACCTAGGTTTCAGAACATATGCATGTGCAAGGACTTCATGACTAAAACACCAAAAACAACTGCAACAAAAGCCAAAATTGACAAATGGGATCTAATTTAACTATAGAGCTTCTGCATGGCAAAGAAACTACCATCAGAGTGAACAAACAACCTACAGAATGGGAAAAAAAAATTTGCAATCTACTCCTCTGATAAAGGGCTAATATCCAGAATCTTCAAAGAAATTAAACAAGTTTACAAGAAAAAAAACCATCAAAAAGTGGGCAAAGGATATAAACAGACACTTCTCAAAAGAAGATATTTATGCAGCCAACAGACAGGTGAAAAAATGCTCATCATCACTGGTCATCAGTTCCATTTGTCAGGTTTGTCAAATCAAATCACAATGAGATACCATCTCACGCCAGTTAGAATGGCGATCATTAAAAAGTCAGGAAACAACAGATGCTGGAGAGGACGTGGAGAAATAGGAATGCTTTTACACTGTTGGTGGGAATGTAAATTAGTTCAACCATTGTGGAAGACAGTGTGGCAATTCCTCAAGGATCTAGAACTAGAAATACCATTTCACCCAGTGATTGCATTACTGGGTATATACCCAAAGGATTATAAATCGTGCTACTATAAGGACACATGCACAGGTATGTTTATTGCAGCACTATTCACAATAGCAAAGACTTGAAACCAACCCAAATGTCCATCAGTGATAGACTGGATTAAGAAAATGTGGCACATATACACCATGTAATACTACGCAGCCAAAAAAAAAGAATGAGTTCATGTCCTTTGCAGGGACATGGATGAAGCTGGAAACCATCATTCTCAGCAAACTATCACAGGGACAGAAAACCAAACACCACATGTTCTCACTTATAGGTGAGAACTGAACAATGAGAACACTTGGACACAGGGCAGGGAACATCACACACCATGGCCTGTCGGTGAGGGGAGGGGGCTGGGGGAGGGATAGCATTAGGAGAAATACCTAATGTAAATGACGAGTTGATGGGTGCAGCAAACCAATATGGCACATGTATACCTATGTAACAAAGCTGCACGTTGTGCACATGTACCCTAGAACTTAAAGTATAATAATAAAAAAAATATATAATTTATATGTCCATTTTATTTTTGTTTTTAAAAATGTCCAAGATTTATTTAATTTTTTAATCGTGCTTATTATAAAATCTCAAAGTCTAAGCAAAGAAAACAGCTATAGTAACATATGAGTGCTTCTGCCACATGTCTTGGTACATTTATTAGATTGGTGCAAAAGTAATTGCAGTTTTTGCCATTGAAATTAAGGGCAAAAATCGCAATTACTTTTGCACCAAACTAACATAAACTCATATACAAAGGTGTGTGTGTTCATGTGTGTGTGTGTATACATGCAACATATATGTGTATATACATGTACATATATACATACATATGTAATATATACACACACAATATTCTACTTTACTATGAATGAAATAAATTCTATGGTTCTTTATTTTCAAAATGAAAAGTGTTCGCCTTCAATCCTTCCTTTTGCAAGTTCAGAGAAAATTCAAATAGAAGTCATTCAAAGTTGACATTAAGAGATCAACCTCAACAATTCTCCCTTTTTTAGGGTCCTGCCAGTGGCTTACGGACATTTTTCAAAAGTCTTTTCATTTATGTATATTTTCTGAACAAAAGGAAAGGAGAACAGGGGTATAACATAACTACAACAACCATACCCTTCTAGTACCCTCCATAATTGTGGATAATGACCTCTGTGTGGCTGTTATTTTGCAAGAACCTTAGGATCTGACCTGCAACTTTCCTCTTTCCCTGAAGTGTCATTCTCATCTTGAATTTCCTAGTGTCCATGTGAGATACACCCACGCCCTGGCCTCTCGGGTCAATGTAGGCTCCCACGCCAGTCAACTGAGGGGCTGATGCCTTGCGTGCTCAGAACTGCCTTACCTCCAGAATCAGTCCAGCTTCCTATTATCTGATTATATCCCTTCATTCTATTGAATTGCTTACTCATCTAATTCCCTGTATCTGTTCTTAAATATTACAAGCCTTCCTGTTATGGAATTCTGTGAGTTCCCTCTTCCATTAGCTTTCTCCTTTCTTCATCCCTCTTTTTATCTAATTAAATTGCTTGGTTCATTGTTCAATAATCTATCTGTTACATTAGTTAATAGGATTAGCTTGATATATTAAAAAATGAGAATAACAACTGTATAGATTTTTATTTCTTTTTAACTATTAAAAACAAAGACATTTTAAGGTACCGAAGATAAAAAACTTCTCAACATAGAATTCCTTGCACAGCACAAATGTCATTTTAAAAAGTAGATGAAATAAGGACTTTTTCAGGAAACAAAATCTGAAAAAAATAAGTTTCATTGCTAGCACACCTGCAGTGCAAAAACATATTAAAGGAAGTTCCATAAGCAGAAAGGAAATGATGGCAGATGAAAAGAAAGTATAATACGGGAGTAAATATAAATGACATTTTTATGTCACTTTTCATCTCCTTAGGATATAATTGACTATTATACTATGGAGTTTGTAGCATATGTAGAAGTAAAATTATGACAATTGAACAAATGACAGGAGTAGAAAGCAAGTAGCAATCTGGCATATTAAAATTCAAATCACAAACCCAAGATGTGCTAAATGTGTAAGGTCTACAAATCTAACTTAAAAGGTAGATATTGTCATTTTGAATAAGAATGCAAGAAACCGCTCAACGTTTTTAAATATAAAGACACATATAGTTAAAAGAAAAGGATGCAAAAAGATTTGGCAAATACCCATCCAAAAAAAAAAGATAAAAAGAGGCAATACAATAAAGACATCAATCACAATAAGCATGTAACAACACTAAAGGTTCGCACATGTAATAGCGGTCCCAAATAGGTGAAGAAAAAAGTGGCAGCAGTGAGGGGTGAAAGACATAAATTCACAACTATCAGTGAGGATTTCAACACTCTTGTTTCAGTAATTGATAAAAAAACAGTGGAAATTCAGTGAGGATGTATAGACTTGAACAATGCAATCAAGTCATTGACTTACTCGGCATTTATAGAACACGCTGGCCAACAATAGCAGAAGACAAATTCTTTCCAAGGGCATATGACACTTTCACAAAGATAAACTATTACAGGTGTTTGAAACCTGACCCCCAAAAATTAAACTAGAAATTAGTAAGTGAAATATATCTGAAAACTCCCAAATATTTTGAAAATAAACAACCCAATGATAGTCAATGAGTTACAGAAGAAATCACAAGGTAAATTGAAAACATTTTGAACTGAATAACAGTGAATATGCAACATTTCAAAATATGTAAAGATGCAGCTACAACAGTCCCAATTGGTAAATTTAAAGTACTAAATGCTTATATTGGAAGAAAAGAAAGACTTTAAATCAATGATATAAGTTTCTAATTTAAGAAACCAAAAAAAGAGCAAATTCAACACAGAAGCAAAAGGAAATAATGCATATTCTTTCATGAAATTGAACGAAACAACATTTTTCAGACAGAAAAATAAGTTTTTTATTACCAAGAGAGCTTTAGAAAATGAATCAGAAAAGAATATTCTTTAAGAAGAAAACAAAAATGATTCTGCAAGAAATTTCTAAGATGCAAGAAAGAATAGAGAACAAAAGAGACTAAATATACACACTGACCATGGCTAGACCGTGCATGCCTGTAGAACTCTAACCCCAAATTTCTGCATTAACCAGCTCTAGAAACCAAACCACCTCTATAGGAATTGGCCCACCTCTCCCAGGCTCCTACCCTCATTTCCAACTCAGGACAGATAGAGAAAGTTAAATATGCTTCCCAAACCAATTATGAAAGATATTTAGCTTCTATTTAGCTCACTCCAGCTTCCCCATAACAAACAACTTCTAATCAGAAATACCTGAAGTCTTCCCTCCTTTTCAGTAAAACTTTCCCACTCCCCTGATTACCTTTGAAGACCTGCAGATCTTCAGTGATGGTAGCTGTCTTCCTTGCTTTAGCAAGCTCCAAATAGACAGCCTTGGTTTGTTTTCATTTGGGTTATCATTATTACCACAAAAATAATGGTAAATAGGTAAATGTGAATAAGAATAATTTCATAAAACTATATTAATATGCCTAATTAGCAGGGTCAAGGCAAATAAGAGAAGATCTGAATAAACAGAGCTACATGCCCTATTCAGAGATCAGAAGTCTAAACTTAGCAAAAATGTCAATAGACTTTAAATTAATTTATAGATTTAATGCAATTCCTATGAAAATCCCAGCAATATTTTTGATAGGCATAGAAAAGCTTCCTTCTAAGATTCCTAGGGAAAGGCCCTGGGATAGCTTAAACAATCTTGAAAAGAAGAATAAAGTGGAAGGAATCACTTTACCTGATATTAAGTCTTACTGCAAAGCTACAGAAATCAAAGATATAGTTAAGTTTCTAACTAGTAAAATAACCTGACAGAATTAAAATTTTTAATGCAAAACCACAAATAGGTTGGGGAAGGAGAGAGGAGAGAACCTCCCCACTTTCAGTCCAGTTTTCATGGTGGGGAGCTAGCAGACACTGCCTCGCATTACAAACCAAGAAACGTGACTGGAATTCATGGAGCTCACCCTCAACAATACAGATAAATATGGGGAAATGACAAACACTGATGTTCCGAAGAATGCAACAAGGAAGGAGAACAAGGATGAAGAGTTTTACTTTTTGTTTAATCAAGCTAGACTGTTGAAAAAGTGGCTTATTTCTAAATACAAGAGTATTTTACACTTTTAACAAAATGTCAATGTACATATTCACACATATGATTTCTCCATTTTTTTTTTTGTTAATCTTGTAATAAAGAAAATACCCTCAACATGGCCAGCAGTAGCCTGCGAGACTCAGCCTCACCTCCTGGGTTTCCTTTGGCCACACTTTTCCCATGGCCCCCATTCTAACACAGGGCCTCTTAGTTCCTGCATGTTCCCCAGGCTCTGTGCTTTCATTATTTCTTCTACTTACAATGCTTCCCAGCCCTTTCCTCCTTTCAGGTAGCAAATACCTACCCAACTTTCTGAACTCAGTTGAGCATCACTTCATCAGAACAGGATCTTGACTCTCCAGAAAAGGATTCTTTTCCTGTTAAGTACTTTTGTAGCGTCGCTCAGCCTCTACAGTTGCTACAATTTGTGGTTCACATTTTTGAGGCAATCAATACCCTTCTCCCCTCTAAATTGCAAGCTCCATGAGATCAGGGGTCTGTTTTGCTATCATTTCCCCAGCATCCTGAACATCATCTTGTATATACTGGACAACTAATAAAATATCTGTGGAATAAATAATGAACTAGTATATACATCGTTTTTCACAACCCCTCACTTCTCCCTGTATAGAATGTCTAAGTTCCAGTCACCATGCTTGAAAGTAAGAGTAAGGGGGAAATTAAATCAACTCCTTTCCCCCTGCCTTATTTACTTAGTCATATCCTCTTCAGTGTATTTTTTAAATCATTATAGTGCAGCAAAGTCTATCCAAGCAATATACTCAGAATTATTACACCTTCATACTTTATAAGTCAAGTCCCAAGAAATAGGACTAATACCTGTATCACAGACTAATCACATTATTTGAGGTTTTGGCAGGTGTCCTTGTTATGTTTGGAAGACTTAGTTGACCAGCAATATATCCAGATCTGCAGATGAGTCATGCCGTAACAGGGATCTACTGTTATTATTAAATTTTGGCAGGAGAGTGACAGAGGTCTCAATGGCTTATCTTGGCTCAGATCCAATGCCCACTTTTGCAGTAATAAATAACACCACCCTGAGAACTAACAGCAGTAAGGACAGAGGCAAGATCTTATGTAAAAGAAGTCTTAGGATTACTTCTATCTCAACTTGTTTTAAGGTGCTTAAAAACAAAGAAAAACAAGACAAAACAAAACTTACGGTCACCCTAGAATCATGGCATTAAAAGGTCAATAATCATGTTTCTGAAATAAAACTGCTGTTGCTGGATATTAAATCAGTTCTATAGGTCTGATCTACAGGTCAATCTAGTTCCTTTTAAAATGTTCTTATAACCAAAAAAAAAAATGAAAGGGAGTTGTGTTATGTGATTTCGAACAATAAGAGCATTAATTCCATTCCTCTGCAGCAGGTCTTGTGGGAGAAGCACGAGGTCATACCAGATAAGAGCATGGGTTCTGGCGTCAGACTAACTGTATTCACCTCTTGTCTGTAATAGCTATGGGCTGTTAACTTGGGCAGCCCATATGCAAAACAGTGATTTTATCAGGACTGAATTAAAGGATTGGGAGAGGATTAAATAAAATCTGCTAAATTGCTTAATAGAGTATCTAGCACATAGTAAGCACTTAATAAAGGGCAGTTCTTTTCATTATTTCTATATGTGCTGGGCACTCTATTTATAACTTTACATGCATTATCTTGCATACTTACAACATCTCTGCAAGACAATCATCAACATTCCCATTTACCAGTCAGTAAATGGGAATTCAATAAAGAAGCTGAGGTCACTGAGCTAGTAATACCGGTCATTATTTAAATCCAGACCTATAGAACTTCAAAGTCTGCTATCATTACAGATCTCTAAAGCTGTATAATGTAATGGGCACTTAGACTACATCATGTTATTCTTTATTATATTCTTAACCAAACACACACAATTTCCGCCATCTGAATAATGGCTGTTATTTTCTGATTCAGAAAAAATTGGAAGTCGATAACTGGTTGTTCTGCTAAGATCCAGTTTTAAAAAACCAGTAAACTTAGAGTTAGAACAACTACCATTGTATAAATTCTAGGTCTCAACATCATCCACTGTAAAATAATAAATTATACCTGTCTCAGGGAGTTGTTAAGAGATTTAAATAAGATTCATAAATATAGTCAGTACAATTCTTGGCTCAAGGTAGGCACTCAATAAGTGTTTATTTAAGAAAAAGAAATATATATATCTATATGTACATTTCTGAGGACATGTGATAAATGATGATTGACAGGTAGATCATGATAAATAGATGATTGATTGATGACAGATGATTTGTTGATAGGTGATTTGTTGATAGATTGGTGGTTGACTGATGATAGATGACTGATAGATAGGTGACAGGTTAATGATAGATTGATGATAGATTGATTGGTGATAGTTAGATGTTAGATGATTGATAGATAGGTAGCACATGAAATCTTTGCAACCTGAAGAATCACTTCCTCCTAAAACAATGTACAGCCCACCTTTACCCATTTGCGCTATTTCATTCTCTGTCATCAAGGTTCTTCTACCCTTTCCAGAGCTATACAAATCTATAATGTCTCTGGCTGGGAGAAATTACGAGCAGTGTCCTCTACATTATGCCCACATTGCCATGTGGGTGACTGTATTCCCTTTCAGAATGTTTGGTATTGACCAAATGAAGGGGGAAATGCTCCATAGCTTTTAAGTGACACAAAGCACAGAGCTGAAGGGAACAGAAGCATCCATGGTGATAGACTGAGTGTGGCAGAGGAAGGGTCTGCTCTCCCAGGTGCTACTCTGTCACCAAGCACACATAGGATTTCAAATAAGCCATTTTATTTCTTAGTAGAGATGGGGTTTCACCATGTTGGCCAGGATGGTCTCTACCTCTTGACATCATGATCCACCCACCTAGGCCTCCCAAAGTGCTGGGATTACAGGCGTGAGCTACCATACCTGGCCTAGTTCTTAATTTCTTAATCTGTATGTAATAAGATTTTCAGTTCAAGGACCTAGGTTGTGTTCATCCTGGCATTCAACAATCAGGAGATGTCTGCAGGGCAGGGGAGAGATCACCTATCAGGTGTCTATTTGCATAAAAGACCAGGAGGCCTTCAAGGAAAATACAGTCATGTATCACATAAACAATGTTTTGGAGGTTTGAGTCAACAATGGAACATGCATACAATGGTGATACCATAAGATTATGATTCTGTATTTTTACTGTACTGTACTTTTTCTATGTTTAGATACACAAATACCATTATTTTATAATTGCTTACAGTTTTTAGTACAATAGCATGCTGTACAGGTGTGTCACCTAGGAGAAATAGGCCATATCATATAGCTTAGGAGTGTGGTAGGCTTGATATCTTGGTTTGTGTAAATACACCCTGATGTTCACACAACTAAATTGCACAACAAATTTCTCAGAATATATCCCCATCGCTAAGTGAATATGATGGTAATCCAAGGGCACAGATCTGAAGACAAGTGCTTCAGTGTCAAAGAAGAAAGGTTATTTTGCATTGAGCACAGTATCTGTCATTCGTATTAATATTTTCTTCTTGGGCCCCGTGGCCTGATTTCCAGACCCTAGGGTGGGGGATTAAAACAAATTTATACAGCATAGGGCTGGGTAAAGGTAGTGAGGCCTTATGGCTGTTGTGCTCAGCAATCCATGTGGAAGAGAAGAAGACATATCTGGCAGTGAGATGTTCTCTACCTGCAGAGGATTGGAGCCCATGGGAGCATGGACACTAGAGTCTAAGCAAAATGGGTCTGCATGTACACAGGAAAAGAAGCCAGAAGGAACACCACCCTTCAAGAACATCATACAAGCTTTGCAATGGCTTTGGCAACTTGCACAGCATGTTTGGCAGCAATGGTGACTACCAGAGGCCTGGCTTGGGGCCAGGAAAGGAGGAAAAAGACAATAACAGTGCCACCAAGATGGATAGGCCGTGAGAGACCCCAAGCCCCCACCCAGGACTCTGGGAAGGATGGGGAGAGCCTGAGAAGGAGGCCTTCTGCAAAGCTATAGGGACAAAGACAGACAGCTACTCTTCTGTGTTTTTAATTGAACCTTCTTTTAATCTCCAGGCTGACACAGCTTAAGAAAACATAAGCTGCGTGTAAGACAAAGAATTTGTGATCAATCACCTTTAATTGTTCTTTCCAAAGAAAACGTCTATTGTTTCTCCATCTTAGTGCTCTGGCAATTGCGCTGAGGCTTCAAGAGCATGGTTCATCAACCTGAAATGACTGTGGGTGTATCTACTGAAATTTCTTCAAAATATATACATTTAAGTGCTCTCATAAGAAAATGATGATGGTGATGAAGAGCATACCACTTCCTATCATTTCTAGATTTTTTTTTTCAAATTCACTTTGGAATCCATTGACACACTCCAAGCAGAAATATCCAACTTTTCTCAAAAGAGAATGATACAATATATAAAACCAGCTTCCAAATTTTCCAAACTGCATCTGTACAACCAGCTGAGTTGTAAATGTGATTTACTTATGACTTCCCACAGCTGCTCAATCTCCACTTTGGTTAAGCTTCAGATCCATAGGTGTTCTGACTGTTCTCCATCCAGCAGACATCCTCAGAAGAGCCAGGGAAGGGCTGCCTCTGTGTCCAAGCGCCTTTCATCAACAGGCACACCCATTCTGTCTTCACACTGATGGTTAATCCTGCTGTCATCGCTGGGGCATTTCATGCTGAGCACTCTTGACTTTCAACATCATTGTGTCAAATCACTGCCTTCCCTGGGGCTCATGGGTGATTTTCCTCCAGCATAAAGTCTCTATTCTGATGGACACAAATACAACTTTGATTCATGCCATAGAAATGATGCAGACAAATTGGCTCGGCATTCTCCCTCTATAGAAGTGACCTGGTAGTAGCCTACGTGACTAAGGATATGGTGGCCTGGAATGCCTTTTTTCCTCTTAACGTAACTTGATCAATTTTCCTTGTCACCTAGAGAAATAAGAGACATTTTTGTGGTATGTGGTGGAGTGAGGATTGTTGCCTTGTGCCTGACAGTGCTATCCCTAGAGTCCCCACAGGAGTGTCTCAAGTGGGGGCTCAACCTCACCATTCCTAGCAGGACTTGGGTTCATTTGATGGCTTTGGGGTAGATATCAGGGACTAAAGAACTTGCAACCCAATTTTGAGAACACCATTGTACCCATATAGTTGCGGTATAAAATTCAAAGTATCTACTCACTAGGCCAACAAAATCTTACTCAATTGTAGCTTCTAGCTAAGGGAAATCCACTCTTGACTTGAATAGAAAGAAAACCACACACTGGGAGTCAGGAAGATCAAGGTGTACACATTCATCCTTTCCACCATAAGTTCTTCCTTATGATATAGCCACTTGGAGTTGTGTGGGTTAAAAGTCCTACTTTGCATTTTGGTCTAAAATTATTGAAGCCACAATATCTTGTACCTTCTGTTTTCTGCACAGGGTGCAGAAGCATAATAATGAAAATGAAAATGAAACACGCAAGGTAGATGGCCCACAAGGAATAACCCCTTAGATATTAAACTGTACTACTTTATGGGGTGGGAAAGGACTAAGCAGGTCAAGATACAGAATTGCACTTGAGTTTTTAAATAGAGTACTATTCTTTCTCTTTAAAGGCCTTCAAGGATAATTTGCAGAAGCTGATCAATTACATTTTCAAATAAAAGACTGCCTCTGCAGGGTACCTTTTGGGGGCTACCTGCTATGGCGCTCTGCTAGAAGTTTGCACATTACAGTTGTAATCCTCTATGATGCTAGGAAGATTCACATCCTTGCACAAGCCTCTTCTTGCCCTCTCAGGCAAAAGTAAAAAATGGGAGGGAGTGTTACACTAGATCGCCAAGGCCCTCCCTCACTCTAATGTTCTATGACTTCATTCCATCTCAGTTTTCTCTTAAGACTCAGATTCCCTTTCCACTTTCCTGGAGTGCAATTACCGACTCTAGCTCATCACTCACTCATCATTGAGGTACTGCAATCAATCCCAAAGATTCAAGAGAGCTGGGAGGTTCAGGATGATTTGCATGCCATTAACTTCCATTCATTATCACTTGCAAATGATTTCACAGTATCTTCCACCTTCTCTTTAAAAGTACAATGATGAATTCCACCCACTCAGTAGAGTTTGGGTCTATATAACGCTGCTGGGGAAGCAGGGTGGGGAAGAAGAAAGCCTGTCTAAAAAGTCACAATGACAAAGGGACCCATCAACCCAGCTCTTAAAAGGATTTGTGCCTCCGCAAGCAGCCAATCACCTCTAAGTGCTGGCAAGTGTTATGTCAATAACTTCAGTGTTAGATTCGAATACTCCTCTCTTACTGGCTCACCTGGACTGCCCACTCACCTGACAATTGAGCAATGAGGGCACATTCCTAGTGCCAGCAAAGGCTCATATCCAAGGACAGCAGTAGGTTTGAAGGGGACAAATAAGTGCAATATTTCTTTCCCGTTATCATTCTGGCCTTAAGATAGGACTTTCATTTTTAAATGCAAGGCCCAAAAGCACTTTTAGAAAAGATCTTTCTACCTGTGGAGTGTGTGCACGTGTGTGTTTCTTTTTAAATAGCCATGGTATCATTTAAGAAAATGCCTCCTTTGATAAAGCACAACATACAAATATTTCTATCCCGGGAAAAATTTGGATTTTGTGGTGAGTCCAAATAGCCACAAAGTTCTTCAAGGCCAGGTTCTCCATCTTTTTTCAGGGATCTTTATCAAGGATTAGGTTTGCAAATGGTGTAACCAAGTTTTATATGCAAGTGGCCAGTGTCTGTGGAGCAGAAAAAGCAACAGCACTTGTAGGACCTGGGAAGCACTCCCAAGCCTTGTATTCCCAGAGCTCTGACAGGTTTGCTTTTGGATATAGCTCAGCAATTGGTTCATCAAGATCTAAATGAGGGAGTCCATCCTACACATGTCATAATTTAGACTTTGCTTCTCTGCATCACCCTGGGAAGCATCACAGTCTGCTGTTCTAAAGGATTTTAAATTTCATATTCAGATAGGTGTGTTGATGACTCAGATCTCCAGCCTAGAGAGAGGCAGTGGTGCCATGCAGGGCAAGGACTGGGAGTTCACACCAGCACCCTTAGGCCAGCGATCCCAATCTGTTTCTCCTTTGCTCATGTGCAGGCGATGGCTGTGTTCCCTTCCCACTAATGCAGGGCCCAGCAACTGCAACATCATTCTGGGAATCCCACAGTGCTGTCCTTTATGGTCTAGAAGATAAGCTTTGGGTGTTGATGTAGAACAGGCAGTGTTCCTCCTCCTAATCCATTCCAGTCTCTCTGTCTTGTGCACCCTGTCTTCTCTGCCCCCTTACAGGGCACTGCTCTTACTTCTGCTGAGAGCCAACGGATATGAAAGGCCTTCATTTCTCCCTGGGCAGCCTCCTCCCTCCATTGGGGCTGCTAGAATAAAGTGTTGGGACTGGTTGGCTTATGAAGAACAAAAGAAAGAAGTTCATTTCTCACACTTCTGGGGGCTGAAAGTCAGAGATCAAAGCCCGGGCAGATTCAGAGTCTGGTGAGCTTCCTGGCTCACAGACTGTCTTCCTTGGTATGCTCACATACAGGAAGGGAGGAGAGGGCTCCTTAAGGTCTTTTAAAAGGGCACTAATCCCATTTATGAGGGCTCCACCCTCAGGACCTAACCAAATCCCAAAGGCCACACCTTCAAAGACCACTACCTCGGGAGTCAGGTTTCAACACAGGAATGTTAGGGGGACACAAGCATTCGGTCCACAGCAGCAGAGCACTGCCACTTCCACTGGGGACCCACCTGCCTGTCAGACACCACGACACCTGTTGGCAAGCCCACCACCCACGCTGATGCCCCTGGGGCACTCAGGGACTTTACTGTCATGCTCACTGCCAGCTGTGGCAATGCTCTCAGGAAGCTCTCTCCTTGTCTCATGCGACCTCTGCCTCAGAGATTCCAAGGCAGCACTACCTGCTCTCTAATGCCAACAGAGTTCTAGGAAAGCCACATTTCAGCTTCACTGAGGGAATCATGCATGCTTCTCCGTAGCATGTTTGGGTGCATGGCCAAAAGACATACTGAAGTGGCTGGTACCCTGCTGTACTCAGCTTCAACACCCTTCTGTGGCTACTAAGAGCTGGTTGTAAGATTAGGCTTGGTAGGCCTGGTTCCTATTCTCCCTACTGTTCCTGGATATGTTCTCCCCCAGGAAGCACCTCAAGCCCTTCTTGTAAAAGAATGCAGACCAGCCTACCTTACAAGTTTACCAAACATGTCCACTGCCATGGGAACCTATGGAGGCTTATTCTGGAGCAAGGCAGGCACACCACATGGACACACCCACACATGGGTACACCTATGAGAGGAAAAGAGAAATTTTCAGACTATAAAACTTCTCCATCATATTTGGAAACATTGATTCCTCATTGATGCATTTATCTTTCCCCACATAATCCCATTCAAGATAAGGCAACAAATTTAACCACCCGTTTGGAAAAACCACATGATTCTTACAGAATAAGAATTAATGGTCATCTCCTTTTTTGGCAGACCAGAAGACAATGGCACCTATTTCATTAAGCACTTAGTATTCTATTCCTTGAAGTCACACCCAACACCTGGAGGCAACTGGCATCAAGTCTGAAATCAAGTAACCCTGACCCTGGTATGACTTGGGAAAAGGGGGAGAGACAGCATGGAGAGAGCAGTGAGTGAAAGTGAGGGATTGCAAACACTGTATGTGAGTATCCTCTGAGTGGGGAAGAGAAAGCAGGGAGGCCAATTTTCAAACAAGTCATGTTTTACAGCTAATCATGGGTCTATTTCACCATTATGATGTGTTATTACCATTACTGTAGTGAAATGCATGGGATTTGAAGTTAAACAGGTCTAGATTCAAGTGCGACCTCTAAGTACTCCTTACTAGCAGTGTGATTTGACCAAGATAATTAACTTCCTTGTGTCTTCATTTCTTCATCTGTAAGTAGGGATAACTTCTACCTTGCAAAATAAGCTACTTTGGAGGCATGCATTAAAATAATGCGTGTGAAGTGCTTAGCATAGTAGACAGACAATCATATTAATCATGAAGAATAGCAGCTCTTATCACTACCCATAATGCCACACACTGTTGGGCACTGAGTGTCCTTTAAGCAAACCAAATGGGATAGCAGATTCCAGCAACGAAGTACATAGCCTTGGAGGCAGACAGACTAAGAAGAAATCATTCTGAATGCCCTGGAAACTGGGCTCAGGCTTGGTTTCCCATTTTTAAAATTCCTCTACCTTGGAGGTTATCATGCAAACATAACAAAGAGTCCAGAAGGTTGCTCACTTGCCTCCAGTGTAATGCTAGCTGTTTCTGCCTACTTCCTTCTTGACTGCACAGACTGATGACGTCATAACATTCCCTTTCTCGCCTATCTTATAAAATCATCATAATTTGTTGTGTAAATGTTGTGCATATTTCTACAAATACAAATGTGTCACTTTGAATTATGAGTACATTAATAAGTTCAACAAATTTATATAATGTCCATCTGAAATTGTGGCAATTGCAAAACAAGGTCAGGTTGATGTTCTCAGGGTTGAGTCAAATCCACCCATTTTCCACTAGGTGGCAGACCTTGTTAAAAAGTTACGGAAAAGGAAAGAAAGACAAAGAAAATAATGAGTCTTCTGAAGCTGACCAATAGATGTCTCTTTGCAACCACATATCCCTGAGCTGTCGCTTAAAATACACACAAATTCAACACTCCCTAGTCTTTCTTTTTCATTTTACAGATAATATCATCAACACTTTCCACAAGGTACACACAGAACACTGAAGAGATGAATATCTCTTACTTTTCATGATGCACTTAACCATATTCTATCCACCCAAAGGGAAATGAGATCATACAAACATAACTAGGAATAAGATTCTGAACACAAGTGACTTGGCAGAAAGCAGATTTCATTAAAATGCTGTTCCCAAGTTAAGGGTTTTCTGTTTGGAGTGATCTTAAATATTTACTGATCATATGTGATGGTACTTATTGAGCTATTGGCATTAGCACTAACTCCAGACAGACGCAGATGCCTAGTGGCTATTGGCCTGCTGAACATGACACTGGGAACACGCAGGAAATAATGGAAACTCCTAAACAGCAGAGGGACATCCTGACACCATTTTTGGCTATTATTTTCCCAACATTCAGACATGTGAGTGCTCACACAAAGGTGTGTTCATGCTCATATTTGGCCCTGTTGACATCACCAAGCACATATACTTACATATGTGGAGTGCATAGGCGAGTGCCATCCATTCCCTTTGAGAAAAGAGGTTCTCCTTATTGTGGAGCTCAGAATATATAAGCAGAATCCCATGCCCGCTCTGACAATTTTCCAAAAGGAAATTTAGGAATATTTCTTCCTAAATCCTTTTACATACAGATATGTGTATGTTAAAAACCCACAAAATGGCATCACACCCTTGTCATTCAAACTTCAAAGTTATATTTAATAAATGCTTTGTTTCTATGTAAATAGATTTTTAAAATTACTAATGTATTATAATATTCTCCAGATAGCACAGCCAAACTCATGATATTTCATCACTTCATATTTTTCAAGGGATATGAATATGCATATGAATTGAGGAGATATGAACCCCCTCCAGAGTGATCATACCACACACCAAACTTAGAAAGAGATGCCTTTCATTTTAGGAGATAGGACACAGCATAAAATGGGATTTTTCAGCCTATGCCACACTCTGGTTTCTTCTGGTGCTAGATTTACTACTCCATTTCCTAAACATGGTAGTCAATACTTGCACTGCTTTTTACACACCTAAATACCTAAATGTGTACAAATCTCCACGCAAAGTAAAGAAACCCAAGGTGCGTTCCCAAACCTCACGGATCTAATTTATTCCCCTACTTGGCAGGGCAAGAATGTGTCTTTCATGAAGAAAACTGGCTCCGGGAGAAACCCCACCCATCCAGGGAGCCTGTGGGGAAGGCTGGCCCAGATCTTTAACTTACAAAGTTTTCCACAAGTTATCTTGGTCAGCTTCTTCAGAAAACAGAGAAAATGAGAGCCTGTCAGGTACGTCACATCAAATCACATCATGGCAATTAAGGAATTAGATTATACGGGTGTCTGGGGTGCCAGGCAACCCGCACAACCCATGCCATGGAGTCTCGCCAGTGTGGCTCAAGCCTAGGAAGGATTATTTTTTAAGCCTCACTATGGCCTCCAGAGTTCCTTTTTTCTCCCTACACTACATTAAACTCTCAAGAGCCTAAGAGCAGAGCTTGTGCCTTCCTTTTGTCTTACCCGTGCCCACTGGCTTCACCCTGGCTGGGCTGTGTCCACGTGGCTCTAAGAACAAGCACCATTTATTTAATTGTTATGAAATAAATTAGGCTGATAAACCCAATCAGCCTAATTATGGAGCACCAATTTCTCACCAACCTAGGACTGAATCCTTGGATTAGCAAACCCACTTGGGTTTGCTTGTTCCATTTTTCCCCCTCAGTCATTGATTTGACTTCTATTGGATTCCAGAATGAAAGCTTTAAAATCTGGTGCAGTTGCCTCCACAAAGATTTCTGTCCCTGGGCAAGAGAAAGTCTTTTTGTCAACGACCAAAGCCAACCCCTCCAGATGAGCCCTCTGGCTGGCAGAAGGAAAGGAAACCTCTGTCTTGTCTTAGCAGAGTCCCAGCAGCTGGCCTTTGGGTGTGGCCTTGACTTCCCGGCTTGCGTTTTTACCACATGGTGCTGGCGCCACATGCCCTCCGCTGTGTCTGAGCAGAGCACCTGTTTCGTCTGACTCACGCCATCAGCGCGCAGACTCGCCCTGCTCTGACAGCGGCCCAGACCTCACACGGGCATACGTGTTACTCGCTAGCACGCGGATCTGTGTAATGACATGCCCCATGCACAGACCCGAGCCCCATCCTCTCCTCACAGTAGGTGTGGCCGCACGTCCTGACGCCGATCTGTGCAGTGCACCCTCGGATACCTGCTGATGGGGCTGGGCTGGATTATGCCTCTGTGATCCAAATGTAAGCTTTTTTCATGCATAGTGAATTATTATTAAACGTTGTAAATGGATTTTTGAATACACATTTTAGTAGATGATCTTGTGTTATAACTACCAGCAAATAAATACCAAAACATTGTCTAACACTCTTCTTTGTTGTGAATAGACTGTGTAGAGTGAAACAAGGAAATAATAGCCATGGCGATATGTGTTTTCTCAACTGTGCTATATCTGTAACAAAAATGTGTGTTTTGTGGGAAATGGAGTGAAAAGCAAGGAGGACTCCTGCTCTCATAAACCCAGGTGCCTACATCCGAACAAACCCTCACATAGAGTAGCAAGCTTAGAAAACTGCCTCTGGCTTTTACTCCAGGTTCCAGTTTGTGTGTGGAGAAATCGAATATGTATTCATATTTTCCTCTCTCCTGCAAGTACAGTTCCATTAGCATAAGGATTCCTTTGAATTATTTTCTCTGTTTGACATTTAAATTAGTGACTGTTGGAAGAAATAAGAATAATCATTGAAATTAGCTTAGGAAATCTGTGAGTGCCCCACCTCACCCTCCAAACACACATACACTCTTGTTTTCTCATTCCAAGATTAAGAAGTTATGCAACCTGACAATGCACTTTTCTCTGACAAGTCTTGACATCACCACTGTTATTTTCTTTTTCACTTTTTTCCTCCAGCACCTGTTAGAAACAAGAGTAGGGTGATCTTCATGTGAATTTGTTCTTTCCTTATTCTTTTAGCAAAAGATAGGGATAAAAGTCTGCAATGGACAGAGATGCTTTAAAATATGCTTGAAATTTTATATTTAAAATAAACCACCTGAAAGTATTTTTAGATTGAAGACCATACACAAAATAAAGGTGTTTTTGCAGTTACTAGACTGGGTTCTTAAAACTTTAATCAATCTATATTCATAATAATATCCTTCAATTTCTTTTTTAGCATTATACAGGAAACTGGTAGATACTGAGATGGATTTTAATGGCTTTATACTGATGAAAATAGCACCACATAAAAGCAGGGGAATATTAGAAATAAAAATAATTGTCTCTAAAGACCCATACAACCCTTTTTCCCATAAAAAAAAAGATGCACTGTAATACATGAAAAGATAAGATCTCTTGTCAAAAGTGTGAGAGAATGTCCGGTGGTTCCAAATGACAGTTACCTCTTGCCCCCCTTCTCTGCCAGAGTTCCTTTTTATCTTTGCAATCTTCCAGTTCTTCCGATCAGCCTGCCTTTAGAGGGCTACAAAGCATTTCTTTCAAGCCACCATAGCTAACACGGTGACATGAGTACTTAATTTGCACGCGGCCGCGCTGCCCCTGGCTTCGCGGAAGCCCTGAGTAGCGCAGCGCCCTCGCCGCACGCAAGGCTGCAGTCCCGCTCCAGGCCAGAGTCCCAGGAGAGCGTCCTCCGCGCTCACAGGCGCCTTTGTCTTCCCGCTTCCCCCTTCCTTTTTCAAAAGCCAAGAGGTAATTATTTGGTCTTTGTGCAAGGCAAACCTCTCCAGATGCCACTTCCAAATATAGGCTCTCATTAACACCAGAGGCTGGCCTGGTGTGGTGCAGGGCGGCCCTTCCTTCTCCTGGCGGACACTGTGTCCCCGCGCGCTGGCGCTGCACCACATCTGGAAGCCAGGCGGGCAGGGCAGAGACCCCGGCTCCTGCGCCCCTCCTAGCTCCCAGAGAGCGTGGATCGCGGGCGGGGCTCACCGAGCGAGGTTACCTCTCTTGAAAATACTTAAACACTTTTTTTCCTCTCCACTGAAATCTCAAAAAACAGCCCATTTTGAACCAGAATAATTTAGTCTGACAACAGATTCTTCCTCTGTTCACAGCTGTCCCAGAGGGAGGAGCTGAAATCTGAACCTCTCAGCTGTGATTGGATCTTTCTTGCAAAAGAGAGGAAAAAAAAACCCTCCCAGCCAAAACGGGCTCAGTTCGTAAAGGAGCCGGGTGACTTCAGAGGCGCCGGCCCGTCCGTCTGCCGCACCTGAGCACGGCCCCTGCCCGAGCCTGGCCCGCCGCGATGCTGTAGGGACCGCCGTGTCCTCCCGCCGGACCGTTATCCGCGCCGGGCGCCCGCCAGACCCGCTGGCAAGATGCCGCGCTCCTTCCTGGTCAAGAAGCATTTCAACGCCTCCAAAAAGCCAAACTACAGCGAACTGGACACACATACAGGTAAAAAGAGAAAAATATATCTAGAACTACGTATCTAGAGCTTTGCAAATATGAATCTACGTATTACCCTTCAAATACCATTACAAAAGAGCCAAAGATTCAACTGTTTTCCTTTTTAACAGTGTCCTGAAAGGGAGCTTACATTCTTTTGATCATTTAGGGTTCGTTTTAATTCAAAACTTTTAAAATTCTTGACTAACAAGGAACATTTCATTCAAATCTCGCAGCTTCGTTTGCTAAAGCCTGTGTATACATGCATAATGAGTATGTGAAAGATGAGCAACATAAGGATTGAATTACTGCGTTTTTCATGCACTAAGTCTCCTTTCCTTTAGAAGGCGGCTTGATGCAGGCATATCTTTGTACTCACGGTCGTAATACACCTAAATAGCCCATACGTAACATGGAAAACAACTTTTCTGTATGTTTAAAAATAATGTTGAGGCTCTCCTTCCTCAATGGGGACGGCGAAGGCACTGGCTTGGCTGCACTGTCTGACTTCAGAGCACCTATAGCTCCGTGCAGCTGTCAGCCTATGTGTGCATTAAGTACAGTAACTCCGTAGGTGCCAGGGTGGAAATGAAACATTTTACCAGTGTGTATGCCCTCCTAAATGGGTCTATCTTCTTCCTAAGAAAATCACGTGTGTGTTGCTAAATATCTTTCCAGTGTGTGTATACTTGCGTGTGGATTTATTTTTAATTATTTTTGCCTTAATCTTCTCTCCCTCCCTTTTCTTTCCCAGTGATTATTTCCCCGTATCTCTATGAGAGTTACTCCATGCCTGTCATACCACAACCAGAGATCCTCAGCTCAGGAGCATACAGCCCCATCACTGTGTGGACTACCGCTGCTCCATTCCACGCCCAGCTACCCAATGGCCTCTCTCCTCTTTCCGGATACTCCTCATCTTTGGGGCGAGTGAGTCCCCCTCCTCCATCTGACACCTCCTCCAAGGACCACAGTGGCTCAGAAAGCCCCATTAGTGATGAAGAGGAAAGACTACAGTCCAAGCTTTCAGACCCCCATGCCATTGAAGCTGAAAAGTTTCAGTGCAATTTATGCAATAAGACCTATTCAACTTTTTCTGGGCTGGCCAAACATAAGCAGCTGCACTGCGATGCCCAGTCTAGAAAATCTTTCAGCTGTAAATACTGTGACAAGGAATATGTGAGCCTGGGCGCCCTGAAGATGCATATTCGGACCCACACATTACCTTGTGTTTGCAAGATCTGCGGCAAGGCGTTTTCCAGACCCTGGTTGCTTCAAGGACACATTAGAACTCACACGGGTAAGAGAAAAACCATAGGCAGGAATGTTACTCTGAGATACAATGAAGCCCTGGGCTGGCTGTTGGATTTGCATGAAGTTGTGACATAGTGCTTTTAATGATGGACAGTCATTGATAGCTACTTCCTGACTACTCAAAAAGTTGTTAGGGCACAAAGTGCTCCATTTCTTGCTAACAACCTCTGCTCCAGGGACTGCAAACAGCATGTAGACTTTGGAAAGTAGATTCAGAAGGTTTGGTCTCAAAGATCAGTTAGAAAATCAGGAAAGATGTGCTTGAATGTGTGTTCTGTGAAACTGCCCCCAGTAATCAGCAAATACAAATGTTGCTATCTTAATCAATTGATTTGGTTAATAGATGAAGGCTTTTCCTACAGTTTTCTGTTAGTTACATTCTTGCTCTGATATTTGTCACCCGTGGGTGACTTGGATAGTTGAAACTAAATTTACTTTGCCTCTCTTGCTTTGTTTGGGGATTTTTTGCTCCTTAATTTCTTATTCGTATCACAGAATTATTCTGCAGGGTATCATGGCACTTAGACCACCTTAATCATAGTACAGAAAGAGGGAAAAGGGGAAATATTGGGAAATGTTGGGAGGTGCTCAACATTAGCTGCATCTGCTAAAGCAGAAAGCTTTAAGAAGTGAAAGTCCAAGAACTACGTAAATTATTTCTGTATGATTGGCAGCAGTAATAATATTCGTGTATGATTTTTAAATGCAATATTCAAGTTTATCTTAAAAATTCAGGTATTTTTAAAAGTGTCTATTATGAGGGATTTTAATCAGGTTTTGCTGCTTCTCATTATTTAAGCAAAATGTGATTGACTTTTGTTAACATGATTTTACTTTATGTTTCCTCTAAAAACACTGACTGTCTTTCTTTTTTTCTCCCACTCCACCCCCAGGGGAGAAGCCTTTTTCTTGCCCTCACTGCAACAGAGCATTTGCAGACAGGTCAAATCTGAGGGCTCATCTGCAGACCCATTCTGATGTAAAGAAATACCAGTGCAAAAACTGCTCCAAAACCTTCTCCAGAATGTCTCTCCTGCACAAACATGAGGAATCTGGCTGCTGTGTAGCACACTGAGTGACGCAATCAATGTTTACTCGAACAGAATGCATTTCTTCACTCCGAAGCCAAATGACAAATAAAGTCCAAAGGCATTTTCTCCTGTGCTGACCAACCAAATAATATGTATAGACACACACACATATGCACACACACACACACACACCCACAGAGAGAGAGCTGCAAGAGCATGGAATTCATGTGTTTAAAGATAATCCTTTCCATGTGAAGTTTAAAATTACTATATATTTGCTGATGGCTAGATTGAGAGAATAAAAGACAGTAACCTTTCTCTTCAAAGATAAAATGAAAAGCACATTGCATCTTTTCTTCCTAAAAAAATGCAAAGATTTACATTGCTGCCAAATCATTTCAACTGAAAAGAACAGTATTGCTTTGTAATAGAGTCTGTAATAGGATTTCCCATAGGAAGAGATCTGCCAGACGCGAACTCAGGTGCCTTAAAAAGTATTCCAAGTTTACTCCATTACATGTCGGTTGTCTGGTTGCCATTGTTGAACTAAAGCCTTTTTTTGATTACCTGTAGTGCTTTAAAGTATATTTTTAAAAGGGAGGAAAAAAATAACAAGAACAAAACACAGGAGAATGTATTAAAAGTATTTTTGTTTTGTTTTGTTTTTGCCAATTAACAGTATGTGCCTTGGGGGAGGAGGGAAAGATTAGCTTTGAACATTCCTGGCGCATGCTCCATTGTCTTACTATTTTAAAACATTTTAATAATTTTTGAAAATTAATTAAAGATGGGAATAAGTGCAAAAGAGGATTCTTACAAATTCATTAATGTACTTAAACTATTTCAAATGCATACCACAAATGCAATAATACAATACCCCTTCCAAGTGCCTTTTTAAATTGTATAGTTGATGAGTCAATGTAAATTTGTGTTTATTTTTATATGATTGAATGAGTTCTGTATGAAACTGAGATGTTGTCTATAGCTATGTCTATAAACAACCTGAAGACTTGTGAAATCAATGTTTCTTTTTTAAAAAACAATTTTCAAGTTTTTTTTACAATAAACAGTTTTGATTTAAAATCTCGTTTGTATACTATTTTCAGAGACTTTACTTGCTTCATGATTAGTACCAAACCACTGTACAAAGAATTGTTTGTTAACAAGAAAAAAATGAATAATGCTTATTATGCATCTGAAGTGTTATTTTATGTGTTAGATTATAATAAAGTAAGCTGCTAGTATTATTTTTACTCAAGATAGTAGTATCACATTCAGAAGAGACATGACGGTGGTTTGTTAGCATACCACTTTAACAAAAATCACACTTTCTGGGTGCAAAACTAGTTGTATTACTAATAGTTAAAAATACTTTTCAAAATTTTTCATGTTGACTTTATTAAGTTTGTTTTATGAAGACAAAAAATACAATCACTTTTATTATTACCTACACACTGTAACAGTTTAAGATTTTTAAAAGAAATATTATGTAAAGAGATATATGAGGGAAAAGAATACAAACTGCATGAAAAGACCAGGAGAAACGATTTACTATAAATTACACAAGTTGGAAAGTTAAACCATGCAAAGAAAACCCCGCATCTAGTAATATATAAAATAAGTGATGTGTTTGATAGGAACAGGTCAGTGAGCAGTGGAAATTACCTTTTAAGGTATTTGAACACGTTGGACAAGCCCACACTCAAACCTAATGTGTACTGGAGAAAGTATAACATGACCATGCATTCATACACATATGCATGTGTAGATGCTAAATAAATGCATGTGTAGTAACTCACATGCAAAAATCCTAACCATCATAGGAACTGTGAAAGTTAGCCAAATATATATTTGAATTCAAACTCCTAAACCTACTAAAAGAAGAAGAGTCCTGCTTCTGTTCATCACATCTCTCTGGTGATTTGATCAGAACTTGGAGAATCATCTTTTTCCTTTTAATATCTTTGTAATATTATACCAATAAATGCCAGAACCTGTATCTCAAAGATGTTGGTAGCAGGCCCCTAGCAAATGACCAACAATAAATACCAATACTATTCCCTTAATGTTCGCATTCCTTCCACTGTATGTTACATTTACATTTTCAGCCACCATATAAAAGGGGGTGCATTTGACTAAAAAAAGGCTTCCCAAGTATTCTGCTTTAATTTTTTGACATTGCAATACATATTTTTTAGAGGCAAAATTATTTGAAATAGCAGTTTATGGATATGAAAAAATGGCTGATAGCTTGACTGGAGCATTCTAAACTTATAAAAGTACCAATTTAGCTAAATGTATATGGTATAAAAATGATTGCCAATGATTGTCTAGAAGTTTCCAAGCCAGCTAGCATGTAGAAACATCTGGCAAGGGGAAGTGTGAGTGAGTCAAGCCTTCTTGGATGTTCTGGTTGGCTATCCCAGGAATCATATCTACTCCTGTTTCCCTTCCTCATTTGTAGGTCTACAGGCAAGTAGTGTCTTGGTGTCCAAAATCTAATCAGCTTTCTAAGAGGAAAAGTCTATTCATTATTTAATTTCTTAGTGAAGAATTAGTAGTAATATTTTTGTAATTTATTTGACTTCATTCTCATCATTCTAATTTCATGTTTAAAATGTTTTACTTTCATTAAGGTATCATGGATCTGAATTAAGGTAAGCAGATATTAAGACATTGTTTTTTTTTTTTTTTTTGAGATGGAGTCTCGCTCTGTCACTTAGGCTGGAGTATGGTGGTGCGATCTCGGCTCGCTGCAACCTCCGCCTCCTGGGTTCAAGCAGTTCTCCTACCTCAGCCTCCTGAGTAGCTGGGATTACAGGTGTGCACCACCACACCCAGCTAATTTTTTTTAAAATCCACACTACGTTTATTTTTTAAAGTTTTATTATGAAATAATTAGAGATTCACTCAAAGTTGGAATGATAGTAAGGAGAGGTCCAGTCCTGTGTACATTTCTGGCAATGCTTACATTTTAACAGAACTACAGTACAATATTAGAATCAGTAAACTGATATTGGTACAATGTGCATGTATAGTTCTGTGTCGTTTTATCACATTTAGATTCCCATACCTAATACCACAATCAAGATACAGAACTATTCCATTATCACAAAGAACTGTTTCATATTACTCATTTATAGTCACCACTCTCCCAACTCCAATATCCCTAACCCTTAGCAACCATTAATTTCTTCTCAGTCTCTATAATTGTGTCATTTCAAGAATGTTACATAAATAGAATCATATAATATATAACCTTTTGATACTGGCTTTATTTCCTATTCAGCATAATGCCCTTTGAAAACCGTCCAAGTTGTTGCGTATCAATAGTTCCTACTTTTTATTGCTGAGTAGTATTACATGGTATGATTGTGACACTGTTTAATCATTCACTTATTGTAGGACATTGTGGTTGTTTCAAGTTTTTTGCTACTACAAATAAAGATGCTATGAGCAATTATGCTCAGGTTTTTGTGTGGAAGTAAGTCGTCATCTCTCTGGGATAAGTGGTCAGGCATAAAACTGCTGAGTCATATGGTTTAAGTGTATGTTTAGTTTTAAAAGAAACTGCCAAATTATCTTCCAGAGTAGTGATATCACTTTACAATCTCAACATCAATGTATGAGAGATCTCGTTTCTCCACATTCTCACCAAAATTTGGAGTTGTCACTATGTTTTACTGTTTAGCTGTTTTAATAGATGTGTAGTGAAAACATCTCATTGAGGTCTTAATTCGCACTTCCTTGATGGCTAGTTTAACATCTTTTCATGAATTTGTCATCTGTATATCCTCTGAAGTGAAATGTCTCGTCATGTCTTTTGTTCATTTTCGAATTAGATTGTTTGCTTTCTAATTGTTGAGCTGAGGAACTTGTTTTGTTTTGTTTTGTTTTTCCTTGACATTTCCTTGGTTTCTCTCTGTCATTCAGGTTGAACGGGCAGTGGCTATTACAGCTCACAGCAGCCTCCACTTCCCAAGCTTAAGCAATCCTCCTGTCCAGCCTCCCAAGTAGCCACACCAAGCTAATTTTTTACAACATATTTTTTGTAGCAACAAGGTCTCACTATGTTGCCCAGGCTAGTCTCGAACTCCTGGGCTCAAGTTATCCCCCTGCCTTGGCCTCCCAAAGTGCTGGGATTACAGGGGTGAGCCACTGTGCCCAGCTAGGCATTTTGTATATGTGCTAGACATGAGTTCCTGGTCAGATGCGCGATACACAAATATTTTCCCCCAGTCCGTAGCTTAGCTTCTCGTTCTATTAACAGGGTCTTTCCCAAAGCAAAAGTTTTTAATCTTTTATGAAGTCTATTTTATCTCTTTTTAAACATCATCCTTTTGTCTATTTTATCTTTTTTTAAATCATCCTTTTGGTATCATGTCAAATAACTCTTCTCTAAACTCTAGGTCCCACAGATTTTCTCCTGTTTATTTTTCTCTAAGTTTTACAGTTTTACATTTTATATTTAGATTAATTATCCATTTTGAGTTGATTTTTGTATAGATACAAGGTTTAGATCAAGGTTTTTTGTCTTATAGATATCCAGCTGCTCCGGCACCATTTTTTTTTTTTTTTTGCCTTTTTCCACAGGTTCTAATCCAGCACCATTATTGAGACTATTCTTCTTCCATTGAATTACTTTGGTGATGCTACTTGTGCTGAATCCATAAATCTCAGATCAAAATAGCCACTTTCAATAAGATCCAGGTGATACATAATCTGATCAAACAACTCTTGCCCTTTGGCTTTTTTTGGCAAGTCCACACTAACATCAGTACCATCCAGAAGGGACACCTGACACGTGATGATGGACCTGGAATCTCCAGGGGCAGGAATATGTGTGGCAGCGCATTGTGCTTCTCGGAGTCGTTCCTTCTCTGCATGTTTACCCATAGACCGACTCCCTAGTGTTCTACGGAAGAAACTCAGCATTTTTGTCACTGAGCTGGGGACGGCATGTCCCCGGTGATAGCGACCAGAGAGATGAAGAGCTGAGCAAGGCTGACGAGGGGGCGGCTCCTCAGGAGACACCAAGAAATGTCACCCACAGCATGGCCACCTGTTCTAATCCCCGGAGGACCCTGACCTGCTGCCCATCCGCCCCTTAAAGCTCCCTCTCAGCTCCCTAATTTTTGTATTTTTAGTAGAAACAGGGTTTCACCATGTTGGTCAGGCTGCTCTTGAACTGCTGACCTCGTGATCCACCTGCCTGGGCCTCCCAACGTGCTGAGATTATAGGCATGAGCCACTGCACCCGGCGTAAGATACATCTCAAGTAAATTTTTAGAGTTTTTAGAATTTTTACCAAGATCTTGCACTTGGTAAAAGTCTGCTCTCCTATATACATACATAAGACCGGAATCAAATGTCAATTACTTTGAAATACTTTACCAAATTCACCTCCTCTGGGAGCTTTATACCATTTATATGATATCACTTACCTCATTATATCACAATCTTTTGTTAATGTCTTTTTCACTACACAAAACAACCTTAAAGCAGAAATTCCTATTACCCAGCCCACCATCTAGAACACAAATATCAACAAATGTTTGTTGAATGAATATACCAATAAAATGACAAAAATTGGTAAAAATTGCTCACATATCTAAAAGAAATTTATCATATTTCCCTTTATTGCATAGGATCGATAATTTCTGAGAGATCCTTGAAGCAAATTTACTGGTGTCTCCTAGTGATGACAGATCCCCAAAATAGATTGGATGTCCAAGAAAGTGAAGAAGTGGGGTAAATAGAGTGCGTATAGACAAGGTTTAATAAACATTTTGAAAGCCTGTGCTTGGGAAACTACGGTTTTAACAACATGTACATATGCACATAAGCATTCTCAGTATCTTTAATTTGTTTCATATAATCTAGGGCTCTGTGTTATAGTGAGGAAAGCACAAGTTCTTAAATCCAACAAATGCATTCATTGCATCACTGCCTCACCACTTGTTGTCTTTATGTCCTTATGCAAGTTATGTATCCGTTTCCTATTGTGTAAAATAGAAATAGAATCTCAGTATTATAAATAAAGTACTCAACAGTACTTTGCCTCATATATCATAATAATGAGCTCTCAATGTTATCATTAAATGTCCATACCTGCTCTTGTACAAGGAAACTGATATATTTGATCTTCTTCAATGGTTACAATTTATCTCTGAAGTTGGTATTTCATGAATAAGGATATTAAACTCAGAAAGGTTGGATAATGGGCCCAAAGTAACAAAGGTGGCAAGTTGCAAAACTGAAATACAAACCCAGAGTCTTTGGGCTGCAAAGACTTTGCATTTTCCATGGCACCAGGGGAGTGAGGAGGAGCTGCTGTACCACACTCAGCAAGAGATTTATACCTTGTAGGCACATAGCAGAGGTCTGTTGAAGAAGACTGTGATCATGTGCTAAATATTCCAATGGTATATTTAAAACTACCGTCATTCAGGAGTTGTGCAAAGCACATAAAAAATCTTCTCAGCCATTTCCCAATTTCTTCCAGAAATCCTGTGGGCTCCACTCCCTGAGGCATCGGCCCACCCTGCCATGAAACCTCCCCATAGCCCCTCAAGCTCTCCTGGTGCCCTTGAGCCTTTTCTGTAGGGCTGTTCTCAGTGGGGCTGGGAAGCAGCTGGTCTCCATCCTCCGTACATTAACACTTCATCTGCTGGAGGCCACTGCTGCTCCCTCACACACCCACACTCCGCACCCGGCTTTTATCTTCTTAGACTGAAAAGTCTTCCAAGCTAAACAATCATTTCTTTCACTACTAAAATGTGGACACTCTGGTGTAATGAGGCAATTATAACTTTGAAAAGTATAAGGCTTTTCTGGCTAAGATCCACATCTAAGGAGTTGTCCCTAGTTTAGATAGAAGCGAAACATGTTGAGCAAAATTAATTTGAGAATGAGTACTTTGTCATCTAGGAAAGCAACAATTCTCAAATAAGATAATTTTCTATCATTCTTGTCTTCTCATCAGACACAGGGGAAGAACTAATGTATTCCATTAACCTGAGATGGATCCATATGAAGGAAAAAACCCTCTGATTTAATTTTCAGCAGTAAATGTGTACAACCTACCACTACAAGAGTAAATCTATGGCTAAAGTTAGGGTTAGCACACAGCCCTCCAGGAAGTAATAATTACTGTGTGGAAGGCATGCATGTAAAAATCAACAAGCATGGCAACTTTTCCGTTGTGGCACTTGGCCAGACCCCCGAACAATGAGAGATTAGCAGAGGAAATGGCAGCGTATCCCTGTCCGCAGACTCCTAAGAGGCTGGGAGGTATTTATAGCCATGAGTAGGAGAGCTGCTGTGAGTAAAAGATGGGTGCATGTATACTTTCTTTACCAGTTCATCTACTTAAGCTCCTCTGGTTACAAGCATCAGTTTAATCCGTTTAGCACTTTCTTTTGAAAATATGTAGAGATAGTTGTGAGGCCCTTTGAATGATCACTAAGTAATTTTTGTAGACAGTGGCCGGGGGAAGGGCCCGTCATTCACTCGTTTCACCAGTTAGGACAGCAGAGAAGGATGTGACGATATTCTCCACGAATCTGTTCTGGGGCTTGAATCAACTGTCTCCCAGATAAGGAGCAACACTTAATATGGTTCTTCTATATAGTTGGGAGGTAGCAATAGCTAATTCTAAGGAATGGAAAGGGAAGGCCTGGATTGAATAAAATAGTGATGTCTTCTCTGGCCAAAGGAAATGAATGCTAATTCTATTTCTTGTGAGTTCCAGCTTCTCTGCCCATACATCCTTCAGACCTATAGAGGTTTAAAGCTTTCCCGTATTGTGTGATAACCTGTTTTTTGTTTAATTTAGCAGAAAAGGCGATAATAGAAGGTATCGCCTTCAGTCGCACACAGCGGGAGAGCAGGGTGCCTGGAAGGTGCCTGCGCTCCACGTTTGCCGCTAGGAATGGGGACGGGGGGCCTGAAAACAGGATCCCCCGGAAGCCAGCGTCCTCTGCTCCTGCGCGCTCTGCAGGGCCCCCACCCGGATCCCGGATTCACAGAATAGTGCGCTGGGGCTGCTGCGATGTACTGCTCCGGTTTCCACTAGAGGCTTCTGGACACCCTGGCTCGCCCTGCTCCACGAAGGCCAGAGAGGCTGGGCAGGGCTCTCAGCAGTGACGCTTCTAAATGGGGTTTCTTTCCACGCCTCAAGGGCTACCCTCCGTAGTGACGCAGGCCTTGGGCCCCTGCAGACCAGGAACCTCTGACTTGTGCCTTGGACCTCGACGTTCCTCCTGCCGGTCTGGCGGTTCCTGGAGGCCTCCTGGGCTTCTGCCTGGAACATCTGAGGCAATTCCGGCTGAGAGCGCGGCTTCTGCGGGTCCTGCGCTGGAACCATCATTTTTCTTAAATGTTTGGAATTTTGCCAAAGGGATGTTACCTGATGCATTTTTCTCCAGTTCTCTGATTACTTTTATTCATGTCATTTTATTTTATTCCTTTATTATATATTAACATTAATGCAAATTTGAAAATAAGTTTCGTTGGGGGACATCGTTGTCTCCAAGTTGGTGACAAGCATCTCTTCCCTCTCTTTTAAATGCTTTTATTTCATAACACCTAAACAAGTCCAAAATGCAATAAAATAATAGATAATTAGATAAATAAATAATAGATAATTACGCTTATTAGGAGGTCTGCCACCACCTCAGGTCGTGACTTCCAGGAGGTGGGTGGGAGGAGGCCTGCAGGACCATCGTGCCCTGGAGCTGCTGTTTCTTCCCTCCTCCCCCTGTGCTTGTCCAGTATGGGCTTCAGAGCTGCTCTGAACTCTGGTGGTGACTATAAATTATATGTCCTTGGGGATAAAGACATTCTTCTGAGTACCAGCCTAAAACACACAACTGATCCCTGATGAAGCCTTAGTGACCACTGGCCCCACTTCCCCATCGCTGTGTCAGGAATGAGGCTCACATCCCAGCTGTGCCTTAGCCTGAGGGGTCAGAAGTAGAGCCCTGGCCCCCCTCCATCTTCAGAGATTAGATGGTTTGAAGCAGCCTGTTGCCTCCAGAGAGGAGGAGAAGGGAGGCCCCAGAGGCCATGGGTTGCTCACCCATGGCAGGAAGGAAATCAGAGGAGCAAGGATAGGGTTGCCTCCGAGATGATCAAACTTCAGCGACCATGGGAATCAGCTAGAGGGTGTGTTAAGGCAGGAATTGTTGGGTCCCACCCCCAATTTCTGAGTGAGAGGGTTTGTAATGGACCTGAGAATCTGCATTTCTAACCTGCTCCTGGGGGAAGATGGCACAGCCAGTGTGGGGACCACATTCTGAGAATAACAGAGTGGGAAGTTAGGAGCCAGGACTGAGCCTCTACTGTTGTAGTTAATGATGTGCTGTAAATCACAAGTTTTATACAACTTCAGAATCCCTTCTCTTTCTCCTCTTATTTATTGCATGCCTACTATTTGCCAATCAATCACTGTTAGGTAGTCAGTGAAAAGAAGGATTGAACAAGACCCTTTAGTGAAAAAAGAAAAAAACAGAAACTTTTTTTTTTTGAATGACTTTAAATTCCTTATCAATGCCTTTTTTAAAAAAAGAGTCTACATCACAGGGGCTTTGAAAGAGTTTGAAATCAAGCTGAAAAGATATACTATAAAATATGCAGGGATGGAAGGGGTGTGGAGTAGGGGCTCCCTTACATAATGAAAAACCTTTACATAATGAAAGAAATAAATTATAGCTTGCATAACTATGATGGTTTCTTTATAAAATTAAATTAAGTGAGGATCTGGCTTGTTTTTTGTATCTCAGGGTTTTGAATAATTTTCTTGAGTTCTAGGCTAAAATAAATGAACTTGTTTGCTGTAATGGGGCTTTTCCTGGGAGGATGAGCACTGATCAGCTACAGATTTTTCTCCATGAACACAGCCAGACAAGCCCCTCTTGGATTCTGCTTTTTAAATCAAAAGATGTAAAAGGATCTTTTGTGTTACTGCTTTCCTGAGGCAATAAAAAGGCAATAAAAAAGAATTAGAAGAAAAGATTACTCTAAAACATAACTTTCAGATTTTTTACAATTTAGGAAAATCTCAACAGCTCCAGGGCTGAGTTGCCAGTGGGTGCTGGCTGGACCCAGGGCCAGGCGTGTGTGTCTCCAGGGGATGCCAGCTCCCACCACTGCTCACGCCAAGGATGAAACAGCCCAGGTAATTTTCCACAGAGGTGTCCTGATTGATTTCAAAGGCAGCCATTCTCTTCTTTTCAATTTGGAAAACCTTAAACAGGAAGAGTGCTGCATTTGTAATTGTCTTTCAGAAATTACTTTTGGGATGTTTGAAATAACAGTGGGCAAATATATAATATAATATACCATAATATAACATAATATAATATAATATAATATAATACATATACTATGTTTTTTTAAAAAAACAACTGGTGCAACCATGTTCTAATCCAGGCCATAGTGGTTTTGTTATTTCAGCATAGCAGTTGGAAGATCAGCGCTCTGTCCTCAGACTGGCCTTGTTTCAGGTTGCTGCCTTACCATGTATGTTATGAGGTGGGTAAGCTGCTCTCTGTCTCATCAGCTCTATGGTGGAGACAATTCCTGGACCCAGGTGAGTGGAGGAACTGATGACAAGCACATGCCATGGTGTCCTGCACAGTGGAGCGGAGCTTGGTGTTTTATTTTATTTTTTCCTTAAAGTTGAGCCTGGCTTTTTTTTTTTTTTTTGAAACGGAGTCTCACTCTGTCGCCCAGGCTGGAGTGCAGTGGTGCATCTCTGCTCACTGCAAGTTCCGCCTCCCGGGTTCATGCCATTCTCCTGCCTCAGACTCCTGAGTAGCTGGGACTACAGGTGCCCGCCACCAAGCCTGGCTAATTTTTTGTATTTTTTTAGTAGAGACGGGTTTCACCATGTTAGCCAGGGTGGTCTCCATCTCCTGACCTTGTGATCCGCCCATCTTGGCTTCCCAAAGTGAGCCTGGCTTTCAATCCATACCCACTAACACTCAGAAGAAAGCTGAAATTGTACTTTTTACCTACTGAAAACATTGTCTTACCCCTGCCTACTAGAAAGAGGCATTCATTCTTCTCTCATCAGTCTCTCCTACCTGCTCTTCATCATTGTTTAATACAAAACCACCTGACATTGGCATGATCAGAGAATCAGCCATGTCATTGTCATGGATTTGCGTGTGTAGATAGTATGCATGTACTATCATTGTCTCATTCAGCATGATGCAAAAAGCTGAAGAAGTCAGAATGATGTTTCTCCAATTTATAGACCACTAAAATACACAAATGTCTCTTCATCATCCATTGAGTTTGACAAAACTTTTTACAATTTTGCCTTCTCTATAGTGCATTACATAATGTGTACACTCATTGGGATACATAAACTACTTACGAAATCAGAAAAGAAATAAATATTTTTAAAAGCCCAAAGGACAGAGTTTTATATTTATCTCTTATTCTATGCCCAAAGCTTGAGTCATTATTCTCTTCTTATGAACTTTAGCTGTTATCTGGGTTTATGTTACAGATAAAGTAATTTTTAAAAACAAAGAATCTTTTGTTCAATCAGGAGGGTTAAAAATGATATTTCAGAAGAGAAATGATTTAAAGAAGAGTTGAAAAGGAAGATTAGAACCAGGATTTCACCTATTTTGTTTATGAATACAATTTCCACTGACACCTGTGAATTCCACCTGCCAAAATTTTTGCCTGTGACTGGACATTTTACACAAAGGCAGTAGGCTATGATAACTTCCTGACTCTTTTGTTGAAACTGAAACAAGGTTGTGCTGTGCACAGATGGATACCTCCAGGGATCCTCCACAAGGATCAGGAAGTCAGTATTTATTTAGGAGCCAGAACACCCAAGTCAAGACAAGGCATGGATGGTGGGGCTGGCCTCCGCCTGCCATTCAGAGGAGCCTGCTTGCCTGAGAATGCAAGGACCTTCCACCCATGGACCATGTGATCTGCTCCATCCTGCTCCCATGTCAAGCATATCTTTCCAAAAAGTGACTGAGCTGATACTGGAAGCAAACCCACTTTGTCTGACATTCCACACCCTTCAGTGTCCACCTCAGCTCTTTCTATTAGTTAACCCAGTTAATGCAGTCAAGTTTCAAATTCTTATCATTTATACAAGGAATGAGAAAAATGTTACTTGAACTTACTGTTATCTTGTTTTGCTCTCTTTCCCATAACAAGTAAATATATATATGTATGTATGTATATATATACATATACACACACACACACACACACACATATATATAATTGGGCTTTTAGATTGGCCACTGCCCAACATTATCAACCATGGGTCTTATTGAACAGAGGGTGGGACCCAAATCCCAACTTCATTCAGCTAGCTTATTTATGGGGGGCATTGGATAAAATAAAAACTCAGTAAATTATATCAAAACTTCAATATTGTTTCTAACTGGCCAAAGAGCTTTTGCTATCCAGTAATCATGAGATTATCTTTTGTCAATTACTAAGTAAATAAACACTCAAAAGCTGTAAAGAAGTTAAGAATTTATGTTTTTGGTGTTCTGTTTAATTTATTTGCTATCACAAATAACTTTTTTCTAAATATCTGAAAACTTCATGGGCAATTCATTGACCCAATATGGTTGGGAATAATATGTTCCCCAAAGATCTATAGATGTTCCAGCTCACAGAGGAAGGAGGGAGAAGCTTTACTCAAGGGTCAGTGGCTTCTAGAAAATGCAGAGAGGGCCTATCTTGGGATCGTGTTCAACATTCAAATAATTCTGGTCCAAACGTGAAATATCTGATATGGCTGTGGCTCTCGGCTGAGTACTTGATAAATTAATCTGAAGGAATGTCTGACCCATTGGCGCAACTCTAAGGCAAACATAAGGTTATGGGATCGGCAAGCATGCCTTTGCAGTGCTTTCATGGAAACCGCCTACCCAACTCTGTCAGCCAGGATAAGAGGTGGCAGAGAAGCCTCAAAACAGAGTCCTGGCTTTCCATCTTTTTCTAGTATAGCAAAATAAAGTAATTTAAACAAAAATATTTTCTTAGCACATGGCCATAAAGGCAATTTCTGTACATGGTAAGATATTACTCAAATCCATAAGCGTGTGTTTATTCCTCCATAAATAATGTTTTATTTTACATTTTTGTACACTCCAGAAATACCAAACAACTCATAGTTCCCTAAACAAACTAAACTCTTATATGTGCTGTACCTACTGCCTCAAATGCCCATCGTCCTCTTAATCCATCTAATTCCTACATAGTCTTGGAATCTCAGTTCAACTGCCGCCTCTTCTAAGAATCTCCCCTGATTTTCTCAGGCCTACCTAAGGGTCCTTTGCCTATATTCTTACTGCACAATTGTGCATACTTTACGTGCCTGTCTCCTCACTAGATGATGAATTCCTTAAGGGTAGGGACTGAGATCACATTCTTATTTCCAAATGCCCAGCAACGTATTCCTGGGACCTAATAGATGAACAGAAAATTTTTATTGAACAAATGACTATTTTGTCCTAAAGTAGACATGTTCTGGTTGACTGTAAACATTTTAAGGTATTACAAAACACCTAAAAACCAAAACACAAAGCACAGATGTCCATCTATGAATAACAATACAACATGCAGCACGAAAGCAAACTGCCCCTTCATTCATGCGCTTTTCGAATCATGCTGTGGCTACTGTTGCCACATCTCGCAGAAAAGTTAAAGGCGTGATGAAAAGACACAAACAAACAAATAACAAGAAAACAATGTCTAACAAAAGTTTTGTCTCCAACTTTGTGAGATCTCTCTCTCTCTCTCTCTGCAATACTTTGGGATGAAGCCATATGGGATTTTCCTATGGTGTGGTGTGCTATTGCTGTTTCTTATAGGCTGCCCCCTAATTTCTTGTGGTCTTGGAAGGCAGCCTTCAGAATGATTCACCCACTACTTGATGCTCTGGGCTGGTTAAGAGTCTTTCATACCCTTACTGGTTCTGCAAATAAGGCAGTTGCCTATAATCTATGTCTAACTATCATCAGTCACTATGTCAAGAAGGGAAAATGTGTTTCAGCTTGAATCATCTTTACTTGTGCACAGATTTAAGTCACAGTCTACATTTCTGGCATGTGTGTGTGTGTGTGTGTGTGTGTATGTTTGTGGCGGAGGAGAGAGTGCACGTCAGACAGAAGCACTATCCTTGTGTAGGGCCCTTCAGGCTGGCAGCCTTGATGCAATATTCAGTCTTTGGAAATCCCTATTGGGAACATTAGAAACATCTGGAGAAACCACATTTCCATGTTGAAATAAAGATAAGTTGTCACTTCTGCTACTCATTTTGAATGTATCCCACAGCCTGTTGAGAGGTTTTTGCCCGAAGCAAGTTAGGCAGTATATAAGTTTTTAAAAATGGAAAAAGAAAGAAAAAAGCAGAAGGTAGAAAACTGATTTTGTGGCATGCTGTCAGGGGTTTTCTTAGCTGCGCCTCCACAGGAGCGGGCCCTGGGCACACCGGAGGGCAGTTGCAAGGGCCCAGTGTGGCCAGGGGACCCAGAGACGCATGCCCATCAGCCTTTATTGATTTTCCTTTTACCACATTTAAATGATGTATACATATGCTAACAGTGCATACCTTGGGCCTGGAACTTTAGGATAATGCAGGATAAAGATGAAATCCCAGCCGGATTCTCAAGGATCATTTTTCTCTGGTTTCACACTTGATTGTGTTTGAGGGCCTGTGCTTTTGCATCTACACCTTTCACAGTTTTGAACATCTCCCCCTCACCAGGAGATGGTGATGAATTGTTGTGTAAATCTGTCCCACGGGAGCAGGCCTCTAGTCTTCAGCTACCTTACCCCGCGGGCTGCCGCTGTGAATGCTGAGGTGACTGACGCTTGAATGCAGGGACTGGAGTCCTCTGCCCAGGACAGCCTGGTGCTGCAGCTGGGAATGTCCAGCCAGGGATCCACACTCAGAGCTTAGACACAAGTCACCAAACTGCCGGGTCTCTGGCCTCTGTCCAGCTTCATGAGTGACCTCCCACCAAGAGGGCGCCCTTCCCTTTGCTCCTGGTTCTAACACACTTGTGGGGAAAAGTCAGAGGTTTTTGCCTTTTGGATTTCATATGTGGTTTCATTCCAAAAATACCATATTGAAGTCTCAGGAGTAGCAAGGCCAGGGGGAAAATAGCTGACAGTTGAGCTTCGGTCTTGAGCATCCACAAATATTTCTAGAATCCTTTTCTTGGGGGGTTGCGATAGTCAAAGAAACCTTTCTTCAAAGGAAAGCTTAGTCACTGCAGAGCCAGACATGTGAAAGAAACGAGCAGGAGAAGACTGTCCTTGAAACGGGCCGACATCCTGCTTCTTTGCCTCTTCTCAAAGCTTGTCTAAGGAGTTCACTGAGCGCATTTGAAAACCAGTACCTATTTTCCAAGCCGTGTTTAGAGAACACGCGTCTTCTCAGATGGTCCCCGACTCCTCTGGTCAGACTCCCGTCACCTGCCGTGTGTGCCACATCTTCTCGCAGTTTCAAAGTTCACTTTAGCATGTCGAAAGGCTCTGGGAAATGATTATAATGGGGAATTCAGTCTCATTATCCTTGGGTCTCTGTGAACACCCCATGGAATCCGCAAGGTCACTGCATGGCCCTAAATTCTGTAAACTACCAGCCCCTCTCATTTCCCATTTCTCATTTCTCATTTAGAGTAAGTTTCTCTAAAACTCAGTCACTGCGGGAAGCTTTGAGGGGAAACATTCATCTGACCTTTTGTTTCTTTCTGTGGGGAGAAGGGCGCTGAGTCAAACTGGGAAGATGGGAGGAATGTGAGCAACTCAGTGGCCTGTGTTGGGAGGAATGGAGAATTTAGAGAATACAGGGACCAGCGTGCGTGTTGGGCCACGTTTCCAACAACAGCATCAATCAGAGTAAATGTCATCCCCTCTCTTTCGCTCTATGGAGGCAGAACATCCTGTAGAGGGCCATCTTCTGACACTCTCAGCAGAGCAACACAGCATCTCAACCAAAGGGTGGGTGTCTCCTCCCCAGTGACAAAAAGTACACTTCTCAGCTGCATCCCAACATTCACCATCACTCATCTCTACTTCTACGATAGCTGAACTCTCCTTACAAATATGTACCCTTCAATGATTTGTGAGAAATGAGTTAAAAACAAAACAACTCCAGAGAGTTCTGTTATGTAGCTCCTACAGATGGTGCTAAACATATGAAATTAAACAAAATGATACCCGTTACCCTGCCTGTCAACATGAATTAACAACTGATTTTTTTGCCTTTTTGTGAGTTTATTTGTAATCTTTGTAAGGAATCAGTGAAATGCACTGAGTAAGCAGGTAAACCTACAAATCCTTCTGAACTGCGACCTCAGACATCAGCTGTCCCATGTTCTGTAACATGCTGAAATTTTCCACTCAACTTGGGTGGCTGATTTCTCATTTCCTGGACTTCTGTACCCTGTGGAGTCTGGGAAACCACCAAGGACAGGGAGTGAGGCTGACACCTGCCTGCGGTCTCTGCGCTCGGCTCCTGCCCTGTGCCACAGCACAAAGCTAGGGAGGATGGTGAGCCTGAGGGTGAGGGGCCATCCGGGGCTGCAGGAGGAAGGAGCACTCCCAGGGCATATATTTCTAAGGAAAATAGAATTATGCACCAAAGGTTTTGCTCAGAGGCAAATGGTGAAAGTGTAGTTCACCTTTTCTTCTTCCCATCAGACTTTTATTTTTTAGAAAGTAAAAAATTAAGAAGTAAAGTGCGTGTATACATACACACACATACACACATACACATTCCATATATGTGTATATATAAGGAATTTGAAACCTTTTAAAAACTAGAAATAGACCGATTAGTGAATATTTAAATTTGAGAAATATTTCTTATCCTTGAAAAAAAATAGTGTATGAGCCAGAGATAAACACACTAAAATCCCGATTTTAAAAGCAAATAAAAAGATGTACCACATGGGAGGTTCTACCATTGTTATTTCAACCACACGTAAGAGGATGTTCCCAGCCCATGCTGGGGATCCAGCCCATTTGGGAGGTACTTTTCTAAACCTCAATTTTATTTTGAGAAAAATGCTCAGAAATGAATGATGCACGTACCAACGTCTTTATCACTTTGAAAGAATTCAGATTGTTTTCTGAAGATCCTGTTGCTATCATTATTTTTTAAAGGATCGTTGCTCTTCAAGCTAATATAACTGTTTGCTTTTAGGAAATTGTTAGCTAGGAAATAAAACTGACTACCTTGCCAGTGATCTATACTAACAGAATGAGGGGGTCTCTGTCTGCAACCCTTCACTTTGAATGGCATCCCTGTTGGTAATATGCTAATGTAAAAAGTGTCCAGTCTGCCTGAGACAGCTTCCACGACCATTTTCGTTTTTATTTCTTAACAGTAATAGCTAAGTTAATGAAGCATTTTGTCATTAATAATTTTTATTAATACATAATATTTGTACATACTTACAGGGTACACATGATCTTTTGTTACATGCATAGAATGTGTAATGATGTAATGATCAAGTGAGGGTATTTAGGGCATCTGTCACTCGTGAGTTTCTATGTATTGGGGACATTTCAAGTCTTCTAATTATTTGAAATATAAAATATACTGTTGTTAACTATAGTCACCCTCCTCTGCTGTCAAACATTAGATTTTATTCCTTCTGTTTAACTATATGTTTGTGCCCATGAACCAACCTGTCTCATCCTCCCACCCTCATGTTTATTGCAGCACTAATCACAATAGCAAAGATATGGAATCACTGTAAGTGTCCATCAACAGATGTGGCCATTGTTATACTAAAAGGAGCAAAACTGAACTCCAGAGATAAATCTTTCATCATTATTACCATATTCTTTCCTACTATCTATATTCTAATTTCAAGAAAACTTTGAGTACTTTCCTGGAATTTTCAGCTAGCATAATTTTCACCAGGCGTTAGAAGTCTGGAGGTTGGGATCTATTGCATTCATCATTTTCAGAGTGACTCCATGAAGCACACATCATAAGGAGAGCAGAGCTATTCCTAGGTGCTTCCATCACCTGTTTTCACACAGCGTTTTCTACATTGAGGCACATGTGACATAAATTAAATCATATCCCCCCAGAGTAATAATACTGCCAAAGCTCGATATAATAATAAAGCAACTGAATCTCTGGCTTCACAAACCATTAGAAAGGAAGTTGTACTGCATCCTCATTTTCTCTAAAAACAGACCACCACGTTCACTCCATTTTCACCCTCAGTTTACTATACCATTTACCGAACAGGAAAAGTTATCCAACTCATGGCTATCTTTGTTCTTTATAAACTGCATCTTTCAGTGTAAATATTTGAAAGATTAATTTTTAGCACTGCTCTTCCTTCACACACAGTGAAGGGTAGTGGATCTATTCTTATACTTTTTCATTTAATTTTGTATTATGCATCTCAATAAATAAGTAGCTTAAGACCTCTTCCTTTTCAAAGAGAAACAAACGTGATGGATTCTAAAAGGTCAATGCATTTGCAAACATAACGTGACTCTTGACAGGATACATAGCTGCAAAAAAAATTCTTGGGTAATAACCTCCAAGACTACAGAGATGTCCCCAGCCTTGATTCTGCAATGGAGCTTGAATCTGTACTTTATCTACAACATCTAACCATCTGGATAGCAGCCCTCCTTGCCTATACAACTGCTTTTTTGCGGTTGGGGTGGGAATCTAACCCATGGTGTCTACATGATTGCCGCACCATTAGTCACCAAGAGTGGTCTGCAGAGCTTTAGAACCAGAGCCCTTAGCCTCCAATGCCTACTGAGTGGAGAGTCATTGACCAGCACGTGCCACTGTGACCGGCGAGTGGAACCAATGAAATTACCATCCTGTGAGCAGGCTTCACGCTCCCACTGTCCAGCCAGAGGCCCGAGGGAGGCCTGCTTACAATGCACACGTTGTTTTCTGGGAGGCTCTTCTTTCACTCCCTTTAGCAGAGCTGCCCGCAGAGAGAAAGAAGCCCCGCTGCTGGTTCTGGTTCCAGCATTTTAACATCAAATTGCCCTGGTGATCTAACAGAGGGTCTTTTACAATTCTCTGAAAGCAAGCAACCTTGAAAAAGTTTAGGAATGCAGTGTTTGACCTAGGATTTTAGTTTGCTTGAAAACATACATGAGGAAATTGGGGAGCCTGGCTTCAGCACCCCACAAAACCCAGACTGGCTTGTTCTTTTCCACCCAAAGCCCCAAAGCAGCAAGAGCCCAACTGTATACATCAGATGGTCATCTGTTTGCATAAAGTAAATTGCATGTTCTTCAGCCCTACATCTTGCATTACCAAATATAGTCACAGGCTTAATTTAGAAGTGACTCAGTAACCTGTCTCAAGAGAAGGAATCTGCCCTGACCCCTCTCTACCCTTTGCCATCACGTGCAGTGCTGGTCACCCTTCCCTGGGATACTTGGAAGGTGTATTTTACTGAGTTGACAAGGCAAGCACCTGCACCCTCCTGTCCTTCCCTGCACACTGTCCCACAGCACCCTGATCTCAGGGACTGCAGCTGGGTGGTATGCTGCACCAGCGACCCAGCCCTGGCAGGACTCCAGGTATTCATGGAGTTTGAGAATGATGATAAAGTCTTACCCACCCCACCCAAAAAGCATACACTCCAGGTTTATATGTCCCAAACCAGTCTATACAACCCTCGGAACTCTTCAAATTGTCCTTGCATGAAATCTGTACGTGGTCTTGTCTCCAGGCACTCCCTATAACAAACAAACAGGGTTTGGTGCACCCCATCGTCTACTCACTTGGGAGCAAATGCACAGGGGAGCACAGAACAATGCTGAGAACCCGGAGAGCATGCACATATCCACTAATGTAAGGACTGGATTGCTTCCAGCCGGACACGCGTGTATGGGTGTGGGCAGTGCTGTGTGTGTCGTGTCTGTGTGTGCCTTATGTGCATGGTATATGTGTGGGTGGTGTGTGTGATATGTATATGCGTATGGTCTATGTGTGGTGTGTGCCTGTGTCTGTGTGTGCCCTGTGGGCATGGTGTATGTGTGATGTGTACATGTGTGTATGTATGGTGTGTGTGTGAGTATGGTCTATGTATGGTTTGTGTGCTTGTTTTCCACATATTGATCCATGGGCCAGCCAGTGACATGGACCACAAAGTAAGCCATAAGCAAACTGTTTTGGGCACCATTTTCATTTTCTCCATTCATTCACTCACTTATTCATTTATGCAACAAATAGTCATTCAACAAATGTGTACTGAATGTCTACATCACAATAAAGAAATAGTACACTTACCAATTGCCAAACACTGCTCAAAGCTCTTTTTATTTTATTTTATTTTATTTTGAGAAAAGGTCTCACTCTGTCACCCAACCTGGAGTGCAGTGGCACAATGTGGGCTCACAACTGCCTCAACCTCCTGGGTCCAGCGATTCTCCTGCCTCAGCCTCCCAAGTAGTGGGAATTACAGATGTGCAGCACCATACCCGGCTAATTTTTGCATTTTTTAAGTAGAGAGTAGATTTTGCCATGTTGGCCAGGCTGGTTGCAAACGCCTGAGCTCAAATCATCTGCCTGCCTCAGCCTCCCAAAATGCTGGAATTACAGGCGTACGTCACTGTGCCCAGCGATTCAAAGCTCTTTAACAAAATAACTTGTTTAATTCTCATGAAAAGGCTACAAGGTAGAGCTGTTATTATCTCCATTTTACAAAAGGGAAAACTATGCAAGATCAAGTCATGAGCAGATCGCAGAAGCAGAGGAGGAAGGCCAGGAAGAGCCTGGCCTATCGCCCCACACTGCCTTTCTTTGGGAATAGGCTCCAAGCCCCAGGGCACATGCCTGGGACCTTTTTGCATGTTTAATTTGGGCAAGCATACTGACTATTCTAATTCTGTAGGTGGACGGCAGCCATATTTCCTCCCAACTCACTGTCCAGAGAGCAGTGCCTGGCATTCCAGCTGTGACCTTTAGCAAAGGGAATACATGTTAGAAGCCAGGCTAGGGCCCTGCTCCAGGGCTTAGAGGGGAAGACCCTCTCCCAAGGCAATCCCGGCAGCCAGCCTGAGAGGGCCCCATCCCAGTGATTCTGGAGGGAGGCAGGGAAGTGCTGGGTAGAGAAGGGCAGGGTCTGTGGTGACAGCTCCACCCTTGGGCCTGTCCCCATGGACCTAAGTAAGGACAGGCACTCCTATATTCACCCAAACTGTTGCATTTTCCAAAACCACTCTGACCCATCAGGCCCCCTATCCTGTGCTTATAAAAACCCTGAGACCCTAGTGGACACAGACACAAGTGGTTGGAAATCAAGAGGAACACACCAGCAGAACACATGGTCAGACATGCTGGCAGGCCATGGAAGTTGGAACCATTTGGACCCAAGGGAAATTTGGCTGAGGGCGGTTGGAGGAGCAAACGGGGGCTGAGCGTCTGACCTCAGGGGAAGACCACCTTCCCACTCCATCCCCCTTCTTGCTCCCCATTCATCTGCTGAGAGCTACTTCCATCACTCAGTAAAGCCTTGCACTCATTCTCCTAGCCCACATGTGATCTGATTTTCCTGTACACCAAAGCTCTTCCTTTGTGATACAGAAAGCTTTGATAAGGCAAAGGGTCTAATTGAGCTGATAAACACAAGCCCCCTTGGCAGATGGCTAAGCTGAAAAAGCACACTGTAACACACGCCCACTGGGGCTTCAGGACACTCAACCCTGGACGCTGCCATGGGGGTCAAAGCCCAAAATGCTCCCCACGACCTACCTGTCTTCCTGCTCCCCTAGGGGCCTGAGCAGCAGGGCACAGAAGTGAGCCACACCCTGAGCCACACCCTGTCCCACGCCCTGTGAGGGGGATAAGGAAACTCCTCCCATTTCACCAGCTTCTGGGTGCCTGGTGCACAGGAAGTTCTGCCTGAATGGAGATCGCCCAGAGCAGAGCCCTCAGAGTGGTCTCCCCGAATCAAAAAGCCATCCAGAGTCAGGGCTCAGTGGCTCACGCCTGTAATCCCAGTACTTTGGCAGGCCGAGGCAGCCGGATCACCTGAGGTCAGGAGTTCGAAACCAGACTGGCCAACATGGAGAAACCCCGTCTCTACTAAAAATACAAAAATTAGCCGGGCGTGGTGGCGGGCGCTTGTAGTCCCAGCTAGTCGGGAGGCTGAGGCAAGAGAATTGCTTGAACCCAGGAGGCAGAGGTTGCAGTGAGCTGAGATGGCGCCACTGCACTCCAGCCTGGGCGACAGAGCAAGACTCAGTCAAAAAAAAAAAAAAAAGAAAAAAAAAGCCACCCAGGGCCAGAGGAGAAGGGGACATGTGGGGCTGCTAGGAAAGACCCTTGAGTTCCTAATGAGCACTACGCAGAGGCCAATGCTGGCGTTCACTGTGCAGCTAAACTCCTCTTAAAGCCAGGGAGCGGCTCCCAAGAGCTCAGAGAGGGTCGCGGATCCTGCGGTTGCCCCACAGGCCCCTGTGCTGCCTCTGACCTCTCCCCAGTTTAGACTTACCGCTCTGCAGACCAGCGTGGTAGCTGGGGCGGGAAACCCGCTCTGTGCCTTTGGTCTCACCGTCTTTTCACTGTCTTTTCTTCACCCAATCAGCTTCGACTCACCTGCCCCTCTCTGTGCCCCTGCCCCCGACACAGACAGGCCCATTGAGTGGCTGCGCCTGAGCCTGCCCGTGCACTTCTCCAGCATTGGCTTGTCAGCTCCGCAGGGGTCACTCCCATAGTCTGGGAGCTCCTTGAGGTTCCCTGTACACCTCAGGGAACATACTAGGCACAAAACCAATATCTGTTTTGTGAGTAGAATAATACATTATTAAAAGATTTTGTAAGACAAATTCTCAAGCTCAATCTTACAGCAGTAATTAATTCGGGGACTCCTTTTCTTGTTTTCACAAAAATTAATTCCATTTATAGTCTCATATAGTGCTTCGTTCATATTTAATGTAAGAAAATATGAGTGGGCCGGGTGTGGTGGCTCACGCCTGTAATCCCAACACTTTGGGAGGCCGAGGCGGGTGGATCACGAGGTCAGGAGATTGAGACCATCCTGGCTAACACGGTGAAACCCTGTCTCTACTAAAAATACAAAAAAATTAGCTGGGCGTGGTGGCAGGCACCTGTAGTCCCAGCTACGCGGGAGGCTGAGGCAGGAGAATGGCATGAACCCGGGAGGCGGAGCTTGCAGTGAGCCGAGATCGTGCCACTGCACTCCAGCCTGGGCGACAGAGCGGGACTCAGTCTCAAAAAAATAAAAAATAAAAATAAATAAAAAAAACTATATATGATCCAATTTCCATTGAAGCCATCATGTGTTTATAGAATACCATCCAGTTTTTATTCACAGAATTCACCTGATTCTCTGTGATGAATTATGTGACTTCTGTACAATATGCAGTGTGCCATTGTCACCGTGTCCAATTGGAAAGTGAAGATCACATCTCACATGAACCCAGTCTAAAAGAACACTGAATAATAACCCCAAATCTGAGATCATCTGATTGTTTGTATTATGACAGTAAATAATACAAAAAGTTACTCATTGGTACTAAAAAATAATAGCTTTCAGAATTATAGCAATCTTATTTATAATAAGCATTGTAATGGCCCTTAACATTTTATTTAGATGAAATTAGTATGGAAGATAATTTTTACAGTAAAATAATGTGACAATAGAAATCCATTTGTCTATGATGTGGAGCTGTTTTGGGAAATGATTTCTGACTAACAAACATAACAACTGAGAGAAACTTTGAAAATAAAAAGAGTTGTAGAGTAATATGTACTATATGATCTTAATTATAAAAATAGAAAGGAACAAATAGGCATGTATTTGTGTGTGTACACAAGTACGCACATGCACATATACTCGTATGTATGTTGGAAATAACCCTGTGGAAGGTCACTTGCCAAATGCTGAACTTGATTTTTTCAAGGAATGGAGTGACTGGAGGAAGGGGCAATTAGTAATAAGTTTCTTATAAACCCTTTGTATTGCTTAACTTGCTACTGTAAGCATGTATTACTGAAATCCCATCCAGCCCAATACATTCAACCCCAATAAATTGTAAAGGGATAAAAAGCACCACAAACAAACAAAATCGCGGTAGTGTTAAAGTTTGAAATGAAAATAATATTGAAATTATAAAAGAGAAATGTTTCTTTCCTGTACGTGTGTAATAGAGACTCATGAAGCCCATAGACCACCCTTTTATACCACAACAAGTCCAGAGCCTAGAGCTTAATGGGATCTGTAATTGCAAAGTTATTGTTGAAGAACATCTCGGTCCAGAGTTGGAAACTAAAGTTCTGCTATCACTAGGATTTTCATCTCTGATAATCTTTTGCCCTATAAAATGAGGCAAAGCCAAGCAATTCTGCAGAAAATATTGACTGGGGTATTTAGCAATGACACTGCCACTAAATCTCAAAACAATCTGGGTGGCTATCCACATAAAGACTCCAAGTCAAAGGACAATATGTCATATTCACACTGCTTCATTTTGTTATTTGTTATCCTCTGGATAAGAATTTGCTTAGGAAGAAGATCAAATTCAAAGCTGAAATAAAGTTTAATTGCTTATGATTGTGACACATCAATTGGGTAGTCCAATGTTTTACAAAATGGTATTTGTTGATTCCAAGGAGCTGTGAGTTCTGGAACATTTTTAATGTATTTTACTTTTGATTACAATCCAAAAATATGTTTTCAGTTATAATAACTTCTCTCTTACAGTAAAATTTTCAATTGGAAGATATATCATAGGATAAAAATTTAGTTTCTTACATAAATTATTTTCAAATTAGATTTTTAAATAATTAGGTTCTTCGCCTATGGGGGTTCTATGAACCATCGGTTACTCAACATTTTTCCTTTAAAAAGATAAACTTGGACAATAGCCAAATTTTGAAAGCTACGGGAGCACTACCTATGACCTTAACTATATAAAAAGTATTCACAGAAAAAAAAAACTGAAAAAAAACCATAATAAAAAAGTCAACACTGGATACTTCCAAAGGGAGCCATGGATTTACTCTATATACTTTTGTTTTCACTTTGTAAAATGTTCATGATTTACTTTTATCTTGGAAAAAATAAACTTTAAAAAATATTAACTGTATACGGACACCATTAAAAATGACACTCTGAATTTAGCAATATGATTGCCAAGCAAAAATCTAAAAACAGCTTCCACTAATGTGAAACATTTTAAAGAAGTCAATATATTTGGAGCATGTTTCTAAAGTTCTGTGATTTATAATTTCTTATAAATTCATATAGACCTGAAATTGTTTATATTGGAGAATTTTCAAAGAATATATATTGGATTATTTAGAAAATAACATAACAAAACACAGCCTCCAGCACATCTGTAATATGTTGTACACCATAGCTAAAGGCTGGTATTCCTGATGTCTGGGAAATGCTTCCTAATACCCAGGGCAGAGGAAGGGAGAGAAGGGCAAGTAGGTGGGGACATACAAAAAAAAGGGCAATTTTTTGGAAAATTGTTGAAGCCGTATGTTGGAAAAATCAGGTTTATTTTACTATCTTCTCTACTTTTGTGTGTGTTTGAAAATTTCCATAACAAAGACATATAAAAGCACCAAACCAAACAAAACTAATCACATAATCAGATACTATTATCCACCCATCAGAATGGCTTTAAAAAACTGGTAACACCAACTGTGGTCCAAGACGTGGATCCCCGAGAACACACAAGCCCAGTCTGTCTAGGAGACACAAATGCTCATTAGAGTGAAACTCACATTTTTCATATAGGGATTGGATAAAAACTTTATGGGCTTATTTTACAGTGTAAATTTTTGCATGCTTGACAAATGTTCATATCTGAATCATGTGTGCATTTATTTGGAGATTACATTTGTGTGTGCATGTCTGTTTGTGAAACTGGCCACATAAAATGCATATCCTCCTGTCCTTTCTAGATATTATTAACATGGCTTAGACCACAAACTATATAACATTAGACCAAAACTTGCTGATAAGCATGCATCACTGATGTAATTAATACTTTCACAGCACAAGCCCTTTACTTTATTACCACAGTGTATACACCACAGATCTCTGCATTCACATATCACGTAGGCCTTTTACACATTGAAAGAGTGCAGTAGGACTTAGCACTGAGCAATACAAGTTTTCATATTTTTTAGTCCATTTACTTAAAATGAATGAAGTCACTGGCAAATTACTAGATTTGCTTTCTATTCAAAGAATATTGCTTAAGAAATAAGAGAGAAGGGAGTCTAATGCTGTGTTATTACAATTCCAAAGTTCTGGTGTAATTACAAAATATTATAACCATTTTAGATCTGACCATTTATATTGAGCTAAAATATTAAAAGATTCTTTTTGCCCAATAATTGACTGATTTTTTCCAATTTCTAACATTTTTAATGTATTTATTTATTTGGAAACAGGTTCTCACTCTGTCCCCCAGGCTGGAATGCAGGGGCATGATCACTGCTCTCTGCAGCCTTGACCTCCCCGGGCTCAAGGGATCCTTCCATCTCAGCCACCCAAGTAGCTGGGACTGCAGGCATGCGCCACCGCACCTTGCTAATTTTTGTATTTTGTGTAGAGACAGGGTTTCACCATGTTGCCCAGGCTGATCTGGCACTCCTGAACTCAAGGGATCCTCCCACCTCAGCTTCCCAAAATGCTGGGATTACAGGCGTGAGCCACAACACCTGGGTAGTTTAACATTTTATATATAGGTTTTATTTATGAAATTTTAAAATATATCCTTAGAAATACTAGAATATTATCTCTTTAAAACTATGTTTAAAAAACCGCAGAAGGGTGAAAACACATGTATACACAAAGATATGGGGATGTGGGTGGGGACTGGATGGGTTTGGGGATGAGGATGGGGATGGGGATGGGGACTGGGACTGGGACAGAGACAGAGACAGAGCAAGAGAGCAAGACAGTGGGAGACAGCAGAGTGAAAACCTCTTGTGATAACTACCTAGATCACAACCCACACATGCTAGGAGCCCAGAAACTCTTGTTGTACTTTGCCCAGTCATTGTGACCTCCTTTCTCATCAAAAGTAAATGCAATGCAGACTTACAACACCAGTTAAGTTGGCCCATTTTTAAAACTTAATATAAATAGCATCATCCTGTATATATTCTCCTGTGTCTGGCTGCTTGATTTCAACATTAAGTTTGTGACTCATCCTACTGCTGAAAGCAGCCGTTGTTCGTTCGATTAAAGTGCTTTTTAGAGCTCATTGCCTGTGTATACACCACAAGGCACGTATCCATGGAGGTCTGAGTTATTTCCAATTAGGGGCTGTTATGAATAAAATTGTTATGAATATTCTTGAACAAGTCTCTCAGTGCTCACGTGAATGCATTTTTTGGGGGTACATATGCCAGGAAGAAAAATATCTAGGTTTTTGTAGGTAATGTCAAACTCTTTGTCCAAGTGGTCCCCATTAAGAGAGAAATGTTGAGCAACCAATGGCTTGCAGACCCACAAGGGTCAGAAAACTAATTTGGAAATAATTTACTTAGGAAACTAATTTGAGAGTAATTTATTTAAGTAATAAAATTGTAGTCTATGAGTATATTTTTCCATTAAGATTTATCACTGTAAAAGAACAGTTTTTATAACTGAATTTTCTCCTTTCTCATTTTGGATGCAATTGAATTTTCTACTAAACTCTGAAGTCCTCGGGAGGTTTCTAACAGAGCAAATGATGCCTTGTGGCCAGTATTCTTTTCCAGATCTTCAGAGAAATACATGAAACCACATTAGTATAAAATGTGACTTTGCTAAAGAGACTATATTTTAAATGTACATATCCGAATCCTTGCTGTTCCTTTAAATTGGCCATGTGGGGATACTTAGGCATTTTCAAAGAGGGAAGAGCATCTATTAAATAATGATGGGCATAGTCCCTACTGGGAAAGGCTGGCCACCAAGCCCTGCTCCCACATCACCGTCCTCCAAGCGCCCTCCACACCAATGCCCCAGCCATCTTCTATAGGGCAGAATTAATTCCGTTACTCCCTGGGCAAAACCTTTAAATGGCTTCCCTTTCATCCAGGCCCAACTCAGTACATTTGCCTGGCCCACAGAGCCTCTACAACTTGTCTCTGGCACACATCACCAAGATCGTTTTTACTCAAAGTCGCTGTATAAAATGCTACGTGCCTGGCACCCTTCTAAGCGAGTTACAAGTATTAGCCCACTTAATCTTCATGTCAGCCCTCCGAGCTGGGCACCGTTATTTACGTCATATTTTTACAGATAAGGACACTGAAGTACAAGGAGGAAAATGTCTTTCCTGAGTCCTACTGTAAGTGTGGCACCCGCATCCCTGCGCCCAGCGTGGGCCAGGCTGGTGAGATGGCCTGTCTGTCTCAGGTTCCTCCACTTTCGGCCTCCTCTGCCATGTGGCTGCTGTGCCGCCAGTCCCCCTCTGCTCCTGGCTCTGTCTGTGCACATGCTGTTGCTGATCAGCATCCTCCTCTGGGCCATTTTTTAAAATCTTGGATCCTCCTTGAGCCACCACAGTACTCTGTGCTTCTCTCTTCTTAAACTCATGAGTTTTATTAAAAATGTAATTTTTCATGTCTGTCTCCCCTGCTAGAGTGGTAGTTTCTTGAGGGACAAAGTGGAACCTTATGCACTGTTTTTAATTTCAGAGCCTGGCATGGTGTTTGGGTCACATTGACAATCAGTAAATATCTGCCCATTGATTTGAAGGAAAGGAGAAAAAGAGAAGACGGGAGGAGAGACTGGAGAAGCTAATTTAGCTGTTAAATAGCAGAAAAGCTGAGAGAGCCAGAAATGCATGAGCTTGAATTCTGGCTTTGATGCACATTAGCTGGAAGAAAATAACTAAATCTCACTGAAAGTTGTTTCCAATTTATGTGACAAGCATTAAAATGACTATTTTGCCAAATTACCATAAGAATTAGAGATGTATGCAAAGTGACTTGCACACGACACCAAATATTTAGTGACTACTTTTAATGGCACTGTATGCTGCAGGGTAGCATTTTATTACCCTAGGGATGTACATCCTGAATGATGCAGAATCCATTGCCCTCTCCTTCGGGAAGAGCAATGGAAACTTCTCCAAACCAATCAACATTACATGGGTTCCAAATGTTTGTGAACCATCACAAAAAATTCTAGCGGTTCAAGTTCACGGCATTGGGGAAGGGGAAATAGGATGACAACCTGCAAGCAGGAGGACAAATAAGGCCATTCGAATGCAGAAGCCTTTCACAGAAATAAGCAGTCTAGAGTTGGAAGCTGAGAAGGTGTGGAAGCACTCTACGCTGCCGGAGATGCCAGAAGACTGCACCGCTCACTGCATAATGTCATGGTTCTCTACTAGAATCCCCAGAACCAGAAACTCACAATTCTGTCTGCACAGACAGATCGTGATACCACCTGTGATGACAGAATGGACACTTGTTTCTCCTTGTTGAGGCCCTATGCAACCCCAAAGCACCAAAGATCCACCAGCCCTGCGGGCCCCAGAATGCACTCTCCTGGAACACCATTGTGTTCTTTTTACCTTATAAAATGAAGACAAAGCATATTTCCTAGGAAACCACTAGCCAATAAGACATGTGACTACTCACAATGTACTGTCATGCTATGAGAATCTATGAGTGTCCTTAGCATCATTCCTTTAACAACTGGAGTTTCTATTTGGCAGCAAACAAGTAGAAGTAAATACTATTAAGTAAGGAATGTGCTTGACATGCTTCTCTACTAGTAATTACAACTCTTTTCAAAGCTTGATTTATTGTTTGTATTTCCACCTGTGAGAGACACATACTTACAGGAAAAGCCCTGATATATTTTGCTCACCCAGATATGTTTATGCCGCATCTCTGGTGGAAAAAGCTCTGTGAAGGACAGATGCAATGTCGAATTCTTGCTGTGATAGCTCTTCTCCCAGTTTTCACATCAAATGATTAAAGCAAATATGCTTCACAAATGCTAAGAAGTTAAAATTAAAATTACTGCAGGAATTCTGAGAGCTGTTTTCAGCCATTGGCCATGGATGTGACATGGCAATTTTGTAGAGTGAATAGGCCTATAATTTGAAGTTTATGTGTTGCTGGGTAATGATAAGTCAAATGAAATAACATTTTCTAGGAAATTTCAAACTGATAGCTTTGTACTAGTAACAACATAAGTTATATAAGTCACAGATCATGATGTGACTTATGATCATGTTCATTCATAGCTCAATGAACTATGCTTGAATTAGAGAAATTGTTGCTACTTTTTAATGGGTATTTCATAAAGTCCTTTTGTGTGTTTGTTTCAGTATCCCAGGGAACATTACTTTCTGAATTAGTTTTAAACTGGTGAGCAAAGCTACATTAGGATAAGATAGAGAAGCTGGAAAAAAGTGAAAAAACAGAAGAACAGAGGTGGAACCAGTGAGTCAGGAGAGGATGCAGGGCAGGGAACTCCACCCAGGGTGTAGCAGCACTAAAGGGCATCTCTGAGGAGAGGGCACGAGGACAGACTGTTCAGCCAGAACAGAGGATCCCAATGGCAGACGATCCCAAGGGAGACACTTGAGATGATAATGGCAACAGAGCCAAAACTGCGATCCAAGAGCCAGAAGATAAGACGGATGCAGGGGTTAGCAAGAGAGTGACATTCTGCTATATGGACAAGGCCGGGAAGCAGACATTCAGATTCTACTCTAATCTGTGCTTTGCTCACGGTCATCAAAAACTGGCCTCACTAAATCAATAGTTGTGCAAAGTATTAGTCAATGAAAATGCCTAAGCAGGATAAAGAAAGTGGTCATTCATTGTAATTGGAACTTAGTTTGAAGTTCAGCAGTACCACTTATATAGTAACGTATATAGCACTGCTAAGCTCCACACTAAGTTCTGACATTCACACCGACCTCGTGGTGTTCACGACCAGCCCACTGAGATTACCTAGCACAGTGTATTGGAAGGGGATTCATAATAAACACAGCTTACAGCCTATACATACACACACACACACACACAGAGACACACACACACACATCTTGCTGCAATCTTGTGATGAAACTTGAATGGATGAGCAAATAAAGTGGTTTCTTGAGAGGGAAGCTATTCTGGGTGAAGATGCAGTGAACACTGCTGAAAAGACAACAGAGGATTTAGAATATTTCATAAACTTAGTTGATAAAGCAGAAGCAGGGCTTGAGAGAATTGACTCCAGTTGCATCAAACTTTATTGTTGTCTTTTTAAAAGAAATTGTCATAGCCATCCCAGCCTTCAGCAATCCCTACTGTGACCAATCAGCAGCCATCAACATTGAGGCAAGACCCTCCACCAGCAAAAAGATGACAACTTACTGAAGGCTGAGATGATTGTTATCATTTTTTAGCAATAAAGTGTTTTTAATTAGGTATATACTGTTTTTAGACGTGGTACAGCTGCACACTTAATAGTCTATAGTAGAGTGGAAGCATAACTTTTATTTGCTCCTGGAAACCAAAAAATTGTGTGATGCATTTTATTGCAATATTCACTTTATTGTCATGGTCTGGAACTTAACCCACAATATCTCTGAGGTACACCTGTATTTAAGATTAAAGAGTAAGCAGAAGAAAGCAGAGAAAATAAGAAAAATGCATTTTTATCGCAATTAAGATCGAAGTGGAAGCACAGAATGGACCATCAATATTGGAAAAGAGGGGGAAAAGGAGAGAAGAGGAGATGGAAAATGAGAGAAAAAGAGAGAACTAAGAGAAAGAGGCTTTCTCTGTCATGACTTATCTTCTGCATATTCTTAGAAACAGTTTTGCACTGTCCCTCATCTGGAGTATCCTTCTGCAGACTCTATAAACATGTGGTATAGCAAGAAAGCACTTGATTCTGGCTACCTGTCAAATGTTCCATCCACATTTAACTTAATTTAATTTAATTTAATTAACAAAGAGAGCAGAGTGGTCATTCCCATAGTAGTAATAACAGCTTTATGTCAGGGGAATAAGTATGCAGAAGCAAACTACAAGGGAGTACCCTGGGGCAATGCCCACGTTTTCATATTGCTTTCTTTCATTATTTCAATGCCTAGGATTCAACTGCACGGCCTTCTATGATCTATCCTAAAAACTCACTTGGTGCCACTTCAACCATATGCTATAGTCGGAACAACCTAAACCTTGCCCAGATTCACAGGAGGAACATAGGAAGATCTCACTCTCCACGGAAAGAATGCCAAGGTCACATTGTAAAGAAGCCTATAAGATGGGAAATATTACTGTGAGCACCACTGGAAAATACAGTCTACAACAAACATTTTCCAGAAAGCCAAGGAAGCTGTATCTCAGGTACAAGGCAATGATCACTGATGTAAGCCAGGGGGTAGAATCTTCAGGGAAGATCAATGCATGGCTAGAGGACTTCCTGCTGAAAGTCCCTATTTCCTATGGATCTTCAAACTGCTGACATCAGGACTGGATAAGAAATAGGATAATTTGGTTGCAAAGTTCAAAACTTTGGGCTTTGAGACTGTATCAGGGACAATAATACATAAGTGGCCATGAGGAGCACAGGGAAATAGTTAACATTTTACACAAATATGCACGTATTTATTATTCAGTGCTAATGTGTAAGTAACCCACCCTGTCTTTGGCTTTTGCACAACAGCTTCTCAAGATGACAAGAGCCCTCAGAATGTCCACACTTCTGAGAGCTTCGGTATTTTAATCCATTCAATGAGGATAATATAACCTTGCAGTGTATGTTGGTGAATTGATGGATTGATTGATTTAACAACAATTATTGTTGAGTTTTCCTGTAGTTAGGCACTGGTCAAAGCACAGTGGCACAGCAGTTAAAAGATAAATGATGTCCCTACACTCACAGCACTTACATCCTAGTTGCAGAAGCCACATACTAGAAATGTAAAGACAAAAATAAATAAAAACATAAGTTCAGATAATGAAGGTAAGTGCTAGGAAGAAACTGAATGAGGTACTGTGATGGAGAACAGTATATGAAGCTGACCTGCATGAGGTTTTCAGGGACAGACTTTCCAAGAATGTGCTACTTTTATGTTAAGCTGCAAGAATACAGTAGATGCTAAATAGATCAGAGCAATGCTGACAACATTATAAATATGTTCTTGGTTACTTGTTTATATGGTATTTTAAAGTTCAATAGGCTTTTAGGTGATATTGAAAGTCAATATAATAAGGTTGGTCTCTTTTCATATACACATATAAAATAATATGGAAAATCAAACTTTAAGTAGAGGCAGCATTCGACCTAAGGATCTGCAAAAAAGCTTGAGTTTGGTTTAAATTACCAAGCCCAGGTTGTGCATGCCCGATTTCTCTGTCTTTCAGAGCAGCAGCTGCCTCCAAACCTCCTTCATGTTCTGAGACTCTGCAAAATCCAGCGTGAGGCACTGAAGAACATCCCTGAAGACCTTATAGGAAAAGGTGATGGAAGTGGAGGCAGGGTAAGAAAATTCCCAACTAGCATGACGTGTGTCATTCTGTCACCACACCTGTGTCCTCTTTTTCCTTCAGTTTTCCTCCTGAGGAGAAATGTGTGAGCTTCCACTGGCTGGTTCTCATGCAAAAAGTGACTCCTGTGAGATGATCTGCCTCCCTAACGAGGACTATCAACTGGTAACCATTGGAAGGGAGTAGCAGCTAGATTAAGGGCACTAGCTCTATGTGCTCAGTAATTTTACTTTTTTTTTTTTTCCATTTACGCCAAAGCACTGCAATGTGTAATTATGAGAGGGATCATATGTAAATGTTTCTGTTGTTCTTGCTAAGTCTTAAGTGGCTTGGAGCTGCTGGTAACCAGTTTGACAGACTTAATACCAAAGGGCAGAGTTTGAATGTTCCCTTTCACTCAACAAAACTTGGTACTGTTTAATCATTAGGTAATGCCCAAGCCGAAAGTCCCTGTTTCTTTTCTTTTTCTTTTTTTTTTTTTTTGAGACAGAGTCTTGTTCTGTCACCCGGGCTGGAGTGCAGTGGCGCAATCTTGGCTCACTGCAAGCTCCGCCTCCCAGGTTCACACCATTCTCCTGCCTCAGCCTCCCCAGCAGCTGGGACTACAGGTGCCCGCCATCACACCCGGCTAATTTTTTTGTATTTTTAGTAGAGACGGGGTTTCCACGTGTTAGCCAGGATGGTCTCGATCTCCTGACCTCGTGATCTGCCCGCCTCGGCCTCCCAAAGTGCTGGGATTACAGGCATGAGACTCCGCACCCGGCCCCCTGTTTCTTATGTATCTTCATCCTAACTAACATTTTGCCAGCTGCAACTTATCCATAAAACTATTACAACCTTGTTTTGCCTGAGTTTTTCATTCTGTGGTTGGGGTTATGTTTACCTTGACTTATAAAATCTCACCTTCAGCTGGCGCTTCACAAAGAGAAAGCATGTTCTTCACCCACATAAAGACAAGTGGACAAATGGCTTCCCCGTTCCACTCCCCCAGTCAACTATAGATCTAGCACAATTGCAAAAGCTTCCAAAATTGAGAACTAATGCATCACTCACCTGATTGAATGACATCACAGTAGTGCCTCAGAACAGCCACTTATCTAAAGTAAAACGGGACTGACAAAATTAGGCCCATGGGTGACTTCCAGCTATTCCTAGCTAGGCTAGCCCTGTCTAGTCTATTACAACTAGAAAGCATTGAACATAATGGGAAAACAAGCACATGGAGACTCTGAAAGGTGAAAGAAAGAAGGAAGACAGCGAGGGGGCCTCGGGACTTGAGGAGCAAATGGCAGTGAGTCCCCTGGGTATTCCTCATGCTTCCATATGTCCTAGACAGGACGCTCTAGAAGCCCACAACCCAGAGCTCCCAACAAGACAGACAAAAATAATTCCAGGAAAAGCCTGGTCTTTCTGGCCACAGAGCCAGGACACAGGTGGCCTAACAACAGAAAATCTCATTGGTAATACCTGTCTTACTCCAGCCAAGCTCCAGTGGAAAACCACACTCCCCTTTCTGCTTCTACCCCACCCCCAACTCTGTATTTTCTCGGCTGGTGTATTAGTCCGTTTCCACACTGCTGATAAAGACACACCCAAGACTGGGCAATTTACAAAAGAAAGACATTTATTGAACTTACAGCTCCACATGGCTGGGGAAGCCTCACGATCATGGCAGAAGGCAGGAGGAGCAAGTCATATCTTACCTGAATGGCAGCAGGCAAAGAGAGAGCTTGTGCAAACAAATTCCTGTTTTAAAAACCATCAGATCTCATGAGACCGTCTCACTATCACGAGAACAGCATGGGAAAGACCCACACCCATGATTCAATAATCTCCCACCAGGTCCCTCCCATAACATGTGGGAATTATGGGAACTACAAGATGAGATTTGGGTGAGGACACAAAGCCAAGCCATATCAGCTGGTCAAGAGGAGATTTGAACTCCCACCTCCTCTTCTGCTCCTAGTTCCCCTACTGGGGTAGTGCCAGCAGGAGAGAGCAGGGAGCTAATCTTCCACTGCCCAGCAGGGAGTGTGCAGGACCCAGCAGCCAGCAGAGCCTCCACCTCTGCCCAGCACCAAGGAGACGTCATGTGGTGGAGGCGGGCAGCTGGGGACCTCCACAGCTGCCTGCCCCTTGGGTGGGCCTGAGGGCCTGATACTCCCTTCCCCAGTCGAGAGGGCCCTGCTTCCCAGCACCCTCAGCCACCACCAGCAGAAATCAGTGCACCACCAGTGGAACCAGACAACCAAGCAGATCAAAACAACACCACAAAGACTGAATATAAACTGTCATGGCAGCCACAGCCCACAAAATTGCTCAGGACCTGCATGCTAAGCCTAAACAGGGTGACTGCTGGATAAAATGGAGGATTTGGATGGGACCTAGACATTCTAATGAAATAGACAAAATGTCCATGATACAACCAGAACTCACCTGTCAAAGAACCAAGAAACATCACCAGCTGAGCGAGAAAACATGATCAACAGATGCCAGCATTGAACTGAATCAGATGTTGAAATCATCTGACAGGAATTTTAAGGCGCCTATAATAATAATCCTTCAGCATGAAATCCCAAATCCTTTTGACACAAATGAAAAATGGAAATGACAGAAGTAGGCCAGGCACAGTTATCATGCTTTTAATCCCAGCACTTTGGGAGGCTGAAGCAGGAGGACCACTAGAGCCCAGGAGTTCAAGACCAACCTGGGCAACATGGCAAGATGCCATCCCTACAAAATTACAAAATTAGCTGGGTGTGGTATCACATGTCTGTTGTCCAATATGCCTGTGGTCCCAGCTACTCGGGAGGCTGAGTTAGGAGGATCATCTGAGCCTAGGAGACTGAGGTTGCAGTGAGCTGTGATCGCACCACTGCACTCCAGCCTGGGCAACAGAGCAAGACCTTGTCTCAGAAAAAAAAAAAAAAAAAAAAGGATAAAAAGAGAGAGAATTTACAGAAGCAAAGAAAGAGAAGTTATAAGTGAAATTATAAAGTTAAAAATACAACAACCAAAATATAAACACACTGGATGGGCTCAATAGCAGCATGGAGATAACAGATGATAGAAACAGTGAACTGAATGGCAGATCAGTAGAATTTGCCTAATCAAAACAAAGGAGAGAAAATGGACAGAAAAGAAATTGGAGTCTCAGGAACCAGAGGAAAAAATAGAAAAAGTCCAACTTTCATATTATAGGAGTTTCTAAAGGAGAGGAGAAAGAGAGTGGAGCTGAAAATGTATTCAAAGAAATAATAGGTACAAGCTTTCCAAATACCAAAGATGGGAGACAGAAACTTACATCTTCCAAAAGCTGAACAAACCCTAAACAGGATAAATCTGTGGAAATCTATGCCAATACACATCACAAGCAAATTTCTGAAAACTAAAGACAAAGAAAAAAATGTTGATGGCAGCCAGAGAGAGATGACTTACATGGAGGCCAGAAGGAATTAGCACAACATTTTTTAAGTGATAAAAAAATGTAAACCATGAATTTAATATCCAGTGGAAATATGCTTCATGAATAAAGACATCCTCTAGCAAAGGGAAACTCAGAGCGTCTGCTGCCAGCAAGATAGCCCTTGAAGCTGGGATGAAGGATGTTCCCTCACGGAGGGAAGAAATGGTGTCAGAATGCTATGAACCTCGGAGAGGAAAGAAAGACAATGGAGAGAATAAAATAGCAGTAAATATAATAGACTTTCCTTCTCATGGGTTTCCTAAATTTATTTGATGGCTAAGGCAAAATATATAACACCATTTGATGTGGGGCAAGTGTGTACACAGAAGAAGTACTTAGCAATTGCATTTTAAAGCAGAGAGGGTAGTGAGTAAGACCTATATGGAAGACTGGGTTCTACCCTTCACTCAGTTATAAAAGCTCAATACCAGTAGCAGTGATTAATTGTGTAGGCGTATTGTAGTATCTAAAGCAACTACTACTAAAATATAAGATGGGTTATATTCAGGAACTCTATAAATAAACCAATGTGGAATCTTAAAAGTGTTCATGTAACCCATAAGAAAGCAAGAAAATAGAAACCAAGGAATGAGAAAGAGGAAACCAGCAGAAAACAATAAATGAAGTGACACACTTGAATAATGAAGTGGTACAACAATGGTCTTCAATGTAAACAGTCTTAAATAACCAATCAAAAGACGGAGATTTGCAAGAAATGATAAAAAGAAATACTATCCAATAATATCCTGTCTCCCAAAAATTCACTTCAAATACAATGACACACGCAGATTGAAAGTTAAAGGATGAGGAAAGTTAAAGTTAAAGAAATATATGTGCCATGCAGCATTTTTAAAAAGCAGAAGTGGCTATATTAACATCTAATAGAGTATTACTCATATTATAAAGTATTCTTCAGAAAAAGAAAATTACCAGAGGCAAAGACAGGCATGATATACTGGTCATTGGGGATTGATTTACCCCCTCAAAAACATATGTTGAGGTCCTAATGCCTGCTACCAGTGACTGTGACCTTATTTGGAAGTAGGATCTTTGCAGAGGTAATCAAGTTAAGATGTGATCTTTTCGGATTCTCATAGGATCTAATCCAATGACTGGTGTCTTTATAGAAAGAGAATCTGGACACAGACACAATGTGATGAGGAAGACAGAGACGGGAGTGATGCATGTACAAGCCCAGGACCGGCAGGGACCCATCACCCATCAGAAGCCAGGGAAGGCAAGGAAGAATTCTCTCTTAGAGCCCTCAGAAGGAGCAGGGCCTTGCCAACATTCTGATTTCATACTTCAAACTTCCAGAACTTTGGAAGACAACGTTTCTGATCTTTTTAGCCACTGAGTTTATGAAAATTTGTTGTGCAGCCCTAGGAAACTAATACACTGGTAAGAGGATCAATCCCCCAGTACACATAACGATCTTCAATGTATTTGCACCAAACAATAGAGCCTCAAATAAAGCAGTCTCACAGTCCTCCCATCTCTGTAATTTTGTCATTTCAATAATGTTATGAACATGCTATAAACAGCATGCAGCCTTCTTCATGTGTTCACCAGCTTATCATTGAGGTCCACCTTGACTCCAGGGCTGGGCTTGGCTGCTTCTGGGGGAGGTGGCCATCAATGTTGGCTGCTCCCCTACACCCATGACCCCTCCTCCAGTCACGCGACTCTGATGTTATTTGGGAGCAGCACAATTCCCCTTTGGAAGCCCACATTTTCAACACTCCCTCATCTGATAGAAGCACACCAGAAAATAATCTCATCTGTTTATCTGGAACTATAGGGGACTCTAATTAAATGATTATAAAATTTTCTGTAGACAAAAGTATTCTTTGACCACTCTAGTTGCCCACAGGCTATTCTGAAACCCATTTCCAAGGACATTACTTGAAACTAGTGGTCAAAAATAGAATAGGTATGTATTTTAAATATAAATCTTTATTTTTTGAAATCTCTGCCTAAATGAGAAATGGTAAGCTCCAAGACATATTGCTGAAGCTACAGAGAACAGGACAGTAGCTAACATAACATATGAGCCTCAATGTAACACTAATTGAATACATGGGTAAAAAACAAGAATTAGTCATATTAGTAGTGTTTATGTCTCCTGCCATTCTTCAGTGAGGTACTTAAAATGCATTAGGTTTCTTTTCTTTTCTTTTCTTTTCTTTTCTTTTTTCTTTTTTTTTTTTGAGATAGAGTCTCACTTGTCACCCAGGCTGGAGTATAGTTGCAGGATCTCGGCTCACTGCAACCTCCACTTACCGGGCTCAAGTGATTTTCCTGCCTCAGCCTTCTGAGTAGCTGTGATTGCAAGCGTGAACCACCACGCCTGGCTAATTTTTGTAGTTTTGTAGAGACGGGGTTTCTCCATGTAGGCGAGGCTGGTCTCGAACTCCTGACCTCAGGTGATCCACCCACCTAAGCCTCCCAAAGTGCTGGGATTACAGGTGTGAGCCACCACGCCTGGCAGGTTTATTTTCTTTTATTTACTAAATGAAACAGGTGCTGCTAGGTTCTATATTAGACTGACTTTTTTTTTAGAATGTGCTGTGAAGTAAAATCAATAATACTTATTATGATTAGCAAAGATTACACAAACCTCTTTTTCAGAGCTTACTAGGTGCCAATTCTGCACCCAGTACTTATATGCACCATCCCATTAAATCCTGGTAACAATCAAAGAGGGCGGGAGATATTATTATGCCCACCTGGTGTAGGAACGTTCAGATTTAATATATTTAAGGCAACGTCCAAACTCACACCCTGAGCAAATGGCAGAGCTAAGATACTGGTTCTGTTAGACTGTAACTGCTACATATTACAAAAGCACAGAATAAGCACAATGCGAGGTCAACATTGGCAAATGCCTCAAAAGCAGTCCAGGCCATTTCAGTATGGAGATCAAGGCCAGGTGGTAGTGGGGCCGGGGACAGGCAGCACTGAGGGAGAGACATCTTAGCCAGCTTCGGCTGTGAGAAAGATCCTAATGAATAAATGCTTGAATGACTTCCAGGCAGCCCTGCTGGAGGTGGGTGTTTTGTGCCGTGCAGCCCTGGTCCTAAAGACCTAGCCTCTCCTGCTGAGACTGCCTTCTTCAGATGAAAGTCCACACCTGCAGGACGGTGTTATCTGTGCTTGGCTCAGATCCCCCATGGCTGCCCTCCAGGCCACCCGCATTGCATGGATTTTTGTACTGGAGGCAGCAAAACAGAATGCTAAGAACCCCGAATTGTGAGGCAAAGCTGAACAGGCTCTTCTTTGCCACTTACTTATGTATAATCTTAGGTCAGTTACTTATCTCTGAGCCTTAATCTCCTCATCTGTAAAAGGGAGATTATAGTGTTTAATTCAGAGGAGTCTGTTAAGATGCAATGAGTTCGTGTAAGTGCTTGCATAGGGCTGCCTCCTAAAGGTAAGAAAATGGGGGCTATTCTCTGTTTCATTATTTCTTGAGACAGGGATCAAAGTGTGGTAGCATGAGAACCAAATACTGCTGGTAGCTGTATCATTTGGCTTCTACAGTGTTTCAGAGAGGCACGCCCTCCCCAGGCCCCTAGGCTCTGACCCTCCCCAGGGTCCTACCCAGCCCGTTCACAGGCATCTGCTGCTGGATGGGCCCTGGATGCCCTGTGAGGTTTCAGGATCCATTCTCCAATCTCCCTAGCAATCTCCCTTTGGAAGGATAGGTAGGTACAAAGGAAAAGTAGCATTCATTGCAATATACCTCAGTTCTGCCGACAACGTTTCCACCCTCTTCAGATCCAGTTGTGTGAAGGGCCTCTGCCATGGGCCGCCTTGTCCTCTGTATGTGGGATGTGCCTCCTGCAGGCTGGCTCTGGCAGGAGCACTCACAGACCCCCAACGCCAGGCCAAGGCCACATGCTGAGTGCTTTATGTGTAAAATCAGCGTGTGCCCAATGGCAAATATCAAAGTTGGTCTTGGGACTTCTGTTTGCTCCTAATTATTGATTTATAGTTTCAAACGCACGACTGCTTCCCAAATACAGCAAGTGATTATGGACAAAGCACCTTGGTCTTTGTCCTTAGGTCTCTCTATAGCAGTCATTAAAACACAGTCACACGTGACTTAATGGCAGGGATGTGTTCTGAGAACCATGTCATTAGGTGATTTCATCATTGTGTGAACATCACAGAGCGTACACACAAACCCAGATGGCACAGCCTACCACATTTCTAGGCTATGGTATAGCTTCTTGCTCCTAGGCTACATTGCAGGCAACTGTAACACAAAGTAAGTATTTGTGTATCTGAACATATCTAAACCTAGAAAAAGTGCAGTAAAAATACAGGATAAAAGAAAAAGAATGGTACACCTGTATAGGGCACTTACCGAGAATGGAACTTGCAGGAAAGGAGGTTGTTCTGAGAGAGTCAGTGAGTGAATTGAGTGAGGGGTGAGAGAATGTACAGCTACTTAAAGCCTCTCTATGAGTTTCCATCATAATGCCTTCCAAACCCACGATTTCACATTATTATACCAAGGGAAGTAAGTCAAGTGACAGAAATAGTGGATCTGAGAGGCACCATGATGAAAACTCATAGAGGCCTTAAGTATTTGAAAATATTCTTTATCGTTAAAAGTTAAATGCTTTTCTTCTAAAAAAAATTAAGAACCAATCCTTAATAGAAAAGGTGATAGGCAAGCTGAGTCTAAACTTGAAAGTTACTTTTTAAGGTGATCCTTCTCCTTTCTTTCAATGTCAACGCATACTAAAAACTCAAGAAAAATTCCTTTGATGCATATAATTATAGATCACCTCACTACATATTATTTTTAGCTTATTTGTCATTTTTGAAGGTTTAATTGATTTTGGTCCAAGGGTTGTACATTTGGGAGCAGAGCTAAAGAGAATAAATCCTAAATTATTAAAAGATAATATTTACATTACGCTGTCAAGATTTGTGCAATGTGTCTTAACTGTTCTTTTTTTTAAAATTCTTAATTCTTGCCTGGTAAGTTATGAAACTTTCTTTGGTGCTGCCCTAGTTAATGCAGCAAGACTTGCCAAGTTGAATTTACACACGGTTCCTTATGAATTGTTCTCCTTGTGCAGTTGAGTTCCCCACATTGAGCATGACAGTCACAGGGGTAGCAGCATCACAACTCTGCTGTTTGAAGTGTGATTAATATGCTAACTGCTCAGTTTAGAATAAAAATCCATTTAGCTGATGCATCCAGCCTGTTCTTCTAAATCAGTGCTGCAATGGCCTTCAAAATAATTGTTGGCTGGAAGAGGAAAATCTGCTAAGACATGTGTATAGTCTGAATTATTTAAATGAGCATTGAAATGCTAGGTATCTGAGTAAAAGTGGTACGCCTGTCTGCTCATGAGCAGGACTGAAGACTGTGTGGCAGCTGATATTCTTGACCAACTCCTTGTGCTACCCAACAAAGCCACTGGTTTGAGGAAGAAGTCCACCCTCTATTCTATCTCCATTAACCAAGCAATGGCAATGAAGTGGAAAGAACAAACAGCTAAGCTTTGACCTCAAATGCCAATCAAACTCTACCATTTCAGTGATCATGTTAAGCATTCTGTATCTGTTTAAAAACAAAAGCCTCCTGAATGTTACCTCAGTTTATTGTCAACTAGCCAAATTCTTCCCTCACATATTGCTTAATGAAATCGCACATTTAATAGCATGTGGTTGCCACACATTGTTTATTTTGCTTTCAATTAAATGTCATGGGGCAAAAATGGAAAAAAAACTCTTTCAAATGAAACTTTATTCATGTTTTAATTGGCACAGCTCTTACTGAAAAGATACATACTTTCCAAATCAAATTAATTATTTTTTTCTATTTTACTTTAAATATTTCTCAAGTGGAAATGAAATTCAAATCATAAAACAGAATAATTTCCATTTTTATTATACCAGCCACCCTCACTGTAGATAAAAATTATTTTTAAAATGTAGTTTTCTAAATTGCAATTGTGTCTTAATTTGTTGTTACATACTACCATCTTAAAAACTAACAAGCATTCCAATTAAAGAGAAGATGTCAATATTAGCCAGATGTTCCCTAGTATCAGAACATTTTTGAGTCCTTAATTTCATTAAATTGAGGTTAAATTTGGATTTAGCTTTTTTTTTAAAAAAAAAGACATAATTTTAAATTGACACGCAGGTATAAAAATAATACAGAAAGATCCAGTGTACATTTTACCTGGTTTCTTCCAATAGTAACATCTTGAAAAATTCTAGTACAATATCACAACCATGTACTGACACTGACACAGCCAAGCTATGGAATCGTGCCATTGCCCAAGGAGCCCGCCTGTTGCTGTTTTGTCTGCACACCCCACTTCCCTCACCATCTGCCCTCACGCCTGGCCTATAGCAATCACTATTCTGTTTTCCATCCTGTGAGTTTGTCATTTTGAGATTGTACAGAAATAAAAGCATACATTCTGTAACCTGTTGGGATTGGCTTTTTTCACTCAGACTAATTCCTTGGAGATTCACCCAAGTTGTTTGGTGTATCAATACTTCATTCCCTTTTATTGCTGGGTAGCAGTTCATGGTATGGATGCACCACAGTTTGTTTAATCATCATCCATTGAAGGATATCTAGGTCATTTTCTATTTGGGATTATACAATTAAAGTTGCTATAATAGTCAGTTACATATTTTGCATACACATATGTTTTCATTTGTTTGGGATAAATGCCCAAGACGACAGTTGTCGAATTTTTTGATAGTTACATGCATGTTCAGTTTTACAGGAAACTACAAAGCTGTTTTTCAAAGTGGCTATATCATTTTACATTCCATCAGCAATGTGTGAGTGATCCTGTTTATCCACATCATTGTCAGCATTTGGTATTGTCACAATTTTTTATTCTAGCCATTCTAATAAATTTATAATGATACCTGATTGCAGTTTTAATTTCCACAATAGCTAGTGATGCTGAACATCTCGTCATGTGCTCATTTTCCATCTACATACTCTTTCCATCAAGACGGTCTGTTTGTGTCTTTTACTAATTGTTGAATTGATTTTTTTTTTTTTACTGTTGAGCTTTGACAGTTCTTTATGTAGTCTAGATACTAATCCTTTGTTGGATACGTAGTTTTCAAATATTTTCTCCAGGTTGTCAGCCTGTCTTTTCATGCTTTTCACAGAATCTTTCATGGAGAAAATGTTTTAATTTTGATAAAGTCCAATTTATCAATTTCATCTTGATTTCTTCATAGTGATTTCTAGAATATTGTTTTGCATATTTTCCTTAGTGGTTGCTGTAGGTAATTATAATATGTATACATAAATTATCACAGTCTGTTGGCATCAACATTTTACCAACTCCAGTGCAGTGTAGAAACCATACTTCCATTTATGTCCCTTTACTCTCCCACTTTTCCTAAGAGCACCACGTCAGATGGTTTTATAAATCTTGCCTCATTGATCAAGTGTGATTTGGGAAGTCATAATAGGAAGCATCAGCCGGGTGCGGTGGCTCATTCTTATAATCCCAGTGGGAGGTCGAGGCAGGCAGATCACCAGAGGTCAGGAGTTTGAGACCAGCCTGGCCAACATGGTAAAACCCAGTCTCTACTAAAATACAAAAATTAGCCTGGCATGGTGGCAGGTGCCTGTAATCCTAGCTGAGGCAAGAGAACTGCTTGAACTTGAGAGGAGGAGGTTGCAGTGAGCTGAGATCACGCCATTGCACTCCAGCCTGGGTGACAAGAGTGAAACTCCGTCTCAAAAATAAGAAGAAGAAGAAGAAGAAGCATCAAAGATTCTTTTCTTTCTGACATTCTGAACATTCCTGAATATCATTTTCTCATCTATTACATCTCTAAAGGCTGGTTTGCTAGCAACAAGTGTTCTTAATTTTCTAACTCTCCTAATTCCTAAAGGATGTTTTGCCAGATATAGAACGTGTAGTTCATAGTTCTTTCAGCACTTATAGAAGGTTATGCCACTCCTTTCTGGCCTCCATGTTTTCAGATAAGAAATCTGCTATCACTCACACTGGTGTTCCCCTGTAGGTGATGAGTCATGTTTCTCTGGCGCTTTCGAGATTTTGTTTTTTTATCTTTAGTTTTCAGACAGTTAACTATGATGTGTATTGGCATGGATTCCATGGGTTTTTCCTATTTCAGTTTTGCTCAGCTCTTTGAAAATGTAGGTTTCTGTTTCTCACCTTTGACATTTGGGAAGCTGGCACCTATTATTTCTTTGAATACTTTTTCAGCTCCACTCTCTTTCTCCTCTCCTTCAGAAACTCCTATAATATGAAAGTTGGACTTTCCTCATTTCCCTCGGGTTCCTGAGGCTTTCCTCATATCTTTTTTAAATGTGTTTTCTCTCCTTTATTCTGATTAAGCAAATTCTACTGCTCTGCCATTCGGTTCACAGATTCTGTCCTCTGTCATCTCCACCCTGCTATTGAGCCCCTCCAGTGTGTTTTTTTAATGTTGGTTATTGTATTTTTCATTTTTACAATATCCACTTATAACTCCTCTTTCTTCATTTCTATAATTTCTATTCTTATTTTTCATTTGTGTCAAAAGGATTTGGAAATTCACGCTGAAGTATTATTATGATGGGTACCTTAAAATTCCTGTTAGATGATTTCAACATCTGAGTCAGCTCAGTGTTGGCATCTGTTGATCATGTTTTCTCATTCAGCTGGTGATGTTTTTTGGTTCTTTGACAGGTGAGTTCAGTTGGATCCTGGACATCTTGTCTGTTTTGTTAGGAGTGTCTGGTTCCTACCCAAGTCCTCCATTTTATCCAGCAGTCACCGTGTTTAGGCTTAGCGTGCAGGTTCTGGGCAGCTCTGTGGGCCGTGGCTGCCATGGCAGTTTACATTCAGTCTTGGTGGTATTATTTTGATCTACTTGGTCACCTGGTGCCAGTGGTGGTCCCCGAGCCCTGCTGGTGCTGGCCGAGGGTGCAGAAGGTGTGTCCCTAGGCTGGAAATCACAGGTCTCTGGATGAAGGAAGGGAGTGTGAGGACTTCTGGGACAAAGGACATTTCTCAGGCCCCTTTCTGTAACCTCAGCTGCTGTGCCCTGGCTTTTCCTTAGAAGAGAAAGGAGCTCAGTTTCTGAGTGGCAGACCACATTTCCCTGGGTAGTTGCTTGTTGTGGCTGCATCATTGCTCACCGGCTGCCCTGCCACCTGGTGTGTGTAGACTGTGAAAGGAACTGCAGCCCTTGGGCTTGAGGAGCACTTCCCAAGCCAGGAACTTGTTGTAGTACCTCCTCCCTGTGATGTTCTCCTGACCCATGGTGCCTATAGGAGGGAAAAGGGAGTCTATTTCCTATGGGAACAAAGAATGTGTGTTGGAATCGTGTCAGCCGATGCCTGTACTAGGGGACAGAGGGGGCTGCAGGCCCAGTGCAAAGCCAACCCTTCCTCCACCTCTCGTCACACGCAGGCTCCTCGTGGGTGCCCCTGCAGGCACTGCTGGCTGACCTGGTGTCATCCCGGGAGGAATGAGCCTGCCAGGCCTCTTTCTCTTATTGGTCAGGGGTGGGGACACCAGTCCTGAGCTGTCTCCTCCTGTCGGGTGGGGCCATAAGACCCTCCTCTGTGCTGCTCCTTCAGCCACGGTCCTGGGTCTGGGCCCAGACTGCTCTCCTCTTTCCCCTTTGGGGTTCTCCTATGGTTGCGTCTGTGTCATTTCCAGAGTTTACAGTTGTGCTTGTAGAGATGAGCAGAGATGAGTCAATGCTGTCTTGTCTGGACCGGAAACCCAGACGCTCAGTTGTAAGTATTCAGAAATTAAAGGTGAACGTGGCCACACCAGTAAAATGTCAAAATCGCTGCTAAGAAAATAAGGGGCTAGTGCATGGAGGCTCGGTGACACTGAAAATAGAAGTTTTGGAATTATTTACATAGAGGTGGTACTGAAGCCAGGCAAACATCAAAGATCTCTTAGGCACCAATGAAAAGATGGAGCATAGAGAGGCCCGGAAAGAAGTGTCCAAAAGAGTGAAAGCAGGTGGCAGAATTATTCCTCCACTAGCTATTGTTTTGAAGCACATTTGTTATAAACAATGAGTACATAACAGTTCATATAATCAGAAAATATAAAGAAAACAATTTTACAAACAGCATGTGGAGCCTAAGAAAAACGGACATATTTTCCGATGTACATCACCCTTATCAGGCACGTACAAGCAGGAGAGGCCGCTTCCCCGCCTCTGCTAAGATCTCTGAATAAACCTGGACGTGAGCTGCAGGAAAACAGAAAGAAAGCAAACTGAAGCAAATTCAAACTGAAGTCAATCCTGCGTCTCTCTCTTCCTAGGAATTTAATCCCTTCTCTGGTCTCCAGTGTGGGAGGATTTTATCCAGAGAATGAGTTATAAAGCAAGCAATAAAAAGTAAGCACATTTCTAAACACATGAAGCCTTCACCTCCTGTCCATGGGCTCACCCTCCCTGCATAGCCTAAAACTGACTAAGAGATGTGGCCATGATGTCAGCTGACATCTGAAAACACTGCCTTCCATTTGCCTCCATGAGAAGCGAGATGATCATGAGCTAAGACCTCGGTCTGGTGCCCAGCATGGATCCTGGTTCATCGGAACAGTCCAAGCCTTCAGATCCCCTTCTCTGCCAAGCCTGCTTTTCTCTGTGACCCCCGACCCTGTCAGGGTGGGAAGTCTGACAAAAGCGTTAGGCGCACCGCAGCTCAGGCACACAGGTCTCAGGACCCCAGGCTTTCAGAGCCGGACGGACGTCCTCAGACACGGAGTCCTTTCCACTCTCACACGGGACAGCCGAAAGCACCCACTGCAGAGGCAGCCATAGAGGGTACTTCTGCCAAGGCCAGTCTGTCCTCTGGATATCAGATCGGCATCTAATAGATTAGAGTGTGGCAGGGCCGGACCACTATCACAGCACTCCTCTAAAAGCAGTGCTAAAATGCGCTGGATTGTTTTCATTTGTCAAGGATTTTGCTTTAATTTTCTAACACGCTAGGCTTTTCTTTTCCTCTCTAACCCTTTCCAAATGTGGGTGGGGGGGTGGGATGTACAGGCGTCACCTGTCCTGGCCCTGCTTAAGAGGGGGTGCTTCTTGTGGGGGACTGTGAGGCAAATAGGAGGAAGGAGGAAAGGGCCTTTAGGAGCTGCTCCCTATCCTGCAGGAGTCTCTGGAGTCTGCGCGGGGCCGGGTCGTGAACGCCGCGCCACCGTCCAAGCGCTCTGCGTTCAGTGCTCACTCCAAAAAAGGAAACCCTCAAAGAAAGTCCTGCGGGTGCGTGTATTGGAAAGCGGAGTGACAGAGCGAGCCACTGAGGCCAGAGCCCCGCAGACACCGAGCTCTTTATTTACCTGGGGCTCTGACTAACCGGAGACGCGGCGCTGCCCACTTTCCGATAAGGTGACTAAGGGCGTCCTGCCTGGGCTTGAAGCTGCAGCCCTGTTTCCCCTCCGCATGCCCGCGCGCCTCCCGGCCGCCCCTCCCGCGCAGGGCTCGGGTGGGTGTTCCGCAGGGCAGGATGCCCGTCGGGAGCAGAGGAAACAAAGCTGCTCCAGCGCGCGCCGCCCGGGCAGCCGCGTGGCAAGTCTCTGCACCGCGGCTCCCTCCGACATGCCCGAGCCTTCTAGGGAGCCCCGCGCCTCCCGGCCGGGCGGTGGCGGCGCGCGGGGCCCACGCTCTGAGGAGGGCGGGGCCGGGGAGGGCGTGCGGGGACTTTCATGGGGACCCCCAGGCGGACGCCAAGGGGGTGTTTAGCCGGGGGCGAAGCTTGGGCATTCCATGCATTTACATTCTTCCCGAGGAAGGCAGGTGCCCTTGAGAGCCTTCCTAGGCATTCTTGGTGCTGAGCGGCCCCCCACGGCCACTCTTGCTCCCTGTGCACTCTGCATGCGTCTCTGTGCACACCTTCATCTTCACACGCAGCACACGCGCCCCTCGAAACTGAAGGGCAAAGTCTCGCTTAAAACTCATGGACCAGCCAAATCGCATTTTTCCTTTTCCCCACCCCTGAAGATAATTTGGAACATCATGAGAACTGGGTAGCAGATATAAAGATCAGAGCAGTTAGTCAACTGGGCCTCTTACCGCGTTTATTAACTAGCTTCTAAATAACTTGGCTTTAGCATGAGCTACATGTATTTCTTTAAAAATCCACCTTTTAAAAGCTCTTCATAGGATTCCTGTGAGGTTGGCAAGGAAAGAACAGGTATTATCTCCAGTTTGTGAATAGAAAAGTTGAGGCTCAAAGAGGTAACACTTGTTTGTCTGGCAATATTTCACACGTGCCTAGTAAAGGCAGGCATGAAACATCCCCCTCACTGGGGTGCCCCAGAGCTGAATTCCATGGAAACTGTTGACTCCAGCCCACCACAGTTCAGTGGAGAACGTCTCTGTCAGTGTTACAGGGCTCTGCTGCAGGACGTTTGACTTAGAAACGGATGCACAGCATCCAAACACCCCTGCAGCTCACCTGGAATCCCTGCTCCCACCTCCCGGGCCCCCACCAGCTGTCTCCACAGCCCTAACATTATTTTCTGGCCAGGGCCATCCGGGGACCCCCACCCCTTCCCGCCTTCTCACTTGGCTCCTGCAGGCGTCTGGTCCTGGGAATGCTTAGGGCGCTGCCCAGCTTCCAGAAGGTCCACCTGTGCCCTGCCTCCCTTCCCACTTCCCCGTCCACTGCTGGTGCCACTGGAATCTGGTGCTCTGGACAACTGCAAATAAGGTCTCGCTATGCTATGGATTAAACGGGAATGCATGGGCTAACCTAGGAGGACAGCCACAACCAATAACATCATTTCTATGAGAAAATGAATTCTGCTTCCAAACAACCAATTTACAAATTCACTTTGGGATGCTGACGTGTTCATAAGTTGCAGAATCCCTGTGATAGAACCTGAATGAATAACTATTTTGTTCAGCAAAGTTGACTGCTTATTAAATATTACTTGTTGAAAAGAAAGCCCTGCCATTAAAAAGGCAAATAGTGTATTTCCTTTGCAAATTCTTCTTTGGGCTGTTTTCATGCGAAACCAGATCTCTGTCACTCTGTTTCCCTCTCGCATCTTGAACTGAAAAATCAATAGCTTGTTGTTGATTTTAAAACTTATGGCCGGGCAAGGTGGCTCACACCTGTAATCCCAGCATCTTGGGAGGCTGAGGCGGGTGGATCACTTGAGGTCAGGAGTTTGTGACCAGCCTGGCCAATATGATGAAACTCTGTCTCTACTAAAAATGCAAAAATTAGCCAGGCACGGTGGCTGGCGCCTGTAATCCCAGCTACTCTGGAGGCTGAAGCAGGAGACTCGCTTCAACGCGGGAGGCGGAGGTTGCAGTGAGCCGAAATCACCACTGCACTCCAGCCTGGGCAACACAGTGAGACTCTGTTTAAAAAAAAAAAAATACTTATCAGGCACCAACTTGCTTATTACATAAGCCGAGCATTTTTTATATGCTTCTTGGGCAGGAACAGAGAAAAACTGGAAATACAAAGTCCCCTTAGTGGCAAGTTATGACAAAAGAGCTGGAGTTGAATATTCATGGGAAGATTTTGCCCTGCAAATCCTACAAAGTTTCATCCATTAAGTAACTACACGTGTGACATATCCAGAGGTCTGTTGAACCTCAGGGAGTTTCTACCTGGCTACTGCAAATACAACTGGCTGCAGGAGCCATGGGCATGAGAAATCATGGGCCAGGTGCCAGAGAGGCATACACCTGCTCTTGCCAAACTAAGAACTGCTCAGTCACGTGGGATAGCAAGAAAGCATCTTGGAGACTTGAACAGAACTGAGGAAGATGGAAGATCCATTGTATTTGAACAAATTTGATCAGTTTCCTGAAGGCAGCCAATTCTTACAAGCAGTAAATCCAGTACAAAGCCTGAGGAAATTAACTTTGGTTTTACTCAAGAAAAAAAAATACAAAAATAAGAACCCGTTCTGCAAACTCTAAAGATGTCAAATGCAACATAAGTTTTAGAAATGTACTGAGAGTATTTTTTCCCCACTGTAATAAGGGAAATTATGTCAGGCTGACACTAATGTCATCAGCACTGATGCATTGCTTTGTACCAACTACTGTAATCTGCCACTCATTAGAAAATTCAACGGCATGGTGACCAGTACACTCTAATTCCCCAGCTCCATGGTCTCTTGCAAACTAAAAGGGAAGGCAGCTCTGCAAGGAGGAAGCACTGGGTGTCTTTAATCTTCTCTGGGTTTTTCTTTAAAAAAATAAATAAATAAAGTTTGTTCTTAGTGTTACTATTTAGAAAAATTTTTTAGCAACATATGGACACAGCTGTTTGCCTTTGGTATAGTTTTGAAAATGAAGTAAATTACATTTTCCTTCAAAAGGGGGCAACTTTCTAGTCTTCTGTTAAAGCAGAAGTCAAATAATTACAAATTGATAATAAACATGTCTAGAACTGTCTTCTCCAACCTAAAATACAAGAGATACTGTCCATGACCTCCGCTCTTATTTGGTCTTTCATTTTCTTAGGAGAGAACTTTCATATGTTCCAAAGTATGAATTTAATGCATAAACACCTTCTAGGTTTCAGTACTCTTCATTTAGTTTGAAAAACAAGAAGGAAATAAATGAAAATAGTCCCAATTTGAATTGCTCACTCTATATGTAGGAAACAAAAATTGCTATAAGGCAGTCTATTGACTGTGTAACAATAAAAAGGACAGTAACTCTATTAAAATTAGTTGTCTAGGGCAATGAATGTGGAAAATTTGATCTGTTTTCCACCTTTAAAACATCATTTTATATATATATATATGAAATGTATATAATTACATATAATATATATAAAAGATATGTGTGTATGTGTATATATATATCTATATATGCCTTTAAATATATGGCAGTGCCGTCTAATAGGACCTTTGCAGTAATGAAAGCACTCCATAATGCATACTGTCCACTGTTGTACCCATTAGCCACAAGTGATGATTGAGCATGTGAAAAGTGGCTAGTCCAAACAAAGAATTAAATTTTTAATTTAATTCCATTTTAATGTATTTAAAATTAAACAGCCACATGTGGCTAGTGGCTACCGTGTTGGAGAATTCATCTTTATAGTACAATAGGGCAACAAAAGGGATTAAAATGTGATTGGTCTGAGTGTCAAAAAACCCTATATAGAAGAGGTGTGAGGTGGAGGTGGGGGTGGGGACAGAGCAAATAAGGTTAGCAAGCCCTTCTTGAATACTCACCATGCAGGGGGACTGAAGGTGCCCTCAGGGGCAGACCTTGCCCAAAGCACAACCAAGAGATGGTGTTTCACCAGCGCAGAGCTTAATTACGAAGCCTCAAGGATGGAAAGGAGATCACAAGACAATACCTTATAATTTGCCAAACAAAATAAGTAGGTGGGAAGAAGATCAGGATCACTTTGGGTTCAAAAATCCCAGAAGAGTTGAGGAGGTGATGACCAGTGAAGATGTGTGGGAGGGGCCTCCAGGGGAGTAGAACAAAGCAGTGTGAGCCCAGCACAGAGAGGAGAGCCGAGGGGGCCTTGGCGGAGGTGAGAGGTGGCTGGGGGTGCAGGGTCTGGGATGCTAATCTGGACATTGGGACATTTCTCCTGCCACCATTTGAAAAGCATGAGGTGTATCTTTTGAGAAACGTGTATCTACTATAATAGCTGCTGGTGGATTTACAGAAAGTGCCAGGGTGTTTTTCATGACAGGCTCTGAGGAGCTAGTTTCCTATTCTGCCTCATTTAGCAGATTAAAAATGGCACAATACCCATTGATAAAAGGAAACATTCTCTATGTTTCAGTGTGTGTGGAGTCCTCCTAAGGCCACTCTCATTTTTCCCATAGCCTTCCTTCTCTTACATATTCTTTTGTTACTACTTTATCCGCCTATATAATTGAGGTCCTGTTTCAAAACTGTCCTGGATGCTATGATAACTAAAGTTCTCTTGTTAGAATTGGACAATGTGTATAAAAATCTTACAGATAGAAGTCCTTCAGGCGAAAGAAGGAGGAGAGAGTTAACATGTACCAAACACCTACCCTGGGGTACATGCTGGGCCTGGCATGGTATGTGTGAACACAGCATCATGTATTCCAGGACCATAAGGAAAACACCTAACCTTCCACATTAAAGCAAAAACAAAAACAAAAAATAAGCAGCTTGTCCAAGGACACAGCGCTCACTAGGAGCAAAGCTGGGGCTGGAACTCAAATTAATTGGGGAGCTCCTGCAGCTCCAGGAGCTTCAGCAAAGCCGGGGCTTCTCTGGTGCTCACTTCTAGGATAGCTGTAATGTGAACCTACAGGGTGGGGATGAGTACACTTCCCAATCACACACCACCAGGGTGCTGCCAGGACCATGGAAGCCCTGCTCCCGGGGCCCCTCAGGCCTCTGCCTTCCAGGGAGACAGTCAGAGTGGCAGAAAACAACACAGGCAGTTGTGGGGCCTCCAGTGAATTCCATGAAGGTAATTGGCTTTTTATTCTAGTGTCATCTGAATTCTTTAAAATAGTTTTCTTGAATAGATGGTGGAACAAACCTCAGTGCTTTTCAATAGGAACCGCCTGAATCTCTGCCTTTCGTGCCCTAACTGCCTCCCAGGTAACTGGAATGTGAGGCTGAGGTGACACCCGTACCCCTTCCCTCAGGCAGGGCAGCAGAGCTGGTTTCCTACTTTCAAGCTCTAATTCAGACCTAGAAGACATCTTGCCAGCAGGGCGGGCCCATCCTCCCCATCCCGGAGCACAGGCGAGGTGCTGCCTGCAGCACGCGCTGCCGCCAGTGACCACGCTCTCAGGAATGCAGACACCTGCAAGAGCAGGAACGGAAAACAACAGTCACCTGTCCCACCTGATCTGCCCAGGTGGGCGGGGGCATGGGGCTTGGGGCTGGTCAGGACTTGGAGCTAGGCTCCTGCCTGTGGACAGGAGGAAGGGGAAGGCTGCATCTGCAGGTGTGGAATGCCAGACCGACCCAGCCTGATGGCCTCGACCAGGTGGGAGAGGGGCACGCTCCTCTTTTGTGACCCTCTTGCATCATGATATCACAACGACCAAAGGTGGCCTCCAGGACAATAATCTGTTGTGGGCTTGTTTGAACACTGATGCCATTTTGCTTACCTGGAAAGCCCTGCTCTGTCATTCCCAAGGAGTCAGGCTTAAGGGCTTCATCCTTTTAGTAAATGGTGGAAGCAGAGCTAAAACAAAGGGGAAAGAGTGATGTTACTGTTCTACCCTTCACCTTGCTCCGCCAGTACACTGATGGCAGAGCTCTTCCTCTTGTAAAAACAGTACTCAGGCCAAAAAATACATATATACATGTGTGTACACACACACACACACACACACACAAAGACATGCATATCCATACGTACATACTCACATTCATACACACTCACACACGCATGCATAGACATATGCACATACACACGTACATGCATACACTTGTATACAGACATACACATGCACATACACATACACATATATTCACACAAACACTTGTATACACACATATACATGCATACACACATAGACACACCCACACCCATATACATATATTACGCAAACTCACCAACCACACACACACACTGCACATGCTTATGTATAGACCTTGCCCAGCCCCAGGTGCATTTCCCAAAGGTGCCATCACTTGCATGGAAGAGGAAAGAAGGAGGGCTGTGTGGAGACATCCCACTAGAAGCTAGGTGGAGGAGGGATGAAGAGGGAAGGCATCCTCCCCACCCATGCCACAGGGCACCCTGACTTGGTGGCAGCAGATCCCAGACCCAAGGGCGAGGCTGTGCACTGCATGCCCTGGCTCCAGTCACTGTCCCAATAGGTGGAGCTGAGACCCCTCAGGCTGTGCCCTGATGGTTCTGGGGACCCTGCATCACCTTCAACCTATCATACCCTCCTGCAAGCAAGCCCTCAGAACAAAGCTGCCCACCAGGCAACATGTAGACTCCACGTCTCCTTTAGACACTGCTATCAACATAACCTTTGCATGAACTTGAGTGCTGCCTTTACTTTTCATTCTTTTTCTCAGTGATTTCTTGAACAAATCATTATGCTGGTAAAATGTCAAATGCTGTTTTCCTTGGCAGATACAGAGCCTGGGGGGAGGTGGGAGAGAAAGCAACATTTCTAGCACCCTTTTTAAACATTGCGGGGGATAATTGGGACATTAAACAAGACAGTCACTAAGCGGGGACACTCAGGGGGGCCTGTCAGCCACAGCAGGCACATTTCCCTGTCACTCAGGGACGCCAGCGCCTGCTTCCTTCCCCCGTTGCCGCAGGACTCCTCAAGGAAGTGCTGACCCTACACAGACCATTTGTTCTTAAAAAACTGAAATCGCTGGAAGCCAACAAAGCAAGTCTGAAAATGGCTGAGAAGAGGCGAACTCCAGCCCTGCCCTAAGTGGCCCTGGAAACCTCCACATTGGTGCCATGCCTGGAGGCAGAGTGGATTTCTCTGAGAGTTTGCCTGCTTGTGGAATAAACCAGGGCATTGTCTCCTGCTTACCCTAGGCTCTCTGATCCCTGCCTCAAGGAACTGCAGTAATTTTCTGGCCCTCTGCTTCTGCAGGAATCCTTTCTATTAGAATTTGCATTGCTATGAACATGTTGAAAATCTCTTCTCATTCCCCCTTTGACAATTCAAGTGCAAAGTCTGTCATGGAAATACTGTTGAAGACTCTTCTCTTTTGCGTTGGCAGGGCACACTCTGCCATCTGAAAAGAAGAGCATCCTGGCCATTCTCCACATGCACCATGTGGGGCTGAAGGGGCCTAAAGAAGAGATTTTCTCACACTGGATGCTTTGTCCTCCTCTGACTCCAACAGCCCACAAAATCTTCCAGGAAAACTCTTTTCAGTACCACTTCCCTGCTGCCAGTTGCAGTGGGTGCATCCACTTGAGGGGATGTTCCTAAGGAGGCAGGGCATTAAACCTTGCTTGAGCACAGCCCCTTGCATGGGAGGCACAGCTATGAACATCACAGTAAGAAGCAGTGCTCACCAGGACTCACTGCAGCTCCTGCAAAGTGCTGCCATGAGCTTCTCAAAACCCCATAAGCATGAGTGTGATGCTGGCAGGAAGCCCCAGGCTTCTCTTTTATGGCATCCGCTCTGGGGAGTAGGACCCTTTTTCTTTGTCTCTTAAAGGTAACTGCAAACCCTTAGAAAAGAAGAGAGGACTATAGGACCTTCCTCCTGGAACATGCTTGAATTCACCAGGCACGTGTACAGAAGATCACTAGTAACCAACATGAATATGGTTCTTTAAGATACACAAAGCAGGCTTACAAGCACCTTCTCCTTCTTCAGGACTTCAGAATTCACCTTCGCCTCTCCTCTCCCAAGCTGTTTCTCTACCTGGATACTGGTATCAGTGGGATGGCCATATCAAAGCAGTTTCAACATTCTAAGTTCTTCCAGGGAAGCCAACTGCAGTGCTCAAAGATTAGGAACATTTTTTTCTCTGCCACCTGTTCACCCTGCAATGCTCACAGAAAAGGGGCAGCATCTACTTAGCCTCTGCTGCATGGAGACACCATTACAACAGGACCGAGTTGATCCTTCTGTATCCCGCTGTAAGAAGAGCAATGCAGAAATGCCTTCCAGGACACCCAAAGCTGGGCTCCACCTGCGTGGAGATCACAGTGCTCATCGAAGCAATAAAACAAATAACACCTGAGGCACCCAACACTGAGCTGTGACATCCAGCCCTGTGCTTCACACCCCACTAATCAAAGATGGTTTTTGCAAAAGCAAGAAGGCATCAGCTGTGACATGCCACACCGTGCTGTGAGCCGAACACAGACACACTGGCTTGTGGACCAGCAGCTCCAGCATCTCTCAAGACACACACTCTGTGAGCGGCCCCACACCCCAAGTGCCCTCCTTGAAAAGCACCATGATGCCACCTTGGACACCCCACATTACTCTACACCATGCTCGCCCTGTGGCCACCGAGTAGCAGTACAGCCTCCATGGGACACTCCGCACTGAGCTCTGCACCCTCCCAACTGAGGGGATAGATGGAATGAACAGCATGCATCCCCTAACAGTTTCTTCAAGTCACCAGGGACACCTAACACCGTGCTTTATTAGTCAGTGTCCTCCAGAGAAATGGAAACAAGGGATATGTAGAGAGAGAGTTAGATTTATTTTAAGGAATTTGCTATGGCCATTGTGGCGGCTGCAGGTCTGAATTTTCACGGCAGTCTGACCAGCGGGAGACCTGTGGAGGTGCTGGTGTTGCAGCTCCTGCGCTAAGACAGAGTGCTGGCCGAGCTCCTCTTCCTCTGGGGAACTCAGTCTTTGCTTTTAGGGCCTTCAGGTGATTAGATGAGGCCTACCACATCATGGAGTGTAATTTGTTTTGCTTAAAGTCTACTGATTAAAATGCCAATCTCATCTAAAAATACCCTCACAGAGACATCTAGACTAGTGTTTGATCAAATACCGGGGTACCATAGCTGATGCATACAGTTAGGTGGAACAGCACTCTAAAGCCCGTCATCACTGCATACTCAGTGGAAAATCAGCAAAGTGCTCTTGAAGGCTGCCACACCGTGCTCTCCACCACCCGGTCACAGTGGCTGCAAGTGGTGCGGCCCTCTCTGGAGAACCAGGACTCCGCACCCCCCCCACTCTCACAAGGGGCCGCTCAGCAAGGGCGTAGGGTCACCTTAGATGCAGAACCCTGTGCAACAAACCCCAATCTTCTCAGTACACTCCACGGAAACATTGCTTAAGCACCGCAGGATACCCAGGGTCTACCCTGGGAGCTCTGCACGCCCAAAACTCGGTGTGGACAGAGCAACAGCAGAATGAACTAGCTGGGAAGCCCTGCACTGCACACCAAAGTCCGAGAATCCTATTGCTGCCCCGAACCACAGCAGTGGCCCTAGCTGGGACCCAACACACCCTCCATCAGCTCCAGCTGCAGGAGACCGAGGGCACTAAGGGGTGTGCTCGGCACCCACGCTGCTACAATGGGTCCCATCTCAGCAGGCGGGTGTGAATAAGGACACTCCACTCACTGCTATCAAGCCACAGCAGTCAGACCTGGCATGCCCCACTCCAGTCGCCATGGGACCTGCAGACCAGAAGCAGCACCGTGGCCAGCAGCTTGTCATTAGACCGAATCCCAGGGCCCACCACAGAGCTAGTGAACTGTGTTTCGCTTTTACAAAAACCTTTGTCACAGGGGTTTAAGGTGCGCCTCGTAAAGCAGAGGTCCACTAATCTTTCAGGTTCCCAGATTGTTGATCCTCTCTAGGGATGTATTACACTAGAGGGTCCACAGAAGAATGGTATCAAATAGTAAAGAGTGACTTCTCAGCCAACAGCAATTCACGGCATGGTGAAGTCGGGGTTTTAAAGCATGCGGTCTCTTTGAAAAGACACTTGAAGTGGAGACTCTGCTAAATCTTATAATAAATTACATTGTCCAATTAAACTAAAAATAGTCCAGGGACTTTGCAGGGTAGCTCTGAAGATGTGTCACAGGCATCACTGGATAATGAAATATCACCCACTTCTGCCTGGGAATTTCTCCCTGAACACCTCCCCACTATACAGACGCAGACACTGCTATCACCCATCAGTAACAACAGTTTGTTACAGAATCTCAGGTGCTGGCCAGATGGCACACTCATCTCTGCTCTTCCCCACATCCCTACATTTTACAGAAGAAGAAACAAAGGCACAGACTGTTCAGGGAATTGCTGAACGTGGCTCTGTTCTCATAGCACTGTCATAGGGACTTGATTTGGGAAAACATGAACATGCTTTTCTCTTTTGCATTTTAGTGTTTCTAACCTTTCCTTTGTCACTCACCCCTAAGAGGACAGGAGTCCTGTGGGTAGAGGAAGACACTTAATATTATTCAGAGGCTACACAGATAGAAAGGAACTTGGATGTGGTTCACCCTTGACTCTTGCAAGCACAGCAGGACTTTGCAGCAGGACAAAAGATATGCGAGCCAGCCTGTGTCATACTGACCATGCTCCACATTCCTCACGCACCTCAGGAACCCACCCGAGGGTCCCACTAATGGCCCAGGACAGGGGCTCACAAGGCCAGAGGCTCCAGGGGAAGAGCAGACACAGCTACATGTTGGTTCAATGAGAAAATGAGAACCCAGTTAGGGAGACTGAGGCCTCAGCTTTCATTCATTGAGTAAAGACAACACAGATCTCGGTGACCATGCTTGGCCATGGCTGCTGGTGGCGCAGGTAGAGGAAGCTGTGCCTGGGGGTGGTCACGGGGCTTTCCATCTCCCTTATCTGGGCCTTGGCCTGGCGGAGGGTCAGCACAGGCAACTTTCAGATAACCGAGGGGAATTCTAGAACAGAGGTGCTTTTTGCTTATTTAGGGGTTGGAAGGAGATGGCACCCACCAAAAAAACAAAAAGCGTATCAACATGTGCAGCAGCACTGGGAGGTGGGAGCAGCAGGACTGCTGACGGTGGCCCTGCTCACAGCTCCCGGAAGGGACCCTGATGGCACCCCTCAAAGTGTTCACTATCCCTAGGATGGGCCTGAGAAGTGGCCGATCAATTGAAAGGCTAGAAGGGGCATCTGGGTGAGGCCTGTGGGGCCAAGCTAGAGATATACATATGTATGGAATGTGAATAATATACATTTATTATAATAATAACTGATTTGGCCAGTGGAGCTGTTCCTACAGACCCTGTTTGCTCTGACAGACAGTATCTCCAGCTCATAACACTCTGTACTTGTCATAAATAGATGCTCAGTAAATATTTTCTAGTTAATCACATTTTTATTTACTAGTAAAACACTTGCTCTCTTCCTCTCCCAGCTAGATAAATGAGAAATATATTTGAAGTATAATACACCAATTTTAAAGGTTACCAAATGATTAGGCTTCTTAGACCATTTGCACCATCTGACTCTGAATTAATTAAAGGTAGTTATTATCGGTTGACATTTTAAAAATGTAGTTATGGCCAGGCCTAGTGGCTCACGCCTGTAATCCCAGCACTTTGGGAGGCCAAGGCAGGCGGATCACCTGAGGTCAGGAGTTCGAGACCAGCCTGAGCAACATGAAGAAACCCCGTCTCTACTAAAAAAAAATACAAAAATTAGCTGGGCATGGTGGCGCATGCCTGTAATCCTAGCTATTCGAGAGGCTGAGGCAGGAGAATCACTTGAACCTGGGATGGGGAGGTTGCAGTGAGTCGAGATTACGCTGTTGCACTCCAGCCTGGGCGACAGAGCAAGACTCCAACTAAAAAAAAAAAAAAAAGTGCAGTTATGTAACGGTTGGGGGCACTAAAGCCCTCTTCAACACAGTAAATAATAATGTTCCTCCAACATTCTATCTTAATCCCAATGCTCAGGTGTTGCCTGTGATTGGAACATGGTGTGCCTGCCTTTGGCTTTCATGTCTGTGCTCTCACAATGGAGGTGACACTGTCCCTGGCAAGGCTTCATGTGTGCTGTGGTCCCCCAGTTCCACTCACCTTTTCTCCTCTTTCTCTGCTCCTCCCAGCCCATGGCCTCTCCTCCCAGCAGGTCCTACACATTGCCGGCATTTGGCCAGATCTCACAGCATCCACACCTGCTGTGCCCATCCCCATCTGCGCCACCTGATTCTGAGAGGAGCTGGTGTGGCTGGTCTGGACAGCTGCATTCAACCCCAGTCCCTGGCCTTCTGTGCAGCTCTGTCGGGTCCCAGGACCACTCGCTGACTGTGTCTCAGGCTCCAGCTTGATCTGAACCCACAGCCCCTCAATTACGTGTTCACTATCCCTGTAAATGCACCACGTGAACGAGGGGCTGAGAACAACACAAACTTGTTGTCTCACAATTGCAGAGGTCAGAAGCCCAACACGGGTCTCACTGGGCTAAAATTGGGGTGTTGGCAGGGCTTTCGTGCCTTGTTATGGCCAGTAGGTAGTGGAGATGGCATCTGAACCTGTGAGTCTGAGCCATGATCTTCTTGTCCCTCCATCTTTATTGAGGTATGCCTGACAATAAAACACTGTGTACATGCAAGGTGCACGAAATGATGCTTTGATATATGTATACACTGTGAAATGATTGCCACAATCCAGCTACTTCACATATTACCTCACGTAGTATGATTTGTGTGTGTGTGTGGTGAGAACACTTGAGATCTATGCTCTTTGCAAATTTCATATATACAATGCAGTATTATTAACCACCGTCACCATGCTGTGTGTTAGGTTTCTGGAACTGAACATTTGCACCCTCTGACCTACGTTCCCCTCCACTCAGCCCCTGGCAACCAGCACTCCACTCTGCCTCCGTGAGCCTGACTTTTCTAGATTTTGCATGGAAGTGAGATCAGGCATTCCTTGTCTTACTGTGTCTGGCCCATCTCACATGGCACAATGCCCTTCAGGTTCATCCATGTTACTGCAAAGGCAGAATTCCCTTCTTTTTTTACAGCTGAATAATACTCCATTGTGCAGAGGTATCTTATTTTCTTCATTCATTCATCCACCAACAGGCACTTAGGTTGATTCTGTAGCTCAGCTCTTGTGACAGTGCTGCAGCAAGCATGGGAGTACAGTAGAGGCTGCAATGAGCTGAGATCGCACCACTGCACTCCAGCCTGGGTGACAGAGCGAGATACAGTCTCAAAAAAAAAAAAAGAGAGAAAGAGAGAGAGAGAGAAAGAAAAAGAAAGAAAGAAAGAAAGAAAGAAAGAAAGAAAGAAAGAAAGAAAGAAAGAAAGAAAGGAAAGAAAGAAAGAAAGAAAGAAAGAAAGAAAGAAAGAAAGAAAGAAAGAAAGAAAGAAAGAAAGAAAGAAAGAAAGAGAAAGAAAGCAAGCCAGCGAAATTCTTGGCTTTGGATTTTAAATAGATGTAAAACCTAAAACCAAAGGCAAGAATTTCACTCTTTTTTCTATGAATATTTTTTATGTCCTGTCTTCATCAGTATAATAAAACTTGGCTACAATGTCTAATTTTAATGAGAGAAAGACTTTGGGACAAAAATGGAAGTACTGAAATAGAAAAATACGTAGGATGATGTTTAAAAATGCTTTTATATTAAAGGATGAATGAAATATGGGGAAGAATAGACATTTTTCAATGCCCAGATATTTGGAAAATTTAGATTGTATGCTTTCTCCTCTAGGAAGTCAGCTGAGAATGAATTTCAGCCAAAAAAGAAAATAAAATGAAGGAAGAGGAAGACATGATATACAGAAAATAGTGGATCCCACCAGGGATACTGATTTCATTTCCTTTATATACCCAAAAGTTGGATTGCTGGACCATATGTCAGTTCTCCTTTTAATTTCTTTGGGAACTTCCATACTGTTTTCTATAGGACTGTACCAATGATATTCCAACCAACAGTATATAAAGGCTCCTTTTTTCCCATATCATTGCCAACACTTATTTCCTATCTTTTGGATGATAGCCATTCAGACAGCTGTGAGGTGATACCTCATGGTGGTTTTGATTTGCATTTCCCTGATAATTAGTGATGTTGAGCACCTTTTCATATACCTGTTGGCCATTTATATGTCCTCTTTTAATAAATGTATATTTTTATTTTTTAATTATTATAAAAGTAATATATGTGCATGTAACATATCAAATAGTACCCTGGGCAACATAGAGAGACCCTGTCCCTACAAAACAATTTTAAAAATTAGCTGGGTGTGTTGGTGATCACCTGTTGTCCCAGCTGCTCAGGAGGCTGATGTGGGAGGATTGATTGACCCCAGGAAGTCAAGACTGCAGTGAGCCAAGGCCGCAACATTGCACTTCAGCCTTTAGAGATACTATCTCTAAAAAATAAATGTAAAAAAATTAAAATCAAATAGTGCAAAAAACTTTCAAAGAAAAACAACAGACCCTGGCTAGACTCCTCCCTCCTTATCCCAGCCTCATTTTTAAGAAAAACTATCTCAAAAGTTTCCTGTCATTGTTATTTTGTTTTATTTCTCTTGATAGTGACCTCCACAAACCTAGATAATATATACATTCCTCTATTTCTTGTTTATATTTTTAGACAATATTCATCGACTTTCTTGTAAGATGTAAGAATTAAGCTCATATACACCCCCACCTGCTGCTTCTCAGTTTTGAAATGTATATGTTGGTTCTTCTGCTGATTATCTGTTTTTGTATTTGTCTGTTTCCTTTCTTCTTCAACTGTAAGCTGTACATCCTGACATCCCCACGCACACTTTAGGATGAGAATAGATGTGAATGTCCCCATTATTCCCACCCATCTGCACCCCTTGGAGCTGCCATGTGCTTCCTCTGGCTCAGCTCTGCACCACCAGTCAGTCTCTGCTGCTTTGTTCATGGGAGGACTCCGAAGATTGAAAACCAATAAGCAGCCTTGACAGTCTTATCATTGTATAAATACCGCTCACAGAGGCAATCAGTAGGCCAGAAACTCTTTTTCTGAATCTAGTGTCTCAGCATCTGGGCCACTCAAATTCTACTGTTTCTGTCTGTCCTCAATATCAAATGCAATCTCTCTTCTAAGATAATGTTCCTTTCTTGAACGTTCTCCATTTTCATTCACTCCACATTTGAGCAATAACTTTCAGACACAGGTTTTCTTTATGCAAAGTTCTAATTGCCTTCTTTTTACCTGAGTTATTTGCCTTATTACAACTGCATGCTTCCTTAAGCTCAAATCATGCTTTCTATTTTATCAAGTTCCTCTCTTCCCAGGAGACTCCCCTCCTGAAAATACTTTCTTCCTACTCTGTCTTGTAAGACGCCTCCCCAGCTGGAAGTCAGCCTCTTCCAGACGCATCCCTCTACTGTACTCCGGGCAGGATCGACTATTTTCTGTATATCATGTCTTCCTCTTCCTTCATTTTATTTCCTTATTTTGCTGAAATTCATTCTCAACTGACTTCTTAGAGGAGAATGCATGCAAGATACAATCTACATTTTCTAAATACTTGTGTAGTGAAAAATATCTATTCTGCCCCATGTTTTATTCATCCTTTAATATAAAACATTTTAACCACCATCCTATGTATTTTTCTATTTCAGTAATTCCATTTTGCCCCAGAGTCTTTCTCTCATTAAAACTAGACACTGTAGCCAAGGTTTAATACCCTCTTGAGGAGAGGACATCAAAAACAAAATTCATAGAAAGAAAAAAGAGTGAAATTCTTGCTTTGGTTTTATATCTAAAAAATCCAAAGCCAAGAATTGTTGTTGTTGTTTAGATCAGGGTCTCACTGGAGTGCGGTGGTGCAATCTTAGCTCACTGCAGGCTCCGTCTCTCAGGTTCAAGCGAGTCTCGTGCATAGCCTCCTGCATTGCTGGGGTCACAGGCATGCACCACCACATTTGGCTAATTTTTGTATTTTTAGTAGAGACAGAGTTTCACCATGTTGGCCAGGCTGGTCTCAAACTCCTAACCTTAAGTGATCCACCTGCCTCAGACTCCCAAAGCGCTGGGATTACAGGTGTGAGCCACCACACCCAGTTGAATTTGGCTTTTTCTGATTTTTTCATCATTGTGTGAACATCACAGAGTGCACTTACACACACCCAGACGGTAGAGCTTCCTACACACTCAGGCTAGATGGTAGACGCTATTGCTCCTAGGGCACACGTCTGTATAGCTACAGTATGATACTGTCCTGAATACTGTAGCCAACTGTACCAACATGGTAAGTATTTGTGTTTCTAAACATATCTAAAAATAGAAAAATATGGTATAAAAGATTAAGAATGGAACACCTGTGTAGGGGGCTTACCATGAATAGAGGTGCAGGATGGAAGTTGCCCTGGGTGAGCCAGTGAATGATTGGTGAAGGCCTAGGACACTACTGTACACAGCTATAGACTTCATAAACACTGTACACTTATGCTACACTAAAATTATTTTTAAAAATTTGTTTCTTAAACAGTAAACTAAGCTTACCGTAACATTTTACTTTACATTTTTACATTCCTTAAAATATTTTTTTAAGTTCTTTAGTATCGCACTTAGTTTACAACACAAATGCATGGTACAGATATATAAAAATATTTTCTTTATATTCTTATTATGTAAGTTTTCTTCTGCTTTTAAGTTTTCTTCTATTTTTCTTTTATTTTTTATTGTTTTTGCTTTTTAAACTGCTTTGTTAACAATGAAGGCACAAACACACACAGTATCTTAGGGCTACACAGGGTCAGGATCATCAATATCACTGTCTTCCATCTTCACGTCTTGTCCCCCTGGAAGGTCTTCAGGAGCAATAACACGGATCTCTATGTCATCTCTATGATAACAATGCCTTCTTCTGGATACCTCCTGAAGGATATGTGAAATACATTCAAAAATAGCAATTAAGGCTGGGCACAGTGGCTCATGCCTGTAATCCCAGCTACTCTGGAGGCTGACGCAGGAGAATTGCTTGAACTTGGGGGGCAGAGATTGCAGTGAGCCAAGATTGCACCCATTGCACTCCAGCCTGGGTGACAGAGCGAGACTCCGTCTCAAAAAAAAAAAAAAGCAATTAAAAATATAGCATGGTAAATACATAAACCAGTAAACCAGTGACATAGTTGTTGCACTCTGACATTATGATGGCTATTGGCATCTTTAGGCCATAGGAATTTTTCGGTTCCATTATAATGTCATGGGACCACAGTAGTATATGTAGTATATGCAGCCTGTGATTGTCCTAAATGTCACTTTATGGCAGGATGGCATACATATAAAAACAAATGGCAATGGCAATGGTCTTGAAAGCAATGTTTTCTATTAGAGGAACCAGGCAGTATTAACTGATGCAGGGATCTCCTCTGTGGATGCTTAGCCTCCTCCCCTGCAGGCTGGTTCCTAATCCTCCCTGTAGCAACTGACCTTGAGTCTGGGTCTTTCCAGGAAGGTTACTCTCCATCCCCCTCCAGGGTATTATGAGGCCATTCTGCCTTCCCACCCCCACCCACTTTCCAGCAGGAATCTCTTCTCTTTAGGTGAGCTCATCCACCTCCAGCCCCATGCCCAGTCCTGCCCTCATTGTCTGAGCCATTATGAGTGGCTTCCTTGTGCCCCCTCTGCTGTCAGTTTGGGGGGTCTCAGGAGGAGCTGGAAATAACAGCCTGTGCCTACTCTTCCCCTGTCAACCACACTCCCTTAGCTTTGCTTCTCACTTCTGTTTTGCAATCCTCATTACCATAAGGACTCAAGATTGTGTACATTTCAAGAGATCGATCTAGATTTTTCACAGCTCCAGAAGAAGAAAGGACAGCAAAAAAATTCAAAGTATTCATGGTTCATTTTTTCTTTTCTTTTACTCTTTAATTGTATTTTATATTAGTACTAATTACACATGAGCAGTTAATATTAGTTCCAATTAAAATGTCTTATCTTTTAACTCAAATTTTAGATTAATAGGCAAATCTCTCTGAATTACCTCTGACTAGACATGAATATTTCAGCATAACAGAATTTAAAATTTGTATGTGCAGTTTGGAAATGTGATTATAAAATCAAGCAAAATAAACTGCAGTCAACTGTATCCGCAAGTTCCACAATGACAGATTCAACCAATCACAAATTGAAAATATTAAAAATATATATATATAAACACAACAATAAATACAAACTAAAACTTATAGAGTTTAATAACTATATAACATTTGCATTGTATTGGGTATTATAAGTCATCTAGAGATTATTTAAATTATATAGGACAATGTGCATAGTTTGTGCAAATACTATGCCATTTTATAGCATCGAGGATTTTGGTATCTGCAAAGGTCCTGGAATCAATACCCAGGGATGCTGAGAAAAGACTGTAATAATATGTATTTATATATACATATTATATATATACATATATATTTATAAAAATATATTTTTATATAATTTATTGTATAAAAATATAAATGCAAGTTTGAATTCAATATTATCACTTACAGGGTCTAAAGATTGACAGCCCAGACTGGACTTTGGAGAAGGCCCTAATTTATTGTATTAATGGAACCTTATTGAATGTGCTTGCAATCCAGTGCCAGTTACCACACAACAACATTTCTTCCTGGGATCATGGTATAGATAACGTTAATACCTAGCCTTTTCTAAGGATTATACTGCACTTCCCATCCTAACAAAAGGATGTTATTATTGTACTCATTGTGTCCATAAAGACATGAGGCACAGATGGGGTTAAGTAACTTGTGTAAGGTTCCACAGCTAAGACAGGAGAAAATGTGCTTATGTCCAGCAACAGAAATGCTAACTCTGTGGGAGGAACTTGAAATGCAATCATCTCCAAGAAAAGCTGTGTTAAAAGACCAGGCATGAGTGGAGACTAGAAGTTGGTTCTGCTCCAGGTTGGTAACCCCAGTTGTCCTCCTGAGTTGCTAAGAGCCCTTTAAGGAGTTCCCAGCTTCAGGTTTTAAGCTTCTATCCACCTCAGGTAAGCTTTTTACCTGAGGATGATGCTGTAATACACATAGGTTCACTTTGAGACTCAGCCTGGGTCAGTTACAATTTTCCTATTAGATTCTGAGTCAATACTAACTGCATGCCAAACACTAAAAGATATTTTGGAAAGGGATTGTTAGTAGTAGGGCATGATTTCCTGAAACAAACACTTTACAATTGGCTATGGCAAGGGATGTAGGGGTCTGCTGAAAACATCCTGTCAAGATAACATTGACTCATCCAGAGCCAGGTGTGAGCTACAACCCCAAATCAAGCTGACCTCTTCTCACGGCTGCCATTGTTTAGGGTGTTTCTTCAGTCCTATGTTAGCAACATAAGTCCTATGTAGGAAGCATGCATAGTTTTTAAATTCCCAAGAAGGAAAACCTGACTTATTTTTCATAAAACATGATTTGTTTATGGAAACTATTTTAGGACCTACCTATAAATTATCAAAACCCTGGGTTAGTGCAAAATTTGAGTTAATGCCAGTGATATAAAATCATTACTTTGAGAAAGTACGTAATTACATGGAACAAGCAATCTGCATATATGATATGCTGAAAGTGAAAATTCAAAAAAATATCTAAATAGCCAAAGTTATCACAAAAACTCAAATCCTAAGACCAACATAGGTATGCCCTTCAAGGCTAGTTGGACAATTGCAGTCTGCAACCCAGTTGTCCAACATATGGATTAGAAGTAAGACACAAATGCTCAGAAGGTCACCTTACATATGTTTGTCCTGCTCTGGTATTAGCTCAAACAATCCAGCCTCTTCCAGATCTTATCTTTTGTTTGTGAAGAGTCAAAATGCCTATTTTAATTTATTTGCTTTGTAGAGAAGGAGGTCTCACTGTGTTGCCTAGGCTAGTCTTGAACTTCTAGTCCCAAGCCATCCTCCCACATTGGCCTCCCAATATTCTGGCCTTAAAGGCATGAGCCACCATGCCTGGCTCTATTGTAAGTTACATATGCTCCAAGTTCTCTTAAATAGATATACATAAATCTTGTCTCTCTCCAGATATACTCAGCTCTTTACGGACAAGAAATATATTCTTTACTCTTCTTAACAGTGAATACAGGGCCTATAGCTGATGTACCAAAAAATGCTTATTTAACTCAACCAATAAAAAGGAGTCTGGGTTCCCTCTATAATCTGAACTAGAGAGTGAATATTATACTGAATACTGGAGACACCAGTTTTATGCTTTGTGGCAGTAATTCCCTGAGGAAGGTTTAATAAAAATAAGCCTTTCACGTATTTCCAGTTAAAGGAACTTGGGTACACACTGGTCACTTTAAGAACCACACAATGAGACTTCCTTTACAGAATGAGAGTCACGGAAGTCTCCTTTTCTTAGATCATTCTAAGAGAATGGTTAGAACGATAGTCCCTCCAGCAAAAAAGGAAAAATGGAACATCACAGAGAATAACACAGACCATGTGCATACGCATACACGCAAACACAGATTTAAAACACCAAACAACACAAGACGATATGTTTAGGCTTTAATGACTGGTACTTACGTAATAAGGTTTTTTAAAATTCTACTCCCACAAAGAGTAAAATCTTTAAAATACTTGTAGTTTTTCAGGATGTGGGTGCTGCAACATTCTCTAGTTAACCTACAACTTGTTCCTTCTAGCAGACTCAACAAGACACATCATGCCTGCCTGGTGGACATCACGCAGTTTAGATTTGCGAAACACTTGATTAGAACAAATGTCTATTCTTTCCCTTTGTATCTCGTGGTTCAGTTAATTATCACTTCTTGGCATGTTGTCTTACTTAGCACTAAAAAAGGAATCATGTGATTTTATTAAATCAGTGAAGGCCAAAATAGGTCCTCTCCTTAGAACTGTAAGCCTTTCTTATCAATATTTAAAAGGAACCATGCAGAGGAATTATAAAATTTTAACATTCTCTCTTATATTGCTCATGTCCAACTGATTGTAAATTATATCTTGTTCCTCAAATAAATGAGAATCTCCTAGCACTCTACAATATCAACAGATAGTTACTAGCTCTCCTGAAGTCAGTGAAGAAAATACATTCCGCAATGTCTATACTCATGGTAACAGATGTCCAACAATTTTGACCAACTTTGCAGTCTACAAAAGAGAGAGAGAGAGAGACAGAAAAAGAGAGAGAGAGAGATGCAGTAATAATTATTACTGTCATTACTTAATTTTAGTTCCTCCCCTTGTAAGATTGTACTTCTGACCCTCTGTTTGGTGGATAAATTCATACAATTGCTCTATCCTACAGATGATGAGTAGAACTGCTAACAAATGGTACTTGGTAACACAAGACTTTGCAGAGTTCTCTCTCCCTCTGACCCACAGCTGGCAACTGTCAAGAAGGTGACAGCTCCCTCAACCTAGTTTCTATGCAACAAAAATAAGCAGAGCCTTGCTGAACTGCAAAGGCATATTTCATGCCTGAGAAAGACTGCTGGTTCCCAGCATGGAGATTTGCGCTGGGAATTGGTTACTGTAGCAGATCACAGCCCATCCTGACTAATGCATGGTGGCACTGGTTTCAGCTGGGATGCAACCCCTTCCTCCTTGACTGGTCAGATGTGGGGCAAGGACAAGGACAGTGCAGGGACCTGCAGAGCAGCTGTGGGGAGTGTCCTCACATCCAATGTAAGCTCTATGCCACTTGGCTAAGAGGGACTGGGCCTCCTTTTATTATCTGAATAAGCATATACTGTTTCCACAATGTAGCCTTAAGTTAAGCCGAGGAGTTTGCTTCTTTGGGATAACATGTCTGCAAGAATTGGGCAGAAGGCTGGTAGCTGCACATCCTTTCAGTCACATAGGAAAGAAACTCAGTGATTGGGATTTCTAATTCCTTCTTCTGGAAGAAAATGAAACCTATCCCTCTCTCTCCAAACAGGACTCCAACACAGCTGCTTCAGAGGAATGGTGACCATGAACATATCCAGAGAAAGACCTCACAACACTCTGTGGTGAGCTATTTAACAATCTTGATAGCCAGTAAATCCTCAATGTCTAACTTAAGTCACTGTGCTATAATTTAAAGCCATTTGCTAGTATGCTAGATTTTATGGAACTTAAAAGTGACCCATATATTATCAGAATCTACTAATTCTATTATATATCTAAATGGCTACATACAAAGTTGGCACAGAAAATTATATAACATGTAGAAAACTAAATAATGGAGAAAAAAGTGAAAGGATAAAAAGAAAAGTAGGAAGAATGAGTTGAATGAGCCCAAAAAGCTGGTGCCATGGGGTCTGTATTTTTGTCAGAGATGGAGCAGACACTGAGCGCTGCAACTTCCAGCAACCAGCACAGCAAGGAAAAGCTCTCCAGGCGTGACTGCCATGGAAACACCCTTGCACAGAGGACTCCCATGTATTCAGCCAGGTGTTGGGAGAGCCTGGACTTCAGATCACATCCCTCACACACAGGAAGGTTTCTCTACCATGGCCCTCAGCACACCCACCCCTCCCCAGACCCACAGAGTAGGGGAATTTCTGGAAGGAAGAGGAATCCCCCCACCTCACAGGGAGCGACTATCCTCACATCAGAGGTTCACTCCCTGATGAGCTCACTCAGGAGCTCTGCAGTCCTGCCTTTTTTTCCTCTGGTGCAGAGACTAATTACAGGGTTATTGGTCCTCCCATTTGATGTACCAGTGGATCAGAAAACAAGACAAACAAAACAAAACATAAGCCAGCTGAGTGCTCAGAATTATCTCACACAACCTCTTCCTGCAATCCTAGAGAAGGCAATGCCTTTAACACACTTGGTGTCCATAAGCCATGCCATGAGTAACTGAATGAAGGAAGGAAGGTTCCGACATTCTCCCTTCACACTCTTCGCCCCAGCATGTGCTTTCTGAAACACTCACTCTCAGATTGAACCCCAGCCAGTGGGTGAAAATGATAGCTATTTGCATGGAAACTTGTGGGGGCTTTGATTTCATTAATCCTATATTATATTGTAGCTTAGTAAGCTATAGATCTTATTAAAGACAACCAGAGACTTCTGGCTATGTAGCATATTCCCTTGCAAGCTGCATTTGTGAAATACAGTTTACAAATTATCAAAAACAATCCATTTGGAAAATTTTCAGCTGCCATTTTGTTTAAAAATGGAGCACTCAAACTAAAATTAAATCTAAATTCAACCCAAACATCTTTTAACAGAGTACTCATGCTCCACCCAAATCAATCAACTTTTTAAGTTGCCATGGAGCAGAGATAAAATATGAAATACTGGGCAAGCAAGTTACAACAGAGCTCTCCCTTGTCCCTGGTATGGAAGATGACACTTCCCTGCTGGCAGCTGGCAGTTGGCACTGACTTAGTTTGGGGTCCCCCAGAAGCAGACCTTAAGACAAGGATTTAAGTTCCTGTAGTTTACTTGGAATGTGATCTCCAGAAACACTGAGGGAGTGGGGAATCGAGACAGGAGAGGAGAGAAAGTTAATAAAAGACCAAATTAACAGGCCACAGCGGGCCACTGGGGTTGACTCACCACAGACCCTGAAGAAGGCAATGTGGACCCATCCCTTTGAGAGGCAAGGAAGCTGAGTGAGTATCCACAGACCCCCTTTTTCCCCTTGTTGAGGGTCCTCTCGGGTGTAACTGCCCTTCAGGCCACCCCGACCAAGTGCAGGCAGCTGCCAGCTCTCCCCACTGAGCAGGGCTAGGCTGAGAGGAGATGGATAGGGTATCCGCAGCCTCTGCTCCAGGCCCTGGGAAGACTCGGACCTGCTGAGATCAAGGCATTGGTTATTTGAGGTTCCCTCATGAATAAAAATTTTGTATGATTTTTTTCTTTCACAGATAGAAAGCAATTTGTAGTTGGCTGTCAATCTCTTTTTTACCCACTACTTCATTTTTGTAACTTAAAAGTCTCCTGTTGAAAAAAATAAATAAGTTAATCTTGATCAAAGTACTCTCCCAAACATCCCCACATTTGAACTGACAGTGTTCTATCTCAGACGCTGTCTTCTATGCCGCAGCTGTTTCCTGAGGGATGCAGGATGCTGCGGGGAAGCTGGTCCATATCTCAGGTATGGGAGGCTGTTTGTGCACCCTATTCACTTGATGGTGCAAGGATCTCTTTTAGGATTCCTGTTGATCTCCTTCAGGAGATACACTTATGTCCTTACATCTGGATTTCGCTTCCTGGCCATGACTGTTTACTCCTCCCCACTAACTTGCTTTCTTACGTAAAACAGCATTAGGGAGTATAAAGATGTGTATGGTATATTTATAGGGCACTTTGCATGCTTATACATGTCAGGTAAAGCAAGAGGACCTTATTATCTCCACAATCAGTTGAAAAGATGAGACGGATAGATGTGAAATTCACTTACAGATAGAGAAGCAGAAGTTCACACAAGTTAAGCAACCCCCCACGCTGGTGCTGAGGCTGTCTGACCACTTGGCTCACCGGGAATGCCTTCCAAACATTTAAGGGAAAAATAACATCAATTTTTGCACAAATGTTCCAAAGAATAGAAATAAAGAGAATAGCAACTGGTTTATTTTCTGAAAGCAGCATATATTTCATGCCAAAATTCGACAAACATGTTACTACAAGGGAAATTTACAGACCAATCTCTCCCATAGACATAGAAGTTAAGATTTTCAACAACATATTAATAACTGTTAATATAAAGCATAATAACTGTACTTTCTTTTTAAAAAAATGATTTTCTTCTCTCTTCAATGTCAAGTTTAGATTTCTCATTGCATCAATGAGCTTGTGATGGATTAATGAATGGTAGTTTCGTTGATGAGAGGAAGCATATTATTAAAACCCATCAATAAATCTCCTATACCTAGTTTTTTGATGCATTTAAATATTACAATCTTCATTCCCTCTGTTTCACCTTCTCCCAAGTCATTGACTAAGGGCATATGTTTGAAAGATATTGCCAATCTTAATTACTTTCTCCATCAGATCATGCAATAAAACTGAATCTGGAAAGAGATTAGAACTCTCACCCTGTGAATAATACACTTGATGCCAGGCACACAGGCCTTAGCTTTTGACTTGAATGAGCTCTTGAAATTCTCTTAGTTTCTTTTTATTATAAACAGCACAATCCATGACAAGTGAATTTTTTTTTTCCACATTCAGATCAAATGTTTACTCAAGTCCCTGAGGCAAGCATTTAGGCCCTACCAATTTCCATGTACTCGCTAATGTGAATTTCTGTCATGGGAGCTTTGTTTTTGACAAACCTCCCAGGTAACTCTTCTCTCCTTTGACCTTGCCCGACTCCACCCTACCTGTCCCACCAACAGGGTGGACAGCATGTCTATCCTTCTTGTCCCGCCATAGTTTACAGATTGAAATGAAGGCCACCTTGGTTGGGTCACTTATCTATAGCTAAGTGTTGATAATGTTAAAATAAAAGCCCAGCTATCTCCCTTTCTCTCACTGCTTTATGGAAACACTTTGATTCTCACTTATTAGTTTGTACATAAATATCTTGCTGATGTTTTTAATATAAAGTGCAACTGTTTTTCAGCAGTAGGAAGTAGAAAGGAAGTAGCGTGCTGAATTAGCCTGAGTTTTCTAATGACGCATGACAATGCCACATTCAAATGAACGAAACAACACCAAATTTTCTGTGAGGCTAATTAGAAGAAACTTAGTATGCTTTGCCCATGGGGACTACACAGGTATGGTGCGTTTGGATCACAGACCTGTATTTTATTATCCATGATCAAAATCTCTGAGGCAGGACTTGTTACCATGAAAACAATATTTTAGATTGCATGTATGTGTGTGTTATCCCCATTGTCCTGTGATTGTAAACCTTTTATTTATAAACATGTACTATTTTGAGATGATCATGGGAAATTCAGTAAGCCATGGGATATATAAACACTTTTTCCCCAAAATTTGATTTTTATTCATTGATTTAATGGGGTTTTTTTTTGTGAAAGATGAACCCTATATATTTTAGGTAACATTTGATAAGGTGATACTCATCTCTGCTGATACACTGGATATAAGTTTCATCCACATCACAGATATTTCCACATGAAGAATGAATATAGAAACACTTCATAATATACATGTTATCCTTACACACAGAAACACATGTGAAATCATGGTAAGCACAGAGAATAAATTTCATATTTGTATTGAGGAAACTACTGAACATTCTAAAATCTAAGGTCACAATTGCTTCTCCAAGAGTAAAACTAATCCACAGAAAATGTTTGCAATATGCATTTGTATAAAATTATTATGTTTCTATGAAACTACCCATTCTAAATAAATCTAGAATTTAACTTTCTCCCATTAAAAATGCCAACAGTATTAGGTACTTTCTAAATTAAATGAATGTCTCAGAAAATCAAAGAAAATATATATATCAAGAGTTATTCTAGAAAAGAAAATAAAAAAGAAGGTGCTAATGTTTCCAGAAAATAAGCATTGTATACAGCCATGGTAATTAAATTAATAGAAGTCTGATGTAACAGTAAACAAAAAAAGCAGTATGGAAAACTCATAGCCTAAACATGTTTGGAAATATTGTATATAATACAGGAATCCTCTCATATTGAAGGGGAAAAATGGAGATTATTTAGTGAATGATGTTGGGATAAGTGAATAGCCAAATTGGAAACAATGCCACCTTCACAACAACACCAACATAATATAGATTAGTCACTCAAACAAAAAGTAAAAATGTAAAAGTTTTTTTACAAAACTTTGGGAGAAACATTGGGAGAATTATTTTATCATTTCAGAGAAGTTAAGGCCTTTAAATCTGTGAAACAAACTTAGAAGCCATAAAAAAATTGATGAATTCAATTACATAAAAATCGTCAATATCAAATTACAATATTAGTTATTTAAAATAGGCAAAAGACAAGCTAGAAAAAATATATTTGAAATTTACGCCATAAAGAAAAGACTAATTTTCGTAACATATAAAAAGATTCTACAAAATAATGCGAAATGAGAAAAGGATATAAACGGTTGACTAAAGATAAAATTCAAATGGTTCTTAAACATATGAAAAGTTCTTCAGTTTCATAATGAGAGACATACAAATAAAAGCTACATGGAAATTTATTTTTTTACCTATGAGATTAACAAACATAAAAATGCTTGATGGTACACAGTTTCAGCAAGCATACGCAGGAGCAGACACTTGCTGGTGAGAATATGAACTGGCCCATCCATCTGGAGAGCAATGACTGACTATATCAGTCCTAAGTAGAACAAACATACCCACTGACCCACAAATTCTACTTTTAGAAATTCATCTTACAGACACATTTGTGCATGTAGGAAATGGAATATGTCAAGGTTACTCATGGAAACACTGGTTGTAGTAGCAAAATATTGGAAATAACCTAAATGACCATCAAGAGGGAATGTTTCAGCCATATGTGGTGGCTCACACCTATAATCTCAGTACTTTGGGAGGCCAAGGCAGGTGGATCACTTGAGGTCAGGAGTTTGAGACCAGCCTGGCCAACATGGTGAAACCCCATCTCTACCAAAAAATACAAAAATTAGCTCAGTGTGGTGGCGTACGCCTGTAATCTTGGCTACTTGAGAGACAGAGGTTGCAGTGAGCTGAAATCTCACCACTGCACTCCAGACTGGGCAACAGAGCAAGACTCCATTTTTAAAAAAAGTGGGGGGAGGGAATGTTTAAATAAATTATGTTATATTCTGAAAATAAAATCCTTTGAAGCCATTGGGATTGGGAAGGCAGGAATGAAACTTTATATACACATCTGGAAGACGCTGAGAAAAGTGAGAAAAGACAAGGTACATAGTAGTACTGGTAGAACGCTTTCACCTGTGTTTAAAGAAGGGAAGATAGGATGCTGAGTGTGTGTGTGCATGTGTCTCCTACATGCACGAAGTGTTTCTGGAGAGACCCACAGACACTGATCAGTGGTATCAGCTGCCTTTGTTGGATCCATTCCATCTGAGTAGATATTGGCTGCTGTTAGCGAGGGGAGAATTTCACTACAACAATTTCTACTGTTTGAATTTCCAAATGTGAACACATGCTTATTCAACAAAGAAGTGCTTTTAAATACATTGGTTTTCAGGAATCTGTGAATAGTTAATTATCTTGTTATAAATCCTGAAACCTGCTTTTAAAAATGAATACTTTTAAAAAATATGCTGCTATTTTATAAACAAAACTACTACTACCAACAAAATAACAAAATAATTACCATCCAACAGCATAGGTCACAGGATAACATAGTCATTTTCTAATTTGGCAACTATTTCATGAAGGCCTACTGTGTACCAGTCATTGCCCTAGCTTTCGAGGTCAACTAGCAGAAGACAAGCCAGACCTCTCATCCTGCAGGTGACAGCATCACCCTGGCTTCCCTGCTGCCTCATTGGCTCCTCCTTTGCAGGGTACTGCTCATCTTCCCAATAAACACTGCAGCACTGAGGACTCATGCTTTGCTCCCAGGGGTACTCTCCCTTGTGATCTCATCTGATCTCAGGCCTTTCACTGCTGCCTATATAGCAGCAAATCCCATTTCCTCCCAGTCCAGCTCTCTCTCCCAAATTCCAGATCCTGACACTGCTTACTGTCTTCACTGGGATGCTGTATGAGCTCTCCAGGGCTGCCATAACAGTGTACCTCAACCTGGGCAGCTGAAGTGACAGGGATGAGTGTCTCATAGTTTTGTGGCTAGAAGCCTGAGATCAAGATGCATCCAGGACTGGTTCCTCCTAACAGTTCTGAAGGAGAAGCTGCTCCATGCCTCTCCCCTGTATTCTGGTGGTTTGCTGGTATCACAGTGTTCCTTGTCCTGCAGAAGCATCACCCCGACCCCTGCCTCCATTCTCAACGGGCTTCTTCCTGCGTGCACGTCCATGTCCAAATCCACCCTTTTATAAGGACTCCTGTCATACTGGATTGGTGACCACCTACTGCAGCAGGAACTCTTCTTAACTAATTACCTTTGCAATGACCCTATTTCCAAATACACTCACGTTCTGAGGTAGTGAAGTACTCAGGGTTAGGACTTCACATACACATTTCTAAAGGACACAGTTTAAAAGCATTTGTTTAATGATGGCAGATGTTTAATGATAACTCTAACTGAATACTCTGGCCCCTGCCCCTGCCCCTGCCAATTTCAGCTGCACTCAGAGTCTCACATCTCCATTGAGGCCATTCTATTCTTCTAGGACAAAACATGTCTTAAAGCTGGTCTTCACTCTTCCTTTAATAGGTAAAAAGGAACAGATGTTTAGATATGCTGAAACACCTAATGATCACTGAATCACTGATTCCATTTTAACGCCACTCTCGAAATGTTTGGGCTGATATAAGAGCACTGCACAGGCAAGAGCTGACTCCACATCCAGTGTGCAATCCCAGAGGCAGGTGGTCCGGGTAGCCTCCTAAAACAACTTCTGTTTAAAAGCTATGTTTTTACAAAGATTCCTTTCATTTTAGTAAATATTTATTGATAGTTTATTCAGCAGACACTGGAAATATAAATAGAGAGAAAACAGACATGGTCCTTTTCCCCACAGAGTCATGTTCTGGTGTCTCCACACTGAGCAGCCTTTAAAAATCTGCCACCATCTGCATGTCTGGCCATGGAGTCTGTCAGTGTGGAGGACAAGATCAGTGATAGAAGGAAATGGAAGGGCTCCATTCAGATCTGTCCATTAACACCAACCCGCCATATCCGCTACAGAAAGGTGGAAAGTGGAAAGGCTGTCTCTCTCAGAGGTTTCATGCGGGCCTGAACATGGGACCTCACAAACGCGGAGAGCCAGAGGAAGGCCCCATCAAAGAGACGCCGCTGACAGAAACGACAGAAGCACGCTGAACTTCAGCTGCGCGAGGGATGGGAGCACCCATCTTACCCAGGAAGATGGGATAACAGCAATAAATGGAAATGGAGTATTTCTTTTTCATCAAGGAAAGACATTATGAAGGAATCATAGGGAGAATGTTAGTATTTATTGCATTAGTTGTGTTTTCCTCTTCCCCCCTCTCCAGCTGTAAAGGCAAGAAGGGTGCAGCTTTGAGCACAAACAGCTAAACCTTTAGGGGGACTTCCTTATGCAGCAGCTCCACAAGCCGGCAGACACGGGCATGCCCCTGAGGTGCAGCTCCAGTGCCAGGGGCTCTGGTGTCCATCCACTCACCTCTCAAAGGATGTGTCTACTCCATGTTGGACTTTTGACTTAAAAGGTTAAGAACAAGAATATTTACCAAGTTTAAGATTTTCAAAGAACGTCCACATGTGCAGTCTTATTTGGTGATGCCCATTTCACTTTTACCATATGAAAAAACTAATGTTGAAAGTATTTAGGTAGATAGGCAGGGCATTGTGGTCATGCTTGTAATCCCAGCACTTTGGGAGGCTGAGGCAGGGGGATTACTTGAGGTCAGGAGTTCAAGACCAGTCTGGCCAACATGGTGAAACCCTGTCTCTATTAAAAATACAAAAATTAGCCAGGCGTGGTAGTGCGTGCCTCTAATCCCAGCTACTCGGGAGGCTGAGGCATGAGAATCGCTTGAACCCGGGCGGCAGAGGCTGCAGTGAACCGAGAATGGACCATTTCACTCCAACCTGGGGGACAGAGTGAGACTCCATCTCAAAAAAAAAAAAAGGTATTTAGGTAGATAATCCTTAGGGTCACAGGTTTGAAGTTTAAAGAACTATGCAATCTGGTTTAGAGTAGCCAGTAATGGCAATATGTAAGGATGACAAGTATGTGCCCTTTCTTCAGCGTTTAAGTGCTCTGCTGATAAGCAGAGTTGCTGTCCACTTTGGCTTGGTGGGAAAAGGCTCTGGCCAGTGTGATGACACCATGACACCATCATAGTGGCTAGCAGGGTGGCACATGCAAGTCCTTTGGGGAACTCAGTAGGGGAAAGTCTTAGCCTTGCCTGAAGAAGAAGCAGGAGATCTGCAGAGGAGCCACTGCTGAGGATGAGTTAAGAGGATGAGTGTTGAGTTGAGTCTGACAGTGACAGAGGAAAGTGACCGAGGTGTTGGGGCAAAGGAGCAGCGGGACACAGTCCAGGAGGGCTGTCTTCTCCCAGCTCTGCATGGATGCTGCTGGGAGAAGCAATGGAGAAGACAGGCAGGCCGGATCTTGTGCCTAGCATTTGTTATGCTGGAGAGCTTGAGGGACCACAGGGGAATTTTATTCAAGGGATAGATATGGGCAGATTTGAGTGGGTTTGCTGTTGTTGTTGTTGTTGTTGTTGTTGTTGTTGTTGTTGTTTTTCAGAGACTAGTATGACATTGGGGGGCACTGAGGGAGATGGCAGCCAATGGAGGAGGGATGTCTAGGGATTTCTAGCCCTCCTATGCCTCTAGCTCAGTTGTTCTCCACTAAGTGTATTTTAGGTGCATTCCTCCCTGAGCTCTAAGGAGCCTTGTCTGTCCATGTGGCCCCAGAGCCCTCCAAATCTTCATTAAACAGAGGTATCGAGAGACTCAGCCTCTCAAAGACGATAATTTCAATCACACAAGAAGTGGAATCTCATTTGATTTTCTAACTCAGCTTGGATTATTTTCTTAATACTTCTGCTGTCTTTCTCCCTCCCCCTTTGTGGTTAGTCATTCATGCTGCTGTGTTTAAATTATACGAATTAAGAATTATTTGGCTCCATTCCATTCTGAGAGCCCTGTGGCAGGGCATTATTTAAAAGCATATATTAGGACTGGTGCCATGATCTGCAAACATGCCTGGCGGTTGGGTTCAGGCTTTTTCATGTTGTAGCTTACAAGGTTAATCACTTTGAAGAGTGCAATGCAAGGAGGAAGTGCCTGGTGGACTGGATCATTTGCACAGGGGTGAACTTCTCCCCACTGACATTTTCAAAGGAACTGCCAAGGCAAGAGAGGATTTGAGAACTGGACCGCTGGACACCTTGACTAATAGCAATAAAATTAAAGGAAAACAACCTTACTGTATGAGCATTATGCTTGGTCTCTGCTATAGTACTACCATGAGCAGTGTTTCTGTAAGGATTTATTTCCTGAACAGCAGTATGCAATTAATCGATAGGTTTGCAAATTGTTAGGAATTCCCTCTAAATCCAAAACTATGAAAAATACCACACGCAATGCAGAATTCCTCTGTAATTAGTGGAGTTCTACATTTCCTGGAGCAGCATAATTTCAGGATTGCTAGGAAGGGATCACCTGTTCCTTGTAGTCTTAAATTTCTTTTGTAAAAATGCGTCCAACTGCAGAAAGGAAGAAATAATGAGTCCCACAAAGCTCAAGTTTGTTTACAGTCTCTAAGTAGCCACATATCTATGGAATACCCAGTGAATATGTTAACAGGGAGATTGAAATAATTCATATGAGGCAGACATACACATCTATTATATAGTCCAATGTAAAGTATTTTCAAGATTAGCAAAATAAATGTTTTCCCCACCCCACAAGGTCACCCTACTCTATAGGATTCAGTGGAAATTGACAATAATCAACCTACCTCTGTGCTATCTTCGATGTGGTGTTGAGGATAATTTTCAAGTTGGAACATTTCATTTACAAATGATTTCTAGGATAACTAATGTTCAAGCCACAATCCACAGTTTATATCTCAGCATAAAATTGGAGGTCAGAGTTGGAAGTTCTTTCTCCCACGGCTCACCTCATATCCTAAATAAGGAACCTCTGTTGCCACGGGAAGTGATGACCAGACCCCTTGTTGATCCACCCTGGACCTGCACTCTTTATAACAAATAAACCCTGTTGTTTTAAGCCATTCAGCTTTTCACATGGTTTGCTCTTAGACCAAAGTTTAGAATATCCTGACAGATACATCCCCACAGTGTAGAGTCATTGAGGGTCTGTGGAAGCTTGGAAGAAGAGTCTATTAGATTAGATAGAGTGGCTGTAGCTTCATTGGTAGCCTTGCTGTACTGTGGGAACAGTGTCTGGGTGCACTGGGGTGAACAGTGTCCTTCGTAAGTGATCAGTGTAAACATGCATCCCTTTCACACCCTTCAAATACTTGGCACTTCTCTCTCCAGGTTGTGGATATTTACTCTCTGCTCTCCACCCCACTGCTGGGCAGTCTGTTATTCCCTGTCATCAAATAGCTACTTAACTAGAAATGGCATCTCTCAGTGTCACCACCATTCCCTCCACACATCTGTCTTTCTCAGCATAGTCTCAACTTCACCCTGTTTCACAACCATTTGCCATCATGCTTCCCCTCAGTGTTATTATACAAGAGATGAACGGACGGTGCATTGCAGGCTGAGAAGTGAGGACCAGCATCCCCATAGCTGCCTGGGTTGCAGGGCTGCAGACACACAGAGACCGCAAGAGGAGGGGATACCATTAAATATTTTCAAGGAGATAGATAAGGTCGTACAATTATTGTTTTTCATATCAATGAACACTCTGAGGTTTGCCAAGGTTGTGAGTTTCCAACTAATCAAAACCTCCCTGAATATTAAAATACACACAATGTAACAATATGGAATTGTATTTGGATAGCTTAAAGTCTGGTACAAAGTAGATGCTCAATAAATATGGAATGCAAGGATGAATTTCCACTCCAGTGTCTGATTACAGTCTTCTGTTATTGTCATCTGAGGTATGATACCCTAAAGAAGAAGTGAACCATCCCTGAAAAGAGGACACTTTACCTTTGGCATCCCCATAGCAAACTGACACACCTAGCAAGCAATAGGTACTCAATGAGTGCTCAATGATTTGAATCAAGGCCTCTCTTACCTTTTTTGCATGTCTGCCTAAAGTAAATACCATATTCCATGCCATTTTGCGCTCAGTATAAAACCATCAGCATGGAGAACCCTCTGCAGGAAGTAACTATTCTGTAAATAAACACCCTTTCTCCACTTTGAATCCAAATTTTCTAAATTTTTGAACCTACAGTGGCTTGAATACTATTGCTCATTTCTTGTTTGATGACAAGATAATGTCGGAGGTTTCATGATAACTCCTATACGCAAAGGACTAGGGAAAAGTCACTCTCCATTACACTTTGGAGAATACATAAAACTCAGTGGCTTTTAAATTAATCATTTACATCTAAGAGAAAATATCGTGGAAAAAAGAGTAGAAAAAAGATAAGCAATTTCCTTATATATTATGCCAATAAAGCATTTTTTAAGAACTAGGATAGAATTATAATCTTTCAACAGAATTTCTAACAGTTCCAAAGAACAAAGGTGATAAAAGTTTCAGTAATTCTGGGCTTAATTGTTCATACCTTTAAAAAGAAAAATAGTAACGGGCCATATGGGGAGGACAGGAAGTAGAGGAAGGTCATTTCTGCAGAAATCAACATAATACTTTTTCATTTCATGAGAGATAATTGGCCAAGCCAACAGCTGCAGGAAAGAAGGCTGTCCTTCTTGCCTGGTAAACAAACTCATTCAAAGCACGGGCTTTTCTCAACCAGGAGCGGATTCTGGCTGTGTGAATCCCACACACAACGGGTGGGGGCCTTCCTGAGGCCGTGAGGACACCTCTCCAAATACTGATTGTTTTTGTGCCTGCACACACAAACACAAGTAACTTCCCGTGTTACTCACCTGCAAGCCACCCTTCCAGTACAGCACGCATCTGATGGTGCCTGTCGTCTGACTCACTCACGCTTGCAAAGGAGGAAATAGAGGCCCAGAAAACTTCCAGGAACAACCAAAGCCATGGAGCAAGTTAGAAGAAGATCTGAGACCACTACCTTTGCTCTCTACACCCCAATTCCTCTCCAGAAAACCTTCTTTCCTTGGGGATAATCCCACCAGTTAACCGACGGCTGTGTGCCTCTTATTTGAGCACTGCTCTCCTTGAACGAACTGAGAGCGCTCTGGCCTAACTTTGCCATCGTCTCAGGATTGCATTAGATGGGGTTGACCGCTGTAACCCTCAAATCCCAGGCTTGGCCAGACCCGGGTTAAAACCAAAATGGCATAGCCACCTTTGACTGTGGAACCAGGTACAAAGCATATAAGGTTTTTAAATGCCTATTTTAAAAACTGTTTCATTTTATGTGTCACATTCTTGGCTCTGAAAAGAAAGTACAGCGAGCCCTCGAGTCAGGGCTGGAGGCCGTGTGTGCAGCCTGTGCAGCGTTCAGCGCACAGCACACTTCAGCAGAGCCAGTTCCAGGGTCAGCATGCTCGAGGGGGCCGCAGAGCAGCTTCCCATTCCCCCTGCGAGAATCACACAGCCTAGAGCCCCGGATCCCATCCCACTTTGCTCCAGAGACAAAGTGTTAGCTCTGTCCAAGGACGTCCCCTCAAAAGCCTGCAGACGCCACGCCCGGGGCCCCCTGCATCCTTCTCAGTGAAGTGTGTCACCGGCTACATGTTAATGCCCATGTGTGAGGGTTACAGTTAATGCCTTTTAAAGCTGCTTTCCCTCCTTAGCAGGCCAGGAAAATGTTCACGCAGCAGGGTGGAGCGCGAGGGAGGCATGGAAATTCTACCTAAGCGTAAAGGCACTTCGAGGAGAGCCTTTGCCTGCCCCTCCCGGACGCTTGCTGCCAGTCGGTCCTCCCCTCGCACCTTCGCTTTTCTTCGTGCCCTTTTACCCTGCCCGGGGGTGCCGCCTGCTCACTGCTCCTCTCTGCTCTGTGCGCCAGTGTCCCTCGCTGCTCTTCCGCGAGCCCACGGCTCCTCTCCTCATCCCTCCTGATGAGGGGCCACCCGCATCTATGCACATGCATGCCAGTCAAGCCTGCTTCTAGAAATTGTGTGTGTATGTGTGTGTGTGTGTGTGTGTGTGTGTGTGTGTGTGTGAGCGCGCGCGCCTCATATCAAAGCAGCAGCCTAATACTCTAAGAGCGACCTCCTGTTGAGTGCAGATTTCAGCCAGGAAGCACTACACATGGTTATTGTGCCCTGCAGTGCGGCTTCTTCCCAAGCCCTGTTCCAGACGCACTTGCACACCGTGGCCCTGGGAGTGAGGCCTCGTCCCATTCCAAGACAGAGCCGGAACATCCAGAGGGACCCGCCGGCCGAATGCACACGGGTTTGGAGGTGGGGGCTGCCCTGTCCCTCCTGGGGTTTGGGGGTGGGGCTGAGGTACCCACATAGGTAGCTCATGAGAAAAGCGCCCCATCCCACCCCACCACACCCCAGGAAGCTGACGATGACCTGCTGGAGAGACAGGCGCTCTCGGAGAGCTCCAGTCATGCTGCGGAACACAGAGGAGGGAGGAACACAGAGGAGAGAGGACCACAGAAGAGGGAGGACGCTGAGTCCAAGGCTGTGCCGGGAAGGCGAGGTGAGCTCTCCTGCTCATGGTTAGGGGACACCAAAGAGTTGAGTTGTGCGACCCTCAACTTATAGATTAGAGAGTGTGAGGGACGAGGCCGCAGGTGGGCAGAGTCGCCTTGTGTGCAGCCACAGAACCTGGCTCTGAACTAGGCCTGCAGGCTCCAGAGCCCGTGTTCTTACTGCAGTGTGAGTAGGGCTCGCAGCCTACTCAAATCGCACTTCCCTCTGGCGTGCAACCTCAGGAGGTCAGGGAGAACTTAAAGGCCCATGAAAGCTGATGATGATGGACTTCTAAAAGAGATCGATTCGATCTCGGATTTTTTTCTCAGCATCCTTTTCCAAAATTTACCAATCAAGCTCTTAATTGTATTCACATGAAGGCTCTAGAAGTGCTCTGGTGATTTTCCAGAATATTTTCTTAGATAAATGGAATGACAGAGGAAATGCAAACCATTGTTCCTTGACTTTTTAGGGAAAAAGAAAGCTCACTCAGCTTCATCATTTAAACGTATTTTTGAATGGGAGGAACTAAATTTATTTTATTGTGTTGCTTAGCTGTGCCTTTAATAAGAACTAGCTTCTTAGATCAGTGAGCATAATTTACATGAAGTGGTGGAAAACTAACCTAACTTTATGTACATTTGGACTATGTGACTGTAAAACTTGTTTAAAGTTAGCTTAGTCATTAAAAATATCATTGAACAAAATGTCTTTTCTCTCTAAACTCCACTGTGCCAAGATGTTCAGCCAGTGTTGCTGAGTAAACAGAGTTAACTCATGCCACTGATCACCTCTGATGAGTGGATTTGCTCTTCACAGATTCCATTTTTCCTTAGAATGCATTGTCCCACGAAGCTTCCCCCTTCAAATCCAGATTTTCTATTTGATCTGTGTAAACATTGCTTGTTGTGTGTAAATGGGCATAAATATTCAGAAAATATATGCCCTGAATGAAGTTCCTGAAGAAAAATTGGTTTACAAAGTGTAATTACATTTCCCTGTTGTCTTAAATTCTTTATTCAGAATTAGAAATCAGAAAAGGAAGAATAAATAAATAAATAAATAAATAAATATGAGATGATATTCATCCATTTAGCCATTCAGCCAACAATGAGTATCTAACATTTGAGAGGTTCTGGGGATAGAAAGATAGATACATCATAATTTCTGCCCTCAGAAGTTCTGCAGTCTAAGGAAGTGAGAGTGTAAACAGGCAATTATAGAGAGTGTGCAATTGCAACAATGGGGGTGATCAATACAGAGCCTGCTCCATGGGAAATGATCATGTCAACAGAGCTTGGAAACAGAAAAGTAGGTAAGGCACTAGGAAAGGCCCCCAAAATGGCACCTTACCAACATGGAGGGATTTGGGAAGTCTTCTTTGGAGAGGTTATGCCAAGCTCAGTTTGTAAGGGTGAATCACAATTAGCCAGGGCAAAAAAGTAAAGAATGAACCACCTACCGGTAGAGAAAAACAGATTAAACAACATTTGGGGGAATTTCAGGCAGCTGGGTGTAGAGTTGAAAATAGGTGAAAGGCACCCCTGTGGCATTGGCCGCATGTAATGGTTTCAGCAGAAAGTATGGGAAGGTCCCAGGGTAGTGTGAGGCAGTGAGGAGGACAGACCGAGGGCACCATCTGAACAGTCAGAGTTCATGTTTGCAGCTGTTACTGTGGATTCAGGAGAAGTGACACAAGTGAAATGAGGCAGCAAAACTACAGATACAAGTGACAGACAGATTGAAGAGCTTTGGAAAGATGTAGAATTTCCTCTAGGTGAGTGTCCAAAGTAGACATTAAAGTATTAATGTAGCTTTTCAGACTTCTGGATGCCAAATAATGAATAGACCCATTCTCCTTGCTTCTGCCACCAAGCACAACTGTGAACCCAGCATGGCACTTGAGGTGACCCCAGGAGGACCCTGGGAGGAGGGGAAGGCAAGTGTGTCCAGAACCCAAGAGGAGTAGCACAGTGCCAGGTCTCAGTCCCCACCCAGCAAGGAAGGCCACAAGTCATGGTTTCCACCCCATCCCAGTACCAGCAGCTCCTCAAATGGTCTTCAGATTGCTCATTCTCTAGATGGAGCAGAGTTCCTCCAACAGCACCAGGGGAGCCACTAGCAGGGGCACATCAGAGCCCCACTAGAAATCCGTACCCAGGGGTCTACTTACCACTAAGCCTGAGATGCCCTTTCCCTGCTGAGACACACAGAAGTGAGGGGTAGAATCAGAAAAGGGGCCTGCCATAGCAAGCAGCTGCTCAGAGAGACTCTGTTGCCAAAGGTCTGGGATTCTCCTGCCCTGACCAGAGGCACTTGGGCAGCCCAGGACACAGGCACACGGATCCCACCACATCCTTCTCCCACCAACAGCCTTCTGGTGGTTGGCTTGGGGAAGCCTTTCCCACTTCCCAGGCCACACGAGCAGCCACGAATGGGAGCCCCCAGGGAACCAGAAAAACCAAGCAGACCAAACAACACAACAAAGACTCTAAAAATTAAGCTGCCATTGGAACCACAGTCCAGAAAAATACCCAAGACTTGTGTACTGAACCTAAACTGGGTGACTTCCTGCTAAAATATAAGATTTAAATAGGGCTCAGTATACAACTGAAAATCACCTGTTATACCAAGAACTAGGAGATTCACAAACTGAATGAAAAAAGCCAATAAACTGATGTCAACAGTGATATTAATCCAATGTTGAAATTGTCTGACAAGGTTTAAAAGCAGCATTATAAAAATGCTTCAATACTCACCTACACATCCTCTTGAAACAAATGAAAATATATGAGATCTCAGCAAAGAAACAGAAGCTATAAAAATAATCAGATGGAAATTATAAAGTGAAAAATGCAATAAAAAATTAAAAATTGCTAGAGAGCTTAAATAACAGAGTAGGAATCATAGAGTACATAATCAATGAACTTAAGGAAATAACAAAGAATTCACCCAATTTGAACAAAAAAAAAGACCAAATAAAAGAATACACTCTTTGATATCTGAGTGACAATAAGAAAAATCTGACACTTTTTGTTACCAGATTATCAGAAAAAGAAAACTGTAGCTGAAAGAGTATATGAATAAATAATAGCTGAAAACTTCACAAATGGGTGAAAGACACAAACCTACACATCGAAGAAGCTGAACAAGTCCCAAACAGTATAAATCCAATGAAATGCATACCAAAACACATCATAATTAAACTTTTGGAAACTAAAATCAAAAATCAAATCTTGGAAGAAGCTAGAGAAAAATGACACATTCCTGTAGGAGAACATGAAGTAAAATGACAGCAGATTTCTCTTTGAAACCATGACAGTCAGAAGGAGGTGAAAGTATTTTTGTGCTCAAGAAAAGAGTTGTGAAATTCTAATTCTATACATGAGAAAACGATATTTTAGGAATTAAAGGAAAATAAAAGCATTCTCATATAAATAAAACAAGAATTTGTTGTTACTAGACCTAGCCTTAATGAATGGCTAAAGGAAGCTATTCAAACACAGAGGAAATGATGACAGAAACAATCTTGGAGAATGAGAAAGGAAGAAGGAACAATGGAAAGATGAAAAATATGGGTACATAACATGAGCTATCCTTTTTCTTGTGAGTTTTATAAATCATAAATTATGACTAGAACAAAACGTATAGCAGCATCTGATATTCAAAGCAGTGATATGTAAAAGTGGGGATGGTAAAGGGTCTAATACAAAAGTGAAGTTTCCACACTTCACTTGGAATAGTAAGATGCTGACACCAGTAAACTGTTATAAGTCACATATGTATATAGTAACCACAACAGAAACCAGTATTAAAACCAAACAGAGATGCAGTTTTATAAACAAACAGTATAAACAAATCAAGATAGAGTCCTGGAAAAAATTTAGCTCACAGGAAGGCAATACAAAATAAGCAGGGGAAGAGAAACCAGCAGAAATAAAGAGAAAATAAAAAATGGAGCGATGAATTTAACTACCAACAAATAAATAATTACCTTAAATATAAATGATCTACTACACCAATTAAAAGACAAAGATTATCAGAGTAGATACAAATACAAGTCCCAATTATATACTACTTAAAAGAAAATATAATCCAATAATATAGGTAGGTTAAAAGCAAAGGATGGAAAGATATGTGCCATATAAACATTAACTTTTAAAAATCAGGAGTTACTATATTAGTATCTAATAAAGTAGACTTCAGAGCAAAAAAAAACTAGAGGCAAAGAGAGACATTAATAAGGATGAAAGGATCAATTCATCAGGAAGACTTAACAACTATAAATATGGACACACACAAAATAAAAACTTTAAGACTTGTAAAGCAAAAACTGTGGAGCTGACAGGAGAAATTGATAAATCCACAACTCTAGTTGGAGACTTCAAAACCTCACTTAGCAACTGATAAACTACTAGGTAGAAAATCAACGTAATCCATAACAAAAAAATTTAATAAGTAGGACCACATCAAAATTTAAAGCTTTTGTTTATAAAAACCCTTGTGAAAGGAATAAAATGATAAGCTACAGACTGGGAGAAAATATTTGCACATAGCCAACAAATAAAAAGTATCCAGAATATTTAACAAATTCTTAAAACTCAATGGTAAAAAGTCAAACAATCCAGTTAGACAATGGGTAAAAGACATGAACACACATATACCTAAAGCAGATTTATAGGTGGTTAAAAAAAGCACATCTAAAAAGATGTAGCCTCATTAGCTCTCAGAGAAATGAAAATGAAAATCATAGTGATGTGTCACCTATCAGAATGGCTAAAATCTGTAATTAGTTCACTAAACTTTTCAGTTAAAATAAAAACAGTTTCAGTCTATAATACCAAAATGAAATTTATAGTTGAAATGTGGAACACCTTGTCAGGGTTATTCCAGAAAGAACCAAGGATAGAAAAATACACAATATCCTAAAGGAAGAAGTTGAGGGAGGAGCAGTCATTTTGCCTTTTGGTGGACGGCTCTGGACGGCAGGGTTTTAAGTGCTCAGCTGAAGGGGACTGTCCTCAGCAATCTCCTTTTTTGGATCAGAACTAGCTAAGTTTCCCTAACAGTATTGAGCCTGGTGAAGAGGTAGAGAGGTCCCTATTTGAGTTGAGTTTATGCCAAGTTATTAAAGGCCATTTTCTGGAAGGCTTCTATTATTGCTTTTCAGAGAAACAGCCAGAGTCACTCGGGTCTTTGAAATGTTGTCAAGGGTCCTACTTTGGACAACATGAGGTTCTGAGCACCAGGTGAGGACGCTGGTCAGGAAAGAGGCCGCAAAGGCCTATTCTACGAAGAACGAGTAAGAACTGGAATTGGAAGTGGAGTCCCCTTGGAGAATTTTTGGCTTTCCTGTTTCTGTAATCTGATGGTTAATAAAACAGGTTGGGGAATAGATAGCAAGAAGACAGTGAGCTCACAAGCATTCACACGCTTGCCTTCCTGGAGTGCTTTGGTCTCCAAACCCAGATCCTCACAAGAACCAAAAAAGAAGACCAAGATATAATTAAATTGGACATAGAGATTTTCTAACATCTTATGAAGAATATCGAGGAAATATTTCAAGCACCAAAAAAACTCTCAAGGCAAATCAGAGTATTTCTTTTCAACCCCCATTTTTCTTTTCCTATTATTAGTCACAGTGCACAAAGATACTTCCAAAACTTTATTTGTATAATGTAGTTGGTTTACCCAAATGTGAGGGCGTCTCATTCAGCATATTTTATCAACCAAAATATGTAAAAGTCTACAATATTTGCACAGAACAGAACCACAGTCTGTGGGAGATATTTCTTCAGTTTTGGGCCTGGCTGTTAAATTTTCTCCCCAATTTTTTCTCATCAATTTTCTGTTTATTGTACCAAGCTCTATCAGTTAATTTCCCATAGATGTAGGTAATGGAGACATTTGTCATAACTTAGTGTCTTCATTATTAAGGAAAATGACAGTGATTGAAGTGAATAGATCTCTCATTCAACTCAGGGGCAATGTCTTCATTTGCAGCAATTCTGATTGCTCTATTCACCTGTCCCAAAAAGGACAACACATCAGAAGGGAACTTAAAAGTGGCCCCAGGAGCTACCTGTGTCAAGATCTACAATGATGCCACCTTGCTGTGGGAGCTAAACTCTAAAGCAGCCTTTACTCCAGATGCACCCTGCTTCCAGGCCCAGGACAGGTTTTTAGACAGCTGAACTAGAAAGTAAGCAGCTGTCTCTAGAATACCAGCAGTCCCATTTGCAGCCCTGAGCCTGCCTCCACTTCGCCTCCGACCACACTGAGTGCTGCCTCTCCTCCCAGTGTCTAATCACTGCCTGCATGCATTCCTGTCTCCTTTGGTTGGAACCCAAATTCCTTTACTGAGAGAAATTACACCATGTTTCACTGTGTCTTCGCAATATCACCCCAAAACTTTTAGCACTGGGAATTTTAAATAAATACCTGCACTCAGAATTTTATATTTTATCCAATTAATTTAGCATACACTTAACTGAGTCTCTTAGAAAAATATTCCTGTGTTATTGCACTTTAAATCGCAATTGTAATGTTTAAATCAAAGCCCCTTTTAAAGAATTTCCGGTGAGCATGTGTGTGTGATATCTTGTGTGTCAGGAACTCCTTCCCTGTCTTTGCTGTCCCGTCAGGCTCACAGGTACCAATAAAATCCTAATAATGTGTCAGTGTTCTTTACAGTCAAAGGAAGGAGAAGGACCAGTGTCATTATCATAAGATCCACAGAGTTGCAAGCCTACTCCATTTCGTGCTTAGGGACACCAGATTTTTTCAACTTTGAACAAAAATGGAGCAATGGAAATGGAATCACACAAGAAGTGACATTTGTTGCGGAATGAGCTAATGACAATGCTTGTCCTGTGTACCCTGAGATATGCATGATTTTTTTCCTTGTAGGGATTTTAAGCAGTTCTGCCTGTTTCTTTTCCTCTGGAGCTTGGTGCTGCTGCCCATGATCACCGTCCTTCTGCACACCCTCCCTTCCTGTACAGTCCCCGCCACCTTAACAAATGCTGTTCAACTTCTTTACAACTGTAAGCTAACAAATAAAAGTATTTAGAGTCACCTCAAGTCTTTTTCAACTACTTTTTAAAAAGGAGAGAGAGGTGGGGGAGGAAGAGATCTGTAAACCTCAGGACAATCGTCTTCCTATTTCTTGGAAATCTGGGATTTGTTCATGAAATACGGAGATCCACCTGAAGTCTCCTGAAGTCTTCCCTGTTGCCCACTGTATCCTCTGACATCCTTCTCTTCTGTCTTTGAATTGCATTGATTATGATTCAGACTATACCCACATTTACAACTGATTTGGAAGTTTTAACTAAACAGAATCTCTGTTCTCAGTTTTCAGAAAAATTATTATTGTATGATATCAAGCAGTGTAGTTAGAATTCTTAAGAAATGAGAGACAAAAGATTCATAAAATCCTTAAAAAAAAAAAAAGAAATAAATGTTAACACCCTTCCACTGTCAAACTGGTATTGATCATTGTGTTAGTCCTACAAACTCAGATTCTCTCAAAATTGAAATAAGCTCCCATCACTTTGTTTCTCTTGATGCTGGAGAGAAATTGTCTAATATTTCTGGACATGGGAGGAAGGAACAGATGTCTGAAGCCCAGAGGGACATGTAATGCTGAGCTTCTCTTTTTAAGTTAACAGGAAAATTACACCACTGGAAAATGACTTCAGCAGCATGCAAGATAGCATCACAGAGATCCAACTTGCTTTAGGAGAAACCAAGGTAAAAATGTTTCCAGAACAGTTTCCTTCATTTTGGATGGGTGTAGGACTGCTATGCCTGCAGTGAAGCAGAAAATAAAGTTAATAATAAGAAAGTTAAAACAAAGATTAAAATGACCCAACAAGGGCATATGGTCCCGAATGTATGTGAATATTTTGCAGATGTGGAGACTCAGATGAGCTGTTCAGGTGACTCAGGCCAATATGGGCTTCCATCCAAAGGCATTTGGACATAACAGTCAGCAGTCACTCTCATGTATCCATGGTGTGCCCACCAATGGGCTAGGCCTTGGATTCCAATATTGCTCAGAAATGAAACACTGCAGGCATCATGCCACATAAACCATACTGCAGAAGTGAAAGTCAGTTCAACAACCTAGCTGCCCATCACATGCCAAACACGTTCCTGGGCACCAGGGCACAAAGGTAAACAATGCTGGCTTCCTACTTTGGAAGAACTCACAGTAAGATTGAGTCCAAAGTAAGCCTGGAGGGTTATGATTGGGTCCCTAGGAAAGAATCAGTGTGGGGACTTCCACAGATACCCTCAGAACTGAAGATCACCTTCTTTTTCTCGCACTTTCCAGAGTAGAAACTAAAAGGAATGTGAAGCTTCAAAACACAGATACACACTTTTTTTCTCTGATAGATCTGAGGGCATCTTTCCACTGCCTTGGAAGTGGACGTGGACATAGCACTTGTACAGGGACCAATCTTAGGGCAGAATAAAGAGCAGGCCTGGGAAGCTCAGCCCAGCCAGTCTGGGGACCACTGACACCCAAGTGTTCACAGTACCAGGAAAGCCTGTCAAGAGGTGGGTGCACCTCATCTCTGGTCAGTTGTCAGGCTGTCCGATGCACAGGAGGATGTTTAGCAGCATCCCACAATGTTTTCCATGATCAGTTGTGACAACCCAAATGTCTCCCAGCAAGGCCAAGTGTGCCCAGGGGTCAGACTCATCCCGGCTGAAAGCCGGCCTGGGGAGGACACCATGGGGACTCGCCTGTCCCTCCCACCCCACTCTGAAGTGAAGAAAAGGCTGTGCCCTGACTGCTGCCAGAAGCCATCTGCCCCTGCAAACTGACCAGCTCCACCTGCCAGGTAGCAACACTGAGGCAGCAGATTGGGCAATAGGAAATGACCTGTGGGCACCCGGGAATGCTGTCCAGTCTCTCCAGTTCCCATTATGTGAGGTGAGGGCATTTCTTGGTCAAGCCAGTTTGTGTAAAGCAACTCCTGTCACTTGCTGGTGAAGCCATATTAAATGAAGAGTGGTAAATCCAAGGAAGGCCATGGCACATGGCATACATGGGTCAGTATCAGCTGGATGGGTCTGCAAAGGCTGGATTCACCCAAGGCCAAGGCTCTCCATCTGTGTGCAGCTTTTGCCAGACTCAATGTTTAGCAGGCAGCGTGTCCCAAACCTCCCCCAACCCCCAACCTGAGTGCCTGGCACTGCTTACAAACCTGCTCCTCTTGGTCTTCCCCATCTCTGTAAATGGCAGCTCCATTCTGCTAGGTGCTCAGGCCACACACACACTTAACTCCTCTCTCTCCCCAGTGCTGCTGTCTCATCTTCAAAATGTATCCAGAATCCTTGGCCCAAGCTCCCGCTTTGGGCCAAACCAACATTGTCTTTGGTTAAGTCTATTCCTAAAGCCCATAAATGTCTCCCTCCACCCACAGAGCAGCTTCAGTGACCCTGCTGAAAACACATGGCACTGAATACAATGTGATATTTCAAATAGACAAGAGAACAAAAAAGAGACACTACTGAAATAACTAGTGAAATCTCAATAACATCTGTAGATGAGTCAGTCATAACCAATGTTAATTTCTTAGTTTTGAAAAATGTACTGTGCTTATGTAAAATATGCACATTAGAGGAAGTCAAGTGAAGGGTTTATAGTAATTTTCCATACTTTGTGTTGTAACTTTTCTGTAAATCTGAAATTAATCCAAAAGGAAAATTTTAAAAATTAAAAAGAATGTTGCATAATGACACTTCTCTGCAGAGAGTTCTCCAGCGCCACCTCATTCATGCGGAATCAAGACCCAGTCCCTTACAGTCATGCCCAAGGCCTCCTGCAGTGTGGCCTCCGTGTCCATTCTGACCATATCCCCCACTGAGGCATGCTGTTCCGGGCACAGTGGCCACTCCTGCACTTCAGTAGCCAGGCTTGCAATTGCACATGATGGTGTCTCTAGCAGCTGCAGGAAAGGAGCTACAGATGAAGAATAGAGAAGGCAAGAGAAGGGAGAGGATGGCTGAGATGTGCGAGATGTGCGAGTGAAGTTGGCTCCCTGTGGAAGCAGGCCTCCCTGTTACAACTGTATACACTGTGGTAGAGGAGGGAATCTGATCTGATTCCACCCTTCCTTTCCCCCTGTTGACAGCAGGAGCTTGCATGTCTGGGTCTTGCATTCAATGACTGTCGAACTGTGTGAACTTTGGCAAACCTCGGCAATTCTAGACCTCCCTTTATTCTCTGTAAATGGTGTGATACCTCATAGGCTGAGGAAGCCAGTGTTGAAAAGTGTGAAGATATGAAGAATGATGTTTCCACTGTTGCTGTCTCTTGTCCCTGTCTTTCTCTGTGTGTGTTGTTTTGTCCTCTCTTAATGGAACGCTCTCTTTCTTTTCCAGTTCCTCCTCTCCCACATGCAGTTAAGCCAAGCATCACTTCTCATGTAGTTATGCTTTTGCTATTCCTAGATATTAGTGGAAGCAAAAGGACAAGAGGAGGAATAGATGGTAGAAACAGTATTTAAGAAGTATTGTGTCCCACCTGCATTTAAATTTTGGAAATAAAACCATATTTTAACAAGTTTGTCATTAAGAAGTCATGGAACCGGAGACAGAAAGCAACAGTCTGGGCTATGTTAGCATTATGGTGGAATCCACAAAACAAGATCCCATCCTCACCATTTTGACAGTGGCTCTGGTGTTCTGTCTTTTCCTAAACAGAAAGGAGATTAGGAGACAAGACAAAGACATGTCTGCAGGCCTCAAAGGAATAGAATTAGAACTCAGAGTCTCCAGGTCACACGTCTGAGTGTAACAAGCTCCCATCACTTCTAGCATGTCTTGTTGGAGATGTAGATGCATGACAAGCAACCCTATGATATCTGGGTTCTGTTCAGAGCTGAATCTTTAGTAAAAGTCACCCCTTATATTCTCTTTTCCCAGAATAAGCTTCACCTGGGGCTCCTCTCCAGCCTGCTCATGTGTTTGTCTTGATGCTGTGGGTCCCAGTCAACATTTCCCTTCACGTTGGTGCATCCTCTTTTGACCCCTAGCTTCCATCCTCTCATCTCCCTCAAGGATTCCCTCACAGCCTTGCAATGCGTGCATGTACCTGCCTGACCCTGGTTCAGCATGTGGCATTGTCTCCTCTTGACTTACGGTGCCTCGAGCCTCAGATAGACCTGAGATCAGTCTAAATAGGAAGCATCTTTCAAAGCAGGGTGTTAGCAACATCTTTGCTTCTATTCCCCACTCATACAAGAGCGCCCAACTCAGCCAGTGGCTCAGAAAGGGGATGTGGAGTCCTGTACCTGAGAAGGTGTCATTCTGCCAGAGGCCACCATGGAAGCACCTCCCAGGATGACTTTTTATTCCCCAGGCAGGTGCCCTGGATTGCCAAGCCACATGTGGGCAGAAGCAGCCTTTTCTCTGAGCTGTGAGGAGAGTCTGTGTGCATCCACTGCAGGAGGAGGACTTCCCCGCCTGGTTCACCAGAGGGTGGGTGAGGCGGATGCAGTGGGACCACCCGACATGTCTTGTCTCAGCCTCAGGCAAGAGGATATAGTCACTTTTCGAGACCACAGACATCTCAGTAATGACCCTTTTTCTTTTCTTAAGAATCCTCAAGTAGGCTTGTTTTCCTTTGTCACAATATCTTTCACATGCATTTTTATACAAAACATACCTAACAATTTCATGTGAAATGATTGAAGAACACCAGCTATATAAGCTTACTTACTTTCAAGGCTAAATGTGCGCAGCCAATGAGAAAAGTCTAGGAGGCACCAAAATCTGTTCTCACTGCTTTTCACTTGTTTTCAAGTCTTATTCTCAAATTACAAGTCTTCCAGGCCCATTTATTTTTAACATTTCTGAAATCAAGATTGACCTGGGAAATCACATGTTATCACTGCTTGAGAGAAAAGTAGGAGCTGTTCCCCGGCCCCTCTGTGATGAGTGATGGGCCGAGGGGTTTCTCTCAGGACACGTGTCTTTCACCTGGGCACCATCTCCCCGCTGTGGGAGGAGGCTCAGCCTCCTGTGGTGCATCCTCAGGTCCAGCAGCCAGCTCTGGTGTCAGGAAGCCTGTCCAGCTTTAGAGCAGGCTGAGAATGCTTAGCCTCCAGATCCAATCTGAAGTTCAAATCAGAGGCTGCTGGTGATCTTTGGTCTTGACTCTCAGGGTGCTCTGGAAGTGGCAGCCCTGATCACATCACGTTTACTGGGTGTTAGTCTGTCTTCACTTTTTTGTTTTGTTTTTGAAAATGGAGCTTGATCACCTTCTCTGAGCTGCTCTTCAGACTGGCCCCCAGGGCATGTCTGCCTGCAGAATAAACAGCCCAGGCAGCTGCAGTCCTGGACCCACCCTGACAGTGCCCATGGGCATCATCTGAGACCACATCACCTTCTGGAATGTGCGGCACCACCTCAAACCTTTCATGCAGGTGACCAGGGGTCCTGGCCTCCTGGGTGCACATTCCTTCATCCACGAAGAAGCAGGTCCAGATTTTCAGGTGGGTCTATCCCTGTTCTCCATGCCATAGCTTGCTCCTAGCCAAGCACCAAGAGAGCGGCATCTTTTACAAGCACCTCAGGTCATTGTGGTACCTGGGGATGAGCTCACCTTGGCGTTACAGGTGGGGGCCTCTTCCATCTGGGCCTTCATTTTCTTTAAAAAATATTTTTAATTTTTTTTCCTTGAAGAGTTAACACTCTTTACAATCAAGCTTCTGAAAAAAAATATAAAACATTAGAAGTAGGATTTTCCCCACAACAATAGTTACTTAATATACCTTTTCAACTTTTAAGATTTACTCTCTTATAATTAAAGATGGACATGGAGATGATGGTAGAAACAAATGAGATGGTTGACCAAGTCATCCCCCCTCCCCCACCCTTGTGCAAGTTTGAACAGATGGCCTGGAAGGGCTCAAGCGAATCTCTCAGCCCAGACAGCTTCCGTTTGCACCAGGACAAAACCTTAAGACCTTTCCTCCTCTGTCATGCTGCAATTGCCATGACCTCTCATAGGGTAGGTTTCTAGGTGTCCCTTCTAATAATCGCCTCCCATTTTTACTGGCATCTTTTTCTTTGAATTGTCTCTTGAACATTCTGCCACTGTGCTTTGTAAGACCCAGAAAACAAAGATACATTGTTGAGAAGTGCAGGGCTCTGAAGACCCAGAAGAGGAGACAGGGAGAGGCAGACTTTAGGAAAGGAAATCTACCTGGAGCAGAAGCGACAGAAGAGGGTGGGGACCTTCAAAACACAAACTAAGATGCATTCCATCAAATCCCCTTCCACGAACTTATTGACAAGGAGTCCTAAGTTGAAAAACTGCTTTTCAAACATTAATGATCATGGTAGAACACATAATAAACAACCAGGTGACTGGCCAGGAGCCACAGGGGAGAAAAGAAACCATTTTCATGACACTTTCAGTGTGGCTCAGCGACAAAAATGACACCTTGAGGTCCAGACCACGGTGCAAAGTGCAACTCAAGACTCCACATCTATCGGGGGCACAGCTTTTCAAAGGCTGCACTCTCCTCTTCCCGCTGTCTTTCTCTCGCCTTCTTTAATATTCCACAAAACTAATTATAATAATGACTTGGATCAAGTCATGCAAAACTTCATGATTCAAGTTCTACTTCCTGAATATAAACCCCTGCCTTGTGCAAGAAAAGAAGGAAATGGATACTCCTTCCCTTTGTTTAACTAATTCACCACCAATAAGTCAAGCAAAACCAAAACAGATTCAGTGTACAGAATATACTAAAAGGATACTGCCTCAAAAGTACAATCATCTTTAAGAGTATATTTTGAAGGAGATTGCCTCTGTTTTCATTTAAAATGCAAACTTGAATTCGAAAGAAAGGCCTAAGATAGAGAAGCACTGCCTAGAGTCCTGGGGAAGAAGCCATCCCAGGACTGGCACTAATCCGTTAGTGCTCCTCCCTGCCAGGCCCCTGTGCTGCTCTCCACCTTGGCTGAGCCCTGGGGCTGTGTCCTCATGCCACGCCCTGCAGTGCCTGCACGTCCTCTGTGCCTATGCTCAGAGCTCCCTGGATGTCTCTGGTTGCTAGTTGCTATTTCTGACATCCCCAACTCCAGCCTCTGCTACTCACCAAGGTCTCAGAGTTCCTCTGAAAACTGCCTACCTTCTGCTCTGGCCTGGAGTTTCCTCCAGTCCTTTCAGCAGCGAGGCCTGATGCTGGAGTCCAGCTCTGCCCAACTCTGTGACAGGCCTCGGTTTCCACATGTGTGAAACTGGACTAACACAAACTCACTGGACCTTGTGGGATTAAATACGTTGTACGGAAAACACCAAGAACAGAGACTTTTGGTAAATGTTCATTCCCTTTTTTCCTATGCCCCTTTCTGGCCCTTTCTTCTCCCAGAGTCCAGGGCCAGCTTTCCTGCCTTCCTAGCTCCATAGCTCCTCTCTCCAGGGTACAAAGCCCTCCAGTCACAATCAGGCGAGCAGAGGGGCTGGGGAAGCCCCTGAGGGCCAGCGCACTAACGCACAGGTGACAAGTGGGGTCTGGACCAAGATCCTGGCCTGACCTGGGCCCAGCCTCCCAGCTGCCGGCCTTTGTTGCCTCCCTCTGTGCAGAAGATTCTGCACCTGGAAAGTGCCTCCACTAACACCAGTGCCTCCTCTCTCCCAGAGTTAGCATCGAAATGGAAGAATAACACGAATTGGGACGCACACTGCAGGTGGCAGGCACTGTACAAATGCAGGAATATTCCTTAGACTGGCTCTTCCCCACACAGTAAGAAAAGCGGCTCTTATGCTGAGGCGGAAAGCAACACTCAGGACTGGGTGGCTCCGGGGCCCGAGCCCAGCCCTCCCCGAGTGAGCAGAGCACATACCAATAACAACCCCCTCTTCCCAGATGCACCCCTGCAGACATCCCAGCGGCAGGCTGCCTGGACAGATTTGAGAACCAAGCAGGGGGTGGTGACTGCCCGGCTCAGCAGCAGGTTCCCAGAGCTTGGATCACCTCCAGGAATCTGGCTCTGACCAGGTGATCTTTCCACCTTATCATAGCATGTTTATCTCTGCCACTATAATCTCATTAAATGCTAAATGAAGCATTTCATTCCACTCAAAACGCCTCAGTAAGGGAAGCCGAGCTTCATTGTATCCCTAACAACTGGGCTGCTATAATTCTTTGGAATAATTTGGTCCTCTTTGGTTCCCTTTGGCACTTTGAGATCACACAACGAAAGAGTCCAAAGCTGTTCATTTAAAAGTGAATATTGTTCCAGCCATCCCAAGCCATTTCCTTTAAAAACAGATCAATAACCTGAAAGAACAGGTTGCACCTTGGCACCTCTGGCCTCTGTGTGCTCCAAACAGCACGTGCAGCCACAGGGGTCAGAAGGGCTCCCGCCTGCCCATCCCCCACCCCGCATCCCCTGGCTGGTGTCCTGCCCACCTGCCCCGTGTCCCCTCAACCCACCACCCCGTTTGGTGCCCTGCTCCCTGCCCCACAGCCACCCACCCCAACCTGCACCCCCCACACCCAGGTGGGTGCCCCCCCACTATCACACATCCCTTGATCTCCTCCATCTGCCCTGCCACCTGCTGGGTCTGTGACCCCTTCCTGTTGCACAGCCCACCTGTCAGTTCCTGACTGCCCCTTCTGTTCTCTCCTCTCCCACTAGGTCATGGCCAGGATCGCTTTCAGGGCTGACTCATCCGCCTCACTGTCTGGCAGTCGCCCCCTGGCCAGGCTCCACTGGGAAGCAGCTTCCACCCACACTCTCTGGACGTCCTGGCAGGTCCTGCTCTGTGGCCCACTCCTGAGCTGCCCTGGCTGGGCTGCCTGACAGGGTGATTTGGTGCTGCTAAGAGAATCCGCCACCTGCTTCAGGCTTGAGCTTCTCAGTCAGCTGTTCACTCCATCTGCTTAGAAACCCGGAGTCTGTTCCCCCTACAATTCTCTCCCTTTGTCACAGTGTCTAATCTCCAACGTCAGAGTCATGGCTCAGGCCCAAATGCAAAACTACTGGATATTTGATGTCCTCTGAAAACAAGAGTATGTAAATGTTGTAGAGTGTTGGGCACCAACCTGCCTGTGCACACCGTGGTCCTCAGAGCTCCCAGAGTGGGGTCTAGGCCTTCCTGTGTTCACTGAGAAGCTGCCCACGAGAAACTCGGATGGTGAGGCTGGTGAGGAAGAAGCTGGCTTGATGCTCTATAGAGAAAGAAAAAGAAGGGGGAAAAGAAGAAAGAAGCCCTGCTGGGCAGAGGTGTAAGGAGCAAAGATGAGTGAGGAGAGAGACAGGAAAAGGATTAAATACAGGGGCTAGGATTATTTTAAAATAAAATACATACATTTCAGGGGATTGCCCCCGTTTCCAATTTAGAGCAAAAAAAATGTATGAAAACATTGAATTTACTGACATAATACTAAGCACTATTTCCATACTCTAATTTTTTAAAAACCATGTAATCAGAGGCTATACTCTTTGGCATCTTTGATAAAGAGTAAACACATGGCTTTATCTTTTTTTTTTTTTTTTTGAGACAGAGTCTCGCTCTGTCACCCAGGAGTGCAGTGGCTCTAACTCGGCTCAGGCTCACTGCAAGTTCCGCCTCCCGGGTTCACGCCATTCTCCTGCCTCAGCCTCCCAAGAAGCTGGGACTACAGGCACCGGCCACCATGCCCGGCTAATTTTTTGTATTTTTAGTAGAGACGGGGTTTCACCGTGTTAGCCAGGATGGTCTCGATCTCCTGACCTCATGATCCACCCGCCTTGGCCTCCCAAAGTGCTGGGATTACAGGCGTAAGCCTCCGTGTCCGGTCCTTTTTTGAGACGGAGTCTCGCTCTGATGCCCAGGCTGGAGTGCAGTGGCATGATCTCGGCTCACTGCAACCTCTGCCTCCCAGGTTCAAGTGATTCTCCTGCCTCAGGCTCCTGAGTAGCTGGGATTACAGGTGCCCACCACCACACCCAGTTCATTTTTGTATTTTTAGTAGAGACAGGGTTTTACCATGTTAGCCAGGCTGGTCTCAAACTCCTAACCTCAGGTGATCCGCCCACCTCGGCCTCCCAAAGTGCTGGGATTACAGCATGAGCCACCATGCCCCGCCATGGCTTTATCTTAAAGGCGAGCTTCCCCATGGCTCACATGCAAGACACAGAGGATTTGCTGTGGTCCCCAAATGTGTGTCTGGGCGCTTCCAGGTGCCCCCAGCAGTAGTGACAGACACAGGGCCGTTACAGTGCAGGCACAGCTGAGGAAAGCATGGCTTCTCCCTTACATGCTGAGTGGACAAATGCCTCTCCAGAATCACAGCACCTGCCAACAACAGTGGTCACATTAGCACCCAGCCCAGAGTCACCCTTTGACTTACTTTAATGGGCTTGCAGAAGCCCAGGGTAATCAATCTCAAGAACAGAGAGAACATGACTGGTTTTCCTCACACCCAGGCAGCAGGCCCGACCCTCGCCCGGTGTGTGAATGTGTCACTGTGTGCAGGCCGCACGCCCCGAACAGCCGGAGGTGGTTGTGTTGCCGCTGCTGTGAGTGAGCAGTCGGCTTTCAGCTGGAGGAGAGAAGGCTCCGGAATGTGTGCAATAGCACAACAGCTGGAAAAGTCATTGAAATATAATACCAGTCCCCAAATAGTCATATTTTATTGTTTGAGACTTATAAACGGTTAAAGAAATGAAATCCACCTTTGGGAAATGATGTTTCTTTAGGTCTCATCATATCCCATTTTCCCCTAAAGGTTAAAACAAATAGTGCTATGCTGATAAATCGTGCTAGTCAGGGCTGAGCAGCCCTGAAGCTCTCCTCTCCAGGCTGTCGGAGCCCACAAGCTCTCCCAGCTCTTGGAAGGGCTCTCTGTAACTTGTCTTTGGAAAGGAAGCAACAGCAAAGAAGGGGGAAGCAACGCAGCTCATGAGAACGCAGTGGCCACCCGTGTTGTGACCATCGCAGCTCCTCTCCTGCTGGCCAGAGCCATGCTGTCTGGACACACCCAGGTGGCCTCCTCTTGGGGAGGTCACTGCCCTGTTGGAGAACAGACTGAGAACTCTGAAGCCTTCATGAATCATGGTGGTCTCCCAGCTCTTAGTCTACCCGACAATCCTCCGTCATTGCAGAAGTATATAACTGATCTTATTACAAATAAATTATTCCATTCCTTCTTTTGTGTATTCATTCAACAAATATTTGTCACATTCCTATCACATGCCATGCACTTTGCCAGGTATGGGCACAAACCCAGTGAACAAAATGACAGGGGCCTGGTCTCTTGTAATCAAGCAGAAGGGAAAACATCACTTTTTTTATTTTATTTACTTATTTTTTGAGACAAATTCTTGCTCTGACGCCCAGGCTGGAGCGCAGTGGCACGATCTCGGCTCACTGCAACCTCCACCTCCCAGGTTCAAGCAATTCTCCTGCCTCAGCCTCCTGAGTAGCTGGGATTACAGGCACGTGCCACCACGTGGGCCCAGCTGATTTTTGTATTTTTAGTAGAGACAGGGTTTCACCATGTTGGTCAGGCTGGTCTCTAACTCCTGGCCTCAAGTGATCCATCCACCTCAGCCTCCCAAAGTGCTGGGATTACGGGTGTGAGCCACCGTACCCGGCAACATAACTTTTTTAATGACCCAGAGATTTATTTATTTACACCTGTGATGAGTGTTTTGAGGAAAATAAGGGTGTTGTGAAAGTGTAAACCACAGGTTCCTCACTTGGCTTGGAGGTCTGGGGATGGCTTCCCTGAACAATGACATTTAAACTGAGACTAGAAGGGGAGGAGGAGGTGTTGACCAGGCCAGGAGGGGGTGGGGTGGGAAGTAAGAAAGCATTCCAGATAGAGAAGCATTGTGCAGACTTAGACTCTGTCTTCATGTAAAGACAGAGACAAGCACAAAAAAAGACCAGCATCACTATCAGGGCCACCAGGCACCACTGGGCAGGGTCCCTGCACAGATGACATAGTCCACACTGGGAACAGAGTCCTGCACAGCCTCACCCTGCAGAATGGAGTGCAGGAAGAGTGAAATGAACATGAAGGCAAGGACTATTGTGCAGGGCCTCCGTGCCCATTCAGAGTGTGTTCAGCTGCAAGGAAGAGAACACCAAGGAAGGGTGGCTTAATCCAATATGAATTTCTTTCTCACACAAAATCATCTAGGTTTGGGCTGCTCCAACAATGCCATCAAAATATCACTCTTTCTGTTTTCTCTTCTCTGCTATCATGAATATATTGACCTTTTTTTCTATGGTATGAAGAGGATTTCTGCACCCCCAGGCACTTCCTCATTCCAGCAAGTAAAAGGGCAAAGGGAACTGGGGAGAGGGTTATGGGCCATGCAGCCAATCTGCTCTTTTTTTCCTCAGGAAACCACAGGTTTTCTGGAAGCAGTATCTACGGACAGTGTCTAAGGAGAAGAACTTCCAAATGGGCTGAGTTGACCAATCAACAGTGCCTGCCACAACACCATTCCATGTTAGAAATCTAGGGTTACAAAATGTGAAGATCTCAAACCATTGCTCACTAATTCAACTCTCAGCATCACATTTCTCATAAATGTACAAGGTTCTTGGAGATGATCAGCATGACTGCGGCCCCTGTATTCTACCTCCACTCTGGTTAGTTGTATTTTTCTTAAGTCGCACAAGAAGGGACTAACTTTCCTTCACCTTTGTACCCCCAGCTTCGAACACTCAGTACATAAGCATCATTCACGGAACAAATTATGCATCAGCTGCCAATAAGTGCCAGGTTCTAGGTGTAGGGTGTTTACTTTGACTCACTCATTGAGGAACTGTCTCAGGGAGGCATATCACTCTCCATAAACATGTCAAACTTACTCAACTCTTTCAAACTAGCAGCTGACTGGTTACAATTCCTCTATGGAAGTGGTATACTGCATTCTTCGTCATTCCCTTAGACTGGGGTTAAAGGAAAAAATAAACCCACATTTCTGCCAAAGCTCACAATCTCATTTTTGTTAGTCTTATGGACTTGTCATAGTTATTTTTCTTCTTTTACACAAATAGCAAAATTGAAATTGGTTCAAGATGGACATGTATCATTAGGCATCATAAGAAACCACATTCCCTAATAAAAACAGGGGATATCAGATCCTCACCTCCCCTACTTGCTCCTGGCCCCTTGATGGATCTGATGAATTTCTCCCAAATGCAGACAAATCTCAATTTCCACCTGTGAACATTCACAGAAAAGTGATGGACAGCTTGACATGGCTGCAAGCCATAGCCTACACAAGAGTGAGTGAAACTGGCTGAGTAGGAAGCATATTTTCTCTTTTTAATAGTCTATAAAATGGAAGTATTTTATGTCTTGAGAAAATATGAAATTATACCAGAGTAATGCAGTAGGAAGTTAGTCTCTGAACTGTTTGACCAATACACTTTACCATTCCCCAGGTGATTTTTCTGTTTCCAATAAGATAGCAATTAAATACACAGTTACGCTGAAAAGATCAAGAATATGCAAGCTATACCTAAAATGAAAATTACAAATCTAAAAGCTAGAATAAAATCAGGTAAAAGCACAGATGAATTAGGTCAAAATGCCGAAACATCAAGGTCAGTAATATCAACAAAGGAAACATATGAAATAAGATTTTTTACTGACATTAGTTGCTATGGTACAAATAGGTAAAAAAAAAATTATTTTAAATCTCACAGTGGTAGCAATAGTAATAACAATCATGACTGTTGTGTGTCCCCTTCCATCATCATGGCAAGCCTACTATGCATTCCAGCAGCCACTGTTTGAAACTCACAGAGTCAGATGACTTGCAGTAAGTTACACAGTTGGTTGATGGGGAGGCAGTTCTTGAAAATGGTTCTTTCCATTACAACACTCATGCTAGACTACATTTCAAAAGAAGAAATATTTTCTTCAACTTTGCTTCTCCTCATATTTCAATAATTGATAATAAAATAATAAATTGAAAATTATAACAAGCCTACAATAATAAAATTTGATTGTTTTTAATGAAAATTAGAATGTCCTTGTCATTGTACAGCACATCATACTTATGAAACCATCCTGATTCAACCTTACCATGAAGAGACAATCTGTTGCAGGAATCCAATCCATTGTAGCTGATACAAATTAATAATTACAAAGTCTAGAAAGATGAGTTATTTGATAAGAAACCTTAAGGAACACAAACATTTGTTAGAAGGAAAAATTGTGTGTGTGTGTGTGTGTGTGTGTGTGTGTTGCTAGATGAGTTTGTAGGGGATGAGCTGATTTAACTTCACATAAATATGACCTAAATAGGTCTTTTTCTAGCCAGACTCTGTAAGTACACTAGTTCTGCAATCTCTTTCCATTTACCCCTCACCTAATAATACTATTCCACATGATTTGAGTAAAGGGGAATATCTGTTTTTTGAAGTTCCTCTTTTTAAAAGCCAGTCTTTCCATTGTCAGGGCCAGCAGTCCATTTTGCCCAGGTAATACAGACCTGGTGTGGTCTCAACCCTGAATCCTAGTTGCAATCTATGGAACTCAAAGGATTCTCCACTCGTGTGCATGTGTGTATATGCAAACACACACACACAATTTCAACAGGACTGAAGTAGAAGTATCTTATGTAAATATTTGGAACTGAAGAAATGCTAGTCTGAAAACACTTTCTAAAGATGTAAAATTAGAGCTAAAAATTATATCTGAAACATACTAAATACATAAAGATAATTGGGAGGCCAGGTGCAGCAGCTCACACCAGTAATCCCAGCACCTCGGGAGGCTGAGATGGACGGATCACTTGAGCCCAAGAGTTCGAGACCAGCCTGGCAAACATGGAGAAACCCTGTCTCTATAGTAAAAAAAAAATAGTAAATAAATAAATAAAATCAAAAGAAAATAAATAAAACAAAAATAAAGATAATTGGGACAACTGTCATATCTAACTCCCTAGCCATATATAGGAGAAAATAATGGTTTCAGTTCTCTTCAACAAGAAAAAATAGTGTAACCTTCAGCAATATAGAGGTGAAATTGAAAACAAATGGCAAAATATATTTCGTTACTTGTATTCAATATTCAACATTGTCTCTATCTAATGATCAGAACAACAATGTAAATTGCTGAACAATTTACAAAGCACGTTCTCATGTACATCCCATTTGATAACATCTGCACAACACAAAGCCTGGGCACAGACGGACAACTGTTGCCATCCCCATTCCACACTGGACAATCTGAGGCTCAGGGAAGTGAAGTGACTCACCCTAAGACCTGCAGAGCTGCGTATTCAGTCCCCTTTCTGTTACATCACACAACATTAAACCAGAAATATACCTTTCTATGAAATTAAAAAGCTTCAGCCATTACATTTCCTGCTTCTCTAACATAGAAAGGAGAATGTATTCCATCTCATACAATCAAAGACAATGGAAGAGTTGAAATAATATGACTCAATTAAGCTCCAGACATTTGCCTTAAGGAATCATGTTTTGAAAGATTTTACTACTGATGAGAATAAGGAATGCTAAAATGTTTAAAGCAAAGACAGACCCATTCACTAACCAAAAGCTCAAACCAAATTGATTCTATCCAACAGTTCAGCTTCATTATATTCCAACTGACAAATGCCTTTCACTTGCATGATGCTCCATAGCCTGAATTAAAGCTATAATTTTTATTTTAGGTCTCTTCAACTTTAGCTGATGTCTGGATTTTATCCCAAATTGAATGCACTCTCTCTAAGGTTTTAAATACACATTTGCCTCCAATTTCTTTCTCTTTTGCCTCCCTTTCTTCCTCCACCTTCTTCTTTTCTCTTCTCTTTTCCACATACCACATTAGCTTCAGGCCAGTAAAATGTTTAAAAGTCAGGTTCCCAGGGAATGCCTTAGGGAGGAATCTACTCCAGCACAGTAACCCAAAAGTGCACCCACGCACCTCGTTAATCCACAAAGCCCCAAAACACTGGATAGATTCCTCGGGCCATAGCTACACCTAGGATCTGAAACGTTTTCCCTCTACCACCAAACAACATCTACGGGAATCACAGGCTTTCCCATCCTATTAAGGAATGAACTCATGTAGACAGATTCATTAGACTCACTGACAAACACCAGAGTAACTCTTGAGAAATACCAACTAAGTGTATTTAATAAAAAGTAGTTATGATGATAATGATGATGAATTCTCAGCACTGTGGCCAGATACTCTGCCAAGCACTTTTCATGTATTTGTATATTTAATTTTGGCAACAACCTCATGAGATTAGTACTATCATTACCCATTTTAACAGATTAAAAAAACTGAAGTTCTGAAAAATAAGTGACTTGCCCAAGCTTATCTTCAAAGTAGTAATGCTAGGATTCACATTCAGTAAATAGAAGAATATTTAAAGAGGCTGGGCGCAGTAGCTCACACCTGTAATCCCAGCACTTTGGGAGGCTGAGGTGGGCAGATCACCTGAGGTCAGGAGTTTGAGACCAGCCTGACCAACATGGTGAAACCCAGTTTCTACTGAAAATAAAAAAAAATAGCCAGGCATAGTGGTGTGTGCCTGTAATCTCAGCTACTCAGGAGGCTGAGGCAGGAGAATCACTTAAACCTGGGAGGCAGAGGTTACAGTGAGCCAAGATCGCACTATTGCACTCCAGCCTGGGCAACAAGAGTGAAACTCTGTCTTCAAAAATGAAGAAGCAGCAGAAGAAGTAGAAAAAGCAGAAGAAGCAGAAGTGGGAGCGGGAGCAGGAGCAGAAGCGGAAGAAGGAGAAGGAGAAGGAGAAGGAAATGGAAGAGATTTAGAGAAAGGAGAGCAATAAGAAGTGGGAAGAAAAAACAACCCATAGTGGAGGGAAGGTGGTTACTAGTCATAACAATTCAGAGGTTATAAATTCAAACCCTTATTCTACAAAATATTAGCAAATCCTCTGAGATTCCAATTCTTTATCTTTCAAGTGAACAGAATAATATTATCTCAAGGGTATTGGTCTTTAGTTTTCTTTGTTGGTACTGCCTGCGTCTGTTTTTGGTATTAGGGTCATTCGTACTAGCTTCATAAAGTGAACTTGGAAGTGTTCATTCCTTCTCTAAGGTATTCCCTTGGAACCTGTCATTAATTCTTTTTTTTTTTTTTGGTAGAATTTTGGTAGAATTCTCAAGCTATCTAGATGGGCCGGGAGATTTCTTTTTTGAGAGATATTATATCTGCAAATTGAATTTCCTGAATAGTCACAGGACTAGTCAAGTATCTATTTCATGTCTACTGAGTTGTGATAGTTCGTGCTCTTCAAGGAATTGTTACATATTATTGAAATTGTCAAATGTATGTGTATTGAGTTGTTTGGCGTATTCCTTTATTATCCTTTTGATGACTACAGGGTCTGAAGTAATAGTCTCTATTTCATTCTCAGGAATTTGTGTCTTCTTTTTTCTTTGTCAGTCTTGCTAAGGATTTATCAATTTTACAATATTTTCAAAGAACCAGCTTTTTGTGTACTTGGTTTTTTTGGTTTTTCTGTTTTAATTTTTATTAATTTCTGCTGTTACCTCTCTTATATTCCTCCTTCTTGCTTTGAGTTTATTTTGCTCTTCTTTTTCTAGATCATTGAGATGGGATCTTAGGTTGTTAATTTAACACCTTTCCGTATCTAATGTAAGCATCTAGTGGTATGAATTTTCCTCTCACCACTGCTTTAGCTGTGTTCAAAAATGTTTGATACGTTGTACTTTCATTTTTCCTCAGTTCAATGTGTTTTTTACTTTCTCTTAGACTTTTTTGGTCTATGAATTATTAAAAAGCATGTTGTTTAGTTTTCTAGTGTCTAGATATTTCCATTATCATTCTGTTGTTTGTTTCTATTTTGATTCCATTGTGGTTATAAAATATTCTGTATCATTTCAGCATTTTTGTAATTACTTAGACTCTTCCTTCTCCACCAAAATATTTTGACAAATGCTCCATGGGTGCTTGAGAAAAAAAAAAATGAGTGTTCTGCTGTTGCTCCGTAAGTGTTGATTAGACCCTGTTTTTCTTGTTGTTGTTGTTTGTTTGTTTTTCTGAGACGGCGTTTTGCTCTTGTTGCCCAGGCTGGAGTGCAATGGCACGATCTCAGCTCACCACAACCTTTGCCTCCCAGGTTCAAGTGATTTTCCTGCCTTAGCCTCCCTAGTAGCTGGGATTATAGGTGCGTGCCACCAGGACAGGCTAATTATTATTATTGTTGTTATTATTATTATTATTATTATTGTATTTTTAGTAGAGATGGGGTTTTGCCATGTTGGCCAGGCTGGTCTCGAACTCCTGACCTCAGGTGATCCACCCTGCCTCAGCCTCTCAAAGTGCTGGGATTACAGGCGTGAGCCACCATGCCAAGCATATGAGAGCCTATTTTGAATTGTTCTATATCATTGCTGATTTTCTATCTAGTTGAGAAAGGGACGGTGAAATCTCAAACTGTAATCGTGGATTTGCCTGTTTCTCCCTTTGGTTCTATCAATTTTTGCTTCACAGTTTTTATGTCTCTGTTGTTTGGTGCATACACAATTAAGATTGACAGGTATTCATGGCAGATTGACTTTTTGTCATATTACAATAACCTTCTCTGCCTCTGATAATTTTCTTGCTTTTGAAGTCTGCTTTATCTAATAATAATATAACTTTTTCATTTCTTTTGATTGATATTTTCATGATGTATCCTTTCTATCATTTTATTTTTAACCTGCCTATATTGTTATATTTGAAGTGAGTTTTTGGTATACAATATATATTTAGGTCATATTTTATAATTTACTGGCCAATTTCAGCTTTTTAATTGATATGTTTAGATCAATTACCTATAATGCAGTTATTGTATGTTAAAACCTAAAGCTGACATTTAATTTTTTTTTCTGTGTGTTCTCATCTTTTGCTTGTCTATTTTTTTTTCTGCCTTTCTGGGGGTGACTTGAACATTTTTTAGAAATCAATTTTGATTTATCTATAGTGGTTTTGAGTATGTCTCTTTACATAGCTTTTTTAGTGGTTCTTTTTTGCATTACATTGTATGATATTACAACTTACTGCTGTCATCATATTACCAGTTTATTGATAAATAGAAACATTATTTCACTGTACTTCTATTTACTGTTCCTTATTACTGCCTTACATATTTCCTCCACATGAATTTAGAATTACATCAGACAATATTACATTTTTTGCTTCGAACATCAAACTAATTTAGAAAACTCAAGATAAAAGGAAACTACATAGTATTTGTTAATGTTTTCCCCTCACTCTGCTCTTGTCTTCCTTTCTCGTATCCCAAGATTTCTTCTTGTATCATTCCCTTTCTACTTAGAGAACTTTCTAGAGCCATTCTTTTAGGATAGGTCTGTTGGTAACATATTCTCCCAGTTTTACTTCCTCTGAATATGTCTTGATTTCCCCATCATTCTTGAAGGAAAGTTTTGGTGGATATAGAATTTGTGGGCAACATTTATTTTTTGTGATGTGCCAAATACAATCACAATCAAACCCCAGCGAGTTATTTTGTGGATATCAACAAACTGATTCTATAGTTTATATGGAGAGGCAAAAGACCCTGAATAGCCAACTCAACGTTAAAGGAGAAGAACAAATTTAGAGGACTACCACAATTCGACTTCAAGACTTCAGTCAAGCTACAGTCATCAAGATGGTGTGGTATTAGTGAAGGAATAGACAAATGGATAAATGGAACAGAAGAGAAAGCCCAGAAATAGACTCACATAAATAGTCACCTGATCTTAGACAAAGGAGCAAAGGCAATACAGTGGAGCAAAGATAGTCCTTTAACAAGTTGTGCTGATTAACTGGACAATCACACACACAAAAAATAATAATAAATCTAGACACAGACCTTATACTCATCACAAAAATTAGCTCAAAATAGAGCATAGGCCTAAATGCAAAACATAAAACTATGAGATTTCTAGAAGATAACAGAAAAAAAAACAGGTAACTTTCACTCTGGCAGTGACTTTTTAGATACGACACCAAAGGTATGATCTACAAAAGAGACAATGATAAGCTCTACTTCATTAAATTTAAAACTTCTGCTCTATTAAAGACTGTCAAGAGAATGAGAACACAGTCCACACACTTCGAGAAAATATTTGCAAACACACACCTAGTAAAGAACTGTTATCCAAAATATACAAAGAAACTTAAAATTCAACAATAATAAGATGAATAACCTGATTTTTAAGTGGGCAAAAAACTGATATGACACCTCACCAAAGAAGATATAGAGATTATAAGTAAGCATGTGAAAAGATGTTCAACAGTATATGTCATTAGGAAACTGCAATTCAAAACAGTGAGATACTGCTACTCACCTATTAGAATGCCCAAAGTCAGAACACTGGCAGCACCAAACGCTGGTGAGGATGTGGAGCAACAGGAACTCTCATTCATTTCTGGCAGGAATTCAAAATGGTATGGCCACTGTGGAAGACAGAGCGGCGGTTTCAGACAAAACTAAATATATTCTTACCACATAAACCAGGAATAGGCCAGGTGTGGTGGCTCATGCCTGTAATCCCAGCATTTTGGGAGGCTGAGGTGGGTGGATCACCTGAGGTTGGGAGTTCAAGATCAGCCTAGCCAACACGGCAAAACCCTGTCTCTACTAAAAATACAAAAATTAGCCAGGCATGGTGGTGGGCGCATGTAATCTCAGCTACTCGGGAGGCTGAGTCACGAGAATCGCTTAAACCTGGGAGGTGGAGGCTGCAACGAGCCAAGATCACGCCACTGCACTCCAGCCTGGGTGACAGAGTGAGACTCCGTCTCAAAAATAAAAAAAATAACAATAAACGAGGACTAACCCTTTGATATTCACCCAAAGGAGTTAAAAAATACGTTAACACAAAAATCCTCACATGGATGTTTATAACAGTTTATTCATAATTGCCAAACCTGGAAACAACCAAGATGTCCTTCAGTAGGTGGATGGATGCATAAGCTGTGGTACAAACAATAAAATACCATTCCATGTTAAAAAGAAATGAGCTATCAAGCCATGAAAAGACGGAGGAAACTTAAATGCGGAACACTAAGTGAAATAAGACAATCTTGAAAGTCTACATACTGTATGATGCCAGCTATACGACATTCTGCAAAAGTTAAAACTGGAGCTAGCAAAAAAATCAGCAGTTGCCAGGGGTTAGGGGGAAGGGAGGAATAAATAGGTGAAGCACAGGGGATTTTAAAACAAAACTACTCTATATGACACTGTAATGACAGATCTATATCATCATACATTTGTCCAATATACAACACCGAGAGGGAACCCTAATGTAAACAATGGACTCCGGGTGATGATGATGTGTCAGTGGAGGTCCCTCAATTGTAACAGATGCTCCACTCTGGTGGGTGAGGCTGATAGTGGAGAAGGCTGTGCATGCCAGGAGACAGGGCATATATGGGAACTCTGTGCCTTCATCTCAATTCTCCTGTGAACCTGAAACTGCTGTGAAAAATTAAGACTATTAGAAACTCAGTTCAACTTATTTGTGTGGGTCTGCTGGTGCCTCTTGATTAGGGGAGGCGAGTCTCGGGTTGTGAGACACAGAGCCTGCTGGCTGTGGCCGGGACCCTCGGGTTGGTCATGCCAGCCCACTCCAGTGTGTCCTCATGGGGCAGGGAGTCTCAGGCTTGTCGGAACGAAGAGGCTTTCCTGGCCCGGGGCTTGTTGTAATGAAATCCTCCTATCGGTATTTCTGGGTGGAGAGGGAATGAAGGAGCTGCACTCCCTGGCCGGTCAAGGAAACCCTTGTTAGTGGTGCTGTGAGAGAGCCCCTCCCATTCCAGGGAGGAATGGGCCCATGTGGGCTGCCGTTTGCTGTAAAGCCCAGGGTCTGGGCTGCCTTCTGTTGATAAAGGAGCTGTAGACATCCTGCTGCCACTTTTTTCCCAAGCCGATTCACCTTTCTTTTACTACCTTCCACTGTTTTCCTTTGGTTACTTCCGCAGTTTATAGGTGAACTTAGTGGGGGAGAACAAAGATAAATGTGTTCACTGCATCCTGTCAGGACCGGAAGCGTATTTCTCCAAGCTTTGAGCACATAGCTGTACTGTACATGCAAAAGAAATTTGTTTTGCTGGATGGCTGGTACATTCTTTACAATGTGCTATTTGAAAAATATTCATACTCATTTCCTTCGTTATTGTAGACATGCATTGGGTTCTATGGGATTTTATTCACCTATGAAATTAAGTCCAAAGATGAGAGGAATGGGGAAAAAAAGTCACAGGTTTAAAGCAGTGCATTGGATTATTTTTCTGGTCCACAATTGCGTCCGACCCAACACTGCTTTACTAGACTGAGAGGCTGCCTTGTAGGGGAGGGTGGAGGGCTGGAGCTGCCTGAGGTGGAGTGGAGAAGACACACAAAACAGTGGTGGGGGCACAGGAGTTTCCCCAGCATAGCATCTACGAAGCCTCCAGGAATACACCCCAACCTGACACCGGGGCACACCTGCGTTGAAATCAGACAGGAATTGCCAGCTTGAAGACGGAAGTCACAAGAGAAGCCCTCAGCTTCAATGATAAAGATTACTTCAAGGCAGAGCAAAGATACTCATCATTTGTTTGGTCCTTCTTACTTTAAAATAACAGTAAAATCTAATCGAGCTTAATGAGCATTTTCTAAGTTTGTAATAAAATATGCTTATTCCTCCCATCTTCACATGTTATATATATTTAAATTAGCTTTATGTAACCTTTTTTAAAGCAAATTATTTTGAAGCACAAGACGAATAAACAAACATCCATACAATATGGATAGATGGCATACTGAGTCACCATAACATCATCACACCATGTTCACCGCCTGAGTCTAACCACTCCCAGGCCCCTGTAAACTGCCAGGCCTCCACCCTCCCTCTCCTCTGAAGGACCTTACTTGTGAGTGGTGAGGGTCACTCACCTGCTGGTATGAATAATTCTCATACATAAGTATGCATCTAAATATTACACTTCATTTTGCTTGCTTATGGACATTCTATAAATGAAATCCCACAAATTTGTTATTTTGTATCTGACTTTTTTTTTTAACTAAACACTATGCTATGTATTCATGTTGTCTTAATTGATCCTTTGCATTTAAGGAAAAGCATGCCCACAAATGGAAAGATGAGATGTGAGCAAGGATCCATGCAACAGAGTGACATAGCATGCAATATTCATGTTAAAGATGTGAAAACACCAAGGGAACAAAACTTGTAAACTTAAACAAATACCTGAATAAAAAAACAGCTTATGAATTGGCACTTAGAGAGTGCCTATGAGAGACAGACTTCTAATTTCTTCTAATTTATATAGTGACTTGATGGGACAGCATCATAAGCCACACTTTTTAGGGCAGAAGATAGAAACCTGGAAAAGCCTGGTCCCCCGCTCCAGGGCAGCGGTCATCTAGTCCAGGTGCACACTTCAAAGCCATGTTCTTACCCACTTAAACTATCATACGCTGTCCTCATAGAATCAAAGGGAACTGAAAAGATAGATCTCCTGCCAGAGGTCAGTGAGGGAAAGGCTGATGAATGATAAACAGAAACCAAAACTCAATTTTTATGTTAATTCAGTCTTCCCCATCAAACTAAATCATTTTGGACAGAACGGGCAAAACAAATATTGTTAAGAGGAAATTTAAGCCCAACAAGACCATAAGAAAAATGTGATTTGCTTCTAACTTTTCTCAATAGTAGTTTGAGCCTCTTGGCCAAAATAAATTATATACCCAAATAGATAAACTGTCTACACTTGTTGAACGAATGGGTGGCCAGGACCACTGCTCCACTGTGGGTCATCATGACTGCCTGTAGACAGGGGAGGAGACTAGAAAGATGACACCAAGAGCAGGAACGTGGGAAGTGAGTGTCCAGTTTGACTACAGACATGAAATCCTGCTGCAGAACTTAGGCAAGAATCCAAGGATGCTGTGCAAGTGCTTAGAAAGGAGACAGTGATCACTCAAGTCACCAGAGGTTTACAAAGAATAAGGAGCTATGCCAACAAGCCTGATTTCCTTTGTTGTCCAGCTGGCAAATCAGGGATACATGGCAAACAGGATTCCAAGAAGGCGTCTATCGGGGTCTCCTTCTGTCCTTTGGCATGTGGGTTGAAGAATGCAGGAGACAACGAGTGATAAATGTGATCAAGGGTACTGTGGAGGGCAGCTTCCAGTGTGAGTTCAGGCCTGTTTTCAGCTCAGGCTTGGCCACTCTTTTCCTTAACCATCTGGAGGAAGGAGTGGAAAGAAAACGTATTAAATTGCTGGGTGACCGGAAGCTGGGTAGGGAATGTAGCAGGCTGGATAGCAAGATGAGGACACCAAAACACCCCAAGTGTCTAGACTGGTGGGCTTCATTAAATCTTTAAATCTTAATAGAGATTTAAAATGCTTTACATTTGGTTAAAAGTTAAGAGAAAAAACAGAAAACAATGTTGCTAATATGTACATAGGGACACAAGGCCCAGCTTCAGCTCTTGGTAAAATATGTTAATGGTTGAATGGAAATTAAATATCAATCAATTTAGCCATGTACCTCCTCCTTGGATATTTCCAAGTCATATCCACTCATCAAGATTGATTCAAAAAGCCTTTTACATCATAAAACTTTTTGTGTCTTCCTGGCCAATGTGATCCTTCTGTCCTTTGTGTTATTAGGACATTTGTTACCATTTTCTTCCTAATACATTGTGGAAAACACCTTATGGGATCCCTAAAACCTCTGCCTGGTTTGAGGCCTTGACTCCCATTTTGAACATCTCTCAGTAAAGTAGCTGCTCAATAAATAGTTATTAAACGAAAGCTATTGTATGAGTGTAACAAAACAGTAGTGTGGTCTTGGGTCAAGTTGATATAAATGCAGTGTCTGGACATGGGCCAAGAGGGTGAATTGAGATTAGGGCACTTCCAAATGGAGGTAATTGGGGTTTGAGATCAGATGGGGGCAGAATTTGAAATCACTCCATAAGAGGAACAGTAGAAAGAACCAGAAGATAAGTTTGTTGGTGTTTTGGGTGTTTGATTTTAGCTGGAAAATAGAAGACTTGGGACAGAGAGAAGTGAGATATAACATGATCTTTATCTGAGCCATTTGAAGGACTTTCATGTGAAGGAGGGGTATTCTTTGCTCTGTTTTGATTAAGTGGGCAAACCAAAGGAAACCATATACACATAGAAACTTTCTAAAACTTTAGAATGGGTCAAGGATAGAATACGGTGTCTCAGTAAGTCATGAGTCCCATTTACTGGATGTTTTCAGAGTTGAAATACCATCTACAGATGGCATTATCTAGGCAATTGACTAGGATTTATTGTAGAACAAGAGCATATAACAGCCTATCATACAATCACCATCCTCCAACAGAGTGGCACATTTGTTACAAATCATGAACCTACAATGACACATCAGTATCCCCGAAGTCCATAGTTAGCCTTAAGGTTCACTCTTGAAATTGCATTCTATAGATGTTGACAAATGTCAAAAAAGTCTGTGTCTGGATTTATTGATTGCTTGATTGCCAGTAAATATCCAATTGTTCCAGCACCGTTTGTTCAAAAGATTATCATTGATTCATTGTGTTGCCTTTGCTCCTGTGTCAAAGTTGAGCTGACTATATTTATGTGGGTCTATTTCTGGGTTTTTCTATTCTGTTTCATTAATTTGTCCATTCTTTCCAATAATACCATGATATCTTGATATCTTGATTACTGAAGTTTTAAAGTAAGTCTCGAGGTCAGGTAGTGCCAGTCTTTCAATTTTGTTCTTCTTCAATATTGTGTTGGCTATTCTGGATCTTTTGCCTCTCCATATCAACTTAGAATCAGTTTGTCAATATCCACAAAATACTGGGATTTTGATTGTAGGATTTAAAAAGAAGTGACATCTTGCCAATATTGAGCCTTCCTATACATGAACATAAAATACTTCTCTATTTTTTATTTTTTTATTTCTTTTACCAGATTTTTCTAATTTTCCTCATAAGATGCTGTACATATTTTGTGAGATTTATACCTAACTATTTAATTTGTTGAGGTCCTAATATAAAGGATATTGAGTTCTTAATTTCAAATTCCAATCATTCATTCCCAGTATATAGAGAAACAATTAACATTTGGATCCTAACCTTGTATCCTGCAAACTTTCTATAATCGCTTATTAGTTCTAAAAGGGTTTTTGGTTGTCGATTCTTTGGGATTTTCTACATAGATGATCATGTCTTCTGTAAACAAAGATGGCTTTATTTCTTCTTTCTCCATCTATACATCTTTTATTTCCTTTTCTTGTCTTACTGCACTAGCTAGGACTTCTACTATGATGTTGAAAAGGAGTGGTGCCTGACAAACACTATTTCAACAGGTGACCAAGGTCAACATCTTTTTTTTTCTTTGAGACGGAGTCTTGCTCTGTTGCCCAAGTTGGAGAGCAGTGGTGTGATCCCAGCTCACTGCAACCTCCGTCTCCCAGGTTCAAGTGATTCTCATGCCTCAGCCCCCTGAATAGCTGGGATTACAGGCACAGGCTACCATACCCAGCTAATTTTTTGTATTTTTAGTAGAGACAGGGTTTCACCACATTGGCCAGGACGGTCTAGAACTCCTGACCTCAGGTGATCCACCCGCTTCAGGCTCCCAAAGTGCTGGGATTACAGGTGTGAGCCACCGCGCCCAGCTCAAGGCCAACATTTAAAGTGATATATCTTATTGATAGTATGTACCCTTGATATGATGTGATGAAAATGGCATTTTACCTCTGTGATCTTCGTCCCAAAACCCATAACGTCAGTCTAATCATGAGAAAAACATCAGACGGCATCTGCCAAAACAACTGTCCATTATTTCTCAAACCTGTAAATGTCACTAGAGAGAAGGGAGTTTGAGAAATAGTCAATCAAAAGCAGCCCAAGAAGACATGCTCACTAAAGGTAGAGTGTACCTAGTGTACCCTTGTAGACAGGATCCTGGAACAGAAAAGGGGCAGTAGGTAAAAGCCCAAGAAACCTGGATATAGTATGGACTTGTGTTACATAATTTATCAATATTGTGATAAATCATAATTTATCAATATTGTGATAAATCATAATTTATCATTAATTTGTGACAAATAAACCACAGCTACATAAGATGCTAACAGTAAAAGAAATTCTATATGGGAGCGGGAGAGGCATATGGGAAGTCTCTGTGCTATCTGCTTAATTTCTTCATTAATCCAAAGGTGTTGTAAAAAAATAAAGTGAATTAATAAGAAAGGTGGGATCTCTGAAGTAATAGAACTGCTCAGCATGGGGGGAGGAGCCAAGATGGCCGAATAGGAACAGCTCCAGTCTACAGCTCCCAGCATGAGCGATGCAGAAGACGAGTGATTTCTGCATTTCCATCTGAGGTACCGGGTTCATCTCACTACGGAGTGCCAGACTGGGCGCAGGTCAGTGGGTGCGTGCACCGTGCACGAGCCGAAGCAGGGCGAGGCATTGCCTCACTTGGGAAGCGCAAGGGGTCAGGGAGTTCCCTTTCTGAGTCAAAGAAAGGGGTGACAGACGCACCTGGAAAATCGGGTCACTCCCACCCGAATATTGCGCTTTTCGGACTGGCTTAAAAAACGGCGCACCACGAGATTATATCCCGTACCTGGCTCGGAGGGTCCCACGCCCACGGAGTCTCACTGATTGCTAGCACAGCAGTCTGAGATCAAACTGCAAGGCAGCAGTGAGGCTGGGGGAGGGGCGCCTGCCATTGCCCAGGCTTGCTTAGGTAAACAAAGCAGCCGGGAAGCTCGAACTGGGTGGAGCCCACCACAGCTCACGGAGGTCTGCCTGCCTCTGTAGGCTCCACCTCTGGGGGCAGGGCACAGACAAACAAAAAGACAGCAGTAACCTCTGCAGACTTAAATGTCCCTGTCTGACAGCTTTGAAGAGAGCAGTGGTTCTCCCAGCATGCAGCTGGAGATCTGAGAACGCACAGACTGCCTCCTCAAGTGGGTCCCTGACCCCTGCCCACCGAGCAGCCTAACTGGGAGGCACCCCCCAGCAGGGGCACACTGACACCTCACACGGCAGGGTATTCCAACAGACCTGCAGCTGAGGGTCCTGTCTGTTAGAAGGAAAACTAACAAACAGAAAGGACATCCACACCAAAAACGCATCTGTACATCACCATCATCAAAGACCAAAAGTAGATAAAACCACAAAGATGGGGAAAAAACAGAACAGAAAAACTGGAAACTCTAAAACGCAGAGCGCCTCTCCTCCTCCAAAGGAACGCAGTTCCTCACCAGCAACGGAACAAAGCTGGATGGAGAATGACTTTGACGAGCTGAGAGAAGAAGGCTTCAGACGATCAAATTACTCTGAGCTACGGGAGGACATTCAAACCGAAGGCAAAGAAGTTGAAAACTTTGAAAAAAATTTAGAAGAATGTATAACTAGAATAACCAATACAGAGAAGTGCTTTAAGGAGCTGATGGAGCTGAAAACCAAGGCTCGAGAACAACGTGAAGAATGCAGAAGCCTCAGGAGCCGATGCGATCAACTGGAACAAAGGGTATCAGTAATGGAAGATGAAATAAATGAAATGAAGCGAGAAGGGAAGTTTAGAGAAAAAAGAATAAAAAGAAATGAGCAAAGCCTCCAAGAAATATGGGACTACGTGAAAAGACCAAATCTACGTCTGATTGGTGTACCTGAAAGTGATGGGGAGAATGGAACCAAGTTGGAAAACATGCTGCAGGATATTATCCAGGAGAACTTCCCCAATCTAGCAAGGCAGGCCAACGTTCAGATTCAGGAAATACAGAGAACGCCACAAAGATACTCCTCGAGAAGAGCAACTCCAAGACACATAATTTTCAGATTCACCAAAGTTGAAATGAAGGAAAAAATGTTAAGGGCAGCCAGAGAGAAAGGTCGGGTTACCCTCAAAGGGAAGCCCATCAGACTAACAGCAGATCTCTCGGCAGAAACCCTACAAGCCAGAAGAGAGTGGGGGCCAATATTCAACATTCTTAAAGAAAAGAATTTTCAACCCAGAATTTCATATCCAGCCAAACTAAGCTTCATAAGTGAAGGAGAAATAAAATCCTTTACAGACAAGCAAATGCTGACAGATTTTGTCACCACCATGCCTGCCCTAAAAGAGCTCCGAAGGAAGCGCTAAACATGGAAAGGAACAACCGGTACCAGCTGCTGCAAAATCATGCCAAAATGTAAAGACCATCGAGACTAGGAAGAAACTGCATCAACTAACGAGCAAAATCACCAGCTAACATCATAATGACAGGATCAAATTCACACATAACAGTATTAACTTTAAATGTAAATGGACTAAATGCTCCAATTAAAAGACACAGACTGGCAAACTGGATAAAGAGTCAAGACCCATCAGTGTGCTGTATTCAGGAAACCCATCTCACGTGCAGAGACACACATAGGCTCAAAATAAAAGGATGGAGGAAGATCTACCAAGCAAATGGAAAACAAAAAAAGGCAGGGGTTGCAATCCTAGTCTCTGAAAAAACAGACTTTAAACCAACAAATATCAAAAGAGACAAAGAAGGCCATTACATAATGGTAAAGGGATCAATTCAACAAGAAGAGCTAACTATCCTAAATATATATGCACCCAATACAGGAGCACCCAGATTCATAAAGCAAGTCCTGAGTGACCTACAAAGAGACTTAGACTCCCACACATTAATAATGGAAGACTTTAACACCCCACTGTCAACATTAGACAGATCAACGAGACAGAAAGTCAACAAGGATACCGAGGAATTGAACTCAGCTCTGCACCAAGCGGACCTAATAGACATCTACAGAACTCTCCACCCCAAATCAACAGAATATACATTTTTTTCAGCACCACACCTATTCCAAAATTGACCACATAGTTGGAAGTAAAGCTCTCCTCAGCAAATGTAAAAGAACAGAGATTATAACAAACTATCTCTCAGACCACAGTGCAATCAAACTAGAACTCAGGATTAAGAATCTCACTCAAAACCGCTCAATTACATAGAAACTGAACAACCTGCTCCTGAATGAATACTGGATACATAACGAAATGAAGGCAGAAATAAAGATGTTCTTTGAAACCAATGAGAACAAAGACACAACATACCAGAATCTCTGGGACGCATTCAAAGCAGTGTGTAGAGGGAAATTTATAGTACTAAATGCCCACAAGAGAAAGCAGGAAAGATCCAAAATTGACACCCTAACACCACAATTAAAAGAACTAGAAAAGCAAGAGCAAACACATTCAAAAGCTAGCAGAAGGCAAGAAATAACTAAAATCAGAGCAGAACTGAAGGAAATAGAGACACAAAAAACCCTTCAAAAAAGTTAATGAATCCAGGAGATGGTTTTTTGAAAGGATCAACAAAATTGATAGACTGCTAGCAAGACTAATAAAGAAAAAAAGAGAGAAGAATCAAATAGACACAATAAAAAATGATAAAGGGGATATCACCACCGATCCCACAGAAATACAAACTACCATCAGAGAATACTACAAACACCTCTACGCAAATAAACTAGAAAATCTAGAAGAAATGGATAAATTCCTCGACACATACACTCTCCCAAGACTAAACCAGGAAGAAATTGAATCTCTGAATAGACCAATAACAGGAGCTGAAATTGTGGCAATAATCAATAGTTTACCAACCAAAAAGAGTCCAGGACCAGATGGATTCACAGCCGAATTCTACCAGAGGTACAAGGAGGAACTGGTACCATTCCTTCTGAAACTATTCCAATCAATAGAAAAAGAGGGAATCCTCCCTAACTCATTTTATGAGGCCAGCATCATTCTGATACCAAAGCCAGGCAGAGACACAACAAAAAAAGAGAATTTTAGACCAATATCCTTGATGAACATTGATGCAAAAATCCTCAATAAAATACTGGCAAAACGAATCCAGCAGCACATCAAAAAGCTTATCCACCATGATCAAGTGGGCTTCATCCCTGGGATGCAAGGCTGGTTCAATATACGGAAATCAATAAATGTAATACAGCATATAAACAGAGCCAAAGACAAAAACCACATGATTATCTCAATAGATGCAGAAAAAGCCTTTGACAAAATTCAACAACCCTTCATGCTAAAAACTCTCAATAAATTAGGTATTGATGGGACGTATTTCAAAATAATAAGAGCTATCTATGACAAACCCACAGCCAATATCATACTGAATGGGCAAAAACTGGAAGCATTCCCTTTGAAAACTGGCACAAGACAGGGATGCCCTCTCTCACCACTCCTATTCAACATAGTGCTGGAAGTTCTGGCCAGGGCAATTAGGGAGGAGAAGGAAATAAAGGGTATTCAATTAGGAAAAGAGGAAGTCAAATTGTCCCTGTTTGCAGATGACATGATTGTATATCTAGAAAACCCCATTGTCTCAGCCCAAAATCTCCTTAAGCTGATAAGCAACTTCAGCAAAGTCTCAGGATACAAAATCAATGTACAAAAATCACAAGCATTCTTATACACCAATAACAGACAAAGAGAGAGCCAAATCATGAGTGAACTCCCATTCACAATTGCTTCAAAGACAATAAAATACCTAGGAATACAACTTACAAGGGATGTGAAGGACCTCTTCAAGGAGAACTACAAACCACTGCTCAAGGAAATAAAAGAGGATACAAACAAATGGAAGAACATTCCATGCTCATGGGTAGGAAGAATCAATATTGTGAAAATGGCCATACTGCCCAAGGTAATTTATAGATTCAATGCCATCGCCATAAAGCTACCAATGACTTTCTTCACAGAATTGGAGAAAACTACTTTAAAGTTCATATGGAACCAAAAAAGAGCCCGCGTCGCCAAGGCAATCCTAAGTCAAAAGAACAAAGCTGGAGGCATCACACTACCTGACTTCAAACTATACTACAAGGCTACAGTAACCAAAACAGCATGGTACTGGTACCAAAACAGAGATATAGATCAATGGAACAGAACAGAGCCCTCAGAAATAACGCCGCATGTCTATAACTATCTGATCTTTGACAAACCTGAGAAAAACAAGCAATGGGGAAAGGATTCCCTATTTAATAAATGGTGCTGGGAAAACTGGCTACCCATATGTAGAAAGCTGAAACTGGATCCCTTCCTTACACCTTATACAAAAATCAATTCAAGATGGATTAAAGACTTAAACGTTAGACCTAAAACCATAAAAACCCTAGAAGAAAACCTAGGCATTACCATTCAGGACATAGGCATGGGCAAGGACTTCATGTCCAAAACACCAAAAGCAATGGCAACAAAAGACAAAATTGACAAATGGGATCTAATTAAACTAAATAGCTTCTGCACAGCAAAAGAAACCACCATCAGAGTGAATAGGCAACCTACAGAATGGGAGAAAATTTTTGCAACCTACTCATCTGACAAAGGGCTGATATCCAGAATCTACAATGAACTTAAACAAATTTACAAGAAAAAAACAAACAACCCCATCAAAAAGTGGGCGAAGGACATGAACAGACACTTCTCAAAAGAAGACATTTATGCAGCCAAAAAACACATGAAAAAATGCTCATCATCACTGGCCATCAGAGAAATGCAAATCAAAACCACAATGAGATACCATCTCACACCAGTTAGAATGGAGATCATTAAAAAGTCAGGAAACAACAGGTGCTGGAGAGGATGTGGAGAAATAGGAACACTTTTACACTGTTGGTGGGACTGTAAACTAGTTCAACCATTGTGGAAGTCAGTGTGGCGATTCCTCAGGGATCTAGAACTAGAAATACCATTTGACCCAGCCATCCCATTACTGGGTATATACCCAAAGGACTACAAATCATGCTGCTATAAAGACACATGGACTCGTATGTTTATTGCGGCACTATTCACAATAGCAAAGACTTGGAACCAACCCAAATGTCCAACAATGATAGACTGGATTAAGAAAATGTGGCACATATACACCATGGAATACTATGCAGCCATAAAAAATGATGAGTTCATGTCCTTTGTAAGGACATGGATGAAATTGGAAATCATCATTCTCAGTAAACTATCACAAGAACAAAAAACCAAACACCGCATATTCTTACTCATAGGTGGGAACTGAACAATGAGATCACATGGACACAGGAAGGGGAATATCACACTCTGGGGACTGTGGTGGGGTGGGGGGAGGGGGGAGGGATAGCATTGGGAGATATACCTAATGGTGGATGACGAGTTAGTGGGTGCAGCACACCAGCATGGCACATGTATACATATGTAACTAACCTGCACAATGTGCACATGTACCCTAAAACTTAAAGTATAATAAAAAAAAGAAAAAAAAATTATTAATAAAATTATAACTTAATAAAAAAACAATTAATAAAAAGGCTCTAACAGAATTTTAGCTGTGTGGTGGGGTATAAACCTTACTTTAAAGGAATCCAGTTAATAAATACTCAAGCTTTTAAAAGCAAAAAAAAATAAAAGAACTGCTCAGTATCTTAACTGTGGTAGTGAAGACACAAACATATTCATGGGATAGAATTGCCCAGGGCTAAATACTTGCATGCACACACACACAAATAAGAATAAGTAAAACTAGGCAAATCTGAAGAACAGTGGGTTATATTAATGTCAACATCCTGGTTGTAATACTGCAAGCCTATAGTTTTGCAAGATGTTCCAATGAGGAAAACTGGTTAAAGGATACAACTACATGTGGATCTGTCATCATCTCAGCAAAAATTTCAATTAAAAAAGTAAACAGTTCCAAAAAGAACAGCTTTAAGGGCAGCAAAGAAGGCAGGAATTTGAGCAATTTCATGCCTCTGAAGTCAGTTTTTATGTGAATAAAGAAATATCCAAAATAGAAAGGATGGAGCAAATTCTAGAGGAAGCAATAACAATAATAGTAGTAGTAAGAAGAAAAGGAAGGATACAGGGAAGAAGAAGAAAAAGGAGTTGCAGAAGGAGGCATATTAGTGTCCCCGTGGATAACCAGATGTCAACGTTTGCCATTTGAACACATGACGCACTAACAGAAGATGTCAATAAATAATGTTTGGAAAAACAACAATAATCAGAAAATTTCGGAACTCTGATCTCAAGAGCTATTTAGTAAGGTTGACACTGGCCATTTTCAAGGTTCACTGTACAATGTTAAAACTCTTGTGTGACACAAGCTTGGGCTTCCTTAATAAACAAAGTGAAGTTTCCTGTGTCAGTAGGAGAGGTCAGGAGTAAGGAGTTCACCAGCCCTGCCTAACTGAGGCAGTCTCCCCTTAGCACCCTTCCAAAGACACCCAGCAGCATAAATACAGTCCTATCATCAAGGATGGATGTGGCAGCCACAAATGATGGGAGACTCTTCAGGTCCATCTCACAAGGAGGGGAGTAGAAAGACTGGTATTTGTATAATGGCCTTCAGTTTCCAGATGTCAAAGATTCCCTCAGGCTTCCTCTGCCAGAAAGCTTCAACAAGGTATAGCACAGACAAGATCTATGACACATAGAAGTTTGGATCAATAATGTGGAAAAGTGAGCCTCCCTGGAGGCTCTGGGCTTTCACAGCACTATGCCTCAGTGTCTGGGCTTTCCTCCTTTTTTTTTCTGCACCTGCACCCGTATTGAGTCAGCATCTGCTCCCATCACATGAGCCAGGTAAAGATGCATTTGGTCGAGCAGATTGCATCTCCTCATCTGGCCTGACATTTGTCTGTCATGCTGTGGCTGGAATGTGATACCTAGTCGACAAAACACAGCCCTCACACATGTCAGAAGGCCCTTTGTTCCACCAGCAAGCCCCTGCTGCTTGGGGTCCTCTGATGGCTCCGGGATTCAGGCCTGTCTCTTCTTGGTTCTTTCAAGACAAATGGCCAGATCACAAGAAAGGAGGTGCTGCTCAGTTCAACATCCGTACCTCCCCATACAAACACACCTCTGCCTGCATGCTTCAGAGTCAATCCTGGAGGCTTCGGAATCCTGTGCACACTCATGTGTGTGCCTGTGTGTGAGAGTGTGCTCAGCTCTGATCTTTTGTTTTTATCTTGAGCCTTGTCCTGAGAGTTCTTGGCATCTTGGATGAGGTGGCAAAATAACAGCAGGGGGCAATGGCTCAAAGGAAGGACTCTGCAAGCAGTCACAGATGCGAAGCATCTGCATCTAGGAGAGAGAAAACAAGAACTCCATAGTCCAAAAGTGCATCACAACAACCTCCCTGCTCCCTCTGAAGGAATTATAAACAGCGCTCAAGAATCTTAGGAAAAGAAGTGTGGAAAATGTCTCATTTACATTCTCTGAAAACTCCATTCATAGCACATATCCCATGTATATAACAGAGGATGTTATGTTTTTGAAAAAGACCTCCTTATCATTATCATTTCCTGATGCACTGGATATATCTGATGGATGCATCCGTCTCCTAAGGCCAGCAGACAGAGTTATGATGAGCTGGCTTCACCCTCTCAGTGAAGTTCTTTCTTCATCAACGCTCCTCTGAGCGAGAAACCCCTCAGTCAGCTCTGAAACTACCATGAATGAATTACTTACATCCTAAATGTCCTTGCATTTGTACTAACCCCTACTCATGCATAACAGCTTATGCTAAACTCCAGTCAGACTGAAAAGTATTAATCCTAGGCTCCTTACAAGCAGATTGGAAGATCTAACAATATGTGAGATTTTTAAGAGTGATTACAGAAATTTATCACTAAGATGGCTTTTTTTTTTTTTGGTCTTTTTTGAGTCTGAATGGAGTGCTGTCAGCATCTCACTCCTTCCTTAAGAGGAGGCATGCTGACTGGCACAGGGACAGTGGTACAGTGTCTCTACCAAGTTGCTGGACTCTTTTCAAGCCTTTCGTAAGATTTCCTCTATATATGGTCCCTTGACATTCTCTGCAAGGCCCCATGTTTGAGGGCCAGGCTGGTGAGGGGAAAGGGGCCTGATGTGTATGAGCCCTTCCTGGAAGGGGCATGACTCCAAATACCACAGTGCATGCTGCTGAAGGATGCATGGACCCGATGAAGAGACCTTAGTATTGGTTGGGAATTCGAACAAGGTCATCTCCTCAGTACCTTCCAATTCTAAGATACTGCTATTCTAAAATTAAGTCAATGCTGGATAAGAGGAATGGTATTCGTGGGCCCAGGCAGGGGGTCTCAAAGCAGGGCTCTCTGCAACATTTGGTTCCCTGAATACAATCTGGATGATGGCTGTGGCTTCTACATTTTCTGCAAAGCAATACAGGGCAGTCCTGATCCCCGAATCCTTCTATTTCCTTGACACCAGACCCTCATCAAGCAGGCAGGTGCTGTGCAGCCACACACCACTTCTGAACCTGCTAGTACCCTGAAGTTCATTTTGCATCTGAGCGGCTCGTTCAACAATTAAAACCTGTCTTTTTTTTATAGGCTCAGTTTCTTGTTAAACTGGATCCTGAACCAACAACTCCAACCTAGCCACTGCGTTCAGTGCAACAGAGTGTCCAAAGACGAGCACATCAGGGACCTGGCCATCAAATAACTTTGATGGTGGGCCAGGCAGAAGACGTTATCATCATGACGTCTCAGGTCATGATGCCAGGGAAGAATAAATAAATGCAAGGTGCCAGGGAAGAATAAATAAATGCAAGACTTACATTGTCTTAATGGATTGGGGGCACTTTTGTGGAGTAGATAAATAGCCTTTGAAAAATGGTTAGGATTTCAACAATTAGAAGGAAGGGGCATGGACATAACTAGAAAGCAAGTTATAGGCTAAGAGAGCAAAGTCAGCAAAGGAAAAGAGGCACAGAGGTGCAGCTGTGACCGGCTATGCAGAAGGTAGGCTCGGGCCCAGGCACGCTGGGGCCAAGGGAGCAAGAGGAGCAGGCGGATAGATGGGCTCCCTGGACACCAGACTGATGAGTTTGGACGCTGTTTCTCCAGCAGCGGATGATGACTGAAGGAGTCTGAGCAAGGGGTGCTGTGCTCAGGATACTCCTGGGTGTGTGACAGTCAGACCTAAGGTGTGGCTGGGAGGCAAAGGGTCAGGAACTAGGAGTGCTTTGCCCCTGGGAGCTTGTTTCCACTTGGGGCCTGGCGCCTACCCCTTATTCCGCCATCCACTCTACCCACAGCATCCGTCCTGAAGCAAAGTAGGAATCTTTTTCTAAAGAAACTCGTTTTAAATTGAAGACTCTTGAAAAAACCCTGAAAATCCAAAAGGCATGCCTCCGCCGCTGGAAGGGAGCCCTCCAGGAGGGAATGGAAGAGGCCTGGAGGAGAAGGCGAAGGCAAAGGCGCGCACCAAGCCTGCTTCTCAGAGTTGGCGCCTCCCCGGGAATCCCCCAACCCTGGACCTGGCCTGAAAGCAAGGCACCAGCTTTTAGATCCCCTGATGAGTCCTGTCTTTTTCTCAGGCTTCAGGATTCCATTTCGCTGCTCCGAATAAGGCGTCAGGTCTGGAAGGCCGCCGGGCGGAGGCGCAGAGCCCTGACACCACCCCATCCAGAGCACGCAGCCCAGCGCGAGGGAGCAGGGGCCCGGCCACCTCACCTCCGCCACACCCGCGGCTTCTTCCTTCCTGCCAGAGAATCGCAAAGGCTCTCTGCTCAGAGTCCGTCACCCACATTCATGTCTTTAATTGCCTTGTATAAGGAGTCATTTAATTTTTGACCTGTTTCTATAGGTTGATAAACGAAACAGAGAACAAAAGAAAGTTGCCAACAACAAAACAACAACTTAAAGCCAAATTCTTGGTAAGTATAGACTTTTCAAAACCATGAGAAAATGGAAAACGTTTTCAAAAATTCCATTGGCCAAATCTAGTGATAGTGATTTAGATACATCTTCCTTTTCTAGTGACAAAGCACAAAGCGACCAGCTAAGGACCCAGGGGGCAGGCACAGAGCTGGTCAAATCTCTCCTCTCACAAAAGCTCCATGGGCAAGCTTATGATTTTTTAAAGTCAAGAGAAAACACACACAGAAAAGGAACTTTCCTACATTTCTCTACTAGCAAATGGCCTGGCCCCGCCTCTCACTTTCCAGGTTCAGGGTTTGCCTCCAGGTGGTAGAAGGCTCTGGGGCTGGCCACCCCGCTCCTGGAGGGGCCACCTTACAAGGGGACCAGGCATTCTCCTGCAGATTCCGCCCAGCAGGGAAAGGGCTGCACTCTCAGGAGCTTCCTTGCTGACCTGCTCTCAGCAGAGAGGAAATGGCCTCCCTCCCATCTTGGCTGCAGAGCCGGCAAGCATAAAGGGCTGAAAAGGAGGGTGGAGCATGATTCATTCTTAGCTGAAAAGTGACTCAAAAAGGAAATTGCCTGGTGTGCCGGATGACACAGTGCATCGTAACCTGCTGTGACCAGGCCTGTCTGTCATGCAGCTGTCTACCTTTCCCTTGGAAGCCAGTCAAGTGGACACCGGCACACTCCAACCTCCAGCCAGCACACGGTGACTAACAGGTCTCTCCTCGGCTGAACCTCTCACTCTGACCACTCCCAGCTCTGCACCATGGCTGCCATGCAGTCACATTAAGGCTGGAAGAAAAGTAGAAACCATTTCCATACAAAGGAGGGACCTGCTGGGGTGCCCAGGAGGAGAAAAAGAGCCACACTTAGAATTCTCAGAAATGATGTTTTAACTTCCCCACCATAAATGTTTCCTGTCTCATGCTCATAACTGTCCCTAAGTCACCTGCAAAAAAAGGGGAAAATGGTACTTTTGATTTTACAATTTCTTTCTTTTTATTTCTTTTCTCTTTCTCTTTCTTTCATTTCTCGGTATTTCTTTTTATTTCTTTCTGGGATGTATGCACCTTAAACTTTAAACACAGCAGGTACTAAAAAATAAAGATTAGATTGAAGTATATGAAACTGATATTTTGGTAAGTCAAAAATGGACAAATATCCTCAATTTATATCGTTCAATCTAACAGACGACATGAAAGGGTAGTCAAAGCTTCTAAAGCTGCTAAATTGTCTTTCCCTGGGCTTCACTGGCACTGGTGAGTTGCTGGCCTAGTTTGCTGCCAGGTGCACGCTAACCTCCTTACCTGGTCAGTCCCCACCAGCTGCTCCCTGAGGTGCCCAGAAGCTGGCCCATGGTCATCACTGCCTTTCTCCCCACCAAGGAGATGCCAGGCCCTTTCCACAGCTACACATAAAGTCGGTGTTGTGTTGAATTCTGGGCAAAGTTCACAACAAACTAGCCCCATGGGTTTGCCATAGAGTCTGCCACTGTCACTGTGGCCAGAGGAGCCCTGGAGCTCCTCCCACACCTCATGAGAATGGCCAGTGACATGCCAGAGCTCCTGGTGCTTCAGGTGAAGAAGACCCTCTTGTAAATCCATCTCAGTCCACTCCCATATTCCCTGAACTGGGCTGGGAGGGAGCCAGCTCCACTGGGACAGGGAATCCCTGCTGTACTCCCAGGTCACAGTGAATGTGTGTTGGCAAATCCCATCCTCCCAAGATGTCAAAGTGGATGCAGAAGAGGAACACGAGACACACACACACACACACACACACACCCCTTCTTACACCCAGGACAAAACACCACAGTTTTTCTGAAAGTTTTGTTGTCCTCTGGTGAGTACTGTTTTCCTTCCTTCCTTCCTTCCTTCATTGAAGATTTTGTTGCATGTTTACTGTATACCAGACATTGCACTTTTCCAACAAAAACAATCAAGACTCAGACGCCTCTCGGAAAGCTTAGGTTCTACAAAGAGGGAATGAGTACACACACAAGCAACCCACTAATGCCTCTGCTGTATGAATATAAAGGGAGGAGCCGTTTATGCTGCCTGAGGAAGTCAGTGGGTATGCATGGTGTGCGGTGATACTGCTCAGCCCACCAACAGTGAATGCATAATACAGACTGATTGATGATTGATTGATTGAAAATGAGGGAAGGAGCTGCTCACCCTCTAAGTGCCAGTCATTGTTCTAGGTGCTGGGAGCAAAGTTGTGAGTAAAACACAAATCTGTTCCTTCAAATGAAGTGGGTTTGACAAACATGATATTTAGAATTGCATTTGGGGGGAAAAAAAGAATTTTTAAAAGAGAAAGCAGAATAAGGAATTCTGAGCAGAAGGAACACCATGAGGTAATGAAAGTTCATGGGATGTACGGAGTCCGGATAGAAAAACTCCAGAGTCAGAAAGGTTCAGAATCTAATGAATTTTAGAGAAAAAAAATATGAAAAATGGTAGTATATCCTGGTCTCTGCTTTTGTCTCTATTAAAATTGTTATCAACATTTCCAGACCTCTCCCTAGTCACCAAAATAGGAAGGAGAAAATAAAGGAAATCAATCTGGCATTTTAATTTGTCTCTATTTCTGGCAATTTACCTCTAACCCAAATAGAATGGACAGTTGAAATGGGTCCTTAGGGGCAGGTGGGAGTGAACTGGGCTAGAAACAGCCTGTCATCAGGAGAGAATCCTTCCTCATGCCACACCCACTCGGCCCTTGGGGTTTGTTTCCTTGGTCTGTTTCCTGTCCCAAAGCTTAAACCTCTTCGCTCTCTCCAATTCCTAATAAAGTAAACACTGAAGAACAACTCAGCAAACTTAGACTTCTAAGATTGCATTTTTATTGTATTGTGGTGAAATGTACAGACAGGGAAATGCACAGACTATAAGAATACAATCATATCCCTTTCTAGACAATGCCACCCGTGCAGAGACAACCACCCTTCTGCCTGTTACCACCATAGATTAATTTTGCCTGTTCTCAAACTTAATACAAATGGAATCATGAAGTATATGCTTTTTAGGGTCTGACTTCTCTCCCTCTGCATAATGTTCTTGAGATTCATGCATGATGTTTTATTTATCAATAGTTTGTTTCCTTTTATTTTTAAGTAGTAGTCCATTTTATGGCTACCAAACTGTTTATCCATTCTCTTTTGACAGACATTTGGTTTTTTCCATGTTTTTGCTTTTATAGACAAAGCTGCCATGAATATTCTTATTTTAGTCTTTTTCGGTTTTTATTTCTCTTGTAAATACCTGGAAATGGAATGGCTGGGCTCTGAAGCAACTGTATGTTTAACTTTATAAGAAGCTGCCAAATTGTTTTCCAAGATGGTTGTACCATTTTACATTCCCACCAGCAGCATTTGAGAGTTTCAGTTGCTGGATAGCCTTGTCAACATTTGGTGCTGTCAGTCTTTCCAATTTTAAGTATGCTAATGCGTATAAAATTGTATGTCATGGTTTTCATTTGCATTTTTGTAGGATCTTGATCACTTTTTCATGTACTTGTTGACCATTCCTCTCTTCTTTAGAGAAGTGTCTTTTGCACATTTAAATGAATTATATATGTAATGTATTTATTTTTATAGAAGTCCTTTGTCACATATATGTATTGTAAATATTTTTATTTACATCTGTAGCTTGCATTTTCATTTTCTTAATGGTTTCTTTTGATGAGCAGTTTTAGTTTTGATGAAGTCCAATTTATCAGTCTTTGTTTCCTTTTTGTTTTTAACTTGCTCTGTCCTCCCTCAGAAATCTTTGCCTACTTCAAAGGTTGCAAAGATATTGTTCAGTGTTGTCTTACAGAAGCCTTAGACTCTTAGTTTTTGTGGTTAAGTTTATGATACATCTTAAATTAATTTTGTGTGTTTGTGAATGATAAAGATTGAGTCATTTTTTCACACTTTTATGTAGCTGAACAGGTGTCATTCTGATGACAACAATGGCCTTGAACGTCTGTCAAAAAAATCACTTGACCATGTATGTGTAGGTCTGTTTCTGAACTCTCCATTCTCTTCCATTGATCTACTTGTCTATTCTTAAAGCAATAACCCACTATTATAATTAATATAGGTCAATAGAAAAAAAACTGATGTCAGATAATGAGTCCTCCAATGTGTTTCTCTTTCTCCACACAACCCCCACCACCCAGCAATGTATCGGTTTTCTTAGGTGCTTTGCTTTCCCAAATATCTTTTAGAATCAGCTGGCCTTTTCTTTTACAAAGTGCCATTGGAATTTTGGTTGAGACTGTGTTGAATCAATAGATCAATTTGAGGAGAAACAACACAAGAAAGACAGTGTGTCCTCCAGCCATGAGCATGGTTATTACTCTCCATTCATTTAGGCCTCCTGTAATTTCTCTCAGCAGTGCCTTATAGTTTTCAATGTAGTAATCTTGGATGTCTTTTCTTGAACTTATTGTTTTATTTTGTATGTGTGTTATTATAGATGGATTATTTTTGTTTAATTTTTCAAGTCTTTGCTGCAAGTATATAGAAATACAATTCATTTTTGTATATAGTTCATGTATTTTACAACTACTGAATTCACTATGGTTTCTAGCAGTTGCTTTGAAGATTCCTTAGATAGCTGTGTAAACCATAATATCATCTGCAAATAAAATAATTTTACTTCTTCTCTCGCAATTATTATGCCCTTTATTTATATTTCTTACCTTGCTACAGTGGCTGGAGCCTTCGGTAGTATGTTGAATTCAAGTAATGAGAATGGATACCTTCACTTTGGTCTCAATCTCTGGGGGAAGATGTTCAATATTTCACCATTAAACATGATATCAGATGTAGGGGTATTTTAGATCAAGATCCTTCATCGATTAAGAAAATGCCTTTTTACTCCTAGTATACTGCAAGTTTTTATCATGAATGAGTATTAAACTTTAATGAATGCTTTTTCTGTATCTACAGCCATGATCAGATAATTCTCCTTTATGCTGTTAACAAAGTAATCTACATTGATTTATATTTAAATATTAAACCAACTTTGCCTTCCTAGTATAAACCCTGCTTGGTCATAATGTACTGTCCTTTTTGTAGATTGCTGGATTCAGTTTTCTAATATTTTATTTAGGATTCTTGCATTTATGTTCCTTAGAAACATTGGTCTATAATTTTCTTTTCACAGTCATTAGCAGAAATAGAACTCTTAATTGTAAACTATATTCATGAGATTTCTGATAGCATTTACAAAATTTTAGCAAAAATTACTCTAGTTGAATAACTTGGAAATTCAATGTGTTAACATCTTTTCTTATGCAAGATAAATTTCATATTCCTAAATGCTTAGATTACCAAAAAGTGAGACCATTCTATTACCTTTTATGACATAAGTCAAGAAACATGCACATGATTCCACGTCAAAAGAACAAGTTTCCAAAAGATAGGTTGTGAGTGTTCATTTCTATACAGTCTTTAAAAGTGAAGCAAGTCAGGTCACTCCGTAAGCCACTGTTTTTCCTCCAGGATAAGTCAACCTTGTAAATAAGTCTAAGTATCCCCTCCTACCCAAATGATGCCTTGCTGACTTCATCCCAACACAGAATGGTGGAGATTGGCTAGGATGGAGAAAAATCTTCCAAAATACTCCCCTTCCAGGGTCCCCAGGTTTTTCCCCTCCGGGCTGTCCTAGTGTGCACTGGTCTACAGAGTGAGACAGTGGAGCTGCTGGCAGCCACGCTCAGGCAGCAGCTTACACTGGCTAGAGAGGAGGTCCTGAATGTGAAGACCAGACTGTGTTTTCCATGTTTGTATAACTTTGCTCTGGTACTGTCTATATACCTATGCCATGTATAAATCAATACCATGGCACAAAGAGGCATACAGCCTAACCAAACAAAGAACTCCCAGAAAGTAGCTTTTCCCTCATGCAATGAATTACGTTTCCTAGCTTGACTTAGGAAATGAAGAACGTTTAAGGTGGTCATATGAATAAAGTAGACAAGAAAGCACAGAGCTCAAATAGGATTTGGGGGGATTTGGAGTATAAGCTGCATACATTTTCTCAAGCAGTTAATTAAAGAAAGGAAGACTGATCACTGACCTTGCCATGGAGTGTCAAGGGCGAACTCTGCTCCAAGTGCTTTCCTGTGCAGCAGACCGAATCCTCACAATAGCTAAGCACAGTGGTGATTAACATTTACCACTTAGTAAGAAACGCATGCCAATAGGTGCTTAGTAGCACTTACAAGGTGTCAATGCTGCAGGGAGGGAGTCAGGATTCTAGCAGATACAATTCTAACTTTGATGTCTTTCTCCTTCATCACATTTCTTTTTACAATGAGCTCTCAAGACCAAGCCAAAAATACTTAACCATTCACAGACACAGGCACCACATTGATGGCATTCCCCATGTAGTGAATAAGGAGCTCTGCAGAGTTTCCTCAGCCTGGGCTTGGCTTCAGCTGCACCATTCAATAGTCGTTGGAGGATGCAAAAGGAGTAGAGTTTACATGAAAAACTGTGGTGGAATTTTTCTACCTTAGTGGTGCCCCAAGTGCTGAAGCTGGGCCCACCAAGGATTCAGCATATAAATTAGTCACTTATGGGACGGTTTGCAGAGCAGGTCCGAACTGGGGGTGGTCCCCCTGGGGGTGCAGTAACATACTTTGACATCAATATGGGATATTTTGTCATTGTAGAAGAAGGATATTTTGACCATTATTACTTTGTCCTAAGAATGGAGAAATAAAAGGCAATGAGGATTACTGTGGGATTGGGCTGATGTCTCAGCAGTGGAGAAGTTGTTTGCAAGTAGCCTTTGTTCAATGGTCACAAGCAGGTGGTAGTCTGTGTATTGGGTGCAGAGACGGGACCCTTTTGAGTATCTGCAGCCTCAGGAATATCAGTAATGGTCATTACTTGACACCAGTCTTGCCTTTTCCCCATGAGCACCGCCAGTGGTGGAGGGCTGAGAGAACATCTGCCAAGGGTGACACTTTAACCACAAGGGGAGCATTTCAGACCCACAGAGGCAGTCCTTACAGTGGACAGAACCAGGAGTGGAGCTTTTCAAACCCACAGAGGCAGTCCTTACAGGTGATGGAGCTCTATAAGGGGCCTATCTGAGTTGGTGACGGTCAGAACCACAGTAATTTGGTCATTACTGTTACAGTGATCTTATTCATTCATTTTGAAATCTGTATTTAGCACACTCCACAGGTCTTAGCACTGTGCTAAATGCTAGAGATACAATAGTGACCAAATCTCCACTGCCTTCATGGAACTAACACTCCATTAAAACGGCATTATTCAAATAAAAATCAGTGTATAATTGCAAAATATGACCATTACTATGAGAAACAGCAATGTGTCTATGAAGGCATAATCGGAGCTCCTGACCAAGGCCAGGCGATCAGAGGAGAGGAAGATGCTGGAGGAATTTAAAAGGCAATGAGGGAGCAGAGGCCTCCATGATGCCTCCTTGGTCTAGGGTGTGCTGCGGATGGACAGCATGCCACCTGCTAAGACGCCATGGCCTGGCATGGCAAGTCACAGAGTTTGCCAACTGCATGGAAGCACAGCAAGCACTGTGGCTGGTCCTTCATTCATTCCACACACAGGAAATACTTAATTCATGCTCAGAAGGCACTAAGCACTTTGCCAGACATGCCTTCAATGTCAAACCTCTTTTTACTCACATTTTGGAGTTCCTTTTATGCAAAATCTTTAGATTCCAATAAAAGTAGCCCATTTGTAAAAATTCACCAGGCAGGCAGCTAAATTGCCTCTTTCTAATTTTTTGTCACATGCAGCCAAATCTCAGTGGAAGTGCTCTGAAGCACATGCACAGAAATAGGCTCTAAAGAAATAGATCCGTTTTTTGTTTGCTTGGTTTTCAGCTTTCTTCTGTTGGAAGGGTTTTGTGCTTTTCATTTTGTTTTGTTTTAACATCAAAAAGAAGCTGTTCAGCAAATGTATAACTTAGAGATTGTGGGGCTTATTGCTTGAGTAATAGTTTCTGTGTTTTTTTAATCCTGTGAGAGATTCTGTAAAATTCCAGACCTTTGAAAATCATTTTAATAAGTAGAATATTGTTTTCTTTCTTCAAATATACCCCTTAGATGTTTATTCTAACATGAAGGCTTTTCTAAGTTATCAAATAACCACCATAGAATAATTTCCATTGAGAACAGAAATGCTTATGCTTAGTCGCATCCCCACTGATTGTATTTATTCGTTCAATAAATACTTTTTAAGTGGCCTCTATACTGTGAGCCAGTCACTCTTAGGTAACTGAGCTAAATGCCATTCTTTTATGATCTTCAATTTATAAATGTGATTAGAAAGTTTTTCTTCTTTGTAATTATATATGTACATATATTAACGGTATAATGCATACATATGCATATAAATACACATATAACTGTATAGTTAGGAATGCATCAGCTGTAGATATTAAAAAGTTAACTATCTTACAGCATAGGGTTTTCCATGGAAATCTAAATAAGAGACGCAAGAGTTTTAACAAGAAAAAGAATATAATATCTATTTGACTTATTGTATCATAAATTACTTCATGAGACTTTAAACAAACTTGCCCTGAATTAAAACCAGAGTGTTAAAAGAAAAGAAAAACCATTGAGGAAAAAAGCAAAATAAATATCTCACCGCTCTCTTCTCTCAGCCGGATTCAGTGGCCCTGTGCATGGGAAACTGGCAGGCCCAAAAGTCACCTGGGAGTTCCATCTCTAGTGTGGATACGGACAAATGCCAGAGGCGGGTCAGCTTCTCAGTCGTCACCACTGGCTTCATTCTGTTTGTGTCTGTTTTGTGACTTCAGCCAAATGTCCAGTCCTGCAAGAGCCAATGTAACTGAGCATAGGCAATCAGCTTCCTAGGGTCCTCTGTGCCTTTGTTATGTCCTCTCAAACCCTTGCTGGAACCTGTGATATGATCAAACAAACAAAATGGGGCAAACACGTGGGTGATAGGTAGACAAAGTGACCGCACAGGATACATTGGGCTTCTCTGCTAGATTCCACCATGTAACCAGAGCACAAGTAAATCCTTTAGTGGTGCTCTCCAAATCAGAGTCCTGTGCTTGAGTTTCACACCATAGCTGTAAGGGATGATTTCTTTCCTGGAGAAGATATGAGGAGCTTTGAACAAAGTTTGTCTTGGTGACCTAAAGAAATGCATCTCTCAATAAGGTAAAAAGGGTTTTGAGGGACTCTTCACTGAAGCATTTTTACTGAGCAAACTTACTTAAATGTTTCCTAGCCTATTTTATTCTGATCTATAGATTTTCAGATTTTTCTGTCTGGAGGAGAAACAGAAAATGTTCCAATGGGTAAGAAGAGCTTCATTTTGAGTGGGAACGGCACACAGTAACATTAGATGAGATTCATTTGCATGAATGCTTTTTTCCCCTAAAAGTATTCATCTGTGAAATGCTAGGACTATCAGAGAAACAACAGAGTAAGACTTCAAATAATTCATCAGATTTGAATTAAGGAAATGATTATAATGCATTGCATTTTAAAATGAGTTGCATTGCACACAGGGCTCCTGAGCTGGGGGCAGACTGCGCACTATGTAGGTCATACAAACACCAAGGAAGGACTCACTCGGAACTCACCCTTGAAAGGAACAAAAGCCCCTGGAAGTGAGATGCCACTAAGGAAGAAATATGATTCATTTTTTTTCTCTTACAACACCATAGAACCAATGAGTGACTGAACTTCTGTGATGTTGGTAGATTACTCTTAATAATTTTATGAAAAAATCATTTTAGTTTCTCAGGTCATAAAAAGGCCAGAATAACCTTTCAGTTCCATTTATTTTTAGCTTTGTTGATCCTACCAGACCCTAGTTCCAAAAGTCACTTGTTGCCAGTACCTTTCTGTGACAAAGAGCAAAATTTTGCCTCTTTTTTAAAATTCTCTATCAAGAAGAAAACCCATTTGAGTGCATCCACAAATGAGAAAAATACTCTTACATCTATCTCTTGAAAGACAGGATAATGTACTGGCAATACTGAACTTGGACATGGTGCCCTTGGTCTATTGGCCCAGAGTCTAAATTCTGATGGATTTTTAACTGTTAGGCTCAGAATATGCCATTCACATTTTTAATCCAGAGCACACAGTCTTTGACCATGTCACAGTTTCGGCACTGGATGCTTTCATCAAAGAAGTATGCTGTTTTACTTAGGCCAGTCCCTGCCAGCTGCATTCAACTTTGCATATTTTCTTTGCCTTTTAAATTTTCAAGTGCACATTTTCAAGAATGATGTTGCTTTAAAACTAGAAGAGCAATTATGAAACAAAATGGATGGTCAAAAGCAACAGTGACTTGGAAAAGAGTAGTAAAAAGTGACACAGGGTTTATGCAGGCTTAAGACATCAAATTGCTTCCAAGAGAGTAAGCCTTTGAATACTGCTAAGCCCTAAATTTGTTGTCTGTATCTTGTAAATAAGTAAAAACTTCATTAATTTCTCTTGCATCTTCCTAAACACCATTTGGATTTGATTAAGGCAGAGAACGTAGTATTTCAGAAAGTACCTGGCCTTTTCAGCAAAAGAAAAGCCTTTTTGTAAGTGGGGGAAGTTTGTCAAATGAGAACTCTGGAGCTCAATGTGTAAGTCTCCATGTAATATAATGTGCAATTTCACTCCAGGCCCTGATATACTAAGAAAATATTACTACAATTACATCATATCTTTGTGAAAGAAATCTATGCACAGTCAAATGAGGAATCATGAGCATGAAGTAAATGTTTCCCCACTCTAACAGAACTCAATGGGCAAATCTTTAACTGTACATTTCCCATTTAGCTAAACTGTTTCTCCCCCTCACGTGGGCAATTCCTTTAGATTCGAAGTCTCCACAGAGCAGTGATGCATTCTCTTCATGCCACAGGTTCTCTTTGCTATTTAGCCTTTGAAGGACAAACACCACAGCTTAGGAAAGGATTAAATTCAATTCCGTCCACAACAGTAAATGTTTATTGAGCTCTTACCATATCACATGAATTTTATCTGTAGGTGGGTGGAGCCTAGGGGGGTGGATGGACTTGGAGATCAAGCACATACCCTGAGAACTGTCACCACCAAGACCTAGAGGAAAATCCCTCGGCTGTCTGTTTATCTTCAGTGGCATCTCACTGGACTTGCTACCCTCTTTCCCCAGGCCTCAGAGAGCTGACAACTTCCTTATATCGCCAGGCAGTTAGAGTCCAGCCTTTGTGGCAGTCAATGCTGGGACTGTCCCCTCCAGAGCTGCCCAGGCACTGCAGCTCCCATATCTCCTCTTCAACCAACCCTTGAAAATCAAAATTCTCTATTGATCTAATCCCAGCAAGAGAGCTGATTACATTATTTGATTATTCCAAAGGGGCATTTACCATTTGCTTAAAAAAAAAATAAGAGATCCATAGGCCAAGTAACTAACCAATAACTCTGGCTGCTCAGATGGCCTCCAGGATGTCCCCTGCCTCACTGTGTGCTGGGACATCATGTCTGCAGCTTCACAAGACAGACCACACTCTAACAAAGACTTCCGCCTTAGACGGCTTGTCCACAGGGCAGTGAGACGGTCCAGCCAGCTGCTTGGTGGAGTGCAGTCATGGGCAGCATGGGCAGCTGAGCCCAGATAAGAGCTGGGGGAGTGAGATGTTCATGTCGGATTTCAGAGGTGGCAGCACCAGACTGACGGTGAACCAGTAACTGTGATGACAGCACATTCACAAACCCCCCTGAATTTACTACGGGGTTGAGAAAATGCAAAGAAACCCCCTCCCTGGTGCAGGAGCAACTGTTCTGTGGGTAGCGATGGAGATTGCAGGAAACAGGGCATTCCGACTCCTGCACCAAGTGTCCAGAGCCCTTCCTTGCCCTTGGGGGACAGTTATAGAATAATCACCCACAGTAAGATTGCACGAATGCATGAGTAAATTAAGAAAAGTCTGTGTGACATAGGAGAGCCTTTCAACGAAGCCATGAGACACATCGCCAAACTCTTCCAGTGTATAAAACCACCAGCTGGCTAGTAAACAGCCCCTGAAGTCAAGACTTGGGGTAGTAGTAAATAGTGGTCACATTTTATTAAACAGCTCAAAATTTTTGTTGAAATGATTGCCTTATATAAAAATAAACACATCAACTCTATAATTATGCATGATGGCTTTTATTTTACGTTTCCCTTAAAAGAGACTGAATTCTGGACCCAACAAACAGATCGTTATGAAATAATGTTCCACACCCTTTGTGGTTGAATAAGAGAAACGGTTATACACAATTTCCATTTCATAGTCCCCCCAAAACTAAATGTGCATTTTCCAATATTCCTTCTGCTGCAGAGCAGAAAATGTATATCTGAGTGCACAGGCATTTCAGCACCACCAAAATATTCCATGCCTGATGGCAATTACGTAACTGTTACCAAAAAAATCCCATGGTATTTTAAAGATAAACTGTGATGATTTCCTCTAGCAATCTCCCATAATCACATGTGTCACCAAAAGGAACTATGTTTTTTAGAAACAATCTATTAATTAAAATTATACTAATTCAACAATATTAAGTGACTATATCAAAAGACAAACTTTTTTTCTTTTTGAAATAGAGTCTTGCTCTGTTACCCAGGCTAGAGTGCAATGGCATGATCTCGGCTCACTGCAACCTCTGCCTCCCAGGTTCAAACAATTCTCCTGTCTCAGCCTCACGAGTAGCTGGGATTACAGGCACACACCACCACACCGGAATAATTTTTGTGTTTTTAGTAGAGACAGGGTTTCACCATGTTGGCCAGGCTGGTCTCGAACTCCTGATCTCAAGTGATCCACCTGCCTCGGCCTCCCAAAGTACTGAGATTACAGGCATGAGCCACTGTGCCCAGCCAAGACAAACTTTTGAGATAACAAGAGAATGGGGTAGATTATGTTTTGAGATGCTGGTTTGCTTGTTTGTGTTTAAATAAAAGATAGCAAAATAACTCATCTGGACTCTTTCTGATACTTAGTGTAATCTTGTTACCAAGTCCAGGAAACAAAGGTCAATAGAGAAAGAAGTGTAAAAGGTCCTCAGTAGTGGGAACTTGTTGAATTGGAGAAGAAGGACATAAGATTAAAAGTATCTAACATGGAGCTTGGGAAAAGAGGGAGAATGGAAGAAGCGGAAGGGAATGAAAAGTGTCCATCAGTGTGGGCCTGGGAAGTCTGAGTGAGGTCTTCTCACGCCAGCATTTTCCGCGCTGATCTATCCACTCATGTCTGCGACCCTGGCTCTGCCCACAGAGGACACAGCTTCCCGAGAAAGAGAAAACACGATAAAACACGATAAAGAAGATGATTTTTAGGATATCTAAAAGAGAGGCCTCATATTTCAGCTGCTGTTTAAAAGCTATTCTCTCAAGTGCTGATGTCTTCTAGAGTATCAGTTCTTTGAAGGAGTCTCCTTATTGTTCAATCCCCTTTTCACGTTTTAGACTCAAGACTTAAAATGGAAAGGAAATAACCCACAAAATATAAGCAACTTAAATGCTGGTTTTAAGACAATGTATCTACAAAAAGCAATTCTGTTTAGAGATTTTATATTATTCATAAAATAAAAAGCTCTGTTTACTAATAATAAACCACTCCAACTTTATGTATTTTTTTAATGGTCAGCCTTTATTTGACATTCTAAACCCTATAAATTTGGGATGGGCTGGTAAATTCAATCCACAAATTTAAAACTGTGTTATAATACTATAAGCATTATATCCTACTTAGAAGTGAAGGAGCCAGGATTTGAACCCTTGCTTATCTCAATGGAACCAGGTGCCTATCTCAGTTTATATGTTCTAATAAATTGATCTATTCAAGTAAAGTTATAATTTTCAGCCTGTGTATTTTTTTCTCTGGTGGAAAACTGCACAGTACGAAATAGTTCGCTTTAAAACTAGTAGTAAATTTCTGGTTAAAAACAAGATGTTTAATAGAAGCTTTAATAATGAATATAATGTTATTGATTGGCTTTATATGAAATTAACCATATTGCATGAGCTAATTCATCACCTGCTGTCCACTGTGTGACAAGATGCAAATGACACAGTAGATGCTGACCTTCAAACGAAGTCAGTGACAAGAAAGGATGGCAAAACATATCCAACTATGGGATGGAAAACACCCAAGACCTCAAAGCAACCTCTACAATAAACGTTTGCAGAATAGTTCTGGGGTCTCTGCTGGGGCATCTTGAAATAAAACATATTGAGGACAAGAAAATATTTTTTAACTTTTTTATGCACACAAGGAATGAATGACTTAGTATTATTGAAAATATATGCAAAATTCAAACCTTTTTAAAGTGAGTTGGGAGGTTGTTCAAAGCAATTTGCTGTGTAGCCTTCGAGGAAGAAATGCATCAGTTTATTAAAAAATTATTACAGCCTCTACTTAGACATTGTAATAAGTATGGTAGTTGGTAGAGGGCTATATAGTCATTTTCTGATAATAAAATGAATACTCCAAAAAAATTATAATACCTATTGAGTTAGTTTGATATTTAAGATTATGTGATATCGTCAAAGTTCAAAAGAGCACAAATATACAGATCTCTTTTTTCTGGCATTTTTAGACAAATGCAGACAAACGTGAATATATCCTATTTTGCTAACCTTTTGACATGGATACAAAAGAAGAAAGAATTTTAAGAATTTATGCTAATTTTAAAAACGTAATCAATAAGTTGGCAAAAATGTTATGTGCTGATGGTCTGAAAGCTATAGCAGGAAGAAACACAAAGGCTACCGGTCCCATAAAAATCTTCAGAGTAATCGACTTCTCTGTATATAGAAAGATATTTTAAAACACCAACTGTAAAAATGATGGCATCTTTCAAGACACTATTGAATAATACTACACAAATTGTCCTTTTCATCATAGCTATGGTCTTTGAATGTTATACTTTTTATTTTCTAATGATCTTGTTTGTTAGTAATAGATCCTGTTGCTAAGAAGTTTGAAAACATTGAGAATGTAAAGTTTTATGATGTCTATGATGAAACATCACTTACTGAAAGCATTTCTTCAGGAAGACAATCAAATGAGATAGCTAGATTAGCTATAATAATAGAGCTAGGGTATATCAGCTATTCACTCTGTGCCAGGCACCACGCTAAATGCTTTAAGCTGGTCATTTCATTGCATAATCACAAAAGTCTAATGAGGTTGGGGGTCATGTATTCCCACTTTACAGATGAGGAAACAGAGGCTTTGATGGCTTCAGTCACCTTCCTGGCCAGCTGAAGCAGGAGGAAGCAGGGAGGGCTCACCTAGGGCTTTTTCTAACCCCCGCCCTCCACCCCTTGAACTCTGCCTTCCCGCAGCGCAGTGGCTCTGGTTCCGTGTTTGCCACAGTGCAGGCAGAGCAATCAAGGGTCACTGCATGTCACCTCTCTGTGAGGTGTGCCAAAAGTTATTTGTTAACTTTGTTAAGTAGTAGAGAATCGCCAAGTTCTGTAAATTAGAAAGTATGCAGTTCTCCCTGTGGTAAACTCACTCTCCTCTCCAGTGTGTTCCCACGTGCTTCTGAGCAGAAGTAGCAGAGCTGCAGCTGGCTGGATAGCACCTGCTGTGCAGCAGGAGTGATCCACAAGTATAAATCATACGTCCATGCGTGTCACCACAGAAAAACAGGCCACGCAAACACTGCTGGAAACCAGCAGGCAGGGTCCCAGGACAAACACTTCAGTGCCACAGAGAAAGTGCAGGTAAGCTCCCCTGGGGTGAGTTGTCAAAGGTCTGTCACCTGGACTTTGACAGGCTCTGAAGCACAGGTCACTCAGGTGTGAAATTCTACATGGATTCGGGCCGGGTGCGGTGGCTCATGCCTGTAATCCCAGCACTTTGGGAGGCAGAGGTAGGCGGATCATGAGGTCAGGAGATGGAGACTATCCTGGATAACACAGTGAACCCCGTCTCTACTAAAAATACAAAAAAAATTAGCAGGGCGCGGTAGCGGGCGCCTGTAGTCCCAGCTACTTGGGAGGCTGAGGCAGGAGAATGGCGTGAACCCGGGAGGCGGAGCTTGCAGTGAGCCTGAGCCGAGTTGGCGCCACTGCACTCCAGCCTGGGCGACAGACCGAGACTCCATCTCAAAAAAAATAAATTAATTAAATAAAAACAAAATAAAAAAAAGAAAGTCTACATGGATTCAACATGGGCCTTTTTATTAAATGCCAGTACAGCAGAACAAAATAACAATCTGCTATTCTACACAGCAGGTGGCAAACATAACGAAATCATGATGCTAGGAGATGGAACCCATGAAGAGGTTCAATAAGGGTAGGTACACTTCATGTGCGACTTTATTTAACCTATGTTATAGCACACTTTTCTTATTGTAAAATTGAACTATTATTTTCTTTCTTTTTTTTTCTTTCTTTTTTTTTTTTTTTTTTTGAGATGGAGTTTCCCTCTTGTTGCCCAGGCTAGAGTGTAATGGCGCGATCTCGGCTCACTACAACCTCTGCCTCCCGGGTTCAAGCGAGTCTCCTGCCTCAGCCTCCCCAGTAGCTGGGATTACAGGCACCTGCCACCACGCCTGGCTAATTTTTTTTTTTTTTAGTACAGACGGGGTTTCACCATGTTGACCAGGCAGGTGTCGAACTCCTGACCTCAGGTGATCCACCCACCTTGGCCTCCCAAAGTGCTGGGATTACAGGCCTGAGCCACCATGCCCAGCCATCATTCTCTAGATTCACTAAAAGTTATTTTTCAAATCTTTAAAGACATTCACAAATGTAATATATGGATTCTATAAGCATCTTTTAAAATAATGTGTGTGTGTATATATGTATGTATATATACCTATATATATACATACATATATGGATTTTCCCATGTCTCTTATGCCTTCTTTTTCTCTGATATATACATGTATGTATCTTCTGCCCCCTTCCCCAACTTCTGTCACTCTCCCTGCTGTTCAAATTACTTTCTCTGTTATTTGAATAGAAAGGTTTCTTTGTATAAAATTCTGAAGCGTTTATTTTGTCTTTCCTTGTGTATCTATGCCTTAACAATTTTCCTCTAACAAGTCGCTTTCTGATAACACTGCTGAGTATCATTTACATAATTAGGGTATTGATTAGAACTAATAGAGCAAAGGATGAAAGACAGCCATTTGTTACTTAAGGAGGAGGGGTGAAGAGTAAGGAAGATGGTAGTACCGATAATGTTGCCCGATTGGTAGCTTTCAGACAAGAAATAAGTTTTGACAGAAGAACTATCCAATGAGAGTGAAAATATACTCAATGTCCATCAACTACATATACATTTCACAGAGTTCATAATTTATTGAAAATATTCTCCTACCATAAAATAAACTTCAGAGAAACACAGTGAGCTTTCTTATGAATTAATCCTAATGCCTGAAGTCCTAGGAGCTGTGAAATAAAGAAAATAAATAAAATTATGTAAACACATAATATTGCTGAGCAACATGGCTTAGCCCTTAAACAACTTTTTCTTGTTTGAAAGATTTCAAAAAGAAACTACTGTGAAATTTATGTAGGTATTCACCCTATGGGTAGCGCTATGATATTTTAATGAACAATTAGACAGAATGGTGACTGAAGCCAATCACAGAGAGTCTTCAGGGCCATCCCTTCCTCCACTTCCTCATGGACAGGAACAGGAGCATGCACACACACACACAAGTGTGTGAATGCTGACTTAGCTAAGGTGGATCCTTGACAAATATTCTATTTATTTTTAAAAATCTAAATGTATTTATGCATTGATGAGAATTTAAAAATCTCTCTCTTGCTTCTCTTGGTTTGTAAAATCCAGTGCATGTTTTCAATATACAATCGGCACTATTTAGTTTAGACTGGCAGAGATACCCATAGGGACTGGAGGCACTGCCTACAAACCTAAGATGGGGAATCATTACAGATAAAATATGACTGGATCCAAACCCCTTCCCTAAGGGATGCTGAAGCCAAACCAAAACTGCTTTGAAGAGCATAATAAGGAAAAACTGGGTTAGCTTTGGGTTTTGCTGCTTTTAAATCATCATTAATCTGCAGTATCTGCCCTTCTGAATCCTTATAATAGCTAGGTGCTATAAGAGAAATGCCAGACCCACCAAAAGTTGACCAGCAAACACTTGTTGAGTGCCTACCACACACCATGTACAAACAAACCAACTAGCAACTCCTTGGGGGTCTCTGAAACAGGTAATGCTTGGAATCCTGGTTGCAACAACATGGAATATTCTGCTTAATTACAAATGCTGGTGTCAGGAAATGGTTTTTTCCACTTCTCCTATTCCTACAAGTTTCCTTTTTCTCCTACAGAAAGGAGTCTTGTAGCTTGGCACACTGCTTTGAGAAATCTGTGATCATACTTGTAAATAATTACCTATTTGCCCATCAAGGAACTCTTGTGTAGGAATCCACGGATGGTCAGTTCGCCCATCTGTAAACATGAAAGACGGATCACCCAAAGACAGAATTGAAAACCACACGTGGCTGGTACCCAGAAGAGAAATAGAAAGTCAGCATGGCATATGCTCAAATGGGTAACATCAGCCGGGACGTGATGCTCATTCCAAGACACCCTCTGCATTTCCAACAATTCTGCCCGAACTATTCACAAGTTCATTCACAAAGATGAGCCCAGATGTGAAAGTGGCTGAGCCAGGAGTCACATTGGCTGAAAAGTTTGCTTTTTGTCTAAAAATAATTAATAAGCACACAAGTTAATACAATAAAAAAGGTATCTAGACAGTACAAACCCACAAAATAACCACTGTTGAGAATGAGGGGTTTAATGAGAGTGAAGGTAGTTCTGTTTTCAAAGTCTCCTCCTCTTGCAGCCCTGTCCTCTGATGTGTAGTGACATGTGTGCCTCAACCACCATGAATGACACTCCCCTTTGTGTTGCTGGACCCTCCACTACTTAGTGTGTAAAGTTGTTGCAGAACCAAATGTAATGCACCTAACACATAGCTGGTACACAGCAGGGTACAATGTGCCATGAGGCTACCTTAGCAGGAACACCTCCCCTGTCTTCCTCACAGGACACACTGCATACATCCACCCATCTAGGCAGAGGTGGTCTAGTCAGGAATGGGCATGTCACCCAATTCTGGGCAATGGGAGGATGAGGCACCCTCTGCTAGGGCCAGCCTCCAGATACAGGAGAGAGACAAGGCAAGATGCATGCTCCCTCACCTGCCTGGGGAGTTGTGCCTGGAGTTGACAACTGGGGATGAATGTTGTCACCTGAATACTAAGAATGGCAGTGCAGACAGAAGGAAAGGACCTGCATCTTGATAATGCATCTGCACTGTCTATGTGCCTTACCTCCAAAATTCTTGTTATATGAGTATTCAAGCAAGGTTTCTATTATCTTTGCCAGAAAAAGCACCCTAAATGATTCAATAAGCACTTAAATGTGAATGTGGGGAGGAGACGTCAAGAGGAGTGGTCACAACTGTTCTAAGAACCATAAAAACTTCATTCAACAGCATGGAATCTACTCCGAGAGCACCAGACGCACAGTTCATTCAGGTATGTATAGAACTGTTCCTCATTCCCTCCCAACCCCAGGCTCCAAAACTGTCAAAACAAAGAGCCCCCAATTCAGACCTTTTGTTGTTAAAGATATGGAGCACTATTATGAGGTCACAGTCACATCAAGCAGGAGTCTCCATCCCCAGCACCAAGAGACAGCTGTCATCAGTGAAGGACCCCGCAGCACCTGGCATGGGAGTTCCAGGCATTCCCCATAAAGCAGGGCTTGAAGGATTTGCACTTGGTCAGAAAATCATTTTTTAAATTAAATGAAAATATTTATTTTGAAGTAAGTGTAAATTCAGATGCAGTTACAAGAAATAATACAGGCAAATCTCACACATATTTGTCCAGTTTCTCCAGCATTCATGTCTTGCAAAGCTATGGTACAATGCCACCAGGATGTGGATGTTGATACAATCAAGATTCTGAGCACTTCCATCACCACAACCATGCCTCCTATTTCATTTTTTAATAGGATCCATGTCCCTCCCCACTGCTCCCATCCTTAATCCCTGGCAAGCACTAAGCTGCTCTCCATCAATATAATTTTGTCAGTTCAATAACATTGAATAAATGGAATCACGCAGTGTGTAACCTTTTGGGATTGGCTTTTTCTTTGTTTTATATATTTCTCTGGATATTCATGTAAGTTGTTGCTTGCATGAATAGTTCATTCCTTTTTATTGCTGAGTACAATTCCACGGTGTAGATGTACCATGGTTTCTTTAACCATTCACTTGCTGAAAAATATTTGGGCTGTTTCCAGTTTGGGGTTATTACAAATAAATCTGCCATGAACATTTGGCTACAGGTTTTTGGGTGAAATGAAAATAAATTTTCACTTCTCTGGGATAAATGCCCAGGATTGTAATTTCTTGTTGGTATGATAGTTGAGTGCTTAGTTTTTTAAGAAATTGCCCAGCTATTTGCAAAAGTAGATGTGCCATTTTACATTCCTACCTGTCATATATGAGACCCAGTTTCTCTGCATCCTCATCAGCATTTGATGTTGCCGGTATTTTTTATTTTAACCATTCTTATATGTGTAGAATGATCTCTCTCCTGTGGTTTTAATTTACATTCCCTCATTGGCCAATAGTGTTGAGAACAGCTTCTCATGTGCTGATTTGCCATCCACATATTCTATCCAGTGAAATTTCTATTCATGACTTTTGCCATTTCTAATAATTTTGGGGGGTCTTCATTGCTTTTGGGTTTTGAGAGTTATAACCTTGTTTCAGCTATTATATTTATTTTATTTTTCTATATACATTTTAGAATAATATTGTCTATATCTACAAAAAATCTCACTAAGATTTTGATAGGAATTGTGTACGTGTATATCAATTTGGGTAGAGTTGGCACCTTTACTTTGTTGAGTCTTTCAATTCATAAACATGGTATGTCTCTCAATTTATTTAGATCTTCTTTGACTTCTTGCATCAGTGTTTTGTAGGTTTCTCTACACAGTGCATGTTTTGTGTGTATTTTTGTAGTTTTGTATCTTTAATTTTGTAGTCCACGTGGTAGTACAAAGAAATATTAGTATGAAGAGATATTATTAGTATAGAGAAATATAGTTGATTTTTGTATGTTGATTTTGCATCCTGTGAACTTGAATTCACTTAGTTCTAAGAGTTTTTTTGTAGATTCCTTGTTTTTTCTAAGGAGACAATCCTGCCATCTGTAAAGAGGAAGAATTGTGAATTTTTTCCTTTCTGGTATACATGCCTTTGATTGTCTTTTCCTGCCTTATTTCAGTGACTATACCTTCCACTGCTATGCAGGATTAGAGCAGTGAGAGCAGACATGCTAGGCTTCTTCCCAGTCCCAAGGGAAAGCAAGCTGTCTTCCACCACTAGTATGTCAACTGTAGCATTTTTGTAGATGATCTTTATGTGAGATTTTCAAAGTGTTCCTGTATTCCTATTTTTCTGAGAGTTTTTATCCTGAATGAGTGTTAAGTTTTATCAAATGCTTTTTCTGAATCTATGCACATGATCGTGTGATTTTTCTTCTTAGCCTGTTAATAGGGCATATAACTTTGGTCAGTTTTTGAATATTGAACAGCCTAGCCTCCACACTAGGTTATGGTATATAATTCATTTTATACATTTCTTATTTTGATTTGCTGATATTTTGTTAGGATTTTTGAGTCAATATTTAAGGAGGATAGTGGTCTACAGTTGCTGTTGTTTTGTTTCATCTGATTGTGATTTCAGTATGATGAATTGGGTAGGGTCTTTTCCTCTCCTATTTTCTGGAATAGGTAGTTTAAAATTTATACTAATTCTTCTTTAAAGGTTGGATAGCATTCTCCATGGAAACCCTCTGCCTCAAGATTTCTGGAAAGGAGTAGAGGTTTAATTACAAATTAAATTTTCTTAATATTTAAAGGGCTATTCCAATTACATATCTTATAATAAGTGAATTGTAGTGATTTTTTTTTTCAAGAAACTGGTCCTTTACATCTACATTGTAAAATGTGTATGTGTGTGTGTGCGTGTGTGAGTGTAAAATTGTTCATTTTATACCTTTATTATCATTTTGATACTGCAGAGTCTATAGTAGGTGTTTTCTAACACGAACTTCAAAACTCTTAGAGCTGTTACCCATTACTCAGTTCCAAAACCACCTCCACATTTTTGGGTACTTGTTATAGCAGCAGCCCACTCCTTGGTACCAAGTTTTGTCTTAGTCCATTCAGACTGCTGTAACAAAAAAACATATAGTGAGTGGCTTATGAACACCAGACTTTTAACTGATCACAGTTCTGGAGGCTGGGGAGGCCAAGATCAAGGCACTGGCCGACTCGGAGTCCGGCGAGGACCTGCTTCCTGGCTCACAGATGGCACCTTCTCACCCCATCCTCACATGATGGAAGGGACTCTCGGGGGCCTCTTTCATAAGGGCACTAATCTTATTTATGAGGGCTCCAATTCTCCTGATCTAATCACCTCCCAAAGGCCCCACCTCCTAATACCATCACTTTGGGAGTTAGTTTCAACATAAGAACTTTGGAGGGACACAGACATTCAGACCACAACATCAGGGAACTTGCCACAGCTCCCACAGGTCCTGAGGCCCCTAGCCTGTCACCTTCTTCTCTCCACCTTTGAGTCTTCCTTTGTTTGTTTGATGTATAATGTCCATTGCATCTAGTTGCTCTTGGTGAGAGGAATAGGGAAAGCACATCTAATTCACCTTCCAGGAAGCACAAGTGCCACTCTAATATCTCAACCTCTCTGCAGCCACATCAGGTCTGAACAAAGAAGATGGCCTCTTTCCAGACACCTCAAGCTAAAGAAGGGTTCTGAAGCCACCTGCACAGCTCACTGCTGTGGCCTCTCTCAACCCTGTCCTCAGTTCTCTAACTGTCTTGATGGGACACCATTTCTGGTTTGATTTTAGATTGATTATTTGGTTTGTTTTGTTGTTTTTTTCAGAGAGGATCATGTCATTTCTCAGAAGTAAGGACTTAATATTTCCCAAGTCTTAGAATGAATTCCCAGTATTTTTAGTAACACAGAGGCATTAAATAAATAAGTTAATTCAACTAAGCTATCCTAAATAAATAATAACAATTCAGTCTAGTTACCCTAAACAAATAAGTTACCTAATTCATAAATAAAAGGAATGAATAATAAGCACACAAATAAATACTCAGCTAAGCTACCCTAGATCTCAGGCCACCCATGATATTGATCAATGCATATTAGTGAACATTAAAGTGTTAATGTGGCAGCACCAGGCTACCTCTTTTTACTTCTGTGTAAGCATTCCAGGTGCTTGTATAAAGGTATTTTAGTTTCCACTAAAATATCACCAGTGAACAGCTTATATGATTGTCCCAATGGAAACGACCTCTCAATAGCATAAAGCTCACCTCCTGAGATGGAGGGTTATCCCTGATGTGCAGGAGAGAGAAATGTTCCAGCATAATTCCAAGTATTTCCTCAGAGAGTCAGTGGCCCCATCCTAAAGTGTATGTGAACAAGCTTAGAAAAAGAATGCAATTTGACAAAGAGGTTTTTGATTCTCAAGGTGTTAGTTTCTACAGAAGAGAATTTTAAAAATATAACAATTGGTGCATACCTGAGGTTACCAAGATAAAATCTCCTAGGGACTAACCATTTGCTGAGTGCATTTGAATGTGCCCGGCCCCGCTGTGCTGAGGGAAATACAAGTGCATTGCAGAGAAAAGCCTTCCTGCCCATCCTTGCTCCTGGGCCCCTGTCAGCAGACTGAAAGGGTCCCCTTGGAAATGTCAGCTCTGCAGCCACTCAGGGTTTTTTGTTCCATGGCACTCCCAGTCGTTCACCAAAAATAGAAGGAGGTGGTTAGACATAGTGGCTCACACCTGTAATCCCCAGCACTTTGGGAGGCAGAGGCAGGAGGATTCCTTGAGGTCAGGAGCTTGAGAACAGCCTGGGCAACATGGGGAGACCCCATCTCTACAGAAAATATATATATATTTTAATAGCCAGGCATGGTGGCATGTGCCTGTAGCATGTGCCCAGTTACTCAAGAGGCTAAGGTGGGAGGATCACTCAAGCCCAGGAGGTCGAGGCTACAGTGAGCCACGATTACTGCACTCCAGCCTGGGCGACAGAGCAAGACCTTGTCTCAAAGAAAAAATAGAAGGAGTCATGGGGACTTGGGCTGGACTCAGAAGGATTCCTCTTCTGAATCATTCCTTCCCAGGCAACTGCTTTTCAGAGGATATTAGAATTCACCAGAATAAATGGTTCCCAAATCTTGCTGAAGTTAGAATCACATCTGGAGCGTTTAAGAAATACACTTTCAGGGGACACTTCCCAAACACGCTTATGAATCACACTCTCCTACGCCAGGATTTAGGAGTCTTTATTTCTCAAAAGTGTCCACGGCATTTCTAATGAGCCAGGGAAGGTGTGGAGGCCACAGGCATCACCTGATTCCTTTATCTTTACGATAGTTACCAGCAAAACCTACAAGCAAAAACTGGCTCCAGACTCCAGGGTTGCTTTTTCCTCCTCTCACCCTGCGACTCACAAGACACCTTGACAAGGGTTCACTGTCAGAGCCCAGAGAGTTCTCTTGAGAAGAGGGGTGGAGGGGCTCACTGATTGGCCGTGGAGGGTTAAAGAGGTAAGAATGCAGCTCTGCCCAAAGGCCACTGCTTCGTAAAGCAGCGTATACTCTGTGACGCTAGCAAACAGCTCTGGAAACAAGAAGCTTCTGGGTGAGTCAATTTAAATCTGACACGAAGCAGTCCTTGGAGACAGAGCCTTGGTCAGCTTCATAGGGCAGAATAACTCACTGGCCACTCAGATAAGACCCTGGGGAAAGGGAAAGGAGAAAGGTGTGGGTGGGAGCAGCACCCCCCGGGGCTGTGGACAAGGAGTAGGAATTATGGTTTCCACAGTTGGCTCAGCCTCCAGAAAGCAGGGTCTGGCAGGTATGTGGCTTTTTATCTGCATTCTACTGCCCAGTAGAAATGTCCAGGGGAAAGTCTGCTTTACAAAGAGCAAGTTGAATTTTCCAGCCATGGATGTGAGTGAAAGCTTTTCTCTCTCTCTGTTTTTTTTTTTTTTTCTTTCTGGGTTCCATGGAAGAGTCTCCAGAGCACAGATTCTTATCCAAGCAAGAAAAAGAGAGTGTGTGAGAGGCCTTCACGAGCAAGGCCTGTGGGTTTGGGCCAGGAACAGGAATTCCCCTCACAGACACTGAGTCGGCAGCCTGAGACAGGAGTGGCGGCTCCACAGAAAGCCACTCTGTTCACTGCCACCAAGGACTGCTTGCAGGGCACACACACAGAGCTGCGGAAAGAAGGGATATTTGAAAAGAGTGTTTTTTTTCCCTAGAATACACAGTGCTCTTATTTCCTTAGGGGTGCAGTAAAAACTAGCCATGAATAAATGGCCAAACGCAGCTAAGAGTCAGCAAGGATGTTTATCTCTACAGCCTGGGGCTGCTGGGATGGGTCGCTGGGACAAACTTTGAATACGTCAATAAATCATAATGAAAGATTAAAATAAGAAAGAATTTGCTAAACATGTCTGGAAGGAGGCTTTTATGCTGCTATTTTTTCCCTACCAACTGCTGCTCAGAGACTTCACTAGGCTTTTTGAATGCAACAGAAAATGTGTATGTGTTGGAGGTAGGAGGCAAAAAAAAAGGGGTGGGGAGGCAGTTCATACTTGGAGCTTTGGTTTACATGGATTTTTGAGGTCAAAGAAAATCCAGTTGCTAAATCTAAGTGCAGATGTTATATTAAAATTAAACAAACAAAAAAACAAGAACCTATCCTCAGAATATGTGAATTCTTAGCAAAAGGATCTATTGCAATACATCATTTGTTTTCTATTTCAATAAAATTTAAGAATCAGTTTTCTTTTAGAAAGCAGAAAAAAAACCATCAATCGTTTCAAAAATTATGAAATATCCTTATGAGTACAGGAACTGTTGGATAGCCGTGGGCTCTAAGAAGCCAGCAGCTATCCCAGTGCACAGGAACACATGCCCCAGGCCCTCTGTCTCCTTTATTGTGAGAGAAAAATACCCTATTTGCTTCAAGCAGGAGGTTGAGCAGAACAAGAGTGAGAGGGCTTCTCTCACTTAGGAGCCATCTTTTCCTGAAAGCTGGCCTAACCCCCCTTGAACACCCAGCATAACGTCTACCTCAGGCAGCCGGCCTCCATGGGCAACCTGGGCCTGGCTGACCTCTGAATCCAGGGGCAGCAGACAGGTAGGTGTGGTGCTGTGTCCTCCATTGAAATGGGCTGTCTCAGAATCCTAAGTTATGAGCCGAACCCGAATTGTGTCCCCTAAAAACGCACATGTTGAAGCCCTAACCCCCAGATCCTCATGCTGTGACTGTATTTGACAGAGCCTTAAAGGAGATAGTTTAGGTAAAATAACATCATTAAGGTGGGTCCTAATTCAATATAACTGGTGGGTTTGGTTTTTGTTTTTTGTTTTTTTGAGACAGAGTCTCACCCCATTGCTCAGGCTGGAGTGCAATGGTGCGATCTCTGCTCACTGCAACCTCCACCTCCCAGGTTCAAGCGATTCTCATGCCTCAGCCTCCCGAGTAGCTGGGATTACAGGCACGCACCACCACACCTGGCTAATTTTTTTTGTATTTTTATTAGAGACAGGGTTTCACCATGTTGGCCACAGTGGTCTCGAACTCCTGACTTCAGGTGATGCACTCACCTCGGCCTCCCAAAGTGCCGGGATTACAGGCATGAGCCACTGCACCTGGCCAGCTGGTGTTTTTATAAGAAGTGATGAGGAGATAAGTATACACAGAGGGAAGACCATGTGAAGACACAGGATAAGACGGCCGTCTGCAAGCCACAGTGAGAGGCCTCGGGAGAAACCAATCCTGCTGACACCTTACCCTTCAACTTCCGGCCTCCAGAACTCTGAGGAAATGCACTTCTGTTGTTTGAGCCCCTCAGTGTGCGGCGCTTTCTTATGGCAGCCCTTATAAACTAATACAGCTTCTTATGCCTCAATGACACATACATTCACGCCTTGAGCAAAAGAGGAACTCAAAGCCTGTTTGTTGGTATATCAGTTTCAATTAACCCATGGGAAGCCAGGAAAAAAGACACACACCCCCCCAAAAAAAAATGAAAAACCAGAAAGAAAAATAAAATAGCAGGCTTAAGTTTAACAATTCAATAATTACATTAAATTTAGTTTAAGTAGTCTAAATATATGATTTAAAAAAGACAGGCAGGGCACAGCAGTCACACCTGTAATCCCAGCACTTTGAGAGGCTGAGGCAGAAAGATCACATGAGGCCATGAGTTTGAACCAGCCTGGGCAATATAGCAAGACCCCATATCTATAAAAAATTGTTAAAATTAGCCAGATGTGATGATATGCACCCACTGTTCCAGCTACTGACAAGGTTGAGGCAGGAGGATTGCTTGAGCCCAGGAGTTTCAAACTGTAATGAGCTATAGTCACTGTACTCCAGCCAGGGCTACAGAGGAAGACCCTGTCTGAAATAGTTAATTAATTAATTAAAATATATTGGCAGAGTGGATTGCAAAAACATAACCCAAGTATGTACTGCCTACAAGAAACTCACTTCAAATACGATGGTATAAGTAAATAGAAATAATAGGATGGAAAGGATATGGCACACAATCATTAATTAAAATAAATGAGGAATAGCTATATTAATATCAGATAAAGTTGACTTCAGAGCAAAGAAAATGACCAGTTACAGAGAAGTACATGACATAATGACAGAAGTGTCAAGCTACCAGGAGGCATAAAAGTTCTCAATGTGTGTATCAAACAACAGAGATGCATGTTACATGAAGCAAAATCTGATAGAACTGAAAAAAGAAATGGCAAACCCACAATTGCAGTGGGAGATTTCAACACATACCCTGCCTCAATATTTGATAGAACAACTAGACAGAAAACCACCATGAATATGGAAGAACTCAATACCATCTACCAACAAAATCTAGTCACCACACCAAGGGAGAGCATATCTTCCATCAGAAAACAAAACAAAACAAATTTAAAAGAATTGACATCATACAGCATGTCACTTACAATGGAACCAAAGTAGAAATCAATAACGGAAAATTATCTCCAAACTCTTGAAACTAATGACTACACCTTTAAATAATCCGTGGGTCAAAGAGGAAATCTCAGAAAAAGTAAAAAATACATCAAACTAAATGCAAATGAAACAACAACACGTCATAGACATAGAGTGTGTATCATGGGTCATTGAAGACTCAGAAGGATGGGTGGGTGCAAGGGGTGACAGGTGAGAAATTACCTCCTGGGTACAATGTACACTATTCAGGTGCTGGTTACACTAAAAGCCCAGACTTCACCACTACAAAATATATTCGTGTAACAAGACTGCACTTGTACCTCTTATATTTATACAAATTTTTTAAAAGAAGAAAAAAAGAAAAAATGTGAGACATAGCTAAAACAGTGCTGAGAAGGAAATTTATAGCACTAAATGCTTATATTAGAAAAGAGGGAAAATTTCAAATCAATAAGCTCCCATCTCAAGACCCTAGAAACCTAAGCACAGAGAAAGCAGAGGGAAGAAAAATAATGTAAAGGAACAGAAATCAATGAAATTAAAAACAGAACAAAAATAGAGAAAATCAATAAAGCAAAAAAAGCTTTTCTTTTGAAAATATCAACAAAATCGACAAACATTTAGTAAGATTTACAGAGAAAAAAAGAAAGGACACAAATTATCAAGTATCAGGAATGAAATAGAGAATATAACTGTAGACCCTGCAGAGAATAAAATGATAATACAGGAGTAAAATGAACAACTCTGCACAGAAAAATTTGACAACTTATATGAAATGGACAAATTCCTTGGCACAAACTACTACAACTCAACCATATGAAATATCTAATTTGAATAGCCTTATAACTAGTAAAACAATTCTATTTGTAACCAAAAGTATCCTAAAAAGGTAATCGTAGACACAGTTTCCATGGAGAATGCTACCAAACACTTAAGAATCAACAGCAGTTTCATATAATCTCCTCCAGAAAAAAGAAGGTACCAAGTCATTCCCAGGCAGAGAGAACCACTAAGTCTGAGCAAATGCCAGGATCCAAGAAGACATAGGTCCCCTGAGCCTCTCAGTTTCAGAACACACTGAGCTGAGCCACTGCTAACTGAAAGTAATCAGTGTGCGTTCAGAAAGACCAATAATAAATGTATACAATTACTATTTGTCAATTAAAAATAAAATTTTTAAAAAGACAGATGAAGAACAAGATACAGATCATCTCCAACTCATGATGATTTGATTTTTTGACCTTACAACAGGCTTATTGGGGTGGAGAATGCATTTTGACTTACAATATTTTCAACTAATGATGAGTTTATGAGACATAACCCCATCAAAATTAAAATAGGGCCCGGTAAGCATTTCAAAGTGAGTATATGCATAAAAATAACAAGAAAACAGAGTAGTCAGTGATAGGGTCTAAATAATAAATATTTTGGATTATAATACTTTTTTTAAATTTTATTATTATTATACTTTAAGTTTTAGGGTACATGTGCACAATGTGCAGGTTTGTTACATATGTATACATGTGCCATGTTGGTGTGCTGCACCCATTAACTCATCATTTAGCAATAGGTATATCTCCTAATGCTATCCCTCCCCACCCCACCCCACAACAGTCCCCGGAGTGTGATGTTCCCCTTCCTGTGTCCATGTGCTCTCATTGTTCAATTCCCACCTATGAGTGAGAACATGCAGTGTTTGGTTTTTTGTCCTTGCGATAGTTTGCTGAGAATGATGGTTTCCAGTTTCATCCATGTCCCTACAAAGGACATGATCTCATCCTTTTTCATGGCTGCATAGTATTCCATGGTGTATATGTGCCACATTTTCTTAATCCAGTCTATCGTTGTTGGACATTTGGGTTGGTTCCAAGTCTTTGCTATTGTGAATAGTGCCGCAATAAACAAACGTGTGCATGTGTCTTTATAGCAGCATGATTTTGGATTATAATACATTTTAACCAAATTTTGTGTCAGTTCTTTCAAGTAATTGCACATCTAGTAATTTGAACTGTTAGTTCACAAGAAGCTAAGGAGTAATTAATTCTACACTGTACTTAATGACATTGATTTGAATATAAGGCATATACGGAAGAACACAAAAATGTTATCTTTAATATGCTCTATGTCAGCTTCAAACCCTGCTTGTATTATGAATTTAAAGCAAGTAAGTCTTCAGATATATTACAAATGTAAATTGTAGCCAAGCTAAGGTATGTGATAAGATGGAGTGTAACGATGCATTGCAGCTATAAACACAAATAAAATTTTTGTTTGTTTTAAAAAAGATAATTCCTTGCTACCAAGGAAGGTCAAGTCTAAACATAATATTAAATGTGACAAAGTATACAAAGGAAACAAATACGCTCATACACCAATATAAGGTTATTTTTCAGACACTTGGGTTCTACTGTTCACCTTTAACTTCTCTTTGCAGAAAGAAGCCTGCTTTATAATGCATATAATATAAATTAAATCTGCACCTAAGATAAAAGAAAAAAGGGCAGTCTACAAACCAGACTGAGAGCAGAACCTTGTGCTCAGATCACAGCACATACACATCTGCTAAAGACACCCTGCAGTGGGGCATGTGGAAACAGAACATACGCTTTCCCCAAAAAACCCTGTCCACATCCATCTTCCCAGGGAAATAGCTTTCCAGGGACCGCGGGCTGATAAGAAATGGCAAGTGATAAATAGAGCACTAGCATCAAAGGACAAATGGCCCCCTGAGGATGGGAAAGCCAGTACAATGTTGACGGAAGTTATGCAGGCAAATGCATGCCTGCCAAAAACATCACACACACACACACACACGTGCATACATGAAAGTATACATGTGTACACACATGCCTGCACACACACGGCATAAAAACCGTCATCAGTACATTTGGGCAGGATACCATAGCCCCTCTGAAGTTAAAGATAGCCTTTTCTAGCTTGTAATAGTGAGCACCTTACTAATCACTCTGAGCTTCACTTTCCTCAAATGCAGAACAGAGAAAATAATAGTACCTACTTCTTAGAGTCCTCATGAGGATTAAATGCTTTAGTACATATAAAATGCTGAGAACAGTGTCTAGCATATAGTAAGCACTTGCTAAAAGTTAGCTTGTTCTTAGAACAAAATGTTCATTGTTCCTTGCCACCTTACTGATGTCTACCCTTTACCTCCAACTTTTTACCTGTTAAAACAAGAATCTGTGATTACAAATGCTGCTAAATTCCAATTAGGCAAGCTCCAAGTTTGTTCTTAGGACAAATCCTTAGCCTTAGCCAACTTGTCCAGTTTCTCAGCTGTGTTTTCAGATGCCTGCTCCACACTAACAATTCCAACTTTAGGAAAGGAAGAGGGGAAGCCCCTCCTGCTGGTCTCCAGGTCCCCTTTACCCCGGGCATGACAAACCCGGCCACAGCAGGAACGAGGAAGCCGGTGCTAGCATTCCCAGAGGCCACCCTCCTCCCGCAGCAGCCCCTGAGTGTTGGCCTGGTGCAGATGCTGACAGCGCCAAGGTTCCTCTGGGAAAAGCCCCAGCTGTTTTCGAAACAAAGTCCTTCCTGGTGGTGAAGAAAGTCCATATTAGTAGAAGCATGGGAGGGCTGCCTCTTGGCTCTTCCTTTAGAATCTCTCCCAGTTATTTTTAGGAGTTCTTCCTCCCTGTGGGTAGTATTCCCAGGGTGAGACCTCTGACTTCATGCCTTCTGGACGTTCTGGATCATGTGGGAACTCAGCGGCCACAGAGGGTCTCTTGGACGGCTCAAGCTCTCTGGACACATGGGTGGGGTGGAAGTCCCAGCCCTGCCACATAGGCCTTCTTGGAATGCCCCTACCCCACTCCTTACCTACAGTGCTGCCCAGAATTAAGTGCAGTAATGGGTAGAAGGTCTTTCCCGGCGCTGGCAGAGTGAGCTATACAGGTCATCTGTTTAGTGGTAGTATTCTGCCTGCCACCAGTCAGAGTTCCTTGTCACATAGTGTTCATTCAGTCAATCTATTCCCAGTAATTTTTGGAGATTCTGTAAAATAGTTGGCCAAAACCTGAAGAAGGTATCTTGGACTAGAATTCACAGAACCACATGGTTGGGTCCTGGTTCATTCTAACCTTGTCAGCCTCCTTTACTCTTGCAGTAGAAAGGCTGTCAAGAGGACCACGGTGGTTCCCCCAACCCCTCCAAAGTGGCCACTCCTACCAACCAGAGGTGCAACTTCTGTACTCCTTGAGTCTGGGCTGGCCTTGGGACTTGTTTCAACAATTAGAATGTGAGGTCTTCAGAAGCATGCCTTCAAGGGGCCAGTAGAATCCACTCAGGGTCGTTCTGCTGTTGCAATGCCCGTGGAAAGAAGGCCGAGCTGACTTCCTGGAAGATGAGGGTGATACCTGGTGAGAGAGACCAAGGCCAACCAGCACGTGTCCTGATGGAGCCATCTTGGGCCATCTGGCACCTGTGGAGCCTCGGTTCACTTGAGACCAGGAGAAGGACTGCCTGGATGAGCCGAGCCCAGATTGCCAACCCACAGAGTTGAGAGCTAATAACTGACTGTGGTTTTAAACCACAGTGTAGGTGATTTGTTTTGTAGAAATAGATAACCAGTACAACTGCACCTCAGGCACAAGGAGTCCTTCCCTGACCTCATCTGAAACTGCAACCATTTTCCCTAACATTTTCATTTTCCTTCCTTAAGGCTGCTCCTTGACCCCACAGCCCTCACCACTATCTCACATTGTACATGTTTCAACTCTGGTTGTTTATGTCTGTCTCAGGCAGGAGAATTCCATGAGGGAAGTTTTCATTGGCTAGGTCCTGGAATACTACCTGCACTGTAAACTGTATTCGCTGGGGAGAGATCCAGCGACAACCTAGTGGCTTAAAACAGGTAGGCAGGGCAACAGTTTGGATACTCAACCCTTCCAAATCTCATTTTGAAATTTAACCTTATTGTGGGGGTGGCGGGAGGTGAGGCCTCATGGGAGGCATTTGGGTTATGGGGCGGAGGCATTTGGGTTATGGGGTGGACCCCTTGTGAATAGATGAATGCCCTTTCTGAAGGTGGGGAGTGAGTGGATTCTGCCTCTGTTGGTTCGTGCCAGGGCTGGTTGTTCGTGCCAGGGCTCAGACCCAAGGTGAGCCCGGCGCTCCCGCGCTCTCCGGCGTCCTCTGTCGCCATGTTAAAAAGAGCCCGGTGCCTCCCGCTCTTTCCTGAATCCTCCATAGTCATGCAATCTCCGCACACACCTGCTCCTTTCCCACCACCGGGAATGGGAGCAGCCCGAGGCCCTCCCCAGATGCCCGATCTTCCAGCCAGAGGAATCATGAGCCAAGTAAACATCTTTGCTTTATAAATTACCCTGTCTCAGGTATTCCTTTTTGCAACACTAAACAGACTAGGACAAGTAGCTATATCCTCTCAGACCCAAGGTAAGTGTCCCAGGCCGGCAGGGGGCTCTGTGCCATGAGATACTTCAAGGACTGGAGCTCTTGCATCTAAATTCTCCACCATCCCCTGCATGGTTGAGGCTGAGTGACAGGAGACACTCTCGCCTCAGTTCGTGGGGGAGTGAATCTGCTTCAGTGTTTCACATCACAGGCCCTGGGGTGCACAGATCCATTTGTTCCTATAGCCATCTGTATGCACAATACAGGCTGAGCCAGGGCCTGGCAGGGCATTTGTGTGCCCAGCTATAAGCCTATGACTGGTGAGAGAAGAGATTTTGAATATCAGCAACAGACTTGGCCCCAGTTCCATCAGAAATTAATAGCTTTCCCAGGAATTGTGCTTGTGGAACTTGCACCAAAATAATTAACATTGAAATTTAAAATAAAAAAGGAGAAATAGATGATATACATGCACCCCTCTTTCTAGGGCTCCTTAGGTTTAACTGAGAGACATGATGGATTAGCTGGTGGGGTCTACCAAAAGCCAGTAGATAGAGGTCTAGCCAAACATCAGAAAAGAGAAAACAAGCATCCAATCTCAATTAGACAGGAAAGCAGGAAGAGAGAGACAGCCCCGGGGCTGGGGTGAGCAGCAGGGCCCTTCCCAGTTCAAGCCCAACTTTGCCACTGGCTGGCTGGTTTGTGAACTAATCAATTCACCATTCTGATCATTGGCTTCTTTCTCTAGAAAAGCAGGAAGTAGCTTCAGAGGGTATTGTTGAGAATGAAATTAAGTAATGACCAGCGAAAGCAGACTGGAACCCAGAAGGTGGCATAAACATTGGAAAGGACCTGGACCAATGTGGGGAGGCACACAGCAACCAGCTAAGGGCCAATTTGGTCCTGGGGAAATACATATTTCTCGGAATTAGCAAATTTTCCTTAAGATGGCAGTCATCCTTATTATTACTACTCAGTGATAAGAAGAAAAATAAATGTAGGGCATTTCATGACCGCCATAGAGGTAACACTTGGATGATTTTACAGTTTGTTTTCTTTTTAATGCAGCTATAAATGTAAACACAGGTACTACATTTACTTGAAGCACTCACACACACAGACCTGGCATGCTTAAAGGTCCGTAAGCCCAAAAGGAAAAAGAAAAGGGAATACCTCCAAACAATTATATCCAAAAGATGGCCCAAGAAATCAAAGGTGGCATGGGAACGACGAGTACTGACCATGCCCAACCCATTGTCTACACTGAAGAAACCCTACAGCCTGTTTATGAAAAGGAAATGGTAACAGCCACTACAGAGCCAACTGCAGTGAAGACACTCATCGCGGAGACACTGTGGCTTAGTTTAAGTAACAATTGTTCAACGACTGTTAGAAGAATAACCCCCAAAGTACTGGAAAGTATATTTGTTTACACAAAACTCACAATTCTGCTATTAAGGCTGGCATTATTTTGAAAGCACAGCCTTACAGAATATCTTATGTGAAGACCCAAGCAAGGAAGGGGAGTACATTAACTGTGTTCTGTTGCTCCTGGCATCATAAAGAGCTTTTATAAGTCAGTTACCCTTTGTGCTGTGTTGCTCCATTATCCAGAGCTTTGCTAGTAAAAAGGGAACACTAAAATGAACCAATTTTTAATCTAAATAAGGTATGACTTGATTAACTGTTAACTGGTTATATCGATATATACACAGAGTGGTAAAATAAGTTTAAGTTTTAATATGTGTATTGTAGACATCAATAATTCAAACAAAAGACTGAAACAAAGACTTTTAAGAACTTGAAATCCAGAACAAGAAACACTTTAGGATTCTGTCAACATAAAAGGCTTCTACAACACTGGCTCATTTTTGTTTAAATGCATGGCTCTCTGACCACTAAAAGGAGACAATATTTAAGTTCATAGATTGAATTTGAAATTGCAGGATTCCTCAATTAGCTTACTGCAGCACAGCCCAATCACAGACAACCTTTTTAATGATGAGCCATTGGTTGCTCCCAAGCAGACATTAAATTGAATCACTCTTTATAGAGATTCACTAGTCTCCTCTAATTTCTCAAGTCCCTGCTAGTCCCATAATGATTCCTAAACTTAACAACACCCACACTTCCCAGTCTCAAAGCCAGCTTCTCAAATGCATCATCGCTATCTACAGAAAATCAGCTGATGTCATAGTGACTATAAAACAACACTGCATGGGTAGGGAGTTTGCTTTTCTCCCCGAAATCACCTATAGCACTTGCCTTGTTAACTATGCCCTCTAAAATCAGAATTAGTCACATGTTGTTTCATAGAACCACGGGTCTAAATTGAATGGCACTGCTTCAGGGGAATTCAAAAGACACATCCATTGTGAGGTTTCATTGACACAGGGTCAGTTGATACACATTTTCCACATGCTGGATACTTTGGGGGAAAGAAGCAGAAACAACATCAGCCTTTGTGCCATGACCCCTTGCCTACTGTAACTCTTAAACAGCCATGTGTATGCCATCAGGGTTTTAATGAGAGACTCTTAGATTTGCCAAGTTTAAGACTCTTAAACTTGACCTCAATGAGGAACTGATTTCACCAGGGATGAATGAAGAAAAAGAAAAATGTATTTGATTCCTCCTAAGCTCCCCCTAAACAAACCAAAGTCATTGTGTGGCCCCTATAAAAGTCAATATTTTATTAAAGTAAAGAATCTCTTGGCTCTAAACTCTTCAAGTGTAGCTAAACTGTGTGTACAGCTAAAAGGAAGTGGAAGACAAGAAATTCTATTTCTTTTTTTTTTTTTTTTGAGACAGAGTCACATTCTGTCACCCAGGCTGGAGTTCAGTGGTGCAATCTTGGCTTACTGCAACCTCCACCTCCGGGTTCAAGTGATTCTCATGCTTCAGCCTCCCAAGTAGCTGAGATTACAGGTGTGCACCACCATGCGCAGCAAATTTTTGCATTTGTAGTAGCGACGGGGTTTCACCATGTTGGCCAGGCTGGTCTCAAACTTCTGACCTGCCTCGGCCTCCCAAAATGCTGTGATTACAGGCGTGAGCCACAGTGCCAGGACAAGTAACTCTATTTGTATTCATGTTGCATTCAGTGTGGAATGTGAAAGAGAAAGTGAAGGCCTTCCTGATCTTGAGGCTGGCTCAATACTGAGGCTTCAACAGCAAGATGATGAACAACCAAATAATGACAGGAAACTAATTATCTGCAAATTCAAAACCCACTTTGACATGTCAAATGATGTCATTATAACTAAAGCTCTAGTTGGAACTTTTTATTGTTTAATATGATATATCTTTAGTACAGGACATGATATCACCTTACAGAATACAATACGGTTCAAGGTAGGCAGATGCTCAAAAACAATAGAAATAAAAAATAGAAAACTGATTTTCAAAGCGTTGAGGATGTCATTCAAAAGTACACTTGAAAATAAGGTAAAACACTGAAGAGAATTTTATGTGCTTTTTGGAAACATTAAGATTATTCTTTTTGTCAGGGCGATAATACTCTTCCCATGAGTCAGGAAGGAAGGGTAAATGTGATTGCTCAGGGAGGAGGAAAAGAGGGAAGAGTTTCAGGACTCTGTAGGATGACCTCTACTTCTTGTCTGAAGCATGGGGCAAGGCTATGTGCAAAGGATGTGACACCTATGGAGTGCCACGAGGAACACACAAAATGCGATGACACATCTCACAAACTACCGAGAGGAAAATTTCTCCAACATTGGTTATTAAGTTAGAATGAGCCAAGGTTTTCATTTTGTTTTGTTTTTGAGTTATGGGGTGTATTTGAAGGCAGGCTCTCAAAATAACATGCTCTTATACATATAGAGAATAGTCATACCTGCCCTAACCAGTTAAGGCTGCTATAATGAACTACCATGGACTGGGTGGCTCAAACAACAATGATTTATCATTCACAGTAGGCTGGGGAACCCAAGATCAAGGCTCCTGCAGATTCAGTCTCTGGCGAGGGTCCATTTTCTGCTTCCTAAGGGGCCATCTCACTGTGTCTTCACATGGCAGAGGGGGTGAGTTAGCCCTCTGGAGTCACTTTTATAAGGGCACAAGTCCCATTCATGAAGGCGAAACCATCATGACCTAATCACCTTCTAAAAGCCCCACCTTCTAACAGTGTCACATTTCTGATGAGGATTTCAACAGATGCATTTTAGGGAAGCACATTCAGTCCACAACAGTATCCTTAAGACAAGTATTCTGAGAACATGGAGGAAGTAATGCTGGCATCTTAATTTGTTTATTTGCTTTTGAAATATCATAGGTATTGCCTGGCTAAGTAAATTTATGGATTCTATTACCTGGTTTTAACTAAACTAACCCTGACAAAAAAGGACAAGTTTTTTAAAATCATTCCTTCACAGAAACCCTGAGTTGAAGATAATACTGACACTCAAATCACTAGCCAACAACAAGAGTGGCAGAGCCATCCTCTCTCCCTCTCCCAGCACAAGATCACTGTCACCAACATGAGGTCATATCAGTGATGATCTAGCCAGATCTGTAAGATGCTGACCAAAAGAAATACAAATTTATTAGAAAGATCATTTGATTTATGGGATTCAAGTGACTCAATGAAGAGAAACCTGAACTAACTGTGCACTGTGATTTAAAATATAAACTAATGATAGAATGGTTAGTAAGATAATTAAAAGTAGCTGTCTAGAATACGGAGAAAAATCTTTAAAATTTTTGAAAGATATATAAAGCCAAGAATACTCAATATTGCACTTTACAAATTTTTATTAACTTAATGAGAAATATTTGTAAGTCTTGCTGATGGCATCTCAGTAGATAATAAAAGAGGCCAAGAAAAGCCAAATCGCTTTGGGAAAACATTTGTTCTTCCTGCCACTGAAAAATTATTGAAATAATACATGGAAATGAATATGTCAATGTCAACAATGTTTAAATCATTCATTTGTCTTAGTCTGTTTTGTGTTGCTGTAACGGAATGCCACAGACAGATAAATTTATAAGGAAAATACATTTATTTGGTTCACGGTTCTGGGGGCTGGAAAGTCCAAGGCATGGTGCCAGCATCTGCTTGGCATCTGGTGAGGGGCTTCTTGCTACATCATCCCATGGCAGAAGGCAGGGTCAAGAGACCACAAGGCAGAGCAAGAGTTTTAACTGGCAGCCTCAAGCCCTTTATAATTGGCATCAATTAATCCATGAAAATGGAGCCCTCATGAACTACATGCCCCCTATTAAGCGCAACTTCTCAACACTGTTGCATTGGGGATTAAGTTTCCAACACATGCTTTCTGAGGGACACATCCAAACCATGGAATTCTGTCCTTAGCCCCCAGTTTTTATGTTCTTCTCACATACAAAACTAATTCCATCCATTAGGCCCAAAAGTCTTTGTTCATTCCAGCATCAACTCAAAATTCCAAATTTCAGAGTCTCATCTAAATTAGATATGGATGAGACGCAAGTCAAGATTCATCATAGGACAAACTCCCCTCTATCTTTGAGTCTGTTAAATCTACAAGTTATCTACTTCCAAAATAGAATGGTGGGACAGGCATAGGTCAGACATTCCCATTCTATAAAAAGGAAATTAGAAATAAGAAAGGGTAACTGGTCTTAAGTAAGCCTAAGATCCAACAGGGCAGACACTGAATCTTAAAATTCCAGAATATTCATTCACTGGGGCAGGGTTTGGGCCTCCAAGGTCTCAGAAACCTCCATCCTCATGGCTTTGCTGAGTTCAGCCTATGCTTCAGGTCTCATGAGTTGGAATCTTTTTCCTGCAACTCTCCCAAGCTAAAGTTGAACACCAGTTCTGGGATCTCAGAGGTGGTCTCACTTCCATGAAACACTAGTCATTGCCCTGGTGGGGACTCAGATCTGCCTCTGCCTGGATCTCCAGACTGTCATCTTTTGAAATCTAGGTGGAATTCACCATGGCCCACAGCTCTTGCATTCTGCATGCCTGCAGAATTAGCACCATGTGGACACCACCAAGGTTTACAGCTTGTACCTTCCAAAGCAGTGGAATGAGCCACATGTGGACCCACTTGAGCCAAGGCTAGGGTGACAGAGGAGCACTGCACTGCAATGCAAGGAACAGAGTTCTGAGGAGGCACATGTGAAGTTCTTGTAGGTGCCCCTCTGGCAATTTTCCCTCAAGATCTTAGCTTGCCTCAGAGATCTCTGATGTGCTTTAAGGGTCATTTCCCATTGTCTTGATGAATAGCATCTGGCTCCCCTCTATCTATACTAGTCTCTTCAGCAAAAGATAACTTGGGAAGCCCAGGTGCAGTGGCTCATGCCTGTAATCCCAGCACTTTGGGAGGCCAAGGCAGGCGGATCACAGGGTCAAGAGATCAAGACCATCCTGGCCAACATGGTGAAGCCCCATCTCTACTAAAAAAAAAAAAAAAAAAAAAAAAATATATATATATATATATATATATATATATATATATATATATATATATATATATATAAAAATTAGCTGGGTGTGGTGGCATGCACCTGTAGTCCCAGCTATTGAGGAGACTAAGGCAGGAGACTCGCTTGAACCCAGGAGGCAGAGGTTGCAGTGAGCTGAGATCATGCCACTGCACTCCAGCCTGGTGACAGAGTAAGACTCCATCTCAAAAAAAAAAAAAAAAAAAAAGAAAAAGTGACTTGGGCAGACCTTTTGTTTGCTCTCTCAAAGATGCCTTTTCACTCTTTACATGGCCAGAATTTGGAAAATTCTCCAAATTTTTATGTTATCTTTCTATTTGGATTATAAATTCCATCTTTAAATCATTTCCCTCTTCTCACTTCTTATATGTGATTTAAAAGTAGCCATGCAACTCTTTTAATATTTTGCTTAGAAATTCAATCTGTCACATATCCTGCTTCATCATTCCTAAATTCTGCCTTCCATAAAGCCCTGAAGCATGGACACAATTAAGACAAGTTATTTGCTACTGTATAACAAAGATGGCCCTTACTCTAGTTTTCAATACCTTGTTCTTCAGTTCCACCTAAGGCTTCGTATAAATGACCCTTGCTGTCCATATTTCTACCAAAATTCTGATTGCAACCACTTAAGTAATCAAAAGTACCAAACTTTTCCAACATTCTTGTCTTCTTCTGATCCCTCACCAGAATTTCCCTTAACATTCTATTCACAGCAATTTGGCTTTGTCCCCCAAATTCTTCTAGCCCCTACCCATTACCTAGTTCCAGCACTGCTTCTACATTTTCAGGTATTTGTTTTAGCAACAGACCCACTTCTCAGTATTAATTTTCTGTCTTAGCCTGTTTCATATTACTATAGCAGAATACCACAGACTGGGCAATTTATAAAAGAAGAAGCTTATTTGGCTCACAGTTCTGAAAGTGGGAAAGTCCAAGGGCATGATGTCAGCATCTGCTCGGCATCTGTTGAGGGCCTTCTTGCTGCATCATCCCAGGAAGGAAGACAGAAGAGCAAGAGATCGTGAGAGAGAAAAAGAGATTAAACTCATAACCCCAAGCCCTTCCATAATCAGCAATAAATTTATTCATGATGGGGGAGCCCTCATTACCTAAATGCCTCCCAACACTTTTGCACTCAAGATTATGTTTCCAACACATGCTTCTTTTGGGGGACACATTCAAATGTCCCAGCCAATTGGATGGTGCCTGCCACATTGAGGGCAGGGCAGATCTTTACTCACGTGTCAATCTCCTCAGGAAACACCCTCACAGACACACTCAGAAGTCATGCTTTATCAGTCCTGTAAGTATTCCTTAATCTAGTCAAGTTGACACCTAAAATTAAACATCACAATTTGCTAGTAAATACTACTAGAAGATGCATATAAAATATTTATTTAAAGCATTAAAAGAAGGAGTAAATTTTGTTACCTGGTTGGAAGATTAGCTACACTAATTTTATATATATACACACACACATATATATTTATATATTATGTATATGTATATATGCATGTATATATGTATATATACTATATATACACATACATATACACATGCATATGTATACATATGTATATATACTATATATACACATATGTATTGTGTGTGTGTATATATATGCATGTGTATATATATGTATGTATTAGTCAGGATAGGTTATTGTAGCACACAACCACCAAATCCCAGTGTTGTAAAGCAATGAAGATATATGAGTATTTCTTACTTATCCAGTGTCCACTGGGGACCCTTGACTGTGAAGCCATCCTGAATGGCTGCCCTCCAAGGGTTAACCAAAGGGGCCCAAGCTCCTACTGTCATGTGCCCACACCATGCAGCATCCTTTGCTTCTGGCAGCACAGAGAGGGGGAGCCAAGCAGAAGATCAAGAGACATTGTGTGGCCAGGCCTAGATGGAACTGCTCTTGTTTCTGCTCATATTTCACTGGCCAGAACCCAGATACGTTGTCTCATCTTGATGCAAAGGGGCTGAGAAGAGTCATCTTCCCATATAACTCAGAGGAAAAATAAAGGTGTGTTTCAAACTGTCCACATAGATTTCTAATATGTATAAGCTTATAGTATGTGATCAATTCATTTCAGGAAGGAAATTTTGTGAGCCTCTAAGGGACAGATATGCTAAAGAAAGCATATCTAACACAAAAGGAAGTAGTAAATAAAAACAATATTTTACCAAAAAATTATGAATTTTTAACCAAGATGAAAACAAAAACGACTAGGTAGGGCTATCAAGTGACTCTATTCCATAAGTCATGGGCAAGTACTTTAGTAAGGAAATTAAATCCAAAGTGAACAAAGCCAATGATATACTCAATTTTATAAAAACAAGAGCTTTACAAAAATTGTGAAATCTTGACAATTCATAACAAGAGGGGGAGAGATTATGTGTCTTTTTTGTGCCACACGCATGTTTGCTGATCATAGTGTGGCACAGTTTCAAAAAGCTGTCAAATTTAAGAGTAAGTTATGCATCATTTTTCTTACTAGAAGAGAAGCATTTGAGATTCGTTGACGCTTTCTCTAACATGTAGCTATCACCTAATAGATACTTGTGTTGCTTCCAGCAAATGGGGGTAAGCAATAAGAAATTCAATAACCATTGATAAGAACTCCCAGGAAGCTTGGAATAGAACACAAATTTCTCAATCTGCTATAGGACATCCATGAAAAATCCTCAGCTAACATATTTAGTGGTGGAAGGAACAAAGCAAGGATGTCTGCTTTTACCGCTTATCAACATTGTACTGGATGACCTAACCAGTTCAATAAAGCCAGAAAAAAAAAAAAATCAAGTTTGGAAACAAATAAGTAAAATTGCCAACATATATGAACAACATGATTGCTTCTCTAAAAATCCTGAGGCACTTACTAAACAGCTACCAAAACTAATAAGTGAAGGATATTTAGCATGTTTGAAAAATACGAGGTCAACAGAAACCAATTGTACTTCTATATACTAGCAACAAACAATCGGAAACAAACTTTTTGAAAAAAAGAATTACATATATGGCAGCAGCAAAAACATAAACGTTTAAGAATATGCTTTTTAGAACTATCAAATGTTGCTGAGAAAATTAAAGAAAACTAAAATAAAAGGGATATCCCATGCATATGCACGGGAAGATTTAACACAGTTATGGTCTCAGTCCTCTGAGAATTAGTCAATAGACTTGATGGTATCCCAATCATAACCGCGGCAGGATTTTTACGTAAAAACAAAATTGATCTTGAAATGCAAAGCACATTTGATCACATTTCTCACTAGGCAATAATTTTTATCAGACAAAAAAAGATTTTAAAATGTGTATGCTTTTATACATTTTATAAATGTATATAGACGTAGATTTTATAGATGTATATGCTTTATAATTCATAAATGCATTAATATAAAATACATGTATATGAATGTACATAATATATAAGTATGTAAAAATATACGTTTGAAAATATGTGCATTTTTTTTCTTAAAAGGATATTATGAAACCATAAAAGTGTAGAGATCTAGAACAGTTTTAAATGCTGGAAAGTATATCAAGGCTGCTTTTCATGAGTTTATTATATATTATAGAATTACTGGCTGGGCGCACTGGCTCACACCTGTAATCCCAGCACTTTGGGAGGCCTAGGGGGGCAGATCACGAGGTCAGGAGATCGAGACCATCCTGGCTAACACGGCGAAACCCCATCTCTACTAAAAAAAATACAAAAAAATTAGCCAGGCATGGTGGCGGGTGCCTGTTGTCCCAGATACTCGGGAAGCTGAAGCAGGAGAATGGCATGAACCCGGGAGGCGGAGCTTGCAGTGAGCCGAGATCGTGCCACTGCACTTCCAGCGTGGGTGACAGAGCGAGACTCTGTCTCAAAAAAAAAAAGAAAAAGAAAAAGAAAAAAAAATACAGTGGGACTTTCTCTTCTGTCCCAGATAAGGAACAGGGATCCGATTTATTCTCCTAACTTAAACAACTAGAAAAGCAGGCAAAATACATTAAATATGGCTTGAGCTTTGGAGAGAAGGTAGCAGAGGATCATGGCCCCAGGAAAAAGGTAAGCAAAGGGTTGGGAGCCTAAAGTGATAACAGCTCACCCCTTGGAGACTGTGCCCAGGCCAAAATGCATGAACAGGCTGAGCTTCTCACTGGGTTGAGACTCAGATGGAAGTTCATGAAGAGTGAGATGGCTGGATGTTGGGAACAGCATCACAGAGGGGTCACCTTGATTTTTGGCTGAGTACTGATCTGTAAAAAATGACAGGAAATTAACCCTGACTGGCCAAACAAATAATCAAATCATCCCTAGAGGTCATACAAAGCTGGGAATAGTCCATGGTCTCACAAGTCTGATTGAAAGAACTTTAACTGGAGCATCAGGTGGAATGCTCAGAGCAGTCTCACCCTTGTAGTAGGACTATATTAGCTCCAGAAAATAACTGCTCTAGAGTCAAAAACCTCAAAGAATCCCACTGATTCCAAGTAACATAACTGGGTGGTAGAACAAAATTCAGCTTCACTTAAAGCAACACAACAAAAGCCAGCAACAAAAAATATAAGATTCACAATGTTCAGTGTCTATTCCAATTTACCAGGAATGAAAATAAAAGCACAACATGTCAGTTTTGTAGGATGTGAATTTAATTTTGTATTTAAACAGAAATGTAGAACATTAGATGCTTCTATATAGTAATATTTAGGTTTCCTTCAAGAAAACTAGAATAAGAAGAGAAGAATAGGGCCGGGCACAGTGGCTCATGCCTGTAATCCCAATACATTGGGAAGCCAAGGCGGACAGATCACTTGAGGTCAGGAGCTTGAGACCAGCCTGACCAACATGGTGAAACTTCATCTCTACTAAAAATACAAAAAATAATAATAATAATTAGCCAGGCATGGCAATGTGTGCCTCTAAGCTACTCGGGAGGCTGAGGAACAAGAATTGCTTGAACCCAGGAGGCGGAGGTTGCAGTGAGCCGAGATCACACCATTGCACTCCAGCCTGGGTGACAGAGCAAGAATCCATCTCAAAATAAATAAATAAATAAATAAGAAAAAGAAGAGAAGAATAAATCTTGGTTAAGGAGAAGAAAGAAAATAAAAGATGAGAACAGAAATTAAAAAAACAGAAAATAGAAAGATGATAGAGGACATCAATAAAGCCAAAAGCTAGTTCTTTGAAAATGTTAGTAAAATTGATAAACTTCTATCCAGACTGACCATGAAAAAAGAAAGAAGATACAGATTACCAGTAATAAAAATTAAAAAGTGGACACCGCTATAGATCCTATGTTCATTGAAAGGACAATAAGGGAATATTATGAACAACTTTATGCCAATAAACTACATTTTATATGAAATGGATAAATTTCTTAAAAGACTCAAACTATCAAAGCTCACTTAATAAAAAATAGATAACTCAAATTATCCTACATCTATTAGTTAAAATTAAAAATGTTAATTAAAAACCTTCCCTAGAAGAAAACTTCAGGAACATAATTTTACTTACAAATTTTACTAGCCATTTAAGGAAGAAATTACACCAATGTTACACAAACTTACAATAAATAAAAGAAGAGGCAACACTTCCAAATTTACTTAATGAAGTCACCACTTTCCTGAAACCCAAACCAGCTATATTACAAGGAAACAGAATTACAGACCAATATTCCTGAAGGTAGGTGTGACAATCATTACTGGAAATACAGCAAATTGAATCCAAGAATATATAAACAGGATAAGACATCATTACCAAGAGTTTAGGAATGCAAGGTTGGTTTAACATTCCAAACTTAATCAACATAATATATCACATTAGCAGACTAAAAGACAAAAACCTATGATACAGAACCTCAATAGATACAGAAAAAGCATTTGAAAAAACTCATCATTCATTCAGGATAGAAAGTATCAACAAAGTAATGATAGATGGACTTTTCTTTACCTTTTGAAGGGCATTGGGAAAAACCTACAGCTAGCATTAAACTTAATGGAAAAAAGCAAATGCTTTCCTTCCCCTGAAGGTGGGAACAAGCCAGGATGACAGTTCTTACCACTGCTATTCAATGTTGTCCCACAGGGTCTAGCCAGGCTAATAAAGGAAGAAAATTTTAAAAGACATACAGATAGGAAAGAAAGAAGTAAAACTGCCTTTATTTGTAGGAAATCTTAAGTAATCTACTACAAAAAATCTAATAGAGGTAATATGTGAGTTTGGCACAGTTCCAACCTACATAACCAATATTAAAATATCAATTATATTTCTATATACTGTCAAAGAACAATAGAGTTATATTAAGCATTGCATTCATATTAGCATCAAAAATACTATGAATATAAAAGATGTACATAACAAAAGATGCGCAGACCTGTACACTTTAAACCTGAGAACAATGCTAAGAGAAACTAATAAAGACTTAAATAAATGAAGAGATACTCCATGTCCATGGATGAGAAAAGCCAGCGTTTTTAAGATGTAATTTCTACCCTAATTACTATATAGGTATAATGCAATCCAAATAAAAATCTCAGCAGTATTTTTGTAGAAATGAACAAGCTGATTCTAAAATACGTATAAAATAAAAGAATATTGACTAGGCAAAACAATTTTGAAAAAGAACTATCTTAAAGAACTTGCACTATCTGATTTAAAAACTAACAGTAAAACTACAAAAATCAACACAGTTCAATATTGTAATAAGGACAGACACAGTGATCAATGGAACAGAATAGAAAGTCCAAAATTAAATCCACACTTATTAGGTTATTTGACCAAAAAAAATGCTAAGGTAATTCAATGGAATATGGATTATCTTATTTTCTGATTTTCTGATATTGGATAGCCACATGAAAAATAATGAACATCAACACTTACCTCACACATATACAAAAATTAACTGAATGCACCAGGGATCTAAATGTAAGAGATAAAACTACAAACCATGTAGAAAACAAAGAAAAGAAAATCTATGTGGTTTTGGGTTAGGGAGAGATTTTTTAGATCGGACGCAAAAAGCATGAACCATAAAATTAAAATTCTATAAATTGGACTTCATCAAAATTCAAAACTTTCATTTTTTTTCTTTCTTTTCTTCTTTTTTGAGAAAAGGTCTCGCTCTGTCATCCAGGCTAGAGTGCAGTGGTGTGATCTCGGTTCACTGCAGCCTCCGACTCCCGGGTTCAAGTGATTCTCATGCCTCAGCCTCCCAAGCAGCTAGGATTACAGGTGCCCGCCATGACACCCAGCTAATTTTTGTGTTTTTATTAGAGATGGGATTTCACCATGTTGGTCAGGCTGGTTTTGAACCCCTGACCTCAAGTGATCAGCCCACCTCGGCCTCCCAAAGTGCTGGGATCACAGGCATGAGCCACCGCACCCAGCCAAAACTTTCACTTCTTAAATGCCACTAACAAGAGAATAAAAGACGTCACAGACTAATATCTGATAAAGATATTTCATCCATAAGAAAACATACAGCCCAATATTAAGACGATAAACAGGCCAGGTGCACTGACTTATGCCTGTGATCCCAGCACTTTCGAAGGCTGAGGTGGGCGGATCCCCTGAGGTCAAGAGTTCGAGACAAGCCTGGCCAACATGGCGAAACCCTGTCTCTACTAAAAATACAAAAATTAGCAGGCGTGGTGGTAGATGCCTGTAGTCCCAGCTACACGGGAGGCTGAGGCAGGAGAATTGCTTGAACCTGGGAGGTGGAAGTTGCAGTGAGCCCAGATCATGCCACTGCACTCCAGCCTGGGTGACAAGAGTGAGACTCCATCACAAAAAAAAAAAAGAAGATGAACAATCTATTAATCATTAGGGAAATGCAAATTAAAACACAATGAAATGCCACTGCACACCCACCAGAATGACTAAAAGACTCGCAAGTCTAAGTGCTGCTGAGAAATAAAATAGACCATGACACATGCAACAGCATGAGTGAATCTCAAAAGCATGCTAAGTGAAAACAGCCAGATATGAAACCATAGGACGCTATTAATATGACACACAAAAAAAAACCAAAAGGACAACGTGCACAGCAGTTGCCAGGGCTCTGCTCTCCCCAGAGATTCCAATCTTTTATCATAATGCACAATCACATCTTATCTCATTATAACATTTAAGTAAATGAACAAATTGAGCCCTCCTACACTCTAGAGTTTAGAAAGTGTTCCCTGGACTAGCATGTCCCAAGGACTGAATTCCTTTGTGGAACCATACCGTGCAGAGTTTGATCTTCCCAGCCTCATATATATAGACCACGTTACCCATGTTCCAGCAAAAAGGGTCAGTGCCCAGCAAGTGGAAAGCAGGGGTAATTTGTCAGGCCCTAACATGACACACCTGGCTCAGAGCAGGCACCCAAAACTACTGTGTAGATGGATGTGTGGATTCAGCAAGTGCACCACATGACACTTGATTCTAGGAATTGGATCATATGAAAAACGGCTACCCTGAAACAGACCTAACACATATTTACAAACATAAAGACAACAATGAGGACCAAATACTTCCTACAATTATGGATGTGAAATCGCTTTTTCTAATTTTCCAGTTTCTAGTACTAAAAAAAAAAAAAATTTCCCCTTTGAATCCCCCTGAATGTAATCCCATGTTAAAGATTACATCAGAGCAGGAAAATGATTTTTTTTAAAACAGACTTGCATTTCTTAAGTGCTAGACAAAGTGTGCTCTAAGTGGTTTGGTTGGCAACATTAATTTTAATGAAAGGATATATATATATGGCACTTGCTCCAGGTACAGCCATTTGGTATTCCCCACCAACACAGGAGACAAGCAGAAAAAACAAATCCAAAATTCCTTCCTATAGCATGACATACATCTAGAGTGGAAATCACACGGAATTTGAATGACTGATAATAACACAGCTACTTTAAATTTGCAGATGAATCTTGGCTTTGCTTAGATCATCTGAAATATTGAGTAAACATAAAAAGATACAGTCATGCATTAGGTTGATATGAAATTGCAGTTTTTTTGTAGTCAAAATGGTCAACTGCTGACATTTTCATAAGGTCGGCCTCGTGAAAGGACAGTGAGAATATATGGATATCAACTTTAGTTTTGTTTTCAAGAATCACAAAGCTCAAAGGACTCTTAATAAATGAAGTCCAACATTCTCATTTTAAGTTTGCATTTGCAGGTTTGGGTGTAAATGAAATTTTTTGAAAAACCCCAAATATCAGTGGGATAAATGAGACAAGCTAATTTCACATGCCTGTTGAGGAGTGCCCACAGTAAGAGAGACACAGCCTCTTCTAGTTAATGTGACACTCTGAGGGGCCCAAAGTCCCAGTGAACCTCATAGTCTAACAGGGCTGCTAGGGCTCCAGCCTTTAAAAACAGGGACTGGTCAGAGAAGAGGCATTCAAGCCTGGCAGATGCCACATATTGGAAAACCATGGAAACCATGCTACTGGGTCTGGACTCCATCTTGCTGGCACTGGGAAGGCCTTTCAATGTTAAGCAGGAGGAAGAAATGGTCGGATCACTTTGGCAATCCAGCAGGCAGTTTTGAGGAGCACAAGATGGAAGACAGCAGGCAAATTCAGGAAACAGGCAGGAGCATAAAGGATGAACAAAGCAAGAGGTGCAGCACTGGAGGGGGGAGCAGCACTTGCACTTTCTAAGAAGTGTAGAGAAGAATGGATAGAGCTCATAAGATCATGGAAAGTTGATGACAGTCCAGATGATTTTGACTTTCTTCTGGCTATGAGTGAGTAGATTTGAGGAAATGGGTAGTTTTTTCTGGAGAATATCTACAGGACAAGCAATATTTTCAGGGGAGTAGCAGGTTCAGGGAAGAAAGGTGGAGAGTTGGCTTTGTGCAAAGATGGATCTGGTAAGGTAAACATTCACAGTTGAAATGAGTTTTGTTGGATATGAGTGAAAGGGGTTAGAGAGTGCAGGCTAATAAACAGAGTCTACTAAAGGGGTAACATGATTCAAGGTAGGCGATCTTGGGTGCTTCCTTTTCATTTAGGGAGCAAGAACTATGGAGTTGGGGGAAGTGGTTTAAACAATGGTGGCAAGTATCAGAAGTGATACCAGTTATTTTCTGGTTGACATTGGCTAAGAGGACCAGGCATTGCCTGGTGGGGTCTCTGGGTAGGTCAGGTCCTGTTCTGTGCTTAGTGATGCTCATGAATTCCCTGGTTAGGGCTCAAATGTTGCAAGATGCCCTGGGCTTGGTAAGAAAAAGGTGTGGGTATCTTCTGTCTCTGAGGCAGCTTTGCAGGTAGTACAGTTGCCATGACTCTGGCTACAGTGGCGCATGACCCAGTGCTGAGGGGATCAAGCCCAGCACATTCAGCAGGATTTCTTGGTCAGCTCTGCCAGGTCTCAAAGAGCCAGATTCTTTACCGAAAACTTCAGACCTGCTGACATTATGGCTATCATAATAATTAACTGTCACAGGCCACATCTTAATTTACAACTTTATAAATTACATGTTGAGATACAAGAATCCTATCCTTAGTAAACCTTAGGCATTTGTCTTACTGGCTGGTCACTTGATTACAGTAAAAAAAAAAAAAAAAAAAAAAGTCTAGAAATACGTCAACACCAGTGAATATCAAGTGTGAATTTTGGAGAAAGGTCAGTTTAAATGAAAGCTCTTCTATATTGCCCAGCTCCCTTTAAAGGCTCCATTGTGGTTACTGTACCAGGGACTCAGCCCCAGGGTGCTGCAGGGAAACCTGGGGTTCATTCCTGCTGGAGTGGTTCTCCTACCACTTTCCATCAATACAGACCACACAACATGGACCATGTGGTCAAATTTCAGAGGTACAGACAGATGATAAACAAACAAATGCAGAGATACAGCGAGTGAAATAGACTTAAATATATGGAGAGAGAGAGAGAGATCATGTGATTTAGTCTGGTGGGAAGGAGAGGTTAGAAAAAAACAATTGTTTCACACAGTAGCAAGTGCTAAAAAAATAGTATCAAGGAAGAGAATGGCTGGGTGGAGAAGGGTTCACTTCACTTCACGTAGGGTGTCAGAAAGAGCTCTTTGAAGAGTTGCCACTGGGAGTGGTTGGGGTGAAAAATATGCAGAAGTTGTGCATAAGACAGTGTTCTGTGGGTCTGAATACTGAGACTCTAGCTTGTCACCACAACCCTACAGCAAAGGGGAGAGTGACAAGTGGTAGAGATTTGGAGATTCGACCACCCAAACAACTGGTCACACATATAACTCTTATTTTTGTTATCGCTGTCTCCACAAAATAAAATTAGTAAAGTTGAATTTCTATTATGCAGGTAACTAACCTATTTCCCTTTTATTCAAGCAATTTTATAATAGATTTGTGATATACTTGGAGATCAATTCTATGATGTCATTTCCTCAACAGTTTCCAAAGGCCTTCATCATAAAAGGTCCACATTAAGGAAAACAATTTCATCAAGTCAAGGTCCAAGCTGTTTATCATGGCAACAATCCAGTGAATGCTGAGTCAAAGGGAAGATTGTTTTGCACACAAAACTAAAGGAAACATAGCATTAATAGTCACTTTAATGTACTTCTGTGTTTACAAAGTTATTCATCTTGAGGTTGCTTGGATTTTTGGAAAGTTCTATGATCATTTCATGCACAGTAAAATTTATGTCCAATACGAATTAAACACAATCCTTTATTATTCCATTATTGATTGATTTAATATGAAGTAGCCTCTTAGGCTTAATTGCCTTACTCTGAGAAAGCTCTTGGGGGAAAGCAGTCCTGTGTCTACTCAGCATAAGCAACTAAAACTACAAATAGAAACTTCAACTTGCTTTGAAATGTTATTCACTGACTCAATCAGGCCTGCAACTTGTTTCTAAAGTCTAAAAATATTAAGTTCCAAAACTTCACAAGAATGTAATGAAAGCTCTGAAGTTTACCCGTATGTTGACAAAACATACTCCAAATAAACATTGTGCTTTCCCTGAAAAAGATGATAAGACCTTATTGTAAGGTCAACTCTGCAAATCACTCTCTTAGATAAGTGAGATTCACAAAACAATGCATTTGCATAGATAGATAGAAAGATAGATAGATAGATGATAGATAGATAGATAGATAGATAGATAGATAGATAGATAGATTGGTTGATTTTTTTGGCTAAAAGAACTGCATGGAAGAAAGAACTGGAGGATAAAAGAAGTGGAAGAGGAGGAGGTGACTTACAAAGTTTGCTCAACAGGTTAAGGAGTTTTGGCCCGGCATATTTTAATTTCAACAATCTGTGATATTGCCCCTACATCTTTTTATTATTTTTTTAACTTTAAGGGAACATGGCTGATGGGCTCTAGGCCTTAAACTCGTGAAGGAATAACTAATTAGCTTACCTATAGCAAGCACCCGGTGTATGCGATCTCCCCAGGCCACCAGAAATAACCACCAATGTGCTCACCAACAGCGCAGGCCTGCTCCCCAACACAGGCCTAGTACATCAGGTGGGGAGCCCACAGCGTCTCTTAGTAATTACTGACAACCACTCTTTCGGTTCCTTGTCTCTTGAAGTGAGCAGTGCAGCAATCTCTAGGAATTAAGTATTTGCTACAGCTCTGTGATCCAACAGAAATCAATAAGGTGTCACAGGTAAGTATAATTCAAATATGTCCAGTCTTTCCCTTTTGTTCTCTATGGTCTCAGGAATTTCACTCTTCTAGACAAGGGGATATGTAGAAACACTATTTAAAAATACTACTGTTACAAACTCATAATCACCATCAATTCATATCGGGTAACTGTTGTTAGGACATTTGCTTTAGGATAACACAGTCCATGCCTTTACCAAGCACCCTTTGCTCTAGTTTCAAACAGCATCCCAATCCTTCATTCCACAAACAAATGAAACAGTAAAGAAAAACCAGAGGCCTCGACATTGGAATTATTTCATTTGGGATTATTACTCATGGTTAGTAGAATTTTTCTGCCTTCAGTCTAAAAATGCCAGTATGTGTACAATAACATAGTTTGTCATTTTCCCCTCTGAAGTTAAACGAGCAGGCACTCTGGAGAATACTGTAGATTTGGTGATCCTGGCTGAGCCACCCCTTTTTATTGCTGCCTTAGCTGAAAGAGGATATCCCCTCTGTGATCAGGAAAAGCAGAAAGTCCTCCCACCCTGAAGATGTAAGGAATATCCTTTGTCTGCCGGCACAGAACTTGTCTTTCAAATAAGTAAAGGACCAAGGTTGCTGAGATATTTTCCGGAAAAGCAAGATTGGGCTGTACCCCACACCCAAGTGGTGTTGTCAGCCCGTTTTCATTGGGGGGAATGCCTATTTAAGCAGTATAAAAATTCCTCGTGGCTTTCCTCAGATTCCACAGACAACCTCCATCTTTTGGAAGTGAGATGAGGGCAGTGGGAAAAGAAAAAAACTACAGTCACAAGCCACATAGCGCCATTTAAGTCAACATCAGACAACATTAGGACAGTGGTCCCATAAGATGTAACACTGTACTGGAACACTGCACCTTCCCCAGAGTGCTTAGCACTCTGTTTTAGCTGCCTGCAGCATTCCGCGCTGTGACCTGCTGTGCAGGGGTGCAGCCCAGAAGCAATGGGTTGTACCATACAGCCTGGCGTGCAGTAGGCAAGGCCATCTAGGTTTGTGTCGGTGCACCGTGATGTGCACACAGTGATGAAATCTCCTAGTGACCTCGGAACGCGTCCCGCTCCTTAGGCAACCCGTGGCTGTATTCCAATTTCCCCTTGCTCTCAGAAACACAACTAAAAGCTCGAAGACCTCAGGTGACAGACTGCCTCCTGTTACCTCACCAAGACTGAAAACCTAAGCAGTGGCTCCGCCCAAAGAGCAAGCTTCTAGCCCTCTGACGGGAGGCCCGGCAAGATCGTCCTCTGGACAGCACCTTGCTATTTTGTGACGCTGCTCCAGCCCCCAAGATGTCCAAGATCTTGGGCCTTCCCTTGAGGCGTGACGCTCACGACCCGAAACACCTCTCATACAGCGTGCACACCACATTTCAGATTTTAATGATTTACACTGCAATCAAGCAAAGAGGCTGCGAACTCAAAAGCCAGCAACAACTGAACATTTAAACTCCAACGTCAACAGTCAGAATACAGCCCTCAAGGCGGCCAGCTGGGACCCTGCCGGCGGCACCGCGCACCGAGAACCCAGCGCGAGCAGTCGCTGAGCCGATGGGCGGGGCCCAGCTGTAGCTTTGGCTACGTCGCGGGCAGCCTGGGAGCCAATCCGCGGCGGGCTGAGCCGTTGCCTTGGCTACACCGTCTGTTAGGGCCGCGCACGAGATCAGTAACTGAGACCTCACCGCGTTGACCCAGCACCAGGGCTCGCGGGGGTCCCGCGAGGGTCTCGGTAGCCGCGCGCCCAGAGACCCCCGCCGCGGCCCGATTCTCTGAGCGCCAGACATGAACCGCAAGAAACTGCAGAAGCTGACGGACACCTTAACCAAAAATTGCAAGCATTGTAAGTAAGAATGTAGTGCTGGACAGGCCGAGGCTCCTGGACCGAGCCTGGGTCCCACCCCGTGCTAAGGTCCGCTGTTGTGCCTGCTTCCCGCCTGCTGGGACTCTGTGGGCTACCTACCGCCCCTCCACCCCGGCCCCTTAAGCAGAAGTCAGAGAGGGAATCCCGGGGTGCCAGCTCCTTGCGTTTGATCTTAGGAACCCAGGCCTCCGCCTCTGGTGCTACCTACACTCCCACACATGCATTTACTTGCTTCTCCAACCCTCTTCTTTTACCTGATAGAAACATGTGATGTTAGCCTCAATGAGGTGTAAAATAAATGCTAAAACCAACTGGTCTCAAGAAAAGTAGCACCACCAAGGTAGACCGTGCACTCACCCTGCTTTATAGCTCGCACATACACCCGCAGGTCCAAGTTCTGGAAGCTTACCAAGAGACCCATAGGAGAAAACGGTGCTCAACTTCTCAACATCTTTCGGAGAGATGAGTTGTGTCATCTCATCTGTGCCTCAGAACAATATTTGTTTGGAAACCAGAGTTCAGCACAACTAAACACGTGGTAAAGAATGGGTTCCCAACTTTAGACTCCCACTTTCCAGTGGCCCCTGGTGTTGAAAGATAAAGGAGACTTTGCAGGTGACAAGATGAGCCCTATTTGAAGGCACCTGCTCTAATCTCGCATTTGAAAGGGTGGTCCTAGAATTTCATAGGAAACTTTGAGTTTATATTCAGACTGAAAAACATAATTGCACTTTAGCAAGGAAGCCGTGGGTATGGTTTAGATGAGGAAGATAATTTCCTGTCGAGCAAACTTAGAAGTTGTGTGTGCTAATTGCAAAACTACTGGCCACTTGAAGAAACAGAAGCAACAATCCCCCAAATAACCGAGTCGCTCAAAAAAGAAGGAATAAACATGTTGATGTAGTTTTAGAGATTGTAAGATCTAGTGCATTCTAATTATCATTAGTATCTGATTTAATACCTGGTAAGAAATGCTCTCTTAGTGGATGGTGATATAAATGAATATTATGGTGTGTGTACGCATCTTAAAATGTTTAGGAAAAAAATCCTGTAATTTAAGATATTATTATGACTACTATACTCTGATGAGGGTTTTGTTCTGTTATTGTTTTTCTTAAAACACTTTCATTTCTGGGAGAATAGGTATTCTTCTAGTAAACATCTAGTAAACATTTTTGATAAATATTCAAAAACAATGCAATAGCTGCTATACACAATACTGATTTTGTCCCTTTCCGTAAGTTTGAATTTGATTTAGTCTCTGTTCGGTAAGTTTGAATGCATTGCAGACAATCATTCTGTGAACAATCAAAAGGTGAGTGTATATTTTTAAAGGTAAGTAAAAATATGGCAGGAAAAAGTCTGCTCTTGATTTTTTTGTTTACTAAAAAATTTTCAATGAGTCTTACAAACTTAGATGATTATTAGTTAAAGTCTATAGAAATAGTTATACGTCATGGACATTATAATAATTTTAAATTTTCTTTAACGGAAGAACTTTCCCCTAAAGTTAAATTTTGTTTTAGTTGCAAGACAATAAAGCTATCAAGATTCAATGGATAAATTTTGTAGAATCAAAGAAGAGTGAAAGATCTTAAGAGAACATCTAGTTCATGCACTGTTCTACAGATATGTTCTGCAGGACACATTCACAGCATTCCAAGAAGATGAAAACCTATTCTTGAATTTTCTTGTTTCATTTAGTATTGTATTCTAGAATTTAAGAAATGTTTAGCAATAAAAGTTTTCTTATGGCTAACCTTTGATCCTTTGGGTAATAAATTAAACTAGTTTTTAAAAATTTTTATTTCAGCTGAGATGGAAAAATGGCTAACCAACATCCCCTCTGCTACCATTTTATGTACATGAACAGAGTACATCATTCTTCATGCAGGCTTTTCTTCCGCAACAACTAACAGCTCTTGCTTTTTAGGAGGTTTGTGTGTGTGTGTGTATGTGGTTACATATAACATGAAATTTACTATTTTAACCATTTTAAGTGCTTAATTTCATGGCATTAAGTACATTCACACTGTTCTGCTTGCAACACCACCATCCACCTCCGTAACTTGTTCATTGTTCCCAGTGGAAACTCTACCCATTAAATGTTAACTCACCATTCCCTCCTCATCCTAGTCCCTGGCAACTATCATTCTACTTTGTCTCTATAAATCTGACTAAGTACCTTATATAAGAGGAATCATACAATATGTGTCCTTTTGTGTCTGGCTTATTTGACTAAGTGCAATATCCATAAATGTTCATCTATGTGTCAGAATTTTCTTCCTTTTTAAGGCTGAATGATATTTCATTGTATGAATACACCACATTTTGTCTATCCATTCCTCCATTGATGGACTCTTGCATCTGTCTTTTGACTGTTGTGAATGATGACACTATGAACATTGTTGTACAGGTTCCTGCTTTCAGTTCTTCTGAGTATGTAAATAGAAGTAGAATTCCTGGATCACGCAATAATTGTGTTTAATTTTTATGAGGAGCTATCATACTGTTTTCCACAGTGACTAACAGCTGTTTTTGAAATCATAACCATTATATTGTTTCCTACTATTTATTTGCTGAATCTTTTTTCCCAGACTTTTTAGTGTTTCTCTTTAAATGTGGTTTTCCAAACCAGAAATCCCACAAATGCCTGTACTGACCTCTAGGATGAGGTGTGATTTTTCCATTCCTAGATGCTGTCTTCTGTTATACACACACAGGTTTTGTCCTTGTTTGTTAAAATGCTCAATCACAGTTTTGACTGGTTTCAAAATAAATTTTCCCCAACTTCCGCCCATACTTGGTATTTGAGCTTTTATATTATCAAGACCAGGCAATAACCCTTCCACCTACATTCTCAAATGGGGATTGGAACACAAATAATTAACTCGGTATTTATAACCATGGTCCTTTATACAATAATGTGTATGAGCAAGTATCTGTTTGTGTGTATATCCTTTAAATAAAAATTTCCTTCCTCCAAACTATTACTGAATAGTTGCATGTTAATTTTTACGTAATCCTCAAGAAGAGCCATATTGGGTGCTAAAATATGCTTTAAAGCTTTTTTATTGGAAAACTGGTGACTCTAGTTTCCAAAATCTGGCTTATGAATTAATGAAGGCTAAACTGAAATGAAAATTGTTACCTAATTCTCATGAATCTGACATCTATTTCCAGGGAAAAGAAGTTGTAAATCTCGTAAATGCCATGGTAAAAATACTGAGAAAAAGTTACCATTCTTTAGTCTTACCATTCTTATTTTGAGACGTATTTCTACTAGCCTTGTAGAGTTTAGAATCCGACACCACCATCATTATTCTAGTAACTTGGCTAATACTATCGTATTTTTTTCCCTAAACATGGGAATTCCTGTTTGGAGGGTATGCTGCTTTTTTTATTTCTATTAAGTTAAGGGTTCATGAATCTCAAAACAGGAGAGTCTTCTATTGACAATTACCTATTTGATGTCTTTGACGTTGTTTGTCTGTAAACTTATTGCAAAATTTAAGTTAGAACTTAAAGATTAAGGGTTCATTTTTGTTATATCTATTTTATTATTTCAGTTAATAAATTTGAAGTGAACTGTCTTATAAAGCTTTTTTATGACTTGGTGGGAGGAGTAGAGAGGCAAGGTCTGGTTGTTGGACTGGATCGTAATGCATTTCGAAACATCCTGCATGTGACATTTGGAATGACAGATGACATGATTATGGACAGAGGTAAGAGACACACAAGATTCAAATTAGCCAAATCCAGCCATAACTGAAAAAAAAAGGGTTTGGTGCTTGGACATCCTCTTGGTAGGAAGCTTAGTGTTTTGCATTCCCAGTGTCATTGGAATATACAAATTTAATTTTGAGAAGATCATAGAAAAGGAGGTAATATTGGCTTTATTTTGTGTATTTAAGAAGAAGACAAAGTCATGTTGACATCTTTCTCTTACCTTATATCAGAAAACCTAAAACATTTCGATTTCCACTTAATAAACATAATAAATAGAATAGTTTTAAAAGGACATTTACATTCTTTACATCATAGAAGATATTTCAGTGACAAGATATAATTCTATGCATCAAGTAATGACTTGAGTAACAAAACTATTAAGTATTTTATTTATATTCATATATTTATCTAATATGACCAACATATTTTATAGCAACATATTTATTATTAAATAATGATTAATATACTTAGACATTGAGAATTGTATTTGTTCCCACAAAAACATTTTAAAAATTGAATGTTTAATAAAAGAGTTTCATGATATTATGATGTCTTAGTTTCCTCTTTCGTCAAATGAGAATATTGGACTTCACAAGCTGAAGTGTTCTCTTAATTTTAAAAGTGAGTGATGCCAATGTAGATACTTTACTGAGAGTTATTATGCAGGACAGGTGTTCCATTTAACCTCTCTCCCTTTAGTATTCCGAGGTTTTGATAAAGATAATGATGGCTGTGTAAATGTATTGGAGTGGATTCATGGATTATCACTGTTTCTTCGAGGATCTTTGGAAGAAAAAATGAAATGTAAGATTGCAGGTTGTCCTATTGGTTCGTACATTATGAATAACATATCTAAAGCACTTAAATCAGTGTCTTTCAACCAAGACAGTAAAGTGGGTTTGTTGGTTGGCTGGTTAGTTGGTTTGAATCCCACTAACCTATTTTATGGAATGAATTCAAGTCAATAAAATATGAAAGAAAGTTAATAAAAAGAAAACTCAAGTGATTCTGAGGAGTAATTTATGCGAAGGAAGACACCATAGGCATTACTACATATGCTAATTATGTACATATACATTTATATGTTAAGCATTTGACAGATTTCATTACTTGAATTGTAACCATAAAACTAGAGAATATTGATTCAAGTGTTCTTATTCTTAATTAACTCTCAATTAATTCTGATGAACTCTGCTTATGAGCCATATTTCAATCAGTTTTCCAAGAGTTTCAAGGTGAAGATATTCAAGTTACTGTTCCTTGGTATGCTTTTTCATAATTGAGAATCAGGAAATATTTTCTAAGGATTATTGTATATATCCTAGTATACGTTGACACTTACAATGCAAATCAGGCTGCACTAAGACCTGTGGGTACAGCATCAAGATAGAACTTGGCCCTGAAAAGTTTATCAGAGAAAATATTACCTTACTGATAGCATCAAATTCATGATTTGTTATTTTCTTAAAAAGATTGCTTTGAAGTGTTTGATTTGAATGGTGACGGATTCATTTCAAAGGAGGAAATGTTTCACATGTTGAAGAACAGCCTTCTCAAACAGCCATCTGAGGAAGACCCTGATGAAGGAATTAAAGATTTGGTTGAAATAACACTGAAGAAAATGGTAAATATGGGTAATGTCAAGTTTTTTATTAAAATTTGTGGGCCAGATATGGGCTAGAAATAAGAATTCAAATTATTATAATTTTCAGTTCTCTGCTTGCTTAAATAAAACACATAAATTATGCTCCTCAACATATTAATAGTTCTTTTCAGTTTCACCACCTAACCTCTTATTTTTCTAGCACTTTTTTTTTTTTTGAGACAGGGTCTCGCTCTGTCTCCCAGACTAGAGTGCAGTAGCATGATCACAGCTCACTGCATCATCAAACTCTTGGGCTCAAGCAATTCTCCTGCCTCAGCCTCCCAAGTATCTGGGACTACAGGCGCATACCACCATGCCCAGCTAATTTTTTTTTTTAATAGAGATGAGGTCTCACTATGTTGCCCAGTATGGTCTCAAACTTCTGGCCTCAAGGAATCACCCCGCCTTAGCCTCCCAAAGTGCTATGATTACAGGCCTGAGCCACCATCCCCAGCCTAGCACATTTTTTTAAATTAACACTTGACTATGAAAAGAGCATGTATTTGCAGTAATCATTTTACGTGTTGCCTAACATGTTTCTCATTCCCCTAGGATCATGACCATGATGGGAAGCTGTCTTTTGCAGACTATGAACTGGCTGTGAGAGAAGAGACTCTTCTACTGGAGGCCTTTGGGCCATGTCTTCCTGATCCAAAGGTATTGATATGACTTTCCCTGAACGGTAATCAAAGTAGAATGTAGAACAACCCAGGACTTCTTGATTTAATGGGTAGTGGATCAGACAAATCCTGTCCACCAAGAAAGAATACCTTTTAAATACAGAAAGCCCACTGAATAACCTGCTGATTCATTTCTTGGTACTAGTGTGACCCAGTGCTGTGTTTCATTCATTAACTCATTCATGTCAGAAACAATTAATGAGGTTTAATGTGTGCCAGAAGCACAGATGAAAGGCTCAGTGATTTTACTCAAGGGCTCATATTTTCCAGTGAAAATAATTACACAAGAGTATGATACATATTATTATAATGATACTTAATTACTTGTATGTTCTTCATCAATGCCAGGCAACGTTGTAAACACTAAGCCTCATATTGCCTCATTTAATCCTCATAATAACCCTGTGAAGTAGGTAGTAATATTAGCCTCATTTTCCAGATGAGGAAACCAAGGCTTGGAGAGTTTAGGCACCTTGTCCAAGTTTACTCACTTATTAGTGGAATACCCTGGGTACCCTGGTGCCAGAGTCATAGAGATATGTGTAGAGTGTTGTGGAACTTGAGAAGAGGTCATCTAAACAGCTGTATGGGAGGACTGGTAAATGACTGGTAGGGCAGGAAGCTTATCAGAGTAACTGGTTTTCAAAGGACAAAATAGCCAGGTCAGATGGGGAAAAATAATCTGAGCAATGGGTGATGTATGCACAAAAGAGAGACAGAGAGAGATAGAGAGAGAGAAAGAAAGAGATGGAACAAGAGATGCAAATGCATCTGCACTGGACGAGGTTTTGGTGTGCTCTGAGGCTGGTGATGAGGCTGCAGAAGCACAGCTTGTGGAGCTTGGAGCTCAGATTTAGTCTTGAAGGTGATGAGGCATCCCTGGAAGATTGAGGCAGGCAGTGTGATGTGATATAGAAACAGTATCACTCTTCCCAGCCCTAGCATGTGTCTCCTGCCGCCTACTCAACATGTCCACTTAGATCTCCTCAACACATTTTTGACTTTTCCCCAAAACTCACCCATCCCCCAGTCTTCCCTATCTCAATAAGTGGCAACCACATACGCCCAGTTGTTCAGTCAAAACCTAGGGGCCATCTTTAATTTCTCTCTTTTAACACTGTTAGCTACACCTCCAAAATATGTCCTTGAATATAGCCTCTTCTCCTCACATCTGTTTGCCACCACTCTAAGTTAAGCCACTGTTATATGTTACCTAGCCTAGATTGTTAGCTTTCTGGCTTCCACTGTCATCCCCTACTGACTTTTCTCAACAATGTCCAGTATGTTTAAAATGCAAATGCTGCCAGGCCCCTCCCATGCTCAAAACCCCCCAGAGGGTTCTGAAGTGGACCCAGTGGGCCATTTCCCTCTCTCCACCCACATGTCCTATCATCTCCCTTCTCTCTTGCTGCTGGAGCCACAGCCTCTGGCTCATGTGCCTCCTCCATGCCTGTGCACTTGCTGCTGCCTCTGTCCAGAAGCCCTTTCCCCAGACCCTCCTGGGCCTCATTTTCTCACTTCATCCAGTCTCTGCTGCAATGCCACTTCCTCACAGAGCCCTGTCTTGACCATCTTAACAATCTTCCCTGTTCATCCCCCAGCCCTTCTTTCTTTCTTTTACTTAGCAGCTCTTTTTATTACCTAGGTATATCTGTCTCGCCTTGTACATGTCAGCTCACTGAGGCCAGGAACTTAGTCTTTGTTTCACTGTGTTTCCCCATACCCTGTGTGTAGCACATGGTGTGTGTCTAGTAATGAGAGATGGATGGATGGATGGATGGATGGATGGATGGATGGATGGATGAGTGGATAGATGAATGGGTGAGGTGGATGGGTGGGTGGGTGGGTGGATGGATGGATGGATGGAAGGATGGATGGGTGATGTGGGTGTGTGGGTGGGTAGATGGATGGGTGAATGGGTGAATGGATGAATGGATAGTTGAGGTGAGTGGGTAGATGGATGGATGGGTGTGTGGATGGATGAATGGATGGATGGATGGATGGATGGATGGATGGATGGATGAGTGGATGGATGAGGTGGGTGGATAGGTGAAGTGGGTGATTGGTTATATGGATGGTTGGATGCGTGGGTGGGTGAATGGATGGGTGGGTGGATAGATAGATAGATAGATAGATAGATAGATAGATTGATAGATGCATGGATAGATGGGTGGATGCATGGATGGACAATGGATGGATGGATGGATGGATGGATGATGAACTGGGTTGATGGGTGAGGTGGGTGGGTAAGTGGGTAGATGGATGGATGGATGGGTGAGGTGAGTAGATGGATGGGTGAGGTAGGTAGGTGTGTGGGTAGATGGATGGGTGGATGGATGGATGGATGCATGGATGGATGAGGTGGGTGGATGGGTGAGGTGGGTGGGTGGGTAGATGGATGGGTAGATAAAAAGATGAGTGGGTGGGTGGATGGACGGATGGATGGTGAGGTGAATGTGCGGGTAGGTAGATGGATGGATAGATGGGTGGATGGATGGATTGGATGGATGGATGGATGGATGGATGGATGGATGAATGGATGGATGAGATGGATTGATGGGTGAGGTAGGTGGGTGGGTAGATGGATGAGTGGATGGATGGATGAGGTGAGCAGATGGATGGGTGAGGTAGGTGAATAGATGGATGGGCAGATGAAATGATGAGTGGGTGGATGGGTGGATGGATGAGGTGAATGGCTGTGTAGGTACATGGATGGATAGGTGGGTGGATGGATGGATGGATGGATGGATAGATAGATGATGGATGGTTGGATGGATGGATGGATGGATGGATGAAGTGAATGGGAGGGTGGGTAGATAGATGGATGGATGAGTGGATGGATGGGTGGATGGGGTGGGTGGGTGGATGGATGGATGGATGGATGGATGGATGGATGGATGGATGGAGTGGGTGGGTAGATGGATGGGTGGATGGATGGATGGATGGGTGAGGTGGGTGGATGGGCGAGGTAGGTGGGTGGGTAGATGGATGGGTGGATGGATTAATGGATGAGGTGGATGGATGGTGAGGTGGGTGGGTGGGTCTCAGAAGTGCCTGATGGGGAGCTCTGGATCTCTCCATCTCCTCAGGAGCTATTTCATTCATTTACCTTTATCTTTATACCACATCTTCAATCTCTTCCCTCTCTAGTGAAACCTTCCGATTAGAATTTTATTATTTATTTATTTATTTATTTATTTATTTATTTATTTTTGAGACGGAGTTTTGCTCTTGTTGCCCAGGCTGCAGTGCAATGGCACAATCTCGGCTCACCGCAACCTCCGCCTCCCAGGTTCAAGTGATTCTCCTGCCTCAGCCTCCCGACTAGCTGGGATTAGAGGCATGCGCCACCACGCCCGGATAATTTTATATTTTTTAGTAGAGACGTGGTTTCTCCATGTTGGTCAGGCTGGTCTCGAACTCCCGACCTCAAGTGATCAGCTTGCCTCGGCTTCCTAAAGTGCTGGGATTACAGGCATGAGCCACCATGCCTGGCTCCCATTAGAATTTTAAAAGATTCAAAACTGTCCCATCTGAAAAGCAAAATGAAAGAATGAGAGGAAGAAGGAAAGAAAAGGAGAGAACTTACCTTAATTTCACACTTATTACTTCTGTTTCTTATATAATGGCTTTCCTTCTTAAAACCTAGCTTCTTGAAAGAATTGTCCAGATTTAATATCTAACTACTATCACTTCTTCCTATCTACCCCTGAATCTGCTATTGCAAGGTCACCCTCCCACCTTGTGAATAAATCCCTTGAATGCTCTTGGCTTCTTACCTTACTGAACCACATCCCCCTCACCCTTGGCTCTCAGTACAGCCTTCCTGTTCCAGAGAGTGCCTCGTTCCCAACCAAGGCCCGGCTGTGCCTTGATTGTTCCTCCTGGACTCCCATAGTCTACCATGTGCCTTTCCCTACCACAGCCCATGCAGCCCTGACTGATTCTTGCAAGTTTCTGGCCAGTCTCTGCCACCAGGCTGGAGACTTTTGGAGAGTTGGGTCAATTGGTCTTGCTCATCTTTGTGGCCACATAACCAAGCACTGTGTTTTGAGTGTAGTCATGAGATCTGTGAGTGAAACGCTTGAACACCAGAAGTTCTCGATGCCCACTAACCCTCAGTTATCCTGTCTCTACACTAAGGAGACATACAGAATATTTTGTGGTGTTCTACCTTTTTTGGAAATTTATACTAAATTGAGTACCTTTTTTTACAGAGCCAGATGGAATTTGAAGCTCAAGTATTCAAAGATCCAAATGAATTCAATGATATGTGAATAACTAAATGTCTATATTGTCTCAAGTGAGTAAAAAAGGAGGCACACACATATTGCTTATTTTTTCTACTTAGTTCAGAAAAATGATGTTGAATTGTGTGTTTCAGGGTGAAGATGAGGTTCACTTACATATATCATTTAACATCAGTGTAAGATGCAATTAAAATAGATGGAAGACAAGAAGTCCCTTATTAGATGATGGGTTTGGCAAGACAGTTAACTTTTCTACAGATGTTTTATCACATAGACTATCTGTCGAAGCACATAACTGGCATAAAACCTTTGGGTTCATTAAATGAATAGAGAGATTACATAATTATGAATTGTTAATACAAATATTCTGCATGTCAAAAAGAAGCTGGGTGTACACTGAAAAATCATTGAAACTACTGGATTTCCTTTGAAACAAATAATGAAGATGGCATCAAAAGAATAAGAGTATTCTATTGAGCATTGAAACGCCTTTCTGGTAGGCATTGAGGGAGATCTAGAGAGATGAAAGATACATGGAAATCATATTATATTGAAATATAATATGATTTGCATTATTGTTTGAGGCTTTGGCTAAATAACGTTACTGATTGTAAGCACCTGAAGGCAAGGGTTTTATCCACCACATCTTTGTCTGCCATAGCATTTAGTCCTCTGCATACAATGGGCTGTCCATAATTACTGTAGATTGGACTGAAAATCAAAAAGTACCACAAGATAAATGCAAACTCTTGGTGAGCAGAGGGAGAACATGTACTGAGTTTCTTAGGTTTCATGGCTAATGCATTGGCACAGCTTTCAGTGTATCCCTGCAGTCCTTCCAGATAGTCCCTGCCCCATGCATTGCAGATGGTTGCCAAAGCCCCCCTCTGTCCTGGCACCCAGTGTTCCTCCATCCTGACTCCACGTATTGCCCCCTTGCCACTGCCTGAGTGCACCATAGTGTCCCCATCCCCCCACTGCCTGGAGTTCCCCTTGTGTACCCCCTTATCAGGGCACGACCTAACTGTGCCCTGCTGGCTGTGACCTCCTGAAGACAGACCTGGCTTCTCCCTGCATCCAGTTCCCCAGTATGTGCTGTGGGCATCCTGAGAAGCCTGAAAAAGACAGGGCCAGGTTAGGCTTGGGTGAGCTGCTTTCTGCCTTCTTGGTACACACAGTAAGCAGTGGAGAGGCGTGTTACACCGTATCTGTTCTATCCTCATCTAAATACTGAGAGGCTAGTTGGGATAGTAAATCTTTCTTACTACATATGCATTAAGTTTAAGTAAAATAGAATATTGTGTGAAAAAATGCACTGTTACTAATAAATGGAATAAACAGATCCATGAAATAAAAGAAAACATATTTTACTGTCCAAGTTTTTTTTATATTTTAGATTCTTACATAGATGGACTTTGACACAATTTTTCTATTTGCAGTAAATATAAATAATGCAACACAATGCTTTTCTATCTTTATTGAGGGAAAATTGATAATTTAAAACTGTATATATTTAAGGTATACAACTTGATGTTTTTATATTTGTATGCATTGTGAAATAATCACCACAATCAAGTTAATTAACACATACACCACCTCACACAGTTACCATTTTCTTTTTGTGTGTGTTAGCCACCTTTAGAGCAAATTTCAAATATATAATACTGTTAACTATAGTCACATTGCTGTTTATTACATCTCCAGAACTTATTCATCTTTCATAACTGAAATTTTGTAGCCTTTTACCAACATCCCCCCATTTTGCCCCACCCTGCTATCCCCAGCCCTTGGAAACCACCATTCTACTCTATCCTGCTATGAGTTTTTCCCTTTTAGGTCCCTCTTATAAGTGAGAACATGCAGTATTTGTTTTTTTCTGTGTCTGGCTTATTTCAATTAGCATAATGTCCTCCAGGTTCATCCATGTTGTTGGAAATGGCATAATTTCCTTCTTTTTAAAGGCAGAATGATATTTCATTGTGTGTCTGTGTGTGTGTGTGTGTAATGGGGAGACAGGGACACTATGATGCACTTAGGCAGTGGCATGGGGTGAAATGTAGAGTTAGGGTGGAGGGATACTGGGTGCCAGGACAGAGAGGGGCTTTGGCAACCAACTGCAATGCACGGGGCAGTAATTGCCTGGAAGGACTCTAGGGATACACTGAAAACTGCCATGTGTATATACACACACACATATACATATATGTATTTCATATATTCATTTATTCATTGACAGTTATTTGGGTAGTTTCCATATCATGGCTACTGTGACTACACTGAAATAAACATAAGGACACAGATTTCTCTTCATGAGACTGATTTTATTTTCTTTGGTTGTATACCTAGAAGTGGTATTTCTGGATCAAATGGTAGTCCCACTTTTAATTTTGTGAAGAGTCTCTATACTGCTTTCTATACTAGCTGTACCAATTTGCATTCCCACCAGTAATTTACAGGATTCTCTTTTCTCCATATCCTTGTCAGCCCTTGTTATCATTTATCTTAGTGATAATAGCCTCTGTAAGAGGGGATATCTGATTCTGGTTTTGATCTGCATTTACCTGATCACTTTTTCATAGACCTGTTGATCATTGCTATTATCTTTGAAAAATGCGTAGTCAGGTTTTTTGCCCATTTCTAAATCAGGTTTTGGGGGGTTTTATGTTTGTTTGGTTTTTGTTGTTGCTATTGAGTTGTAGGTATTCCTTATATATTTTAGACATTAACCACTTAGCAAATATATGATTTGCAAATATTTTCTCCAGTGGTTGCCTTTTCACTGTTGATTATTTCCTTTTCTTTGCAGATTTGTTTTTAAGTTTAATTCAATCCCACTTATTTTTGCTGCCTGTGTTTTTGTCATCATATCCAAAAATCATTGCCTAGACTAATGTCATGAAGCTTTTTTTCTGTGTTGTCTTCTAATAGGTTTACAGCTGCAAGTCAACATTAAGTCTTTAATCCACTTTGAGTTGACTTTTGTATATGTTGTGAGATGGGGTCCAATTTCATTCTTTTGATGTGCAAATCCAATTGTCCCAACACCATTTTGTGAAGAGACTCTCCTTTCCCTGTTGTGTATTCTTGGCACCTTTGTGGAAGATCAGTTGACTGTAGATGCTTGGATTTATTTTAGGCCTGTCTTGTGTTCCATTGGTCTATATGTTTGTTTTTATGCCAGTACCAAGCTGTTTTGATTACTAAAGCACTGTATTTTGAAATCAGGAAGTATGACGTCTTCAGCTTTGTTCCTCTTGCTCAGGATTGCTTTGGCTATTTAGGGTCTTTTCTGGTTCCATATGAATTTTAGGATTATTTTTTCTATTTCTGTGAAGAATGCCATTGGGATTTTGATAAGGATTGTATTGAGTCTGTACATCACTTTGGGTAGTATGAACATTTTAATAATATAAATTCTTCCAATTCATGAATATGAGATGCCCTTTTATTGGTCTGTATTTTCTTTAATTTCCTTCATCATTGCCTTTATAATTTTCAGTGTATAAGACTTTCACCTCTTTGCTTAAGTTTATTACTATTTTTTATTTTTTTGCTGCTATTAGGAATGAGTTTTTTATTAATGTTTTTCAGATAGCTCATTTGTGGGTAGAAACGTGACTGATTTTTGTAAGTTGATTTCGTGTCCTGCAGCTTTATGAAATTCACTTATTTGTTCTAACAGTGTGTTGTTGTTGCTGTTGTTGTTGTCATTGTTGTGTTTGTAGGGTTTTCTACATATATGATGATGATGTTTCAAAATGGAGGTAATTTTACTCCATCCTCTCTAACTTGGATGCTTTATTGGGGGAACCTGCCCCCAATATTTCAATGTACATTCTTTCTATTTTCCGTAAGTGTCAGCTGGCTGAGAAATAAAGAGAGACAGCACAAAGAGAGAAATTTTACAGCTGGGCCACTGGGGGTGACATCACATATTGGTAGGACCATGATGCCCACCTGAGTCTCAGACCAGCAAGTTTTTATTAAGGGTTTCAAAAGGGGAGGGGCTGTAAGAATAGGGAGTAGGTACAAAATCACATGCTTCAAAGGGCAAAAAGCAGAACTACTAATAAGGGTCTAACAAAGATCACCTGCTTCTGAGGGAATAGGACAAAGGGAAAAAGCAGAACCACTGATAAGGGTCTATGTTCAGTGGTGCACGTATTGTCTTGATAAACATCTTAAACAACAGAAAATGGGGTTCGAGAGCAGAGAACCCGTCTGACCACAAATTAACCAGGGCAGAGTTTTTCCCCACCCTAGTAAGCCTGAGGAGTACTGCAGGAGACCAGGGTGTATCTCAGTCCTTATCTCAACTGCACAAGACAGACATTCCTAGAGCGGCCATTTATAGACCTTCCCCCAGGAATGCATTCCTTCCCCAGGATATTAATATTCCTTGCTAGGAAAAGAACTTAATGATACCTTCCCTACTTGCATGTCCATTTATAGGCTGTCTGCAAGAAGAAAAATACGGCTCTTTTTGCCCGACCCCGCAGGCAGTCAGACCTTATGGTTGTCTTCCCTTGTTCCCTAAAAATCGCTGTTATTCTGTTCTTTTTCAAGGTACACTGAGATCATATTGTTCAAACACACATGTTTTACAATTAATTTGTACAGTTAACACAATTATCACAGTGGTCCTGAGGTGACGTACATCTTCAGCTTACAAAGATAACAGGATTAAGAGATTAAAGTAAAGACAGGCATAAGAAATTATAAAAGTATTATTTGGGAACTGATAAATGTCCATGAAATCTTCACAATTTATGTTCCTCTGCCGCAGCTCCAGCCGGTCCCTCCATTCGGGGTCCCTGACTTCCCGCAACAATGCTTTAACTTCTTTTACTTGTCTAATTGCTTTGGCTAGAACTTCCAGTACTATGTTAAATAGAAATGGCAAGAATGAGCACCGTTTCTACCAGAAGTTTTACAGAAAGTTTCTTTATTTTAATGATGATGTTAGCTGTGGGCTTTTCATACATGGCCTTTCTTGTGTTGAGGTAAGTTCCTAGTGTACTTATTTTATTGAGAGATTTCATCATGAATGGTTGGTGAACTTTGTTAAATGCTTTATTTCTGCATCTGTTGAGATGATAGTGAGGTTACTTTCCTTTTTGTTATTGTGTTGTATCACATTAATTGATTTGCATATGCTGAAGCATCTTTGCATCCCAGGGATGAATTCCACCTGGTCATGGCATTTTGATCTTTTTAATGCACTGATGAATTCAGTTCACTAGTATTCTATTGAAAATTTTTGTTCCAATGTTCATCAGGGATATTGGCTTGTAGTTTTCTTTTCTTGTGCTGATTTGGAATCAAGTTGATACTGGCCTCAAGAAAGGAGTTTTTGTAAGTGGGCCCTTTTTTTCTATTTTTTTAGAGGAGTTTAGAAAATAAAAGAATTGGTATTCATTCTTCTTAGTATGTTGGGTAGAATTCACCTAGAAAGCCACCTGGTCTGGACCTTTCTTTGTTAGGAACTTTCTGATTACTGATTCAGTTTCCTTATTTGTTATTGGCCTGTTCAGGCTTTCTGTTTCTTCCTAATTCAGTTTGGTAGGTTGTATATTTCTAGGAATTTATCCATTTCTTCTGTTATCCAATTTGGGCATAGTAATTTTTCATTGTCTTTTATGATCATTTTTATTTCTGAAGCATCCATTGTAATGGCTCCTCTTTCATTTATGATTTTGAGTCTTTTTTTTTTCTTAGTCTGACCGGGTGTTTGTCAATTTTGTTTATCTCTTCAAAAAACCAAGTCTTAGTTTTGTTAATTCTTTTCTGTTCCCTATTTGTTTTATTTCTGCTTTTATCTTTATTATTTCTTTCGTTCTGCTAACTTTGGGCTTAGTTTGTTCTTTTCTTCTGGTTTTTTGAGGTGTATAGTTAGGTTTTTTTACCTGAGATCTCTATTCTTTTTTAAAGTAGACATTTATCATTGTAAACTTTCCTCAATACTACTTTTGCTGCATTGTATAAGTTTTGTGTTGGGTTTTTGTTTTTGTTTGTCTTGAGATAATTTTTAAATTCCCTTTGATTTCCTCTTTGAACAAATAGCTGTTCAAAAATGTGTTGTTTAGTTTCTATATATTTGTGAATTTGCCCATTTTCTTACTGTTATTGATTTCTAGTTTCATTCTGTTACTGTTGGAAAAGATACTTGTAATGATTTCAGTCTTCTTAAATTTGTTAAGATTTGTTTTGTTACCTAACATGTGATCTAACCTTACATGTATGCTTGGGAAGACTGTATTCTTTTGTTGTTGGATAGAAAGTTCTGTACATGTCTGTTAGGTCTTTTCATCCATAGTGTTGCGCAAGTCATCTGTTTACTGATTTTCTGTCTGGATATTTTATCCATTATTGTAAGTGGGATATTAAAGTACCTTACTATTACTGTATTGCTATAAATTTATTCCTTGAGATCTGTCAATATTTGCTTTATATACTTTAGGTGCTCTGATATTGGTTGTATATATATTTAAAACTACTATATGTGCCTGTTGAATTGACCATTTCTCAGTCCTTTGTCTTAAGATAATTTTTTACTTAATACTTCTTTTATCTGATATAAGCATAATCACCTCTGCTTTCTTTTGGTTACCATTTGCATGGAATATCTTTTTCCATCCTTTAACTTTCCTCCTATATGTGCCTTTAAATTTAAAGCAAGTCTCTTGTAGACAGCGTATTGCTGGATCTTTCTAAAATCTGTTCAACCACTCTATGCCTTTTGGTTGGGCAGCTTAATCTATAATCATTTAAAGCAACCATTAATAACTATGTACCTATTATTGCCATTTTGTTTATTGTTTTCTGTTTGGCAGTTGTTTTCTCTTTGATTTGATGATGTTTTGTAATGATTGTTTTTGGGTATTTTTGTGTATATATCAATTATAGGGGTTTTGGTAGTTATTTCAAGGCTTGCATAAAATATCTTGTCTATTTTAAGTTGATAACAATTTACCTTTGATCACACACAAAAACCATACTTTTAATCCTCCCACACATTTTGTGTTCTTGTAATTAGTTTGCTTCTTTGTACATTGTGTGTCTCTTACTAAATGTTTATCTTTTAACTTTTATGTTAGGGTTAACAGTAATTTACATACTACAGTGTTGCATTATTCTGTATTTGTCTACATATTTATCTTTACCAATGAGATTTATGCTTTCATTTGTTTTCATGTTGCTGCTTACCATGTTTTTATTTCAAATTGAAGAACTCTCTACCATTTTTGTAAGTGAGGTTTAGTTATAACAAACTTCCTCAGTTTTTGTTTATTTGGGAAAGACTTTATCTCTCCCTTTTTAAAGTATAATTTTGCAGGTATAGTATTCTTGATTGGCAGGGTTTTTTTTATTTTCTTTCAGTGCTTTGATTTTGTTATCTCACTCTTCCCTGGTCTACAGGGTTTTTGCTGAGAAATCCACTGATAGTCTTATCCACATTGCCTTACATATGATGTCACCTTTCTCTTGCTGCTTTCAAAATGCTCTTTATTCTTGACTTCTGACAATTTGATTATAATGTACCTCATTGTACCCTTCTTGGGGTTGACCCTATTTTAGGCCCTTTGTGTTTCTTTTATTTTTTTAGACATAGTTTCACTCTTGTTGCCCAAGCTGGAGTGCAATGGTGCAATCTCGGCTCACTGCAACCTCTGCCTCCTGGATTCAAGTGATTCTCCTGCCTCAGCCTCCCAAGTAGCTGGGATTACAGGCACGTGCCACCATGCCTGGCTGATTTTGTATTTTTAGTAGAGATGGGGTTTCTCCATATTGGTCAGCCTGGTCCTCTGCATTTCTTTAATCTGGGTGTTCATTTCTCTCCCAAGATTTGGGAAGTTTTCAGCCATTAATTAGTTAAGTAAAATTCTTGACTCTTTCTCTTCTCCTTCTGATACTTTCACAATGCATATATTGGTTCACTTGATTATGGCCCATAAATCCTGTAGGATTTCGTCATTCTTTTTTACTGTTTTTTTTTTCCTTTTTCTCCCCAACTGGATAATCTCAAATGACCTGTCTTCAGATTCACAGATTCCTCCTTCTGCTTCATTGAATCTGTTCTTAAGGCTGTCTGTTGCATTTTCTGTTTCATTCATTGTACTTACCAGCTCCAGAAATTCTGGGTTTTTTAATGACTTTTATCTCCTTGTTGAACTTCTAGTTTTGTTCACGTGTTGTTTTCCTGATTGAGTTGTCTGACTGTGTTCTCTTGAAAGGTGACAATGTGCTATCAGCCCTCACTCGGTCCCGGCACCTCCTCGGCCTCGAAGTCCACTCTGTCCGCGCTTGAGGAGCCCTTCAGCCTGCCACTGCACTGTGGGATCCCCTCTCTGGGCAGGCCTAGGCCAGAGCCGGCTCCCTCTGCTTGTGGGGAGGTGTGGATGGAGAGGCGCAGGCTGGAACCGGGGCTGCACGTGGTGCTTATGGGCCAGCACGAGTTCTGGGTGGGCGCCGGCTCGGCAGGCCCCGCACTTGGAGCGGCCGGCTGGCCTGCGGGTGCCGCCGGCCCCAGGCAGTGAGGGGCTTAGCACCCGGGCCAACAGCTGCGTAGGGTGCGCTGGGTCCCCCAGCACTGCCGGCCCGCCCAAGCAGTGCTAGAATTCTCACTGGGCCTCAGCTGCCTCCCCACGGGGCAGGGCTCGGGACTTGCATCCCGCCATGCCCAAGCCCCACCCGACCTGTCTGGGTGGGCTCCCGCTCTGCCCGAACCTCCCCGACAGGCCTGCCCCCTGCTCCACAGTGCCTGGTCCCATCAACTGCCCAAGGGCTGAGGAGTGCAAGTGTGCAGCTTACAGCTTACTAAGCTTCTCTAAACCAATCATTTTGAATTCTTTGTCAGGAAATTCAAGGATTTCCATTTCTTTGGGGTTGGTTACTGGAAAATCAGTCATGTTTCATTGGTTTTATATGTTTCTTGTAGCTTTGCATTTATATCTACACACGAAGGAGCAGTCACCTCTTCCACACTTTTATGGGCTGCCTTTGGTGGGGAAAGACCTTCACCTATTGGTGGGTGTGAAGGCACCAGCTGGGGTGTGACAGCTCTGGCTCCAGGTGGATACATCTTGGACTCTGGGCAGCTTAATCAGCTGGGGTCAGCATCAGTGAAGACTGTGGGCACCATCAGTCATAAAAACTGTGGGTGTCCATGATGGTGACAAAAGCTGCTGGGGTCCTCAGTGGCAAAGGCTACTGGACTTCTGCTCTCCTTTTTCCCCACAGAGAGAGGTCACAGCCAAAACGATCCCCTTTGTTGCCAAGCTGTGCCAGGGTAGAAGATGAGGTGATGCAGATAAAACGCTTCCAACACTTTTATATACAGCTGTCCTTGGTTTGGGGGTGCTTTAATGGGTTCCTGCAGCTTCTTCACTGTACTCTGGAGTATTCTCAGAGCTATTTTTGTTGGCAAGTAGCTGTTAAATTCTTGCTTTTGTTGGGGAGACAAGAGCTGGGATCTCCTAGTGTATCATCTTGTTGATATTACTTGCCTGCTTTTAATATTTTAACTAATTTTTCTGATTACAAAGGAATTGAGGTTCTCTGAAGAATATTTCAGATATTTAGGAAATTTTAAAATAAGATGAAAATATTGATTAATATTCTGGTATAAATCCTTCCAGACTTTTACAATGCATTTGTAAGTACATCTACATTTTTGCAAAGAGAATACTGTATTTTTCAGATGATCATATTGAAAATGCACTTTTGTCTTGGTGTACTACTATTTTGTGAACATTTTTTGAGGTCATTATTTGTCTGTAGCTTGACTTGTAATGGCTGCCTGGTATTCCATCATGACTGACTTTATTAAACCACTTTCATGCCATTGACATGTCAGATGTTTCCACATTTTTGCTATTATAAATAATTCTAATACTGAACACTCCCTGTAGATAAACCTTTTCACATAACACAGTGCTTACTTTCTTGGAATAAGTTTGTAAAAGTAGAATTGTTGGGTTACAGTCTCTGCATAATTCTGAGATTTCTAGCACGTGTTGCCAGATCATTCATCAGGAAAGGCTTCCAACTGAACTGCCATCCCCAATGTACGAGACTCCCTTTCCCTGCAATATACATTCTTTTAATTTCCTTACCAGTATCACGGACCGTCATGAGCATGATTTTAATTTATCATTTAAAGTACTATTCTTAGACATCTGTACCTAAACTTTTTACTGTATGTTGAGTATATACTGACCTCCATATGAATAACCCTCTTTTATTACTTGACATTATTTAAACCTAAAAGATGTCAACAACAAAAAAATCCTAAGTAATTTTAATCCAGCTTAAGATGATCGTGGCACTTGACTGTAAGAATTCATAAGCTCTGTTCAAGAGCCTTTCAATATATCTAGAACACATCTCCTCTGCCGTTCATCATAAACTGCCCAAATCACTTCCTTGTGCTGCAATATCTAGATTGATGGATTCTCTTAATTTCACTACTGTACCAACTCAGAAATGATTGTAACACTGAAAATTAACTCACCACATAGTAAGGGTATCTAAGTACCCTTGGGGTAGCTTAAAGGAAGAGCTGTCTCTCCCCTCTTGCCCATTCTATGCCCTCACCTCCCGACTGCTAGGCTTGGCCTGACTTTTCTCCCCGCTAAGTACAGCCAACCTGACTGACCTTGGTCTTTGCCTGGGTTTGTCGGGGGGGTGGGTTAGGACTGTGGATGAGCAGTTATAATTTGGAGGATTAGCGATAGCCTTCCTCTAACTGGCTCCTCTCATTGGCTTCCCCTTCTCTTCCCAGCACTCTATGTGGAGTACCAGAAAGCCAGGCTAGGCCTGTTTAGGAGAGGTAGACATCACCTCGCAAGCAGCATGAAGAAATTCTATTTGGGAAACAATTAAGTGTTTTTTTTTAACTACAGGATTTAAAAACCACCACTGAAAACTGGTAGTCCTGCATTCTTAACCTGCAAATATCTCTGTGTACAAGACTGCACTTGTAAGAAACCAGGCCTGCAATTGCTTGCACCATAAAATCATCCAAAACATTCACTAAGTTCCTACTTTGTGCAACACCATGAGGGTTAATGTATTCTAAGCTGGTTGTCCCTGCCCTAACCCCATTCACCATGTAAAGTGATAATTTCATGGGCTGCTTGTGTCGTCACCTGTCACTGCTTGGATTCATGGTAATAGCGCCTCTCCTGCCTCCCCCCACAAAGTTATATCATTTGTATTAAAGAAGGTTGTTAAAGGGGATTCAAATCAATTACTTTGAAACTATGAAGACAACCATCTGGAGAAAGTTCCTTTGAGCTGCTCTGTAGCTCCCGTGCTTTTCCTGACCCTGTGTCTTATCTCAGGGGGCCATTTCCTCCCAGAGTCACCTCTGACGCTCGCCCAGTCGTTCACAGCTAGTGTTTAGTTCTCATCAAGTGCAACCAAGGGAGGATTGGGAATTGCATTAGACATAGAGCGACTACAAAAGATACATAATAAAATAGAAATTTAACCCATATATACATTAATTACAATTTAGCAAGTTGTGAGGATGGTTTGGTAATATTTCCAAAAGAGGCAGAAGTAATAGATCTGCATTTTCTGATGGAGTGACTGCCCTCTCTGTCAGGGATTGAGGCAGATGGTGTCTTGCAGTGTTTTCCAGTCTAAGTTGCCATTGAGGGACAAGCCCTCCCAAACAGGTAGCAAGTAAATCAAAGTGCACTTCTCACAGATATATCTCAAGTAAACTTGCTCAGTTTTTTTCTTTTTCTTTCTTTTTTTTTTTTTTTTTTTGACAGAGGAGTCTCACTCTGTTGCCCAAGCTGGCACGGTCTTGGCTCACTGCAACCTCTGCCTCCCAGATTCAAGCGATTCTCCTGCCTCAGCCTTCTGAGTAGCTAGGAATACAGACACGCACCACCATGTCTGGCTAATTTTTTGTACTTTTAGTAGAGGCAGGGTTTCACCATGTTGGTCAGGCTGGTCTCAAACTCCTGACCTTGTGATCTGCCCTCCTCAGCCTCCCAATGTGCTGGGATTACAGGTGTGAGCCACCACGCCCGGCCAAACTTTCTCAGTTTCGTGGGAAAGTAATAAAAACAGGAAATCTAATGGAGGCATCCTTAATGAGGCTGGGCGCACGTCTGCATTTGAAGTGCCTTTATCGGCATCACTGCCCAGGCAGCAGCTCACTGACCCAGCTCCACCATTGGTCATTTGTGGCTTTCTGTGGACCTCAAGCCTCCTACCTACCCTTCAAGAAAATATTCCCCGCCTAAAACACACATCCTCTCATTTATTTTTACTTCCCTCTTTTCTGTTTTGCTCCACACTGCCCCTATTATGTGGTCCCAGCTAGGCTCACAGAGGTCCCTGGGGTGAGAGATTGTCAGCGTGGAGGACATTTGGATGCACTGGTTGAAACCCAGGCTGCCCTCTCCTAGCCTGAGCTGCACCTGCCCACCTCCCATCTGCATTTCCAAAGCCTCGTGTGGATGAAGGGGACCTAAGCAGCCTGCTCCCTGAGGGAGGACACCACCACTTGGAGCCACACAGCCTGAAGACAGAGAACAGTGTGGAAGTAAGCAGAAGGATTTAGGAATCCTCTCTGTGAGTGGCATTTAGAGCCTGAGTCACTGCCTCCCAGCAGAAATAATTAGCCCAAAAGCACTGGGAAGTCTGGGAGGTTAATTAAAACCATTTAGTCATGTCTTCCTTCATGAATCCTTTAGAAACATGATAAAGTCAGAAAATGGAATAAATTAAATTTTTAAGATCCCCATAATCTCAATAATACATGATATGAAAATCTAATGAGCGCTTTTGTTCCAGATATTGGGCTAAGCATTTTACATGCATTGTCTCACTAATTTCTCCCAACTATCCTAAGAAGTAAACATTACTTACTATTTTCATCCTACAGATTGAGGAAATTGGATTTTGGAAAATCAGGAACGTCCTATGTGTCTCAACTAGAAAAGGGCAAAAGCCAAGATTCAGACCTTATCTAGTTCTAATGCTGAAGACCTTTGTCTAAAGCAAATCTGTTCTCGCCACATATCCTCCACTTACTCCTGTGGAGTGAGTGAGTGTCTCCAGCTCCAGAATCTCCCGGCAGACCCTCGTGGCTGCAGGCTGGGTTGCTATGTGGTGTACATGTATTGTGAGATCATTGATTCCTCTCCTATCCACTCTTCTCATCTGAACATACCTTGGGATTTGCTTTCTTTAGTGGGAGTTTCCTGCTTGGATGTAATGCCTTTCATATTTGGTGCTAATAAGAATCTGGACATTAGGCTGGGACCTGGCCTTAACAAGAGTTCAGATGTGGTGGAGAACATGGAGTGGTCACTAGGCTGGAAAACTCTGTTGGCACCAAGAGAGGCAGAGTGAGAGGAGCGTCAACAGACTATGCTAAGAGGGAAGAGAGGTAGAGACCACCACCTGCTTGTGAGGAGAATGGTGGAAGCCAGACTCCTCAACTAGAGAGGGACAAGGAATGCTTCTTTGGGCCGTCTCGGATGATGTCAGGGAAAGGCTTCTACCTAGAGAAGAAGAAGATGCCAATGATAAGAGGCCATGAAATGAAGTGGCAAACATAATAAATTATAATGTGGTGCTTTCCAGGTGCCAGTCACTAGCCCAAGGATAGACAGCTGGGACATGGTAGAGCTGGGATTTGTACCAGATTTGACCTGCAGCCCAGGCCATTACCCATGTTCTAGCCCTGACTGCCTCTTACTGTCACAAGATACCACCTGGCATGGCACAGGTCACATGAACTTTGAAAGTGTGATATAAGTGAAAAGTGATTATAGGTTGGTAGGAACCATGGCATTTATCATCCCAAATGGGATGCTATCGTGAAAGAAGATGCTCATAGTTACATCAGCACAATGTAATCTGGGGTTGTCCCAGGCAAAGCAGGATGTATTGTCACCCTATTTATAGGTTATGAATTACTCCACAAATTAAATTTATGTAAAATTGGAATAACACCTGCTCTCTCTGCCTCTACCTCGCAGGGTTTCTGTAAGGTAGGATTGAATGAGATAATGTCTGTTACATCATGTTACAAAGAGGGAAGCTGTTTCCCCCTTTGAATAAACTGTAAGTATAATCTGAATGCATGGATTATGGTAGGTGTGTCAGGACAGTGACATGTGTGCCCATCTTGGAGTGTGCTTAGGTTCTTCATAGGTGCTCATGTGTAATGATTAAGTATGGGCACCAAAAGCCTGGAAATGAGGAACCCTGGTTTCTGGATCCCTCCCTGTAATAAATGCATGGCATTGCTTAAGTCTCTTACTAGTATAAGGAAGTCGAAGGATGTTTCTAAAGTATCTTTAATAATTGAATTTAGAAAAATTAATTTCATGAAAGTCCGGTAAAGTGCTGGTGTAAACATCACCAGAATGCTCCTGAATGCTACCCTCTTGGAGTCAGCATTAATGCAACTACCCTCCCCCACACACACACACAGACACACACACATCTCTCTCATGACACACTCAGAACATACAGACATACACACCATAGTGTATCCCATTTACCACATGCAGTAGAGTTATTTGAATCTCTCTCATCCCATCAAGAGTTCATTAATTCTAAAGCAATTGGCATCACACTGCTCACGTCGAGGGTTCTGATTAACCACATTCAAGATTTAATGTGTTTGTTATGCTGGCTCTAAAGTGCTAAAATATCAAAGGGAAATTAATGAGATATGATTTGTATGAAAGGATAAAAGTCTAAAATCCCATTAGATAAACATGAACTTGCATCCAAGTTACGTGAGCTCCAACAAGCCAAATTCATGCCGTGGTCCACTTGCTGTGTTCTTAATTGGGATAGTGTGAATCTGACTAAGTGCAAGGCAAGCTGCTTCCCTCTTCATATCTCTCATTACTTGGTACTGTATTTTGATCCATGTAAACACAGAAAAGAACATAGCAGCCCCAGAAATTCAAGTTAGTCACTAACCAGGAAGTGGGTGCACCTTCCGTATTTCCAGGGACCCTGGCGGTTACGCCGTGGGATGTGTGCGTGATGTGTGCAGCCCCTGCAGCCAGCGCCGGCAGACCCCATCCCAGACAACGGAAGCGCTGCGGAGAAGCGGCCCTGCCCCTACCCGCACCAAGCTCTCAGTCTAGAAGAACAGAGTTGCTGTTTGCTGTCTTGGAAACGAAAGAGGAGGAAGAGGAGGGGAAAGGAAAAAAGGAGGAGGAAAACAAAAACACGGAGTGGGGCGAGGGGGAGGTGGAAAAAGAAAAAGATTAACTGAGTGGAGAAAAAAGTTTTCATGCCATGAATTTTTTAAAAAAGGAAACAGGCAAGCAGAGAGTTAAGGGAGTGGTGTTTTTCTCTTCTTTCATGGCCACAGGATTCTAGAAAATCAAATAGCAGGTCTGGGAGGGACAGCCTTGCTCCACAGAGTCTACTGAGAGGTGGTGCAGTGGGGAGACAGAACTGCAGCAGGGCAGGATGTGGAGCAGGCCAGGGCCTGCACCAGCGCCCAGGTATGCGGCTGACAGGCAGGGCGCTGGCCCGCGGCAGGTGCAGCACCGCCAGTGCCCGCGGCCCCAGGAAAAGAAAACCTGCAGGTGCCGTCAGGACATGTCCTGAGCCTCCGAAGCCACGCGCTTTTCTGAATAGCTGTCCTATGCTCATTGTCTGGCTGCAAGATGATGGTGTGCATTGGGAGGGGACAAGAGGGAGGGAGTGGTGTGTGGAGTCTCCTGCTCTGGTGGCTTTGATGACACACAGGGGTGGCTTCAGAGAGAGGGGCAGTGGGAGGAGGCGGGGCAGGCAGTGGAGATCCCAGGGTGCTGGTGTGGGCTGGCTAAGCCTATGCCAGAGGAGGCGGGGTGGGGACTCCCCTGCCAGTCCCGGGGCAGCTCCTCTTCCCCCAGAAGAGCGCCCCTCCTTGCCCTCTCTCCCAGGCTGCATGGACGCGGGCAGTCTGTTGACTGCAGAGCACCCCTGTGAGTATGATCCACTGTCCCTACATGCCTGGGACTCTCCTCTGTCTACCTTCAGCCATCTGCGGCACATTGGCTCTAAGCAGTTCAGCTCAGTACTCACAATCCCAAGAATTTATAAATGCTGCCTGAGTCCCTGCACATGCCAGGAGCGCACATGGGTTAGTACACACTGTTGGTGCTCCGGGGCTTCTCTGTTGAGTTACCTCTCAGCCCGCTCATGACCTGTCACCAGAGGCAGTTCTAAAAATAAGCAATTATCACGTTCAGCTGGAAGCAGGAGAAAGTAATGGAGCCACTTGTCTTTTGCCAGCTCTGAATACCTGATCAAGGGGATCTCCCACCCTCCTCTGAAAGGGCTGGCATACATTTTGGGGGAGTGGGGAATAGGAGGACATTTTCCCTTTGTAGAAAGTTAACTCCATGTTGTGGTTGTTGTCCTACTGGCTGCAGCCAAGGAGCAAGGAGGCAGGAATGAAGGCAGGGCAGTGCTCCCGGCTGGGCCCAGGGAAAGGAGCAATGCTCCCTGGCTAGACCCAGGGAAAGGAGCAATGCTCCCTGGCTAGACCCAGGGAAAGGAGCAATGCTCCCTGGCTAGACCCAGGGAAAGGAGCACTGCTCCCTAGCTAGATCCAGGGACAGGAGTAGTGCTCCCAGCTAGATCCAGGGAAAGGCTGCTCCCCAGCTAGACCCAGGGAAAGGAGCACTGCTCCCTAGCTAGATCCAGGGACAGGAGTAGTGCTCCCAGCTAGATCCAGGGAAAGGCTGCTCCCCAGCTAGATCCAGGGAAAGGAGTAGTGCTCCCAGCTAGACCCAAGGACAAGAGTAGTGCTCCTGGCTAGACCTTGGGAGAGGAACAGTGCTCCCAGCTAGACCCAAGGACAGGAGTAGTGCTCCCAGCTAGACCTTGGGAGAGGAGCAGTGCTCCCAGCTAGACCCAGGGACAGGAGTAGTGCTCTTCACTGGACCCAGGGACAGGAGCAGTGCTCCCCAGCTAGACCCAGGGACAGGAGTAGTGCACCCCAGCTAGACCCCGGGACAAGAGTACTGCTCCCCAGCTAGAGGTGCACCCAAGCCCTTCCTTCATTCTCCGGCCTCACAGGGCCACTGCTGCAGCCTCCTGAAAAGGTGCTCTGAGCCCTGCACCCTGCCCTGTGCTCTGAACCCAGTGCTCACAGCTGATCCCCCTGGATGGAGCAAGCATACCTCTGCTTGGGCCACTGAGCAAGAACTCAGCGCCATGCCAGGGCTCCCTCCTCCAGAACCCACCATGCCCCTGCGTGCACCCTACAGGAAAGGCGGCTGCCAGGAGGGACTGCAGCCCGGGTGCCTAGAGCACTCGGTGCCTCACTTTACACAGTCATTGCGGGGTGGGGTTTTCCTCAGAACACCTGCCATGCAGGGTGGGGAAGATTTAGGTGAATAGACTGAAAGCACCGAGAGTGGTACCCAGCACATAGGAGATGTTCAGTACTTGTCAACTCTCGTGATTGTGACGTAATGCAAAAGTCCATATGCATTGCAGTGTTCTGTTCAGTGTCATGCTCTTGAGAACAGCCATGCTGACCCTACATCCCACCCGGGTCACACCTCCCAGCGTTCAGGCAGCGCTCAGTGCATGCTGCTGGCTGCCAGCCCACCTGCAGCTATTCCAGGGCAGGACTGGAATTCCTCCAGGGTTCCGCGTCCTAAGTGGGCAGGCCTGGCAGAAGCCAAGGTGCAGTTCAGCTGCCACGAGTAGGTGATTAAGAGATTCCTCATTGTATGATACACAAATACCTTCCCTGCAAAATTGCCGAGCTAAGAATGCACTGTCTACTTCCACAGAATGCTGACTCTTGGTCAAATCAGTATCCCTGTTGGCTGAGCATCCAGGGATGTTCTCTTTAGGAAAACAGTGCCTCAGAAACTCACAGCTTACTGTGAAGAAATCTTTTCCTGTACCTATTGCTAACCACCCAACTGAAACCTATTGCTATGTGAGTTTTAGAGCACTTTGTTATCTGGTCTTAATTTAAGTTCTGGTTGTATGTGCGTGCATGTGTGGGTGTGCATGTGTGTTATGTATTCCTCCATGCACACATGCATGCATGCATGAGCTCACACATGCATGCATGCATGAGCTCACACATGAAGTGAGACCTCCTCTCTGGATCTCCCATGTCATCAGCTCCACCTGGCTTTGCATTTACTTGCATGTCTTGCTGAGGAAGCCTCTAGATTAATGCACATGGTTTTCTACTCACCCTGTGACTATTCCAGTCACTTCATGGAGGGTTATGGGAAAATAGAGTTCATGATAAAGGTGAGCTGGACAGTCCTGGGATCATGAGCAACAGATGTGCCTTCAGGCCTGTGATTACAGCCTCAGGCTGCAGGCTGCTCCTGCCCACTGGCTCCTGAAGGCTGACCTGCAAAAGCAGCCCTGTTCTCAGCTCTGACGGCAGCAGGGGCGGGAGGGCAGGTGCAGGTGAGCAGACCCAGGTGGGCAGGCACAGGTGAGCAGGCCAGCTGGCTGATGCTGATGGCTGAGAGGGTAGAAAAGTAATGCCCTAGTCCCATAGGCCACACAAACTGTATGTGGCCATACAAGTTGGTTCCTTATAAACAATCAAGAAAGAGTGTGGATATGAGACCACAGTAGCACTCACTGTACAAGTCCATCTAGTAGCACCTAGAATTGCTCTTTGATGGACAGCATCAAGCTGGATGAGCATGAGCAGTAAGCAGGGAAAGTAAAGCAAATGGTATTTTTGGCAGTTAGAAATAATGTGGCCAGCCACAATGAGGAAGAACACTGATGGGCCCTGCCAGAAGTAAGGCAGACCACCTTCCTCAGCATCCCTCTGCGGTGGTCCTGGAGAGCCGAGTGGGCTTGCCAGCTGGGAAGAGAGGAATTATCTACTTTGGAAGGCATGTCAGTACATCTAATATTAAAAAGAGATTTATCCCCACTGTGCCCATCAAGTGGACGGAGGCTTCCCTCACCGCCTTTCACCCACAAGTGCACTGCCACACATGGGTCTCTGACTGGAAAGTTTGGGGGCAGCACGGGGAGGGCCCAGGACTTGCCAGACCACCCCCCGCCATGTGTTCTCACGTCTGCATGCCATCGCCCCAGCATGGGTGCTGCACGGCGTGGCCCCTTCCTCCGTAATTTATGGCTTGCTGTGCACCTCATGCTGCCACTTAGTCCCTGAAGAAAACATTCCTCCCCCTAACACACATCCCCTTGTTTATTTCTGCCTCCCTCCTGGCTGTTTTTCTCCACATTGCCCCTGTTATGGGGCCCCAGCCACTCACACAGAGTTCTGGGCCTGCAGGGTTTGCCGGCTGAGAGGACATTAGTCTACATGGGTGAAACTCAGGCTCCCTCCCCACTGAAGTGCACTGTCACCACCTCCCTCCCTTTGCCAGCAGACATCCACTGACTAGACAATGGTCACTTAACTGCCTGTCACCTGTGCAGTGGACAGAGCATTCTCGTACCCTAGATGAAATGCACAGCCTGTGTGAAGAGGTCCAATAAAGCAGAAAACGAGATTTTTCACTCCTGTCACTGGAGAATACTTGGAGTATTTCAATCACTGCTATGGTCACAAAGTCAGTGGCACCTGCTCCACCACTACTAGCAAAACTTCCTCATTGTTCCAGTGCCAAGGAACAAATCACAGGGGCGAAGACTGCAGACCCTGGAGTCCAGCCTTGCGAGCCAGATGCAGCTCCCAGGGCAGAGGACGGGCCTCCTGCACCCACAGGGATGCCCCTCTTCTGCTCTCAGCCAGGCCCCTGCTGAGAGTTGTTTGCTGCCACTTACTTCTGAGTCAGCTTCTCCCTGGCTCTCTGAACAGGCTCATCTCTGCAGACATCTCTTAGAGCTTGAAAAAATTATATAAATCTTTCAAGATCCAGTAGCACACAACCTTTGGTTTTATAAAAAGCATACATGTTGGTTCTGATGAACGCTGGCCTTCTCATGTCAACAAATGCCTATTTCACCAAACGATGAGTTTCACCTCTCTTCTGAGATACGCACTAGTATAAACACAACATGACCCCATATATGTGAGATGGGTTTGCTTCTTGAAACACCATAATAAGGAAAGAAATTGACTGACAACAGACTGAATGAGGCAAGCAAGCTCTCACCCTGGCCTGCGGCCGGGAGGGAGAGGCGAAAAGGGCGGTGTTTCTCTCTCCTTTCATGGCCGCAGGATTCTAGAAAATCAAATAGCAGTCTGGGAGGGACAGCCTTGCTCCACAGAGTCTACTGAGAGATGGTGCAGTGGGGAGACAGAATCGCAGCAGGGCAGGATGTGGAGCAGGCCAGGGCCTGCACCAGCGCCCAGGTATGCGGCTGACAGGCAGGGCGCTGGCCCACGGCAGGTGCAGCACCGCCAGTGCCCGTGGCCCCAGGAAAAGAAAACCTGCAGGTGCCGTCAGGACATGTCCTGAGCCTCCGAAGCCACGCGCTTTTCTGAATAGCAGTCCTATGCTCATTGTCTGGCTGCAAGATGATGGTGTGCATTGTGGGGGGACAAGAGGGAGGGAGTGGTGTGTGGAGTCTCCTGCTCTGGTGGCTTTGATGACACACAGGGGCAGCTCCAGAGTGAGGGGCAGTGGGAGGAGGTGGGGCAGGCAGTGGAGATCCCAGGGTGCTGGTGTGGGCTGGCTGAGCCTGTGCCAGAGGAGGCGGGGTAGGGACTACTCTGCCAGTCCTGAGGCAGCCTCTCTTCCCCCAGGAGGGTGACACTGTCTCCTGATGTCTGGGAAAGTTAGACAGGGAGCCCTACACACCTTCAAATCCAGCCCTCGCTGCCTGCAACAGGCTTCAGTCCTTGGCCAGTATTTAATATTTCCCTCCATTATTTTGTGAAAAAAGGAAGACATGTTAAGCTCGCAACACTTTAGAAGATAAATGTGACATTAACCGTGCCATCACCACAGTTTGCTAGGGCAAGCCATGTCAGTGCGGTCTCAGGGAGGACCAGGTCTCACCTGTGCCCACAGAGGGGACTGCACATGGCTGGCCACAGTCATGCACCCCGATATCATGCCCTGCTGCATTTTTTTCTGTTTATGTTTCTCTTTTTTTCCCCTTCTATAGAACGTAAATCCATGAAAACATGGCCCTGGTCAGTCCTCTTCTGTGCTGTCTACCCATATGGTAGTGGGCACTCAGTCAATATTTGCTGAATGAGTGAAGGATTGAACCCCACGGCACAGCATTAGTGGAAAACTTATTTTGACCTGAATGTCAACGGAGTGTGTGTGCTCAAGGCAATGTTGTTTTTCAAGAAAGCAGATGTGACGCCATTGTATACCCAACAAATACAAATTGCGGGGCTTGGTAACTCTCTATGGCCTACAGCTCTGACAGCCTCTGATGTGCTGTGTGAAACCAAGAGCAGAAATGGATGTCTCCATTCTACTCATCCGTGCATGGCTGCAGTAGCAGCCAGTTCATTTTGGTCCTGTTTCATTTGGTATTACAAATGCCCCTGTAGGCTGGATGTGCTGGCTCACACCTGTGATGCCAGTACTTTGGGAGGCCGAGGCTGGAGGATTGCTTGAGACCAGGAGTTCGAGACCAGCCTGGGCAACATGGTGAAACCCTGTCTCACAGAAAAATGCAAAAATTAGCCAGGCACGGTGGCACTTGCCTATAATCCCAGCTACCCGGGAGGCTGAGGTGGGAGGATCACTGAGCCTAGGAGGTCGTGGCTGCAGTAAGCCGAGGCCGTAACGCTGCACTCCAGGCTGGGTGATAAAGCAAGACCTTTGGAGAACAAAAGGGGGTTAACTGCAGACACTCGTACACCTGGCAAAGTTACTGGAATAAGCATGTCTTTGCCTGGAGAACAGCAAGGGCTGATTCAATGCCTTTATTTGAACTCTGCATGTGGAATTTTATTACTTGGAATATATCCTCAAAAAAATGGAAGTAAAGTAAGCAGACTAAACTGAAGTGTATAATAAGTTTGGTTTGATTTAAATAGATTATTACATTGATAAGGTTAGAACAAGCTATGACAATGCATTAAGAAATAAACATCATTGTGAAACTTAAAAATTAAGCTATGAGATATTCTATGATTCCTAAGATGAGCCCCTGCAGGTATAGGTAACTGAAGGATTTCACTAGGGTGATGATTCTATTCATCTTCAGCCTCCTGGTAAACTTACAATGATGAGGGGTTTGAAACCTATAGGTTTTTAGCACTCGGCTAACCACAAAACCATAACTTTCAAAGGAGGTAAATGTGCAGGTCAACAGAATAGGAATTTATATGGTAAATGTTACACTGACTGAGAAACTCTCTCCCTTCCTCAGCAGACACTGTTATTCTTAGACAGGATAGGTTCTGAGCCAGTCAGGAGGTTAGGAGAGGGTGTTAGGGCAACTTGGTGCTTCTGAAAGGCTGTTGAGGTTTTTGGCACACACTACAACTCTCTGAAAGACAATGGATTTCTGGAGATCCTTTGAGTCACCTTTGCCATGATGCTGCAACCCTAGGCCTGTCCACACTCCCACACCTCCGTGTCTCTTGCAGGAATGGACTTCCTTCCCTTTTTCTCCCTTCTGCCTGGAAAATTTCTGCTCTCCCTCCCCAGTGAAGCCCTTCCAGCCTCTGCCAAGAAGTCTGGCCACCCTGAGTGTGTTGTCCAGGCATCTGTTACAGCCTGGGAGAGCATCACACTTATTATCAACTTTGATGTCATGAGGCCTGGGACTCACATTCCCCACAGTGCTCTTGTCTGGTGTATAATAAACCCGCATTAAACTGATGACAAATGAAGAGCATGCTCAGCTCAAACTCGTGATGCTAGAATCTCAGAAATTTCCCCATACATCCCCAGAATTCAGCTCTTCCTTTGCAAATGACAAATGTCCTGTAGCAAACCATCTGTGGGAGCCTTACAGTGCCAGGGCCTCTCAGCAAGCATGCACCCCATGGACCTGGCCGCCTTTGGAACGTGTTCCCCTCCACAATCTGCATCTTCATTATTTTAAACCTTGAACACCATCTCCTCAATTTCTTCCTCTCAAACTGCACTTTGTCTTCCATGTCATAATCGCCCCCACTACCTACTTCAGTCTTGACATTTTCTCCCAGTTTTCCAGCCTGCACTGGCCTCTTTCCCTCCTCCCTTTTGGGCATTCCTCGCACCTTTTCTCCGTCTGAGTGACTCCCTCTCATGCACCAGACATGTTCCTGGCGTTGTCTTTTCCCAGAAACTCTCTCTGGTGGCTCTTGGCAAGCTGTGTTCCCTTAGTAGGGTTACCACACTCCCCTGTTACCCTATTGTCGTACTTGGCCCTGTAAAACACAATTTCCTGTTAGTGTATCTTTACACTCTACAAAATATAAACTCCTCAAGAGACAAAATAGATCTCATTTACCTGCAATTTCCATGTCAATACATGACAGTTAAGCTCCCACCCTGTGTGAAGATTCTACAAGCCGCCTGGGGCGGCTCTGTAGAGCAGAGGGCTTTGCAGAGGCTAAAGAGCTCTCTGGATCCTTGGAAAGTTAGAGCACTCCAGGAAGATTGCTAAGTAAAGAAAACCAAACCCATGTGTCCTTCTCTACAGGCTTGAAATTCAAATGGGAGAACCCAACACATCTCCATTCAGAAGTTGGTGTGAAGAATTTACCCACATTTCCCCTTTCGCCCACAATACAATCACTGCTCCTTAAAGACTGTGTCAGATTAATCTTGGGTTTGCTTACAAGTGACAGCCTGCAGGATTCTCACCCATCCATTGTGAGAGGTGTGCCACCCAGGAAAGCAATGGGTGGCTGGGTGTCTTAGGGCAAATTCCAAAATATGATTCCCATCTGAGCTCTCAATGAATGATGTTACAAGTCCATCCTTCCTTTGTCGACTAAGAGTGTATCCCTCTTTGAAGGTGTACGTCAACTTCCACTTCTTCCATGACACATCCCCAACCCTAGATTCATGAATAAAAAAACAGAACTTGAAAATAAGAGAAGGATGAAGGAAGTCCCTGCTCCAAATCCAGAGTCATCTTTGTCTTTATCACCAATTTGGCACAACTTTTTCAGATAAGGGACTTGAGAGATTTGTATTCACCACTGCCCTCACACATGTTCATATTGCAACATTGACTAACACAGTATCTTGTTTGGTATAGGTGTTCCAAAAATATTGATTAATTGGCTAATGAAAAGAACACACTGATCACTGAGAGAAAGGAAACATCTCCCAGGAAGTTGAAGGCCAGAGTTTCTAGTAAACATGACCATTAGTCTTTAAGGTTATCCTGGCCACCATGAAAATGAAGCCTAGTTTCCAAAAGCTGTCAGTGGGAGGGCCACATGCTGAGTCCCAGGACTGGTGACTGGTTAAATAGTATCCGTGCCCTAACCTGAGTAACGGTAAGATTTTTATTATTTGTGTGGCATTTTTACACTTTGCAAATCACTTTTATATCCATGACTTCGTTTGATGTTTACAACCATCCTGGAAGTTGACGGGGCAGATGTGGTGATTATCAGATGAATAAACTGAGGCACAGAGAGGTCAGGAGACTTAAGCCCCAACATCTGCCTAAGGGAAATGAATTTGGGCAAGATGCAGCGCTGGGCCCAAGAGACAACAGCTTATGGGACCAAAAGGTAGCATGCAGAAGGCCAAAGCAGAGGTCTGCCACAAGTGCTCAGGAAGCACAGAGGAGACAGAAAGACAAACCACCCTGATGCCCACACTGCACCCAGGGGGCAGGCTCCTTGGGAGCTGAGCGAGAGACTCAGATCCTCCCGACTCTGCAGCTTCTGGAGGGATGAAAGGGGCTCTGAATGTGTGAGCTACAGTAATTATGTTTGCTTTAATGGAGCAATGCCGGCTTTTGTTGTGCTATGGTGCAAAGGCCTAATTATTCAAACGCAGCCATTAGTTCCCACACAGCAGAGATGACGGCAGATGTTATAAAGATAACATCTCTTGGCCCTTTGCCTGCCAGCCCCAACCACAGGGACACTTCAGACGCGACAGCAGCTCCTGCCAGGAGCACCCAGCACATGTCCCAGGACATCAGAGCCCAGAGTTGACCTGAGACATCTGGAGGGAAGAGGGGCCATGTGAGCCCCCCCTCCAGGGCCCCCAGGTGAGGGAGGTGCAGGTGGGCCTGCTAGGAGCGGAGTGACCCCGGCTGCCCGGAGCCCTCTGTGTCCTGCTAGCTGTCTTCACACAGACAAGCAGCTCCCATCAGGGCACAGACACCATGTCAGGAACCCATTTCAAACATACAAGGCTGAAAGGAAATCATTCATCTCACCACAGGACGAGATGTACCCAGAAACCCGTCCAACTTCTTGCCGCCACCACCAGGAAAAAAAAAGTGACGAGCTGAATTTGTAGGGTATACGATTGCTCAAACGGGCATTCAGGAGCAGGCGCTGGCCTGCCTGCATTTTTCCTATCCCAGCCCTTCTATGAGTAACTATTAGGAAAACACAAAGGGCTTTAAAAAGTTCAAAGAATTTATCTAAAATGTGGCTGCATCATTATCACCACGAAACTGCTTAATATTTAGACTTCTGTAAACTAAAACCAAACAGAAAATTTTTTTTAAGTTGAGAGGAGAGCAGGGGTTATTTTTCCTTTGCACCAGCGCAGCAGAGATTTCCTGGAAGTTGGATCCCTCGGGCTTTGTTCTCTTTCCTCTGCATGCACACACACACCTGCCTCTCTCCCATGCAACCTGCCTGGAAACTGGATACCTGGAGAGAAGAGACAGGGCTCTCAGGAAATATTTCACTTGACCAAAACTTCTGCCACCCTGTTCTTTAATCATATTTTCCTCTGGCTGCTTTTCACACATCCACCCAAGGTAGAAGGAATATCTCCCATAAAAATTGTAGTGTGAAGAGTTCTTCATTTTACAAAAGAAAAAAGTGGGAGGAAATCTGCCGTAATAATGAGGGAAGCCATACTCTGTTCGTTAGCAGGGACTTTCTTTGAACAATGCCCCAACCTGCTGTCCAAGGAAGACTTGCGTGGGAGCGACAGGAATGGGGAGGTGAAGGCTGCCCAGGTTCTAAGGACTCCCCTCCATGCAGCCTGGCAACAAATCCTCCTGGGCAAGGCATTTCCGGCTCAGTGTGTTGCTTTTTTTCCACGTGGAGTTGTAGAAGAAAACCTGGGAAAGGATTAAGTCAAGCATTTGCTTCCCAGCTGAAGAAGAGGAACACGGACCTCAGAAAGACTGCAGAAGTTGAGAGCTCTGGAAGTGCGTCAATTTTTAAAACCATACACACACAGTTTAAAAGAAAGTTTTTTTTTTAATAACAGTTAAAATATTAACAATGAGAAACAGCAGTGCGCACACAGGCATGGCTAGCTTTGTGGCTGAAACAGAGGAAGGTGGGTCATGGGCTGTTATGAAGAATGGAAAGAATTGCACAGGTCTGGAAAAGATCTGGAAATGACACTCCCATCCATATTTTAATGCCAAAGCAAGAGAACATCAAGAAATCACCAAATGCCATCCTGGGAGGTCAGAAGCAGGGGAGACAGGGGACATCTCATAAATCAAAGGCCAGTACTGGAGACAGGAAAACAGGGCCAGTAGCTCCTGGGCCTTGCGGCTCGCTGGTGGGTGCAGGACTGAAAAGAATGGGGGTACGAGTTGTGCTAGAATCCTGGTTTTTCAGAGAAAACTGGGGCTGAGGAGCAGGTCTAGAGTCAGCACACAGGCGTTCAGACCCAGGGCTCGCTGCAGTATCTTCACTCAACTTCTGCACAGAACAGCTCCAGGAAGCGGTGTCTACAGGTGCAGGTGAAGATGGAAGACGGACTAATTGAACTGAAGGAGGCTCTGAGCAAAACAGTCATCCCCTCCTCCACCCAACCACTGCCTTTCCTCCCATCCAGCTCACATGCCTAAAAAGTCAGTCCGTGCTTGCTTTTCCTGGTGAGTTTCTTCTAAACGAATGTACTTGTCTCTTCTCTTTCTACGTGAAAAATACTAAGGCAAAACCAGGCACCTTTGGCTTCTGCATGCAGCTCTGTAGCCATGGACGAGATTGAGCCACAGTATTTTTACAGCCTCCTTGACAACAGACTGAGGAAGACACTGCCCCACCCAACACAGTCCACCAGGGCTTGGTGTGTAGACCCCCATCCCCACTATTCCTGCAGGCTAGAGCACTCAGCCTCTGAGCGGCATGACCCCAGGCAGTCATGCAGCCATCTATTCAGACCCAAGGCCAAACCCACACTCCTGTGAGGGCCACGGGATTCCCTTGGCAGAAGGAAACATTTTCCATTGTCAGTATTCACAAGGAGAGGCCTGTCTTGGGGTAGGTCGAAGTGGGGGAACATGCCCTCCGCTGTGGGCCTAAGTGCCAGGCCTGAGGTATCCTGGGGTTGGGGGAGGCAGTGGCCTGAAGAGAGACAGGGATCAGGGTCAATCCTGGGGGCCCTGGCTGCTCTCCGATGGCATGTTTGGGGTTCTTGGCCTGTCTTTGTGTGTGAACCATGTTGGCTCCTATGAAACCTACAAACTTCCTTCTCAGGATGATGCCGTAAGTACACAAAACTAAATAGGATTAAATAAAAACATTAAAATAGGCCTTATCCATGTACTCCCTGATTAAGAACTCACTTGAGAACTCAAGTGACCTAGATTTTGGCATAAACTGTAAATGGGGAGCAGCCACGGTGAGCTCTGTTTCTGCAGTTGCAGGCTGTGCTGGGCCACGCAGGCTGCTGCTGTGATGAAGGATACCTGGCCCCTGCAGAGCACACAGTGCAAACCTCCCAGGGTCTCTTGGCGCTGGCTGGAGCCACTTCCATTTTGTTTTATACTCAAATGTCCAAGGACTGGCTAAGAAGTTAACTAAAGTGTCATTTCTAAGTACAAAGACATTTCTGTAGAAGCATATGCTTTATAAATTGTATTGAGTAGATTCACTTATATAGGACATCAACACATTATTTTCTATTTTATACTACTTTTCTTATGAAGTACTCAAATCATAAATAAACCCAAGGATGTTCTCTTAGAGACAGATAAACATAGGGTACCGAGGACTCGGTTTTCATTTTGCTTTCCATCTTCGTAGTGACTTTTCAGTGGCTGAGCTCACTGCAAGCTTTTCACGGAGCCTGAGAGCCATGTGCACTCTGGGCCCTGGCGCTCCGCAGGAGCGGCGTTTAGCAGGTTGCAGCATCAGCTCACCTGCTGCTGCAGAGCTCTGCGTCTCCAACAGGCACCTGCACACACAGAGGAGTTGTCATTACCCTTAGTGCTATGCACACAGGCGAGTCTGGGCCTGTTGCGAGTCGCCTCCGGTAATCACAGACCCAGACACATGGTGCGGTGGAGAAGCTGGGGAGACAAGCAGCACCCACACCCTGTGCCTCCCGACCTCCGTCAGGACCCCATGTCCCCACCACTCCCTTCCCCACCCACCCTGCCTGGGCCTGAGTCACAGCCCAGAGTCTGCATGCCAGGTCCAGCACCTACTCCTCTCACTCTGTGGACTTCCGGCCACTCTGCCAGCCACGCCCTCACACAGACATTCCAAGACAAGGGAAAGGGGCTGTGGGGAAGCCTCTGACCTAACATGAAAGCCCCCCCATGGCTTCCAGCCACAGGGAGGGGAGGGCGTGGGGGATGCTGAGATTTCCTCCAATGACCTCTCTGCAGCAGCTCCTTCAAAGGTGCCCTTCTTTTCCAGTTGAAGGCAATGCTTTTTCACTTTTTGCATTCAGGCTGGTTAACAGGCAGCTGTGATCGCTCTTAAGACTGAGGTCCTAGGAGAGTCTGGGAGTGAACTCACTTCCTAGTGGCAATGAGGGAAGACACCTAGTCATCCTGAGCTCTCTACCTGGGCCATGCCTTACCCAGGCTGCTGGCCCACACTCTACCACACAATGTCTTATTTTCGGAGCACAGTGAAGTTCAACTTCCTCCTCTCCATGACTCTACACAGATTGTGACTTCTGCTTCATGGGGGAGTGCAGCATGAGGATTTCTGCTCCACCCATGAGTCTGAAAGCTTTCCACACCCAAGCAAGCCCTGGATGGGGTTCATTTCAGTTCCTGGTCAAAATATGGGGGCCGTTATACTCAACTACCCAGGACGAGGTGCTGGAAGAAAAATTCTCCAGATTGTAAAGTTTAATGTCGAAATATCAAGTAAGGCATTTCTTTTCTTTGCGATCATGCAACAGATCCAAAAGCAAGAGAGTAAACTTCTCATTTCTGTGCAAATCAGTTTTCCAAGGGAAAGAAAAAGAATGATGAATGGAAGATCTGGGAAGCTCAGGGAGTTATTTTACCTCCTGCACTTGATCCATCTGCAAAGTGACACATGGCATCCACTTCCTCAGGAGAAGACAAACCTACAGAGAACACAGAAGTCTCACTTTCCTATGACTAATGTTTACGATGCAAGAACATTTGATCAAAGTAGGCCTACCCAAGAGCTGGAGTAGGCGCTTACCCATAGCTCCCACACGGCCCTACGGAAATCACAGGTGGCTTCAGGTGAGCCCCAGACACCTGGAGCTCCTTATGACTAGTGTGGCAGGTAAGCCTTTGATAAATCCCAGCTCTAAAACCTTGGCAAGGGCCACTTGGCTTTCCAAAATTCTTTTGTGTGTCAAAGCTCCAGCCTGATGCTTCCAAAGGTGCATGCTCCACAGGATTTGTGGCAATTCTCATGGCTGAGCACTTTGCAGCACATTGGCAAGGAGGCGCTCTTCCCCTCCCAAATATGCAGGCCAGAGCATGTGAGCGACAGCTGCCTGGCCTGCCCTCCTTAGCCTGGCAGAGCGGGAAGCCTTGCTCAGGCAGCTCCCCATGGCCGGATGGCCCTCCCTCCCTCCCTTCCAGTTCCTCTTCTACACTGGTGAGATGCATGGGCCTTTATTGCTCTTCTACAAATATAGGGAAAGCGAGGCTATCATCTGCTATGTCCCCAACACTCATCTCTCACATCACACTGGAGGGCAGCATCTCAGCCTCTCTGAGATTACAGACTCTGGTCTCCTACTTGGGATGACGATGTTGATTCTAGAGGAGCAAGTAAGTAATTTTCCGTCAGTACGTTAGGTACTTAGAGCAGTATCAAGTGTTCAGCTATTCTTTGTATCATGCTTAGTATTATTAGTGCAACATGTCTTAAAAGCATTTTCTCCGATACTGTTTTGGTTCCCTTTGACACTTACCCCACTTTTATGCTGTTTTTCCTAGAAAGGCTTAGCTAATTCTTACGTTTGGCCAGTTTAAATAATCTAACTTCCTTTTTATCAGATCTCCTTAAAAGCCATAGCAATTTAACGAAATTTGTTGAAATATATCAACCACCCCGTGAAATAGACACTGCAGAGTTGTCATGGCCCCGCATGTGTCCCTGGTGCAGGTGTGGGTATGTATGTGTGATGATTTTGTTTGTTTTCATGGGATGTTTTGTTTCCAGCTGAGGGGAGGGGCATGAAGGGGTAAACCATCAGGATAGTTTTCCAGCAGTCACTTGTTCTAGAATGGGAACCTGTTCCTGTGAAAGATTCCAAGCTTCACCTCCTATTACCATAAATGGATTATATATTCTTTCTATAGACAGAACAATTAAAGCAAACTACAGGACTCACTGGAGTGGAGGAGATCTGGGAACCCCGCGTATAGCATGGGAACTGAGCAAGCCAGCTTTTCACAGTGATTGATGCTGCATGTTTAACAGTGCCAAGGAGGGCTGGGCCCAGTCTCCTCCTGAATTCATTAGCTGTGTTTGTTTTATACATGGACTACCTGTGTCTTTTTGGCAGGGGATCATAAAGCCAAGTGACAGCAACTGCTCTGCCCAGCCATTGCTTCTGCAGCCAAAGTCAGAGGCGATTCTGCCAGCAGCATAACTGCTGGAGTCCCAAACCTTCCTAACAGGCCAGCAGCCCAACAAGAACCCACACTGAACACCCAGCGGCACCCATGCCACCACAGACCAGTGCGTCCCACCCCACTGGAGAAATCCAATTTTGTAAATACAAGTAGCCCACCAAAAGAAAAAGTTAGGGAGAAAGCTATTTCTCTTTTTTAAAAAAAGAAAACTGGGTACCTGTTTTGCTTAAATTTGACTGCATGCCACACCTGCACAGATGAGCCTGCGCAGGCCTGCTGCAGAGCAGTGACAAGGTGGCACAGGCTGGAGGAGGGGCCGCCCCACCCCAGCTCACAGGGCTTGCCCCACACACACGCAATCCTGGCCCCAGATTACATCTGCAATGGGACTGACCAGGTCTGAGGCAAAGTCTCTGCTCCAGAGACAGGGCTCCCCTTTCTATCTCCTCCAGCAGATCATTATTGGAGTTCATCCACTTTGAACACTATCTATTCATCACCCTACACTTCCTGCACACCGAGCACCTGAGGCATTTTTACTCCCAACACTCACGACCATCCTAATTCATAATCAAGTAGCAAATGTCTTACAAGGAAGCAGAACAGAAAGAAGTGGGTACTGAAAGAACTACTTTGTGTTCATTTCACCTGAATAATTAGACAACCTCCTAGCAAATCTTAAAGTAGTCCAGAGACTCAAAGATTTAATATATGGCGTATCCTTTTCCTATCTACATTCATTCACTGAGTAATTACTCAGTAATCACTCTGTGCCAACACCCAGTCAAAATTCTACACTTTTCTTTTTTGAGACAGGACCTCACTCTGTAGTCCAGGCTGGAGTGCATCATAGCTTGATCACAGCTCACTGCAGCCTCAGCCTCCTGGGCTCAAGCCATCCTCCTGTCTCAGCCTCACCAGTAGTTGAGATGACAGGTGCATGCCAGCACACCCAGCTAATTTTTTAATTTTTTTGTAGAGATGATGTCTCATTATGTTGCCCAGGTGAGATATTTTTTGTATTGGCCTCATGATTAATTTTACCTGTGTTAAGTGGCTTAAATCTGAATTACACATTATCATGATGATAGACGATAATAATTTTAGATACATTACCAAATATATATATATGATATTTTACAAGAACTTAGAGGAGTCAGTCCTTACACTCATGGAATTTGCAGTCTATGTTTAATATAATTCTATGTTCACTGAATATAGAATCAATATATAACCCCTGATATGTACTATTGGTAATTGGGTCAATGATTTGTCTCATTATTGCATTATTGTCAATGTATAATCCCCAATATTACCATTAGTAATTAGGTCAATGAGTTGTCTCATTATTGCAGTTTTGTCAATATTAATCCTCAATATGAACTATTAGTAATTAGGTCAATGAGTTGTCTTATTATTGCAATATGTATACTTATGTTGATACAGTAAGAGTCACCAGAAGCAATATGAGTTTCTAAGGTAATTCCATGAAAAAATGCACACAACATATCTTGTTGGGAGCCATTGTGACTATTTCGGCAAAAAAAAGTTACAATTTTTTAAAAGTTTTTTCTCATTTTAATTGTTGAGCCATTCAGCAAACTCAGCTCAGTAATCACAGCATCAGTGGAAAATATATATTTGTCAAAGAACAATAGCATGCTGGAACTAGCTCATAATGGCTTACAAAAAAAATCTATTAAACCATCAGGAATTCTGTGAGCTTTTTGTTAAACTCTGCCATTATTAAATGTCAAATTATATAGAACTATAACTGAATGACTTATATTAAATGCAAAGTTAGTAAGAACTCAAAAATCACTACTTTGTCCATATTTTACTCCACTTTAGCACGTTCTAGATCTCTGGTATCTGTGTGGTGGAAGCACAGCCTAACAGCAAGCTACTGCACATCTCGTTCCAGCTCTGAGCTCATGATGTCTCATTCGTATCATGAAATCAGCCACGGTGGGAGTATTTATACCACTGGAATCAGCAAATGCCACAGATCAGACCTTTATTTATAGCTTCATGCATTACTTAGACCTATGAAAGTGAAGAATAAAATGTGTATAATGCAGATTAAACCTAAAAGTGTGTTGTGTAGGTAGCTGTTACGTTGTGAAATAGCACAGCAATTGAGAGAATATTCTTCCTCTGTTCAGAACCCATTATCCAATTCAGCAAATAAATAGCTCACATCATTGAAGAGCAAGTGACATTCCAACACACATCTTCATTGTTTCCTTTTCACCTTACTTGTTAGTATTATTATGAAAATATCAACCAACATTCATGTCGAAGTCACATCTGCACATCAGCTGCAACACTAGGTTGGCTACAGAAACAAGATTTCAGCAAAATCAACGAAAGCATTCTGTGAGGATAAAACAGAATTTATGATAAAGCATATGTTTTATCATCATATATGCTATGATTGTTTGCAACTTGTGCACAGTACATCTTTATGCATAGATGATGGTTAGTAAAATTATGTGCATATATATGCATACATTTTTTCCTGAAGATCTGGTTGTTATACATTTACCAGCACACCACTGGCTACCTGCCCTTTTCAGTTTTTCTCTATGTATGAAAATTCTAGCCAATCTAAAGGAGATCTATTTGCCTAAATATTTCTCCTCAGGAAACAGTAAGGGATATTTTGTTTTGCAGAAAAAACACTGTCAATGAAGAAATGAATTTCTTCGGTGATATTTACCAAAAGATAATTTACCAAAATGCTGGGACTATATTGAAAAATGTTTTAGATCTCACTATTCAGTAGTATTGCTTATCAGAAAATATTGTTCACATATGTCCATTTAAATTATATTCTTGGGCCGGGCGTGGTGGCTCACACCTGTAATCACAGCACTTTGGGAGGCTGAGGCAGGTGGATCACCTGAGGTCAGGAGTTCAAGACCAGTCTGGCCAACATGGTAAAACCCTGTCTCTACTAAAAATACAAAAATTAGCCAGGCCTGGTGGCACATGCCTCTAATCCCAGCTACTCTGGGGCAGGGCGGTGGGTGCAGCTGAGGCAGGAGAATTGCTTGAACCTGGGTGACGGAGGCTGCAGCGAGCTGAGATCGTGCCACTGCACTCTAGCCTGGGCAACAGAGGGAGACTCCGTCTCAAAAATAAATAAATAAAATAAAATAAAATAAATTATACTCTTGTCTAAACAGTTACTGATCTTATATATCTCATCATTTCAATTGTTTAAATAAGGATTTTTTTCTCCTAAAATTTTAGTGTAATTTTTAAAAATTATACATATATGTATAAATACACCGACATATACTGTACTCTTTCAGCAGAGAGAGCGCAGGGATGTTCCAACACACTTAACGTCTGCTTCTTCCCAGGAGCTCAGACCGCACGGTCAGCCCAGTGGAGCAGGGAAGGGTTCAAGGTCCCACTGCCAGCTCTAGCTCAATCCCACAGGAGCATTGCCCAAGAAAGCCCAAAGCATGTCCCCAAAACAGAGACAAGGCTGCAGTGAGGGGTCTCCTTGAGGACTCATTGAGTTGAAGCCATACCAGTTGAGGAAATATTCAAAAGCCAAAGGATCAACCGAATTGAAATCTTGAGCAAAGAAAGGCTTCTCGGGGCACGCCTCTCGGGACTAATTAGGAACCTGAGGTTCTAGCTTGGGGGTTGTTTCTTTTTGCACCTGGGAAAGCACTTGGCCATGGGAGGGCCCAGAATCATTTAGCACATGAATGAATGAATGATATGTGGAGGCTGCCCACAGGGTTAGCATAGTTGCTTGAAGGCTTTATGTTTGGAAGACACATGGTATGGAAATTTTCTTATGGCACCGAGTTTAAAAGCTCTGTGGCAACCCTTCCAATAGAAGTAGACAGACTCCAGCCTTTGTGCCCACTCAGCCCACCCATGTTTGTGTAAACTGAGTTTTGCCGGAACATAGCAGGGCTGGTGCATTTATGTGTGTTGCTTTTGCACTGCAACAGCAGCGTTGAGTAGTTCTGACAGAGACTGGATGGCCTACAGAGCCTAAGTATTTACTCTCTGGCCCTTTAGAGAAAAAGTTTGTGGATCCCTGCCTTGAAGGAATTAATACAACAGGCAGAAATCTTCTGACGTTTCTCTCTTTCACATGGTTTCACAGGGACAATGAGTGATTGAAAGATAATTCACCAGTCCAGCTAAGGTTTACTGAATGCCTACTATATATGTCATTGAGAATAAATATCTCCCCTGCCTCCAGCCACCCAGGAGGCCTGGTTGGAGAGACAGAGACATGGATGTCTACAATAAACAACACTCCACATCAGATCTGGGAGTAGGCATTAACTAGAAGGATCCATGCGCTCCCAGGTGGTGGCCAGTGCAGGGGCTGCCCAGAGAGGGGGTCTCAGGCTTCACGGGGCAGACAGCTACCCCTCAGGTCTCTGCTTCTTTGATGCCACTGGGGTCCTGCCATCTCAGAACAGAGGGGAGGGACCAACAATGACTCCCAGGATCCTCTGCTGCAGGAAGAGGTCAGGTGCTAGCACAGACGACCACATGCCTGCTTTCTCATTTTGACCAGTGACCCTCGTTCTTACCCCCTTCCCCCAGGCTGGGAGGAGTGAGTGCTCCCTGCACTGCAGGGTTCACCAGGTACTGACAAGCACACCAGCCAGTCCTTGCAGGAACCTCTGCAGCAAGTCCTGCTGTTTTCTCTTGTTGCTGCAAGGAGAGTAGGCACAGAGCTGTAAGGCTAGACAGCATCCCTGGGAACAGGTGGGGGCCAGGACTGAGTCTATCTGACTCCAAAGCCAAGCTATTGGGAATTCTGCTGGCGTCTGAAGCCCAGGGGAGGAGGGAGTTTCCAGGAGTAGGAGTAAGGAGTGGCGGATGCAGTGAAATGTAGTGAAGTGGAGGAGAGCAGTCAACAGACCAGTGTGGAGCCATGCTGGCCTCGCTGGTGACCGCAGGTGTGGGAGAGACCACTCATCTTCTGCCTACCCCACAATGCTGCCTTCAACCAGGTGGTTTTGGACAGGAGGATTTTATGGGCTGTTTGTCTTATTCTTTGTATCAAGGTCAGTCTTAATGGGAAAAGGCGTCATAAATGGGCAGCCAGCATGAATGAGGTCTGTATGTTCAGATAATAACTAAGAAAGGAATAGTCACTCAAAGTTATTCAAAGACCATATTTGTAGGGCAACTGAGTGTCTGTGTGCTTATTTAGAACTCCCATTCCTTAATTAGGGAACCAAGTGGACGGGGTGCAAGACTCTATCACTTAGTGATTGCTCAACCTTGAACAAGTGTCACCTCCTCTTAGAAGCTCTGTTTCTTAATATACACAGTAGGGATAATGAGGCCTAATTCCCAGGCTGGTTGTGATCACAAAATGAGGTCATGCTTGTAAATTAACTCTGTATGGTGCTTGGTTATCAATAATGCTGTTGTTCCCATCATTAGTTATTAGGACTGATATGATTAGTATTACTGAGATTACTAAGGGTTTATTATACCAAGAAATCAAGATAGAAAGGTGGCTATGTCCCAGCAGTTGGCAGAGTAGTAGGCAGCAGGAGGGTGTCCTGGCGGCACAGTCTCTCCTGTGTTTCTGCTTTACTGATTCTCCCCGCTGGCCACACATGTTTCTGCTTGGCTACAAACCCTGCCACTGGGCCACCATCCACAGCTCCCCATCTAGAAGCCACCGCATGGGATGGCGGCTGCATCCCCACCAACTGCCTCTGCATCCCCACCTACTACCCCCACTACACTCACCTCTCCTGTGCATCTATCTGCACAGACGTTCTTATGGGTAGCACTGGCTCAACAGCACACATTTGCTTAACCATGGAGCTGCAGGTGTGTGCATTTCCAGTAAGGTGCTAAGCTCCATGAGGGCACAGAGGATAGATATGGTGGCCCCTTCTGTGTAGCCATCTCAAACGGACAGATGAAGCCTGAACTCCAGCAGAAAGCCTCAGGTAGTAAAGGGAGAGGGCTGATTTTCATTCCAGCCCAACCAGCTCCCTGCTCCATAAGGACCATCACATCACTTTTCTTTCAGTTCACTAGCCTATGCAATGTGAAAGACTAGCCAACTCGGTACATTTGTATTTCTTCCATTTGTTTATCATGTATCAAAAGGGAAGGATAGTAATATTAATCACAAGAGTATTCACCAGAGTAAATTCCAAGGAGTGCTTGAAGCTGCCCAGGGGAAAAGTGCTCTGTAACTAACATCTATGATGATACTATCTACAGATGAAGATGAATGCTTTGTGCACATCCTACATGCCCTTTTGTGGAACTTGCAAACACCACCTCCAAGAAAGGCAAATTGTGAATATTAGGATTTTTATTTTATATGCACATACTAAGCCCTTCCTGCAAGAGAATATGGATCATGTATTAGTCCATTTTCACTCTGCTGATAAAGACATACCCAAGACTGGGTAATTTATAAAGAAAAAGATGTTTAATGGACTCACAGTTCCACGTGGCTGAGGAGGCCTCACAATCATGGAGGAAGGTGAAAGGCATGTCTTACATGGTGGCAGACAAGAGAGAATGAGAACCAAGTGAAAGGGGATTCCTCTTACAAAACCATCAGATCTTGTGAGACTTATTTACTACCATAAGAACATTATGGGGAAACCACTTCCATGATTCAACGATCTCCCACTGGGTTCCTCCCATAACACATGGGAATTAAGGGAGCTACAATTCAAGATAAGATTTGGGTGGGGACAGAGTCAAACCATATCAGGTCAGTAAAGGTAAATGAATTACTTGCATCCAACCATCTGTAACTGGCAACATTGAATATACATATTATATAAAAAACTTGAAGCCCAGATTATGTTAACTCATTTCAATTAATATCTTCAAAATATCAAGAAACTGAATCTGGATTCCTACTGGCCATGAGACTTTGTTTAAGCCTTTACCTTCTCTAAGCCTTAATTTGTCTACATGAAAAATGGGTTAATATCTATGCCATAGAAATGTTATGAGAAACAAATTTGGTTTTGTAAATGAGAGGCATTTAGCTTCTTCTCTACTCAGGCATAGTTCACTATTAATTTGCGTATATTTGTTTTGTGGTAGTATATCTGAAAATGTTGAAATTCCAGTGGGTGCCTATGAAATACAGTCATCACATCGCAGTAACTGGACATAGATACAAAAAAGCAGGCCAACATTTTTATTTTCAAATATAAAATTCCTTCTGTGGTTTGAATCTGGGGATTTAGAGAACTTTTAAGATCTCTGTGAAATATTCCTCAAAATTGTTTGTGAGTGTAGCAGTTACTCTTGGTTGTCTCCATTACAATTTCTTCTCAGAAGGCAGAATGCATATTTAGTTTAAATGTCAACCACTATGGGTAAGCTTACCCTTTCCCCAAGTCTAGGTGTGAGTGGTGATTGGTCTAAGCCAGCGATAATGGTAATATTCACCTTGCCAATGGATTCTCTAGGTAAGTGATCCATTTCTGGGCAATATAATGTAAAAGGAGACTTTCTGGGGGGCTTCTAAGAAATGTTTTTGTACTCCTAAGGAGACCCTGGGATATATAGCCCATTTTTTGCCTTTGGACATCCTTTGGTCTGGATGTGATACCTGAAAGGGCTGCAAACATCTTGTTCTCAGAGGTGAGAATGGGTTGACACAGAAGGTAGAGGGAAGGATGAACTAAACCTGGTTTTTAAGACACCCATGAGTGTTGAATCAACCGACCTGAAACCTGTCTTATTTCTGGACTTCTTTTTCTGAGATGCTAAATGTCTTTATTGTTAGAGTTTTCTCTTATTTGCAACTCAATAAATCTTTACTAATTTTTGTCTGTATGTCAAAGATGTGAAAAGCACTGGCCCAAGCTACTCTAAAAATGTATGTTGCATCTAGAAAAATTTCCTGTGAGACAAAGTGCTATCACCACTTGCAGCCTGAAGGATTAAGTCAGCCTGATCTCTTACACATAGAAAATGATATTATCCACTGCTTGAGGGGCACAGCAGCTGGTGATAGTGAACCAGGGACAGGGGAGCATGCCAGGGAGCTGTGCATTCTTTCATATGTGATTGCTGAGAAGTATTCTAGGCAGAATGTGTTTCCATCCCTTTCCCTTATCTTTAACTCCATCTGAGTGTACTTCTCTAAATTAATACAGCTCCCAATAAGGAATGGGAAGATGAGGTCAAGAAAATGATCCTGCTAGAAACACTTGCCCAGTGCAGATGTGCAGTAACTCCACCAGGATGACCTCCCCAAGTCAGAATCCGTCAAGAAAAGAACACTGAGGTGCACCATCATGTTTAATGATGACATCTGAGGACGATGACTTCATGTGACTCATAAACTCAGTTAATTATGTTATTCTATTTCTAAAATATAGTGGAGAATTTGTCAGGAAAGCTCTAGTATCATATCAGAGGCTAGAGGTTCAAAAGTTCAGGCAAAATCAAAAAGGTACTTTTCTTTAATAATAAAAAAGATCATGTCAAGACAGATTCAAAAAACATCAAGAAACACGTCTTAATGTCAAGAAACATGTCTTGACGTCAAGAAACATCTATTAATATAAAAGAACTTTGAGGAATATAAGGAATGTAGTGATGCGGGATGGAAAAAAACATTTGCATGCTCCAGAGATGCAGGAGAAATTGAAGATGCTTCATCCACATAAAATATGACCCTTTGAGTCCTGCCAAGGTCAATGAGACCCAGAGCAATCGGCTCGATATAAAATTGGATTTGTACATTTTTCTTACTTGCGCTAGTTCCTCCCTTCTTGTATATCTGCCACTTTTTTATTTCTCTACCATCCCTGCAACTTCACCTCCTTAGCCCATATTTTATAACTGTCCCAGAAGATAGATGCCACACATGTTGCAAAACAGATGAGAGACAGCAGTGAAGTGGCGGTGACCCTTGTTTTCTGGACTAGCTTGTTTTCTGAATCTCAGTTCCTTTAGTTAAAATCTCGTCTTTGTTTCTGTACGGCTTTGCGTTCAGTGGCGGCGGGATGGGGCAGATACACCTTAGTTCAAATCATGAGTCATTTAGTTACGAACAAGTCAAATGCTCCTTCGCCACTCCGTACCTGCTTTTCCATATTCCCCTTCCCTCAGAGTCTTTTGCAAGCTATCATCTTTCCACAGGTAATATGCTTGCACCCAAGAAAGTTCAATGGCAGGTTACAGAATATATGGTTTTGACTAAAGTTTAAAATTATAGGTTCAGGTTTGAGAAAGTAAAATCTGTCTTTTAGTGAATTAATAGACTTAAAATTCTACTAGCAAATATTAAGATGGTTTAAGCTCCAAACCATCTCTTGAAACTATAATTATAATTGCTCCCTAGATATGCAATTGAAAATACCGTACAACTTTCAGAAATACTGATGCTTTTAAAAAAAAAAATCTTATGCTGTCATGGAAACACGAATAATGAGATTTTTTAATCTTTTAATACAAAATAAAGCAGAGTTTCTAGTCAAAAACGAATGAGAAATAAATTTTCGTTTCTGATGACCAAAATTACAACAGAAATATCTGTAAAAAAATAAAACCAAACTATTATGGTATTAGGAAGAGAATGTTAAAGTTTAAATTTCATAAATATTCTCATCATATTCATATTTATTTACCTTCATTTATAATTTTCTGAAAAACAAAGTATTTTTTTCCCAAAAACTTTCCATGCTATGGTTTTTCTCTTTCTCTAGGGGTCACTTATTTACATTGTGGAAAAATCTTAGGAACATCTGTTCAAGGACTTTGGCTTTTAGAGAAGCATGAAATGGAGGAAGCAAAACTAACACACTTGTGCCTAAAACCTCTCCACTCATTTTAACTTCAGGTCACTGATTAGCAAAGAAAATAGCTGCATCTATTCACAGACTTCAACAAGCAATAAATTATGTAAAATAATTGAGCCTAAACGAAAAAATATTTGTATTAAACAGTGAGCTTTTCTCCACCTCCATTGCACTCTTTATAAATCACTCCTGAGAAACATGGACTGGGTGTCCTATCATTTTCCCATTTCCTTAGTTAGACAGCAGATGAACTCCCTGAGAATAAATACCAAGAGACAGCTGTACAGTCTCAATTTAACTGTAGGCCAAGTAATTACAGTAATACCTTGGATTTTTATATCTTCTAGTCTCCTGAGGACGCAAAGCCCATTTTCACATATATTACCACATCGACTCCCAAGGAGTACCCACTTCCATAACACATCCCACTGTAGTTGGAAAAGTGGCTTCCATATAAGCTTAAGAAACCTGCAGAGCCTCAGAAATGAGACTGGGTTCCACTTAACTCACGTTTTCTTCTAGAACAATCTAGAACCAGAAGATTAAGAGGGGTCTGTGGATGTGACCCACTGACCTTACACAAGGGGTCACCTGCATTTTTATGTCTTAAAATTGGAGAAGGAGGTGGTCTATGACTCTACCTAGTGGCTTTACACCAGAGGTCATTGGCAGGCTTCTTAGAACAGTTCCATTCTATTATTCCTTAGAGCATCCATCCCTGAGAACTATGGGTTTGTTTTTCTCAACAATTTTCAACAAATTTGAATATTAATTCTAAATTCTGAGCTATTTATACACTCACGATTGTAATCAGCCACATACTTCCTGTGCAGGAGGCCAATCCCCTGCTGTCAAATGCTTTGTAAACTGCTGGCAGAAGTGCTTCCTGAGAACGCCGGGGGTGCATGAGAAGGCGCCTCGGGCGGAGCGCAGTAGAGCCACTCACCGGGCAGCGGGGCAGCCGCACAGTCTGGGCACGTGCCCTAGGCTACATCCTTTTAGCTGCCATTGAGATTGAGGGATCAACACAAAGCGTTAAAGGAGCTCATAAAACGAAGACTGATCCACAATGGAAGGGTCAGGAAAGGCCCAAAGGAAGCAGCGTCCCATTTGCGACGTGGTGGACTAAAGAGCCTGCTAAGAAAAGACCGGAAGGAGCTGTAGAGACGGGAAAGCCTGTCTTAACATAGCGGCGCAAGGCGCCTGACCCCGAGCCCAGCTGTGCCTCCCTCAGGCACATGCAAACCGGCACCACCCACAGCCTCTCTTTAATTTGACACTCCCAGCTCTTCTCTAGGAGGCCTCACCTCCCTCCCCTAATGGAATAGATTTTTCCTTTACACCAAAAAACAATCACCTCCTTGCCTCAAGAACACAGTGTTTACACAACCAGTGTAATTTCTTTTCATTGGTGACTTTTGGCCCTGGGGTTATATTTCTCATACGCACAATGTTTTGAATGTGACGTTTTAAACCTAACTTCGCCCTTTTCTTCCAAAGCTACATTAATATAGCAGGAGGCTTAACAGACAATCCAGGCAGAAATGTCTGGAAGTTCACTGCCAGTGCCACAAAAATGTGAATTGTTTTCCTCTGCATATGGGGATTTAATGTTATTGCAGGGTTTCACATTTTTATGAGCACTTAAAATGTTGGATCTGATTGGGATCTAGGCTCACATTAACTCATTTCAAATTATTGAAATACCCATCTTCTAGCTAAAATAAAATGGTTACTAAATCAGAACTATGATGAGCATGGGCATGAAGGAAGAGTACGTTTCTGGATATCTTAAGAAATAATCATGAAATTACCACAGAAAACTAAGTAATCAAAATAAACATATTTAAGTGGGCCCAAAATAACCTGGTTGTATAATATCAAGTAACACTAATGAGGTCACATGATTCAATGGAAGGAAGGACATCACTTTTTCTGCCACTTTTATCCTATTACCTAGAGGAACGAGTGGTTTTAGAAACCGTAAAGCCCACCCCAGGTGCCTTAGTCATAGAGATTTTGTACTGACCAAGATGAGAGTAACTTTCTGATCCTGTGATATGCTCAGATACATGCATCTTGAAGTCTTGCAAAGAAACTATATTTTTCCCAGGAGGCCTCCTCATTTGGGGGTTCACAATGAAAGTGGTTACATGTGTGTTTCTCTAGCTCTCCCTCTATACCCAACCTCTAGTGTCCACACAGGCCCAGGGCCCAAAGAAACTGAGCCCCTGTGTGTTGGGACATTACGTTATGATCGCTATGTGTTTTTAAAAGTTAGGTAACTTTATACTCAGATTCTCTATAGCGTGAAAACATTAATGAATCAAAAAATCTGTTTAGGAAAAATAGAATTTTAATCTTTTTTGGCATCAAGGATACCTACAGTTTTACTGATTAATAAATTATAGATGATAAAATTTTATACAAAGCAAGTATGATTTTTATAAGCACCACCTTGTTTTAACTCTGGGATTTAAGGATTTTTTTTTTCTTTTGCTCCATCTACCTCTTGTCCTTCCATTAAGTATCCTGCCTATAGCAAGCTTCTTAATCTTCACATCAGAATTCCTCCAACAGAATCACCAAACCAAACCTCCAAATCATAAATCCTTTTTCATATTCAATCTTTTGTTTGATCTATATTGACATTTGCAAGATAAGTCTAACTTGACCATGCTTTCTAAACATTCAAGAAGAAAAAAGAAGTACTCCACCTAAAAAATGGAAACAGGTAACAACCTGTGTCTTCAGTCATCAACATCAGGGAGCCAAGATGCCAGGACTTTGTTGGGTGAGAAAATGGGAATGAACCTAGGATCAGTCTTGAGGCAGAAACTCCCATTCCTTCCAGGCTGAGGGAGAATCTGAAGAGGGAAGGAGGCTTGGTGGGTTTTTCTTGTATGTGGGGACTTAAGCCAGTTGAAAGATTTTCTAAAAGCTTTGAGGTATAAAGAACATGTGCGTCCAGCACCTCTGCCACTTTTAACAATTTTGATAAATAGTTTTTATAGATTTTATACCAGTTTGCCATGAAGCAGGTTAAATTACAAGATTAGGTCAATCAGAATTTCAGAGAAACAGCTAAAAGCACAGGCAGTCAGCCAGCAAGAAAGCAAGCTAATTAACTTGTTTCTCATTTCTTCACTTTTGCTACTCACAGACCTGTAAAACATGTAGGTAGGAGGATCGGCATGGGAAAATATACTCTACTATTCTAAAAAGATCAAGAAATGATTACTTTATAAAGTATACTAATATCTAAGATGTTAATTTACTTTTTTCATTGTGCAGATGACAATGGTTAATAATTTGTATTATGCAAAACTTTAGAAGACTAAGTAGATTCCAACATCCGTAAGTAGAAAACATGATGCATTTGAGAAGGCAAAGAGGCTATTGACTCAGAAAAAAAGTAAATTATACAGAAATGTCCTATCCAGTGAATATTATCCTAAGATGCAACCTGTCAGATGGACAAAGACATGCAAAGCAACAGACAGTATTCAACCTAAGTCCAAAAATGGGAAGCCTCTCAGGAAGGTTTCCTAGCTTGAGTAAGTACATTAGTAATTTAATGGTCATAAACAGCATTGTGAAACAAAGTTTAAGATATACAAAAGCTTAATGATGAGGATACTATGTATTTGTATTAATTTTATACAATTTTTGTGCTGATCCCTCTTACAGGTTCCAACTAGCAGAAACCCCAGGATTGCAACCACATAATGAAAAGTTGATGGTGTATCTTTTCCTAAACATTCCATATCCATCACATCTTGAATGGCACTGGCTTATGCAATTTTTTCTCCAACGTTGAGCTGTTTCATTATCTTTTTGTGTTCACAACTTAATACCTTGCGTTAAAGAAAGGTTTTAAAAATAAAATATTTTGAGATGTTAAAGTTGTGGATTTTTGTTTGTTTGTGTTTGTTTTAAGGCAAAGTCTTATTCTGTCACCTAGGATGGAGTGCAGTGGTACGATTACAGCTCACTGCCGCCTCAACCTCCTGGGCTCAAGCAATCTTCTAGTCTCCGTCTACTAAGTGCCTGGGACTGCAAGCACGTGCCACCACACACAGCTAATTTTTTTTATTTTTTGTAGAGATGAGGGTCTCACTATGTTGCCCACGCTGGTCTCAAACTCCTGGCCTCAAGCAATCCTCTTGCCTTAGCCTTGAAAAGTGCTGGGATTACAGGTGTGAGCCACTGTGCTCATCTGAATTTGTGGAGTTTTAAAAAATATTTTAAGGTGGTTACCTCGTCAGTTTTGGTCTCAATTTTTTAAATGTGGGGAAAACAATAATTCATTTTCACAGCATCCCTCAGACAAGTTCAAATCATTGGAAAGCCACACATTAGTCATCTGAGTATGTCCATCTTGAACCTGACCAGCGCTGTGGTAGGAAAAGGGCCTTGAAGGGAAATATTTACCACAAGCCATTTCCGATTTCATTGTTAGTTGCCAAGGGCTGCCTCCTGGCCACTGGCCATTTGACGATGAGGAGAAATCAACAAAGGGCACATCATTTTTGTTTCTGTTCTGGGCTAGGAGCACTTCCAGCCTGACAGTGGAGGAGTGGCACTGTGGGAGGCATTTTACTCTATTTCTGTAGAAAACAACACCAAGGGAAGGAAGCACGCCGGTCAGATCAGCTTCCCTTCCCGGCCAACAGGTACTTGGCAGTTCTCCAAGTTGTAGGATTTTTGTAAGAAATATGTACTTTTCCATTTTTACTAACGTAACAATGATTATGTCTTCAAACTACCAAATAGTTATGATCTCCTGTGTGATCCTAATGTCAGAAAGCAATATTTGTTCTTTTGGAGAAAATATTTAGCCAAAACTGCCCTAAAATTCTAGTACTGAAAGGGCCTTGGCAGGATCAAACTATTGCAAATCTTGTTTCTGATTTTCAAGGTTAAAGCATCCACAGGACTTGTTACATGATCCATTTCAAACTTTGATTGGTTCTTCTATCTCTTTAATCTGTTTTCTATAAAATGCTACATTATTTTGTCATCCAAATATTTGAAAACAAATGTAACCTTTTCTTCTTTAGGTTAAAACAGTCACATTAGCTCAACTTATGTCCAATTCCAATATTCAAATAAATTACCTTACAATTTTCTTTTATCACCTTTTCCAGTTTTTACATATAACTCCTAAAACTTGAAGATTAATATTGGAATCCTGTGGTAGAAAGGGCCTACAACTGTGACACAGAGGTCTGGTAGTAAAGCACTTACCGGAGGCAAATCCATACATGGCTCTCCATCGCTGGACATATGGCCTTCAAGGGTTGTGAGCACTTTCCCCGGAATCACACTTTACAAAGTTCCCACACTTTGTAGGGAACATAGAGGCCTTCCATGTAGAGAAATATACGTATTTATTTATGGTGTTACAAAGAGGCAGTCTTCAAAAGGAAACAGGATTTCAGGTCTTATAATACGTTAGAATCAACTAGTGATTACAAATTGCATTCCTTATTTAACAAACCTTATTAAGCTCCCTGCTCTTCTATGGAAGGTGTGCAGGCCCCCACGTCCCAAGGTCAAGGTGCGTCCGTTGTACTTGAAAGCCTGAGGGTCGCCCCCTCCAGCAGCCTAATCCTAACCAGCGCGAGATGATTACTCATGGCCATCCACAGATGTGCAGCTACTAAAACTTTACCCAGTGATGAACTGCCAGCCTATCCCCAACTTTGTTGTTTACCGTGAGAAGAAACAAAGCAATAAAAAATAGTCTTAAGTGGATCTCCCACACTATTGATAGCCTGAGGCGCTGGGGAACTTTAGGATTAAAGGCTCATTCTTCTAGCATGGTAGAAAAAGAAACAAATAGTAGCTAGAGTAAAGTACTGTCATTTTAATCAACATCTTCAGTACAAGAAAAAAAAATCAGTTCAGGAACTATTTGAAGACGATGTTAATCTTTTGGCTCATGAAAGGAAATATGTGTTCTGTGACTGCTCTGCTGAGAAGGGTGTGTGTGTTATGTTAATATGGTAGAAAAGTATTGCTGCAAAGAGCTAATATAAATTTGCAAGACTTAAGCTTGAAATAATAGATTTCAAATGTCCCTCAAAGAAAAATTCATTAAGAATGAGAAACAAATTTTTCAAGCCATTATTAATTACAAAACAAATGTAGTAACGGTGCTTTCTGTGTGTGTGACCCAAATCAACACGGTGTTTGTAGGTTTTGCACACAATTAGATGTCTTTGCATGCCAGGCCTACAACCCTGTGGGAGAAAACCACAGGTGAGTTGTGAAGACCCAAGACTCTGAGACCCTGGGCCCAGCCTGGGCTGCGTGCTGCCACCCTCTTGCTTCGTCTGCCTGTTGCGCTCATTTGTAAGTAATCGTCTAAATGATTTTATGTATCTTGCTGGCTATAGGTCCTTAAAATGATGCTGAGAAGTGAAGATGAGAGTGAAGATGGTAAAGGAAGCTTCTGGAATAGGAGGGGGCAAGCCCAGAGGAAGAGGTGGAAGGGCAGGTATGCCACCTGAAAACCCCACGGATCCTTCACTTGTCTCCAGACAAAACGAAAACATACAATTCATCAGCAACGCATAGCCCAGAAAGTACTGCTCCTGATCAGATAAGAAGCGTGTTTTGGCTGGGTGCGGTGGCTCAGGCCTGTAATCCCAGCACTTTGGGAGGCCGAGGCAGGTGGATCACCTGAGGTCAGGAGTTCCAGACCAGCCTGGCCAACATAGAGAAACCACGTCTCTACAAAAAATACAAAAATTAGCCAGGTGTGGTGGTGGGTGCCTGTAGTCCCAGCTACTTGGGAGGCTGAGACAGGAGAATCACTTGAACCCAGGAGGCGGAGGTTGCAGTGAGCTGAGATCGCACCACTGCCCTCCAGCCAGGGCAACAAGAGTGATACTCCATCACACACACACACACAAAAACAGAAGCATGTTTCAAGGTATTCAATTTTCTTTAAAAATATTCCAATCTATTATACCCCACCCCAAAAGGGAACTTTGAATTTTACTCCTGATTTATTTTGGATTCAGCATGGTTTCTATGCCCGCCCCAGCCCCAGCCCTCACTATGCCACTGAGGGAAAAGTGTGTCTGTAATGAAAGCAGTGTGTTCAGCCCTCATCCTGTACTTCCTCAGATCTCACCTGAAGCCAAAGCATCCAAGGGCAAGGCTGGAAACCCAAGCTTACTATGTTTAACCCACAAAGTTTGGCTTTTGCCTCTTACTTTTTTATACTGTGGACTCAGCTAGGATTGAAGTGTCCATTTTAACAGCAAATATCTTTCTTTCTTAGTGATTTAAATCAGTTGACTATACCTTGCTTAAATCCAGTTTCTCACAAAATAGAATAAACAGCAAATGGTTTTATGATTGTAGCAAATGATTCTTAGAAATTTTCCCTTTGATAAATATTGTTTCTACCTATGTAGACATAATGTGGCGATTTGGAGAGTGACATTAGCTTAGGATCAAATAGGATTCCATGACTGAGAACAGAAGGGAGATTCTTTCTTTCTTTTCTTTTTTCTTTTCTTTTCTTTTCTTTTCCTTTCTTTCATGGAGTTTTACTTTTGTTGCTCAGGCTGGAGTGCAGTGACATGATCTCGGCTCACTGCAACCTCCACCTCCAAGGTTCAAGCGATTCTCCTGCCTCAGCCTCCCAAGTAGCTGGGATTTCAGGTGCCCGCCACCATGCCCGGCTATCTTTTTGTATTTTTAGTAGAGACAGGGTTTCAACATATTGGCCAGACTGGTCTCAAACTCCTGACCTCAGGTGATCCGCCTGCCTCAGCCTCCCGAAGTGCTGGGATTACAGGCATGAGACACTATGCCCGGACAAAGGAAGATGTTTTCTTAAGTTTCACACTGGCACTTGACCTTTTATGAATTCACGGAGTCTCGGGTCCCAAATAAATTGTTTGGCTCTTTTCCTAGGCTTTGTTAAGACTTCTGAAGTATTATCTTAAGAATCTTCCATCTCTAAAAAAAAATTAAACAAATAAATAAATAAAAATTAGCTAGGAATGGTGGTGCATGACTGTGGTCCCAACTACTCAGGTCACTGAGAGGGGAGTATGGCTTGAGCGAAGGAGGTTGAAGCTGCAGAGAGCTATGATCACACCATTGTACTCCAGCCTAAGCAACAGAGCAAGATCATCTCTAAAAAAAAAAAATTTTTTTCACTTAACAATTCAGGATATCTCTGGCAACACAGTGCATGTCAGTCTATTACAAAAGGAAAATGTGTAGCTGTTACAGGGATGTAACAACAGCGGGGATAATGTAATGATAAAAGGGGGGTGTTGCTAGCACTAGATAAGATGAGACTGCAGGGGGAAGCTTGCCTCCAGCCTCCACTTCCCGCAAGGTCCAGACAGTTTCTGTAGAGTCACAGCCATCCGTGTACCATCTGGAGAACAAGGTGAGCCCTTCTCTCACAGATCACGGGATGTGGCCACTCTCTGGAGACTGATGCTCGTCGCTCTGATTGGTCTTCGGTTTAGGTTAACGCTTATCATAGAAAGAGCATCTGTTGATTTAAATTCCACACGTGCTGCTATCACAAAATGAGGGGAAAAATGTTTCTCTCAAAAGTCATGTTAGCCAAGATGGTTTGCGTATTAATTCTGGAACTCTCTACACCTATTTTAACTGTCTGCAAGTAACCCTGTGCCCAACTTGCTAATCAATTTTTTGGACTGTTAGCCTTATAGACCAAAGATAAAGTACAGTGCCTTCTTTGGAGAGTACAGTCTCCTGGATAGCCTTGGGGATTTCCCTTAAAATGGCTGGACGACCTTAAGGGAGGTGCATATGTAAAATGCTTGGCTGTCAGGTATTAGCATGATTGTCCTTGCATTTTCCTAACCCGACTGCATGTCCAGTGATATCTGGCCCTTGGCGTTGTGGTTCACAGGAGCCACTTGTAACAACTGGAAGGTGTCTTATGCAAACCAAGCTCTAGCTCGAAACAGAGGTCAATGAAATCAGTGGATACCTCTTGTCTGGCTTCTCCTTTCCAATAACCGAGGAGGCCTTACCCTGCCATACAAGCTCCAGAGTCAGCTCTTTCCTCCCCTAGTTGGTGCAAACAGGACCAGAGGCACAAAGATAGAAGCAGCACAGCACGGGAACACCAGCAGAGACCTGCAGGAGGTCACGGATGCAGGCCTGGTTCCCAGGCAGAGCCTGGGATGCCAAGCTGTAGCCTGGAATTTTTACAGCTGAGTTTTAAACCCCTGACACTGAGAGTTTATAATGGAAATGCTGCCAGACCTTTAACTATAGCGACGCCACTATAATATTTATAAGTACCTCATACTCTTTCCAAACACATGTGCTCATTACTGATGTCTCTGCTTCTGCCTCACTTCTGGGGGAAACTCTCTGTATAAACAAAACAGATTGGCTTGCTTATGCTTTCAAACGCTAATTGCTCTCTGTCTCTATCTGCTAGAAGAAAGCCAGCCCCAGGCCAAGCGATGCAGCCAGTCCGCTGAGCTTTGTGTAGCTGCGGTACCCATAATGCAGACTTCCTTTCTCACTCTCCCCACTGGAGTTAGTCAATCTGCACATCCTTTAGTATTTTCTTCTAATTATTCCCTTCAGTTATGCACCTGAGGGAGGCCTGGCTGGCGGATTGGAGACAACCCGTGAACCCACTACATCTGACAGGTTCTGACCATTAGGCACGCTCTAAGTAAACAGGGGACAAGGGGCTGCACATCAGTGAAAGGCCACTTGGAGTGCTGACAGCTTATCTGGTCCAACATAAGTAGGATTCCAGGGAAACTGATTGCTTAATAGTGATGAGGAATGACAAGGATTTCCTAACTCTTCGACGAACCCCACAGCAATTGTATGTCTAGAAACAAAGTCATGCTGAGCCACTGAGCTATGAGACACACACATGGCCTGCAGGTGAAAAGGAGACAAAGGAGATGCATCCCCCTCTGAACTGATGGTCTGGGAAGCCAGCTCCTCATTGCCACTCAGGTCACCAGATGCCCACCTCTCCAGGGTGGAATGCAGAACAGCACTGGGGACACTCACCAGACGCCACCTCTGCAAGGTGGAATGCAGAGCAGCACTGTGGACACTCACGCTGCCACCGGCTTTGGTGCCCAGCCCTCAGAATATTCCTGGAGCTAAATACAGACTCTCCTGTGGTCTAATGCCCTCAGACGTTCAACCACAAGTGAATCAGGAATGGGAAGTAAAGATGTGTAGACAGTAATTTCAGTGCTGAATTCCAAGGTCATGAAAAGAAGCAAGTGAGGAATGTACCTTCAGCCGATTCATCGGGCCCCTGGGCACCCCAGGGATACAGCCGGTGTGTAGCCAAGGCTATGGGAGCATCATCACACACACCCATGCCAGACCAGGCCACATGGCAAGATGATGCATTCAGGCTGTGCCAGATAGCAGAACTGCAGCTTACATTCACCAGTTAAGTGCTGTTGGGGTTTCAGATGAGAAACCCAATGTGGATGGTTTCTCTTGACAAGCCACAGGCACGTGGAACTACAAGAACACACAGGAATTAACTTATTCAGGGGACATCCTTCCAGAGTAAGCTATCCAAGCAGATGATATGCAGTGAACTGAGGTGAAAGGGCTCCCTAACAGTACCAGTGCTATTATACACAGAAGATACCATCCAGCACGTTGACCAGCTGAGCACCTGACAGGAAGTAAGTTAAGTAAGTGATGGGAGGTAAGAACTTAGGCATCTTGAGTGAAGAGACTGCTGCAGGTATGGTGTCTGGGGCATTTTGCCCTTGAAGTAAAGCAGCGGGGCTTTGGGGACCAGCCAACAAAAAGTTGCAAATAATGCTGGTCACTCAGTGGTGATGTCTGCACACTGACACTGCTGGAGAACTATGTGGCCAGTGGCCTCATTATCAAATGAGAGGAAATTGTATTGAGGGATGATCAGACCATTAATATCAATATCACATTGGTGTTTTTAGTGTTGAATAAATGGAATTAGCTGGGCTGGCATTTCAGTATTAGGCTACAGACAGAGATAACTATGCAACAATATCACCTACTCAAGATTGCTCACAGAACCACATGTATCCATTCTGTATCACTGACCCTTTCTTCCTGGAAATCTCTGGCATTATCAGAACCATGAACTAATTCAGTTACTATTATTTGTTGAGCAATTACTGGGTCTCATATATAAGAGCACTCTTAATGAGAACAAAATGGGCCTTTGCCACTGAATGGAAAGCCAATAATACAGTAATTTGATAGAGAGCCTCCTACAGAAAATGTAACATGGAGAGAACACTTATAAATATGTCTGGTCACAAGGAAAGATCATACCTTCCTTGAAGATATGATCCACACAAGAAATGTGTGAAGAAACATCAATTTCTTCTCTTTATTTCTACTTGGAGGCAACAAAGGTATAAAGGAACTCAGGCAATCACTCACCTTCCAGGAAAACCACCAAGACCTCCTGAGTGGAGTCTGACCTCTGGATTTCAGAGCCCCAGTGACACCAAGCTGAGGAGGGGGTTAGGGGCCTGTGGACACTCACATTAGCCTGGAGTATGTGGGGTGGGGTATTTGTGGGGGTCAGGCCCTGCCACAAATGTGGTAGCTGTGTTTGCATGCTGGAGCCTCCACACCTGCCCTGGGACAGAGCTGTCCCTACAGTCCCCACAAAGTCTAATTTAAGCTCTGTGTTTTGCAACTAGTCTATATTTGAATCGTTGATTTCAGATAACCCTTGAAAACAGGAAGCAAATGCTATAATTTTAAAGAACTATTTGGCAATCAACCTATGAAGAATAACAATCCTAGATTTTTAAGTGTGGGAAGAAATATCCTCAGAAATTTAATGTTAAAACTTTTCTATATCTTCCTGCAGTTTGTCAGCATTTACTGTGGCAGACATAGGAGAAAGAGTAAAGATTTAAAGTTGCCTAAGCTAATAAATAATTGAAAGAGTCCATAGTACCTCTTCTCAAGAAAGGCAACACGATGAGGAATCACTTTATTCCAATCTCAAAACCTTTTCAGATAAGGAAAACAGAAGGGAGCATTTTGCAAAGGCAGAATCTAGAGCTAATGTAATCATCATGTTGAATATGAAAGAAAAAAACATTAAAATAAAGGAGAACACATTAGTGTCTTTCCCTTGAAAACACTGCCATCATGGCAGAGAAGTCATGAAGTGCAGAGGCTGCATTTACAGGGAGCCTGACTTCCAGCAAGGGAGCCTCCTGAGTGAGACAAGACCACCTGCTCCAAGCAGGAGCTCACCCTTCAGGCCACACCTGTCCAGTGGTGTCCAACAGCACAGCAGCTCAGGGTGAGGAAAGCCAGACAGGTGAACTCAAGAAATCCTGTTCAAGTGTGTAGGTACCAAATTCAAACATGTTACATAAACTCTATTAATATCTGAGCTAAACAAATAATGAGCTGGTGGAAATCTAGCCGACACACTTGTGAACTTCTCCTTCCCATACCACACATGAAATGTGCGTTACCTGCCCCAGGCCAAAGGCCTCGCCTCCGGAAGGAGCTACTGACATACTTGGGCAGCCTCCCCTGCTGTGCAGTCTTCAGACCTGACACCTGACACCTGGCCTCAGTCATGCCGAGGAACACAGGCACACGCACAACCACGCACAACAGCAAAGAGAGGTCTTTGTTTCTAAAAAGAAACGTGCTATCCTGAAATCTCTCTCTGGGGAATTACATCAAGTCGGCTGAGGAGCAGATCTGGGGAATGAGGAGCCCCAGATGCAAAATTTGAATAGAATCCTTTTCTGAACATAGCTGGTGATATGATAAGCATATACTAAAAACATTTCCACTTAACTTCGAGCTTCGCTAAGACCTCTTCCCCTACTTCTGATCGAATGACGCACTTCAATCCAGCAGTCAGGTACCAGCCTTCGCAAGACTTGCTAACATTGAGATAAACTTCACAAAAGATGCATCTCCCTCCCTGTAAAGGTTGAAAGAGGAATTATCCTAGGTGGGTGTGGTGGCCCATGCCTCTAATCCCAAGTACTGGGGAGGCTGAGGTGGGAAAATTACTTTACGCCAGGAGTTCAAGGCTGTAGTGAGCTATGATCACACCACTACATGCCAGCCTGGGCATCTCTTAAAAAAAAAAGATTATGCTAAAGATGGAAAGGAGTTACTCAGAAGAGTGAGCCTCTCCCCTGCCTCTCCTTCTCTTCAGCACTCTTAGAAGGACTCTTCCAGCTCACAGCAGAGCCAAGGTTCTTCTAGTGGCCATGTAGCTGCATGAAGAAACAGCCCCAAAACAACTCTCTTAAACAAATAAACACTCCAGTGCTTGCACTTTATGTTCCCAATCTCTGCCACCATTAATCACATTCAGAGTTTGTCTTTAAGAGCCTGCAGTGAAGGAGTGAGAGGTGGGAGGAAAGGAAGGAAAATAAACTCCTGAGCCCAGTTAGATCCAAGAGGCACAGGGAAGATGGAAACCCGCCTCGCCTGCCAAAAGGGACCTCTGGATGCCGGTGAGAGGTGCCCACGATGGAAACAAGGGGACGGTTTCAAACAGAAACCAACAGAGAGCCCGGAGAGAGCACTGTCATTTCAGCATCACCCGAACGTCAGTAGGAAACCCAGGATGGGGCTGACAGCGCCTCATCCACATATGTATATGGCTACTGTTGAGGAAAAAACTCTGGGAAACACAAATGTGAGTTGGTTAAGGCCGCGTCCAAAGAGACACGAATCTTGACTTCAGGGATGCAAGAATGAGGAGGAGGTCTCATGCCCAGGCCTCCCCAGCCTTACATCACCTGCTTATCAAGTCTGAATCGGATGGGGAGAGGAGTCTGTTGTTCCGTCGTCTCCCCCAGCTGGGAGCGGAACAAGGAGTCAACAAAAACCCTTCAGCTTTTTATCTGCTGTTTGTGATCATTTCCTTTCCATTTTTCAAAACTCCAAACTCCCTTCAGACCCTAAATAACTTCATCATCATTTTCACATTTGCAAATGAAACATTCTGTTCCAAAGAAATCTAAGTGAATGTGAGGTCACTGGGTTGCCCGGGGCCATCTTCCACATTGCAGTGCTGGGAGACCATCCTGCAGGGAGCCAGGCTGGGCACCATTGTGTATTTTTTGTGTATCCTGCTCATGACACTGAATGTTCCTGATTTATAGCAGTTAGTGAAACAATGGATCATTCTTCTTTTGCCTTTGTTGTTGTTATTGTTCGAAAAACTACTAATTGCTTTTTGGCTGAAAACTGTCTTGCTGGGTGTCAGAGAACACAATTCAAGTGATGAAAGCTAACTGAGTTGTTGTATGTTTGATGCACCAATAAGATCTGCAAACCAAAGGTTAACATGGGCCAACGGGTTTATCACCAACTTATAGATATCCTCGGCTTAATCAAAGATGCATCTACTAGCTCAAACCCTTCCCAGAATCCCACCCATTGTTAGGCAAGAGAACAAGAAAATAGTCGTTTAAACAAACATCTTCTTGCCTAGACCTTTGATATAGAATTTCAGCCTTACCCCTAATAATAAAATCACCCTTAGAAACTGGCTGTGTGCTTTACTGATTTAGTGATCTCTTCCCCATGAAACCAAAGTGACTGAAATTCATCATCCTGATAGATCTCACTTCAAAGTTCTATCCCTCTGTACACTGAGCCTTGAGTGTGTATCCTCCTGGGAATATTTGTAAGTTGACGCCATAACAGAGAATCAAACCAAAGTGAACTGAACAGTTAATAGAAAAAGGTTCGTTGTTACAATACATCAGAGTTATGGAAACAGCACTTCTGTAGCCTGGAGTAAGGTTCACTACATACGATTTACTGGCTTTAATGGGGGGGCGGGCAGTTTACAATGTTCTAATATAGTTTTCAATTATGTTCTATAATGTTCTAGTAGAATTTTTCTTGTGTAAACCCACATTGAAATCCTAAATTATCTTTATACTGGTCAAGGACAGAAGCTCAGGGGTTTCTGGACACATTACACATGTACTAATCAAAAGACAACTATCTGCTCCAGAGAACATTATTACGTTTTCTGATGTGCCTTTGATGTAAATGAAATGTAAGCTCAAGAGGCCTCAGCTGTGGAGTATTGTAGACATCCAAAGGGCCAGGGGCTTCATATAATCTTACGTTGCGTCTTCAGGCTGTGAATAACATACATTCTCTCTGATGTCATATCCACAGCAGTTAACAGCAACTTCTATGTAGATAATGTTCTGTGAGTACAAACCTGGCCATGAGATGTGCTTTCAGTTCTGCATATGGAAAGACTCAGCTGTCAGACATGGCTAAGATTTCAAGATCAAAATTAAGCAATGGGCCATGGGATGCAAAGAGGAAAAAAGCTGAGCAAGATGTTGGGGGAAGAATGGGAATGGGGTGTATTTTGACTGAATGAGTATGGATTTGCTTATTGGATCATGCCACACCACTTTCCCTAAGTGTGCACTGAAAAGTTGGCTACAAGTATATGTGAGATGTGAGTATTCTGTAGCTTAAAAAAAATCTCCCTAAGACTGTACTTGTTGAAACTTTCTGGACAATCATTCAAATTTTAAATTTAGGTTTAATTTCAGTAAATTGTATTACAAAAAATAAAGACGTTAGATAACTGGGATTTTTGGTTACCTAGCTAGACTCCAGGTTTTTAGCCATCCATCAAAATGTTATGCACTACATGAGGTAAAGTGCAAGATCTTATGGTGTGGCTTCTAATCATATTGGAAGTAATTTCACCTCACACATTCCTTCTCATTCTTCAATTTAAAAAAAATACGTGTGAACCTGATAAGAAAGTAACTGCCATATACTAAATCATGGTTTCTGAAAATGGAGGTTAGACAGATTACTGTAAATTTCTGAATCTCTTGTAATTGTATAGGAAACTTTGTGTTTGTGTTGTAATGTACATATGTGAATTTTCCTAGAGAGAAGGGACTGTTCCTCCCTTAGCTATCCAAGGGCCACCTTGCCTTAAAAAGAGTAAGAGCCCATTAACCCTTTCCTTTTACTATAACCATTTCAATACATGATGTTTTTATTCTGTCTATTCACTTACTTATTATCCAACTAATATTTATGGATTGTGTGGAGTGAAAAGAGTCACAAAGTCGGTGAATTTAAAAGGAGACCTTTATTTCTAAGGCAGTTACAACATGCAGGCAAGAAGCAAAGTCTCAGGCTAAACTAGAGAACCTTGCTTCAGGGAGAAGGAAGAAGAGACAGGTAAATATGCTAAATGGGGCAGCAGGGTGTACATATTTAACAGGATATGAGAAAAGTTTATGAATATTCATGAAGAAGACCCATGCACGACTCTGGGCAGCCAGCTGATCTAAGCCAAGGGGTCTTTGAGCCTTTCATTCCCTCAAGCTGGCTTTTGAGAAAATCTAGTTGTGATTAGTAAGGGGAAGGGGGCTGGAAGCAAATGGGATGTGACCAGACTCCCATCCCACCATGGCCAGTGATATGGTTTGGCTCTGTGTCCCCACCCAAATGTCATATGGAATTGTAATTCCCCATGTTGAGGGAGAGACCTGGTGGGAGATGAATGGATCATCGGGGCGGATTTTCTCCTTGCTGTCCTCCTGGTAGTAAGTGAGTTCTCACAAGAGCTGATAGTTTAAAGTGTGTGGCACCTCCCCCTTTGCTCTCTCTCTCCTGCCACCCTGTGAAGATGTGCTTGCTTCCCCATCACCCTTCTGCCATGATTGTAAGTTTTCTGAGGCCTCCCAGTCATGCTTCCTGTACAGTCTGTGGAACTGTGAGTCAATTAAACCTCTTTTCTTCCTGAATTGCCCAGTCTCAGGTAGTTCTTTATAGCAGTGTGAAAATGAACTAATACAGCCAGGAACTTACAATTTGGGGGTCTTTTAGCCAAAGGAGGGCCTGCTAATCTGCCAGAGGGGTTAAGGACTTTCATTTCAGCCTCAAGTGGCTATGTAGGATCCACTGGTAGGTAAGACACATATATCCCTTATATTAGGGGTTCTTTGGGCTAATTTGGAAGTGCAGATGGAAAGAAATACTATGGAAGAACTTCCATTTACTAAGCAAACAGATGGGACTTTCTACCTCAGACCAGGGTAGCAGGGAAGGATTCCTGAGCAATATCTGATGGTCTGAAACTATTAAAGCTACTATCCTTAATGATCCACAAATTATCCTATCTTCAACCCCTTCAGGTTGGCTCCTCAGTCCTTTTGACAAAACCCCAGGAGGCTTTGCAAGTATTCTTGATTTATTGAATGGCAAGATGTTCTGGTCTTATCTTGCACATTTCCTGCCCCAGACCTGGAATTAGCCATCCTCAAAGGGGCACTGGCAATGAGATTTATTTACCAGGCTCTGTCGCCCAGGCTGGAGTGCAATGGCATGATCTCGACTCACTGCAACCTCCACCTCCTGGGTTCAAGCCATTCTCCTGCCTCAGTCTCCTAAGTAGCTGGGACTACAGGCATACACCACCATGCCTGGCTAATTTTTGTATTTTTAGTACAGACAGAGTTTCACCATGTTGACCAGGCTGGTCTCAAACTCCTGACCTCAAGTGATCTGCCTGCCTTGGCCTCCCAAAGTGCTGCTATTACAGGCATGAGCCGCCGCACCCAGTCGGCAATGATATTTAGATACCACAGTCTAGATGCTAGGGATTCAAAACTCAATATTTTAAAATCACAAGAGGAAACTCAACCTCTGTACATGGGAGTTTTAGTTTCCAAAATCTTAGAGTCAGATAAAGATGGTGTTATAGGATGCAGCATGAAATAACAGGAAGGAAGTGGATGGATGTAAATCCACACTTAAAGTCCATCAGCTTCAGATCCCTCAGCCTCTTAGGCTGACTCCACATGTCCAAATGGAGACACCATTACCTCCTTTAGGATCATACTTGGGATTAAATGAGGAGATGTCACTACAGCAGCAGGCACTTCTTATATGACTCAATATAGCATATTTCATTAAACGTGAAAGGCCATAGATTATGAAATGCCCTTCGACTTCCATGGCCTGGCATTGCTATTAGAATAAAGGCCTTGCCCTGACCATCCCCCTAGAGCCCCGTGTGGCCACCCAGCACCTTCAGTGTCACATCCCAGAACCCTTCTGATGGTCTGGGGTCCAGCCTCCCTGGCCACTCCAAGCTCCAGACCTCTGCACAGGCTCTTCTCTCTGCTGCAAGCATTCTTCCTAGGGGTCACTCCTCTCCTTGTTCAGATTTCACTTAAAATCACTCTGTCTAGCACGGAAAAGAAAGTGCTTTTTTGTTTTTATCCCCTCTGAATGTGGGCCTCTAAACCCATGATATAAGAGATTGTTTTTTAACCTGGTTACCAGATAATTTCTTTCCACATTCATCTAAATATAATACTCTGACTGAAGTCTCTGTTTAGAACTTAAAAATTTAAAAAGTCAAATTTTGTGTAAGTCCCTGTTAGAAAGTGCCAACTACCTGAGTGTTCTAAAGCCCTTTCTTTAAAGCATTATCAATTACATCAATGAAATATCATTTTTATCATAGCAGTGGAAATTTCAGAAACCAAGATTATTTATTTTCCCAAATTTTGATAACAGCATTAGGCCATTTTTTAAACAATGATGAAAGCAATTATAAAATGTTCTTATGGAAGTTAATCTAAGCCATCTCTAAAATGGTCACCAATCTTGCAAGCTCCAGAACTGTATGTCACAGGGAGCAAATACTGAATCCCCTCCTTATTAGCTGTGGGTCCAAGGGAAAACTATTTAGCCTATCTGGACATCAGTTTTCTCTGCTAAAAACTGAGTATAACAATAATTCTTATCTTATAAAATTGTCATAAGGATTAAGTAAAACAATGCAGGTAAGGCAAATAGAACATTGCCCAGGACTTCTGCTTCCAACCAAGAGGGAATAACAGGCCGATTTACCCTCGTGGCTGAAACAGCAAAAATCCACACAAAACATGTGAAAGAAAAATTCTAAGACACATCAGACAACAAAGAACGTTAGCCCCTGAGGGACAGGGAACAAACCAGGGGAGCGCTGATACTGCCCAGCTGACTGCCTTGAGAGAGTTCTGGCCACAACATGTAAAGGGGAAACCCAGGCAGAGAGCCGGCAGACACCTGAGTTGAGAAGAGGAAGCTGAGATTTTGCGTAGACCAAGAAGGCTAGCATTGGCAGAGCTGGAGAGGAGAGGGAACTAAAGAAATACACAGACGGTCTCGCTCATGTGTTTAATTGAGGACTGATCAGTGCAGCATGGCTGGGCAAAATGCCCTCTGAAAGGAACAGAGGTAAGAGTACCCTACTCCCACATGGGCTGGGAATAGTGTCTGTCCCCACCAGCCAGAATGGAAAAAACCACAACTCACCAGGAATTGGACCAAGTACTCAAAATGGTATTAATTCCATAGTAGGAAACAATTATCCCTAAATTGAGCACTATCTGGCCCCACCTAAAACTTAAAAGCAATACCCAAAGGAATCAAACTGTTTCCAAGTAATTCAACTGCATTGAAGAACAAAGCTCAGAATATTATAGGAGTTTAAAATATCCAGTCTCCAACAAGATAAAATTCACAATGTCTGGCATCTAATTAAAAATTGTCAGTCACACAAAGAAGCAGGAAAAATCTAAAATGATGAGCAAAATCAATAAATCAAAACCAACAACTGACATATATGTTAAAATTAGCTAACAAGGACACTAAAACAGTTACAATAACCATATTCCGTATGCTCAAAAAGTTAAGTGGAGATATGGAAGATATTTTAAAAGACCCAAATTAAATTTCTAGACATGAAAACTACAATGTCTGAGATAAAAATGTACTCAATAGGATTAATGGCAGGACAGACATTGTTGAAGAAAATATTAATGAACTTGAAAACGGGAATAGAAACTATTCAAAACAAAACTGAGGGAAAAGAGTTTTAAAATAGTTAACAGAGCATCACTGAGCTGTGGGACAACTTCAAAAGGTTCACCTGTAAGTAAGTGGAGTTCTAAGAGAAGGTGATAGAATAGAAAAAGTATTTGAAGAAATATCTGGAAAAAAATCCAGATTTAATGAAAACTATAAATTTACATGCAGATTCAAGAAGCACAACAAAACTCAAGGCAAAAAATGAAGAAACTAGAGCAAGACATATTATCATCAAATTGCTCAAAATCACTGATAAAGAGAAAATTCTTTAAAGCAGCCAGAGAAAAAGAGAAACATTTTATAAAGGAGCAAAGATAAGTATGATAGCAGGCTTCTCGCTAGAAGCAATACAAGCAAGAAGACAGTGGAATGACATCTTTAAAATACTGAAACAAAAAACTGCTAATATAGAATCCTACACCCAGAAAAGGAAAAAAAATAAAAACTTTCAAAGATGAAGGTGAAATAAAGGTGTTTTAAGACTTACAAAAGCTGAAATAATTCATCGCCAGCGGATTTACACTACAAGAAATGATAAAATGAAGTTTTTAAGGTATTCACTTCATCAAGAGAACATTATAGTCCTAATTATTTGTGGACTTAGTAACAGAGTTTCACATTATATGAAACAAAAACTAATAGAGCTGCAAGGTGATTCATAAAAGAAAAAAAACTAATAAGCTGGACCTCATCAGCATTTAAAGCCTTTCCCTTGTGAAAAGCACTGTTAAGAGAATAACAAGTAAAGCCACAGACTCGGAGAAAATATTTTCAAAATACATATTTGATAAAGGACTTGTATCCAAAGTATACAAAGAACTCTTAAAACTCATCAATAAGTAAATGAAAACCCCAGTTTTAAAATGGGCAAAAGAACTGAACATTTCACCAAAGAAGATATTCAGATGACAAATAAATATCGAAAAGCTATTCAACATCATCTTTCACTTGGGAAATGCAAATTAAAGCAACAATCACCACACACATAATAAAATGTTCTAAACACAAAAAAGACTAACAATACCAATTTTTGGTGAGGATGTGGACCAAAAAAAACTTCAATTAATTACTGGTGGGAATGCAAATGATACAGCCACTATAAAAGACAGTTTGGCAGTTTCTTGTAAATTAAACAGTCTTATTACCCAATCTAGCAATTATGCTTCTGTTCACCCTCCAAGAATGTGTGCACACATGTTTTAGAAGCTTTATCCATAATTGTCAAAAATTGGAAGCAACTAAGATGTTCTTTAGCAGGTGAATGGATAAATTGTAGTACAAACACCCAATGGAATAGTATTCATTGATGAAAAGAAGTGAATATCAATCCCCACAACAAACAACACTAGTGAAACTTAAGTGCACATTACTGACTGAAAAAAGCCAGTCTGAAAATGCTTCATGATTCCATTTACCGGATGATATAGTTTGGCTGTGTTCCCACCTAAATCTCATCCTGAATTGTAGCTCCCGTAATTCCCACACACGTTGTGGGAGGGACCCACTGGGAGATAATTGAATCATGTAAGCAATTTTCCCCATACTATTCTCATGATAGTGAATAAGTCTCACGAGATCTGATGGTTTTATAAGGGGAAAACTCTTTCACTATGCTCTCATTTTTCTCTCGTGTCTGTTGCCATGTAAGATGTGCCTTTTGCCCTCCGCCACAATTGTGAGGCCTCTCCAGTTACGTGGAACTGTGGGTCCATTAAACCTCTTTTTCTGTAAAAATTATACAATCTGCTATATGTCTTTATCAGCAGCATGAAAACAGACTAATAAACCTGACATTGTGGAAAAGGCAACCGTATAGATTGGAAAAACAAATTAGTGGTTTCAGGTGGTTTGCAGAGGATTGGGGTGGGTGTTGGAAGGTAAAGTACAGGAATATTTTTAGGTGGAAAGAGTATTCTGTGTGATACTGTAAGTGTTGGCTCAATGGCCCTACTCATTTTTCAAAATCATGGAAGTTTAGAGCACAGAGTGAACATTCATGTATGCAATTCTTTTTTTTTTCTTTTTTTGAGACAGAGTTTCACTCTTTGCCCAGGCTGGAGTGTGCAATGGCACAATCTTGGCTCACTGCAACCTCTGCATCCCAAGTTCAAGTTCAAGCAACTCTCCTGCCTCAACCTCCCAAGTAGCTGGGATCACAGGCACCTGCCACCATGCCCAGCTAATTTTTTGTATTTTTAGTAGAGACTGGGTTTCACCATGTTGGCCAGGATGGTCTCTATCTCTTGACTTCGTGATCCACCCGCCTCGGCCTCCCAAAGTGCTGGGATTACAGGCATAAGCCACTGCACCCGGCCGCAATTCTTTAAAAACATTTTTAGGAGATCTGGGGCTCCCAGGATGAAATGTAGAATCTAACTACTTGATACATCTACAAAGCAATTTCATTGAGGTTCATCAGTGAAACGGTTGGAGGAAAAAGTGGTGGTCACCTAAGTTACTTTAGAAATGAATGGGGACTATAAGACTAAAGGTAGAAGAAACTGTCTATAGACTATACTCTAGCTGTTAAGGCTGCCTCCCATGTGAGCAAGGGTTAACAATTCTAATGTTGCTGTTCATGTACACTGGACAATTAAGTAAATGGATGGCAGATGGTAGGAGTAGGTTCCAAACTGCAGGGTCAAGAGGCTATAGACAAGCAAAGGGGAAGGCAGTATGTTCTACATGGTAATGGTGAGAGTTGGAGACATCAATATGAACTCATATTTAGCTTAATATAGATGCAGGTTGTTTCATATAGAAATATTTATACATAGGTGTTTAAATATGTTAGCATATACGCCCATATTTCCTTACTCTGTAACTGAGAGAGTTTAGAAGCAATGACATCCCACTAGCACCGTGCACACCTAGCAACCAGACCTTGGTTTTAAATGCTGTTCTCCAATAAAAGAAACCAGAGTTCTTTGGGGAGATGGCTGATTCTAGGTGTGAGGTAAGAAATACACAGTATAAGCCAGGAACACCTTGTGTTGCCAGAAGGTCAGGAAGTACAAAAAACAACAACAAAAAACCCACAGTGATGGACTATGACAGGGGGATACCAGCACTAACAGAAAGAGCTCCCAAACGTCAGAGCAATTTGAGCAACAAAATAAATACCCCCAAATGTAAAGCAAATATCCATGATTCCCTAATGATACAAATCAAGGATTGACTATATAAATACATGGAAAACGATAGACAGATCTCTAATACAAAAGAATTCTAAGTAATTTATGTAGATACCGACTCCTTACACAGGTGGGCATAACTCCCCACGTGTTAAGTGTGGCTGCACAGAGGGACTTCCCTCCAAAGAGTACAGCATGGAAAAGCTGGGGGAAGTAACTTTGCAATGGAGAAACCTGGCAAACACTTCCTCAGCCAGGTGATCAAGGTTAACATCAGAAGTGATGTCATGTTGAGAATATGTGCCCTTGATATGATGTGATGAGAATGGTACTTTACCTCCAAGCTCTCTGCCCCCAAGATCCATAACACCAGTCTAATCATGAGAAAAACAGTCCTCAAAACTGCCAATGTCATCTAACAAGGGAAGTCTGAGAAACCATCAGTGAAGAGCAGCCTCAAAGACAAGGCAAGTGAATGCAACGTGGGGTTCCAGATGGGATGCCAGGATAGAAAAGAGACGTGAAACTAAGGAGATCTAAACCAAGTATCAATTTTCAGTGAGTAATATGTAGGTGTTGGATTATCCATTGTGACAGATGTGACCAATAGGAGAAGCTGGGTGCAGGGGATGCAGGCATCATCCGTGCTCTCTTGGCAACTTTTCTATAAATTTAAACTCTTCTAAAATAAAAAAGTATATTAAACTAATGATTATCTTTTAAAGATCATGCTGAGCATATTATTTATGTATTGCCACTCTTTTCAAGTGTCTGTTTTACTGTCAGTGAGACTCTCACACTGAAGTCTTGACTCTGTTGAGAAGAGGTTGTACCCTAATGATCAACACAGTGGCAGACACAGATTCTGAAGGACCCTCAGCTTGTACAGTTTTAGAGACTGCACATTTTTCGAAAATGAAAATATAGTGTTATACACACAAAGTTAAGTTAGGAGCCTTGGGAGAGCCTCACTTTCAGCAGAAGGACCCGGATGCTGTACTTCCTCAGCTTCAGGGTCCTCATCTCTGGATCAGCTTGGGAAAACATTTCTTACCCTCCTTTAGCAGTCAGTTCACAGGGTTAGGAAATTTACCGTTTCTGAGAATTGAGTATAAGTTGCGGGAATTTCGCCCAGGCAGACTTACAGATCCTACAAAAGGGGAATAAGTTGTCAGAAAATACAGCAGGCGAGAACGCAGGCTGAAGACTAGAACAAGAGGCAACACGCTCGTTCAAATCCGTCATCCTGCAAAAATCATCCCCGGAGGTAACCCGAGGGCCATCTGACAAAAATGTTACCCTTACGGTTGGCTTGTGTCAGAATTCTGAGACCTAAAAAATCGCTAATAACATTTCCCATAGCTCTCTAGGAGAAGTGGAATACTTTCATATCCTGATGAAGCATCTCTGGGTGTCAAGCAGGGCTTTGGGAGTTGAGGGAAATGAAGACGAGCCCAGCTCAGTCCCAGGCGCACCCCCGACAGCCTCGCAGGTCTAAACACGCGTGTCGGGCCCGCGCCTCCTGCGCTCGCCCCGCTGAGCCTGCAGAGCCGCTGTGGGCCGCCCGGTCAGAGCGCACGCGTAATTAGCTGCAGCTAAGCCCGGTGCCCAGCATGTTGGAGCAGGTTGGCATCCTATGTTTAAGATGCACCTGTTTACGATTAGCCGCAATGGGTTCCACAGCCCACGCCTCATTTCTTGGAGGGAAGGAAGAACTTGTTTGAGCAGTGATCACAACCTTTTCTCCCTTCCAATTCCGTGTGCCGTTTCAAACTCGTTCACCTGGTCTGCTTTTAATGTTCTTTTTCTCCAAATCTGCTGTAAACTGATTTATGTAAACTGCTAGGTAAAACTCACGAAATAATTCTTTCTTAACTGTGATAGGACGACGCAGCCTCCCAAGAATATGTTGATGCCAAAACTTCACATCTGTCCTGGACTGTGGACCCCAGAAGTCGTGCAGAGCTGCTGCAGGAGTCTCACAGACCACCCAAGGGGGCACCTCAGCGGTGGCAGACCCACCTTAACGAGTGAGAGCTAAGCTAGAGACAGAACGTGTCTGCCCTCCAGAATTTCCTCATGGATCCAGAGAGGGTAAAACGTTCTCAGAACTCCTCCAGTTAAAGACCTGCTCCCATAGCAACCCAACCTAGGGCGATCTCTGCAGATCCATACAAACCTACCGAGATCTCAGGTTCAGTGCTTGTACTGAGCAAGGGCGTCAGGAAACAGCTGGCCTGTCTCCTTTCTCTCACCTCAGCCGTCCTGTCACTGTTCCCGGACAGCCTATCCGTTCCAGGTTCTCTGCCCCACACTGATTAAGTTCCAAGGTACTCAGATGGGAGTTTGCCATGTTGGCCAATGCTGGGGGATTGTGGGCAGATGAAGGAAAAGATGATGGATCATAAGGCCTTTTTAGATCCCTGAAATTAGTCGCCTGATTCAACAATAGCAATAAGTCCTAAAATTTCATGGAGCAGCAGAGTCATTTGGAAAACTGTCACAGAGAGGCAGTTGCCCAGAGATTCTGCTTGATTGATGTTGGAGCTGGGCTGTGTGCCTTTACAATTCTAACTATACCTGAATTTGAGCATCACTGATTTACAGGTCAGCCAATTCTATCAGGTTTTCCTATGTACCAAGACCCCATGGGATAGGGACTGTACATGAAATTTCTGAGCTTACTTCTCATTCTAGTTACATTCCACTAGGGCCCAACAGTTCATCTACTCAACACATATTTATCGAATGCTTACTGGAATATCAGGGAATATATATATATACATATATATATATGTATGTATATATGTTTTATATACATGTTTATGTGTGTATATATATATGTATGAACTTGTTTGAGCAGTAATTGCAACCTTTTCTCTCTTCTAGTTCCGTGTGCCATTTCAAACTCATTCACCTGGTCTGCTTTTAATGTTCTTTTTCTCCAAGTCTGCTGTAGATATATATATATACACACACACACATATATATACACATACATATACACACACACATTATATATGTTGTATGTATTATATATAACATATGTATTACCTGATGTGTCTCAAAATATAAGTTGCTTGCAATTATAGGAAAATGGTTCAGTTTTCCACATGACTCTGCAATTCCAAAAACTAAAATACCTCCATGTACAACTATTTTGAAGAAATTATAAGTCACCCCTAAGATAAGTTTATTGACAAAAGGAAAAAAAGAGCTTACATCTCAAAATCATATTTATTAAGAACTCAAGGGATACAGAGAATAAAATAATGTACAACTAAATAATATTCATTGAATCCTAGATTTAAGATATTTCCATTTTCTTTTACCAAGGATTTTTTTCTTTCCTCATTTTTTTCATTTCTCAGGTGAACTGCAAAGATTTCTGTTTTTCTTTAACAAGATGAAGGATCTTGATTAATTATGTAATACTGTATTTCCTGAATATGGGCACTGTCTTTTACATATCTAAGAAAATAAAGCTAGAGAGAATTCCAATGCAGAGTGTAGGAAGCTCTGCTGAAGTCTGTTCTGAGGTGTCTCTTAGCTGATGAAAGGATTTTCCTCTGTTCTGGCTGAAGGCATGGCATTCTTCTAGACTTGCATATTCATCACGTTCACCCAAGACTTCCTTTGCTGGTGCCGATCGCAGTGTACATGGAAGGCTCCTGTCTTTGGTGAGAGTTTACTCCAGGCTGTCTCAGCTGCCTCCTGCAGACTTTGTGACTGTTCCGAGGGCTTTAGCTCTGGATTTCTGTGACTCTTTCAGACAGATTCCTTTTATCTCCATTTTGCTCCAAGTTTTGAAATGCCTTTGCCACTTGGGTTATTTCACAGATGCTCAGTGAAGAAGATGGAAAAGGGAATTCAAAAATACAATCTGACCCAAAGTGAAATTGTCAGCTTTTAAAGAAAGAAAGGTGATTCGATGTGCTGTGTGGCATAAACAGAAGTTGAACTTGATGTGGGGCATCTTGAATTTGTTGATCTTAAGCACAAACTGTCCCAAACTAACAATGGAGTAAGCATCCAGAGACTGAGGTTGCCCCATGAATGCTCTGTGACGACCGAAAGCTCCACTTCAGTGCTCTCCAATAGGGAGCCACTCATCACATCAGCTACTGAGCACTTGAGACGTGGCCAATGTGACTGAGGAACTCAATTGTCAGTATTATTTGATATGAATTAATTTGTCTGTAAATTGCCATCTGCAGCTAGTGACCATCCTATTGTATGGCGAAGCTCTAGATCTGGTCTAGAAGGAGTCTGAGGTCCTGTGAAACAGTTGGCACTACGTCAGAATAAAGCATTCTGTCTAGGATATCCTCAGAGTCAGCACCAGCAGCTCAGTTCCACCCCAGCCACTGTGGAGGTGACACGGTGGTGAGCGGCATGTGACCCCTCTTTTTCCTGAGGACAGGAAAGCCCAGCTGTGTGGCTTCCTTGCCTCACCTGAGCAGAACGTGGAAGGTGGATCCCCCACTGTCTCTACTGGGGACCATCAGCCAGAAAAAGTACCCATGCTGGAGAGAATTGGAGTTAAGTCAATCTGGAAGTTATTTTCTACTTATCTATCTAAGAGATTCAAAAACTAGTGTTTCCTCGAGAATGGTGTCATCAAGCACAAGATAATGAGGAAGATTGCCTAATTCAGGAAAAAATATGGAGAAATAAAACCCCACATTGCAATCACATGTAATTGGGTGAAAGCAAAGGCTCCTATTCTCTGCTGATCCACTGACAGATCTCTCGTTTAGATGCTCTGCTTACATTACCTCATTTAAAACCTGCTACAGTAAAATAAGGTACCATGTATGTAGTAAGCATTTACTAAATGCCAGGTACATTGCTAAATGCTTTCTGTGAATAAACTTACTTTTAATTTTCACAACAAACCTAGAAAGTAGTTAATAACTTGGTTTTTTTGTTTGTTTGTTTGTTTACAGTTGAGGAAACAAGCTAAAAAGCATAAGTTGGATTCAAGCCAAACAGGTCTAGTTGCAAAGCCACTAGGAACTCTATCACTTACAATCTTCTACTTTTATTGTCTTAGCCTTATTCACAGAATCTTTTGCCTAACTAAATGAATAGTAACTTATATTCTTGCAACAGCTATAGATATGGATAGATGTAGATCTAGATATATAGCATGCTCATGCTTATGAAAATCTGATTTTAAAATAATAAACATACAAATGGGGGCAAAGGTTTGGAATGACAATTAATTCCTGACTTCATAAAATGCTTCATCACAGGGTTTCATATAGAGGATGCCCAATATCCTATATTCTCTCTCCTTTGGGAAAATTTTTTAAAAATAAATAAATGCCGGGGCTGGGCACAGTGGCTCACGCCTGTAATCCCAGCACTTTGGGAGGCCGAGGCAGGTGGATCACCTGAGATCAGGAGTTCAAGACCAGCCTGGCTAACATGGTGAAACCCTGTCTCTACTAAAATACAAAAATTGGCCTGTAATTCCAGCTACCAGGGAAGCTGGGGCAGGAGAATCACTTGAACCCGGGAAGTGAAGGTTGCAGTGAGCTGAGGTTGCTCCACTGCACGCCAGCCTAGGCAACAGAGTGAGACTCTGTCTCAAAATAAATAAATAAATAAAATAAAATAAGTAAATGTTGGAGAACATACTGACGGAATAGAATGGGTTCTTAATAGATTCTATGGAATTTTTTGGTTATTTCTCCACCATTTTAGAAAAGCTTGTGCCAGTTCTTGATGACAAAGGACACGTGCTTACAACCGATTCTGTGTCTGATGGTCCGGCCCAAGTCTTTCAGGTTGCTCATTTGTGTACACACACTTTCAAATCCCTCCTTCACTCTGCTACTAATTGCTACTACTAGAGTCAGCCTGTCTCCCTACTGATATGGGAGGAATTCTGAATTTCTTTTCATTGCCACAGTTTATTACAACACCTGAGACAGAGCAGGCACCGAATAAATGTTTTGTGAATAAACAAATTTATAGACAATAAGTTAATAGATATAAAATACATTTTAAATTATGACCGACCATAAAGCCAAGCCTGGACAGTTCAGGTGAACGTTCCCGTCCACGTTTCTTTCCAGTGTCTTTCAGGTTGTGCAGGAGAGTCAGAGTCGGTGTGGAGCACGCATCTCCTGGCATGTTTAGCTTAGTTCATGGCCTCAGCGTCATTTCCACACTAGCCTTGCCCTTTGAATAATGACCAGGTGAATGCCGGGCCATGTGCAGTTGTTCTTTTCAAGTTCCTTAATTAAGGCTAGGTTAATATTAGTTCGGAAAAAAATAGGAGCTGACATCAACCTTCCTCTAAGCTTCAAATATTATCTAAAGGAAAATTATAGATATTTTAGTAAAGAAATGAGAGTTCTGCAGGACAGGCACTCCCTTTGAGGGTCCTGGAATGGCAGCATGGGTGCAAGACAGCAGAAGGACAGTGCTAACCAGTGTGCTCTTTCCCCTGACACAGCACACGACCTCCTGGCAGCCTGGGCCCCCTTCTCTGAGGTTCCTGGAGTTGACAGTGCATTCTCATAAACATTTATTAAAGGGAAAAACCCCAAGGGTGGAGGGTGAAGAAATGCATGCCTTAAAACTGGTTTGAAATAAGCAACAAAACTCTACCCTAAGTCATCATGGGAATGCTGCAAAGTTAATGGAAGAGAGGAAGAAGGAAGGAACCGCCTGTGTCTGGGAAACTGGGTGCTATATTTAATATATTAGTGATGGGCCTGACTATGCAGTGGCCTGTCTGTGAAGCTGGCTGACCAGCAAAATTGTTTTGGTTAGCAGAAATTCCGGGAGATGTGAGACATTCCAGATGGTCTCAACGGCCCAGGGCGCGAGGTGGAGTGTGAATGTGAGACGCACCCTGGGCCTTGCACACTCAAGAGGCAGCAGTGCCCTCTTTCCTATGCAAGCCCGAGGGCCATCCTGCTGCCCCTCACTCTGGAGGCACCCAGAGCCGCCCAACCAGTCCTCTGTGGTCTCCTACCCACCAGCTCCCTTCTCCTGACTCACTGGAGAGGCAGAGGGCAGTGCTTGGACAATCTGGTGTCTGACTTAGAATTAGCAAGTCCAGAGCAAAGCAACCTCAGATGAGGCACCCTCTGGACATGAGTGAAGGGCAAGGAAATCACCAAATGATGCAATGATGTCTTCATGAGTTCCAGGCACTTCCAGGAAGGGTGCAAGGGAAATGTGACTGGATTCTAAATACACTAAAGGAACACTCAGTAGTTTATGAGTGAGAGATTCATCATAGAAGTCTGAGTGCTTCTCTAATGCCATATGCGCATAGAAAAGACTATGAGTGTTTCTGTAAGGCCATATTTTCATAGAATATATTGCAAGTGTTTCTGTACTGTCATATATAGAGAATATATGTATTTCTTGCATTCCATGCATGTATATAACACATTGTGTTTTTGTAAAAAAAATTATATATATACAGACACACACACACTTTTCCAGAGTGCATCACATCCAGGTTTTCATTTTACTTTCCATTTGATAATCTGAAACCCACAGAGGCTAACAATTTAGAATAGGTCTCAGTGTTAGACAATAACAAATCTAGGATAGGATTTTACCATCCATTCTTTTCTCAACCACACTACCAAGAGCTTAAGTTACTACACATATTTAGAAAACATCTCCAACCCAAGCTGAGGAGTTTTAGAGTCTAAAAAAAAAAATACATAGTAGCATGTACATGTGTTTATTCATGACACCTCCTAAGACTGAAGTGTTCAAACCACATTGTCAAGAGAACATAGATTCCCATCCAACCCAAACCTCTCCAGTTTCCTCCTCCAGTTCAGGTTTCAGCTCCTTGGGGAGCTGGAAGAGAAAGCAAGCTGGGGATCTGCTCCTTCCTCTCTGATCAACTGCCAGTCATCCTCTGCCCACATCAGCGGCCACAACTGCAGAACCATGAGGCAATGTCACATTTCCTGAACCAACTCAAGACAATGCCTCCACTCCAGGCAGCGGCCTGCCTCCACATGGCCTCCCTCCCTCCTCCCTCCCTCCGTTTTTTCCCTAAGCACTGAGAACTTGCCATATACCAGATATGAGATTAGATGCAGAAATACAGCCATGAATAAAGCAATTATAATCCTTGTATTTGGGGAGTTTCAATGCCAGAGGAATCACATGTAAAAAGATGGTCAGGGCTGGGTACAGTGGCTCATGTCTGTAATATTAGGGCTTTGGGAGGCCAAGGCAGAAGGATGGCTTGAGTCCAGGAGTTTGAGACAAGCCTGGCATCATAGCAAGACCCCCATCACTACAAAAAAATAATTAAAAAAAAATTAGTGGGGTGTGGTGACATGAGCCTGTAGTCCCAGCTACTCAGGAGGCTGAGGTGGGAAGATCGCTTGAGCCTAGAAGATTGAGGCTGCAGTGAGCTGTGTTTGTCCCACTGCACTCCAGCCTGGGCAACAGAGACTCTGTCTCCAAAAAAAAAAAAAAAAAATTGATCAAGTGAACGATGAATCTAAACTGTCATACATTTCATAAAGAAGTATACAGGGCTATGATGGGACTGTGCCCAGGCAGCCTTCCCTGAGGAGGTGATGCAGTGATATGGGAGGGCCTCCCAATGGCCCACAGCCCAGCACCATCCAGCTGACCCCCTGCTCCCTGGGAAACGCCCTCTCTCTGCGCCATCCCTGGTGGTGCCCACTGAGCACCCAGAATGGGACCAGTGTGACAGAAGCACTGGAGTTGTATCTTATTTTGGCTGTTGTGGTGGACAAGGTAGGCTTTGGTGCTCTAGCAGAATAGAAAGAACCAGCTGGAAATGAAACCTGGGGTCTGGGGGATGAGAGAAAGGGCCAAGGGGATGGCCGAGAGGAAAAAGTGGTGTTGGAGCAGCCGTGGGCGTCCCGGTAGAAAGGAGGTCATCATAATTAGGGTGATTTCTGAACAAATTCTTTTCCAAACATCCTGGAAATGAACACTTTTCTGGCACATCTAAAGCCATTTCACTTAAAATGACTTGAGGATTCAACTTGTTCATTGAACAAACTATTGAGTGCTCCTGCGGATCTTGGGCTTGGAGGTGCGAGACCGCCTAAAACAAACACACCCTCTGTTTTCCACACAGACCTTCATATCCATGAAAATACAGGCACACACTTCCCATCACAGCGTGGTGAGATAAATATTATGAAAGGGGAAACTCTTCCTGGAAAAGTGGAAAAGTATTTGTTTACGAAAATGGCAAGCTGTTAAGGTAGTCCTAGCGCAGTTCTAGACAGCCATGCAGCAATCCACTCCAAGAACCTGCTCTGGAGGGGTGGGGGTTCAATGAAGAAAGCAGAGAGGACCCCAGGCATTATGTGTGGGAATATTCAAGACAGTGTTCTTTATTTGGGTGAGCCATTGTGAACAACAGAAAGGTGGTCTTCAGAATCAGGATGCAGATGATTTGATGAGACGGAGCACTATGCAGCCATTCACCATCCGGAACAGTAGCTCACAGGTGCAGGTGCATGGTATCAGCAAGCCTTTATACCCACTAACAGAGTTCATGGAATAGCAATGATGTAACAACAGTTGGAGGAAGGTCCTATTATTCAGTTGCCATTTGATAGAGGACCCGGAAGCTGGCAGCCGGGGGAGTGAGAGCTCAGGCTGCATGATGAAATCATCATGGAACCAGAGATTTGAACGGTTACCCTGTCTCCTCTCATGATTGTAAAAATTATCTAACGGCATGAGGAAATGCTTGTACCATGATGTAAATTTAAAAAGTGGGTACAGAACAACATGATTCCCCTTTTGTAGTTAGACACTTCCTTAACCAGAAGTAAACATTCCAAAATGTGCATCATGGTCTATTATCTTTATGTCATGGGAGCAGTGATTTTGAATTCATTTTTTAATGCTTCTTTTCCTAAATTTTCAATAGTGTTACTTTCACAATCAAAGAAATTAGGAGCACCAAAATTTGTGCAGAAAGGAAGAGAAGTTTATTCAACATTTAATTTTTATTCCTGTGCCCAAACATCCTCTTTGCATGTTAAAGAATTTTTAAACTTTAAAGTAGAATACAAACTTTAGTTATTTTATGACTCACTTTGTGCTTTGATTTCAGTAGGTCTCTTTATCCTTGAGTGCTCTGTAAACCTTTCTCATCCTCTCATCTTGCTGGAGAAGATTGTTTCCTGTCTTTGAGTACATTTTAGAAATAGATATAAAAACCATAAATTATTTCAAAATAATGAATTTATTGAGATTTCTTTATACTTACTTCTCTCTGGTCAAAAGCAGTTTATAAACTAGTTGCTAAAGAATCACTTTCAGAATTGTCTTCCAAAAACCCCTGTGCATTTTCCCCTTGTAAGTGTTTGGCACCAAACCTCAATTCTCCGGAAGTTATTTTGTTCCTTCCAACACATTTTGGAATGTGCAAACTTTAGTCCAGCTAATAAAAAATTTTTTAATAACTTGAATCAACTAAAAAAACCCTCAATTCTCACGCATGTATACTCCCTATCAGATACTGTCATTGCTCACCCTCCCGGCTGAGTCTTGCTGTGTCATGACCTTGAAGAAGGTCGGTTCTGGATGAAGACCCCTGACGTTCCACCCAAGGAGTAGGTGCCATCCACAGCATTGGTCTGGAGCTGCCTGTCATCTGATATCCCCTGGCCCTTATTGCAAATGCTCCTGAAACCTCTCTAGAACCAGTGGCCATCATGCCCCTATTGGTGTCAAACATACCACAGAGTTCTGCAGGTGACAAGAGCGCCAAAATGCCCATGACAAGAGTGCAGAAGGATGCCAGAGGGTGTGGGCCCTGCTCTCCCCACCCTGCCCCTGGGTGCTACTTGTCAGGCTGGTGCTGGTTTCTGCCTGGGCTTGGGGTTGCTCGAGCTACAGCCCTCGGCAAGCACCCTTTGCAGCCAGTGTAGACACCTGGTCACTGCTTCACCATCTTGTTCCTTTCTTTTTCTTCCCCAATATATACAAATTAAATATTTTTGTAACCCAACTTCCAGAGCTGTTTGAAAGGTGGTAAGTGAGCGGGCACGCACATGCATATGTACACATGCACACACATGCACATACACAGAGACCTCACATATCCTTGGGTTGCAAACTCCAAGTCATATGAACTTGGACTCTGGCTCCCTTTTCTTTGCCAAGATTCATATTATTGAGCAAGCGAGAAGAGTTGGGCCAAAACAAATCAAGTGATTCCACAGGCACATTGTGAGGTGCAGAGCTAGCACTTTTGATATTGTGTAATTAAGGCTGTAACAAACATCACACAGGGAATTAGCCTCCAGATTGTGGTAGAAATAAATCTGCTTGGCTTTGAAAAGTTTTCCTTAAAAAGAAATATTTTGTTTCCAGTATCTGTGCAACAGAGAGCAAGCTTGCTGTCCTTGACACAGGAAGTAGATAACACCTGTCAGTAGAATTCAAACCACCTGCTCGGGGGCCTCAGGGAACTGAGCCCACAGCTGGCCTCCGGCTCTCCCCTTACAGGCCGCACCTCAGGCTACAGAGGAGCTTCAGAGTGGGCAAAATCCTTTACATTAAGCACAGAAGACCCCAGCTATATAAATCATCACAAGTTGTGGAAATTCCCCCTGGGATAAAGAAAGGTTATACTCCCATCTTCAGGATTGCATGCTGCCAAATGCAATTTGGTATTTTACAGGCTTCACAAGTCTACACGGTGTCCTTGTTCCCTGTAAAAAAACACAGCAGTAAAACACAAGTCCTAGTACACTGTGTCTGTTCTTCAGAAAGCAAAGCCACTGGAGCCTTTACCCACAGACTCATGGACAAAAGATTAACCGCAAGGCCAGAAGGAACAGCCTCGCCTGGATTTCTCTACTCCGCCATGAGGCTGCTCTGTGTTATTCTTGGGAAAGCCCTTCCTGGCCTAACAAACATCAGTGCTTAGCAGACTTTTGCCATAAGCATTCTTTGTTCTGTTATTTTAAAATATTTAATGAATCCTGGAGTCTGAAGGAGTCAGCAGGCCTGGCACCGGAATCGTACCCCCCACATGCGTTTTTGCCATGGAAACCCTGAGATGCCCTGGGTAATTCACTCCCAAATCTTCTTTTTTTAGAACTTCCGAGATGAAATTTAAATCGGCTATTGACAATCTGAACCTAGCAAGAAAGAAAGTTGGAAACGGAGGTGAATGAACTTAGAGTCAACAGTATATGGACCATCTCACTGGGACAGGGATGGGAGAGGTTATTCCTCATGATCACACTTCCCTTGTTTCTCCTCCTTTATTTGTATCCTAAGAACTACCCCTCTCTTTTCATTAATACATAGAAGAAGGATGTATCATTGCAATTGGGACTACTGCAAAAGGATTCTGGAAATGTGAAATCACCTCCTAAATATAAAGATGAGTGCGTGAGGATTTTTGCTCGCATCATATGAAAAGTGATCCAAGTGTGCAGCAAAGGCTCCTCCTCCCGTCCGTGTATGAATTCTTTGTATATGTGTGCCACATGTCAGGCTGCTTACCGAGAAACGGGTCTTGCTTTCTGAATCACACATGTGGTAGAGGTGCCAACTCTGATGGAAAGAAAACTGGAGAAGCGGCTCACCCAGCCGATGCCTGTGTTCAGGAACAGGGCCTACAGGCCACCGAGTGCCCCCAGTGCAGAGCCAGGTGTGGCTCAGGAGAGGTCCAAAAACCACCTGATTCACAGCTCTCCTGAGTCACAGTCCCTCTGAGGCCCATTACCTGTGCCAAACATGAACGGTCTTCCAAGAGTTTGGGAGGGAAATGGAGAGGAATGTGGCATAGAAGTGAAAGGCCCAATGGCTTTGCAGACTTTCCTCCTGTCCTCAGCCTCTGACTCGTACACACACCCATGCACATATGCACTTGAAGGCACACTTCATTCACACCCAGACGTGGTCCTGGGAGTGCTCGAGGGTCTCTGATCCCAGGATGTGCATGGAATCTCGCCTTTCTCGCGTGCCACAAAGGCTCTGCAGAAGGAGAGTAATGCCGAGACTGGAGGGGAGGCAAAGGGAACCCCACACGCAGCTACACCTTGCCCTCCTCTCTGCTCTCTGCACCCAGCCTGTCCCTCCCACCCACACCCGTGCAGGCCTCTCTCCATCCATCATCTCCTTTCCCTGCTAATCTTCAACCTTTCCTTCACCACCAAAGCTTCTCCTCCACGCAGTAAAGTCCATTAACAGTTAAGACCTTGATGGCAATTCTCACTAACTGAACACTTAATGTAGACCAGGTTCTCAAATAAACACTCCACATGCATTTTCCTCACTGAATCCTGGAGGTGGTTCGATTTCAATGCCCATTTTAGAAATGTGGAAACCGAAGCTTAGAGTTCTGTAATCTGCACAAAACCAGACACAACTCATTGGTGCTGCACAGGCCCCAAGCTGCCTGAGTTCTCAACTCCATGTTCAGCGTTACCCATAAGCATCTCACATCTCAAAACCAAAAGCAGGCTTCCCAGACCAGGCACACTTGGTTCACAGGGAAGCAGCGATTCTCGGCAGGTCTTCTGATCTAGCTCCCTAGGCTTCAGCCTGCTGTCTCCTTCCTCCAGTGGGTTCCTCTAACCTCCCCCTGCCAGGGAGGTCCTTCCACACTTCCTTGGCTCCATCCTCACACCACCCCTCACTGAGCCCACCCATAGGCTGCAGGAATCTGAGAGCCTCGTTCTGTGCCTGCAGTTCTCATGTTCTTCAGGCTGACGTCCACACCTCATGCCACAGCCACCGAATGTCCTTCCTTTCTGCCTTCCAGGAGGATTTACTGAACACCTGCCATGGGCCAGGCGCTATGTTGAGTGCTGGGTGTTGAAAGCTGTCCTCACTGAGCTGGGATCTCGTAGGAAGGAAAGGAATGAACAGATGAAGTGACAGACAGCCCTGCCCCAGAGGATCCGAGCCTGGGGCTCAGAAGAGCCTGCCCTGCTTCCTCATGGTCTGGAGTGGGAGTGAGGGATGGGGTGGGAGTAAAAGGATAACCTGTGTGTTTCTGCTTCTACTGCATCTCATCCTGCAGACCAACTTAAAGATCTGAAATGACATCTGAGCACCTAAATATAAGCTTTCCTGAATTCCCAGTGCTATAATAAACTGCCACATATGCAAGTAACTTGGATTTTAAAATTACATGGAAATTGGAAATTTGACTTTCAAAATCTGCAACTTTTCTTAAAAGCTTTGTTTCCGTTTCCGTGACATATCTGTGAGCTTTTCACGGGGACTACGAAAACAAAGCTTGTGTTTTTAAAGACTTTCCCTTTGTCTGGAGTAAAGCATGATAAGAGAAGACCTGGCCCTAGCTGCAGCCAGGGCTGCCTAGCAGTGAGCGGGCCTGGGCTGCGTCTCAGGAACAAGCGTCCCTCTCCCTCCACTTCTTGTAACTCTTCTCTGTGTCAGAAACAGCAAATGCCCACTCCTTGCGAGCAGCTCGTGCAAACTGAAACTACTCATGGGTCTGACTGCAGGGTAAAGACAGATGGGGCTACATAATCCCAGGGAGGTGCTGTTGCTTAGACTCCCTACATCAGGAGTAGAAAATGCAAGACTCTGCAAAGCTCCCAAACAAGCTGGCATGACACCCCGAGAGAAACGTATGTGATCAATACAAGGACTCTAAAGATTGTGTTTTATAAGTTTTGGGTTGTTTTTGGTTTTGCTTGACTTCCTGGCTTTTATGCTTTAAAAAAGAGAAAGGAGAGAGAGGTGGGGGGTGGGGGATGGCATGCATGTTCTTCCCCTCTCTGTTTCTGCCAGCCTCCTCTTTTGATATTAACTGGAATTAACCCCTTTTCAAACAGTAAGACTTGAAGGAAATGTGATCATGATCCCCCTAATGTGAACCTGTCAGCTGTTCTCAGCTATAAAGAAATAAGCACTGGGCCCTCCATCCCACACGAGTTTGTAAATCATCTCTGCATAAAGGAGGTCAGGTGGTCTCCGTACCCTGTCCCTCCTCCACACTGGGGCCCAGCCTCAGAGGTGAAGATACTGCAGGTATTGTCCAGGGAACACTTACAGGGGAGGGTGGCAGTGAGCAACACCTGCTGGGTGGGCAGATGGAGCCCCCATATATCCTGCCCAGGCAAGTGGTGTCTGGAGTAGACCCCCTGTGGGAAGGTCAGGGAGTGAGGGAGGCCCATTCTCGCCCTCGCCCAGCCCAGCACATGCCTGAAAAACAAAGGACGAGGCCACTGTCCTTACAGACTGACAATGGACAACATTCATCAGAAAACCTGCCTTCCAGGCTCCAAACCCTCTGGGTAGGCTGCACACGTTCCTCATGGCAGTGGTATCCAAAGCACAGCAAGGCATCCCAGGCCCACTGGGACTGGGAGGAGCAGGAGACAGAGGAAGGAAAGGAGACGAAAACCCCATCCTCCAGGCCCGCAGATCTAGGAGGTGACTGTGGAAATGCGCCTTGTTGGAATGAGTACAGAGTTGCATGGGAGAAACTGGTGCCAGCTTTGCCACTTACGGTTTCACATGATAAGGCTCTGGTAGAGGGCGGTGGTGAGGGCAGCAGCCCTAGCTCATGCGCGCTGCGTCCAGGAGCTGTGCTCACTACTTGGCATGCATTCACGCATTCTTCACTTCTCTCAGCTGCCTTTGATGACATTAATCTGGTGATGCCCACCTTGCAGATGAGGAAACAGGTTTTGAAAGATGACACCTGCCCAACCCAGAGAGTAAAGAGCGGGAATACAGGCCCAAGATTCTGTATCATGGACTCTTAACCACCACGTTCTGCCCTTTTCTTTGGGTCTGTCTTTTAATCTGTAAAATAAGATTAATAATACCTACATTACAGGACTATTGTAAGGATTAAATAAATAATATATGTGAAAGCATGCTATAAAATAAAAATTGTCTCTTTGCAAACATTGTTATTATAACTAGAAATCAAGGAAGGATGCAAAAATATTCTTATTTGAAAAGAAGGAAAACCAGAAAGAATAGAGTTTAAAACAGCAACCATCCTTCACCCCACACCTGAAACCTCCTCTCTCTGGGACTTCATCAAATGGGCCTCACCAAAATCAAGGTTTGTTCATCAAATGTCTGATGCTAAAGTTGCTCATCTTAACTCTAAAGTCCATTGTTCGTGGACATCAGGTAGGGCTGTTGATTTTCATTCTTACCAAAGTTGGTTTCTGTCTTCCAGGAGCGCAGCTTCCAGGAGGGTTCCCATTTGCTCCACTGCTCTGTCTTAGGAATTTTAAAATCCTATAATTTTATTCTCACTTGAGCTCTAGACTTTCATCATGTAGTTCAAATGAACTTAGAGCCTGAGCACATTTAATTTCTCTCCCAATAAGTCTATTCAACAAGCACAATGAAGAGTCTAAAAAAAGAATTCATTTTTACCATGGAGTACACAGAAGTAAGATACCCAGTCATGTTTTTTTTTTTTTTTTTTTTTTGGATGGAGTCATTTTTACCATGGGGTACACAGAAGTGAGATACCCAGTCATGTCTTTTTTTTTTTTTTTTTTTTTTTTTTGGATGGAGTCTTGCTCTGTCACCCAGGTTGGAGTATAATGGTGCGATCTCAGCTCACTGCAACCTCTGCCTCCCCTGTTCAAGCCATTCTCCCTGCCTCAGACTCCCAAGTAGCTGGGACTACAGGCATGTACCACCACTCCTGGCTAATTTTTGTACTTTTAGTAGAGATGAGGTTTCACCATGTTGGCCAGGCTGGTCTAGAACTCCTGACCTCAGGTGATCCACCCACCTCAGCCTCCCAAAGTGTTGGGATGATAGGCGTGAGCCATCATGCCTAGCCCCCAGTCATGTCTTGCATACAAAAATCCACATAACTCCACATCTGGCAAGTCCAGCTGTGCAACCTGCAGTCAGTGCACGTCTGCACACCATTCCCAATGAAATGATGCATTTCCCAGTTCCAGCATGAGAAGATGCACCAAAGTTTGCCTCACTACTGTCAAGAGGAAATAATGGCCTTTCACTTATGGTTACTCTGAAAAATGCATTTTATTCTTTGTCAAAATCTTAGCTCCCTCGTGTGTATTTCCTCTATTTCTCTGTTTCTCTGCCCAACAGGAAATGCTCCTACAAAAACCTTTCCGAGGCAAGCACACTGGTCCTACAGTCGGGGGACCTGGGATCCAGCCTCACTCTGCCATCCACCCACTGCATGACCTCAGCACAAGGGAGTGTTTTCAGGCCTCACTTTCTTATCTCCAAATGAGGAGCAGGAGGAGATTCTTTAAGCTTTACCCCAGTTCTGAATATCAGTGACTTCCCAGAGCCACAGAAATGCCATCCCAGCTCCTCAGAGCTTGCGCCTCTTGTCTCCTGGCACTTCTGCCTTGTCGGATTAAGAACAGAGCCGCTTGGGGCTGCAGAGCTGGACATTCCACCAGTGTCCAGCTGGACAGTGAAGGATCCCAGAGCCACAAGAAATCCAGCTGACATTTCCCAGGGAGATAAGCCAGAGGGCGGGGGCCGGGAGCCTTCCAAGTGCAGGACATGCAGACACATTTTCACAACACTCTAGAATGTTCCCAATCACTCAAAAGATAAAAAACATGAAAATCTTGAAGAGTCTGAATTCCTACTTAACGTTATCAAGATGAATCACTTAAATACAAAGGGGTAATTTAGCAACTTTAGAGAGGATTTTGCTCTTTCTTAAGCCCCAGCGGTTTCCAGGGTTTTTTTCTTAGGTTACTGTCTGCAGGAAAGATGTAACAATTCTCTTTTCAAAAAGTACTTTTGCTACCAATTAGCCCATAATTAAACAGCCCCTAGGCCACAGTTTCTGGACTTCCATTAGAATGAAAAACACTCTCTTAAGGCAACAGGTATCTAATTATTGATGTTTTAAAATGAAAACTGTTCTTCATTTCTCTGTAATTCCCCCAACTCCCTCTATTACTTACAACCAGAGGGATGTTAATCATTTGTCAAGTATCTGTAGGCAGGGAAGAACTGGCTTTCCTTAGAGTAGCATGCTGTCAAAAAGACAGCCTGGGTTTCACGTCCCTATAATCTGTATCATGGTATGCAGATTACTGTGACACAGATACAGATATGGAAACTATATATATATATATACACACACACACATATACACACACACGTTTCATCATAAAGGCTGAAACCTTTGTCACTTGTTAAGATATTAACGCAACGTCTTAAGAAGGTGGTTCATTGACAAAAACATTTCTCTGGGCTTGAATTTTGCAGAAAGAAACATTGCAGGAAGTTTTTAAATTGCATTAATTACTCATGAACTTAAATACCCATGAACTTTCAGATCTCTGTACTCATGGTCAATCCGCTAGTGAGACAGGGCCCACGTAGGAGGTTTGAGCCAAAACAACAACAAAAGTGCCTGATTCTGGAAGACTCCATCTCCAACCAACTTACACATTCCATGTTACACAATCATCTTACACATTCATGTGTCTTCAGAGACCCTAGAAACTGCCAGGAAGAAGTATCAGAATGTCATCCTCATCACCACTAGCTTCATGGCAGCTGACATTTATGGAACACTTATAAGCCAAATCCAATACTAAGTGCTGTGTGTGTGTGTGTGTGTGTGTGTGTGTGTGTGTGTACATATATATGTATACATATATACACTCATTTAATCTTTATTTAAAAATCCTGTTGGGCAGGTTCTCTGGTTACTCCCTGTTAAAAGATGAGGAAACTGAGTCTTACTGTGGAGAAAACACCAAAGTTCACTCAGGTAGGAATGGGTGGAGTCAGGTTGGACCCACACAGACAGGTTTCAGAGCCTGAGAACTATACTGTTCTGTCTCTGTGTGCTACCCTGTCTGTGCCTGCAGTGTGGTGTCAATTCCAGGAAACACAGGGCCCAGGGACTCAGGGGACATAAAGGCTTAAGGACACATGGCTTCAGGTTCACCTGATGATATTCCAAGAGTCTCTGCATGCAGGTGACATAACCCAACTCAAACTAGTACCCACAAGAGGGGAGGCTAATCAGCTCCCACCGTGGGGTCAAAGTCGGTTCCTAGACACCACAGCCCTTATACTTAGTAATGCCAACGAGAAGAGAGGACCCCCCACCACCAGCAACTTGAGAAGATTCCTAGCATGTATTGGCCACAAGCAGATTTTATGTGCATCCCCAAACTAAATATTGTGACAAGGTAGATGAACTGTGGTGATGGGGGAGGTCTGAGGTTGTGATCTCCCCAAAGTGAAGTGTCCCCAAAGAAAATGAGGTGGGAAAAGTTTGGCTCTCCATAGGAAACTGGGAAGGCTTTCACCCCACGGTGGAGCAGGCAGAATGTTCACAGGAAAAGAGATGTTTATTACAGTGGACTCAGTAACAGGGAGGTCAACCTTATAGGAGACGCCTAAGAATGCCTGGGAATCTGGGGCTTTTAACAAAAAAAAGTGCTTTCTATTTTTAAATACTTTTCATAGTTTTGGGCCTTTATCGTGTAGAAAATTCCAGAGTATCTTACATAATTTGTAAATAAGGGCAACCAAACTTTACATAATAATGAAATTGAGATTATCTTAAAGAATCATCAGCCCACACAAATGATTTCTGCCCTAAGTGGAAGAACTGTAGAATCAGTGAAACACACCAGTGAGTGCTGTATATACAAGGGGGAGTCTCAATAAATGCTAGTGTCTGATTTATATATTGAATAAACAAGATTTACATCTTAGTCCATTCACTGTATCATAAATTCTTACTAATTTTTCATGAGCCAGCGAGTGTATATTTACAAGTAAGACATAATATGATTGTAAAGCTCCATTACATCAACATTTACATTTTATGGACTTCAAAACGATAGCATGCTGTCCCATTCTCATATAAGACTCGGAACTCTGTTCCATAATTCAGTTCTGCAACATTTAATGCAGGCCTATTAGGTGCATGTGACAGGTGTTTGTGACAAAACAAAACAAAACATAACAAAACAAAAACAAAAACAAATAAACACCATCCCTGTTCCTGTTGGCAGGGAAGACAAATATGTTAACGTATCTCCTGTTGTAAGTGCCATGATAAAGGTAAGCAAGTGCACTCTGGAAGCTCACATAGGGGTTACTTGACTCAATTTTAACCAATAAGGAATTTAGCTAGAAAGGGTGGGGAGTGGTTTCAAGCAAGGGAAATACCAAGAGCAAAAGTAAGGAAGCATGAGGTGGCACAATGTGTTCAGGGAAACAACAGCAGTTTGATCCTAGACAGCACACTGTCTGACAGAAATCTAATGTGAGTCACAAATAGAAGCTGCTAGTATAACTTAAAACATTTCTAATAGCCACACTAAAATTAAAAATTTCTAGTAGCTGTACTAAAATTGAAAAACAGCTGAAATCAACTTTAAAGTATATCTTATTTAACCACATAGATTCAAAATGTTGCCATTTCATCATGATACCAATATAAAAATTACTAAGGAGGCATTTGACAGTCTTTTTTTCAAATAGCAAGTCTTCAAAACCCACTATGTGTTTTAGACTCGTGGCACATCTCAGTTTGGACTGGCCCCCATTCCAGTGCTCAGCAGCCACTGTGGCTGATGGCTCCTGTATTGGACAGCACCGTTCTAGAGCAACAAGTATGAGGTGGGGAGTGTCTAAACACAGCTCGGGAGGTAAGCAGGCAGTCAAACAAAATCCTTCAAGTACCTCATTGTGGAGGTCATGGGAAGCAATGAGGGCTGCATCACTTTGAGAACTGAGTGAAGGATGGATTGCAAGAGAACAAAACGGGGGGGTGGATGGCTACAGGGTCCTGCTAGATTTGAAAAAGGGTGAAATTAGGGCCAATGGTAGTAGAACTGGGAAGACACAAACATTGGGGACAAAATGTCTGCAGGATTTTGGTGAATTCAATGTGAGAAAGAAGGTGTGAGGCATGAGTTGAAGATGTCTTCCTGGTTAAGAGCCAAAAGATGGGGGCTACAGGAAAACAACTGATTGGCACACTCACATCATTCTCCCTTACATCACATGCAGCCCCCGGTGCATGTAGGTTGGCTCTGGTGTGGGTCTTGACCAAGAGAGGAAGGCCTGGCATGAATGAACACCCAAGGTTATTTCCATGGGTACTGCCAGAGCTTTGGAGGTTCTCAATGCAGCCAAGACCTCTAGTAGACAAGGACTCTTCCCAAATATGGTATTCACATTTGAGAAAAAAGTGTAGAATAAGATGTTAAGCTTGGTTGGGAGGTATTGATGCCCCTATCAAAAGGGTGGCATAACCATGACATCCAGAAGCTTCTAGCTCGCCAGGTGGTCACAGTGTCAGTATTAGCAATCCAGCTCCTGGTCTGCGATGAAAGAGAGCACCTACATATGCAGCAGTGTTAAAAACAGTCATCCTCTGAAAACCTGCAGCTCTGGGACTTTTCAACATCACCACAAGGTACGTTTCATGGAATAAGCAAAAAGCTGCAGGGTCAATTACACCCAGGCACCCCCAGGTCACAGCAATGCCCAAGGGGAGCTCTATCCAGCTATCCCCAGACAGGGCTATTGCAACATTAAAGGGAGAATTCCCGAGCTATAGAAGCAACTGGTCACATAGGATTTGAAGCAGCATTGAAGAGCATGGCACGGACTGACAGGTTACATGGGAAACCGATGTTTTAGATAGATAGGAACTTAGAAAATTCTAAAGTAGGGATTGGAAGGCATTCTTCATTATTCTTTTGACTGATAGCTCAAATCTTAGGGGAACAGTAAATACTTGGCATTGGGAACTCAGTGAATGTCAATGTGGGCTTGAAGTGAATGCTGCTAGACCGATAAGTTGCTCAGCTGCAAGGGTCAAGTGATGTGCACTTGCTGGGCTCAGGCTCAGGATGAGCAGCAATGGGCAAAGCGAAGGGTGAGTTCCTTGCCCTATCCTTAGGTGCTCACTCAAAAAGCACATTAGAAAGTGAAGTAGGAGACCAGAAGAATGGAATATGGCTTGTGTTCAATCTGGGGAAATCCACCACCTCACAAGGATAGAAGCATTGCAGGTCAGCTTTCCAACATGGCACACATATTTGTGCATCAAGGAATAGTAGAGCCTTGGCTCCTCTGTGAGGGTTTTAAATAACTCACTCCCCCAGATTTTATTTTGAGAAGACTTCATTCATTAAAATAAGAAAAGGGGGAATATTGAAGGAATTTCCTAGAGCAAAACTTTCAACGGAAGAAACATAAATAATGGTCTAGCACAGGAATACTCTCTTCATCATTCAGGGCTCCAGAGCACAGGAAGAATCTCATCATCATTCAGGGCTCCAGAGAAATACAATGTATTTATTCTCTTCTGAATCAAGAACCCTTGTCATTTGCTCCTTTACACAAATCCCCAGTGTTACAAAGGATACTGGAACTCCATGTGCCTCTCTGCCTGTGTGGACATAAACCACAGAATACAAGGAATCCACCAAGCCTAGCTTTCCCCCTTTCTTTCTTTTTCATCCAAGACACACTTACCTATTGCTGACCTCATAAATGCTAAAAATAGTCATGTAGCTTCTCCCCTCAAACGTGGTTTGATGAAATCCATGAGGAGTTCATGTCAACGTTTCAGACTCTGAAACATATCAGGGTTATTTTAAGTGGCAATGAACAAATCCCAAATTATATCCTAGGATTCAGACACTTATTCATCTTTATCCAAATATTTTGAGCTGAAACTCACATAAAATAAGATTATCCACCAGAAATTCTAATACTTCAGTGAAGGGGTTGGAGGAATAAAGGTGCTGACCTAAGTAACTTTTAAAACAAATGAAGTTTATGAAAAAAGAAAAGTAGGTTTGCAGAGACCAATGAAAAAATAATAATAAATGAAGTTTGTAAGTGTAAAGGCAAAATAAATTGTCCATAAGCACTTTACTTTGATTAATAACATTGTTCCCATGGGGTCGTGTGCTAACAATTCTGATACTGTATAGAGGTACACAGGAACTGAACAATGAAACAAATGCATGTCAGATGGTGGGAACCTGTTTTTCACTGTTGGAGGGGAGAGGTTACAAGTAAGCAAAGGGACAAGGCTAGAAATGTCCACGGGGTAATGGATGAAAGTGGAGACATCTGGATGAAGAAACTCCTGTTTCATTAAATACATATTTATTAGATAGATAGATAGATAACAGACATACAATTATGTATAGATAAGTGTATATACAGTGGTTACAGTACACACACGTATCTTCTTGCTCTGTAGGCTGAGAAGACCCAGAAGCAAAGGCACCACAATAGCAATAAGCACACCCAGCACCCAGATCTTGGTTTTTAGCACTATTGCCCAAGGAAAGGAATCAGAACTCGCTGGAGAAACTAATTCAAAGACTGGAACAGGGAATGTGAAAGGTGCTGCCAGATGTATCCACTAGACAAAGTTGGAATAAAGTCGAGCAACAAAATAAAATAATACTGGATCATGAGAGAGAAGAGACAAATATGTGCAAAATAATTCTAAATAATTTATGCAGTCATTTCACCCTGAAGGAGGTGAGCCTAACTCCCCACTCCTTAAATGTGGGCTGTACACAGTCACCTCATTCCAAAGAGCATGGGAGGGGAGTGGGTAGCTTCACAGAGGAAACACCTGACCAGCACTACCACAGCCAGGTGACCAAGGTCCACATCAGCAGTGATGAATCATGTTCATGGTATGTAACCTTTGCATGATGTGATGGAAGTGGCAGTTTATCTCTGTGCAGAAAACCCACAACACCGATCGAATCATGAGAAAAACATTTGACAAATCCCAATAGCAGGACATTCTACAAAATACCTGACCAGCTTTCTTCAAAGTTGCTAAGCTCATCAAAAACAAGCAAAGTCTGAGGAATTGTCATGGCAAATGGGAGCCTAGGGAGACAAAATGACTAAATGTAACATAGGTACCGGGACAGAAAGAGCCCATAAGGCAAAAACAAGGAAATCTATATAGACTTGTTAATAGGAATGTGTCAATATTGGTTCTTTAATTATACTAAATGTACCACACAAATGTAAGATGTTAATAATAGGGGAAATTGGGTATGGAGTATATTGGATTTCTCTGTACTATATTTGCAACTTTCTATACATGTAAAACTATTCTAAAGTTGAAAGTTTACTTTTAAAAATAAGAAATGAAACAAGAAAAAGGGTGATTTTAAATGAACTTTCTAGGCATGGTTCACATTTTGGGTAAAGCCTTCATCTGCTCTTATGGAACTTATACCAACATGCAACTGGATAAATCATAAAGCAAAGAGGTTTATTTAGCTCATGGTTCTGCAGGCTGGGAAGTCCAAGATTAGGCAGCCAATCTGGTGAGGGCCCCGTGCTACTTCAACTCATGGTGGAAGGCAGAAGAAAAAAGGTGTTTGTGAAAAAGACTAAACAGGAGAGGCAGCCTTGCCTTATAACTCACTCTCTCAGGAACAAATCCACTCCTGCCAGCATCAATCAATTCATAAGGGATCTAGCCCCAGAAACCAAACTCCTCCACTGGGCCCCACCTCTCCACTTCACTGCGTTGAGGACCAAACCTCAACATGAGTTTTGGTGGGGACAGACCATATTTAAGCCATAGCAGTACACAAACACATGATCACATGCTAGGAAAGAAGATGCCCATCTCTACTTAGAATTCTCCAAAAAGTGGCAGGACCGTGACTGCTATGGGAGACAAGAGCAGTGATCAGAGGGTGCAGAGTCCTGTACTCTGAGAGCAAAGGAGAGTGTTCTATGCTAGTTGTGTAGCAATAAACATTCCAGCTGTATTTTTGCACATGCCTTCCTTATCACAAACCCAGGGCTAGCTTTTGGTTTCAAAAATATGCATACAAAGCTATAAATATTTATTTGCACTAGGGAGAAAAATTCTGATATCTGTTTTGTACTAATTTAAAAATATGTCCACAATGCTTTGACACTCCATCCTACAGGAGGTGGAATCTAATTCTGCTCTTTTTGAGGGTGGGCTAGGCTTAGTGGCTCACTTTGAATGACTTGAATAAAGCAGATGTGATGGTGACTGACATCACAGACTGGGTCATAAAAGGTATGGTGGTCTCTCTCTTCTGGGTCACTCATTCTGGGGGAAGTTAATCTCCCTGTCTAGAGGTCACTGTGAAGCCTGTGGAAAGGAACTGAGACCTCCAGCTGTCAGCCGCATAAGTGAGCCTTCTGGGAAGCAGCCCCCAGCCTCAGGGAAGCCTTCAGAAGGTACAGGCCCTGCTGACACCTTGCCTGCAGTCTCATGAGGGGGGTCCTGAGCGAGAGCCTCCTACCCAAGACACTCGTGAATTCCTTACCCTTAGACACTGTGAGATCATCCATTTTTCTTGTTTTAAGCCAGCACATTTTGGGGCAATTTGTTAGGCAGCAATGGATGACTAATACATGAAGCTACATGGATGGAACATGTGAACTTAGAAGGGGATGGATCAGAGATTGCCTGAGTCTGGCTTTTTTCTCCCACCTGTGTAGAAAGCCTGAAGTAATCCCCATTCTGACTAAAGATAATTGGGACAGCAGAGTAAGTGAAGCAGAATTGGTCAGGTACAATGCCTGAAAATTTGGAAGGAAAAATGGTAGCTTGCATAACTCAAAGCAAATTAGTATCTACAAAATATATATCAGGATTTTATTGAAGCGTATAACAAATATTTAAAAAACAACCCTGTGAGAAAACTGAATAATTGGTGATGGTAGTATATTTGGCAATCTTATGAAACGATCTGAATAGATAAGAATAATGTGTAGGAAACGAGAATGTTTAAGTTTAATAAGAACAGATGAGAGTTCTGTATTGGGGTTTTTAAAAAAACCAAGTTTTTTGTTTGTTTGTTTTTGTTTGTTTGTTTTTTGAGACGGCGTCTCGCTCTGTCACCCAGGCTGGAGTGCAGTGGCGCGATCTCGGCTCACTGCAAGCTCCGCCTCCAGGGTTCACGCCATTCTCCTGCCTCAGCCTCCCGAGTAGCTGGGACTACAGGCGCCCGCCACCACGCCCGGCCAATTTTTTTCTATTTTTAGTAGAGACAGGGTTTCTCCGTGTTAGCCAGGATGGTCTCGATCTCCTGACCTCGTGATCCACCCGCCTCGGCCTCCAAGAGTGCTGGGATTATAGGCGTGAGACACCGCGCCCGCCCTAAAAACACCAACAATTTAAATGCAAGTTTGGGAAACCAGGTTGTTTGCCAGAAGTTCATGAGCAAAAATCCGTCAATATGAGCCACTTGTGATGCAGCTGTCTGCAGAGCTAATGAAACCTTTTGCAGAAACAACAGAAAATGGGGGATGGGGTGAGACCCACTGAACTCCGGGAGGATCAAAACTCAGCCGTAGGACTTGCCCATTTCGAAAGCCCCAAGATGTCAGGCAGGACTGCGAGGCAGGGAACCAGCCCCGAGAGAATCTTGGCCCTGGCGCTGTGAGGAACCGTGAGAGGAACAGAAGAGGTGTTATGTGGAAGCGAGTCCCAAGGTGCGGTTGTGAGACGGCCTTCACTGTCTCAACGGAGCAGACAGGTCTGTGCAGCCTTGCTCTTTACAAACGGAACCCGGAGCAACGAATAACATTGGAGTAAAGAGCTTTATTTGAATAGGGAAGTATTCAACAGTGAAATCAACTGCCTTGAAAAGTCAGGAGTGGTGAGCAAGGCCTGTGCGACAGGTTGGGGAGCCAGCCAGACTACACTGCAGCTCATTCGGGCACTGAGCCTGTGAAAAATGCGGATGCAGGCCGGGCGCGGTGGCTCACGCCTGTAATCCCAACACTTTGGGAGGCCAAGGCGGGCAGATTACGAGGTCAGGAGTTCAAGACCAGCCTGGCCAACATGGTGAAACCCTGTCTCTACTAAAAATACAAAAATTAGCCGGGCATGGTGATGCGTGCCTGTAATCCCAGCTACTGAGGAAGCTGAGGCAGAAGAATTGCTTGAACCCGGGAGGCAGAGGTTGAAGCCAGCCGAGATCTCGCCACTGCACTCTAGCCTGGGAGACAGAGCAAGACTCTGTCTCAAAAAAAAAAGAGATGGTAACACATTCATCTGTACAATGGGATTCCTACTACAGGTATGACTAACAGTACATCATGATTGTTTGAAGATAATTAAATGCGACGAGGCACAGAAAGTGCTGCCTGACATGAAATACGCTCCTTTTGTCAACACATCTTAGTGTCCCATTGCTAGAAATCTTCAAGTCAGAGGCTGCCTGATAATGCTGAAGAAGAATGCCAACATTCAGCAGGAGTTTGGACTATAACAGTGGTTCATAACCTTGGCTGCGCTTTAGAGTCATCTGGCTGCTTTAACATTTTTCTCTACTCAGGCCAGACCTCTGTCTAATCAAATCAGAGTCTCCCAGCGGCAAAGTGAAATCTTGGAACCACGTGGCATGAAATGGTTAAAGGTATGAGGTCACAGCTGGGGTTGGGCAGTGTTCGTATTTTATCCCATCTTTCCACGGGATTCCGACGTGCAGCCAAATGTCCCAACGCTGGACTACAAGAAGTCCAAGGTCCCTCTCAGCTCTGTACTTCTATAATTCTGTATCTGGATTCCCAGCAGCTATTCCATGGAGCCATTCATTGGTACTCCTGCTTTCTCAGGGGCATCTTATAGAGGCAATGGACTTTATCCAGTTCCCTGGCTCTCCATTTGTGAATTGCAAGTTCAAGGCATCCAGCCTCTCTGCACTGTGTCCCCCACTATAAGACAGAAGCAGTAATGCTGACTGCTTACAATAATGATGAGTGAATAGAAGAATTCATGTGAAGTGCTTTGCATATCTTCCACACAGAGGGAGTTAATAAATAGGTGCTACTGTTATTAATGCAGGTATTAAAGGGCAGACTCTATATAAGTGGCCTGTTTAAAGAGCACCTAAACTAGTGCAATCCATAAAGAAATTTAATATAAATATAGTATCATAATAATTCAAAAAAATTTTTACAATGCACAAACCTGTTAGCTTAGTTTTCAAAACTTTTGCAAGAAACAATACATATGGTCATTTTTAAAAGACTGTGGAAGTTTCGTGGTGTTTTCTATAATTATTAACCAGGTTCAATTTTGCTATGTAATTAGAATGACTCTTCTTGGGTTATTTGAAATTCCAAAAGAATATTTTTAAAACTGACAAGGCAACTTTTAAATCTAAGAAACTTCACACATCCAATCCACAAATGTTAAAAGAATGGGATCAAGATAAGAACTATACCAAAAGCACTGTTAATGAAAGAAAAAATTTAAAATTAAAAACTTTCCACCTATGAAAGACACTAATATAGGATGAAAGGACAAATCATAGATTGAAAGAAAATGTTTACAGATCATGTATTTTTTTTTTTTTTTTTGATATGGAGTCTTGCTCTGTCATCCAGACTGGATCTCAGCTCACTGCAACCTCCACCTCTCAGGTTCAAGCAATTCTCCTGGCTCAGCCTCCTGAGTAGCTGGGATTACAGGTGTGTGCCACCATGCCTGGATAATTTTTGTACTTTTAGTAAAAACGGCATTTCACCATGTTGGCCAGGCTGGTCTTGAATTCCTTACCTCAAGCAATCTGCCCACCTCAGCCACCCAAAATGCTGGGATTACAGGCGCAAGCCACCTCACCTGGCCCACAAATCATATATCTGATAAGAAACATATCCAGAGTTTATAAAGAACTCTTAAAACTCAACAATAAAAAATAACACTAAAAAGAAGGGCAAATTTCAACAATGATGTATAGATGGTAAATAGCATGTAGACCCCAATTATCATTATAAAAATGCAAATTAACATTTTAATGAGTTACTACTACATACCTATTGAAAGGTGACGATCCTAAAACAAGATAATAGTAAATGTTATCTAGAAGGCAAGACAAAAATAATTCCTATTCACTGCTGGTGGGAAAGGAAAATGTCTTCCAATCTGGAAGATAGTTTGGCAGTTTCTTACAAAGTTAAACAGACATACCATAAAACCCAGCAATCCACTCGTAAGTGTCTACCCAAGCATATTAAAGAGGCATGTTCACAAGAAACCCTGTACACAAATGTTTATAGAAACATTCTTCATAACTGCCAAGGGTAGAAGCAACCAATATTGGATAAACAGCCTTGCTACTTTCATATATTGGAATATTATTCAGCAATACAAAGAAATAAAGCGACAAAAAGACATAGAGAAAATGTAAATGCATACTGCTAAGTAACAGAGGCCAGTCAGAAAAGGCCCCATACCAATAATTGCAATTATAGGACTTTCTGAAAATGGCAAAACTACAGAGACATTAAAAGGATCAAAGGGTGCCAGAAATTTTGGGGAAGCGGGGAGAGTTTAATAGGTGGAGCATAGGGTTTTTTTAAAGAGTTTAAACTAATCCGTATGATCCTATAATTGTGGATACAGAGTGCTATTTGTCAAAACACATAGAACTTTATGGCACATAGAATGAATCTTAATGGATGCTAATTTAAAACTAAAATTGTTCAGGAGGTCGAGGTACCCCAGGATGGAATGCAATATGTGACAAAAGAATCTAGCTGTATTAACAAACAATCTCCCCAAAGGGGTTAGGGTGGAAAAGTGTTGACTTAAGCAACTCTAGGAATGAGCAGGGTCTATAGGACTACAGACAAAAGAAACTGTCCGTAAGCACTCTACTTTAGTTGATAAAGCTGTTTCCCATGGGGGTACTGGTTAACAATTCTGATACTGCTATAGATGAACACTGGAAATGAATAACTAATGGATGGCAGATGGTAGGAGCCTGCTTCCTGCTTCTTACTGTTGAAGCGGGAGGTTAGAGATAAGCAAAAGAAAAAAGCTAGAATTACTCATGGGGTAATGGATGAGAGACATCAGTATGAATTTCTGTTTTGCTTAAAATAGACACAGCTAGTTTTATATATAATTATTTATAGATAAGTGTATATACCAGAGTTACTATACACACACATACCTCCACACTATGTAGGCTAAGAGGACCCAGAAACAAAAACACTCCAGGAGCACCAGCATGGTTTTAAATACCGTTCTCCAGTGAGAAGAACCAGGGCACACTGGAGAAATGGCTGAGTCTAGGCCTGGGACAGAAAATATGTAATATGAGTCAGGAGCATCTTGTAGTGCCAGAAAGTAAGAAAGTGCTAAAAAAAAATTTTTAATTGATGTGGAAGAGACACAGGAGCCAACTGAAATAGCTCCCATTGGACAAAGCTGGAACAATTCAGGCCACAAAATTAAGTCGTGTTGGACCATAACTCAAAGTATAAAATAAATGTCCATTAGTCCATACTCATATAACTAAATAAATGCCTGAATAAACAAATAAATACTTGGGAAGAAGAGACACATCTCCTATGCAGAAGAATTCCAAATAATTTATGTAGACATTTCACCCTGAAGGGGGTAAGCCTAACTCCCCACTCCTTAAGTGTGGGCTGTGCAGTCACCTCCTTCCAAGGAGCACAGGATGGGAGGGGGTGGCTTCACAGAGGAGATACCTGAGCACCACCACTGCAGCCAGGTGACCAAGGTTCACATCAGCAGTGATGAGTCGTGTTCATAGTATGTAACCTTGATATGACATGATGGAAATGGCAGTTTATCTCTGTGCAGAAAACCCACAACACCAGTCTAACCATGAGAAAAACATGTGAAAAATCTCAACAGCAGGACATTCTACAAAATACCTGACCAGCATTCCTCGAAGTTGCTAAGCTCATCAAAAACAAGCTAAGTCTGAGAAATTGTCACTGTCATGAGGGGCTATGTCAACTAATGTAATACGGTATCCTAGATGGGATGCTGGGACAGAAATAACGCAAAAAGGTCAAAACAAGAAAACCTGAAATAGGTATTGGCTTTGTGAATGTTTGTATGCCCCAGAGATTCATATGCTGAAAGCTAATTCCTGATGTGATGATATTAAGACATAAAGCCTTTGGGAGGTGACCAGCTCATGAAGGTACATCCCTTATGAATGGGATGAGGCCCCAGAGAGCTGCCTCACCCCTTTCACCATGTAAGGACACACAGAGAAGATGCCACCTACGAGCCAGAAAACAAGCCCTCACCAGACACTGATTATGCTGGCAGCTTGATCTTGGATTTTCCAGCCTCCGGAACTGTGAGAAATAAATGCCTGCTGTTTTTCCCTTACCTAGTCTATGGTGTTTTGTTATAGCTGCCCAAATGTACTAAGATCACTAATTGTCATATTAATTAATCACAAATGCACCATACTAATATAAGATGTTAATAACAGGGAAAACTGCATATGGACTATATGATAACTCTGTACAATTTCCAGTTTTTCTGTACATATAAAGCTCTTATAAAAATTGTTTATTTAAAAGTTAAAATGAAACTGTATATACACTATACTGTAGTTGGTAAAACTGTTTTAACAATTCAGAAAGTTCTTTATGTCTATACTAGGATTGAACAAATAAATGAATAAATGACAATAGGGGTCTGGTTTCTCATTGTCACAACACAAGTTATTTTTAAAAAAAAAAGCAAGAGAGGAAGTCTAGAATTAACCCTGGACTACTGGATTAGAGTCAGAGATATCAGTATAAACTTAACACTTAGTTTATCATTATATATAGAGAGATATACATGAATACAGAAGCAATTATAAATACATGTGTACACCTGGGTTAATAGCCACTCATGTATTTCCTAGCTCTGTCTGTTGGGGAAGGCCCAGACAGAATGACACCCTAGCAGCAATGAGTACAACTATGGCCAGATCTTGGTTTCTACATAATATCCTCCAATAAAAGAAACAAGGGCTCCTTGGAGAAATGGCTGATCCTAGGCCTAGGGCAGGGGATACACAAGATGACCTACAGCATCTTATAATGCCAGAAATCAAGGAAGTGCTCACAAAGCAAACAAATGAAGGCATGCCAAAGGGACCAGGAACCATCCTGAGAGTGCTGCCCGTGGACAAAGCTGGAAGAATCTGAACATCAAAACACAAAATATAGCATTGGATTATAGCTTAAGGTATAAAATACATATACATGAGTCCATACTGATTGAAATAAATCATTGAGTAAATAAATAAATGGGGAAGAAGAAACGAATTGTCCTTCAAGAAGCATTCCAAATAATCTGTGCAGATTCCCACCCAGAAGCGGGGCTCAGTTCCCCTCCCTCAGTGTGAGTGGGACCAGGTGACTCACTTCCAAAGAACAGGGTGTGGGAAGGGAAAGGTGGTGACTTTGCGGTGAGGATTCCTGGCAGCCAGCACCTTAGCCAAGTGATCAAGGTTAACATCAGTGATGTCATATTCACACCATGTACCCCTGATAGGAGCAGGTCACATTCCCTCTGTGGTATTCTTTCCACAAACCTGTAACCTCAGTCTAATCATGAGGAAACATCAGATAAACCCAAGCTGAGGAACATTCTACAGGTTTGTCTGACCACTACTCTTCAAAACTGCCACGGCCATGAAAAACAAAGACAGCCTGAGTGACTGTCTCAGAGGGGACTCCAGAGACACAACTAACTGTCACGTGGCATCTTCAGTGGGATCCTGGGACAGAAGAAGGCATCCGTGGAAAAGCCTGAGAAATTTGAATAAAGTCTGGAGCTTGGTTAACAGTAATTTACCAATGTTAATCTCTTAATTTTGACAAATATAGCACAATTATGTAAGATATTAATACATGAGACAATGGGGTGAAGGGTAGACAGGAACTTCTTGTACTTGTAGCTTATCTATAAAACCCAAGTTAGGTCATGCCTGTAATCCCAGCACTTTGGGAGGCCAAAGTGGGAGGATCACCTGTGGTCAGGAGTTTGAGACCAGCCTGGCCAACATGGTGAAACCCCACCTCTACTAAAAATACAAAAATTATCCACTCATGGTGGTGGGCACCTGTAATCCCAGCTACGCGGGAGGCTGAGGCAAGAGGATCGCTTGAACCCAGAAGGCGGAGATTGCAGTGAGCCAGTATCACACCATTGCACTACATCCTGGGTGACAGAGCGAGACTCCATCTCAAAAACAAACAAAAAAACAAAGTTAATCCAAAATAAAAACTTCATTAAAAATAAAAACCAAACATTATTTTACTCTCTTCTTTTACAGGGTTACAGTGTAATTTGTCAAGACTGTGAAGCCGCAACGTGATCTTATTTTTGTAAGATATAAAAATATACTGTTAATAATTGCGATATGTATCCTAAGTATCTATCATATCTGACAGGACGCGTGTGTCCGTCAGGAAGTGCTTGGAGGCACAGTGGCCCTCAAGCCTGGAGTCATCCTTGGCCCGCAGTGAGGCTCAGGTCTGTGCGCAGGTACTCACCAAATGAACCGAAAACTGCTCTGGGGGCGTTGGTTTGGGGGCAGCTGAACTGGGAGATCCTTGTGGAATAGAAGTTGCTTCCCAAAGATCCCAGAAAAATAGTACACTGGACCTAGCTCAGAATGATCCAGGGGCTCCTGGAGCCTTCTCCAACATAGCAGACCCTAGAGAGCAGCTGAGGTGTGGGGCAGGAAGCAGGATACCAGGATGACCCTGGGCCTCTCCACCCCAACCCTGCCTGTGCACCCCAGGCCCTGGAAGCTGGGCTGGGCTCCTGAGCTTGGCAGCCCAGGCAGTGGCCAGGCCCCTGGGAACCCCTGGGCTTCCCAAGGCAGGAGAGGACAAACAGGCCACCATCTCTTATAATTTCACCTCTTCACTCCTCAGAAGTTGGAATGTGTCATACCGGATAACATCTTAGAGTCAATGGTATTGCTATAAATTACATTCCAGAAAGATGATTAATAAAGCTGACTAAAGTCTGGCCGGGCGCAGTGGCTCACGCTTGTAATCTCAGCACTTTGGGAGGCCAAAGCGGGTGGATCCCAAGGTCAGCAGATCGAGACCATCCTGGCTAACATGGTGAAACCCCGTCTCTACTAAAAAATGCAAAAAATTAGCCGGGCATGGTGGCAGGTGCCTGTAGTCCCAGCTACTCGGGAGGCTGAGGCAAGAGAATGGCGTGAACCCTGGAGGCAGAGCTTGCAGTGAGCCGAGATCACGCCGTTGTACTCCTGCCTGGGCGAAAGAGCAAGACTCCGTCTCAAAATAATAATAAAAAATAAATAAATAAATTAATTAATTAATTAATTAATTAAAATAAAAAGTAGACTAAAGTCTGTGGGAAGGGGGAGGGGTAACACACACATCCTAGTGACTCTCCGGGACCGGAGAAGAGAATCAGCAGTGCCTGCTGTGGGATCCAGAAGCTGGGAATGAGGAGGACGAGAACCCCAGCCGATCAGTGTGCACGAGGCAAACCGGGCAGCTGCCCTGAGCCTGGGTCTGTGCCGCCCTCTTTGTCTTTCCTGTGCCCCTTATGGTGTCCCAGGTCCTCACACACAGACGCCGATGCCCTCTGGACATCACCTGCAATTCCAAAGCCCCCGTGACCCCTCAGCAAGGCCCCTTCTTCCTCAGATACCCCACAGCCCGGCTTCTTGTATCCACTGGCTCTCCTCCTCATCCATCTCTCTCTCTCTCTCTCACACACACACACACTCGCACTTACACACCTCCCACACATGCTCACACACTGACTTGCACAAGAGCATACACACACAAACACTTGCACACACCTCACACACATGCTCACACACAAACATGCACTACATACACACCACACTTTGTCACTTGCAGACGCACCTCTCATGCGCACACCCTCATTTGTACAACCTATCACACACAGATACACTCACACACATACACATTTACACATCACACATACTAACACGCTTACTTGCACACTTACACACATCTCGCACTCACATGCTCACACACTTGCACACACTACACACATTCTCATACACTCACGCAGCCAATTTACACACATCACACTCACACATTCACTCTCACATACATAAAAATACACCACACACATACTCATAAACACATCCTTATACACACAGACACATGCATGTCCACACACACATGCTCACACCCTTACACTCATACAGATATTCACATGCACAATGCTCACACACGTACATGTTCACACACTCACACATGAATACACACACTCACACACTTACATCCACATACATGAATACCCACACTCACAACTCTCACACACACAGTTGGCGCCCAGCTCCTAACTCAGGTTGTACGACTGGGGACCAGCACTGGGAGTCCCTGCGGTCCACTGCTGACAAAGCTCTAAAATAAAATCCCTGGCCCCGAAAGGCTGCTGGGGACACCAGAGGTTTCCTGGGCTGTTTGAATCAGGTCCTCCCTGCTCCGAGGGGAGGGAGGGAGAAGGTCTGGCTGGAGTGGGGAGGCCAGCATTGCCCAGTCTCCCGCCCTTCCCAGAACCCTGCCAGCACTCCACGGAAGCGCCTTTGGAGAGGCGCACAGACCCGTCCAGGGAGCTGGTCCTGGGATGCGCGGGCTGTGGGTCCCTCAGCCAAGGGAAATGGGATCCCCTGAGCTAGTTAGCTCTTTGGCGGCCTTGGGGCTCCGAGCTGTGCCGGCCCCCCAGGAGACACCTGCTATGGCTGTGCCCCACCCAGCCTGCAGAGAGTCCGCGGGGGCATGGGCCTCAGGGGGCGTTCACCAAAGCTAAGCTCTCCACAAAGATGCAGTGAGCACTTGCTGCAAACCAGGTGCCACCTCAGGGCCTGGGTGTGCACTAACTCCCCTCTGCTCATACGCACAGATGCGATTTGGGGAAAAGGACAGGAAGGCATCAAAGACCGCCCAGAGCCGCGCCTGACACTAACAGCCACAGAGCAGGGCTGGAAAGCCCAGAGGCCACAGCAGGTTCTGCGTCAGGTTAACAGCTCAGAGAGCCCTCTGCAGGGGCTGGCTTCAGGGTGCTGAAGGACCCAGGCATGGGGAGCAAGGGCAGGGGCGTCCTGGGCTGGGAAACGGCCAGGCCAGCGGAGGGACCAGCTAGTGCTCCAGGAAGAGGAAGACTAGCTATGGTCAGGCGGGCAGATCAGAGCTTAGTAAGCCAGGACAGGGCAGAAGGACCACGCTGATGTTATCAGGACACTGGGGGTTCCTGTGCGGCAGGGCAGTCATCTGATGACAGTTTCAAAAGATCCTCCGGGCAGCTGCGTGGGGACTCCGTAGTGGAAGGCCAGGGGCACAGGGAAGCCACATGGGGGCCTGTTGCCGGCCTGGGCCAGACAGGATGAGGGGGCTGAGGGCAGCAGGGCTGAGGGGAGGATGCCCGGGTGCACTTGGAGGGAGAGGAAGCGGTGCTCGTCAGCAGGCTGGGTGTGTGGGAGTGGGGACGGAAGGAATCGCGGAAGCCCCATTGTTTTCACTCAAGTGAACTGAGTGGGTGGTGGTCTCATTTCCTGAAATGAAAATTCTGGGGGTGGGGGAAGGAGAGGGGGTGGTGATAAAAACCTAACATGTATCCCTGTTAACTTTGAAATTCCCATTGGATACCCCAGTGGGCATGGCAAGAAGACAGGTGGAATTGTTGTGAGGTTGGAGGGAGTGGGCTCTGAGGCCCGCCAAGGATGGACAAAAGGACTGAAAAGTTCTTGGTATACAAATGGAATTTCAAACCAGGCCCTGGATGAGATCTCCTGGGTGCAAGCTCCATGTGGAGGGTACAGGGGCCCAGGCAGAGCTTGGTGTGCAGGGAGAGGGGACAAAATGAGGCTGAGAGAGAGAGTGGCAAGACGGGGGCAACGCTCTGAGGGCGATGAGGTGAGACGCAAGCACAGAGGCTTTCCAGAGCCCAGCTCAGCATAGAGCAGGGTGCACCCAGGGCTTCCCACGGCCCAGGCCACCTGCGCCAGAGGACCCTGATCCAAGTCCCTCCAGTCACACTATTCCCTCCCCAGGTTTTTTCATCAAACCAAGAAATCTCTCCACATGCAAGGCGACCCTCTTTGGAAACGTCTTCCCTACTGTTGCACTGACTAATGCATCTCACCGGGCTACAGCTCTGCTTGACTTTCTCGCCAAAATACAAGCTTGAGCTCCAATTGCCCAGGAGGTGTGCCATGGATTCTGAGAAAGCCTCCATCTCCCTGTCCCCACCCTCTATCCCCTCCGGTGGATCATCACCTTACAGCATTGCCTTCTATGAAGTCTGTGGAAGCCCCCAGGGAAGGACCCTCTCCCCTTCTGAAGGCACATTTGCATCACAGCGAGTCATGAACATTAGCTCATTCAACTCTCCAACTTTAATGAGCTTAACACGCAGCAGGGGTGCAACATTTTGGAGAGTGAATTGACTTAAATTGTCAGCTTCCAGCCTGCGTGACATCACCAGTTCTTAGCAGAGAAGCCCATGGCTCTAAGACTTCCCTGGATGCTCTTCAGGATGCATCTGAGGCCCTGAAGCCAGGCAGGACACAGTAAATTGATGCTCATAGATGCATTTTCTGCAAAGAGAGTGCAGAGTTTTATTGGAATTATCAGTGATAGATGAGCTTTTTTTTTCTTCTGTTGCATTGTAGCTATTGGATTCTAATCTTATTCAAGTTTGAACAACTCCAGGGAAAGGGCTGTTGCCTTCACCTCCTGTAGCTGATTTGGATAGACACATGGCACATTTCTCCTAAAATCTGGCTCCCCCAAGTCCTTCTTCCTAGTGCTGAGTTCTGGATTCCTGCATGGCTTTGGTCTGGGGTCCCTGTGTCCCTATTCCTCCAGCCCACACTCCAAGTGATGCAAACACTTCACTGGGAACTAGCTCCAAATAGCCACCTCAAGCCTTGCCCTGTCCTGGAGGTTTGGAGCCCAATAAGTCTGCATCCTAGGTACCAAGGTGGGTCTACAAAAACAGGAGGCCCCCAAAATGGCATCCCTAACACAACCCTATTTAAAATTGCTGGGCCTTTTAAACTGTTTTTTATACAGCCTGGTGGTACCAGTTGCATCCACAAACATTTGTGGAGCACACCTGCCAGATGCCTGCTCTAGGCTCCACATGCTGTTGTGAACAAAACAGACAAACATCTCCACCCTAATGGAATTTGCCTTTTTTTTTTTTTTTTTTTTTGAGATGGAGTCTCATCGCCCAGGCTGGAGTGCATTAGAGTGATCTTCACTCACAGCAAGCTCCGCCTCCCGGGTTCAGGCCATTCTCCTGCCTCAGCCTCCCAAGTAGCTGGGACTACTGGCACCCGCCACCATGCCCAGCTAATATTTTGTATTTTTAGTAGAGACAGGGTTTCACTGTGTTAGCCAGGATGGTCTCGATCTCCTGACCTTGTGATCCGCCCAACTTGGCCTCCCAAAGTGCTGGGATTACAGGCGTGAGCCACCGGGCCCTGCCCGGAATTTACCTTCTAATGGAGCAGGCGATAAACACAATTAAGTAAGGAAGTATCTATAGTATGTTAGCTGGTGATAAGTGCCAAGGAGAAATTGAAATAGAGAATGACCATAGTAATAAAGAGCATCATCACAAACACTTGAACAGCACATGCCACACACCAGACTAGTCTCAATATTCTCTGTGGCCCAGCACAGTGGCTCATGCTTGTAATCCTAACACTTTGGGAAGCTGAGGCAAGAGGATCACTTGAGCCCAGGAGTGCGAAATCAGCCTGAGCAAGATGGCAAGACCCCATCTCTACTAAAACTTAAAAATTAGCCAGGTGGCCGGGCGCGGTGGCTCACACCTGTAATCCCAGCATTTTGGGAGGCCGAGGCAGGTAGAACACGAGGTCAGGAGATCGAGACCATCCTGGCTAACACAGTGAAACCCCATTTCTACTAAAAAATACAAAAAAACTAGCCGGGTGTGGTGGCGGGCACCTGTAGTCCCAGCTACTCAGGAGGCTGAGGCAGGAGAATGGCATGAACCCGGGAGGCGGAGCTTGCAGTGAGCCGAGATCGTGCCACCGCACTCCAGCCTGGGCGACAGACCGAGACGCAAGACTCCGTCTCAAAAAAAAAAAATTAGCCAGGCACAGCAGCCCACAGCTATAGTCCCAGCTACTCAGGAGACAGACACAGGAGGATCCCTTGAGCCCAGGAGTTCAAGGCAGCTGTGAGCTATGATTGTGTCACTACATTCCAGCCCGGGCAACAGAGCCAAAGATAAATAAATAATAAATGTTCTGTGTGCATTTACTCATTAAAACCCTCAGGACAACTGTCTGAGGCTGGTATTGCTATGATTCCCATTTAAATACGGTAAGGGGAATACCTTGCCCAAGGTCACACAGCCCCAAGTGGTGGCCCAGGGTGAAGGAAAAGGAAAAGGAGGTATGGAGCAAGGAAGGCACTGCAGCCAGGGAAGGCCCTTGGCACGCCGTGTGTTCTGTGGTGTGCTGGCTGAACCTGGTCATTGCCAGGAACTTTATGGTTAGCTAGAACCTGGTGCCAGAGGAGAAAGCCACTCACGGGAGCCAAGGGTAGTTTCTTTCTACCTATCCACCCATGATTGTTTTCTAAGAAAGAAAGGAGAAATCAAAGAAATCACAGAATTTGAACGCTGTATAAAACCTAATGTTTGTGGAGCAATTGAAGAAAAATAAACAGTGTGGTGAAGTAAACAGTTAACAAAAGGCTAGCATATGTTTACCTAGAAGATGTGAAGAATTGTTTCCAGATTAAATGGTTTGGAATGAGAACCTCCACACCTTGAATATAAACTAAGATTTGCCAACTGTGAGAAACATTTAAAATGCTAATTACTTTAAAGGATGAGAAACCTGGAAACATGTTTTAGGGAAGAAAAGAACTGGAAGGACAATGGGCACATATAAGCCATGGTATTGCACAGGTTCAGCAGAACAATGGGCAAAAAAAAAAATCAAAAAGATTGGTCTACACGGAGACTTCCAGCAGCCCCCTCTCTGAGGCCGAGGAGTCTTGTTCAAATACTGTCTGACTGAGAGATAATTATGGGGGAAATGCCAATTCCACATTTCATATCTCTGCACTTTAGTACTGTCAGAGCCCCACGGAGACGGGATACGAAAGGAACAGTCTGACAGGCGAGGGAGGGGAGCCGTGCAGTCCTGGAACTGCGCCAGGCAATGTGGAAGTCATTGAGATTTACCAGCATCATTTCCATAATCGTTTTTGGATGCACAACAGCTGAAGATTGTGCCTGGATTCCCCTTTGCAAGCATTCTGGAGTCACAACATCGGCATAGAAGGTGGCCAGCCTTCGGCTTTTGCAGTCGTTTGTGGAGTCTTTATGGAAGAGCAGCGTGGTCAAGAGACCACGGCTGCGTAACCCCGTCTGCAGTATGTGAGGCCGGAGTGCTGACCCTGGACCTGCCCAGTCATGCCTTCTCGGTCAGCTGTTCATCTCATCTGCTACCACGGTAAGAAATGGTTTTCATAAAGCCATTTATGAGTTATGAAAATCCATTATTTTCCAACTGAGAAGGTAGACATTAAACTGCAGAATCAATGAGGCAGTAACAGTTTTGAAACCTCAGTACAAGCAGTGACTCCTTCTGCCGTGTAAGAACCGATCAACTTGGCCCATTTCCCCTTCTCTAGAACACTGAACTACAGCGTTAGATAACTAGATGGTGCCCGTGACCATGGGCCCTTTACCTGCTCCACAGTGAATGAAAGTTCACCCCAGAGCAGGGTTACACCCTGCGGAGGGCTGGGCCAGGTCCACAGTCCTCAGAGATGCCCTGAGTTCATCCAGAAGAGCTCAGCCATTTGCCTACGCCAGGCCAATGCTCTAGTCAGCGTGGAGGGGAGGGTTACGCCGTAACCACTGAGTCAGCACATTGTGGACCAATAATAGCGTAATAACAGCGTCTCTCCAACAGGGAAAAGAAATGCCCTGAAGACTGCTGGCCGTGTGTTCAGTGATTCTCACAGAGCACAGAAAATGAAACATCAGAGAAACTGCCCTTAGGCGGGGCTGGCAAATATCTCCCCTACTGGGCGCAGGGCAGACTTCACCTCAAGGTCTTCCTCCACACACATTCCACAGCCCAGCCAGTCCTCCAGGGCGGAACTCAAGATAAATCTATTCACCATCTCTGTTCTCTTGGGAGTGGGGGAGGATACGAAGCTGAGGTCTAGCATCCGGGCCAGGGCTTTCTCGGCCACGGCTCCTGGCCTGGGTGATGGTGGGAGGGAGGAATGTGATGATCAACACTCCAGTTTCTTGTCCAAGGCTGCCTGTGGCCGATGTGCTGCCTATTTGGGGAGAAAAGAGAAACACGTAGGCTTGTCTCGGGTGTTCCTAGAGGATGTGGGATGGCCACCCATGGCAGAAAACTAACTTGGTTCACTAGAGTGTGTGACATCGGGACCTGAGATCCAACTTACCAAGTGCTATCTACGTGACTTCACCCCTCAGTGTATTCATCTATGAAATGGGGATAATACTAGCACTGGAGGATAAATAAATCGATCAACATGTGTAAAGTGCTTAGAAGGTGCCTGCCATGCAGGAAGCAAGCACTGGGCACTAGCTATCGCTATCATTTCTGCTGTCCTCGATGAGTGCAACTAGTTGCTGAGCTGGGGTAGCTGAAAGTGACTGGTAGTAGAGGGGGTGAGAACAGGTAAAAGGCCACGACGCAGAGAAGCCAGAGGCCATGCAGGTTGAACTCCAACAGGAGCAGTGGCTGTAGGGGAGAGGCTTGACCCTGGAGCTGGTCATGATGTGCAGGTGGGATGGGCTGGGGGCTCCCGTGTGAGAGCACAGGAGGAGAGGCTGTGTTTCCCAAGCCTGCAAAGGGCTAGAGTGAAAAGAGACCTAGGTATGACTAACAAGGCCTGGCAACTTGGCGTTCTCCACATATGTAATTCTTCCTATCAAAGCAGGTTCCCAAACCCTGGTTTCTTCCTGCCTCTCAGCTTAACATTATCATTGCTCCTTCATCCATCAGAGAGCCCGGAGTCTCATCTTTCAGTGACTTATCAAGGCTAGACTATTCCTCAGAATCTCCACTGTGAATCAGAATACTGTTAAGATAAACGTTAATGCTTAAGTCAAAAATATTGGACTCAAAGAAGGAGTCAACATGGTAAGAGGCCCTTCTGGCGCATCATCCCAGAAACTTCGTCTGACACCCTCCACCACGGGTCCTCCACACGGGAGGGGATGCCTGGACAGTTGTGCACACAGAAACAACATTTGTTCTCACTGGTTTGCTCTGCAGTCCCAGAAGCCCACCAAACAGAGTGGGAAAAAAAGACATCTTGGGGCAAAAGACAAAGTGTGATTCGATACACTGATCTCATGTAAGCATAGTTCTAATTAGCTAAATCATTCCTTCAGCAATAGTAAAGAGAGACTGCAACAGATCTGATACTCCAATAGGCTTTGTCCAATCTGGCAGAGTGGATTCTTTATCTGAAATCATCCACAACAACCACTTTCAGAATGGGGCCAATTTTCAGACCTAAATTACCTCTGGCTCCACAGTAGCATCTGCCCATGAAATCAGTTTCTACCAAAAGCTTAAACTCTCCAGCAGCAATTATCTGGAACAGCCTCAAAACTGCATTTTTGCCATTTGAGACTGTTTTCCACAATTGCCAGCCATCTTGCCTGTTAGCATGCCTGTGGGAAGGACGGGCTGGTACTTACGGCATTGATTCCCTATTTGAAGTTGTTGTCCTTGAATCCTTTATGACCATCAGACATAACACCCAGTGAAAATGACGCCACCTGCATTTAGAATTATTCAAAACCTGCCACCTCACAGAGGAAAATTCAGCCCACCCTCAGGGATGCAGGTCTTGACTCTGTTCTGGCTGAACTGTTAACAATTCTCCTTTGCAAACTCCCAGAAGGAGACTTGATGATCTCTCCCACATAGCACTTAATGGGGAAGCAAAAACGATTTTCAACTGAGGGAATGTTTTTGCAAAGTGGAAATCAAATCCATTTGTTAATCTTCAAAAACTCTGGGCTGTGCAGATTCTCAGGAAGACACTAAGCATATGGATCACAACAGCGATGGACCCTCAGCAAATGGAGCCTGACAACTCCAGAACCAAGCACTTGCCTGGGGGAACCCCTCCCAGCAAACACTTCTCAAATGGCAAACCTGGGTCCTGTTAGCTATGCTGGCTGTGATCTACTGGTGAATGAATGCCTATCACCAATAGTTATTACAACATCAACCTTCTCTATAGAGTTTCTGAGTGATTTTTTGCACAGAAATAAGGATTATAGTTTACAACACTGCAGTGGTCCTAAGCTCAAAGTCCTCATTCTTCAACCCGAGAGTTCTTTATGTTGGTTACCCCTCAATTACATGTAACACAGGCTCCATCAAGACAGAGACAGTGTGTGTTCGCTTGATTAAAGTAAGCCCGCAGGCAACAGGATAGATTCCTAACCCCTAACTTTTACTTAAACTAAAATACACGAACAGGAAAATGCAGAAAACACATCTGCCAAACAATGTTTCAGTTTTCTCATGCCTCAAAATTATCTTCTCAGACCAGGACTGTTATTTTCTCTAATGCAAGTCCATGTGAGGGCAAAATCAGTGTTGCCTTTCCCATATGCCCTCATCAGACGGTTTCAGGCAGAACTTTCCTGCAAACACTGAGCCACACTGGCCTAGAAGGTCAGTCAGTTTGCATTAGCTCAGCCCTGACTATTCACATCGAGTCGTGCTAATTTCCATTTACCTAAGAAGTAAAGGTTTTCCAAGGCTGGTTCCCAACCCTGCTCAGATGCTATGGAACTTAGATGATTCTGTGAAAAACTGAGAAGGCTCCAGATATCTGAGACAGCTGTGGGGCATGTGCTCAGAAAGCCCAGCCTCTGTGGAAAAGCAGAGCTTTCTGTGTTTCAGTGAAAATGCCCGTGAGGTTTAAGTCCCCCCTCCTCTGAAATGACAGAAGAGACAACCAGCCACTGCGGGTTTCGACAGAGGAGGGTTAAGAAGTTGGGCAACACCAGCACCAGTGAACCCTCGGGGCCAGGAGAGCAGCAGCCTGGTTTGGTTTTCAGTCACCCACTGTGGTGGGAACAATAATGTGGGATGAGATCAAGTTCAAGAACAGTACACGCAAGCAAAAATCTCATTGTTTCTGTTATTACATTGTGAACATCTCCTCTTTTGTTTTCTTTTAAAGAGCATTGTTCAAAGGTTAAATTTGTTGGCTAAGACATCCCCTGAAAAGCTTAGTAACTTGGAATTTTGGTGGCCATAGTTTTCTGCCTGTGTGAGCTTCCCTCCAAGGTTAATCTTAAATATAGACTCTCCCTCCTCTTTCCTTCCAAATCCTCTTTTCTTTCCGAGCCTTCCAAGTACATGGTTAGGCTCCATTCCTGTTCTCAGCAGCGTATACCATCATCTCTGCCAGACTTCCTCCAGCTGCCGCCCATGAGTGCATCTGCTGTAGAGTTCCCCACTTGAAAGGTGTCCCAGAAAGCCTGGCCTCATTTTATTCCCAGAGGAATCCCAGAACCCTGGGAGACAACAGCTAACAGCTGGTCCAGAGATTGTTGTACAAACTTTTGAGGCAACAACTGGCAAATTGTAAGAATACGATGGAGTGCAGGCAGACTGGTTTGCCTGAGCTGATTCGGACAAAAGACAGGGTGGGGAAGAGGACAAGTGGCTGTGGCTGAGGATGGAGCAGGTCTCTACTTCTGTCCTGCACGTCTGTCCATCCTTAGTGCTAGGCATCTGTGATTTGTTTTCAAATTTCAATAGTTTGGGGGGTACAGTTGAATTTTGGTTACATGGATAAGTTATTTAGTGGTAGTTTCTGAGATTTTGGTGCACCCATCACCCTGAGAAGTGTACACTGTACCAATGTGTAGTCTTTCTTTTATTCCTCACCCACCTCCCACACTTTCCCCTGAGTCCTCAAAGTCCATTCTATCATTCCTTTTTTTTCTTTTTTTTCTTTTTTTGAGACAGAGTCTCGCTCTGTCACCCAGGCTGGAGGACAATGGCTCAATCTCAGCTCACTGCAACCTCCTCCTCCCAGATTCAAGCAATTGTCCCACCTCAGCCTCCCAAGTAGCTGGGATTACAGGCGCCCACCACCACACCCAGATACTTTTTGTATTTTTGTAGAGACAGGGTTTCACCATGTTGGACAGGCTGGTCTTGAACTCTTGACCTTGTGATCCACCAGCCTCGGCCACCCAAAGTGGTAGGATTATAGGCATGAGCCACCACACCTGGCTCATTGTATCATCCTTATGCCTTTGCATCCTTATAGCTTAGCTCCAACTTATAAGTGAGAACATACGATATTTGGTTTTCCATTCCTGAGTGACTTCACTTCAAATAATGGTCTTCAAATCCATCCAGGTTGCTGCAAAGGCCATTATTTTGTCCATTTTATGGCTGAGTACTATTCCATGGTATATATGTACCACATTTTCTTTATCCACTTATTGGTTGATGGGCATATATGTTGGGTCCATATTTTTGCAATTGTGAATTGTGCTGCTATAAACATGCATGTTGGGCACCCATGATATTATAATCGTTTCCATCTTGGTCACTATCTGCCGTATCATAAGCACAAAATTATGACTTCACAAGAGGATGGGCCAAATGAGAAGCAGAACTGTGAGGGAAAAGAATGCTTGTTAAAGCAAAACTATTCTCAATAATTGAGAGAGGAATTTCAGAAACTAACTCTGGCCAAGACCTTTTTTTAATATATGTTCTCAGCATTAGAGCTGTGTCCAAACCATCCCTGCTGACACATCCATGACAGCCTAGGATAAATAAGCCTTTGAGAAACTGTCTGAGGAGTGACATGGGAGCTGCCACCAGACCTTCCCAGGGAGCTCCTTGACTTCCCATGCCCACTACCTTCCCACCATAAAGGTGGGCCCATTTGCTTTTGATTTTGAAACTAAAGCAAATTTAGTTTACAGAAGCCATGTCTCAGGGTGGAAAATAGCTCATCTCTACTGGAAAACACTGACAGGCCATTCAATTCATCACTGAGCAAAAATCAGCATGAGAGTATCCAAAATGAAGCGGCAGAAGGAAGGAATTCACAGGCACATCAGGAAAGGTCGTGTGGCAGCAGCGTTTGCTCCGCAGCCCGAGAACTCCCTCCAGACCAGCAAGAAGAAATGAAGGACAGTCAGCCGGCACTGCCACTCAGAGGACTTGGTGCAAGGAGAAGCCGCGGCCAGCACTGGTCCTATTGCCCATGCTCCAGTAGCTTCTGCAAGCTATGGGATCACCAGTCCCATTGCTAATACGGGTTAGCATAAACATACCTTATCCAAACAGAGAAGAAAAGACACAGAGTATGTATAAATACATATTATAGATTCATGATACGTAAAGTGTGTCGATAACCTAAAGATTTCTTTGCCAGGCATGGTGGTTCACGCCTGTAATCCCAGCATGTAAGGAGGCCAGGGAGGGTGGATCACCCAAGATCAGGAGTTTGAGACCAGCTTGGCCAACATGGTGAAACCCCGTGTCTACTAAAAACACGAAATTAGCCAGGTGTGGTGGCTGGCGCCTATAATCCCAGCTACTTGGGAGGCTGAGGCAGGAGAATCGCTTGAGCCTGGGAGGCAGAGGTTGTAGTGAGCCTAGATCAGGCCATTGCACTCCAGCCTGGGCAACAAAAGTGAAACTCCGTCACACACACAAAAAATAAATAAAAATAAAAACCAAAAAAAGTAAATAAATAAAAAAGATTTTGTATAAAAATATGAAATTCAGGCTAGACAGCAAGCAAAGAATGTAATTCACTTGCAACTAACATTTCCCCAATAGTGCATTAAATGCCACCAGGGCTCAACTCCTGATCCCATCATCATAAACAGAACAATGGGGAAAGTACAGATTTTAGTTTTATACATACATATTGGACGCAGGCACCAATAGATCTGATAGCACATGCTACCTGTGCCTTTGACACACAGGGTCATCCAGACGATTAAAAGAATCTCACTGAGTTTCCAAAAAGGGCAAAGAGTTCGGGAAACTCCTCCGCCCCAACTTGCGCCCACCCACTGAAATGGAGCTGTCCCATTTGCACTGAACACCTCTGCAAAAATTTGTGGTTGGAATCATGTATGTGAAAAGAATGCCACCCTAGGGGACTTAGGAATTGCACTCTGGATGGAGGACGATGTGGGAAGGAGCCAGGTGGTCTTGTGGGAGATGATGCAAAAAGTGAGATGTGGTTGCACAGGAAACACTTCCTAAAAGTCAGAAGAAAAAGTGTGTATTCAGCAGCCGGGGGAGGGTGAGAGGAAATAACTCACAAATCTGAATTGTGTCCTACAATACAATATATTCCATCCTGATCAACCAAATAGCTGGCAGGAAAAGTACTTTGACTTTTATATCCTTTTCTCCAGACAAAGAGCTCTGAGTATGGCTGTGTATTTGAATAGGTGCGCTTGCAGGACAGCTGCTGAGACGCAACCCTGTGCTTGCAGCAGAAAGAGCTGATACTAATCCTGGATCCGCACAGAGCTGCCTGTGGGAGCCACACACCGAATGCCAATGTAAAGCCCACCTCAATGACAAATCCAAACTCACATTGTGTCACACGTTCTACAGACATCCAACAGGAATGGAAGACTTTTCTAGAATCTCCAAAATACTGCCTGGGTTCAACTCACCTTGACCAATTACTACCTTAGTTACTCTCAGCAAATAACTCAATCTCTCTATGAATCAGTTTTCTTATCTGTAAAATGAAAAAAAATAATAGTCCTTACTTCATGGGGTGGTTGTGAAGATTAAGGAGTTAATAAGTGTAAAGCACTTAGGAATGATCTCTTGATAAATGTGCTACTGTTGTTGCGGGACACAGTAGGACTTATTTCAGTAAATGATGGCTGATGTTGTTGTTGTTATTGTTACAAGAAAACCCCTCTCCCTCCAGCAACAATGAACAACAATGAACAACTATTCTTGATCTGAGAACACACACCCACTCAGAGTAAGCAGGCTGTTATAAGCTCCAGGCTTCACCGTATCTGTCACTTTCATATTTGTTCTTTAAGAGATGATCCCAAACTTTCCACACTTACTTTTTCTTTTCTTTCCCCAAGATGGAGCCTTGCTCTGTCGCCCAGGCTGGAGGGCAGTGATGCAATCTTGGCTCACTGCAACCTCTGCCTCCTGGGTTGAAGTGATTCTCCTGCTTCAGCCTCCCAAGTAGCTGGGATTACAGGCTCCTGCCACCATGCTTGGCTAATTTTCATATTTTTAGTAGAGGTGGGGTTTTACCATGTTGGCCAGGCTGGTCTTGAACTCCTGACCTTGTGATCCGCCCACCTCAGCCTCCCAAAGTGCTGGGATTACAGGTGTGAGCCACTGCGCCCAGCCTCCACACTTACTTTTATTAACACGTCCCCGATTAACTTGCAAACTCCACAAAGTCAATTTCTTTTTATACCTTTCTTGATTTGCCAGAAGTGTGGTCAACAAGTGAGGGGGAAATGAAATATTTGGTTATAGAATCTTCATATCCCTCACCCTGCTACAGAGAGGTAAAGGGACCATGGCAGAACCCTTATGTGAGGAAAGGGAAGGAAGCATCCTGTGATTGCCAAAAAAAGTTGGATTTGTCTGTAATTGACCAAGAACCTCTTCGTGAATCTAACGCTTGGCTTCTTTGATTAATATGTTTTCAATACAATCTACTTTCAGCTTCAGAGGAGAAATTGACAGTGTCCAAATTTCTGCCCAATTTCCTAATCTGTTTATAAAGGTTTATATACTATTCATTTTTGACTAAATTTTTATTGTGAAATTTGTAGATTCACATGCAACTGTAAGAAGCACAGCAGAGAGATACCTGTTCCCTTTATGCAGATTATCCCAATGTGACACCTTGCAGAACTATAGTACAATAGCACAGCATGATACAGACATGGTACAGTAGAGACACAGACATTTCTGATATTAGGACACCACGTTTTGACATTATGTAGCCACGCATCTATTTACCTGTCACACCCACTATCTCCCTAATCCCAGCCAACCACTAATCTAATTTCTGTTTCTATAATTTCGTCACTTCAAGATGTCAAACAGATCTCACTTTTGGGATTGCCTTTCTTCACTCAGCATCATTATTCCTGGGAGATTCATCCAGATGGTTGTGTGTGTGAACAGTTAGTTCCTTTTAATTATGACTTGTGTCCCATGGTGTGGACTTGCCCCAGTTTGTTAAGTCATTCAGTCTTGAAAGACATCTGCACTGTTTCAAGTTTGTGACTATTACAAATAGAGCACTATGAACATTCCCATACATGTATGCATATAGGCCTTCATTTCCTTAGAATCTGTGTCCAGAAGTGCACATTATGAGTTGCAAGCCACCTGCATGTTTAGCTTCTTAAGAATCCACCATGCTGTACAATTTTACATTCTGTCAGGCAATGTGTAAGTGTTCTGAATTTTTGCCAGGATTTGGTGTTGTCACTATGTTTTACTTTAGCTATTCTGATCAATGTGTAACAGTATCTAACTGTGGTTTTAACTACCATTTCCCTAATAGCTAATGATGAACGTCTTTCCATGTGGTCTTTTGACACACATGTATATACATATCCTCTTCAGTAAATTGTCTTTTCCTCTCTTTTGTCTATGTTTTAGTTGTTCATTTTTCCATTATTCAGGCTTATAGGTGTTATGAATTTCAGATATTCGCCCTCGGTTAGATACACGGCTTGCAGATATCTTCTTTCAGCATGTAACTTGTCTTTTCACCCTTTTAACAGGGTCTTTCACAAAGAAAAAAACTTTTTAAGTCCAGTTTACCAATTTTTCTATTTATGGGTCATGCTTTCTTTGGTGTCAAATCTAAGAACTCTTTGCTTAGCTCTAGATCACAAAGGTTTTCTCCAATTTTTTTCTTAAAAGTTTTAGAGTTTACATCTAAGTCTGTGATATATTTTGAGTTAATTTTTGTACAAGTGTAAGACAGTCCAGAGTACATTATCTTTTGGCCTATAGATACTCAATTAATCCAGCGGTATTTGTTGGAAAGGCTATCTTTCCTCCTTTGGATTGTTTTTGTTACTTTGTTAAAGATCAGTTGGGCATATTTGTGTGGGTCTATGTTGGGGTTCTCTACTCTTTTGCCTTGATCAAAATGCCCATCTTTCTACCAATATCCCACAGTCTTGATTACTTAGCTGTGTGGTGCATTTTGAAAGCAGGTGGACTGATTTCTCCTACGTTATTCTTTTTCAGAATGGTTTTACCTATTCCAGTTTCTTTGCCTTTCCATATAAATCTTAGACTAATCTTGTTGCTATCTAGAAAACATCTTGCTGGGATTTTTATAGGAATTGCATTAAACTTGTGTATCATTTTTAGGAGAACTGAATTCTTATCACATTGAATTGTCCAATCCATGAACTCAGTCTATTAAGATCTTCTTCGGTTTCTTTCATCAATATATGTACTTTTTATCATTCAAGTCTTGAATTTTCATTTTTGACTGAATGTGAGTGATATTTTAAAAAATTTTATTGTCCACATGTGCACTGCTAGTATGTAGAAATACTACTGATTTTTAAGCATATCATATTGCCTATGACCTTACTGAAGTAACTTATTAATTCTAAGAGTTTTACTGTAGGTTCTTGAGCATTTACACACAGACAACCAGCAAATAAGACAATTTCACTTCCATTTCAACCTGTGTGTCTTTTACTTTTTCTTCTTGACTCTTACACAGGGTAGAACTTCCAGCACTATGCTGAGTAAGAGATTTAAGAGCTAACATCCTTGTCTTTACCTCTGATGTAAAGTATTCAGTCTTTCTTTCATCTTCAGATATAATGTTAGCTACGGGCCTTTTGCACAGGCTCATTCTTGATCAACTTGAGAGAATTTCCCTTTATTTCTATTTTTCTGAGAGTTTTTATTACGAATGGCTGTTGAATTCTGCCAAATGTTTTTCATGATCATATGTATGCTATTGTAAATTTGTTCTGTTGTTGAGGAAGATTACATTGATTTTGAATATTGAACCAGTCTTAAATCCCTGAAATAAAACCCTCTTGGTGACAGTCTGCAATTTTTCTGATACGTTGCTACGTCTCATTTGCTAATGATTTTGTTAAAGAATTTTATATTCCTTTATCCCTCTGTATGCATGAGGGACAATGGTTTGTAGTTTTTTTCTTTTTTGCTCTCTTTTTCTGGTTTTAGTATAAAGGTAATACTAATTTCATGAAATGAATTGAGAAGTGTTCCCTCCTCTTCTATTTTCTGGAAGAGATTCTACAGAATTTATATTAATGCTTCTTTAAACATTTGGTCAACTGAACCAGTGAAATCACCAGGCCTGAGATTTTTTCATGAATCCAGTTATGAATTCAATTTGCTTAATAGTGATAGGATAATTCAAATTATTTATTTCATATTGGATGAGTCTGGGCAGTTTGTTGTTTTTTGAGGAATGGGTCCATTTTATCTAAGTTGCAAAATCTATGTATGAAGAGTTGTTTATGGTATTCCTTTACTATCCTTTTGATGTCTGTAGAGTCTAAATGATGTCCCTGCTAATCTGTGACAATGACATTTGTGATGTTGGTAACTTGTGTCTTCTTTCCTTTTCCTTCATCAGTGGTGCTTGGTTTGTCAGTTGCATTGATCTTTTCAAAGAACCAGCTCTTTGTTTCATTGATTTTTCTCTGTTATTTTACTGTTTTCAATTTCAAGTGATTTCTGCTTTTATCTTTAGTATTTCTTTCTTCTGTTGGTTTTGGCTTTCCTTTCTCTTCTCCTTTTTGTAGGTTCTTGAAATGAGATCTTTCTTTTTTTTTTTTTTTTTTTTTTTTTTGAGACGGAGTCTCGCTCTGTTGCCCCGGCTAGAGTGCAGTGGCGCTATCTCGGCTCACTGCAAGCTCTGCCTCCCGGGTTCACGCCATTCTCCTGCCTCAGCCTCCTGAGTAGCTGGGACTACAGGCGCCCGCCACCACGCCCGGCTAATTTTTTGCATTTTTAGTAAAAACGGAGTTTCTCCGTGTTAGCTAGGATGGTCTCGATTTCCTGACCTCGTGATCCGCCCGCCTCAGCCTCCCAAAGTGCTGGGATTACAGGCGTGAGCCACTGCCCCGGCCAGAATGAGATCTTAAGTTACCAATTTAACATTTTCTTCTTTTCTAATGTATGCATGTAGTGCTATACATTTCCATTCCAGCACTGCCTTAACTGAGCCCTAAAAATTTTGATATGTTGTATTTTCATTTTTGTTGAAATCAATGTACTTTTTCACTTCACTTTTGACTTCTTCTTTGACCTATTTAGAACATGCTGTTTAATTTCCAAGTGTTTGGAGATATTCCTGTTGTATTTTTGTTTTTAATTTCTAGTTGTATCCAGTCATGGCAGGGGAACACTCAGTATCACCTCAGTTCCTGTACCTGTTGAGGTTTGTTTTACAGCCCAGGATATGGTTTATGTTGCTGTATAATCTTTTGGCACTTGCAAAGAATATGGATTCTGCTGTTGTTGGGTGGAGTGCTCTACATATGTCAATTAGATCTTGTTGGTTGGTGGTATGGTTCAGTTATTTTGTTTCTTTATTGATTTTCCCTCTATTAGTTCTATCGAATGTTGAGAGATAGGTATTGAAGCCTTCAACTATAATTAAAGATTTATCTATTTTTCCTTTCAGCTTTATCTGTTTGCTTCACATATTTTTCAACTCTATTTTTGGTATATTTGCCTTCTTGGTAGATTGGCCCCTTTTATCTTTATGTAATTTCCTTCTCTGTCTTTGCTCTGAGACATACTTGATCTGATATTAATATAGCCACTTCTGTCTTCCATAATTAGTATCTGCATGACATTTTTTTATTATTTTACTTTCAATCTGCCTATAAAGTAATGTTTGAAATGCGTATCTTGTAGACAGCATATAGTTGGCCATATTTTTTAATCCACTCTTCCAATTTCTGTTTTTTATTTCAAATATTTAGACCATTTATATTTAATTTAATTATTGATATATTAGGGTTTAGGTCTGCCATTTAATTTTTTTGTTTTCAGCTTTTTTCTGCTTTTTCTTACTGTTTCCTTTTTCCTGCCTCTGACTTTTATTTAAACACTTTTTATAATTCCATTTATTTCTTTTGGTAAAACTTTTAAAGTGGCTTCTCAGCCAGACATGGTGGCTAACACCTGTAATCCCAGCACTTTGGGAGGCTGAGGCGGGCGGATCACAAGGTCAGGAGATTGAGACTATCCTTCCTAACACGGTGAAACCCGTCTCTACTAAAAATACAAAAAATTAGCTGGGCGTGGTGGCGGGTGCCTGTAGTCCCACCTACTCGGGAGGCTGGGGCAGGAGGATGGCATGAGCCCGGGAGGCGGAGCTTGCAGTGAGCCTAGATCGTGCCACTGCACTCCAGCCTGGGTGACAGAGCGAGACTCTGCCGCAAAAAAATAAATACACAAATAAATAAAGTGGTTTCTCTAGGTACTACACTATATACACAAAATTTATCACACCCTTATTGGTGCCATCATTTTACCTGTTCAAGTAAATTACAGAAGTCTTACCTCCCTTTGTGTCTCTTTACCTTCCCCCACTTATAAAATAATTATCATAAATATTTCCTCTTTAGATTTCAAACATAATTTGGAAAACTCAAAGCAATAAAGAAAACCTATTCTATGTATCTATATTTTGGCTTACGATGTTCTTTCTTTTCTCCTGATTTTCTGAGTTTCCTTCTCTTATCACTTCCATTCTGTTTGGAGAACTTATTTTAGCCATTCTTTAGGTAGGTTTGGTGGTGTCAAATTCTCTTGGTTTCCCTTCATTTGAAAATGTTTTGGTTTTCCCCTCATTCCTGAAGAAAATTTTCACTGGGTTGGCAGTTCTTTCCTTTAAAAACTTGAAAAATATTCTGCCACTTCCTTATGGTTTACGTGATTTCTGATGAGAAATTCTTTGTCACTAAAGTTGCTTCTCTTCTGTGGGTAAGGTGTTGCTTTCCTCTGACCACTTTTTAATATTTTTTCTTTGTCTTTAGTTTTCAGAAGTTTAATTACGATGTGTCTCAGGTGTTTGCTATTTGAAGTTATCTCAGCTTCTTGAATCAGTAGATTTATTTATGTTGCCAAATTTGAGGAGATTTTGGCAATTGTTCTTTCAAGTGCATTTTTCAGCTTCACCCTCTTTCTCCTCTCCTTTTGGACTCTGATAGCACGAATGTTAGATGTTTTGTTATATTCCCATGGGTCCATTTTTTTTTTTTTTTTTTTTTGATACAGAGTCTCACTCTCACCCAGGCTGGAGCGCAGTGGCATGATCTCAGCTCACTGCACCCTCCGCCTCCCAGGTTCAAGTGATTCTCTTGCCTCAGCCTCCCAAGTAGCTGGGACTACAGGCGTGTGCCACCACACCTGGCTAAATGTTTGTATTTTTAGTAGAGACAAGGTTTCACCGTGTTAGCCAGGATGGTCTCAACCTCCTGACCTCGTGATCCACCTGCCTTGGCCTCCCAAAGTGCTGGGATTATAGGCGTGGGCCACCACGCCAGGCTGGGTCCATTTTTTTCACTCTATTTTCTTTCTGTTCTTCAGATTGGTTAATTTCTCTTATTTTTTCTTCCAATTCACTGATTCTTTTCACCGCTCACTTCCTTCTGCTATTGAGCCCATCCACTTCAGTTTTTTTATTTTTAAGTTCTGACATTTCCATTTGGTTCTTCTCTATATATTTGCTGAGGTTTTGTTTTTTTTTTTCACTTTTTTCAAGTGTGTTCAAATTGTTTATTGAAGCATTGTTGTCATGGCTACTTTAAACTCTTTTCAGATAAATCTGATATCTCTGTCTTTAGGTGTTGGCATCTGTTAATTGTCTTTTGTCCTTCAGTTTAGGATCTTCCTGGGTTTTTGAATGGTGGGCAATTTTCAGGTTCAAGTGATATTTCCTGTCTCAGTGGGGATATTTGCATTTTGAGCCTGGGTGTTCCGATTTAGCTGAATTTCTTTTTTTTTTTTTGTCAGCACTCCCACAGGGGAAGAGGGCAGGATGCAGCCTCATTACTACCAGGTGGAAGTAGAAGTTCTTGTTCTTCACAGCACCTCTGTTGGCACCTGAGGGCAGGGCAGGGGGGTTGTTCCTAATCACTGCCAGGCAGATGTGGGAGTTTCAACTTTACCTATGATCTCCACTAGCACCACGGTGGGGTAGGGGTGGCCTCATTCTCTTTGGGCCACAGTGAAAGTCCTGATGCTCCTCCAGTCTTCTTCTGATACCACCCCAGCTGGTAGAGGGAGGAGCCTCATTACTGCTGGGTGAGAGTGAAAGTCCAGGCTCTCCACATGGTCCCACTGACACGGGGTGGCAGGGGCTCATTACCAGCTGGCAAGAGTGAAAGTTAAGGAATCCTATTTGGCCTCCTCTGACACCATCCAGGCAGGAGTGTGGAGGTGCCTCATTACAGCCTGCCAAGTGCAAGAATTCAGGCTCCCTACTCAGCCCTTGCTGGCATGAGTGGGGTTGGGCCCAGCTTGCTCAGTGGCATTTGGCTACAATAAAGCTGTATTGTCTTGAAGTTTTCTGCCTTGGTGCCCTTTTCCTGGCTTTGGTTGGAGAGAGCATGCTTCTTTTGGGGCTTTTTGGTCTCAGCCTATTACTGTTTCCAGTTTCCTGGCTTCTTCAGCTCCAAGTCTAGGATATATGGGGCCAAAAGAAAACCCAGGGAATTCATAACTATGTCTTCTCTCTTGTCCCAAGACCCATAGTAGGTTTGCCTTCTCTCCTCCATTCACAGTCTCCTTATGATTGGCTCATGTATAATGTCCTGCGTTTTTAGTTATGTTTAGACAAAGGAATGGGGAAAAGTATGTCCACTGCATCTTCCTGGAAGCAGAAGCCTCAATTCACATATTTTTAATCTCATGATTAAGTATTTTTAATCTCATGACTTTTAGTAAAACTTAAACTACTAAATGAAATGACATTATATGGCCATGGCAAGATAATTTAAATTTCCTGGGTGCTCCTTTTGTCTTCTCATTCCCTTCTCGCCTTTACCCACTCCACCCACCGCTCAGACTACAATAAACTCTGCCATTGACCCTCCCATCTCCACCCTCCTCCAACCTCTCCTCCAGATGCTGGGGACTCTCTGCCCTTCACTGGATCATAACTCCTGCAGATGTCTGACTTAGCATGTCTGCAATAACTCACTTCTCTTCTTTTCCGGTGATAACCTGCCACCCTTCCTCCCACCATTTACCGATCAGAAAAAGCTTCAACTGGAGAAACAGAATTAGAGTGGACTTTTGAGGACAGATAGAACTTGACAGGCAGAGATGGAGAGAATAATAACAGCATTTAGGTATGTGATTATGATATGTGTTCAAATGCTATGATTATGTTTGACTGAAGCAGAGCGTGTTCATTCACCAAGTCCATAAATGTGTAAATGTCTATTAAGTATCAGACACTATTCTAAGCACTAGCTTAGAATACTGTCTGATATTATTAATAATAATTAATTTATAATAATAATATTAGAATAGTGTCTAATATTAGTGGCTTCAAAAAGCAGATGGAGGTCCCTGCCCTCACACAGCAAAGTTTAACAGGAGAGACAGGTATGTTTCAAGTGAACAAACTAAAAAAATCTGTAACAGTGATTCTATTAAATAATTGCTCTAAATAAAAACAGATGGTTATGAAAGAGAAAGCTCAAGTGGGCAAAGAAGTGTTATTTTGAGTTGGATATCAGGGAAACATCACTGAGAAAGTTACCTTAAGGATTAGCAGGCACCAGGCAGATAAAAAGTGGAGAACACGGCGTTTGGATGGGCTCTGTGTGAGGCAAGATTCCTGTTCTACACAGGCCAGCACAGTAGTGGAAGCAGGTAGAAGGGAGATTTGCTTAAGATAAGGCGGAGCAGAAGGCAAACCAGATGACCAGGGGGCTACAGAGCAGGTAGAGGCTGATTCGACTGCAAGTGCGATGGGAAACCACTGAAGGTTTTAATCAGGGAAGTAACGTGATCCGATTTCATTATAAGGGAAATAGTAGACAATAGAACTGGAAACATACTTTGGGAACACACTGTGGAAAGCCTTCAGTGACAGTCCTGGGAGTTTTCACCTAATTCATAAGACAGTGGAGAGTTTTCAAGGGCTTTATTTTTTTAAATAAACACTTGGTTCAAGATTTATTACACAACAAATACATATTATAAAACAATCAGAAACAAATAAGCAAAAAGAATATAAACATAACCCATAAGCAAACCAGTCAGATAGAATCCATTGTAGTGCACTTTGGAGTTCTCTCTCAGGCAGCTTTCCATGCATATACTAAATGGTATGATTTAATACACTATCATATGTTTATTAGTATACATAAATACACATTTTACAAAAGGAGGGTCTTGTGGTCTTACTGAATAGAGTGTTTTGTAAACTTCTTTTTCCCTTTTCATGATGTATTGGGAACATGTGTTTCAATAAAAACACTTAAAATGGCATCATTTTTAATGGCATCATTTTTAATGGTATGTATATTTCATAATTGATCCAATTAAACTCAAATGTTCAACTTTTACGTTTCTTCAAGTTTTCTCTGCTGTAATTAGCCTGCACTATAGTTGGTGTCATCACAACAAAGTGTCTGCATAAATCAATAATCAATTTTTAGAATATTTTCCTGTAAGTGTAAGTGCCACGTAAAATGTTGGTGAACATGTTAAGGCTTTTGATGCATCCGATCACATTATCCTTCACAAAAGTTGTGCGAATTTATAATACCCCTAGTGGTATAGAAATGTGCCACCTTCCCAAAAGCACTGGGTGCCATCAGTTCTTTTTACTTTTGTCATTTGGTAAAGGGAAATGGCATATCATCACTAGATTTTTTTGTATTTCTTTGATTACTAATGAGATTGAACATTTTCAATTATTAGTTACTGGTCTTTGTTTTTGCTCTTTTATACATTTCTTGGCCGTCTTTTACTAATTTTTATATTGGTAGATTTATCGTTTCCTTTCTATATGTAGATATATATTTAATAAATATATTTTGATTACACATACTTAATATTTACACCTATCCATATGTGAGACATTTTTTCTTTTCTTTTCTGTTTTTTTGGGGTTTTTTTTTTTTTTTTTTTGAGACAGAGTCTCGCTCTGTTGCCCAGGCTGGACTGCAATGGCGCAATCTCAGCTCACTGCAACTTCCACCTCCCTGGTTCAAGTGATTCTCCTGCCTCAGCCTCCTGAGTAGCTGGGATTACAGGCATGCACCACCACACCCAGCTAATTTTTGTATTTTTAGTAGAGACTGGGTTTCACCATGTTGGCCAAGCTGGTCTCAATCTCCTGACCTCAGAAGAGCCACTTGCCTCAGCCTCTCAAAGTGCGGGGATTACAGGCATAAACCATCGCACCTGGCCATGAGACATTTTTTCTGTGTCTTCTTATAAAACCCTTATCTGACATATGATGCAAATATATTTTCACAGTTTGCAATTTTCCTTCTGTGATATTATTTTACCATAGAAAATGTATCCTTTTTTATTATTCATGCATTTCCTTTATGATTTCTCCCTTAGAAGTCATACTTAGAAAGCCTTTTGCCCCACAGGCCCATGTAAGCTCACATTGTGATGACTTTATTCCTTCCACATAAGTCTGGAATCCTTCTGCCCTGTGGTATGAAATACACTCCTGTCTTGCTTTTCCACACGTATTTCCCCACAGACTTGAAAGGCACACTCCTGACCATACAAACTTGGACATGCTCCTCAGCCTGTTTCTCCACTGTCTGTGTTGGGCCATTGATTTTTCTGTTTATTTCTCAGCCGCTAATGGATTGTTTGAAAGTTCATAGTTAGTCCACGGTTCATTTCAATATTCAGTAGGGCAAGTCATCCTTTTCTATGTTTTTTGTCAAAATCGTATTAAAAGTTTTGTGTAGATGAACAACAAGCCTGGAATCACGCGTGGGAATGCCAGCCTCACATGACATAGAAGACAGAGAAGGAGGAGGCGGGCACAAGCGGGACCCCACAGCCAGCAGCCCCCTTCAGGTAGGAGGTCTCAAAGGTAATTTGCATTCTGAGCTTAAATCCCCAACTGATGATGGGGCCAAAAATCTCACTGACCTCCTGTGATGATCTAAGGGCTCATTCATAAGTTCTGAGGGTTGTGATTATCGAGCACCTGTGAGGGTTTGCTGAGCTGCCAGCCTGGCAGAGCATGCAGCTGAGCAGTCAACCAGGGCAACATTTTTACTTTGCTGTTAGTCTACAACTACAGGACAGAAGTTATTCAAATTTTTTAAAACTTGTACAGCAAAAACGAAAGAGTAGGAAACTCTGGGGACCTGTCCCTCCCAAAAACACTGAAAAATATGACAAAAAGGCCATATGACAAAAAGCCAGAACCACATTATTGTGTGATTCCATTTATATGAAATGCCCAGAAAAAGCAAATCTATAGAGATAGAAAGCAGATGCGTAGTTGCCTAGGGCTGGACAGAAGCGGCAATGGGAAGAGACTGCCTAATTTATGGGTTTTCTTCATGGGACAATGAAAAAGGTCTTGAACCACATAGTGGTGATGGTTGTGCACATGGCTAGTGTGTACCACCATCAATGCCACTGAATTGTACACTTTAAAATGGTTAAAATGGTTAATTTCATGTTGTATATATTGTAACACAATTTTAAAAACAGTATTATATAGATTCATTGAAAATATCACACCTAACAATCAGAATAAAATTCACACAGAACGTATATTTTTATATATATTTCATGTGAATTATATATACCTCTTTATACATAATCCATGTGAATATATATCAATACATTTCTTGAAAAGTATGTAATAATTCACTTTTAATAATCTTCCAATGAAAGAGGCCTTTTAAAATTACTTCATATAACCCAGGAGACATAAAAGAAAATAACCTTGTAGCAATTTTAATTATAAAAAGTTGTGTACAAAAAAGAACCACTCTAAGTGAGTACTTAAAGTGTACAAAAAAGAACCACTCTAAGTGAGTACTTAGAGTGTACAAAAAAGAACCACTCTAAGTGAGCCACTTACGGTGGCTCACACCTGTAATCCCAGCACTTTGAGAGGCCAAGGTGGGTGGATCTTCTGAGGTCAGGAGTGGGAGACCAGCTTGACCAATATGGTGAAACCCTCTCTCTACTAAAAATACAAAAATTAGCCAGGCCTCTGCCATGTGCCTGTAACCCCAGCTACTGGGAGGCTGAGGCAGGAGAATCGCTTGAACCCGGGAGGCGGAGGTTGCAGTGAGCCGAGATCATGCCATTGTACCCCAGCCTGGGCAACAGAGCGAGACTCTGTATCAAATAAATAAATAAATAAATAAATAAATATAAATAAATTTTAAAAATTTACAAAAAAATGTCAAATCAACCTTTCAGACTGCTGGGAGATAGCCAATGGTTTGCAGCAACCAAGTGAAAGCCCAGCTAGGACAGAGGCGACCAAGACCCTCGCTGCAGCCTCAACTGCCCTCCTTGGCGAGGTGGCTGCTCCCATGCCTGGGGTGAGTACTGGGCTCCGAGGAAGCAAACCAGACCCGGATCTCAGGGAACTGTGTCTGTTTTGACCCGACGGGGATTTCCTGGGTCACAGGGCTTGTCCTTGCTTTGCCTATCTCGGAGTGATCAGGGCGGGTGGCTAAGAGGACAGGGCTTCCCAGAACAGCAGAAGTGAGTGAGCAAGCTACTGCTGCCGGGAGCAAAGAGTAACAGCTGGAGTGGACAACAGACGCGCCCAAAGCCTGGGAGGAAAAACCAGCCTGTGACACCTCGGGTAAACAGGGCCTCTGAAAAGTTCCTTCTATGCGATTTTAGCAGTTCCTCAACAAGTAGACATGAAATTACCATATGATCTCACAATTCTACATCTAGGTACACAGCCAGGAGTACTGACAAGAGGTGTTCCAGCAAGAATTTGTGCACCAATGTTCATAGCAGCCCTATCCACAATAAGTGGAAACAACCCCCATGTCCATCCACTGATGAGAGGATTTTAAAAATGTGGCATAGCCAGAAGATGGGCTATTAATCAGTCATACAAAAAGGAAGTACTGATACATTCTACAACATGGATGAAATTTGAAAACATCATGCTAACTGAAGAAGCCAGAACCACATTATTGTGTGATTCCATTTATATGAAATGCCCAGAAAAAGCAAATCTATAGAGATAGAAAGCAGATGCGTAGTTGCCTAGGGCTGGAGAGAAGCGGCAATGGGAAGAGACTGCCTAATTTATGGGTTTTCTTCGTGGGACAATGAAAAAGGTCTTGAACCACATAGTGGTGATGGTTGTGCACATGGCTAGTGTGTACCACCATCAATGCCACTGAATTGTACACTTTAAAATGGTTAAAATGGTTAATTTCATGTTGTATATATTGTAACACAATTTTAAAAACAGTATTATATAGATTCATTGAAAATATCACACCTAACAATCAGAATAAAATTCACACAGAATGTATATTTTTATATATATTTCATGTGAATTATATATACCTCTTTATACATAATCCATGTGAATATATATCAATACATTTCTTGAAAAGTATGTAATAATTCACTTTTAATAATCTTCCAATGAAAGAGGCCTTTTAAAATTACTTCATATAACCCAGGAGATATAAAAGAAAAATTAATAACTTTGTAGCAATTTTAATTATAAAAAGTTGTGTACAAAAAAGAACCACTCTAAGTGAGTACTTAAAAAAGAAGACTAGCGGCCAGGCGCGGTGGCTCACCCCTGTAATCCCAGGTCTTTGGGAGGCTGAGGTGGGTGGGTCACCTGAGGTCAGGAGTTCGAGACCAGCCTGGCCAACATGGTGAAACCCAGTTTCTACTAAAAATACAAAAATTAGCTGGGCGTGGTGGTGCATGCCTGTAGTCCCAGCTACTCAGGAGGCTGAGGCAGGAGAATCACTTGAACCCGGGAGGCAGAGGTTGCAGTGAGCTGAGATCGCGCCATTGCCCTCTAGCCTGGGCGACAAGAGCGAGACTCTGTCTCGAAAAAAAAAAAAAAGACAAGCTAGGGAACATAATTGCATTTCGCAAACATAAAAATGCTAGTTTTTCCAATAAATACAATACTCTTACAAACCAACAACCAACAGGTCAAAACAGAGTAGGAAAATGTGGGGGGAAAAGGAAGAATATACAAATGCCCTTCAAACATTTGGAAAGAAGGCTTGACCTCTCTTCTAATAAGGTGATGTCAAATAAAATTATATTAAATTGTTTTTCACCTCTCTCATAGAGATCAAAATTTGGATAATGGTCAGAACAAGGATCTTTGAGGAAAAAAAATTGGGTAACATGGTGTGTCAGTGAGAGATTGTGGGGATGTCATATCTACATTGCTTCTGTGCTGCTGGTGAGGCTGCTAACTGGTCATACCTCTATAAAAGCAGTTTGGCAAAATACATACAAATTACTAATGCATGTATTTTTTGATCTGGCAATTTTATTTCTAGGAATTTTCACACAGAAATACTCTAATACATGTGAGATGACATATACACATACTTGTTATTATAACACTATTAGTAAGATCAAAATGTTGGAGACAGCCATAAGTATACATCATTAAAGGACTTTTAAATAATACAGCATATCATACAATAGAATATAATGCAGCTGTAGAAAGGATGCAAGGAATGTTTGTGTGCAAATATGGAATGCACTTGAAAATATATTGCTCTTACAAGGGCAGAAGAGTGTGTACAGTATTTTTACCACTTATATAAAGAAGGAAGAATACGAACATGAATTAACTTCCTTTGTAGAGATGTAACCTATTTCTGAAAAATATTAGAAAAATTATAGAACTGGCTGTTTCATAGGAAGGGAATTTGTGTCAAGACAAGAGTGGAAGAATACATTATTTAAACTTTTGTACGTTTTGAATTTGGAACTCTATGACTGTGCTACCTACTCAAAACAATTTTAATGACTATATATATTTTATGGAATCCCCTTACAAATAATGCAAGTATTTAACCAATGCTCGCTATTAATGGTTGCACCATGATAGACTTAATGGTGAAATCATATACAAATTAAGACCTTATTGAGTAGCATTAAGTGGACCTCATTCAAAACAACTGCTCCATGTGAAAATTTTTGAATAATTTACCATGCTTTGATATCATTAAATACAAGACTTTTGCCTTTTACTCATCTACAGTGTAGAGATCACTCTTCCATGTCAGCTAAAGTTGAATCCCAGTTGGTTCTTACTGAGGGACCCCGAGGGCAGGTCTGTAGATGGGTGCAGGTGAAGCGGGTCACAGCACACTACAGCAGCCAGGAGGTATGGGCTTCCCAACACCAGGGCCACTGCCCCCTGCCAGATGTGAGCTGGCACTGCCGCCTTCCTCCCCGTGCACTGCATGGCTCTCCTGTCCTCTAACCACCCAGAGTGCCAGCAGGACTCCAGTGGAAGTCAGCAGATCAGGACTGAAACCTGGACTCCTAAGAGCTGCTGAGAACACGTTTTCTTCCAGGCACCTCACTAGACATTTTATATAGTTAGCCATCATTTAATTTACCCAGTGACATCAGCATAAGGTACATATCATTTTCCCTGTTTTTCACAGGCAAATACTTGGACTCAAGAGCAAGGAATGTCCTGAAGACTTGCACAGGGAAAAGTATTGGAGCTTGGATTAAATACAGATTAACAACAACAACAACAACAACAAAAGCCAGGCTCAGAAAGACAGGGACAAAGAAACAGAAAGGAAGTTAAAAACAAACCACAGGACTGAGTTCCTTCATTTCAGGGTCTAATGAGGGCTGGCGGCCGTAGCCATTCTAGAATTCCCAACATGGAGTTCCAAATTTTCTAGAAACAATGAAGATCTAGTATTTTCAAGCTTTTATCAGCTTATATTACACTCTCAATGATAATTTTTTTTAATTCTTTAGTAGCACACCAACTAACACTAAAGTAAGCCACCTGGCCAAGCGTGGTGGCATGTGCCTGTGGTCCCAGCTACTTGGGAGGCTGAGACGGGAGCATCCCTTAAGCCCGGGAGGTCGACGCTGCAGTAAGCTGTGATTGTACCACTGCACTGCAGCCTGGGTGACAGAGAGATACCATTTTAAAAATAAAAATAAAAAAAATTAAGCTACTCAATTTGCAGGAGATCATGCAAAGGTAGACAGAGCAGGCTGGTCACTGGAGCCCAGGGCAACCTGCAGACAGATGCACCTGCAGACAGACTTTTGCTGGCATCATCTCCCACTCTTCCTCTGGCTGGTCCTTCCCCCTGATGTTATTTTTAATGGTCCTGTGTATTGTTGTGGAGGTCACCTCACATGTTTTCCTAGTGTAGTGAGAATACTAACCAAAGGCTGAAAAGAAATCAAATGCAATGCCAGTTGAAAGACCTGAGACAGACACACAGGGAATGCCTAGGTGCCTGACAGGGAGAGAAGCTCTCAGTGTGCCATGGACCACGTGGATGCTTATCAAGGAGACCTGCTAACCCAGCTAAGAGATAGTGGCCCAGCAGGTCTCAGAGGAAAGGACCCTTCTGGCCCCAGGTGGCTTGGGGTCCCTCATCAGCACTCCCGTCACACCTCACAACCAGGGCCACCACACCAGGAATTCGTGTGCAGATTGTGTCTTGTGTCTGTCTTGAAGGCATCTAAAGGCACTTGGAACTATACCTTTTGTCTCCCCAACACTAACAAAATCTGTGGCATGTTGTAAATACTTGGTGAATGAATTCCTAAAAGTTTGAATCTGGACCTTCAAGGGAAGACAATATATGGCTATGCAGTATTCAGAGGATAACCAGGCAGGAAGATCATCAAGGTCTAGAAACACACCAAGAAGAGAGACTACGGCATTTCAGTGCAGGCCAGGGGTGGCACTGGTCAAAGGCACATGTGGAACTGTGTCAGGCTGAATAGATGAGCCGGCACCCAGCCAAGAAGCACCACTTCCGCCACGCCTCCTCTGGAAATGGCACCCTACTTCATTCAGGTGACAAAATATGGCCCTCACACTCGAATACTGACCGTCACTCAAGGCACCTCTGTCCAGTTCTTCCAAATCCAGAACAGTTTCAGCGATAGCAGACAAATCCACACATAACATGTTATGTTTGATTATTCAGAGATGATCATTTAAACAATGATGTCACTGCTATCAATGTAAGGCATCCGGTGGAGATGCCTGTCTTAGACACCCCTAAATTTGACCAACCTTGACTTCCAATTTGCCCGAGGGCATGGAGGACATTTGAGACAGCATGCCCAAAAAATCAAAGTGAAATGTCCTCCACTATTATTCCAGGAACTTCTTCTGAAGCACCACTTGGGAAATGCAGTCTCCTCCAAGGACAGCACTCACGCTGGTGTCAGCCACATACTCCAGCTGTACCCGGGTTGAGGACCAGTGCAGACCCTCTCCCCTGCATGCCACATTCAGAAAGCAGAGGAGGCCTTGTGTAAGGTATGACTACAAAATAACACAACTCTCAGAATCACTACAGATACAGCAGCATCCAAAGTCCTCATCCCCCACGTTTTAAATTCTCAAAATAACCACTTAAAATTTTGAAATTGGCTGGGCATGGTGGCTTATGCCTGTAATCCCAGCACTTTGGGAGGCCAAGGCAGGTAGATCATGAGATCAAGAGATCGAGACCATCCTGGCCAACATGGTGAAACCCTGTCTCTACTAAAAATACAAAAATTAGCTGGATGTGGTGGCGTGCCCCTGTAGTCCCAGTTACTCGGAGGCTGAGGCAGAATAGCTTGAACCCAGGAGGCAGAGGTTGCAGTGAGCCAACGTCGCACTACTGCACTCCAGTCTGGTGACAGAGCGAGATTCCACCTCAAAAAAAAAAATGCAATGAACACATGTCATCCTGCCCAAGCCAAAAGAAAGATGGGAGCTATTTTCTCAGCTGGTAGCATAATTGTATTATTCGCAGAGGCACACTGAAGACTCAGTGTCAGCTCGGTGCAGTTAGAAAGAACGCTGACGGTGGCAAAGCTAAATGGTCTTTGTCAGGCATTCTCCAGCATTCAAACGGGTAATATTCCATAGCGTCTTTCACTAAGTCAGTTCATGCAGGGAGGCAGAAGCAGGAGGCAGCGCTCTCAAAGTCACAGGCTCCAAGTGAGCCATGCTGAAGTTTAGTTTCATGGTCGAGGTTGCCAACTAGTAACTTTTATTCATACAATTTTCAAGTTAAAATCTTTATTTCCAGCTAGGCGCGGTGGCTCATGCCTGTAATCCCAGCACTTTGGGAGGCCGAGGCAGGCAGATCACGAGGTCAGGAGATCAAGACCATCCTGGCTAACGCGGTGAATCCCCATCTCTACTAAAAATACAAAAACAAAAAATTAGCCAGGTGTGGTGGCAGGCACCTGTAGTCCCAGCTACTCGGGAGGCTGAGGCAGGAGAATGGTGTGAACCCGGGAGGCGGAGGTTGCAGTGAGCCGAGATTGTGCCACTGCACTCCAGCTTGGGCCACAGAGCAAGGCTCCATCTCAAAAAAAAAAAAAAAATCCTCACTTCCACACTTTCCCACGGTGCCCTGGGATCTTGGCTATTTGCTCAAGCATTTGAAAACATTTCTTTTTTAATTTCTTGAAAGCTTAAGTTCACAAAGAAACTTGTACATGAATGCTCATGGAAGCTTCATTTGTAATGGTCGAAAATGGGGGACAAGGCAGCCGTCCTTCGACGATGACTGATTAAACAGTGGTGTGTCCACACCAGGAACACGGCTCAGCTATGGAAAGGAACGGGCTCTGATACACACAGCAACGTGAATGGGTCTCAAGGGCATTTTACTGAGTGCAAAAATGCCTTGTGAGGTTACTGTGTGGTTTTGTTTATGTAACAGTCTCAAAGGATAAAATTATAGAGACGGAGAGCAGATTAATGGTTCCAGGAGCAAGGAAGACAGGAACCCTCGTGTGGAGCTGTTCTGCCTCTTGACTGTCAAGGTGGCCATCCTACTCTACAGCAGTGATACAGTTACGGAAAATAAATGCACACAAATGAACTGAGACTGGAGGAACCCCAGTGACACTGGTGAGTGTATGCATTTATACACTGGTTGAGATACTGTAATATAGTGCTACGTTTGCAGATGTTATGACGGAGAAAACTGGGTAAAAGGCACAGAAGATCATGCTATATTATATCTGACCACTACATGTGAATCTTCAGTTATCTCAAAATTAAAAGTTTAACAACAAATTCTTTGGGGAAAATGTTTGACTTGGAATTCACCCCCACATGTGGCCCTCCTTCCTATGGAGTTGCCATCCTCTCTGTTTTTGTTAGAATTGCCTATTAATGTTTAATCAGTCAAGAGTGTCCAACTGCAGGCCGGCCTGACTCCACCATGGGCTTGGCCAGCAGTCCTGAGCCAGCACCCTCCGCTCCAAGGCTCCCTCTGCCTGATGTGAAAGCTGAATGCCCACCTTCTCCACACCCAGCCCACTGTGCTGGTGAGCTAGGATATACTGGTCAGCACCCGTGAGTGTGCAGATTTTTATTTATGGGTATGGATTTATTTTCATATGTTAATAAAGGCTTTCTATTTTATTCAAATGCTTAAGAGACTTTTTGTTTTCAGATAAATTGATTCTTATTAATAGAAGAATTATATCAATATTACTTATTTACTTCCTCATTTCTCCCAATAGTTTTTATGCCTCCAGAGTACATCGTATACAACAGATGCTCAATGATGGTTCAGTTGAATTCCATTAAATCAAGGATGCAGTGGAGACACCTCAGTAAAGGCAGAGACACGCTTACCAGAATGGGGCTGCACACCCTGTGCTTCTTTCGAGCCTGGTCAGTCTATGCATCACTAAAAATATGTCCTGGTGAAATCTGTATCTGCAGCCCAAACTTCCCCCTGGACACCAGATCCACATGTCCAGCTGGCCACTCAGCATTTCACGTGGATGTCCACAGACATCTCCAACGCGGCCACTTCAAATGGAGTCCGCATCCCCTGAGCCTGCTCCCCTCCCACCTGACTCAGCAGCACCCCCATCCAAGTTGCTCAAGCCCCGAACCTCAGAGCCATCCTTGATTCCTTTTCTTCTTGTATTCCAGGTCCATTCCATCAGCAAATCCTGTTGATGATTATCTCCAGAAAATATCCATAATTGCACTGCTTCCCACCATGCCTACCAACATCCCCGGGGCAGGACCCTAGCATGGCTCCCACATCTCACAGCAAGCCCTGGTGGCTGCTGGGGAGATGGCCCAGCCTGGCCAGGCTTCAGTCGTCTTCTCCCACAGGGACAGAGCTGTGACCAGCAGCCAGCATGGAGACTTGGCATCCTAGCCCAAGCGTGGCAAGCTTAGGCTTAGGCTTAAGCTCAAGCTTAGCTTGAGGGCCACCTCTTGCCCCGCTGGGCACCCTGAGCCACCTGTGAAGGGCTGCGTGGACTACACTTCTGGTGGTGCCAAGCTCTCAGGACAGTCACCCCATCCACCCAGCAAATGGCCGGTCACTCTCCAGGAGCAGAGCCACCCAGCTGGCCAGTCCTCCCTGAGGGGGCAGCCCATCCCAGAGCAGCAGGACTGCCCTGCCCCCACCCGCACATGTTGCTGATCCCCAGAATCCAGGGGGAAACAAATGTGTTGCTGTATGTCACAGGGGAGCAGGAACTTGACAGCCTTCCCCTTCCAGGTCTGCCCCGACGGTCCACTCTAGACCCAGCTGACAGGGGACCATCATGGGGTAGAAGAGGTCAGAGGGCCAGGGCCGGTGTGCAGAGGAGGCCACCCTACACTGCAGCTTTCACTCTCAGTGACATCCGCTTCTGTGGGAGGGGGTTCAGAAGATAAGGGACAGGGCTCACCGAGGTTTTAAAATGATGGCTGTGTTGAGTAGACTGGGCTTGCTAGCTCCTAGCACCCTCTCACCACAGGGCCTTTGCACAGATGGTTTCCTGTCTCCAGAACACTCTGCCCTCAGAGATGTGCACCTCACACCCTCTCCCACCATTTCTTCAATGTCACCCCTACAGAGAGGCCTATCCTGGCCACCTTGTTTTAAATGGGGGCCCTTCCGGCTCCTCCCCTACTTCCTCACCCTGTTTCCTAAGCTCTGATGACTTCTAACGTCTTATGAAAATCGCTGATCGATCATGCTGATTGCAGATCTCTCCCTGCCTCAAGAATGTGAGGTCCATTCAGGCAAGGGTCAGCCTGCTCGATGACAAATCTTGAGGTCTCGCTCAGATGACAGCAGCATGTGAGAGGCTCTCAGAGTCCTGACGCTGCCTGGGTGATAAAATGTATTAGTCAGCAGGCACAAGTTGTTCTTAAGTCTTTAACTGCAACAGAGCTCTCAGCGTTGTCATCGTCCTGGTTATGCAATCTTGGTGACCACTGCTGATGAAGCAGGTGGACCTGGGCGGGAGCCGGAACCCTCCGTGCCCCCCGGATGACCCATGGCCATGCTCCCCAGTCTCCTTCCCTGGACTTTGCCACTTGCAAACCCACCATAGTGTCAGGACACAGGGCAGCCGATGCAGACGGGACCCCTCAGGAAACCACAGCCAGGAGCAGCTGATGGGGCAGCTCAGCAGGTAGGGCAGGTGCAGGCCATGGACAGTCAGCAAGGGCCTGCAGGGAGCCTGCAGAGCCCGAAAGCACCTCCCAACTCTGCAGAGCAGCAGCTCGCAGCCTCTTCTAAACACCGTGCACAGTTCTGCAGTTCTTGGCCCTTGTCTCATATTATGTTGCTGAAAAATAGAAGGAAAATTCTGCAGGGTCTGACGCTGACCCTGAACAGGATGCATGGGGGTAGGTCTTGCACAGCGGCCTGTGTGGAAGGGTCGAGTCATAAGAGGGTCATGCACTCAAAATAACGAGATGGATGTCGCCTGGAGGAGAGTCCCTTCCTGCCTACATTCACAGAGGCCATCCTTTGCTGTCTGTGATGGGCATATTCAAATCAACATAAAAATAAACGGCAAAGAATGTAGGTTTCTCAGCCAAACTGCTCCATACAAACACAAATATTTTGTGGATATAAGGATGCTTCATTTACTCTCAATGGGATCATTTCACTCTCCATCCTTGCACATTCAAATTCATATGCCCTCACTTCAGGTATAAGAAGTAGTCCTTATAAAGTAAGCTTAAATAGTCAGAGGCTAGGAGAGAGATATCTGGGGAAGGGACTCTGAAAGAGAACATGAAAGAGGATTTGTTTTGAAGGCAGGACACAGCACTTGTGGAAAGGAGCCCTGGCCATAGAAAAGACCCCCTGGGATGAATGTGTCATAGAGTGAGCAGAGCTCCTCATGACAGGTACCCTGTAAGGAGAGGAGGGTATGCATTTTGGGGACCAGTCTGAAGCCCACACAGCCTGGGTCCAGCCACTGAAGCCCTCTCCAGCTCAGCTTCCTCACCTGCAGCTGAGACAAACAATAGAAACCCCGTGTGGTGCTGGTGGAGGATTCAATGGGCTCACTCAGGTACAGTCCGATCTTAGCTGCTCTCGTCATGGTTAGATCTAGCATCTTGCCATGGCTAGATACTAGCACAATGCCTGGACCCATTCCTTGGCTCCTTGAATGCTCCTCCTGGGGTCAGAAGTCAGGGCAGGCAGAGCACATGCCAGACAGGCTCAGACAACACCAGCTTGGGAATCAAAGCAAGAAGCACAATAATTCCCCCTTCCGTTGTGTTCAATAGTGAACGTGGGCTAGGGTGCCCCTTGGGAATTCTCCATATGACCTCATGGGTACATGCCGTCAACTTCAACGTTTGTCATCATGACTCAACAGAGGCTTTCTGTGATTCATTCCATGTGCTGGAGGCAGGGAGTCAGTGTGGGCTCCTAGGGAAAAACAGCTATCCCTGCTTTTGGATACCCCATCAAACCCATGTTGCTGTGTGACCTTGGGCAGCACAGCTAACCTTCCAGTGCTGAGTCATCTCTGTGGTTAAAAGCGGCGCCATAATCAAGAACAGATGCAATCATGGGTCTAAGCCATCCTAAAGGAGTAAATCACACACACCATGCTATGCTCTCAGTTCCCTCTACTTCAATAGTGATGTTTTGGGAACTTCTCAACTGGCCACAAGTTTATATAACCTCTCCTCTGCCAATTCTAATAGAGAAAAATGCTTGAGGTTTTAGAGAGCAGTTATGTTCACATAAAAACAACATCAAATTCTGCATTGTAATATGTGAAATAAATCCTGGCCAATTTTCATCACTAATGATGATAGAAGGAAATACTATTTGAAAGAAGGCTATTCTGTACCTATAATTGCAAACAGTCTAGTCATTGTTAGGGGGACCAAGTACAGATAATCTCCAAGGAAAGTTAAGCAGCATCATTTTTTCTGGTTGATTTCCTCATTCATTAGCAGTTATTGAACTTTAAGTCCAATTTCTAGACTCCATGCCCTGTTGGTTCCCCAGTCCTACAAAGCCCATTAATTCAGGCACTCACCAAATGGTGATTAGTATGGCTAGGTGACAAGCACTTGTTTATGCATTAGGCACGCAGTCATGAGCCCAGCAGGCTGAAACCACTCAGAGCTTGCACAGTCAGCTGGTGAAAGAGATGGAGAAGTGTTACAACAGCAAGTCCCATGGTGGCGCAAACACAGGATTCCATCAGAACCCATGGGAGCAACCCAATCTCAGGGCCCAGTGTTCTCAGAACAAGCAATACATCAGTAGGAACAGTATTTCAAGCAGAGGGAACAACAAATGTAAACCCACAGAGTAAATGAGAGCATGGTGTGTTTAGGGAAGCACACAGGGTGTGAAGGTGTGTGGTGAGAACGACGGGCAGAGAGTTCAACCAAGCTCAGAATCTTGGGCTTTATCTGCAAGGTAGTGGGAGCCATTGATACAGGTGTGGGAAAACCATGATGTGTGGCATCCAGGAAACCAAGGGAAGAGGAGTTATAAAGGAGGGAGATATCTACTGCCCACAGCCACAGGGAGGCCAAGAGGGAGAAGAAGGGTGGTGATGGTAAGTAACTCCGGCTGTGATAATGAACCTTAAAGTACCAGTGACTCGACACAATGAAAACTTGCTTTTCACTTGCACAAAGTCTTCTGTAGACATCCCTGCTGAGTCGCAGTCATCCACATGGTCACTCAGGGACCGTGCATCTTCCATCCAGTGGCTTGGCCTCCCCCAGCTCCTCTCCACTGGGCCAGCATATGGGGAAGGGATTAAGAGATGGAGGCGTTTATGGACTGGACCTAGACATGGCATGCATCCTTCTACCTATATCCCATTAGCCATAACTCAGTCACATGGCCACAAGCAAGACAGGCAGTATCACCTAGCTGTGTGCCTGTGATGGAAAAGGAAACAGATTTTGGTTAACCTTTACAATTTCTGCCATAAGGACTGATAAGAAAGATCCTTTCCATGTAGCAACAAAAGGTGGTTATTGACTGTATCAGTTTTATTGCTGCCCAACAAACCACACCAAAAATGTTGTGATTTGAAAAATCAATGATGTACTGTTTGTCATGGGCTATGGATTGGCCAGGAAGCTCTACTGATCTGGAAAGGGCTCAGCTGGTGTCCTCCAGCTTCATTCATGAGTTGGTACTTTGTGTAGGTCAGCTGGGGCTTGACAGTTGAGAGTGGCTGGGCTCCACAAAAACTCATTCTCCAGAGTGTTAGCCCAGACACTTCTCATAGCAGTGGTAGAGTTCCAAAATAAAGACAGGATGCATGCAAGACCTCTTGGGGACTAGCCTTGGAACCAGCACATTCTATCACATTCTATTGGCCAAAGCAAGTCACTAGACTATGCAGCCCCAGAGACTGGAGAAATAGATCAGCCTCAAATGGGAAAATTGCAAAGTCATATTGCAAATGGTATGGATATCTTTGCAGGGAAGAAGGGAGAATTGGGGTTATTTTTGCTATCCATCTCCCAGAGAGACAGTGGCCAGAGTGCTGTGTGTGGAATGAGGTGTGGGCTCTGAGTGGAAGCTCTGAGCTAGGATGGGAACCTGAACAAGCTGCAGTCACGGCTAAGATCACTGCTTGGAATAACCACCTTGTAGAGAATGGGAGGGGAAGGCAAAATAAAAGAACAGAGGTTGAAAGAGAAAGAAAACGCAAAGTGAGAGCAGTAGAGATGATACACCGGAAAAATTTGCACAGTTTAGAAGCAAAAAAATGAAAAAGTAAAAACAAAAACAGAAGTACCATTGTGGCCACTACTCCACAGACGTCCAAACAGAAATAAACTATGATTGGCCTGGTAAAAGAGGGATACAGAAGAACAGAATAGAAATACCTATACATGCATACACCCAATAAGTAAGGTTGCTGTGAGCCTGCTGTTCAGTCCAGTATTTCTGTGCAGTCGGGGACAGCCTTAGTAAGAGAACATCTGGAATAGACAGGACCATTCTGATTTCAACAAAGCTGTATTGAGCATCGCTACAGGAGTAGTCAATGTGCCCCTGTTCACTTGAGGGGCCCCTGCATTCCAGGCAGCTTGTTAGACGCTAGAGCACCTGTCCCTGAAGACAGGGACTATACCCTGCCCTCGGAAGCCCACAATCCTTGTCACTCCCTACCTCTACAAACCAGAAAAGAAGGAAAGGTGTGAGCAGCATTGTGATTGTCCAGCGTCCTCACAGCCCCCACCAGGGTTGTTTCAAACGTTCCCCTTTGGATAACTTGGACTCACCAGCCTTTCTGATGTTGCCCATGGGCCAAAGGTATGCACAGGGCCCATGTCCTGGTGGCTATGAATGGGGCTCCCATGAGCCACAGCCCTCATATCCTGAGAGATGGGGAGGCCTCCAGCCCTCGAGTTCTCCAGGCTCCCCATGCTAATCTGAATGTTTCTAAAGCAATGTACCTGAGGTAGGCCTTAAGCTCTTAGTAAGAACTGGCATAGGCCGGGCACAGTGGCTCAAACCTGTAATCCCAGCACTTTGGGAGGCCGAGGCAGGCAGATCACCTGAGGTCAGGAGTTCAAAACCAGCCTGGCCAACATGGTGAAACCCCGTCTCTACCAAAAATACAAAAATTAGCCGGGCATAGTGGTGCGCGTCTGTAATCCCAGATACTCAGGAGGCTGAGGTAGGAGAATCGCTCGAACCTGGGAGGTGGGGCTTGCAGTGAGCCAAGATCGCACCACTGCACTCCAGCCTGGGTGACAGAGCGAGACTCCATCTCAGAGAAAAAAAAAAAAAAAAACTGAAACAGGCTCTACCTTCTTTTGGTAGACCTCTGTACCAGAAGCACTGGGGCCCTGGGCTCTCTGACCTCTTAGTCAATGCACTCCTTTTCCTTGGAGCAGCACCACCATGGCGGTATCTTCTTGATGCTGGTGGGTGACACTCTATGCTCTGAATCGCCCATGCTTGATATGCTAAGGAATTTAGAAAATGTGTTTGTGTGTGCGTGCGTGCGTGTGTGTGTGTGTGTGTTGTCTCTCCTCTCTCTCTCTGCAAAGTTTTGCTTTCCAGCACATTAAGTTGCCAAACCATAAGTGGATGTGAATTTCAAAATGAGAAATCTTTGTTGTTCAGTAGATACCTGCCCTTTTCCAGTAGAACCAAAACCAGAAGTCTGTAGGACACAAGATGAAGATGATATAACAATATGTCTGCAAGTATCACCCCCATTGCAAAATTCCAGTTCCTATTATCACCACTAGTAGCAGCATAATGCTGCTTCCCAATAATAGTAATAATGACAAATATGTTTACGTGGCAAAGCCTCCTTCGAGCGGAACAGTAGGAGATAGAAAGAACATTATTTGATTACTATCCCTCCAGCTTAGACTTGGACTTTCTGATATTTTTGCTATATTTCTCAATTTCTCAAAGCAAAAAATATTGCCGGCCATTCATTCATTCGGCACATTTTTACTGAATGCCTACAATTCACCAGCCAATATGCTAGGAACCAGGTGTATAGTGGCGAAGGAGGCAGACATGATGCACGTTATCTAGAAGGGCAGACAGGCAGAGGGACCGTCACACAGACAGCCCTCTCGGCATTCCCTACGTAGCTCTTCCACCATGGCACCACAGGTTTATGGAGCATTTCCTACAGAAGCCCTAATGGAGCACGCCATGCTCACACAAGCATCGCTAGCACCACATGCGAGTCTTATGTGGGCTTGAGCCCAGTCTCATCCATTGCTTATCTGTAGCTGCAGGAGTCTGAACTGCTGTGAACAACTGCAAAGGTCCAAGAACTACTCACTCCTCTGAAAAAGAGGCGAGCAATCATTGGAACTAACCCACAGAGGGCCTAGTCCTACATTTCCCTTAAAAATCATCCTCCATTAAAGGATCTGGTCATCAAACAGCCAGTAGAGTCCACACAGCAGCACCAGGGGGCTGGAAATGCTCCTGACTCTGCTTCCCTCCAACATCTCCCCAGAAACAAGATTGGAGCAGGGATAAAATGTCCAGTCTTTAGATGGGGGTTCGAGGTCACGAATTTTAGAATTTTAATCCAAGCTACATAGCTGCACATTTCTGGAAAGAGAGAATACCTCAAAGCTACTTTCCTCTATAGCTCCATTCTCCAGGAGAGAAAACCTAAAAGCTGTGCTCTTCCATTCAGCAAATAGTTCCCCATTAGCTACTGACTACCCAATGAGAAAGTCACAAAGATGATCATTTTGTAAAGTCTTCCTTGGGCCAAACATTGAAGCAAAATGTTATTGTAACAACACATTATGTAGAAATGAAATTTCAAGAAGTAATCAAATAAAAAAATAATTCTCTAGACAATATCTAGGTTTTGTTTTGCTTTGAAGTTTTGGTTTTCAACTTTTAATTTTTGTATATGGAGGGAGAGCAAAGATTTAATCTTACCAATCAAATTAGGAAAAACCCAAAAGGTAGCAAACAGATAGGAACAGAGGAGGCAGCGGTTAGCAATGAATCTGTCCAGAGAGGAAAACGTAAGGGCTCCCTAAAGAGAGCCCATGGGGAAGGAGAAGAAAGCAAATCTCTGATAATGGAGATGAATGCTTTGAACTAAGAGTAGGCCGTGGTGTTCTTAATCACAAAAGATCATTTTTAAGCACCATGTGAATAGATGTTGTTTTGAGAAGATTCAAGAGAAGGCCAAACTAGACAACACTTCAGCCATTAGCTGAAGGATGAAACTCCAGTCTGTAAGGTGGCTGCCCAGAGATTCAGGGAGCTCCTGGATGCTGATATTTGCATTTACGTCTCTCAGAAGGAGCAAAACACTTTACAGAAATGCCGTTAATGTTCATGAAAACCCCGTGAGGAGCTACAGGCACAGAAGGAAACTGTGTTAACCACTGTGAGGGAGATGCGTCGAGGCTGGGGCCTTACCCAGGCAGCTCAGTTTCCAGCTCCTGATCATATGCAAACCCAAGTACATTCTGAATATCTGAGAGAATGTACAGAGTCTTATATAAAGTAAACTAGATCTGGCTTGGTTTTTGTTTTATGGCGCTTTTTTGTTTTATTTTAATAAGTTTGAAATTTAGTAATGGAGTCCTTTAAAGCATAAATCTTTTCTCTCAGGTGGAAGTACAGCCCAGTCCATTCACATCTCTACCAGCTCCAGGTCTGAAAATGGACAATACTTAAGATGACGCCTTGAAGACAAAACTGACAAGATGCGTTTTCAATTTGTGTCTTTTAATCTAAAGATGATGATTATGTTGCACATTGAGAGAGGCTGTTTCTTTTTTAATTTAGGTGGTTTGAAAAACTGAAGTAGACTAAATGAGTCTGAGTGTAATTAAAGTTATAAGCACAGAGAAAAATAAGAAGTTTTATTAACTGTGGAAGGAATGTGGGTCTTTAGCTGCCCAGCCAGTTCACAAAGACAAAGGAGATCCGTTTGCAGGGTTAAATAAACACAATACTTTATATTACAGTTCAAATGCATCCATTTGCAACAAGACTCAAAGGGAAAAATTGGTTTACCAGACTCAGCCTCTCCAGGGACAGCAATGAGCCCTGTGCGGAGCTGCAGCCACCGGGCAACAAGCACCACCCAGGTGCAGCTCCCACTGCCGTGCCCTGTGGGCTGTGCCCCAAACCTCTGCAGGCCTTGCTGGTTATTTTTTCACCTTGATGCATATTATACACTTGGCCGTCCTACACGTTGTTGGGTTGGATTTTAGTAACCAGTCTGTCAGAAACATGGAGCTGAAAAATGTGTTTAGGCAAAAAGGAAAGCTCACGGGAAGGCAACGTGGAGAACAGCATGTAGGGAAGAGGCCAGTCAGGCGAGGACTGGGCAGGGAAGGGCGGGAGGACGAGTGTCGGTTGATGGCACCGCTTTCCACGGATTAATTCTTCTTAAAGATCTAAGCAGATGCACTCGGGGCCAATGTTCCCGGCTGAAATCAGCAGCTCTGTGCATCTGAAGCAGGACAAGAGGCCAGGGAGAGGCCGCCGGGCCTGAGCCCCAGGAGCCAAGAAGACCTGCACAGTCAACTTCCCTCTTCAAGTATCATTTGGCCAACGAGGAGCTTGTTAATTGGTGCCAATTATTGGTTTGCCAGCAACTCCCACAGATTAATATTTCAGGAGTTAGAAACCCAGCTGAGCGTGAAAACAGCATCGACTCGGAGCTAAGAATCACATTTCAAAACTGCAGGGAAAAAAGCGAGCGAAAGAGATTGTTTCTTGAGAAAAGAGGAAGAGACTCATTCATCTCACAAATACTCAGGACTCTGAAAGCCTGAATCAGCTCCCCAGACACAGAAACATGGCATGCGTCTACACAGATTAGATTGTACGCTCTGCAAGTATAGGAATGTCCCCCCATGGCCCAAGAATCTCAGCTTTTCTCCAGCAAAACGGGACACGCTTAAACTTCCTTTGGTTAAAAAGTGCTCTTCAAGAATGTGTTTCTGAAACTAATAAAATGACTTGAAACTCTACAATGCATTCCTTACAAGGTGAGAGAGAACTTCATTCACCAGAGTCCACTTGCTCGCTGCTCAAAGCGAAGGCACAGGCAGGAATGACTTCCTTCCCCCTACCCCCCACCCCGTATGTTTTGTTGCCTGAGGGGGTCCCAGGAAGGGCACCCTGTGAGGCTGAGGCCGCAGGGGAGTGTGGAGCCTGGCTGCCATCACACCATCTTCAGCAAACAGCCCAGGCCCCTCTCCTGGTCCTCACACCCCAGGAGGGCTGGCCGTCCCCAGTTCCCAGCAGGGCCCAGACCTCACCAGACTCCTCCCTGACTCTCCCAGACCCACAAGGGCCCCCAAAACCACCGTCCTGGGGATCCCCACCCTTCCCCCTGGCTCACCCCATCCCTGGCTCCCACCCGGACCCCGCCCAGACCCAGATATCCCCAGACTCTTTCCCAGTCCCTCAGCTCCAGCCCAGACCCAGGCTTCCCTCGCCCCCCTACCACCCAATCCCCATTCACCGCCGCTCCTCCCAAATCCATCCCAACTTCCTCCCCCACCGGCCTCCCACCCCTGGCTCCCGCTCGCCCCCCTCTGTGGCGCCCCCTCCCTCCCCTCCCCGGAGCGCTCCCCGCCTGCCTATCATCTTGCTCTAATTGTTTCCAGATTCGTGTGGGAGGTCAGGGCCCGGGAGTGCTGCTTCATGCCAAGTTTATAAACAGAGCAGTGTTTCCAGATGGCCGCTGGCTCCAGCCTGGCGAGCAGGTTGATTGGGACCAGAATAACAACAGGTGGAGAGCAGACAATGAGTTCCTTGACACTTAGTTACTCCCTGGGCTTTTTCTTCCCCTTCCAGCCCTGCCTCCATCTGCCTTAGCCACCACCAGCGGGTTTCCAAAGTGCTCAAATGAGCAGGGGGGCGGTGGAATGCAAGAGAAAGCAACCCATGTCCCTCGCAAGGGTGGCAAGGAGCGCCTGGCGAGGCTGCATCCCCAGGCTGAGAGGGGAGCCTGGACTGCGGGGACCGCCCAGCTGGGAAGGGGCTGTGTTCTGTTAGCAAAAGACCCACGTGGCGCCAAGGGGAAGAAGACACGGAGGGCCCCTCGCCTGGACCTCGAGTCCTGCCGGGAGCCGGCAGGAGCCCCGGCACAGAACATGGAGCGGTTCCTGGTGAAGCAAAGATTCCAGGAAGTGTCTAATGGTTCTCTGAACTGGCATTGGCCAAGAGGCCCAAATCCCATTAAGACAGCCCAGGGGTTGAAGTAGAAGCAAATCCGCTAGAGCATCTGCATCCGTCCAAACAGGCCCGCGGAGCCCGCCCTGCAGACCTCGCTCCCACAGCCTCATCCCAGCCAGCTCGGGGCGGGCTGGGCGCCTGAGGAAGAACAGCCCCCGGCCAACCGCTTTATGAAGTGCAACGAAGGGTTTCAGTAAACAGCAGCAGAGGCACCAGATGCCTCTAGTTAAACATGGAATTGTACAGCAAGCCCTGCACTGATTGAGAAACCGCCCCACAGACGCACACAGGCGGGAGTAAATTACAAGTCACCCTGTCCTGTCCGGCGAGCTGTCCCAAGCGCCCGGAGCCCGGGCTGGCGACAGCAGAGCCCCTGGCAGCGCGCCTGTGAGATCATGCACAGCCCGGGCAGGGCAGCCTCCATGGGGATGATGCAGCCGCCCAGGGCCACGCCGGCCCTGCGCTGGGAAGGATGACCATGGCACCGTCCTTCAAACCACTGACCTACAAAAAGACGGGCAGAAGATAGTGCCTGTGAAAATAAAGCATATAAATATCAAAAGTATGTATGAAGGGCCTTCCAGTTAAGGCTAGATTATCTCTGTGAGTCCTTTGAATCTGAGTTTCTACTTATAAAATGTAACCGGACACTCTGGCTTTGAAGACTGGGGATCCGGGACCAGGGCTGTGCGATTTATCCGAACTAACAGAGCCGTTACAGCCTGGGCACTGGACTCCTCCCCCGGCTCGCCCATCCAGGATCCCTGACTCACTGCAATCCACGGTATCCCTGCATTTTAAAACACATTGTGTTTAAAGTGTGTCACTGATGTGTGTGTTTCAGCAAAATGCAGGCTATCTAACCTGCTGGCCTAAACGGTTACACTTAGTCGGTGCAGCATCTTTTCATAGAAATAATATAAATTCATATTTGTTTAATTGTCTTCTCTGTTCTCTACACAGCATTCAATTATGGAGGTTTGATGAGAAGCTCCATGTATTATATAAGGAATTCTTAAGAAAAACAAATCATGCCTTAAAGAGCAACAAAATGAGTGTTAGGGAATAAATTCATGACTGGGGCAATGAATGGGGAGCCTGTGCAGAGGACTGAGTGTTCCGCGGAATCAGCTCAGGTTCCAGCCCCAGAAAGTCACCTAGTGAAGTCAGCTCCCCTGAGAGGATGTTTACCTCTAGAGAAGCATCTGTGGACAACGCGCTGGAAATTTCCTGGAGAGATATCATTGCTGATGACAGGTGCCCTGTGCAAACATTGTAGCTCCCACCATACTCAGAAATATAAGAACTGCATTTGTCATAACAAATGAGTCCTGGCACAGAATCACTCACGCACTTGGGAACAAGCTCTCCCCAGAAATGAAGTGCCAACAGCTGAAGAGATTCCACTAGCCGCTGCCCCCGCTCATTTAAGTGCCTGGTGACATTACCCTGCGGCTGCAGAAGCCACCGCACAGTCCTCCATCATGGCCATGCCTGTCATGCAGAATAACTTTTTTCCACTTGTGACTGACCATGAAATTTTGTTCCCAACCACAAAGCACTGAGACACACCATTGTGGCATCCACTGAGTCTACCGGAACAGGGACACAAAATTTGTTCCTACAAACTGCAAATGCCAGGTTAAAGGAAAAGAGACTTTTATAGCATAAATGCTTAACGCTCCCCTCTCCACACTTAGTGGAGAGTGGAATTTGTCTTGGCTCTCTGATCTACACAATTACAAATACATAGCCAAAAAACTGATCTAATGCTAACACTTGGAGAGTCAAAATGTTACCAATGGCACAGCATTTCCTGATTTCATTGATAAATGAAAACAGAATTTTAGGACTAGAAGTGTGGAATCATATGGGAGCTCTGGCTTTACCATGTGCCAATTTTCGAATTCCCTTTGAAGGTCAAGATGCAAAACCTAAAACATAGGAAAAGAAACATTTTCATCAGAGAATTTTATTTTTTAATTTGGAATTCATTGCACCTTTGCAAATATAAACCAAAGAATTTCAGCAAACACAATGCATTTGTTGTTTTATATACTGGTGCGCTTAGGCAGAAAAATGAGTCAGTAAAGAGGGGATGCTGAGATCAAGGTGTACGGAGGGCATTAAATCACGGGTATTTACTAGCAGTGCTATCCTACAAAGCATGCATAAACGCTTTCTGAACATAAACTTGTTTAGAAGCTAGCACACTTCTCTTCATGTTAACCAACCAAGCTATCCTTTATGTAACACATAAATCACTTCTAACCAGAATTAAAGGATTTTTCCCCCTTAAACTTGGCAAGCAACTGAAAAGACCAGTGTGGAGAAGATAAGAAATGCCATTTGCCATCCTGAAAGAGCACAAGTAAGCCATCCATGGTGACTTCACCCAAATTCTCCCCCAATGGAGTATTTGTTAGGGCCAACTTTAGATTTTAGGGATGCAAAGTCAGAGATTTCAAAATGTAGATGATAAGTACATGGTTTGTAACACTTTTTTCTCGAAGTTAGCCCCTCCCAGCCATCCCATCCTTTCCTGCTGCTTTGCCAAAAGCCCATCCCCATTCATGCAATGTTCTCACAGACAGAAGTCAGCACTGGCCACACCCTCCACTGGCCACTGTAGCTGGCACTGAGTCCACCATCAGCCCTGCCCATGTGGGTGCAGCCAGCGCATAAAAATAGGAGGCATTACTAGAACCAGGTTTGCAATCTTGTGTGCCTTCTCCCCTAACTCAGAACACAACTACCAGAAGAACAGACAACCTCTCTCCGAACCAGTCTTAATCTAGTTAGGAACTCCAATTAACGCGAGTTGGTGTTCCCTGCATAAGGAAACAAAGCAATTATGGGCCTCATGCTATGCCTAAGAAAATGGCAAAGCTCATCAAATTGATACTCCCAATACAGCCAAATTGGCTGGTTTACCCAAACAAACCCTACATGGCAGTTTTGGGGTCGCTGGCCAGACTGTTTCAGCATTGCTTCTTTGTAAATGACTTTTACTCTAACTGTAATTTCAGGTATTTTGTTCAGAACCAGAGTTTCTCTTTTATTTTACCCTCCAAATACTCTTCGATGGCAGCACGGGTAAATTTGCAGCATGTTTCAAAGCTTTAATTGGGGCAGTGAAAGTGGAATTGCAACTGAAGAGTGACATTCATTAACATGCAGTACTTTCAGCTTGTGCCCAAAAAGGCTGGGGAGCTGAGACAAGGCCTTCAGTAAACACCCATCTGACAATGACTAGAACAATCACAGAGAGATCCAGATATACCTGAATGAGCCTCGTAAATTAATAAACCATATTTGCAGGCTTCTGATTCAGCAACCTTAAGCTACATACACCTTTTAATGTTACTCAGTTATGCTGCCTTTGAGGCAACTATGGGATGTTAAAAGCAGCAGAGAAGATGGCTCTGATGTCACGCATTTGCTGATAAAACAGATGTGGCTCTCAACAACATACCTCTTGTGTGCTATTCATTTAACTCAATTTAAAGTTTTGAGGATGACAGTGCATTACAAGGTTAGTGCAGGATCTCTGTTGTTTAACATTGTAAACTAAGGATGTGGCCAGACACTAAATCTAATCTACTGGGGAGAGTTAACATCTTTACTCTGCAAGCAAAGCAAACAGGCCCTTGTTCACAAGGGCTCTGACCATACAGAGAAAGAGTGACACCCACCGCAGCTGACCTGGGCTTTCTCTGACCCGGAGTTTCTGTCTGTCACTATCAGAGGTTTGGCCATTTACTCAAATTAGTAAGGATGTATTCATGATTATAAAGAACTTGTAAGTTCTGAATAAAAGAATCTATCAACTGTCATTTTGTTTTACTGTGAATTCATTTTACAACAAAAAAAGATTTCCTGAAACCTGAAATGAAGGCTCTTACTCCATAGAATTGCTGAAGAATGGCCTGCATCAGCAGAGGGCAATGATTACCTGGAGATGAATGAATTTTTAAAAATAAAATTAATTCCACTGCAAAGCAGAGAGAGCTACCCAAGCCAAAATGCTCAAGATGATATCATATGAGATATTACTTGGAAGAAAAATAGACTTCCCTTTGCATTTTTTTTTTCTGAGATAGAGTCTCGCTCTGTTGCCCAGGCTGGAGTGTAGTGGCACAATCTCGGTTCACTGAAACCTCCACCTCCTAGGTTCCAGTGACTCTCATGCCTCAGCCACCCAAGTAGCTGGGATTACAGGCGCGCACCACTACGCACAGCTAATTTTTGTATTTTTGGTAGAGACGGGGTTTTGCCATATTGGCCAGATTGGTCTTGAACTCCTGACCTCAAGAGATCTGCCCGCCTCGGCCTCCCAAAGTGCTGGGATTACAGGCATGAACCACCGCACCTGGCCTTCCCTTTGCATTTTTAAAAGAATTCTTATTTTCATTCAATGTTTTGTGGCTTCTATAACCTACGATGTTTTCAAAACAAAAAAGATCTTATTTTCGTTGGATGGATGCTGATTTCAGCACTGCTTTTTGACATCACAGGTGATTTACTCTGATGCTACACAGCCCCTTATCCTTGCATCTAGAGCCCAGCGCTGACTCACTGGCCTTACCCCATCTCCAAATCCCTTCCATGGTGCCCCTCCCAACAGCCCAAGGTGGTCAAAGGCACCAGTCCCAGCAGAGCTGCACAGGGTGAGAAGCACTCTTTGTCCTGAAATGCTGAAAAGTTGCCCACATCTGATTCAGTTAAACTTTCTCTCAAGGCATCATCCCCTCTAAGAGACAAATAAGTGAATTGTAAATAATACAATTAAAATCTGTCATAACACTGAAATAAATTCCTGCTACATTTGAACAAAGTTATTTTATTTGGAAAGGACCAAAAGTTACTGGTGTCCCACTTGCTTCTGATAAAGATTCTTAAATATCCAAAAGTATTAGGAATGTAGTACTTAGTAGTAATAACTTATTCCCAATAAAAATGTTCTTTGGCCGAGGCCCAAGGAAAAGTTATGTAACCTAAATTAAATTCATGACAGTTGAGAAGGGCTTTGCTTTCCCAAAGCTCAGATGTCCTCCAGCACATTTCCTAATAGCTACCTGATGGGACAGTATTTAGGAAAATACAGAGCAAGAGAAGGGAAGGGCAAGAGAGAGAACAATGTGAGTGCTTTCTTCATTTTAAGAAAAGCTACCCTGAATAACACTTGAGAGCATTGCAAGGAATCCAGTCATTTAAAGTGTGTGTGTGTTAAATATCCCAGATCCACCTTATCTGATTTTCTCTCTGGGAATTCATGGTGAGCCAGCAGTTCCCTGGCATGAAGACTTCATGTTTTCCTGAGAGAACCAATTAAGAGAAAGATTGGACTACCTGTGGGGCAACCTCTAAAAGGACAGCAAGTTCCTTCTGATGTAAGAGAAAGTTGAAGACCTCAAGTGACTTTTTGCCATCTAGGCTGGCACAGAAAAGGACACATGGAGATGCACCTGTGTGGCATGGGTGAATGCCCTCTGCCTCCCCAGGCACCAGATCGGGAACGTAGTAAGAGAGTTACACTAAAGAGAACCTAAGAACCCTTGCAGGAAGCCCATTAAGAATGGCAAGGCACAGACGGGGAGCTTGCAAAATCCCCCGTGGGACTAGAGGGTGACGTTGGCCCACACTTCCTGGTGGTCTAAGGGCAATAGCAGCAGAAGATGAGGACCATTAACTCCACATGCTGGCCTTCCAGGCAAACAAGAAGACAGGGGCAGCACCCAACAGGGGAGCCCTTGAGAAGTCTCTGGGGAAGAGGGAACTTCCGACCATCTAGTTCAGCTGAGACCTAAGATGCAGGCTGGTTGCCACGTTTTTAGGTGGCCCATTACCTTCTTTAGGAGTTGAATGCTCCCAACACACCTTGTGAGTACATCATTGCATCTCCCAAAGAATGTCACAATACTTTGTGACATTCTTACATGTCTGTGAATGCTTGTGTGTCCCTGGACAGCCCACACTGTGCCCAGCACTTGGGGAAGGACAGGAAGACAAACATGGGTCTGAAATCCTTTAACCTGAGAGCCAGTTTCCTCATCTGCAAAACAAGGTGGGCCCATGGCAGGTCACTGGGAGGGTAAAGATGGCGTGGTGTGTGTGCAGCTCCTAACACAAAGCCTGGCACATGTAGATGCTCATTTCCACCCCAATCGTTGCCAGCACCACCTCGATAGATCTACTGTCTGGGGGTGGTACAAGACTGACCAATAAATAGCCAGTCATTAACTTAAAAAAAAAATCAAATAATTGTGTGTTGAACTTTGAAAAAAATACATTGCATTTATATTAGATGGTGTTCAGGAAGCTGAAATATTTTAAAATACACTTGTCCCTTTGTAACTGCAGGGGATTGCTACTTATTTGAAAGTGACAATAAAATGCTTAGAAATAAACGTAGAAGGTAACTTGATTAAGCCCAAAAAGGTATGCTGGCAAGACAGTACTTTGACAGATTACACAGAAAAAATACTCCTTCATAATTTAGATGACAATAAACAGTAAACCAAAGAAACAAGCTCATCAAAATTAAGCAAGTTTCACTTAGATTTCAACATGCCATAGCTTTTCCGATCCACTACTTGCACTTATTTATCTCTACAAGCTGGAAGAGATCCTTTAACCTTTAGATCAACTTCACCTTGAAAATTCCCTCTGAGCAGTGTATGAATCAGTTGTTTCACTCTTTATGTATGTTGTGTTTTCTTAGCCAAGACAGGTGGTTCCTACTCCAGCATCCTTTCTGTTCCAGCATCCATGGGCATCTTTGTCAAGAGACTCCCTCCCCTGAGGCTGAACCACAAAGGGAGGGGCATCTGGTTGTTTATCTATAAAGCCATGCATTTACTCAGGTTCTACTTTACTTCCATTCTAAGGTGTTTTCAAAATGCTTAGCAAGGAGTTCTGATGCTGGGTTTATTTCTCATTCCAGTTTGCACTTACATATGAATCCCCAATTTCTGGCTTAATAACATTTACAAAAAGCAAGGAGGGAGTGGGGATCCATCTGACTCAAGGTCCACCCTGGAGGCTGCCTGCCAGTGTCAGAGGCCCCCATCCCCAGTCCTGTCTCTTCCTACAAGACTGGTCAAAGTCCCATCTCTCTTCATAGGAAAGACTTCGGGTATAGTCTTTTACAGATCTTTTCCAACACTGACAGCTTTTCTAAACCCCTCTCGTTTCTATGAAATTCGAGATTTTAAAAATCTTCCTTGGGGCTTCTCATCCTGCTTTTTCCACCCAGTTTTTATCAACTGAGGTCCTCACTAATAATGAATCAACTGATATATACCAGAGAGCCCTGTATTATAATTCCTAAAATTAAATCCCTCTGCAAATGTCTCCCTATTCAGCCAGCTTTTGAAAAATTTCACAACGGCTCTCAGCTCAGAGTAAGACCAGGTCTTCTGATCAACAGCGAATGCTCCTGTTCTGAAGGTTTGACTCTAAGATGCAGCTGAGTCCTGGGAGTTTCTGGCTTGTCAGGAGGGAAGGGAGTGGGTCAAAGAGAGAGACAGGGGCAGAAAAAATGGAGGACGGTGTGGCAAGGAAATAGTAGGCTGTTAGGTTCAAGTTCTAAAAGACACAATTTTAAAATTTTCCAATTTTTTTTTTCTTTTGCCTTAGTCATAGAATCTCTTAAGGAAGAGATTCTGGAAACTAAATTTTTTTGATGCTTCCTCATACTAATTAAAAAGTAAAGATTACCAAAGTTTGAAATTTTGCTCCTTTTTTCTTCAAAGACATCTCTCAAACTCTCTTGATCATATCAAAAGTTTAACAAACATCCTAGTGAAAGCACACCATTTAGAAAGATAAGCCCACAAATTGGCATTGTAACATAAACACATTATTCATGAGGCAAGAGGCCAGCCTGGGCTTTAGGCTGAGACAAATGCACGAGAGTCTAGGAATGTTCTGTCAAAAACATGCCCCAGACCCCCCAACCGTACAGATGGGCCATCAAGCTACAAACCCCCAAAGAGGCTTGTGGCCCCAGAACAACAGAGAGGCCTGAAGAGGCCATATCTCCCAGAACCAGACTCTGCCTCCCACAAAAGGAGGCAAGACTGGGGTAAGTCCTGCAGATATGCTGATGGCTGACCTGGGGCAAACTGTCTTCAAAGAATGCTTGTCTCAAAGGAAAATGTCGGAACTTCCCAGCTCCTGGGGGTGGCCCAAGGAATAGTTTCCTATCAAGGTCCCTCTTAGTAGGGAACAATAAAAATGACAGGGACAGGCAGAGGCAAACCAGAGGGTGAATAATGAGTCAGATTTCCACCAAGGACAGCATTTCTCAAATCCAATCAGATATCCAATGGAGATCTAAAAAGCATTTCCTGCTCCTAGGAGATAAAATGAACTCAGCATCTGAGATCCTGGCATTTGTGAGACTGGCGTTCTCCCCAGTGCACCTACTTTCCCCGGATTCGTGATCAGGAGCCCTAGGCCTGGGGAGGGCTCGTCTACCAGCTAAGGGCTGTGGCTGTGGAGTCTCAGTCCCGCCTCCAGAATCATTGCAGCTGGGCTCCCCAAATATTAACAATACCACCTGGGACAGCGAAGTCGAGTTTGTTACTTAACTGCAGTAAGGGAGAAGGCCATCTTGCAAGCTTTGTCAGAACTGAGAGACGGGAAGGTGAAGTCAGGATTGACTGAAAATTGCAAATTTTGGCTTAAAGCAGGGCATAGTTAGAATCGGGTAAGGATCATGGCAAACCTGTCCAAGATACGGAAGGAAACAGCAAGGTGAAGACGTTGAGCTGAGGGACACCTTTGAGTCTTAAGAGCATGAACTGTGGATGTTTTCCACCGAAGCTCTGTTGCGTCTTTGAGGAAGCTCCTGTAATAAACAACCAAACCATTCTTCCAGGCAGGAGATGGGGTGGAAAAATTAAATAAGGCCTTCATGGCAGAGGACCTGCACAGTGCCATGCTGATGTACAGAGGAGGGCGTGCTTTCAGTTCTCAGGGTCCAAGTGTCACCACAGAGCGTGGGGATAGAGGCTCTCGAGTAGAAAGCCATCATAAATAATGATAGAATAAATAATAAAAGTACTGCTATTTAATAGGAATAAAAAATAAAGTCCTAGGAAAATCATGTCAACACGAGGATTGGCAAAGTAAAATATATATATAAACGAACTTTGATTTAGTATCTCCTCAGTGCCCGGCAACTTCACAGATTTTCTCATTTATTCCTTACAACACATGAGTCATAAGTCTTATTATTCTCATTTATGGCAGCTGGGGCAATGGAGCACCAAAAAGGTTAAATAAATTATCTCAGGCCGGGTGCCGTGGCTCACGCCTGTAATCCCAGTCCTTTGGGAGGCTGAGGCGGGTGGATCACGAGGTCAGGACTTTGAGACCAGCCTGGCCAATATGGTGAAACCCCATCTCTACTAAAAATACAAAAAAAAAAAAATTAGCTGGTCATGGTGGCGCGCGCCTGTAGTCCCAGCTACTCAGAAGGCCGAGGCAGGAAAATTGCTTGAACCCAGGAGGCAAAGGTTGCAGTGAACTGAGATCACGCCACTGCACTCTGGCCTGGGTGACAGAGTGAGACTCCATCTCAAAATAAATAAATAAATAAATAATCTCAGATCACTCAGTTAGAGAGAGACAGAACCTTGAGTTAGGCCCAGGACACCGGACTCCAAGCCAGGCCCCACTTCACTGCACCACAGTGGCCTCAAACACAAGGAAATTCCAGAGGAAAGGTCAGCCACACAGGTGGCGAGGTACCCAACCCAAAAGACCATCCCATCCAGGAAGCTTTTGAAAAATCATCTTCATCACCACAATTTAAGCCCAGAGTGCTCTCTTTTTTCGCTTGCTATATCTCCTTGTTCCCTGAACTGAATGCAGCTTTGCTCAAGTGCTGTATTTCAGGAATCAGTGGCTCAAGTAAAACTGTCCCTGCCAGCACCATGAATGCAGGACACAGCAGGAGACAGAAGCCCTTTCTGCCCCCAGAGAGCTGTGGCTGGCACTCACCTATCAGGCTGCACCCTCTCACAACAGAAGCTGCATGATCAGAGAGCAGGTTAGGTAACAGCCTGAGTGGAGAAGAGCTTGCTCCTGGGTTTTGACTTTGCTGGAACCATCAGAGGCTCAAGGGAAAGAGGGTGGACCATGTGCTGGGTGGCTTCAGGACACCCTGAGGAAATGCTGAGGAAAAACCTCCAATGAGAGCTGCTTTCTCTGTTCTCAGCATGTACCCGAGCCAGGTCCTAAGGATGAGAGGATGTGCCCCCTGCCAAGAGGGGCTTCTGCCATAAGTGTTGTGTTGGGCTGACTGTGAAGACACACTTGTGTACACTCCAGCCTGAGACCTACGGAGGGAATCCAGTTCGACACTGGGCTTGCTGGAGTCGCCGTTTAGTAAGCTCTTGTTTTATATGCCCAGAAGCGGCCTGCTCAGAAGACTGTAACAAACATCTATGAGCTACATTTAATCCTCATTGTGATGATACAGAAAGCGAGGCTGAGAGAAGTTAAATAGCTTGCCCTCATATCTCCGACTTTAAGAGATGTTTTTGCCAAGTTTTGTCCAGGAATAGGGCAGGGTGTAGTTTCTTCCCTTTGCACACAGTCACAGATAGACCTCTGAGCACTGAAATGCCTTCCCCAGCCTCTGCTGAGAGCCCCCAGGTGCCCGGTGCTCATGGCCCAAGGCCCATTGTTGCTCCGCCTGGGAGCCAAGGGCTAGGGAGGGAGGCAGCTACTGCACCATCCACCAGGAGGTCAGAGAGGCAGCACAGGGGAGCAGTCATTGTGCCAGATCTCCATAGAAGACTGGGAATGGAACACAAAGACCAATAGAAGAGGGCAATGGCATGGCTGACTTCCGGCCTGGCAGGAGGTAGCTGAATCACCACGGTGATAGTAGGAACATGATGGTGACAGGACACCATCTCCTACGCATCACATGCCCAGAGCTTTCAATCTGTTCTTACTAAACTTATTTTGTTCTTACTAAACTCTCACTGCGGGGGCAGAATCATCTCCATTTCAGAAATGATGCATTGATGGTGACCTTAGTGAGATGCCAATTGCCCACACCTATAGCTTGCTGGGGACAAAGCCAGGATGTGAATCTGCACTCTTCCACGTCCAAAGCCTGTCCTTTCCCCTGTGCCAGGCCACCTCCCATCCCATCCCTGAGCCAGGCAGAGCCGCAGGAGCACCCTCCTTCAGGAAGGCCTCCGTCACAGCTGCGTTCCCTGAGTCACCGGTGAGTAAGAACCAGTCTGCTTTTGCATTGTATACACTATTTTACTTTACTTTCACAACCCTGCAAGGTACTTATCATTATCCCCATTTATTAGATGAGGAAACCAAGATTCAGTAGGTTTTGTAACAAAACAAAGCTCTAAGTGGCTTTCAGCAGTCAGGACACCTAATCAAGCTCCTATCTGAGAAAAGAGGCCCCGAGCAGATCTCTCCTCAGACTTAGAGCACCAGACCCATGAGAGACAAAGGTTTTGTTTGTTTGTTTTGTTTTTAAAGACAGGGTCTCACTCTGTCACCCAGGCTGGGGTGCAGTAGCACAATCACAGCTCAATGCAGCCTCAATCGCCCAGGCTCAAGTGATGCTCCTGCCTCAGCCTCCAGAGTAGCTGCGACTACAGATATGCACCACCAGGCCCGGCTAATGTTTTTTTCTTTTTCGTGAAGATAGGGTGTCACTATGTTGCCCAGGTCTCAAACTCCTGAGCTCAGTTGATCTGCCTGTCTTGGCCTCCCAAAGTGCTAGGATTACAGGTGTGAGATATAGTGCCCAGTCAGGTGACAGGGTTTCAAGATCCTTCTTAAGCCCATCAACTAGCTCATCTTGTCTGCTAGAATTTGTTATTATGCACCATTCAAAACTTCCTTAAGCTCTTTTGTACATGCACCCTGTTTTTCTTACCAAGAAGGAAAACTAGTTCCTCAACACTCTCTTCCATTTCTCCCCTTCCCAGAAGCTGACCAAAGCCTAAATTCTTGAGAGCATTTTAAATTCTCTTTACCTGTAAGCTGCCCTCAGAAACTGCCACTGTATGCTGAAGCAGTGGATAAGGAAAAGCTGAAGCAGTGGATGAGGAACCTGTGAACTAAAGTCCCCAACTTTTAAATCCCATCCTCCTGGTCTAGAGGAGGCATGTCCAGGTCACAAGACCAGAGCAGGACAGCACTGGGACATGGACTCTGCATGGTTCTCTTTAGAGGATGCACTCAAATTATATGTGAGAAGATATTACAGGGAATGTTTTTCTTATACATAATGTAAAATTGTAACTATTTTATCTAATCTACCACTACTTTTATTAAGCTTTGTTACTTCCTGCCTTCTTGTTGTTTCTGATCTTTCTTCAGTAGGGTATTGGTTCAGTAGTTAGCTGGACTCAAAAGTAATGTAACAGCCTCAATGTATTGTTGGAAGAGTAATAAAACGCTATTACTAATAATGAAAAGGCCATTCCCATTATAACTCAAGTGTGCCTTTCATCAAGTGAATTAGAAACAATGTGTATTCATTTGTTTGGTTTGTTCCCAGTGAGCTGAAGGATTGCACAAGCAGGATTTTTCCCTTGCTCCCTTCCCTGATTTAATTCACTTATGGAGGGGAGGCAAGGAATGAAAATGAACCCACGGATGGAGTAGCAAAAAAAAAATTTGTGCTTCAGTGAAGAAATGTTGCATTGTCTATAGCACATTCTTCCAGATGGTCTGATTTTTACCTTGTTCATTGTCACCGAGCTATTTTGCACCTCTTAGTAAACAGCAGGCAAGGGATGGATGTGCAAACTTGTAGTGTTCTGTGGAATTTCAGCTGACTTCAGGGTTCCTGTGAAAAATCAGTTCTGCCTCCATTTGCAATTCAGTTCATTTACTCCATATAAATTTGTGCTTTTTTTACTTTCCTTTGGACTGCTTTTAACATCTGGTTCCCTCACTGATTACAAGTAAAATAAAATCTTCATGGGTTTGTTTTTGTATGTATATGAATATCACACTTTCACTTTCTGAAAATTATCTTTTAACAGAGATGCACCCAGAAAGTGGCCTACTTGATATCCTCACCCTTGACCAGCACCCTGAGTGCAGAGCTGATGTGATGTTAATCCTCCCATGTGGGCTTTCCAAATTCTTCTGAGTGCCCCATGGTCGGACCTGAGCTGCTCATAACACTTCACTTTCACATCACTTTTTTTTTTTATTTTACTTTAAGTTCTGGGATACATGTGCAGAATGTGCAGGTTTGTTGTATAGTTATATGTGTGCCATGGTGGTTTGCTGCACCTATTAACTCCTCATCTAGGTTTTAAGTCCTGCGTGAATTAGGTATTTGTCCTAATGCTCTCCCTCCCCTTGCCCCCCACCTCCTGACACGCCCTGGTGTATGATGTTTCCCTTCCTGTGTCCATGTGTTCTTCTTGTTCAACTCCCACTTATGAGTGAGAACACACAGTGTTTGGTTTTCTGTTGCTGTGTTACTTTGCTGAGAATGATGTTTTCCAGCTTCATCCATGTCCCTGCAAAGGACATGAACTCATTCTTTTTCATGGCTGCACAGTATTCCATGGTGTATATGTGCTGCATTTTCTTTATCCAGTCTATCATTAATGGGCATTTGGGTTGGTTCCAAGTCTTTGCTCTTGTAAATAGTGCTGCAGTAAACATACGTGTGCATGTGTCTTTATAGTAGAATGATTTATAATCCTTTGGGTATATACCCAGTAATGGGATTGCTGGGTCAAATGATATTTCTAGTTCTAGATCCTTGAGGAATCGCCACACTATCTTCCACAATGGTTGAACTAATTTACACTCCCACCAACAGTGTAAAAGTGTTCCTATTTCCCCACATCCTTGTCAGCATCTGTTGTTTCCTGACTTTTTAATGATTGCCATTCTAACTGGTGTGAGATGGTATCTTATTGTGGTTTCGATTTGCATTTCTCTGTTGACCAGTGATGATGAGCTTTTTTTTCAAATGTTTGTTGGCCTCATGAATGTCTTCTTTTGAGAAGTGTCTGTTCATATACTTTGCCCACTTTTTGATGGGGTTATTTGTTTCTTTTCTTGTAAATTTGTTTAAGTTCCTTGTAGATTCTAGATATTAGCCCTTTGTCAGATGGGTAGATAGCAAAATTTTTCTCCCATTCCGTAGGTTGCCCATTCACTCTGATGATAGTTTCTTTTGCTGTGCAGAAGCTCTTTAGTTTAATTAGATCCCATTTGTCAATTTTGGCTTTTGTTGCAATTGCTTTTGGTGTTTTAGTAATGAAGTGTTTGCCCATGCCTATGTCCTGAATGGTATTGCCTAGATTTTCTTCTAGGGTTTTATGGTTTTAGGTTTTACATTTAAGCCTTTAATCGATCTTGAGTTAATTTTTGTATAAGGTGTAAGGAAGGGGTCCAGTTTCTGTTTTTTACATATGGCTAGCCAGTTTTCCCAGCACCATTTTATTAAAAAGGAAATTCTTTCCCCATTGCTTATTTTTGTCAGATTTGTCAAAGATCAGATGGTTGCAGATGTGTGGTGTTATTTCTGAGACCTCTGTTCTGTTCCATGGTCTATATATCTGTTTTGGTACCAGTACCATGCTGATTTGGATACTGTAGCCTTATAGTATAGTTTGAAGTCAGGTAGTGTGATGCCTCCAGCTTTGTTCTTTTGGCTTAGGATTGTCTTGGCTATATTCTTTTTTGGTTCCATATGAAATTTAAAGTAGTTTTTTCTAATTCTGTGAAGAAAGTCAATGGTAGCTTGATGGGGATAGCATTGAATCTATAAATTACTTTGGGCAGTATGGTCATTCTCACGATATTGATTCTTCCTATCCATGAGCATGGAATTTTTTTCCATTTGTTTCACTTTCACATCATATGATACCTATTTGTGAATGACTTTTTCTTAAATATCTGTGTACTTCATAAATTAATTGCCATGTGTAAGCACTTGCAGGATGGAATGTGCATGAGCACACTGGCCCGTAGTGTATCCCATCAGGATGACAAAACTATAGAATCAATGGCCTTGGTTTTTCCAGTGGGGGGAAAAAAGGCAGGTAAGAAAACATAAAATATTTTTAAAGGTGTTTGGAAAGTTGTGCAAACAAGATATAATTCTAGTATTAGGTTTTTGAGAAATGTCTTATTCTGAATGCTCTTTTAATAATAACATAGAAATAACTCCATAGGTGAAAAGGTCTCCAGCGCTTTTTAAAAGAAAACATAGCTATAGAGATAAAGCCAAAAGCCCTTAAGAAATACATTTAGGGCATCATATTATTGAAGGATTTTTAGATAGATTCAATATCTCACTGGGGTACAAAGAACATTAATTTCAAGCAATTTTAAGTCTGATAGTTCAGAGGAGAACTAATTGGTTTAAAAGTTTTTTATAGAATAAAAGAAAAATGCTATTGAAGATTAAGAAAGAAAGTAGTTGATGGGTCATTGACTCCCACATTGTATAACCATGAATCTCATTTACTCCCTTTAAGACATCTGTATAACTAAAAACTATTATTAAAATAAAAACTGGGGAAGAAAAGATTATCTCTTAAAAACTTTATAGCAGATAGCAGTAGGGATAATTCCTAACATAAATGACTAATATTTCTTCAGTTCTTTCCCTGAATGGCAAAAAGGACTTTTATTCGCAACTTTTAAAAAGTAGTTTTCCGTAAATATGAATCTTTTTTGAAAAACAGACTGGTAAGTCTTCTCCAAACATCCATATTGTCAGAAAATCCTTTGGCAAGAAAATACAGGTAAAACCAACACCTTTGCAGAGCTGGCCCCACGCCCGGTGTCCTACATGTCATTAAACTGACACAAAAATGTAATCGACAAGCAAAGCAAATTACCAAGAAAGTTGTTTCTGTCACTATTAAAAATGCCTGGGTGCTAAATAAGCCAGCAGGGGAACAAAGTTCAAACAGATTCCGCCAAGAGGGGACAATCCACGAATCAATTAATTGTGTGAGTTGTTTTTTCACCAGATTGCTTACTCCCAAGGGCAGAGTAATCGCATGCTACTATGTTGCATCATAAAATATGAAATAATCTTAATTAGAGAATATCACAAATTAAACAGCATATTGCATCCTGTATTCTCCTTATGATATTTTATCCTCACTGTGCAAATCCTTCCCTCTCTAAATTAACATGCCAAGCTTTTCCCAAATTTTCCCAACAGCCAGACACCTAAGCTAAGTCCCAGCCTGAAAGCAAAGAGAGTCACTGCTCTCTTCACATCCTAAGAGCTTCTGAGAGCAGGAATAACCCTGGGAACAGTGTATGTGATATGAAGTTAATGGAGAGGAGCCTCAAAATCAGTGCCCTGCATTACCATGTGGCATTATTCTTCACCGAGCAGTGATGCATCCCTCCTGCATCTGTGCGGCCACTCACTGCCCTGCTGTGCTCACCTGTGAGCATCAGACTCCAGGGGCACACTGGACAACCCACTAGGGTGTGGGAGGAGAGATTAGAACTTGTATTTATATTCGTGTTTACTAAAATTAAAAAGTAGAGCTTTATTAATACTTAATAAATGACTGATGTGGGACATGTATATGTATTATATACATATAACACTTTTGATATAAATTCTTATAATAATAACAATAGGTAACAGTTATTGAGACATTTATTACAAGTACTTCACCTGGGTCACCTGGGTTAACTCAATGAATTCTCACAGCAGCCATAGGGATGAGATGCCCACATAACTTACTGTCCAACCCAAAGTCCCAAGGGAGTGAGAGGGGCTCACTATTAATTACTGCATCATGGCAGCAGGAATAAATCTGGACCAGCTCAGGACACTGGCATGAAGGTCATCCTGGTCCTGAACAGAGAATGCACTGGCCAAGGTCACATTACAAGGCCATGGTACAGACTGAATGGAGCCCAGGATGTCAGAATTCAGGGCTGGGCTTATAGCCATACTGCTTCATTGCATGATGGAAAACCCAATAAATCACTGGATGACTTTACTGATAAGAGGCTGAGATAGAAGCCATATGGAGGAACAAGATGGCTAGACCCTTCCCCCTGCTCCTGCTCCCCTGACTAAGCACAACTGCGAAACCATGGATGGCACATGAAGCAACTCCAGGAGGACTCTTGGAGGAGAGGGTCCAAGACCCAAGAGGAGCAGCACAGTGCCAGGTCTCAGTCTCCACCCAGCAAGGACGGCCACTAGTCATGGTCTCCACCCCCGACCCAGCACCAGCAGGTCCTCAGATGGCTCATCCTCCAGATGGAGCAGAGCTGTTCCAGTAGCACCAGGGGAACCACTGGCAGGGGCCCATCAGAGCCCCACCAGAAATCAGTGGCTGGAGGGGAGGTCTCCTTACCACTGGGCCTGAGATGCCCTTTTCCTGCTGAGACACACAGGAGTGGGAGGCGGAACCATAAAGGGGCCTGCCACTGCAAGCAGCTGCTCAGAGAAACTCTGTTGTCCATGGCCTGGGGCTCTCCTGCCCTGACCAGAGGTGCCTGGGCTGCCCAGGACACAGGCACATGGGTCCCACCACATCCTTCTTCCACCAAGAGCCTCCTGGCAGCTGGCCCAGTGAAGCCTTTCCCAATCCACAGGCCACACCAGCAGGGACCAGTGGGAGCCCCCAGGGAACCAGAAAAACCAAGCAGACCAAACAACACAGCAAAGACTCCGAAAATTAAGCTGCCATCAGAACCACAGTCCACAAAAACAGTCCAAAACTTGTGGGCTGAACCTAAATTGGGTGACTTGCTGCTAAAATATAAGATTTGGGCCGGGCATGGTGGCTCACGCTTGTAATCCCAGCACTTTGAGAGGCCAAGGCAGGTGGATCTCCAGAGGTCACGAGTTCGAGACCAGCCTGGCCAACATGGTGAAACCCCATGTCTGCTGGAAATACAAAAATTAGCCAGGTGTGGTGGTGCACGCCTGTAATCCCAGTTACTCAGGAGGCTGAGGCATGTGAATTGCTTGAATATGGGAGGCAGAGGTTGCAGTGAGCCGACTGAGATTGCGCCACTGCACTCCAGCCTGGGTGACAGAGTGAGACTCTGTCTTAAAAAAGTGATAATAATAAAATAAAAAATTAAAATAAAATATGATTTAAATAGGGCTCAGAGACTTCTAACATAATAGACAAAATGTTCAGCATACAACTGAAAATCTCCTGTCATATCAAGAACTAGGAGATTCACAACTTGAATTTAAAAAGCCAATAAACTGATGTCAACAGTGATATTAATACAAATTTGGAATTATCTGACAAGAATGTAAAAGCAATAGCCATGGAAATGCTTCAACAATCAATTTAAAATGTTATTGAAACAAATGAAAAAGTAAATCTCAAGAAAGTTATAAAAAGGAACCGAATGGAGGCCGGGCGCAGTGGCTCATGCCTGTAATCCCAGTGCTTTAGGAGGCCGAGGTGGGCAGGTCACAAGGTCAGGAGTGTGAGACCAGCCTGGTCAATATGGTGAAACCCCATCTCTACTAAAAATACAAAAATTAGCCAGGAGTGGTGGTGGGTGCCTGTAATCCCAGCTACTGGGGAGGCTGAAGCAGAAGAATTGCTTGAACCTGGGAGGTGGAGGTTGCAGTGAGCCAAGATCACTCCACTGCACTCTAGCCTGGGCAACAGAGTGAGACTCCATCTCAAAAAAAAAAAATTGCCCAATGGCTCAACAGTAGAGCAGAGATGAAGAGCATTCCTTCAGTGAACATTAAGGCAGAACAATAGAATTCACTCCATATGAACAGCAGAGAGAAAGTAGATATTTTTAAAAAATTAAAACATTCTCCCTCACTGACCTCTGAGACAGAAGAGCCAACATTCAAATCGCTGGAGTCTCAAAATGAAAAGGAAGGGGGTGGGGAATTAAAGAGTGTTTAAAGAAATAATAACTAAAAACTTCACAAATCTGTCAAGAACATATCAATCTATAGATCCAAAAAGCTGAACAAACCCTAAACAATATTTTTTCAGTGCTGAGAGAAAAGAATAGTCAGCCATGGATTCTATATCCAGCTAAGCTCACCTTCAGGAGGGAAGGGGAAATGAAAACATTCTCAGATGCAGAAAACTAAATAATTTGTCATGAGCAGGTCAATCCTTAAATATTATATAAATGAAGTACTTCAAACAGAAAGAAAATGATAAAAAATTTTTGAGAATCAGGAAAGTAAAAGAAATGACAAAGAGTACACATGGGTGCATACACTAGACTACCCTTTTCCTGGTGAGTTTTATAAGTTATATTTATAATTGAATCAAAAATAATATCTTCTGATTCATAACAAAATGATGGTTAAAGGGGAAAGATAAAAAGACCTAAAGAGAAGTGAGATTTCCACACACAGCTGAAAATGGTAAAATATTGATACCAATCAACTTTTGTAAGTCATATATGTATATTGTAAAACCCAGAGCAACCATGACAAAAACTATACAAAGGGACACATTAAAACACTAAAAATAAATCAGGTTGGAATTTTAAAACAACATTCAAGTAATCCTGAGAAAAGGAAGAAACACAGAAGATCAAGCACCTGAGAAAACAAATAATAAAATACCACTTTTAAGTACTAACATACCAATAATCACCTTAAATGTGCATTGTCTAAATCAAAAGGTAGACATTATCAGAATGCATAAACATGACCCAATTATATGCTGCTTACAAAAAACTCTTACACAAGGCAGGTCAAAAGGAAAATGATGAAAACAGATAAGCTATATAAACATAAAAATTTTTGAAGACCAGTAGTAGTTATATTAATATCTCATAAAGTAGACTTCAGAGCAAAGAAAATTCCTAGAAACAAGAAAGAAGAGTCTATATGGATATAAAGATAATTCACCAGAAAGAAATATTTATCTTAATTGTGTATGCAATAAACAACATAACCTCAAAATACATGAAGTACCAACAGATGAAACTGAAAGAAGAAATATACAAATAGAAAATTATAGTTGATTGTTTTGACAGCCCCTTACCTCACCAATGGATAGTGCTACAAGACAGAAATTCATCAAAGATATACAGGACTGAACAATAAAGTCAACCAATAGGATCTAACCGACATACATAGAACAAGCTACATAACGACAATACAATACAAATATTTCTCAAGTGTACATGGTACATTTACCAAGACAGTTCATATGTTTGGGCAATAAAACAAACATCAACAAATGTGAAAGAATTAAAGTGATACAGAATATCTTTTCTGACCACAATGGAATCAAACTAGAAACCAGTAACAAAGACAACAGGAAAACCTCCAAACAAATTTCTAAATAATGTATGGGCTATAAAGGAAGCCTTAAAGGGATATTTTTTAAAAAGCATATAACAGAATGAAAACAAAAAACTTAATATATCAAAAGATGTTGGATGTAATTAAAGCAGCAATAAGAAGGAAATTTATAACACTAAATGTTTACATTAGAAATAAGAAAAGGTTTCTATTCTTTCCTGAAGAAACTAGAGAAAAAAGAATGAAAAACAATCTAGAGGAGCCAGAAAGAAGAAAATAACATAGAGCAGAAATCAATAAAATTGAAAATAGGAAAACAATGGGTAAGATCAATGCAACAAAAAACTAGTTATATGAAAAAAGTTAATAAAATTGATAAGCCCATAGTAAGACTGACAAAAATAAAGAGTGAAAACACAAATCACAACTACTAAGAATGAAATGAAAGTCTGGACATGGTGGCTTACACCTTTAATCCTAGCACTTTGGGAGGCTGAGGCAGGCAGATTGCTTGAGCCTGGGATTACAAGATTGCCAGCCTGGGCAACATGGCAAATCCCCATCTCTAGATAAACTACAAAAAATAACTAGGCATGGTGGCTTGAGCCTGTAGTCTCAGCAGCTCAGGAGGCTGAAGCAGCAGGATTGCTTGAGCCCAGGAGGTCGAGGCTGCAGTGAGCTGAGATGGCACCACTACACTCCAGCCTGGGTGACAGAGTAAGACCCTGTCCCCTCTCCCTCCAAAAAAAAAATAATAATAATAATAATAATAATAAGATAAAAGATACCACTTCAGAACTTCAGATGCTGCAGTCATTAAAAAGATAACAAGGGAATACTGTGAACAAATTTACACTTATAAATTCTCCAACTTAAAAGAAATGAACCAATTCCTTGAAAGCCACAAAGTACCAAAACTCAACCAGGACAAAATAGACAATCCAAGTAGTCCTATAACCAATAAAGACATTGGTCAAAATTTAGCTTATAATTAAAAAGCTGCCCAAAACAGCAATCTCCAGGACAGATGGTTTTACTAGATAAAAGAATTCTACCAAACATTTAAAGAAAAATTGAAATGAATCTTACACAATTTCTTCCAGATAATGAAAGAAGAGGAAACACTGCCAATTTATTTATTAATGCTAGTATTATTCTGAAACCAAAACCACACAAAGAGAATGCAAATAAAATGAAAACTACGGATCAATATATGTAATAAACTTAAATGCAAAAATCCTTAACAAAATATTAGCAAATCAAATCCAAACAACATATCAAAAGAATTAGATACCATGACCAAGTATAATTAGTCCAGGTATGCAAACTTGTTAAGCATTTGGAAATTGGTCAATGTCTTCCACCATAACAACAAGCAAATAAGAAAAATCATATTAATTGATGTAAGAAAAGCATTTGACAAAATCCCACACTTATGAATGATGAAAATAGACATTAGAAACAGAAGAAAATTACCCCAACTTGATAAAAAAGTGTCTAGCATCTACAAAAAAAAAAACACAAAAAACAAAAAACAAAAAACCACCCACAGCTAACGTTATACTTAATGGTAGAAGACCGAATGCTTTCCCCCTAAGATCAGGAACAAGACAATGCTCTACCCCTGTTATTTAACATAGTACTAGAAGTTCTAGCCACTGAAAAAGCGAGCAAAAGAAATAAAAGGCAGGCATACTGGAAAAGAAGAAATAAAAACTGTCTGCATTTGCAGACATTATGATTGCCTAAGGGTAATATCCCCAAAAAATTTACAAAGAAAATATCTAGAGTAAGAAGTGAGTTCAGCAAGATCACAGGATACAAGATCAGCCTGAAAAATCAATTGCATTTCTGTGTACTAACAATGAACAGGTGGTGATTGGAATTAAAAACATTTTACCACTTATAAGCACACAAAAGAAAATGAAATACTTAGATATACACTTAGCAAAGCTTGAACAGAAGCTCTGTACTGTATATTACACAGGCTGATGAAAGAAATAAAAGAAGACATAAATAAATGCTGAGACATACCATGTTCATGAATTGAAAAAAAATCAACATTAGTAATGATGTCGAGTCTCCCCAAATGGGTCTATAGGTTAAATACAATTTCTATCAAAACCCAGCAAAGATTTTTTTGTAGATACAGACAAGCTTATTCTAAAATTTGTGTAGAAAGACAAAGGTAAAATAATCTTGAAAAAGAATAAAGTAAGAGGAAGCAATCTACCTAATATCGAGTCTTACAGCTACAATAATCAAGACAGTATGGTACTGCTGAAAGGACAGACACATAGACTAATGGAACATAATAGAGAACCCAGAAATAAAACCAGGCAAATGCTCTCTACTGATTTTTTTACAAAGGTGTGAAAGCAATTCAATGAACGAAGGCTAGTCTTTTCACAAAATAGCACTGATGCAACTGGACATGTAGAGACAAAAAAAGAAAGAAAGAAAAAGAACCTAAACCTAAGCCTCTTATACAAAAATTAATTCAAACTAAATCATAGGCACACGTGTAAAATGTACAACTATGAACTTTTAGAAAAAGAATTACGAGAAAATCTTCAGGATCTCAAGTTGGGCAGAGTCCTTAGACTTGAAATCAAAAGCACATCCATAAAAGGAATATTGATAACTTGGATCTCATTAAAATTAAAAAGCTTTTTTGCTCTGTAAGAGCCCATGTGAAGGGTATAAAAAGACAAGCTATAGACTGGAGAAAATATTGACAAACCAATCTGACAAAGGACTAGTACCTAGAGCATATAAAGAACTTTCAAAACTCAACATTTAAAACATTCAATTAGAAAATAAGTAAAAGACATAAATAAGTATTTTACTGAAGAGGATATACACATGGCAAATAAGCATCTGAGAAAATGTTCACCATCATTAATCATTAGGGAAATAAAAAATTAAAACCACAATGATATTGCTATACGCTTACCAGAATGGCTAAAATGATAAAAAGAGACAATACCAACGCTGGCAAGGATACAGAGAAACTGGGTCACTTATATATTGCTGGTGGGAATATAAAGTAGAACAGCCACTCTGGAAAACAATTTGGTAGTTTCCAATAAAGTTAAACATTAAGCTACCATATAACCCACCAATAGTACTTTTAGACATTTATCTCAGAGAAATGAAAATGATATTCACACAACAATCTACACACAAAATTTGTAGCAGCTTCATTTGTAATAGCAACAAGTGGGGATCTGCCTATATGTCCTTCCACCGGTGAATGGCTAAACAAACTGTGATTGAGACAAACACTGAGTAGTGCTGGGACACTACTCGGCAACAGAAAGAAGAAACCATTGTTGCATGCAACAACTTGGATGGATCTCCAGGAAATCATGCTGAGCAAAAAAAAAAAAAAAAAAAAAAAAAAAAAAAAACAATCCCAAAAGGTTACACTGTGGGATTCTCTCTATGTAACATTTTTGGTATGGTTAAATTTTAGAAATAGAGAACAAATTCATGATGGCAAGGATTAGAAAAGGAGAGGCAGGGAAGGCACAGGCAGGGTGGAAGTGGATGTGGCCTTTTATAAAATGGTTACAGGGGAGATACCTGTGGAGATGGAACTATTTTCCTGACTGCGGTGGTGTGTGTGGGAAGTTACACATGTGATAAAATTATACAGAACAAATAATCACACACATAAATGAGTGCAAGTAAAACTGAATAAGGTAAGTGGATTGTGTCAATATCAATATCCTAGTTGTGACATTAGTATATTGGCACGTGAAGGGAGCTCAGAGCCAGTCCTATATTTGCCTTTGCAGGCACGGGGGGAATTGCTGTAAACAAACCTCGTCTTAACTGGTTTTGGCCCCATCTCCTTATCAAACAACCACGCAGATCTGCTAACAGCCAATTTGCCAAGTCGGACCCTGGTTCTCTCCAGCAGTCCTGGCTCACCTTCTGGCAAATTCATCAAAATACAGTGTGTGGGATGAAAAAGTGTTCTCTATTAACCAATTCATTGGTGATTAATCCCCCAACACAAATAAGAGTTGGCTTTGACTGACCCCTTCGTTAACACAGAAGTGACTGTGAAGTTTGGTGATGTACCCCAATTCTTCCAACAGAAAAGTGCTCCTGAAGTCCAGCCATTGTCTGTGGCAGAAGACTGAAAACAGTGTGACAAATCTTTCCATGAAGCTGCACTACTGAAATCTTATACCAGCAGCCCAGAGCTTCTCCCAAGCCTGTTCATATCCTGCATATTGGCCAAATTCTACCCTCAGATATGCACACATGGCCTCCTGATTTCCATTTAAAGGCTTTTGCAAACCTCGTTCCTACTTGAGGGTTAGGGAAGCTCTGCCAGTATCTGAGGATGATGCCGCCAGTTGAAATTTTCTAGACGCGACGGCTTAAATGGCTTGTGACTGAACTGGAAACACATCTACATTTCATTTTAATTATTGGTGATGACAACACAAACTCTGCCATCATTTTGTATTTTCCCTCTCTACCGTCTATTTCAAAATGACTTTATCATGCTTTATCATCGGCTGACTTCTACTTTAATGAACCTTCAGAACCACAAATCCTTAAGATCCCATTCCCTGTCATAGAAAGAGGAAAGCCCACCCGCACAGCTAAATGGAGAAAGGGACCAGCCTGCCGCCAGACACAGCAGAGGAGCTGTTCCCATTCCTTTAAAAATAGGAGAGGAAACACATCCCACCGTCTGGGATAGGAAACCTGTCCCTTCAGCCCCCAAGACCAGAGCCTTTCTGGAAACCTAGGATGGAAGCACATTCCTGGCTGGTACTCAATGACAGAAAGCGATGCTCTTTCTGCCACCTGCGGGGCAGTCGCTTCCCCCTGAAAAAGTCACTGTCCGAACACTTTGCAGCAGGGCAAGAGCCTGCCAGGCACTGGTGGGGCCTCTGGAACTTTCAACCTACTGCACAGAAACTCACACATGCCTTTAGCACCATTCACAGAAACAGCATCTTGTTTCCAGTTTGGCTGTAGATAATGAAATTAGCCCCCAAATTACCATAAAGTGGAAAAAGTAAACACGAAAGCAGGAGCTAGGTTTCCAGGCCTCTCCCTCCCCCCATACGGAACAGGACCCTCTGGCTTCTTCGCTGTTTAAATTCAAAGCAAGACTGCTGTTTTTCTAAGTCGCTATGCTGACCCCAAGCAGATAAAGAACACTAAATGACACATTCAGGAGAGCAGCTCTGTTCTCGCAGAGCCGCTGTGTTTACATCAGGAAATCCTGCTCGGGTGGGGACAGGGGGTCGGCCGCGGAGGCGGCCCGGGCGCCGGCCTCCCTAGCGCTCACCGCCGCGCTCCGCTGGCTGGGCCGTGCTGGCCCCTGGCGCTAGGCAGCTGACTCCATCCAGATGTGCCGCGGCTCCAGAGTGGCTGCCGCGCGCAGTAAATGGGCATCGGAGGCTCGTCAATCCGGGCCAGAGCAATTGCGGTCTCGGGGCCGCCCCACTGGCACTCGGAAAGGTGCGCGCGGGAGGGGACCGCGGAGGCGCCGGGCGGGGGCACCCTGGGCACGGGGGCACCCTGGGCGCGGGGAGAGCGCGCGCTAATGACCGACCGGGGAAATGTTCCTAATACATTTGTACATTTCCTTGTAAATGTTTTACACTTTGAAAGAAAGGGGAATGCTGTATATCATTTGGAAATGTTGGCTGTCTATAGGTCCCTGTGGGTATTACCGCGTTAGTACGACTTGTAACCAGAGCAAGAGAAACATAAAAAAGCTGGGAAACACTGCCAATTAGTCATTACAGGGGACTGTAAAAACAAAAGAAAGAGAAAGAGGAGGGAGGAGAAGGAATCAAAGAAGAATAAAATGACCTGGGGGGGAAAAAAAAGCAAAAGAAAAGGGATGCGTTTCTATGGTGTTCCGGGAATAGCGCGGGAAACAGGACAGCTGGCGGCTTTCTGATCAGCAGAGACCTGCAAAGCAGCAAGCTCCCAGGCGCAGCCCCGGAGCGGCCCTGTCAGTTCCCAAACGACACCTAGTTGCTGTCCCTGTAAAAACTCTAGCTGGGTCAGCAGGCAGGCAGTATGCTTTGAAGCGAGACCCAACTGTGCAAAATCCAAGTCAGACATTTATTTCTGATCGCCCGCCGCCTACACAGTCGTTGCTAGCTGAGTTGTAATAAAAAGGAGAAGACAGGAACTATTTTTTTTACAATCCCAAGTTCCTACCAGTCACCGGCTTCAAGCGGCCTGTGGTCATGGTTGCTGAAAACGGTTTTTAATTTTACAGTAATTCTGATGATCGAAATCTTTTTTTGTTTGTTTCTGCTTTTTGCCAGAGTCAAGAGTCCAAGAACTTGTAACATCACAATCTGAAATGGATCTGGCTGAGCCTCCCAGTCCTTCTTGAGTAACTTTATTGACCCCTTTCAGGACTTAAGTGAAGAGATAACGGTGGTGTACGCAATGTGTTAGTTGCAGGCCAAAACCCGGGCTGGGCCAGGCTTCTCCCAGGGAAGGGCTGTGATAGCTCAGGGCCTCCAGGGAGTGGGAGAGTTGGGGGGTGGCGGGTAGGGGGGTGAGGAGAGGAAGCTGGGGCCCACTCCCCAGGGACAGGGAGGCATATGTTGCTGGCTGGGAGAGAACTGCTTATCTCAGCAGCATGCAGGCCGGCTTCCAGCCAGGCCTCTTCAGCCCACAGTGATTTCAGTCCCCACCTCCTCTGAGTCATGAGGATGGCCACATGTGCCTCAGATCCAATTCCTGGCAAGGGCACAACTCTGCTAATCAGCTGGGGTCCTTCTTAGTGTCTGCCCATAGCTCAGCAGATGCACAGCTCAGCTTCACCAGGACAAAATGTCTTGCATTAGATCTGTTTCAAAAACAATTATATGAGCCAATTATCCTGGCTTCTAACAACAGATTTTAAAAATCTAGTAGCAAGATCTCAAAAAATGATTAAACCACAAACACTATTTTAAAATAACATTAAACCAGACAAGAGATGAAGATTCTCACAGAACCAACATGAGCACACTCTACTCCCCGAGCCCAACTCCCCATGCCTGTGTCTGTATCTCCAAAGTCCAGAGAGGGACTTACTTATATCTGGGCCCTCTTCTGAGATAGAAATGAGCACAGCAAGAATTCCTTATCTGCCAATGACTTTTACCTTCATAACATACAGCTTTGAAGTCTGTTCGTGGAAAAGCTGTCATCAGAGACTAACTGGAAAATCCTCATGAACTGGGTCCCTGACCTACCGATTTGCATTGCCCACAGGCTGGGCATGTTTTACCAGAGGCAGGTCTACAGCAGGTTAGTTGTGTCTCTTCAGAACTGGTCAAAAATAGTGTCATGCTTTTGCTGGCAAGCCTGTTCCAGCTCCTCTCAGTGCTTGGTTGCTTCTCTGTGGGAGCGCACCATCTCGCCTCCCACCTGACTGTGGGCGAACCCTGCAGCTGAGACCTTGCCCTTTGCAGTTGTCTCTGCAGATTGTATTCTTCGGCAATTGTCTTTACACTAATAGAACTGACTTTGAAATTTGAAGCTACAGCCTTGACATTTTTCTCAAGTTGTAGGTGCATTCTTCCAGCTGTAACTAGACATCTCCCCTTGAATTTCACATCATCATTTCAAATTTGGTGCATTGACAAGGAAATGCGTGGTTTTCCTTCCTTATCCCAAGGGCCAGAGGGCCACACCTTCCCTTAACTCAGCCCCCTTGACTCTCCAATTTCTACCAAAGATAGCATCACTCTCTCATTATAGAGGCCCATAGGCTCATTCCTTAACTCATTCCTTTCTTGCTTGGTTTGTATTCTAATTTCTGCAACAGAGCTCTGGGTGTTGTCCCCCTGCTCTGCAGACAAATAGTGAACCAGAGAGCCAGAAGCCCATTCCCGCCCAGTCAGCAGACAATCACAGTGCCCATCAAACACCCTCACAGTATAGTGTAAGTTTTCTGTTCAAAACTTTGCTGTCCCTGTGGTCCCTCACTTTTGCCTTGTGTGAAAAAGTTCACGTGCATTAACCTTGGAAACTTCCACAACTGGTGATAACCTCCTCTTCCACCACAACCTCCGTCCTCAGCCGCCTTCATCCTCGGGAGCCTCTCTGGCCCCTGCCTGCTGTGGACTCTCCCAAACCCAGCCTGGGGAGCCATTCCTACAGATCTTGGCTGCTAAAGGAGATTTAAACTCTTTCCTGCTCTCTACCAGGGTAAATTCTAACCAAACCTCAAACTCAAAATCAAATCTACAGTCCTCTGCAGAGGACAAGCTTCCGCAGGGATGGCCCTTGAACCCAGAGAGACCCTGTCCACCCCCAGTGAGGTCAATGACTGGCTGATCCCCAGCACTGGGTCCATTCCACAGTTTTGGTGCCTATCAGATGTCCCACCACACTTCCAATTCAGAAGTGCTAAAATCAAACTCCTTGTCTTTCCCCTGGAACTCTCTTCATTCTTTCATATCCTCCATTTGTTAACTTTAGGGTAATGGTCTATTTATCTGGTTTTATTTAAATCAAAACTCAGAAACCCCGGGCTTCTTCTCCTTTCTCCACTCTGAAGTCCAAGCAGCAACTGAGACCTGGCGCTCTGCTTCTTAGAGAGGACTCTACTTGCCACCTGCCACCTTCCTCCACCTTCCAGGGCTCCGTGGGCAGGACCGTCTTGGCAAGTGTGTGTTTTCAGGCCAATCACCACTGCCACCTTTACCAAAGGGCCCCTCAGGTCCACCCCTCAGCCTTGCCCACTCTGCCTGGTGCTCTGAGGCCACTCCCCACTCCCCTTGGCTGCCCCGTCCTCCAGCTTCCCATGGGCAGTGCAGCTCGGGCGGGAACCTGCTCCTCCCACCGTGCACCCCAGGTCCTGCACTATTTCTTCTGCTCTTCCTAAGCCTGCTCACAGCTTGGTAAATATTCCCTTCATTATGCTCTCTTCACACCGCCCAGGTTGAGAGCATTTTCTGCCAAGAAAACTCATGTCCTGACTGATATACGGTACCCTGAGTGAGCGAGTGAGTACTCATTTGATATTTAAGTACCTTTTGTAAAAATGCAATTGTATAAGTTTTGGAGGGATGTGACCCACAGAGCATCTAACAGTATGTCCTAAACGTGATTGGTGCCTAATAGCCGCCTTTTTTTTTTTTTTTTTTTTTTTTTTTGAGACAGGGTCTCGCTCTGTCACCCAGGCAGAAGAGCAGTGGTACGATCTTGGTTCATTACAGCCTTGACCTCCTGAGCTCAAGTGATCCTTCCACCTCAGCCTCCGGAGTAGCTGGGACCGCAGGAATGCAATACCATGTCTGGCTAATTTTTGTACTTTTGGTAGAGGCGGGGTCTTGCTACCTTACCAGGGCTGGTCTCAAACTCCCGGGCTCAAGCGATCCTCCTTGCCTTGGCCTCCCAAAGTACTGAGATTACAGGCATGAGCCGCTGCACAGAGCCCCACTAACTATTTTTTGAATAAATCTGAGTTCCTGAAAGATTGAATACAATCTGTTTAGAGGAAGAAGCTGTAAAACTGTAATAAGATGAAAGAAGAAGAAAGGAAGAAAAGGAGGAGCGAAAGGAGGAGGGGAAGAAACTGATTCATGCAGGTTAAATAATATCATAATTATTCCACTGTAATTTTTTTGCACTTTAAAGTACTCACCTGTCTATTCTGTACTGGAGTTCTGACCTTGTTTCTGGTCTACCACACCACTGCATTTTCAAACCAAGAATTCACTGAGAGCGAATAGGAAGGCTCGTGCACCAGAGAGACTATTCTCATTTATTTCTTAATTATTTATCAACAAAACTTCATTGGCACACTTATTGAGAGAGTTTCAAATCAGCGTGCTGGGCGCTGGGAAGCGCACTGGGTGCTGAGACACGGGAAGCCACAGCTTCTCTGGAGAAGCTCGCATTCTGAAAGGAAGCGTTGGGAGAGGACATGGATGAAAACATACAAGACAAAACAGTGAGCATTGTGATAAGAGATAATACAGTGTCACAGCAGCAAGAAGAAGGAATTCACGACTCTCAAGAGGTCGAGATCATCCTTGAACCACCACTGACCTCAAGGCAAGGCACAAGGCGAAGAGCCCCCGAGTGGCACAGGGAGATTGAGGGTCTCATCCCCACTCATAGGAATTCAGCCCATCAGTGGTCTAGACTGAGACAAGAAATTAAGTAAATTTGACTCCTATGCCACTTCTATATTTATCCATTCATTCGTGGGAACACTGAGATTCCACTCCCTGTGCCTGACAGTTTGAACTAACATTCTTACATGTTGGTATCACTCAAGAATCACACTGGGAGAAGGTGGGTTTAGGTTTCTCTAGCTAGAAAAAGACTCACCACAAGGAATCGAATGTAATCCTAGTTCTAATCCAATCTAGACCAAAAGGGTCCAGTTACTGTCCACAGAGGGCTGCGTCCAGGAAGGCCATACTGGTGTGCTCCCAGCCACAGCCCCAGCATGGCCGACACACAGGAATGAAAGGTCATGCCAGCTCCTGCTCCTTCCTTATCCTAAGAGCCCGAGGCCCACACCTTCCCTTAAACAGACCCAGGGCACAGCCCTTCCTTAAGTCATCCCATAACAGTGCTGGACTACCAAAGTCCAAGCCACCACACAGGGATGACATAAGTGAGGTTTCCATCTGCCAGGAGGCCAGAGGAATGCAAGTGTCACGTCATGGGGAAGGAAGGCCCAGTAGTAACAGTCACCTCCGAGGGGCCTTCCTTGTGGATTGAGGGTGTCTTCTCCATGCAGTTAGCTTAATAACAATAAACAGGTGGACTAGGTTCATGATTGATAAATTCCTTCTCTACCCAACCCTCCCCCTGCCCTAGACAATGTTGGTGTCTGTACAATTAGAAGGATCTATTCTCTTTTTAATGCGGAAGCAAAGCAGAGTGATAGGAGCTTAGAGAAATCGCAGCACAGATGTCAAGGCCGTAGGCCCAAGGGCTGTTAAAAAAAGAAAACTCTGTAAATGGAAGTGAGGCTTAGTAAGGCACAGCCCTTAAGTCTTGGCTCACAATGCAAAGGAAAAAAAGAAAAAAGAAAAAAGACTGGTGGGTGGGGGAGTTTCCTGAAGCCATGAGTAAAATCTGGCAGAAAGCATTCTATACAGCCTTTTTTGGTTTCAATCCGCATGACATCACAATCTGTGAATTTTGCTGTGATTGAATTTGAATGAACTTGTAGATTCAAAACAAAACCCATTTGAAACAAGCTCCACAAAGCAACTCTAGCTTCCCTGCAGCAGTTAAGTGCATTTCCTAACTGCCTTCTTCTTTTCTGGATGGCAAGGCCCGCCTGGGATAACACGCCAAGTCCAAACCACACAGACACATGCATGCACACGCATGCAGACACATACAAGCACACACAGACATATGTGCACACACACATGCAGACATACATGTGCACATACACTCATTCACAGAAACACACACACACACACACACACACAGTGGGAGCAGCAGGTCCAAGAGAAGTGGCAGGAGCACTGGACTGGACTGTCGATTCTACCTGGGAGAACCTGCCCATCCTTTTGTTCTGCTTCCCCTTTTTATTCCTATTATCTTAGTTCTGCCCAGTAAAGGCAAGAAGGAAGACCTAGACCAGCCCTGCAAACACATTGTGAGCTTAGAGAAACCAGGGCAGAAGAAAAGAAAACCACACAACAGTACTGGTGTGACGATTAAAGTATTCCACTATTCCAGGCTTCTCCTCTTTTGTTGAATTTGTTTCTACAGAACTGGGGATGATATGGGTAAGCATCAGATGTATTTACACATAACAGGTTTTTGTAAATAGTGAGAAACATAGCCCAACATACCTCCAGGTGTACAAGATCATTCAAAAACCAAACCTGAATTAACCATTTTGTTTTTCTATAAGGACAGCTATGCCACACATTGAAGAACTATGCTGCTAACATAGCCAACACAGGTAATCAGAATGTGTTTTAATATGCAAATAACCCTATCAAGGAATGCCTCCCAACCTATTCCATGTCTACCTAGCCTGGGACCCTAAAATCCTCCATGTCTCTGATCACCCTGGAAAAGCCTAAGACTCCAGGCTTTTAACACAGTGGTACTCAGTTGTGAGTGATCTTCCCCCCAGGAGACATTTAGCAATGTCTGGAGATGTTTTTGGTTGTCACAACTGTGGGGTGTGGGTGCTACTGGCATCCAGTGAGTAAAGGCCAGGGATGCTACTCAACATCCTACGGTAAACAGGTAGCCCTTACCCCACAACTCAGAAGGATCTGGTCCCAAATGTCAGCAGTGCCAAGGTTGAGAACCCCAATTTAACACATGAGCCCCCCTCCTTCCCCTCCCAAAAGAGTGTGTCAATACAACTGTCCCGCAGTGTTCTCTGACTTCATAGCTACCAAGGCAGGAGCCAACATGGAGCTGCCACAACAGCTTGGCAGAAGAGCCTGCAATCGAGTCGGTTCACCAGAACTAGAAGTCAGCGTAGACTGCGCAAAGCAAGAGTGATGGCCCAAACCCCTACAAAAATCGGTTGAAATAAAAATCAATGTCACCCTCAGACCACGGTCACTTTCTGCCAAGTAGTTAGCGAGAATTACAGGCATATGATTTCAAGAAAAATATTTTATCTTGGTGAGTTTTAGAAAGGAAAAAAGGAAAGTCTTTGCCCTGTTATGCAGTAGCACTATTCATTTGTGGTCTGTATCTGATTTCCTTGAGTAAGATGTGAAGACTTCAGAATGGATGTCAGAATAAATGATAGCTCCTGCAAATGGCAATCCTCGGGGTTTTGCTCATATGATCCCAGCATTTCACTGGCCTTCATCTTGGAGAAGCCTAAAGGGGTAGTCCTACCTCAAAAGAGGACAAAACTCTGTCCTCAGCAGAGAACAGCAGGCTTTCTGAGGTTTCCTCCTGCGTTACAGCGTTGGTTGTGAGGTTTAAACCAGTATCGTGTTTAAGAGAGAAACCTGTAGACTAGCTGCATTAGACTGAATCTTGAGCAAGTCATTTTACTTCCTGAGCCTCAGTTTCCTAACCCGTAAGCTGAGCTTTAATACTAACAGAACAATTAGCAGTGTTTTATTTGCTATGTGCCAAGCATGGTCTGGGTGGCTTGCATATGTCATCTAACTTAAATCTCCCTAGAGCCCTATGAGTACAAATGAGGAAACTGAGTCACAGACTGGTTATATAACTGCCCGGGGTCACACAGACGGAGGAAGCTAAGGTTTCAGCACAGGCTGCCTGTTTCTCCACCATGATGCTCCCCTCTTCACTGTGCCTCCTGGCTGGAGTAAATGAGCGATGCTCACATTGTCCTCTGGAGTAGTCATTAAGACAATGAGCCACCTTGGCTGCTTCTAGTCTTCGAAGGAACAGTTATGGAGCTGCACTTTAATCTTAACCTATAGCCCCTGTTGTTTTGAGTAACAGAAGAAGGATTCAAACAGGAGCTGAGAGAGGGCAGTTCCACATTCAGCTTCCCACTAAGTTGACCTTGGAAGTGAGTCCTCATTGGTGAAACATGGGCACCTCATTGGTTGTTGTGACCACTGAGTCAGAGGGAAGAGCATGCTCTGAGAAAAAGTTCAAAGCTCCAAATATGAATAACCTCATATGGGCGGCACCCAGAGTTCCACAGTCCTTCTACCTGACATCTCATGTGACTGTAATACGTGAGTCACAGGGCGCATCGCTTTTCCCAATTCACAGACGTGGAAACCAACCCCCTCAAAAAAGTGAGCTAACTCCCCCAGGTGACACAATTAGAACCCAATTTCCATAAATGGAATCTTCTGTATTGAGTTGGTGTCATCATTCCAGTCCAAGAAGACACACAATTACCTCTGACATCTCCAATATCACTTGTGGAGTTTTCAACTTTGCTCTTATATACCAATGCCTGTGGTACACATTTCTGAGGCTCTCAACACCTGCAGATGAATCTCTTGAAATCTGCAGTCATGGGATTAGGTAATGCAGTAGCAGTGGATGTCCAAAACATCCTGCTCTTTACGTAATATTTCTCTTTGTATTCTCACACAAAAGCAGTTAAAAATAAGAGCAGCCATGCCTGTGCCAGGCACACAGAGCCTTGTTTACAGGACGGGAGTGTGTAGGTCTTTTTTGGTAAGACAGCTGTGTTTCTAATGTCATTGTCTTTAGACAAGAAGTCATCTAAAGGATCTATCTCCAGCAATTTCTTCAAAGTATGTGTATTGCAAAAACTGCAACATAAAAAGAAAAATAGATTCATGTGGGACTTTGGAAGCAACATCATTTTTTTACTTTTCCTGACAAAATAAACACCCACCGAACAATGAAGAAACAGCTAAATGAGCACCGGATGAATGAAGCTTGCCCTTCTAAGTGCCTGCACCTGTCCAGAAACAGTGTGTACTTCTGCAGGCCTTACCCATATGCACAGACGAGCTACCTGTGGCCCCTCCTTCAGCATGGCAGGGTTCCCAACCAATTCTGGGGGCCCCCATTGCAGCAGGAGCTCCAGCCTGGCGTCCATGTTCACAGAACCCTAGCTACTTCTGAGTTTTCTGAACCGCACTCTGTCAGAAAGCTGTTGCATCTGGATCTACCCTCAACACTATTCATGTTCACTCCTTCTAACGCAGTGTGGGCTTGAAAACAAGGTAACCTGGCTTAAGACTTCTTTTGTGTGTAGGAGTTTTCTTCTTGAGACTTCCAACTTTGAAGACTTTTCCAGAAAGTTCAAGTTGCCAAATTTCTGACTCCTAGAAAATGAGCATATTGCTGTATGTTATACTTATTTATTCAATGATCATCATAAACCACCCAACAAATTCAGGAAATAGTCATTGAGTGCATACTTTGGATGAGGTACTGTTCTAAGCACTGGGGAAATAGTCATTGAGTGCATACTTTGGATGAGGTACTGTTCTAAGCACTGGGGAAAAGCAACTAACAAGATGGAAAATGTCTCTTACACTACAGGCCACAACTTGCATTCTAGTGGGAAGGGGGAGATAGTAGACAAGTGAACTCTTTCATGAGCAGATCATATGAGGGTAGGATGCGTCCTGAGAAGGACATCAATAGGAAATTATGATGGAGTCCTCGACATGGCAGAGGTGGGGTGTGTGCCCTTTGGGCTGAGACCTGAATAATGTGGAAGGGGCACAGTGCTGAGGTGGAGTCTTGCAGCTCCGTGGGGCACGCTCCAGCCTTTGGTTCTGCTAATGTTTTGTAAACATCAACTGTGTACCAGGCCCTGTGCTGAATGCTAGGGCTGCAAAATTAAATACAGGTGTCAGTCTTTCCATCCAAGGTGGAATGGGATGGGGGGCAGCCAGCCTCTGCTCTTCTTGTGGATGGGAGATTTTCATGCCAGTGTGATGACGCCCTGGGAATGGGCCAACAACCTGAGGAAGGAGGCTGCACCAGGGCAAACCCTGGTCACTGTGAACCCTCCCTGCAGCTGAGATGCAATCTTTATGCGGTGTGATGGCATCTACGACCTCTCTATAAATTGTAAAGGACATTACTCAGACCATCTTGAAGCAAACTGCATGTGCCACATTTAAAAGGGAGGCATGCTTCCAGGGTGTGTCTGCACCAGAGATGTTATCCAACACAAGGTAAGAGAACCAAAGTCTGCCCCTGACATTTAAGTCTCAAGATTATGAGACTTAAAGGAGATATGAGATTAAAGGAGAAGCCTTCTCTTGACATTTCTAAGCATCAAAAAGGAAAGCTGAAGGAACACAGAAACACACTGTGCCTGCCTCACCCTCTCCCTTCACCCTTGGTCTGCCCTTAGCTTTCCAAGGAAGGTCAGAGCTGCACCATTGACGTTAGCTGCCCCATTGCCTCTAAGTTCAGTGATGTTGCCATTGAAAGCAAACCAAACAAACATACACTCTCTCCAGCAAAGCTTCCAGGTGTGTCTCAGGAATGCACGGTGCCCTTATGGGACCCAACCAGGAAGTCCAAACTGGAAGGAAGGGTCACCAGGGACCATGCTAGTCCAGCTCACTGGACGGCAGTCCCTGAAGCCCTAAGAGCCTCACTATGTGCATGCCACAGACCAAATCCCCAAGCCCTGGGAGGGACAAACATCTGCCAAACACTTGTTATACACTAAGAGCTTTCCCATATCCAACTCCATTTGCAGAGCAATCTTGCTGGATGGACATTGTTATCCTCATTTCTAAACACAATCACTGGGAGATTGATTCACTGTGACAGAAATCGGATTTAAAGTTGGGGTTTTCCCGTACCACACTCCACAGCCCAAGCTCTTTCTAAACTGCCATCCTGCTTCCTGTCAGCCCCTCCCCCATTAGATCCGATTCTACAGCATCTCAGGTGATCCCAGGCTTCCCAGGCTCGCCCCCCTGTGGCCAGCCGTTTTGCCCACCTCCCAGCAGACCCTGCAAGACAAGGCGGCCGGGGTTCCTACTGAGACTCCTGCCCTTGCTGGGACCTGAGCTTTTCCTCAAAGCCTCACCTGCCTGGCCCGCCCCATTGTAGTAATGACTTCTTTGAGACGGGAGGGACTTTGGCATCATGCCCTGTGATTTTCTAGCCCAAGCTCCTTGTTTTATAGGTGAGAAGATCAACTCTAAAGCAGGCAAAATGACGTACGCAGGACAGCCAAGTACACTATCAACAGAGCTGCCCTGAAGCCCGGTCCCCACACCTGAGCATTGGTACAATGGCCTGGTGCCCTTGAAATTGCAGAGCTACTCCCAAAGTTGCCTCTATGATATCGTTAACCTCCTAGGGTTTTCCTGGTGATGCGGTGTCAAAAGGACAGCTTCCTGAAACACCGGCTACCATCTGGGGTGTGAAAACATCTGTGTGCTCATGCAAGCTTCATATGAGACGTCATGCATTCTTTGGTGGCAGCCTGAGCTCACCTAGGGCACAAAGCGAGTCACTGTCCTGTATCATGAAATGCAGAGAAAGCTGTTTCATTTAAGAGGATTAGGTACAGAGAGCATCATGCAGTCAAAATCAGGCTTCTTGTCACCAATACTTTTTGAAAACAAACTTTGTCCGCTGATCTTTATATTGTGCGGCAACAAAAACACAGACATCAAAAACTAAGAGAAAAATGCTAAAGAATTACATTTGTAGACAAACCTTGTTGAATGCTTATCATCTGTGTGAGGAACAAGTCAAAGCTGGTTGAATCATGGCTTTCCCTCAGCTTGCAAAAACACGAAGTGACTTCAGCTAAAGTGCTTTAGTCTTTCTAACTCACCACCACACCGATCATGAGAATGCTTGGCAGGAGTTCGATACCAGCCTGACTAACACAGTGAAACCCCCTCTCTACTAAAAATACAAAAATTAGCCGGGTGTAGTGGCCGGGCGCCTGTAATCCCAGCTACTCAGGAGGCTGAGGCAGGAGAATCGCTTGAACCCAGGAGGCGGAGGTTGCAGTGAGCCGAGATCGCTCTTGCTCTCCAGCCTGGAGGACAGAGCGAGACTCGTCTCAAAAAAAAAAAAAAACAAAACAAAACAAAAAAACGAATGCTTGCTCCCCTGCATTTCAGGAAGGAAACTTGAGATAGCAGTTGAGACAGGCTGAGCAGCACATAAAACCTTTTCCAAAGCACAATACTGGTTTTTATTCTTCTGGTTCAAAATGGTACTTCTGCATACTTTAAAATCCCAGTAAACCAAGACAGCTAAGCTAAGTCCTGGGAGTTATGCATCAATCTCCCTTTGGGAGAAAGAAGCAATATTTTTAAAAGTGCCACAGAGGAGATGGTGTACTCACAGCCAGCCCTTTCTTCTTGATTGAGCAACTATAAGTTCTATCTCAGGCCTAGAATTCTATTAAAACATCCTTCATTTTCAAAAACCATGAAGTGAAAATATTTAATGTGGAAGAAGCTGTTTCATGAGCTACTAACAAGTTTTCACAGGACTTGCATGTTACAAGTTGGTCCCCATCCGACGTGGGAGCCTCCAGCTCCAAAACTGCAGTTTTCTAGGTTAGAAGGCAGACGTCTGGCCAAAATAAATATGCGAATGAGTGGGCTCAGCACTCTCTTTAACTCTGACCTCTTCCTTTAATGGGACTTGAGAATGGAGCTTCGCCACTAGGATTTCCTGTTTCGTTTTCCTTTCATCTCTATCTCTCTCACGTTCCATTCCTTGCATTTATATTGCAGTGTTGTTCTCCCATGGAGTTTAGTTTGTACATCTTTCACAGGGCCCATGGAGTTGGAGAGGGTAAATTATTTTAATCTCCAAGCAGATTACACAGCTCACATTGTCCTATTATTTATAAACAAATACAAAGACAGTTCTGAGACGTCTACCACCAGGACAGGTGGAAAGGCACATTTTTAAGCAGTTTATACAGTAAAGCTTTTTTACATGTATTTATAAAATTTGTTTTGAAAAATTAATTGGGTTGTTCAATGGGTGGGGAGGAGATGAAGAGGGAAAATTGCTATCCAATCTGTCTTCATACTTTTTAATTAAGAAAAACAACTTCTGCTCTCCTCCATTAACAGAACTTTTAAATCCTGCTCAACTGGTGTCTTTTTTCCCCAAACAACAACTTGAAAATCTCCAACTGCTGTCTTGCCAAAATGGCTTAAAATGTGTTTTCCCATGGATGATCTCAGAAAAAGAAAAGAAAAGATAGGAAAGAAAACAGAAATGTGTTGATATTTATTGTTCCCTAGAAGCAGAGGACATTTGTAGTGTTGCTTTTCTCCTTCCTGGGATCTCAGGCTCTTTACCTACCAAATGATCTGGAAGGGTTTTGATCAGGCAGAGAAATTAATGGCACTGATTTGCCAGCACAAATTAATACATTCCTTAATGAACCAGAGCACTGCATTAGGCCTGCCCCTCTCACAGGCGTTTGCACTCTCTCCATCAAGCAGCCTGCCTCTCAGACAAATGCCTTTTGCTGTCTTGGGAGCCTGGACAGCTTTCATGTTCCACCTGGGACCAGCTCTCTGAAACCAGGTCACTCTTGGAAGCCACAGGGTATCTTGTAAACAGTGCGGCCAGCCACTTGTGGCCTGATATAGAACAGAAGCACAATTCCAGGGAACTCCTGAGGAATTTCTCCTGCTCTGGAGGAGGCTGCCTGACCATGTGACCCTCTGGAAAGAGAACAAAAGGACGCTCCCTTCTGAAGACAGCGGAAATGTCTTTCTTTGAAAGGCGTTCTTCAGGTGCTGCCCCCTCCGTGGGCCTGCTGGCTGTGAACACTGCCCAAAGCACAGCCTGGCCTGCGACTGGCTAGATGGGGTGCTACAGCTGCGCCTCTCACTGTACTGGGAAGAAGTCCGGGGGGGTGGTGTAAGAGGGAACCACTTTCCTCTCTACAAATTTAGCAGTTCTAGAAGAATACACACAGAGAACAAAAGAGTAAGGCTATATCCCTGCTTTCTTAATAAGAAAGTAAAGGCTATGTGCTTGTATTTATTATTATTATTATTATTATTTAAAGACAGGGCCTCTGCTCTGTCGCTGGAGTGCAGTGGCATGATCACAACTCACTGTAGCCTCCAACTTCTGGGCTCAAGTGATCCTCCTGCCTTGGCCTCCTGTAACTGGGATTACAGGCGCATACTCCACTGCACCTGGCTAATTAGTGTTTGCATTTATTAGTGAATGCACATACTTTATGTGGGCAAGAACTCTGTGGCCTCTTCAGTGAAAGCATGTGTGGAAATGTCTGTGTGGACCTTGGACTAAATCTGCTGACCCTGCACCCAGTTAGTTGCTCCTATTGGGGTAAGGAAGCCTTAAAAGTGTTCAGCGCACATTGATTTTCAAAGACATTATGATGCTAGCACCACATTAATCCTTAGAGTTATCTGATGAACTCACACCAACCAGAAGAAGAAGCTGAAGGTATAGGCTGTTGTTTTGGATTTGAAATGATTTTTCTCTTTTCTTTCTTTTATAATTTTTAAACTTTAAGATGGGTTCCTCATCTGCACAATAACACAAAGCAAAAGGACGTGATCTGATTAACATAAAGATTTTTCTCATGAAGCAAACCAGACTGAGTGACACAAACTGCTTCGCCTTTTAAGTAATTCATGGCAAATATAAGTAAATTCTGTAGATATTATGTATAATGTTTAAGAGAAAAAGATGATTTCGCTCCCTTCTACAAAAAAGAAAATAAAAAGAGTCTTGGCTGGCATAGCCACCAGTGAAGGGCCAGAGGACAGGGTACATGGATGGCACATGGTGTGCCCGGGGCCTGTGGCTGCACAGGTGGCCGCGGTACAGCTCCTGTGTGCCTGGTCACCCATAGAGCCAGAGTCCAGAGAGGGAGTGTCCTCTGTCCTCCTGCCTTGGGAATCCAGGTGTGCCATTCCACTCACACAACAGAGCTACATTCTGATGTGCTAAATATTTTTCTCTGTTCTGGGTGTGCTACTATGACTAGGACAAAAAAAAAAGTTTCTGCTCTCATGGGCCTTGCCATCTTAGGGGGAAGACAGAAGTAGACAAACAAGGAATGTCAGATAGAAGTATGACAAAGTGGATTAAAGAGAATGATGGGAGAGCTCCTTTAAACGAGCTTGTCGGGGAAGGCCTCCCCAAGGTGGGGACATCCCAGCTGAGATCAGGGTGAGCTAAGGGCTCCATGACCTGTTCATTCACCTGTCAGAATCCTGCTTGTCTCTTAAAACCTAGCCCAAGTGCCACGTCCTCAAGAAGTCCTTACTTACAAAGCTGAGCCCCCTCCTCCGTGCCCTCTAGTCCTCTCACTATGGATTTTATTACATTAGACTGAAGTGTTTGTAGCTTTGCCTCCACACTTGAGAGCAGGAGCCCCGCCTCACTCACCTTGACCACAGTATGGCACAGTACCTTGCACCTGGTGGGCAGTCAGAAGAAAATTGCCCCAGTAAGAGGATGACCATGTGAATACATCCACATTGTGGGATGGCCACAGGCAGTTAAAGAAATGAAACTTTGGATCATTTTCTACTTTCCCAACATTATTTCCTACTTCTACGCCCGGAGTGACAGCCCCCATGGCTAGCTCAGGCTGCTGTTAAAGATGCACATGTAGTCTGAGGTTTAAGGCCCATGCAAGGTGGCACCTTGAATGTCCTTTTGCTTTGTAGATTTCCATTCCTCATTTCAACTTTAGGCCCCAGAATACCTCATTGGATCAGAATTGCCTTGACACTTCTTTCTCTCACAGCCTCCATTTCTGCACCAAGCTAGGAGTTGTGCCATGAAGAGCTGAGAGCTCTGCTGTGTTGCCCATCCCTCCAAGGCCTTGACGTGGTGTGCCCAACCAGGAACCACATGGGGCAAAGAGACACATGAGAACCAAAACCCCAAAGCAGCTGGGACCAAAAAGGGCTGCAAACCAGGCCAGATGCCTAGACTTTGGTAGTTCCAAAAGTCTCTTCTGAGAAATAGAAACATTACGATGGTGACTTGCATGGTCTCAGATCCTTTGTTCAGGAGCCCTAGAGGCACTTGGAAAAGTAAGCACAAGGCGGCACTGAGGGACATTCTTTCAATGGAGACCACACAGGATTGCAGGAGAAGATTCTCTCTCAAGAGAATCTCATAACCAAAAATTTCAAAACAAAGAAGTATTTACTAAGCATGAGTTAGCAGACACAATAAACCCTAGGAGTAATAGAACAATGTGCTCAAGGATGTTATAAAAAAAAGTTATAAAATAAGATAAAATAAGTACTTTTTTTTTTTTGAGATGGAGTCTTGCTCTGTCACCCAAGCTGGAGTGCAGTGGTGTGATCTTGGCTCACTGCAACCTCCGCCTCCCAGGTTCAAGTGATTCTCCTGCATCAGCCTCCCGAGTAGCTGGGAATACAGGTGCCCGCCACCACACCCGGCTAATTTTTTGTATTTTTAGTAGAGACAGGGTTTCACCATGTTAGCCAGGATGGTCTTGATCTCCTGACCCCGTGATCCACCCCCCTCAGCCTCCCAAAGTGCTGGGATTACAGGCATGAGCCACCATGCCCAGCCTAAAATAAGTACTTTTAAACATTAAAAAGATAAAGAATCCCATTCTGTAGGTTGCCTGTTCACTCTGATGGTAGTTTCTTTTGCTGTGCAGAAGCTCTTTAGTTTAATTAGATTCCAACTGTCAATTTTGGCTTTTGTTGCCATTGCTTTTGGTGTTTTAGACATGAAGTCCTTGCCCATGCCTATGTCCTGAGTGGTATTGCCTAGGTTTTCTTCTAGGGTTTTTATGGTTTTAGGTCTAACATTTAAGTCTTTAATCCATAATTTTTGCAAACTACCCATCTGACAAAGGGCTAATATCCAGAATCTACAAAGAACTTAAACAAATTTACAAGAAAAAAATCAAACAACCCCATCAAAAAGTGGGCAAAGGATATGAACAGACACTTCTCAAAACAAGACATTTGTGCAGCCAGCAGACACATGAAAAAATGCTCATCATCACTGGCCATCAGAGAAATGCAAATCAAAGCCACAATGAGACACCATGTCATACCAGTTAGAATGGTGATCATTAAAAAGTCAGAAAACAACAGGTGCTGGAGAGGATGTGGAGAAATAGGAACACTTTTACACTGTTGGTGGGACTGTAAACTAGTTCAACCATTGTGGAAGACAGTGTGGTGATTCCTCAAGGATCCAGCACTAGAAATACCATTTGACCCAGCCATCCCATTACTGGGTATACACCCAAAGGATTATAAATCATGCTGCTATAAAGACACATGCACATGTATGTTTATTGTGGCACTATTCACAATAGCAAAGACTTGGAACCAACCCAAGTGCCCATCAATGATAGACTGGATTAAGAAAATGTGGCACATATACACCATGGAATACTATGCAGCCATAAAAAAGGATGAGTTCATGTCCTTTGTAGGGACATGGATGAAGCTAGAAACCATCATTCTCAGCAAACTATCGCAAGGACAGAAAACCAAACACCGCATGTTCTCACTCATCAGTGGGAATTGGAAAATGAGAACACTTGGACACAGGAAGGGGAACATCACACACTGGGGCCTGTCATGGGGTGGGGGGAGGGGGGAGGGATAGCATTAGAAGATATACCTAATGTAAATGATGAGTTAATGGGTGCAGCACACCAACATGGCACATGTATACATATGTGACAAACCTGCACGTTGTGCACATGTACCCTAGAACTTAAAGTATAATTAAAAAAAGATAAAGAATCCTAGCATAAATAATAAGACACTTTAAAATTAGTGTAGATATCTTTGAGAAAGATAAAACTTTTAGAATAAAATATAGTTATTAAAATTAAAAATTCAGGATTGGCTGGGATACCACCTTAGACATAGGTAAATAAAGAATTAGTGAACTAGAATATGTATCTGAGGAAGTCACCCAGAATCTCAAGACACAGAGAGAGAGAGAGACAATAACATGCAAGCAGCACTGAGACCTGAGTTGGAGAACAGAGTCCCCCACATGCCTGGGCAGACCCTGCTTACTGCTCGCACAGCTTCCATTCTGCCGCCTCTCCTCCCAGATTGCTGATTTGTTTGGGGTGACAATACCCCTAAATATATATTTATCTCCCAGCTCCTCAGAGCAAAAAAGTCAGCAAGTGACATAATTCTATCCAGTGAAATAGAAGCAGAAATTTCCAAGTGGCGTTCCTGAGTGTATAGTTTAAAATCCTACCTTGTGTCCTTAGGGTTTTTTCTGTGTGGACCAAAGACAGTGCTGAGGTGGAGCAGTTACCTGGCAGATGTACAAGGGACGATGAAGCAGAAAGCTAAAATGTCCTGAGCCTGCCTCCCTCCAGGCAGCTAGGTATGTGAGGAAAAAAATCACTCTCATCTATTCAAGCCACTGTGAAGTTGTGTTTTCTATCTGATGCAGCTGGATGTAATGTCTCTAACTGATAAAATGTTTAAGAGGCATCTTGAAGGAGAGAATAAAGAGAACAGAAGTGAGATGATACTTTAAGTAGAAATCCCTGAGAAATTTTCAAATCAAACGTAAACACTTAGAAGGAAGAGTCTCACTAAGTCCCAACCAGAAAGGTTAAAAATAAGTCTGTACTTTGACACATTCAAAACATCAAGGGGAGAAAGGAAATCTTAAAGTAACCACAGAGAAAAGACATCACAGATTCAGTGCAGATTCCTCAAAAGAAAGAGACAATGCAATGAGACCCTCCAAGCCTGGAGAGGAAATTACTGTTGACCTGAATTCCCTACTTAGTCAAACTATTACTCAACAGTGAGAGCAAAATAAAGGCTTTTTCAGATAAAGAGGAGCTTATCAGTCAGAGGCCTTCACTGAAATAACTGCTAAGGATATATGTTAGGAAGATGGGAGAGGAAGCCAGAGAAAAACGTAAATGCAGGAAGCGTCAGTGAGCAGAGACACAGAGGGACGCACATGTGAATCTAAACAATTGACTTTAAAATGTACATAAAACCTATGCAGCACATAGCGAAAGCTTATGATTGAAGAGGCCGTTTGGGTAACAAGCACAGAAATTGCCTCTCTGGTATCATTTTTCTAGCAAATCCTGGGCTCTGTTATTCTACAAACAGACTTCCACGTCTGTCTCCAGTTCTTTCCCATAGAAGCGGACTGTAGGGTCAACATTTCTGCCACAGGAAGTAGTTTAGGGACTAAAAGGGCTGCCTCCATATTTTCTGGTGCTACCTAGAAATCTTTGACAACTATCACGATTTCAGTTTACAGACTTTAGTCAGGGAGAAAATTAATTTTAATTGTTTTATATAGAATGCTAAGTAGTTGAATCAAATCCATACCTGAAAAAACAAAACTGGTGCCACATATAACCACTAAATATCACTGCCCCTGTGAATATTATCACTTCCACAATCTAGTCTTCCATTCTGTCAAAACTCCCCCACATATACTTACCCATTTAAATGCAAACAACACGCTATGAAAGGAACAGCCCACTGAGGCTGTTCTCCATGTAGCAAGGAACTTCATTATGGCCAAGTGTTTCCATGGCAACATTGACTTTGTCTTGGGATTGTATATAATAATCCTTGTGGTACAATTTGTTGGATTCTATTGCTTTATGTTGCAATTTGCTTTACTGCATTTTCTAAAATAAAGAAATCATTCGTCCAAAATCATATAATATTCCAATTGATTTTTCTTTTTTGCCTCCTACGCCCTCCCCCCCAACCCTTTTTAACAGTCTTAACACAGTCTTGCTCTTCTTACAGTTAATTTCCTCTAGTCTGATCATTTCCAAAGGAAGTGACAGAAAATCACTAGTAAGATTCCTATGGATTTTTCTGACACTTGTCAAATGCCTCTTGACCTAAAATACAGGCCAACTCTAGCCACTTTGAGACAGAACTTGATATCATTGCCATCTCAAGTTCCATTCCCCCTCATCCCCAGATTAGAGACTTTGAATCCTTTGATTCATTAGAGACCTTGAATGCTTTGAAATATGCTGGGGGTTGACAAAATATTCTCAGGAGAAAAAAATCATTCCTTTCCTCTCTTACTCACAAACACAACATGGAAACTAGACCTAAACCCCAACGCGTTAGCCCCTCGCGGCCACATTCCATTCCCAGGCCTGGCTGATGAGGTGGTCTGGGAAGCATTCTAGCTGGGAGAGATCACATTGCTAAATGGGGACAAGAAAAGGAATGCGGTTTCCTGAAAGTTTCCAGCAAGTACATGGGAATGGAGCTCTTGAAAGAGCCCTAGAGCTGGAAGCACTTCCCTTCTGAGAAACACTTCCAATCCCCCGTGGAGCCAAGTGTAATAACAGTCCTGACATTATTATTACAAAGGGGAAAAAATCATTCATGCAGACTTGCTGCTGTAATTTGGGCATTTATAAGCCACACCCACTTTGCAACCTTAAAGCCATGTGGTTTAAACTGGAGCCCACACAAAAGAGGGGGCTGTTAGTCAAAGCCATACAGCAATTACTGTCCGTTTTCTCAGAGGGTGTTGAGGATGGCTATTTTTTAAGTGCTTTGAAAGGCTTTTTAAAAAATTGGCCTCTTTCTTTCTGCATGCAATATATATCCTCAAAGTTTTAACAAAATTTTCCCTTTTTTGACCACAAGATAGAGTTCCAGACATGGGCAAAGAACTCATGTAATAAGAGCTTGTGGTTCAGGGGAACTTAATACAATAATCGTGTGTTCAGGAAAATTTTCTGCAATTGCAGCTCATTTTTTTCATTTAGTGAATCTGCTTTATTTAGAATGAGCCGATGGCTCCCAGAAGTCACTGTGGCCTCCTACCACGCACATGTGTCACCAGTTACATTTGAATGACTTCTCTAGCAGGCATGAACAGAGCACTGTTTTAGGAGACTTAGCATTACATATGGACCTTGTGGTTCCTGCACAGTAACACGATGACTTTTTTAATTGTGGTAAAATATACATAACATAAAATTTACCAGTTTAACTCTTTGTAAGTGCACAGTTCAGTGGCATTAAGTACATTCACATTGCTGTGCAGCCATGACCACCCGCCATCTCCAGAACTTTTTCATTATCCAAATCAAAAATTCTGTACCAATTAAACAATAATTCCCCATGATTCCCCCCATTTATACCCTAGCAACTGCTATAATACCTTCTGTTCCTATGAATTTGCTGATTCTGGATACTTCATATAAGTAGACTCAGACAACATTTGTCCTTCTGCATCTGGCTTATTTCACTTAGTATAATATCTCTGAGGTTCATCCATGTTGTAGCATGTACCAGAATTTCATTCTTTTTTCAGGCTGAATAATATTCCTGTATATATGTATACTGTATTTTGTTTCTTCATTCATCCATCAATGAACACTTGGGTTATTTCCACCTCTTGGCTATTGTGAACACTGGTGCTATGAACATTGGTGTACAAATATCTGAGTCCTTGCTTTCTTTTGGATATATACACAGAAAAGGGATTGATGGATTATATGGTCATTCTGTGTTTAACTTTTAGAGGCACCTCCATATAGTTTTCCATGGCGTCTACACCATTTTACATTCCTAGCAACAATGCTGGTAATTGCAGTTCCAGTTTCTCTACATCCTTGTCAACATGTTATTTTCTGTTTTTCTGATAGTAGCCATCCTAAGGATGTAATGTAATCTCTACATCCTTGCCAACATGTTATTTTCTGTTTTTCTGATAGTAGCAAATTTTTTTATTTGTGTTTCCGTAATGGTTGGTAATATTGAGCGTCTCTTCATGTGCATATTGGCCATTTGTATACCTTCCTTAGAGAATGTCTATTCAAGTTCTTTGCCCATTTTTTTAATTGAGTTGTTTGTTTTTGTTGTTGTTGAGTTGTAGGAGTTTATTCTGGATATCCATCTCTTATTAGATATATGATTTGTAAATATTTTCTTTCCACTTTGTTGATAGTTTCCTTTAATGCACGGAAGTTTTTAATTTTGATAAAATCTAACTTATCTATTTTTCTCTTTTGTTGCCTGTGCTTTTGGTTTCAATATCCGAGAAATAGTTGCCAAATTCAATGTCATGAAGTTTTTCCCGTTTTCTACAAAACTGTGTTTTATAGTTTTAGCTCTTATGTTTAGAGCTTTGATCCACTTGAGTTAATTTTTGTATATGGTATAAAGGTTCAACTTCATTCTTTTGAATGTAGCTATCCCATTTTCCCAGGATCACTTGTTGAAAAGCTTGTCCTTTCCCCATTGAATGCTCTTGACACCATTGTGACCTCATATACATTGACTATGTATATATGAGGATTCACTTCTGGGCTTTTTCTTTTGTTTAATTGGTCTATATGTCCGCCTTTATGCCAGCACTACACTGTTTTGATTACTGCAGCTTTGTAATAAGTTTCAAAATCAGGAAGTATGAGTTCTCCAACTTCGTTATTTTATTTCAAGATTGCTTTTGCTAGTCAGATTCCTTGAGCCTCTATACGAATTTTAGGATTAATTTTTCTATTTCTGCAAAAAAAAAATGCCTTTAAGAACTTGATAGGGGTTGTAGAATTCACATATTTTATTCAATTTATTAACAGTAAATTAATTTAGTTGACAATATTAAGTCATTCAATTTATAAACACAGGATGCCTTTCCATTTATTTCTGACTAATTTCTTTCAACTTTTTTTTAGTTTTTGATCTACAATTCTTTTGTCTATTTGGTCAAGCTTATTCCTAAGCATTTTATTCATTTTGATATTATTATTATAAGTAGAATAGTTTTCTTAATTTCTCTTTCAGATTATTATTGGCAGATAAAATCACAAGTGACTTTTGTGTGTTGGAGATGATTTTTAAAATGTGTCAAGAGGTTAGGTATCACCAGGAAATATCCCTAACAAGAAGCGGGGTTATAAAGCACTGCGAGACTCACCTTTTTGCAGCTGTCTGTCTATATATTGGAGGCCAAAGAAGGAAAAAAGATAAACCACTTATCCTACATAAGAAGCCAATCTCTCATGGTATTTTTTTATTTAATAGTGAGCATCTATTATATATCAGGCACTGTCCAAAGGCTAGGGGTTGGGAGGTGAACAAAACAAAACTTCCTGCCATCGTTGAGTTTAGAGTCCAGCGAGAATAATAAAAAATAAACAAAATAGCCAAGTAAGAGGCAGAAGGTGCAGAGTGGTGATGCATGCTACTTGAGACCACACAGCAGGAAGGGGTAAGACGCTCTTTTCCATGGGGTAGTCAGGGCCCACTCCTCGAGGAAGAAACGTCGGGCGAGGCCTGAAGGACGCGCTAAGCCGCAAGAAGAGTGGGAGGAGCTCGCTGGGGCCTGCAAGGCGAGAAGCCTGGCTGGAGCGGAGTGGGCCGATGGAGTGAGGCAGCTGTGGGAGGGCCAGCGGACCTTATGCCCTCTCTGGACCCTACTCTCGGGAGCGTGTGAACTGGGGCTAGAATAGGGGATGCCCAGGAGCCCCTCTCCATATTTAGAAGCCGTGGCCCTCAGGCAGATGAGGAGCCCTGGTTTCCTTATATTTAAATATACCTCAGAAAATATGCTGCCTGGGGGAGGATCACACAAAATAATGCCTTGGGAAACACTTTGTAAAGAGCCAAGTTCTGTAACTAAGAGAGTTACAAGGTTTTGCGCCTTGCGGTGCAAATTCTGTAGAAACAGAAGCAAGCCTGTGCTCCTGTTTTCTGGGTTACCTTTTACCAAATGGAGGTTTGATGGACTAAACTAAGCATTAGTGATATGAGGACCAGGATGCCTGTGAAACATGCAAGGTAAATGCTCAGGAGAGATGTGAAGGACTTCCCATTTTTAAGACTCACACGGAAAGCTGTGTTAAAGAAGAGAGTGTGGTCTTGGTGAGGCATAGACATGTAGGCCAATGGAACAGAATGCAGAGTCCACAAATAGAGCCACACAATCGTGACCAAATGATTTTTGACAAAGGTGCAAAGGTAGTGCAATGGAGAAAGGGTAGTCACCTTCACAAATGAGGTTGAAACAACCAGATATCCAGGTGAACCTCAAATTAACCTCACAATTCATACAAAATTTGCCTCAAAATGGATCATAGATCTGCATGTAAAACATAAACTATGCAACTTCTAGAAAAAAAGCATGAAGCAAAATCTTCATGAATGGAATTAGGCAAAGAGTTTTTAAATGTATCACCAGAAGCATAGTCTATAAAAGAAATAAAAAATTGGACTTCACCAAAATTAAGAACTCTTGCTCTGTGAAATATACTGTTAAGTGAGTAAAACAAACATTGTATAGATTGGGGAACAATATTTGCAAATTACATATCCAAAAAAGTATTTGTACCCAGAATATGTAAAGAACTCTCAAAGTGCTGCATAAGAAAACAAATACCCAATTTTTAAAAAATATGCAAAAGGCCAGGCGCGGTGGCTTACACCTGTAATCCCAGCACTTTGGGAGGCCAAGGTGGGCGGATAATGAGGTCAGGAGTTCAAGACCACCCTGGCCAACATAGTGAAACCCTGTCTCTACTAAAACGTACAAAAATTAGCCGTGTGTGGTGGTGGGCACCTGTAGTCCCAGATACTTGGGAGGCTGAGGCATGAGAATCACTTGGACCTGGGAGGCGAAAGTTGCAGTGAGCTGAGACTGTGCCATTGCACTACAGAGTGAGACTCCATCTCAAAAAAATAAAAATAAAAATAAAAATGTGCAAAAGACTTATCATTTCCCCAGAGGATATACAGATGGTAAATAAGCCCACCGAAAAGATGTTCAACATAATTCATTAGGAAAATACAAATTAAAACCACGGTAAAGTAACACTACGCACAAATTAGAATGACTGAAACAAAAACTGCTGACAATACTGAGTGCAGGGGAGGATGGGGGAAAACTGGGTCTTTCATACATCGCTGGTAGAGTGTAAAAGGGCACAGCCACCCTGAAAAAGTTGGGCAGTTCTTACAAATGTAAAAATATACTCCTCAGTGTTTACAGCAGGAGTTGGAAAACTTCTTAAAGTGTCAGATGGTAAATGTTTTAGACTCAAGGTCTTTGTCACAGAAAGTCAACTCCCCGGTTGTAGAATGCAGCCACACAAAGATACATGAACAAGTGGGCATGGCTATATTTCAGCAAAACTTCACAAAACAAGTGGAACTTGTTTTTGCTTTGTTTCATTTTGTTGTTTTTTATGGTTTGTGCAAACTTCAAATCGTTTTAACATTTTTAAGTGGTTATAAAAGTTCCTGCATAGTAGCCTCGATTTTGAGTTGTTTTGTGACCTGAAAAGCCTATAATATGTATTATCTGACCATTAAAAAAAAAAGATTTCCATCCCTGCTCTAGAGAAATGGAAACTTATGTTCACCAAAAATTTTGTAAATGGATATTCATAGCAGCTCTAGTAATAATCATGAAAAACAGAAAACAATATAAATGTCCTTTAACCAATGAATAAACAAACTATGACACATCTATACAATGAAATACTAGTCAGCAGCAACAAGGAACAAACCACTGATATCCTCAATCACATGGGTGAATCAGAAGATGCCAATATCCAAAGTTAATTCCTCCATTTTATGATATTTCAAACCATGTCTGTATGCTGCTAGGCAAATAATATTTATTGTAAGTTTCAATCTATCAAGTACAATATCTCATTATTTTAAAGATGCTCTGAATCCAGTGTGGGGACAGATTTGTATAGTCTCTAATTGTAAGACTGGAACTCAAAATGAACTAGGCTCAGAATCAACTCTGGCATCCCTGAATTTTGTTACCTTATACAATTAATTTATTTGAATCTCTGTTTCCTAAAATGAAAATAATAATAGCTTGAAGAAGAAGAAGGAGGAGGAGGAAGAGGAGGAGAAGCCACCGCCAATATCAAGAGGTTTCTACCTGTATGACCCTATTTACATGACTGAGCAGACTGATGGCTTTGGGGTGGCATGGGGGAGGGTGTGATCGCCCCAGGGCAGCTCAGGGCCTCCAGGTGCTGCAGCTACCCTGTGTCTTGCCTGTAATGAGACAAATCTACACGTGTGTTAAGGCTCATGGGTGGTGCACACATGCAGAAGAACTTGGCTCTACTGGATGTTAACTTAAAATTCAAAATTCAAGATGTGTTTGTAACACTGTCGGCGTGTACCTCTTCAATATTCATGCATTCCAATGCCTGCCTTTGTTAAAAGCCACAGAATGCAGCAGGAAGGGAGACAGGCTGACAGACACCATTAAGAACCTTGAAGAGCTTCTGCAAAGAAAGAACCATGATGTCAAAGACGAGCTTGCATGAAGGAGTAAGACATGGGGGAAAACAGTCAGACTTTAGTATTTTTTGCCCTGCTGCTAGGAAGCACCTCGCTGAAAAGTTATCATGTATGGCAGTGACGATGCTAAAAGTTCAACAAGGCACCAAGGAATGACAACTCAGACAGGTGAAGTCACTTGTTTTTTATGAATTCTAGAAAAGGGGACTTTTAAGTGTCACCACTCAGCATCTACTTGAGTCCTGTCAACAGCAGGCATTGCACTTTAGGTGCCTGTACTCCTTAGAGACGTAGAGGAAGAACAAAGACAAAACATTAACATTTACAATTCCACAGTCAAGCAGATGATAAACTGAATGCCTGCGAGGGAGGACCCCACCAAGAGCAAGCCATGGGAACATCTTAAACACAGCCTGGTGGACAGCAGTGGGTGGCTCACAGAGCTGGGTTCAACTAGAGCCTAGAGAGGTTAAACAGAAGAGCATCTGGAGAAGCAGAGTCCTGCAAAGTGTTTGAAAATGAACGAGGACAGAGACTAGTTAGTGACTGTCAGAAGGGGCCAGGAGGTGAATGGGGAAACTGGGCTTTCCAAAGTGTCACAGAACACAGCTCTGAAGGTGCAGAGGCAGAGAATGAGCACGCCATAGGAGGGGCACAGGCAGTGAGTCTGGGCCTGTGTGGGACGAGCAAAGAGAGAACAAAAGCACAAGTGGCCATGCCAAGCACATGAGGAACAGTGTCCCCAGCTCACACAGCTCACCCTGTGATCAGACAGAGATCACCACCCTCTGAACTTGCAACCCCAGGGTGAGTGGACAGTGACATCCACTCGCTCTGTGTACAATGACTGTACTATACCTGTACTAACTGGAGTTCTCCAGAGAAGGATAACCAATAGGAGGTATATATGCATAGAGGGAGAGAGAGCAATTTATTTTAAAGATTGACCCATGCAATTATGGAAGCTGGCAAGTCCAAAATCTACAGGGTGGGCTGGCAAGCTGGAGACCCCAAGAAGGCTGATGTTGCAGCTGAAGCCTAATGGCCATTAGATTGGAGAACTAGGAAAAGGCTTATGTTGCAGTCCCATTCTGAAGGCTGTAAGTTCCTTTAGGGAAGGCTGGAAGAAAGATGGAGTGTAAGTTTTTGGCTGCATACCAGGGTCCTTGTTCAAGGAGACCCAACCTCCCCTTCATTCAATGGGTTTGAGTCTGTAAACTGGCTCAAGTCTGGGAATTGATTGAGGGGGCATGACTCTCTTTTCATGGTTCAAGTTAGACTTTAGTTTGCTTGATCCAGAATTTAACTGCTTATACAGCTCGAGTAAGAATTTAGTAGGTTTCCTGTGTGTTTCACTGCTGAGAATACCATGATCCACCAGCCGATGCCCCGGGCTGGCATGAGTCAGGCTCTTCTGATTGCAGCTTGGATTCTGCCATCCTTTACAGGGTCCACATCCATGCAGTGATGCTACTTGGCCCCTGCCACTTAAGGATTTAATACTCCCACTGTGTGGATGTTTCCCCACTGTAGGGTGTGGCCCACAGAGAAGAGCAGTCACAGCTCATCAAGGGTTCTGGGGCTCCCCTCTCACATGCATTTCCCATAATCGTGGGAAAAGGTGTGAGTTCTGGGCCCTCCCAGGGTGAGTGAGGATGTCTGGAAAGACGAATCCTCTCTTGCATTCCAACCTCCCCAAGGCTTTGAATCCCTTCCTCTGCATTAAGCCATGACAGGGTTATCATCTCTAACTCATTCACTGTGGGCTTTTGGTCTGTTTCTGCCAAACAGCCCAAGAGTTAGAGCCCCTTTCAACTCCCCAAGCCGCTGCAAAAATTAGTTCAGAATCTCTGCTTAGTGGGCCCGTATCAATGCATTTGGCCTGATCCAACTCAGTGTTCTTTCCACCATTATCTCACACCCTTCATATCCTTAATATCCACACAAGACCACATTCTTCCCTTCTTAGGAGAAAAAGTTCACTGACTGTGATCACAATGGGATCAACTTTTAAGGGATCCCATTTCTTAAATTTGGTAGACTACAGTCAGGGAAGGAAGGAACAGGATGGGGAATGTTCAAATGTGTTCACACTGAGAGCAGAATCATAGACATTGGAGGCTGGGAAAGGTGGAAGGTTTTGAGGGATGGGTACCAAGTTCCCTGTTCAGGGGATGGTTAAACAAAAAGCCCAGACTTCACTAGGCAATATATCCATGTAACAAATCTGCACTTGTACCTGCTACATCTATAAACATTTTTTACTTATTTTATTTATTTATTTATTTTAAGATGGAGTTTCACTCTGTCCCCGGCTGGAGTGAAGTGGCACAATCTCGGCTCACTGCAACCTCCACTTTCTGGGTTCAAGTGATTCTCCTGACTCAGCCTCCCGAGTAGCACGGATTGTAGACACCCATCACCATGCCTGGCTAATTTTTCTATTTTTTTTTTTAGTAGAGACGGGGTTTCTCCATGTTGGCCATGCTGGTCTTGAACTCCTGACCTCAGGTGATCCACCCGCCTCGGCCTCCCAAAGTGCTAGGATTACAGGCATGAGCCACTGCGCCTGGCCTTTAAAAAATTTAGAAAGCAAATGTGCTCACATTGAGCACCCACTCTGCCAGGTGCTGGTGTGTGGACCCAGTCCTGTGAGGTGGGTGCCTATCCACCTCATGTTCCAGAAGAGGACACTTGGATCACAAAGGAACTTGTCCAGTGACAGAAAAGGTGGCAATGGTGAATTCAAATCCAGGTCGGCCTGGCTCCAAAGCATGTTTAAATAAGCTGTTGGGCCAAAACCTAGAACCTTCAGATGCTGATTGCTTAATAATGCCTCCTGGGTTTTCTTGTTTCCCAAAAGTTTTGCATTTTGGCACAATCTCCTTCTTGAATCTGAGTCTGGAATGTTATGGGAACAAGATGAAGAAGAATTGGCCTCCAATTTTATTTTAGGGTTCAGAATATGTTCGTCGTGTACGGTAAAGGCAACCAAAATCAACATTGTTAAATTAAATCATGACTTTTGCAGAAGTACTGATTCACATAGATACTGCACATTTTCAGAGAGAACATGTGGATTTTAGGGGAACTAGCCTGCCTCTAGTTAGGGAGAAATTCTGCTCCACACATTCTGGTTCAGAAACTCCTGTGGGCATTTTGAGATGCCAGAATCTGGGGGGTCAGGTTAGCCACTGCACACAGCCCTTTCCAGAAAGCATGATGTATTATGTTTGAAAAACTAACAGAAGCTCCTAGTCACAGACTGAATGGCCAGTAAGTTTTAAAAAGACCTGGGATTAAAGTTCTGTAGAAGAAATTAATTTACGGCTTTATGATTTATTAAGGTCCCTTTGGCCTTCTGACTTGCATTGCCATTCAAAGAGTAGTTAGAAAAGCTCATTTGGAGAAGGCACTGAGACTGAACCCCAGGTAGACAGTCAGTCTTTGTCTCATTCCACACTGCATCCCCAGCCCCTGGTGTAGTACACAGTACACAGTGGGGCTGGGCAAAGATTTGTGAAGTGCACCAATATTACGTGGGAATGAGAATGTTCTTAGCACCAAAGATGTGAGATTAGGTCAAGAATACAGGATTAGTCACTGAGCTCACAAAGTGTGCATTAGTTGTTTTATTAACATTGAATAAGGGAATTTTTTTGTAAACAAAGAAGACATAGAATAAGTGGCTTATGTTAAAGATAATTATTTGTACGTCGTGAAATGTCTGAACTCAGTCCCCTGAGAATAAACCATCTCGATATATTTCTTCAGCTTAGCTGAGAAAAGTTCAACAATAATAAACATGAAATGTCTGTGCTTTTTACACACCCAAAGGAAAAAGTGAGAACCCCCACTCTGACTGCTTCGGCGGCAGACACATGTGCGCAGGGTAAACAAACAAAGCTTACGAAGCCCGAGATGGAGGCATGCATTCCACAGACCCGGGCTGCCCTGCATGTGGGCCCCGGGCAGTGTAGGGATTAAAGGGCAAGGGCCAAGGGCCAGGTCAATTTTTGATCCGGAGACTGAAAATCTGAGACTGGCCAGGTCAGAAAAGGCCCAGAAAGCCGACTACACCAACTACTCCCAGCTCCCCCAAACAGGTAGGCGTGAACTCAGCTGTGCTGTTGAGGAAGGGATGGCAGAGGACAGTGCTGGCCTTCTCTCCACACTTTCCAGGACCCTCCTGCACCCCCGTGACAACCTAGGGGGCAGGTCTGCACTCACCTCACCTCTGGCACTAATGCACCAGCTGGCTGCACTCTGGTGGGTTTCCCAGACTGGGTTTCTTGCAGAGAAGACAGGCTAGTGAAATTCTCTAGAAAATAAAATGCAGAACTTCCAAAGTGCTATTTAGAAGAGTAGTACAACTTGAAAACAATCAGCCAGTTTCAGCAAGGACCCCAGGGGACAGATCAGGGTTTCTGGAAGAGCTGCTGGTGTGGCTGCAACCCTGCCGTGGGTAGGGTCCATCTGAGGTGGGCTGTGCAAGGCTGTGCACGGTCCACCTCAGGGACTTGGTGCTCCCAACTGCATCTGCCCAGGGGCTTCTTTCTGCCCCCCACCCAGCCTCCACAAGAGCTCCCTGAGGCTCAGGCTGGGCAATCCCATCTCCTGTTGAAGTCCCATAATCTGTGAAGTTTGTGGTCAATAAAGGAAGTTTAGGAATAGGAAATAGAGGAGCTGTTTTAAATACAGAGACCTAAGGCTTAGTCTACGCATAAAATACAAAGGAAAAAAGGGAGCCCTGAGATACTGCATAAGGAAAGTAATTCAGGTGCAGGAAGAGAAACCCAAAGCCCGACCTTGAAATAAAGCCCATAACATGCATCCCCAAGAAAGGTGTGGGGTTCCTGGATAGGAGTGACCCAGAATAGATTTCCTGAGGAAAGCATTTGAGAGACAAACAAAAAAAAATGAATCCTGAACGGAAAGTCAGCTTTGTGGCACGAGGTTTGAGCAACCAGACTCACTTTGTCAATATCTGCTACACCCAAACTTCCAGAAAGGGCAGCGCCCTCAAAGAAGACAGGGTCTGAGGACACACCAGACAGGTGAGTGAAGAGGTTCAGGATGTGTGAGCATTTTAAAATACACCATCTACCGAAGACTTGTGCCCACAGAAACAAATACAAAACAACTTTTTTTCCATCTTTTTCATCATCAGACCAAGAAATCTAAAAGAATCATTTTATGGGAGTCTTTGTGTTCATCAAACTGATCTGCAAAGTTTAAGGACTCGATCAAATAGAATAATGCAATGTCTTCTTAAAATATTTCTCTTATGGAGGTTGGATGAAAGATATGCTTTGTTCTGATCATGTGTAAGGCACGTGGTGTCAGCTCCACAGGGACAAGAGGAACCCACTGCCAGCCAACCTCTCAGGGACATTTCCTCTGCTCAAAGGTGGGGTCAGCCCTGTGCAGCGCAGGCCGACCCAGGAGAAATGGGAAAATTCCCAGGTCCAGTCAGCAGGGCAGTGGCACCTCGACCCCCAGCGTCCACTCCCCACAGTGGACCAACCTGAATTCCAGCCAGCCACGGTCCCTGGTCACAGCCATCCAGACCCTCACCTTAGGAGGCTGTAACACCCCACACCCAACCCACGCCATGCCCCAGCCAACTCTACCAAAAGAATGTTCTTCCCTGGAGATGCCTCATCGTTTTATACCTCCAAGGTTTGCATATCGGATAGGAGACGGTGGGTCCATCTGGTGTCTCCGGGTTCTGAACCACCATGACTTTTGCTCACAGGTGTAGCCAAGCCCGCAGCCTGTCAGAGGAGGCCTCCACCCCTAACATGTATCCCTCCACCACCCCAACCCTTTCTCTTCCCGGCCATTCTGCCTCCAACTCCCCCACCACAAACTGTCATTAATTCTCATCTGCAAATCTCTGAAAACCTGCCACCCTGGGGGTGCAGCTGGCCCAGGAAAGGGAGCACGGAGGGCAGCAGCCCATCAATAATCATCAGCAGGGAAGACCGCACAGCCAGGCGGCAGCTAATTAGGTAGGGTGGAGTAATTAAATTCACAGGCTTTGATCTGTTCTTCAAATATTTCCAAATGTTCTCTATCATTTGGCTTTAGATACCATCACACTTCTCCACAATTACGAGCTGCCTCCTGGTTGACCTTAGTCTCTCTGCTGCAGAGGGACCCACGCTGCAGCCAGGCCAGCATCCCCCAGAGGAGGTGGGTGAGAAGCCTCTCAACTGGGAATCAAGTGGTTGTATTAATGTAAGTTATAGACAGGGGCAACAGGAAAACGCAGGAAATGGCTGAACAAGCTGTTTGCCAGTCCTTTTCAATTTCGAAAATCAGATGTGCCATCACCAGAGGGGACTTACAGGGAAGCTAAAGCTAATTTGCAACAACAGTGTTTTGTATCCATCACCAAGGCACAGACTATCACACTTCCCATCCAGAGAAAGCGCACCTTGACATGCTGAGACATGGCATCACCATTCAGAAGGTCTCATTTTCATGGCCTTCCTGCCCCCCAGAAAAGAGGCTCCTCTGTGCGGGAGCCTTAGGGAACGGACGTGCCAGCCATGGTGGTGTCTCTCCTCCCCATGAGGAAAGACCAGCCAGTTTTTCTGCTGAAGTAAGTGGCTGTTTTGTGATTAGCAGGAGTTTGTGAAGAGCTGGGATCCCGCTGGCTCCCAGCCTGTAGCCCCCACCTCAGCCCTGCAGGGCCACCACGGGGAAGCCCCATCCCTATGCTGCCTGCTGGTGCAGTCTCCAGGAACCAACTCGGATTCACTGGTCAGCAGTGTCGTCTCATCACCTCCTAAAAACTGGGAGCTCTGGAACAAATACCACTCTCCAGTTCTGCTACTTTCCCCCTTCCTCAGAATAAAAATGACCTCTTCAAGGGAAATGCCTGTCTATGGGTAAACCGTCTGAGTGAAATGAGAACCCTCTCCCAACACTGCCTCTGCAGACTTCCGAAACCAAACAGGAGCCTTAATGTCTGAACGTTTCTATTACTTCATCTACGCATAAAGTGCTCACAACCATCCAAGAAGCACAATCTTTTAACACAAAACAATGGAAAGTGAGAAGGCTGTTTCATTACTTTTCCATCTTTGGCTCAGACATGGAAAGGCTATTCTGGGCTGAGTCTTACAGGAAGTACCAAAAACCTCAGGAGGGATGGAGCTGCTGCAAGATTTCCAGTCTGTTTTAACAGGCTGTTGGAGACATTTCAGACAGGTTTCTGCTAAAGACCCAAACATGTGGGTGCTTATCTGAACTGAACCCAAATCTTTGGAATTTTACACCTCACTCCTGAAAACTCTGCCGCATGCTCTGACTTGCAGCTCCCGGAGGCACTGTCTCCTGGGAGTCAGGGTCACCTTTGCATACACCTGTTCTGCCCAGGGTGGTTGGGAAACGTCTTTCAACTCTGTATTTCTCCAGTTCGTTCTATATGGTCTGTGCAACCACTGAGCTTTCAAAGCAAGTCCACTGGAATGCTTCATAGCTGAATGGTCATAAGAGGACTTTATAATGAATCTACTTGGAGCAACTCAGAACAGGTATCAGCTAGAAGGACAATTAAAGTACGTGTTCTGCCAGGAAATTCTGCCAGTTTTTACCTGTTAAAGCAATTGGGAAATAGACTTGTACCTGCTGAAAAATTTACTTGTACGTGCACGCATGATGTGGGAGGGTGAGCAGGTGTTTGCGAACCACAGTTATATTCTTAACAATGCTCTCTGTCTCCAATTGAAAAAGAATGTTTGCTGCTCACACTTTCTTACAACGAGAAGAGGAAAGTTCTGTGGAGCTCAAGAGCCCAATGGGGTGGTTAGATTTTCAGAGTGAAAGAAAGTGCTCACTATGGAGCATGAATTTCCACATCCAACATATTTTGGGATTTTCTTTAATTAAAAGCAACCAGCTTTGGATTCTTCTTCATAACTCTTTGCTGCCAAACAGTAGGAAAGGAACTAGCCCTGACAACCAAGGCCCAGAGGACACCATCAGTCACTTCCTGGCCCTCTGTGCTGGGATTTGCCCAGAAGCAACATTTCCCCCTGTGCTTGTATGAAAGGACCCCACTATGGGAACAAAGAGACAATAAAGTAATTCACTGAGTAATCCTGCTGAGAAATGAATCCCATTTGAAGCCAAATCTAATTGCACAGAGACACTGAATTAGTGCCTAGGTGATAATAGATAAGGAATGCTTTCATTATGCTACAATGGATGAGTAGACTCTTCAAGAGCAGCCTAGCGCCCTGATAACCCACGTGTAAATGGGGAGTTGCATCAGTGTGTTCCATAGACTAATTTCAGATTAGAATGAAACACAGAGAAGACATGTTTTTACGACAAAGGAAAAATAATTTGACGGTTCTTTATAAGTCCTCTGGCTGTGCCCTTCTTTTCCTGGGTTATAGCTGCAGAGTGTGGGCCAGAGAGTGCTTTCCTGTTGTCTCTGCCATGCAGGAACAGCTGCTGCCGTGAAATATCTGAAGCCCAATTTGGGCAGAGCCCCCAAATCCCCAGTGTTCCACACAGGCAAAAGCTGGGAGATTCCTACTTTTGCTCCAGCTTCCCCCTTTCCATGGTCACAGCAAACAGAGCCACTGTGTTCAGGAAGTGGTGACTGGTCTATTATTGGACTGTGGTCTGCGGTCAGGCCCACTGTGGTCAATATTGTGGTCTCCCCCTGGATTTTGTTCCATGAAGGTGCCATCTTTAATGTTGCCAACGTATTATCATCCCTTCTCCCTCCCCCAAAAGCCTTGTCCATAGCACATTCCTAACCATCAGACCACTTATAAACATAGGTCAGTCAAGTTTTGCCCTTCTAGCATGGATATTCAGAAGCCCAAGGCTTACTTCTTCTTGCAGTGCCAATGCAGAGGCAACAGTGAAAAATACTGGCACTAAGCCAGCTGCAGAAGCATCTCATTTAACCTGGCAAACAATACTCAGTTACAGGAGCAAGTCACAGGAAGATGGGAGACCCAGACCCTCAGGCAGACCAAGCCCACGAAGCACCTGTGAAAGGGATGGGCAAGGTTGCCAGGGCTCACAAGCACAGCTAGGTGGCCCAGGGGATCCATGGACATGGGAAATGTCCAGCCTAGACAGCCAATTTCCACCTGCTCTACTTTGCAACTTTACTGTGCTATTGGCCACAGGTAAAGCTGTGTAACTGAGGCCCTTGTCTATCAGTCCAACTCTCTCAGCAGCTTTGATTTCAATGGAAAATGGCATGTGTGTTCAAAGAAGCCTGGGCAGGGCCCCGCAGCTGAGAAATACAATCGTGAGCGTGGCGACCTGGGTTTACCCATGGACAGCTGCATTCTTTCCCGGAGCTTCAGAGTCAAGCACATTGACTTGTAAAACCTTAATTAGGGTCTTAAAATGGTTACACACTGTTAAAAGGATGAGGGGTGGGATGTGCACAGAAATCCAACGTGTCTGTTCCCTCACTGTATGTTTATCTTCACCTAACTCCCTTTTGAAAAAGCAGCGCCCACCACCCGAAAGCCATCTCACCAGAGTGAGCAGGTGCCGGGCGGAGCACAAAGAGCGCCAGCTTTCTCTGTTTAAGATCCTCACCCTCTTTGGTGCCATGTTACTGCCAGTGTGCAGAAATCCCCTTCCCAAGTCCCCCAAGGTGTTTAGGATCATTCAAAACCATTCGAACTGCTGGCTTGCTTTCAGGTGAGCACTATAAACAAACCCCTGCCCGAGTGGAAAATGCTTTCCAAGTCAGCTTTTCTAAGTCAACACCAGTCTCCAAACCTGGACATTTCACAAGGATCTTCTCATGTTTTCCATTGTTTTGCTTCCAACATGCATCCTAAAGCCCGAGCCTTTAAGGTTTGTGTCTCTAATGGCCTCTTGCAAATGGCCTTGCTATTTTAGTTTGTCTTGAATGATTCTAAAGTTTTCCATCTTTGGGGTAGGTGGATCCATTCACTGCTGGACAGCCTATCTGCAACTCAGCCAGTCGCCAAGCACTTCCTGAGCTCATGGGCCTTGCTAGCTCCTGGCTGGCATTTATTTCAGGCCTTCCAGTATCCTGGGTAGTTTGCAGGCATTCCCTCCCATTCTTCATGTCCTTATGAGGTAGATGACATTTTTACCCCAGTTTTACATATGAAGAAACTGAGACTCGGAGCTGTGAAGCCACTGGCACACACAACATAGCAAGGAAGCAGCAAATGTGACACCTCACCCAGGTCACCTGGCTCAGAAGCCTAAGCACGAATCCACTGGAGGGCCTGGGGTACCCTGGCACACAAAATACCAACATCTCCTGCCCTCATGGGTCCCACAAGGGAGAATTCAGAAACTAAACAAATGCAAATAACATTAAATAAGCACAGGAGGAATAGAAAGTACAGATCACTATGGAAATTTTGCAGCAGACGTACCTTGCAAATGTGCAGTTTCCTTATATGGAAACACACAGGCCCTCTCAGAGGGAGAAAGGAAAGCACACACCAAATGCATTTTCTCTCCTCTAGATCCTAATCCCTGCCTGGAACAGGTTACATTTTTCCCAGGGAGCTAAAGACATATATTAAATACCTGAAATCCTTAATCATTAATTTGTTCTCATCTAAAATCTAAGAGGACCTACACACAATGCTGATGTGACTAAAAAATAAAATAAAACCTAAGAGGATCACTAACACACACAGCTCTACCTTTTGAGAAAAATCTATGAAGTTATATCATGTGCATTTTTTCCAAGACAGTATACATTGCTCTAAGTTAAAAATAAGCATTTGCCTGAGATTTAGAAAATAAAACGGAAATGAGTAAATGCTACTTTCTGTGTCATGTGGCCATTTTTTATTAGAATTTGTTTTTCAGAGAAAACTCAGCTTTAAGCAAATGTTTTCCCTCCTATAAAGCTGGGATGGCACAAGGAGGTGTTGATGGCGAAGTAGAAAAGTAAACCAGGGAGAGGAACTGCGGCTAATTTGCTCTTTTATATTAATTTTTAAAAATGATATTAGTGGAAAAGGGCACTGAAGCTACAGATCAGACTAAAATATTTTAATGCATCTGTAAACTTTGATTATCTATACTATATTGTAACAACATCAGCTAGCACATGTTGGGCGTGTATTATTTGCCAGGTACTGGACTAGGTCTTTGCTATAATTATGCCTTTCCAGGCAGATATTGTCATAACTACTCATGAAATGTAAAAATGAATCATTGTCACAACTGGCTTGTAGGGAGTGCTGGCCCCGCACCAAGCATTATCCTACACACTTTATGTGTCTTAGGGCACATTTTCCATTAACTAGTAGTGCAGCATCTAAATCCCCATCCTATTGAGGAGTGGAGGTAAGGAATGAGTCCCACTTTCCCTCAGCACACCCTCTGGTGGCTTGCATCCTACCATTCAGATGGGCCATTGACTCGTGAAGAAATGGTTTCATTTCAGAAACAGTTGGCCAGTCTCCCCTGCAGCAGCAGTGGACTACCCATGAGGGATGAGAAATGGTCAAGGTCCAGCTGCTTTGGCTCTTGCTCATTGTTAAACCTACTTCCTCAGTCATGCGATGGTTGCCTTCTCATAAGCTCATCCCTGCTTTGGAAAGCCAGTGGTCATCTACAATGTTGGCAAGCAAGAATTATAACTAAATCACAAGCGTTTTCTCATTTAACCCTCACAGCCACCAAATGAGGCAGGTACTTTACTATGTCCATGTTATAGGCAAGAAATTAAGGTGCAGAGGGGTTGAATGCCTGATATGGTTTACCTCTGTGTCCCCACCTAAATCTCATCTTGAACTGTACTCCCATAATTCCCAAGTGTTGTGGGAGGGACCCGGTGGGAGATTATTTGAATCATGGGGGCAGTGTCTCGCATATTTTTCTCGTGGTAGTGAACAAGTCTCACGGGATGTGACAGTTTTATCGGGGGTTTCCGCTTTTGCATCTTCCTCATTTTCTCTTGCTGCTGCCATATAGGAAGTGCCTTTCACCTCCCAAAGTGATTCTGAGGCCTCCCCAGCCATGTGGAACTGTAAGTCCAATTAAACCTCTTTTTCTTCCCAGTCTCAGGTATGTCTTTATCAGCAGCGTGACAATGGACTAATACAATGCCTTACTCAAGATTGCAGAGCTAGTGCCAGTGTTGAAACCTGAGCAATCTCACACCAAATCCAGCTCAGGGAGATTTACTAACTTATCCAAGCAACTCTGGGTACAGTCATTATTTGATTCCACTATCACAGGCAGCTTTTTACTGTTGTGAAGTTCAACTGAGACACAGAGACCCAGAAGAGCATTCAAGAGACTGCTATAATCCAGAACATAGCACTTTAAGGCTTATCCACTGGGATCCTAGAACCTTTCAAATGCTCCACTCCATATCCCAGCTCTATTTCTGGACAGCAAGCCTGCTCTCCCCAAATGGAGCTTTCACCTCCTCCCTGGGCCTTGATCCCAATACACAGAGGGTCAGATGAGGTTCTGCAGACCAGAACATTACCTCACAGTGACTTCCAGGAGGCAGGTCTCTTCGCCCCACTAGGGAGGAGAGGCCCCACTGCCCCTGCACCTGCAGCCAGGCAAGAGGAAGTTTCTTCTTTTTAAAATCCCTCCTTGTTTCCATAAATCTCAGGCCTCTTAACCTTCCAAGCTCTGAATAAAGGTACAGTGTTTCTTCTCCACAAACAGCATACTGTGCCCCACTTCTATCAATGCAAGGGTCACCCAGTGCCCGTTGAAAACAGCCTTCCCATTGAGAATGTTCACATTGCTTACTTTCCCTGTGGTTCTGAATCTTCTCTCCTTGTCCATTCAAAGTTCCAGTGAAGGTGCTGCATTGATAACAACTTTAGCCTCTCCAGTGTTCACAATGGAAGGCCAGGAGAGAGATTATCCACAGCCCCGGGGGAATTCTGAAGATGGTGGGAATGGGGTGGACCCCTGGGGCCCCAGCCGTCAGTGAGCAGCCCTGCAGGTAGGCAGCTCTTGACACCACATGGATACTTTCAATGGCTCGCTTCTTTAGATGACAATGAAAGAGGGTCAAGGAGTGTTTTCTTCTCTAGCTCTGAAATGGTTCATTCTGCTTTCCTGCCAGTTACCCATGGCCAAAGAAGCGGCTGATGGTTTCAAATATTATTTGAATATTACTTAATACAAAGAAGGAGGAAGAGGAAGAAGAGAGTGGTTGGGGGGCAATTCTCATTGTTGGTTTCCATTTTTACGGGGTTTACTGAGCAGCCACACTGAACATGAGGTTTGATTTGTGAGACTGAGCTAACCTAGATATTTCATGAGGGATTGACTTTAGATTCTGTTATCTTTTTGTGCCCTTTGGTACACAGCTTTTCAAATGAATCAAAAATGGATTCAAAGAAAACTAATTTTCATTTTAAATCCCTATGGTGAAATAGGTCATTTCATATGTTTTCCAAGTGTTGTTTATATTGTGTATGTCTGTATAACATCTAACACACCATGAAAACTAATTAAATGGTAAAATAATTAGAATATTTATACAATCATATAAGTACACAAACTGAAATTTTTCACTCCTTTTTATTTTTTGTCAGTTTATATTAGGTAATTGCATTAGGCAATTTAGAATTTATCTCATCAAATGAAACTTTGAAGAGTATATTCAAGTGAAAATAACAAAGCTCTTTGTGTTTTTAGCAGATTTAACCCCAATAATATTTGAAGTCCTACTGAAGTGCCATGTCAAAGGCATTACAGTAGCTCTGAAGAAAAAGTAAAATACCTTCTGAAACAACTCTGGGAAGAAGCTCACCACCCGGCCACGATACCCACTTCTTGCTGCCAAGAAGCTTCTAGCTACACGGTTTTTCCTTCCACCCCACAGTGCAGTGGAAACAAGACCCAAGCTCTTCTCAAGGAGTAAGCACAGGACAAGTTTCCTGCTAAGTGGTCCTAAGTCAACAAGGCCATCTGATAGGAATTTGAGGAGTAGTGAATTTTATAGGAATAGAGGGGAAAGGACTCTTTTTCCATGTAGGCTTCTCTTGGAGTGGGGAGATTAGGAAATCTCCATGATATAAAATGATGAAAGTTCGAATCATTGTCACCCTACCGGAAAGACTCCAATTTGACCTTAGTGCTTAATCCCTTTAGTTTGAAGTGTAGCTTAAAAGTATTTAAATAAAATACAGCTGCCCCCAAACTGTGAGACTGTGAGTGGGAAGGGACATGACTGTGTACTTGGAGACCTCAGGTATGTTGGGGGTCGGGGGCAGCCACCGGGACGGTTAGAAAACCCAAATGAGTCTTCTAACACTCATTTACCCAATTTAAAGAGAACATTTTGACAATGTTGTGCAAATTTTTTTGCTGCCCACTTTTAGAAACTATACTAGGACAATGTGGGTGGTATATCGGATTATGTACACGAAACATGTGAAGTAAATAGGGTTGTGCCATTTCTAAACATCCAAATACTGAGGTACAAAGAGATGGAATGAGTGTCTCATGATCCCACAGCTTATCGGTGTTAAAGTTTAAATGAAGGGGGGAAAAGGCAATAGATCTGAGAAACTTCTAGTTCATAGGTCTCACATGTCATTGGTAAAGCGTGTTTAAGCGGGGAAAAATGATGATGCTTTCAGTTGGATTCTTAATGAAAACTTGTTACATTCCTTTACTTTTCTCCAGAGACAGCCCAGGCGACAGTTTGCACTTCGCATTCCCTAGGGTATCCAGTCACTGCGTGTTCTCTGCCCTCTTTCAGGACACAGATGAAATCCATCTTCTGTCTTTCATGGGAGTGGTGGGAGGACACGGAGGTGGGGGCGGAATCAAGTTTAAATACTAAGAAAATGAAAACAGATGCGTGGAGAGAAGGCGATGCTGGTGGGAATGAAGGCCCGGAAGCCGTTCTCAGTCCTGGCTGCGTCTGCATGGCGCTCCTCCCCAAAACCCTCCTCCCGAGCCTCCGGGAGGGGCTGGCCTCCGCGGGCATCGCCAGCAGGGAACCGCTCCTCCCTCCGCGGAAAACCCTGCTCGGCAGTCCCAGCATGCCTTTTTCAATACACTGTTTGCAATTAATTGGGAGAACCAGAGCTGGGAGAATTAGGAGACAGACCAGTCCCTGAAACACGTGAGGAGAAAAGTGCAGGGCCTTGTCTGTTTGCAGGCACGGAGAACAGGTGCCAAGGGCAGCGGCTCCTTGGCTGGCCCGCGGGTCCAGGGGACGTGAGCAGACCAGGCCGGTGGCGGGTGGCCGGCCTGGGCGGGAGGCCGCTGTTTGTGGAGGGCCGGCCTGCCAGCCCCCGGACGCCAGGGTGGACTCGGCGGCCTGGCGGGGCTCAAGCCCAGCTATCCATCACTAGCCGCCTAGCGGCTAGCACCCCGGAGCAGGAGCCGCCCCGCCCACCTGGCTCCGCCCAGCCGCTGGCCAGAGCTCATGCGCGCGGGCTGACGTCAGCACCCCGCCCCCGCCCGAGTCAGACACCCGGGTCCGCTCCGCCTGAGACTGAAGGGCGCCGGGTGTCTGCGGGGGCGGGGGAAGCTTGGGGCTTCACCAGGGGGCCAGCTGCCTGGGGGTCTCTCTCCCTCCACCAGTTCTCCTGGTCCTGGAGGGAGCCATCCTCCGCATAAAATACCTTCCTGAACCGCGATGTTGCTGCCTGCAGGATACAACCCAGGCTCTTTATAGCACTCCTCACACAACTGCCTCTGGACCTACTTTTACAAGAGGGGGTGGGGTACTGAGAGGAGGTAACTGTTCCTTGTGGCACAGGAGGAATTTGGCCAGGAGGCTGCTCGTCATGTTACTGGAACTGTGTGGGCTGGGCCAGATGAGCTTGCTGAGAGTCCCAACAAGGACCTATCCAGAACCAGAAGGAGCCCCAGAGAGTGGCGGCCCTGGCCTCGCTCACACAGTGTGCACACACAGGCAGTTTTATACCTCCAGCATGTTCACGCAAATAAATAGCAACCCCAAAGAAAACCTTCACAGTGTCTGCCAATGAGCATCTCATACAATTTATAGTATGCTGTCTACAATTAATTGAACCAACTCCAGGACCTCATGGTGGGGACACGGGGGTCACAGGCAGAGGAAAGGCCAGGTTATGCAACAGTGTTGTATAGTGCGCATCTGGCTCATCTTATGTGCTGAATATACTGCAGGAGATGGCAGGCTTGGAAATGTCAGCCATGGCCAAGATCCTGGCCAAAGGAGGCAAAGATGCTGGAGGCCACTGGATTCACACAGGACTACCCTCACAGGGCTCTGGGGCTATGATGGGTTCTTCACTGACAAGAGAAGAAAGACCTGGGGGTCACAGAAGCCTGAGCGACCTGAGTGAAGGCAGGCATCACAAGGCCTAGTCTTAGAGCTGAGACATGGAGGCCTGCAAGTATAGAGCAGAACAGTGGGTTGTTTTATTTTTTAATCAGTGTACTGAGACTTTACAGATTCTTATAACTTCCTGAGAAGAACATACCAGTATTTTAGGCGTCTGTCTTAAATGTACCCTGTATTGTTTCTTAGAACCCCAAAGAGGCCTACAATGATGCTGGCGTTTTGCCTTGTACTTGCCATCTGATGGCAGGTGAGTTTTCACAAGCATATTACAGCCACTTGAAGGTGACATGAAGGTGATACCTGCCTCCTCTCCTACAGACCAAATACTGCTAAACACTGGCTCCACTCTCCAGACATAAAAGTATGTGCATGGATTCAAGGAGCTTTATTTTTAGAAAACCCTTGAACACATGTATACTGAACAACAACTGAAAGGATAAAAATCTCATTTTGATTTTATCTATAGCACAATTTCTGGTACCGTGGAGAAACAAGAAATTAGCTCTTGTGGGAATGGATTTATATGGAAAACCGAGCAAATCTGTTTTGTTGGGGGAAACTAAATTTATACAGCTGATTTTCTTCAAACTGTTCAAAATACTCAAAGGCCCTATCTCTATTAACCAATGATCTAGAAAAGTCTTCATTTTGAGAATAAAGGAATTTCTAACTACATGGATTTCAAAACAGCCCATCTGACTTTTCTATGCTTTGATTTAGGTTCTTATCCATATACAAGTAGTAGGAAAAAAATGAAATCCCAATGAGCCAACAAGAATGTATTGCAGAGTATTACAGTTGGGCCTCTAAGGAGCAATAACAAAATATACTAAGTATCACCAAATGATATTTACTAATAACCTTCCCAGTTGTAATTACAGTCTGTATCATGAAAGTGGGAAGGTAAAGCAAGTAGAAATGTTTTCTTTCTGCACCCCTGTTCCTTTCCCAACTTTGGTTTGATTCTACCAAGATTCAAGGTTGAAATTTGTCCAGATCAAAGCTAGAGATCATGATGATGGTTCTTTGGGGATGAGGTCAGATTTGATTCATAGTAACATTGCAATAACAACTACTGCCTGCAGTGACATTGGTCATTTCCAACACACCTCCCTATATTATTTTATTATAATGACTCTTTTAGTAAGTGTTGTTATCCCCCACTTAACAGGTGAAGAAACAGAGGTCAGGTAAATTAAATACTTTGAGTCACATGGCTAATGAATAGCTGAACCAAATCCATCTATGGGCTGTCTTGGTCAGTTTCTGCTGCTATAACAAATTGCTATGGACTGGGTGGTTTAAACAACAAACACTTATTTCTCACAGTTCTGGGGGCTGGGAAGATCAAGATGGCAACAGATTTGATGTCCGGCAAAGGGTCTCTTCCTAGTTTGCAGGCAGTCATCTTTTTGTTGCATCCTCACATGGTGGCAAGTACAGACAGGAAGCAAGCTTTCCAATGTCTGTCTTCTGAGGGCTCTAATAGCACCTGAGGGCTCCAGCCTCAGGACATTATCTAAGTCTACTTACCTCTCTAAAGGCCTCACCTTCAAACACCATCCCAGTGAGAGTTAGGGCTTCAGCATAGGAATCTGAAGGGGACATCATTCAGTTCATAGCGCTCACCTCCAAATGAGCACTATGCACATCCTTGGTTTTACTGCATCACCTGGCTGTAGGCCCTGACTGACTGGATGAGAATACAAAGCTAGTATCTCAAGAGAAACTGCACAACACACAGGATTCCTTCATGTACTAAGAACAACATATCATGACCTGATGAAAAAAAAGAAGAAAAAAAATATATATATATACATCTGCTAGACAACTAGAAATTTTTGGGAACAAAAATATACATCAGATACACCCCAAATATATTTTGGTTTGAAACTTGAGTAGAGAAGGAGGATGGGGAGAACTAAATGACCAACTAATTCCTGAGCTATCCTTATGCTACCACCTCATTAATTGGCCCCACTTAAAGCATTAGCTTTGTGAGCATTAAGAACCAACCTCAGAGTATGTGGCCCTAGATTCAGGTTCTGGCCCCTAGATGTACCAGCTTTGTAACCTTGGCAGTTTGCTCTAAGATCTTTGCTATGGTTTGAATGTGCCTCCCAAAAAGCATGTGTTGACAACTTAATCTCCAGTGCAACAGTGTTGGGAGGTGAGGCCTAATAGGAGGTATTTAGGTCTTGAGGCATCCACCCTCATGAATGGGTTAATGCCAATTTATTAAAGACCCTGAGGTTGTGAGTTCAATCTCTTGCTCTCCCTCATTCTCTCTTTGCCATCCCACCATGGCTTGATGCAGCAAGAAGGCCCTCACCAGAGGCTGGCACCTTGATATTGGACTTCACAGCCTCTAGAACTGAGGAAATAAAGTTATGTTCTTTATAAATTACCAAGCCTGTAGTATCCTGTTACAGCAGGACAAAATAGACTAAGATAGTCTTTCAGATCTCATTTCTTCATACATAGAGATTTTTAAGAAGTGCTTATTCCAAGGGTTTTCCTATGAGATTTTAATGAGATAATGCATGTAATGGTACTTTGTGGAGGGCCAGGAAATCAGTAAATCAGCTTTTTTCACAAGCCCACCTCTATTTAAAAACAGAACACTATTTAACTAAAATGAAATGAAGTAAGTACCTTTGCCCAAAAGTCCTTGTTAGTTTATTTGAAAAGGAGCTCTATTTCAGATTATTTTTCAGTTAGCTTTTTGAGAACTGATCAGCTTACACTAAAAGTTCAGCCATTACAGGAAACCTGGGAAATGAAGGAATTCGCATGCTAAAAATAAAAAGAGTTTCAGCCAGTGTTAACCTGAATAGGTATTATGTTATTTCACTTGGGTCTTTTCCTCCAACATGAGTTCAAACAAAAATAACCAAATATGTTTAAAAGCTCTTGCTGCCCAGTGACCCTGCTCTGCGAAGGCCCCATGGTTCTGGTGCTGCAGTATGGGAGGCAGAGGCATTTGCCCTGCAGGACCCTTCCTATACCTCTCCTGACTAATCAGTTATTACCTAGGGTCAGCATCGGGTAAGAGTGGGGAGGAAACAGACAGGGGACGTCTGAAGGAATTCTTCAGTAGCTGAGTTGGGTGGGTTTTCCCCCTGTTTAACAAAGGTGAAGAATGGCAGTACCCTGAGTTATGTAGGGCTTCAAGACTCCACTTCATATATGGAGATTTTCCTCTCCTCCCAGGAAAGATCCCTCCCCTTAAGAAAAAGACTGTGCTCCCCAGGAGAGCAGAAGCCCAGGCCTGTCCTCAATGAAGCAGCCTGGGATAGTGGCCTCCGGCCCACAAACCCCATCAGGGACTTGAGCAATAGTTGTGTGAGCAAAATAAACTGTGAAATTAAAGTTACCTGTTTCTGGCAGAAACCTGACTTATGGGGGATCTTTATAGATCTGGGAATAGTAAGAGAGAGTGGTGAAAAATCAATAGCACCCAGAGTGATAATCCACACTGATTTAATTTACTCAAAAAGTATTTCACTCATCTCTTTCTGCCCATGTAAACCCATGCCTAATCTCTAAGTGGTCTGGTATTTATGATAAAAGACACAAGAATACTCATCTAATTGAAGAAGAGCTCTTTGAAACTGGCCTGCTTATTCTGGTGTGAGATACCGCTCAGAAAATATAGGAAGATAGAGTGAACGAGCAAACAGATCTCCAGCTGGCTGTCAGCCAACATGTTGCCTATTCCCTAGCATGTGTATGTAATCTATTAGCCTGTAAATTCCTCAAGTACATGGGCCATGACTTCCATTTCCTTTGTACCCCTCCCCTGCACATAGTACAATAGCCTGCATGAAATTCATAGTCAGTAAACATTGTCAGTTGTTCAATGTTTAAACCTGTTTTTACAAGCCACGTCTCCCTCAAAAAAACCAAAACCATATATATTATTTTAATACATAAGATCAGATATACCACATTTATTTGGTTAATTCTCTCCTGCTACCAGCACACTTTTTAACAGATTTTTACAGTGTAGATAGAGCGCTCCACCTTCGCCAAGTACGGGCAGACATTAAGGTCTCCATCACTACAGGACCTGTCACCTAGAGTGAGCCTATGGCTCCCCTCTCTAGAATCTCCCCTTCAACAAGTCTCAAAGGCTTTCCCGCAACAATTATGTGTGAGTAGGCAGTGATTAAAATCCCTTCCGTTTATGTTCCAGCCATGGAGGACCCACTGCTTTGCTTTCTTTTGCTACATCTCCTATCAGTCTCTGCTGCAGTTATCAACTGCGTTGTATGGAGACATTATGTAGGGAAAAGCGTTTACGTCTGTATATGTACATGTGTGCACATACATGCACACACATACACGCACAATATATGATATTTGCCTGCCCAGGCGCAGTGGCTTACACCTGTAATTCCAGCACTTTGGGAGGCCAAGGTGGGCAGATTGCTTGAGTCCAGGAGTTTGAGACCAGCCCGGGCAACATGGCAAAACCCTGTCTCATTTCTTAAAAATTTTTCAATTAAAAAAAATGTATATATAGATATATCTCCACCAAAAATCAGCTGCAATTGACCAGGAAGAAAAATTCAGAAATATGTGAAGATAGATATTATTTGCAGAGAATCAGAACATTCATTTATTATACAGTCTATCATTGTCATTTTAAGTAAAAATATTACTTGTGTCTTTTAGGGGTTTTCTATTTTTTCACAGCTTCACTGCAACTCTCAGCCTTCTTTGTACCATCGTGTGACTATGTCTGGCCAATGGAATGTGGGTTAAATGAGACACACAGTTTTTAGCACTGGCTGGCAAAGCTCCCTGTGTGATCCTCCACTCCTTCTCTCTGCTCCTGTCACCTGTGCTTCTCCTGTCATTTCACAGGAGCCCAGGGAGGATGTGGAGGCCCTAGACCACTGGCTCTCAGGGGCAATTTTGCCCCCAAGGGACACTGGCAATGTCTGGAGATATTTTGGTTGTCACAACTGGGCAGGGTGTTATTGGCAACTGGTAGGTAGAGACCAGGGATGCTGCTGACCATCTTACAGTGCAGAGGAAAGTGCCCACAACAACTATTTACCCAGCCCAAAATGTTGATAGTGTTGAGATTGAGAAACCTGGCTGTAGACAATGGCCGACATTGCAGGTGGAGAGAGGCTGGATCTCTGAGTGACTCTGTGGAGCAAGCACTGCCCATCCCTCCATCCTGCATATCCACTTAATTGTCTCCACCCTCCTTTATCATCTCCAAGTCTAGATGCAAACTGTGAGAAATAAACCACTGCATTAAAACCCTGAGATTTTAGAGTTATTTGTTAAGACAAGTGCCTTACTCTAATAGACTACAAAACACAAGCCATATAAAGCAAAACTTAGAGACATGCCTTGTAATAGATCACAGGAAAATATGAGGAAAATGTTTTGTTTTGTTTTACTTGCTTTTGATGCTATATCATAATAGTAACTGAAGTCCTGGTGCTTTCCATTAAGGAAGGAATCTTCCAGGCCCCCTTGCTGGGCAACTCTTTTGCGATTAAAAACAAACAGGTCCATCAGGGCATCTGGCACAAACTAGTGAGGAAGACTCAGCTTTTCCTACGTGCTGCACACAGCTTGCCATCTACCCACACCATTTTATGAATGGCTGACATGTACTCCAGTGATGCCGCTTAGTCTAGCGGCTTATAATGAACAACAAGCATGAAAATCTGAGGAGGACACATTTTCAAGAGGAGTGCAGAGATTGGCTTGCAGTTCCTTCTGACTCACTTGGAAGCCTCCTATGCTTATGGTTTCATTTTTCTAACTGCTTACACCAAGCCTTCCTGGTAATTTTGTGTCCGGAATTTATTCCTTCTTGTGGGTTCTTGGTCTCACTGACTTCAAGAATGAAGCCGTAGACCCTCGCAGTATGTGTTACAGCTCTTAAAGATGGTGTGTCCAGACTTTGTTTCTTCAGATGTTCAGATGTCTCTGGAGTTGCTTCCTTCTGGTGGGTTCATGGTCTCGCTGACTTCAGGTGTGAAGCTGCAGACCTTCGCAGTGAATGTTACAGCTCTTAAAGGTGGCACGTCCAGAGTTGTTTGTTCCTCCCAGTGGGTTCGTGGCCTCGTTGATTTCAGGAATGAAGCCACAGACCCTTGCAGAGAGTGTTACAGCTCATAAAGGTAGTGCGGACCGAAAGAGTGAGCAGCAGCAAGATTTATTGTAAAGAGCAAAAAAACAAAGCTTCCACAGCATGGAAAGGGGCCAAGTGGGTTGCCCCTGCTGGCTGCAGTGGCCAGCTTTTGTTCCCTTATTTGGCCCCGCCCACATCCTGCTGATTGGTCCATTTTACCGAGCGCTGATTGGTCCGTTTTACAGAGTGCTGATTCATCCATTTACAGAATGCTGATTGGTGCGTTTACAATCCTTTAGCTAGACACAGAGTGCTGATTGGTGCGTTTACAATCCTTTAGCTAGACACAGAGTGCTGATTGGTGCATTTACAATCCTTTAGCTAGATACTGAGTGCTGATTGGTGCAATTTTACAGAGTGCTGATTGGTGCGTTTACAATCCTTTAGCTAGACACAGAGCACTGATTGATGCATTTACAATCCTTTAGCTAGACACAAAAGTTCTCCAAGTCCCCACCCCACCCAGAAGCTCAGCTGGCTTCACCTCTCAATTTTCCCTACCTTGGCCTGACTAACTTCTCACAGTGTAGTATAGCCAGAATGTTCTGTGGTAAATTAGGATTCAGGTAAAAAGCAGTAACACAATGACGAGTGCAGCTGCAGGCTGGACAGTTGACCACAAAGCCAGTCAAATGCGAAGAGCCTGGAGTTAAGCCTGGCAATGAGGTCAAGTCACTGAAGTCCTAAAGTTTACATAAGGAATCTACAGTGGACAGTAGGTCTAAAAAGTGACACCAGTTTTCAACCTGAAGACTGGAATGGCTGAACCTCTTCAAATCTTTTTATGGCAAGAGAGATCAATGATATTTTACTACATGCAAAAGTTTTCATAATAATAATACTACCTCCCTATACAATGAGCTTTAATGAAAGAGAGATACACACGAAAACGTGCCCCCTTTGCTGTCTTCCAATGAGCTTGCACTCCTCATTAGCTTTCAGCACCTCTGCCAATGTCCCAGCAGAGACGCACTTCGCCCCTTGTCCACTGCGGCTCATGTGGGACCCGGGGCCCTCAGCTCAGGGCGACCCCTCACAGCAGCTCCATAGTCTTCCTCCTGGCCCCATACTTGGAGTGACCACACCTTGCACGGGCCCTCTTCCTCAAGGCTTTTCCACCTCTAGGGAGCTGGCATCTGGCATCTCGGAGGTGCAGAGACTATCACAGTGTGGGGCAACCCACAGGGAAACAGAGGCTGAGAATGAGAAGCAGTGTTGTCACAGAGAGGCAATGCCACCGCCAACAGCCACAGAACAGAGGGCACAGTGGCATTGCGGTGCGGTGCCCTCGCCGCTTATCTCAGGAACTGAGGAGCCTATAGGCGCAGCTCTGCACACTGCCTCCGCGGCCCTGACGGCTGCCTGGAGGAGGCAGCTCAGCCAAGCCCAGTGATAATGCGTGGGAATTGGGTGGACAAGCTGCAAAAGGAAATTCCAAGCGGACAGCAGCAGTGTGTATCAGGACACAGAAGCCAGGACCAGCACGGTGCTCACTGCACATCCAATCACTGCCAACTGCTATGTGAGCCAAGCCTCTCTACCTTCTGGCTGACTTTCACTCATTGACCATCCTTCAGACCATCCCCACATCTGTTTTATCTCATTTATTAGGAAAAAATCCATTTAATTCATCTATGCAACATATATATTTATTCATTTCAAAGTATGTACATGTACTTTTATATTGTATATGCTAAATAATACAATACCAAAATATAATTTAAAATATTTAAGATAATAGAAAACACACACAAATAGACTATCGAGTACTTTCTGCCCACAGGTCACTTTTTTCTTTCTCACCAGGCTGTAGAGTTACTCCACCAGTCAGGAGAGAGCGATTTTGTTCATCACTGTGTCCCGGGACCTCGTACAGTGCCTGATACTTATCATGACTTCCACGAGTTTGAATAGTTAATGAGTGAACCCTGCACACCACCTAAGGTTTGCAATAGCACTGAATGCAAAAGCAGTTAATGCAGAACTTCTAACTTCTCATGAAACAGACTCAAACAGCAGTCAAATCTTGAACCATTCATATAGGTTACAACTTGCATTATTCAGAAAAATGAATGACCCTGTGGGTCATCAGTATAGCCAGTGGGAAGCAGTAGGTTGATGTGAGAAGACAGAGCACTCGATTCCATTTTCCTGAGGATCCGGCACAAAGACAAAACCAAATTTACCTTCATGTGTTTTATTTTTTGTTCTTCACTAAAAAATAATAGATTGCATTGGAACACATGATAATAAAGGACTAAGGGAGCTATTTTACTTTCCGTGTGCTGGATTGAGAGGGCACCATGCCCATCCCTAGAAGAGCCACCCCCTGACCTCCTAAAGTCCCCTGGGCCAGCCCGTCCCTCACAAGTGCACCCCTCAACCCAGTGGAAGTCAGAGGTCCGCATAGTGGAGCAAGAGTGCATCTGAGAGAGGAATCCACGCACAGAAAGTGCATTCGAGGCTATGTTTTGTTTAATCTTTGTAACTGATTGTTCATGGAAGCCATCATAGAGAGTTTTGCTTGAGGTTAGAGCAAAGGTACAGCAAGATAAAAAGAAGCGAATGATACTTCTCAAACATCGTGGTTTCAGATGCGTCCTGGCTCTTCCCTCTCAATTTTGTTAGTCCTTGCTTACCCAGTGCTGGTGGATCATCTCAGCAAATTTGAGTTTTGAGGAGAGAAAAAACAAGTTCCCCAAATGGGGTGGTTTCCACAAATTTTTATGTATTTTGACATGAAAAAGGGGCCACGTGATGAAGTCAGGTAGAGCGGTGGCTCCGTGCAGAGTGTCAGAGCCTGAATCTCCAGCATCAGGGACCCCCTTTCCACAGCAGTGCAGTGTGGCCTGAGACAGAGAAGGTGCTCTGTGGTGACAGCCAGAGGCATTGGCTTTATTTCAATCTTATCCTGGGTAGGATGTGTTTGGGAGGTATAAGACCTACTTGTTTTGATCTGTGAGTTTGTTAAGTAGAGACACACTGAATGAGTGCCACTAAACTGAATCTGATTCCCAAGAGGATCAAAGAACTTTGCTGTATCAAACTCTTCTGAGTGACCAGAAACAACCCCTAGAAAGTGACAGCATTCAAAGCTTTGGCAGGCCACACAGTAAAATTTAACCCGATGAACTAATTATCCACCCTAACAGAAAGGGCAGGGCTTCCTGGGAAATGCATAATCCATAGCTTGCCGTGAAACGCACTCAATAAACAGGTTTCACAATCTCCAGGAAGCCAAGCGGCAGCAGCGGTGTGGGAAAGCTGCCTCCAGCCGGGCTTGCAGGTGCGCCGGAGTGAGCGAGGCTGTTGGCTTCTAGGGATGGGCCACGAGTGGCCAGGGACAAAGCGGCGCAGCAGGTTCCCAGCCGTGGAACACCCTGGGAAATTTTCTCACGCCGTTGATAGGATGGGAACCTGGCACTGCCCTCAATGCCTAATCCATTCTGCAAAACGACATTTATTAGGGTTCTTTCCTGGTTGACTCTTATGCAAAATAGCCACACACATTTAATACTGTTTATAAAAAACCAAATGTCTTCTTCTCAGAAGTGTCTGTTCACATCCTTTGCCCACTTTTTAATGGGGTTATTTGTTTGTTTCTTGTAAATTTGAGTTCCTTGTAGATTCTGGATATTGCTCATCCTGCATATGTACCGAAAACTAAAAATTAAAATAAAAAAATGGAAAGAACACATACTTAGAAGCACCCAAAAATGGATGTTCAGACCATTTCATTTTCTTGAGGACATTTTAATTTTTACTGAGAACTTGGTGCAAAGTGGCTGAGAACTTGTGCCTTCTTAAGGGTTTTTTAAGTAACTGAATCAAGTCAATTTTTATTTTTTTTTTTTTTTGAGATGAAGTTTCGCTCTTCTCACCCAGGCTGGAGTGTAGTGGTGTGATCTCGGCTCACTGTAACCTCTGACTCCCCGGTTCCAGCGATTCTCCTGCCTCAGCCTTCCGAAGACAAATTTTTTTGAAAATGAGCCTCAACCAAAGAAACTGGGGGCGGAGAAAAAGCAGGCAGCAAGCAGGACCATGCAGAAACACTGGCACCGTGGCAATTTCCTTTCTAGTCCCATATCATTTGCCTTTCCAAAAGGAAAATGGATAAATACTATATATATGTATATGTCATATCAATATACTCAAAGTATATATTTATATTATTTATAATTGTATATAATGATGTATTCATATAAATCATATATTATATAGTCATATACAAAAGGAAAGAAATTTAGGTTGGTTTGAGAAGTACCTCTGAAGTATTTCTCTATGACAGCTGCCTATAGGTGGGAAAAGGACCAGTAAGTGCAGAAGCAGTGAACCATTTGTCGTCACACTAAGCACTTTCTCCCAAAGTTGTTATTTATTAACTGATTAATTAAAAAATGAAATTATCAAGCATTTCACTTACTGGTTCTACAAATATTTATTGAGCACCTGCTATGTTGCTAGAGCCATGCCAGGCCTTGGGATCACTGGGAAGGAAGCCACAGCCCATCTCTGCCCTCCCTTATGGGACCAAATCCCATCAGCAGACCCCAGGTAGAAAAGAAAGCAGCTATGTCCAAGTCCATACACAATGCCTCTGAGTACCACCCTGATTCCTCAAAATGTTGGCTTAAAAAAAGGCCTATGTGCTTTAAAAATACATGCAAATAGCATATTTTTTAAGAAAGTGAATAAATTTGGATTTGAAACCAAGGTATTTATCCTTGGAACCAGACTAAAATGACAAGACATGCAAGATTTCATGGCCACCTTTATATGTAAATTTCATTGGCACTGGCCAACTAGTCAGTTTTATTTGTAGAGTGTTTAAGTAAAGTGGTTTCAGAACAGTCGAAACAAAAAAATGTGTGATCTTTCCCACTTAGTTCATAACCAAAATCAGTTTAAATCAAAAGCTAGCAGAGCACTGCAGATCAAAGTGGTCTCCACTAATAAACATGGAAATATTAAAATTAAAGCTGTTACTAATGTACAAGTTATTTTAAGCCACATTTAATATCATCCTAAGCCTTTTAGAGTAGAGCAAAATAGTTTACTTTCTTTTTAAAAAATTAATATATGTCTATTATGTCTGCCAACATTGCATTACAACAAAGTCATACCAAATCTTAAATTAAGTGCTTTAGAAATTATCTTTTTCAAAGAGCTGCAGTCTAGATTTCTAAGTCTCACATTAAAAACTAAATTTATGCCATTTGCCAAATCCATAAAGGAAAAAAGAAAAAAGAAACTAAACAGTTCAAATTTAAATTAAAAATATATTTTAAATATAAAAAAATTTAATATACAATAAAGGTGTATTTCTACCATCATCAGTTTTATGACATAAGCTGATAACAACTTTAAGAACTTATTTTTAAAACATATAGTTGTCTCTATGTATTACCAGAACACTCTTAAAGCTGTTTGTTTTATAACAAATTGAACATCTGATACAAATCTGATATATCCAGCTTTGAAATTTCTCAACCTTTTTGGTGATTGACTCAGGCTAGAAAAATGGAATTAAATAACTATTAAAAATGGATGCATGACATAGCTGCTGGCACTTCTTCCAACTCTACCCCACGTGGGTGTTGCTGCTGAAACACCCTGACACTTTGCCTGCACTCAGGGACCAATCACTCACAATATAGCATCCAAACAGTTGGCTCCAGGGTGGATGTGTACAGTGTGCTCTACACTTTCCCACGTAACGTGGGAATCCCATAGGAACAAGTCCCCAGCCTGAGATTTGTTTTATGAGTCATTCTCACATCTCAGCTCTACCACACCCCCAAGACAGCTTGCTGTGAGCAACGTGTTACTGCAACAAACAGCAAAGGCAGGCATGACCTTCCCCAGCCGGTCGGGTCCAAGTCAAACCCAGCAACACAGGCACACCTCTAGTCCTGAGCCCAGTTTTAATTGAGGGATTTCTAAGGAGGCTGAACTTGACAGGTGGAACTGTGGAGTTCTGCCAACTTTTAGAAAAGATTCTATCATCTAATGGCAAAATGTTCCTTTACTGCAGGCCGCCTGTGATGGCATCCAGAGGAGGCTGTGTGAGACACCCACTGGGTGCTGTCTCTCAGGCACACTGGCATCGAGGCCACGACAGGCTCTGCTCTTGGCTCTCGGGCTGGACGTGTCAGTACAGATCCCAAGAGCACCATTGTTCACAGAGAGCTCCCAGGGCGCTGTCCCCGGACTATCCGTTTACTTCAGGTTCTGAATTAGGTTTCAGGAGGGAAGAAACTAAACTGCTCAATTAACTTCTTCCATCAAAGCCATTTTCTTTCAGCTTTCTAAAAATGATAACTAATTTGTGATTTCAAATCTCACCAGAATGATGTTCCTTCCCAATGTGACAATTAATTTTATTCATTCTATTTTGTCCTCTGTGTTTAAAATATTGATTTTCAGAATTCAGACCAAATGAGAAAGAAAAGTCATTTAGATGACAAAGATAAACAGCAAAGCATGGCTCAAGCCCAAGCAGGGTCCTTGGCCCTCATCATCCTGCCATGTGGGCTGACACTGCACAGTCCCAGTGCTTTATTGAGCAAGTGTGCTGGTCTCATAACCAGCATTTATGCAGCACTAGGAATGTTCCTGGGCTGCTTTTCAAGGCCAGCCCCAAGCATGCCCTGAGAGCCTATGGGTGCATGGTTTGCAAGGAGCAAATCTCCAAGGGGCACCGAGGTAACACAGGAGGCAAGTGGGAGCAGCAGAGGAAAAATGCAGTGTCAGGAGAGAGCCTGCTTTCTTTTATGACTCCCCCATCTCTCTAACCATCCTGCAAGGAATCAATTCAAGACACGGAATTGATGAAAAATAGTTAATTTTTTTTAATTTTATTTACTTTTGCAAAGTTATCAGTTTCGGAACTTTCTTCAAATTCTACTTTATGCCATCTTCCTGCAGTGCTTCTTCTCTTTAAAATATAAATCAGGAGAAATCTTCCTGTGAGAAATGACAACCTGAGAGGAATACTGACTGACCTGAGAGTGGAGCTGGGGTTCTTATGACCTGCCCAGATGTGGGCACATCATCCACCTCTCTGGACCTGAGCTCTCCATCTATAAAGCGAGGCTTTGGATGAGACACGGAGGCTGCCAGGCTTCTCAGGACAGCTCTGTGCACCTGCCTCACCTCACCTGGGTGCTTATCAAAAGACAAACAACTGCAGAGCATTTTAGCAGACTTCATGGATCAGGATCTTGGGATGGAATCCTGGGATCTACTTTTATAACACACTTCCCTGGTGGTTTTTATGCATGCTAATGTTTGAGAACCACCGCTCCACAAACAAGAATTGAAGATTCATTTAAAATATTTCCCCCGTGTACTGGTGTATATTCTATTTTTCAGAATAGCTCCAGGTTTAAACCCTTCCTTATTACCCCAAACTACTATTATAATGTGCAAATCCTAAATCAAGAACATAGCCTTTTGGTTAAAAGAATGCAATGAACTGAATGTGTCTCCACAAAATTCACTTCGTGAAACCCTAACACATCCTCCCATGTCATGACCTTAGAAGGTGGGGCCCTTGGAGAGTGATTAGGTCATGAGGATGGAGCCGTTGTGAACAGGATTAGTGCCCTTATGGAAGGGACCCCAGGGAGTTCTCTCTGTGCCACGTGAGGATACGATGGGAAGCCCACAGTCTGCATTCCCGAAGAAAGCCCGCACCAGGGCCTGACCATGCTGGCACCCTGAACTCAGACTTCCAACCTCCTGGGAGAAATTAATTTTGCCCATAGCAGCCCAGTCTATGGTATTCCACTATAGCAGCCCGAACTAGGACAGAGGGGAACTAATGGTCTGAATTGACTGTAAATAATTCTACAAGGTATTAATAGATTAAAACACAACTTTCTTCCTGATGAAACCAGAAATGTAAAAAACAAAATACCTTTCATGGAACATACGAACAGTAATTTAAAGTTTTCACGTCAGAAAAAAAGTACTTTGAACTTTAAGACAGTCTCTTCAGAACTCATTTGCTATGAAGGGGCACAATGTTCTCCTCTGATTTTCCCACTCTCCTGCCAGAGCTACTCTGTGGCTAGTGGTTGCTGACGAAGTTCAGGACTGCGCTAACATCCCCCGCCATTGAAAGAGAAATGGCAGCATCTGGGGAGTCAAATCTCAGCCAGTGCCTTGGGAGACCCAGAACTCTGCTACCATCATGCCGAGCCGCCCTCTGGGGTCTTTGGTTCTGAGCCTCAGTTTCCCTATAGAGAAAAACTTGACTGGCTGGGATATTTTTGCTGCTGTTGTCCAGATAAAAAAGCCCTTTCTGATGTGACAGCTTCTATGAGTAGACAGGTTTCTAGCTAGATGGAATTAAAGGAACTCTTCCTAAAATTTCCTTAAAAATAGGAAGATTTCCCTTGAAGACCAAGCAAGTCCTGTGAGGAAGCTCCTCACTGGGGCTGGTTTCAGTCAACCGTGGACAGGGAGGCCTGGAGACCACTCCGTCTGCAGGAGATGCTAGGGAGAAATGAATTTGCCTCCTTCCTCTTCTTATACTCAGGCAGGGAAAAGGTAAGGACCTCAGTCAGCTCCTCAGTTTGCTACTAATTAGTTCAATTCGGGGTTTTGCAGAACATATGAACACCTTTACCATCTGTGGCAGGCAGACAGTAGGACCAACAACAACCCCCACCACCTGACTGTGCGCCTTGGTGCTACCTCTCTCCTTGAGGGTGGACAGGACAACAAATAGAATGTGGCAAGGTGGGGAGATGTCCTTTCAGTGGTTGCCAAAGCTCTGTAGGGCTCCATCTCACAGTAGACTTGTGCCAGAGACTCTCCTTGCAGGCTTGATGAGATAAAAAACTCTGTTGGTGAAGCCCATGTAGCAAGGAACCTCAGTTCCTTGACTGGAGGCCTCCTGCCTCCAGTCAACAGAAAACTGAAGCTTGGCCAGGCGTGGTGGTTCATGCCTGTAATCCTAGCACTTTGGGAGGTGGAGGTGGGCAGATCACCTGAGGTCAGGAGTTTGAGACCATGATGAAACCCTGTCTCTACTAAAAATACAAAAAAAAAAAACCAAAAAACATAGCAGGTTGTGGTGGTGGGTGCCTATAATTCTAGCTGCTCTGAAAGCTGAGGCAGGAGACTCACTTGAACCCAGGAGGTGGAAGTTGCAGTGAGCTAAGATCACACCATTGCACTCCAGCCTGGGTGACAGAGCGAGACTCCCTCTCAAACAGACAAAAAAAAAAAAAAAAAAACAAACAACAAACAAACAAAAAAAAAGAAAGAAAAGAAAAGGAAACTGAAGCTCTCCTTCCTACAAACACAGATCCCCCTTGTCCTTGCAGGATACACTCCAAGCCCCTGGTGGATGCCTGACACTGTGGATACTCCCAAACCTATCTACACCGTGCTGGTTTGATCTGACAACCTAGACAGCTACTGAGTGACTGACAGCACACAAGCCTACCAGCATGGAGACACGGGACAAAGAGATGGTTCAAGATTTCATCATGCGACTCAGAATGGCACCCAATTTAAAACTTATAAATTGTTTATTTCTGGAATTTTTCATTTAATGTTTCTGCACTACAGTTCACTGCAGGTAATGGAAACTGCAGAAAGTGAAATAGAAGAAAAGGAAAATGACTGGACTGCAGGGGACAGAAAGCTGCCAATGGCCATGCAAATGGTGAAGTGGATTCTTCCCCAGTCGAGCCCCCAGGTGAGACTCCATCCTTCACCAACACCTCAGCTGCAGCCCTGTGAGACCCTGAGCAGAGGACCCTGTCACACCACTCTTGGCCTTTCAACCCCTAGAGACTGTGAGATAGCAAATGTGTGTGGTTTCAAGACACTCAGTGGGCAGTAAGTGTGAGGTAATCTAATATGCAGTGGACAAAAAGAATATGCCATCTGCCTTTAAAGTTTATATATTGATTTTTTATTTTTTTCATTCAGTAAATTAAGTTGGCTGTGAAACATGAAAGCACATTTGGCTCATAATACAAACAAAAGTGCATAACTTCATGAAGTTCTTTCAAATCTACCCATGTGGCAAAACGCAAAAGTGTGTGAGACCCGCAAGTCTGCAGATGAAGAAGCCTGGAGCAAGTCCTATGAGGAAGGACCTTTGAAGAGGGCATGCACGCTCCCAGCCAGGACAGCTGGGGAAGGCAGCACAGAGGAAGCATACATGGGCCCGAAGAGATTCGGGACATATTGTGGAAACTGATTTTTTAACAGGAACTGGCTGATGCATTATCAAAATAAAGATTTTTATTTTTTCCAGTCTCTGCCTCCAGTCATACTCTGTCGCAGGTGTTGGCAAACATAACCTGCCTCAGATGCCTGTGTTTGTAAGTAAGGTGTTATTGGAAAACAGTTGTGCCCACTCATTTACATATGGTTTATGGCTGCCATTGTGCTATAACAGCAGGGTTGAGTCATTCCAACAGAGACTGGTGGATCACAAAGCCTAAATTATTCATACCTGGCCCTTTACGGAAAATGTTTGCTGATCTCTGCTCCTCTGAATCTCCCTTTCCCGTCTCTTCCCGAAATGTATGACAGACTTCCTGTTTCTGATCTCTTCCAGCTAGTAAATCCCAGTCCCACTTAAATTTCAGTCTTAACCCCAATTAAAACCTTTTCCCTTCCCCAGTCTACAGGAGGTTTGAGTAGGTGCCTGACTCTTTGGAGTGGAGGGAGGGAGGTCCTTCTGTTGCTCTAAGAGATTTCCTTCCTGTCTCTTCAAGATGTACCTTCTCCAGTTGGTTGGAGGGATTAGGAGGTTGCAGAAACAGGACAGGTTTCCTTTTATTTCTCTGGCTGTGACTGTCTCCCTCTATAATGCTGACTGGCTTCTCTGCCCTCTCTCCATCTGGCTACACCTTTTGGGGGTGCTGGTTGGGATAGGGGGGTCCTCTGGGAAACTCTTTAGGTGCCCCCTGCACAATTCCCTGAGATGGACATTCCTGCTGAGGTTTGACCTTCTCTTCTCTTCAGCTCCCACCATCGGCTTCTCGCATGCGGCTGCCTCACCGTGCCCAGAGGGCATCCCTCTTGGACTGCAGTGTCCACCAGAGACACAAACAGAGAAAACATGAGTTCCTCCTCCACCGCCCTCCCCCAACCCATCTCCCAAATTCAGATAGCAAAGGAAAGAAAACATCAGCCAAACTTCACCTACACAGACATCAACCTGGGAAACGGAATGGCAGTCTTGGACTTCTTGCAGGATTCCCAAATCCTCACTTGTCTACTTGTTTTGGAGGAGGAGAAGGTGTTACAGGAAAAGAAGAAAGTAACTTTTCACCACAAATGCCTGCCTTTCCCTGTGACCTGTAACCCCAATAACAACCACTTTCTCTACCTTCTCTACCCCACCCACCCACCCCAATCATTTCACATCATCTGAGGAGGGAAAGGTTCAGAGGAAGCAGTGGTAGGAGAGGTGACCTGCCTGCTGTTTGTAACCCTGGTGTGACATGTCTGGCCTATTTGGGTGTTGTCTCTGCCTGGACGGTAGGAGTTAATTATGGGCGTTAGCACCAGTTCAACAGCCTGGTTGTCAGGAGGAGAATGAAACCCTGTAAGCTCCAGCAAGTGTTCAATAACACAAAGATGTTGCTATAGATAGCAAGATGGGGGCACTCAGTCAAAGAGGACTGTGCCACTTAGGAGCTCAGCCCCATTAAAAACTTACATCACATTAGGACACGTCTTCACAGCAGCATGGTTGACATTTTGGACCAGATTGTTCTTTGGGGAGTGGGTTTTTCTGTGCATTGTAGGATGTAAAGCAGCATCCCTGGCCTCTACTCACTAGATGCCAGTGAAACTGTCCCAAAAACTGTTGACAATTAAGTGTCTGTAGTCATTACCAAGCGTCCCTGAGATGGGGAATGGGGTCATGGATGAGAAGCACTGTGATTGCAGAAGTGGTCAACCAGCCAACGTCTACCAGGTTTATGTTGAAAGAGAATCGTTGGCTTTATTTATTTTTAATTTTTATTTATTTATTTTTTTGAGATAGGGTCTCACTCTGTCACCCAGGCTGGAATGCAGTGGCATGTTCATGGCTCACTGCAGCCTCAACTTCCCAGGCTCCAGTGGTCCTCCCACCTCAGTCTCTCAAGTAGCTAGAACCACAGGCGGGTGCCATGCCCAGCTAACTTTTGTATTTTTTGGCAGAGAGGGGGTTTTGCCATGTTACTCAGGCTGGTCTTAAACTGCTGAGCTCAAGTGATCCACCTGCCTCAGCCTCCCAAAGTGCTGGGATTACAGGTATGAGCCATTGTGCCCAGCCTATTTTTTTAACCTCTTATTTAAAGGATATTTTCATGCAGCCAAATTCATTCTTTTGAAAATGAAAGTTTACTCTGAAAACCCTCTGGAAATTGTTACTTAACAGAATGGCTGGATATATAGGTACCATAAATGATGTCACGCTAACTGTGTTTCTGTGGATTCATATATCATTTCTTCTGGCAGAAACTAATCTCTGTAATTGGATTTTTGACCAAAGCCTCACCTAATAGGTCAAGGAAGGGAAGCTCTATCATGTGCAGGCCATGTGCTAACCAAAGTTACATATGTTATCATTACCCTACACCTAAGGAATATATTAAGTATTGCTTTCTTTTCAGGATAGTGAGACAAGACTCACAGATAGTAAGTTATGTAACCCCAAGGTCACACAGCTAGTAATTAGAAATGGAATTCAAATATGTCTGTGGGCCAGGCGTGGGGGCTCAAACTTGTAATCCCAATACTTTGAGAGGCCAAGACAGGAGGATCACTTGAGTTCAGGAGTTCAAGACCAGCCTGGACTATATAGAGAGATCTTGTCTCTACTTAAAAATGGTGCATGCCTGTAGTCCTAGCTACTCAGGAGGCTGCAGTGGGAGGATCACTTGAGCATGGGAGGATTTCTTAATTTAAGCCCAGGAGGTAGAGGCTGCAGTGAGCCAAGACTGTGCCACTGCACAACAGCCTGGGCGATAGAGCAAGACCCTGTCTCAAAAAGCAAAACAAAATAAAACAAAACAAAAAACCCACAAGTGTGTCTGCGGATGGAACTCAAAGTCAGCCCTATCTTTCTCAGAGTCAAAAGCAATTGCCCCAGGATGGTGCCTATAGCCCTTGAGCACGAGGCCCCTCAGAGGGGGCCCTCAACCTCACCACTAACTCTGCTCTATGTCTTTGGAATTATTCCAGAAGGTTTCAGAGCTATGTTTAACTTCCAGTCATTATGGAGCTGAAGAACAACATGGGTCCTCTATGAATTGGGGACCTAGACCTAATGACCTCTGTAGACCCGTTCAGCTCTGACTCTGTGTATGTGATTCTATTCAATTTTATAATTTTACAAAGACTTAATCATTGTTGTTGATGTCTTTGTTGTTGTTTTTTTTCTTTTCTACTTTTGTTTATGTTGCTCTCTATTCTCTTCAATTCACATTGATACGTCTTACCCTAGCTATCCTAATTCAGTCAGCCAGTTCATGCCTGATTGGCAGTTTCATAGGATGACCTGCTTGTGTCTGTGTTCCTATATCTTCAGCTATCTGCCAGTGACCTCTGCCTCAAACAATGCAATGACTCATGCTGAGCAAGCTTGGCCCAAGACAAAGGAAGTGATCATCCTATAATTTTTAACACGTCTCATTTGTGATTACAAGAATCAAGTGAAAAGACAGGGCAAAAGGAAAGAGAAGAGTTTTCAAATTTGTTTATTATTGGAAAAACTAAGAAACTTTCAAATAAAATTGAAATAAAAGCTCAATGCATTAAACACATAAAAATGGATTTTGCTTCAGGTTAAACTTTTTGGGTGAGAACCTGGAGTCTCACCTGCCGTCATTTGGCCTCCTATAATAAATGCCCTTTGAAAACATTCTGCAGACTTCCTAGGACTTCAACAAACACCATTTAAAAGCTGTTGTCTGCTAGAAGCAGTTGTGGAAAGGGTAATAAGGACCTCCAAGGCTCCACTCCAAAAATGCAACAGGAACCCTGGGGAAAAATATTCAAAGTCAACTTTTTCAGAACTCTGAAAATTAACCAAGAAATTACAACAATCCAAAAGGTATGTATTCAAGAAAAAATGAATCTCAGCAGAACAGTTTTGTGGCATTTTAACTTGCCCTATTATAAACTCTCTTGCATTCATTTTTCAGTGCTTCAATAAGAAATTACCACATACTTTGTGGCTTAAAACAACACAAATTTATTACCTTACATTTCTGTAGGGCTCAGTGAGACATGGATCTCACTGGGCTAAAGTCAAGATGATGACAGAATTGCATTTCATTCTGAAGGATCTAGGGGAGAATGCATTCCCTTGCCTTTAGTACCTTCCATGGGCTGCCCTCATTCCTTGGCTCATGGCCTCCTCCCATCTTCAAAGCCAACAATGAGTCCTTCTCACATCATGTCACTCCAACCTTCTCTCTCGCCTTTTTCATCTAATTTTTTTTTTTTTTTTTGAGATAGAGTCTTGCTGTGTTGCCAGGCTGGAGTGTAGTGGCACAATCCTGCCTCACTGCAACCTCCACTTCTGGGGTTCAAGCGATTCTCCTGCCTCAGCCTCCTGAGTAGCTGAGATTAAACACACATGCCACCACACCTGGATAATTTTTGTATTTTTAGTAGAGATGGGGTTTCACCATGTTGGCCAGGATGGTCTCAATCTCTTGACCTTGTGATCCACCCACTTTGGCCTCCCAAAGTGCTGAGATTACAGGTGTGACCCACCACGCCTGGCCTCATCTACTTTTACCTTTGTGATTACACTGAGCCCACTGAGCTAATCCAGGATGATCTCTATCTTAAATTCAGCTAATTAGCAAACTCAATTTCATCTGCAAACATAATTCCCCTTTGTCATGTAATATAACATATTCATGGGTTCTGAGTATTAGGACATAAACATTTAGGGGGAGGGGGTGCATTATTCTGCCTATCATACCTCTGTCCCCAGCTCTGCAGTAGGATTGAAAATCACCAGTCTTACAATTCTGCTAGCTGTGAAAACCAGCAGCCTAGTAGCCACAAGAAGGGAAAGAGTGGATTTTGACTCTCCAAAGGTCACTATTTGACCTGTCTGGCAGATCCCTGGAAAACTCTGTTGTCAGGGCTTGTCTTTATTTGACCTGATTTAGTACTGACTTGGTGTGAACAGTCTTATTCCCAGGACTTTGTGAAATAATCAGTGACAATTCTGTAACATCACAGTTTCCTAAGGCATTGGTACCAGTTGGGGCAAACAACAGGCTGGCCATAAACTTTAAAAGGAAGATCTGAGGAATTAGTATCTAAAACAGCTTTGAAATGTTTTTACATATTGCTGGGACTTGAGAAGGTCATGTACATATGCAGAGCTGCATGCATACTCAGGAAAAACCTGATAAAGCCATAATCTCTAAACTTTGGATAATCTACAGATACTCAGCAAGCAGGAAGTGAAGACAAGGCAGAGTTGTAAACTCAGTATGTTTAAAGTATGCTACAACATACACACATAGCCCCTTGGCAAATAATGACAGACTTACTGGTTTAAGGCATTTAAGAAAATTTCTGTCCAACTATAAGCTGGCTACTAAGCCAACTAAGCAGACTTCAGTGGTCATTTTGACAAAGAATGCAAAATTTACAAAATCATTTTAGCAACGTCACTAAACCCTTCAACAACAACAAACCCTGGGGGAGGAGAGAGGGAAATAAAATCTGGTTTCCAGTTTTCAACAAAAAAGATGAGATGTACAAAGAAACAATAAGGTATGGCCCACACTAACTACACAGGAAAAAAATGAGCCAAAAGAAACTACCCCATAACTAAGCCCAGATGTTGGACTTACGAAAAAAGTTGTTTTTTTTAATTATAGTTTAAAGGGTACATGTGCACAACATGCAGGTTGTTACATAGGTATACATGGGCCATGTTGGTTTGCTGCACCCATCAATTCGTCGTTTACCTTAGGTATTTATCCTAGTGCTATCCCTCCCCCTGCCCCCCAACCCCTGACAGGCCCCAGAGTGTGATGATCCCTGCCCTGTGTCCAAGTGTTCTCATTGTTCATTTCCCACCTATGAATGAGAACATGTGGTGTTTGGTTTTCTGTCCTTGTGATAGTTTGCTTAGAATGATAGCTTCCAGCTTCATCCATGTCCCTGCAAAGACATGAACTCATCCTTTTTTTATGGCTGCAAGTATTCCATGGTGTATATGTGCCACATTTTCTTAATCCAGTCTATTATTGATGGACATTTGGATTGGCTCCAAGTCTTTCCTATCGGGAATAGTGCTGCAATAAACATACATGTGCATGTGTCTTTATAGTAGCATGATTTATAATCCTTTGGGTATATACCCAGTAATGGGATGGCTGGGTCAAATGGTATTTCTAGTTCTAGATCCTTGAGGAATTGCCACACTGTCTTCCACAATGGTTGAACTAATTTACACTCCCACCAACAGTGTAAAAGCGTTCCTATTTCTCCACAACCTCTCCTGCATCTGTTGTTTCCTGACTTTTTAATGATCACCATTCTAACCGGCATGAGATGGTATCTCATTGTGGTTTTGATTTGCATTTCTCTGATGACCAGTGATGATGAGCATTTTTTCATTTGTCTATTGGGTGCCTAAATGTCTTCTTTTGAGAAGTGTCTCTTCATATTCTTTGCCCAGTTTTTGATGGGGTTGTTTTTTTTCTTGTAAATTTGTTTAAGTTCTTTGTAGGTTCTGGGTATTAGCCCTTCATCAGGTGGGTAGATTGCAAAAATATTCTCCCATTCTGTAGGTTACCTGTTCACTCTGATGGTAGTTTGTTTTGTGGTGCAGAAGCTCTTTAGTTTAATTAGATCCCATTTGTCTATTTTGGCTTTTGTCGTCATTGTTTTTGGTGTTTTAGTCATCAAGTCCTTGCCTGTGTCCTGAATGGTATTGCCTAGATTTTCTTCTAGGATTTTTATGGTTTTAGGTCTAACACTTAAGTCTTTAATTCATCTTGAATTAATTGTTGTATAAGGTGTAAGGAAGGGATCCAGTTTCAGTTTTCTACATATTGCTAGCCAGCTTTCCTAGCACCATTTATTAAGTAGGGAATCCTTTCCCCATTGCTTGTTTTTGTCAGGTTTGTCAAAGATCAGATGGTTGTAGATGTGTGGTGTTATTTCTGAGGCCTCTGTTCTGTTCCATTGTTCTATATATCTGTAATGGTACCAGTACCATGCTGTTAGGGTTACTGTAGCCTTGCAGTATAGTTTGAAGTCATGTAGCGTGATGCCTCCAACTTTGTTCTTTTTGCTTATTGTTGTCTTGGCAATGTGGGCTCTTTTTTGGTTCCATATGAACTTTAAAGTATTTTTTCCCAATTCTGTGAAGAAAGTCATTGGTAGCTTGATGGGGATGGCATTGAATCTATAAATTACCTTGGGCAGTATGGCCATTTTTATGATATTTATTCTTCTTATCCATGAGCATGAAATGTTCTTCCATTTGTTTGTGTCCTCTTTTATTTAGTTGAGCAGTGGTTTGTAGTTCTCCTTGAAGAGGTCCTTCACATCCCTTGTGAGTTGTATTCCTAGGTATTTTATTCTCTTTGTAGCAATTATGAATGGGAGTTCACTCATGATTTGGCTCTCTGTTTGTCTATTATTGGTGTATAGGAATGCTTGTGATTTTTGCACATTGATTTTGTATCCTGAGACTTTGCTGAGGTTGCTTATCAGCTTAAGGAGATTTTGGGCTGAGACGATGGGGTTTTCTAAACATACAATCATGTCATCTTCAAACAGAGTCAATTTGACTTCCTCTTTCCCAATTGAATACCCTTTATTTCCTTCTCCTGCCTGATTGCCCTGGCCAGAACTTCCAACACTATATTGAATAGGAGTGGTGACAGAGGGCATCCTTGTCTTGTGCTGGTTTTCAAAGGAAATGCTTCCAGTTTTTGCCCATTCAGTATGATATTGGCTGTGGGTTTGTCATAAATAGCTCTTATGGTTTTGAGAAACGTTCCATCAGTACGTAGTATATTGAGGGTTTTTAGCATGAAGGGCTGTTGAATTTTGTTGAAGGCCTTTTCTTCATCTATTGAGATAATCATGTAGTTTTTGTAGTTGGTTCTGTTTATGTGATGGATTATGTTTATTGATTTGCGTATGTTGAACCAGTCTTGCATCCCAGGGATGAAGCTGACTTGATTTTGCTGGATAAGCTTTTCGATGTGCTGCTGGATTCAGTTTACCAGTATTTTGAGGATTTTTGCATCAATGTTCATCAGGGATATTGGTCTAAAATTCTCTTTTTTTGTTGTGTCTCTGCAAGGCTTTGGTATCAGGATGATGCTGGCCTCATAAAATAAATTAGGGGTTTTAGAAGGAATGGTACCAGTTCCTTTTTGTACCTCTGGTAGAATTAGGCTGTGAATCCATCTGGTCCTGGACTTTTTTTGGTTGATAGTCTATTAATTATTGTCTTGATTTCAGAGCCTGTTATTGGTCTATTCAGGGATTCAGCTTCTTCCTGGTTTAGTCTTGGGAGGGTGTATGTGCCCAGGAATTTATCCATTTCTTCTAGATTTTCTAGTTTATTTGTGTAGAGGTGTTTATAGTATTCTCTGATGGTAGTTTGTATTTCTGTGGGATCGGTAGTGATATCCCCTTTATTGTCTGTTATTGCATCTATTTGATTCTTCTCTATTAGTCTTGGTAGCGGTCTATCAATTTTATTGATCTTTAAAAAAAAAAAAAAACCAGCTCCTGGATTCATTGATTTTTTTGAAGGGTTTTTTTTTTTTCTGTCTCTATCTCCTTCAGTCCTACTCTGATCTTAGTTATTTCTTGCCTTCTGCTAGCTTTTGAATTGTTTGCTCTTGCTTCTCTAGCTCTTTTAATTGTGATGTTAGGGTATCGATTTTAGATCTTTTCCTGCTTTCCTGCCTCTTGTGGGCATTTAGTGCTATAAATTTTCCTCTACACAATGCCTTAAATGTGTCCCAGAGATTCTGGTACATTGGTCTTTGTTCTCATTGGTTTCAAAGAAAATCTTTATTTCTGTCTTCATTTCGGTATTTACTCAGTAGTCATTCAGGAGCAGGTTGTTCAGTTTCCATGCAGTTGTGTGTTTTTGAGTGAATTTCTTAATCCTGAATTCTAATTTGATTGCACTGTGGTCTGAGAGACAGTTTGTTGTGATTTCTGTTCTTTTACATTTGCTGAGGAGTGCTTTACTTCCAATTATGTGGTCAATTTTAGAATAAGTGTGATGTGATGCTGAGAAGAATGTATATTCTGTTGATTTGGGGTGGAGAGTTCTGTAGATGTCTATTAGGTCTGCTTGGTGCAGAGCTGAGTTCAAGTCCTGGATATCTTTGTTAACCTTCTGTCTCATTGATCTGTCTATTATTGACAGTGAGGTGTTAAAGTCTCCCATTATTATTGCATGGGAGTCTAAGTCTTTTTGTAGGTCTCTAAGGACTTGCTTTATGAATCTGGGTGCTCCTGTATTGATTGGGTGCATATATATTTAGGATAGTTAGCTCTTCTTGTTGAATTGATCCCTTCACTATTATGTAATGGCCTTCTTTGTCTCTTTTGATATTTGTTGGTTTAAAGTCTATTTTATCAGAGACTAGGATTGCAATCCTTGCTTTTTTTTTTTTTTTTTTTTTGCCTTCCATTTGCTTGGTAGATCTTCCTCCATCCCTTTATTTTGGTCCTATTTGTGTCTCTGCATGTGAGATGAGTCTCCTAAATACAACACTCTGATGGGTCTTGACTCTTAATCCAATTTGCCACTCTGTGTCTTTTAATTGGGGCACTTGGCCCATTTACATTTAAGATTAATATTGTTATGTGTAAATTTGATCCTGTCATTATGATGTTAGTTGGTTATTTTGCCCATTAATTGATGCAGTTCCTTCATAGCATTGATGGTCTTCACAATTTGGTATGTTTTTGGAGTGGCTGGTACTAGTTGTGCCTTTCCACATTTAGTCCTTCCTTCAGGAGCTCTTGTGAGGCAGGCCTGGTGGTTACAAATCTCTCAGCATTCGCTTGTCTGTAAAGGATTTTATTTCTCCTTCACTTATGAAGCTTAGTTTGTCTGGATATGAAATTCTGGGTTGAAAATTCTTTTCTTTAAGAGTGTTGAATATTGGCCCCCACTCTCTTCTGGCTTGTAGGGTTTATACCAACAGATCTGCTGTTAGTCTGATGGGATTCCCTTTGTGGGTAACTCGACATTTCTCTCTGGCTGCCCTTAATGTTTTTTTCCTTCATTTCAACCTTGGTGAATCTAACAATTATGTGTCTTGGAGTTGCTCTTCTCAAGAAGTATCTTTGTTGTATTCACTGTATTTCCTAAATTTGAATATTGGCCTGCCTTGCTAGGTTGGGGAAGTTCTGCTGGATAATATCCTGAAGAGTGTTTTCCAACTTGGTTCCATTCTCCCTGTCACTTTCTGGTACACCAATCAAATGTAGATTTGGTCTTTTCACATAGTTCCACATTTCTTGGAGGCTTTGTTCGTTTCTTTTACTCTTTTTTCTCTAAACTTCTTTTCTCACTTTATTTCATTAATTTGATATTTAATCACTGATATCCTTCCACTTAGTCGAATTGGCTATTGAAGCTTGTGCATGCATCACAAAGTTCTCATGCCATGTTTTCAGCTCCATCAGGTCATTTAAGGTCTTCTCTACACTGTTTACTCTAGTTAGCCATTCGTCTAATCTTTTTCAATTATTTTAGCTTCCTTGAGATGGGATAGAACATGCTCCTTTAGCTCAGAGAAGTTTGTTATTACCAACCTTCTGAAGCCTACTTCAGTCAACTCGTCAAAGTCATTCTCTGTCCAGCTTTGTTCCGTTGCTGGCAAGGAGCTGTGATCCTTTGGAGGGGAAGAGGCACTCTGGTTCTTAGAATTTTCAGCTTTTCTGCTCTGGTTTATCCCATCTTTGTGGTTTTATCTACCTTTGGTCTTTGATGTTGGTGACCTACAGATGGGGTTTTGGTGTGGATGTCCTTTTTGTTCATGTTGATGCTATTCCTTTCTGTTTGTTAGTTTTCCTTCTAACAATCAGGTCCCTTAGCTGCAGGCCTTTTGGAGTTTGCTGGAGGTCCACTCCAGACGCTGTTTGCCTGGGTATCACCAGCGGAGGCTGCAGAAAAGCAAATATTGCTGCCTGATCCTTCCTCTGGAAGCTTCATCCCAGAGGGGTACCCACCTGTATGAGGTGTCTGTCGGCCCCTACTGGGAGGTGTCTCCCAGTTAGGCTACATGGGGGTCAGGGACCCACTTGAGGAGGCAGTCTGTCTGTTCTCAGAGCTCAAATGCCATGCTGGGAGAACCACTGCTCTCTTCAGAGCTGTCAGACAGGGACGTTTAATTCTGCAGAAATTTCTGCTGGCTTTTGCTCAGCTATGCCCTGCCCACAGAGTTGGAGTCTATCGAGGCAATAGGCCTTGCTGAGCTGTGGTGGGCTCTGCCCAGTTCTAGCTTCTTGGCTGCTTTGTTTACCTACTCAAGCCTCAGCAATGGTGAACACCCCTTCCCCCGCCAGGCTGCAGCCTCACAGGTCAATCTCAGACTGCTGCGCTAGCAGTGAGCAAGGCTCTGTGGGCATAGGACATGCTGAGCCAGGCATGGGAGAGAATCTCCTGGTCTGCTGGTTACAGGAAAAGCACAGTATTTGGGTGGGAGTGTCCTGTTTTTCCAGTTACGGTCTGTCATGGCTTGGAAAGAGAAATCCCCCAACCCCTTGTGCTTCCTGGGTGAGGCAACACCCCACCCAGCTTCAGCTTGCCCTCCATGGGCTGCACCCACTGTCCAACCAGTCCCAGTGAGATGAAATAGATACCCCAGTTGGAAATGCAGAAATCACTCGTCTTCTGCATCGATCATGCTGGGAGCTGCAGACCAGAGCTGTTCTTATCGGCCATCTTGGAAGGGAAAACTCACACACACACACAAAATTTAAATAGTCATTATAAATATGCTCAAAGAACTATAGAAAATCATGTATACATAATTGAAATAAAGTATGAGAATGTTGTTTCACCAAATAGGAAATGTCAAGAAAGAGACAGAAATTATGAAAAAAAATAACAGAAATTCTGAAGTGGTAATGTATAATCACTAAAGTGAGAAATTCCCTAGAGGGACTCAAGAGAAGATTTAAGGTGATTAAAGAAAGAATAATTTACTTGAAAACAAGTCAATTGAGAGTATCCAGTCTGAATAACAAAAATAAAAAAGAAAGAAGAAAAAGAACAGGACCTCAGAGACTTGTGGGATGGCATCATGTGTATCAACATATGCATAACGTGAGTCCCAGAAGAAAAGGAAAGGGGCATAAAAAGTACTGGAAGAAATAATAACTGAAAGCTTCCCAAATTTCATTAAAAATATTAATCTACACATCCAAGGAGCTCAACAAACACTGAAAAGGATAAACTTAAAGACTTCCAAACCTGGACAAGTTACAATCAAACTGTTGAAAGCCCAAGATAAAGAGAAAATCTTGAAAGTAATAAGAAAAACAACTCATCAAATATTATGGATTGTCAACAAGATGATAAGCTGACATCTCATCAGAACACATACAAACTAGAGGCCAATGAAAATTCAAAATGCTGAAAGAAAGTAAATGTCAATTAAGCATTCTATATCCAGCAAAACTATCCTTTATGAAGGAAGGAGAAATTAAGGCATTCTTAGATAAACAAAAACAGAGAGAATTTGTCACTAGCAGGCCTGCCCTGCAAGAAACACTAAAAGGAGTCCTTCAGGTTAAAATGAAAGAACATGAGACAGTAATCTAAATGCATATTAAGAAAGAAAGTGCACTAGAAAAGGCAACTACAAAGGTAAATATAAAAGTCAGTGTAATGGTATTTTTTGTTTGCAACTCTTTTCCTATCTGATTTAAAAAATAATTGTTTAAAGCAATAATTCACATATTAATTAGTCATAGTAAATAGTCATAGCAAAAAGGAAAGTAGAAGAAATGAAGCAATGTAGGAGTAATATATATGTCAATTGCTGAAAAAAACAGTCAGGAAAGATTGGCTCCTGTTGTGATTAAATTGTAAAACAATAGCAGTGAAATGATTGAGTTTTTTGTTTGTTTGTTTGTTTGTTTTATTGAGACAGTCTCATTCTGTTTCCCAGGCTGGAGTGCAGTGGCACAATCTCAGCTTACTGCAACTTCTGCCTCCCAGGTTCAAGTGATTCTACTGCCTCAGCTTCCCCAGTAGTAGGTGGGATTACTGGTGCCCACCACCGTGCCCAGCTAATTTTTGTATTTTTACAAAATTACAACAGGGTTTCACCATGTTGGCCAGGCTGGTCTCAAACTCCTGATCTGAAGTGATCTGCCCACCTCAGCCTCCCAAAGTGCTGAGATTACAGGCATGAGCAACCATGCCCACCCAAGGTATTTTCTTAAATGAATATATTTAAGTGTATTAGGTAGCAATAATTTTCTTTGCAATCATTTCTACATTTATAAAAATAAAGTCAAAATATCAAATATTCATTTTAAAACTGGCATAACTAAAAGAAATTGAAAACTGAAAATATTGGAATAGTTCAATACCCCACTTTCAATGATGGATATAACAACTAAGCAGAATATCAACAGAAAAATAAAATACTTAATATTATAAACCAACTAGACATAACAAAAATCACTCAAAAACAGCAGGATATACTTTTTTCTGAAATCTTCATGAAATTTTTTCCAGTTTAGACTACAAATTAGGCCATAAAATGACATTCAATAAATATAAAGTGATTAAAATCATATAAAATATGTTATCTCATAAAATAAAATAAAATTAGAAATCAGTAACAGAAAGAAACTTGGGAAATTCCAAAATATGTGGAAATTAAATGCATACTGCTAAATAACAAGTGTAAAACAAGAAATTACATGAAAAATTAAAAAATATTTTGAGATGAATGAAACCAGAACCATAACATGTCAAACCATATGGAATTTTTATAGCTGATATGTAAATATGTAAAGGCCTACATTCAGAAAGAAATCAATATCATAATTTGCCATCTTAAGAAACTAAGGGAAAAGACAGAAAATTTCAAAGCAACCAGAAGGAAGATGAAGGAAGGAACAATAAATTAGAGACAATCAACAAAACTAAAATTTGCTTCTTTGCAAAGAGTAATAAAATTTAGAAATCTTTAGGTGTTTGACCAAGAACAAAATAGAGAACACTCAAATGACTAAAGTCAGGAATGATAAGAATGGACGTCCCTACCAACATTAGAGAAATAAAAAGAATTGTAAAAGAATACTATGGACTACTGTATGACAAAAAATTATCTAACCTAGATGAAACGGATAAATTGCTAGAAAGACACAAAAAAATTACCAAAACTGACTCAAGAAGAAATAGATAATCTGAATAGACATAGAACAAGAGACTGAATTAGAAATTTTCAAATTTCTCACAAAGAAAAGCCTAGAATCAAATGGCTTCACATGAATTCTACCAATCATTTAAGGAAAATTAGTACCAATACTTCACAAAGTCTTCTAAGAAATAGAAAATGAAGAAAAACTTTCCAACTAATTCTAAGACAAGTATCACCCTCATACCAAAACTGGATAACAACATCACAAAGAACAAAAACTATAGGCTGGACATGTTGGCTCATGCCTGTAATTCCAGCACTTTGGGAGGCCAAGGCAGGTGGATCCTTGAGGCCAGGAGTTCAAGATCAGCCTGGCTAATATGGTGAAACCCCGTCTCCACTAAAAATACAAAAAACTTAGTCGGGCATGGTGGTGGGGGCCTGTGGTCCCAGCTACTGAGGAGGCTGAGGCAGAAGAATCGCTTGAACCTGGGAGACGGAGGTTGCAGTGAGCTGAGATCATGCCACTGCATTCCAGCCTGGGTGACAGAGTGAGACTGTCTCAAAAAACAAAAAGAAAAAACTATAGACAAATATTCCATATGAATGTAGACGCACTCCTCAACAAAATACTAGAAAATCAAATTTAAAAGCATATGAAAACGTTATACACCATTACCAAGTGGAAGTTATCCCATGAATGCAAAGTTTATTTTACATCCAAAAATACAACATATTAAAATAAAGGACAAAAACCACACCATTTGCTCAACAGATGTAGAAGCATTTGTCAAAATCTAACACATTTTTATGACAAAAATTTTTAACAAACTAGCAATACAAGGAAATTTCTTCAATCTGATAACTGGTATCTATGAAAAACTCTCAGCTGAGATCACAGTGAAAGACAATGTCTTCCCATTAAAAGTAGGAAAAGAATAAGGATGTTCACTGTCACCACTTCCATTTAACATTGTACTTGAGATTCTAGCCAGAGCAATTAAGCAATAAAAAGAAATAAGTCAGGCCAGGTGCAGTGGCTCACACCTGTAATCCCAGCACTTTGTGAGGCTGAGGCAGTTATATCACCTTAGGTCAGGAGTTCGAGATGAGCCTGACGAACAGAAACACTCTCTCTACTAAATACAAAAAATTAGCTGGGTGTGGTGACACATGCCTGTAATCCCAGCTACTTGGGAGGCTGAGGCAGGAGAATCACTTGAACCCAGGAGGCAGAAGTTGCAGTGAGCCAAGATTACGCCATTGCACTCTAGTCTGGGCAGCAAGAGCAAAACTCAATCTAAAAAAAATAATAAATTTAAAAAAAGTCATCCAAATTGGAAAAGAAGTAAAACCATGTGTATTCCCAGATGACATGATCTTGTATATTGAAAATCCTGAGGAAAAGCTATGAGAATGAATAAATAAGTTCAGCAAAATTTCAGGATACATAAATCAAAGTACAAAAATCAGCTGTATTTATGTATACTAGCCATGAATAATCCAAACATAAAAATAAAAAACAATTTCACTTACAATAGTATGAAAAATAATAAAATAAATTAGGAATAAATTTTAATGAGAAACTACAATATTTGTATGCTGAAAACTACAAAACATAGTTGAAAGAAATTGACCTAAATAAATGGAAAGAAAGGTATCTCGTGCTCATGGATCAACCTATACATACGGACTCAATCAATTTTTGACAAGGGTACCAAGGCAATTCAATGGGGAAAGAATAGTCTTTTCAACAAATAGTACTGAGACAACTGGATACACACATGCAAAAGAATGAAGTTGGATCTCTAATTCATACTACATATTCAAAAATCATTTCAAAATGGATCATAGGCCTAATGAGAGTTGAAACTATAAAACTCTTAGAATAAAACATAGAAGTCATCATGACCTTGGGTCAAAAGAAAAAAGAGATACATGAACTTCATCAGAGTTTAAAACTATTGTTCTTTAAAGGACCCCATCAAAAAAGTGAAAAAACAACTTACAGAGAAGAAAAAAACATTTGCAAATAATATATGATAAGGAACTTGTATCAAGGATATATAAAGAACTCTTGCAACTATAATAACAAATTTGAGTAGCTATTTCTCTAAAGAAAATATACAGTTGGCCGATAAACACATTAAATGATACTCAACATCATTAGTCATGCATAAGGAAAATGTAAATCGATATAATAATGAGATACCATTTCACATTCACTAAGATGGCTACATCAATAAGGTGGACAAGGACAACTGTTGGTGAGGATGTGCAGAAACAAAACCTCATACACTGTGTAAGTGTAAAATGAGTGTCACTATTTTGGAAAACAACTTGACAATTCCATGAAAGCTTAAACGTAAGAGTTACCATATGACCCAGCAATTCCATTCTTTTGTATATATTCATGAGAAATTAAACATATATGTACACAAAAACTTGAACACAAAAGTTCATAACAGCATTATTTATAATGGCTAAAATATGGAAGTAACCCAAATGTTTGGGGGTTTTCTTTTCTTTTTATTGTGGAATAATAATCTTTCTGGAAGAGATGAAGCATTTCAGTTGGTAGACTAAATGAAGAAGGCCCACTCTCACTAATGTGGGCGAGCATCTCCAATGGGCTGAGTTCCTGAACATAACAACAAGGCGGGGGAAGGGGTAGGACAAGAAAAGGATGGAATAATATTCCACCATAAAAAGGAATGAAGTACTTATACATGCTACGGTATAGATTACCTTGCTATCATGTGAAATTTTTTAAAGCAAGTCACAAAAGACTACATATTGTATAATTATGTGTAAGACACATCCAAAACAGGCAAATCTAATTTTTTTAGATAACCTACAGAATATAGGTTAGCAGTTTTCAAAGGGAAATAGGGAATAGAGGAGATAAGGTTTATTTGGCGGTTGATGAAAATTCTTTAAAATTAGATAGCTGTGATGCTTGCACAACTCTACCAATATACTAAAAACCACTGAATTGTATATTTTGAATGGATGAATTTTATGATAAATGAATTAAATCTCAATAAGGCTATTATTTTCTTAAAGCTGTCCTAGATTTTGGTATGCCAAAAGAAATAAAGTTACAAGAAAAATACCATAAAAAGCTACAAAATCTTCTGCATTTAAATGTGACTAAAAAGTTGGGCTTCATGTTAATTAGTATGTGTTAATCTCTGAGAAAGAGCATGTCCCACTTCAGAATTGCTGTGTATGTTTCAGCTATTGCAGCTGTTATTGTTACCATTATTTTAGTATTGTCATAAGGATACCTTCTGCAATGACTTTGATCCTGAGTTTTTTACTGATGCCTGGCATGGTGGAGTGCGTTATGTCAAGGTGGGAACTACATTTTCCAGAATTCCCTCTCCTGTGTGTTCCAGTTTAGAGTTAGCCAAAAGAGGAACTTCTGAGAGATTTGGGAAGCAGAGGTTGAGCAGCCATCATTGTCTGTGATGGCTGATTTTATGTCAACTTGACTAGGCTAAGGGATGCCCAGAGAGCAGGTAAACATTATTTCTGGGCAATCTGGGAGGAATTTCTGGAAGAGATGAAGCATTTCAGTTACTAGACTAAGTGAAGAAGGCTCACCATTGTGGGTGAGCATCTCCAATCTGCTGAGTTCCTGAACACAACAACAAGGCAGGGAAAGGGAGAATTTGCCCTCTTGTTTGACTGGGACATCCATCCTCTCCTGCCCATCAGAGCTCCCGGTTCTCACAGCTTTGGTCTTGCACTGAATTATACTACCGACTTTCTTAGGTGCCCAGTTTGCAGACAGCACATGGCAGGACTTCTCAGCCTCTATAATTGTGAGTCAGTTCTCATAATAAATCTTCTCTCTCTTCATTCTCTTGGTTCTGTTTCTCTGGAGAAGCCCGACTCACAGACGGTTTTCTCCAGATCAGATGATGTGGTGAAGATCAGATGCAAGTGTTGGGTGAGCTCTAGGCAGTCTTTCCCCTCTCCAGTCCGGCTGCCAGTCTTGACCTGTGATCCCACTGAACAGGGCCTGAGCCCACCACAGAGCCTGCTTGGGGACCCAGGAGGCAGCCTGCATGGGCACAATGTGGACATCCCCAGAGCTCCAGGCTGCAGCCCCGCTTTGGCACTGGACTTTGTGGTGCCAGCCCCTCAGCCTGGAGGTGTTCTGATGCCTGCTCTGACCCCCACTTCCCACTGGGCCCCCCAAATCCTTAGATGTGTAAGGCTGATCACCAGCATAAACCTTTACCTCATGAGGCTCTTAGAGCACTCTCCCCAGGCTGAGCCCTGGCAGAGCCCCGAGTCTTCCAACCACATTTGTTCCTTTGTTCAGGAAACATGTTTTGAACAAGTAAGAGGCTTTCAGTGCCTCTGTGCTTCCTGCCTGGTTGACCCAGACAATTCAGCAGCCACTGATCAGGAGAGCACAGGCCTTGGGAGTCCCCTCTTCTGGGGGCCTCAGGTGAGGTCACAGAGCAGGTGACAGAGTGACATCAATTCTGAGATCTGAAGGGATGACCACCAGTCAGATAAAAGCTGTCCTCAAAGCAAGCATGACAAAGCAACTGATAGGGTTTGCTGTGTCCCCACCCAAATCTCATCTTGAATTCAAGATGTAGCTCCCATAATCCCCAGCTGTCCTGGGAGGGACCTGATGGGACGTAATTGAATCATGGGGCGGGTCTTTCCTGTGCTGTTCTCCTGATAGTGACTAAGTCTCATGAGATCTAATGGTTTTATAAAGGGCAGTTTTCCTGCACATGCTCTCTTGCCTGCCGCCATGTAAGACCTGCCCTTGCCCCTCCTTGCCTTCTGCCATGATTGTGAGGCCTCCCCAGCCATGTGGAACTGTGAGCCCATTAAACCTCTTTCCTTTATAAATTACGCAGTCTCAACTATGTCTTTATCAGCAGTGGGAGAAGAGACTAATACAGCAACTCAGCACTGAGTGGGGCAGGTGAGCCGGGGGCAGAGGCTGAGGCTGCAGCAAGATGAGCAGGGCTGCTGGGGAAGGTTTCTAACGCAGCCTTGACCTGCGCACCTGCGACCAGGTTCACTCCAAGGCTTCCCTTGGCCTGGTCTCCAGGGCCTGCTGCACACTGCGGGCCACTGCCCAGCCCCCCTACTGCAGCCCAGGCCTTGCTCTTGCGGCTGCACTAGCAGCTCCCGCGTGGGCGTTTCTCCGCCTCAGGCTCCCTTCCCTTCCCGCTGGCTCCCCAGCACTGCCTGCCCACCCTGGACATTCTCGGGAGACCCTTCTGTCCACTATTTCAGTAGTCCAGGGCCGTCTAGTGTGGAGCCCCCAGCGCAGGTGTGAGCACAAGCCCACTGGACACTGCCCGCAAAGATGGGGCCATGCGCAGGGAACGGCACCTGGAGGCTGTTGTCAGCGCCTGAGCGTCTCCCGACTGAACCGCAGAGGGGCAAGGGAGCCCGCAGAGGAGCCTTCGTGGTTTCCTTGGATCTCGCGTTCGGAATACTCCGCAGGCACCGGGCTGTAGTGAGTGTCCGTCCTTGTGGGATGCTGGGCTTTGGAGTTCCAAATGGAAGACAAAGTATTTGTATCCACGAAGAGCATTACTAATAGAACTGACCTGCAATTCAGAACTAATTCCTATTTTAAGAGGAACGCAGTAAAAAACTAATAATAAAATAAAATAATAAATATAAATAAATAATAAAAATAAAATAAATTGGTTGCCTTTCATTTCTAAGTAAATATGCAACAGAGTTTCCAAGTTAATACAGGAAAATGTGGACAATTCAGTAATTAAATGCATCCATTTGTCAGATATCTCTAGAGGCCTAGTGCGTAACTGCTAAGTCCTGGGAATAAGGCACACTCCCTGCTCATCCAAGGAGAGAGCGATTGAGAAAGCAAGCATTTAGTTAAAAATTCACTGAGCACTACCACCCACAAATGGAAACTGTAGTGGGGTGATAGTGTCCCCTAAATTCCTGTCCACTTGGAACTTCAGAATGCAACCTGATTTGGAGACAGGCTCTTTGAAGATGTGATTAATTAAGATGAAATCATACTGCATTTAAGCTGGGCCCTAAATCCAATGACTGGTGTCCTTAGAAAAAGAGGAGTGGACACAGAGATACATGCAGAGAAGTAAACAGGATCTTATATGGAAAAAAAAAGTGATTAAAGATCTTCAGAGGAGGAATTTACCCTGGACTATGTGGGTGGCCCTAAATGCAATCGTCTCTGTCCCAGTGATATAGAAACACAGAGGAGGCTGCATGGCCAGGGAGGCAGAGGTTGGAGTGATGTGGCCACAAGCCCAGGAAGGCCGGCAGCCACCAGAAGCTGAAGAGGCAAGGAACAGACTCTTTCACCTGGAAAGCCCAGAGGGACCTGACCCTGCCAGCCTCTGCATGGGTAAGAAAATGAATTTCTGTTGGGTCAAGCCACCCAGTTCACGGTAATTTGTTAAGCTACAGGAAACCAATCGAGAGCCTTTGACCTCCTTGTCCTCCAGAGTCCTTTCTTCTGCTCCACCTGCTTGGCTGTCTGTCGTGAGAGTGGTATGAGAGTCCTTCTAGTATTCTAACCATTGCAAACAAGCAGATTCCTTGCAGAGACAGCGCACGAAGAGCTTGGAGAACTCTGTGCACAATCCTAGAAGGAAGCCAAGTGCTCTTCCAAGTGCTTTGCACACTTTATCTAATTGAAACCTCAAATAGCACTAATTGATGAGCACTGTTGCTTTGCTTGTTTGCCAGTGGGGAAACTGTGGTGTGGGGATGTTGGGTTACAGCTGAGGCAACAGCTCACAGGCGACAAAACTGGGGTCTGACCTGGCTCCAAAGCCCTGCTTCCCTCACCCAGCTGCCGGCCTCTCGGGTAAGGAGCTTCCTCTGAGTTGTATCTGTTATTGGAATACTTTGGGGAATAACCCATTTTAGATCTTGTCCAGTGCAAATAAAGCTCAGTGTGCTGGATGAATGCAAGGACATACTTTCCCATCATGATCAGTTCAGAGAGAGAATTCATCAGCCAGTTTGCCTTAGAAACACCACACAACATCCAACAAATCCAAGGCTGAGCCAAGAGAAGGTTTAGCCAAAGTAGATAAACACAAGAAATCCCCTTTTCAATCAAGAATATTTCCCCTACAATTTTTCACTGTAAATTGTGCATCTTGATGGGCAACCAGTCATTCCCTCCTGTAGCCTTCCTGTGACACCAGCAGGACATCTGGGCAGATGTGTCCACAGATGGACTCTGCCCACCAGGAGGAAGGTGGAGCCCCCAGCCACGTATCTGAGAGTTGGTTAGGACAGACCTTAGTTGAAATTATAACTAGTTAGTAAAAAATCTAATCTTGGGAATCCCCTCTTGAAAAAATGTTGCAATTTTAAGTACTCTATCAATATTGTGGAAGATCCAATAAAAATATCATAAAATGAAAAATTTTCCAGCCCATTAAGCCTGACTTTTTAAAATAGTACATTTCACATTTGCTTAAATCGGATTTAGGCAGGGAAAAATTTTAGTTGAAATTTTTTTTTTTTTTTTTTTTTTTTTCGAGATGGAGTCTCGCTCTTTCTCCCAGGCTGGAGTGCAGTGGCGCTATCTCAGCTCACTGCAAGCTCCGCCTCCCGGGTTCACGCCATTCTCCTGCCTCAGCCTCCCGAGTAGCTGGGACTACAGGCGCCCGCCACCACGCCCAGCTAATTTTTTGTATTTTTAGTAGAGACGGGGTTTCACCGTGTTAGCCAGGATGGTCTCGATCTCCTGACCTTGTGATCCACCTGCCTCAGCCTCCCAAAGTCCTGGGATTACAGGTGTGAGCCACTGCGCCCAGCTGATTTTAGTTGAAATTATAATTGCTTAGTGAAATACATAATCTTTGTGCTGAGACATTTTGCTATCTCTGCTCCCTGGGAAATGTAGCAATAGAGAATGACACCCTACGCTGACCTGTTGAACTCAGGATATGAATGGGGCAGTAGGGATCTGGCGTCCAGACAGCTGGAGACAAGCTCCTGAGGTGCCTGTATATCCCCGCCTGGCGGGGTACAGCTTGACAAGCCCTAGCCCCAGCCTGGGAAGATGGGCAGGGGGCACGGGAGCAGGAGCTCACAGATGAGAGGGGCCCCAGGATCAGAGAAGGCTGAAGCTGTATTACTTACCAGCAGCACGCCTTCCCCTACATACTCCATGGCTTCAAGCTCCATTTGCCCCTTATAAATGGGGATTATAATACTTAAAATATCTTATAGGACTGTTGGGAACGTGAGTGAGGCTTAGCACAAAGCCAGGAAGATAATAAGGGCTCAGTAACTGATCATTAAGGTTCCCTGGAGCACCACAATTGTGGGGAAATCACAAATGAGTGTTTCTGATGGATCATTTTCAAAGGGTTTTTTTCTCTTCAATCTCCATCTCCCCACCCCTACCCCCAGTCCCTGATAAACACTATTCTGCCATTTGCTTCTGTGAGTTTGACTTTTTAAGATTCCGTATATAAGTGAGGTCATGCAGTATTTGTATTTCTGTACCTGGCTTATTTCACTTAGCATGTCTTCTAGGTTCATCCATGTTGCCACTGATGACATATTTCCTTCTTTTTCAAGGCTGAATGGTATTCCATTGTGTATATACACCACAGACTCTTATCTTTAGCCAAGGTAAATCTCTAGCTCCAGCCCAGACCTTCTCCAGTGCTCTCCACAACCCACTCTGGAGGAATTCTTTTCTCTTAAACTGCTCATTCTCCCTCAAGCACATCCCCATGGAGAACCCTGGGAAATGGAGAAGAGGAAGTCTCTGTAAAGAATTAACAGCAGGAAGGCAAGATAAGTCTTTAAGTTCAGCAGACTAAGGAGCTCCTCCTTTTTATAACTTTATGCCTGCCACGTGTGTGCCTCACATTCCAAGGACAAGTGTATTTTGCTCAGTACGCCTCATTACTCAGTGAAAATTGAAGCGAAAGCATCTCCCTCGCCCATCGAGCACTCAAGCCTTTGCCATCAGTCTGACTTTGCTCTAGGGGCCTTTTGCAAAAGCCCATATCCCTTTCCTCTCTGCGCCCCCAGGCCAGGCAGGCTGAAGGCAGCAGTGCCTCCTGCAAAGGCTGTGCCTGGTGTTCATGGCAGCCATAAGGTCAAGTAAATGCCAGAGACTAGTGACCGCCCCTGCCATGGGTAGTGCTGTCCTTCACCATCACCAGAAGGGCAAGAGAATCTCACAGGGAAAATCCCCAGGCATTTGTGTCCAGTTGCATTTGACTCCATAGATTAACTGTGGGTTCATCAGTGTTGCTCAATTTGCAATGAGCTGGCAAAGGCTAGCAGCTTCAAGAATGCAGTCTGGGCTTTACTTCCCACCAACCAAGGCCCTTTGATAAGTCACAGTGACTTATTCTGGGAAATAATTAACTTCTTTGAAAAATCAGATTAATGCTAATATCTGCCAGTTTTTCTGGGGAAATAGGTTTCGTTCATGACAGTAAAACACCACATAACGTGTTCTCAGTGTTGATGAGACATTACACTAACAGTTGAAGTCAGGACTGTGATCCGTAGTATATCGAGCTATATTAGTGATACATGATGGGTGTATAGTTTTGAAAACTTTGAAAGTGGTTTCAACATAGAAGATGCCATGTAGTCCTCCAGGGCAGAAGTCATTACCTCCATTTCCTGGAAGAGAACAGATGCGGAGAAGTTGGTATGGTTCACAGCGGGTTGGGGGTAGGGGTGGGACCTCGTCTTGTGCAGGACAGCAGGTTGGCGGAGAGCTGTGCTGAACAGTGGCAAATTACAATGTGGGTACAAATGGAACCACACTGTGATGGGTCACTCAGATGTCCTGATCAATGCGTGGTACAGTGAGACACAGAGGGGTCAGAGATGAAATGGAAAGTGAGACACTCATACCTCCTGCCCCACACCTGCTGGCCTCTCCCCGGCAAACACCATCCCCCCGTCTCACCTGTGCTCTCCTCCCTCTGTTCACAATTTCCCCACCTAAGTTTGCCTTTGTTACAGCACTGTTACTGGTACAGGGTCTTGACTGCAAGTTGTTGAGGTTCTTGGCATTTTGAACAAAGAATTGGACAAAATGCACAGCAAAGCAACGAACGAATGAAGCAACGAAACAATGAAAGCAGAGGTTTATTCAAAACGAAAGTACACGCCACAGTGTGGGAGCCTGCTGAGCAATGCTCAAGGGCCCGGACAGAATATTGTCAGGATCATTGGCCACTTCATGCTCCCCTCATGTAAATGAAATGGTGGCCTGCAATCGGTCTGATTGGTTGCAAAAGCAACCAATCAGAGGCTGAAGTGCAGTTACAAAGGGCACACTCCTATGCGAGTATCTGATTGGTTGCTTTTTGCAACCAATTAGAGGCTAAGATGAAGTTGCAAACGAAGACAATTTTCAATCTGCCACACAGAAAAGGTGGGGGATTGGAATAGTAGCCTCTGGTCCTTTTGTTACTTAGGCGTGGAAAGTTACGGTTTTCCTTTCAATTTAGTTCTAGGAAGTTGGGGTGAAACAGCCTTAGGTTCCCTGCCTCCAGACCCTATTCTCCTGCCTCAGTACCTGTTAAACCCCTCTGTCACTTATCTGTCTTCCCAATTAGGCTGACAAGCTCCTGAGGGCAGTGGCCCTAAAATGACATCACAGTGGCCTGATAGTGAACACGTGGACCATCCAAAACAAATCTGCTTCAAAGGCAAATGACATGTGTGAGAGACGCTACCCAGGGCCAGGTAGGCTGTCTTGGGGGCACAGAGAGGCACAGAGAGGAAGCATGAGAGCACCTTCAGTGCATCAGCCTGTGCCAGTACCACGTGCGTAAAGACGCAGGAGATGATGGCAAGGAATTTTAACATCTGCCTCCTTGATATTCCCATATGCTAATTTTTGTGAGAAATATTTTGAATACCAAAACCAATTTTTGTTGAACATTGTGTGTGCTCTTGCACTATTTAACCTTTATGTGCACTAAAGGCTGAACTTACCCTAGTTCATCTGACTTTTAGCCCCCATCCCCCTCTCACTATGGATGTCTCAGGAGAAGAGGTCCCATAAACTGGAGTTTCCAGTTCACCCCAAGGTTCATCAACAGGGACACTCCACGCTATATCCACAGACAAAAGAACATTGAGTCAACCCTGGCCACAATGACTCAGGCACGGACACACCTGGCCCTGCCAAGAAGCCCCAGCCACAAGGCAGAGCGGTGAGTAGGACAGGGACTCCTGCAGGGGACAGGGGATGTGATGCATCCTCTGGGGCAGGCCAGCTGCCTGTGGGGGCCCTCAGACCACCCTGGAATCTCACTGTTGAATCCAAAATGGGGCTTCCAACCTACTGGAGAGTCCCCTGTTTCCTGCGGTTTGTACCCTCACCTAAGCAAAGGGCCACATCTTGCCTACATCTTGGCGTTTTTGGAAACACCATAATTATATAACGTGATGTGTCAGTGGTAGTATTTTCCCATTGTGACAGACTTTCCTCCCATATGAACTGTGTGTATGGCCTGTACATTTTGTCTTATTTTATTTTTAATTTAATTCTATTTGATTTTTTTACAGATGGGGTCTTGCTATGTTGCCCAGGCTCATCTCGAGCTCCTGGACTCAAGCAACCCTCCCACCTCAGCCTCCCAAGTAGCTGGAATTACAGGCTCAAGCCACTGGTGCCTGGCACCTGTCCATTTAGAAAATAACTGCTGGGCTTTCTGAGCACTCGTTATATGCTATGCCTCTAATACACTTTCTCATTTAATCTTTGGGGCACCCTATGGATTAGATATTATTCTCTCCCTTCCACAGAGGTACAAACTAATGCTTTGAGAAATAGGGACTTGCCCAAGGTCACACAACTGGTGAGGGATGGCCCTGAAGTGTGTTTAAAAAGTGAACCACAGCTTACCCAAGGCCAGACTGACCAAAGCAAGGGACATGCACCTCGAAGCAGTCCTTGAATCAGAGCGATGTCCAGCTGCCTGCTCTCTCCTGGCCTTGTTGCCTCATTTAATTTAGTTCCAGGGAGTCAATACATGTATTATTTTAAAGGAAAAATGAAAACATTCCAGAAGAACATTTGAGTATAATTTCAAGCTCAAAAAGAACACAAAGATCACTTTACAAAGAAGTCCTATAATGAATAAACTCTTCATGGGGGGTGGGGGAAACCAGAAAAAATAAAGTTGGATTTCCTTGGGATCCACTCAACTCTTTAATTCTGACTCTCAGTTACTAACAAAACATTCTCCCGTGCAGCCCTTCACCCCATACTGCTCCATCAAGCAGGAAACTCAGGAGCCTTTACCAAAATTGGCACATGACTTTTCAAATGAATCATCAGCTTGCTATTGTTCTTTCAAGGAATTTTTAGGAAAGAAAGAAAACAAAATTCTCCAGAATCCAAGATTTGGTGATAGATGTTTGTTGTCTTCTTGGCCCTCTTCTGTAAAGAACTTCAGCGAAATCAAAGAACAGATGCATCTTTAAAAGACAGAAAGATGAGAGAAAACTAAAAGAAAAAAAATGTGGTGGTTGCCAGGGGAGGGGTGCTGGGGTAAGGGATTGGGAAGACAGGATACAAAATCTCAAGAAGATCAAGAAATCTATTGTAGGACATGGTGACTGTAGTTAATAACAATATATTCTATCTTTGAAAATTGCTAAGAGTAGATTTTAAGTGTTCTCATCACAAAAAAAGTATGTGAGGAAATGCATGTGTTAATTAGCTCAATTTAGCCATTCCACAATATACACATATTTCCAAACAACATGTTGTACACCATAAATATACAGAATTTTTGTCAATCCAAAAAAAAATTAAATCTTCTGAAGTGGAGAATCTAAATGGAAAGAAATATAAAGAAAAATATATTGATTAACAGATAAAACAGCTAACGTCAACTTCATTTGAGCCTCTGATATTTGGGGTCCTGGCTGCCTCTGCTGTGGCCTTGCTCCCTGGCCTCCCGCTGGTCCCGGGCTGGCGGCTCTGGGCTTGCTTCCCGCAGCCACGTCCCTCCTCCGGTCTCCTGGAAGATCTGACCCGACACAGTAGCCTCGGTACCATCTGTGGATGGGAACCTCCGAGTCTGTGTTCCCAGCCTGACCTCCTTCTTGGGGTCCAGTCCGGAAGCTCTCGCTGCCTGCCAGACCTTCCCTGCTGTGGGCCACTCACATCCTGCAGCCTAAAATTTCCCAGAAGAACCTCATTTTCACCGTGTGCCACCGAGCCTCTGTAATGACTCCTTGTTCTCCATGGATGGCCGGGACACCTGACCTGGCCTGGGGATTCTGTCGGCCCACACTGCCCACAGCCGCCGTGCCCAGCACTGTCCTCATGCCCCTCTGCGGCGACACGCAGCACTCAGTCCCACGGGCCCCTTGCTCACGCTCTCCCTTCTGCCTGGACGGTGCTCTCTCTGCCCTTTTCCACCTGATTGACGTCTACTTTTCCCGTACATTTCAGCTGAGATAAACCAGACCCTGAAGAGGCCTTGGTGACTTGCTAGGCAGGCCGGCACTGGTGGGCGCGTTGGCTCCACGCACCTGACCCTGGGCTATGCCACACGCCCACTAGTCCCAGGGACTGGGGACAGACAGTGTTTCTTATTCACTAGGAGGCACAGTGCCCGGCACACAACAGGAAGTCACAAGCAAATGAGCAAATGATTGCAGCATGAATAAATGAAGGTAATTGATTTCTTCCTGAGAACATACTTGGGTCTGGGCCCCACAGGAAGTGCTAGAAAAGCTTTCATCTGATGCTGGGTTATTTATGCCCAAAAAGGTTTTCTTGAGGGATCATGGAAAGACACAAGGTCATTGGATAAATACAGTACTACTTCCTAGAGGACCTGATCTACTGAATAATTAGCCGACATGACAGAAAACAATAGTATCACTGCAAAGAGGCCTTTATAAGATTTGACACAAAGGCCTCCAAGACGTATTTGACTTTGCACCTGGCTACCCAATTCACTTTGCTGCACATCCCCCAAGGGGGGCAGTCCGTCTGTCTACTGGGCTCCTTCTCTGGGAAAGTCTGGGAAACATTTCCAGGGGGAGAAGCTCTCATGCTGTCCCCCCTGAATACCTCACAGCAGCCCTTATGGTCAGCCTTTGAAGTGATGGTTTTTGATTCCTTACTTTTCCAAGTCAAAATCAGCACAGCCCTCAATGACTGGGGCTAGGAGCAGAGGTAGAGGAAGTTGGGAGGCGTTGGAGTAGGAGATTCAGGGAAGACAAGTTTACCATTTGAAATCATGTTGTGTATTGAGAAGGGCATGGACCTTAGAGACAGAACTTCCGGCTCTGCAACGGACACATGCAACCTTAGGTAAGGTAAGTCTCAGGTAAGTAAATTAAATCTGCATGGAAAACCCCATTTAGGGCTTGGCTTACAACTGAGCAGCAGGCAGTGAGAGCTGGTAAGGATTCTGTTCTCATGACAGTCATTTGGAAGGTTGGTGCCTTTACCTTGCACACTGGGGATTCAACTCAGTCCTGACCCACCACCTCAAGAAAACAATTTTCTTTCATTTCCTTAACACCTGATATGGTTTGACTGTGTCCCCACCCAAATCTCACCTTGAATTGTAGTTCCCATAATCCCCATGTATCATGGGAGGGACTAGGTGGAGATAATTGAATCATGGGGGCAGTTTCCCCCATCCTGTTCTCCCGATAGTGAGTTAGTTCTCATGAGATCTGATGGTTTTATAAGGGGCTTCCGCCTTCACTGGGCACTCATTCTCCTTCCTGCCACCAATGTGAAGAAGGATGTGTTTGCTTCCCCTTCTGCCATGATTGTAAGTTTCCTGAGGCCTGCCCATTCATGCTGAACTGTGAGTCAATTAAACCTCTTTCCTTTATAAATTACCCAGTCTTGAGTATGTCTTTATTACCAGCATTAGAACGGACTAATACCCAAATCTCTATTTCCTTTCTTGCATATTTAAGAGATGCTAGAAGTTAACTTCAAGTAGTTTGAAGCCTCTTCAGTTGCTTTGAGGCTGGACCCAGTGGGGGCCCTTCCACTCTCTGGCCTTGTGCACAGTCAGACTCTGCTCCCAGGAGCCAGAAGGAGCCAAGAGTCAGCTGGGCAGGTGGTATGGCTGGGGTGTGCCCAGGAGTTTGTGAGCAGGGGCCAGGCTGGGGCAGGGTGCCGCAATTCTGAAATGCTGCCCTGATCCAGTTTTGAGGCCCTGGCTAGAAGTCAGTCAGTTCCCCTTCTTGAGCAGATTCACTCCACATCCCCAGAGGCTGCCTTTGTTGGGCTCTCCCACTCTGGGCCACTGTCCACCTGCCCTCATCACCCCAGGACAGATACCAGACAGCCCAGCACAGCCCCACTGCTCCGGAGCCCTGACATTGTTCAATCCCACCAATCCGCAGCCTGCTTGCCTGGCCTCACCTGCTCCTTCATGCAGAAACTGCAACAAGGGAGCTTGCCCTGAGCTCACTCCCCTCATTCAGGGCCTCCTGACCCTATCCGAGCCTCCCCAAGGAGCCATGAGAATAACAAACTGTAAAATTCTTTCTGGTGTCATTCCTGACCTGCATCTGGCCTCACCACACTTCACCCAAGGTAATGTGCTTGTAACAGGCACAGCCCAGGCAATCAGACTGGCCTTGGGCATTCATTGGCACCAAGAGCATGTCCCCTCTTTGGCATTCCCTCACCCCCGCCCCCCAGCCACCAGGCCAGAGCCATGGGAAGGTCACCTCTTGGATGTTAGCCACCCTATTACTTTCTAGATAAAGAAACAATCTCGCTGCTTCCTCTGCTCTAATGTGACAGTTGCTGTCTGCCTCACCCAATGGGAAACAGTCATGAGCAGTGTAAGATGAGACATAACCAGGCCCACACATGTCTTTCCACAGGTCAGAATTTACAGAGGCTATTTTAATCATAAAAGCTACAAACTACCTGGAGTTCTCAAGGAGGCAATTCTTAGTATCACCTATGGAAACACAGGCTCAAGCCACTCCACAAGTCAGTCAATATTGCAAACCATACATAGTAGTATATTTAATCAATATATAAATGTTATAGATTAAACATTTCACATCAAACAAAGTAACGTTCAACATCAAGAGAAAAGGAGGTCAGAAAAGGAACTAATGAAGCAGTCCAAGGAGAGTGACGAGGAGAAGGGGAGTGTCCTGGGCTGATCCCAACGGACGCCAGTGTCTTGCAAGGAAGAGGCTTTGATGTGGGCAGAGGCTTCATCAGCAGATGCCAGGTGCTCATCACAAGTGACAGCAGGACAGGGTCTGCCAACACAGCAGTGTCTACCTGATGAAGTCTCACTCATTTTATGGCCACAGAGTCCTCTGGTGAAGACTGATAGTAAAGGGTCATGTCTTATCTGGTTAAGTGCGCATCTGCCCAGAGGGTCTTGTTAGCTAGTGAAGTTCTGCTCATTTTATGGCCCTTGAGTCATCTGGCAAGGACTGATAGTAAGCGTGTGCCTGTTCATGCCCTTGTCTAGTTAGGTGCAGTCTCTGTTGATTAGGGGAACATCTTTTCTCTATTGGCACGACGCCTTTTGAGATGTAAGATGGAGTAGTTTTCCAAGATAGAGTTACTTATGTCAAGCTTGCTGTTTACAGAAAGGCAGAGGTGTCCTTTCATTGTTCCCCACAGTCATCTAAATGCGGAGGTCTTCCTCCCTGAGGCAAACTCCCCGGAGTGGGGGGAGCGCTGGCCTCAGAGTCAGAAACCCAAGCTTACTTGCACCCTGAAGGTTTCACTCAAGCCAGGTCACTTTACTGCCCTGGGGCTCCATTTTCTTATTTTTAACATGGAAACAATAACGCCTGCCACAGGGTACCATGAGGAGGGCGAAGAGAGGATGATGCCTGCCCTCTGGTGATGCTGCTGGTTTGAGCAAGCCTGAGGTAGGGCTTTCCCCTGCTGCAACAGGATCCCACTTTCTCCACCATCGCCATTTGTAACCCTAGCTGTGGCCGTTGGTCTAGGGGAGGAAAATGTCCCTCGCTGGGACATGGATGTGGTGCTTTTAGGAGCCTGCATGGTTAGTGGATGAGAAGTTATTCCCAGACCACTTCAGGGCTGCTTACTGGCCAGACAGCACACAACCGTCTTCCCTTTCTAAACCTAGAGTTGAATTTACCTTCATCTTGTTCTGCTCCCAGAAATCATCCTTCTGTTTCTTGCTTTGTATGCTCCTGTAATGTAAAAATAGTTGGCAGCTTTTTCAAAAACTATGTAGCTGCCTAAAATCAAGAATTTCTATAATTTAACCTGATTATTAAATCCCTTAAGGAAAAACAAAGATGAAAAGCTTTTGGTAGGAAAGTTACATTGTGAAAGGATGATTTTGCTACTTATGCAGTCAGTTTTATTACTAAAAACCTAAACGTAACCCAGAAATTTAAATATCCTGAGATGTGGTTTTTCTTTGAAAATCACTAAATTGTGCTGAGTGTAGGGGTTCAGCTAATTGTGAGAATCTCTTTTTGATGACGTCATTACCCAGAGAAAGAAGAGCTGCCCCCAAATCTGCTCAACAGGGAATCCAGTGCCTCCACTGAAATAACAATCCTTTTGTTTAAGGCAACAAATCTCTCCATAAATCAAAATATTTTTCAACAGAGAAAGTGTTGCTTCAGAATTGATGAATAATTTTAAAAATTCTATTTCTATTCTTACATAAGATGGTTAATTACAAGGATTTGAATCACTAGTAATCGAAGGATCAACAAAATATATTGGCTGGGCTCTGTGGCTGGCATCTGTAATCCCAGCACTTTGGGAGGCCAACGCAGGAAGATGACTTGAGGCCAGGAGTTGGAGAGCAGCCTGGCCAACATAGTGAAAACCATCTTTACAAATTTTGTTTTAATTAGCTGAGTGGGGTGTTTGCATGCCTGTAGGCCCAGCTACTCCAGAGGCTGAGGCAGGACTGGATCCCTTGAGCTTGGGAAGTCACACCTGCAGAGAGCCATGATCATGCCACTGCACTCCAGCCTGGGCAACAGAGCAAGACCCCATCTCCTATATATACATAGAGAGAGAGACTATATTCAGCAAGAAAAGGATTTCTGTTTTAATATGCCTTCATTAATTTGGAAGATAATGGCAATGCTGAACTTTACCTAAGCCCAGTTCTCCTGGGAAGTGTTCCAAGAAATGGACAGCCCCCCAGGACCCCCTGCCATCCCATTTCTGAGATAAGGCCCTCCTCCAGCATCGCTCAGTCACTCACATGAGGCCTGTCTCCTATTCTTGAGATCCCAAGGGACTCTGAATGCCTTCCTTGTCTACCTGCCTTGACACATCCCCAGGCTGCCAGCTTCACTTCAAGATGCCTCTCACTGCAAAACCTTCTCCCCAATACGGCAGCCCAAATAAAGCAGTCTCAGTTGATCTGTGCATTCTTTCTTTCTCAGTTTTGGTGCCGTGACTTGGATAGGGCCAGACTTCACCTGGAGCCCCCATTGATCCCCAGGTAACGAGGCTTTTGGGGCCCTTGGTGCTCCATTCCTGACTGGTGCTCCGGAGACCCAGGCCTGTGCCTGACCTCAAGTGATCTACCTCCCTTGGCCTCCCAAAGTGCTGGGATTACAGGTGTTAGCCACCACTCCCATACTAAATATTTAATATTACGAAAAATTTAATTTGTGTTTAACAAAATTAAATCATTTTGACAAACTTTTATTCATAAGTAATCATGTTTTGTATGTTTTGTAGTGAGTCAACTTTAAGTCAACTTAAGTTTACAGTTTCCAAGATCTTTAGGTAATTTAAAACTGGGACTGATGCTTAATTAATGAATATTTATTATATACCTAGATCATTTGTAAGTAAGAGAACATTGAAGGATTAATTACTAAGCATAATTTTAATTTTGTATAATGTTTGCCTCTTTTTGTTGTTGTTGTTTTGTTTTGAGGCAGAGTCTCACTCTGTCACCCAGGCTGGATTGCAGTGGCGCGATCCTGGCTCACTGCAACCTCTGCCTCCTGGGTTCAAGTGATTCTCCTGCCTCAGCCTCCCGAGTAACTGGGACTACATGCACTCGCCACCACGCCCAGCTAATTTTTGTATTTTTAGTAGAGACAGGGTTTCACCATGTTGGCCAGGAAGGTCTCGAACTCCTGACCTTGTTATCTGCCCGCCTCAGCCTCCCAAAGTGTTGGGATTACAGGCATGAGCCACCATGCTCAGCCTCTTATTTTTATATGTACAGAGAGGTTATATATATATTTGAGCCTATTAGTGAAGATGCACATTTTTGGCATTTTGAGAAGTTGTAGTATAAGGGATATGTGGGTCTCAGAAAGCTGTGAAATGTATATTCATGAGTTCTGCTAACCTGTTGCAAAATGCTGGTGTGTGACAGTTTGCAATTATTTACCTCCTAATTTGCTGTGTGACATAGAAATTACTTTGGAAAAAAGTTAAAATCAATATATATGATTTTACTGGACTCTACTGGAAGCAATAAAAGCAGAGAGAAACAACTTTGTAAGCAATCTGTGTAGGATATGTTTTTGCTAAAGGGAAAAGAGAGTACTTTTGTCCTAAAGTAAAACGACTTGTTTTTCCATAATAACAAAGAGGAAAGTACAGGACAAAACCTGAATGAATATAGGAAGTTGCAGAAGGTTCTCAGAAAGTGATTTTTCTTTGCAGTGGTCAAAGCTGGCTAAGGTTGGTTGGGGTTTCGTACATAACAGAGCAGCTCCCTCGCTGCAATCTATTGAAAGTCAGCCCTTGACACAAGGGTTTATATATAAAAAAAAAAAAAAGACATTTGCGGGGGTCAAGCCAAGATGGCCGAATAGGAACAGCTCCGTTCTACAGCTCCCAGCATGAGCAACTCAGAAGACAGGTGATTTCTGCATTTCCATCTGAGGTACCGGGTTCATCTCACTAGGAAGTGCCAGACGGTGGGTGCAGGACAGTGGGTGCAGCACACCGTACACAGGCGGAAGCAGGACGAGGCATTGCCTCACTCAGGAAGTGCAAGGGATCAGGGAATTCCCTTTCCTAGTCAAAGAAAGGGGTGACAGACGGCACCTGGAAAATCGGGTCACTCCCACCCTAATACTGCGCTTTTCCGATGGGCTTAAAAAATGGCGCACCAGGAGATTATATCCCGCACCTGGCTCGGAGGGTCATACGTCCACGGAGTCTCGCTGATTGCTAGCACAGCAGTCTGAGATCAAACTGCAAGGCGGCAGTGAGGCTGGGGGAGGGGCGCCCACCATTGCCCAGGCTTGCTTAGGTAAACAAAGCAGCCAGGAAGCTCCAACTGGGTGGAGCCCACCACAGCTCAAGGAGGCCTGCCTGCCTCTGTAGGCTCCACCTCTGGGGACAGGGCACAGACAAACAAAAAGACAGCAGTAACCTCTGCAGACTTAAATGTCCCTGTCTGACAGCTTTGAAGAGAGCAGTGGTTCTCCCAGCACGCAGCTGGAGATCTGAGAACGGGCAGACTACCTCCTCAAGTGGGTCCCTGACCCTGACCCCTGAGCAGCCTAACTGGGAGGCACCCCCCAGTAGGGGCAGACTGACACCTCACATGGCCGGGTACTCCTCTGAGACAAAACTTCCAGAGGAACGATCAGACAGCAGCATTCGCGGTTCACAAAAATCCGCTGTTCTGCACCCACCGCTGCTGATACCCAGGCAAACACGGTCTGAAGTGGAACTCTAGCAAACTCCAACAGACCTGCAGCTGAGGGTCCTGTCTGTTAGAAGGAAAACTAACAAACAGAGAGGACATCCACACCAAAAACCCATCTGTACATCACCATCATCAAAGACCAAAAGTAGATAAAACCACAAAGATGGGGAAAAAACAGAGCAGAAAAACTGGAAACTCTAAAAAGCAGAGTGCCTCTCCTCCTCCAAAGGAACGCAGTTCCTCACCAGCAATGGAACAAAGCTGGATGGAGAATGACTTTGACGAGTTGAGAGAAGAAGGCTTCAGAGGATCAAACTACTCCAAGCTACAGGAGGAAATTCAAACCGAACGCAAAGAAGTTAAAAACTTTGAAAAAAATTTAGACGAATATATAACTAGAATAACCAATACAGAGAAGTGCTTAAAGGAGCTGATGGAGCTGAAAGCCAAGGCTCGAGAACTACATGAAGAATGCAGAAGCCTCAGGAGCCGATGCAATCAACTGGAAGAAAGAGTATCAGTGATGGAAGATGAAATGAATGAAATGAAGCGAGAAGGGAAGTTTAGAGAAAAAAGAATAAGAAACAAACAAAGCCTCCAAGAAATATGGGACTATGTGAAAAGACCAAATCTACGTCTCATTGGTGTACCTGAAAGTGACGGGGAGAATGGAACCAAGTTGGAAAACATTCTGCAAGATATTATCCAGGAGAAATTCCCCAATCTAGCAAGGCAGGCGAACATTCAGATTCAGGAAATACAGAGAATGCCACAAAGATACTCCTCGAGAAGAGCAACTGCAAGACACATAATTGTCAGATTCACCAAAGTTTAAATGAAGGAAAAAATGTTAAGGACAGCCAGAGAGAAAGGTTGGGTTACCCACAAAGGGAAGCCCATCAGACTAATGGCAGATCTCTTGGCAGAAACTCTACAAGCCAGAAGAGGGGGGGGGCGGCCAATATTCAACATTCTTAGAGAAAAGAATTTTCAACCCAGAATTTCACATCCAGCCAAACTAAGCTTCATAAGTGAAGAAGAAATAAAATACTTTACAGACAAGCAAATGCTGAGAGATTTTGTCACCACCAGGCCTGCCCTAAAAGAGCTCCTGAAGGAAGCACTAAACATGGAAAGGAACAACCAGTACCAGCCGCTGCAAAATCATGCCAAATTGTAAAGACCATCGAGGCTAGGAAGAAACTGCATCAACTAATGAGCAAAATAACCAGCTAACATCATAATGACAGGATCAAATTCACACATAACAATATTAACATTAATGTAAATGGACTAAATGTTCCAATTAAAAGACACAGACTGGCAAATTGGATAAAGAGTCAAGAACCATCAGTGTGCTATATTCAGGAAACCCATCTCATGTGCAGAGACACACATAGGCTCAAAATAAAAGGATGGAGGAAGATCTACCAAGCAAATGGAAAACAAAAAAAGGCTGGGGTTGCAATCCTAGTCTCTGATAAAACAGACTTTAAACCGACAAAGATCAAAAGAGACAAAGAAGGCCATTACATAATGGTAAAGGGATCAATTCAACAAGAAGAGCTAACTATCCTAAATATATATGCACCCAATACAGGAGCACCCAGATTCATAAAGCAAGTCCTCAGTGACCTACAAAGAGACTTAGACTCCCACACAATAACAATGGGAGACTTTAACACCCCACTGTCAACATTAGACAGATCAACGAGACAGAAAGTTAACAAGGATATCCAGGAATTGAACTCAGCTCCACACCAAGCAGACCTAATAGACATCTACAGAACTCTCCACCCCAAATCAACAGAATATACATTTTTTTCAGCACCACACCACACCTGTTCCAAAATTGACCACATACTTGGAAGTAAAGCTCTCCTCAGCAAATGTAAAAGAACAGAAATTATAACAAACTGTCTCTCAGACCACAGTGCAATCAAATTAGAACTCAGGATTAAGAAAATCACTCAAAACCGCTCAACTACATGGAAACTGAACAACCTGCTCCTGAATGACTACTGGGTACATAACGAAATGAAGGCAGAAATAAAGATGCTCTTTGAAACCAACAAGAACAAAGACACAACATACCAGAATCTCTGGGACACATTCAAAGCAGTGTGTAGAGGGAAATTTATAGCACTAAATGCCCGCAAGAGAAAGCAGGAAAGATCCAAAACTGACACCCTAACATCGCAATTAAAAGAACTAGAAAAGCAAGAGCAAACACATTCAAAAGCTAGCAGAAGGCAAGAAATAACTAAAATCAGAGCAGAACTGAAGGAAATAGAGACACAAAAAACCCTTCAAAAAATTAATGAATCTAGGAGCTGGTTTTTCGAAAGGATCAACAAAATTGATAGAACACCAGCAAGACTAATAAAGAAGAAAAGAGAGAAGAATCAAATAGATGCAATAAAAAATGATAAAGGGGATATCACCACCGATCCCGCAGAAATACAAACTACCATCAGAGAATACTACAAACACCTCTACGCAAATAAACTAGAAAATCTAGAAGAAACGGAAAAATTCCTTGACACATACACCCTGCCAAGACTAAACCAGGAAGGAGTTGAATCTCTGAATAGACCAATAACAGGCTCTGAAATTGTGGCAATAATCAATAGCTTACCAACCAAAAAGAGTCCAGGACCAGATGGATTCACAGCCGAATTCTACCAGAGGTACAAGGAGGAACTGGTATCATTCCTCCTGAAATTATTCCAAACAATAGAAAAAGAGGGAATCCTCCCTAACTCATTTTATGAGGCCAGCATCATCCTGATACCAAAGCCAGGCAGAGACACAACCAAAAAAGAGAATTTTAGACCAATATCCTTGATGAACATTGATGCAAAAATCCTCAATAAAATACTGGCAAATGGAATTCAGCAGCAAATCAAAAAGCTTATCCACCATGATCAAGTGGGCTTCATCCCTGGGATGCAAGGCTGGTTCAATATACGCAAATCAATCAACGTAATCCAGCATATAAACAGAACCAAAGACAAAAACCACATGATTATCTCAATAGATGCAGAAAAGGCCTTTGACAAAATTCAACAATGCTTCATGCTAAAAACTCTCAATAAATTAGGTATTGATGGGACGTATCTCAAAATAATAAGAGCTATCAATGACAAACCCACAGCCAATATCATACTGAATGGGCAAAAACTGGAAGCATTCCCTTTGAAAACTGGCACAAGACAGGGATGCCCTCTCTCACCACTCCTATTCAACAGAGTGTTGTAAGTTCTGGCCAGGGCAATTAGGCAGGAGAGGGAAATAAAGGGTATTCAATTAGGAAAAGAGGAAGTCAAATTGTACCTGTTTGCAGATGACATGATTGTATATCTAGAAAACCCATTGTCTCAGCCCAAAATCTCCTTAAGCTGATAAGCAACTTCAGCAAAGTCTCAGGATACAAAATCAATGTGCAAAAATCACAAGCATTCTTAAACACCAATAACAGACAAACAGAGAGCCAAATCATGAGTGAACTCCCATTCACAATTGCTTCAAAGAGAATAAAATACCTAGGAATCCAACTTACAAGAGACGTGAAGGACGTCTTCAAGGAGAACTACAAACCACTGCTCAATGAAATAAAAGAGGATAAAAAGAAATGGAAGAACATTCCATGCTCATGGGTAGGAAGAATCAAAATCGTGAAAATGGCCATACTGCCCAAGGTAATTTATAGATTCAATGCCATCCCCATCAAGCTACCAAAGACTTTCTTCACAGAATTGGAAAAAACTACTTTAAAGTTCATATGGAACGAAAAAAGAGCCCGCATCGCCAAGTCAATCCTAAGCCAAAAGAACAAAGCTGGAGGCATCACGCTACCTGACTTCAAACTATACTACACGGCTACAGTAACCAAAACAGCATGGTACTGGTACCAAAACAGAGATATAGATCAATGGAACAGAACAGAGCCCTCAGAAATAATGCCACCTATCTACAACTATCTGATCTTTGACAAACCTGAGAAAAACAAGCAATGGGGAAAGGATTCCCTATTTAATAAATGGTGCTGGGAAAACTGGCTAGCCATATGTAGAAGGCTGAAACTGGATCCCTTCCTTACACCTTATACAAAAATTAATTCAAGATGGATTAAAGACTTAAACGTTAGACCTAAAACCATAAAAACCCTAGAAGAAAATCTAGGCATTACCATTCAGGACATAGGCATGGGCAAGTACTTCATGTCTGAAACACCAAAAGCAATGGCAACAAAAGACAAAATTGACAGATGGAATCTAATTAAACTAAAGAGCTTCTGCACAGCAAAAGAAACTACCATCAGAGTGAACAGGCAACCTACAAAATGGGAGAAAATTTTTGCAACCTACTCATCTGACAAAGGGCTAACATCCAGAATCTACAATGAACTCAAACAAATTTACAAGAAAAAAACAAACAACCCCATCAAAAAGTGGGAGAAGGATACGAACAGACCCTTCTCAAAAGAAGACATTTATGCAGCCAAAAAACACATGAAAAAATGCTCACCATCACTGGCCATCAGAGAAATGCAAATCAAAACCACAGTGAGATACCATCTGACACCAGTTAGAATGGCAATCATTAAAAAGTCAGGAAACAACAGGTGCTGGAGAGGATGTGGAGAAATGGGAACACTTTCACCCTGTTGGTGGGACTGTAAACTAGTTCAACCATTGTGGAAGTCAGTGTGGCGATTCCTCAGGGATCTAAAACTAGAAATACCATTTGACCCAGCCATCCCATTACTGGGTTTATACCCAAAGGACTATAAATCATGCTGCTATAAAGACACAGGCACATGTATGTTTATTGCGGCTCTATTCACAATAGCAAAGACTTGGAACCAACCCAAATGTCCAACAATGATAGACTGGATTAAGAAAATGTGGCACATATACACCATGGAATACTATGCAGCCATAAAAAATGATGAGTTCATGTCCTTTGTAGGTACATGGATGAAATTGGAAATCATCATTCTCAGTAAACTATCACAAGAACAAAAAACCAAACACCACATATTCTCACTCATAGGTGGGAATTGAACAATGAGAACACTTGGGCACAGGAAGGGGAACATCACACTCTGGGGACTGTTGTGGGGTGGGGGGAGGGGGGAGGGATAGCATTAGGAGGTATATCTAATGCTAAATGACGAGTTAATGGGTGCAGCACACCAGCATGGCACATGTATACATATGTAACAAACCTGCACATTGTGCACATGTACCCTAAAACTTAAAGTATAATAAAAAAGAAAAAAAAAAAAGCTGGCTAAGGTTTAATGGAATTACTTACACAATTTTCAAAAAGAACTTTTTACATTTACATTTGGTCTGCTCTCACTGAGATGTTGAAAAAGTTGTCCTTTGCCTTCTGAGTAAGCTGCCTAGAAGGTAAAGATCCTTGTGCTTTATGTTGACTTTTTAATGTTCTTGATTATTTAAGAGAACCAAATATTCTCATTTTGAAAGCATGAAGATTCTTTATAGTCATGTTACCCCCTACGTTTCCTTATAAAACTTTTTATTTTTGAGACGGAGTCTCTCTCTGTCACCCGGGCTGGAGTGCAGTGGTATGATCTTGGCTCACTGCAACCTCCACCTCCTGGTTTCAAGCGATTCTCCTGCCTCAGCCTCCCAAGTAGCTGGGATTACAGGCATGCCACCACACCCAGCTAATTTTCGTATTTTTAGTAGAGACAGGGTTTCACTATGTTAGCCAGGCTGGTCTCGAATACCCGACCTCAGGTGATCCTTTAATGTCACTTTGGTTAAGTAGGTAGCCAGGTACAATTTCTCAGTAATCCATGATTACACCTTTTTTTTTTTAATGTTATCTTAGAAACAGGGGCTGTCTCTGTGGCCTAGGCTGGAGTGTAGTGGCATGATCATAGCTCACCGCAACCTCGAACTCCTGAGCTCAAGTGATCCTCCCGCCTCAGCGTCCTGCTTAGCAAGGACTAGAGGTGAGCACCACTGTGTCTGGCTAATTTATTATTTTTCTGTAGAAAGGGGTCTCACTGTGTTGCCCAGGCTGGTCTTGAACTCCTGGCCTCAAGAGATCTTCCTGCCTCAGTCTCCAAAGTGCTGAGAGTACAGGCATAAGCCACCATGCCCAGTCTTCAGTTATTTTTAAAATGTCAACTTCATCATGATTTTCCCTCTTTAATTTGAATCTAACAACTTCTCAGCCAGTGGTTTTCTTTTTTAAAAAAAAAGCAATGAATTTTATTCATAAAATGTGCTAACAGAGTAGATTTTAAGTGTTCTCACCACAAAAAATTATAAATACATGAGGTAATGCATGTTAGCTTGATTTAGACATTCCACAATGTATACATTTATTTTATTTTATTTTATTTTATTTTTTAATTTGACTTTAAGTTCTGGGATACATGTGCAGAACGTGCAGGTTGGTTACATAGGTATACGTGTGCCATGGTGGTTTGCTGCACCTGTCAACCCGTCATCTATGTTTTTAGCCCCGCATGCATTAGGTATTTCTCCTTATGCTCTCCCTCCCCTTGCCCCCCACCCATCACAACAAGCCCCAGTGTGTGATGTTCCCCTCCCTGTGTCCATGTGTTCTCATTGTTCAACTCCCACTTATGAGTGAGAACATGCGGTGTTTAGTTTTCTGTTCCTGTGTTAGTTTGCTGAGAATGATGGCTTCCAGCTTCATCCATGTCCCTGCAAAGGACATGAACTCATTCTTTTTTATGGCTGCATAATATTTCATGGTGTATATGTGCCACGTTTTCTTTATCCAGCCTATCATTGATGGGCATTTGGGTTGATTCCAAGTCTTTGCTATTGTAAATAGGGCTGCAATAAACATACACGTGCATATGTCTTTATAGTAGAATGATTTATAATCTTTTGGGTATATACCCAGTAATGGGGTTGCTGGGTTAAATGGTATTTCTGGTTCTAGATCCTTAAAGAATCACCACACTGTCTTCCACAATGGTTGAACTAATTTACATTCCCACCAACAGTGTAAAAGCGTTTCTATTTCTCCACAACCTAGCCAGCATCTGTTGTTTCCTGACTTTTTAATCATCGCCATTCTAACTCAGCCGGTGGTTTTCAACTGGGGCTTTCACATCACTTACCCATGAAGTTTTATAATGTGCAGACATTCAGGACCTGCTCCTTCCTGAGTCCCTTTGCACTTCATATATTCTTGATATATTTTAACTATATGCTTTCACATATTATGTCAGTATTATTATATGTTGTATCTGAAGATATTGTCTCCATAAAGATCATGTTAATCCATTTTAATAAATTAGATGTGACAGCCATTCTTCTTTGAAAATGGGGCTGTCCATGTTTGTGGGTATTTTATCTAAGTTTACTTGGACTGATTTTACTACCATGTTTTGCATATGCCAGAGCAACAGCACAATTTCCCTGTTGGTTGGATCATTCTTGTCATGAACTCTCATCAGACTTTCACTTTTGAAAATGGTCAGTAATAAGGTAACCACAGCCATTGTAAGTCTTTCTTCATCTACATAGTTTTTTTTTTTTCTTTTACTCTGATGCTTCTTTGAAAGCTTTACAATCAGCTATAGGCCAAGGTGATATGGTTTCAAAAAAGAGTTTTCTCAGAACCCTATGGAAAAGGTATCTGTTTAGATGCAGATCTCTGATGGCATTGCCTAAACCATGTCTGTGGATTGAGTCAGGACTTCCAAGACTCTAGTTGAGAAACAGATGGATTTGTGAGACTGCTGACCCAATATCCAAGAATTAATTGCATAGGGCTGAATGAACAGATGAGGAACAACTGTGGTTTTTGTTTAGAATATTATTGATGTTTTAATATTCTATTCTCTGAATACATAAGGTGTTTTTGCTTTCCTCTTAAGCTATCTGTAACTAACAATTTATTAGACTCTTTTTGTAAGTGGAAATAAAACATTTATAAGTGATATCTTATTCTCCTTGCCTGGGCCCTCCAGAAGTCAGAACTTTTATTGAGTGTTCTTACTTTTTCATGGCAATATAATTGTTTGTCTAGGTTGGATAAGAATCTGTCCTCCTTGTAACAAGACAAAATTGGAAACAATGGTTCCATAACAAAGGCCATGACGGAAATGTCATATTTGAGAATGATGGTCATTTAATAAGATATGAACAGACACTTTTGAGGAACTAAGATTGACTGTATGGAGCCAATGTTTACAAACTCTCCCAGGAATACCGGTGTGGTACCTGGCAAATATGTTCTCAGCCTTACAGATGAGCAAAGACTACTTCCTGACCAGCCCAAGAACATTAGGACAGCTTGGGTGGGGACCTCAAGATGAGAAGAATTTGACCAAATTTATAGATATTGCAAGTGAAATCTAGTGGTTTGATATAGCTTTGCCTGCTTAGCATCAAGAGGCTTTAAGAAATCCAATCTGAGATTCTTTATGAAAACTTCCAGCACGGCAAACTTAAGGCCAGCAAATTTAACATCCTACAATACCGACATAAATAAGTAGGCTAAATCTAATGAGACCAGCCTTATTTTGTGATCAAGAGCAAGCTTTCTTTCATATTATCTTTAATCAAAAGGGGGATAGTTAAAGAGAATTGTGTTTGAGTAGAAAACTATAGCACTCCCTGGGTTTATCGAACTCTGGCCCTGCCTTTGGGCTGTTTCTTGCCTCTTTTTTGTAATTCAAGGTACCTGATGAATATGCATTCTCTGTCTTATCTGGCAAAGAAATAATTGACTTCCTCCCGCTCTGAAGAAAACGGTATTGATACCTACTTATAAATTAGATCAGACCCTGTCACCTTATTCAGATCGTCAGTTTCCCTCAGTGTCTACCTAAAACTCTCCCAGCAAACAGTTCCCATTTTTCTCCCTCCCTCCTGACTTGGTGTCACTGAGAATTCAAGGCTGATGGCCAGATCCCCTAGAACTCCAGGCTGCCTCATAGTGGCCCTTGCCTAGGATGGCAGAAGCTCTGTGAGCTGAAGCCTTTGGACTTGATCCAAACCTCCCAGAGCTGCACCCCCCACCCCCCCCACCCCTGCCCACAGCAGACCCTGCATGGGCTGGATTCCCCTGGACAGGTCAGAAGAAGGTTGAGCAGAATGCTCAGGTCATGCACACCCTTGTACAAGAGATAACCATACCTGTGCACAGCATCACAAGAACACCAGCAGCCTGGCTCGGGAACTGCAGAAACTCAGGGAATGGGGCTGCCTAGTGGCTTGGAACCCACTGAGAAAGGACAAGAGCCTGGGGTGTTAAAGCAGTTAAACAGGGAGTCGTCCAGAGTCTCCTGGGATTCACAAGAGAGAGGAGCCAGGTCTTCCAAGCCACTGAGCCAGGCTAGAGGAGGGTCTCATCCCGGAATATGGGAGGGCAGGGGGTCCTGTGGGACTGTCCATTTCTCTCTTAGATCACAAAACGGTAGAAGAGGATGAGGATATCTTATTTATTTATAATATATTTAGGGGTACAAGTGCAGGTTTCTTACATACATTCATTGCAAAGTGGTGAAGTCTGGGCCTTCAATGGAACCATCACCCAGATAGTGTACATTGTACCCAGTAGGTGGTATTTCATCCCTCACCCATCCTTCCACTCTCCAACCCTTCTGAGTCTCCAAGGTCTATTCTTCCACTTTGTAGGTTCATGGGTATGCATTTCTAGGTCACATTTGTGAGAACATGCAATATTTGACTTTATTCTTCTGAGTTATTTCACTGAGGATAATGGCCTCTAGTTCCATCCGTGTTACTGCAAAAGACATGGTTTCATTCTTTTTTATGGCTGCATAGTATTCCATGGTGTGTGTGTGTGTGTGTGTGTGTGTGTGTGTGTGTGTGTGTGTATGTGTATGTATATGTATATCTCACATTTTTTTTTGGATCCTGTCTCCTGTTGATGGTGTTGGTGGACATTTAGGTTGATTCCAGATCTTCGCTATTGTAAATAGTGCTGCAATAAACATACAAGCTCAGGTGTCTTATGTAATGACTTACTTTGAGGGTAGAGGAGGATTTCTTGACCTTCAATTGTTGTATTTCAGGACAAGGTAAAGTTCAACCTTGTCATTCTCCCCTCTTATTCAAGAGGAATGAAGATCATCATTGGTGAACAATATTCACCAAGGTTAATCATCATCTTCCTGAGTGAGGTGAAGTGGGTCTGAGAAACACTCTACCAGGACTTTTGCTGGTGGTATTCCTGTGAATCGGTTCAACCACCTGTTGAGAGGGGGTGGCACAGTCCAGAGTGTTAATACATTGAAGGCCAGTCTTATTGAAAGAGAAATGCCTAAAATGATGAAGAGAAATGTGAGTGTAAATGTCACATTAAAGGGAAGAGTGAGTGTTGATCCCTGGGAATGATGAATCTCACTGAGCCCTCACTGATGAAACTTCTCCCCTACTGCAACAGCCTAAATAAATCATCTCCTTAATTGTCCAGCATATTCTGTCTTTCACAACAAGATTGAGAGTCTTAAATTTACATAATGTAACAAAAATATTAGAAATAACGTCACGAAGTGTTCCATCTTAAACCTTCTATGTAGTATTTTTTTAAACCTTGTGTGGTATTTTAATGAAAATATCTGTAATCTTCTGATAAAAATACTACACAAGATGGTGAAAGATTTGTCAACCAGTAAAGAACTCCTGTCTTGGCCTAGGAAGGTGTAACTGTGTAGACACAGTTCATAAACCTAGTAGTGGGCATTCAGCTCATTTTAGTTCAATCTAAGACCTTTTATCAGAGCTGTATTTTATTATTGCACAGGCACCTACCCCCCCCACCCCGCCCCACCTCCCACACACACACAAGGCCTAGAGGACTTTACACAAATGAGGCAATCCAGTATCGTGGTTTGATTGCTGTAATGATGGACAGATAACATTTCTTGATGAGCTGTCTCCCAGATTCTCCCAGCGTAACCAGGGTTTAGTCGCTTGTGGTTTGGACACACAGTCTCTGGAAGCCCATCTCCTCATTTTTAGTCAGATCCAAAATGTAAAGGGTCCAGCCCATCCTCATCCCCTGGGTGTGCCCTTGAAATGCGACTGGTGTGAACCGGGACGTGCTCTGTGTGTGAAATGCACACCAGATTTCAAAGACTTAGTATGAAAAGAAAAATGCAAAGTATCTCCTTAATAATTTCACATGGTTAATATTGATAGGTTAATATTCTGGATATGTTGGGATAACAATAATATCCCATTAAAATTAAAATTAATTTCACTTGCTCCTTTCTTCCTTTTTAAAAATGCAGCTACCAAAAAATTTAATGTTAAATCTGAAGCTCACATTCTATTTCCGTCAGACAGCACTGAGTCTAAACTCAATTTCTGTGAGTACTAATAAATGCAGAGTGACCTTCATGGGGCCTGCTTCACAAAGGTCACACACCCTAAGGCATCTGTTCTCTCGCCTCTTGTCACATGGAGTCCCCCGAAGTCAGCCTCTCAAGTAGCAGGGCCCCTGAGCACCAATTTCAAAAATGGACTGGGTAGGAATTCCCCACCCCAGGCAATCCCCCAGCCCCCACCTGCTGACAGAGATGTCAGCCAAGTGTCAGAACTGTGACCAGGACACAGATTCCTGCACTCCCACAGCTCCTCAGGCCCATAACAGGCTGGCTCCAGGACCGTAGGGGCCCATAGCTCAGGCAGCCCCCACATCCCTAGGCTGCCAGGTCTTGGTTTCACACCTTCCCCCTCATCCAGACACAGTCCTCTTTCCTCTCTTCCCTTGGAAAGTCTCCTAATTTTGAGCCACTAGCCGTTCATCTGAGGCACCCTGGGGGGCTCCTGCTGCCCGTGTTGAATTGTACCTGCATTCCACATAAATGACTGCAGCTGGCTCTGGCCAGACTTCCCTAGAAGAGGAGAGCAGGAAGGCCTTGCTGGGGAGCATTCGGGGTCCCTGGGGCCAGCAGGGCATTCAGCAGCAGTTGTGTAGGGTGACGGCGCACCTGCCAGGCACCCTGGGAGCAAGCTGCCCTTCACCTGATGCCCTCTCCCTGCAGGAGCTACAGCACCTGTTACACAAGAGTGCAGGTTCCCCTTCTGTATGTGAAAAGGGAAATCTAGTCTTCTCTTAGGGGTTGGCTTCTTCCCAGGTGTCTTCTCCAGATAGATCATTCAAGCATCTGTTCCTACCAGGGCCAGAAGAAGACACCCTAGAGGAGTACTTCAGATTCCCAATGGGAGGGCAACCCCTGACTTAAACACCTGAGAATGTCTCTAGGACACAGGGTGAATGTGCTCTGCAAGATAATGAATGAGAACAAAGAATTAAGACAAATACAGAATAGCAACTTTATCTTATTCAAAAGATAGATACTATTTTCATTGCTACAGATCTTAATGGGTCCAGCAACCATCCATTAAACAATCTGTTAAGACTTAAGGCAGAACTGTCATTAATCTGAGTTTTCTAATGAAATTGTTTGTACAGAGCATAAATACCAATCTTCAAATTACAATACGGAGCATAAAAGGGGGCCTGAGGATTTCCGCAAGGCAGAGCTGACCGCTGAGCTCTGGGGTGCTGGGATAGAGACCCCCAACACCCAAGCCTGCCTTAATTTCCAGACGCAGCTTCCTTCTTAATAGTCTATTCCTAACATTCTTGCCTTCTCTAGATTTCTGAGGTTTTAAAATGCTGCAAATACTCATTTTCCTGTTGAAATCTTTCACACGTCTTATAGTACGTAACCCCCACATTAAAAACAAACAAAAGAAAACACCAGAAAGTTGGGGATGGAGTTGTGAGGCAGCCCGGCACAGGCCTGGGCTGTCCCAGGGGTCTGAGCAGATGGCCATCCAGCAGGGTGGAAGGTGGAAGCTTAGCCTCCGAGAGGGGATTGAGTAAATAGTAAACAAGGAGCTAGGTTCTTCATGGTAGCCAGGCGGGGTGGTGCCAGCCTTTCACTGTGGGGAGAGAGCCTCACAAATGCAGAAAAGGGAAGGGCTGGAATGAGTGAGTGCTGTGGGCCTGAAATGGGAGGCATTGGTGTGAACTCGTGGTTTCCAATTTAACTTGATAAATGTGGAAAGAAGTATAGATGTGAGTATGTATAAATGTGTGTATGTGTGTAGAGATATAGAGATAGATGATGAAATATATTTCCTCATGCTGTCCACAAAAGGTACCTGGGGACAAGGGCCCCTTGGTAACAAAGGCCACACCTACGTTGCAGATCTTGGCTTCCAAATAGCATTTTTCATTACCACAAGGAAAAATGCCTGGTTCAGGGTTAGCAGGGAAAGCACAAGATGGCCCTGGAGTATCCTGATGTGGCGGAAAATAAGAACATGCTCAAACAATAATGGGCACATGTGCAGGAAACACAGAAGCCAGGCTGATGAGGCTGTCAGTGGCCAAATCCAGGGTAATTTGGACATCAAGACAATAATGATAGCAATGCATTATAACTCATTGAATAAAACAGGAATTCATGAGAATGCACAAAAATAATGTTTTGAAACCATACACACGTATGTACACATGTGCATATATGAAAGAGAAACAACTACCTCTTCGTAGAATGCCAACTGATAAATGCAGAAAAAATAATGACATTTGAAAAACAGCTCTCAGCAGTCCTCTATTCTGGCAAGAAACATCAATAGATGTTAAAACTTAAGAAAGCAAATGGATGAGGAATGAGACCTTAAATAGTTTCAACTTTATCTCCACACCAAATAGTTACTGAATGATTGCAAATGGAATCAAAAGTAACTTTATAGCAGAGGAGCCTGGCTACTAAGATAGCACCTTAATCATGTGATCAAAGTCAGTGTCACAAGCCATGAGAGAAATCAGCATCAATTTGCCAACTGATAAGAGGTAACAGAACACACTACCACACACGTGACAATTCAGTGAAAATACGTGGAAACCAGCTCTAATCTAGAGGAGACACTGGACTGCACCAAGTGGAGGGATATTCTACAAAATTTCGAGGCAGCAATTTTCAACAATCTCAAGGTCATAATATTTAAGGAAAGACTGAGAAACTGGTCCAGATTGAAGAAGATTAAAGATATACAACAAGTGGGTGCAACATGTGATCTTGAGTCAGGGCCTTTTCCTGTAAGGTTTATGACAGGGAAAATTGGAGAAATTTGAATGGGATCTTTGTACTATTCTTACAACTTTTCTGTAAGTTAGAAGTTATTTCTAAACTAAAAGTTTAAAAAAAAATAAGTATCTTGTCTCTTTTATTGTTGCCTGTGACCAATAAAAATCATTTTCTTAATTTTTGCAATCTAGCATCTGACAAAGGTCTAATATCCAGAATCTACAAGAAACTTAAATGAATTTACAAGAAAAAAACATCAAAAAGTGGGTAAAGGACATGAACAGACACTTCTCAAAAGAAGACATTTATGCAGCCAACAAACATGAAAAAAAGCTCCACATCACTGCATTAGAGAAATGCAAATCAAAACCACAGTGAGATACCATCTCATGGCAGTCAGAATAGCTAGTGTTAAAAAGTCAAAAAACAACAGATGCTGGTGAGGCTGTGGAGAGATAGGAATGCTTTTACACTGTTGGTGGGAATATAAATTAGTTCAACCATTGTGGAAGACAGTATGGCTATTCCTTAAAGACCTAGAACCAGAAATACAATTTGATCCAGCAACCTCACTACAGGGTATATACCCAAAGGAATATAAATCATTCTATTATAAAGATACATACACACATATGTTCAATGCAGCACTATTCACAATAGCAAAGACATGAAATCAGCCCAAATGCCCATCAATGATAGACTGGATAAAGAAAATGTGGTACATATACACCATGGAATACTATGCAGCCATAAAAAAAAACAAGATCACGTCCTTTGCAGGGACATGGATGGAGCTGGAAGCCATTATCCTCAGCAAGCTAATGCATGAACAGAAAACCAAACACTGCATGTTCTCACTTATAAGTGGGAGCTGAACAATGAGAACACATGGACACAGGGAGGGGAACAGTGCACACTGGGACCTTTTTTGGGGGGAAGGGGAGGGAGAGCATCAGGATAAAGAGCTAATGCACGTGGGGTTTAATACCTATATGATGGGTTGATAGGTGCAGCAGACCACTATGGCACACATTTACCTTTGTAACAAACATGCATATCCTGCATGTGGATACCGGAACTTAAAATAAAATAAAATAAAATTTAAAAGAAGGAAAAAGAAAAAATTATTTTCGTGCATGTAAACAAGTGAAAATTAGACCTCATAAATGTGTATGTATATGTGGTATACCTGGATGATAGATAAATGACAGATAGATAGGACTTAATTTTCAGTTAAATATATTAATATATGTGCATAACATTACACATACATCACATATATGACTTCGCTCTCAGGTGTATCTTTTACATAAGAACCTCAAAAGTCTTTGGAACAGAAATATAAGCTCTTCCAGACTTTAGATTAATTTAAACTTCAATCTCCATTGTAACATTCCAAAACTCCTGTTGAGCAGTAAATTGGAGTTGCAAAAGTTGTATTTCAAGAAGCCCTGAGTCACAACTTTTCAAAAAGTGTGGCTCCTGTTAAGCTGAGGTAGGGAACTCTGGGGGTTTATGCAAGGACGATCTCTAACTTGAAAAAGGAAACTGTATCAGAACATCCTTAGTTCTCCTCTGACTTTGTTTTAAGGACTGCACTCCTCCGTTGCTAATGTCTCTAGCTCACTGGGCTCTTTGACTCTAACGCTGCTGCCCTAGGCAGGTGGGCAGGCCTCTGAGATGCTTCAGGTTGTTTGCATGAGGGCTGAGCCAGGGTCCCACAGCACAGGGTGTCCCATGCCCTCCCCGGCTCCAGCAACAAGGGACATGTTCTATGGGTGAGCGGGGCCCACGGGGGCCATAGGAGCTGGTCAGAACCAGGCAACACTCCCTGCAGGCTCCTGGGAGAGTCACTGGCCCAATCTCCTTCGTTACAGACCCTCTCATAGAGGGTCTTCCATAACCCATCTTCCTACCCCATCAACCTTCACAAGAATCACTTCTGAAACACTGAAGACCTGACTGACACCTCAAAGCATGTTGGTAAACAAACAAATCAATGTTAACTATTTTCATGACTAACCTGAAGGAACAAAAGGACTAAAGAACATGACCCAAATTACCAGCCATAACTACTTTACCAAAGATATGTTTTAAAATCTTCATTTGTACACTCTCTCTGCTCCCAAACCCCTGCTCACACCTCATTAGAAGGTGAGAACAGCCAGCAAAGACGGCTTCTCACTTTTTCTCCATCAGAAGCTTAGCAGTCAGCCTAGGCAACATAACATGAGCCATCTTTACAAAAACAAACGAACAAACAATTAGCTGGATGTGGTGGCTCAAGCCTGTGGTCCCAGCTACTCAGGAGGCTGAGACGGGAGGATTGCTTGGGCCCAAGAGGTTGAGGCTGCAGTGAGCTATGATCCTGGCCACCTGATGTCTGGTGAGAAACAGAATGAGCATGAGGCTGGCTAATAAAGGGGGGATCCCCTGCAAAGCTCTCACATGGGAGGACATGCTAGTGACATCTTGGTACAGCAAGGACCATGGCCCACCTGAGACAAAGTGGGTGGCTGGACACCTGGCCATCCCCTGCCTGGGACTAATGTGTACACAGATGCCTGCTTACAAGGACCAGTGCAGCACCTTAGCCCCCACCCCCAAGAAAGGGATTTGTGATCCCAGTAATATTTATCATCAGGGTTTTTTGTTCTTTCTTAAAATACCTTGTTCTAAATCCTGAGTACTGGTGTCCACTGTGAACGAACCAGGGCCAGTGATTAAGGAATGAAAAGAAACAAGGTCCACTGTGCTTATGCCCAGGTTTGTTTACCAGATCCCCTTAGCTACTCAGCAAACCTGCAGATTTTGCAATCCCGTATTAAGAGGCTTGAATGAAGTCTTTATATGCAATTCAATCATTGCAGCCTTGGGTCTAGTCCATGGGCCCGGATATTTATTTTCACATCTTGACCTGAGGTTGGCTCATGTTAGTGGCTGTGTCTGTGATCTGTCCTCAGGGCCCTCCTCTGTGTAACTTATCACACCCTGTGACGCAGCAAAGAGGCAGAGCGGGTACCAACATTCGCGTGAAAACCAAAACTCAGTCTCACACAGAGGCCTTTACACAAAACCCAGGACCCTGCATCTTAACAAAAGGTGTCCATCTCCCAGCAAATGGTGTGAGGAAAGAAGGCCCCTCCCTGAGGGTCCCAGCAGCCTGGGGTGGGGTGGGGATTCAGCTGCATCCTGGGATTGCTCTTGAAGACCCTGCTCCCACTAGGGTCTGGCCTGAATACGAGAAGGAATGCACTCACCAGGGTGTCTGCCACCCCTGCCGACCGGCCAACTCCCTCCCGTCTCTCTCCTTCTTTGCTTGTTTTTTGTCCAGTTGGGCATTTGCTGCCAGCCTTTTTCTGTTAACGTGCCCCTGTTTCAGGGTAAATTTAAAGGTCACAGATCAGCCTCTGGAGGGTAGGTTTCTTTGCTGCGGGTGCACAGACCCCCTCCAGGGAGCAGGAGGTACAGCAGGAGGCTGTGTGCCAGCCTGGCCCCTGCTCACACCTCATTAGACGGTGAGAATGGCCAGGAAAGACAGCTTCTCACTTTTTCTCCATCAGAAGCTTAGCAGTCAGCCTGGGCAACATAACATGAACCATCTTTACGTAAACAAACAGAGAATTAGCTGGGCATGGTGGTGTCAGCCTATGGTCCCAGCTACTCAGGAGGCTGAGGCAGGAGGATTGCTTGAGCCCAGGAGGTTGAGACTGCAGTGAGCTATTATCACACCACTGCACTCCAGCCTGGGCAACAGAGCAAGACCCTGTCTCTTAAAAAAAATTAATATTTTTTAAAATTTTTTTTTAAAAAAGAAGCATATCAGTGACAAAGTAACGCATGGACTGGTGGCAGGAGGAGCCTAGCAGCAAACAGTGGCCATCCAGGCCCCCGGAATGAAGAGACACACTGTCAGCATTGCAAATGTAGTATCAAAAATACATTTATTCTCCCTGTAAGCAATCTTACCCACTCATGGCTTTATTTGCTATCCACATATTGAGAACTCCCAAATATGTGACCATTGGTCATGTCTGAACACTGGGCTCCAGACCTGCAGACACCAGCATGCACTGGACGTTTAGCTGTCTGTCCCAAGGGGCCTCAGACTCACCATAGCCCCTCCCTGCCCAAAGGATCCCTGACACCTTTCTGTAGGATCCCAACATAAGGAGCCCGAGCTGAGGCCTCCCATGACCTCTACCCTCACCTCTATGTCCAGTCTATCACTAAGCCTCCTGAATGGGTGGGCATCTGAGGAAAGCCCACCAGGCCCAGGTTTCCTGCCCCGCACCCCAAGAGGCCTCCTGGTCATCCCCTGTCATCCTCACTCTGACCTGCCTTTTCCTTGTCTACCCTGCAGCCTTCAGGGTCGTCAAGTGCAGTCCTGGCCAGACTTACTCCCTCCCGGGTCCTCTGTTGCTTGTGACTCAGTCTGCTGCCCTCCCTCACCAGCCCAAGACCCTCAACTGGCCTTTATACCCAGCCAAGAGAGCCATGCATCCACCCTCCCAGTCTGAAAGGCCTCTTGTTCCTGGACTTCTGGACACCAATGAGTTCACACCTAACTCGGCCTTCAGACTTCAGCTCAAAGGACACCTCCTGAGGGAGAAGCTCCTCTTGGCCCTGTCCTCCCCCAACCCCAAATCTGACTCCATTTAGTACCCTCACCAATACCACTCTCAGGTGCTTCTAGCACACTATTCCTCAAACCATCTACCAAGTTTGCAGTTAGATGTTTAATGTTCAGCTGGTTTGATTACTGTCTCTCCCACCAGCTGCCTTCCACTACACAATTTTGCCCAACTCTATGTCCCTAATCCACAAAAAGTATGTGAGGTACAGCACATATATTCTGTGCTCAGTAAGTGTTTGTTAAATAAACACATGCATGAATGGTACAAAGATGCTGAAGAAAGAACTCAAGACATGCTGGATTTTAAGTCATCATTTTAGGTTAATATCATCTTAGGTTTGAGTCAATGTGAAAAAAATACTAAAACTATTCTACAGATTAGAAAGCAAATGGAATCGGTGTATAATGTGTTATTTTCATTGTCATGATTCGTTCTAGCTGATTTTTGGTTTTTTCCCTGGGGAAGGTTTGCGTTGCGGTGCTGTTGCCCAGGGTTGGCCCATGTGTATGGTGGGGAAGCGTGGACTACCAACCGTCGGGAGCTTGGGGGAGGCATGTTCATTTCTGTGCATTCCCCCCTGCTCCTCTAGAGTGTAGGCACAGCGTGGGAGTTACAAATAATCTATAAAATGCCACTAAATGTGTCCTTTCACTATTCAGAAAGTCCAAAAGGAAAGAGAAACCAGTTGAATTTCATGGCCCTGAGACACTCGTGGGCTTCTATGACTTTGCATAATGCTGGCTGATAGTTGGTACAGCCCATCCCAACTCGTGGCCTAACACGATTTTTTGACTTTATGGTGGTGTGAAAGCAACACGCATGTAGCACTCAAAGCACTCAAATTGTGCTTTGAATATCCATGAAAACATTCTGTGTTTCACCTTCAGTACAATTTCAATAAATTACAAGAGATAGACAACACTTTTTTCTAAAACAGGCTTTGTGTTAGCTGATGTTGCCAAACTGTGGGCTAATGCAAGTGTTCTGAGCGTGGTTAAGGCAGCCTGGGCTAAGCTGTAATGTTCAGTGTGGTGGGTACATTAAATGCACTGTCAATGGTACTTCCAACTGACCATGGGTTTGCTGGGACATAACCCCATTGAAAGTCAAGGTGCATCTGACGGGTTGGCCGTGCCTCACAAAGCCATTTTTCAGAAATGTTCAGTGGACTGAATGTGCACAGATGCTGGGCACTCACTCCACAAACATGACCATCATTCTCCTCCACTCCAGCCTTTCACCTCTTCCTCCCGAGAGCCATTAGGCACATTTTACAAACTTGAGAAATGATTGAGTCCATGTTCTCTGATCTTTTGGCTGCCCTAGGTAAATTCCTGATGAAAAGCTGGGCCATCCTTGACGAGCTCCTGAGACTGGATGGGGTCAGAGCCACATCCACAGCATGGCCTGCTCCAGGAAGTCTCCCCACACCGCCCCCTTAGAGTTCAACAGGAATGTGATGGGATCAAGGGAGGAATTCTAGAGGGGTTGTGTAAAAGTTGTGTAGTATGGAAGAGATGCAAGCAATTCCACTGGGGATTGCTTTCGGCTATGCTAGGACCACTTAAACCAAACAGGGGGTCTTCACACACGACAGCCAGTCTGCAGGCAGCAGCTCCCGCCCTCAAAGTCAGAGCGTCCCAAGCTCCTCTGTCTCCTGTGCCGTCACCCTGATAGCCACTCTCATCCTCATGAACAAGCCGGCCCCACCTGGCCATCAGCGCTGAACCCCTCCACTCCCCCATTCCAGGAGGCAAGGCAGGGAGGAAGGGAAAAAGCACATGCCGCCAGCCTCCACTCCCCTTTGAAGGAGCTTCCCCATCCCGCTTCAACTGACCACTGCCACATAACATGGCCACAAGTGTCCTGCAGCCACTTGTCAGCAAGGCCAGCTGAGAAATGGAGCCTTTCCCACTGAGCTCATTGCCACTCACAATGAGATTGAAGTTCTGTTAAGAGAAGGATGTTAGATGAGCACAGTCCTTGCCTCTCAAGTCAACACGAAGATACATATGCATGGACACACACATACACACACAACACACACACACACACACATGCACACATATATACACATATAACACAGACATATACATGAATACACACATATGCACACATATATAAACACAACACACACATAAACACTAACACACATATATGCATACACATGACATATACACATATATACATGTAAGAATATACACATACACACAGATACAAATACACATACACACAGAGATAAACACACATACAGACACACGCAGATACATACACACAGATACACACACACACACACACATACACACATGCACACAAACGTGTACATACATACAACATAGCATCTGGCATCAACTCAGTGGTCCAAGTTAGATTCTGATGAGTCCAGAATTGTGCATCTGATCTTCAAAAGAATCTACTGCCCTCCACCTATTTCAAAAGGCCAAACTTCATGATTCTGTACTAATTTCAGTCAGTTATGCTGCACATAGAACTTCTCAGTGATTTGCATGATCAGAGGACATTCCATTTAGTCAAGGGTCCATGTGTTATTCTTAAGAGCTTTAAGAGCAATCCTCAAAACAAGTATGAAAAATAAAAGCATCCAACGGGAATTGTGCTTGGTGTGACTAAACAATCCATTGAAAGCTATGAATACCACAACTCAAGAACACATGATAAGCATGAAGAGTGTTTCCCTACAACTGTGCCTAACGCTACTGCTGCCCTTCGGAGGGCAACAGGGTGCAACAGAGAGCAACAGGCCACAGTCAGAGCAGAGCTGGGTTCAGATCCCGCCTCTGCCCCTCAGTAACTCCACAGCCCAGCTGAATCTCCTTTTCTGTATGTGCAGAATGTGGACGGTGCGTAAGGACAGAGGTTGTATACGTAAAGAAAAGGCTCAGATAACGTAAATAGTGTTTGTTAATGCCATTGGAAAATTCGGTTTTCTATCCTTGTTCAGACTAGATTAATTAATCAGTTGGAAAAAAATTAAAGCATAGCACGTTACCCTGCAGCTGGGGAAAAGCAGCACATGAAAGACAGACATGTTTTAAGGGTTTTGGATACAGACTATTTAGCCACAATACTAGCAGTACAATGTGGGGGGTCATATTTTATTGCTAAGAAAGAGAGATAGTTATTTCTCAAGGTGAGAATGGTAAGTGTTTCATTTTCCCAGGGACTACTTTGGAGAAACCAATGGGAAGGCATTCCATTCTGTTTTCCCTAGTCCCTAGACAGGCGGCCTGTCTTGGATTAACACCACTGTGCCTCCACGCAGGTCTGGGTGGAGGGGCTGAGCTGGAATTCCCAGGGCTGCTGTCTGGAACACAGAGCCTGAGGAACCATCCGGGCCATTTCCTGGCCTGGACACTGAGCCAAGTAGCAGGAGGCAGAGGGAGGTGAAAGCAAAACCCAGCCCCAAGGTTGTGTCCCTTTTCAAAGCTGCCCACCTCATGTTGGTTCTTTCTTGCGGGTCATACTAAGTAAGGACCTGCCACAATTTGGAACTTGACTTGGAACCACTGTCATCCTGACTCTTCATTTTAAAAAGTCATTCTCCTCAAAAATAAATGAGTAAAACGTAAAAACAAATTCATTCTTCACTTTCAAAAGAGCTTATAAAATCAAAACCCTGGGGGTGGTTTTGGATACAGGTTTCCAGCTTCTAAGAACACAGAGTGTCTTACACTTTCCCAAGTTTCCCTTCCTCACAGGGGACCCCAGGCCTGAAATGATCTCCTTTCCCATTTAACTAATGCTTTCCTTGCTTCTTGGGGAGTCGTTTCTTGGTGACTGCCGAACTCTGCAGTGGAGCCGCGGGCAGCAAGCCCTTCTCACACTGCAAGAACACACAAGGACAAAGGATGCTAGTCGGAGAAACGCATTTATTTTTACAGTATCACTTCCTCACCCCCCCGAATGATAACTGTTTGGATTACTTATTATGAACTTGGAGGGGGGAGAAACCTCAAATCTAATTTGGTTTTCACTATTTGCACCACTATTTGTTTATCTTTCATTCATTACTGAGCTTGGGAAATTATAAAAAGAATCCGGCCATTCATCCACCCTGGGTCTAGAAGTTTTAATCTGCTGCCTTTCAGCTGCAGTCCTTCTTTCTCAGCTACTTCCATATTGAGATAGAAAGGACCCATAAGGCTTCTGTTTCTCTATAAATACTCTAACATGCAGGGGGGAAGCCACTAAGTAAAACACACAGAAAATCATTCTGCAAATATGACAGAGCCATTTAGCCACAGAGCAGGCTGGCCTCTGCGGACGTTGGGGTCGTCCATGCTTGACCAGAGACGGACCAGAGACTGATGGGAATCCTGGTCCAAGGAGGCTGAGGGAGCAAGACCTTGTTGTGGTTCAAACGCCACTCCATTCGTCTCCTAGAACATGTTGAGTAGTCCTCGAGGGCAGGGGAAACAGTGAGAAAGGTGACCTGGGCCCAGGAAGGAGAAGGTGAAGGCAGGCAGGAGGTGGAGAAACCATTCCCAGGGCTTGCACAGCTCCCAGGAATGCAGCCGAGTTTGGGAGTGCAGGAAATTGAGCACCAGGCCTGTGGTCAGCTGGGTCAGCCCTGGAAACTCAGGCCAGGGTGGCTGCAATCCCACTCTGGCTTGGGGCAGGTGTGTCCTGCATCTGTCCCACCTGCCGGGGCTCCTGCCAGCCATATCCTGTTCCCACAGGGAGCACACAGTGGGTCAGTACCCTCGTGCTCCAGGCACCCCATCTCCCCTCCAGCACCAGCGGGGAGCCCTCCTAGATGTCTTGGCAGCATCATAGCCTCATGTCCTGCCTTCGCAACTTATCTCCAATTTATCCTTTCTACCCAACCCAAGTCACCAGCTCCTTCAAAGGATGTCTGAAATGTCCCAGCTCTTTCCATGTCCACAGCTGCCTGCCCATCTCAGGGCCTCACTTCATCAGGCCTGGAGGGCAGCATGAGCGGTGAAGGAACGCAGGCCTCACAGCGATCACAGCAAACAGAAAGCAGCGCCATTTACCAGGTGTCACTGTGTGCCAGCCTCGGCCGGGGCTACTCCCAACCCATTCACAGAGAATGAAACAAGACCACTGCACCCTTCTCCAGGCCACAGCAATGTGTCATGTCACGTGTCACAAGGAAGCAAGTTCAGGCTGGGTAGAAGCTTCACGAAGAAGGCCTGAGCTCTTCCGGGGGAGGTGCCAGGCTCTTCACAACTGACCTGCTTCCTCCAAACCAGGCCGGGCCCTCGTTTAGATACCACTAGTGGTAAATTTGGAATTTCACCAATCAATCTTTGCAAAACAAGCTTGTGTGCCGTGCTGTGTTTTGAAAAGCAAAATGGAGACAGGATGGGCTTTTGTGATCTTGCATGCACGTGGCCTGCATAACACTCTCAGTTATGGAGAGCTGGTGGGGTCCAAGAACCCAGCTGTGGCATACACAGGGCTCTAACTGCAAGAGAAGAGGAACCTTGGAAAGAGGGCCGTCTGTGTGTCTGTGTGTGTGTTTTCCTGGCAAAGCTTCTTGTTTTTACATGAGGGTTTTATTCATACTTGGACTATTTGGAATTTGATATTTAATTAAAAGTTGCTATTTGGGCAATCCTAAAGATAGAAAATCAAACACATGCAGAAACTGCAATAATTACATGTGTGATCTCATTTTAAGCACAAACCATTGTTGCTATTCTTATAAATTTTTCTGCACATTCCTCGCAGTTGAACATGGGCTCTATCCCCGGAACTGCAGGGGAACAGAAGGCGCTGGATGAGGAATCACCTGACCCAGGTCTACCCTGACTCTCCTTCAAAGCATGTATTTCGAATAAGCATCTGAGCTTCTGAGGGTTGGCTCCATCTCTCAACGGGGAGGGCAGGCAAATGTCACTGCATTTCCTACCTGCAGAACTACTGCCATCAGCCATGGAAACTTTGGATGTAGAAACACTTTCAGTCCCGACTTTATTTCTCCACTTCCAGTTCCTCCTCAGCCAAGGGCAGACCTGCAGACAGTCCACCCATCCAACAAAGACCCTGAGACCCATCAGGAGTGAAGGTTTAGGCCCCCCTAAGTGTTTGTGAAGAAAGATAAAAAGTAAAATAAAACTGGGAAATGGCCAGGCCCAGTGGCTCATGCCTGTAGTCCCAGCACTTTGGAAGGCCGAGGCAGATGGATCATGAGGTCAGGAGTCTGAAACCAGCAGGTTGAAACCCTGTCTCTACTAAAAATACAAAACATTAGCCAGGCGTGGTGGTGGGCACGAGCAGCCTCCCAGCTGCTCGGGAGGCTGAGGCAGGAGAATCACCTGAACCCGGGAGGTGGAGGTTGCAGTGAGCCAAGATCATGCCATTGCACTCCAGCCCAGGTGACAGTGCAAGACTTTGTCTCAAAAAAAAAAAAAAAAAAAAAAAAACTGGGAAATACAAGGTCAACAGTGAAGCAAGAAGAGAAAGTAAAACCTCAGTGGCCCAAGGCCTGTATTCTAACACCTCCCAAGTGACTGCAACATTCCCAAGCCCAGGAGAAGGCCCCCAATGGTCTAAACAAGCGCCCCTATCGTTTTTAGACACACGTACAAGGCACCCTCTGTTGTGTGTGGCACTGAGGTGTTAGAGCCAGCCAGGAGGAGAACAAAGAACTCTCAGGAGCGGGCACAAGCACCCCACACCCCCAGCAGCTCAGAGCAGTGAGGCAGACATTCACTACACAGAAAAGCACAGAGACCTGTCGCACTAGCAGAAAGCCTTCTTTCCTGCACCATCTCCAGCTAAAACACAGCACAGTAAAATTGATGTAGACAATGACAACCTGGGACAGGAGAAAATGGATGAATTATGTCCTGGAAACTTTGCGTAAGACTGCAGGAAATTGGAAAGTATATTTCAAAAAGATTGTCACATTTAAATGCCTCTATTACAAAGGGTTAAAATCTCCACCATCCAAAAAAATCACTTTCCTGGAAGAGTCCATTCATTATGATTCTGGATAACTGGTATTTTATTTGGCAATTCCTCCCTTTGTTCTACACTGAGGAAAAGCTGAAAAATTCTAACTATGATTTTTCTTTGTGCCTCAAAATCTACTTGTCAGTCTTCAGATTTTTGGAAGTTGATTTAGGTTCCAGTCCCCAAGATAGGCTAGAACCAATATTTATTGAATCTTTACTGTGAGCCTAGACTGTACCAAATATGTTACAGCAACTGTCTCACTCAGCACTCAGAGCTCCTCCGTGGGGCGGGTGCTGGTATGAGGCCCAGGAGATGGACGAGGAAACTGAAGCCTGAGGAGGTGAATTAAATAATGAAAGCAGAACAAGAACCATGTCAGGATCCGAAGCTGTGTCCCTCTGGCTCTTGAACCCAAGTATCCAACTGCTCTGAAGGTGGGAAGGAGAGGAGACCAGCACAGAGGGCCCAGGTAACTTAACAACAAATCGGCTCTCACGAGAAAGTCAGGTTGGCTATATAACCAAATCCCAGGCAACTCCTCTCTCAGCCAGCACTCAGAGATTCATTAGGGCCCTGTTAACAGTAGTCCTTGGTGCCCCATCTGATTCCAGCAACAGCTTTGGGTCCCTTCAGCAAAAGACAGCACTGTGCAGAAGAGGGGACTCCTCTCACTGGGTTCTAAAATGGGAAAACAGAGAGCAAGGGGAGGCAAAAGGCACTCATGTTTAGCCATGATCCACGTCTTACTTCATCATAGGTCTCCTGTTAAATCACCTTTTTTTGACATAAATTTAAGGGATACAAGCGCAGATTTGTTACATGGATATACTGCACAGTGGTGAAGTCCAGACTTTTAGGGAAAACATCACCCTAACAGTGAAGGTTGTACTTACTAAGTAATTTCTCATCCCTCACTCCACCCTCCCATCCTTCCCCATCTGCAGTGTCTAATGTGTACCTGCATGTGTACACATTAGTGAGCACCCACTTATGAGTGAGAACACTTGATATTTGACTGACTTGTTTCACTTAAGCTAATGGCCTCCAGTTCAATCCATGTTGCTGCAAAAAACATGATTTCATTCTTTTTATGGCTGAATAGTATTCCATTGTGTGTATATACCACGCTTTCTTTGTCCAAAGTTGGACACACTGAAGTTGACTCTGTACCTTTGCTGGTGTAAAGAGTGCTGTGATAAACACACCAGTGCAGGTGTCTTTCTGACATAATGATTTATTTTCCTCTGAGTAGATACTCAGTAGTGGGGCTGCTGGATCAAATGGTAGTTCTACATATACATTCTGTATGTAGAAAATACCAAAGAATTCTTAAGAAAGCTACTAGATCTAATAAGTGAATTCAACAAATTTGCAGGGTATAAAAATTTTTTTTTTTTTTTTTTTGAGACGGAGTCTCGCTCTGTCGCCCAGGCCGGACTGCGGACTGCAGTGGCGCAATCTCGGCTCACTGCAAGCTCCGCTTCCCGGGTTCACGCCATTCTCCTGCCTCAGCCTCCCGAGTAGCTGGGACTACAGCAGGGTATAAAATTAACACACAAAAAGCAGTTGTATTGAGAAATCTGTCTACTGTTTTCCATAGAGGCTGTACAATTTTCATTCCAACCACTTGTTAGCTGAGAGCTGTCGGGGGTAGGAGTAGCCTCAGTGTTTCAGCAGGCATCTGTCAGAGACCCCCTGAAAAGGGGCTCAGCCACCACTGTCAGCTCCTGCATGCCCCAGCACCATCCCTGCAGCTGTCCACTGCCACCCTGGGCCCTGGACCCCTCACGGGGAGAAAACACAGAAATCACAGGAACCCTCACAAATGCCATGCACAGCCATCCCAACTCCTCCAAGAGCAGGCAACGCTCAGCCTGAGAAGCTGGCCCTGGAGGAATTTAAGTGTGGGCTTTCAGCTATTTCTAGTTTTTATTTGTTTCTGGAAAGGAGGGTGAAAAAGAAAGGGAGGAGTTGAAAGGGGGACACCAAAAGGCCTCCTTTCTATTGTTCCTTGTCATTTGAAACTCATTACTTGCCTGCTAGACTAATGATCCTGCCAGGAGTCCCTGGCGGGCATCCGAGAGAGCCCGCAGTGTCCTCTGAGCCCCAGATCTGGCCCTTGGGGCTCTCAGCAACCACCCAGGCTCCTCTATCTGCCCCAGGGCCACCTGCTTCTCACCTTGATTTCTCTATACTGATCCGAGTAGAAGTAAGCTGAGCTGCTGACATTTATCAACCTTACTTAGACTGAGGGGCCCAAGGAACACCACAGGAGTTAAAGGGAGGTGAAGGCAGAGGGGAGTCCAAACTGGGTAGAAGGTCTTTTACGCTCTCACAACCCTGGGGCAATGCAGAGTGCAACAGTGGCCAGCACTGTTGGGGAAGACAGGGCCATTAGCATTAAGTTATTCACAGAAAAGCTGGATGGCTTGATATCACTATCTGGCTTCAGGCAGGCAAGACAGAAGTAGAGACAAGAGTGCCAGCCTCAGAGACTTCTGGTGCCATGCCGTCCCCACACCCCACACACTGATGTGGCTGGGAGGGTTTCCTCCTTCAGTATGTGAGTAGTATTTCCATGTCTGGGGCTGTGCTAGTACTTGGACGGTCCTCAGCCCTTTCTTCCCACATGGGTGCCTTTCTAACGTTGGGCAACCCACAGTGATTTAACCTCAGAGCCTCTCCAGCTGCAATGGAGCCAACCTCAGAAACCCACCAGCCTAGGAGGAAATGGCGGAGTATCGTCTGGGCACACAGGGAGTCGTCGGTTCTCACCATAGATTTTATATTATTTATTCTTACAATCTAATAGTAATCTGCTCTGCTGGCCAGAGAGTTTGAGCTGCCCCAACAGATTTTCAACAAAAGTATTAGTAAAAGAGGGAACAAGCTTGTTCTTTGATACTCTAGAAAGAAAACCAGGTGCACTGAGTAGAAGTACCAAGTTCTGAGTATTTTTTTAGAAGTTGTAATGTTTATCATTTTTAGCTGCTTGTAAAGAGAATGTGATGTCTTGGCAGAGAGAACCCTTCTCCAGAAGCACTGCCTTGCTTTGTCATGAAGAGTAATCCTTCGTGCCTCAGTCTCCCATGCATTCCATTTGGGGAAGAGTGTGGAGGCTGTCCCACCCTGCCAGCACTAGAGCAGGGACAAAGACAGACAGGCAGCTATGGTTTTAGCCTCCTCCACCAGCCCAAGCCAGAGGACGAGCTGGCAAGATGCTGCGAAGTTTCCTTCAATGTTCTGTTCCACAATTTGGCAGTTGATGCTGACGTATAATGCGGCTGCCTCCCTCCCTGAGGTTCCTCCAACAGGAACACCGAGTTCCTGACTCCACACTTCCCTCTGTTCTCTTCCTTCTGTTCTGAGCATCAGCTGTGGCTCTTCTAGTAAAAGGTACCTAAGGCGTTCATGAGTATATCTAGGGGTAAGCAGAGGTCACCTACCTTAAGTCTACGCAAGACTGATTAGCATCCAGTCTCCATGTTTTGTGCATGGCCAACACTCTCACTAAGATTTCAGAGACTCACCTGAGGTGAGCGGCTCATATTCTCCTGCCTCTGGCTCCCATGAGTGTGAACTATTTAGTGATCAGCACACAGTGTGACTCAGTCCTCTTAATTATTGACCATCAAGAAAAAAAAAGAAACTCAAAGACATATTCAGGTGAGGAGAGGAGGCAGTCATATCATACCATAAAGCTCTGCCTGGGACAAGCCTGTTTCCAAGCCAGCAGGCACAGCTGCACCCAGGCCATAGCCCCTCTGAATGTGCCACCCCTCTCCTCCGCCCTCTTGCCTCTCCCCATCATTGGCAAAGTGCTGTTCATCCCCAGTGCAAAGCAGTTTGGCTATGTCATGTCGACCTAGCTCAGCCCTCGTTCCTTGAGCAAACACAGCAAGCACATATCCCGAGAGGGTACTGCTGGGGCTTCCTCACAGTGGTGGGAGCCAGGCAGCAGACAGGTGGCTTGTCTACTAGGTCACGATGAGGCAAAGGACAGAAGTGAAAGAGCAGGGGCATTGGTGTTGCCAGGGCTGAGAGTTGCAGTCCTGGAAGACTTCCTGGATAAGGGGACATCAGTGCAGAGCCAGGATGTTTCCTGGAGGAAGAGCGTTCCAGATGGGGGAGATAGCATGTGCGAAACATAGAGGCAGGGACAGTGGCAGCACAGGACAGGGGTAGGGTGGTTGGCATAGGAAGGGAAGGAGCAAGGAATAGGGCAAAGAGGCAGGAAGGACCCAGGCCATCAGGCACACAGGCTACTGGAGACTGCCTCTTGCTCAGCATGAGACAGAGAGTGGCTAGCAGCAGTTGAGCTGAGCGTGACATGCTGTAAGAGCCCTCTGTCAGTTTTCAGAGATACAAGGTGTGAGCTGAGGGAAGGGGAGACCAGGCCGGGGGCTTGCAGGGAGGCCAGTGAGAAATGATGGCAGCCTGGGGAGCTAGGCAGAGCTGGATGTGGTGAGAAAGGCTGGCTTCTGCACGTACTTTGAAGGGGAAGCTGATCGAATGTGTGATGCACTGGGAGAGCAGCATGGAAGGAAGAGATGAGTCAAGCATGACTTCAGCTTCGGGTGGCCAAGCATCATCCTGCCCTCCTCCTCCAGGAAGCCCATCCAGGCAGCTCTCTGAACAAAGGTGGTGCCTCTTCAGGAAGAGCTAGAGTGTGAGCAGCTGCTGTAAAGGACGGGTCCCCACTGTCTGTCTTTGGGCTCCTCTTCTCTCCTCTTCCCTAAGAGGTGGAGGGAGTTGAACCGCCAGTCCTCTGGCAGGAAGACATTCAAAGGAAACTTTTCCTAGAATTGTGAGTAACGGAGCTGCTAAAAATGAGGCTTGGCTTTACAGGGCACATACTGGAAATAAAGGCTATTAATAGGTTCCTGCAGGACCATTGCCACACTGAAACCGGCTCCCAGGCAGCCAGCCTCGCCCAGTGGCACCCATGGGGTTGAGATGCAGAAATCCAGGCCTTCTAAGCAGGGCAGAAAAAGAAAAGTATTTCATAGACTTGCCTTAGGAGTGCAAAAAGAGTCAATAACCTTTTCCACCCCCAGTGTAAGGCGAACAGACCCATGAGCTGGTGGGAATATCTGAACACACACAAAACTGAAAGGTCACAGAGCAAAGCTGCTAGGCGCTTCCTGCCCATTCCACCTTTGCACAAAGAACACAGATTGGGGCTTTGGCTCCCTTCAACACATGATTGGCACCTAGTGTGTGCAGACACTGGGGGAGCCATGCTCCCCTGGGACAGCATCTGTGAAACCCACTGTACTGCTGGGACCAAGGGGGAAATCAGGTAGCAAGAATGAGAGTCCCTGAAAAACAGCCCATTTCTCTCAAGCAGCAAGAAGCCAAAGAAAAAAAAAAACCAACATAAATTCTTTCTGAGCCCAGTTTCCTCATCCATAAAATGGGCATAATGCTGCTTACACTGGTGTTGTGAGAATCAAATGGGATGACATCAAAAGGGGCCGGCTCCCCGTGAGGAGCGGCGAATGTGAGTTTGCCTTCCCGGTTGCTAATGGAAGAGGAAAACAAAGAGTTTGAGCCAAGGGGGCCGTGCAGAGCCTGGGAGTACAGGAGGAAGCTGCTGCAGTGGGCTATTTTCCACAGTCTCCGGAGGACGGCGGTCACATACTGAGTGCATGCCCTCTTTCCACCTCCCACCAGAGCACCCTCTGTGCCAAGGCAATATTGCAGTAGTGCTGCATGGAATTCGTCCAGCACACTATGAACAGAAACTGCCTTTTGATTTCTTCTTTTATCTTGCAGACTTTTCATGTTTTCTCCAGAAACAGAGGACCCCAGCTCATCAGGGCATTCTTGGGATGCCAAGACTCAAGACCCCATGTGGTCGCCTATCTCCTTCCTCTGCTCCCTGGTTTCACCTGCGTCTCACACAAAACCAGAAACGCCTCAAGCAGAAACAGAGTCTGTGACCGAATCATCAATTCTGGTTTTTTTTTGTTGGTTTTTTTTTTTTCCTCTTGGAACAGATTCGGGAGGAATCTAAGTATCATTGTAAAATTCACAAAATGCCAAATCCACTGAGTGAGCAACAGATGAGGGAAATTGCTCCACATCCCGTGGAGAGGAAATGAACGGGACTGGGGAGGAAGAATGTGCTGCGTGGTGGGAACACTGTTTTGATTCCTGATGCTGCACATCTGCCACGTTTCTGCACAGAGCTACCAGCCCGGGCAGACACTGAGGACCCTCCTCGCGCACTGGAGCTGTGGCCTCGGCAGCTGTGGGAATGCGGACAGGAAGCAGGGGACCCTGGAGGCGAGAGGAGGAGGACATCCTGCGGGGATAGATAAAAAATAACGGCCGGGCTGTGGGAACCTCTTCCGAGCAAACATGTGAGCCCAGGAATTTCCTGAGCCAGAGATCTGACTCCGGTTATTTGTTGTAACTGATTATTTGTTTTCCTGGAGATTTTGCATAATTTTGACAAAGGGAAAGAAGATATAAAGCCAAGACATGCATGACTGCCCTTCTGAAGCCTCTGCTCACAGAGCAGAGGGATAGGAGGCTGTGATTCAGATTATGGGGCCTGCAGGCTGGGGAGGGCGACCCTGCAGGGGCCCAGGAGCAGGCAGAGTGTGCCCCACAGACCCCTCCCTGGGGCAGAGGGACAGCAGATTACTGGGCCCGAGACGCATTAGGTGGCACATGCTGGTTCCCTCTGTCCAGCGAGCCTCTCCCCCAGCATCATCCAGCCCTGGGCCTCCAGCAGGCAGAGGAGATCATGACCAGGAAGCAATTCATCACCATCCAAGGCCTTAGCAGACTCTGGCTTTCCTTTGAATTTCCAAGAAAACTGCTCCATAATTTTTATCAAGACTTATCATTTGCCCATCTCACCCTACACACTAGAATTTTAAGCGATGAAGTACATGTGGAGACTTACTTTGTAGTCTTTTAAGATAATGACCAAATGAACATTTCTGGCCTCACTCAGCATCTGCTCTGACACGGGTTTAAGGGGCTGCCGCGGCCAGGAAGAGGTGGGCCTGGTCCTGTCGGTGGATGCGCATTCTGCTTCCCTTAGGCGGGGCTGGGCATGCTGGGACCTCCCCTGTGAGGGGACAGCGGAACTCGCAGGGCAGACCCATGTCCCTGGTGTCTTCCTTCTGATGGGCCTTCCCCTCATGTCGGGATCCACCTTACAGGGCATCTGGCCTGGTGTCTGCACATAGTGAAACATGGCTGAGTGTCCCTTGCATTAAATGCATGTCCTTGGGATCGCGGTTTCCCTCTCCTCTCCCTTGTCTTTCCCAAGAAACCCTCCACCCTGACGACACCCCACTAATATCTCCATGTGGCCAATTCCTCACAGGGTCAAATATGCTGGGCCACCCCCTCTGAGGCCGCAGCTGCATCTCAGGTTTGCATTCTCACCACGGCCGTTCTACTGATGGGAGCTTCATTTCTATTTGCTCGAGGTATTACACCTATTTTATTTTTCTTTAATGAAATCCTCCTCACTTCCATCACCTCAGTGCACCCCTCTCTTCAGAGCTTTCCTTCTCTCCCCTCCTCCCTCCCCATCTTTCTTCCTTCCTGTCCCCAAAGACCAGGCCATGGTGCCCTCGAAGGACACAACAGAGCCCCATGTGGACTGGGAAGCTGGCCCTGGCCCAGGGCCCCTCCAGCACAGCCTTTCCCCAACTGGCCTTAGGCAAGTGCCCTGCAGTGTCTATCTGCAGCCATCTCTGCCTCATGTGTTTACAAATTCACCTTCTGCTGTGGATCCCTGTCAACCGCAGGTCCGCCCAACACATTTCGCCCTGGATCTCACTGGGTGGACGTGAACATCCACCTGCACGACAGTAAAGGAAAAAGGACAAGATGGAGTTGTGGGGGCAGGGGGTGGTTCTTCCCATAAAAACACAGAAGCATCACAAGAATAATATTTGTTAAAAGCCTCCAGGATTTGGTGCCGAACATCTCTCAAGGCATCTCCTGATTTCCCAGAGCTGATGGAAATATTCTGAAGGTATTAATAGAATGCAGATGTTGGAGAATGCGACTTAGAATCCTACTGAACAAATGACCCTGTTGGGAGGCAGTTTGCAGTCTCCAGGGACATTCCACAGAGGGCCCAGCTGATTGTCTCATATTGAAACAGCATGTCCCAGCATTCCAGCTAGAAGAAGCGGAACAGGGCTCCTCCACCAGATATAAATCACAAGGCAAAGGGCAACTGAACTCCTTCAGTCCTGCCCTCCCTCCTTCCTTGGTTCACCCTCCACCCCCTCCCCCGCTCCCGCCCCCCAAGGAAAACAAAGCTTGAGTAAGAGGCTGCCAAGCCAAGCCACGCAGGCGCCAGACGGCCGAGCGCGGCACACACGACGGCCGTTTGGGAGGCTCACAGCTTTCGGCACTGTGGCCCTGATGTTTTTGCTTCACTGCAATTTGTTTCTGATCTCCAGTCAAGTCCTTACAACGCTGGGATCCTCTAGAGAGTTTATACTTTGACCTCGTGACAATTAACACCAGAGGCCAAGAAAAAAAAAAAAAACTCGATAAGAGAGAAACTCAATTGGTGGGAGGTGGAGGGTGGGAGGACGGGCGGGGGCCTATTACTAAAGTAAATGCGTTACTTGTGAAATTATTTCCCATCCAATAAAAAGAATGCAGTGTCTTTAAAGAGAGAGTTGCCAAAATGGAAAGAAAGTCTTCTTTCAAAGACTGCCAAGCCTGGCGATCCTCGGTGAACTGTGTGTTCAGGAAAGGACACAAATTAGCCAGGCTGGGCAGCCGGCCTTGCGCAGGAGCCCTGGGACAGAACCTTTCATAGCTCTGTGTGGTTATGAAAGTGTAGGCGAGCCTGCCGTGTCCTCTGCATGGAGGCCCCGTCCAGGCCCTGCCACTGCCCACCCAACAGGGCAGACCCAAGTGCTGGCCAGAGCTGTGGTCCCGGGTCCCCAGCCACCAGGGCTACCACGGGTGACGGGAGGACATGGGCAGTGTGGGAGGCTGTCTGTCTCACCTCTCAGGAGAGGCACGGGGCAGGTGGGGCATGGAGCCCGACACTAGAAAAGTATGGGTGCTGGCTAAGGTGCCCCCTGGGAGGCAAGGATCCTGACCCCACAGCCTTCTGAATGGCATTCCAGCTCTGCTGAGCACAGGCACCTGTGTCCCTGGGGACACACCAGCTGTGTGGACTCAGGAGCAAAGGCACCCACAACACACGATCAGTACCCAGCCTGGAAGTAGGAATGTACCCTCAGAGCCACCCAAACCAGGAGCCCCTCAGAGGACAGGGTAGGGCATGGGCCCCAAAACAAGGGGTCCAAGAGGGCCAAGCCAGAGCCGCAGCTCCCAGGTGGGACACATGCTTCATTTGAATCTGTTCTTCCTTTCAACACTTTACCCTCCTTCCAAAGACAGTCTGTGTTTGGAGCTTGGCCCGGGTTTGAAGGAAGGGGCCAGTGCCATCTGTGGGTACCAATGGGATGATGTGCACATGGCTGGCTGTGAGAGCGGCCTTTCTCCCAGGAGACGGCAGTGCAGGAGGCCCCAGGG